>NC_000023.11:42285837-44785837 GCF_000001405.40 Homo sapiens | reverse complement strand
ATGCATTGGCCACACAGTCACCATTTGGCACATGCTATTCCCTATGCTCCTACTACCTCCTTCCCTCATTCTCCATTTGACTAATTCCTACTGGTTCTTACAACAAGAGTTTCAGGCCGGGCACAGTGGCTGATGCCTGTAATCCCAGCACTTTGGGAGGTCGAGGCAGGAGGATCACTTGAGGCCAGGAGTTTGAGACCAGCCCGGCCAATGTGGCAAAACCCCGCCTCTACTAAAAATACAAAAATTAACTGGGCGTGGTGGTACACACCTGTAATCCCAGCTACTTGGGAGGCTGAGGAAGAGAATCGCTTGAACCTGGGAGGTGGAGGTTGCAGTGAGCTGAGATCGTGCCACTGCACTCCAGCCTGGGCGACAGAGCAAGGCTCCATCTCAAAAAAAAAGAAAAGAAAAAAAACAAGAGTTTCAGGTTTCAGACTCTAATGTAATGAGCAAAGGCCAAATAGAAGTAATGTGCTCACTCCCATTTTCTTGAAATAGGTGACTATCTGGATCTATTTTTCATTTTCCTACTTCATATAGAGACATAGGTTCAGAGAAAGAGTTCTCTACTACAAGAAAAACAACAATTCAAGTGTGATAATAAATGGCAACTGATTATCCTTCCCAATGTTGGGGCAACAAAGGTAGTGGTGGGGATTGTTGTGAGCTAGTGAACATTAAGCCTTTCTAAAAAGGGACAGCCACTACTCAATTCTACCAAATGTTGCCATGTGGGAATGCATGCCTAATATTGTCAGATCATTTGGTTTTTCAAGAAAAGCCAGAAAACGTGTGTGTGTGTGTGTGTGTGTGTGTGTGAAATCTTTCAATTTACAAATGTTAGGTTTTTTTTTTTTTTTTCCTCTAAGGAGGTCAAATAAAACTCACTGAAAGTGGCAAGGCGTGGTGGCTCATTCCTGTAATCCCAGCACCTTGGGAGGCCAAGGCAGGCGGATCACCTGAGGTCAGAAGTTTGAGAGCAGCCTGGCCAAAGTGGCTAAACTCTGTCCCTACTAAAAATACAAAAATTAGCTGGGCATCTTGGTGGGCGCCTGTAATCTCAGCTACTTGGGAGGCTGAGGAAGGAGAATTGCTTGAACCCGGGAGCTGGAGGTTGCAGTGAGCTGAGATTGTGCCACTGCACTCCAGCCTGGGTGACAGAGTAAAGACTCCGTTTCAAAAAACAAAAACAAAAGAAAACAAAAAAACACTCAGTGAAAATGAGTGGCTGGATTCAGCTGTAGGGCCACCAGATTGAGGTCTTCTATTAAATGTTCAAATCTGACATCACTTTTCAGAGGTCTGTATTAAGTGCACTTCCTGTGTATGGTCTGCAGTAGTATTTTGTGCTTAACTCTGAGCACCATAGCATAATTGCTTTCCTGTTGTTCTCCCTGAAAGCAGAAACTTTGCATGTCATTTTCTTGACCTCAGCAAATAGCAGAGTGCCTGAGGCATAGTAGACGTTCACATGAATGAATGAATGAGTAAGTGAATGCATCTCGGTCACCCCTATTTTCCAGCCACAAGATTAAAAAAAATTTTTTTTTTTTTGAGATGGAGTTTCACTCTTGTTGCCCAGGCTGGAGTGCAATGGTGTGATCTCAGCCCACTGCAATCTCCACCTCCCGGGTTCAAGAGATTCTCCTGCCTCAGCCTCCTGAGTAGCTGGGACTATAGGCACGTGTCACCACGCCTGGCTAATTTTTTGTATATTTAGTAGAGATGGGGTTTCTCCATGTTGGTCAGGTTGGTCTCAAACTCCCAACCTCAGGTGGCTCAGATGTGAGCCACCGCGCCCGGTCATGAGATAAAATTTTCAAAGGCAGAACACTAATATCCTTTCCCCATCCCAGAATGGAGCAAAAAAGTTAAAAAACAATTCCTTTGGACATAAAGTTAGAAGTATTTTGCTGTTTAAGACTGGTAAACTTTGGAAGTTTAATAGTTGATTGCCTCTTGGAAACCACATGTGAAGCAGACAATCAATCAGGCTTCAAGAATTTGGCACTGTTTTATAGTTCTAGTTGCAGTGGTTTTAAAATAATGTGACTTATATTCAGTCCAAATGCATTATCGTTAATATTTTATCAGAGAGTTATTGTTTTCCCTTGGAATATGTCTCATTACAGGCGCTGCTGCATTATTAAGTATAAATGTAATACATCCAAGGACCAATTTTTCCCACCCCTGCAATATGAATTTCTGATTTTATAATAGAAGTCAATGGGAAAGTCAGATTCATTTAATCTAAATTTACAGCACACTTGGTTAGAATGCATGCATTCTTTTATTTGAGGGATACCTGCATAATCATGTAATATATTTTATGCTCTGCTGCAGAATAATACAAGCAAATGGAGCCAACTCCATTGTTAACAACAATAGAGCAGCTGCATCGTGACTGCAGATATCACTGGATACATCACCTGGGGACTCTCAGCCATTGGTACAATCAAAAATGAATCTTCTGGCCGGGTGCGGTGGCTCATGCCTGTAATCCCAGCACTTTGGGAGGCCAAGGCGGGAGGATCACGAGGTCAGGAGTTCGAGACCAGCCTGGTCAACATGGTGAAACCCCGTCTTTACTAAAAACACAAGAATTAGTCGGGCGTAGTGGCGCACGCCTGTGGTCTCAGCTACTCGGGAGGCTGAGGCAGGAGAATCGCTTGAACCCGACAGGCAGAGGTTGCAGTGAGCTGAGATCACACCACTGCACTCCAGCCTGGGCGACAGAGTGAGACTCCATCTCAAAAAAAAAAAAAAAAAAAAAGAATGAATCTTCCAAATTTCCACAAAGAAACAATAGCACATCACATATACATGCTGTTATTTACACTCCTCTTTCTGCTTTCTGGTAAATGTTTTAAGTCAGATATGATGACTGAACACTGTTAAAAAGCAATTATGCTTCAACTCTTTCTACAGAAACTCCATTCAAAGACTAAAGGAATTTTTATTTATTTATATTTAGAAATGATTTTATGAATTTATAAACAATTATAATTTGTTTTTTTTGAGATGGAGTCTCGCTCTGTCGCCAGGCTGGAGTGGAATGGCGTGATCTCCGTTCACTGCAACCTCCGACTCCCTGGTTCAAGCGATTCTTCTGCCTCAGCCTCCCGAGTAGCAGGGATTACAAGCACGCGCCACCATGCCCAGCTAATTTTTGTATTTTTAGTAGAGACAGGGTTTCACCATGTTGGCCAGGATGGTCTCGATCTCCTGATCTTGTGATCTGCCCGCCTCAGCCCCCTAAAGTGCTGAGATTACAGGTGTGAGCCACCACGCCTGGTGACAATTATAATTTTTAAAACTCTGAGGCATGAACATGCCTTAGGCAAATGAGGATGGCACATACAGAGCTTTCCTGCATATTGCCATCTGATTACAGCGGGGAGCTTTCAGTGGATTACAGTATGTGTTAGGAAAAATTTACCATAGATATCTGATTTACCTTTGCCTTATATCACATTTAAAATCATTGTATTTCCTGGAGAAGAAATTCTAGAGGAGAGTTAAAAATATAATTCATGCCGGGCCCAGTGGCTCACGCCTATAATCCCAGCACTTTGGGAGGCCGAGGCAGGTGGATCACCTGAAGTCAGGAGTTTGAGACCAGCCTGGCCAACATGGTGAAACCCTGTCTCTACTAAAACAACAAAAATTAGCCGTGAGTGGTGGCAGGCCCCTGCAATCCCAGCTATTCGGGAGGCTGAAGTAGGAGGATTGTGTGAACCCAGGAGGTGGAGGCTGCAATGAACTGAGATCACATCATTGCACTCCAGCCTGGGCAGCAAGAGTGAAACTCCATCTAAAAAAAAAAATTATATATATATTTATAATTTATTTTTATAAATATAAATATATTTATATTTATAATTTATTAAATAAATTTATATATATATGTATATAATTCATTGTTGAGATGGAAAGCTTGACAGAGCAGTGTCTTGGGGTAGATGCATGGGCATCAGTCTCGAGGCAGGACCAGATTCCAGAAGGTTTCTGTACGACCCCAGTCTCTTCTCTTCCACTGTGCCCTCAGCACCAGGCCCTATTTCTGGCACCTACACAGCTACCTTTTGGAAATTAATCCTTGTATAATATTTAGAAAACAGTGAATTTAAACCACTTGAGAATAAGAGCCTGTACAATGGGAGAAGGCTTGCAAATAAATTTTTAAATGTGCCACAAGTTTTTTTTTTTTTTTTTTTTTTTTTTGAGACGGAGTCTCGCTGTCGCCCAGGTTGGAGTGCAGTGGCGCGATCTCGGCTCACTGCAGGCTCCGCCTCCCGGGTTCACGCCATTCTCCTGCCTCAGCCTCCTGAGTAGCTGGGACTACAGGTGCCCGCCACCTCGCCCGGCTAATTTTTTTTTGTATTTTTAGTAGAGATGGGGTTTCACCGTGTTAGCCAGGTTGGTCTCGATCTCCTGACCTCGCGATCCGCCCACCTCGGCCTCCCAAAGTGCTGGGATTACAGGCGTGAGCCACCGCGCCCAGCCAGTTTTTTTTTTTTCCTTCCTCCAAGGCAGCTGGGCGCAGCAGATTCCAAGAATAGTAAAATAAAGAAATTCATTTGCTGTTGTTGCTGTTGTAGTTTTTCATTTTTATTTATTATTTTTAGATATGGGGTCTTGCTCTCTCACCCAGGCTGGGGTTCAGTGGTACGATTATAGCTCAATGCAGCCTTGAACTCAAGTGAGCCTCCTGCCTCAGCCTCCCAAGTAGCTAGAACTAAAGGTATGCACAATGCTCGGCTAAATTTTTAATGACTTTTGTAGACACAGGGTTTTGCCATGTTGCCCAGGTTGATCTGGAACTCCTGGGCTCAAGCAATCCTCCCTTGCCTCAGCCTCCCAGAGTGCTGGGATTACAGGCGTGAGTCGCCATGCCCAGCTTGTTGTGGTGATTTGTAACCGCCCTGTCATAAACTGGTTTTTCACTGGAGACCAGTGATTAGAATAAATCAGTTTTTTTTCCAAATTGTGGTCTAAGATCTCCAGACAACTGACATGAGAATCGGGTGGAGGCTTATTAAAAATGAAAATTAGTCCGGCAAGGTGGCTCATGCCTCCAATCCCAGCATTTTGGGAGGCCAAGGTGGGCAGACTGCCTGAGGCCAGGAGTTCGAGACCAGCCTGGCCAACATGGTGAAACCCTATCTCTACTAAAAATACAAAAAAATTAGCCAAGAGTGGTGGCATGCACCTGTAAACCCACCTACTCGCGAGGTTGAGGCAGCGGAATTGCTTGAACCAGGGAGGTGGAGGTTGCAGTGAGCCGAGATCTCACCACTGCACTCCAGCCTGGGCGACAGAGTGAGACTCCGTCTCAAAAAAAAAAAAAAAAAAAAAAAAGAAAGAAAATTCCTGGGCCCAGACCTACAGAGTCTCTGAGTCTGACTAATCTGCCAATTGCAGCTGCTTCTTACCACATCAGAGTTTGAGATCCACTGAGCTAGGTAAATTCGAGAGCCTCTTTGTCCTACAAAATTCTGCAAGGCATAGAGGGTCTTTGCAAAGTTAAGCATGTTGGTAGCAGAAATTTCTACTCCTCCCTTGCAAAAGATTTAATAAACCTGAAAAGGGCTTCTTGAAATGGGATTTAGTTAACAGATGAGGTGCAGTATATAGAGACCTAGCCAATCTTGGACTATGTGAACAGACAGCACTTAAATGTTTGTTC
Source organism: Homo sapiens (assembly GCF_000001405.40). NCBI lineage: Eukaryota > Metazoa > Chordata > Mammalia > Primates > Hominidae > Homo > Homo sapiens. Next base: position 44,780,145 of record NC_000023.11, on the reverse strand, counting down.
AGGGCATTAGAAATGAAATTGATCAGTTGGACTTGGCACAGTGGCTCACACCTGTAATCCCAACACTTTGGAAGGCCAAGGCCAAGGCCAAGGCCAGAGGATTGCTTGAGTCCAGGAGTTTGAGACCAGCCTGGGTAACATAGTGATACCCCGTCTCTACAAAAAGTTAGGCCTGGTGGGTAGCTCATGCCTGTAATCCCAGCACTTTGGGAGGCTGAGGCATGTGGATCACTTGAGGTCAGAGTTCAGGACCAGCCTGGTCAACATGGTGAAACTCCATCTCTACTAAAATTACAAAAATTCCCCAGGAATGGTGGTGGGCACCTATAATCCCAGCTACTTGGGAGGCTAAGGCATGAGAATTGCTTGAACCTGGGAGGCGGAGGTTGCAGTGAGCTGAGATCGTGCCACTGCGCACTCCAGCTTGGGCAATGGAGTGAGATTCTGTAAAAAAAAAAAAAAAAAACCAACCAACAAAACAAACAACAACAAAAAACCCCAAAATGTAAAAAAATTAGCTGGGCATGGTGGCACACATCTGTGGTCCCAGCTACTCAGGAGGCTGAGGTGGGAGGATCGCTTGAGCCTGGGGAGTCGAGGCTGCAGTGAGACATGATCAGGCCACTACACACCAGTCTGGGCAACAAAGCAAGACCCTGTCTCAAAAAAAAAAAAAAATCCGTCTATTTTAAACCTAGTAAAAAATCCAAATTAATTCAGGTTCATTCCTCTCTGGGTGGAGGTTATTTGTCTTTAAAACCTACCAGAAACTGAAAAAGAGTTCACAGAGAGCAGCCTGAGGTTTTTTGTTGTTGTTGTTGTTTTTGTTTTTGTTTTTGTTTTTTCTTTGACGAAGTTTCGCTTTTGCTGCCTAGGCTGGAGTGCAATGGCACGATCTCAGCTCACTGCAACTTCCGCCTCCCAGGTTTGAGTGATCCTCCTGCCTCAGCCTCCCAAGTAGCTGGGATTACAGGCATGCGCCACTACACCTGGCCAATTTTGTATTTTTAGTAGAGGCAGGGTTTCACCATGTTAGGCTGCTCTCGAACTCCTGACCTCAGGTGATTCACTCACCTCGGCCTGTCAAAGTGTTGGGATTACAGGCGTGAGCCACCGTGCCCAGCTGAGGTCTTAAAAATCTTACAAGGAAGTTGGCATGAAGAAGGAAAAGAGGACTGGGTACCACCTGGTGGCTCATGCTTGTAATCCCAGCACTTTGGGAGGCCGAGGTGGGCAGATCACTTGAGGTCAGGAGTTCGAGACCAGCCTGGCCAACATGGCGAGACCCCGTCTCTACTATCTACTAAAAATACAAAAATTAGCCAGGTGTGGTGGTGCACATCCCTGTAGTCCTGTGCCTGGAGATGGTTCCTACCCTTGGGTTCGTGGTCTCGCTGACTTCAAGAACAAAGCAGCAGACCTTCACAGTGAGTATTACAGCTCTTAAAGATGCGACAGACCCAAAGAGTGAGCAGTAGCAAGGTTTATTGTGAAGAGGGAAAGGACAAAGCTTCCACACCATGGAAGGGGACCCGAGTGAGTTGCCACTGCTGGCTGCGGTGGCCAGCTTTTACTCCCTTATTTGTCCCCTTCCATTTTCCGTTTTTGTCCTATCAGAGTGCCCTTTTTTCAATCCTCCCTGCAATTGGCCACTTTTAGGATCCTGCTGATTGTCGCATTTTACAGAGTGCTGATTCATGCGTTTTACAGAGCTCTGATTGGTGCATTTTGCAATCCTCTTGCTAGCTACAGAGCGCTGATTGGTGTGTTTTTACAGAACGCTGATTGGTGCATTTTACAATCCTCTTGTAAGACAGAAAAGTCCTCCAAGTCCCCACTGGACCCAGGAAGTCCAGCTGGCTTCACCTCTCAGTCCTAGCTAGCAAGAGACTGAGGCACGAGAATCACTTGATCCTGGGAGGAGGAAGTTGCAGTGAGCTGAGATAATGCCACTCCAGCCTGGGTGATGGAGTGAGACTCTGTCTCAAAAAAAAAAAAAAAAAAAAAAAGAAGAAGAAGAAGGAAAAGAGTTTTCTGGTGATGGTTGAATTAGAACAACCCCTGCCCCTGACTGGTGAGGCTGTGGAGTGACTGGAACTCTCATATATTGTTGGTAGGAGTATAAAATGGTGCACCCACTTTAGAAAAACATTTGGCAGTTCCTTAAAAAGTTAAATATGCGGCTGGGTGCGGTGGCTCATGCCTGTACTCTCAGCACTTTGGGAGGCCGAGGCGGGCGATTACCTGAGGTCAGGAGTTCCAGACCAGCCTGGCCAACATGGCGAAACCCCGTCTCTACTAAAAATACAAAAATTAGCCAGGCATGGTGGCAGGCGCCTGTAATCCCAGCTACTCAGGAGGCTGAGGCAGGAGAATCGCTTGAACCCGGGAGGAGGAGGTTGCAGTGAGCCGAGATCGTGCCATTGCACTGCAGCTTGCAGCCTGGGCGACAAGAGCTAAAAGTTAAATATGCACCTTTCCTGTGATCTAGCAATTCCACTCCTAGATATATTTATGAGAGAAATGAAAGCATTTATACAAAGACTTGTACTGGAATATTCTTTTTTTTTTTTTTTTTGAGACAGAGTCTCACTCTGTCACCCAGGCTGGAGTGCAGTGGTGCGATCTTGGCTCACTGCAACCTCTGCCTCCCAGGTTCAAGTGATTCTCCTGCCTCAGCCTCTCGAGTAGCTGGGACTACAGGCGCGCGCCACCATGCCCGGCTGATTTTTTGTATTTTTAGTTGAGACAGGGTTTCACCATGTTAGCCAGGATGGTCTCGATCTCCTGACTTCGTGATCTGCTCGCCTCAGCCTCCCAAAGTGCAGGGATTACAGGCGTGAGCCACCGCGCCCGGCTCCTGCACTGTAATGTTCTTAGTGGCTGTATTCATAATAGTCAAAAACTGGAAACAGCCTAGATGTCCATTAGCAGAATGGCTGAATGAACTGTGGTACATTCATACGCTGGAATATGCCCACTGCAGACACACCTAAGACACAGATGAATTATGCTGGAGGCCACCTGTGTGTTGGAGAAGGGTACTTGTGTGAGCTGCTGCCACTGAGGTTGGTAAGACTGTATGGGTCTGGAGTATGGAGATCCTTGGTGGCCACCAGGACATCACTGTGCCTAAAGCACCAAAGGGAAAAAGTGTATGATGGCAAAATATTATGCTGAATGAAAGAAGCCTTACACAAGAGTGCATACTATATACTTTTATTTACATGGTCCTAGGTCTGTTTCTTGCTCTTTTTGCAGACGTAGTTCCAGGCTGCTCCATAGAAGGGAAGCTGGCCCAGGGCCTGGGCTGGAAATGGCACCTAGTTATGGTAATAACACCATTACTGAATGCTTAAGGGCCTGGCACTATCCTGAAAGTTGGGTATTACTCCTATTTTTTTTTTTTTTTTTTTTGAGACGGAGTCTCGCTCTGTCGCCCAGGCTGGACTGCAGTGGCGCGATCTTGGCTCACTGCAAGCTCCGCCTCCCGGGTTCACGCCATTCTCCTGCCTAAGCCTCCCAAGTAACTGGGACTACAGGAGCCAGCCACCACGCCCAGCTAATTTTTTGTATTTTTAGTAGAGACGGGGTTTCACCGTGTTAGCCAGGATGGTCTCGATCTCGTGACCTCATAATCTTCCCGCCTCGGCCTCCCAAAGTGTTGGGTTTACAGGCGTGAGCCACCGCGCCCGGCCTACTCCTATTTTATGGATGAGAAAACTGGGCCTCAGACAGAGCATATGACTTGCTCAAAGCTATGTAGAAATTAGTGGTCTAGCTGGGTATATTTCTATCTTAAGACTCTCTTCTTTCCAGAACAGCACATGATGTTTCACCCTGAGGGTGCTTTTGTCAAGAAGTAGGTGCTGGCAATGCAGGGAGATAGGAGAGAGAGGGAAAGAGAGAGAAGGAGGAAAGGAAATGGGGAGAGGGAAGGAAAGAGAGAATGCTAAACTTAAACTATTGCCTTGTAGAGATTTTTGCAAGGGTGGAAACTTCTCCACCCCTCTTGTAGCCACAGTCTATTGAGCAACTGCTAATTTGTTCCTCACAAAAGACCTAAAGTAGACAAGGAAATTGCCCTGGAGAAGTAAATTCCAATACTCAAGTTTTGTAACAGGATTTTGAATGCAGGTCTGTAGAGCCCGAGGTGAATTTCCTGGTAGACTAAGTTATTTTATGGGACAAAGATGTAAAATGTTTTACACATTATGTTTATGTTTATGACTTCAGAGGGTAATAAAGATACATGTTGCCAGGCCGGGGCGAGGTGGCTCATCTCTGTAATGCCAGCACTTTGGGAGGCCAAGGCGGGTGGATCACCTGAGGTTGAGGGTTCAAGACCAGCCTGACCAACATGGAGAAACCCCGTCTCTACTAAAAATACAAAATTAGCTGGGCGTGGTGGTGCATGCCTGTAATCCCAGCTACTCGGGAGGCTGAGTCAGGAGAATCGCTTGAACCTGGGGGGCGGAGGAGGTTGCGGTGAGCCGAGATTGCGCCATTGCACTCCAGCCTGGGCAACAAGAGCGAAACTCCATCTCAAAAAAAAAAAAAAAAGATGCATATTGTCTAGCATAGCTTGGGGACATCTGGGAATAAGAGAGGTATGTTGATGTGGTGGGAAAGGCAAAGGCAAAGGCAAAATGTTCAGATTACATTTTTTTTTTTGGCCATCACCAAATTATTTCTGTTGTTAAATAAAAATTAAGGGGGCCATTATTTTGGACTAAGCTTCTGCATTAGGCCCTAGCAGACCAGACTAAAAGTCAAAATGGAGTCACCCATGCTAAGTTCCATGTCACCAAGTTGAAGCTGTCATGTTTGGGAAATAGGTTGTTATCTCTCTCCTGTCCCCTGCTTTTTGTTCATTTCTGCTTTCTTCAGCCCCTTTTTTATCTATAAAACCAACTTCCTCTGCTCGAGTCATTGGAACACTTATTCTATTTTATGGAATAAAATGTTGCCTGATTCTAGAATCTCAATAAAGCCAATTGAGATCTTTAAACTAAATTTGTTGTGATTTTGTCTTTTGACACCATGATGGCTTATACTTGTGATTCCAAAACCAATGCTTTAGATTTCTTGACCATTCTACTGTCTCCCAAGATAAATACCTTCTGAAACCATAAGGGTTGAATTTTTGAGATAGAAACTAATTCAGTGGAGGTCTATAACAGACCCCTTTGAGAATCTGATGAAAACTTGGGAGGCTTCCCCGACAGAAATGACCCTACATGTAAAATTCTCAATACAATGTAAGTAAGTTGATAGATGTACTAAAGCCCACTAATTTCCTCATCTGGAAAATGAGGGTGCCGGGCGCGGTGGCTCATGCCTGTATTCCCAGCACTTTGGGAGGCTGAGGAGGGCAGATCACTTGAGGTCAGGAGTTCGAGACCAGCTTGGCCAATATGGTGAAATCCCATCTTTACTAAAAATACAAAAGTTAATCGGGCGTGGTGGCACACACCTGTTATCCCAGCTACTCAGGAGGCTGAGGCAGGAGAATCGCTTGAACCTGGTGTAAGGTTAGCCAAGAGAAGGATGAGAGAGAGACTCAAGTTTAGGCAAGCCTTTATTAACCTGCCGGCTGCTCCACCACAGACAGAGGAGGCAGCCCTGAGCTTACAAAATGATGGGTTTATACGGGGGGAGAGAGACCCTGGGGTCGTTTGTTGGTTAACTTTGCCATATATCACCTTGTGACGTTTATGGTAGCACCTAGATGAAGGAACTTACAGGAGGGTGTAGGTAAAGTTTGTTTATGCTTCCCACTACCTCCCCCTGTGTGATCCAGATGGTTTGTAATTGGGGTTTGTTTATCGTAGCAAGGCCTGATAGGTAAAGTCTGCTGGCTCCCCCGCGGCGCCTAGATAAGGGCTTAGAAATGTAAAAAGGATTGGGGAAAGGGTGGGCAGCACAGAGAGGTTTGGCGGGAGTGTTGGCTGTACCAAGAAGCTTTTTGGGGCAGTTTGTCCCTAATACCCGGGAGGCGGAGGTTGCAGTGAGCCGAGATCAAGCCACTGTACTCCAGCCTGGGCGACAGAGTGAGACTCTGTCTGAGAAAGGAAAAAAAAAAAGATGGTGAAAATGTCTGCCCCGATCCACCTTACTCTGAAGAATATCAATGTGAGACAATCTTATTCGTGGTAAACTTTCAAATCTTGGCCTAAATGCTGGGTTTATAGTGATGAATCAATCATTAAGAATTTCCAGCCGGGCGCGGTGGCTGACGCCTGTAATCCCAGCACTTTGGAGTCTGAGGTGGGCAGATCACCTGAGGTGAGGAGTTCGAGACCAGCCTGGCCAACATGGTGAAACCCCATTTATACTAAAAATACAAAAAAATTAGCCGAGTGTGGTGGCGGGTGCCTGTAACCCCAGCTACTCGGGAGGCTGAGCCAGGAGAATCGCTTGAACCTGGGAGGCAAAGGTTGCAGTGAGCCGAGATCATGCCATTGTACTCCAGCCTGGGCAACAAGAGCGAGACTCCATCTCAAAAAAAAAAAAAAGAAAGAAAGAAAAAGAAAAAAGAATTTCCTGGCTGGGCGTGGTGGCTCACGCCTGTAATTCCAGCACTTTGGGAGGCCGAGGTGGGTGGATCATCTGAGGTTGGGAGTTCAAGACCAGCCTGGCCAACATGGTAAAACTCTGTCTCTACTAAAATACAAAAATTAGCCGGGCGTGTGAGCCTGTAATCCCAGCTACTCAAGAGGCTGAGACAGGAGAATTGCTTGAACCCAGGAGGCGGAGATTGCAGTGAGCCGAGATTGCGCCACTACACTGCAGCTTGGGTGACAGAGTAAGACTCTGTCTCAAAAACAAAACAAAACAAAACGAAAAAGAATTTCCTACCCTCTTGGGAAAGGGAAACAGGTGACCAGGAATGAATGAAGGAAACAAAATGATGTCTATAATTACAAATAGTTCATTTACTTTCCTAGCACTTATTGGATATAGCATCGAGTATAGCAATGGGAAAGAACGGTTAGGGGAAAGTAGAGTTAGGGGAAGTTCCTTGTAAAAAGAGCCCTTTAAGTCACTCAGTCATTAGGAAAACAGATGTGGCAGTCACAAGGCATGGTGGAGTGAGACTGAAGTCCCAGCTATGCAGAAGCTGAGGCAGGAGGATGGCTTGAGCCCAGGAGTTCTGGGCTGTAGTGCACTATGCTGGCCCGAACTAAGTTCAACATTGATAATGGTGACCTCTTGGGAGTAGGGACCACCAGGTTGCCTAAGAAGGTTGGGTGAACTGGCCCACGTTGAAATGGAGCAGGTCAAAAACTCCCATGCTGATCAGTAGTGAGATTGTCCCCGTGAATAGCCACTGCCCTCCATCCTGGTCAACATAGAGAGAAACTGTCTCTTAAAAAAAAGAAGAAGAGGAAGAGGAAGAAGAAGTGGTAGTGGTGATGGAGAGAAAAAGGCAAATTAGGGATTTATTTTATTAAATTCTGTCTACTTGTTTGGATAGATAATACACTGACAGGATTCAAAATTCAAAAGGCACCAAAAGAAATAGAGTGAAAGTCTCCCTTCTACCCAGCCATCTAGTTCTCTTTTCAAGAAGCAACAAATTGGCCGAGCGAGGTGGCTCACGCCTATAATCCCAGCAGTTTGGGAGGCCGAGGCAGGCGGATCACCTGAGGTCAGGAGTTTGAGACCAGCCTGGCCAACATGGAGAAACCCCGTCTCTACTAAAAATACAAAAATTAGAAAAATTGGCCAACATGGTGAAACTCCATCTCTACTAAAAATACAAAACTTAGAAAAATTTGCCAGGCGCAGTTGGCAGGCGCCTGTAATTCCAGCTATTCAGGAGGCTGAGGCACATGAATTACTTGAACCTGGGAGGCAGAGTTTGCAGTGAGTCGAGATTGTGCCACTGCAGTCCAGCCTAGGTGATGGAGTGAGACTGTCAAAAAACAAACAAAAAAAGGCAACAAATTGCATAAGTTTCTTATGTAGAGATTTTTTTTTCATATGCAAACAAATGCATTTCCACAAATGGTAGCACATTAAATATAGTATTCTGTACATTGCTTTTTTCTTAACAATAGATCTTGGAGATCACTCCATATTGGTATCTAAACAGCTCCCTCCTTCATTGGGTTGTTGCATAGTGTTCCATGATAAGCATGTCCCATGAATTTTTTTAACCTGTTCCCTACAGAGGGACATTTAGCTTGTTAGCTTTTGCTGTTACAAACAATGCTGCATATGCCATTTTGTAGATGTGTGAGAATATCTGTAGAATACATTTCCAGAAGTGGAATTGCTGGGTGCATTTATAATTTTGACAGGCATTGTCACTTGTCCCTTCCAGATGTTTATATCAATTTATAGTCCCAATCAGCAATGCTTGCGAGCCTGTTTCCACACATCTTTGCCAATTATTGGATTATCAAATTTTTGGAGCTAATAAATTTGATAAGTGAAGAGTTTCTCAGTGTCATACTATTTATTTCTCTTATGAGACAGTTGAACATGTTTTCATGCATTTAAAAGTCATTTGTGGGCCGGGCGCGGTGGCTCATGCCAGTCATCCCAGCACTTTGGGAGGCCGAGGCGGGTGGATCACCTGAGGTCAGGAGTTCGAGACCAGCCTGGCCAATATGGTGAAACCCCGTCTCTACTAAAAATAAAAAAATTAGCTGGGCATGGTGGCGGGCACCTGTAATCCCAGGTGAAGTAGGAGAATCGCTTGAACCCAGGAGGTGGAGGAAGGTTGCAGTGAGCTGAGATCACACGCGTCACTGCACCGCAGCCTGAGCAACAGAGTGAGACTGTCACACACACACAAAATAATAATAAAAAAGTCATTTGTATTTCCGTTTTTGTGAACTGACTGCTTATAGCCTCCACCAATTTTTCTTTTAGGCTAATGGTATTTATTCTTGGTTTGTAGAAGCCCTTTATATACGTCATTTGAGTTGCAATCATTTTTTTCCAATTTGTTTGTCTTTTGACTTTGCTTTTAGTGGAATTTGCCATATAGAAATATTTAATTTTTAGTCATTAATACCAATCATTTCTTTTCTGGCTCTGGGTTTTGCGTCAACTTAGGCCATTCTGCAAGTATAAGAGTGCTGGTATGTTTCCTTGTAGTATTTTTATGGTTCCATTTTTGACATATAAATCATGGATCCCGAGGCAGGTGGATCACTTGAGGTCAAGAGTTCGAGACCAGCCTGGCCAACATGGTGAAACTCCATCTCTACTAAAAATACAAAAATTAGCCGGGCGTGGTGGCGGGCACCATGTAGTACCAGCTGCATGGGAGGCTGAGGCAGGAGAATTGCTTGAACCTGGGAGGCGCAGGTTGCAGTGAGCCAAGATCACGCCACTGCACTCCAGCCTGGGTGACAGAGTGAGACTCTGTCTCGAAAAAAAAACCTTGGATCTATTTGTAATAGGCAAGGGGTATGAAAACACCACATCCTCACCAGTAGTTCCAATATAACTTATTGGATAATCCAACATTTCCATTCTACTTCAACATGTCACTTTTATCATATGCTAAATTTCTGTGGGCAGTTGTCTCAGTCTTTGAACCTTCTATTCTGTTGAAGTGATCTGTCTATTCATGCATCATTATCACATGGTGTTACTTTGCAATATCTTTTTTATTAAATAACAATTTAAATTTATATTTATATTAAAATACAAATTGTTAATATTTTGTAAATCTACTTGCCTTTTATCTTCTTTGGAAAAAAAATTATTGTCTACTCTTTTTTTTTTTTGAGACGGAGTGCTGGGATTACAGGCATGAGTCACTGCTCCTGGACTATTGTCTATTCTTGATTGTTCTTTTTTGCTCACATGAACTCTAGAAAATAGTTTGTCTAGATTCAGAGGAAATCCTGTTGGCATTTTTAAATTGGGCTCACATTCAAGTTACAGATTAATGTGGGAAAAACGAACAATTTCTATGATGTTAATTTTTTTTCTTATCCAAAAATATGCTATTCCTTTCTGTTTTAAATGTCTGTTGTGTCCTTGGCATATGTATAAGTTTTCATCATATGGAACATGCAAATATTTCAAGCGTATTTTGGTTGGGCGTGGTGGCTCATGCCAGTAATCCCAGCACTTTGGGAGGCCAAGGCGGGTGGATAACCTGAGGTCAGGAGTTCAAGACCAGCCTGGCCAACATGGTGAAACCCTGTCTCTACTAAAAATACAAACCAAAATTAGCCAGGCTTGGTGGCTCACGCCTGTAGTCCCAACTATTTAGGAGGCTGAGGCATGAGAATCGCTTGAACCCGGGAGCAGAGGTTGCAGTGAGCTGAAATCGCACCACTGAACTCTAGCCTGGGCAACAGAGTGAGAATTGGTCTCAAAAAAATTTTTTTAAGTGTATTTCTAGGTATTTTATGTTTTTCACGGCTTGTGTAAATGAGATCTTTTCTTCCAATATGTCTTCTTTTTGTGTATCTTAAGGTCACATATAAATTATGCATATATATTCACTTTAATTAATTTTGTATCTGTACATTTTATTTAACTATCTTATTTTGTAGAATAGCTTTACAGTTGATTCTTTTGATTTTTCTAGGTATACAATTGTATCAAATGTCAGTAGTGAAATTTTAACCTTCTGATATCCAATTTTATACCTTTAACTTATTTATTTTGTCTAATTACTTTAGCCAGTATCTCCAGGTTAAGGTTAAATAATAGCAATGATAGTGAAAATCCTTGTCTTAATTCCAGTCTCCAGTGAGAATGCTTCCAGTGTTTTCCCAATAAGCATTATGGGACTTTGGGCATCATACAGTCACACACACACACACACACACACACACACACACAGTAGTCAAATATACATGACATAAAATTTACCATTTTAATCATTTCTGAGTGTATAGTTCAGTGGCACAAAGTACACTCACACTGTTGTGCAGGTAACACCACCATCCATCCCCAGAACTTTTTTTTCTCTGTGAATTCTGCAGAGAAGTATCTCCAGAAATTTTTCATCCCTGGGCATAATGTATTCTTTTATACTTTTTTTTTTTTTGAGGTGGAGTCTCGCTCTTGTCATCCAGGCTGGAATGCAATGGTGTGGTCTCGGCTCCCTGCAACCTCTGCCTCCCGGGTTCAAGTGATTCTCCTGTCTCAGCCTCCTGAGTAGCTGGGGTTACAGGCTCCTGACATCAGGCCCGGCTAATTTTTGTATTTTTATTAGAGAGAGGGTTTCACCATGCTGGCCAGGCTGGTCTCGAACTCCTGACCTCAAATGATCTGCCCGCCTCGGCCTTCTTTTATTCTTTTCTCATCACTATGCTAATGAGGAATAAGGCATTAAAAAAATTCAACTTTTATTTTAAATACAGGGGGTATATGTGCAGGTATGTTATATGAAACAATTGCATGATGTTGAGGTTCGGAGCATGGATCCTGTTACCCAGGTAGTGGGCCTAGTACTCGAAAGGTTTTTTTTTTTTTTTTTTTTTTTTTAAGATAGAGTTTTGCTCTTGTTGGCCAGGCTGGAGTGCAGTGGCATGATCTCGGCTCACTGCAACCTCCACCTCCCGGGTTCAAGCAATTCTCCTGCCTCAGCCCCCCGAATAGCTGGGACTACAGGCACACACCACCATGCCTGGCTAATTTTTGTATTTTTAGTAGAGTTGGGGTTTCACCACGTTGGTCAGGCTGGTCTTGAACTCCTGACCTCAGGTGATCCATCTGCCTCAGGCTCTCCAAGTGCTGAGATTACAGGCATGAGCCATTGTACCCAGCCCATAGGTCGTTTTTTAAACCCATACCCACTTCCCTCCATCCTCTAGGAGTCCATGGTGTCTATTGTCTGCATATTTATGTTTATGTGCGCTCAATGTTTAACTCCCACTTGTAGGTGAGAATATGCACTATTTGATTTTCTGTTCTTGCATTAGGTTGCCTAGGATAATGGCCTCCAGCTCCATCTATGTTGCTGCAAAGGACATGATCTTGTTCTTTTTTATGGCTGCATAGTATTCCATGGTGTATACTATGGAATATATACTTTTTAAAAAGGTAGACTTTTTAAAAAATTCAGTCTACCTTTGATGGGCATTTAGGTTGATTCCATGTCTTTGCGATTGTGAATAGTGCTGCAGTGAACATATGTGTGCATTTATCTTTTTGATAGAATAAATTATTTTCCTTTGAGTATATACCCAGTAGTGGGATTTCTGGGTAGAATGGTAGTTCTATTACAAGTTCTTTGAGAAATCTCCAAACTACTTTCCACAGTGACTGAACTAGTTTGCATTCCCACCAACAGTGTATAGTTTCCTTTTCTCCACAGCCTCGCCAATGTCTACTGTGTTTTGACTTTTTGATAATAACTATTCTGGTTGTAAGATGATATATCATTGTGGTTTTGATTTGCATTTCTCTAATGATTAGTGATGTGGAGCATTTTTTCATGTGCTTGTTGGCTGCACGTATGTCTTCTTTTGAGAAGTGTCTGTTCATGTCCTTTGTCCATTTTGTAATGGGGTTTTTTGTTTTTTGCTTGCTTATTTAAGACCCTATAAATTATGGATATTAGGATTTTGTCAGATGCATAGTTTGCAAATATCCTCTCCTACTCTGTAGGTTGTCTGTTTGCTCTGTTGATGGTTTCTTTTGCTGTGCAGAAGCTCTTCAGTTTAATTAGTTCCCACTTCTCTATTTTTGTTTTCGTTACAATTGCTTTTGGGGACTTAGCCAAAAATTCTTTGCCAAGGCCAGTGTCGAGAAGAGTATTTCCTAGGTTGTCTTCCAGGATTCTTTTTTTTTTTTTCAGAGATGGAGTTTTGGTCTTGTTGCCCAGGCTAGATTACAATGGCGCGATCTCAGCTCACCGCAACCTTCGCCTCCTGGGTTCAAGCGATTCTCATGCCTCAGCCTCCCGAATAGCTGAGATTACAGGCGTGCGCCACCACACCCAGCTAATTTTGTAGTTTTAGTAGAGACAGGGTTTCTCCATGTTGATCAGGCTGGTCTCGAACCCCCAACCTCAGGTGATCTGCCCGCCTCGGCCTCCCAAAGTGCTGGGATTACAGGTGTGAGCTACCATGCCCAGCCATCTTCCAGGATTTTTATAGTTTGAAGTCTTAAATTCAAATCTTTAATCCATTTTGAGTTGATTTTTGTATATGGTGAAAGGCAGGGGTTCAGCTTCAATCTTCTGCGTATGGCTAGCCAGTTATCCCAGCACCATTTATTGAACAGGGAGTCCTTTCTCTATTGCTTGTTTTGTCAATTTTGCTGAAGATTAGATGGTTGTAGGTGTGTGGCTTTATTTCTCACTTTTCTATTCTGTTCCATTGGTCTATGTGTCTGCTTTTGTACCAGTACCATGCTGTTTTGGTTACTGGGGCTTTACAGTATAATTTGAAGTTGGGTAGTGTGATGCCTATGGCTTTGTTCTTTTTGCTTAGGATTTCTTTGGTTATTTGGGCTCTTTTTTGGTTCCATATGAATTTTAGAATTTTTTTTTTTTTAATCTACAGAGTGCTCATGGCTCCAGTGAAGGAGATAGTAGTGAATGCTAAGTTCTAGTCCAAGGTCTTTTTTTTTTTTTTTTTTTAAGACAGAGTCTTACTCCATCATCCAGGCTGGAGTGCAGTGGCATGATTATAGCTTGCTGCAGCCTCCAACTCCGGGGCTCAATTGATCCTTCCACCTCAGCCTCCTGAGTAGCTGGAATTACAGGTGTGCGCCACCATGCTTGGCTAATTTTCTTTTCTTTTTTTTTTGTAGAGATGGGGGTCTTGCTATGTTGCCCAGGCTGGTCTGAAACTCCTGTGTTCAAACAATCCTCCCGCCTCAGCCTCTCAAAATGCTGGGATTAGAGGCATGAGCCAGTGAGCTGGCCTATAACATGTTGTTTTTATGCTATGTTTTACATTTACTTTCTGTTTTATAAAGAGATTTTAAAGCCAAGAATGGATGTTTAATTTTATTAAATGCCTTCTTAGCATTTATTAATAAAATTACATGGCTTTACTTGTTTGATCTATTAATACAATGAATTGCTTTGGTACATTTCCTAATATTGAATCATTCTGGCATTTCTGGAATCAACCCATTTTGGTCACAGTGTGCTATTTTTGAACACTTTTAAAATTTTAATTAGGATTTTTAAAAAATCCTTGGCTTTAGTCAGTTTGGCTTGTAATTTTTCTTTTTTTGCCCACGAGATGCTTTTAATGATAGAAATGACAGAGCTTGCTGGTGGATTAGATGTTGGGATTCAGGATAAAGAAGGAATCAGCTCAGCTTTATGGCCAGCTAGGGGGTTGTTGGTACCTTTTAGTGAGCCAGCGGAGTTGGAAAGTGGGTGGACCAGACTGTTCAAGTCAACAGGAAGTCTCCAAGGGAGTGCGAGGGATGGGGATTATTGGAACCACCTCCTGAGAGCTTTCAAAATGTGCATTTCAAACTGAACATGCTGAAGTTAAAATATGTTGCAAACTTCTGACTCAGAAGAGTGGACTGAGCACCTCTGTTTATTTCCTATCCTTCCTGAGGCCCCTTTAAAATAATAAAGGAGCAGGGAAAACAAGTATAAGCCAATAACTAAGAAGAGATCATAGGCAGTCATAGGCAGTCAGGAGACTGTGGTGGTGGTGGTGGGAATATCTATGCATGAGGGATTTCAAAAATTCTGGGGAGAGGAAAGCCAATAGAAAGCTGATGACTAATATGGTGGGGAAGAGGGCCTGGTGGCCTAGAATATGTGCAGTGTGGGCTATAGCCAGGGACACAGCTGGGAGACACCAGGGTCAGAAGAGGTGAAAATAGGGGCATTACCAGGTTGCTGTGGGGAGGAAGTGTTGCTTCCTCATCCCTCTTTCATACTTTCATGCAGGATTTAAAATTATTTTTTATTCAAAAAAAAATATATTTTTGAGACAGAGTCTCATTCTGTAGCCCAGGCTGAAGTACAGTGGCATGATCTAGGCTCACTGCAACCTCTGCCTCCGGGACTCAAGAGATTCTCGTGCTTCAGCCTCCCGTGTAGCTGGGACTACAGGCGTGCACCACCACGCCTGGCTAATTTTTTGTATTTTAGTAGAGACAGGGTTTCGCCATGTTTTCCCAGGGTGGTTTCGAATTCCTGAGCTCAGATGATCCACCTGCTGTGGCCTCCCAAAGTGCTGGGATTACAGGCATGAGCCACCGCACCTGGCCACTTCATGCAGGATGTCTAGCAGCCAGGCATCTAGCATCAAAGAAAAATGAACAACAATAGCAATAATAATACAACGAAAAATTAAAAATTGGCAGATTGCTCTCTAAATAAATTTAGCAAATGGTCTAGGGAGAAGCAGGACAGTAGATGGCAAGAACAACATTAGCTCCTGGATGCAAAGATGATGACTTCTAGCATTTAGCGGTCCCCAGGACTATAGCCTATTCACCCTAAAGTAGATGAGATTTGGTTAGTCAACAAGACCTACCCAAGTACACATAGTCCGTTATTTGTTTTTCTAGTGCCTCATTCTTAAATATGATAATAAAGGATCACCAGCCATTTGGGGAAAGATTACAACTTCCTTTCTTTCTTTCTTTTTCTTTTTTTTTTTTTTGAGACGGAGTTTCCCTCTTGTTGCCCAGGCTGGAGTGCAGTGGCGCTGTCTCAGCTCACTGCAACCTCAACCTCCCGGGTTCAAGCGATTCTCCTGCCTCAGTCTCCCAAGTAGCTGGGACTACAGGCACCCGCCACCACGCCTGGCTCATTTTTGTATTTTTACTAGAGACGGGGTTTCACTAAGTTGGACAGGTTGGTCTTGAACTCCTGACCTCAGGTGATCCACCTGCCTCAGCCTCCCGAAGTGCTGGGATTACAGGCGTGAGCCACCATGCCTGGCCAGAAAGCTTACAACTTTCAAAGTAAAGAAATACAAAGAAAATCAATGGAAGAACTAAAAATATGCTCTAACCATATTTGGAGAGGAAGAAGTGATGGGGGAGGGGTTGTGTAACTGAGCTAAATTCTCATCTGTCATGCCAGTAAGTGGACAGATAATATATAAAAATGGGCCAGGCGCTGTTCCTCACACCTGTAATCCCAGCACTCTGGGAGGCTGGCGCTGGCGGATTGCCTGAGGTCAGGAGTTCGAGACCAGCCTGGACAACATGGTGAAACCCCGTCTCTACTAAATATACAAAAATTAGCCGGGCATGGTGTCAGGAGCCTGTAACCCCAGCTACTTGGGAGGCTGAGACAGGAGAATCGCTTGATCCCGGCAGGCGGAGGTTGCAGGGAGCCGAGATCTTGCCATTGCACTCCAGCCTGGGTGACAAGAGTGAAATTCCATCACAACAACAACAACAACAACAACAACAACAAAAGATAAATAAATAGTGGGATAGGCTGGGCGCAGTGGCTTCCACCTGTAATCCCAGCACTTTGGGAGGCTGAGACGGGCTAATCACCTGAGGTCAGGAGTTCGAGACCAGCCTGACCAACATGGAAAAACCTTGCCTCAACTAAAAATACAAAATTAGCTGGGCGTGGTGGTGCATGCCTGTAATCTTAGCTATTCGGGAGGCTGAGGCAGGAGAATCGCTTGAACCCAGGAGGCAGAGATTGCGGTGAGCCAAGATTGCACCATTGCACTCCAGCCTGGGCAACAAGAGTGAAACTCTGTCTCAAAATAAATAAATAAACAAATAAATAAATAAATGGCAGGATAAACAGATTATTTAGAGATACAGAGATAAAGCTCAGAAAAATCAAAGAATTCAAGGAGGAACAGATAAAGGTAGAGCACCAGGGGAAAGGGGATAGAAGCTATTCTATAGTATTTGATATTTTAACCATGTGCAAATTCTGCTTTAATAAAAGACACACAGATTATTTTATTTTATTTATTATTATTATTATTATTTTTTGAGATGGAGTTTTGCTCTTGTTGCCCAGGCTGGAGTGCAATGGTGTGATCTCAGCTCACTGCAACCTCCGTCTCCTGAGTTCAAGTGATTCTCCTGTCTCAGCCTCCCGAGTGGCTGGGATTACAGGCACCCGCCACCACACCTGGCTAATTTTTGTTTGTCTGTTTGTTTTGTTTTGTTTTGTTTTGTTTTTTTGAGACGGAGTCTGGCTCTGTTGCCCAGGCTGGAGTGCAGTGGCGCGATCGCAGCTCACTGCAAGCTCCACCTCCTGGGTTCACGCCATTCTCCTGCCTCAGCCTCCCTCAGCCTGGGACTACAGGCCCCCGCCACCACTCTGGCTAATTTTTTTTGTATTTTTAGTGGAGACAAGGTTTCAGCATATTGGTCAGGCTGGTCTCGAACTCCTGACCTCAGGTGATCCGCCCACCTCAGCCTCCCAAAGTGCTGGGATTATAGACATGAGTCAACACGCCCGGCTGACACACAGATTATTTTTAAAAATAAAACCAGAAAACACAATCCACATAGCTAGGCTCTACTTAGAATGTGTATGAGGAGTAGAGGGGAGAGGAGAGAGACTGAGTGGCGGGTTGTGGGGAGAGGAGGTGGCGGCGGGGGCGGTGAGGCTCCCCAGGTGATTTTGATGAGTCTCCCTCCACCCACAACACTATAGACCAAAAGAGATGTTGGACTTTCTCTGAGATAATTATGAAACAAATTCCTGATCGATACTAACCTCCTTAAAGTCAAGTTTATATCAACTACCACGTCCTCCTGCAAATAAGTATTTTGAGGAAGACGAGTAGTTATCTTAGGTCTGATAAGTCCGAGTTATCTTAGGTCTGATAAGTCCGCATCAGTAAAAACACAAAATTGATGAGTTATACATTGGTCTGGAGAGAGGTGTGTGATCCTGGCTAAATTTGTAAAAATTAAGTGATCCTAGAATGGGAGTGGGAAGAAATAGGAAACAAACAAACAAACAACAAATGAAAACAAACACAACACTTCAAAACTTTTAACTGTCCCAAAGGCTAAGTTACAGTGGCGAAGAAGTGGAACGGAAACAGAAAGGAAAGAGCTCTTTGCGGAATTCCATTTCCCAACACTGAAAATGTTCTTCCATAAGATCTTTGGCTGGCTGGCTAGCTCCTTGTCATTCAGGTCTCGGCTTAAGTGTTATTCCTTTCATTCATCCAGCCAATAGTTATCGAGCAGCTTCCAGTGTGAGGCACTGGTCTAGCACCTGGAGAGTCGGAAGGGGTCTCTACAAACCCTCTACTCACAGGAAACAGTGAGAGGGACACAGACCATAAGCATATAAGTAGATAAATTATTGCCTGTTGGGTTTGCTGGGAAGCCAACTCTGAGATGTGTCAAAGACAAAACTAAGTCTGTGACAAAATTAACAAAAGCTCTTTATTCATAAACTTGCCTCAAGGGAACCCATCTGCCATCACTTGTGCTTCAGCTGGGATTCAAGGGTCTTAAAGACTATGTTTTATAGAGTAAGAAGAGGAAATACTGAGATAGTCTCTGATTGACAAGTGTTCTCTTATGGTTGGGAATTTTGGAAGTGGGGAGACTTCCTAATTAATCTACAGGTATATTTGGCAGTCCTTGGTTGGAACAGTTTGGGGACGTTTCAAAAGAGGAAGGATTGTTCAATCTTAAGGGCAGGGGGTTTTCTGGAGTGGAAGTTTTCCTGGAACAAGTGGATAGCGATGGCCTGCTTTTTGCAATTAAATTGTCATAATGGGGCTGGGTGCAGTGGCTCAGGCCTGTAATCCCAGCATTTTGGGAGGCTGAGGTGGGTGGATCACATGAGCTCAGGAGTTTGAGACCAGCCTGGCCAATGTGGCGAATCCCCTCTCTACTAAAAATACAAAAATTAGCTGGGTATGGTGGTGCATGCCTGTAATCCTAGCTACTTGGGAGGCTGAGGCAGAAGAATCGCTTGAACCTGGGAGGTGGAGGTTGCAGGAAGCCGAGATCACGCCACTGCACTCTAGCCTCGGTGACAGAGTGAAACTCTGTCTCAAAAAAATTAAAAAAAAAAAATTGCCCTGGAGGGGTTGGGGAAGGGAGTGTGGCTACCATGCCAGGCAGTTTCTCAGATGGAGGTTAACATGCAGGGTGTTAGTTAGGGAGTGCCCTTGTTATCAATAGCTGTGGGAGGTTGGGGAACAGCCAGGCATGGTCAGAGGGAGAGAAGCCGAGCTGCCATGCGGGCACAATAAATACCTCATGCAACCCTCTGGGGTTCTCTATTGCTAGAGTGGCCCTTTGGAGTTGTCCTGAATTGGGAAGGGATGACCAGGTCTCTGTATGCCTCCAATAATCAGTCATGGGATGTGGCCAAATCAACTGGGGCCTTTGTTTTTCCTTTAAGTTTTCAGTCTTCTGGTTACCTCTTTATTTACATATGTGAAGGACTTTGCATATTACTCAATTATATTAAGTGACATGAGATGTAACTGGAGAGTTTTTTTGGTCTGTTTTTGTTTTTGTTTTGAGCCAGTGTTTTGCTCTTGTGGCCTGGGCTCTTTTCACGCAGGCTGGAGTGCAGTGGCATAACCTCTGAGCCTCAAGTGATCCTCCCGTTTTGGCCTCCCAAAGTGCTGGGATTACAGAAATGAGCCACTATGCCTAGCCTAGTTGGAGAGTTTTGAGCAAATAAGTGCTGTAATCTTACAGGGACATGACCTTACATGCATTAAGCCAATCACAGGAACATGGACCAGTGTGGGAACAGAGGAAATAATGAGAAGAAGACAGATTCTGGATATACTTAAAAGGAAGAGTCAATAATATTTGCTATAAATTAGATGCGGGGTATGAGAGGAAGAGAGGAGTCAAGGAAGACTTCAATGTTTTTGGTGTGAACAAGTAACGTTGCTCATTCTATTGAGAAGGAAAATACTGAGAGAAGCCGATTTGGGACAGGAAGATAATCAAGATTTTAGTTTGGGACATATTGAGTTAGACATTGCCATTAGATATTCAGTTGGAGATCTTGAATAGGTAGGTGGATATGTAAGTGTGGAATTCATGAAAGAGGTTAAGTTTAGAAATGAAAAATTTAGCAATCTTCAGCATATAGATGGCATTGGGAAGGTGGTCAATCTTGATTCTTTCTGTTTATTGACCAATTTGCAAAATAATGAGTTCCCTAACATTATCTTCAGGTGACCAATGAGTAGTTTCTTAAAAATATATCTTATATGAACTCATGAATTTAAATATAACAACGTTTCCATTCTATGCAACTGTAATTCCTATTGATGCTGAAATCTTTGGCCAGTGGAAGTTCCTGTAAATTGGCACATTAATTCTTTTGACACTTTCCCAGCAGTCTTTGATAGCTTCCTTACTTTCTAGTATGACGAGTTATTTCAAGCCCATCTTGTGTATTTCCTACCCTAGACCCAGAATCAGCTGTTTCTTCAAGGAGCTCTGGTCTTTTCTAGTGTGAAATAGTATTTGGATACCACAATCTGGGTATTCTTTGCTACTGGATCAGTCATTGCTTTTATGCTTTTTCAGTGTTAGAGCTTGGAAATAGATTTTTTTTTCTATAAAGATAAAAAGCATAATGAGTTCATATATAATACTTCCTAAAATTTGAGACTAGAGAGTTTTGCTTAACCTCTTTGATATTAAATCTGTATCTCTATTTATTCTCTCATACCAAAAATTTCAGTTTCCAATTTCATCAACATGTTACATGAAACAGTCTGAGAATATCAACACCAACACTACCACTAACATGATTGCTGAAAAGAGTTTAAGACTTTTTGGATTTCCTTTTGCATTTAGAGTATATCCTACTAAGAATGTATAGACAGATCACTGTACTTTTTTTTTTTTTTTGGATACAGGTCTCACTCTGTCACCCAGGCCGGAGTGCAGTGGCACGATCGTGGCTCACTGCAGCCTTGACCTCCCAGGCTCAAGCGATCCTCCCACCTCAGCTTCCTGAGTAGCTGGGACTGACACCTGGCTAATTTTTGTTTTGTTTTGTTTTGTTTTGTTTTGTTTTGTTTTGTTTTGGTAGAAACAAGGTTTCACCATCTTGCCTAGGGTGGTCTCAAACTCCTAGGCTCAAGCAATCCTCCTGCCTCAGCCACCCAAAGTGCTGAGATTACAGGCATGAGCCACTGTGCCTGGCCAAATCACTGTATTTAAAAATAAATTGAAATAATTATTCTCTGTGCAGTTATTCTACCAATTTGATAGATAATTGGTTTCATTTGTTTCATGCAGTTTTCAGATTTTAGGGATTGTTTGAAAAAATTTAATTTTGTTTTCTAATTAGGTAAAATAGATGATTTCAAAATCAAATATTCAAAGTATATTTGGAGAAGTCTAGCTTCCAGCCTTGTCCCTCCCACCCTGTTCCCTCTCTCTATAAATGGGTAACTTAGGCCGGGCGTGGTGGCTCACGCCTGTAATCCCAGCACTTTGAGAGGCCAAGGCAGGCAGATCACGGGGTCAGGAAATCGAGACCATGGTGAAACCCCGTCTCTACTAAAAATACAAAAAATCAGCCGGGCGCGGTGGCGGGCACCTGTAGTCCCAGCTACTCAGGAGGCTGAGGCAGGAGAATGGCGTGAATCGGGGAGGCGGAGCTTGCAGTGCACTGAGATCGTGCCACTGCACTCCAGCCTGGGCGACAGAGCAAGACTCCATCTCAAAAAAAATAAAAATAAGTAAATAAATAAATAAATAAGTAACTTAAAAATGTTTTTGCTTATCCTTCCATTTAGAAAATATAAGAAAATACAGGTTGAGAGACAATTTTCTGTGGTCCTCTCACATTTCTTCATATCTTTTGAACAGAGTCACTGACTGCTTTTGTTCTGGACTATCATTTTAGGGATGTCTGTGTAAGCTAACAGCCCTGGTACATAGAGATAGTGGCTTCCTTTGCAATGTAAGGCAGACATGCTTACTGTTCATTATAAAAGATTCAGATTTTCTTTTTTTTCTTTCTTTTCATAGGTTATTGGGGTAGAGATGTATTCAGACTTTCTAAGCTCAAGGTTTCTTTCCTGCAATGCATCCCACTGCATATGCAGGCCTCACCTGATCCTCTTCATGTCAGCCTTTAGGAATTGCGGCTTGGAGAGCAGGCTGAAATATTGATACTCTGACTACTGCTGTTGCTGTGAATAATAAATGCCTTTGTCTCTGACCCAAGAATCTTGTGTCTTCTGCCAGAATCCCATAAAACCATGGCAGGCTAACTTGTTAGATTGCAAGTAGGATAAAATCTCAGACCCTTCACTGTTCTTGACTATATATATTTGTATTCTACCATATCCATTTCTTAGAAAAGTGTTACTGTTCTATACATACTTTGCCCATTTAAGGATAAAGTACAGGAGTTATTTCAAATCAAGGGACTTAATGAGATCATCTAGGGAGTGAGTGAAGATCAAAAAGAAGTCCAGAGATGAGCCCTGGGGCACTCCAATATTTGGATGTTGAAAAGATAAAAATCATCATAGAAGATTGAGAAGAAGCAGTCAGTGGCATATAAAGAGAATCAAAAAAGAGTGATGGCCCAGATTCTGAAATCTTTCTTAGCCAACTTTCCTGAAAAACTCTATCTAAGGTAGCACCCCATCCCCAACCCAATCACTCTGTATTTATCACCTCTTTTAAATACTTTATGTAATTTATAACCATCTGAAATGGTTCATTTATTTCTTTATTTAACTGCTACATTAGATCATTTACTCCATGAGTGCAGAGACCACATCTAAAAAGATTACCATTACGTCCCCAGCAACTAAAACAGGGCCTTACATACAGTAGGCACTCAACAAATACGTGTGAAATTAATGAATGCAGACATGTATACACGAATGAAAGAATGAGTATCTTCTGGACTAAAGGTACTTGGACAGATTCTTAGATAAATTTACTTTTACAAATTCTTTACAGAAATAATCTGACTTACAGTGAGGATTCAACACAAAACAAAATTAGCAAGATTTCATTATATACATCTCAGGGAACTTAAGGTTTTGGTGAATTTCTTTTTTTCTTTTTCTTTTCTTTTTTTTTTTTTTTTTTTTTTTTTGAGCTCTTTTGCCGAGGCTGGAGTGCAGTGGTGCAGTCTCGGCTACTGCAACCTCTGCCTCCTGGGTTCAAGCGATTCTTCTGCCTCAGCCTCCCAAGTAGCTGGGACTACAGGTGCAACCATCTTGCCCGGCTAATTTTTTTTGTATTTTTAGTAGAGACAGGGTTTCACCATATTGGCCAGGCTGGTGTGAACTCCTGACCTCGTGATCCACCTGCCTCGGCCTCCCAAAGTGTTGGGATTACAGGCGTGAGCCACGGTGCCCGGCGGCTTTGGTGAATTTCATTAGAGACTTCAGAGCTTATTTTTGAGAGCCCAGGAGGAACCCTACAGCCTGGGAAATGACAAATTGCTTGTACGTGCCCATGTGTGTCTGTGTGTGCATATTAAAAAAGAAAAAAAGAATAATTCAAGTAATTATAGATATCTAGATACTTGGGAAAACATCAGAACAAATTATGAATCAATAAATTTTCCAGCACTTAATAAAGCAAAAATTAGTGTGTGGCTAGCATTATGATCCCATGGTGAGCCAGTGTTCCAGTCTTACTCTGTTTTCTATTATGAGTGCCATGTCATGCTGATCCTGGAGAAGCAATAGGTGTAATCTATTTAGACTTCATTAAGGTTTACATGTCCTCCAGCATGCTTTTCTACTCAACAACCCAGACAGATAAGGCCTATATCCACTGTATCCAAGAAGACTATCCTGCTTGCCAAAAGTGTAGCAGGAACCCAATCATATTTATTACTACTATTTAGAGCTAGTAGCAGCCTGGGGAGAGAGTGGTGGAGAAAAATGACAGGATCATAGGGAAAAGGTAAACACAACAAAGTAGAGGAAAAAGGAAAATATAATACCTTGGCTCAGGTATTGTTTATTATTTATGTATAGGAAAATATTCTGTTCATCCCACATGGTACTTGACAGATACAATGGATGACCTTGACCTAGCTATAGGGCTTTGATAGCAGAGCTTATCAGGTTTAATAAATAAATACATTTTATAACCAAGGGATATATTTTTCAACTTATAGTACCTTTAAAAGCTATTTTATTTTTTTCTGATGATAGATAAAATTAACATTTTCTAAAAGAAAAAAATACACAAAAAAAATCAGAGTATAGTAAGAGACAATATAGCTTAGTGTTTAAAAAACCATAAATTTTGGTGCCAGATAGTACTGGGTTCACATTCAGGCTCTACTACTTGATGGAACCATGTGACCTTTATCTTGCCTGAGCCTCAATTTCTGCAATAATAAAATGGGAATAATAGTACTTAATTTGTACAGTTGTTGTAAAGATGAAAAGACCTTGGGTTTTCTACTTCAAATAATATGAAAGATTGAATAGTGCAATAAACCTTTCCATAACAAGGCACTTAGAAATCATGGATAAAATACAACTCCAAGAAAGCAAATCTCCAGGAGCCAAAAAGGAACATAAAATAGAAACCAAAGTGATAGGTAAGCTCCAAAACCACTTGTAGTTGCTGCTGTAAGAAATGCAGAACTCTGTTTTTCAGTGTCTGTACAGGGATCCAGCACAGCACACAGGGCTCTGGGCCCACACAAGGGGGTGAGGGTTGTTGGAACTGCAGCTTCACATGAAGTCAGGACTGTCTAAGAACTACAGCCTAGTGAAATAGTAGGCCAGAAAAAGAGTCTGCTTGCAGCAAGGGGAGAAAACAAGTCTTGTTTGTCTCAATTCCCCCTTTAAGTGGTGAAAAAAGTCTTCCCTGAAAATTTAGAGCTGGCTGTTAGCCTGCCTTCATATGTGGTTAGAATTTAAATTTATATCACTTATTGGCCAGGTGCAGTGACTCACACCCGTAATGTCAGCACTTTGGGAGGCTGAGGCAGGCAGATCACCTGAGGTCAGGAGTTCAAGACCAGCCTGGCCAACATGGTGAAACCCTATCCCTACTAAAAATACAAAAATTAGCTGGGCATGGTGGCATGTGCCTGTAATCCCAACTACTCGGAAGGATGAGGCACAAGAATCCCTTGAACCTGGGAGGTGGACATTGCAGTGAGCCGAGATCGTGCCACTGCACTCCAGCCTGGGTGACAGAGCAAGTGTCCGTCTCAAAAAAATTTATATTACCTATTGTCTTAGTTCATTCATGCTGCTGTAACAAAATAGCAAAGACTGGGTAATTTATAAACAATAGAAATTTATTTCTCACAGTTCTGGAGGCTGAGAAGTCCTAGACCAAGGTGCTGGCAGGTTTGGTGTCTGGTGAGGGCTGCTCTCTGCTTCCAAGATGGTGCTTTGTTGCTGCATCTTCTGGAGGGGATGAATGCTGCTTCCTCACAGAGCAGGAGGGATGAACTTGCTCTCTCTTTTTTTTTTTTTGAGATGGAGTCTTGCACTGTCGCCAGGCTGGAGTGAAGTGGCTCGATTGATCTTGGCTCATTGCAACCTCTGCCTTCTGGGTTCAAGTGATTCTCCTGCCTCAGCCTCCTAAGTAGCTGGGATTACAGGCGCCCACCACCATGCCCAGCTAATTTTTTGTATTTTTAGTAGAGACGGGGTTTCACTATGTTGACCAGGCTGGTCTCGAATGCCTGACCTCGTGATCCACCTGCCTCAGCCTCTCAAAGTGTTGGGATTACAGGCATGAGCCACCGCTCCCAGGCTTTTTTTTTTTTTTTTTTTTTGAGACGGAGCCTTGCTCTGTCGCCTAGGCTGGAGTGCAGTGGCACAATCTCGGCTCACTGCAACCTCCACCTCCCAGGTTCAAGGGATTCTCCTGCCTCAGCCTCCTGAGTAGCTGGGACTACAGGTGCCTGCCACCATGCCTGGCTAATTTTTGTATCTTTAGTAGAGACGGGGTTTCAACATGTTGGCCAGGCTGGTCTTGAACTCCTGACCTCAGGTGATCTGCCCGCCTCGGCCTCCCAAAGTGCTGGGATTACAGGCCTGAGCCACAGTACCTGGCCTTATCTTAATTTTTACTACCTAAATTGAACACTATTATTATTTACTGATAGAGTTCATATGTGTTTAAATTCCCCCACCCCATTTTTCCCAGTTTACTTGTTTGCCGTTATTCTTATATCTCAGACCTTCATTATGGAATCATTCTTCCTGAAGAACATACGATAGAAAATTCTCAATTTTTCCTTATCTGGAAATATCTTTACTTTTCTCTCACTTTTAAAAGATAATTTGGCCAAGTGCAGTGGGTCACGCCTGTAATCCCAGCACTTTGGGAGGCTGAGGTGGGTGGATCACCTGAGGCCAGGAGTTTGAGACCAACTTGGGCAACATGGTGAAACCCCCTGTCTCTATTTAAAAAAAAAAGTACAAAAATTAGCCAGTCTTGGTGGCGGGCGCCTGTAATCCCAGCTACTCAGGAGGCTGAGGCATGAGAATCACTTGAACCCGGGAGGCCAAGGTTGCAGTGAGCCAAGATTGCGCTGCACTCCAGGCTGGGGTTAGAGTGAAGACTCTGTCTCAAAAAAAAAAAAAAAAAAGAATAGAAATAAAGTAAAATCCAGGTTTGTGCTGTTTACCTGTATGTACAATACCTCAGAATGATTGAAAATAAAAGGTTAAGAAAGGATATTTTAGTACCATACAGTAACCAAAAGAAATGTGAGTAGTTGTATTAATATCAGACAAGGGCCTGGCGCAGTGGCTCACGCCTGTAATCCCAACACTTTAGGATGCCAAGTCAGGCAGATCACCTGAGGTCAGGAGTTTGAGACTAACCTGGATAACATGGCAAAGCCCTTTCTCTACAAAAAATACCAAAAAAACCAAAAACCAAAAAACAAAAAAAATTAGCCAGGCATGGTGGCGAATGCTTGTAATTCCAGCACTTTGAGGGGCAGAGGCGGGCGGATCACCTGAGGTCAGGAGTTCGAGACCAACCTGGACAACATGGTGAAATGCCGTCTCTACTAAAAATACAAAAATTAGCCAGGCATGGTGGTGGGTGCCTGTAATCCCAGCTACTCGGAAGTCCGAGGCAGGAGAATTGCTGGAACCCGGGAGGCGGAGTTTGCAGTAAGCCGAGATTGCTCCACTGCACTCCAGCCTGGGTGACAGAGAAAGACTCTGTATCAAAAAAACAAAACAAAGCAAAACAAAACAAAACAAAAAACCAAAAAAACGAGACATGAATAGTTTTTTTTGTTTTTTTTGAGACAGTCTTACTCTGTCACCCAGGCTGGAGTGCAGTGGCGCAATCTGGGCTCACTGCAACCTCCGTTACCCAAGCTCAAGCAATTTTCCTGCCTCGGCCTCTTGAGTAGCTGGGATAACAGGTGCGTGCCACCACTCCCAGCTAACTTTTTGTAGAGACGGGATTTCACCATGTTGGCCAAGCTGGTTTCAAACTCCTGACCTCAAGCTATCTGCCCACCTCGGCCTCCCAATGTGCTGGGATTACAGGTGTGAGTCACTGTGCCTGGCCCCAAAATAGACTTTGTGATGTGACAGAGATAGCTAGCTATCCATTAAATCTCTCTCTCTCTCTTTATTTTGTTTTTTTTGAGATCAGGTCTCACTCTGTCACCCAGGCTGGAGGGCAGTGATGCAATCTTGGCTCACTGCAGCCTCAACCTCTTAGGCTCAAGCAATCCTCCCACCTCAGCCTCCCTAGTAGTTGGGACTACACGCACGTGCCAATGTGTCTGGCTAATTTTTTTTTTTTTTTTTTGAGATGGAGTCTCACTCTGTTGCCAGGCTGGAGTGCAATGGTGTGATCTTGGCACACCACAACCTCTGCCTCCTGGGTTCAAGTGATTCTCCTGCCTCAGCCTCCCTGAGTAGCTGCGATTACAGGCGTGTGCCACCACACCCAGCCAATTTTGAATTTTTAGTGAAGACGGGGTTTCTCCATGTTGGTCAGGCTGGTCTCAAACTCCTGACCTCAGGTGATCCACCCGCCTTGGGCTCCCAAAGTGCTGGGATTACAGGCATGAGCCACCACACCCAGCTTTTTTTTTTTTTTTGTATTTTTAGTAGAGATGAGGTTTCGCCATGTTGGCCAGGCTGATCTCGAACTCCTGATCTCAAATGATCCGCCTGCCTCAGCCTCCCAAAGTGCTGGGATTATAGGCATGAGCCACCGTGCCCAGCCTGCCCGGCTAATTTTTGTATTTTTTGTAGAGATGGGGTTTCACTGTGTTGCCCAGGCTGGTCTTGAACTCCTGGGCTCAAGCAATCTGCCCCCTTCAGCCTCCCACAGTGCTGGGATTACAGGTGTGAGCCACTGCGCCTGGTCCAAATCTTTTTTTTTTTTTTATAGAGTTATAAATGGGAAGTAGCTGGACCATCAGGGATTACGTTTCCAAGTTCTGCTTTTATCTACGAGTGGCCATAAGATCAGGTATTGCCAGTCAACCATGAGTGGAACTGAGTGGACCATGAATCCAATTGATGAGTGGACTGTGGAATATGGTTGGAAAGTCAAATGGAATTGACTTGTTCCAAATCATTTGTTGCAAGCACAGGGTTTGGCACATACTGACTCAAAATTTTGATGCAGAGTTTCCTGTTTTTGTCATTCTAAACAAAATTTGCCCCAAATTGCACCACCCAGGGTAAAACTGTATTCTATTTCTTTCTAGGTTCTTATCTAAACATAATTCTGTAACATAAAACAAAGTAGGGTTCTCATGGTACACACAGACCTCCTCATGAAACCCTATTTTTGTTTCTTGTTACTGAATGCTCCTCCAAGGCATGACTTTTTTTTTTGAGATGGAGTCTTGCTCTGTTGCCCAGGCTGGAGTGCAGTGTCACGATCTCAGCTCACTGCAACTTCAGCTTGTCAGGTTCAAGCGATTCTCCTCCGTTAGCCCGGCTAATTTTTTGTATTTTTAGTAGAGACGGGGTTTTTACCGTGTTGGCCAGGCTGGTCTCGGACTCCTGACCTCAGGTGATCCACCCGCCTTGGCCTCCTAAAGTGCTGGGATTACAGGTGTGAGACACCTTACCCAGCTCAAGGCATGATTTTCAAGCTTGCCATAACAGTCTGTAAATCAGCACAGTGCAGGACACGAGGTAGCCTTTAAGTGTTAGCAATGAGTATTGAGGGCAAGGAGCCCAAGTCTGATAAGGGAGGAGATGGAAGATGTAGCACAGTTCACCCAACTACTATCCTGACACTCATGATAATGACTATCACTGCCTAAACATTTTTGTATCTCTGATCTTTGTTTTTTATGAGACAGAGTCTAGCTCTGTTGCCCAGGCTGGAGTGCAGTGGCACGATCTTGGCTCACTGCAACCTCCGCCTCCCGGGTTCAAGCGATTTCTGGCTAATTCTTGTATTTTTGGTAGAGACGGCGTTTCACCATGTTGGCCAGGCTGGTCTCGAACTACTGACCTCAGGTGATCCGCCTGCCTTGGCCTCTCAAAGTGCAAGGATTACAGGTGTTAGCCACTGCGCCTGGCCAGTATCTCTGATAATTTCTTAAGGATAAATCACTAGAAGCCGAATTACTAGATCCATGAATAAAGGCATGTTTAAGATTCTTGATACAGGCTATCAAATTGCTTTCTGAAAGATTGCATCAATTTATAATCCTTTGATCTGCCTTGTAAAATAGGAATCATTATTCCCATTTAACATATCAGATAACTGAGTCTCAGAGAAGATTAAGAAACTTGTTACAAGTCACAGCTAAAGCTGGGCATTGAATACAACTAAAAAGTTACCATTCCATTCCATTTTAAATTTACTATGGGGCTTAGTTTTTCCCCAAAAAACTGTATGCCAAAGCTACCAAACAACAGGCCTGGAGCCTTTCAAAAACATCAATGTGGCCAGGCATGGTGGCTCACGCCTGTAATCCCAGCACTTTGGGAGGCTGAGGTGGGTGGATCACCTGAGGTCAGGAGTTCGAGACCAGCCTGGCCAACATGGTAAAAACCCCATCTCTAATAAAAATACAAAAATTAACTGGGCATGGTGGCAGACACCTGTAATCCCAGCTACACGGGAGGCTGAGGCAGGAGAATTGCTTGAACCCGGGAGGTGGAAGTGCAGTGAGTCAAGATCCTTCCATTGCACTCCAGCCTGGGCGACAAGAGAGAAACTGCATCTGAAAAAAAAAAAAAAAATCCATGCTATGAAAGTCCAAAAAATAAATTAGAGGCCGGCGAGGTGACTCGCGCCTGTAATCCCAGCACTTTGGGAGGCCGAGGTGGGCGGATTACCTTAGGTCAGGAGTTCGAGACGAGCCTGGCCAACATGATGAAACCCTGTCTTTAATAAAAACACTAAAATTAGCCAGGCATGGTGGCACACAGCTGTAATCCCAGCTACTCGGGAGTCTGAGGCAGGAGAATCGCTTGAACCTGGGAGGCAGAGGTTGCAGTGGGCTGAGATTGTGTCACTGTGCTCCAGCCTGGGTGACAGAGTGAGACTCCATCTCAAAAAATAAAAAATAAGTTTAAAAATAAATAAATAAATAAATAAATTCTGAAAAACAGCTAGGGACTTTTCTAGATTAAAGGACACTAAAGAGACATGTAATGCATGATCCTCCATTAGAAACTGAATTTTAAAAAACCAGCTTATTACAAAGGGCATTTTGCGGAAAGTTCAGTAAATTTAAATATAGACTGTATATTAAACAACAGTACTGTACCAATGTTAAAGTTTGCAAATGTGGGCCAGGTGCAGTGGCTCACGCCTGTAATTCCAGGCCTTTGGGAGGCCCAGGCGGGTGAGTCACCTGAGGTCAGGAGTTCGAGACCAGCCTGACCAACATGGTGAAACCCTATCTCTACTAAAAATACAAAAATTAGCCTGGCATGGTGGCGGCTCCTGTAATCCCAGCTACTCGGGAGGCTGAGGCAGGAGCATCACTTGAACCCGGGAGGCGGAGGTTGCAGTGAGCTGAGATCGCGCCACTGCACTCCAGCCTGGGCAACAGAGCAAGACTGTCTCAAAACAAAACAAAACAAAGTTTGCAAATGGGATAACAATATTGTGGTTACGTAGGATAATGTCTTTATTCTTAAAAGGTACATGTTGGCTGGGTGCGGTGGCTCACGCCTGTAATCCCAGCACTTTTGGGAGGTCGAGGTGGGCGGATCACCTGAGGTTGGGAGTTCAAGACCAGCCTGACCAACATGGAGAAACCCCGTCTCTACTAAAAATACAAAATTAGCCAGGTGTGGTGGTGCAAGCCTGTAGTCCCAGCTACTTGGGAGGCTGAGGCAGGAGAATCACTTGAATCCGGGAGGAGGAAGTTGTGGTGAGCTGAATTCGTGCCACTGCACTCCAGCCTAGGCAACAAGAGTGCAACTCCGTCTCAAAAAAAAAAAGGTACATATTGAAATATTAGGATTGAAATGTCATAATATCTACAATGAGTTCTCAGATGGTTCAGGAAAAGAAAGAAAGGAAGAAAAGGAGAAATAATGAAATATATATGGGAGGATAATGTAGGATAATGTCTTTATTCTTAAAGGTACATATTGAAATACTAGGATTGAAGTCTCATAATATCTACAGTGAATTCTCAGAAGGTTCAGAAAAAGAAAGAAAGAAGAGGAAAAAGGAGAAACAAGAAAAAAAGAGAAATAAAGAAAAGAAATATATATGGGGAGAGGGGAGAGAGTAAATGTGCTGCGTTTGGCGAATCTTGGTAAAGGATATACGGGTATTCATTGTGGTATTCTGAAAGTTTGAAATTTCACAAAATAATATACTGCTGAATAAAAAATTGATACAAAACATAACGTTGGTGCTGGATCTTTAACATGATTTCTAAAGTAGTAAAGACTTTGCAAAGGAGTGCCTCCTTTCTTTTTAAAGTGTTTGAAAAAATGCTTTAAAGAAAGCCCCATTCCCTTTAGGCTCATGGGACCCTAATGCATTTTCCCCCATGAAGCTGATTTTTAGGCTGTTAAATAATTGCTGCTGACTCATTTGCTTGTGGTCCCTGGATTTTGTAGTTTAGTCCTGTGATTACTGTTGTCTTGGTGATTAGCAATCTCTTACACTATCAGAGCCGGATTTCATGTCTCTTTTTTCTCCCTCCCTGGAGGCAATTATAACTCATCCCCGGGAGAATCATGAGTGTGAGGACTGGGCAGTGAGAAGGCATAGGATTCTTTTCTATATTTTCATTCCTTTTCTTTTATTGGCTAGCTGTATCTGTCATAAATAGGTTGAGGGAAATTAAAGTCTTAAGGTGTAATATATTTCTCTGGCACATTCTATTTGCCAACTTAAAATATGCTATATAGACTGTGCTCATTCATTGACAACAATTGAGATATGAATTCTGTAATAGAAAATTCTATTTGCGATTGTATAAATGTACACATTGTATTTTCCTTTTTAAGGAAGAAACTATTTTAAAATGTACTATTAAAAGCAGAATTGTTTAAAATGAAATGGCATTACCTTTTGCCTTATCTAAATAAGCAGAATTTAATTTTATAGTGCTAACATTGTTATATTTCGAGCAATAGCAATAACAGTAGTGGAAAAAGAGTGTTGAGTTACCTGTTCCTTAATGAAAAGTTTGGTATGAGGTAGTTTCTGGGGAGTTGGCAGGTAGAAGTCTCCATGAATACATCTTGTTTCTAGGTCAATTCCGCTTAAGAGTGGCACTGAAATTGTGGTGTAAACAGCTTGTAATCCTGTCTGCTTGTTTCAATCCTGCTGTGTTGCTTTGAGGAAGTGCAAATCTCTCAGAAGGTCAATAGTTCAGCTCAATGTGGTCTTTCCTTCCAGCAACATCCCCTTGAATAATATTTGTTGGTGAGAAAGCAAAGAGGACATTGATAAGGAATCAGTATTAACTTGGGGTAAAATATTTATGCACAAATTTAACCGAAAAGCTTATGCAGTTTAATTGAGTTGAATTAAGATTTACCTATTTTTGAGCAAGGTGTATAGTTGGCGTCTCAGGATTGTCATAATTGCCATGTTTCTTAGGTTTATCTTTTATTTCATTTCATTTTAACTTTTTACTTGGAAATAATTTAAATTTATGGATGGATTTCATTTAGAAAAATTAATACAAAGATCTTGGGTATATCTTTCACCTAGATTTACCAGTTGTTAGCATTTTGCAACACATTTTTTTCCTCTCTCTATATATACGCATATACATATTATTGTTTTGTCATTATTATTATTAGTTTTGTAAACCATTCGAGAGTAGTCACAGAGTTCATGCCCCTTTTCCTTCTCAAAACTTAAAAGTGTATTTTTTTAAAGAACAGGGACATTCTCTTTCATAAACATAGCAAAATAATCAAATTCAGAAAATGTAATATTGCTACAATACTGTGATGTAGTACATAGTACATACTGAAATTTTGCCAGTTATCCTGATAATGTTCTCTTTTTTGTTTTGTTTTGAGATGGAGTTTCACTCTTGTTGCCCAGGCTGGAGTGCAATGGCGTGATCTCAGCTTACCGCAACCTCTGCCTTCCAGGTTCAAGTGATTCTCCTGCCTCAGTCTCCCGAGTAGCTGGGATTACAGGCGCATGCCATCACGCCCAGCTAATTTTGTATCATTAGTAGAGACGGGGTTTCTCCATGTTGGTAAGGCTGATCTTGAACTCCTGACCTCAGGTGATCCGCCCACCTCAGCTTCCCAAAGTGCTGGGATTACAGGCGTGAGCCACTGCGTTCGGCCCCCGATAATGTTCTTCATAGCAACTTTTTCTCCCTTGATCTAGAATCCAATCTAGGATCATATCCCACATTTAGCAGTCAGATCTTCTCTAAACTTTTAAAGTCTGAAACAATTTTTTCACTTTCTGTCTATCATGACATTGACATTTAAAAATAGTACTATAATAATAGTTGTTTAGTAGAATATCCCTCAATTTAGGTTTGTGTATTTCTTTTCTTTTAGAGATGGGGTCTTGCTATGTTGTCCAGAGTGGGGTCCAGTGGCTTACTGCAGCCTTGATTTTCTGGGCTTCAGCCGTTCTTCCACCTCAGCCTCATAAGTAGCTGGGACTATAGTCATGCTTATATTGTGTATACTTGGCGGAGAACACCAGAGAAGCAATGTTGTGTTATTCTCAGTGCATATCAGGAGGCAGCTTGTCCCATTATTGATGATGCTACCTTGAATTACTTGGTTAAGGAGGTAACCGCCGGGCGCAGTGGCTCACGCCTGTAATCCCAGCACTTTGGGAGGCCGAGGCAGGCGGATCATGAGGTCAGGAGATCGAGACCATCCTGGCTAACACGGTGAAACCCTGTCTCTACTAAAAATACAAAAAATTAGCCGGGCGTGGTGGCGGGCGCCTGTAGTCCCAGCTACGCGGGAAGCTGAGGCAGGAGAATGGCGTGAACCCGGGAGGCGGAGCTTGCAGTGAGCCGAGATCACACCACTGTACTCCAGCCTGGGCGACAGAGCGAGACTCTGTCTCAAAAAAAAAAAAAAAAAAAAAGGAGGTAACCTCCATATTTCCCCGTAGTAAAATTATCATTTTTCCTTTTTAATGCAATATGTTTTTTGAAGCTGCTACTTACTAATATTACAATGGCTAAAGGCAATAGTAGAGATTAAAAGTAGTGCAAAATTATAAATGTGATACAAAAACAATAATGGTAATTCTATTTCAAATAAATTTAAGAAATCTGATTATTTCAGATTTGGCTGTTGCATGCATAATCTTAATAGGATTGTGTTTGTCTCACATGGAATTGTGTTATATGATCATCCATCCTAACACTTTAAATAAACAATCTATTTAATATGTTCCAACTTTGTGTCTAGTCTTACCCTCACTGGAAATACCTGGAATTGTAGACTGTATAAATACAGTTCTGTATCAATTTTAATTATATTTTATAGGATTTTTCCAATGTGGCTCCTGGAACAGGGCATATCAAGGCATTTGTATTTTTCAATAAACATTTCAAATAATTGAATGCATCTTCCTTAATGCCTACCTGAGAAATCT
This sequence comes from Homo sapiens, assembly GCF_000001405.40. Lineage (NCBI taxonomy): Eukaryota > Metazoa > Chordata > Mammalia > Primates > Hominidae > Homo > Homo sapiens. The sequence goes on along the minus strand of NC_000023.11, from coordinate 44,745,249 downwards.
CAAAAACCAAAGCAAACATGAGTTTGGTCACAATGTGCATACAAGGAACATCATAAAAATAACACAGATCAGAAAAATTTGCTCTATGTCAGTGTTCAAAACATTTTTATTCCTCAAATGATCTCGCACACATCAGGCAACCATCCAATGATGCTAAGCAATTATTAGTAATAACAAGGAAGCATCGCTGTGGGTTTGGGCCACCCACAGCCCACGTTGCACATCATTAGGGCTCCCCTGATGTATTTCTTTGTGGCTTCTTTTCTCTGACCACATCAAAGCCTGAAGCAGAATATGATGATCTGAAAAGATAGACACAGTCAATGTATTGACCTCTGAAATTGGCTGCCTGCAAACTGGCTTCTTCTTGTTTCTGGGAACCCTTCTTAACTCTGTCTCTTAATTTCTGTCTGGCTTGGATTGCATTTCAATAGGCTCTGACTTTGTTGGAATGGGGAAGAGGAAAACTGCCACCTTGCAATAATGAGATTGGAATCTTAAGCTTCTCTGTGTTTCAGAATGATGTATCAATATCATTTTGAAGTAGCCTTACATATTCTCATCCCCTTTCACACACAAAGATAACAATAGACAGTATATAGAGTACTTGAATTGGAATATATATATATGTGTGTGTATATATATATGTGTGTGTATATATATATATATATATATATTTTTTTTTTTTTTTTTTTTTTTTGAGAATGGAGTCTCGCTCCTTTGCCCAGGCTGGAGTGCAGTGCCACAATCTCAGCTCTCTGCAACTTCCATCTCCTAGGTTCAAGCGATTCTCCTGTCTCAGCCTCCCGAGTAGCTGGGACTACAGGCGTGCGCCACCACGCCTGGCAATAGTCTTGTACAAGTTAAAATATATTCCAATTTGGTCGGGTGCAGTGGCTTACGCATGTAATCCCAGCACATTGGGGGGCTAAGGCAGGTGGATCACCTGAGGTCGGGAGTTCGAGGCCAGCCTGACCAACAAGGTGAAACCCCATCTCTACTAAAAATACAAAAATTAGCCTGGCATGGTGGCAGGCACCTGTAATCCCAGCTACTTGGGAGGCTGAGGCAGGAGAATCACTTGAACCCTGGAAGCGGAGGTTGCAGTGAGTCGAGATCGCACCATTGCACTCCAGCCTGGGTGACAGAGAGAGACTCTGTCTCAAAAAAAAAAAAAAAAGACTATCTTTCCCCTTTTCTTTTTAAATTATGATAAATGTTAAATGCAAAACATCTGCAATCCTCTAAAGGAATGATCCTAGAAGTAAGTAGGGAATTTATATAGTGTTGCGCCCCAGTTTAGTTGGTTTCTAGTAATGCAATCATTATTTTGTTTTGGAGTTTTCTGAACAAATCATAATGATATCATAATTCATATGTTAATATTCCTGCGTTACAGAGAGCTTTTTTTTTTTTTTTTTTTTGGTTTGAGATGGAATCTCTCTCTGTCACCCAGGCTGGAGTGCAGTGGTGTGATCTCGGCTCACCGAAACCTCCGCCTCCCAGGTTCAAGCGATTCTCCTGCCTAAGCCTCCTGAGTAGTTGGGATTACAGACGTGCACCACCATGCCTGGCTAATTTTTTGTATATTTAGTAGAGACTGGGTTTCACCATGTTGGTCATGCTGGTCTTGAACTCCTGACCTTGTGATCTGCCTGCCTCAACCTCCCAAAGTGCTGGGATTACAGGCGTGAGCCACCGTGCAGACCGAGAGCTCTATTTTTAACCTAATAATTAAGTTTTAAAATGGACCTTATTTCTCAAGGGTAGATTTTGAGAAAAGGGTAGATTTTAATTACAGGCTGCACGTTAGTTTCGGCAGCCATAACAGAATACCACAAATTTAGTGGCTTAAAACAACATCCATTTATTACAGCTCTGTAGGTCAAAAATCTGGGAATAGCATGGTTCAACCGGGTCTTCACCTTAGGGTCTCACAATGCCAAAAGCAAGGTTTTGGCAGAGCCTTTCTGGAGGTTCTGGGAAATAATCCACTTTCAATCTCATTTGGACTGTTGGCTGAATTTAGTTTCTTGTGATTTAAGGGCTAAGATCCCCATTTCCTTGCTGGCTGTCAGTCAGGAGCTGGTCTTTGCTGCTAGAGGCTGCCTGCATTCCTTTTCATGCTTTCCATGTGGCTCTCTCTAGCAATGGCAGGTCAAGTCCCTCTTATGCTTCAAATCTCTCTGACTTCTGCCCATATCTTTCTTCTGCTTCCAGCCAGAGAAAGCTCTCTGCTTTTACGAGCTCATGTGATTAGATTGGGCCAATTCAGATAATTCAGGATGAGTTCCTTATCTTAAAGTCCATAACCTTAACCACACCTATAAAATCCGTTTTTACCATGGAACGTGACATATTTATAGGCTCCAGGGGTTAGGATGGGATATCTTTGGGAGGCTATTATTTGGCCCACCACAGACCGGAAAAAAACAAACAACAGCAACAACAACAAAAAACAAAACAAAACAAAAAAAACACCAACAGATTAAATACTCAAGGTTTATCATTAACCTGAGGATTTCCAAACACAGACATCAGCAGCTTTCTCGAATTCATGCATAGCACCTACTATAAAACATGGTACGTGATAGATTCTTCCTGTTTAGCAGGTGAATACAGGAGGTAGGAGTCTTGGAGATGAACAACAGACAAGCCCAGATGTTCTTCTAACATAGATCAGTTAATCAGGGGCTTGGAGGTGAGGATAGGGATAAAGTTGTGGAGTTCTAATCCTAGAGCTTGACTCAGACTTCTAAAGAGTGGCAAACTTTCTGGAAAGGATAGGCATACCTTCTTGAGTCCCTCAGTGATCTGTTCAAGAACAAAAGAGCAACAGCAAATCCTCTGCCAACGTAGGTAGATTTTATTTTTATTTTAAAAAATAGAGATGGGCTGAGCAACTTTGTGTGTCATAAGGAAGAAAAGATTCAAAAAAATTGGTCGGGCACAGTGGCTCATGCCTGTAATTCCAGCACTTTGGGAGGCTAAGATGGGCGGATGACTTGAGGTCAGGAGTTGGAGACCAGTCTGCCCAACATGGTAAAATCCTGTCTCGAAAAAAAAATTAGCCGAGTGATCAGCCGAGTGAGGCAAAACTTTGCCTCAGCCTCCCAAAGTTCTGGGATTATAGGTGTGAGCCATTGTGCGCAGCCCAGGGTTAGATTTTATTTTTATTTATTTATTTATTTATTTATTTATTTATTTATTTATTTTTTTAGAAACTGATGTTTATTTTCCATCAACCATTTTTCCATGTTGCTTAAGAGCCTATGCAAGAACAGCTTAAGACCAGTCAGTGGTTGCTCCTACCCATTCAGTGGCCTGAGCAGTGGGAGCTGCAGACCAGTTTTCCGTGGCAGGCTGAGTGCTCCAGTCGTCAGTAGGGAACTGCTGAATAGGCACAGAGGGCACCTGTACACCTTCAGACAAGTCTGCAACCTCAGGCTGAGTGGCAGTGAACTCAGGAGCAGGAGCAGTCCATTCACCCTGAAATTCCTCCTTGGTCACTGCCTTTTCAGCAGCAGCCTGCTCTTCTTTTTCAATCTCTTCAGGATCTCTGTAGAAGTAGAGATCAGGCATGACCTCCCATGGGTGTCCACGGGAAATGGTGCCACGCATGCGCAGAACTTCCCGAGCCAGCATCCACCACATCAAACCCACTGAGTGAGCTCCCTTGTTGTTGCAATGTCCACATAGCGCAGAGGAGAATCTGTGTTACACAGAGCAATGGTAGGTAGGTTAACATAAGATGACTCCGTGAGAGGCTGGTGGTCAGCCCTGGGGTCAGTAACCACAAGAAGCCGTGGCTCCCGGAAGGCTGCCTGGATCTGGTTAGTGAAGGTTCCAGGAGTGAAGTGGCCAGCAATTGGAGTGGCTCCAGTGGCAGCAGCAAACTTCAGCACAGCCCTCTGGCCAGTATTCCCGGAGGATATAACACTGACATCAGCAGGGTTTTCAATGGCAACAACAGCACGAGCTGCCAGCAGAAACTTCTCCCAGGTCCTCTTCAGATTTATGATATAGATGCCATCACTTTTCCTTTTATAGATGTACTGTTCCATCTGGAAGTCAAGATTGGTGCCGCCTAAGTGGGTTCCTGCTGCATGGAACTTAAGGACATCCTCCTCCTTCATTTGCAGGACATCAAGGGCTCCGGACATTGTGAAAGTTTCCCTTTAAGTTACGATGGGAATCCAGAACAACGCCATATGGACCCCTCTGTAGGTAGCGCGGAAAGCCAGGGTTAGATTTTAAATGAGGTTAGATATACTCTGGTTAACAGAAACATTACTTTTATTTATCAGTTATTGGATAAAATGTTAAAAATTTAATAAAATATTAACCTCAGATATTCATAATCATCTTGATATGGATGATATAATAGCCAATTCCATTGGCTGGAATAGCTTCACAAATAAGGTCACAGGAAGATCTTCAACGAAGAGAAGAAAAAGTCAAGATATTTTTTGTTTTTTGTTGTTATTTTTTTCCCCCAAAAATAGAACAGATAGAGAAAAGGTATATTAAATTAGCTCCTCCTAATTAGAACATTTCTAATTTTTATACAGGCTAAATTAAAGGCTGTTAGGCACTTTAATAGTGTAAAGTCATTTTGGGGGGATATTGATTCAGAAAACCCAGCATTTATGACATATTGATAAGTAAAAGCAGCAGACTACAAAAATAGCATACTTTTATTGCATATGTACATATAAAAAAAATGTGAAGGCATATACCAAAATGGCAACAGTGGTTATGTCTGCCTGGTAAGATTACAGGTATTTAAAATTTCTTTTCTTTGTGTTTCTCTGAGTCTTCAAATTTTCCTTTAGCAAGTATGTATTACTTTCAAAAATAGATAGAATTGTACATAACAAAAAAAAAAATCAAACTCAAGATAGAAAGATTGAGGAGGAAATGGTTCAAGAATGTAATTTTTCATGCTCTTAAATATCTTTACCTGCAGTAATAGATTTTTTTTTTGCTTTTGCCTGCCAAACACTTCTTCTTCTTTTTTTTTTTTTTTTTTTTTTTTTTGTGATGGAGTCTTGCCTTATTGCCCAGGCTGGAATGCAATGGTGCAATGGCACGATCTCAGCTCACTGCAACCTCCGTCTCCCGGGTTCAAATGATTCTCCTGCCTCAGCCTGCTGAGTAGCTGGGATTACAGGCACCCGCCACCATACTCAGCTAATTTTTGTATTTTTAGTAGACACAGGGTTTCACCATGTTGGCCAGGCTGGTCTTGAACTCTTGACCTCATGATCCACCTGCCTCAGCCTCCCAAAGTGCTGGGATTACAGGTGTGAGCCACCGTCCCCAGCCCAAACACTTCTGATTTATTTACTTAATTAATTTATTTGTGTGTGTGTTTACTTGAGACAAGATCTTGCTCTGTCACCTAGGCTGGAGTGCAGTGGTGTGATCATGGTTCACTGCAGCCTTGGCCTCCCTGGCTCAAGAGTCCCTCCCACCTTAGCCTCCTGAGTAGCTGGGACTACAGGTGTGTACCACCATGCCCAGCTGGGGACATCACGTTACCTGACTGCAAACTACACTACAGGGCTACAGTAACCAAAATAGCATGGTACTGGTACAAAAGCAGACACATAGACTGATGGAACAGAATAGGGAGCCCAGAAATAAATCTGCACACCTACTACTATCTGATCTTTGACAAAGCTGACAAAAACAAGCAATGGGAAAGGACTCCCTATTCAATAAATGGTGCTGGGATGACTGGTTAGCCATATGCAGAAGATTGAAACTGGACCCCTTACACCATATACAAAAATCAACTCAAGATGGATTAAAGACTTACATGTAAAACCCAAAACTATAAAAACCCTGGAAGACAACGTAGGCAATACCATCCTTCACACAGGAACGGGCAAAGAATTTATGACAAAGACACCAAAAACGATCGTAACAAAAGCAAAACTTGACAAATGGGATCTAATTAAACTAAAGAGCTTCTGCACAGCGAAAGAAACTATCAACAGAGTAAACAGACAACCTACAGAATGGGAGAAAATATTTGCAAACTATGCATCTGACAAAGGTCTACTATCCAGCATCTATAAGGAATTTAAACACATTTACAAGAAAAAAACAAACACCCCCATTAAAAAGTGGGCAAAGAACAGGAACAGACACTTTTCAAAAGAAGACATACATGGGGTCAACAAGCATATGAAAAAAGCTCAATATCACTGATCATTAGAGAAATGCAAATGAGTTGGGCTTGGTGGCTCACGCCTGTAATCCCAGCACTTTGGGAGGCCAAGGCGGGTGGATCACCTGAGGTCGAGACCAGTCTGACCAACATGGAGAAACCCTGTCTCTACTAAAAATAAAAAAAATTAGCCGGGCATGGTGACGGGTGCCTGTAATCCCAGCTACTCAGGAGGCTGAGGCAGGAGAATGGCGTGAACCCAGGAGGCGGAGCTTGCAGTGAGCCGAGATCGGGCCACTGCACTCCAGCCTGGGATACAGAGCGAGACTCCGTCTCAAAAAAAACAAACAAACAAACAAAAAAAAACATGACTGGCACATACTGTATAGTCCATTTCTATTTTACATGTATTTATTTGAGTTAACAATGTAGTGAGAGTCTTTTCCCATGTCAGAGTCTTCTTATATGAGGCTCTGGGGTTTAGTCTGCCCAAGGCTGGCAGATAAAAGGGGAATATGGTTCAACAAATTGGGAGGGATATTTGTATTTGAAAATAAGGGCAGATCCTAAAAACAAAAACAGATTTGTGTCATTACATTAAAAGAGGTCTGCCATGATCTACTCTGTCATGGTCTGCCACTTATTAACTTCTTGCATTTGAGGAAATTAATCTCAAGTCTCAGAAATCCATAATTCAGAGTTTTTAGTGAGATTGTATTGTGATTTATTGAGTTTAAAACTTCTCCAATGACTCTGCCTCCAGCCTTCCCAAGCTTTTTGCTAAAGCAGCCTACACTTGTCAAAAAGTTACTCTAAATAGCTTGCAAACCACTTGAATCTGCCCCTTTTATGTAGTAAAATTGGTCAGTTTCCCAACAGTAAAGAAGAGGGAAAATATGGATTAGCATCAACCAATGATGCCCTGAGAACAACATAGGCTTTCTAAATCTAGGGCTTTTTAGTAGAAGACATAAGTATTTCCAGCTTAATATAACTGTTAGCTAAGGTTTTCAAATACTAGAAAAAAACAGCATTCTTTTGTTGGCTTTTGTTTCTGCTTTGAGCTCCGGACTATAATTCCTGTCATGCTGGGCCAATCAGGGACCTTGGTAACTTTTCACTAACAAAATCTAGATTTGCAGCCCTAAATGAACACCTTAATTTTCTTCTTCCAACTTTTATTCTAAGTTCAGGGGTATATGTACAGGATGTACAGTTTTGTTACAAAGGTAAACATGTGCCATGGTGTTTTGCTGCACAGATCAACCCATCACCTAGGTATTAAGCCCAGCATCCATTAGCTATTCTTCCTGATGCTCTCCCTCCTCCCACAACCCCACCCTCCGACAGGTCCCAGTGTGTTGTTCCCCACTATGTGTCCATGTGTTCTCATCATTCAGCTGCCATTTATTTTTATTATTTATTTATTTATTTATTTATTTATTTATTTATTTATTTTTGAGACGGAGTCTCGCTCTGTCGCCCAGGCTGGAGTGCAGTGGCGCGATCTTGGCTCACCGCAAGCTCCGCCTCCCGGGTTCACGCCATTCTCCTGCCTCAGCCTCCCGAGTAGCTGGGACTACAGGCGTCCACCACCACGCCCGGCTAATTTCTTTTTGTATTTTTAGTGGAGATGGGGTTTCATCGTGTTAGCCAGGATGGTCTGGATCTCCTGACCTCGTGATCCGCCTGCCTCGGCTTCCCAAAATGCTGGGATTACAGGCGTGAGCCACCACGCCAGGCCCTTATTTTTTATTTTTAAATTTTATTCATTTATTTTTAGACGGGGTCTCACTCTGTCGCCCAGGCAGGCTGGAGTGCAGTGGCGAGATCTCAGCTCACTGCAACCTCCGCCTCCCGGGTTCAAGCGATTGTCCTGCCTCAGCCTCCCGAGTAGCTGGAATTACAGCCACCCGCCACCACACCTGGCTAATGTTTGTATTTTTAGTACGGAAGAGGTTTCACCATGTTGGCCAGGCTGGTGTCAAACTCCTGACCTCAGGTGATCTGCCCTCCTCGACGTCCCAAAGTCTGGGATTACAGGCGTGAGCCACCACGCCCGGCCTTCAGCTCCCATTTATAAGTGCAAACGTGGTATTTGGTTTTCTGTTTCTGTGTTAGTTTGCTGAACACTTTAAATCACAATGTAAAGTAACCTGGAAGCCCTTGTCTTCCAATAAGGCTGGATGCAAGATACATTGTGAGATGGTTATAACCTTCTGCATCTGAGCTTGAACTTGACCCACACTTCTGTGGTCGCTTCCTGGTGAGAGCCTTTTTTATTTCCACTTCAGGCAAAGCAAAGGAATTGCTGGTCACAGACACGTGTGTGTGTGTGTGTGTGTGTGTGTGTGTGTTTTAACTGGAGTGAAATATACATAACTCTATAAAAGTTAAAAATGGCCGGGTGCGGTGGTTCACGCCTGTAATCCTAGCACATTGGGAGGCCGAGGTGGCGGATCACTTGAGGTCAGGAGTTCAAGACCAGCCTGGCCAACATGGTGAAACTGTCTTTACTAAAAAAAAAATACAAAAGTTAGCTGGGCATGGTGGTGGGCACCTGTAATCCCAGCTACTTGGAAGGCTGAGGCACGAGATTCGCTTGCACCTGGGAGGTGGAGGTTGCAGTGAGCCGAGATCACACCACTGCACTCCAGCCTGGGCGACAGAGGGAGACTGTCTCCAAAACAAAACAAAACAAAAAAGTTAAAAGTTTTATCATTTTAGGCTGGGCATGGTGGCTCACGCCTGTAATCCCAGCACTTTGGGAGGCCGAGGTAGGCAGATCACCTGAGGTTAGGAGTTGGAGATCAGCTTGACCAACATGGCGAAACTCCATCTCTACTAAAAATACAAAAATTAGCCGGGCATGGTTGCAGGTGCCTGTAGTCCCAGCTACTTGGGAGGCCGAGGTAGGAGAATCGCTTGAACCCGGAAGGCGGAGGTTGCGGTGAGCCAAGATCACTCCACTGCACTCCAGCCTGGGTGACAGAGTGAGACTCCATCTGAAAAAAAAAAAAAAGTTATCATTTTAATCAATTTTTAAGTGTATAATTTTATGGCATTGAGCACATTCATATTACTGTGCAATGGTCACACCATCCATCCCTGAACTTTTTTATGTTCCCCAAATGATACTCCATATCCATTCAACACTAACTCCCTAATTCTGCCCTGCTTCCAGCCTCTGGCAACTCTATGAGTACAGTCAAATTCAGTCAAACTCGAGTCACCTCATATAAGTGGAATCAAACTTTATTTGTCCTTTTGTGTCTGGCTTATTTCACCAGCATAATATCTTCAAGGTTAATCCACATTGTCTCATGTGTCAGAACTTCCTTCCTTTTTAAGGCTGAATAATACTCCATTGTAGGTGCATACCACATTTCCTGTTTATTCATTCCTCTGTTGATGGACACTTGGCTTGATTCCAACTTTTGGCTATTGTGAATAATGCTGCTAATAACATCGGTGTACAAGTATCTGTTTGAGTCCCTGCTTTCATTTCTTTTGGCTATATACCTAGAAGTGGGATTGCTGGCTCACACAGTAATTTTATATTTAATTTGCTGAGTTATATCCATATCATTTTCCACAGCCACTGCGCCATTTCACATTCCCACCAGTAACGCACAAGGGTTCCAATTCCTTCAGATATGTTTTAAAGGACCCACATTCACATTGCCAGACCATCATTTTCACCACCCCAAAAAGCTTTTTTCAAAGTGGCTCCCAAATGCTAGTGTGCATAAGAATCTCCGAAGAAGCATATTAAATTGCAGGTTATTGGTCCCACCCTCAGAGAGTTTCATTCAGTAGGTCATCAGTGGACCCAGGAATCTGCATTTTCAAACAAGTTTTCCCCAGGTGGTTCTTTTCTTTCTTTCTTTCTTTTTTTTTTTTTTTGAGATGGAGTTTCACTCTTGATGTCCAGGCTGGAGTGCAATGGTGCGATCTCGGCTCACTGCAACCTCCGCCTCCTGGGTTCAAGCGATTCTCCTGCCTCAGCCTCCCAAGTAGCTGGGATTACAGGTGTGTGCCACCACACCTGGCTAATTTTGTATTTTTAGTAGAGATGGGGTTTCACCATGTTGGTCACGCTGGCCTCGAACTCCTGACCTCAAGTGATCCACCTGCCTCAGCCTCCCAAAGTGCTGGGATTACAGGCGTGAGCCACTGCGCCCAGCCTTCCAGGTGGTTCTGATGACAGTGGGTCTATGGGCTACTATTTGAAGAAAAATGAGATAAAAGGTTTGAACTCAGAAATCAATCCACATAAAGCCAAAGCTTTAATTTTTGCCTTTATGTGAATTCAGCCCACTCTGATATGTCAGTGAGTTTTTGGTCTGGGCTTGAGTGATTGAGTGCAGCCTGTGTCAGAAAAATTGATTGCAAGTCATCAAAAAAGAATGCTTTCACTTCTTCAGCTGTCTAAATCTTAATCATGTTTTAATTTTTTTCTATTTATGCTTTTCTATGTTACCCACATTTTGCAACATTAAACATGTATTACTTTTATAATTAGAAAAATGATTCTCAAATCATTAAGCCGAATGAAAACCCTTTAAGAGCTCAAATATTTACTCTGTGAAGTTTTTTTCATTTCCCACTTCTTTCCTTCCAAGATATATAAATCACTCTGAGTCCATGCCTTCCTGGCATTTAGTTTATAACCCACGAGAGTACATTTCTCGTGAAATAACAGTGGTTGCATTTAATAGAGACTTCAGAAAGGCTGGTGAGTCTTTCCAATGGGTGATAGAATTTGCTTTGGAGGCCAGGACACTGGAGTTCAGCATTGAACCCAGAGGCAATTAAATTCAGGGGACTACTAGCTTACTAGAGGCCAAAATGCCAATTTATTAAATTATAGTAAGAAACAGGACATCAAGTAATCAGGACTACTCATGGTTGGTCAGCACATTCTTTTCCTTGTAGAAATGGGTATCTGGGAGGTCAAATGACTATACCACCAGATGATTATTGGGTGAGCATGGGAGTCAGACCACAAGAAATCAGATGATTAAAATGGCTGCTGTCATAAAGCCACTGTCACCTAACAAAGCCATTCCCCCTCCAGAGTTGTGTTTGCCAAAAGTTCCAGAACACCTAGGCCAGACAGTCAGGAGAATAGCTCATCTCTGGACCATCCTGAAGTTCCACAAATCTTTGGCTCTTGGCTCTCTTTTTTTTCTACACTCCATGCAGAATATCCCCATTCTATTGACTCATCATTTACTTTCAACAAAACTATTGAGCAGATTACTCACATTCCAGGAAGGCTTTCCTGAAGATGCTTCCTCATTGCTCCATATGCATTAGGTACCAGAGCAAGACAAGGATGGGCTATTAGTGTAAAGACAAGATCTGGGTTGAGGGTGGGATGCTCCAAAAATCTGCATAAGATGTCAAGCTTACTTCAAGAGGCAAAAGGGATGTTGGAGATGTGACCCAAATTGGGTACTGGAGCTGAAAGTTAGGAAATGACAAGCCAAAGGAAGATAAGAGAAACTCCCTGGGTAGATCAGAGGCCTAACCCAGGAGTGCGGAGAGTGTGCTCAGACTAATTCATACAAATATGGCCTTCTGATCATAAATAGAAAGGCTTGCAGAGAACTCAGAGCCTATCTCAGGGATGTGACCCCTCAGCCTTACTGGCCTGGTCTTTGTTTATTGCATCTGACTCTGATGGTTTCCAAGTATCTCTATCAACAGCACATTTATAAACCATCTGTTAGGCAACTTCTACACATGGCTAAGCTGATTTATTTTACGTTGATTTTTTGCTCAGAGGGTGACTTTTATTTGACCTTATTCACAAATTCTGAGAATGTATTATTGGGCCCTATAAAGGTTATTTATGTCTGACTACCCTGTCAGACAGGGAGTTTCGGGAGTCCTTTGTGTTCCCACCACCAAAAGCAAGTGATTTACTGAAAATTAAAAGTTTAGCTGGGTGTGGTGGCTCACACCTATAATCTCAGCTACTCAGGAGGCTAAGGCAGGAGGATTGCTTGAGGCCAGGAGTTTGAGACCAGCCTGGGCAACATAGTGAGACTTTATCTCTAAAAAATAAAAGAATAACAAAAAGTAGTCAGGCATGGTGGCACGTACCTGAAGTTCCAGTTACTTGGGAAGCTGAGGTGGGAGGATTTCTGAACCCAGGTGTTCAAGGCTGCAGTGAGCTATGATCATGCCATTGCATTCCAATCAAAATAACAGAGCAAGACCTTATTTTAAAATTAAATAAAAGAAATAAAGCTAAAAGTTTAATAAAAGTTGGGTGTATAAACAAGTGATATATTTTCTGGTGGCAGAAGAGGAGTAGCGAGATGACATGGGTATCCATGCCTAACCCAGTTCCCAAAGCACACTCAGTGCTACAGTTTGAATGCATGTGTGTCTCCAAAATTCATATGTTGGAACTTAAACTCCAAGGTAATGGTATTAAGAGGTGAGGACTTTGGGGAAATGATTAAGTCATAAGGGCTTGCAGCAACAAGGTACCATCTTGGAAGCAGAGAACAGCCCTTACAGACACTGAATCTACTGGCAATTAGATCTTGAACTTCCTGGCGTCCAGACCCATAAGGAATACATTTCTGTTCTTATCAATTACCCAGTCTCAGGTATTTTTATAGCAGCATGAACGAACTAAGACACTCTGACCAATTAGTTTCAGGGTTTCTGTGTGTTGCTGCTCACTGTGACAAACAAATCTGTGCATTATTTAGACCACCAAATTCTCCTGAAGTACCATTACATTTGCTTTTTTTTTTTTTTTTTTAGACCAACTCTTGCTCTGTCGCCTAAGCTGGAGTGCAGTGGCACAACCTTGGTTCACTGCAACCTCTGCCTCCTGGGTTCAAGCGATTCTCCTGCCTCAGCCTCCCGAGTAGCTGGGATTACAGGTGTGCACCACCATGCCTGGCTAATTTTTGTATTTTTAGTAGAGATGGAGTTTCACCATGTTGGCCAGGCTGGTCTCGAGCTCCTGACCTCAGGTGGTCCACTTGCCTTGGCCTCCCAAAGTGCTGGGATTACAGGCGTGAACCACTGCACCTGGCCATTTGCCATTGATTATTAACGGCCTCATTGAAATATAAATAACATACCATACAACTCATCCATTTAAAGTATACAATTTTTAGTTTTTTAGTGTATTCACAGATGTATGAAACCATCACTACAGTCAATTTTAGAACATTTTTATAACTTCAAAAAGAAATCCTGTACCCTTTAGCTATTGCTCTCCTGTCTAATATCCCCCACTCCAGCCCTAAATAACCTCTAATCTACATTCTGTCTCTATAGATTTGCCTATTTTGGAAACTTCATCTAAATGAAATACAATATGCAGTTTTTGTGACGGTTTTCTTTCATTTAACATAATCTTTCAGGTCGATCCATGTTGTTGCATGTATTAGTACTCCATTCCTTTACACGACCAAATAATATTCCGTCATATGAATATATCACATTTTGTTTATCCATTCATCAGTTGATGAACATTTGGGTTGCTTCCACCCTTTGGCTTTTATGAATAATACTTCTATGAACATTCATGTACAAGTTCTTGTGTGGATGTACATTTTCACTTCGCTTGGGTATATAACTAGGAGTAAATTGCTGGGTCCTATGATAATTCTATGACTAACATTTTGAGAAACTGCCAATTTTTTTAGCAAGGCAGCTGCTAAATAATAACGTATAAAGGCTCCAAATACACCCTTGTCAGTACTTGTTATTAGCTGACTTTTTGACTATAGCCATCCAAGTGGGTGTGGTTTTGATTTATATTTCCCTAATGACTAATGATAGCATCTCTTCATGTGTTTATTGGCCATGTATACATCTTCCTTGGAGAAATGTCTATTCAGATCCTTTGTAACTTGAAGGGTCCTTTAGCCCATTCTCACACTGCTAGAAAGTTGGGTTGTCTCTTTATTACTGAGTTGTAAGAGTTCTTTATATATTCTAGATGCAAGTTCCATGTCGGATATATGATTTGGAGAGATTTGCTCCCATTCTGTGAGTTGTCTTTTTACCTTCTGATGGTGTTTTTTAGGAGCACAGAAGTTTTTAGTTTTGATGAAGTCCAATTTGTCTATTTTTTTTCTTTTGTTGCTCATGCTTTTGGTGCCATAACTAAGAATTCATTGCTAAATATCAGGTCATGAAGGTTTATTCCTATATTTTCTTCTAAGAGTTTATAGTATTAACTCTTACATTTAGGTATTTGATCCTTTTTGAGTTAATTTTTATATATGATGTGAGCTAAGGGTCTAACTTTATTCTTTTGTATGTATATATCCAGTTGTCTCAGCACAATTTATTGGAAAAACAACATGAACATCAGATGTTTTCCCATTTATTTGCATTTTTAATTTCTTTCAATATTGTTTTATAGATTTGGCAGTAAAAATTTTGCACTTTTTTAAGATATTTATTTACAAGCATTTTATTCTTTTTTATGATAGTGTAAATGGAACTGTTTCATAACTTCAATTTCAGATTGTTTATTATAAGTATAGAAAAATACAATTTTATTTATTTATTTATTTTATTTTTCTTTTATAATTGCCCTGGCTAGAACATCCAGTACAATATTGAATAGAAATGGCTAGAGCAGACACCCTTGTCTTGTTCCTGATGGAAGAAAGCAGGCAGTCTTTCATCATTAAATATGATGTTAGCAGTCTGGGTGCGGTGGCTCTCGCCTGTAATCCTAGCACTTTGGGAGGCCGAGGCGGGTGGATTACCTGAGGTCGGGAGTTCAAGACCAGCCTGAACAACATGGTGAAATCCTGTCTCTACTAAAAATACAAAAAATTAGCTGGGCATGGTGGCAGGAGCCTGTAATCCCAGCTACTTGGGAGGCTGAGGCAGGAGAATCAATTGAACCCAGGAGGTGGAGGTTGTGGTGAGCTGAGATCGCGCCACTGCACTCCAGCCTGGGTGACAGAGTGAGACTCCGTCCCAAAAAAAAAAAAAAAAAAAAAAAAATGATGTTAGCTAGGTTTTTTTCTAGATGCCCTTTATTAGAATGAGGAAGTTATCTTCTATTTCTAGTTTCCTGAGTGTTTTTATTTTTTTTAAATCATGAAATGGTGTTTGGTTTTGTCAAATGCTTTCTCTGTGTTTGTTGAAATGATCATGTATGTTTGTTTTTTATTGCATTGATATGGCGTGTTACTATATTAACTGATTTTCAGATGTTAAACAAACCTTACACTATTGGGATAAATCCCATTTAGTCATGGTATATAATTCTTTTTATATGTTGCTGAATTTGGTTTGCTAGTATTTTGTTGAGATTTTTGGCATCCATATTCTAAGGGATATTGGTCTGTGGCCTTCTTCTCTTGTAGTGTCTTTGTTTGGCTTTGGTAACAGGGTAATTGCTTTAGTCCATTCTCACACTGCTATAAAGACTACGAGACTGGGTAATTTATAGAGAAAAGAGGTTTAATTGACTCACAGTTCTGCAGTCTATACAAAAGGCATGGTTGTGGGGGACCTCATGAAACTTACAATCATGGCAGAAGGTGAAGAGGTAGCAGGCACAATCTCCACATGGCAGTGAAATAAAGGCATTCCTAAATAAACAAAACCAGAGTATGTGTTGCCATTAGACCCACCTTACAAGAAATACTAAAGGGAATTTTTCAGGTGGAAAGCAAGTGACCCCAGATAGTAATCCAAATCCACAAACACAAAAACCAAAGAGCACTGGGGAAGGTAATTATGTAACTATAAAAGATCATATGAATGCCTATTTCTCCTTCTAACTGATTTTAAAAGTAATTGAATAAAACAATATGTATATAATTGTATTATTGCGCCTTGATAGGGTTTGGCTGTGTGTCCCCACCCAAATCTCACGTCGAATTGTAATCCCCAGTGTTGGAGGTGGGGCCTGGCAGGAGGTGATTGGATCATGGGGGTGGTTTCTACAGTTTAGCCTGTATCTCCAATGATTTTACCCATCTCCTTCCAATTGCCTTTCATCACAACCTCCACTAGTTTTGAGAATGCCCTTAGGCCTAAACTTCTCACTCTGTTGCAAATGAAGTCAGTGTCTTTGGAAGGAGATTCAGAGCTCTTGGGTTTATATCCTGTCTCTACCCTCAGGCAAAATTTGAGTCTTGGCTCTGGAACTGCAGGTGGAAGCAATAGTGTGTTTCTCTCTGAATGAAACCCCAGCTTTAGGACCTGAGTACTTGGTATGGGAGGGCAGTGGCTTGAAGTCTCCTTAGTTTGCCTCTCCCCACTTGGAACCTTTACCTTATAAGCTGGGGCAAGGGCAGTTGAGGCCTCAGTATTCTCAGCAATGTTGCACTGAAGGTAGAATTTCCATTGCACAAAGAGGGGCTGGCGGAAGAAGAAAATCCATACATCTTGGCTGCGTTTATTCAGAATAGCCTCAGCTGGAGGTAGCTGAGGACAAGACTAAAAATCCTCACATCCCACTTCTCCTAGCTATCCCTCTGACTAGGAGCTGGGGAGTGGGGAAACTGGGAACCCTGTATTCTTGAATGTAGAAGTCTGGAATGGAGTTTCTATCTTGCTGAGCTGGGAAGGTGGAGGGAAGCAGATCTTGGTCTAAATACCACAAATTCTTAGGGAGTTTTAGTAGGTTTTCTTGAATAAATGCTTCCTTATTTGCTGTATGCCCTTAAGACCATTTCCAGAGTCTTTGAAAGGTTGTTTTAAAAAAATAATGTTTCACTTATTATTCTCTGCGAAAGGGGCTGCAGAGCGCTTTACATTGTCATCCTGGAAGTGGAAATACTTGCCTTTGATTTTTACATTGATCCATGATTATTGGTTTTATGTATTTTTTTTTCCTTTAGGCAAAAGTCAAGGTAATGAAGTGAAATAATGCCATAGGCTCAATTGCCTTGATAAATTGGTAGATGAGTTGGAAGAATTTCCAGGGAAAAGGAACTGTAGCTAAGGAGTTAACATGGAAAGAGAACTATGCTCAAACATGGAAACATGGTATCTGGGAGATTGACTGGGTCACCATAGGCTACATTTACCTTCTTTTTTTTTTTTTTCTTGAGACAGCGTCTTGCTCTGTCGCCCAGGCTGGAGTGCAATAGCGCGATCTCTGCTCACTGCAATGTCCACCTCCTGGGTTCAAGCCATTCTCCTGCCTCAGCGTCCCGAGTAGCTGGGATTACAGGCGTGTGCCACCATGCCCAGCTAATTTTTGTAGTTTTAGTAGAGACAGGGTTTCATCATGTTGGTCAGGCTGGTCTCGAACTCCTGACCTTGTGATCCTCCCTCCTTGGCCTCCCAAAGTGCTGGGATTACAGGTGTGAGCCACTGCGCCCGGCCTTCTTCTTCTTCTTCTTCTTTATTTTTGAGACAGAGTCTCGCTCTGTTGCCCAGGCTGGAGTACAATGGCACAATCTTGGCTCACTGCAACCACTGCCTCCCAGGTTCAAGCGATTCTCCTGCCTCAGCCTCCTGAGAAGCTGGGATTACAGGCGCTGGCTAATTTTTTTTTTTTTTTTTTGTATTTTTAGTAGAAATGAGGTTTCATCATGTTGGCCAGGCTGGCCTCCAACTTCCGACCTCAGGTGATACGCCTGCCTCAGCCTTCCACAGTGCTGGGATTACAAGTGTGAGTGTTCCCAGCCTATTTCCCTTCTTTTGAGATAAAACTTTAGTAACCAGTTTATATAATGGCTTGACTTACTCCATGGACTTGTGTGGCCAACTTTGTAATATATTTTTCAGGAAGAATTGTTATTTTAATAACATCGATTCTTTCCAGCAGTGATAATGTCAGGGCACTCTTCCTGGACAATGAGTTTTGAATAGTTCACAATAGGGAACTGAGATTAAACTTGAAGGGTTTACCTAACCTGAGGGTTTATAAAACCTACTCTGTGTTTACTCCCTGTCAAAGATGATCAAAATGGCTTTTGGTTTAGTTCTCTCTCCTCTTAACAAACCTGTTCCTGAGGCCTCTAACTCATCTGATACTTTTTTTTTTTTTTTAAGAAGGAGTCTCACTCTGCCACCCAGGCTGGAGTGCAGTAGTGCGGCCTCGGCTGGCTGCAACCTCCGCCTCCCGGGTTCAAGCGATTCTTCTGCCTCTCCTGAGTAGCTGGGACTACAGGCGTGTGCCACCATGCCCTGCTAATTTTTGTATTTTTAGTAGAGATGGGTTTTCACCATATTGTCCAGGCTGGTCTCAAACTCCTGACCTCGTGATCTGCCTCCCAAAGTGCTGGGATTACAGGCATAAGCCACCGCGTCCGGCCATCTGCTACTTTTAAAATCAGAAACTAGAAATGAAAGAGCAGGATTGCCATTTCTCTAGTTCTTTGGGAGCATTGTCTCTTGGCATGAGGTCATGAATTAATTTATCACAATGATTACTTCTCAGTCCAAGATATTACTGACCTTATGTTTGAAATAAATACCAACCAAAGCATATACATGTGTTGCAGCTATACTAGTAAGTACGACAGAATTCAAAAAAATTCTCTGAAGACAGTCTCCTCTGAGACATATCTTGGCAAAAATAAGGGAGTATATGGCTTCCTAAGGGTGCGTGCCAGAAATAATATAAGCATTAATGCCACTCTTTTTCCTGGGTAATAAGAATGTGTGTGCTGATGGGTAGAGCAGGTAGAAGGTCTTAATGCCAGTTACCTGGTTATTGATTCTGAAATTTCACTTTGACCCTTCGAACTGTCCAAGAAATTTCTTCCAGAAGCATGGCCACAAATAAGTAAACAACAGCAACAAAAAACAAATAAACCTCATTGCAGTTAAAAAAAAAATTCAATTCTCTATTGGAATGAATTCCCTGGTGAAGTGGTTAGTAGACAATAAAAGCCTCTACAGAATTGCTGTTTCCTTCCAAAGATGTTTTTTGTTGTTAAAGCTACAAAAATCATCCTCTTAAAATGTGTTTTTGAAAAAATAAGGTGGTAACAAATTTTGATGTTTTAAAATTCCATTAAAATGCCAACTGATTTCTTTCAGGCATGGCTTAGTTTGTTCAGCCTCCAGAGCAGTACTAATTTTTATTATTTGCAGTGCAAGCACTCACATTTACAGAGAATTATAGGCAGGCAGTTATATTTAAAGTGAATTTTACTTAAGTATTGAAGGGTATGGAATTATATTCATTGAAACATAATTAAAGTACAGAGACATATAATAATAAGTGGGTGGAAGTATGCGCAATAATAATTCAAGGTAATCACTGCGTTATGATTGTGTTGTAGATTAGAGCAGAATATAATGAGGTCTCCATTTAATGAGAGCACTTTAATTCTGAACCAGATTAGAGGCAAAGGGTACTTCAGAGAAGTGCCAGTTCCTATTCTTACTATAGAAGCAGGCGAAAATAGTATTCTGAAAAGATTCTAATTGGTGTTTAGGAGTAGCCGGTGAAATCAGACATAGAATTCCAAACTCTCACTCTGTCACTCTGTTGTATGTACACAGGATAGAGTCCCTAGGCTAAGATCGTGCAAATAATTCCTTAACGGAGCATGTGAGCCTGTCCCAATGACTCCCCATCTATCTCTCCTACTTTGGTTCACCTTATTCCTCCACAAAAAACTGTTGCTCTTGCCAAACATCTTTGGCCTTGGCACTGGAAATACCATGAACACATCCTTCAGAGCATGTATGGCAGGGCCACTTGGTGCTGTTAAAACTTGGTGAAATACTAGCCCAGGAGTTAAGGAGTTAATCAGGCAGATTTTTCTGAGCTACTCTGGGTCCAAGCCACTCAACCCGGTATCTCATCACACTCTGATTCCCAAGCGGCTTTGAATTCAGACTTCCAGCTTTCTTTTGGTCACCCTATCCATGCTGCCAGCAACCCCCCTAAAATGGCTGCCAGGGTCTTCTTGTATGAGACAATGATACTCTGTTCTGGCCCTCCTAAGACAGTGCCTAGGCTGTTTCTGTCCCTTCCAACCTATGGCTCTGCACAGCCCTGTGTGCCCAGAAGCCAAACCCATCCTCCCTTCTAATTCCCTAACAAGAGCAGTTTCCCAACCGAGGCTCCTCGGGGAGCCCTTAGGCCTCAAAAGTCACTTCTATCCTTGAATTCCTCTAACTCTAATTGTCTGTGGGACTCACAGGACAATTTGTGGATGGATGCTGAAGTAATATATCACATGCTTGTCTTTCCACTAATATTGTAAGCTCTCTGTCAGGAGAATTCCTTCAAGGCTCTTTGTATCTTCAATGACTAGCACAGTGCTGATTGCCTAGAGGTAGTTAGAGTAGTGGTTAAGGGCGTGGGCTCTGTCTGCGCCAGATTCATTGCAAAGGGTGAATATAGACTGGCATATGCAACCTTAACCAAGTGATCAGAGTTAATATGGCCAGTAATGGGATAAACTGATATGTGCCTCCTGATATGCGGCACAGAGACAAAACATCACATTTGTGGCACTCTTGCCAAAAATGGATAATCTGAGTCCAAGCAGGAGGAAACATCAGACAAACCAAATTGAAGGGATGTTCTGTAAAATAACTTGACAATCACTTGTCAAGATCATGAAGGACAAAGAAAGACTGAGGAAATACTCAAAGTTAAAAGAGACTAAAGTAATGTGACAATTGAATGCAATGTGTGATCACAGATTTGATCCTGGTCTGAGCCAGAAGATTTTTTTCTATAACAGACCTAATTGGAAGAATTGGCAGAATCTAAATAAGGTTGAAAGATCTTACAATGGTATTATTTCAATGTTCATTGACAGTACTGTGACAATTATACTGTGTTCATGTAAAAGAATGTCTTTGTTTGTAAGAAATACACACTGAATTTTTTAGGAGTAAAGAAGCTTCCTGTCTGCAATCTACTCTCAAATGATTCAAAAAAAAGATTATATATATTATGTATGTATGTAATATATTACACACATAAATATATATGTATGTACATATGTATTACATAAGCATATACTATATACACACAAAGAGAAGGATACAGCAAATTACGGTAAAATGCTAACATTTGGAGAATCTGAGTACAGGATATATGGATTTTTTTTTTTTTGAGGCAGTCTCACTCTGTTGCCCAGGCTGGAGTACAGTGGCACCATCTTGGCTCACTGCAACCTCCACCTCCTGGGTTCAAGCAATTCTCCTACCTCAGTCTCCCAGGTAGCTGGGACTACAGTCATACGCCGCCACGCCCAGCTAATTTTTGTATTTTTGGTAGAGACGTGATTTCTCTATGTTAGCCAGGCTGGTCTTGAACTCCTGACCTCAAGTGATCTGCCTGCCTCGGCCTCCCAAAGGGCTGGGATTACAGGCATGAGCCACCGCACCCAGCCTGGAATTCTTGATACTGTTCTTGCAATTTGAAATTATGTCAAAATAAAAGGCGTTTTGTTTGTTTTTGTTATTTTTTGTAATATTGACTCTGGTATCAGATTCCCTGATTGGAATCTTAGCTTTGCCACTTACCAGTTGTATGACTTTAGGGAAGTTATGTAAGCCTTGCTACACTCAGTTTCCTCATCTGTATTGTGAGGATAATAATAGTGCTGACTTGAAGAGGCTGCTGTGAGAATTAAGCCCCGAAATGTGCTCAACATGTTGCCAGCTCAGACTAAGCGCTTGGTGAATGACAGCTTCCATGATTAAATGACTCAGTTCATATTTCCTGCTACTTAGGATAGGGACGATATTGGGGCATCTTGACTTACTAGGATCAAGAGGGAACACCATAGGTCATGAGTCTCTTGCCTACTTCCAAGGGGCCAGATAGCTGCTATGGCCACTGGAAGCACATGGGGGGCTCTTGTCCCTAACTTTTAAGATCATTAGGATGGATTAAAGAGGGCTTAGTTAGCTTTGGGCCCCAACCCAGGGCTCAAACACAGTAGGTTAATCACTCTACAGATAAGTGACATATCGGGCCCATCAGGACTCCATCAGACCCATTCTGAGAATGAGCTTTAACACATTGCCAGGTGCAGCATGTGTGCTTTAGACTGGATGCAGAAATTCTTGTCTTTTACCCATGAGAACTTCAGTTCCAACAGAGAGCACTTCTGAATAGCTCAGAATCTCATTTGTTTCGTTGATCCTGAGTTCTAAATTCAGAGTGATGTCTATATGGAAGAGAGAGGAATAATTATGGAATCATCTAGACTAAATCCCTTATTTTACTAAAGAGGAAAGTCAATGTGTGTGACATGTTTGAGATGACTCCGTGGGTTCTCAGCACAGCAAGGGCTGGGACAAGTTTCCTAACTCTCATGTCATTATCCTTTTCACTAGACCACTTTGCTTTGCAGGATTGCAATTGTGAGGCAAGGAACTCAGAGAGAGGAAGATATGGGCCAGGCGTGGTGGCTCACGCCTGTAATCCCAGCACTTTGGGAGGCTGAGGCGGGCAAATCACTTGAAGCCAGGAGTTTGAGACCAGCCTGGCCAATATGATGAAATCCCGTCTCTACTAAAAATACAAATATTAGCCGGGCGTGGTGGTGGGCACCTGTAGTCCCAGCTACTGGGGAGGCTGAGGCAGGAGAATCGCTTGAATCCGGGAGGCAGAGGTTGCAGTAAGCCAGAATGGCGCCACTGCACTCCAGCTTGGGCAACAGAGCGAGACTCCATCTCAAAAAAAAAAAAAAAAAAAAAGAAGAAGAGAGGAAGATATGAAGGGAACAGCAGGAACAGGTGGCAACGCTCCCTCATGATAGGCTTGTGCCAGTCAGAACTAAAGGGCTTCTCTGCTGAAAGACATGGGGTTTTCAAGGATCCCATGTCACAGTGATACAGGAAATGTAAGACAGCAAAATATGCTGAAATTTGGACAGTAGTTCTCTGTAGGCCCAGGTGGTGAATTTAATGTTCCCTCAAATTTACTTGTGTTTTTACTTCACTGACCAAAATAAAGTGTCTGGATTTCATTACACAGTTTGCTCCTCTGATTTTTATATCGTCTTTCTTTTTTCTTAATCAAGGGGCTTATTACCATTTTCTCTGTTCTAAGTTTCTGTCACATTACTTCAACAGTCTTCCTAGTTTCCGCTTTGCTATGATCATCTTGGACTTGAGATATTAAGTGTGGCTTTGGTGTGAAATTAACAGCTCATCTTGACTCACTCAGGGAGTGGAGGACTGCTATAGAAGGAAAATCAGAGTTTACTTTTGTTATTGATTAATAAACCTATTTCCAAAACAACTTGAATATAGACTTGAAAAACCATAGACCTTTGGGGCTGGATTTTTTTTAGAGCTGAACTCACCCAATGTGGGAATTCTTTGTTGCCTCTAACACTTGAAAGTAGGGACAATTGATTTTTTTTTTTTTTGACAGAGTCTCGCTCTGTCACCCAGGCTGGAGTGCAGTGGCACGATCTTGACTCACTGCAACCTCCGCCTCCCAGGTTCCAGCGATTCTCCTGCCTCAGCTCCCCTGCAAATAGCTGAGATTACAGGGCAAGTGCCACCACACCCGACTAATTTTTGTATTTTTAGTAGAGACAGGGTTTCACCATGTTGGCCTGGTTGGTCTTGAACTCCTGACCTCAGGTTATCCAACTGCCTTGGGCTCCCAAAGTGCTAGGATTACAGGCGTGAGCCACTGCACCCGGCTGGGACAATTGATTTTTATGAAATCCTCCCTGGAAGGAAGGCAATACAATTAACAGAAAAATAAGCAACTGGCAGTCTGGAATAATTGTTTTTCCTTTTCATTATAAGGCTACTACTTTGAGGGAGGGTCTCAAGGCTGAAGAACTAAGAGAGAAACTGATGGCAACCAAACTCTAGAATGCTCAAAAAAAGCAATCTGTTTTGACTGAAGCGTTCACCCGAAAGAGAGCAAAGCAGATTTCTGAATTTACTATGAGGCTTGTGTTATTTGCTTGGCAAGGTGTTAAGGCACATTTTAGAATCTTGCCTAGGCATCCAATCCAGGCAAGTGTCTTTACTTTGAGATAAATATATATATCTCCAAAATATCAGGAATCAGCACCTCTGAATTTGAATTTAGAAACATTGGTATTAGAGAAAAAGCAAATAAACATATCCCCAATCCAGACGTTTGACTCTTAGCTCTCAGATCTGAAGATAATCTCTTAAGGAAAACAGTTAGAGACCTAAGCTTTTAGGTTCTGTCTTGGTAAGAGTGATGCCCTTCTGTATAGAAAAATCACAAAATTCTAAGACAATTAAATTTTTTTCTTCAATTTAATGTGAAAAATTCTGCGAGAAACAGGAACCCTTTGTTTCCAACAGAAGTATGCTGCCTGCCGCTTGTCCTCCAGAGCAGACACCCAAGGGTAAAGGATCCCCAAAGGGTCAGCTGCCTTCAGATCTTTCTTCACTCCGGATAGTGCGATGGGCAGAACCATTGACAGCAAACACCGTTCAAGGGTCACTGTTTGCTCAGGGAGAAAATCGAGAAGGAACAATTGCATGGAAATCAGAGTGCCCTGTTACGTTTCAAGAGGCAAGTTTAAAAAATTAAGAATGGGGCCGGGCCCGGTGGCTTATACCTGTAATCCCAGCACTTTGGGGGGGCCAAGGCGGGTGGATTACTTGAGGTCAAGAGTTCGGGACCAGCCTGGCCAACATGGTGAAACCCCATCTCTACTAAAAATACAAAAATAAGCAGGGCGTGGTGGTGTGTGCCTGTAATCCCAACTACTCGGGAGGCTGAGGCAGAAGAATAGCTTGAACCTGGGAGGCGGAGGTTGCAGTGAGCTGAGATCGTGCCACTGCACTCCTGCCTGGGCAATAGAGTGAGATTCTGTCTCAAAAAAAAAAAAAAAAAGAATTAAGAATGGCAAATAAGGATATGAAAAGATGCTCCACATTGTATTACATCAGGGAAATGCAAATTAAAGTAACATCAAGATACCACTATGTACCTATTAGAATAGCCAAAATCTAGAACACTGATAACACTAAATGCTGGCAAGGATGTGGAATAACAGAAACTTTTATTCATTACTGGTGGGAATGCAAAATGGTACAGCCACTTTGGAAGACAGTTTGTCAGTTTCTTACAAAACTGAGCATACTTTTACCATATGATCCAACAATTGTACGGCTTGATGTTTAACCAAAGGAGTAGAGAACTTATGGACACACAAAAACCTGCACATGAATATTTATGGCAGCTTTATTTATAATTGCCAAAACCTGGAAGCCACCACAATGTCCTTCAGTAGGGGAGTGGATAAATAAACTATGGTACATCCATACAAGGAAATATCATTCAGCTCTAAAAAGAAATGAGCTATCAAGCCATGAAAAGACACAGAGGAAACTTAAATACATATTGCTAAGTGAAAGAAGCCAATCTGAAAAGGCTACAAAGTGTATGATTCCAACTGGAATTGTATCATTCAATTCTGGAAAAGGCAAAAATATGGAGACAGTATAAAAAGATCAATGGTTGCCAGGGGCTGGGGGTGGGGTGGTGGAGGATGAAAAGGCAGAGCACAGAGGATTTTTAGGACAATGAAACTCCTCTGTATGATACTATAATGGTGGGTTGTCCAAACGTGGTGAAATGGTGAAATGGTGGGTTTCACCATGTTGGCCAGGCTGGTCCCGAACTCTTTACCTCAAGTAATCCACCCGCCTTGGCCCCCTAAAGTGCTGGGATTACAGCACTAGAATGTACAGCATTAGAATGTATGGCACCAAGAACAAAACCCAATGTAAACTATAGACTTTGGGAGATAATGCTGTGCCAATGTTCATCACTTGAAACAAATGTACCTCTCTGGTGATGGATGTTAATGATGGCGGAGGCTCTACTTGTGTAGGGTCAGGGGGTATGTGAGAAACCTCTGTACCTTTTGCTCAATTTTGCTATAAACCCAAATCTGCTCTAAAAAGTTTAATTCATTAAAAAAAAAAGGAATTAAGAACTCGGTTAGGTGACCATGACATAAAACTAAATTTGGAAAGTTATGGGTGTGGAGCAAAACAGACATCTGAATATCTCAAAATGCCAAAATGTCTTTTTTCTTGCAAATCTGGCTTGGTCCATTCCATTTTATTCCTTTTGCCTCAATCTGGATTCAGGATCTCATGACCTTATTCTGAGCCATTGCAATAGCTGGCTAAGTGGTCTTGAGTCTCTCTTTCATCTGCTCCAAATTCCACACTGCTGTCAGGATCTTTTATTGAAATGAAAAAAGAAACTTTGTGAAAAATTGGAGGCAGCAAGGATGTCCAACAGCAGGAAAATAGTTGGAGGCACTTTGGTTCAACCATGTGAGGAAGTGTTTGTAGCCATTGAAGGCTGAGCTTTGGAAAAGTTCATGGGCTGGGCGCGGTGGCTCATGCCTGTAATCCCAGCACTTTGGGAGGCCGAGGCTGGCAGATCACCTGAGGTCAGGAGTTTGAGACCAGCCTGGCCAACATGGTGAAACCCCGTCTCTGCTAAAAATACAAAAATTAGCTGGGCGTGGTGGGAGGTGCCTGTAGTCCCAGCTACTTGGGAGGCTGAGGCAGGAGATTTGCTTGAACCTGCGGGGCGGAGGTTTGCAGTGAGCCGAGACTGTGCCATTGCACTGCAGCCTGGGTAACAAGAGCGAAACTCCATCTCAAAAAAAGAAAAGTTCATGATCTGGCGAATGGTCATGATATAGTACTGGGGAGTGGAAGTGGTGTGGCCTGTGTGATCTCAATCAGGTCACCTGGATTTATGTATAAACTTAGCTATGCCTGTCATATTTGGGAAGGTGAGAAGGCAGTGTTTATTACCAAAAAGAAAATCTTAGTATAGACCAGACTTTCTCAGCTTGGGTCCTGTGAGAATCAAACCCTAAGGTATCTGTAATGGTTAATTTTATGTGTCAGCCTGACTGGGCTAAGGAATGCCCAGGTACCTGGTAAAAACATGATTTTGGGGTGTGTCTATGAGAGTGTTTCTGGAAGAGATTAGCGTTTGAATTGGTAGACTGAGATAAAGAAGATCTGCCAGGCCAGGTGTGGTGGCTCACGCCTGTGATCCCGGCACTTTGGGAGGCCGAGGCAGGTGGATGGCTTGAGCTCAGGAGTTCAAGACCAGCCTGGGCAACATGATGAAACCCCATCTCTGCTAAAAATACAAAAATTAGCTGGGCGTAGTGGTGCACACCTGTAATCTCTGCTACTCAGGAGGTTGAGGCACAAGAATCACTTGAACCTGGGAGGCGGAGGTTGCAGTGAGCCAA
This sequence comes from Homo sapiens, assembly GCF_000001405.40. Classification (NCBI taxonomy): domain Eukaryota; kingdom Metazoa; phylum Chordata; class Mammalia; order Primates; family Hominidae; genus Homo; species Homo sapiens. The sequence goes on along the minus strand of NC_000023.11, from coordinate 44,717,880 downwards.
GATCATGCCATTGCACTCCAGCCTGGGTGACACAGTGAGACTCTGTCTCAAAAATAATAATAAAAAAAAGATCTACCTTTACTAATGTGAATGGGCAGCATCCCCTCTGTTAGGGCCTAAATAGAACAAAAAGATGGAGGAAGGGAAAATTCTCTTTCTTTCTCTTTGAGCTGGAGCATCTATCTTCTCCTGCTCTTGGACACTGGGGCTCCTGGTTCTTGGGCTTCGGACTCAGAAACTGATACCAGCACCACCCCTCTACTTTGGTTCTCAGGCCTTACACCACCAGCTTTCATGGTTCTCCAGCTTGCAGACAGTAGATTGTGGGACTTCTTGGCCTCCATCATTGCATGAGCAAATGTCCATAATATATCTTCTCTTCCATATTTATATATATCTTATTGGTTCCATTTCTTTGGAGAACCTCGACCAATACAGGATCTACTGTATGTGTTAAATAAAATTTAGAGGAAGCCATTGTTTTGGACTGAGCTCCTATGCTAGGCCCAACAGATCAGATCAAACCAGGTAGGAGTTACTCTTGCTAGATGCTATATAGTCAAATTGAACTTTAAAATGAACTGGTTTTCAAAACAAACAAACAAACAAAAACCCCCCACAAAAAACCAGGAGATTCACGGCAACCAATCAGAAGGGGCCTAATATACTTGAGTCAGCATGATAAGGAAGTCCCCTCTGTTACTGCCCTATAAGGAAAATAACTTTGAAAGAACCGCCGGGCGCGGTGGCTCACGCCTGTAATCCCAGCACTTTGGCAGGCTGAGGTGGGGCAGATCACAAGGTCAGGAGATCGAGACCATCCTGGCTAACACGGTGAAACCCCATCTCTACCAAAAATACACAAAATTAGCCGGGCGTGGTGGCGGGTGCCTGTAGTCCCAGCTACTCGGGAGGAATGGCGTGAACCCGGCAGGCGGAGCTTGCAGTGAGCCGAGATGGCGCCACTGCACTCCAGCCTTGGCAAGAGTGTGAGACTCTGTCTCAGAAAAAAAAAAAAAAGAAAGAACCAATCCCCTTTTTGTCTCCTGTTTCTGCTTGTTCAGCTATTTTCTGCCTATAAAGCCAACTTCCTCTGCTCAGCTTGGCAGAGTGCTTTCTCTAAATCATTTAGATGAGATGCTGCTCAATTCATGAATCACTGAATCACTAATAAAAGCCAATTAGGTCTTTAAACTAAATTTGTTGAAATTTTATTAAACATGTGTAATAAATTTATTTCTCTCCAATCTCTCTAGAATGGAGCTAGCTATATACCATCTTTGGGAGAATTGAATAAATAATCACTTGAGTCATTTTCTATTGTATGATTTAGAAGAGGATCTCCAGGCTGGGCAACTGTGGCTCACGCCTGTAATCCCAGCACTTTGGGAGGCCGAGGTAGGCGGATCATGAGGTCAGGAGATAGAGACCATCCTGGCCAACATGGTGAAACCCTGTCTCTACTAAAAATACAAAAATTGGCTGGGCGCGGTGGCTCATGCCTGTAATCCTAGCACCGTGGGAGGCTGAGGCAGGTGGATCACCTGAGGTCAAGAGTTTGGGACCAGCCTGGCCAACATGGTGAAACCCCGTCTCTACTAAAAATACAAAAATTAGCCGAGCGTGGTGGCATGTGCCTGTAATCCCAGCTACTTGGGAGGCCGAGGCAGGAGATTTGCTTGAACCTGGGGGGCGGAGGTTTGCAGTGAGCCGAGATCATGCCACTTCACTCCAGCCTGGGCGAAAAAGCGAAACTCCGTCTCAAAAAAAAAAAAAAAAAAAAATTAGCTGGGCGTGGTGGCACGTGCCTGTAATCTCAGCTACCGGGAGGCTGAGGCAGGACAATCACTTGAACCAGGGAGTTAGAGCTTGCAGTGAGCCGAGATCGCGCCACTGCACTCCAGCCTGGTGACAGAGCAAGACTCCGTCAAAAAAAAAAAAAAAAGAAAAAAAGAGGATCTCAAGTTTTAGACCAGCATACAAACTCATAGGGTCCAGACGATGGGACTAAACAGTCTTTTACTTTTGCCATCAAGTACATCATCATCAGAGTTATCCTTAGGCAGGCATCAAAAGCTCCCTTCACCAGTCTCTCCCTCAAGGTCTTCAATGCCACAATCCCCTGAGTATATATTTATTTATTTATTTATTTATTTTTGAGACTGATTCTCATTCTGTCACCCAGGCTGGAGTGCAGTTACACCATCTCGGCTCACTGCAACTTCCACTTCCCAGGTTCAATTGATTCTCTTGCCTCAGCCTCCCGAGTAGCTGGGATTATAGGCACCCGTCACCACGTCCAGCTAATTTTTGTATTTTTAGTAGAGACAGGGTTTCACCATGTTGGCCAGGCTGGTCTGAAACTCCTGACCTCAGGTGATCCCTGAGTCTTTATAACCCTCTGACTGACATCCTCTCCCACCCCAGTTCTTAGTTCCCAGGTGTAGGTTGACTATGAACTCAGGTCTTAGAGTGATGTGGCAGAGGTTGGACCAAACACCAGGAATAAAATATCAAAGGGAAAAAAGAATTCTATAGGAAGGATAGAAGCCATAGGAATGTTTAAGGTGCTAGAAATGGTGAATAAAGGATCATAATGAGATACAATATTATTTCTCCACTCATTCATGTGTTCATTCATTCATTCATTCAACAATATTTACTAAGAAACTACTAAGTGGCAGGCAGGTGTTGTGCTGGGCACCAGAGATACAGTGATATGAGTAAGATAGATGTTACTGTAAGCCTGTTGGCAAACAAATTACAGTCTAGGCAGGGTAAACAAAGGAAGAATAACAAGGCTTTACACATTTCACAAGAAAATCTCATTTACCCCAAACATTGCAGACAGGCAAGAGAAAATAAATAAGTTGGGACCAGATCGCCCAATTGACATTTGCTGATTCAGGCAACTCTCACTGACACAAAAGTCAAAAAGAATATATGGGGCACGGTTTCCTTGCAGAAGAGGTGGGAAATCCCTTTGTTGGCAAACCTTGGCTTCTGTAAGAAATAGCAGAGCCAGAGTGGGCATGTCAACTATATGCCATTGTGCACTTAACTGGTCAAATCACTTCTGGGCTAGGTGTGTTTGGCCTGCTACAGCTGCTTTAGGGAGCTGTGGTAGATGCTTTTTGTATCTTGTGTCATATCCCTCACCTCCAGCTGACATGGACAGGCCTTGAGCTCCAGTGCTTCTTGGCTTCTCTAAATAAGGGCTTTGGCCAGGCCTGGTGGCTCACGCCTGTAATCCTAGCACTTTGGGAGGCCGAGGTGGGGCGTATCACCTGAGGTCAGGAGTTCAAGACCAGCCTGGCCAACATGGTGAAACCCCATCTCTACAAAAATACAAAAATTATCTGGGCGTGGTGGCGGGCCCCTTTAATTCCAGCTACTCACGAGGCTGAGATAGGAGAATTGGTTGAACCCGGGAGTTTTATTTATTACCATAATGAACATTGGTTCTTCTTTGTGGGAGCTGGGTGGGGGGCAATGCAAATTACATGCAGAACAAACACTCAAATTCAGGATGATCTTCTCAGTTTCCCCTTTCCATTGATTCAGTGCCCATCTCACAAGGATGGAGAAAAATGGCATCTGCTTGTCCCTCTTCTTTTCTCCCAGAGGTGCTTAATTCTTGAGCAAAAGTATTTGTCCCTTTTAGAAGGTAGGATTCCTCTATTTGCATGGTAGTTGAGTGAGAATATTTCTGTGAGTGGAAAATCAAGAGCAAGCAGGCTGGCTCTTGGAGAGGGGGATGGGAGTAATGTGGTCCTGCCTGCACTGAGCTAGGATGGCCCATCACCATGATCCAGGCACATGGAAACCCGCTCTCATTCCTCCTGCTCAAGGTTACGCTGCCATGCTGTCCGTGCCCCATTACCTCAAAAAAGCCAAACCATCTATCTTCTGCTCATGGAGTGAGAGATATTGTCCCTCTCATGAAACCCACGATTTGCTTTTTTACTTGGACAATCAACTTCTTGCCCATGAGGCAAAGAATTAGTCTTACTTCATTGGCCTTTGAGTCCTCTTTTCTGCAAAAGTTAATAGCTGGTCTATCTTTGGTTTGGATGATAATTCAAAGGAAAGACATTCATTTGCTTCCTATCTTACAAATCAAGCATTCCTGACTCTGAAATGATTTTCTGGGTTCAATGTCTCAGAACCGTAATAATTGACTTGGCAATATGAAAAGTCATTTACAAGGAAAGTATGATGAGGCTCCTCTTCATTTGATACTAGCAATGTCTTCCATAAATCTTGCTTATTAAAACAATGAGTCTCTCATAATATCTATGCAATTTTCAAATGAGATGGTCATGAAATTGCTATAAAATATTAAAAATCTATTCTTTTCTGATGATAATGATGCAAATATTGATGTAGGCCCACTAAGATACACCAAGCACATGCTCATCAAAATAGATAGATGGTGATATTGAATATTTCTTCATACCATAGATAAACAAGATTATGTGCTTTTGTTGTATTTTTTCTTAGTCTTCTCTGTTTAGGAGAGACATCTTTCATGTTTATGAGTGTGATGCTCATATGTCTTCCCATTTTTTATGTTGAGGTTTCTATATAATGTTTTCATATATTCACTCCTCAACAAAAATATACATACAAGGCACCATGCTAGGTGCTTTAGGAAATAAAAATTCAACAAAATGGCTCTTAATGCTCCAGAGTTCACAATTGTGGAGTGAGGATGGGGAATAGGGTAAGGATATAAAAAGACAGCAAACCAAAATGGCACCCAGGACTGAACAAATGTGAAATAAAGGTGTGATCATTGTGCTATGACAGTGAAGAAAAAGGAGCAATTACTTCTAGTTAAAGTATCAGGGAAAACTCATGAAAAAACTAGTAATTCACCCTGAACAATGAAAATCGCCATTTGCAAGCAGCTATCCGAGCCTCCCTCAACAACATAGGAAGTCATCTTTTCCAAAACTGTCCCAATTTCCTCCTTAAAAATGAACTTGGCAATGACCTCAGTTGCCATTCAGTAGAAAAGTAATCAGAAATTCTATCATAATAGAGCAGAAAATGAGGGAATTTATGCGGAATTTATACTTTACAAAGCCCAAAATGACTAACAACTTTAAAGCATTTATCATGATTACTCTTATTTTTAGAGCAATCTTATTTAAAACCTTATTTTCGATGTCATTAATGTAGTTGAATATGAAGGGCTACTCAGTGACCCTGGGGCACTTTTTTGTGACCCAGAGCTCTCTCAATTCCTCTCTCAGGCTGGGTTCTCTGAAGTTGTCACCACAGTGGCTTCTGCCTGGTCCTTGGCTCTGGGGATCTTGTTCTGATGAAACCCAAACTTGCTACGAGGCAATATTGCTCTCAGTGGAGCTTCCTCACTGCTGGGCCTCTGGGAAGGGATAGTCACTAATTAAGCCCAGTCACCTCTTCTCTTCCTTTTCTTCCCATCTCACATTCATCCAAAAATAAGCACCTTGTCAGCATAGTCACACAACTTGATGCATTTGGGAAGATGCCAGAAAGGGTTAGTAGCTCGTTAGAATAATTAGGAGGGAGTGAAACAAGGTCTGGAGTGGCCCTATTAAGAAGCTTGATCTAGGCCGAGCATGGTGGCTCACGCCTGTAATCCCAGCACTTTGGGAGGCTGAGGCTAGTGGATCACCTGAGGTCAGGAGTTCGAGGCCAGCCTGGCCAACATGGTGAAACCCGGTTCTACCAAAAATATAAAAATTAGCCAGGCGTGGTGGCGCACGCTTCCCAGCTACTCAGGAGGCTGAGACAGGAGAATCACTTCAAACCAGGAGGCAGAGGTTGTAGTGTCCACCCTGGCTGACAGAGCCAGACTCCATTTCCAAAAAATAAATAAATTAAAAACAAAAAAAACAAAAAAAACTTGATCTAACAATACCTGTTGTCCACTGTGGTGTTTTAAAATATTCCCACAAACTCTTGGACACTACAGCCACCAAAGTGGAGTCTATTCCCTGCCCTTGAATGTGGGCTGGCTTTGGTGACTTGGTTCTAATGAAGAGAATATACAGGAAGTGACATTGAGTGATTGTTGGTGCTGGGTCATAAAAGGTGGCACCTTCTGCCAGGCTCTTGCTCTCTTGAGACACCTGCCTTGGGATCCCAGAGCCATCCTATAAGAAGTCTAGCTACCCAGAGACCACCATGCTGGAGAGACCACATGGAGGGACCACACAGAGATAGGGAGACATGCCCAAGGAGCTCCAGTTGTTCCAGCCACCAGTTGTTTGAGTCTTTCCAGCTTTAACTGCCAGACATGTGGGCCAGTCTTGGGTGATTTCAGACCCCAGCCTTCGGCCACCTTTGCTAATGCCAGGTAGAACTAGCCTTGGAATCACCCATTGACAGAGTGGCACAAAGATGAGCTGTCCCTGCTGAGCCCTGCCCAGATTGTAGATTTGTGAGCAAAATAAATGTTGCTTTTTTTTTTTTTTTCTGAGACAGAGTCTCACTCTGTTGCCCAGGCTGGAGTGCAGTGGTGCAATGTCGGATCACTGCAACCTCTGCCTCTCAGGTTCAAGCAATTCTCTTGCCTCAGCCTCCCAAGTAGCTAGGATTACAGGCGCATGCCACCATGCCCAGCTAATTTTTGTTTTTTTAGTAGAGACAGGGTTTCGCCATGTTGGCCAGTCTGGTCTCAAACTGCTGACCTCAGGTGATTCACTTGCCTCGGCCTCCCAAAGTGCTGGGATTACAGGCATGAGCCACAGTGCCTGGCAGTCTTTTAAGCCATTAAGTATTTGGAAGGCTTATTATGCAACCAAAGTAACTGGAATACCTACTTAATTTTGCCATAGCATCAGTTTTATTTTTCCCTGAATTGACCAATTGGATTGTTGTTTAGCCATGCGTAAACAAAGCCAGACTTGCTCTTTTTGGAGATTAAGTTTCCACAGTGGGTCTTTCTATCTGGGATATGTAGGCTATGGTCATTTCAATCTATCATTTAACAGCAGAGAAGTGGGCTGATTTTTTTTTCTTTTTCTTATCTACGGTAAAAGCAAGATCCGATGTGTTTGAATTCAGATCTTTTCTTAATTCCATGTCAGTTTTTGTTACATGCCTTCTGCCTCACAATGAAGTATTTTCATCAATTTCCAGGATCCAGCACTGCCCACAGTTCGTTTTGAAATCACAGTCTTTAATAGTGATTTATCTACTGAAAACGTCTTCTCCAATTTTCTCTTTATGTGGCAGGAAGCTGCTGGGTCAATGTGAATGTTAATGCTATTTCCACCCCCTCTCCCACATATTCATTTAGTGATTTAAAGGGGGTCCATGTTTTTGACTTGTTGGAAATGGCCTAAAATAGTTAGCTGAGAGAGAACTCACAGACAAATGGATGCTTAAAAATGAAGAGATTATAAACTAGCAAAGAGATAACATGAAGAAAAGAAGTAAAGAAATACCTCAGTTATTATACAATTATACTTTAGGTAACTCAACCATCTAGAATACATCTGTGAACTGAGGCGTGAACATAAGAAAGAACATAACAAGTGCCTAGAAATATCTGGGTAAGTGTTAAAGAGCTCTCCTCATTTATTCATAGATGAGTTCCCAGCCTTCATTCAGAGGCTATATGACCTCACAGCAGTAAATTCTAGCTTCTGAAGTTGCAAATATTTTACACAATATTGTAAAATTTTTGGTCATCTGATTTCCCAATCCTTGGTAGATGAGAATTAGCAAATAAGCAAGGTGGGGAGGTGTTTAAGGGGCAGAATTGTTAGAGAGGGGCACAGTGACAGCAGTAGGAAACAACATCTGAGAATACCAGACCAAAACCTTAAAACCGACATCAGAAATCAAAACGTGGGCTGGGTGCGGTGGCTTACGCCTGTAATCCCAGCACTTTGGGAGGCCGAAGCAGGCGGATCACTTGAGGTCAGGAGTTCGAGACCAGCAGGGCCAACATGGTAAAACTCTGTCTCTACCAAAACTACCAAAAAATTAGCCAGGCATGTTGGTGGGCGCCTGTAGTCCCAGCTACTCGGGAGGCTGAGGTAGGATAATCGATTGAACCTGAGAGGTGGAGGTTGCAGTGAGCCGAGATCACACCACAGCACTCCAGCCTGGGAAATAGAGTGAAACTCCATCTCTCTCTCTCTCTCTCTCTCTCTCACACACACACACACACACACACACACACACACACACACACACACACAAGAAAACATGTATAGCCTGGTGCCCTTGGCTTGGGTCAAATAGCTCTATATACCTCAATAGTCTAGGAGAACTTCATTGATATCCAACAGGACAAGTAAAAGTTAAATTTGGTTCAGGACACTTTTTTTTTTCTTTTTTTGGTTTTGAGATGGAGTTTTGCTCTTGTTGCCCAGGCTGGAGTGCAATGGCACCATCTCAGCTCACTGCAACCTCCGCCTCCTGGGTTCAAGTGATTCTCCTGCCTCAGCCTCCTGAGTAGCTGGGATTACAGGCTTGTGCCACCATGCCCAGCTAATTTTGTATTTTTAGTAGAGATGGGGTTTCTCCATGTTGGTCAGGTTGGTCTCGAACTCCTGACCTCAGGTGATCCGCCCACCTTGGCCTCCCAAAGTGCTGGGATTACAGGCGCGAACCACTGCACCTGGCCCTCAGGATAATTTTAATTAGAACAAAGGAAAGAGGCCACTTTCCTATTGGGTGGTGAAACTGTGGATGTGAGGCCCCGAGCTGCCAGGATTGTCTCAGCCTCTGGGAAAAAGCTGGTCTGAGAACATATCACAGACGCACAGAGAGAAGCATAGAGGACAGAATGCAGGGAGAACCTACTGGTTCTGAAGAACTTCATTTCAAACTGTGAGGTCTCTGGAGCTGTCCTGATTTTGCTTTTGCGACTCATGTTTATTTAGTAAAACTCCTAATTCCAGGAGCGGCCCACACTGTCCTTTCAATGAATCCTCTTTTGCACAAGTGACTCCAATTGGCTTTCTGTTATCTGCCCCTAAAAGCCTCCAGTTCAGTGCAAGAAACTGTGGAAATGTGTGAGGCCTCTCTGAGCTGATGACTGTAATACTGAGGGTCTGACATGAGTGGCAAGAGGGAAAAACTGAGAAGCGGCCTTGTTCATGCAGTTAATGGGGAGTTGGTATCTCTCAAGCCATGTGATTAAGGAAATGCTGCTGCCTAACCGAAGGGGGAAAAGGCTGTAGCAGGAGCCCGTAGAGTAATCTGCCTTACCAGACTTCCCTTTTCTGAGTAATTCAAGCCAAATGCTCAGCCTTATCCCCACCCCCAACCTTACCCCCAAGCCCGGAGAGTACACTGACCACACACCATTTTGAGTCAAGGAGGAGTGCGTGGAGGGTTATGGACCCTTTTGATTCTGACTTTTGAAATCAGTGAAGTTTCTTTTTTTTTTTTTTTTTTTTTAAGACTGAGTCTTGCTCTGTCGCCCAGGCTAGAGTACAGTGGCACGATCTCGGTTCACTGCAACCTCCACCTCCTGGGTTCAAGCGATTCTCCTGCCTCAGCCTCCCGAGTAGCTGGGATTACAGGCATGTGCCACCACGCCAGGCTAATTTTTGTATTTTTAGTAGAGACGGGGTTTCACTATGTTGACCAGGCTGGTCTCGAACTCCTGACCTCAGGTGATCCGCCTGCCTTGGCCTCCCAAAGTGCTGGGATTATAGGTGTGAGCCACTGCGCCTGGCCCAGTGAGGCTTCTTAAATCTCTCCTTTTGTCTGTTACTGGCATTTCCTCATGACCAGGAGAGAGGGAAATAGTCCTCATTAAAGGCTTGCCTATATGGTGACAAGTTCACAAACAATATAGAGAATAAGAATGACAGCTAACACTTACAGAGTGCCATGCACTATTTTAAGCAATTGACATGTATTATTTCATTTAATCCTCACAAGTCTATGAGGTGAATACTAATATTGTTCCCATTTTACTTTAATTTAATTTTATTTTATTTATTATTTTGATGGAGTTTCGCTCTTGTCGCCCAGGTTGGAGTGCAATGGCGTGATCTCGGCTCACTGCAACCTCCACCTCCTGGGTTCAACCGATTCTCCTGCCTCAGCTTCCCAAGTAGCTGGGATTACAGGCATGTACCACCACGCCTGGCTAATTTTTGTATTTTTAGTAGAGATGGGGTTTCACCACGTTGGCCAGGCTGTTCTGGAACTCCTGACCTCAGGTGATCCATCCACCTCGGCCTCCCAAATTGCTGGGATTATAGGCGTGAGCTACCGCCCCCAGCCTCCCATTTTAGAGATGAGCAAATTGAGGCTTAGAGAGGTTAAGAAGCTTCAAGTGGGTCATGCTTTGTATGAGATAGAGCCAGTATTTAAACTAAGGCAGCCTGGCTCCAGAACCTTCTCTCCTGACCATTATACTACATTGCCTTCTGGACACAGGGCATTGGCTGGAGCACTCAGCTGAAGCCTGCCATCTATTCAGCTTCCTGGTATCATCAGGGCTGGCCCTAGAAGTAGGTGAGGCAGATTTCAAGAAGTAGGGTTTTAGCACTCTGCCTTCTATGGGGGAGTTTCCATCATTTTTCGTTACGTATTTACGTCAAGCCTGTTACATACCCTTATGTCCCTCATACACCACTGGTGAGAATGTGATTCAGGCCGGGCATGGTGGCTCACACCTGTAATCCTAGCAATTTGGGAGGCCAAGGAGGGTGGATTACCTGAGGTCAGGAGTTCGAGACCAGCCTGGCCAACTGGTGAAACTCCGTCTCTACTAAAAATACAAAAAAATTAGCCAGGCATTATGGTGCATGCCTGTAATCCCAGCTACTCGGGAGGCTGAGGCAGGAGAATTGCTTGAACCGAGATTGCACCATTGCACTCCAGCCTGGGCGACAGAGCAAGACTCCATCTCAAAAAAAAAAAAAAAAAAAAAAAAAAAAAAGAATGAGCTTCAGTACAGTGTCTGGAAATTCTTTTGGAAGTATGTAGAAAAAGATCTAGAAATATCCACGCTACTTGACCAAGGGTGTTCTCACAAGGAGATAACTAAAAATGCAGACTGAACTTCATGCACAATGGTATTCCATTCAGGGCTCTTCCTTACAATTAAAAGTTTGAAACAATTTATGTTTTTTAGTTTTCAGAGTTGAAAGGAACAGACTCACTCATATTTCCCCACAGAAACACCAATTAATTATAAGTTATCAATTATCTATTGCTGTGTGACAAATTATTTTTGTACCTAGTAGCTTAAAACAACAGTTTGGCATGGGCTCATTCATGTGATTGCAGTCGGCTAGAAGATTGACTGGGGAAAGATGGCTTCACTCAAACATCAAAGTCGTTGGTGCTGGCTGTTGAGTGGTATAACTTGGTTCTCCTTTACAGGGCCTCTCTTACTCCAGGAGTCGACCCAGCTTCCTATCAGCATGGTGGTCTCAAGGTAGGTTTCTAAGAGAAGAGAGGTGAAAACTGAATAGGCTGTCAAGGTTTAGTCTCTGAGGGTGCACAGTGCTACTTTCAACACCTTCTATTGGTCAAAACAAGTCACGTGGCTAACTTAGATTCAAGGGGGTGGAGAAACAGATGTTACCTTTTGATAGGAGGAGTGGCAACATCTCATTGCAAAGTGTAATGGCTAGGCGGTAGGGAGATGTGATTTATAGGGGACCATTATTATGCCCATCTACCACCGGAGGTAAGGAAGTGTGAGTAAGGCTAAAAAGGATTTGGGAGCCTTGTAGTGAAGAATTAATTTTACTCGAAGAGCAGTTTAGCCTTTGCCCTCAGCTACTGGGAGGTGATTTCTAGGCCTCTGGAATGTCCAGCCTGATAGGAATGTCTTTGTTTGCCCTGGGGCTTTGGCTATGATCTAACCGTGTGATTTATGATGGGGGCTTTGAGCCACGCCATACCAGTTCTGACCTCCAGAAGAACCGGAAACCAAACTCATCCTGACCTTTGGGAAGGGCTGGAGTCTAAAGATTGGCCACATGGGCAGTGTGTGACAGAGTCTCAATAAAAACTTTGGACACCAAAGGCTCAGGTGAGCTTCCCTGGTTGGCAGTATTTTTTGAGTATTGTCACACTTTGATGTGGAGAGGGTAACACGTCCCTGAGGATGACAGAGCTTTGTGTTTGAGACTATCCTGGATTTCACCGTGTGCATCTCTTCCTTTGGCTGGCTCTCATTTGTATCCTTTCACTACCATAAGACAGTAATGCTATGCTGAGTGCTTTCCTCTAGAGTTCTATCAGCCCTTCTAGCAAATTATTGAATCTGAGGGGGTCTGTGGGGACCCTAGAATTTGTAGCCAGCTGCTCTGAAGTGAGAGTGGCTCTGGGGAACCCCAAACTTGCAGCTGAGGTCTGATATGAGGGCAGTCTTGCAGGACAATTTCCATTGACTTGGCAGAAGGGCAAACTCCCTGAAGCTGGTATCAGAAGTCTTGGGCAGTCTATGGCCATGCCACCCTGAACATGCCCCATCTCATCTGATCTCAGAAGTCTTGGGCAGACTTGGCCATCTGGAGGACAGTACCCTTAACCTTGAGTTTGGTTAACTTGGTGGAGGGACCGTGAGTCATGGCCACTCTGTGGCTAGGATGTCCTTCAATAATAAAAATAGCAAAAATAATAGCAGCCAACACTTCTATAACATTGACCATGTTAAGTATTTACATATATTAACTGATTGATGCCTCACAACAAAACTATAAGGTAGGTACTATTATTATGACTATTTTGCATATGAGGAAACTAAGGCAAAGATAGATTAACTGACTTGCTCAAGTTTATACAGATTATAATTGGTGAACCTGAGATACAAAGGTAGGCTTTCTGACTTCAGAGTCTACTGCCTCACCTTCCATCTCATACTGCCTCTTGATGTATCTGTCTATCCATTAATCTATCAAATATTTGTCTATCTAACTATGCACATCCTACTGGATTTGGTTTGCTAATTTTCCTTTTTTTTTTCTTTTTCTGAGATGGAGTTTCACTCTTGTTGCCCAAGCTGGAATGCAATGGCATGATCTTGGCTCACTGCAACCTCCGCCTCCTGGGTTCAAGCGATTCTCCTGCCTCATTCTCCCTAGTAGCTGGGGTTACAGGTGGATGACACAATGCCCAGCTAATTTTTCTTCTTCTTCTTCTTTTTTTTTTTTTTTTTTTTTTTTTTTTTAGTGGAGACGGGGTTTTACCATGTTGGCCAGGCTGGTCTCAAACTCCTGACCTCAGGTGATCCACCTGCCTCAGTCTCCCAAAGTGCTGGGATTACGGGTGTGAGCCACCACACCCGGCCGGTTTGCTAATTTTCTTTTTGTGTACCTATATTTGTAACAGTGATTGGCCCATACATTTCTTTTCCCATACTCTCCTTTTTTGTTATTGGTATCAAGATTATATTAACCGCATAAAATGAGCTGGGTAGTCAGCTTTCTCAAGCTTGTTAATTGTATTGTCCAATTCTTCTATATACTTACTGGTCTTATTTATTAGTTTCTAATAGGCCTGTTAAAATCCTCCATTAGGATTGTGTTTTACATATTTCAAAATTATATTAATATAAAAAGGAATATAAAGCAAACTCCAAAATTAAAATAAAGTGAAACAAATGAACCTAACTGTATATCAAATCAGTAACATTACCCAGAGGAAAAAAGAGTTATTTTAAGTGACTTGTACACAGTACTCTGACTGTACATTCTAAGTGGAATATATTATAAAGACATGGAAAATACAAATAAATCTTAAATTTTCTTCAGTAATTTTATTATTGAAGTAATAGTGATGTTGTAATTTTGAAACTGTTTTTATGTATTATAGGTTAAAACAATATATGTAACTATGTTCATATTAAGAATCAAGGCTTTCAGCCGGGTGCGGTGGCTCACGCCTGTAATCTCAGCACTTTGGGAGGCTGAGGCAGGCAGATCACAAGGTCAGCGATTGAGACCATCCTGGCCAACATGGTGAAATCCCGTCTCTACTAAAAATACAAAAATTACGTGGGTGTGGTGGTGCGTGCCTGTAATCCCAGCTACTCAGGAGGCTGAGGCAGGAGAATCGCTTGAACCTGGGAGGCGGAGATTACAGTGAGCCGAGATAGCACTACTGCACTCCAGCCTGGCGACAGAACGAGACTCCGTCTAAAAAACAAAACAAAAAACAAAAAAACTGTATTTACAAAAAAACAAGCAATAGGATGGATTTGGCTTAAGGGCCATAGTTAGCTGACCCCTGGTTTTATACTATAAGGGTCTAGAATCTATGCCCCTGCCCTCAACAGCAATGAGAACAATTAATACCTGCATCTTGGTTTCTGAATACCATTCCCCACTAAAAGGAGCCAGGGCTTCTTGGAGAGAGAATTGATTCCAGATCTAGGACTGGGAAAGTTCAAGATGAGCCTGGATTTTCCTGTGTCAGAAAGCAAAACAAATAAACAAAACACACGCACACAAAGGATTCATCCCAGATTGCAAGGTCAGTTCAATATATGAAAAGCAATCAATAGATCAAAGACCTAAACGTAAGAGAGAAAACTATAAAACTGTTGGCAACATGGGCACAAATCTTCACGTGCTTGGATTAGGCAATGGTTTTAAAAATGACACCAAAAAAACAAGCAACAAAAGAAAAAATAGATAAATTGGGTCACATCAAAATGTAAAACTTCTATGCTTCAAAGGACACCATTGAGAAATTAAAAAGACAATCCATAGAATGGGAAAATTATAATATCTGATAATCACACATCTGAAAAGGGACTTGTATCCAGAATATACAAAAAACTCTTTTTTTTTTTTTTTTTTTTGAGACAAAGTCTCACTCCGTTGCCCAGTCTGGAGTGCACTGGTGTGATCTCAGCTCACTGCAACCTCAACCTCCTGGGATCAGACGATCCTCCTACCTCAGTCTTCAAAGTAGCTGGAACTACGGTCACATACCATCACGCCCAGCTAATTTTTTTTTTTAATTTTTTTGTAGAGACAGGGTCTTGCTATGTTGCCCAGGCTGGTCTCAAACATATGGGCTCAAGCGAGCCTCCTGCCTTGGCCTCCCAAAGTGCTGGGATTACAGCATGAGCCATAGCACCAGCCTATAAAAAACTCTTAAACCTAAACAATAAAAACAATACAATTAATAAAATGAACAAAGGGCTTGAGTAGACATTTTAAAAAGGTATGCAAATGGCCAATAAGTACATGAAAAAATGCTCAACGTCATTAGTTATTAGGGAAATCCGTATCAAAACCACAGTGAGATGTCACTTTACACCTACTGGGATGTCTATAATAATAAAGACAAACAATAACAAATGTTAGCAATGATGGTGATAAATTAAAACCTCCATACATTGCTGGTGAGATGTAAAATGGTGCAGCAACTGTGGAAAACAGTTGGGCAACTCCTCAAAGAGTTGAACATAGAGTTATCATATGACTCAGAAATTTCACTCCTGGGTGTATACACAAGAGAAATAAAAACATATGTCCACACAAAAACTTGTACATGGGTGTTTATAGCAGCATTCTTTTTTCGTTTTAATTATACTTTAAGTTCTAGCATACATGTGCAGAACATGCAGGTTTGTTACATAGGTATACATGTGCCATAGTGGTTTGCTAGCAGCATTTTTCATTATAGTTAAAAAGTGGAAACAACCCAAATGTCCATTAACTTATGAATGGATAAATAGAATGGGGCATATCCATACAATGGAATATATATATATATATTTTATTTATATATATATATTATATATATACTTTTTGAGATGGAGTTTCGCTCTTGTTGCCCAGGCTGGAGTGCAATGATGCAATCTTGGCTCACCGCAACCTCTGCCTCCCAGGTTCAAGCGATTCTCCTGCCTCAGCCTCCCGAGTAGCTGGGATTACAGGCATGCAACACCAAGCCCGGCTGATTTTGTATTTTTAGTAGAGATGGGGTTTCACCATGTTGGTCAGGCTGGTCTGACCAACTCCCGACCTCAGGTGATCCACCCACCTCTGCTTCCCAAAGTGCTGGGATTACAGGCATGAGCCAGCGCACCCAGCCATACAATGGAATATTATTCAGCCATAAAAAGAAAGCTCGCTGGGTGCGGTGGCTCATGCTTGTAATCCCAGCACTTTGGGAGGATGAGGCGGGCGGATCACAAGGTCAGGAGTTTGAGACCAGCCTGATCAACATGGTGAAACCCCATCTCTACTAAAAATACAAAAATTAGCCGGGCATGGTGGTGTGCGCCTGTAATCCCAGCTACTCAGGAGGCTGAGGCAGGAGAATCGCTTGAACCCGGGAGGCGGAGGTTGTAGTGAGCCGAGATCACACCACTGCACTCCAGCCTGGTAGACAGAGCGAGACCTGTCCCCCACTCCCAAAAAAAAAAAAAAAAAAAGAAAAAGAAAGCTGTACTGATACGTGCTACAACCTGTGTGAACTGTGAAAATGCTATACTAAGTGACTGAAGTCAGACACAACAGTTTACATACTATATGATTCAATTTATACATAATGACCAGAATAGGCAAATCTATACAGGCAGAAATTAGATTAGTTGTTGTCAGGGCCTGGGGAAAGGGGAGTTGTGACTGCTAATGGACAAGGGGTTTCTTGTTGTGGTGTAAAAATGTTCTAACATTAGACAATGGGGATAGTTGCACAACTTTGTGAATATATGAAAAACTACTGAACTGTGTATTAAAAGGGTGAATTTTATGGTATGTGAGTTGTTTCTCAATTAAAAAAAGAATTTTCAAGACTCAATAATATGAAAACAAACAACCCAGTTAATAAATGGCTAAGAATTTGAAGAGGCACTTCATTAAAGAAGATATATTGATGATAAATAAGCACATGGAAAGAAGTTCAGCATCATTAGTTATTAAGGAAATTTACATGAAACCCACAATGAAATGCCACTACACTTCTATTATAATGGATAACATTTAAAACAATAATGGGCTGGGTGCGGTGGCTCACACCTGTAATCCCAGTACTTTGGGAGGCTGAGGTAGGTGGATCATGAGGTCAGGAGTTCGAGACCAGCCTGGCCAATATGGTGAAACCCCGTCTCTACCAAAAAGACAAAAATTAGCCAGGTGTGGTGGTGCATGCCTATAGTCGCAGCTACTAGGGAGGCTGAGGCAGAAGAATCGCTTGAACCCTGGAGGCGGAGGTTGCAGTGAGCTGAGATCGCACCACTGTACTCCAGCCTGGGTGACAGAGTGAGACTCCATCTCAAAAAAAAGAAATAATAGTAATAATAATGACAGTGCCAAATGCTGGTGAGGATGAGGAGCAACTGGAGCTCTCCATAATTTGATCATGGGAATGCAAAATGATATAGCCACAATGGAATATGGTTTGATAGTTTCTTATAAGATTAAGCATGTACTTTCTATAGGACCCAGCAATATCATTCCTGGTTATTTACCATAGAGAAATGCAATTTTATGTTCACACAAAAACCTGTTCATTAATAAACTTGGGCCTTATTCATAATTGATAAAAACTAAAAACAACCCAAATGTCTCTCAGTGGGTGTTTATACAAATTGAGGTACATCAGTATAGTAGAACACTATTCAGCAATAAAAAAGAAATGAAGTACTGATACATGCAAAAACCTGGAGGACACCAGGAGTGGTGGCTCATGCCTGTAATCCCAGCACTTTGGGAGGCTGAGGCAGATGGATCACTTGAGGTCAGGAGTTCGAGACCAGCCTGGCCATCACGGTGAAACCCCGACTCTACTAAAAATACAAAAATTAGGGCTGGGTGCATTGGCTCATGCCTGTAATCCCAGCACTTTGGGAAGCTGAGGCAGCCGGATCACCTGAGGTCAGGAGTTCGAGACCAGCCTGACCAATATGGTGAAACCCCGTCTCTACTAAATACACAGAATTAGTGGGGGTGGTGGCGCATGCCTATAATCCCAGCTACTTGGGAGGCTGAGGAAGGAGAATCGCTTGAACCTGGGAGGCAGAGGTTGCAGTGAGCCGAGATTGCGCCATTGCACTCCTGCCTGGGTGACAGAGGGAGACTCCGTCTCAAAAAAAAATAAAAAATAAAAAATAAAAAATAAAAAATCCCTGGAGGACTCTCAAATATATTACGCTAAATGAAGAAACCCAGACACAAAAATCTACATACTCTATGATTCTATTTATATGACAATCTGGAAACGGCAAAAATACAGGGCCAGTAAACAGATAAGTACTTGTCAAAGGCTGGGAATAGGGGGAGGGGTTGATAGAATGGGGTCTAAGGGTATCTTTGGGGTTTTGGGACTCTTTCTATATGTCAATTATAGTAGTAATTTCACGACTGTATGCATTTATCAAAACTCACAGAACTGTATACTAAAAAGAGTGAATTTTACTGTATATAAATTTACCTTTAAAATGGAAAAAAACAGAATCTAAGTAGTACTAAAAAAAGAAAGCATATATTTGGAACAGTGCTTCAGGTCTTCGCTTCTTCTTGTCTACCAGAGTAGTGTCTGCAAATCCACTTCACCTAGACACAGGACAGTGTGTGTCACATGGCAGATGGTATGACCTATCAGATAGATGCTGGGGATGGGGGAAGTTTTTAGAAAACTTCTGCTCATCTTAAAATGATCAGAGAAATATAGACCAGAAGAAAGAATGCCCGGTAGAGGGAAAACCATAAGAGATCAGACAAGAGAGGCTTAGCAAATCAGTTACCTGGCGGCCAGGTGCGGTGGTTCACGCCTGTAATCCCAGCACTTTGGGAGGCTGAGATGGGCAGATCACCTTAGCTTGGGAGTTCAAGACCAGCCTGACCAACATGGAGAAACCCCTTCTCTACTAAAAATACAAAATTAGCCGGGCATGGTGGTGCATGCCTGTAATCCCAGCTACTCGGGAGGCTGAGGCAGGAGAATTGCTTGAACCCGGGAGGCGGAGGTTGTGGTGAGCCGAGATCGTGCCATTGTACTCCAGCCTGGACAACAAGAGCAAAACTCCGTCTCAAAAAAAAAAAAAAAAATTCAGCTACCTGGCAATAGCCATACTCACCCACTTTGGCCAGTACATCATATTCAGAGACAATAGGTAGTGGAGATGAGGGCAGACAGGTGATGGTCACAGGACTGGAAATTGTTCCCCTGAAGATTGGCATGGTTTGCCCTCCATAATCCTCCTTCCAATCATTGAGCTAGGCCAGGAGAAAGAGGTCACTGACCTTAAGTAACAGCTTCTATCTTAGCCTTTATTTTTGTAAACAAAGAGATTTTCTTTCAGCCAATGATGATGAAAGCCGCAGTTGTTATGTCTTCCTCAAAGAGAAAACTGCAGGGTAGCGGGCAGAGTAAACAGTTGCTGGGCCAAAACTGTGTGGCTTCCTTCCCATGTCCTGGGGGTGCCCTTGCTGGAGAGTGCCCAAGAACTGTATGGTAAACACTGCTCCCTAATCAGGGCCTCACCTGGATTTGGGAGTGAAGGTAAGTGTTTCTTTTTTTCTCCCAGTAACATTAGAGAGTATAACATTTTGGCCAGGCACAGTGGCTCACGCCTGTAATCCCAGTGCTTTGGGAGGCCGAGGCAGGTGGATCCTCTGAGGTAAGGAGTTCGAGACCAGCCTGACCGACATGGAGAAACCCTGTCTCTACTAAAAAGACAAAATTAGCCAGGCGTGGTGGCACACGCCTGTGATCCCAGCTACTTGGGAGGCTGAGGCTGGAGAATCACTCAAACCCAGGAGTTGGAAGTTGCAGTGAGCCAAGATCATGCCACTGCACTCCAGCCTGGGTACCAGAGTGAGAGTCTGTCTCAAAAAAGAAAGAAAAGAAAAAAATAGAGTATAACATTTAAAAAAATGTCTTGTTATATCCTTAGAACAGCCCACTTTACTTGTGCACAGAGAAAAGGACTTTATGAAGCAAAATCTGCCCAGGCAGTATAGCAAGGCCAGAGAATACATGAATAGCCTTTATTTGGTGGAGCAGACAAAAATGGTCTTTAATATGGAATCCTTTTTTTTTTTAAATCAAGAATCTTTAATATTTTAAAATTCAAGAATCTGTTGAAATTGTAGTTCAAAATTAGGTTTCACAAAGGAATGTATTTTCATTTGTTTTGTTTAATTTTTCTGCAAGGACCTCAAATTATGCAGTGAATTTTGTTGATTTTAGAGTATATTACAAGATAGATAATTAATAGTAACCTAGAAATGTTTTTTTTAAAAGATTCTAGCAATTGTTGTATATTGAAATATAGTAGGAAATTTAAACCAAAATAACAAGCATGTGTTGGTGGGTTTTCTTTGTTTGCATGATCTATCTCATTTGGGATTTTTGAAGGACAATATAAGCCTCTTTTCAAATATCTCTTTCAATGATAAGGTCCAGTTTCCTTTGCATAGAGAATCTATCTTTGGACCCCCACTTCTGGAATGGTGGACTAGGTGATTTGGCCCAAGTACATGACTTTAGTACAAGTAGAAAAGTTGGCTAAAATAGACAAAGTCTGTGTGAAGACATTCGAGAGCTAACTAGATCTTCCTGCCCAGGATCTAGGAGAAGAAGGAAGCCCAGGAAGTTGCTTTTTGCTTGGGCATTTATCCTAATTCCAGCAGAGAAGCTGAGAAGTGCAAAGGCCGAGTAGCGCTTTTCACAGGCTGGCCACGCTAAGGAACCTGTCCAGGAAATAGGGGAGGCTTGAGTCTTTACCCCAAAGATCTACATCTTTTTTTTTTTTTTTTTTTTTTTTTTGAGACGGAGTCTCGCTCTGTCGCCCAGGCTGGAGTGCAGTGGCGCGATCTCGGTTCACTGCAAGCTCCGCCTCCCGGGTTCACACCATTCTCCTGCCTCAGCCTCCCGAGCAGCTGGGACTACAGGCGCCCACCACCACGCCCGGCTAAGTTTTTGTATTTTTAGTAGAGACGGGGTTTCACCGTGTTAGCCAGGATGGTCTCCATCTCCTGACCTCGTGATCCACCCGCCTCGGCCTCCCAAAGTGCTGGGATTACAGGCCTGAGCCACCGCGCCCGGCCAAGATCTACATCTTATAACCAGAAATAGATTCTCCCAAGGGGCTACAGCTCAGCCTGTAATCATCTCAATCACTGAACTTGGATTAAGCAAATCCCAGTGTGTTAGTGTTGCTTGTACTTTCCAAACTGCTGGCATGCCCAGATACCATACTGAAGCAAGCATGAATCTCTGGAGGAAGAGAACACTCATGCATCAAATTACTTCTACAAATTTGCAAATACAACGTCCAGCATCCAATGAGAAATAATGAGACACAATAGAAGGAAAGATGCCATAAATAAAAAAACAGCAGAAGTTATAGAAAATAGAAAAAGACTCACACTGGCTACAAATATTAGAATTATGAGACGCATATTTTAATTATTCTTCCTATGTTCATGGTGATAAAAGGAAGAATTATGGATTTTGGGAGGAAACTGGCAGCTATTAAAAAGAACCAAATAGGCTGAGGTGTGAGGATCACTTGAGCCCAGTAGTTTGAGACCAGCCTGGGCAACATAGCAAGACTTTGTGTCTGCTAAAAATTTAAAAATGATTAACCAGGTGTGGTGGCATGTGCCCATAGTCCCGGCTACTTGGGAGGTGGAAGAAGAAGGATCGCTTGAACTGGAGAAGTCAATGCTGCACTGAGCCGAGATTGCACCACTGCACTCCGCTGGGCTATTAGCTCTATTGAACGAAACTCTGTCTCAGGAAAAATGAAAAATAAAAATAAAAATTGTGGAACCGAAAAAATACAATAACCAAAATTAAGAATGCAGTGGCTGGATTTAATAGTAGATTAGTCAAATCTGCGGGGAGAATCAGTAAACTGGAAAGGATCAGTAAACTAACACCTATGGGCCAAATTTGTCTCATGGCCTGTTTTATTTATTTATTTATTTTTGAGAGAGTCTCGCTGTGTCGCCTAGGCTGGAGTGCAGTGGCACCATCTCGGCTCACTGCAACCTCCGCCTCCTGGGTTCAAGCGATTCTCCTGCCTCAGCCCTCCAAGTAGCTGGGACTACAGGCGCGCGCTACCACACCCGGTTAATTTTTGTATTTTTAGTAGAGACAGGGTTTCACTATGTTGGCCAGGCTGGTCTTGAACTCCTGACCTCATGATCCGCCTGCCTCGGCCTCCCAAAGTGCTGGGATTACAGGTGTGAGCTGCCGCGCCTGGCCTCATGGCCTGTTTTTGTCTGACCCACATTTTAATTTTATTATTTATTTATTTATTTAGATGGACTCTCACAATGTTGCCTGGGCTGGAGTGCAATGGCGTGATCTTGGCTCACTGCAACCTCCGCCTCCTGGGTTCAAGTGATTCTCCTGCCTCAGCCTCCCGAGTAGCTGGTATTGCAGGCACCTGCCAGTACGCCTGGCTAATTTTTGTATATTTCGTAGAGATGGGGTTTCACTCTATTGGCCAGGCTGGACATTTTGGTTTTTATTTTATTTTATTTTTTGAGACAGAGCCTCGCTCTGTCACCCAGGCTGAAGCGCAGTGGCAGATCTCGACTCACTGCAACCTCTGCCTCCCAAAGAGATTCAAGAGATTCTCCTGCCTCAGCCACCCGAGTAGCTGGGATTACAGGCGCCTGCCACCAAGCCCAGCTGATTTTTGTATTTTTAGTAGAGACGGGGTTTCACCATGTTGGCCAGGCTGGTCTTGAACTCCTGACCTCATGATCTGGCCGCCTCGGCCTCCCAAAGTGCTGGGATTATAGGCGTGAGCCACCGCATCTGGTCCACATTTTAATTTTAATTTAATTTAATTTTTTGAGACAGAGTCTTGCTCTGTCACCCAGGCTGGAGTGCAGTGGAGATTCTCGACTGACTGCAACCTCCGCCTCTTGGGTTCAACAGATTCTCCTGCTTCAGCCTTCCAAGTAGCTAGGATTACAGGCGCCCACCACCACCCACCACCATGCCCAGCTAATTTTTGTATTTTTAGTAGAGATAGGGCTTCACCATATTGGCCAGGCTGGTTTCGAACTCCTGACCTCAAGTGATCTGCCCACCTTGGCCTCTCAAAGTGCTGGGATTACAGGCGTGAGCCACGTGTCCATCCTTGACCCACATTTTTAAAGGGTTAAAAAATATGTACAGAGACTATGTTTGGCCTACAAAGCCTAAAATATTGACTATCAGGCCCTTTGGAGAAAAAGTTTGCCAGCCCCTGAGCTAGAAGACAGGTCAGCAGAACATGTAGAGGTCTGTAAATAGAGGAGCCAAAAAGAAGCCTGAGAAGGCAGCCCCAGCCAGGACTGTGCCCAGTTTGTGTGATTCTGTTACCTTGGTCCCCCAGCTGAGCCCTCTCAGGAGGGTTTTGATCATTCATTTATTCATTCACCCAGGTATGCAATACATATCTAGTCAATTTCTGTCTCAGTGCTTAAGAGCATAGACTTTATGATCAGACCTGGGTTTAAATCCCAACTTAGCCTCCTCATAGAGAGAAAAGGGAGATAATAACAGGGCTTGGCTGACTAGTAGTCATGAAGACCCAAAGAGATCATGCATATCAGGCACTCAGCAGTGTCTGTATATAGCAAAGACGGAGTACAGGTGCTATTGTTAGCAAAGGGTGTGCTCAGCATGGACATAGAGTGTGGAATAATAGCCACCGGAAGGCCAGGCATGGTGATGCACACCTGTAATCCCAGCTACTCAGGAGGCTGAGGCAGGAGAATCGCTTGAAACAAGGAGGTGGAGGTTGCAGTGAACCAAGATCGTGCCGCTGCACTCCAGGCTCGGCGGCAGAGCGAGATTCTGTCTCAAAAACAAAAAACCAAAAAACAACAAAAAAGAGCATGCTCAGGCATGATCACTATGCCTCAAGCTGGCTATAAGTCCCACAAGGACATCTTGGTGACTGTGGTGGGGGTGCAGTGGAATGGATGAAGGTAGAGCACGGAAGAAAGGC
Source organism: Homo sapiens (assembly GCF_000001405.40). Lineage (NCBI taxonomy): Eukaryota > Metazoa > Chordata > Mammalia > Primates > Hominidae > Homo > Homo sapiens. The sequence continues at coordinate 44,693,975 of NC_000023.11, read as the reverse complement.
GGGTCAGGACCATCGTGAACATAGGAGTTGAAGGCCCAATGCAAACTTTTATACCATTCTCCTTCCCATTGACATTTACCTGAATGGGAAATCCAATTAAAAGTGAATATGACCAGCAAAGCTTGTTTATAATAGTTAAAGACTGGAAACCACCTAAATCCCCAACATTTGGGGAATGGTTGAGTGGAATTAGTTGCTGATATGGTAGGTGTAAAACATATAATGTAAAACTGTGTGAAGTATGTCAAAACAATTTTCAGAAAACGAAAATCAAAACTCATCTAAATATGGAATAAACATATATAAAAGATTTCTTCAATTTATTAGTGAGGGCATCAGTGACATGATAAAGCTGGTTCAAAGAGCATTTAATGAACTGGCTACTTATAGGTATTAATAGAAAAGAGTGTTCGAATAAGGGGCTAGGTAAAATACAAAACTGATTAATGAGTCATACAGCAATAAAACCATAACCTTTGGGGTTATCTTTTCTACCGGAGAGAAATTATCTACAAGTTAACATATAACTTTACAGTGTCTGAGCTCTAATCAAAAAGTAAATAGCAAAGTCAAACACGGATACAGTCTTCTAAAGAATTAAATAATTCTGTTATCTAATGTTCCCAGTATGACATTGAAAGGACATGCCTCCTTCCCTTTGCCTTATTTGCAATGTTTGGGATATATATATATATATATATATATATATATATATTTTTTTTTTTTTGAGACGGAGTCTTGCTCTGTCCCCCAGGCTGGAGTGCAGTGACACGATCTCGGCTCACTGCAAGTTCTGCCTTCCGGGTTCACGCCATTCTCCTGTCTCAGCCTCCTGAGTAGCTGGGACTACAGGCGCCCGCCAACACGCCTGACTAATTTTTTGTATTTTTTAGTAGAGACAGGGTTTCACCGTGTTAGCCAGGGTGGTCTCGATCTCCTGACCTCGTGATCCGCCTGTCTCGGCCTCCCAAAGTGCTGGGATTACAGGGGTGAGCCACTGTGCCCGGCTTGGGATATATTTTTTAACACATAGCTGCCAACTACATAAAATTTGTTGTATGTCAAAGTATTAGGGTCCTCCCAGGAATTGATGTCACACCAAAGGACTTAGCTGAAGGGCATTTAATAAATAGACTGCTTCGAAGGTGTGAGTAGGGTTAAAGAGAACCAAAAAGAGATATTGGAATCTTCAGAGCCTAGTAACAGTGGGAAACCCTTATTACCTCTAGATCTGAAGCACCAAGCAGGGGCTGAAAGGATGCAAATAAATACCAAATTTCTCTCTCCTTCTGACCTCTGGTCGGTTAGTGCTTCCTAGAAGCCCAACACAACTGGATGCCAGAGGGATCCATTAATGTCATTTGTAGAGGTTAGCCTCTTTGGGCACAGAACAAGACCAAGAGATGAGAAATGAGAGGCAGAGGCCGGGCACGGTGGCTCACACCGGTAATCCCAACACTTTGGGAGGCCAAGGCAGTTGGATCACCTGAGATCAGGAGTTCAAGACCAGGCTGGCCAATATGATGAGACCCCCGTCTCTATTAAAAATACGAAAATTAGCCGGGCTTGGTGGCACACGCCTGCAATCCCAGCTACTCGGGAGGCTGAAGCAGGAGAATCACTTGAACCCGGGAGGCTGAGGTTGCAATGAGCCGAGATTGCGCCATTGCACTCCAGCCTGGGAGACAGAGACTCTGTTTCAAAAAAAGAAATGAGAGGCAGACAGTGAACAATCTGCTCACTCAATATGACAGGTATTGTTATGAGTATAATTGTGTCCCCTGCCAAAAGAAATGTTGGAGTCCTAACCTCCAGTACCTCAGAACATGATCTTATTTTCAGATAGGGTCTTTACAGGGGCAATCAAGCTAACATGAGATCATTGGGGCAGGCCCTAAACCAACATGACTGGTGTCCTTATAAAAAGGGAAAATTTGGCTGGGCATGATGGCTCACACCTGTAATCCCAGCACATTGGGAGGCTGAGGCGGGCGGATCACTTGAGGCCAGGAGTTCGAGACCAGCCTGGCCAACATGGCGAAACCTCATCTCTACTAAAAACACAAAAATTAGTTGGGCATGGTGGCGGGCACCTATAATCCCAGCTACTTGGGAGGCTGAGGCAGGAGAATCGCTTGAACCCAGGAGGCGGAGGTTGCAGTGAGCTGAGATCATACCACTGCACTCCAGCCTGGGCCACAAAGCGAGACTGTGTCTCAAATAATAATAATAAGTAAATAAATAAATAAAAGGGGGAAATTTGAACACAGAGACAGACATGGATAGAAAGAAGATGATGTGATGAGATGCACACAGGAAGGAGATGGCCATCCACAAGCTCAGGAGAGAGGCCTGGAACAGATCCTTTCCCCACAGCACTCAGGAGGAATCAACTCTGCCATCACATTGATTTTGGACTTTCAGCCTCAGAACGGTGTGACAATACATTTCTGTTTCTTTCAGCCACCTGGTTTGTGGCATGTTGTTACAGCGGCCTTAGCAAATGGCTACAGGTACGTAGAAAATGTACACTGAAAGAAGAATTTACACCAAAATATTGAATGTTACTTCTGTGAGGTGGTAATAAGGGGGATTTCTATTTTGTGTTTTTCTTTATTTCCTAGTTCGCATACTTTTACATCAGAATAAATGAACATATCGTTTTGTTAAAAGGAACCTCAAGGCGATAGTAGAAGGAAGTCACTCTTGGGCAACCTGAGAGATGTGTATGGCAGAGGAGAGGCAAGCTCACTCATACAACAGAGGGACTGTGAGCAAATTATTTGTATCCCAAGAAGGATGTTTCTTGCCTGAGACGGAATCCCAGGCTTTCTCTTCCTTACATGTCACAGGCCTGGTCTTTTTCTCCTCTCTAAAGCTGCTGTCCTATTGGTAGGTCCCCAGGGACTCGATTCCCCATCCTCACCCCTGAAGATTGAAGAGGAGGCCAAAGTTAGCACATAAGGCCATTTTATTTAAGAGTGTGTTGGCCAGGCGTGGTTGCTCACGCCTGTAATCCCAGCACTTTGGGAGGCTGAGGCAGGCGGATCACAAGGTCAGGAGATTGAGACCATCCTGGCCAACATGGTGAAACCCCGTCTCTACTAACAGTACAAAAATTAGCTGGTCATGTGTGCCTGTAGTCCCAGTTACTTGGGAGGCTGAGGCAGGAGAATCCCTTGAACCTGAGAGGCAGAGGTTGCAGTGAGCCGAGATCGTGCCACTGCACTCCAGCCCTGCTGGCGACAAGACCGAAACTCTGTCTCAAAAAAAAAAAAAAAAAAAAAAAAAAGTTAATACCCAGTCTGCGATATTCTGTTATAGCAGCAAAAAATGGACTAAGACTACCTAATCCATAGGTTCCTGGCTCATTTCTTAGAAAAATAACTGAAAACCCAACTGGAACTCAGTCTATTGCTTTTATTCCTCAGGCTGAAATCTGCCATTTCTTTCCCCTCTTTTGTCATGTTAGACTTAGGTACTCTTAGTCTTAGACAAATCCTAGTAGATCCTTCCAGCTGTCCCTCTGTCCCCCACTGATCTATGCCCACTCTGCTTCTTTTTCCTCCCTCTCTGAGACTGTGATTTCCTGGAAGCGGGGAGACACAGCTTGTCCTCACTTGTTTGACACTAGCAGGTAATAACCAGATGTTTGTTCAAGTCTGAAATATGACTTGGGTGACCTTTGGAAATGGGGATGAGCAAGGAGATAAGAGTTGGATCTCAGGAAATTGAGTGATGACTTAGCATTCATTTTTTTTTTTTTTGAGATGGAGTCTTGCTCTTGTCGCCCAGGCTGGAGTGCAATGGCATGATCTTGGCTCACTGAAACCTCTGCCTCCTGGGTTCAAGCGATTCTCCTGCCTCAACCTCCCAAGTAGCTGGGATTACAGGTGGGCACCACCACGCCCAGCTAATTTTTGTATTTTTGGAAGAGACGGGGTTTCATCATGTTGGCCAGGCTGGTCTCGAACTCCTGACTTCAGGTGATCCACCCGCCTCAGCCTCCCAAAGTGCTGGGATTACAGGCATGAACCACTGTGCCTGGCTTGACTTAGCATTATTTTATTTTATTTTATTTTATTTTGAGACGGAGCATCACTCTGTCGCCCAGGCTGGAGTGCAGTGGCACCATCTCGGCTCACTGCAACCTCCACCTCCTGGGTTCCAGCGATTCTCCTGCCTCAGCCTCCTGAGTAGCTGGGATTACAGGCGCCCACCACCATGCCTGGCTAATTTTGTATTTTTAGTTGAGACAGGGTTTCACCATATTGGCCAGGCTGGTCTCGAACTCCTGACCTCAAGTGATCCACCCACCTCAGCCTCCCAAAGTGCTGGGATTACAGGTGTGAACCAGCATGCCCGGCTAGCATTTTTTTAATAAGCAAAAAGGAAATGAAGTGCCCTCAGCCTGTTAGCTAAGGGATCCCATGGATTTCAATGAGAGAAAAGATCTGTAATCAAATCTGCAAATCAAATACCTCTTGTTTACAAACAATGCATCCCCTTATCCTTTCCCACTGCTGGAACCCAATGCCTTCCCTTTTCCAGAGAACAGAAACAGAATAAGGACCAAATAAAGGTCATTTTTACCACCACACAAACGTTGGTTTCTATGGTGACTGGTTTTTTTTTTCTCTTCAAAGATTGAAGGTATGTTTTTCTTGACTTCAGTGATTTTTCATTTTGTTTTTCATATTCAAGTTCTCTCTGTTCTGCTTTCTTTCCCATAGGGGTAGTCCACAACACTTGCCTGCCGGAGGGGGTACGAGGTGTTAAGTGGCACTAAGGTATAATTTCCAAAAAGGTAAAATCATGACTCTTATGCATATGTAAAATGAACATATGCTAAAGATTTTATTCAACTCATTAATTTATTCAGGAACCAGTAGAATATTAAGGCTGGTTTGAAGTGCATGTGAAGATCTAAGCATACACAGGCAATTCAATAAAGGAATATGAGGATAAAATGGCTGAGTTAGATACAAAACTTTTCTACAGGGAAAAAAACCTATAACCTTTGGAATTCTTTTTTTTTTGAGACGGAGTCTCGCTCTGTCGCCAGGCTGAAATTGAAATACAATGGCGCCATCTCAGCTCACTGCAACCTCCACCTCCCGGGTTCAAGCGATTCTCCTGCCTCAGGCTCCCGAGTAGCTGGGACTATAGGCGCCCACCACCACTCACAGCTAATTTTTGTATTTTTAGTAGAGACGGGGTTTCACCATGTTGGCCAGGATGGTCTCGATGTCTTGACCTTGTGATCTGCCCGCCTCGGCCTCCCAAAGTGCGGGGATTACAGGCGTGAGCCAAAGTGCTCAGCCATCTTTTAATTTTTTTTGAGACGGAGTCTTGCTCTGTTGCCCAGGCTGAAGTGCAGTTGTGCAATCTCAGCTCACTGCAACCTCCGCCTCCTGGGTTCAAGCAATTCTCTGCCTCACCCTCCCGAGTAGCTGGAATTACAGGCGCCCCCCCGCCACCCCCCACCCCCACCACGCCGGCTAATTTTTGTATTTTTAGTAGAGACGGGGTTTCACCATGTTGGCCAGGCTGGCCTCGAACTCCTTACCTCAGGTGATCCGCCCGCCTCGGCCTCCCAAAGTGCTGGTATTACAGGCGTGAGCCACCGTGCCTGGCCTAAATTCTTTTTTCTACTGGACAGAAATGATCTGCATCTCTACTGGACAAAATTCTTTAAGTTTTTATGTAACTCTGCTAAGTCTCTGACCTTTAACCAATGATAGACTGAGCAAACAAGGTACATTGCCCTAAATAATCCTTGGGTGAGCTTTCTTCAGGCAATATTGAAAGGATGTTACACCTATCTTTTGCTTTGTCTCCAAGTTTTGTATCTACTTTTTAAATAGTGAATGGATGAAGGATGTATATCATTTTGGGGGAATATAAATTGAGACCTTTTTAAGGGAAGATGCAAGGTTGGTACTTAAGACTGGTTTTTAAATAGCCTTAAGTGCATCAGATACTCTGGGGAGTTGACCCAACAGCAACTATACAGTGAGTTAAAAGATATCCCTTTCTTTCTTTTTTTTTGCATCTGCATCGTTTTACAGTAAACCACAGCCACGCCAAAAAAATGATGAAATTATGATTGGTGCTAATAAACTGGAAGATTTAATTGCATGATAAACTTAGAGTATGTTGGAAGTTAATAAAGCATGTTTGCACACTAATAAAAATATTTAGGATATGAGATAATGATTTTATGGAACAAAATAAAATGGCCATAAACAAATTGCTGAACTATCTGAATCATATAAAATAACATTTAAAATCACTGAGCAAGCTGAAAATATGTATGCTTTTTATATCTACTTATTCTATGTTCAAAAGGTCAGGTATTTGGAAAACGTGGAAATAAGATGTACAGTTTATTTTGCATTAAAAAATCCTAAAGGCCTGGCACTGTGGCTCACGCCTATAATCCCAGCACTTTGGGAGACCAAGGAGGGCGGACCACTTGAGGTCAGGAGTTCAAGACCAGCCTGACCAACATGGTGAAACCCTGTCTCTATTAAAAATAAAAAAAATTAGCCGGATGTGATGGTGCATGCTTGTAATCCCAGCTATTTGGGAGGCTGAGGCAGGATAATTGCTTGAAATTGGGCGGCGGAGGTTGCAGTGACCCGAGATAGCACCGCTGCCCTCCAGCCTGAGTGAAAAGAACGAAACTCCGTCTCAAAAAAAAAAAAAAAAAAGGCCTTTAAACTCTTTTAGAAGACCTACAATAATGAAGAACCTGTAATAAGCTCACAAAAAGCTCTTCTAATGAATTAGTCAATTTAATACTCTTCAGAATTCCCCATAAGAACATCGTTCTATCTTTTTTTCCTGCAAAGCTCAGCTCTCTCCTCTCTTGACAACCTCTCCAAGATATTTTAGATTTCTTTTAAGAGAAAATTTCATTTATTAAAGACACAGTTGTGCTAAATTAAAACCAATCATCATAATAATTTTCTCTGCTTTAATATATACTGGCTGCTTCATTGAGGATCATGTACCCTAGCTTCCATTTTTGTAATGAAAAATAGCCTGTATTATAAATGCTGTGATTTGGTTTCAGAGGTTTATCTTTATCCTGCAGTTTAGATGCTGTTACAGTGCACCCTACCTTAAATCTTCTAAGAATAAAATAGTAACCGAATGATATGTATTTCTATTTCAAATTTCTATTACCACCTTTCTCTTCCACAAAACCCTTACTATCATAATCAGTGGGATTTTAATAGATCTTATCTAGAAATTGACTTATTTGTCTAGCAAGACATAAATGAGCAGAGACTTTATCTGCCTGACTGCCATATCCATATATATCCTACAGTAGTTTAATGTATTTGTCCAAATGGCAATACAAATATTTATCAAGCTCTTAATGTGTGGCACGCACGGTTCTAGGGACGGAATGGTGAGCAAGACAAAGTCCCTTACCAAGGAAGAATATGTTTCAGTAGAAAAAAGGATCATAAATAAGAAAACAATTTAATATAAAGTAGTGCCTATAAATAAGTGGATAGAGCATACTTTTTTTTTCTGTAGTTACATCTAACATATTAGTAGTGCCAACTGAAGAATGAGAGGCAGGAATTTTGCTGTACTGCAGGGAAAGACATAGCTGGGCTGGATAACCAAATGTAGAATCAAGGCAAGAAACAACTGTGAGGTTTCCTCCTTCTTTAGCCTGGATCCTGGTTCAAACTCATCTTTCCCTATCAAACTGAACTCTCCGAAAGCTGTCAGACAAGCCCATTTCTGTTGAGGTACCAGTGGCTAGAAACACCACATTTGCGTGCCTTCCAGCAAGGTTTTCATTGTACAGAAGACGGAGCCTGAGGCTTATCTTTGTGGAAACCCAGGCTGCTAAGTGACCACTCAGGCTCTCCTCGCTGTCAGTCTAATCTAGATCAATTATGTCATGAACTCTGCCCAATCTCAACCGATACTCTGTCCTGTGAGACTCTTCTCAAAATCACCCACCCCATGCCTTAAAACCCTCTACCCTTTGCTCATTTCCCCATTTTGAGACACTGTCAAGACATTACGAAGGACAATTAGAGACACAGAGAAGAAGGGTGATATCAAGATACAAATGGGCTGGGCGCGGTGGCTCATGCCTGTAACCACAGCACTTTGGGAGGCCGAGGCAGGTGGATCACTTCAGGTCAGGAGTTGGAGACCAGCCTGGCCAACATGATGATACCCCATCTCTACTAAAAATACAAAAATTAGCTGGGCATGGTGCTGCGTGACTGTAGTCTCAGCTACTCGGGAGGCTGAGGCAGGAGAATCGCTTAAACCCGGGAGGTGGAGGTTGCAGTGAGCCGAGATCGTACCAGTGCACTCCAGCTGTTAAGACAACAGCAAGACAAACTCCAGACCAGTGCTTCTTAGATTTTCGTGTGTAAAAGAATCCCTTGTAGAGCTTGTTAAAATGCAAATTCAGAGTCAGTAGGTCTTGGTGAGGTCTGAGATTCTGCATGTCCAACAAGCTCCCAGGTGATACCGATGCTGCTGGCCTGAAAACCACAATTTGAGTAACAAGGATCCAGATCAGGATTTGGTAAAATTTATCTGGAAAGGGTCAGATAGCATATATTTTAGGCTTTGAGGGTGTATTTGTTTCTTATTGCTACCGTAACAAATTACTACAAATTTAGAGGCTTAAAACAACACCCGTTTATAACCTCACACTTCTTTGGTCGGAAGTCTAGCACTGTGGGGCTCAGCTGGTTAGTGTCTCAAAAGACCAAAGTCAAGGTGTTGATAGAGCCTCAGTTTCTGGAGGCTCTGGGGACGGCATCAGCTTCCAAGATCAGCCGAGTTGCTGGCAGAATCCAGTTCAATGTGGCTGGAGGCCCTCATTTTCTTGCTGGCTGTCAGCTTCTCTCAGCTCCTTAAGGCAGCCTGTGTTCCTTGTCACATTGCCCCCTTCATCTTCAAACCAGCAATGGCACTTCAAATCATTCTCATGCTTTGGATCTCTCTAACTCCAGCTGGAGAAAGTTCTTTGCTTTTAAGAGCTCATAGGATTAGATAGGGCCTACCTGGATAATCTGGGATACTCTCCCTGTCTGAAGCTTTGTAACCTTAACTATATCTGCAAAGTCCCTTTTGCCATGTAAGATAATATATTCCCAGGTTCCAGGGATGAGGCTGAGGGGGGCCATTATGCTCCCTACCACAGAGTGCCATATTGTCTCTGTTGCAGATACTCAGTGGGGCCCTTGTAGTGTGACAGCAGTCCTAGAAAATATGTAAACACTTGAGTGAGGCTGTGATCTGATGAAACTTTATTTATGGACACTGAAATTTGAATTTCACATTATTTTTCCATGTCACAAAATAATATTCTTTTCATTTTTTTCTAACAATTTAACAATGTAAAAATTAGGGCTGGGTGTGATGGCTCACGCCTGTAATCCTAGCACTTTGGGAGGCCGAGGCGGGTGGATCACCTGAGGTCAGGAGTTTGAGACCAGCCTTGCCAACATGAGGAAACCCCGTCTCTACTAAAAATATAAAAATTAGCCAGGCATGGTGGCAGGCGCCTGTAATCCCAGCTGCTTGGGAGGCTGAGGCAGGAGAATCTCTTGAATCCAGGAGGTGGAGGCTGCAGTGAGCCGAGATCGTGCCATTGCATTCCAGCCTGGGCGACAAGAGGGAAACTCTGTCTCAATAATAATAATAATAATAATAATAATAATAATAATAATGTAAAAATTATTCTCAGCTCATGGGGCAGTACAAAAACAGGTAGATTTGGTTGGGTGCAGTGGCTTGAGCCTGTAATCCCAGCACTTTGGGAGGCCGAGGTGGGTGGATCACCTGAGGTGAGGAGTTCGAGACAAGCCTGACCAACATGGTGAAACCCCGTCTCTACTAAAAATACAAAAATTAGCTGGGCTTGGTGGTGCACGCCTGTAATCCCAGCTACTCGGGAGGCTGAGGCAGGAGAATCGCTTGAACCTGGGAGGTGGAGGTTACAATGAGCTGAGATCGTGCCACTGCACTCCAGTCTGGGCGACAGAACAAGACTCCATCTCAAAAACAAACAAACAAACAAAACAAAACAAAAAAACCAGGTAGATTTGGCCTGTAGTCTGTAGGTTGCAGATGCCTAATATAAATTTTTTTTTTTTTTTTGAGACAGAGTCTTGCTCTGTTGCCCAGGGTGGAGCACACTGGCGTGATCACAGCTCATTGCAGTCTCAACCTCCTGGGCCCAAGCAATCTTCCCACCTCAGCCTCCCGAGTAGCTGGGACTACAGGCACCCATCATCACACCTGGCTAATTTTTATTTTTATTTTTATTTTTTTTTAGGCGGACTCTCACTCTGTCGCCCAGGCTGGAGTGCAGTGGTGCAATCTTGACTCACTGCAACCTCCACCTCCCAGTTCAAGTGATTCTCTTGCCTCAGCCTCTTGAGTAGCTGGGACTACAGACGCACACCACCAGACCTGGCTTATTTTTGTATTTTTAGTAGAGACAGGGTTTCGCCACGTTGGCCAGGCTGATCTTGAACTCCTGACCTCCGATGATCGCCCACCTCGGCCTCCCAAAATGCTGGGAATACAGGCATGAGCCATCACGCCCGGCCTCACACCTGGCTAATTTTTAAACTTTTTGTAGAGACAAGGTCTCTTTATGTTGCACAGGCTGGTCTCGAACTCCTGGGCTCAAGCAATCCTCCCAACTTAGCCTCCCAAAATGTTGGGATTATAGGTGTGAACCATCACATTCAGCCCCTAATCTAAATCTTAATCCCTTTTGTCTCAGAATGGAAACCTGAAAAGGGCAAGAATGTTCTTTCCAACTTTTGGTGCCTTGTGGATGCTTCTTAAATGATTAAACATTTGACCAAAGCACTTACCTGTAGGAAGATTCTAGATGTCAAGGTGATGTTTATGGGGAAGGAGGAAATAGAAAAATTTGCTCAGGAAACTGGTCCTTTTGTAAGCGCAGAGATGGGTTATATTCGAGAAAATGAGCTTTTATGGGGGAAAATGCAAACATGTAGTTGTTAAATCAGCTGCATTCTATTTTGAGCTTTAATGGCATCTTGAGGTAGGCAGGTAAAAATAATGATAGGATTAGTCTGATCTCACGCTTCAGGAGGTTTACAGATAACCTAAGATGATATAGGAGTTTTTTCTTTTGTTACCTTCATCTTGGTCTACCTGAAACATTGTAGATTCCATTTACAGTCTTTTAAAATACTAGTCCCTAGGGGCAGGACTTTTACATTAACTAAATTGGTAATATGATTAGGTGTGTGGGAAAGCCCATTTGCTCCTAGAAGCAAGGTATTAAAATTATTATGCATCATAAAATAATTGTGTAATGAGGCATAATCTGGGGCATTAGCAATGTATGAAAGGTGGGGTGGGAACTGATGATAATGATACCTCAATTTCTCAAACCTATCTTTTAGGAAAAATCAAATTTTGATGTCATGTTACAGCCATTCCAAATCCAATAAATCATATGTCTTTGGTCGTGTTCTCCAGATGGGGACCCTGAGACCTGGTTTCAAATACAAATGATTTATTAAGGAAGTACTCACAGGAGAAACCAATAAAGGATAAAGGAGTGGGAGAGGTAGGGCATGGAAAGGGAAGAAGCAAATAAGACTGCACTCTCAAGCCAAGTCCCAGCTTCAGCCTGATCCCATGGAAAGCTCTGAAACAAACTATGCCTCCAAGCTGCAGAGGCAAGGAGCTAGGATTTCCTACTGTTGCACTGGTCGGTCAGTCATTGGTTAAGGCTGCCCGAGGGGAAGTAAACTCTCAGGCATTTCTAGCTCTCTATACAAGTGGGCAAAGTAGCTCTAACAGCCCAAGGGAAGGCCTCCAAAGAGTGTCACAGGTGCAGGCCACACACAGAAGCTAGGAGGTGGGGGCTCATAGAAAATGTAAAAGGGATCCAAGGGGATTTGTTTAGAGTTCCCCCATGCTTCTATAAATGCATGGGGATTTGGTTTCTTGGGAAAAAAATTGCACCTCTCTCTCTTTAACACTGCTGAGAATTAGAAGGTCTTTTGATACCTGTCAGTCACTTTTTTTTTTTTTTTTTTTTGAGATGGAGTCTCTGTCGCCCAGGCTGGAGTGCAGTGGCATGATCTCTGCTCACTGCAAGCTCTGACTCCCGGGTTCAAGCAATTCTCCTGCTTCAGTCTTCGAGTAGCTGGGACTATAGGCACCTGCCATCGCACACGGCTAGTTTTTGTGTTTTTAGTAGAGATGGGGTTTCACCATGTTGGCTAGGCTGGTCTCAAACTCCTGACCTCAGGTGATCTGCCCACCTTGGCCTCCCAAAGTGCTGGGATTACAGGCATGAGCCACTGTGCCTGGCCCCCGTGAGTCACATTTAATAGAGAAAAATACCTAAATGCTAGGAAATTGCCTCTGGAGTTCATAACTCCTGGTAGACAGGAAGGGAAACATTCTTTCTCATTTTGGTTTGTTTTACCATTTTCTGTTCATTCTGTTTATGTATTTATTTTTCTTTTTTGTAGAGGTAGGGTCTTGCTATGTTGCCCAGGCTGGTCTCTAACTCCTGGCCTCAAACAATCATCTTGCTTCAGCCTCCCAAAGTGCTGGAATTATAGGTATGAGCCACTGCACCTGGCTTGTTTATTTATTTTTAAATTCAGTTTTTGAATAGGTAATATAGTCTTACGATTCAAAAACTTGAAAGTGGCCAGGTGCGGTGGCTCACACCTGTAATCCCAACACTTTGGGAGGCCGAGGCGGGTGGATCACCTGAGGTTGGGAGTTCGAGACCAGCGTGGCCAACATGGTGAAACCCTGTCTCTATTAAAAATACAAAAATTAGCCCGGCATGATGTCACACACCTTTAGTCCCAGCTACTCGGGAGGCTGAGGCAAGAGAGTCGCTTGAACCCAGGAGGCAGAGGTTGCAGTGAGCCAAGATTGTGCCACTGCACTCCAGCCTGGGCAACAGAGTGAGACTCTGTCTCAAAAAACAAACAAAAAAACTTGAAAGTACAATAGGATATACAGTACAAAGCCTCTTGCTCATCCTTGTCCCTCATCTGCCAAGGCATCTCCTTTACTAGTTTTCTTAGTTTATGTGTGGACACGAAAGCAAATGTGAGTATAAACTTTTAGCCCCCCTCTCCACTTTATACCAAAGACAGAATACTGTAAAAACTGATCTGCATATACAAACTGTTGCATTTTTTTCAGTTAATGTATTATTATTATTATTATTATTATTATTATTATTATTATTATTATTGAGACGGAGTTTTGCTCTTGTCACCCAGGCTGGAGTGCAGTGGCGTGATCTTGGCTCACTGCAACATCCGCCTCCCGGGTTCAAGCAATTCTCCTGCCTCAAGCTCCCGAGTATCTGGGACTACAGGTGTGTGACACCACGCTGGGCTAATTTTTGTATTTTTAGTAGAGACAGGGTTTCACCATGTTGGCCAGGTTGGTCTCGGACTCCTGACTTCAGTTGATCCACCTGCTTCGGCATCCCAAAGTGTTGGGATTATAGGTGTGAGCCACTGTGCCTGGCCTACACTTAATGTATTTCAGAGTTTTTTTTGTTTTTTGTTTTTGACATGGAGTCTCGCTCCCATCGTGCAGGCTGGAGTGCAGTGGCGCGATCTCAGCTCACTGCAACCTCCACCTCCTGGTTCAAGCGATTCTCCTTCCTCAGCCTCCCAAGAAGCTGGGATTACAGGTGTGCATCACCACGCCCAGCTAATTTTTGTATTTTTAGTAGAGACGGGGTTTCACCATGTTGGCCAGGCTGGTCTTGAACTCCTGATCTCAGGTGATTCACCCACCTCGGCCTCCCAAAGTGCTAGGATTACAGGCATGAGTCACCATGCCCAGCCTCAGAGTTCTTTTTAAATCAGTGCAAAGAGAAGTCTCTCTCCCTCTTGTTTTTAACATCTGCATGGTGTTTCTTTGGATGAATATGTAAACATTTATTGAACCAGTTCCTATTGATGGACATTTGCATTGTTTTTAATCTTTTGCAATCACAAACAGTGCTGCATTGATTAGCCTTGTACTTATGTCATTTTCCATGAGTGCAAGTATATCTGTAGAATGAATTCCCTAAAATTTAATTGCTCATTTAAGGGTAAATGAATATCATTTTGATAGCTATGGCTAAATTACCTTCCAAAGAGTTTCTACACCAGCTTACATTCCCATTAGTAATACATGAAAGCGTCTGTTTCCCAACACCCTCACCAACAGAACGTGGTATTAAACTTTTAGATTTGTGTCAATCATGTAGGTAAAAGATGATATCTTATCATAGTTTTAATTTACATTTCTTTAATTTTGAGTGAAATTGAGCATCTTTTCACATGACATGTAGACTCTTAATGTACAAAATTTCCTGTTTATTCAAAGAGTGAGATCCTTGCCAGCACTTAGAAAGCTGGAGTGAGCCCAGACATCGGGCTTTCTGGAACACAGACCAGAATTACAAAGTACCTTAGAAGTAATTTAGTTCAGCCCTTGTCTGATGCCTAAATGATCTCTCTACCTTCCCCAGTAAAATTGTTCAGAGTTAGCGAGTTCACAAAATTGAAGCCATTTTTATGTGGTTCTAAAAGTTAGAATGTTTTCATATAGAGCCAAAATCTTCTTGTAATTTCTGCATGACAGTAATTACAGTAAGCTCTTGTTAAAGTATACTGTTCTTTTATATCACAATAAGTATACCACAGAGATATAATATTGGCTTCAAATATCAGTAGCGCACTGAACTTCCCCCTCGCTCAAAAATAATTCTTCATCTGGTGGAGTCCTTAGATTATATTACATCTGACTTATATGTAGTCAGAGGGAAAAACATATTAAATATTGTTTTCATCACACATAGAATTTAAAATGTAATTGCCACCTATGTAGTATTTTTGCTAAAAATGCATAACCTGAATCTCACTGTGGGGAAATCTCAATATTAAATTGAAAGACATTCTACAAAATAACTGGGCTGTACTATTGAAAAATGTTAATGTCATGAAAGACAAAGAAAGCCTAAGGAACTGGTCCAGATTAAAGGAGACTAAAGAGATGTGCCCTGAGGCAGGAGGATCTCTTGAGCACAGGACTTTCAGACCAGCCTGGGCAACATAGCGAGACCCTGTCTCTACAAATACAAATAAAAATAGACGGGCATAGTGGTGTATGCTTATAGTCCCAGCTACTCGGGAGGCTGAGGCAGGAGGATCTCTTGAGCCCAGGAATTTCAGACCAGCCTGGGCAACATAGCAAGACCCTGTCTCTACAAATACAAATAAAAATAGACGGGCATAGTGGTGTATGCTTATAGTCCCAGCTACTCGGGAGGCTGAGGCAGGAGGATCGCTTGAGCCCAGGAATTTCAGACCAGCCTGGGCAACATAGCAAGACCCTGTCTCTACAAATACAAATAAAAATAGACGGGCATAGTGGTGTATGCTTATAGTCCCAGCTACTCGGGAGGCTGAGGCAGGAGGATCGCTTGAGCCCAGGAGTTTGAAGCTGCAGTGAGCTAGAATCACACCACTGCACTTCAGCCTGGGAGACAGAGCAAGACCCTGCCTCAAAAAAAAAAAAAAAAAGAGAGAGAGATGCCAGTTAATTGTAATCTGTGATCCTGAATTGGATTCTAGATCAAGGAAGAGGGAAAAAATGCCATAAAGAATATTACTGGGACAATTGGCAAAATTTGAATACGGATTATATACAGATAATAGCATTACATCAACATTAAATTTTCTGATTTTAATAATTGAGCTGTGATCATGTAAGAGATTGTTTTCATTCCTGGGAAATGCAAACTGAAGATGGGGTAAAGGAGCATGATGTCTGCAGTTTACTCCCAAATGGTTCAGGAAAAAAAAAAAATAAAGAAAAAAGGCCAGGTGCAGTGGCTTATAACCAGTGCTTATACCCAGGTGCAGTGGCTTATACTCAGTAATCCCAGTGCTTTGGGAGGCTGAGATGGGAGGATTGCTTGAGCTCAGAAGTTTGAGACCAGCCTGGGCAACATGGCAAAACCAAACTCTGTCTCGGCCGGGCGCAGTGGCTCACGCCTGTAATCCCAGCACTTTGGGAGGCTGAGGTGGGCAGATCACCTGAGGTCAGGAGTTCGAGACCAGCCTGGCCAACATCTCTACTAAAAATACAACCCCATCTCTACTAAAAATACAAAAATTAGCCAGGCGTGGTGGTGGGTGCCTGAAATCTCAGCTACTCGGGAGGCTGAGGTAGGAGAATTGCTTGAACCTGGGAGTTGGAGGTTGCAGTGAGCCGAGACCATGCCATTGCACTCCAGCCTGGGCAAGAAGAGCGAAATTCCATCAAACAAAACAAAATAAAACACCCTGTCTCGACAAAAAAATACAAAAACATTAGCCAGGTGTGGTGGTGTGCACCTGTAGTCCCAGCTACTCGGGGGACTGAGGTGGGAGGATGGCTTGAGTCTGGGAGGCAGAGGCTACAGTGAGCTGTGATCATGCCACTGCACTCCAGCCTGGACGACAGAGTGAGACTCTGTCTCAAAAAACCAAAAAAAAAAAAACACCCCAAAACAATAAAATAAAGGTTAAAAAAAAGAAAAATACAGAAAAAAAGAAAATGATAAAGCAAATGTGGCAAAATGTTAATTGCTAAATGTAAGTAAAGGATGTTTGGGATTTCATTGTACATTCTTGCGACTTTTCTGAGTATATTTGAAATTATTTCAATATAATTAATTTTAATTTTAATATAATAATGTAAATACTTTTGGAAGAGTGACTTAAGTACAATATCCTTTTAGAAGAGAAGTTTCTGCCAACATGTAGATGATTGCTATGGGCACATTTACTGAAAAGGGACAGGTAGCCATTGATTAAATCCAGACTAGTTGGAAATCACGTATGGTCCTGTAGAATCGCTTCATAAATCAAACTAAGAGAATTGGTGAGTTGTAGGCTTTCGAAAACTGGCTTCTTTATTTTCCTCCTGGTCATACTCATTTGGATTATTATTATTATTATTATTATTTTGAGACAGAGTCTCTGTCACCCAGGCTGGAGTGCAGTGGCACAATCTCAGCTCACTGCAACCTCTGCCTCCCAAGTTCAAGCGATCCTCCTGCCTCAGCCTCCCGAGTATCAGGCGCCCGCCACGATGCCTGGCTAATTTTTTTTTTTTTTTGAGATGGGGTCTCACTTTGTTGCCCAGGCTGGAGTGCGGTGGCACTATCTTGGCTCACTGCAACCTCCACCTCGCGGGTTCAAACGATTCTCCTGCATCAGCCTCCCGAGTTGCTGGGACCATAGGCGTGTGCCACCACACCCGGCTAATTTTCTGTATTTTTAGTGGAGATGGGGTTTCACCATGTTAGCCAGGATGGTCTCATCTCCTGACCTCATGATCCACCTGCCTCGGCCTCCCAAAGTGGTAGGATTACAGGTGTGAGCCACCGTGCCTGGCCATGGCTAATTTTTGTATTTTTAGTACAGATGGGGTTTTGCCATGTTCACCAGGCTGGTCTTGAACTCCTGACCTCAGGTGATCCGCCCGCCTCGGCCTCCCAAAGTGCTGGGATTACAGGCATGAGCCACTGCACCTGGCTCATTTGTATTATTTTAACCAATAAGATCACAGTATGCATAACAGTAGAAAGGAATGGTGATCAGTTGTGTTATCTGCACCGTCCCAGTGCCACCAATCCAATCACAGAGGTGGTTGTGGATCAGACAGAAGTGTGTCAAAAATACTGTGGAATCCCAGCACGTTGGGAGGCTGAGGTGGGGGGATCGCTTGAGCTCAGGAGTTCGAGACCAGCCTGGCCAACATGGTGAAGCCTCATCTCTACTAAAAATACAAAAATTGGCTGGGTATGGTGGCAGGTACCTGTAATCCTAGCTATTTGGGAGGATGAGGCAGGAGGATCGCTTGAACTTGGGAGGCAGAGGTTGCAGTGAGCCGAGATCATGCCACTGCACTCCAGCCTGGGCGACACAACGAGACTCTGTCTAAAAAAAAAAAAAAAAAATTGCTATGAAGAAAAAAAAAGATGAGTGTGGTAGTAAAAGCCATAATAAAGACAAAGGTGATGGAGGAGGGAAAGAGGGCTGTGGGGATTTACTATAATTAAATATAAGCAAATGTGTCTGGGTGTGTTTATGGGTGGGAGGTATTGGTACGTAAAGCAGAAAAGCAATGGAGTAGATTCTTCCTCAGCTATTGCCGTATTCTTACTGCAAAACAAACCACCTCAAAACCTGGTGGCTTAAAACAACATTCATTAATTTTCACTCCCACATCTGCAGGTTGGCTGTGGGGTCAGCTGGTGTGGGCTGGGCTCAGCTGAGGTTGGCTGGAAGCCCAGGCTGGGTGCAGATCTGCTCCACACACATTGCTCATCCTCCTTCAACCAGCAGGCTTGCCAGAACATGCAATTCCCACGGCGATGGCAAGTGAGGGGGAAAAGCAACCCAGCTGCGCAAGCACATTTCAAGCTCCTGCTCGCATCACTTTGGCTTAATATCCCTTTGGCCAAAGTGAATCATATGGCTGAGCCTGAAGCCTAGGAGTGGAGAAACAGACTCCACCTCTAACGGGAAGAACTGCAAAGTTACCAGGCAAAGGATATGGATATAGCAAGGGAGAAAGAGATGGGAATAGTAATGTGATGCACCCCAAAGGGGACTCAATCAGCAAAGGGAGAAAGGCTGTTTTTTTTTCCCCTCATTAGAAGGCAAATTATTCCAATTATCTGTGTTTGAAGATGTACACTTTCTTTTTTTTTTTTTCAGATGAGCTTATGAATACACTGCCAGACAACATCTTTCTGGCCCACGAAAAAGACACTGTCCTTCATTGCCAGCCCTATCCTTTTTGCCAAGTCACTTCACATTAGAAGCAGCATAGCATGAAGAGAGGCAGTGCAGTGTAATGATTTAGAACCATTTAAATTCTAGTTTCATTGCTTCCTAGCTATGTGATCCTGAGCAAATCACTTAACCTGTGCCTTGATCTCTTTACCTGTAAAATGCGGATGATAATAATAGCACCCACTGCACAACTGTGAAGATTAAGTGAGGAAACTTATAACAGTACTTGGCACATAGGTAGTTCATATGGTTTGGCTCTGTCCCCATCCAAATCTCATCTTGAATTGTAGCTCCCATAATTCCCACGTGTTGTGGGAGGGACCTGGTGGGAGATTTTAAATCATGGGGGCGATTCCCCCCATACTGTTCTCATGGTTAGTGAATAAGTCTCACAAGATCTGATGTGCTTTTTTTGCTTTTTTTTTTTTTGAGACAGAGTCTCACTCTGTCACCCAGGCTGAAGTGCAGTGGCACAATCCCAGCTCACTGCAACCTCCACTTCCTGGGTTCAAGTGATTCTCCTGCCTCAGTCTCCTGAGTAGCTGGGATTACAGGCGCCTGCCACCACACTGGGCTAATTTTTGTATTTTTAGTAGAGACGGGGTTTCACTATGTTGGCCAGGCTGGTCTCAAACTCCTGACCTCAAGTGATCCGCCCACCTCAGTCTCCCAAAGTGCTGGGATTACAGGCATGAGCCACCGTGCCTGGCCCGATCTGATGGTCTTATAAGGGGAAACCTCTTTTGCTTGGTTCTCATTTCTCTCTTGCCTGCCGCCTTGTAAGACATTCTTCCTTGGTCTTCTGCCATGATTGTGAGGCCTCCCCAGCAATATGGAACTGTGAATCCATTAAATCTCTTTCCTTTATAAATTACCCAGTCTCGGGTATGTCTTTATTGGCAGTGTGAGAACAGACTACTACAGTAGTACTATGTAAGTGGTCATTATTATTATTACTCTTACGAATTCTAGGAACCTACAGCTCTAAAGCCAAGTGCTGGTCTAAGCTACCTTCAGCATGGCCCTGCTGAAAGTTTTTAAGCATTGGATTATTTTTAGTCTTGCTTTCCAAAGGTTCTAGTGGTGTTCATCCAGGCAGTCCATGGGCCAATAAAAAGAAGATGCTATTTGAATTTTACCAGATTACAGGAATCAACTCAATTAATACAGCTCATTGATTTCTAATTCTTAATTCATTTACACTAACATGCTCATTTCATGGATGGACAGTTCCCCTAGTTGTATTCATGGTTTTAATTTTATTACAGGTGTTAACATTATCCTCCTGATACTTCTCTATGGCCTTGCTCCCTCAGGCTGTGTTTTCAGATTTTATAAGCTAAAAAGCTCAGTGTTGGATGATGTATGGCGTGGGGGCCTTCCAGGGAGCTCAGGGAGGAAATGTTGCAAGTCCTCATTAATTTGGACTCCACTGACTTTGAATTCATGATAATTTACACAGAGGGTAAATGAGAAGTTCTCGGTGTTATTATAGGAGAAAGGTGCTGCGCTCAAATTTTGTGAAGTTAAACTCAATATGTAGTTCTAGATCTGAAATGAGGGGATAAAAAGGAGGCTGGCATGGTGGCACACACCTGTAATCCCAGCACTTAGGGAGGATGAGGCAGGAGTTCAAGACCAGCTTGGCCAACATGGCAAAACCCCGTCTCTACTAAAAATACAAAAATTAACCGGGTGTAGTGGCTTGCATCTGTAATCCCAGCTACTCGGGAGGCTGGGGTAGGAGGATCACTTGAGCCCTGGAGGCTGATACTGCAGTGAGCCGAGATCACGCCACTGCACTCCAGCCTGGGTGACAGAGTGAAAAAAAAAGGGCAGAAAAGTCCCAGATCTTTGAGGAAGACTTGGCCCAGTTTCAAGCTTGGACATGCACACAGCATGTAGAAATAGGAAATAAAAACTATAAACCACTCTGAGAATGAAGCAAAGTGACTTAAAAAATTTTTTTTAATTTAATTTTATTTAAAGTTCCGCGGCCGGGCTCAGTGGCTCACGCCTGTAATCCCAGCACTTTGGGAGGCTGAGGCGGGTGAATCATTTGAGTTCAGGAGTTTGAGACCAGCCTGGCCAACATGGTGAAACCCCGTCTCTCCTAAAAATACAAAAATTAGCCAGGGTGGTGGTACATGTCTATAATCCCAGCTACCGGGAGGCTGAGGCAGGAGAATCACTTGAACCAGGGAGGTGGAGGTTGCAGTGAGCCAAGATTGCACCACTGCGCTCCAGCCTGGGCAACAGAGCGAGACTCCATCTCAAAAGAAAGAAAGAAAGAAGGAAAGAAAGAACGAAGGAAAGAAAGAAAGAAAGAAAGAAAGTAAGTTAGTTCTGGGATACATGTGCAGGACATGCAGGTTTGTTACATAGGTAAATGTGTGCCATGGTGGTTTGCTGTACCTATCAACCCCTCACCTAGGTATTAAGCCCCGCATGCATTAGCTATTTATCCTGATGCTCTCCCTCTGCCTGCACCTCCTCCCCACAAGCCCCAGTGTGTCTTGTTCCCCTCCCTGTGTCCATGTGTTCTCATTGTTGAGCTCCCACTTATAAGTGAGAATATGCCATATTTGGTTTTCCATCCCCATCAAGAGTCAGCAGGTTGCAGATCTGAGAACCAGTTCTGCCTCAAGATGGCTGGGTTTACTTGGGCATGTTGTTGAGCATCTCCAATCTTATTTCCTTATCAGTAAAATGGGGATAATTTTTACCCTGCAGAACTATTGGAAGGATTTATTGGAATAATCTGTGTAAAATCCCTGGCATTGTGTCTGGTGAGAAGCCAGAGGCTTATTCCAATAATGCTATCGACTACTCAAATTATTTTTTGAAACTCATATTTTTTAAGTGCCTTCAAATTTTGTTTGAGTTATCCTGAAAAATTTCATTACATTAGAGTCATATTTCATTTTAGACATTAAAAAATGCCCTCCAGATTGATCCTTTGGCCTATTTATCAAACATGGGTGACTTTTGACTACTTCCAGAAATTAAATCACCATGAAAGGACAGAAATGTATTGCCATTCAGGATATTTTAAAAATCACGTATCATGGATTTGGAAGAAAACATAACAATATAATAGTTTCAGTGTGCAGTGATTTTATCAATCTTGGCATTAATGCAAAGCCTCATAAAGAGACTACCTGGAAAGTGCTAGAACTTCTTGGAAATGTACAATCTAGTGGGTTCGTTTTAGAAAACACACACATAATTTTATGGTCTTATCTCATTTAAAGAATAAACTCTCAGCTCTTATCAGAAACATTGGCTTTTCAGTTTAAAAAATGATGTCATTTCCCTGATATCACATTTGGTAAGAAACCAATTTCTATTTCCAAGCATAAAGAGGAATTTATAACACCACAGTTGTTTCCTTTTTATCATTTGATGCAGAAGAGAAATCAAACCTTAAGATAGTCACCAATGACTGGGTGCTGTGGCTCACGCCTGTAATGCCAACACTTTGGGAGGCCGAGGTGGGCAGATCTCTTGAGCCCAGGAGTTTCAGACCAGCCTGGACAACATAGTGAGACTCCTGTCTCTACAAAAAATAAAAAAATTAACCGGACGTAGTGGCGCACACCTGTGGTCCCAGCTACTCAGGAGGCTGAGGTGGGAAGATCGATTGAACCCAGGAGGTCCAGGCTGCATTGAGCCTTGATTGTGCCATTGCACTCCAGCGCGGGCAACAGAATGAGACCCCGTCTAAAAAAAAAAAAAAAAAGTTGCCAAGAAAATTCCAGAACTGCCTAGATTCAAAATACGTGGTCCAGAGAAATTATGCAGGGCATAAAATAAGAGCCATTGCATGACCATAAGCAGGAGAACAAGACTGCCAAGAGGAAGAGCCAAACAACAATAACAAAAAAGCAAATTTCTATTTCTTTCTTTTCTTGCTTTTAAAAAAATCTTACTGTGTTCGATTTTTTTTCTTTTTTTTTTTTTGAGATGGAGTCTCACTCTGTCACCCAGGCTGGAGTGCAGTGGCATGGTCTCGGCTCACTGCAACCTCCGCCTCCCGAGTTCAAGCAATTCCCCTGCCTCATCCTCCCGAGTAGCTGGGATTACAGGTGCCCACCACCACGCCCGGCTAATTTTTTGTGATTTTAGTAGAGACGGGGTTTCACCATGTTGGCCAGGCTAGTCTTCAACTCCAGACCTCATGATCCACCTGCCTTGGCCTCCCAAAGTGCTGGGATTACAGGCGTGAGCCACCGCGCCTGGCTGTGTTTGATTTTTAAAACAGCTTTATTGAGATACAATTCATATAACATACGATTCATCCACTTGAAGTATACAAGTCAATGGTTTTGAGCATATTCACAGTATGCAACCATTACTCCCATCTCATTTTAGACTATTTTCATCATCCCCCAAAAAAGCCCTTTAGCGGTCATTCCCCACTGTCCAACTCCCCGTGGACAAGGTTTATCTATGTTGTAGCACGTATCGATACTTCTTGCTTTTTATACCTGTTCATTAATCAGCTGACGGACAGTTGAGTTGTTTCTGCTTTTTGGCTACTATGAATAATGACACTATGAACATTCACGTACAAGTTTTTGTGTGAACATGTTTTCATTTCTCTTGGGTATATACTTAGGAATTTCTGGATCATGAGGTATTTAATAACTCTGTATTTACTATTTTCAGGAACTGCCAAACTGTTTTCCATAGTGGCTGCACCATTACATTCTTACCAGCAATGTATGAGGGTTCCAATTTTTCCACATCTGTTTGATTTTGCTTTAAATCAAACTTTCAAGACTGCTGACAGTCGATCCAGGATGTTAAGATGGAAAGAAATAGAGATACAGCAACCATATAAAGTGTTTCAGGGCTGCTGACAGTGATGTGAGCCTGTTGGATGAAGAAGAGTTAGGATAAAAACTTGTTAAATAAAATATTTTAAACATTATCATCATCAACCAAGATGCTTGTCATTGCCTGTTCTTTTGTACTTATTGGAAAAGCAAGACCAACTGTGTGTCTCCATCCTGGGCAGCAGGCATATTCACATGTACCGATTTAAATCAAGGACAAAACAATTGTAGATAATTACAACTGAGAGAGAAAATGGAGAACTATTTAGGATATTATTTCAATTTGTTGTATTGTCAAGCTAAATTTCCAACCTCACCTCCCCCATTGTCTCCCTGAAAATTCCATTCCAGCAGCTAGTCCCTCTGATGACTCTGCTGTCACATTTACCTCTGATTTTTTGGCTGCATCTCCTGCCTCTGAATACACAGCCTTTACTCCTCAGATGACTCATTTTGCATGTTTTGACATATACTACTGTCTTTAGTAGTTTTTAAACTTTTGATGCACATATACTTTACCTCCCTTCATTGCTTTCTGAATGTAGTCAAGCTATTAAACATTTATTAAACTTCCTAATTCATCAAACACAGCTTGGGATTATGATGCGAGAATTTCATAAGTGCACTCAATTTATCTTTGTGGAGTGATTGAATTCTGGAGCATGACATATAAATTTCAGTGCTGTCACAAGATGACAAAGCACAAATTTTTCTTTTCACTTTCTTGACCCTGAAAATAAATTCCTCCCAAATTGCCTACTTTTAAAATAATATACCAATTTCAGAAATGCAACACACACTAGCATCAGAAATAAATATTGACATAAACTGACACCTAATCAAATGTCTGATTCATCCTTTGCATGATTTATTTCCCATGTGAATGCACATGCCCACTGCATGTGCACACACACACACACACACGCACACGCGTGCTGTCTACACAACTCGTATGAAACTTGACCTGTCAATATCTGCCTGTGAGCATAAAAAGCTTGTGCAGCAACAAAAAACAGGGGTTGCTGCTTTCACAAAAGCCTGAAAAATCTATTTCCAGGAGTAGGAAGATAATAATCATCTTTCCCAATGCAGTGGGAGATTTTATTTGCAGCTTTTTATGCTGCAGAGTTTATGAAATAAAATAATAATGCAACACAGTATACTTTGGTTTTATATAGCACCTTTCATCCAAAGAGCTTAGAGAAACTTACAAACATTACTTATTCACTTTCATAAATTTTTTTATTGAATTAACAAGATAGTCTACCATTCAAAAGTTAAAAGTAGTAAAAACAACCATATTTTATATAACGACTATTCCAAACATATCCAGTTTCCATTTTCTTGACTTACATGAAATTATTCAGCCTCTCATTAGTTTCAACCTGCAGGAGATAAGGCAACAATGAACTGCTGAAGTGTATAAATAAAAAAGAATAATTCAGAACTCATGTCGCATTTGTCTTCCTCCTGTCTAACTGAGAGCTATAATTCTGAAGAAGAAGGAAAAGCCCGTGATATATTTCATACCTTGCCAATCCTATGTGTATCTCACATTTTAGGACAACCTCACTAAGCCTGCAACTGGGTTTGAGATCTTGGAAGGAAGTCTCTGCTGGCACAAGTAGAGACATATTCCTGGGACTCTACATGATGCTTCTATGGCCTTACCATTTGTTCTTTGATCCTGATATTGCAAAGCCAAAATTTGCTTAGGTCGAGTGTTTGTGCATGTAGAGGATGGAGGAAACAATATTTTACCAGCTGGGGGAAACTGTAATAAAGATACTGGAGAATGCTGATTTACACAGTATAATTGCACAAGAGGCCTTCTTCTCAGTGATTCCAATCTACCCCTAGGATTCTGAAGACCTGGTACTGGGGCTCCAGTAATCTCCATGGGTGTTTTCTTCAAGTGGGTCATAGCCATTCTAAAGAATTGTTTCTTAAATTAGCATAAAACAAGACAATATTCAAAATTAATATTAAAATGACAGCGTTGTCTTAGCACTGCTTATAACGGCAATAATAAAATGATTTTTTCTGGGGAAAAGTAGAAGCTGCTATACCTGGGTCACCCTACCTGCTACTCCAGACGTTTGCCATCTGTATTTTTATTTGTGGTCTGTTTATTGGGAAAACTTCTGACCGATATGGATGTTGAACTAGATGTTAAGTCTAGGCCTGAACCTCTGAAATTGTTTTATAATGACACATTCATGAGACTCTATGCTCTTATAAATAAACACCAAGGCAAATGTTTAGATGAATGTCTTAGTTTGAGCTGCTTTAACTAAGTATGACAGGTGGCTTAAACAACAGAAATTTGTCACGGTTCTGGAGACTGGATGTCTGAGATTAGGGTGCCAGCATGGTTAGGTTCTGGTGAGGGCTGTCAAACTGCCATGTTCTCATTGTATCCTCAAAAAGAGATTCTCCAAAGGACATTCTAACTGAATAAAAATAAGAATAAAATATCAAATTTGTGGGGTGCTGTCAGAGCAGTGCTTAGAGGGAAATTTATAGGTTTAAATGCTTATTTTAGAAAAAAAGAGAGAACGGTTTAAAATCAATGATCTAAATTTCCTCCTAAACAAAGTTAGAAAAAGAAGAGCGAACTAAATCCAAAAGAACTGAAAGAGGCCGGGTGTGGTGGCTTACGCCTGTAATACCAGCACTTTGGCAGGCCAAGACAGGCAGATCTCTTGAGGTCAGGAGTTCGAGACCAGCCTGGCCAACATGGTGAAACCCCGTCTCTACTAAAAATACAAAAAAATTAGCTGGGTATGGTGGTGCATGCCTGTAATCCCAGCTACTCGGGAGGCTGAGGCACGAGAATCGCTTGAACCTGGGAAGCAGAGGTTGCAGTGAGCCGAGATTGCGCCGTTGCACTCCAGCCTGGGCGACAGAGCAAGACTCCATCTCAAAAAACAAACAAACAAACAAAAAAACCCAGAAACTGAAAGAAAGGAAATAACAAATATAAGAACAGAGACCACTATCAGTAAACAATTAGAAATTGAAATTCTAAAAGCTACAGTTTACAAATAGCAACAAAAAACTGAAATATGTAGGAATAAACCTAACAAATGTGCAAAACCTCTGCACTAAAAATGGTAAAACATTATTGTGAGAAATTGAAGAAGACATAAATAATTAAAAAGAAATAATATGATTCTGATTTGGTACATTCAATATTGTTAAGACAGAAATTCTCCTTAAATTGATCTATTGATCTAATGTAATCTCAATCAATATCCCAGCAGGCTTTTTAACAGAAATTGATAAATGATTTAAAATGAATCTGATAAATGATTTAAAATGCAAAAGGACCAAAAATAGCCAAACAACCTTGGAAAACAAGAATAAACTTTGAGGTCTTACAGTACTGATGATAAAGCTACAGCTATGAAGGCAGTGTGATATTGGCCTAAGGATAGACATGTAGATCAATGGAACAGAATATGGAGTCCAGAAACAGACCTACACATTGATCAACTGATCTTTGAGAAAAGTGATAAGGTAATGCTGGAACAACTATCTAAGTTTTTTATTTTATTTTATTTTATGTATGCATTTGTTTAATTATTTAGAGATGGAGTCTCACTCTGTCACCCAGGCTGGAGTGCAGTGGTGCAATCTCAGCTCACTGCAGCCTCTGCCTCCTGGGTTCAAGCAATTCTCCCGCCTCAGCCTGCTGAGTAGCTGGGATTACAGGTATGCGCCACCACACCTAGCTAATTTTTGTATTTTTAGTAGAGACAGGGTTTCACCATGTTGGCCAGGCTGGTCTCAAACTCCCGACCTCAACTGGTCCACCAGCTTGGCCTCCCAAAGTACCGGGATTTCAGGTGTGAGCCACGGCATTTGGCCTGTGTTTTTCAAATAGACATCAGTGCTCACCACATATATAAAAATTAACTGCAAATGGATGATGGATCTAAATGTGAAAATTAAACTATAAAATGTATAAAAGACAACATAGAAGAAAATTATACACCTTGAGGTAAGAAAATACTGCTTAGGACACAAAAAGCACTAATCATAAAAAATTTAGCAAATTATACTTCAAAATTTAAAACTGCTGCTATTTGAAACACATCTTTGAGACAATAAAAAGGCAAGCCACAGGCTAGGAGAAAATATTTATGATTCATATATCTGACAAAGAATTTGTATCCAGAACATATAAAGAAGTCTTGAAACTCAATTATAAGAACAATAACAAACCAAATTTGCCAAATGGGGAAAATTTTTGAATAGACCAAGAATTTCACTCATAAGCATTTATACAAGAAAAAGAATATGTCCATGTAATGCCTTCATACATGAATTTACTCTATTCATCATAGCTGAATGGTGGAAATAAGTTAAATGTTCATTAACAGGTTATTGGATAAGCAAATTGTGATATATCCATGCCATGGAATACTACTGAGCAATAAAAAGGATGAACTATTGATACATGCAACAGCATATGTGAAACTCAAAATTATTTAACTGAGTGAAATAGACAAACACATGATTTCATGTATAGGAAATTCCAGAACAGCCGAATCTAATCTATATCTACAGGAAGCAGACCAGTGGTTGCCTAAAGCTGACGATAGAGGGGAATTAACTACAAAAAGTCACGACAAACTTTCAACGGAGGATAGAAATGTTCTATATCTTAACTGTGCTGGTAGTTATTGGTTATATGGGTATAATCAATAACAATTATCAAAACTCATCAAATTGTACACTTAAAATGGGCACATTCTATTGTAAGTTACACGTCAATAAAGCTGCTATTAAAAAACAACAAAGCAGTGGCGCGCAGTGGCTCATGCCTGTAATCCCAGCACTTTGGGAGGCCGAGGTGGGTGGATCACCTCAGGTCAAGAGTTCGAGACCAGCCTGGCCAACATGGTGAAACCCCGTCTGTACTAAAAATACAAAAATTAGCCAGACGTTGTGGCTGGCGCCTGTAATCCCAGCTACTCAAGAGGCTGAGGCAGGAGAATTGCTGGAATCCAAGAGGTGGAGGGTGCAGTGAGCCTAAATCACGCCACTGCACTCCAGCCTGGGCAACAGAGTGAAACTCCGTCTCAAAAAACAAACAAACAAACAAAACAACAACAAAGAGTTTGTGATGGGTTTACAATTTGTCAGCTTGCCTGAGTTGACCTGCACTTCCCCGTATTCCCCTTCCTGTGTTTCCAGTTAGTGGGAGCCATAAGAGAGATTCTTGTCTGAGATTTGGAGGCTGGAAGTGAAACAGCAGCTATTTTGTAAATCACATGTATTGTCACTTGTCTTCTGGTTCACCTTGTTGGTGTGAGGCAGTGGCTGCAAAGCTCCATCAAAGTCAGGGGCAACAATAACTAACCTGGTGATATGGTTTGGCTCTGTGTCCCCACCCAAATCTCACCTTGAATTGTAATAATCCCCATGTGTCATAAGAGGGACCCTGTGGGAGGTAATTGAATCATGGGGGTGGGTTTTTCCCATGCTGTTCTTGTGATAGTGAATAAGTCTCACAAGATCTGATGGTTTTATGAAGGGGAATTCCCCTGCACACGTTCTCTTGGCTGCCGCCATGTAGGATGTGCCTTTGCTCTTCCTTGGTCTTCCACCATGGTTGTGAGGCCTCCCCAGCCATGTGGAACTGTGAGTCCATTAAACCTCTTTCCTTTATAAATTACCCAGTCTTGGGTGTGTCTTTATTAGCAACATGAGAATAGACTAATAATACACGTGGGTTTTGGTTGGTTCTCACAGGCTTCAGCTTGTGCTTGTGGGCTCAGACTTACTTCTGCTCTTTCTTACTTTACATCCATCTTCCCTTGCCAACTGCTTGCCTTGTGGACTTGAATTTCCAGCATCAGATGTGAAGACAGTAACCTTACAGAGACTTTTTACCATCTCCTACCACCTAAGGTTAAATCCCTGTAGCAAATTCATATATGTGTGTGTGTGTGTGTGTATAAAATAACATGTATATATTATATATATATTTTTCCTGATGGTTCTGCTTCTCTGATTTAATCTTGACTGATAAAGCCCCTTTAGGAAGAAAACTTTCTTCAGCCCCTGTTTCATTGTTATTACATATAATATGTTCCTGGCCAGGTGCGGTGGCTCACGCCTGTAATCCCAGCACTTTGGGAGGCTGAAGCAGGTGGATCACCTGAAGTCGGGAGTTTGAGACCAGCCTGACCAACATGGAGAAACCCCGTCTCTACTAAAAATACAGAATCAGCCGGGAATGGTGGCACATGCCTGTAATCCCAGCTACTCGGTAGGCTGAGGCAGGAGAATCGATTGAACCTGGGAGGCAGAGGTTGCATTGAGCCGAGATCGCACCATTGCACTCTAGCCTGGACAACAAGAGTGAAATTCTGTCTCAAAAAAAAAAATATATATATATATGTATGTATGTGTGTGTGTGTGTGTGTTCCCAAGGAAAAAATGTGTAGTACCACTATAAATGTGTATTATGTAAAAAGGAAAATAAAGGAAATGTCCAAAAGCTGATTACTACTACAATCATTGTTTGTTTATTTGATTTCTACTTCTCTCCCAAAAATATATGAATTGGTTAACAAAAAGAGACAAATGCAATCATGAGGAAATGATTGAGACAAAAGGGGAGACCACAACTATGCCAATAATAAGGGCCACTGTAGCTACTGGGATGGGAGAGGGTGATCTGAGCTCTGTGGTAGCTAAGACCCAGAAAGGAAGAAAACAAAAATATTTGGCTAATATATATATAAACTTATTCACATTAAAATAAGGAAGAAATACTCATAACTATCACAGTCCTTGTTTCTACAACTGGTCACATGGTCATAGCTGGTGTTTATCACTATCTTCTTCCACTACCCATCACATCTTCCTTTTGCCTTCAGCAAGCTCCTCAGCTGGTCATAGTTCTTTACCTGGTGGGGTTTTTCTGATGCCAGGGCAAGGTGTCTGTAACAAGCAGCCCTGACCATCAAGGTCAGAAGGGACAAGAGCTGAAACAAGTTTCCAACAGTCGTCATGGGCTCCAGTTTTTGCTTATGGGTTCAATCTTTTCCTTTATCTTCCTACACTTTACATCCATCTTCCCTTCCCCACTGTGGACTTCAAGCTCCAGCCCGAAGCCTCAGAGAGACTGCTTAACCAGCTCTTGCCATTTTGTAAGGTCAAATTTCTGTAACAAATACATAATAAATATATATCTCCTAGTGGCTCTGCTTCTCAGATTGAGCCCTGACTGTTACACAAAACATTATAAATATTCTCTTTAAACTTAAGACAGAAAAGGATCTCCACTATCACTACTTTATATAATATTGTATTAATGATTCTTGCCAATGAGTTAGGAAAAGAAAAATAATTAAAATATATAAGAAACAAAACTTGTTGGCCGGGTGCGGTGGCTCACGCCTATAATCCCAGTACTTTGGGAGGCCGAGGCAGGTGGATCCCCTGAGGTCAGGAGTTTGCGACCAGCCTGGCCAACATGGTGAAACCCCATCTCTACTAAAAATACAAAAAATTAGCTGGGCATAGTGGCGGGTGCCTGTGGGTGTAGTGGCAGGCACCTGTAATCCCGGCTACTAGGGAGGCTGAGGCAGGAGAATGGCTTGAACCCGGGAGGCGGAGGTCGCAGTGAGCCAAGATCGTGCCACTGCACTCCAGCCCAGGCGACAGAGTGAGACTCCGTCTCAAAAAGAAAAGAAAAAAGAAAGAAACAAAACTTGCTATTTGTAGATGATAAAATTGTCTTTATAGAATTGACAAGCTATCAGAACTAATGAGATTGTTCAACAAAGTTGTTAGACGTAAAATTCAAATACAAAACCATTTGCCTTCTTCCATACCAGCAACAAAAAACTAAAACGTAATTTTGAAAAGGATAACATTTAAAATAGCCAGAGAAGGAAGGTTCTTGGAAATAAATTTAACAAAAATATCTCGTAGGATTTTCATAAAGAAAAGTATACAATTTTATTTATTTGTTTATTTTTATTATTATTATTTTTTGAGATGGAGTCTTGCTCTGTTGCCCAGGTGGGAGTACAGTGGCATGATCTTGGCTCACTGCAACCTCCACCTCCCGGGTTCAAGCAAGTCTCCTGCCTCAGCCTCCCGAGTAGCTGGGATTACAGGCATCTGCCACCACGCCTGGCTAATTTTTGTGTTTTTAATAGAGATGGGGTTTCTCCATGTTGGCCAGGCTGGTTTCGAACTCCTGACTTCAGGTGATCCGCCCGCCTCTGCCTCCCAAAGTGCTGGGATTACAGGCATGAGCCACCGTGGGCAGCCAGAAAATTATACAATTTTAATGAAAGATATAAAAGATGACAAATAAATGGTAAGCTATCCCATATTTGTACATGAAAATTTGCAGCATCATAAAGATATACAGTCTCCCAAAGCTGATCTATAAATTCAATGTACTTTCAATCAAAATCTCAACAGGATCTTTCAGGGAACTTGATCATCTCAACCTAAAATCCATAAAAAAGGTAGAGGACCAAGAATAGCCATTGAAATCTTAAAGAGGAGAAGGGAAGATTTGTCTTTCAGATATTAAGCCTTCTATAAAGCTGCAGTAATTAGAAGTACTGTTATTGGCAAAAGTCTAAAAAGGATGAACTATTCATTAAATCGTGCTGGAACAATCTGCTAGATATAAAAAAATTTTTTTAACATTATAATCAAACCTCACTCTGTACCAAAAAAGAAATAATTCTGCTTAATTAAAGACCTCACCGTGAAAAACAAAACTTTGAAATTTTTTGATATATTAGACTGTTTTAAAAATATTTTAACTTTTGTATGAAGAAGACACAAAAGCAAAATGACAAACCAAGCCACATCATCATGTTTTTAAAAAAGTTTTTACCTTTTAAAATATTTATACTGAAATATTTATGAAGTTATGTAATGTCTGGAACTTACTTCAAAATAACCAGGAAGCAAGGAGAGGAATTGGTGAGGTGTGGGGCTTGAGAGGAGGGCTGGGGATTAGGTTGGGTATAAATCAAACAAGACTGGCTATGATAATTGTTAAAGTTAGATGGTGGGTACCCAAAGGTTCATTATACAATTCTTTCTACTTTGTTGTATATTTGAAAATCTCTATTTTAAAAAGTTTTTATAAGAGACGGGAAAAAACAGATGATGCCTAAGAACAAAGTCAAGATGCAGACTGGCAGAATATTTTTGTAACACATCTAATTAACAGAAGACTGGTAATCTCAACTTACAAAGAATGTTAATAATATATCAGTAACAAAATGACAATCAGCCCAGTAAAACAATGGCCAAAAGGTTTGAATGGGCAATTAACAGAGGAATAAATCCAAATGGGTAACATATGAAATATGCCCAAAGATCAAATGTTCTTATAGTCAGAAAAATAGAATATCTTTTTTTTTTTTTTGAGACAGAGTCTCGCTCTGTCACCAGGTTGGAGATCCTCTTCTTTTTTTTTTTTTTTTTTTTTTTTTTTTCACAGAGTCTCGCTCTGTTGCCAGGCTGGAGTGCAGTGGCATGATCTCGGCTCACTGCAACTTCCGGCTCCCTGGTTCAAACAATTCTCCTGCCTCGACCTCCTGAGTAGCTGGGATTACAGGCACGCGCCACCAAGCCCAGCTAATTTTTGTATTTTTGGTAGAGACGGGGTTTCACCATGTTGGCCAGGACGGTCTTGATCTCTTGACCTCGTGATTTGCCTGCCTCGGCCTCCCAAAGTGTTGGCATTACAGGCATGAGCCACCGTGCCTGGCCAGGAAAATATAATTTAAATATAATTTTACCAGGGCCGGGCACGATGGCTCATGCCTATAATCCTAGCACTTTGGGAGGCTGAGGCAGGCAGATCACCTGAGGTCAGGAGTTTGAGACCAGCCTGGCCAACATGGTGAAACCTTGTCTCTACTAAAAATACAAAAATTAGCCAGGAGTGGTGGCGGGCACCTGTAATCCCAGCTACTCGGGAGGCTGAGGCAGGAGAATTACTGGAACCCGGGAGGCGGAGGCTGCAGTGAGCCGAAATCGCGCTACTGCACTCCAGCCTGGGCAACAGAGTGAGATTCCATCTCAAAAAAAAAAAAAAATCATTTTACCATGAAATATTTTACACACAACAGATTGGAAAAAATTTAAAACATACGTATATCTGATAACACCGAGTGATGGTGAGGATACAGAGCTATAAGACCTTTTAGATGGGTAATTTGGCAAGCCCACTGACAATACATAGCAATGTCAACTATGTGTCTATCCAATAACCCAAGATTCCACGTGTTCCTACCCACCCTGGAGAAACTCTCCCATATGTGCCCAAGTAAACATGTACATGTGTTTATTGCAACACTGTAATTGGGGAACAAAAGTGGAAATAAATTTTACTTCTTCAATTTATGAATGGATAAATAAATA
Source organism: Homo sapiens (assembly GCF_000001405.40). NCBI lineage: Eukaryota > Metazoa > Chordata > Mammalia > Primates > Hominidae > Homo > Homo sapiens. Next base: position 44,659,831 of record NC_000023.11, on the reverse strand, counting down.
TCCAACAATAGTAATTTTTCAGTAAATTCATATATGCATGAAAACGATGCAAACCAACTTTAGGATATTGTCGTTCCTTGGGAATGGAAAAGGGTAGTAGAAGAGGATGAAGCTTTAGCTAAAGTAGAATATTTTATTTTGAGAGAATAAAGCCACCAAGGCCAATGTTAATTTCTATTTTTTCATGGTAAAGAACATACAAGTGTTGATTATTCTCCATCTTTTAATGCTTTGTAACAAAATATTTTAAAACCAACAAACGTTTATTCTTTTTGATTTACGCCATGCCAAATGATAAGTGGGAACTTTTTGTCTTGTTTCCCACCAAAATAATATTTTGGTATAGTACAAATAGGGCCAAAAAGCACACATCGGCTAGAATACTAGATCATTGTTAAGTGTTCCTTTAAAATAATTTACTCAGACAGGGCCTGGCGCGGTGGCTCATGCCTGTAATCCCAGCACTTTGGGAGGCCGAGGCGGGCGGATCACGAGGTCAGGAGATCGAGACCATCCTGGCTAACATGGTGAAACCCCGTCTCTACTAAAAATACAAAAAAAAATTAGCTGGGCGTGGTGGCGGGTGCCTGTAGTTCCACCTACTTGGGAGGCTGAGGCAGGAGAATGGCGTGAACCTGGGAGGCGGAGCTTGCAGTGAGCCGAGATCACGCCACTGTACTCCAGCCTGGGTGACAGAGCAAGACTCCGTCTCAAAAAAAAAAAAAAAAATTATTCAGACAGTAAAGCTCAGAGCAATATTTTACTTTATCTAAATTGCAGCAGACTGAATATGTGTGTCCCTACAAATTCATATGTTGTAGTCTCAGCCCTCAACGTGATGGTATTAGGAGGTGGGGGCCTTTGGGAGATGATTAGACATGAACGTGGAGCCCTCGTGAGTGGGATTAGTGCCCTTATAAAAGACCCCAAAGAATTCTCTCACCCTCTTTCTGCCACCTGTAGACTTCTTTCCAAGCACTGCTTTAACAGCATCCCACAAATATGATACTTTATCTTCGTTTATTTAGAATCTCCTTTTGATTTCTCAGTTGACCCATGGGTTTTTGTTTTTTGTGTTTTTTTTTTTAAGTATGTTGTTTAGTATTCAAATATTTGGGAGATCTTTTAGTTATCTTTCTATTACTGGTTTCTAATTTTATTCCATTGTGGTCAGAGGACACATGCTGTATGATTACAATCCATTTAAATTTATTGAGACTTATTTTATAACATAGCATATAATCTATCATGGTGATTCTTACATGTGCACTTGAAAATAATGTGCTGTTGGGCAGAATGTTCTATAAATGTTAATTATGTCAAGTTGGTTGATGGCATTTAATTCTTCTATATCCTTACTGATTTTCTGTCTGCTTGTTCTGTTAATTATTGGGAGAGGAGTATTGAAATCTTGAATAATAGCTGGGAATTTGTCTATTTCTCCTTCAAGTTCTCTCGGTTTTGTTTCATGTAATTTGAAGCTCTGCTGTTTGGTGCATATGCATTTAGAATTTATGTCTTTTTGATGAATTGACCCTTTTATCATTATGAAATCTCCCTCTTCATCTTTGATAACATTTTGGGGGGCTTTGTTTTCAGCAAGGATCTGTTTATAGTAAACTCTCTCAGTCTCTGTCTGAAAATGTCTTTATTTAATCTTCTGGACTAAATGATGATTTAGTTGGATATTGAATTTCCAACCTGATAGCTCTTGTCTCTCAGTCCTGTAAAAATGTTATTTCATTATCTTTTGGCTTCGAATATTGCTGATGCAATATCGCTTTTCAATTTAATTCTTGTTTTTTTAAAGTTGCTCTGTCATTTCTCTCTGACGGCTTTTAAAAGCTTCTGTTTAACTTCAGTAGTTGATGTTTCTTTGTAATGTGTCTAAGTTTGGGTTTATTTATTTATTTATTTATTTATTTATTTATTTATTTATTTCTGAGACAGAGTTTTGCTCTGTCACCCAGGCTGGAGTGCAATGATGCAATCTCAGCTCACTGCAACCTCCGCCTCCTGGGTTCAAGCAATTCTCCTGCCTCAACCTCCCGAGTAGCTGGGATTACAGGCACCCACCACCATGCTGGGATAATGTTTTGTATTTTTAGTAGAGACGAAGTTTCACCATGTTGGTCAGGCTGCTCTTGAACTCCTGACCTCAGGTGATCCACCCGCCTCAGCCTCCCAAAGTGCTGGGATTACAGGCGTGAGCCACTGCGCCCAGCCTGGGTTTATTTCATTTTATTTTATTTTGAGACAGAGTCTTGCTCTGTCGCCCAGGCTGGAGTGCAGTGTCATGGTCTCAGCTCACTGCAGCCTCCACCTCCTGGGTTCAAGCCATCCTCCTACCTCAGCCTCCTGAGTAGCTGGGATTACAGGTGCCCGCCACCACACCCAGCTAAGTTTTGTATTTTTAGTAGAGGTGGGGTTTCACCATGTTGGCCAGGCTGGTCTCTAACTCCCAATCTCAAGTGATCCACCCACCTCGGCCTCCCAAAGTGCTGGGATTCCAGGCTTGAGCCACCACGCCCGGTCTGGGTTTATTTTTACTTTTCCTGCTTGGCATGGATGTGCTTCTTAAAACTGGGATTTATGACTTTAATCAATACAGAAAAAATTGTCAGCCATTATGTTTTAAAATATCAATTCTCCATCATCCCACTATCCCTACAATCTTTCTAGTTTCTCCTTGGGGAGTTCCTGTTAGAGATATATTTAACTAACTCATTCTATCCTGGATATATCATAACCTCTTTTTCATATGCTCCATAATTCATGTATTCCATCTTTTTATCTTGTTGTGCTGCATTTTGAGTAAATTCTTCAGATATGTTCTCCAGTTCAGTAATTCTCTTCAGCAATGTTAAATATGATATAAAAGTCCACTGAGTTTTAGATTTCAATATTTATATATTTCATTTCTAGGAGACCAATTTGGTTCAAAATCTGTTGGTTATTTTTAAAATAGCGACTTGTTCTTATGGATGACAGTGCTTCCATTTATGTCTTTAATCATTTTAAACAGATTCATTTTATCCTTTCCATTAGGTTGTTATATTATTTGAAGTACTTTGGGGCTATTGATCTGCAGTTTTGCACCCACTTTTTCTCCCCATGGAATCTTTTCCTTTTCTGTTTTATTATTTATTTACTTATTTATTTTTATGTTTTTGAGACAGAGTTTCACTCTGTCGCCCACGCTGGAGTGCAGTGGCGTGATCTCGGCTCATTACAACCTCTGCCTCCTGGGTACAAGCGATTCTCCTGCCTCAGCCCCCTGAGTAGCTGGGATTACAGGTGGGCGCCACCACGTCTGGCTAATTTTTGTATTTTCAGTAGAGACAGAGTTTCACCATGTTGGCCGGCTGGTCTCAAACTCCTGACCTCAGGTGATCTGCCCACCTTGGCCTCCCAAACTGTTGGGATTACAGGCGTGAGCCACTGCGCCCGTCCGTGTTTTATAATTCAGAGTTTAAGTGCAACATTAGTGGAGCTTTACCTGTGTGATCCTGTGTATCTCAGGTTTGGGATGTGGGCTTCCAAAGTATTTTTGTACTTGTTTCTGCCAGGCACCAGAGACTAGGAAAAATTTTTATGTCAACTTTTCATTGTAGGAGTTCTTGGTCCATGCAGGTCGTATGGTATGGCTCAGGGTTATACATTTTTCAGGGGAGGTATTTTTCTACCCAGAGGCCAGGCAAAGAAACGTATTCTTCGTCGTCAGCTTGTGCTAGCAGGTAGGTTTTTTTCTTTTCCACCTTTTACTAATGGTTCATCTCTTCAAGACCCAGGAGTTATGTAGAATATGCCGTTCCAATTCCTTGCCTTATGTAAGTCAAAGGAATTCATTATGAAGCTAAACCAGCATTCGATTGAAAGAGTTAAACAAAAACCTTTATAGACAAAGAGTTACACAAATTTACTACCAACACATCCTTGTGGGCCAGGCACTATGGCTCATGCCTGTAATCCCAACACTTTGGGAGGCTGAGATGGGAGGATGGCTTGAGCCCAGGTGTTCTAAATCAGCCTGGGCAGCATAGCAAGACACCATCTCAAAAAAAAATTTGTTTAAGTCCTTACTGAGAAAAAAAAGCAAAGGATTTTCATAAGGAAAAAGATATTTGAGCAAGGAAACAAGAGTTCAGATGGAAGACCTATGAGAATAAATGTATTGGTAAATGTATTGGTAAATGTATAAGTAAAGCTAAACAGGAATTTACTACATATTTTTAAGGATGGTTATTAAGGGGGCATTAAAACATAATGGAACTTCAGGTTATGAGCTGCATACAATAAAATAAAATAAACTAAAAAAAAACAGAAAACACATAATGGAACTAAGATACTGGACAATAACATCATGTAAAATGGAGAAAGTTAGATCAAATCGGATTAGAACTTAGGAGGACATGTAATCAAAAGGGACTTTTGATAGTTTAGTTTCTGGTTAGTTTAATCCAGAAAATTTTATTTTCCCATTAACAAGAAATCCAGAAACTAATGACACTTGGGTCAGTTAAGTTAGTGGTTCCTTAGTGCCATTGCAGACCCTGTCTCCATCTTCCCCTCTGGCCTCTTTCTTTGATGCCCAGGTTAATGTGCCAACCCAAAGTCCAGATCCCTTCTGTCTTTAGATCCCTCTTTGTTCAGTCTATCTAGGGATTTCCATTTCTGACCTTGAAGTACTTTCTTCTGTGTACACATATATATTTTTCCCTAAATTGGAATCATGCTGTACATTCCATTTTATTACCTGTCCTTCTAAAAATATTCATCATTAAAATATTTAGCATAACTATAAGAAAGTCTTTAACTTCTTTTATTCTTTTTTTTTGTTTTTTTTGTTGAGAAGGAGTTTCACCCTTGTTGCCCAGGCTGGAGTGCAATGGTGCCATCTCGGCTCACTGCAACCTCTGCTGGTTCAAGCAATTGTCTTGTCTCCAGCCTCCCTAGTAGCTGGGATTACAGGCATGTGCCACCATGACCAGCTAATTTTGTATTTTTAGTAGAGACGGGGTTTCTCCATGTTGGTCAGGCTGGTCTCAAACTCCCGACCTCAGGTGATCTGCCCACCTCGGCCTCCCATAGTGCTGGGATTACAGGCATGAGCCACCGTGCCTGGCCAAAATCTTGATTTCTTATAACCAGAAAGGTGGAAGCTACTCAAGTGTCCATAAATGAATGAATGCACAAACAAAATGTGGTATATCCATACAATGGAGTATCATTCAGCCTTAAAAAGGAAGGGGCTGGGTGTAGTGGTGCATGCCTGTAATCCCAACACTTTGAGAGGCTGAGGTGGGAGGATCCCTTGAGCCCAGGAGTTTGAGACCAGCCTGGGCAGCATAGGGAGACCCTATCTCTGTACAAAATTAAAAAAAATAAATTAGCTAGAGGCCAGGCATGGTGGCTCACGCCTGTAATCCCAGCACTTTGGGAGGCTGAGGCGGGTGGATCACCTGAGGTCAGGAGATGAGACCAGCCTGGCCAACAGGGTGAAACCCCGTCTCTACTAAAACTACAAAATTAGCTGGTCATGGTGGCACATGCTTGTAATCCTAGCTACTTGGGAGGCTGAGGCAGGAGAATTGCTTGAACCTGGAAGGCAGAGGTTGCAGTGAGCCAAGGTCGTGCCATTGCACTCCAGCCTGGGCAACAGAGCGAGACTCTGTCTCAAAAATAAATAAATAAATAAAAATAAAAATTTAGCCAGGTGTGGTGGCACGCATTTTTAGTCCCAGCTACTCAGGAGGCTGGCATGGGAGGATTGCTTGAACCCAGGAATTTGAGGTTACAGTGACCTATAATTGTGCCAGTGCACTCCAACCTGGGTGAGAGTGAGACTTCGTCTCTACAAAAGAACAAAAAGGAAGGAAATTCTGATATGTGCTACAACATGGGTGAACCTGATGGATATTATGCTAAGTGAAATAAGGCAGTTATGAAAAATGCAAATACCGTATGATTCCACCTATATGAGATACCTAGAATAGTCATATTCATAGAGACAGAAAACAGACTGGTGGCTGCTAGGGGCTGGGAGCAGTGGGGAATGGGGAGCTGTTGCTTAATGGGTACAGTTTCAGTTTTGCAAGACAAAAAAGTTCTGGAGATTGGTTGCACAATGTGAATGTACTTAACACCATTGGACTGTATACTTTAAAATGATTAAGATGGGTTGGGCCCTGTGGTTCACACCTGTAATACCAGTAATTTGGGAGGCCGAGGCAGGCAGATCGCTTGAGGTCAGGAGTTCCAGACCAGCCTGGCCAACGTGATGAAACCCCCGTCTCTACTAAAAATACAAAAATTAGCCAGGTGTGGTGGCGGGTGCCTGTAATCCCAGCTACTCGGGAGGTTGAGGCAGGAGAATCGCTTGAACCCAGGAGACGGAGGTTGCAGTGAGCCGAGATCATGCCACTGCACTCCAGCCTGGGTGACAGAGTGAGACTCCATCTCAAAATAAATAAATAAAATGATTAAGATGACAAACTTTATGTTATGTGCATTTTAGCACAGTTAATTTTTTTTTTTTTTTTTGAGATGGAGTCTTGCTGTTTTTGCCCAGGCTGAAGTGCAATGGCAGGATCTCGGCTTACTGCAACCTCTCCCTCCTGGGTTCAAGTGATTCTCATGCCTCAGCCTCCCGAGTGGCTGGGATTACAGGCACCTGCCACCACTCCCAACTAATTTTTGTATTTTTAGTAGAGCGAGGTTTTGCCACGTTGGCCAGGCTGATCTCGATCTCCTGACCTCAGGTGATCTGTCCGCCTCAGCCTCCCAAAGTTATGGGATTACAGGTGTGAGCAACCACACCCAACTGGTTAAATTTTTTTTTTTTGAGATGGAGTCTCCCTCTGTTGTCCAGGCTGGAGAGCAGTGGTGCGATCTCGGCTCACTGCAAGCTCCACCTCCCAGGTTCACACCATTCTCCTGCCTCAGCCTCCTGAGTAGCTGGGACTACAGACACCCGCCACCATGCCCGGCTAATTTTTTGTATTTTTAGTAGAGACGAGGTTTCACCATGTTAGCCAGGATGGTCTCGATCTGCTGACCTTGTGATCCATCCGCCTCGGCCTCCCAAAGTGCTGGGATTTCAGGTGTGAGCCACCATGCCCGGCCTGGTTAAATTTTTTTAGGGGAAAAAATTAGCAGGGCATGGTGGTGTGCGCCTGTGGTTCCGGCTACATAGGAGTCTGAGGTAGGAGGATCACTTGAGCCAAGAGGCTGAGGCTGCAGTGAGCCAGGATTGTACCACTGCACTCCAGCCTGGGCAACAGAGTAAGACCCTGTCTCAAGAAAAAGGGTAAGAGGGAGAAAAAATCTTGATTCCTATTTTGAATGGACAATACGTATACATGTTACAAAAATCAGAAAATGCAAAAAGGCATACAATGTTTTCACTATGGGCCTTCCCTGTCATCTAGTCTTCTCACCTGTCCCACAACCACCCATCTACTCATCATCTCCCTTGAGTATCAATTGACATCATTTTTTTTTTTTTTTTTTGAGATGGAGTCTTGCTCTGTCACCCAGGCTGGAGTGCAGTTGTGTGATCTCGGCTTACTGCAACATCCGCCTCCCAGGTTCAAGCAATTCTCCTCCCTCAGCCTCCTGAGTAGCTGGGATTACAGGCGTGTGCCACCACGCCCAACTAATTCTTGTATTTTTAGTAGAGATGAGGTTTCACTATGTTGGTCAGGCTTGTCTCGAACTCCTGACCTAATGATCCGCCCGCCTCAGCCTCCCAAAGTGCTGGGATTACAGGCGTGAGCCACTGTGCCCAGCCACTACTTTCTTGTGTGTCTTTTCATAGGTATTCTATGACTCATTCTTTTAAATAGCTGTATGTTATTTAATTGTGCATATGCACCATTCTTTCACCATTCCCTTGATCATTCAGTTGTTTCTAGCTTGACATTTCTTTGAAATCTCCTCTTCTAATAAAAAAAAGTGCACTCCATTAGACATGTATTTATTTCACATATTCTTTGTTTTAGTTATACTTATTTTAATAGGCAATATATTCACAGGGTTCAAAATTCAGGAAGCCCAAGAGGGTAAACATTAAAATATCCCCCTGCCACTGCTGTCTCCCAGGTCAACATATTTCCTTCTGGGCTTGTCATGCCTGTTTCTTCACAAATCCATTCCCAGCTCTTTGTCAGCTCTGCTTTCTATTGCAGGAAACTACATTTCCCAGTTTCCTTTGCTTGGTGGCTTCTGGCTAGCTTCAGGCAATGGGGGAAGGGCAGGCACTGGTACAGACTGGAGGGTGCAAGGAAGGCAGAGCCAAGGTATTTCTCTGTCTCCTCATGCTTTGCATAGGGTTTCCTGCAGTTGCTGCAACTTCTTGGCTCCAGCTCCCCTCTGGGCAGCCCCCACCACGGTTCTACTACTGCTGAATTGGCCCAGCTTCTGGGATCTGGTAACAACACCTCCTCCCTGTGTTCCTTCATCCGTAAGGCTGGTAGTCATTTCTTGCTATTAATAACTCCAAGGTTAATTCATAATCTTCTATTTGGTGTCCTAACTCTTTATCACCTAACCAATTTCTTCTATTAATTTCCCTCTGAACGAAATACTACTATCTGTTTCTTGTGTGTATCTTTCCAGAATATTTTATGCATATAGAAGCAAATTATATCTATTCTCTCTCTTCTATTTTTTTCACAAATGATAACATATTATATACACTATCCAACACTTTGCTTTTTCATTTAGCAATAATCCTGGAGTTCTATATACAATTCTAAAGATTCTCTCCATTCCTTTTATTTTTTATTTTTTTGATGCGGAGTCTCACTCTGTTGCCCAGGCTGGAGTGTGATGGCGTGATCTTGGCTCACTGCAACCTCTGCCTCCTGGGTTCAAGCAATTCTCCAGCCTCAGCTTCCTGAGTAGCTGGGATTACAGTCACTCGCCATCATGCTTGGCTAATTTTTGTATTTTTATAGAGACGGGGATTCACCATGTTGGCCAGGCTGGTCTTGAACTCCTGGCCTCAGGTGATCTGCCCGCCTTGGCCTCCCAAAGTGCTGGGATTACAGGCATGAGCCACCGTGCCCAGCCTCTCTCCATTTCTTTTAATCCAACATGGAGATGTACTGCAATTAGATTGTTGGAACACAATCATGCTTATTTGTTTATGTATTGTTTATGGCTGACAGCTTTCATATTGTGGGTTTTGTCCAATTCTTTGTTCGAGAAGCCAAGAACCTGGACACCTTCTACTGATAACAATACCAGTCCCTTATTGATGGATATTAGGTTACTTAAGCTTTCCTGCTATTACAAACAATTCTGCTGTGAATAATCTTGAATTATACCATATCATGAACTTTAGAAAAAATTCTAGAGTTGGAATTGCTGGGTCAGTGAGTATGTGTGTTTAAAAACCTTTTTTTTTTTTTTTTTTTTTTTTTTTGAGACAGGTTCTCTCTCTGTCACCCAGGCTGGAGTGCAGTGGCATGATCATAACTCACTGCAGTCTCTAACTCCTGGGCTCAAGTGATCTTCCCGCCTCTGCTTCCCAAGTAGCTAGGACTACAGGCATGCACCACCATGCCCAGCAATTTTTTTTTTTTTTTTTTTTGTAGAGATGAGGTTTAGCTATGCTGCCCAGGCTACTCTTGAACTCTTGGGCTCAGGAGATCCTCTTACCCCAGCCTCCCAAAGGGATTACAGACGTGAGCTTCCTCACCTGGCCTTGAAACCTTTTCTTTGGATGCAGGATCTCTTTCTATCACCCAGGTTGGAGTACAGTAGCGTGATCATAACTCACTGCAGCCTCTAACTCCTGGGCTTAAGCTTTCCTCACACCTCAGCCTCCTGAGTAGCTGGGACTACAGGCGAGCACCACCACGCCCAGCTAATTTTTTGTATATTTAGTAGAGAAGGGGTTTCACCAGGTTGCCCAGGCTGGTCTCAAACTCCTGGGCTCAAGTGATCTGCCTGCCTCAGCCTCTCACAGTGCTGGGATTACAGGCATGAGCCACCATGTCCGGCTGAAAGCTTTTTTTTTTTCCAGGCAGATAAAGGCTTGTTTTATTTTAATGGCTGATCTGTGTAATCAAGGAGGCCAGTATGAAAAGACAAAGGAGGAGCTTTTATTTCTTGATCTTTTCCTCCTTGGACAAAGTCTTGATGATCTCCTCCTTCTTGGCCTGGAGGCGCTCTTCATGGTGCTTGTGTTCTTCCTTGGTCTTGGACCTGCGGGCCACAGCCTGGTCAGCCAGAAGCTTCTTGTGGGCCTCGTCTGTCTTCAGCTTGTGGATGTGTTCCGTGAAAATCTGCTTGTTTTTGAACACATTCCCCTTCACCTTCAGGTACAGGCTGGGATACACGTGGCAATCAGTCTTCTTAGATTCAAGGTATCTTCTGAGCAGCCTGCACAGAATCCTCATTCTCCTCATCCACGTGTCCTTCTGTGACATTCAGGCATTGACTGTACCCTTTTGCTTACCCATGCCTATGTGCCTGCCCTTCCGGCAGGCCAAGGTGTTTTTCTGGCATCGTGCCTGGGAATGGACAGTCACAGGCTTGCAAATGATCAGCCCATCTTTGATCAGCTTCCGGATCTGCTGACTGGAGTTGGCATTGGCGATTTCATTGTTCTCATTGGGGTCCAACCAGACTTTCTTCTTGCCACAGTGGAGGACACTAGAGATGAGCCTCTTCTGAAGACTGAGTATACTCACGGCTGTGGCCGCAGCAGCAAAAGGAAAGAGCTCCCTGAAAGCTTTTTAAACATAAAATTTCAAAAATATACTCTTGATAGGCATGGGAGCAAAACTTCAAGGGTTCCAGGGAAACAGTATGTTGGATTTAATCTTTTGATTGTATTTTGCATATGAAAACGTGGTCAAAATCATTTCTCATAAACAACACAATTTTACAGTATTAAATGTGTTTTAAAAAGTAGGTATTTTGAAAGTCTTTCATGTATACAAGCAAGTGAAGACAAAAGGGCAGGCCTCTATAATTACCTTGAAGTTTTCAAAAAGTTCAAGTACTACTAAGTCAGCAGAGTTCGAGAGCTCTGTCGGGTTTTCTTGATTGTGAATTGGCACAGTGATTATCCACTGAGGATGACCAATTTGCCTGCTATTTAAAAAAAATAATCTCTGAGCATTCAAAATCTACTGCAACTCTCTGTTCTGGGAAGAATGTGACGTTGGCATAGAGGGAGTATGCCAGTGAAGGCTTGTAAGTAGGTTCTAAAAGTGCTAAGGGCACAAGTTAATTTGACTTTAAAAGCACCTTAACATTTTATTACTGAAAGCTTTATATTCTCTTGCCTGTTCAAGGAATTGTACGGACCAGCCCAAGAATTGCCTATTACTGCCAGTTAAAATGTGAGCCCTGGGGTCAGTGTAATTTCTGGAAATAAAGTAAGTTTGAGAAAGAGTACAGTTACTGACCATTATTCCTGGTGCCATGCTTGGTAAACTTCTTCTGTAGAGGGGCAGACAGCACATATTTTAGGTGTTATGGACCGTGCAGTCTCTGTCGTTACTACTCAACTCTGCTGTTTAAATGTTAAAGCAGTCATAGACAATAGTTGAATGAATGAGCATGGCTGTGCTCCAATAAAACTGTCTACAGAAAGGGCGAGTGGCAAGATTTTGCCACAGAATCCCAGTATACCCACTCATTTCCTGGAGGAAAATTAGAGTCCTTGCAGTGTACCATCACCTCAAGCCATGGAGTACTTGGTGACCTTTGGTGCTCTGGTTCTTTTTGACCTGAGTGGAGTTTTTTCCCACGGGAGCCCTGCGATGTCTAAAATGACTTTCCCTGATGACACCCTGGACATACAATTTCCTTAGCTTACATGTCATTTGGATGAGAGTAAGTGCATAGGGAATGTTGCTATGATGTCCTGGGGATCTGTGGAGAGAATGTCATTTATGACAGAGCATTAGAGGGGGAACAAGAACAACAAAACCAGAGATCTCTGGTGTCATCGTGGTGGATTGTTTGTAAAGATGGCTGCTAACAATCCCGCCCATCCTGCTATGTGCCTCCGGCACTTCCCATCAAGTACTGAGGTCTATTTACCTCCCCTTAAAAATGGGCTGACCTTAGGACTTGTTTTGGCCACGAGAATATGGCAGAAGTGATGAAACCGCCTTTGCAAAATTGACTGAGACAGTGAAATAGATCTGACTTAACCGACTCCATCTTGCTTCTAAGCTCCAAGCAGTCCTCGTTCATTCCTGGGCATAGGCTGAACTAACTTTGGGAGAAGGCTTAGTTATAGTTTATAGTTTAAAACAAAGATGATAGGCTGGGCATGGTGGCTCATGCCTGTAATCCCAGCACTTTGGGAGGCCAAGGCGGGTGAATCACAAGGTCAGGAGTTCAAGACCAGCCTGGCCAAGATGATGAAACCCTGTCTCTACCAAAAAAAAAAAAAAAAAATACAAAAAAGCCAGGTGTGATCGTGGGCACCTGTAATCCCAGCTACTCAGGAGGCTGAGGCAGAAAATTGCTTGAACCCGGGAAGTGGAAATTGCGGTGAGCCGAGGTAGCGCCATTGCACTCCAGCCTGGGCAACAGAGCAAGAGTCTGTCTCAAAAATAAACAAATAAATAAATAAAAAGAAAACAAAGACAATAACAGCCCTTTCCCAAAGCAGACCTCCTTCTTGCCTGGGGACTAGATTGCCTTTGTAGGACTAACATTAGCCATAAGATTGGAAATTATGGTTTAGGAGTCATGCAGCTGGGGGCTACAAGATTCTTACCCTCCCTAAACTGCTCCTAAGATAAGTGCTTGAGATATTTTGCAGACCCTGAACTGGATGGATCAGCTGGCACCACCCAGACTGATAAAGTGGCTCATCTGATCTTGCGGCCCCCACCAAGGAACTGACTCAGCACAAGAAGACAGCTTTGACTTCCTGTGATTTCATCCCTGACCAATCAGCACTCCTAGCTCACTGGCTTCCTTCCACTCACCAAGTTGTCCTTAAAAACTCTGCTCCCGGAATGCTTGGGGAGACTGATTTGAGTAATAATAAAACTCCAGTCTCAGCCGGGTGCAGTGGCTCATGCCTGTAATCCCAGCACTTTGGGAGGCTGAGGTGGGTGGATCATGAGGTGAGGAGTTCGAGACCAGCCTGGCCAACATGGTGAAACCCTGTCTCTACTAAAAATACAAAAATTAGCTGAGCGTGGTGGTGTGCACCTGTAATCCCAGCTACTCAGGAGGCTAAGGCAGGAGAATCACTGGAACCTGGGAGGCGGAGGTTACAGTGAGCCAAGATCATGCCATTGCACTCCAGCCTGGACAACAGATCGAGACTCCCTCTCAAAAAAAAAAAAAAAAAAGAAAAAAAAAAGAAACAACTCCAGTCTCCCGCACAGCCAGCTGGGGGTGAATTACTCTTTTCTGTATTGCAATCCCCCTGTCTTGATAAATCAGCTCTGTCTAGGCAGCGAGCAAGGTGAACCCCTTGGGCGGTTACAGTGATGCTGTACCAATTCCAAGCCTAGACCTGAAGAAACTTGGCACCTTCAGCTGTCACCCTCTTAGAAGCCAGCTGTTACATAAAGACGCTTGGGCTAGACATCTGAATGATGCACAACCACGTGGAAGAAGAGAGAGAGGTCAGATAGAGAAGAGCTCAGGTGTCCAGTCACTACTGCCACCCAGGCTGAGGCGCCAGACATGACTTGGGGCCATTTTGGATGTTCCAGCTTTAGTCAAGCTCCCAACTTAGTGTAGCCATATGACTGACCCCAGATAACATCACATGGAGCAGAGACATGTCATCCTTGCCAATCTCTAGCCAAACTGCAGAATTGTGAACAAATAAATGGTTGTTTTAAGCCACTAATTTGGGAGATGGTTTGTTATGCAACAATAGTTCCCATGACCCAATAGCAGGGTACCCATATTGGGGATCTTCTGGCTTGAAGGTCTCCTGACACTTGACTTTCTGCCCTTTACAGCATCCATAATTAGCAACTCCTTAATCTGGCCTCCAAGGCTCTCCATTGCCTTGGCTTTTACTTACCTTGCCATCACCATTTCTGCATGCTCCACTACAGGAAGCTTTCCTTCTAGAGAAGCAGTACAGCACAGATATTAGGAGCAATGACTCTGGAGACAGACTGCCTATCATTAGCTGTGTGACCTTGGTCAAGTTGCTTAACCCATCTGTGCTTACTCTCTTCATATGAAAGGTGAATGATAATAATCCCTATCTCATGCATGGTGGTGGTGAACATTAATATGTTAATATGTGTAAAGCACTTCGAATAGTTCCTGGCACTGTGCCATACATGGTTTTGGAAGCCTTCAGTCAGTATATTGCCTCCTGCCAAGTTGGCTTTCTCTGCTCCCCTTTCTTTCTCTCCTTCTTTCCTTCTTTCTCAGCCCACCTGGAGACCCCTCCTGTATGTGGAGGCCCCGATGCAATAGCTTTCATTCGTCTAGGTCTTCCTTCTCTCGTCTCCTGTTTGGGACACTAATCTGACAGTTAGGCTTTGAGATTCTGGAGTCTCCGGATTGTCTGGGGATCCCATTTTGCCTCTTGAAAGCAGAGACTGTTGTCTGAGAGCCGCAACAATTGCCTTCCTGCCCCTGCAGCGCATGCAGATTTTCTTGAAATAAAAAACTGGCCAGGCGTGGTGGCTCACGTCTGTAATCCCAGCACTTTGAGGGGCCGAGGTGGGTGGATCACGAGGTCAGGAGTTCGAGACTAGCCTGGCCAACGTGGTGAAACCCCGTCTCTATTAAAAATACAAAAATTAGCCGGGTGTGGTGGTGGGTGCCTGTAATCCCAGTTACTTGGGAGGCTGGGGCAGGAGAATCGTTTGAATCCAGGAGGCAGAGGTTGCAGTGAGTCACCACACTCCAGCCTGGGTGACAGGGCAAGATTCTGTCTCAAAAAACAAACAAACAAACAAACAAAAACTGAGTAAAAGATTGATGTGGACTCAAGCCAGTGGCAATGCTTTGGGGTAAGTAGGACTTGGGTTGACCTTGGAGGCCTAGACCACTTGGCAAAGTGTGGGGGCAAGGAGGAAGCGTTGTCCCTTCTTAGGCTGCATGTGATATAGACCTCATACATGTAAGCTGCCTGTGCCCAATTCCTCGTACTGTCACTTACTAGCTTGATAACGTTTTGCAAGTATTTACTTTACCTTTTCAGTCTCCTCATCTGCAAAATGAGAGATTTACTAATTGTACTCTCAGCATGAAGTTGTAGGAATACATATACATATATATATATATATTTTTTTTTTTTTAGACGGAGTCTCACTGTCACCCAGCCTGGAGTGCAATGGTGCCATCTCAGCTCACTGCAACCTCCACCTCCTGGGTTCAAGGGATTCTCCCGCCTCAGCCCCCCAAGTAGCTGGGACTACAGGTATACCCCACCACGCCCAGCTAATTTTTGTATTTTTAGTAGAGTCGGGGTTTCACCATGTTGGCCGGGCTGGTCTTGAACTCCTGGCCTCAAGAGATCCACCTGCCTCAGCCTCCTAAAATACTGGGATTACAGCGTGAGCCACTGTACCCGGCCCTAATGGCTTATATTTCTAAGACCCTTGGGACAATGACTGGCACAAGAAAATAGCTCATAAATGTGAAATGTGTTTTGTCATCATTAAGCTCCTCAATTTCCACAAGCTGTGTCAGCTTGATCGCCTGCTCAGCGGACACTAAAGACCATGTGTCTGCACTTGTCTGCCACCCAGATCGTCCTGCTCAGGTACAGCCGTACCTGAGCTTGTGTGTGAGCAGCTCAGCTTGGGGAGGCCATTCTTTACAGTGCTCTTGGCCATTCCTTACAGCGCTCTGTTAGCCCAGGACTAGGGGAGACTACTAGAAAGATTTATACCCAAATTGTGTCGTTTTACCCTTTTGTAGAGTTACTTTTATTGGACTGTGCTTCAGCATCATATCTTTGGTGTACACTGCAGGACACTATAAAGAATAGTCCCATAAACTATTGACTTCCCTATAAAGACGCCACTGAAGAGATTAATATCATTTCAGTAGCCTCTGTGTAGGGAGAACTTTCATGTTTCATTACAAAGAATAATTGTTCTTTTCTTGTAGTTCTTTACTGTATGAATGTGCAAAATACGTGATGGGTCAGGTGTTACTCTCTGCATTTACCTGCCAAATTTTTGACCTTCTAGCAGGGGGCTAGATTCTTACAGGGTATTTTGGGGGGTTCTAACCTAACTCTTTGCTTCATCTATTTTTTTCTACCCTCATTTTCGCTTTTGCCTTATCATCTTGCTTAATTTTTAGACATTGTCATCCAACTCTAATTCTTCCATTGGACTGAAGCAAGGTAAAAATAAAAAAATTTAAAAAGTGCCACTTAAGATAATTCTAAATCAATACCTTTTTAAAATATGTGGAAAATATAAATATGCATTCTGCAATTTTAGAAATCATGTAACTTATCTGTGAATTTCTTCTTGGCCTTGAGTTGTTGAACAGTTGTTGAACAAAATTAAAAAGATTTGAGCAAGAAAGTGAAAGAAGATACCCACTGGTTCTTGTTTTCAAGCTCCAAAGACATACTTTCATGAAATCCATTACAACCACCACAACCACCACTACCATTGAGCACCTACTGTGTGTTTGTAAGGAATTCTAGTCAGTGCAATATATTCAACAAATAAAATAGATGCTAGACACTAAGGTGCAGAGGATACAGTAGAATAAAGCCAGACAAGAGCTCCGCTTTTGCAGTGCTTTAGTGAATTGTCTTTCATAATGAATTTCTAACTGCCCGCCTTTGAGCAAGTCCTCTTTGTACTAGGAGATCTAGAGAGCCTGATAATGATGGTGAAGATGACAATGTCAGCTTACATTTATTGAGTGCATACTATATCCCAGGCATTGTTCTAAGTGCTTTGCATGTATTAGCTTACTGAACCCTCAGACAATCCCATGAGGTATGTGCTAATGTTAACTGCACTTTATAGATTAGGAAATGGAGGCACAGAAGGGTCACATCAGGGTTTCTCAACCTATTGGCACTATTAACATTTCAGACCATGTAATTCTTTGTGGTGGGGGGCTGTCCTGTGCATTTGTATGATGTTTAGCAACATCTCTGTTGTCTATCCATGACTAGGTGCCATAACAACACCTCTCCACCCCAGTTGTGACAATCCAAATGTCTGCAGACATTGCCAAATGTTCCCTGAGGGGCAAAACTACCCCCAGGTTGAGAATCACTGGGTTAGATGATTTGCCCAAATTACAGAACTAGTATGTGTTAGAGCTGAGATTCAACCCAGGCATTCTGGCTCCAGAGTGTGAAATATTAACAACACCAAACTCTAGGTGTAACCGTCTCACTCATAATTAGAATTTTCAGAAATAGAAATGTGAGAATCTTTGTGAAAAAATGTTTAAGAGACATTAAAAAAAGAAATGTGAGAATCTAACTTTCTGAAAATGGTGGACATAGCACTAATGCTGAGATCTGACAATTACTAGTATTTTAATAATTCTGTGTGTATCAGTCAGGGGCCCAGCAAGAAACAGAAGGCATTCTCTAATTAACATAATTTGAGGAGGGTTTAATAACCGACTGCTTACAAAGGTGTGGGGCAGGGAGTAGGGAGGCCACAGAGGAGAGTGTAGTCCCCTGAGTCTCTTAACAGTGGAGGGCCTTTACCGTTTATACTAACAATGGGATGAGAAAGAGAGAGAGGTGGAGAGAGAGAGAGATGCCTTAAGGACAACACTATCTGGCCAGGTGTGGTGGCTCACGCCTGTAATCCCAGCACTTTGGGAGGCCAAGGGGGGCGGATCACCTGAGGTCAGGAGTTCGAGACCAGCCTGACCAACATGGTGAAACCCCATCTCTACTAAAAATACAAAAATTAGCTGGGCGTGGTGGCTCATGCCTGTAATCCCAGTTACTTGGGAGGCTGAGGCAGGAGAATCACTTGAACCCAGGAGGTGGAGGTTGCAGTGAGCCAAGATCGCCACTACAATCCAACCTGGGCAACAGAGTAAGACTCTGTCTCGAAAATAAATAAATAAATAAATAAATAAATAACACTATCTTCTGTTGCCTAAGGTGACCTTGAACGGAGAATGCTAGGAGAATAAATACCATAACTTGACTCTCTTTCCTCCCTCTGATCTTCTGGGACTGCGCATTGGCTAAACCCCACTGGAAACCAGAGAACAATGATGCCCACTAATTGTGCTCCATTCAAGTCAGCCACCTGGGTAGAGAGCAGGCAGAGAAGGGTGGAGAGAGACATCTGCTACACTGCAATAATCTTTCTTTTTTTCTTTTTTGAGGTGGAGTCTTGCTCTGTCGCCAGGCTGTAGTGCAGTGGCTCTATCTTGGCTCACTGCAACCTTTGCCTCCCGGGTTCAAGCGATTCTCCTGCCTCAGCCTCCTGAGTAGCTGGGATTACAGGCACGTGCTGCCACGCCTGGCTAATTTTTGTATTTTTGGTAGAGACAGAGTTTCACCATGTTGGCCAGGATGGTCTCAATCTCTTGACCTCGTGATCCACCCACCTCAGCCTCCCAAAGTGCTGGGATTACAGGTGTGAACCACCACGCCCGGCTTGCAATAACCTTTCTCATGGGATTTCATTTATATCTATTGGCTTTAAGATTTTATTATTCCATAAACTTTACAGATTTGCAATTTTTTTGGTGAGAAGTCAATTTCATCTAACAACTTTACCTTGATTTTTCATGACCTCCAATGTGTATAGCTGGTGAACCAGCTTGTGTAGAATTTGAGGGGAGAAAAGAAAATTATTGTAATATCTGCTTTGGAAAGATGCTATTAGGATGCATCAGCTACAGAAACATTGGAGTAGTCACTGCCTTTTTCTTTTAATTTTTTAAACTGTAACCGAGACATAAGGTTCACTATTATGTGTTTATGTTGGCAGAGATTCAAATGTGAAAATTCTTTTCTAAGCCATTCTCTGAAGTATCTGGATATTTGCTTCAAACTTTTTGTCATGCCCTCAATTGATTAAACTTTCATTTTAAAGAGTCAATGGATAGCATGTCTTAATTTGCAGTCTTTCCACAGGTCTTTTAAAGATCACACCTACACAACAACAAAAATGGCCTGTCAATTCAGTGAGATCAAGTCAATTAATGGAATTAAAAAAAAAACACCACTAAAGAGTTTTTTTTTCTTTTTTTAATGTGGTACCATGTGTGTGAAAAACAATTCTTGGGTTGACTATAATTTTTATTTTTCTCACAGTGAATTTTGGCACCGTTTGGCACAGCTTGGCTAAGTCTCTTTCCAGCCCACCCTTGAGCATTTCTGTCTTCTCCGTCCCTTCTGTTATGTTCCTTGTACGCTGTGAGTTCCAGCCCTTTCCCTGAACTATATGTTCTAGAAACGTAGAATCTTGGAGTTGAAAGTGCTGTGAGTAGCCACATAGTTCATTCTCCCTCCCAGTGGGTACCCTCTTGTGTAATATCTCTGACAGATGGCCACCCAGCCTGTGTTTGAGCATCATCTAGGACAGGGAACCCTCTGCTTTGCAAAGCAGCTTGTTCCACCGTGGGCTAGCTCATACTGCTAAACTGATCATTTTGCCATTGAGCTGAAACTTGCTTTCTTCTAAATTTCGTTTTCTTTCTTTCCTTCTTCCTTTCTGTTTCTTTCCTTCTTTCCTTCTTTTTTCTTTCTTTCTTTCCTTCTTTCTTTCTTTCTTTCTTTCTTTCTTTCTTTCTTTCTTTCTTTTTCTTTCTTTTTCTTTCCTTCTTTCTTTCTTTCCTTCTTTCTTTCTTTCTTCTTTCTTTCTTTCTCTTTCTTTCTTTTTTTTTTTTGACAGAGTCTTGCTCTGTTGCCCAGGCTGGAGTGCAGTGACATAATCTTGGTTCAGTGCAACCTTCGCCTCCTGGGTTCAAGTGATTCTTCTGCCTCAGCCTCCCGAGTAGCTGGTATTACAGGTGCATGCCACTATGCCCAGCTAAGTTTTTGTATTTTTAGTAGAGATGGGGCTTTGCCATGTTGGCCAGGCTGGTCTCGAACACCTGACCTCAGGTGATCCACCTGCCTTGGCCTCCCAAAGTGCTGGGATTACAGGCCTGAGTCACCGAGTCTGGCTGCTTTCTTCTAATTTTCACGCATTAGGGAAAGGCAGTAGAGGGCAGTGGTCAAGATTCCGGTTCTGAGCCAGACTGTCTTTGTTCATGTTCCTGCTCTCCCACTTACCATCTGTGTGCTCTTGTGCAAGTTATTTAACCTTCTAAGCCAGTTTGTTTCTCTGTAAAATGGGGATAACCGTAGCTTTGCATTGTATCAATTTAGCTAAGTTGGAACTAAGATTCCCAGAATTCCCTTCCTTGTTTGGTGCTGGGTTAGAGTTGACCACAGGGGAAACTGGAGGGCAGAAGTAAGGCAGGAAGTAGGGTATAGGGCCACTGCTGTTGTAGTTTCCCTACATCAGCACAGATCTGGTTTGCATTATTCATGTAGGGCACCAACTGGGCCTGCAGCTCTTCCAGCCCTGGCCAGCTCTTCTTCAGTATCTCTGGATCCTGGGCCAACTCTGTGTGAAGTTCTGTGGTGAAGTGTGCCAGCTCCTCTACAGGTCACTGGCATCTTTAAAGTCGGAGGCTTAGAGACAGTGAGAGACCGACGAAGATTCCAATGTGATACCAATGTGACCAATGTAAGTTCTGATGAGAGACAGATGTGAGTTTCAGCTCTTTCTTGCTATCTTCCACTTTACACCCATTTTCCCTTCCCAACTCCTGCAGATGCTGACTTCAGGCCGAAAATCCGATGCAGAAGCAAGAGCTATACACAAACTACACAGCTCTCAATATTCGTAAGGTCTGATCTGTAAGCTAAATTTCTTATTTAACTCACAGTGGTTCTGCTTCTCTGATCAAACCCCAATGATACCAGTACATTGCGACAAATAAATGAAATAATCTATGTAAAGCACTAATTACAGTGCCTGGAACGTAGTTAAGTACCCAGCATCTGTGGACCTGTATTGTTGTAGTCTCCATCTTCATGGTATTACCAGCTCCATTCTCCAGGTCATTACAGAATGCATTTGGCTCCTCTTCTACCTGATGGTGAATCCACATATTTAAATCCTTTCTTTCTTTCTTTCTCTTTTTTTTTTTTTTTTTTTTGAGATGGAGTCTCCCTCTGTTGCCCAGGCTGGAGTGCAGTGGTGTGATCTCTGTTCACTGCAACCTCTGCCTCCCGGGTTCAAGCAATTCTCCTGCCTCAGCCTCCTGAGTAGCTGGGATCATAGGCCCTCGCCACCATGCTCAGCTAATTTTTTTTGTAATTTTAGTAGAGATGGGGTTCCACCATGTTGGCCAGGCTGGTCTCGAACTCCTGACCTCAAGTCATCCGCCCACCTCGGCATCCCAAAGTGCTGGAATTACAGGCATGAGCTACCGCATCCAGCCTACATTCATATTTTTGAAGGCTTTTAAATGTAGAATGATCTGTCAAGTGAAACCTTATGAGAGATACTGGACTAAGTGATTTGGACATATTATCTTATTTAATTGTCTCCACAAACACTCTAGAAATTTTCCAGATGAGGCTACTGAAGCTCATCCAAAGGTGACATAACTAGGGGTTTCTTGGACTACCTATAGTTACTTGGGTTTTATAATAATATGCAATTTCTAACTTGCACATTTAGTTTTTTTAAAGTGTTAAACACAATTTATGAATATTATTAGTTATGCTATTTATAAATCTTGTAATTGTATAAAATAAGAGCAATTACTTTCATTTATTCTTTGATTAATAGTCAACACAGTTCAAGCAGATTAAAATCACTTTAAACAATCCAATTTATAAACTTATTTATTTCCCCTTTTTAAACTACACTCATAAATTTAATATATTTGAACTTTTCGAGCCCTTCAATTGCCTGACAAGGCGTAAGTATAATCCTAACAAACAAAATTCTACCAGTTGGTTAAATGACTCTGGTGAAGATAATAAATTAAGCCTATAAATTTGTTGAATCTTGAGCTTTCATAAACATTTCAATACTGTTAATATGCTTGTGAAAATCTCTTATACTTATCTATGTGAAATTACAAGTCAAAATCAATTGCTGAAGGCTAATCTAACAGATTTCCTAAAATGCTAGATTCTCTTAAACATTACAAAGAAATTGTTTTTAATTTATAAAAAGTGTTTCTACTATGGCTATTTACTTCATCATATCATTCTAAATTCTCCCCAGGGTTGAAAAGTCACTTACCCAAATAAGGGTAGTAGATTTACTATATCAGGTAAATTGAGCTGAAGTCAGAAGGTGGCTTTTCCCCTCAGGATGTGTTTGTATAGTTAGAAATTCAAGACCCAGACATAGGATTTAAGAGACTCATGCTTCCTGAATTATTCTATCTTAGTCACAGGGTACACAGGAAACCCCTGCTTTTTTTTTTACATGAATGTTCATAGCAGCTTTCTTTGTAATAGCCCAAAACTGCATACAAACCGAATGTCCATCAACAGATCAACAGACAAATTGTGATGTACTGATACAATGGAATATTACTCAGCAATAAAAAAGAAAGAACTACTGATACACACTGCAACAGGGATGAATCTCAAAATCATTATGCTACATGGAAGAGACCAATCAAAAAGGAATCCACACCACTTAATTCCTTTTATATTAAATTCTAGAAAATGCAAACTAATCTGTAGTGACAGAAAGCAGATGGGGGTTCAAGGAGAAGAGAGAGACCACCATAGGGGGATAGACATGTTCATTACCTTGAGGGCAGACATGAATTTAAGAGTATATACATATATCAAAACTTACACTTTCTTTTTTCTTGAGTTGGAGTCTCGCTCTGTTGCCCAGGTTGGAGTGAAGTGGCACGATCTTGGCTCACTGAAACCTCCACCCCCCAGGTTCAAGCAATTCTCCTGCCTCAGCCTCCCAAGTAGCTGGGACTACAGGCACGTGCCACCACACCAGGCTAAGTTTTGTATTTTTAGTAGAGATGGTTTTTAGCCATGTTGACCAGGCTGGTCTCAAACTCCATATCTCAGGAGATCCACCTGCCTCAGCTTCCCAAAGTGCTAGGATTACAGGCTTGAGCCACCGCTCCTGGACCTAAAATTTATGCTTTAAATAGAGGCAGTTTATTGTTATGTCAATAAACTTGGTTTTAAAAAACTAATGAACCATATCATATTTTTCTTACAAAATTAGTCACAATAATTTTATTCATAGCAAAAGTGAGGAACCCCCTTTTTTAAAAAATAGCCACTTTGCTCATGGGAGGGCATAAGGCCATACCTTTTAGCTATAAAGTTTTAGTTACCTGATTGGGTTAACTAGAAATCTGCAACCCTACTCAAGTGGCAGACTAAACTCTCTTTACCTCTAATTGGGCTCTGAATTCCTTAAATATTCTATTTTATCCTGTATCTTCTATTTTTATCTGGCTATAACTCATAGTCATGAGCTGGTAGAGCTGGATTTGAACCCAGATCTCCCTGAGACCAGAATGTGGTCTGTGATCCACCATGATATGCTGATTTATTTATTTTTATTTTTATTTATTTATTTTTATTTTTATTTTTTATTTTTTATTTTTTTTGTGACAGAGTCTTATTGTATCACCCAGGCTGGAGTGCAGTGGCACAATCTTGGCTCACTGAAACCTTTGCCTCCTGGGTTCAAGCAATTCTCTTGCCTCAGCCTCCCGAGTAGCTGAGATTACAGGCGTGCACCACTATGCCTGGCTAAGTGTTTTTTTTTTTCTTTTGCCCTCTCATCCCATTTATTAAAGAAACAGTAAGAAAAGATACAACGCAGGAAAACCACCAACCATCCTTTCACACCAGGCTGAACGAAGCACAGTGATTTCTTCCCTTCCTTCCCCCACCCTCACCCCAATTCCCATATACCCATCCACATCAGTTTAAATTTTGAGGTTCTTTGATTGGGAGTACCAGTGAAGAGGGAGCTGGATGGGTAGAGGAGCCTTAAATCCGGCTACTCCTAAGTCCCAGGAGAAGGGAGCTACAGGCCCAGTCAGTCAAGCAGAAACTGCATTTGGTGGGTCTTTGAAGTGGTTGTCCATCTCCCTGTTCTGTGTTCAAGCCCCCAGGGAAAGGTATGGCAGTTGAGGATGACCAGTTCCAAGCTGCCCAGGTCAGAGCTATGGAAGAATGGTCAGTTCACCAATGCCACGTTTCTAGAGAGCAGTGAGCTGATTCTCCAACGGTGAGCAGGGGACTACATGTGAACTGGGACCCGTAGGCCAATGTATCCCTGGGGAAAAGTTCACAAGAACAATTCAAGAAACTAGTAAGAAACAATGGGCAGAAAGCTGTGGGATGAAAGCACAGCAGGCTTCTGGGAGGCTGGAGATCCTTTCTCTCAAGGCCAGGATTATTCTCACCTGCCACAGTTCATGTGCCACAAATAACAGCTCACCTTCAGTCAAGAAAAACGCAGAGGAAAAAGATGGCTCATTTGAACTTGAGCCCCAGCTATGTTCTTCAGACTGTAGCTCCACCCTTTTACCTAAGAGACAGCCACTGCTGAGAACCACAGTGCCTAGAAACTAAGGTGGTCCTGGAGGGAAAAAGGTGTTTAAGGGGGTAACATTCCATTTGGGTACACTGCAGCCATTGGACCCCCTGGTCTGGGGAAAGCAGCTGGGTTTGTGCCAGGGAGGCTCCCCACTCTAGGAAATGGGACCAAACTCTTGCCTGCAGGGCCATTCATCCTTGGAAAGGAAGCCGGGTTGAGACCCAGGGTCCCAGTTGGCCTTGCGAAAGGAGCTGGGTTGGTACCCACAGGGCCTGCTGGAGAAGAGCCCAGGTGCCCGGCAGCTGACCTGGAGAAAGTAACTTGACCAGAGCCTAATGGGCCAGTAGACCTTGGGAAGGTAGTCAGACTTGGACCCTGCAGGCCAGCGGCCCTTGGGAAGTTAGCTGGGTTGGGGCCAAGTGGCCCAGAGGCTCTTGGGAAAACTGTTGGATTTGAGCCCTGGAGGCCAGCAGACCTTTGGAAGATAGCTGGGTTTGATGCCAATGTGCCAGAAGACTGAGAGAAGGCAGATGAACCCGCTCCCCTGGGAAAGGGATTGGCATTTACCCCCATGGGGCCCCCTGGCCTTGAGAAATGAGCTGAATTAGGGCCTATGGGGCCAGGAGCCCTTGACATGGGAGATGGATTTGGCCCTGGAAGGCCAATTTCCCGAGGGCCAGGACCCAAGTTTGGACCCATGGGGCCAGGTACTCTTGCCATGGAAGACGGGCTTGTGCCCATGTTTCCAGAAGCCTGTGACAAGCTGAATTTGCTCCTAAAAGACCTGCCGCTCTTAGAATGGGGAAAAGATCGAGGCCTTGAGGTCCAGCTATTCTTAAGACCAGGTCCTGTGCCCAAGAGGCCACCTGCTCTGGCATCTAGATTACGGCCCAGGCCCAGGCCACTTGGTCTTGGAAACACACCTAACGTGGGGGCAGGGTTTGTCCCTAAAAAGCCTGATCTCAGATTGGGGTTTGGTCCTGGGCCCAGGCCAACTGGCCAAGGATTGGGAGGACCATTCCCAGAAGTCAACAGAACACCTGCTCTCAGGTTAGGTCCAGATCCAGGGCCCATGGGACCACCACTTCTGGGGTCAGGACCTGCTCCCAGGAGACTACCTGCCCTTAGGTTGGATATAGGACCTGGTCCTGGGAGACCCCCTAACCTGGGATTAGACAGAGGCCCCAGGCCTGGAAGAGCCCCTGTCCTAGGGTTTAGGGTGGGGCCTCGTCCCGGGCCTGGCCCCAAGAAGCCACCAGGCCTTGGGAAAGAAACTGCACCTGTGCCAGTGGGATTCATCCCTCTTGGAAAAGAAGCCATGCTTGGGTCACGAGCACCAGCCGGGAAAGGTGCTGGATTTGAAGCCAATGAGCCTGATGAAGCTGGAAAAGGAGATGAGTTCCTTGGAAATGGGGCCAGATTTCCACCAAGAAAACCAGCCGCCATAAGGAAGGGATCCGAGTTCACACCCAGTGGGTGGCCTGTGTTCAGAACAGGACCCCCCTGTCGTCCCAGGGAACCGTCCAGCCATCCTTGAGGTGGCAGCGGAGCACCAGTCCAAGGAGTTGGCCGCTCTCTAGGGAAAATCCGAGCTCTTTCATACTTTCTTGGGGACGTTGGTGATAATGGGCTTGGGGCAGGTTTTGAAAAGGATCTTGTCTTTGATGAGTGCTCTCACCAGGTACCAAGTGCCAGTCTTGCGGCCAAGCTCATCACAGTCCTGATATCCAGGAGTGTGTTTGACAGGGACTGCAAAAGCTTTCTCCGGGGGGGATGATTTTCCCATTCAGGATATGATGCCACACGATCAGCGCAGGGATTCCCAGGAAATAACAATTTGCACCATGAGCTTTCTGTCTTTAAAAAGCAAGTGAAAACAAATTGCAATGGCGGCCGCCGAGTGTCAACGGGCGACAACCGAACCTCCCACCGCCGCCGCTGCTGCCGCGAGCACTGCCTGCGCCAGTTTTTTGTATTTTTAGTAGGGACGGGGTTTCACCGTGTTGGCCAGGCTGGTCTCGAACTCCTGACCTCAGGTGATTCGCCCGCCTTGGCCTGTAATCTCAAAGTGCTGGGATTACAGGCTTGAGCCACTGCGCCTGGCCAATATTGTGAAACCCAACATGGTGAAACCCCGTCTCTACTAAAAATACAAAAATTAGCCGGGCGTGGTTGCAGGCGCCTGTAATCCCAGCTACTCGGGAGGCTGAGGCTCGAGAATCGCTTGAACCAAGGAGGTGGAGGTTGCAGTGAGCAGAGAACGCGCCATTGCACTCCAGCCTGAGGGACAAGGGCAAAACTCTGTCTCCAAAAAAAAAAAAAGAAAAAAGAAAAGAAAGACACTTTATTTCTAGTACCTACCACAGTGCTGGATAGAATCTGGCACATAGCAGGTACTCAGGCAAGAGTTAAATTAATGGATATCCCACAGCATTTCAGGACCACAAAGTGTATTCTGTAACATTTTATGCATTCTCTGTTTCCATATATTTACCTCTAAAATCAGTTAAAGTATATCTGCTAAACACTGGTTGGCAAGATAAGAGCAAAAGGTGATAGCTATATTACTATTAAGAGTAAAGAAGGCCAGGTGCAGTGGCTCATGCCTGTAATCCCAGAACTTTCGGAGGCTGAGGTGGGAGGATCACTTGAGCCTAGG
Organism: Homo sapiens; assembly: GCF_000001405.40. Classification (NCBI taxonomy): domain Eukaryota; kingdom Metazoa; phylum Chordata; class Mammalia; order Primates; family Hominidae; genus Homo; species Homo sapiens. The sequence goes on along the minus strand of NC_000023.11, from coordinate 44,632,633 downwards.
AGTTTCGAGACCAATCTGGGTAACATAGTGAGACCCTGTCTCCACAAAAAAGTTTAAAAATTAGTCAGGCGTGGTGGCATGCACCTGTAGTCCCAGCTGCTCAGGAGGCTGAGGTGAGAGGATTGTTTAATCCTGGGAGGGTGAGGCTGCAGCCTGGAACCTAGGCAATAGAAAGAGACCTTGTTTAAAAAAAAAAAAAAAAAAAAAAAAAAAGTACTGAGGTCTGCAATATACAGTACAGTCAGGGATTTCAATTAACCACAGCTCTTTGACACATATTGTTCACTGAGATGGTCTTGAAAAGAATTAAATATTGGTTTGCTTTGAGTATATTATGGTTCTTTTTTCCCTTCCAGTTCGCTGAGTTTGGAAAACAAAAGGAGTTTCACTTTCAAGTCAAATGAGCTCACTATATTGGTTTTTAAAATTTTGCTTTTGTTTGTTTTATTGCTTTTGCTCCTTAGTAAATTAGTTCAGTTCATTTTAATTTTGGTTCTCAGCTTATGCCAACATGTAAGTTTCATGTGAATTAGTTTTAATCTCAAGATTTCTTCAGTGTACTTCAGGATGTCATAATTCTTTCATTGATGTTTGACTTAAAAATCCAAGTAAAGTTTAACACAAACAGGAAACAACTATCAGTGGGAATGAAATTTGATTCTTTTTTTTTTTGACATGGAGTCCCACTCTGTTGCCCAGGCTGGAGGTGCAGTGGTACGATCTCGGCTCACTGCAATCTCTGCCTCCCGGGTTCAAGCGATTCTCCTGCCTCAGCTTCCCAAGTAGCTGGGATTACAGGCGCCTGCCACCACGCCCGGCTAATTTTTGTATTTTTAGTAGAGATGGGGTTTCACCATGCTGGCCAGGCTGGTCTCAAACTCCCAAGCTTGGGCGATCCACCTGCCTCGGCCTCCCAAAGTGCTGGCATTACAGGCATGAGCCACTGTGCCTGGTGAAATTTGATTCTTAAAAATATCAATGCCTAAAAAGAAATTGTCTTTTGTCTGTCTGTTTTGAATTTTCTTCATTATTACATTATGCCTTTAATCAGCCAAATTGACATTAAGTTGTATTTGGGTAGCAATTTCTCAGTGTGTGGTGATGTGATGGGGGAAGTTGAGTTAGTGGCATTTGAATTAGGACAGTTTGTTTTGTTTCGTTTTTTATTGTGTGAGACTTTCTCTGAAATTGCCTCACTTTTAGCATCCATAGCCTCTAGGTACTAATTGCCATAAGCAACTCTCAGTCATTATGACAACCCAAAACATTCCCATCTATAACACATGTCCAAGTGTTCCCTAGGTGGGGGCCCACCTGTTGAGGGCCACTGAGTAATAAATATACCTGGTATTCAGAATACCTAAATATTCTGGTTTCAATTCTGCCACTAGCTATAAGATTTGATCTTCCAGTGCCTATATTTCTGTCTATTACAATTATGTGGTTGAAAAATACCCTGGGCCCCAGGGCCATATATGACTTATTTGACTCTGGGGAGCAGTCCACTTGAACTTTTTTACATACATAGGTTTTGTCTAATTTAATAGAATGTTTTTTCAGAGTTGAAAGCTCATGGAAAAGTAAAAAGAAAACAAACAAAAATATTGAATTTTCATTTAATTATTTGATACTCAGGAATTAATAGACCATGGCCACTCCTGTCACTAGGTTGCTGTTAGATGGGCGTATCACTTAAAAGTTATTAATGAAATTGAATACAGATTATTATATCATTATGAGTTGATCACCATTCATTTTCTTTTTTGTTTGTTTTGTTTTGTTTGAGATAGAGTCTGTCTCTGTCACCCAGGCTGAAGCGCAGTGGTGCAACCTTGGCTCACTGCAACCTCCGCCTCCCGGGTTCAAGCGATTCTCCTGCCTCAGCCCCCTCCAGTAGCTGGGATTATAGGCACCTGCCACCACACCTTGCTAATTTTTGTATTTTTAGTAGATATGGGGTTTCACCATGTTGGCCAGGCTGGTCTCAAACTCCTGACCTCAAGTGATCCGCTGCCTCAGCCTCCCAAAGTGCTGGGATTACAGGCGTGAGCCACCCACTGTGCCCGGTCTGATCACCATTAATTTTCATAAAGTTCCATTATGAAATTGGGGTATTATGAAGGGTGAATAAAAAAAAAGGAAACAAATATGAATGAAGCTACCTTTGTAAGTCAATGTTGTTTTCAATGAGATGTCCATGGAGCTTCCATACATAAAGATTCATTTTATTCTCATTATTTATTATGGGTATTTCAAAAATAGAGCAAAGTTAGTCCCAGCTACTCAGGAGGCTGAGGCAGGAGGCCCACTTGAGCCCAGGAATTCAATGCTGCAGTGTGCTATGCAGTCTGCAGTGAGCTAGACTCAGTTGAGTCTTTGAATAGCCACTGTACTCCAGCCTGGGCCACATCGTAAAACCCCATCTCTAAAAAAAAAAAAAAAAACAACAAAAGAGAAAACAAAGCAGAAAGAACAGGAAACTGAACATCCTTGTACTTACCAACTAGTTTGAAAAATCATTAACCTTTTGCCACATTTGCTTCATTTCTGCACTGTGTTAAAGTACAGATATCGTGATACTTCACTTCTGAAAACTTTAGCATTAATCTCTGTCTTAGTTCACCAGGAGTGATGGCGCACGCCTGTGATCCCAGCTACTTGGGAGGCTAAGACAGGAGAATTGCTTGAACCCGGGAGGTGGAGGTTGCAGTGAGTTGAGATCGCACCACTGTACTCCAGCTTGGGTGACAGAGGGAGACTCTGTCTTAAAAAAAAAATTTTTTTTCTTTCTTAGTTCCTTTGCACTGCTCTAGCAGAATACTATAGATTGTATGGCTTATACACAACAGAAATTTATTTCTCACAGTTCTGGTGGCTGGGAAATCCAAGATCAAGAAGATTCGGTGAGTGCCTTCTTCCTGTTTCATAGAGAGCCATCTCTTTGCTGTGTCTTCACATGGTAGAAAGGGAAAGGGAGCTCTCTGGAGTCTCTTATAAAGGTACTAATCCCTTATAGTGTGGAGTATTCATGGCCAAATCACCTCCCAACAACCTCACTTCCTCACACCATCACACTGGGGTTTAGGATTTCAACATATAAATTTTGGGGAGACACAAACATTCAGACCATAGCAATCTCTAAATAAATAACTTTCTCCTATGTATCCACAACAATACTATAAATGTAAGAAAATGAGCAATAATTTCTTACTATTACCTAATACCGATTTCCTTTGCAAATGTCTTCAATTGCTTAAAAATTGCCTTTTGTAAGGCCAGGCATGGTGGCTCATGCCTGTAATCCCAGCACTTTGGGAGGCTGAGGTGGGCGGATCACGAGGTCAGGAGATTGAGACCAACCTGGCTAACATGGTGAAAACCCGTCTCTACTAAAAATACAAAAAAATTAGCCAGGCATGGTGGCGGGTGCCTGTAATCTCAGCTACTCAGGAGTCTAAAGCAGGAGAATGGCATGAACCCAGGAGGTGGAGCTTGCAGTAAACTGAGATAGCCACTACACTCCAGCCTGCGTGACAGATTAAAAAAAAAAATTACCTTTTATCGCTGTTTCTTTCTTTCTTTCTTTTTTAACAGTAAGAATTCAGTCAAGGATCATTGACTGTCTTGAACTTACATCTCTTCAGCCTTTTAAAATTTAGACCTTCATTTTTCTTTTTTTTTTCTGAGGCAGAGTCTTGCTCTTGTAGCCCAGGCTGGAGTGCAGTGGTGCGATCTCAGGTCACTGCAACCTCCACCTCCTGGGTTCAAGCGATTCTCCCGCCTCAGCCTCCTGAGTAGCTGGGATTTTACTTTTAGTAAAGACGGGGTTTCGCCATGTTGGCCAGGCTGGTCTCGAACTCCTGACCTCAGGTGATCTGCCCGCCTCGGCCTCCCAAAGTGCTGGGATTACAGGCGTGAGCCACCGCACCTGACCAGACCTTTTTTCTTATTTGATGACATTGACTTTTGGAAGAGAATGATCAAATATTTTGTAGCATGTCTCACATTCTAACTTTGTATAATTATTTCTGTGTCATAACACTCAGATTGTTTCTCTTCTTGCAGTTAATTTGTAAAGAGGAAGTTAGATCTAAAAGCTTGATTAAGAATACTACACAGGTGATGTATGCTTTATATATATCACATCAGGAGGCACTTTTTTTTTGTTTGTTTTTGAGAAGGAGTTTTGCTCTTGTTGCCCAGCCTGGAGTGCAATGGCACAATCTCGGCTCACTGCAAACTCCGCCTCCCAGGTTCAAGCAATTCTCCTGCCTCAGCCTCCCAAGTAGCTGGGATTACAGGCGGGTGCCACCACTCCCAGTTAATTTTTTAATTTAGTACATACGGGGTTTCATCAGGTTGGTCAGGCTGGTCTCGAACTCCCGACCTCAGGTGATCCACCAACCTCCGCCTCCCAAAGTGCTGGGATTACAGGCGTGAGCCACTGTGCCCAGCCAGGAGGCACATTTTAAAAATGTGTCTATTATTAATGATGCTAACTTTGTTCACTGAATTAAGGTGTTTTTTGCTTGTTAAAGGACAATTTTTGTTAAGGGTAATCCTTAGCAAACTTAGCTGGGAAAAAAAAGGGTAAGCTCAGGACTCTCAAACAAATACAAAATGAACATGTACCAAAGATGTTATTTAGCTCATTAATTACTGAGGAAACCAGTAAGATATTACAACTGGTCTAGAGGAAAATCCAAAGAGCAGACACATATACAGGCTGAATAAAAGTTAAAATGAATTTGCTCAAATTGGTCAATGTCCATAGGGCAACAATCAACTGCACCTCTACTAGACAATTTCCATTTTTCTAAGGACATGAATCATTTGCAGTGTTCTCAATATTCTAGAACTTACAGGCTTGAAAAATAGCTCAAAAATAATAAAAGGCCCAGAGTCCCAATGGAATCAGATAACCTGGACAACACCTATCTTCCATTGAAGAATAGAATCTTTGATCCATTTCAAAGTCTTTCACAATTTTTCCCTACACCCTAAATCTTTTTTATCACAACGTTAACAGTTTTTACTTTTCAATCAGGGAGTTATCTGTGGAGTCATACTTAGTGCCATGGGAACATCCAGTTTCCATGATGTAGGGGAGATGTCATGGTTTTGTGTAGTGGTTTTAACACTCATTGATAATTTTCGTCTGAATCAATTATTTCACTGAAGGTAGCAAAATGGGGATTGTTACAAATTTTTTTTTTTTTTTTTTGAGACCAAGTTTCACTCTGTTTGCCAGGCTGGAGTTCAGTGGCGTGATCTCAGCTCACTACAACCTCCCCCTCCCGAGTTCAAGCGATTCTCCTGCCTCAGCCTCCCGAGTAGCCGGGATTAATTCTTGCATTTTTAGTAGAGACGAGGTTTCACCATGTTGACCAGGCTGATCTCGAACTCCTGACCTCAAGTGATCCGCCCATCTCGGCCTCCCAAAGTGCTGGGATTACAGGCGTGAACCACCACGCCTGGCCTGGGGATTGTTCCAATTTTATTATTTCTTCTCCATTTATTAGCAGGCAGTCTTCAGAAAAGAAGAGTTTCCTTTTCAGCTAAGACCATTTTATTATCCCTGAAATACGATTCCTATGGAGAAGGCAAAAAAGTTGCTTAGATCATCTCCTTTAACAACCAATTTTCAGAATTAGGAATATGTATACTAATTACCTCTTATGTTGAGAAATAAGATTTGGTTTGGTTTGGGGCTTTTGGTGTATTTTTTTCTTATTTCATGTGTTTTGCTTAATTATATTCATTATTTTTTATGCTCAAATAATCACAAATTTAATCAGTGGGAGCCGCTTCAATCTAGTTCATTTATCTTTTCAATATGCTTTCATTAACCTTTTTTCTTTTTTTCTTTTTAAACGACAAGCTCTTTTCTAAAGCCTCCATTAGTATTTGAGGATCTCCTTGCTTCTGGGAAAAAAAATAATGCACTAGAATGATTAAAAAAAAAAAAGAAAGAGAAAAAGCAAGAGAAGATAAAAAAAATACCAGTATTGGCCAGGTGTGGTGGCTCATGCCTGTATTCCCAGCATTTTGGGAGGCCAAGGTGGGCGGATCACGAGGTCAAGAGATCCAGACTATCCTAGCAAACATGATGAAACCCTGTCTCTACAAAAATACAAAAATTAGCTGGACGTGGTGGTGTGCCCCTGTAGTCCCAGCTACTCGGGAGGCTGAGGCAGGAGAATCGCTGGAATCCAGGAGGCAGAGGTTGCAGTGAGCTGAGATCGCACCACTGCACTCCAGCCTGGGCCACGGGGTGAGACTCCATCTCAAAAAAAAAAAAAAATACCAGTATCAGAGATTAAGGAGGGTTCACCACCATAGAGCCTACAGACATCTATGGTAACACAGACATCCTGGCTAGTTAAGCAGGTGTGGTGGCTCACACCTATAATCCAAGCACTTTGGGAGGCCGAGGTGGGAGGATCACTTGAGGCCAGAAGTTCGAGAGACCAGCCTGGGCAACATAGGGACACCTTGTCTCTACAAAAAATAAACAAAATTAGCCAGACGTGGTGGCTTGTGCCTGTAGTCCCAGCTACTCTGGAGGCTGAGGCAGGAGAATCACTTGAGCCCATGAAGCAGAGGTTGCAGTGAGCTGAGATCATGCCACTGCACTCCAGCCTGGGTGACAGAGCAAGACCTTGTCTTAAAAACACACACAAAAAAGGCTAGTAAGGAGATACTATGAACAGCTTTATTCCAATATATGTGTTAACACAGACGAAATGGAAAAATTCAATTTTATTGATCTTATTTCTCTTACTAACTTTATAATTTTTTAATTTTATTGATCTTTTCAAAAAACAGCTTTTGGTCTCATTCATTTTCTGTTTTTCTTTTATTATTTATATTTCTAATTAAAATGTAAAAGTTTATTTTTAGATATACAAGATAAGATATACAAGATATGGCCGGGGGCAGTGGCTCATGCCTGTAATCCCAGCACTTCGGAAGGCCAAGGTGGGCGGATCACGAGGTCAAGAAATCGAGACCATCCTGGCCAAGATGGTAAAACCCCATCTCTACTAAAAATACAAAAATTAGCCGGGCGTGGTGGCAGGCACCTATTATCCCAGCTACTCACGAGGCTGAGGCAGGAGTATCGCTTGAACCCGGGAGGTGGAAGTTGCAATGAGCCGAGATTTCGCCACTGCACTCCAGCCTGGCAGCAGAGTGAGACTCCGTCCAAAAAAAAAAAAAAAATGTATTTGCAATTCTTTTTATCTTAGAATATGTACCTATAAGGATATACCATAATTCAATATTAAAATTATCACATAAAGTAAATATTTTCTCTGTGTAGTGATACTACTTGACATAGAATTAGGTTCATTTGCTCAAATTTGTTTTCAATTTTGGGATTTTTAAAAAATATTTAAGTTAGGTTTTAATTTGGCCAGGCTCAGCAGCTCATGCCTGTATTCCCAGCACTTTGGGAGGCCAAAGCAGGAGGATTGTTCGGTCAGGAATTCAAGAGTAGCCTGGACAACATAACAAGACCCCATCTCTACAAAAAATAATTTAAAAAAAATAACCGGCCATTGTGATATGCACCTGTAGTCCTAGCTAGTAAGGAGGCTGAGGCAGGAGGATCACTTGAGCCCAGGAGTTTGAGATTACAGTGAACTATAATTATGCCACTGCACTCCAGCTTGGGCAACAGAGTCAGACCCTGCCTTTAAAAAAATAATAATATATTGGCCGGGCACGGTGGCTCATGCCTGTAATCCCAGCACTTTGGGAGTCCGAGGCAGGTGGATCACAGGGTCAGGAGATCGAGACCACCCTAGCCAACATGGTGAAACTCCGTCTCTACTAAAATACAAAAAATTAGCCGGGTGTGGTGGTGCGTGCCTGTAGTACCAGCTACTCTGGAGGCTGAGGCAGGAAAATTCCTTGAACCTGGGAGGCAGAGATTGCAGTGAGCCGAGATTGTACCACTGCTCTCCAGCCTGGCGACAGAGCAAGACTTCGTCTCAAAATAATAATAATAATAATAATTTTAAATAATGGGTAGAACATTTACATGTTTCAAAAGCCAAAACGATATAAAAGGGCATACTCAGAAGTCTCTCTTCTATTCCTGCCTTCTCACTTCCCTCCCCACCCCCTGAGTTAACTATTTTGATTAGTTTCTAGTTTATTATTCCAGCGTTACTGTTTGAAAATATCTGCCTGTATAAATAGGTACATAGATGTGTCTATGTGTGTTTATTCTTACTTCTTCTCTTTTCTCACACAAAATATAGCATACTATAAACACTGTTTGGCTGGGCGTGGTGGCTCACGCCTGTAATCCCAGCACTTTGGGAGGCTGAGACGGGCGGATCACCTGAGGTCAGGAGTTTGAGACCAGCCTGGCCAACATGGCGAAACCCTGTCCCTACTAAAAATACAAAAATTAGCTGGGCGTGGTGGCGCATGTCTGTAATCCCAGCTACTCGGGAGGCTGGGGAAGGAGAATCACTTGAACCCGGGTGGTAGAGGTTGCAGTGAGCTGAGATCGTGCCACTGCACTCCAGCCTGTGCTACGGGAGTGAGACTCCATCTCAAATAAATAAATAAATAAATAAATAAACACTGTTTTTTTTTTTGTTGTTGTTGTTTTTGAGATGGAGTCTCGAACTGTGCCCAGGCTGGAATGCAGTGGTGTGATCTCAGCTCACTGCAACCTCCGCCTCCAGGGTTCAAGAGATTCTTCTGCTTCAGCCTCCCGAGTACCTAGGATTAAAGGAGCATGCCACCTCACCCAGCTAATTTTTGTATTTTTAGTAGAGATGAGGTTTCTCCGTGTTGGCCAGGCTGGTCTCAAACTCCTGATCTCAAGTGATCTGCCCTCCTCGGCCTCCCAAAGTGCTGGGATTACAGGTGTCAGCCACCGTGCCTGATCAACACTGTTTTGCACCTTGCTTTTTAGACATAATGATACATTTTGGAAATTAATTGGTATTATTATATACTGTAGTGGGTTACATTTTTTCCCCAAAAGATGTATCCAGAACCTGAGGATACGACCTTATTTGGAATAAGAGTCTTTGCAGATGTAATTAAGGTAAGAATCTTAAGCTGGGCACTATGGCTCACGCCTGTAATCCCAACACTTTGGGAGGCCAAGGCAGGCGGATCACCTGAGGTCAGGAGTTTGAGACCAGCCTGGCTAACATGGTGAAATGCCGTCTCTACTAAAAATACAAAAATTTAGCCAGGTGTGGTGACACGCGCCTGTAATCCCAGCAACTTGGAAGGCTGAGGCAGGAGAATCACTTGAACCCGGGAGGTGGAGGTTGCAGTGAGCCGAGATGGCACCACTGAAGTCCAGCCTGGACGACAGAGCCAGACCTTGCCTCAAAAATTAAAAAAAAAAAAAAAAAAAAAGACAAGACCATTCTGGATTAATGTGAGCCCTAAATCCAGTTGGGAGTGTCCTTATAAGAGAAAAGACAGGGAGTTTTGGCTGGGTGCGGTGGCTCATGCCTGTAATCCCAGCACTTTGGGAGGCCAAGCTGGGTGGATCACAAGGTCAGGAGTTCAAGACCAGCCTGAGCAACATGGTGAAACCCCCGTCTCTACTAAAAATACAAAAATTAGCCATGGATGGTGGTGCGCACTGTAATCACAGCTACTCGGGAGGCTGAGGCGGGAGAATCGCTTGAACCCGGAAGGCAGAGGTTGCAGTGAGCCAAGATCGTGCCTCTGTACTCCAGCCTGGGTGACAGAGCAAGACTCCACCTCAAAAAAAAAAAAAAAAAAAAAAAAAGAGAGGGAGTTTTGAGACAGAGGGGAAGGCCTTGTGAAGATGGAGGTAGAGATTAGAGTGATGCAGTTATAAACTAAAGGATGCCAAGGATTGCAGGCAGCCACCAGAAGCAAGGAGAGAAGCATGGAACATATTCTCCTTCAGAGCCTCCAGAAGGAATCAACTCTGCTGATACCTTGATTTTGGTTTTCTGGCTTCCAGAACTGTGAGATAATAAAGCTCTGTTGTCTTAAGCCACCAAATTTATAGCAATTTGTTATGGCAGTCACAATAAACTAATACAGAGACCTTCCTCATGCTTTTTTTTTTTTTTTATGACTGAATAGTATCCTTCGGTGTCTGTACAATGGTTTATTCAATCAGTTTTCTATTGATGGACATGTGAATTGTTCCCAAACTTTTGTTTGTACAGATAATGCCCAGGTATAATTTACATTTGTTTCCGAGAAGTGGGATTGCTGGGTCAAAAACTGTAAATGCGTTTGTCTTTTTGCTAAATATGAGCAAATTCCCCTCCATAGGGGCTGTAATATTTTGCACTCCAACCAGCAATGAATGAGAATGCCTACTTCTCCACAGGCTCACCAACAGAGTACATTTTCAAACTTGAATTTTTGCCAATCTGATCAATAAGACATGGTATTTCAGTGTACCGATCAGTTGCATTTCCCTTATTATGAGTGAAGTTGAACATTTTTTCATGTTTGAGACTCCTTGCTTTTTTCTATGAACCCTCTGATCATGTCTTTCACTGATTTTTCTATTTGTTTTTTTCTTCTCAATTGTTAAGAACTTTTGCAACATAATTATAATTTGCAAATTTTTTGTTTCTTATATTTCTTTTGTCCATGTCTATGGTTTTTTACCATGTCCCCCCAACATTTTTTTTCAATTATTATTATTATTTTTGTTTGTTTGTTTTGAGACGGAGTCTCGATCTGTCACCCAGGCTGGAGTGCAATGGCATGATCTCGGCTCACTGCAACCTCCGCCTCCTGGGTTCAAGCGATTTTCCTGCCTCAGCCTCCTGAGTAGCTGGGATTACAGGTGCATGCCACCACGCCCAGCTAATTTTTGTACTTTTAGTAGAGATGGGGTTTCACCATGTTGGCCAGGCTGGTCTTGAACTCCTGACCTCAAGTGATCTGCCCTCCTTGGCCTCCCAAAGTGCTGGGATTACAGGTGTGAGCCACCGCACCCGGCCTTTCTTCAATTTTTAACACAAAAGGACTGTTGATGCTTCCCAGCCTAAGAAGCCTTTCTGACCTATATCCTTCTCTGAGTCTATGCTGAGCTATATTCTACTCTGATTGCTCGCCAGTGTCTGACTCCTTCTCTCTATCAGTCTTTCTCAATTAGAATCAGAGATTTTAGCTACACTATAGCTCCTATCACTCTTTTTTCTTTTTATATCTCAGATTGATTTCCTCAGAAAGCAAAGCCTGAGACAGAGGACATATATGTTGTTTCCCCATTGGGGGAGCAAAGCAGAGAAGGACGGAGAGCCAATGAAATGGTGTGTTATCAAGCTGGCCATCTTTATGTGCAATATGATTGCTCAATCTGTGGGACTGTGCCCCAGAGAAGCCCCATAAACTCTGTCTCAGGACTTCTCTAGCTGACGGAAGCAGGAGGAAGCTGGGGCAGGAGACAGGGACAACAAAGAGGAACGAATTGATTCATTGTCTCCTGTCTCTCTTGGGTGGAAATTTGCCGATTGACCCAGTCATCAAATCTAAACTTTTTTTCTTTTTTTTTTTTTGAGACAGGGTGTCACTCTGTCACCCAGGTGTGAGTGCAGTGGTGAGATAATGAAACCACCTTTGCAAAATTATGACTGAGACAGGGAATGAGATCTAAGTTTTTTTTTTTTTTTTTGAGACAGAGTCTTGCTGTCACCCAGGCTGGAGTGCAGGGGCCATCTCGGCTCACTGCAATCTCTGCCTCCTGGGTTCAAGCGATTCTCCTGCCTCAGCCTCCCGAGTAGCTGGGATTACAGGCATGCGCCACCATGCCTGGCTAATTTTGTATTTTTAGTAGAGACAGGGTTTCTCCATGTTGGCAAGGCTGGTCTCGAACCCCTGACCTCAGGTGATCCACCCGCCTCGGCCTCCCAAAGTGCTAGGATTACAGGTGCAAGCCACCACTCCTGGCCCCTCACAGGCTTCTCTAACCACAGGCTTATACAAGGGATGCATCACTTGTTTCCTTACTCTTTACTCATATTGAGAAAAGTCCTGGATTTTTAAGTCGGACAATAGAAATACAGCCGGGAGCCTGGTAAAAGAGAGTGGTTTGAGGTTCTTTTTTTGAATAAAGTGACCATAACCCTATCAGAAAACTATCATTCAATGAGTTGACCTTATTAAGAGTTTAGACTTGGCCGGGCACAGTGGCTCACACCTGGAATCCCAGCACTTTGGGAGGCCGAGGCGGGAGGATCCCTTGAGCCCAGGAGTTCGAGACCAGCCTGGGTAACATAGCAAGACCCTGTCTCTACAAAAAATAACCAGACATGGTGGAGCATGCCTGTATTCCCAGCTACTAGGAAGGCTGAGGCAAGAGGATCATTTGAGCCCGGGAGGTCGAGGCAGCAGTGAGCCATTATTGTAACTGCCCAATGGGTTCACCTTGCCTGCTGCCTAGACAGAGCCGATTCATCAAGACAGAAGAATTGCAATAGAGAAAGAGTAATTCACGCAGAGCCGGCTGTGCGGGAGACCGGAGTTTTATTATTACTCAAATTACTCAAATCAAATCGGGGAGCAGAGTTTTTAAGGACAACTTGGTGGGTGCGGGGAAGCCAGTAAGCCGAGAGTGCTGACTGGTTAGGGATGAAATCATAGGGAGTCGAAGCTGTCTTCTTGTGCTCAGTCAGTTCCTGGGTGGGGCTCACAAGATCAGATGAGCCAGTGTTTCAATCTGGGTGGTGCCAGCTGATCCGTCAAGTGCAGGGTCTGCAAAATATCTCAAGCACTGGTCTTAGGAGCAGTTTAGGGAGAGTCAGAATCTTGTAGCCTCCTGCTGCATGACTCCTAAACCATAATTTCTAATCTTGTGGCTAATGTTAGTCCTACAGAGGCAATCCAGTCCCCAAGCAACAAGGAGGTCTGCTTTGGGAAAGGGCTGTTAATCGTCTTTGTTTTAAACTATAAGCTATAGTTTAAAGTTTCTCCCAAATTTAGTTCAGCCTATGCTCAAGAATGAACAAGGACAGCTTGGAGGTTAGAGGCAAGATGGAGTAGGTGAAGTTAGATATCATTTGGTGGGCCACGGTGGCTCACTCCTGTAATCCCAGCACTTCGGGAGGCTGAGGCAGGTGTATCACCTGAGGTCAGGAGTTCGAGACCAGCCTGGCCAACATGGTGAAATCCTGTCTCTACTAAAAATACAAAAAATTAGCCGGGCATGGTGGCGTGCGCCTGTAGTCCCAGCTACTTGAGAGGCTGAGGCAGAAGAATCGTGTGAACCCAGGAGGCAGGTATTGCAGTGAGCCAAGATCACGGCACTGCACTCCAGCCTGGGTGACAGAGTATGACTCTGTATAAAAAATAAAAAGAGAAGTCTGGGAGGGGAACACTCAACACCTTGCCTTGGGGGAAGGGGACAGAGGGGGTGGCGGTGGAACATCAGCAAAGGCTCCCTGCAGAGCAGTGACTTATGACTAGGCTTGCCTTGGGTATGGAAATTTCCACCATTAGGCTTGGTCCTTTGGGTAAAGCAGTGTTTAACTGAAATCCCCATTCAGTAATTCATGATGTCATTAAAACTTTGTGGTGGATTATTTATAAATCTTCAGAGAAGGCCTCAAGGGGGATGTAGGAGATGCTTCTTGATGATGTGAGATCATTCTAAGACACTGGAGAGAGGGCAGGGATGGATGAGGCACTGCCAGGGTTTCCTGGGGAGCAACCTCTGGGGCCTCACAAAGGCTCTGAAGAGAGTGACATTGACAGAGGAAGACGGCAATGGAGAAGGAGGACAGGCAAATGTTGTCTGGTCACCTTGGTGGTCATACCTGACTGTCCTTCCCAGAGGTGACACCAACATTGTCCCCTTGAGTAGCCCAGTGCAGTAGTATCACTGTGGAGGTGTAAGAACATACACTGAAATTATACCAAGAGTTTTATGCAGGGCTTAAGGTGTTAAAACAGTGGAGGGGGGATGGGGCAAAGGGGCAGCAGGGGCAATAACTAGCAAAAATGCAAATGTGTTCACAGTTTGGCCCAGAAGTTCCACTTCTACAAATCAATTGTGAATTATTGGAAGGGTATGGTGACTCACGCCTGTAATTCCAGCACTTTGGTAAGCAGAGGCGGGGGGGAGAGGGGCAGTTTGTGAGGGGTGGTGATTGCCTGAGGCCAGGAGTTCAAGACCAGCCTGGGCAATGTAGCCAGACCCTCATCTCTACAAAAATAAACAAAAGGCAAATGTAAATTACACCTGAACAGATTTGAAGTAACATATGCACAAGGTTATTTATTGAGCTTTTTTTTTTTTTGAAGATAGGGTTTCACTCTGTTGCCCAGGCTGGAATGCAGTGGCACCATGTTGGCTCACTGCAACCTCTGCCTCCCTGTTACAAGCGATTCTTCTGCCTTAGCCTCCCAAGTACTTGGGATTACGGGCGCCTGCCACCATGCCGGGCTGATTTTTATTTTTATTTATTTATTTATTTTTTGTATCTTTGTATTTTCAGTAAAGATGGAGTTTCACCATGTTGGCCAGGCTGGTCTTGAACTTTTGACCTCATTGAACTTCTGACCTCAGGTGATTTGCCCGCCTTGGCCTCCCAAAGTGCTGGGATTACAGGCGTGAGCCACTGTGCCCTACCAGTGAGCATTATTGGTACAAACAAAAGTTTGGGAGCAATCTACATGTCAATAGGAAACTACTGAATAAACCATCCTACAGCCACACAAGGAATACTAATCAGCCACAGCTATCCCAAAACATAGATCTGTGTATTCTTGAACAAACTCTTTTGGAAACATTTAATTCCTCTAAATTAGATCAACAAGGAGGCAACACGTTCGGAGCATTAGAAGTTTTAACCTTTTTAGCACATAAATGACTGAAAAACTGCACAAATGAAAGACTCCCTCTTGCAACAACCTCTGCTTTCACTCTTCTGCGTTTTGAATGAGGAGAAACCTTAGCCTGAGCATTTCAAAGCCTTAAAGATAAATCTTAGGAAGATTTATTTTATTTTATTTTTAGAGGCAGGGTCTCCCTCTGTTTTCCAGCCTCAATATCCTGGGCTCAAGTGTTCCTCCTGTCTCAGCCTCCCAAGTAGTTGAGACTATAGGTGCACACCACCACTCTTAGCTAATTTTTTTTTTTGAAACTGGGTTTCACTATGTTGCTCAGGCTCCTGGTCTCAAGGGATCCTTCTGCCTCGACCTCTCAAAGTGCTGGGATTACAGGTGTGAGCCACCATGTCTGGCCTGAAAGGTATTTCTCAGAAGTGACTCTAACTCCATAATATCACAACCTGCTACACTGAGGGAGGAAAGTCATAGATTAAAATATGATACTTAGAAACGCAGGACCATAAGAATTGAAAACTTGCAAAAATTGAGAAAATTAGAGTTCATCATCTTAAGAATTTAAGTAATTTGGGTATACACCCCAGAACTCCAGCTATTTCAGGATTTCAGAGTATAATATGTGTATTCTCAAGAAGACCTTGAGATGTTTTCAAAACAGCAGATGCATAAATTCCTTTTAAAGGGTAAAGAATAAATGTTTTGAAAGGGGAGAACTACAAAAATCTTCAGAGAAATCTAGTTTGAAAAGTCCTCAAAAAATGGGTCTCTATTTTCTAAAAAATAACTTGTGCATTGTAAGAAATATATATTATTTTATATTTAAATGGAGGCTTTACTTTGGTAAAGTTATTATACACTTAAAAAACTTATAAGTAGTGTTGAAGATAAAACCAGTTATCAAATCAAAGGACAATAAACACTTCTCCATGTTAAGACTTAATTCTAGGCTGGGCGCAGTGGCTCTCACCTGTAGTCCCAGCACTTTGGGAGACGGAGACAGGAGATTCTCTTGAGTCCAGGGGTTCAAGACCAGCCTGGGTTACAGAGGGAGACCCCTGTCTCTACAAAAAATACAAAAATTAGCTGGGCGTGGTGGTGCACACTTGTAGCTCCAGCTACTAGGGAGGCTGAGGTGGGAGGATTGCTTGAGCCCAGGAATTTGAGGCTGCCTGGGCAATAGAGGGAGACCCTGACTCTTTAAAACACATACACACACACACACACACACACACACACACACACACAAACTAAAAAAAAAACAAACCTTTTTTTTTTTCACTGCATGGAAAGGAAATAATCTTATTTTGGGGTCTGGCTGCTATACTAGTGTATCATTTGATTAGGCTTATAGAATTGCTTTTTTTTTTGAGAGAGAGAAAGATGGGATCTCACTTTGGCTCTGTCGTGCAGGCTGGAGTGCAATGACATGATCACATTTCACTGTAACCTCCCAACTTCCAGGCTCCAGTGATCCTCCCACCTCAGCCTCCCGAATAGCTGGAACTACAGGCATGTGCCACCACGTCTGGATAATTTTTAAAAATTTTGGCTGGGCACAGTGGCTCACGCCTGTAATCCCAGCACTTTGGGAGGCCGAGGCAAGCGGATCACCTGAGGTCAGGAGTTCGAGACCAGCCTGGCCAACATGGTGAAACCTCGTCTCTACTAAAAATACAAAAATTAGCCGGGTGTGGTGGCACGTGCCTGTAATCTCAGCTACTTGGGAGGCTGAGACAGGAGAATTGCTGGAACCTGGGAGGTGGAGGTTGCAGTGAGCCGCGATCATGCCATTGCACTCCAGTCCGGGCTGACAACAGCAAGACTTCGTCTCAAAAAAAAGTTTTTTTTGTAGAGAAAGGGTCCTGCCAAGTTGCCCAGGCTGGTCTCCAACTCCTGGGCTCAAGCGATCCTCTTGTCTCGGCCTCCCAAAGTGCTGGGATCACAGGTGTGAGCCACTGTGCCCTGCTTAGAGTCGCTATTATGCTCAGAATATGCAAGTATTGGCCAGGCGTGCTGGCTCATGCCTGTAATCCTAGCACTTTGGGAGGCCGAAGTGGGTGGATAGCTTTGAGCTCAAGAGTTCGAAAATATGCAGGTATAATTTTCTTAGGCACCAAGATTATACAGTGTCTAGCTGTATAATAAAATTAGTTTCTGCTTTGTTTTGTTTTGCTTTGCTTTTAGACATTAAGCTTAATGTAGGAAATAAATGGAATAAAATAAATAGTGTTTGGAATGACTAGGACATCAGTTATTGTTTTGCTTTTATATTGTACTTGGACATCCAGTTAAGGCTTCTTAGGAGATGCCCTGTTTTGAACTCTTAAAAGAATAAAAACACTCCCACATATGGCTGTGCTAACATATGGTCTCTCTAATGACAGAACAAACAAGACACCTACTCATCTTAAACAAATTTTAGCATAAGACACGAACAAATGATCCATTAATGCTGAATATTTCTGGGGACATTCCAATGGGAAATGAAGATTTATATGCATCAGGTTGGATGGGCACCCAAAAAATGTTGACGTGGAAGTGAGAAAACATAATCTGACAAGGATGTATGCTATTCGGGAGTTAACTAAATGTTATCGGAAATTATAAGCATGGAACTTTGGGATGATATTCAGAGAGGTTTGGTATTTTTTTGTTTGTTTGTTTGTTTGTTTGTTTTTGTTTTGTTTTGAGACAGTTTTGCTCTTGTTGCCCAGGCTGGAGTGCTGTGGCACGATCTTGGCTCACCGCAACCTCCGCCTCCTGGGTTCAAGCGATTCTCCTGCCTCCGCCTTCCTGAGTAGCTGGGATTACAGGCATGTGCCACCACACCAGGCTAATTTTGTATTTTTAGTAGAGATGGGGGTTTCTCAACGTTGGTCAGGCTGGTCTCAAACTCCTGACCTCAGATGATCCGCCCACCTCAGCCTCCCAACGTGCTGGGATTACAGGCGTGAGCCACCGTGCCCAGCTGAGGTTTGGTATTTTTTATCAAAGGAGAATGAACATAAACACACTTAACCTGGCACTCAAAAGCTGTTAGCCTCCCCTCCGCTTTCTTTTTTTCTTTTTCCTTATTTATTTTTTGAGACAGAGCCTCACTCTGTGGCCCAGGCTGGAGTGAGGTGGCACAATCTCGGCTCACTGAAACCTCCACTTCCCAGGTTCAAGTGATTCTCCTGCCTCAGCCTCTCGAGTAGCTGGGATTACAGGGGTGTGCCAGCACACCCGGCTAATTTGTGTACTTTTAGTAGAGAGGGCGTTTCACCATGTTGGCCAAGCTGGTCTTGAACTCCTGACCGGCCTCTCAAAATGCTGGGATTACAGGCTTGAGCCACCTCGCCCAGCCCCCTCTGCTTTCTTGATGAAGAAAGCCTTATTATACTATCCTCCATTCTAGGTAAATAGAGTTTACTAACTTGCCCACAATTCAACGTACTTTTGGTGACCCGAAAATGTAGGTAACAAAGAATAGTTTTCTGTTCCGTTGCGGTGGCTCATGCGTATAATCCCAGCACTTTGGGAGGCTGAGGCGGGTAGATTGCTTGAGCCCAGGAGTTAGAGACCAGCCTGGACAATATAGTGAGATCTCGTCCCTACAAAAAAATAAACATTAGCTGGGTGTGGTGGTGCACGCCTGTAGTCCCAACTACTCGGGAGGCTGAGGCAGGATGATCGAAAGCTCATACTTACTGTTATTTCAAAAGTGTGGAGCCTCAGAAGAGGGGCTCTGTGCTCCTTGTTTAATGATGGCAGCATCTAGGCAGCTCCCTTTCCCGCCCCTGCCCACCTCCAAATCCCCACACACAGAGCCCATGCACAGTTCTTGCTCTCCAAGGCAACTTTCCACGCAAGATGGAGATCTGTTTCCTTTCTCCCTGTCAATCCTGGGAAGAAGTGATAATTACCTAGGAAGTCCTTTGCTGAGACCCTGGGAGTCAACAGTAACCCTTCAATTCCTTTCCACGCTTCACTCCAAGTAGTACCCAACCTCCCCTCCTGATCTTTTTCTCTACAAGGATTCTCACTATCCTTGGAAAATGACTTCTTGCTCCAGTTCACTCTTTGCCCATTTTCTTCTTCCAGCTCCAATCGCAATTCACAGATTCCTGCTTTAACAAAAAGGTTATGCTGGCCAGGCACGGTGGCTCACGCCTGTAATCCCAGCACTTTGGGAGGCAGAGGCTGGTGGATCACAAGGTCAGGAGATTGAGACCATCCTGGCCAACGTGGTGAAACCCTGTCTCTACTAAAAGTACAAAAATTAGCCGGGTGTGGTGGCACGTGCCTGTAATCCCAGCTACTCCGGAGGCTGAGGCAGGAGAATCGCTTGAACCAGGGAGACGGAGGCTGCAGTGAGCCGAGATCATGCCATTGCACTCCAGCCTGGCAACAGAGCAAGACTCTGTCTAAAAAAAAAAAGGTTTTGCCTCCTCCTTAATCACTCTACAGTCCTGAATAGATTTCAAAGTGCATCATTTGACTGCTAACTTCGGTTTTTTGTTTCTTTTTTTTTTTTTTTTTGAGACAGGGTCTTGCTCTGTTGTCCAGGCTGGAGAGCAGTGGCGCCATCATGGCTCACTGCAGCTTCAATCTCCTGGGTTCAAGCAATCCCACCCCCCACCCCAGCCTCCCAAGTAGCTAGGACTATAGGCGCATGACACCATGCCTAATTTTTTTTTTTTTTGAGACTGAGTTTCTTGTTGCCCAGGCTGGAGTGTAATGGCCTGATCTTGGCTCACCGCAACCTCCGCTTCCCGGGTTCAAGTGATTCTCCTGCCTCAGCCTCCCGAGTAGCTGGGATTATAGGCATGCGCCACCATGCCCGGCTAATTTTGTATTTTTAGTAGAGATGGGGTTTCTCCATGTTGGTCAGGCTGGTCTTGAACTCTCAACCTCAGGAGATCTGCCCGCCTCGGCCTCCCAAAGTGCTGGGATTACAGGTGTGAGCCACCATGCCTAGCCACCTAATTTTTTTAAAAATATCTTTTGGGACAGGCGAGGTGGTTCACACCTATAATCCGAGCCCTTTGAGAGGCCAAGGCAGGTGGATCATTTGAGGTCAGGGGTTCGAGACCAGCTTGGCCAACATGGTGAAACCCTGTCTCTACCAAAAGTACAAAAATTAGCCTGGCCTAGTGGCTTGCACCTGTAATTCCAGCTACTCAGGAGGCTGAGGCACAAGAGTCGCTTGAACCTGGGAGGCGAAGGTTGCAGTGAGCCAAGATTGCACCACTGTACTCCATCCTGGGCAACAGAGAGAGACTCTGTCTCAAAAAAAAAAAAAAAAAGAAAAGAAAAAGAAAAAGGCTGGGCGTGGTGGCTCACGCCTGTAATTCCAGCACTTTGGGAGGCCGAGGCGGGTGGATCATGAGGTCAGGAGTTCAAGACCAGCCTGGCCAAGATGGTGAAACCCTCTTTCTACTAAAAATACAAAAATTAGCCGGGCGTGGTAGCACGCACCTGTAATCCCAGCTACTCAGGAGGCTGAGGCAGAAGAATCACTTGAATCGGGAAGGCGGAGGTTGCAGTGAGCCGAGATCGCGCCACTGCATTCCAGCCTGGGCAACAGAGTGAGACTCCGTCTCAAAAAAAAAAAAAAAAAGAAAAAAAATTGTAGAAATGAGGTCTCGCGGCCGGGCCCAGTGGCTCACTCCTGTAATCCTAGTACTTTGGGAGGCCAAGGTGGGGGATCACCTGAGATCAGGAGTTCGAGACCAGCCTGACCAACATGGTGAAACCGCGTCTCTACTAAAAAATACAAAATTAGCTGGGCATGATGGCATGTGCCTGTAATCCTAGCTACTCAGGAGGCTGAGGCAGAAGAATTGCTTGAACCCAGAAAGTGGAGGTTGTGCTGAGCCAAGGTCACACCATTGCACTCCAGCCTGGGGCGACAAGAGTGAAATTCCATCTCAAAAAAAAAAAAAGAAAAAGAAAAAGAAATGAGGTCTCGCTATGCTGCCCAGGCTGTTCTCGAACTCCTGGCCTCAGACGATCCTCTTATCTTGGCCTCCCAAATTGCTGGGATTACAGGCGTGAGCCACTGCATCCAGCCTACTGCTAACCTTGAGTTCATAAGCTATCTTAATGCCTTGCTAATATCATAAAGTTAACACCTCTATTGAATTCCATTGGCTTCTGGACACTTTGCCTCTTTCACAACATCAGAAGCCTTCGGTCTTGTGGGAAAACGGTGGTTCAAGGAGGTCAGGTGGGAGTGCTGCCATCTGACTAATGCATTTTTACTCACCTTGGTCTACTGTCTATCCAAGCCAACAATCAAATACTTGTCAGCTGTTGGCCTTTCTCCACTCTCTCCCCATCTGCCATTTTGCAAGACATTTGCTAATGTCCCATTTTTTGTAGAGACAGGGTCTTGCTTTGTTGCCCAGGCTGATCTCAAACTCCTGGCCTCAAGCGATCCTCCTACCTTGGCCTTCCACAGTGTTGGGATTAGGGGCACATGCCCTAAGATTGGGCATGAATTGCATAATCTCAGGACGCAGCCAAGGTTGGCACTTGGCATCAGAAATTCTATTGAAAATGGTAACACTGAAGTCTGTAATAATGTCCTGACTACTCATCCTTGTCTTTTGTTGACTGATCCCAAAGGATGCAAGCTGTAATGTGTTTTCTTTGCAGTGCTTTCTTCTTTTTTAATTAAAAAAAATTTTTTTAATTAATCGAGATGAGGTCTTACTATGTTGCCCAGGCTGGTCGCAAACTCTTGGCCTCAAGTGACCCTGTGGCCTCGGCCTCTCAGGGTGCTGGGATTATAGGCATGAGCCACCGCACCTGGCCAGGGCTTTATTCTGAGCACAACTCCTGTGGCTTCAACCACTGTTACAGGAACTTCTGTGAGGCCAGGGGAAATGCATTTCATAACTCATGCACTGATTTTTGATGTTCTGATTATGAGATCCGATTAGATTTTTTTTCCCCTCTGGCCATGAAGATGTTTTACAAATTACCTTGTAGACAATCCTAGCATATCAACTGCTTATTTGTAGTCAATTTCAGTTAACATTGAGGGTAAGCAGGGCACACATAAAAATATCTTTATTTGGCTTCTTGAGGCTGCTGTAATAGATTACTACAAACTTCGTGGCTTAAACAACAAAAATTTATTCTCTCACAGTTTGGAGACCAGAAGTCTGAAACCTGGCAAAGCCATGCTTCCTTAGGGGATAATCCAGGAGAGAAGCCATTCCTTGTCTCTTCCAGCTTCCAGTGGCTGCCAGCATTCCTGGGTTTGTGACTGCATCACTGCAAGCTCTGCCTTTGTATTCACATTGTCTTCACATCACCTTCTCATATCTCTTATCCCCCACTGGCTCTCACTTATAAGGACCCTTGTGATGGCATTTAAAGCCCACCCAGCTGGGCGAAGTGGCTCATGCCTGTAATCCCAGCTACTTGCGAGGCGGAGGCAGGAGAATTGCTTGAACCTGGGAGGTGGTGGAGGTGGCAGTGAGCCGAGATCAAGCCATTGCACTCCAGCCTGGGCAACAGAGTGAGACTCCATCTCAAAAAATAAATAAATAAGTAAAAATAAAGCCCACCTTGATGGGTGCGGTGGCTCACACCTGTAATCCCAGCACTTTGGGAGGCTGAGGTGGGCAAATCACTTGAGGCCAGAAGTTGGAGACCAGCCTGGCCAACATTATGTGTACAGGATGTACACATACTGTACTGTATTCACATTGCTGTGCAGTGGATCTCTAGAACTCTTCTTGCAAAAATCAAACTTAAGGCCGGGCACGGTGGCTCACGCCTGTAATCCCAGCAGTTTGGGAGGCCGAGGTAGACAGATCACCTGAGGTCAGGAGTTCGAGACCAGCCTGACCAACATGGTGAAACCCCGTCTCTAGTAAAAATACAATATTAGCAGGGCATGGAGGCTCATGCCTGTAATCCCAGCTACTCAGGAGGCTGAGGCAGGAGAATCACTTGAACCTGAGAGGCGGAGGTTGCAGTGAGCCAAGATCGTGCCTTTGCACTCCAGCCTGGGCAACAAGAGTGAGACTCCATCTCAAAAAAAAAAGTCAAACTCCATATCCAACTCCCTGTTCTCCATCCCCCAGCCCCTGGCAACCACCATTCTGCTATTTTTATGAATTTGACTACTCTTGGTAATTCATATAAGTGAAATCATACAATGCTTGTCTTTTTGTGACTGGCTTATTTCACTTACCATAAAGTCTTCAAGGCTCATCCATGTTGTAGCATTTGTCAAGATTTCTTTCCTTTATTTATTTATTTTTCTTTTTGAGACAGAGTCTCACTCTGTCACCCAGTCTGGAGTGCAGTGGCATGATCTTGGTTCACTGCAACTTCCACCTCGAGGGTTCAAGCGATTCTCCTGCCTCAGCTTCCCAAGTAGCTGGGACTACAGGTGTGTGCCATCATGCCCGGCTAATTTTTGTCTTTTTAGTAGAGACAGGGTTTCGCCATGTTGGCCAGGGTGGTCTCGAACTCCTGACCTCAGGTGATCCATCTGCCTAGGCCTCCCAAAGTGCTGGGATTATAGGCGTGAGCCACCATGCCCAGCCAGGATTTCCTTCCTTTTTAAGGCTGAATAGTATTCCATTGTATGTGTATACAATTTTCTTTCTTTTTTTTTTTTTTTTGAGATGGAGTCTTTGTTTTCTTGCCCAGGCTGGAGTTCAGTGGCACAGTCTCAGCTCACTGCAACCTCCACTTCCCAGGTTCAAGTGATTCTCCTGCCTAAGCCTCTCGAATAGCTGGGATTACAGGCAGTTGCCACCACACTTGGCTAATTTTTTTTTTGAGACCGAGTCTTGCTCTCTCACCGAGACTGGAGTGCAGTGGCGTGATCTTGGCTCACTGCAACCTCTACCTCCCAGGTTCAAGTGATTCTGCTGCCTCCGCCTCCTGAGTAGCTGGGACTACAGGCGTGTGCCACCATGCCCAGCTGATTTTTATATTTTTATTTGTATTTATTTATTTATTTTTGAGATGGAGTCTAGCTTTGTTGCCCAGGCTGGAGTGCAGTGGTACGACCTGGGCTCACTGCAACCTCCACCTCCCAGGTTCAAATGATTCTCCTGCCTCAGCCTCCCGAGTAACCGGGACTACAGGCACCTGCCACCACGCCGAGCTAATTTTTTTTTTTTTTTTTTTTAGTAGAGATGGGGTTTCACCATGTTGGTAAGGCTGGTCTTGAACTCCTGACCTCAAGTGATCTGCCTACCTCAGCCTCTTGAAGTGCTGGAATTACAGGTGTGAGCCACAACGCCCGGACTAATTTTTGTATTTTTAGTAGAGATGGGGTTTCACCATGTTGGCCAGACTGGTCTTGAACTCCTGACCTCAGGTGGTCCACCTTCCTTGGCCTCTCAAAGTGCCAGGATTACAGGCATGAGCTACAGCACCCAGCTTCAGGTATTTTTTTATAGCAGTGTGAGAACAGACTAATACATACTTCTTGACTGTTGTGAATAATGCTGCAATTAACATGAAAGTACAGACATCTCTTTGAGATAATGAATTTGATGCTCTTTGATAACTTAGTTGGTAAAGTGGAGGACTGTAGGGGTTAAGATAATGAATTTGTTGCATTTGGACTTATATTCAGAAATGGGATTACTAGAGCCTATGGTAGTTCTATTTTTAATTTTTTTGAGGAACCTTTGTACTGTTTTCCTTAGCAGCTACAAAATTTTACATTCCCACCAACATTTGGATTCTAATTTCTTTATGTCTTTGCCAACAATTATTTTCTTTTTCTCTTTTTTTTTTGAGACAGAGTTTTGCTCTTGTCACCCAGGCTGGAGTGCAATGGCGTGATCTCCGCTCACTGCAACCTCCACCTCCCGGGTTCAAATGATTCTCCTGCCTCAGCCTCCCGAGTAGCTGAGATTACAGGCGCCCGCCACCACACCTGGCTAATTTTTTTTTTTTTTTGTATTTTTAGTAGAGACAGGTTTTCACTATGTTGGCCAGGCTGGTCTCGAACTCCTGGCCTCAAGTGATCCTCAGCCTCCTCAGCCTCCTCAGCCTGCCTCAGCCTCCCAAAGTGCTGGGATTACAAGTATGAGCCACCACACCCAGCCGCCAACAATTATTTTCTTTTGTTTCCAAGATAATAGTCATGCCAACAGGTGTGAGGTAATATCTCATCGTGGTTTTGATTTAAGAGGGCCTGATTTAAAAAACAATTTTTTATTGTGGTAAAAAACACATAACATAAAATTTACCATCCTAACCGTTTTTAAGAGTACAGTATAAAAGTGTTTATTACGCCAGGCGTGGTGGCTCACGCCTGTAATCCCAGCACTTTGGGAGGCTGAGGCGGGTGGATCACGAGGTCAGGAGGTCAAGACCAGCCTGGCCAACATGGTGAAACCCTATCTCTACTAAAAATACAAAAATTAGCCGGGCGCAGTGACAGGTGCCTGTAATCCCAGCTACTCGGCAGGTTGAGGCGGGAGAATCGCTTGAACCCAGGAGGCAGAGGTTGCAGTGAGCAGAGATTGTGCCACAGCACTCTAGCCTGGGTGACAGAGCAAGACTCTGTCTCAGAAAAAAAAAAGTGTTTATTACATGCATGTCATTTTTCAACAGATCTCAGGAACTTTTCCATATTTTAAAACTGATACTCTGTACTCTGTACCCATTTAAACAACTGTCCATTTGCCCCTCACTGCAGTCCCTGGCAACCATCATTCTACTTTCTGTTATAAAAGAGCCTGATTTTTTAAAATAAATTTTTCATCAAATTGTCATAATGCATGCAAAACGGTTGGCACAGTTCCTAGAATACAATAAGCTTTCAATGGATGGTGGCTATCAATAATGTCATCATCTGTAATGATCCAGGCATTGTGCTGGAGGCTGGAGATTCATAAACAGAAAGACCTGAGGTCCTTGTTCTGGAAGAGCTAGGACAGATGTTCATGGAGCTTATATAAGGGCTTTCAAACCGGAAAAGAGAAATGCAATTTTTTTTTTTTTGAGGTGGAGTCTTGCTCTGTCACCCAGGCTGGAGGGTAATGGTGAAACCTCGGCTCACTCCAACCTCTGTCTCCCGGTCTCCCGGGTTCAAGTGATTCTCCTGCCTCAGCCTCCCGAGTAGCTGGCATTACAGGCATACACTGGCACGTCCGGCTAATTTTTTGTATGTTTTAGTAGAGATGGGGTTTTACCATGTTGGCCAGCCTGGTCTCGAACTCCTGACCTCAGGTGATCCCCTAGCCTTGGCCTCCCAAAATGCTGGGATTACAGGTGTGAGCCACTGCGCCTGGCTAAATATAAATATTTTTAAGATGAAAAAACGTAGCTACATTAAAAACAAAAAGGATTACATTCAAAACCAACATACTGAAGGATGAAATGTGAGCTGTTATTAAGCTAATCCAAGAAAAAGAAAGTCTTCTATTATTCATCCCTGTAAATTAAAACAGCAGAGTTAAATGTTTACATGCATTGTAAGATTCATCTTAAATGTGATGTATATTGCAGGTCAAAGGTTAATGTCTGTAGCCAAAATAACAAGTTAGCAGATTAGTTAATTTAGTTCAGGTTTAAATTACTATTAGTAAGGCTAATAACTTCCTGGCTGTAAGTAAAATATCTTTATTTGAAAAAGGAAATATCATACAAGATAATAGCAAGGTGTAAGACAGTATGTATTATAAGATCATACTTTTAAAGCTAATGATAAATAAGCAAATAGGTCACTTGCTACATTCAACAGTTACTCTTAAAATCTTAAAATACTGAGCAAGTATTACTTTTTAAATGAGAAAATCTCAATATAGATACTACAAATAACAAAATAAATTCCTGGGAAAAAACAGACAACATTTTTTATGCAAAATACTTACGGAAAATTTTCTTCACAAATTTACGAAGATAAATCTCTAGCAAGACTGATCAAGAAAAAAATGAGTAAAACAAAATTAGGAATAGAAAGCAATTATTATTAAATTAATGTAGAAATTCAGAAATAATAGATAACACTGTTAACAAATTTGTGCCAATAAAGAACATATAAATGGGTAATTAAATACATATGTTTAATTAACATATTAAATATATATATATGTATCTCCAAAGTTGATCCAAGAAGAAATAGACTAGGCTGGGTGACAGAGGGAGCCCCGTTTCAAAAAAAAAAAAACAGAAGAAATAGAAGATGTGAGGAGACTGACTACTAACCATGGAGAGAAATTTAATTGGTAATAAATCATAAATCATCAAAGTCCCAGGTTAAGATAGTTTTACAGGTGAGTTTTATGAAATCCTTGAGATTCATTTATGCAAGCTATATCAGATAATAGAAAGAGAGAGCTATTTAATGTATTTTATGAGGAACAAGAAAATTATAGATTAACTTTACATCTAATTGCAAATTCCAAAATCTGAAATAAAATAATGACAACTTAAGTGCAACCCTGAATTAAAAAAATAATATAATATGACTAGGTAGGATTTATGGCAGGAGTGCAAGACTTGTTGAAAATCAGAACATTTTACCAACAGAATTAACCATATTAACAGATTAGAAGAACTCAGCCAGCCACGATGGCTCATACCTGTAATTCCAACACTTTGGGAGGCTGAGGTGGGAGGATCCCTTGAGCTCGGGAGTTCAAGACCAGCCTGGGCAACATAGTGAGATCCTGTATCTACAAATTTTTTTAAAAAAGAACTGCAGGGTCATGTTAGTAGATAGAAAAGAGATATGATAAAATTCATCAGTAATTCAGGATTAAAATTTATAGCAAACTGAGACTGTAGGAAATGGCCTTACCTTGAGAAAGGTATCTGAAAAAACCTAGAGCAAACTTCCTGTTTGATGGTGAAAATAAAGAAACATTAACTTTTGTTTGTTTGTTTTTTGTTTTGAGACAGAGTCTCGCTCTGTAGCCCAGGCTGGAGTGCAATGGTGCAATCTCCACTCACTGCAACCTCTGCCTTCTGGGCTCTGCTCCATCTCCTGCTTCAGCCTCCTGAGTAACTGGGACTACAGGCATGAGCCACCATGCCCGGCTAATTGTTTTTGTATTTTTAGTAGAGACGGGGTTTCTCTATGTTGGCCAGGCTGGTCTCAAACTCCTGCCTGAAGTGGTCTGCCAGCCCTGGCCTCCCAAAGTGCTGGGGTTACAGGCATGAGCCACCATGCCCAGCCACATTAACTTTTTAAATAAGACAAATGTGCCCATAATAATTACATTTATTCCAAATTGTGTTAGTTGTCCTAGCCAATGTAATAAGAAAGGAAAAGTAATTAGGAAGCATAGATTGCCAAGGAAGAGACCCAGTGCTGTTAATTGTAGACAATATGATTTGTCCAGATAGAAAACGAGGACAATATTTAGAATTAGTTTAGCACAGTTGCTGAATACAAGATCACTATAATAATAGTAATATTCCTAAACCCAATAATCAGTTATAAAATGCAATTGTATAAAATACAGTATTTTACTGCTTTTTTTCGTCTTTTTAGCTGCCTTCCATCCTGGAAAAAAAACATAGTATTTTACAAAGTTAGCTGGGCGTGGTGGCACACGCCTGTAGTCCCAGCTACTTGGTAGGCTGAGGCTGGAGAAACACTTGAACCCAGGAAGTGGAGGTTGCAGTGAGCTGAGATTGCACCACTGCACTCCAGCCTGGGTGACACAGTGAGACTCTGTCTCACCAAAAAAATAAAAAATAAAAAAATACATATATATATATATATATATACACACATACACATATATGAAGTATTTTAATAGCAAAAAAACTGAAAGAAAATACAAAACATTATGAAAAGACAAAAAAGTCACTGTAAATATCCTTTTATGACATTTAAGAATTACATAACTCCTTCTTTTACATTTTAATAATTTTAATTTCCTATAATGGACATTTACAGTTTTGAGGTTACAAGTTAACTTTTTTTCGAGGTGGAGTCTGTCTCTGTCACCCAGGCGGGAGTGCAGTGGGGCGATCTTGGCTCACTGCAACCTCCACCTCCTGGGTTCAAGTGATTCTCCTGCCTCAGCCTCCCGAGTAGCTGGGATTACAGGTGCACGCCACCACGGCTGGCTAATTTTTGTATTTTTAGTAGAGATGGAGTTTCACCATGTTGTCCAGGCTGGTCTCAAACTCCTGACCTCAAGTGATCCACCCACCTCAGCATCCCAAAGTGCTGGGATTACAGGCATGAGCCACCACGCCTGGCCTGGGAAATGGTTTGTAAATATTTTCTAAATTGTTCTTTTTTTTTTTTGAGACGGAGTTTCGTTCTTGTTGCCCACACTGGAGTGCAATGGCACGATCTTGGCTCACCACAACCTCCACCTCCTGGGTTCAAGCGATTCTCCTGCCTTAGCCTCCTGAATAGCTGAGATTACAGGCATGTGCCACCACTCCCGGCTAATTTTGTATTTTTAGTAGAGACGGAGTTTCTCCATGATAGTCAGGCTGGTCTCAAACTCCCAACATCAGGTGATCCATCCGCCTTGGCCTCCGCCTCCCAAAGTGCTGGGATTACAGGCGTGATCCACTGCTCCCAGCCCTAAATTGTTTTTTATCTAACCAGGTGTGATAGTATACCAATAGCGTTCATATTATTTTCAAGTTTTCTCATTAATTGCTAATTGCACCTTGAGGCTCTGACTTCAGACATATTTTCTAGTCATTGTGGACCTAAAGAATGTGGGGCAGGCCTGGAGCCGCCGGTGGCTCCTGCCTGTAATCCCAGCACTTTGGGAGGCGGAGGCGGGTGGATCACTTGAGGTCAGCAGTTCCAGACCAGCCTGGCCAACATGGTGAAGCCCCGTCTCTACTAAAAATACAAAAGATTAGCGGGGTGTGGTGGTGGGCGCCTGTAATCCCAGCTGTTCGGGAGGCTGAGGTAGGAGAAATGCTTGAACCCAGGAGGCGGAGGTTGCAGTGAGCCGAGATCGCGCCACTGCACTCCAGCCTGGGCCACAGAGCAAGACTCTGTCTCAAAAAAAAGAATGTAAGGCATACATTTTTTTGTTTCTACAATGTTTCTTCTATTTAGTCCCCCATCTTAAGTTGGCCGTACCCATGGACATTTCAATTCCAGTCTATTCTGGAAACTCCCAAGCCTTTTTTGTTTTGCTCAAGTTAGGAGTTCCTAATCTAAGATCCATGGACTTCTCAGTTTCCAGAGGAGTCTCTGAGTAGATTTAAGGAGTCTATAAACATAACAGGGAAAAAAAAATACTTATTTTCACTAACCTCTAATTTAAATTTTCATTCCTTTCAATTATCACGAAGGCATGCAAAATTATAGTTGATTTTGTCTTTGTTAATATTAAAGTTATATGTTTGAACCTTAGTTTATTTAAACAACTTCCCTTTTAAAAAGGTAAAAAGAAATTCAAATATATATGTATACATATATACATACACACATATATGTATACATACACATACACACATATATGTATACATACACATACACACATATATGTATACATACACATACACACATATATGTATACATACACATACGCACATATGTATACATATACATACGCACATATATGTACATATACATACGCACATATATGTACATATACATACGCACATATATGTACATATACATACGCACATGTATGTATACATATACATACGCACATGTATGTATACATATACATACGCACATGTATGTATACATATACATACGCACATGTATGTATACATATACATACGCACATGTATGTATACATATACATATATACATACGCACATGTATGTATACATATACATATATACATACGCACATGTATGTATACATATACATATATACATACGCACATGTATGTATACATATACATATATACATGCGCACATGTATGTATACATAAACATATACATACGCACATGTATGTATACATAAACATATACATACACACATGTATGTATACATATACACATACATACACACATGTATGTATACATATACATATATACATACACATACACATATGTATACATACACATATACACACATATACACATATATGTATACATACACATACACATATATGTATACAAACACATATACACATATATGTGTGCATACACATATACACATATATGTGTGCATACACATATACACATATATGTGTGCATACACATATACACATATATGTGTGCATACACATATACACATATATGTGTGCATACACATATACACATATATGTGTGCATACACATATACACATATATGTGTGCATACACATATACATATACACATACGTATGCATATACACATACGTATACGTATGCATATACACATATATGTGTACGTATGCATATACACATATATGTGTACGTATACATATACACATATATGTGTACGTATACATATACACATATATGTGTACGTATACATATACACATATATGTGTACGTATACATATACACATATATGTGTACGTATACATATACACATATATGTGTACGTATACATATACACATATATGTGTACGTATACATATACACATATATGTGTACGTATACATATACACATATATGTGTACGTATACATATACACATATATGTGTACGTATACATATACACATGTATGTATACCCTGTCTCTACTAAAAATACAAAAAATCAGCCAGGCGTGGTGGCAGGCGCCTGTAATCCCAGCTACTTGGGAGGCTGAGGAAGGGATAATAGCTTGAACCCAAGAAGGGGAGGTTGCAGTGAGCCAAGATCGCGTGCCACTGCACTCCGGAGTGGGTGACACAGTGAGACTCCATCTCAAAAACAAGAAAGAAAGAAAGAAAGAAAGAAAGAAAGAAAGAAAGAAAGAAAGAAAGAAAGAAAGAAAGAAAGAAAGGAAGGAAGGAAGGAAGGAAGGAAGGAAGGAAGGAAGGAAGGAAGGAAGGAAGGAAGGAAGGAAGGAAGGAAGGAAAAAGAAAAGAAAAGAAAAGAAAGAGAAATCTACAAATGCAAGGCAATTCAAAACAAAATCTAAACATGAATTTCCTTGGAACTTGACAAGCGAATTCTAAAACTCATATAAAAGATTAGAAGTACACAGTAGAAGGTATGAAGGGCAGGCCGGGCACGGTGGCTCAGGCCTATAATCCCAGCACTTTGGGAAGCAGAGGCGGGCAGATCACTTCAGTTCAGGAGTTCGATACTCACCTGGCCAACATGGTGAAACCCTGTCTCTACTAAAAATACAAACATTAGGCCTGGCGGGGTGGCTCACGCCTGTAACCCCAACACTTTAGGAGGCCAAGGTGGGCAGATTACTTGAGGTCAGGAGTTTGAGACCAGCCTGGCCCACATGGTGAAACCCTGTCCCTACTAAAAATACAAAAAATTAGCTGGGCCTGGTGGCGTGCACCTATAATCCTAGCTACTGGGGGAGCTGAGGCAGGAGAATCACTGGAACCCGGAAGGCGGAGGTTGCAGTGAGCTGACATCATGCCACTGCACTCCAGCCTGGGCAACAGAGGGAGACCCCATCTCAAAAATAAATAAATAAATAAAAAATAAATAAAATAAAAATATAAAAATTAGCCAGGCGTGATGGGGGGCACCTGTAGCCCCAGCTACTTCGGAAGCTGAGGCATGAGAATCACTTCAACCTGGGAGGCACAGGTTGCAGTGAGCCAAGATCATGCCACTGTACTACTCCAGCCTGGGTGACAGAGCAAGATTCTGTCTCAAAAAAAAGGAAGGTATCAAGGGTAGATCACAGAGGGCTTTGTAGGTCAGGGTAAGGAATTCAGATTTTTCCAAGTGTGGTGGGAACTGCACAATGTCTTAGTGCTAATCTCAATTACAAAAAAAACAAAAACAAAAAAACTCTGCCTGCAATGTGAAGAAATTCTGT
Source organism: Homo sapiens (assembly GCF_000001405.40). Lineage (NCBI taxonomy): Eukaryota > Metazoa > Chordata > Mammalia > Primates > Hominidae > Homo > Homo sapiens. The sequence continues at coordinate 44,599,957 of NC_000023.11, read as the reverse complement.
AGAATACTCAATAAGTTTCTGAAGAATAAGAAGTGAGATTTGCCCTACCAAACATTAAGACTTATTACAAAGCTATAGTAAAATAAACCAGTGTGCTAATAGTTCAGAGATAGATAAATAGATTAATTGAACATAATTTTAAAAATTTAGAAACAGACCCAAAAAATTATGGAAATTTCGTATACAGCAAAGGTAGCTTTATAAATCAATAGGGAAAAGATGACCTGATACTGGGGCAACTGAAGCCAAACAGAAAAACAATTTGATCTTAAACAAAAATGAATTCTAGGTGAACTAAAGGCTTAAATGTGAGAATAAAAACTTGCAAAAGAAAATGTAGTTTCTTTCCAGCAAGAGTAAAAATAAATATAAATAATCAAACAAAAGATCAGTAAGTTTGACTGAATTAAAACTTTTTTAAATATATGGTGGCTCATGCCTGTAATCCTAGTACTTTGGGAGGCAGAGGCAGGAGGATCCCTTGAGCTCAGGAGTTCGAGACCAGCCTGGGCAACATGGCGAAACCCTGTCTCTACAAAAAATTCAAAAAAATTAGCCAGGCCGGTGGCACATGCCTGTAGTCTCAGCTACTCAGGAGGGTGAAGTGGGAGAATCACCTGAGCCTGGGAGGTTGAGGCTGCAGTGAGCTGTGATCATCTCACTGCACTCAAGCCTGTGCAACAGAGACCCCTTCTCTAAAAAAAAAAAAAAAATTTAAATCTATACAAAAAAGAGACCATCAGCAATGTGAAAAAAAACAAGCCAGAGACTAATAAAAAGACATTTTCTTTTCTTTTTCTTTGAGACCTAGTTTCGCTCTTGTTGCCCAGGCTGGAGTGCAATGACGCTATCTCGACTCACTGTAACTTCTGCCTCCTGGGTTCAAGCGATTCTCCTGCCTCAGCCTCCCGAGTAGCTGGGATTACAGGCATGTGCCATCACATCCGGCTAATTTTATATTTTTAGTAGAGACGGAGTTTCTCTGTGTTGGCCAGGCTGGTCTCAAACTCCTGACCTCAGGTGATCCGCCCGCCTGAGCCTCCCAAAGTGCTGGAATTACAGGCATGAGCCACTGTGCCTGGCTTTCTTTTTTTTGAGCTGGACTGCAGTGGCATGATCTTGGCTTACTGCAACCTCCACCTCCCAGGTTCAAGCAATTCTCCTGCCTCAGCCTCCCGAGTAGCTGGGATTACAGGTGCCTGCCACCACATCCTGCTAATTTTTGTATTTTTAGTAGACACGGGGTTTCACCATGATAGCCATGCTAGTTTCGAACTCCTGACCTGAAGTGATCCACCCACCTCCACCCCGCAAAGTGCTAGAATTACAGGCGTGAGCCACCGTGCCCGGCCAAAAGACATTTTCAATATGCATAACTGCCTGAAGATTAGTATACAGACTGTCTGTAAAGAATTTCTATAAATCCAAGGAAAAAGAAAAAAAAAGGGACAATAAGCCTTTAGGAGGCAAGGAAACCCGCATGGTTAATAAGCATATGAAAGGACATGAAACGATACTCAATATGTAAAATGAAATGACATATTATATTCATATCCTTGAGGTTGACAAAAGTTAAGCAATCTAACAACACCAAGTACTGTCATGATAAAACAGGAAGTCTCATTGATTGCTAATAAAAAATGTAAATGAATACAACCAGTTTGGCAATTTCTAGTGAAATGTTTTTCTTCTTTTTTGAGACAGGGTCTGGCTCTGTCACCCAGGCTGGAATACAATGGCATGATCTTGGCTCACTGCCACCTCGACCTCCCAGGTTCAAGCAATCCTCCAACCTCAGCCTCCCAAGTAGCTGGGACCACAATTGTACACTAGTACACATGGATATTTTTAAAATTTTTTGTAAATACGGGATCTTACCTTGTCGCTGAGGCTGGTCTTGAACTTCTGTGCTCAAGTGATCCTTGTACCTTGGCCTCCCAAAGTGCTGGGATTACAGGCCTGAGCCACTGCACCCGTCCTCTCTAATGAAGACACTCAATAAGCACATGTTCTTTGACCTTACAAATTCACTTCATTGATAAAAAACTAAAGAAGTTCTCATTCAGAAATACAGGGAAAAATGCACAAGGATGTACATTTCTTAGCTAAAATTGTTAACATCTTTAACTTATTACACTACTTAATGTTTAGTATTAGAACTTTAGGCCAGGCACAGTGGCTCATGCCTGTAATCCCAGGACTTTGAGAGGCTGAGGTAGGAGGATCGCTTGCACCCAAAAGTTAAAGACCAGCCTGGGCAGCATAGCTTAAGACCCCATCTCCATTCTTGCACTGCTGTAAAGAACCACCTGAGACTTGGTAATTTATAAAGAAAAGAGGTTTAATGGGCTCACGGTTCTGCAGGCTGTATAGGAAGCATTACTGGGGAGGCCTCAGGAAACTTGCAATCATGAGAACAGCAAGGGGGAATCCACCCACATTATTCAGTCATCTCCCACCAGGCCCCTTCTCCAACATTGGGGGTTAAAATTTGACAGGAGCCAGGCACGGTGGCTCATGCCTGTAATCCCAGCACTTTGGGAGGCTGAGGCGGACCGATCACCTGAGGTCAGGAGTTTGAGACCAGCCTGGCCAACATGGTGAAACCTTGTCTCTAGTAAAAAAAAAAAAAAAAAAAAAAAAAATACAAAAAATTAGCTGGGCATGGTGGCAAGTGCCTGTAATCCCAGCACTTTGGGAGGCTGAGGCGGACCGATCACCTGAGGTCAGGAGTTTGAGACCAGCCTGGCCAACATGGTGAAACCTTGTCTCTAGTAAAAAAAAAAAAAAAAAAAAAAAAAAAAAAAAAAAAAAAAATACAAAAAATTAGCTGGGCATGGTGGCAAGTGCCTGTAATACCAGCTACTTGGGAGGCTGAGGCAGGAGAATCGCTTGAACCGGGAGGCGGAGGTTGCAGTGAGCCGAAATTGTGCCAGTACACTCCAGCCTGGGCAACAAGCACAAAACTCTGTCTCAAAAAAAAAAAAAGAAAGAAAGAAGAAAAGAAAAAATTCGAAATGAGATTTGGGCTGGTACACAAATTCAAACCATATTACCATCTCTACTAAAATTAAAAAATGTAAATTAAAAAAATAAAAGAAAAAGAGTTTACATTACACTTCTATTTCTCCCCTTTAGGCTTTTGTGCTATTGTTATCCTATATTTTACCTTTACATCTTATAAGCCCCACAAGATATTGTTTTTATTTTTGCTTTAAACATTCAATTATCTTTTATAGTTACTTAAATAATAAGAAAATGGTCATTTATATTTACTACTGTGGTAGGCAGAATAATGATCCCTCAAAAATGTCCACATCCTAATTCCTAGAACTTGTGAAATATGTTGCTTTTCATGGCAAGAGGACCTTGGAGATGTGATTAAGGTCATGGACTTTGAGATGGGGAGGTTATTCTGGATCACTAGGTAAGTCCAATATAATCACACAAGTCTTAAAAGTGGAAGAGGGAAGTGAAAGAGTGAGTCAGAGTGATGGAAGTGTGAGAAAGATTCTGAGATGTAGGAGGTCATGTGCAAGGACCACAGAACTCTAAAGGTTTAGGGTAACCCCCTCAGCTGACAGACGGCAAGGAAATAAATCCTTCCCTAGGGCCTCCAGAAAAGAACGTAGCCCTTCTAATACCCTGATTTTAGCTTGGTGAGACACATATCAATGTGTGATCTACAGACCTGTAACATGATAAATTTGGCCAGGTGCAGTGGCTCACGCCTGTAATCCTAGCACTTTGGGAGGCAGAGGCGGGCGGATTGCATGAGCTCAGGAGTTTGAGACCAGCCTGGGCAACATGGTGAAACCCCATCTCTACTAAAATACAAAAAAAAAAAAAAAAATTAGCCGGGCATGGTGGCATACACCTGTAGTCCCAGCTACTCAGGAGGCTGAGGCAGGAGAATTGCTTGAACCCACGAGGCGGAGGTGGCAGTGAGCCGAGATTGTGCCACTGCGCTCCAGCCTGGTGACAGAGCGAGACTCCATCTCAAAAAAAAGATAAATTTGTGTTGCTTTGATATACCAAATTTGTGGTAATTTGTTACAATAGAAAACTAGTATACTCCCACATATATATAGTACCTTCTTTACAAGTTTGTATAGATCCAAATTTCCATCTGGTACCATTTCCCTTCTGCCTGGAGGACTTCAACATTTTTCTTTTTTTCTTTTTTTTTTTGAGACAGGGTCTCACTCTGTCGCACAAGTTGGACTGCAGTGGCTTGATCTTGACTCACTACAACCTCTACCTCCTGGGCCCAAGTGATCCTCCCACCTCAGCCTCTTGAGTAGCTGAGACTACAGATGCACGCCACCATGCCTGACTAATTTTTGTATTTTTTGTAGAGGCGGGGTTTCGCCACGTCGCCTAGGCTGGAACATTTCTTGTAGTGCAGATCTTCTGATAATACATTATTTCAGGTTTTGTATGTACAAAATAGTCTTTACATTGCCTTTTTTTTTTTTTTTTTTTTTGAGACAGAGTCTGTCTCTGTTGCCCAGGCTGGAGTGCAGTGGTACGATCTCGGCTCACTGCAAACTCCGCCTCCCGGGTTCAAGTGATTCTCCTGCTTCAGCCTCCCGAGTAGCTGGGATTACAGGCGCCTGCCACCACACCCGGCTAATTTTTGTATTTTTAGTAGAGACAGGGTTTCACCATCTTGGCCAGGCTGGCCTTGAACTCCTGACTTCGTGATCCACCCACCTCGGCCTCCCAAAGTGCTGGCCACCACGCCCGGCTACATTGTCTTAATTTTGAAAGATATTTTCACTGGATATAGAATTCCAGTACTTTAAGGATATTCTTCAACTGTCTTCTATCGAATATATCTTCTTTCTTCCCCCTCTGGCAGTTAAATAGGAAAAAAATATTTGTGATCTTGGGTTAGGCAAAGATTTATGTGATACTACACCAAAAGCACAATCCAAAAAAAAAAATGAGATACATCAAAATTAAGAACTTCTGGTCAGACACTATTAAGAGAAGGAAAAGACAAGCCATGGACTAGGAGAAAATATTTGGAAACCACTTATCTGGTAAGGACTTGTATTCTGAGTCTATAAAGAACTCCTAAACTGAATAATAAATAGACAAACAATCCAAAAAAGAATAGAAAAAGGTCTGAACAGATACTTCACCAAAGAAGATATACAGATGGAAAATAAGTACATGAAAAGATACTTAAAATTATTAGTTGCTGGGAGTGGTGGCTTGTGCCTGTTGTCTCAGCTACTCAGAGGCTGAGGTAGGAGGATCACTTGAGCCCAGGAATTTGAGGCTTTAATTAAAATAAAATACAATAAAATAATGACTATTCAATAGAGAAATACAAATTAAACCACTATGAGATATCACTATACACATATTATAAAGTCTAAAATGTAAAAAAAAAAAAAAAAAAAAATCTGGCCATACCAAGTGTTGACAAGGATGTGGAGCAACTGGAACTCTCATACTCTGCTAGTGACAATGTTGAATTATACAACCACTTTGGAAAAGTTTGGCAGTGTCTTATAAGATTAAATATATGCCCAGGATCCAGTAACAACATTCTTAGGTATCTACCCAAGAGAGATGAAAACTTATGTCCACAAGAAGACTTGTACATAGCAGCTTTATTTGTAATAGCCAAAAGCTAGAAATCACCCTACTATCTATGAGTATGTGAATGGATAAACAAATTGTAGTATATTCATATAATGGAATACTAGTTAAAAATTTAAAAAATGAACTAGACCAGGCGCAGTGGCTCACACCGTAATGCTAGCACTTAGGGAAGCAGAGAAGGGAGGATAGCTCAAGCCCAGGAGTTTGAGACCAGCCTGGGCAACATAGTGTGTTTGTGTGTGTGTGTGTGTGTGTGTGTGTGTGTGTACATATAAATATATATAAAAATAAATATATATAAATATATAAAAATAAATATATAAATATATAAAAATAAATATATAAAATATATAAAAAAATAAATATATAAATATATAAATAAATATATAAAAATATATAAATAAATAAATAAATATATATATATATATATATATATATATATATGATTGCTCTGTCGCCCAGGCTTGAGTACAGTGGTACGATATCTACCTATCTCTATCTATCTATCTATCTATCTATCTATCTATCTATCTATCTATCTATCTAGCATTTCTTCTGTCTCTTTGTTCTATCTGGGCCTTCAGTGGATTGGATGATGCCTGCCCACGTTGGTAAGGATGGATCTTTCTTACTCACCTTACTCAGTCTACTGATTCAAATGCCAACCTCTTCCAGAAATATCCTCACGGATACACCCAGAAATAATGTTTTACCAGCTATCTAGGTATTCTTTAACCCAGTCAAATAGACACATAAAACTAACAGTCACAAGTCCACCTCTTGTCAACTTGGCACTCATATGTATCTCCTTAAACCATACTTAATCTCCAAATAAAGACAATAACTAGGTCATAATTCTGCCTGATACAACAACAAGATACAACAACAAGATACAACAATCTTGCATACTGTTGAAAATGCACAATTTCCTTCCACCATGTGCAAACAAAGCGAGAAGGCACCCTTTAGGAGGAATGGGCCCTCACCAGACACTGAATCAGTGGGTGCCTTGAACTTGAACTTCCCAGCCTCCAGAATTGTGAAAAATACATTTCTATTGTTTATAAGCCAACCAGTTTATGATATTTTTTTTTTTTTTGAGACGGAGTCTCGCTCTGTTGCCCAGGCTGGAGTGCAGTGGCACGATCTCGGCTCACTGCAAGCTCTGCCTCCCAGGTTCATGCCATTCTCCTGCCTCAGCCTCCCAAGTAGCTGGGACTACAGGCGCCCGCCACCACACCTGGCTAATTTTTTGGTATTTTTAGTAGAGACGGGGTTTCACCGTGTTAGCCAGGATGGTCTCGATCACCTGACCTTGTGATCCACCTGCCTCGGCCTCCCAAAGTGCTGGGATTAAAGGTGTGAGCCACAGCATCTGGCCAGTTTATGGTATTTTTGTTATAGCAGCCTGAATGGACTAAGACAGAGCAATAACAAATGGGCACAAGGAAACTTTCAAGGATGATAGATATATTCATTATTGTCTGTCATGATATAGTGATGATGTTATGGGTGCACATATATATATATATATATAAACATCAGTTTTGTACAGGTTAAACGTGCAGTCTATTATATGTCAGCTATATCTCAATAAGGCTGTTACTAATAAACAAAAACCAAATAATTATACCAGTTCATAGCCAAAAGTTTGATAAAAATAAATAGCAAGCATTGGTGAGGATTTGAAAAATCATGAACTTTCCCATTGGTGGTGGGAATATAAAATGGTACAAACACTTCCCTGGACAATTCAACAACATATAGTAAAATTTTAAATGTTAAAATCCTAAGATTTAAAAATTCTTCTTCTGTGACTATAATCTAGAGAAACTTTTTACATAAACACCAGGATATGCAGTAGTGTGGTAGCAAATATGTAATCACTAGCTCTCTGCAGGGATAAAAAGTTCTCTTTTCTAGCATTTGCCAATATCTATGGTGTAAATACTACCACTGTGGCTGATTTCTAGCTACTGACATCATTGAATACAGAGTGGAAAAGAAAAAGGCCAGGCATGGTGGCTCACGCCTGTGATCCCAGCACTTTGGGAGGCTGAGGCAGGCAGATCACTTGAGCTCAGGAGTTTGAGACCAGCTTGGCCAACATAGTGAAACCTCATCTCTACTAAAAATACAAAAATTAGCCAGGCATGATGGCGCACACCTGTAATCCCAGCTATTCGGGAGGCTGAGGCACGAGAATTGCTTGAACCTGGGAGTCAGAGGTTGCAGTGAGCCGATATTGTGCCACTGCACTCCTGCCTAGGCAACAGTGAGAACTTGTCAAAAAAAAAACAACAAAAACTTTTATGTATCTGCTCATTTGTAATGCTCAAAAATAAAATAAAATACATACACCCACTGGGTGTGGTGGCTCTTGCCTGTAATCCCAGCATTTTGGGAGGCAGAGGTGGGTGGATCGTTTGAGCCCAGGAGTTTGACACCAGCCTGGACAACATGGTAAAACCCTGTATCTACAAAAAAAAAAAAAAAAAAAAAAAAAAATATATATATATATATATAAATTAGCCAGGCATGGTGACACATGCATATAGTCCTAGCTACTTGGAAGGCTGAGGCATGAGGATTGCTTGGCCCGGTAGGCAGAAGTTGCAGTGAGCCACGATGGCACCACTGCATACCAACCTGGGTGACAGAGTGTAACTGCCCAATGGGTTCACCTTGCCCACTACTTAGACAGAGCCGATTTATCAAGACGGGAATTGCAGTAGAGAAAGAGTATCACACAGAGCTGGCTGTGCGGGAGACAAGAGTTTTATTATTACTCAAATCAGTCTCCTCGAGCATCTGGGAATCAAAGATTTTTTTTTTTTGTTTGTTTGTTTTTGAGACAGAGTTTCGCTGTTGTTGCCCAGGCTGGAGTGCAATAGCATGATCTTGGCTCACCGCAACCTCTGCCTCCTGGGTTCAAGCAATTCTTCTGCCTCAGCCTCCCGAGTAGCTGGGATTACAGGCATGTGCCACCACACCTGGCTAATTTTGCACTTTTAGTAGAGACGGGGTTTCTCCATGTTGGTCAGGCTGGTCTCGAACTCCCGACGTCAGGTGATCCGCCTGCCTCAGCCTCGCAAAGTGCTAGGATTGTAGGCAAGAGCCACTGGGCCTGGTCCGGGACCAGATTTTTTTTTTTGAGATGGAGTCTCACTCTGTTGCCCAGGCTGGAGTGCAGTGGCACGATCTCGGCTCACTGTAACCTCCACCTCCAGGGTTCAAGCCATTCTCCTGCCTCAGCCTCCTGAGTAGCTGGGACTACAGGCACCTGCCACCATGCCCAGCTAATTTTTGTATTTTTAGTAGAGATGGGGTTTCACCATGTTGGCCAGGCTGGTCTCAAACTCCTGACCTCGTGATCCACCCACCTCAGCCTCCCAAAGTGCTGGGATTACAGGCGTCAGCCACCACGCCTGGCCGGGACCAGAGTTTTTAAGGACAACTTGGTGGGTGGAAGGAAGCCAGTGAGCCAGGAGTGCTGATTGGTTAGGTAGGAGATGAAACCATAGGGAATCGAAGCTGTCCTCTTGTACCGAGTCAGTTCCTGGGTGGGGGCCACAAGGTCAGATGAGCCAGTCTGTTGATCTGGGTGGTGCCAGCTGATCCATCAAGTGCAGGGTCTGCAAAATATAAGTAGCACTGACCTTAGGAGCAGTTTAGAGAGGGTCAGAATCTTGTAGCCTCTAGCTGCATGACTCCTAAACCATAATTTCTAATCTTGTGGCTAATTTTTTAGTCCTACAAGGCAGTCTAGTCCCCAGGCAAGAAGGAGGTTTGTTTTGGGAAAGGGCTGTTATTGTCTTTGCTTTAAACTATAAACTAAGTTCCTCCCACAGTTAGTTCAGCCTATGCCCAGGAATGAACAAGGACAGCTTGGAGGTTAGAAGCAAGACAGAGTTGGTTAGGTCAAATCTCTTTCACTGTCTCAGTTGCAGTTTTGCAATGGTGGTTTCAAGAGTGAAATGCTGTGAGAAGAAAGAAAGAAAGAAAGAAAAATAAAGTAAGAAAGGAAAGAAAAGAAAGAAAGAAAGAAAGAGAAAGAAAGAAAGAAAGAAAGACACAAAGTAAATGTCCGTCAATAATGGAATGGATAAACAAATGTGACATGCTTATACAGTGGAGCATATGGCTCTATCTCAAAAATATAATATTGAGAGAACAATGCCAGTTGCACAATATGTACACTGTGATACCATTTATGAACATCTAAAAACTAATGAAACCGGGCACAGTGGCTCATGCCTGTAATCCCAGCACTTTGGGAGGCCGAGGCGGGCAGATCACGAGGTCAGGAGTTCGAGACCAGCGTGACTAACGTGGGAAACCCCATCTCTACTAAAAACACAAAAAAATTAGCTGGGTATGGTGGCACGTGCCCATAGTCCCAGCTACTCAGGAGGCTGAGGCAGGAGAATCGCTTGAATCCGGGAGGCGGAGGTTGCAGTGAGCCGAGATCGCGCCACTACACTCTAGGCTGGTGACAGAGTGAGACTCCATTTCCAAAAAAAAAAAAAAAAAAGAAGAAAAGAAAGACAAATAAAAAAATAAAAAATGTTTTACATATTGGTAAATATATATGTAGAGAAGTAATTTTTTTTTTGAGATGGAGCCTCTCTCTGTTGCTCAGGCTGTAGGGCAGCGGCATGATCTCTGCTCACTGTAACCTCTGCCTCCCAGATTCAAGTGATTTCTGGCTAATTTTTGTACTTTTAATAGAGATGGGGTTTCACCATGTTGGCCAGGTTGGTCTCGAACTCCTGACCTCAAGTGATCTGCCTGCCTCAGCCTCCCAAAGTGTTAAGATTACAGGTGTGAGTTACCGCACCTGACCTTTTTTTTTTTTTTTTTTTTTTTGAGACAGAGGAGTCTCACTCTGTCACGTCAGCCAGGCTGGAGTGCAGCGGCGTGATCTTGGCTCACTGCAACCTCTGCCTGCTGGGTTAAAGCCGTCCTCCTGCCTCAGCCTCCCCAGTAGCTAGGATTACAGGTGCACACCACCACACCTGGCTAATTTTTGTACTTTTAGTAGAGACGGGGTTTCACCTTGTTGGTCAGGCTGGTCTTGAACTCCTGACCTGAAGTGATCCATCCGCCTCCACCTCCCAAAATGCTAGGATTCCAGTCGTGAGCCACTGCACCCAGCCTAGAAAAGTGATTTAAACATGGGCGCAAAGACATACACGATAGTGCTTAGACTTGGGATGAAGGAAATAAGATAAGACTAGTGTGTTAGTTATTTATTTCTACATAACATTATTACCACAAAATGAATGGCTTAAAACTAGACACATTTATTATATTTATTATCTCACAGTTTCTGTGGATGGAGAATTTGGTGTCAAGCAAAGTCCTATGGATGGTTAAAAAAAAGAAGAAGGCTCGGCATGGTGGCTCATGCCTGTAATCCCAGCATTTTGGGAGGCCGAGGCGAGTGGATCACGCTGAGGTCAGGAGTTCTAAACCACCCTGGCCATCATGGTGAAACCCCGTCTCTACTAAAAATACAAAAATTAGCTGGGCATGGTGATGCGCATATGTAATCCCAGCTACTCTGGAGGCTGAGGCAGGAGAGTCGCTTGAACCCAGGGGGCAGAGGTTGCAGTGAGCCGAGATCTTGCCACTGCACTCCAGCCTGGGTGACAGAGTGAGACTTCGTCTCAAAAAAAAAAAGGAAAAGGAATCTGGGCAAATGTTGGGAGTTCCTTGATTAGGTTTCAAGGCCTAGGAATAATTATCTGTGGCTCTTGGTTCCATTCTCAAGGCCATTGTTTCCATCCTTGGAGTCATCCTTTCTTTTTCAGGAAAGGTAGTATGTATTTTCAGCTGAGTAGTTGTATCAGCCTACTTCCTGTGAGTAGAATTTGGGGAGTCTGTCTCCCTTCATTCTATACTCTGTCCCTTTTGGTTCAAGTCGGCAGTATTTCTGCTGAAATATTTCCCTCAAGGTTTTGAGTCTTTGGTTGATTCGAATGGTGTTGACTTGCTTAGATAAAAGCCTCACCCATCGATCTTCGCTTTGCCTTCTGTGAGTCTTTCTCTATTTTGGGATTGTGTTCAAATGACTGAGAGACAACACCTGTAAACTTCCTAGAGTCTCTCTGGTTTGATTTAAAGGATCTGTGAGGCACACCTTTAATGTCTTAAAAGGGCCCTTTGTAGAGCTGAATAAAGTCATGTGCTGCATAACATTTTGGTCAACGATGAACTGCATATGAGATGGTGGTAGGCTGGGTGCAGTGGCTCACACCTGTAATCCCAGAAATTTGGGAGGCTGAGGCGGGTGAATCACCTGAGGTCAGAAGTTCAAAACCACCATGGCCAACATGGTGAAACCCCGTCTCTACTAAAAATACAAAAATCAGCCAAGTGGCCGGGTATGGTGGCTCACACTTGTAATCCCAGCATTTTGGGAGGCCAAGGCGGACAGATCACAAGGTCAAGAGATTGAGACCATCCTGGCCAACATGGTGAAACCCCGTCTCTACTAAAAATAGAAAAATTAGCTGGGCATTGTGGTGCGCGCCTGTAGTCCCAGCTACTCAGGAGGCTGAGGCAGGAGAATCACTTGAACCCGGGAGGCAGAGGTTGCAGTGAGCCGAGATCGTGCCACTGCACTCCAGCCTGGGCAACAAGAGCAAGACTCCATCTCAAAAAAAAAAAAAAATTAGTTGAGTATGCTGGCGCACGCCTGTAATCCCAGCTGCTTGGGAGGCTAAGGCACGAGAATTGCTTGAACCTGGGAGGCGGAGGTTGCAGTGAGCTGACATCAGGCCACTGCACTCCAGCCTGGGTGACAAAGTGAGATTCTGTCTAAAAAAAAAAAAAAAAAAAAAAAGACGGTGGTTCCAACTGGGCACCCCTTTAATCCCAGCTACTCAGGAGGCTGAGGTGGGAGGATCATTTGAGACCTGCTAGGAATTCAATACCACCCTGGCAACATAGTGAGACTCTGTTTCCAAAAATATAAAAATAAAAATATGTGGGTATGGTGGCGCACGCCTGTAGTCCCAGCTACTCTGGAGGCTAAAGTGGAAGAATCACCTGAACCCAGAGTTTGAGGCTGCAGTGAGCTATGATCACACCACTGCACTCCAACCTGGGTGACAGAGTAAGTCCTCATCTCTAAAAACAAACAAAGAAAAAGATGATGATCCCATCAGTTTATAATACTGTATATTTTTACTATACCTTTTCTATGTTTAGCTACACAAATACTTACCACTGTGTTACAATTGCCTACAGTATTCAGTACAGTCACATGCTGTACAGGTTTGTAGCCTGGAAGCAATAGGCTATATCATATAGCCTCTATGTGTAGTAGGCTATACCATCTAGGATTGTGTAAGTACACTCTATGATATTCACACAATGAGAAAATTGCCAAATGTTGCATTTGTCAGAATGTATCCCTGTCATTAAGTGATGCCTAACTGTATTCTGATCTTTTGATGTTACTGCTGTTCCAGCAAAAAGCATTAGAGGAAGACCCTCAGCTTTTTCTCTAAACCATATTGTCTTAAATTTATTGTCTTTTGCCATGTGCATAGGCACAGAATTTCCCAAATCATCAAATCCTGATTCCTTTTTGTTTAGCAGTTTCCCCTTCAATTTATCTCTTTCCTCATATTTTACTATAAGCAGCAAGTAAACAGAAGTTACCTTAAATACTTTGCTTGGAAATCCAGCCAAGGAATTGGCTGGCCGGGCGCAGTGGCTCATGCCTATAATCCCAGCACTTTGGGAGGCTGAGGCAGGTGGATCACTTGAGGTCAGGAGTTTGAGACCAGCCTGGCCAACATGATGAAACCCCATCTCTACTAGAATTACAAAAATTAGCCAGGTGTGGTGGCGCGTGCCTGTAGTCTCAGCTACTCAGGAGGCTGAGCGGGAGAATTGCTTGAACCCAGGACACAGAAGTTGCGGTGAGCTGAGATCATGCTGCTGCACTCAAGCCTGGATGACAGAGCGAGACTCTGTCTAAAAAAAAAAAAGACAGAGAAAAGAAATCTCCTTGGCTGTATATTGAAGTCTATCTCTTACAAATTCTCCTTTCCACATAACTGCATATGCTTTCTGCCACCACATAACAAAGATCCCTTTTCCTCCAGTTTCCAATAACATGTTCCTCACTTCCACTTGTGGCCTCCCCAGCAGCATCCTCAAAGTCTAGATTCCTACTGACATCCTGTTCAAGGTGATTTCAACTTTATCACGCTCCTTCAAATTCTTCCAGCCTCTACTCACTACCCAATTCCAAAGCCATTCTCACATTTTTAAGGTACATGTTACAACAGCACCCCATTCCAAGTAGAAAATCTACAGCAGTTTTCTATTGTTGCATAAGAAATTACCACACATTTAGTGGCTTACGACACCACACATTTACTGTCTTGTAGTTTGTATGAGAAGTCTGGGCGTTGCTTAGCTAGGTGCTCTGCTTAGGGTCCCACAAGCTACAATCAAGGTGTTGACAAAGCTTTTATTTTTATTTATTTATTTTTGAGACACAGTTTTGATTTGTCACCCAGGCTGAAGTGCAGTGGTGGTATCATAGCTCGCTGCAGCCATGACCTCCCACCTCAGCTTCCTGAGTAGCTTGGATTACAGGCTCATGTCACCATGCCCAGCTAATTTTTAAATTTATTTTTGTAGAGACAGGATCTTGCTATGTTGCCCAGGGTGGTCTTGAACTCCTGGGCTCAAGTGGTCCTCCCACCTCGGCTTCCCAAAGTATTGGGATTACAGGTGTGAACCACAGGACCCAGAAGACAAAGCTTTTAATTGGAGACTTAACTATAGAAGCATTTTCTTCTACATTCCCACAGTTGTTAGCAGCATTCAGTTTTTCACAATTGTAGGATTCGCTGCAGCTTGCTTCTTCAAAGCCAGCAAAAAGAGAGAGAATCTGTTAGTAAGTTGGAGTTATATAATGTAATGTGATCATAGGAGTGACATCCCATCACCTTTGCCATGTTCTACTGTTTAGAAGCAAGTCACAGGTCTCACCCATACTCAAAAGGAGGGAAATGTAGAAGGGTAACAATACCAGGAGGTGGAAATCATGGAGGCCTACCCTAAAGTTTGTCTGCCACAACTAGAGTGAGAATCAAAGAGACCTTAAACTTAAAGATTTGCTTGTTTTGTTAAAAAAAAAATCTGAAACATAAGAAGAAAACTACAAATAAATATACCCTGACAAACGACATGAAGTTATATAATCAGATATCACAGGAATAAAAAAGTAGGAGTGTATCTAATAGAAAATATAAATGTATTAGTCCATTCTCACACTGCTAAGAAGAAATACCTGAGACTGGGTAATTTATAAAGGAAAGAGGTTTAATTGACTCACAGTTCAGCATGGCTGGGAAGGCTTCAGGGAACTTACAGTCATGGCAGAAAGGGAAGCAAACACTCCTTCTTCACCTGGGGGCAGGAAGGAGAAGTGCCGGTCAAAAGGGGAAAAGCCCCTTATAAAACCATCAGATAGGTCGGGTGCGGTGACTCATGCCTGTAATCCCAGCATTTTGGGAGGCCGAGGCAGGCGGATCACTTGAGCTCAGGTGCTCAAGACCAGCCTGGGCAACATGGTGAAACTCTGTCTCTACTAAAAATACAAAAATTAGCCAGGTGTGGTGGTGCAGGCTTGTAATCCCAGCTACTTGGGTGGCTGAGGCATGAGAATCTCTTGAACCCAGGAGGCAGAGGATGCAGTAAGCTGAGATTGTGTCACTGCACTCCAGCCTGTGTGAGAGTGAGACTCTGTTTCAAAACAAAAGGCAATAAACAAAACCCATCAGATCTCGTGAAATCTCACTCATCATGAAACAGCATGAAGGTAACTACCACCATGATTAAATTACCTTCCACTGGGTCCCTCCCACAACATGTGGGGACTATGGGAACTACAATTGGCCAAATCGTATCATTCTGCCCGTGGCCCCTCCCAAATCTCATGTCCTCGCATTTCAAAACACAATCATGCTCTTCCAACAGTTCCCCAAAGTCTTAACTCATTCCAACATTATCTCAAAAGTCCAAGTCCAAAGTCTCATCTGAGACAAGGCAAGTCCCTTTCATCTATGAGCCTTTAAAATCAAAAGCAAGTTAGTCACTTCTTTTTTTTTTTCTTTTGAGATGGAGTTTTGCTCTTGTCATCCAGGCTGGAGTGCAATCGTGCGGTCTCGGCTCACTGCAACCTCCACCTCCCAGGTTCAAGCAATTTTCCTGTCTCAGCCTCCTGAGTAGCTGGGATTATAGGTGCCCACAACCATGCCTGGCTAATTTTTGTATCTTTTAGTAGAGACGGGGTTTCACCATGTTGGCCAGGCTGGTCCTGAGCTCCTGACCTCAGGTAATCCACCCACCTTGGCCTCCCAAAGTGATGGCATTATAGGTGTGAGCCACCATGCCAGGCCACAAGTTAGTTACTTCTTGTATACAAGGGGGATACAGGCATTGGGTAAATACACTTATTCCAGATGGGAGAAATTGGCCAAAACAAAGGGGCAATAGGCCTTATGCAAGTCCAAAATACAATAGGGCAGTCATTAAACCTTAAAATTCCGAAATGATTTCCTTTGACTCCATGTCTCACATCCTGGTCATGCGATGCAAGAAGTGGATTCCAATGGCCTTGGGCAGTTCCACCTCTGTGGCTTTGCAGGGTACGGTCCCTTTCCCAGCTGCTTTCACGGGCTGGCATTGAGTGCCTGCAAGTTTTCCAGGTGCACAGTGCAAGCTGTCAGTGGATCTACCATTCTGCTGTCTGGAGGGCGGTGGCCCTCCTCTCACAGCTCCACTAGGCAGTGCCACAGTGGGGACTCTGTGTGGGGGCTCTGACCCCATGTTTCCCTTCCACACTGCCCTAGCAGAGGTTCTCCATGAGGGCTCTGCCCCTGCAGAAAACATCTGCCTGGACATCCAGGCCTTTCCATACATTCTCTGAAATCTAGGCAGAGGTTCCCAAACCTCAATTCTTGACTTCTGTGGACCCACAGGCTCAACACCACATGGAAGCTGCCAAGGCTTGGTGCTTGCACCCTCTGAAGCAATGATCTGAGCTGTACATTGGCCCCTTTTAGCCACGGCTAGAGTGGCTTAGATGCAGGCCACTAAGTCCCAAGACTGCACACAGTAGGGGGACCCCGGACCTGGCCCAGGAAACAATTTTTCCCTTCTAGGCCTCCAGGCTTGTGATGGAAGGGGCTGCCTCATAGGTCCCTGACATGTGGTGGAGACATTTTCCCCATTGTCTTGGTGATTAACATTTGGATCCTTGTTACTTATGTAAATTTCTGCAGCCAGCTTGACTTTCTCTCTAGAAAATGGGTTTTTCTTTCCTGTCGCATCGTAAGACTGCAAATTTTCCAAACTTTTATGCTCTACTTCCTCTTGAATGCTTTGCTGCTTAGAAATTTCTTCTGCCAGTACCCTAAATAATCTCTCTCAAATTAATACTTCCACAGATCTCTAGGGCAGGGACAAAATGACACCAATCTCTTTGCATAGCAAGAGTGACCTTTACTCCAGTTCCCAACAAGTTCCTCATCTCCATCTGAGACCACCTCAGCCTGGACTTCGTTGTCCATATCACTATCAGTATTTTGCTCAAAGCCATTCAGTGAGTCTCTAGGAAGTTCCAAACTTTCCCACATCTTCCTGTCTTCTGTGCCCTCCAAACTGTTCCAATCTCTGTGTGTTACCAAGTTCCAAAGTCACTTCCACATTCTCAGGTATCCTTATAGCAACACCCCACTTTACCTGTACCAGTTTATTGTATTAGTCTGTTCTCATGCAATATCAAGAAATACCCAAGACTGCATAATTTATAAAGGAAAGAGGTTTAATTGACTTACAGTTCTGCATAGCGGGGAGGCCTCAGGAAACTTACAACCATGGTGGAAGGGGAAGCAAACATGTCCTTATTCACATGGTGGCAGCAAGGAGAAGTGCCGAACAAAAGAGGAAAAGCCCCTTATAAAAGCATCTGATCTCATGAGAACTCACTCACTATCGCAAGAACAGCATCTGGGTAACCACCCCCATGATTCAATTACCTCCCACTGGGTCCCTCCCACAACACATGGGGATTATGGGAACTACAATTCAAGATGAGATTTGGGTGGGGACACAGCCAAACCATATCAATAAACCTTTTATGTGGGTTAGTAAAAAAAAAAAAAAAAAAAAAAAGTCTAAAGACCGGGCGCTGTGGCTCACGCCTATAATCCCAGCACTTTGGTAGGCCAAAGTAGGTGGATCACAAGGTCAGGAGTTCAAGACCAGCCTGACCAATATGGTGAAACCCCGTCTCTACTAAAAATGCAAAAATTAGCCGGGTGTGGTGGCGCACACCTATAATCCCAGCTACTCAGGAGGCTGAGGCAGGAGAATTGCTTGAAGCCAGGATGCGGAGGTTGCAGTGAGCCGAGATCACGCCACTGCACTCCAGCCTGGGTGGCAGAGAGAGACTCCATCTCAAAAATAAATAAATAAATAAATAAAAGTCTAATATCATGAACTATGACTAATTTAGGAAGTGATATTTTACAACGGTAGGTTTCGTTTAATTTTCTGACATAGCTTATTAATACTTCAAACATCCCTTTTTTTTTTTTTTGAGACAGAGTCTCACTTTGTTGCCCAGGCTAGAGTGCAGTGGCATGATCTCAGCTCACTGCAACCTCCACCTCCCAGGTTCAAGCGATTCTCCTGCCTCAACCTCCTGAGTAGCTGGGATTATAAGTGCATGCCACCGAGCCCAGCTAATTTTTGTATTTTTAGTACAGACAGGGTTTCACCATGTTGACCAGGCTGGTCTCAAACCCCTGACCTCAGGTGATGACCTGCCTCGGCCTCCCAAAGTGCTAGGATTATAGGCGTGAGCCACAGCACCTGACATATATTTTCGGACTCTAATCCCCTCAGGGCAGGGGTCATCTTTTTTTTTTTTTTTTTTTTTTTTTGAGACAGGGTCTTACTCTGTCCCTCAAGCTGGAGGGCAATAGCATAATCATAGCTCACTGCAGCATCGAACTCCTGAGCTCAAGTGATTCTTTCACCTCACCCTCCTGAGTAGTTGGGACTACAGGTGTGAGCCACCATGCCCGGCTAATTATCTAAAAAGTTTTTTGTAGAGATGGGATCTTGCTATGTTGCCCAGGCTGGTCTCAAATTCCTGGCCTCAAGCAATCCTCCTGCTTTGGTCTCCCAAAGTGCTGGGATTAGAGGCGTGAGCCACTGCACCCAGTCTCTTTTTTTTTTTTTTTAATTGCTGTATTGTTAAATTAAGCAACATTTCAGTAGGAGAGTCTCTAAGGTTACCTCTATTTTGGATGAGTTTCTATAATTCCTTCTAGTCTCCTGACTTCCAAATCTTGCAGGTGCTGTGTGGATTGTGGATATAACTATATATACATATACATATACATACATACAGGGATAACTTGGAGATACTGTGCTTCTGTTCCAGACTACCACAATAAAGCAAATATCACAATAAAGTGAGTCACACAGTTTTTTTATTTCTCAGTGCAGAAAAACATTGTTTACAGTGTACTGTAGTCTATTAAGTGTGCAATAGCGTTATGTCTAAAAAAAGTACATACCTTAACTAAGACATACTTTATTGCTAAAGAATGCTAACAATCATCTGAGCCTTCAGTGACTCATATAATCTTTTTGCTCGTGGAGGTACTTGCTCAATGTTGATGGCTGCTGACTGATCAGGGTGGTGGTTGCTGAAGGTTGGTGTGGCTATGGCAATTTCTTAAGACAACAATGAAGTTTGCTGCATTGATTGGCTTTTCTTGTTGTGAAAGATTTCTCTATAGTATGCGATGCTGTTTGATAGCATTTTACCCATAGTAGAACTTTCTTCAAAATTAGGCCAGGTGCCGTGGCTCATGCCTGTAATTGCAGCACTTTTGGAGGCCGCAGCAGAAGGATCACCTGAGCTCAGGAGTTCGAGACCAGCCTGGGCAACATGGCGAAAGCTCGTCTCTACTAAAAATACAAAAAAATAGCTGGGTATGGTGGTGCGCATCTGTAATCCCAGCTACTAGGGAGGCTGAGGCACAAGAATTGCTTGAACCCAGGAGGCGGAGGTTGCAGTGAGCCAAGATCACTCCACTGCACTCCAGCCTGGGTGACAGAGAGACACTCTGTCTCAAAAAACAAAACCAAACCAAACCAAAAAAAAAAACCGCTTTTTTCAAAACTAGAGTCAATCCTCTCAACTAAATTGAAGTAATATTCTAAATCTTCTCTTGTAATTTCCACAATGTTCACAGCATCTTCACCAGGAGTAGATTCCATCTCAAAAAAACACTGTATTTGCTCATCTATAAGAAGTAGCTCCTCATCTGTTGAAGTTTTATCATGAGATGGCAGCAATTCAGTCACATCTTCAGGCTCCACTTCTAATTCTGGTTCTCTTGCTATTTCTACCACATCTGCAGTTTCTTTCGCCACTGAAGTCTTGAACTCCTCAAAGTCATCTGTGAAGGTGGGAATCAGCTTCTTTCAAACTCCTGCTAAAGTTGATATTTTGACCTCCTCCCATAAATCATGAATGTTCTAATGGCATTGAGAATTTGTGAATTCTTTCCAGAAGGTTTTCAACTTACGTTGCTCAGATAACCAAGAAAATCACTATTAGTGGCCACTATAGCCTTATGAAATGTATTTCTTTTTTTTTATTTTATTTTTTAAGTTTTTATTTTTTTAGAGACTGAGCCTCATTATGTTGCCCAGGCTGCAGTGCAGTGGCTATACAAAGGTGCACTACAGTCTTGAACTCCTGGGCTCAAGGGACCCTCTCGCCTCAGCCTCCCAAGTAGCTGGTACTCTACAGGTGCATGCCACCTCTGCTGTCTGAAATATATTTCTTTTCTTTTTCTTTTTTTTTGTTTTTTGTTTTTGAGACAGGGTCTTGCTCTGTCGCCCAGGCTGTAGTGCAGTGGCACAATCTCCGCTCACTGCAACCTCCGCCTCCTGGGTTCAAGCGATTCTCCTTCCTCAGGCTCCTGAGTAGCTGGGACTACAGGCGTGTGCCACCACACCTGGCTAATTTTTGTATTTTTAGTAGAGACGGGGTTTCACCCTGTTGATCAGGCTGGTCTCGAACTCCTGACCTAATGATGCACCTGCCTCGGCCTCCCAAAGTGCTGGGATTACAGGCATGAGCCGCAGCGCCAGGCCTGAAATGTATTTCTTTTGTTGTTGTTGTTGTTGTTGTTGTTGTTGTTGTTGTTGAGATGGAGTATCGCTCTTGTTGCCGCGGTTGGACCGCAATGACAGGATCTAGGCTCACTGCAACCTCCGCCTCCCGGGTTCAAGTGATTCTCCTGTCTCAGCCTCCCAAGTAGCTAGGATTACAGGCATGTACCACCATGCCTGGCTAATTTTGTATTTTTAGTAGAGACAGGGTTTCTCCGTGTTGGTAAGGCTGGTCTCGGAACTCCTGATCTCAGGTGATCCGCCCACCGTGGCCTCCCAAAGTGCTGGGATTACAGGCATGAGCCACCATGCCCAGCCTATGAAATGTGTTTCTTAAATAGTAAGACTTGAAAGTCAAAATCACTCCTTGATCCATGGGGATTAAGAATGGATGCAGAGGCCAGGTGTGGTGGCTCATGCCTGTAATCCCAGCACTTTGGGAGGCCGAGGTGGACAGATCACAAGGTCAAGAGATCGAGACCATCCTGGCCAACAGGGTGAAACCCCGTCTCTACTAAAAATACAAAAATTAGCTCGGCGTGGTGGTGTGTGCCTGTAGTCCCAGCTACTTGGGAGGCTGAGGCAGGAGAATTGCTTGAACCCGGGAGGCAGAGGTTGCAGTGAGCTGAGATTGCCCCACTGCATTCCAAAAAAAAAAAAAAAAGAATGGATGCAAAGGCCGGGCACAGTGGCTCATGCCTGTAATCCCAGCACATTGGGAGGCCAAGGTGGGCAGATCACGAGGTCAGGAGTTTGAGACCAGCCTGATCAACATGGTGAAACCCCGTCTGTACTAAAAATACAAAAATTAGCTAGACGTGGTGGTGCGTGCCTGTAATCCCAGCTACTCAGGAGGCTGAGGTGGGAGAATCGCTCAAACCTGGGAGGGGGAGGTTGTAGTGAGATGAGATCCTGCCATTGCACTCCGGCCTGGGCGACAGAGCTAGATTCCATCTCAAAAAAAAAAAGAAAAAAGAAAAAAAGAAAAAAAAGAATGGATGCAGAATGGATGTTGTGTTAGCAGGCATGAAAACAACATTACTCTCCTCCTTGTACATCTCTATCAGAGCTCTTGGGTGAACAGGTGCATTCTCAATGAGAAGTAATATTTTGAAAGGCATCTTTTTTTCTGAGCAGTAGGTCTCAACAGTGGACTTATACTACTTAATAAACTGTGCTATAAACAGATGTGATGTCATCCAGGCTTTGTTGTTCCATTTATAGAGCACAGGCAGTAGACTTAGCATAATTCTTAAGGTCTCTAGGATTTTCTGAGCATTGGTTTCAACTTAAGGTCACCAGCTGCATTAGCCTCTAACAAGAGGGTCAGCCTTTCCTTAGCTTAGAAGCTTTGAAGCCAGTCATTGACTTCTCTCTAGCTATGAAAGTCCTAGATGGCATCTTCTTCCAATAAAAGGCTTTTCATCTGCATTGAAAATCTGTTGTTTAGTGTAGCTACCTTCATCAATGATCTTAGCTAGATCTTCTGAATAACTTGCTGCGGCTTCTCCATCAGCACTTGCTACTTCATCTTGCACTTTTATGTTACGGAAACAGCTTCTTTCTTTAAACCCCATGAACCAACCTCTGCTAGCTTTCAATTTTTATTCTACAGCTTCTTTATCTCTCTCAGCCTTCACAGAATTGAAAAGAGTTAGGGTCTTGCTCTGGATTAGGCTTTGGCTTAAGGGAATGTTGTGGCTGGTTTGATCTTCTATCCAGACCACTCAGACTTTTTCCATATCAGCAATAAGGCTGTTTTGCTTTTTTATTGTTTGTGTGTTGAATGGAGTAGCACTTTCAATTTCCTTTAAGAAGTTTTCTTTTGCATTCACAACTGTTGGGGGCAAGAGGCCTAGTTTTGGCCTATCTCTCCTTTTGATATGCCTTCCTCACTAAGCTTAATCATTTCTAGCTTCTGATTTAAAGAGAGAGGACTGTGAGTCTTCCTTTCATTGAATACTTAGAAGCCACTGTAGGGTTATCAATCGGCCTAATTTCAATATTGTTGTGTCTCAGGGAATAGGGAGGCCTGAGGAGAGTGAGAAAGATAGAGAAATGGCCAGTGAAGGCGTAAGAACACACAAAACATTTATTGATTAAGTTTGTTCTCTTCTATGGGAGCTGTTCCTGGTGCCCCAAAACAATTACAATAGTAACATCAAAGATCACTGATTGGCTGGGTGCGGTAGTTCATGCCTGTAATTCTAGCACTTTGGGAGGCTGAGAAGGGTGGATCACACCTCAGGTCAGGAATTTGAGACCAGCCTGGCCAAGACGGTGAAACCCATCTCTACTAAAAATACAAAAAATTAGCCAGGCGTGGTGGCAGGCGCCTGTAATCCCAGTTACTCAGGAGGCTGAGGCAGGAGAATCGCTTGAGCCAGGGAGGTGGACATTGCAATAAGCTGAGATTGCACCACTGCACTCCAGCCTGGGCGACAAGAGTGAAACTCCATCTCCAAAAACAAAACAATGCAAAAAAAACCCCAAAAAACAAATATCACCGAACAGGGCCACTGCACTCCTGCTTCGGTGACAGAGCGAGACCCTATCTCAAAAAACAAACAAACTGGCTGGGTGCGGTGGCTCACGGCTGTAATCCCAGCACTTTGGGAGGCCAAGGTGGGTGGATCACCTGAGGTTAGGAGTTCGAGACCAGCCTGGCCAACATGGTGAACTCCCGTCTCTACTAAAAATACAAAAATTAGCCGGGCATGGTGGCAGGCACCTGTTATCCCAGCTACTCGGGAGGCTGAGGCAAGAGAATCACTTGAACCCAGGGGGCGGAGGTTGCAGTGAGCCAAGATTGCGCCATTGCACTCCAGCCTGGGCAACAAGAGCAAAACTCCATCTCAAAACAAAACAAAACAAACAAAAAACATTTCACACAAACTTCCAAGGCATGTGCACAGTATAATAAATAATTTTTTAAAACAGATCACTGATCACAGATCACCATAACAGATATAATAATAATGAAAGAGTTGGAAATATTTTGAGAATTACCAAAATGTGACAAAGAGACATGAAGTGAGCACATGCTGTTGGAAAAATGGCACCGATAGACTTGTTTAACGCAAAGTTGCCGCAAACCTTCAATTTGTAAAAAAACACAATGTCTGCCCAGCGCATTAAAGCGAAGTGCAATAAAACAAGGTATGCTTATATTAGCATAAAATGTGGAATCAATTTATATGAATTTTGTTTTGTATTTGAGTTTTAATTTCATTTCTCCTTTGTATAGGAATGAAATTCTTTATCCTAATAAGCAACGTGTTACTATTGCCTTCTCAGGAGACAAATACAGCATTCTTTTAATTTGTTTACCATCTGAAACTCACAGTGACAAAATGGATCTTTGTATTTTCTATGTTTATTACATCAGTTGACACTATGCAGCCTGCGTTTATTGAAAACACCAAACATCTTGTTGCATTAAAAACAAAATAGCATAAAACACAATGTCAGTTCCGATTTAAAATTGTATTGTTTTTAAACTTTTCTTCATTAGTATGTTAATATAGTCTTTTTTATAGATGAGAGAAATAATTTTTTACTTATAAACATTTGAAATACTTCTTATGTAAATTGAATTAGATATAGAAATATAGAATATATCATAGCACATTATAAATTTTTAGAATATAGCTCCACTGCCAAAAAGGGAAACAATTATTTAATAAACTAATAATTCTTGGCCGGGCACAGTAGCTCACGACTGTAATACCAGCACTTTGGGAGGCTGAGGTGGACGGATCACTTGAGGTCAGGAGTCCGAGACCAGCCTGGCCAACATGGTGAACTCCCGTCTCTACTAAAAGTACAAAAATTAGCAAGTGTGGTGGTAGGTGCCTATAATCCCAGCTACTTGGGAGACTGAGGCAGGAGAATCACTGGAGCCTGAGAGGTGGAGGTTGCAGTGAGTGGAGATCATGCCACTGCACTCCAGCCTGGGTGACAGAGCGAGACTCCATCTCAAAAAGAAACAAAATAATAATAATTCTCTGATGAAGGAAGAAATCTGTTGTTGGACCAGCTACTAGTTTAAGTGGATATCTACTTAATTAAGTACAGTATTTTGTATGGCAATTAAAGGAGGGCAAGAATTTATTGTATTCTCTCTTATAGGGAAGGCTGTTAACATTTGCTCACAATGTAATGGGCTTTCACCACAGCAGCAACTGTAATGTTATGATCAATGGGCTATGTTACAAACATGTAGTCACTTAACACACAAATATTGAAGGCTTGCACAATGGGAAATATAAATAAGAGTGATACACAACCTGCCCTAAAGAAGTTTATAATCCAGCATGGAGATAACATACGCAAATAATGGCAACATAACGACTGCAGGAGTGACAGAAACAAGAAGAGTGGTATAAAAGTTCAGAAGAGATGTAATGATACCCACCATGTATTGAGTATTATTTATGTGCCATGACAATGGTTATTACTAATACTAGTCTTCCAGTACTATTTGAGTGTTAACTTGAAGATATGAATTGTATACATTTTTTTTTTTTTGAGACGGAGTCTCACTCTGTCGCCCAGGCTGGAGTGCAGTGGCACCATCTTGGCTCACTGCAAACTCCCCCTCCCAGGTTCAAGCGATTCTCTTGCCTCAGCCTCCCGAGTAGCTGGGATTACAGGTGTGCGACACCATGCCCAGCTAATATTTTTATTTTAACAGAGATGGGGTTTCACCATGTTGCCTAGGCTGGTCTCGAACTTCTGACCTCAAGTGATCCACCCACCTTGGCCTCCCAAAATGCTGGGATTACGGGCATGAGCCACCGCATCCAGTCCAAATTGGATACTTATTATGTGCTGGGCACTGTTCTTAGCACAATGCATGTAACCTGGTACTCTTTTGATCTGCATAACAATGCCATCAGGCTAGGAAAATTTCAGGAACTTACCCAAGGTCATATAGCTAGTAAGTTAAAGAACTAGGTTGAGCCCAAGTCTGAATTCAAAGTTCATGCCCTCTGTGGCTGGGTGCGGTGGCTCAAACCTGTAATCCCAGCACTGTGGGAGGCTGAGGCAGGAGGATCACTTGAGCCCAGGAGTTTGAGACTGGGCAACATAGTGAGACTCCCCACCCCCAATCTCTACCAAAAAAAAAAAAAATAGCCGGGCATGGTGGCTCGTGCCTGTGGTCCCAGCTACTTTGGAGGCTAAGGTAGGAGGATCACTTGAGCCTGGCAGTTTGAGGCTGCAGCTGAATGGTGATTGCATTACCAGACAGTTAAGGCATTCTAAGTCACAGGATGAGAGAGGAGGTCAGCACAAAATACAGGTCATAAAGACCTTGCTGATAAAACAGGTTGCAGTAAGAAAGCTGGCAAAAACCCACCAAAACCAAAATGGTGATGAGAGTGACCTCTAGTCTAGTGACCTCCTCACCGCCACACTACTACCACCGACCTGACAGTTTACAAATGCCATGGCAACATCGGGAAGTTACCCTATGTGGTCTAAAATGGGGAGACATGAATAATCCACCCCTTGTTTAGCATATCATCAAGAAATAAGGCTGGGGTGGTGGCTCATGCCTGTAATCCCAGCACTTTGGGAGGCAGGCAGATCACCTGAGCTCAGGAGTTCGAGACCAGACTGGCCAACATGGTGAAACCCCGTGTCTACTAAAAATACAAAAAAAGTTAGTTGGGTGTGGTTCTGCCCACCTGTAATCCCAGCTACTCAGGAGGCTGAGGTGGGAGAATTGATTGGACCTGGGAGGCGGAGGTTGCAGTGAGCCGAGATCATGCCACTGCACTCCAGCCTGGGCAACAGAGCGAGATTCTGTCTCAAAGAAAATTAGCTGGAATCCCAGCTACTCGGGAGGCCGAGGCATGAGAATCACTTGAACCAGGGAGGCGGAGGTTGCAGTGAGTGGAGATCTTGCCACTGCACTCCAGCCTGGGCGACAGAGCAAGACTCTGTCTCAAAAAAAAAAAAAAAAAGAAAAGAAAAGAAATAACCATAAAAATGGGCAACCAGCAGCCCTCAGGCAGCTCTGTCCCTGTAGCAGCCATTCTTTTATTCCTTCACTTTCTTAATAAACCTGCCTTCACTTTATGGACTTGCTCTAAATTCTTTCTTGTGTGAGATCCAAGTGGAAGATATAATTTCTCTGAGTTTCTCTTCAAAGATTTAGCCTGCTAACTTCCTTGGCCTTTGTTCTCAAACTCAACTTTCTTGTTCCTCCTTGCCCCTAGTTACTGTAAAACAGCCTACCCACTTCCCGTCAGTCCTCTAATCAATAACTTATATCTTTCCCTTGGTTATCTGCACCCATTGTTCCCCTGAAACTGCATGTCTCACACACTTCACTACTGTACCTCACGTCCCCCTTCCCTTCCATATTTAGAAAAATATTTGTAAGTAGCCAATCAGGTCAGCTCAGATTGTGCAGTCTGACCCTAGCCTATCAGGGAGTGACACAGAGGTAAGGACTATGCATCAGAGAGAAAAAAACCCCTGCCCTGCTCTCCTTTGTTGCCTGTGCTCTTGTGATCTTGATTGATGCCAAGTGGCACCCTTCTGCAGAAGTAAATTGCCTTGCTGAGAAAACTTTTGCCTGAGTGCTTGTTTCACTTTGTGGCACAGAGCATTTATTCCTAGAGCATTTTTATAACCAACACAAGAACCTCTCTTGCGGTCTGGAACCAGACCCCTTTCCTATAACAAGATGGTTTGGGGGCCTTATTTATCATTTATTTTTTATTTTTTTGAGAGAGAGTCTCGCTTCATCACCCAGGCTGGAGTGCAGTGGTGCGATCTCAGCTCACTGCAACCTCCGCCTCCTGGGTTCAAGTGATTCTGCTGCCTCAGTCTCCTGAGTGGCTGGGATTACATGCACCCACCACCACACCTGGCTAATTTTTATATTTTTAGTAGAGATGGGGTTTCACCATGTTGGTCAGGCTGGTCTCTAACTCCTGACCTTGTGATCTGCCTGCCTTGTCCTCCCAAAGTGCTGGAATTACAGGCATGAGCCATTGTGTCTGGCCTGGGGGCCTTATGATTTTATTTTTGGTTTATATTTGTTAATACTGTGATGAAAGACCGTTAGATGGAGTGGGAAAAGCTGGATCTTAACACAAGGAGCAGGTTGCCAAAGGGTACCTTTTTTTTTTAAAGACACAGAATCTGGCTCTGTCCTGCAGGCTGGAGTGCAGTGGCGCGATCTCGGCTCACTGCAACCTCCTGAGTTCAAGCAATTCTCCTGCCTCAGCCTCCTAAGTAGCTGGGATTACAGGTGCACACCACCACAGCCAGCTAATTTTTGTATTTTTACTAGAGACGGGGTTTCATCATGTTGGTCAGGCTGGTCTTGAACTCCTGACCTTGTGATCTGCCTGCTTCAGCCTCCCAAAGTGCTGGGATTACAGGCGTGAGCCACTGCGGCCTTTAGGGTACCTCATAATGTGCTCCTCCTTCCCCTGCCAACCACTGGTATGGAGTCAGCTCACCTACACACACCTCAGCCCTCTTCCCCCAGCTCTGCCTTCCCCTCATGTTCTAAACTTGTACATCTCTGGAGAAACACATTGTACAATTTAGCCAGTTCATTGCTGCTAACATCAAGTTAACAGTGTTGTTGGGCTGGCTAATATTAACTCACATTGTTTCCAAACTATTGAGTACATTGTTAAATTTGCATTTTTTTCTGGTTATTGTGTTTTTATGTTGAATCCACAATTCACAGAAATGGGTCAATGACTCACGAGTGGTTTATTGAAAGGTAGTGATGGAAATCATGATGTACACACTCCAGCTTAAAATAATGGCATCGATATAGTCAATAGGGCTTCAGTCTAATATATACTATGAGTCTGTAAATGCTAGTACAAGTGAATCTGCTTGTGATGATTTCTGACAAGTAGCTGGAAAAGAAAAGTGTGAAGTGGATGAATAATATCTAAAAATTAGATTTTTATTGTTCCTGTGATCTACTTAAACCCCCATGCAGGGCATAGTCTGTTATGTAACTTTGTTAAATAGTGGAAGGAAGGCACTGAAACTTCTGTCATTTCAAATCAAACAGAGTGACCTTTCTGGTAAACGTATTGTGTTTACTCAAAACAAACATAAAATAACACTTCCTATTATGCAAATTACTAATTTTATGCCTAAAGATAGAGAAGAGACCCACCTAATGAGGTGTGATTCAAAGTTGCCCTTCTTGTGGCAAACACAAATATAAATCATGTTACTTGTGGATGCTTGTAAAATCAAACTCAAAATTGATGATATATATTTTGCTCAAAGAAAAAGCAGAATTAGCTATTGGCAAAAATAATATCATGCGCTAGGTTGATATTTTGTTTTACAGTGAGCTGAAACCATTGAAGTGCCAAGTATGACTCAGCACTTAGCAAGCATGTCGCACAGATATGAAGAGAAAGGGCTGGATGACAGCTTGTTCTGATTTTAAGTGAGAAATCAAATTATAAGAGAAGAGATGTTTTCTTGACTAGTAGTTGTTTTATGAGGCATGATGTAGCCTGCTAAAGTGAGAGGTGTACCTGGGGCAATATGTCAATTGGTCTTTAGGTACAAACTCCTTATTCATAGACCAGGTTCAACTTGACACCAATCCACACCCTGCTGTGTTCCCAGAAAATGACCCACAGGAAACAAACCAACCTCTTGACTTTGAGTGTTGCAAGAAAAGTAAAAACTCTGCGAATAATTAAATCATGGTTTTTCAGCATCACGTGTGAAAAAATGAGCACTATGTGGAAAGATAGAAGACTGATTTTCCATATGGAAATATGTGCCCTGGTAAGAAAAAAGGTGCCCAGAGTTTAGGAGATGTGGAATGAGATTTTTTAAAATTATTTGATGCATTGGTAATGCCAGTAAAAGACCATTTTTTTTTTTTTTTTTTTTTTTTGAGATGAGGTCTCTCTTTGTTGCCCAGGCTGGAGTGCAGTGTTGCAATCTCGGCTCACTGCAACCTCTACCTCCTGGGTTCAAGGAATTCTCGTGCCTCAGCCTCCTGGGTAGCTGGGACTACAGGCGCACCACCACACCCAGCTAGTTTTTTGTATTTTGTAGAGACTGGCTTTCACCATGTTGGCCAGGCTGGTCTCGAACTCCTGACCTCAGGTGATCCACCCGCTTCAGCCTCCCAAAGTGCTGGGATTACAGGCATGAGCCACTGCGCCCAGCCAGTAAGTTCCTATTTTACATTTTTCTTGGTTTTTGTTTTTAGACAGAGTTTCACTGTGTCACCCAGGCTGGAGTGCAGTGGCACGATCTTGGCTCACTGCAACCTCTGCCTTCTGGGTTCAAGTGAATCTTGTGCCTCAGCCTCCCGGGTAGCTGGGATTACAGGCGTGTGCCACCACTCCCAGCTAATTTTTGTATTTTTAGTAGAGACGGGGTTTTGCCGTATTGGCCAAGCTGGTTTCGAACTCCTGACCTCAAGTAATCCACCCGCCTGGGCCTCCCAAAGTGCTGGGATTACTGGTGTGAGCCACTGTGTCCGGCCTGGATCCGCTTTTAAGTGAGGCAAAGGCATTCAGGTTACATGGGTCTTTAGGCAAATTTCCTGTTTAATGTTTATTCTTCCAAGTGGAGATGACAAGGGCTTAAACAACAGCAACAACAAAACAATTTGGGGAAGGGTTCAAATCCAGAGGAAGTGAATTGGCTGCCAGCTCTGGGTAGGGCATCATCTAATTTAGCTCCTGGCCCTTCAGATACTTCCTGGGCCTGTAGGGAGCTGTCTTTGGAGCTTTCCCTTGGCCAGCTGCTGAGGTCATGTTTAGCAATTCCAAAGCTTTCTTAGCTCAGAAGAGCTAATTAAAAAATCCTGACTGAAACTCCATGGCTGGGAATCAGGTTAATGTAATTGAAAACCGCCAGTATTAAATGTTTTTCATTGTTTCTCATAAAAGCCAAGGTTGGCTGGGTACAGTGGCTCACATCTATAATCCCAGCAATTTGGGAGGCCAAGGTAGAAGGATCACTTGAAGCCAGGAGTTTGCGACCAGCCTGGGCAACATAGCGAGACACCCACCTCTTAAAAAAAGTCTATAGGCACAATCAGGAGAGTAAAAAAAGTATTTTTTTTTCTTTTTTTGAGACAGAGTCTTGCTCTGTTGCCCAGGCTGGAGTGCAGTGGCATGATCTCGGCTCACTGAAACCTCTGCCTCCTGGCTTCAAGAGATCCTCCTGCCTCAGCCTCCAGAGTAGCTGGAGTTACAGGCCTGCACCACCACGCCTGGCTAATTTTTGTATTTTTAGTAGATACGGGGTTTTGCCATGTTGCCCAGGCTGGTCTTGAACTCCCGACCTCAGGTGATCACCTGCCTTGGCCTCCCAAAGTGCTGGGATTACAGATGTGAGTCACCGTGCCTGGCCGAAAAATGATTAACTTGGGGATTCTAATGGGTCATCAGAAGGTGATTAGGGCACAGCAAATTGCTGGGAAGACTGGTCTTTTTTATTTTGTTTTTAATGGCCTGATGTTCTGGATGTTTTCTCATTGAATGTAGTAGGGTCTCAAAACTTCTGCAAGAGATATACTCTCAAAGTACCCTCAAAGAACAGACAGATCCATTTCCACTCATACAAGAACTGTTAGAATGCGGTAGATATTTTGGAGTGAGAAATGTTATTTTGAAATCAGCTTATGGGCAGGAAGACTTACATCAGGGAATGGGGCTGTTGGCAGCCTTCTCGTCTCCTGACATACTCAGGGCTGACTGCTCTGGCCACACGTTTGCTTTTTAGTGCCTTGAGGAAGTGTGTTGAGTTACATAAAAATTAGCCAGAAAAGATAAAGCCACAGAAAGAGCTTTCCTAGGACCCACCAATGACCTTTGGAAAGCCTGTGATCAGACAGGTGCTGGGGCCAATTTTGCCTATAACTTTAAGGATTTCTATCTGATTGAAGATTATTTCCACCATCCCTGACTCATGTGAACATTTTTCTCCTCTGTGTACTATTTTTTTTTTTTTTTTTTGAGACAGAGTCTTGCTCTGTCACCCAGGCTGGAGTGCAGTGGTGCCATCTCGGCTCACTGCAACCTCCGCCTCCCGGGTTCACGCCATTCTCCTGCCTCAGCCTCCCGAGTAGCTGGGACTACAGGTGCCCACCACCACGCCCAGCTAATTTTTTGTATTTTTAGTAGAGACGGGGTTTCATCGTGTTAGCCAGGATGGTCTCCATCTCCTGACCTCGTGATCCACCCGCCTCGGCCTCCCAAAGTGCTGGGATTACAGGTGTGAGCCACTGCGCCCGGCCTCCTCTGTGTACTCTTTAATAGTAGCCTGTTTAGCGATCTGAGCCCTGCTTCCTTTTGTTAAATAATCAGATGACATTATTATTAACCTTCTCTTCTGCCTTCTATGCCTCTCTTTGAAAAACGAATTTCCTCTCATGCTCTGGTGTTTTCTGGTTACAATAACACACAATGGCTTTTGGTCTTTTTTCTTTGGTCCTGGGTCATTTAGAGCCCTACTTTTTTGGAAGGAAGTATGAGGCAGTGTGAGTTTAATGTCTCTGGCAATACTATCTACTCCTGAGAGAACTAGGAAAATTTGCCTTTATATTTTGTTGCATTTATTTCCTCGGGCAGCTGTCTTCTTCAACCACATTCTCCAAAGAAGGTTATTTTCTTTTCCATCCCAGAATATTGTAACTTGAAAAATAGTAAGATAATATTATTAGCAATGCTGTGTGTGTGGTTCACAAGAATCATTATCTTAACATTAATATTACAGACAAGAATAATTAGTATAATTTGATATTCCTGTCTTTCGCATATAGGAAAATGTAATAAATATTGTTGAATAAGTTAATTCAGTAGCTAAATTATTCTTTACTCAATTTGAACTTGTAGAAATAGTTCACTGACTGGAGAGTGGAGTACTTGCTATTCATGTCTACTTTGCTCCTCCACCCTTCCCCGTATGTAGACTTCTGCCTTTATTAATAGGTCCCTTGCTGGTAGTAACTCAGGAATGTCATACATTTGGATTTTTTTGCTTAGGCAATACATATATATATTTTTTGAGATGGAGTTTCGCCCTTGTCGCCTAGGCTAGAGTGCCCTGGTGCGATCTCGGCTCACTAAGGTACGATTCCTGTACCTCAGCCTTCCAAGTAGCTGGGATTACAGGCGCCCACCACCACGCCTGGCTAATTTTTGTATTTTTAGTAGAGACGGGGTTTCACCATGTTGGCCAGGCTCGTCTTGAACTCTTGACCTCATGATCCGCCCGCCTTGGCCTCCCAAAGTGCTGAGATTACAGAAGTGAACCACCAAGCCTGGTGTCTTTCGGTATTTCTGTATACAGATCAAGCTATAAGCAAATATGTATTTGTACCTGACTGAGAGTTGTTACACAAAAGGTAGCATACCAAACAGGGACTTGGACAGAGACTTGTACACCAATGTTCGTTGCAGCATTATTTACAATAGCCAAAAGATGAAAGCAAGCCAAATGTCCATCAACAGACGAATGGATAAACAAAATGTGGTACATCCATGCAATGAAATGCTAGTACTTAAAAAAAAAATGAAGTTCTGGCCAGGCACAGTGGCTCACGCCTGTGATCCCAGCACTTGCGGAGGTGGAGAGAAGCGGATCACCTGAGGTCAGGAGTTTGAGACCAGCCTGGCCAACA
Source organism: Homo sapiens (assembly GCF_000001405.40). Lineage (NCBI taxonomy): Eukaryota > Metazoa > Chordata > Mammalia > Primates > Hominidae > Homo > Homo sapiens. The sequence goes on along the minus strand of NC_000023.11, from coordinate 44,566,443 downwards.
TGGCGAAATCCTGTCTCTTCTAAAAATTCAAAAATTAGCAGGGCGTGTGGTGCACGCCACTAATCACAGCTACTGGGGAGGCTGAGGCAGGAAAATCCCTTGAACCCAGGAGGCAGAGGTTGCAATGAGCTGAGATTGCGCCACTGCACTAAAATAAAATTAAAAAATAAAATAAAAATGAAGTTCTGATACATGCAATAACAAGGTTGAACCTTAGAAACATTATGCTAAATGAAATAAGCCAGATGCAAAAGGACAAATATTGTATGATTCCACTTATAAGAGATACCTAGAAGAGGCAAATTCAAAGAGACAGAAAGTAGACTAGAGGTTATTAGGAGTTGAGGGGAAGGAGAATGGGGAGTTATTGCTTGATGATTTACAGAGTTTCTGTTTAGGGTGATAAGAAAGTTTTGGAAATAGATAGTCGTGATGTATTGTAGGTGTATTTAATGCCACTGACTTGTACACGTAAAAATAGCAACTTTTACGTTGATTTTATCACAATTTTTTAAAAATAATAGTGTAATATAGTAAAAACTGTACACTTTAAATGGATGAATTGTAGGATATGTGAATTATATGCCAATAAAGCTGTTTAAATTAAAAAAGAGGCCGGGCGCGGTGGCTCACGCCTGTAATCCCAGCACTCTGGGAGGCCGAGACGGGCGGATCACGAGGTCAGGAGATCGAGACCATCCTGGCTAACACGGTGAAACCCCGTCTCTACTAAAAATACAAAAATTAGCCGGGCATGGTGGCGCGCGCCTGTAGTCCCAGCTACACGGGAGGCTGAGGCAGGAGAATGGCGTGAACCCGGGAGGCAGAGCTTGCAGTGAGTCGAGATCGCGCCACTGCACTCCAGCCTGGGCGACAGAGCGAAACTCCGTCTCAAAAAAAAAAAAAAAAAAAAAAAAAACAATAAAAAAGAGCCTGGCGCAGTGGCTCACGCCTGTAATCCCAGCACTTTGGGAGGCCGAAGCAGGCGGATCACGAGGTCAAGAGATTGAGACCATCCTGGCCAACATGGTGAAACCCCATCTCTACCAAAAATACAAAAAAATTAGCTGGGTGTGGTGGCGCACGCCTGTAGTTCCAGCTACTCGGGAGGCTGAGGTAGGAGAATTGCTTGAACCCAGGAGACAGAGGTTGCAGTGAGCCAAGATCGCACCACTGCACTCCAGCCTGGCAACAGAGTGAGACTCCGTCTCAAAAAAAAAAAAAAAAAGGTAGTTGGCTGGGTGTGGTGGCTCATGCCTGTAACCCCAGCACTTTGAGAGGCTGAGATGGGAGGATTGCTTGAGGTCAGGAGTTTGAGATCAGCCTGGTAAACAGTGAGACTCCCATCTCTATTTTAAATAAAATTTTTATATATAAATTTTAAAAATGGAAAAAAAAGCATAACACACTGTTCTGCATCTTGCTTTTTTTCTGATAACAACATATTCTTTTTTTTTTTTTTTGAGAGGGAGTCTTGCTTTGTCGCCCAGGCTGGAGTGCAGTGGCGTGATCTACTACAGGTGTGTGTCACCACACCTGGCTAATTTTTGTATTTTTTGTAGAGACAGGGTTTCACCATGTTGGTCAGGCCAGTCTCATACTCCTGACCTCAAGTGATCCGCCCACCTCAGCCTATCAAACTGCTGGGATTACAGGCATGAGCCACCATGCCTGGCCTATAACAACATATTCTAGACAGTTTCTAGAATATGTTTTCCAAATGGATTTGCTTTCCAAGTCAGGAAACAGAGACCTTCCTCATTCTTATTTATTTAATTATGATAACAGTGATTGAGTAGATATACTATGGTTTATTAACTAGTTCCCTAATGCTGGACACTTTCAGTTGTTTCCAGTCTTCTGCTGTTCTAAACAATGCTACAGGGAATAACCTTGTAGTCATGTGAAGGTATCAAGTGAAAATATCAAGTCTGTTGTTACACTTTTGGGTTTTTGTTAATCTGTTAAGTGAGAATTACCATGTTCAACTACTCTGACTGAGGTTGAGGATTTTTCACATGTGTAAGGCTATGTGTATTTCTTTTTCTGTGAATTGTCTATATGCTCTTTGCTATTCTTTCATTGGGGCGGTTGGTCTTTTTAATCTATCTTTTTAAGAACTTTTATATATATTAGGAAGATTAGTCCTTTCCCTTCTATATGAATTGTAGACATTCTTCCTAATTTGCAATTTGTCTTTTGACTTTGCTTTTTTATGCTAAGTATTAATTTTTATGTAGTTAAATTTATCAATCTTTTGAGTCATTCATAAAAGGCCATCCCCACTGCAAAGTTATAAAGGAATTTTCCCAGATTTTCTTCAAGTGTTTTTATTATTTCAATTTTTTTTCTTTTCTTTCCTTTTTTTTTTTTTTTTTGAGACAGAGTCTCGCTCTGTCACCCAGGCTGAAGTGCATTGATGTGATCCCGGCTCACTACAACCTCTGCTGCCTGGGTTCAAGCAATTCTCTGCCTCAGCCTCCTGAGTAGCTGGGATTATAGGCACCTGTCACCACGCCCGGCTAATTTTTTGTATTTTTAGTAGAGACGGGGTTTCACCAGGCTGGTCTTGAACTTCTGACCTCGTGATCCACCTGCCTTGGCCTCCCAAAGTGCTGGGATTACAGGCGTGAGCCACTGTGCCTGGCCTTTTTTTTTTTTTTTTTTTTTTTGAGACAGAGTCTTGCTCTGTCACCCAGGCTGGAGTGCAGTGGGGCAATCTTGGCTCACTGCAACCTCCACCTCCCGGGTTCAGGGGATTCTCCTGCCTCAGCCTCCTGAGTAGCTGGGATTACAGGCATGCACCATCATGCCCAGCTAATTTTTGTATTTGTTTTTTCGAGATGGAGTCTTGCTCTGTTGCCCAGGCTGGAGTGCAATGGCTCAATCTCGACTCACTGCAACCTCTGCCTCCCGGGTTCAAGTGATTCCTCTGCCTTAGCCTCCCGAGTAGCTGGGAATACAGGCGCATGCCACCATGCCTGGCTAATTTTTTTTATTTTTGTATCTTGTATTTAGTAGAGATGGGGTTTCACCATGTTAGCCAGGATGGTCTCGATCTCCTGACCTCGTGATCCCCCCGCCTCGGCCTCCCAAACTGCTGGGATTATAGGCGTGAGCCACCGTGCCCAGCATATTATTTCAATTTCTACATGTGGATACTTGAGCCATTTGGAGTTCATTCTGGTATATGTTGTGAGGTACAGATGCAGCTGTATCTTTTTCCAGATGTCAGGTATCAGCTTTCATTTTCTGAAAACAGTTTTTAGTAAAGTCCGTCTTTACCTGATTTGAGATTCCACCTTTTTCATATACTCAATTCTGGTATATATTGTCTTTATTCTGTACTTTCCATTTTCTTCCTTTAGTCAGCCTGTCAGTTTGTGCAGTAGTATCGCACTGTTTTAATTATTGACTTTTTACTAATTATATTTTTATATCTGGTCAGACTAGTCCGCTCTTATAGCTTTTACTTTTTAGAGTTTTCCTGGATATCTTTGCTTATTTTTCCACCCAGCACTTTTCTTTCAGGACCTTATAAACCTTTTAGTTCAGCCTAGTGTGGAGATAAATGCCAAAGAGCCTGCATCAGGTCTGCAATGTGATCCATTACACTATCAAGTCTTAATGCCTTTTTAGCAGAGATTGAATAAATGACACAATAAGGCTGGGCACGGTAGCTCACGCCTGTACTCCCAGCACTTTGGGAGGCTGAGGCAGGCGGATAGCTTGAGCCCAGGAGTTCGAGACCAGCCTGGGCAACATAGTAAGACCTCATCTCTACAGAAAATTAAAAAAATAGCCAGGTGTGATGGCATGTTTCTTTAGTCCCAGCTACTCAGCAGGCTGACATGGGAGAATCACTTGAGCCTGGGAGGTCGAGGCTGCAGTGAGCTATGATCAGGCCACCGCACTCCAGCCTGGGTGACAGAGCAAGACCTTGCCTCAAAATAAAATAAAATAAAATAAACAACACAATAAAACTGTATACAATTTGGTATATAATTTTTTTCACTTAAGCATTTTCCTGCTATTACAGTCTTTTTTTTTTTTTTTTTTTTTGAGACGGTGTTTCGCTGTGTCGCCCAGGCTGGAGTGCAGTGGAGCGATCTCGGCTCACTGCAACCTCCGCCTCCCGGGTTCAAGTGACTCTTCTGCCTCAGCCTCCTGAGTAGCTGAGATTACAGGCACGTGCCATCATGCCCGGCTAATTTTGGTATTTTTAGTAGAGACAGGGTTTCGCCATGTTGGCCAGGCTGGTCTCAAACTCCTGATCTTAGGTGATCTGCGTGCCTTGTCCTCCCAAAGAGCTAGGATTACAGCGTTAGGCACCATGCCCGGCCCTACAGTCTTTCTAAACATAACATTCCATAATTTCCTCAACTATTCATCTACTGTTGGACACTTTCCATTTCCCCTATTGTTTCTATTCCTTTTCATTATGATAAAAAAAAATTCAAACAAACAAAAAACACCCCCAAAAAACCAAGCCTACAATAAATATCTTTAAGCATAAGGATTCTTCATACAATTTTGGGCACTGATTTATTTTTATTTTTAAATTTTTATCATATAAGTTGTATTCTTTTTTTTAAATTTTAGATTCAGGGGCTCATGTACAGGTTTGTTACATGGATATACTGCATAATGTTGAGGTTTGGGCTTCTATTGAATCTATCACCCAAATAATAAGCATAGTACCCAATAGGTAGTTTTTCAACCCTTGTGCTCCTCCTCCTTTATGGCACTAATTTTTCTTTTCTTTTTCTTATTCTTTTTCCTTTTTTTTTTTTTTTTTTTTGAGACTGAGTTTCACTCTTGTTACCCAGGCTGGAGTGCAGTGGCGCGATCTCGGCTCACTGCAACCTCCGCCTCCCGGGTTCAAGCGATTCTCCTGCCTCAACCTCTCCAGCAGCCGGGACTACAGGCGTGCATGACCACGCCTGGCTAATTTTGTATTTTTAGTAGAGACTGGGTTTCACCATGTTGGTCAGTCTGGTCTTGACCTCCTAACCTCAGGAAATTCACCTGCCTCGGCCTCCCAAAGTGTTGGGATTACAGGTGTGAGTCACCGTGACCAGCTGGCACTGATTTTTCTTTATAATTTTCTTTGTTTTTTTGTTTGTTTGTTTGTTTGTTTTTTGGGGTTTTTTTTGAGAGATGGGGTCTTGCTATGTTTCCCAGGCTGATCTCAAACGGTTGGGCTCAAGCGAGCCTCCTGCCTCAACCTCCCAAAGTGCTAGGATTACAGGCGTGAGTCACTGTGCCCGGTTTTGGCATAGACTTTTAAGTGAGATTATTGAGGCAAGAGATACGGGCATCTTTAAGACTGCGTATTCACATTACTAAAATTTGTACCTGTTTACATTCTAATATACTAGTATATGCAGTGTCAATTTTACCACACTTTCTTCAATAGCAAATTGATTATCTCAGTCCTTTGTTTGTTTGTTTATTTATTTATTTTGAGATGGAGTCTCGCTCTGTTGCCCAGGCTGGAGTGCAGTGGCATGATCTTGGGTCACTGCAACCTCCACCTCCCGGGTTCAAGCAATTCTCCCTGCCTCAGCCTCGCGAGCAGCTGGGATTACAGGCGCCCAGCACCACGCCCAGCTAATTTTTGTATTTTTTGTAGTAGGGATGGGGTTTCACCATGTTGGCCAGGCTGGTCTCGAACTCCTCACCTCAAGTGATCCACCCGCCTTGGCCTCCCAAAGTGTTGGGGTTACAGGAGTGAGCCACTGCCCTGGCCTAATTATCTTAGTCCTTTGAAGAGTCACTTAGGACATTTAAAATCATGTAAATGTGGGGTGAGCGGGCCCCATTGTGTTAGGATTAGGGTGGAACAAGTTCATTTACAAAATAAGTTTTGCACAAGCTTTCTCCCTCTTGGAATGCTGATATGGTTTGGGGAAGAGTCAATTTATTTACATAGGGGCCCAGGTGTCTTCTGGGAGTTAATAACTACTAGTCCCCCTTCCCCCTTCAAAAAACACTTGTGGAGGCCGGGCACGATGGCTCACGCCTGTAATCCTAGCATTTTGGGAGGCCAAGGCAGCTGGATCACCTGAGGTCAGGGGTTCGAGACCAGCCTGGCCAACATGGTGAAACCCCGTCTCTACTAAAAGTACAAAAATTAGCCAAGTGTGGTGGCATGCACCTGTAGTCCCAGCTACTCGGGAGGCTGAGGCAGGAGAACTGCTTGAACCCAGGAGACAGAGTTTGCAGTGAGCCGAGATTGTGCCACTGCACTCCAGCCTGGGCGACAGAGCGAGACTCTGTCTCAAAACAAACAAACAAACAAACAAACAAACAAAAAACACTTGTGGAGATTTGAATTATGAACATCTATAGTGGTAGATGAGGGTGCCACTGATGAAAGCCCAGTGTCTTAAATAACCATTCAGAGTCTTGAAATGAGGTTGCCAGAAAAGTTAAGAGAAATGGAACTAATGGGTAAGCCTCAGCACAGAATAGGAAGAAGAGATAAAGGCCCTTGATTCCAGAGGCTGAGAAAACACGGAGAGAGGGAGAGCTGCAAAGTTCTTTTAATTTAGTCCAGCACAGGAAGACTACTTACAAATAGCATTTTGTTTGATTTTCATAGCAGTTCTAGGGGTTGAGGTTCTTGCTTCTGTATGTATGACCTTCCTTCTCCAACCCCTAGCTTGAACTTCTGGTTAGTACCTGGGGAACACACAGAGAGCAGAAAGCAGCCGAGGAACTGTATTAGCCTGCCTGTGCTGCCATAAAAAAATATTACAAGCAGTTGGCTTATAAACAACAGACATTTGGCTGGGTGCGGTGGCTCACGTCTGAAATCCCAGCACTATGGGTGGCCGAGGTGGGTGGATCACCTGAGGTGAGGAGTTCGAGACCAGCCTGGCCAACATGGTGAAACCCTGTCTCTGAAAATATACAAAAATTAGCCAGGCATGGTGGCATGCTCCTGTAGTCCCAGCTACTGGGAAGGCTGTGGCAGGAGAATTGCTTGAACCAGGAGACAGAGTTTGCAGTGAGCTGATATTGCATTGCTGCACTCCAGCCTGGGTGATAAAGTGAGACTCTGTCTCAAAAAACAAGCAAGCAAGCAAACAAACAAAGAAACAAACAAAACCAAACATTTATTTTCTCACAGTTCCAGAGTCTGGAAGTCCAAGATCAAGGTGCCGGCAGGGCTGGGTTCTGGTGAGGACTCTCTTCCTGGTTTGCAGATGGCTGTCTTCTCACTGTGTCCTCACATGGCCAATTCTCTGTGTGCCCATGGACAGAGGGAGAGCTCTCTGGTAGATGAGGGTGGCCCTGATGAGGTGGTACTTACTCTCCTTGTAAGGGCACCAGTCCTGTTGGATTAGGGTCCCATCCTTATGATCTCATTTAACATTAATTACTTCCTTAAGGGCCCTGTCTCCATTGGTGGGTAGGGCTTTACATATAAATTTTGAGGGGACACAATTTAGTCCATAACAGAAACCTTAGCAGGGTAGCTGGGATCTCTAGATTTCTTGCTAACACTGGTACTTGGGGCAGAGAGGTGGAGAATACCAGAATTGACTGTGGAATATTACACATAGAATTGGGAGTTGGGAGTTGGAGGCCAGGTGCAGTGGCTCACGCCTATAATCCCAGCACCCTGGGAGGCGGAGGAGGTGGAGGTTGCAGTGAGCTGAGATCACATCACTGTACTCCAGCTTGGGCGACAGAGCGAGACTCCATCTCAAAAAAAAAAAAAAAAAAAAAAAATCCAGCTCTGTCCTTCCTAGCTTTGTCTTTGGAAAAGGCGTATAAACTAAAAATAAAATTCCAAGCCCCACAACGGACTGAACTGACCATCTCTTGGCCAGCGGGACTGTAGAATAATCTTGGAAACTGAGTTCTCAGTCACGATGGGATAAGAGACTAGCTATCCCTTGTTATACCCCAACCCTGGGTAACCACAGTTAGGCTTTCTTCCCTAAAGGCTGAACAGAAACCAGCCCTTTCAAAGGACTCCACTATTGATTGATATCAACCAACTGCCTGCTGCTGCTTCTCCTTTTTCACCTGATAAGAGATCACTTATCATGGGCCAAATGCGGTGGCTCATGCCTGTAATCCCAGCACTTTGGGAGGCCGAGGTGGGCGGATCACTTGAGGTCAGGAGTTCGAGACCAGTCTGGCCAATGTGGTGAAACCCCATCTCTACTAAAAATACAAAAATTAGCCGGGCATGGTGGCGGGCACTTGTAATCACAGCATTTTGGGAGGCCGAGGTGGGCAGATCACGAGGTCAGGAGTTCGAGACCAGCCTGGCCAACATAGTGGAACCCCGTCTCTACTAAAAATCGGAAAATTAGCTGGACGTGGTGGCGGGTGCCTATAGTCCCAGCTATTGGGGAGGCTGAGGCAGGAGAATCGCTTGAACCCAGGAGGCGGAGGCTGCAGTGAGCCGAGATCTCACCACTGCACTCCAGCCTGGGTGACAGAGCAAGACTCCGTCTCAAAAAGAAAAGAAAAAAGAAAAAAAGTAAAAAAGAATTGGGAGTTGGAGCCTAGCGCAGTGGCTCATGCCTGTAATCCTAGCACTTTGGGAGGCTGAGGTGGGCGGATTGCCTGAGCTCAGGAGTTTGAGACCAGCCTGAGCAACATGGTGAAACACTGTCTCTACTAAAAATACAAAAAGTTAGCCGGGTGTTGTGGCAGGTGCCTGTAATCCCAGCTGCTCCGGAGGCTGAGGCAGAAGAATCACTTGAACCCAGAAGCAGAAGTTGCAGTGAGCTGAGATCATGCCATTGCACTCCAGCCTGGGTGTCAGAGTGAAACTCTGTCTCAAAAATAAATAAATAAATAAATAAAATTAAAAAAATTGGGAGTTGGAAGTGAGTTTAGAAATCTAATCTTTATTTTGTAGTTAAGGGAGGCCAAAAGAACTCCGAAGAGTTGTCTAAATTAAATTTGGGACTTCATTCAATAGATTATTGATTATGTATGTTAGGCCTTAGGCCCTTTACATTTCTTTCCCAGCACTAATTACAATCTGTATTTATCTGTTTTACTTTGATCCTGTATGTGATGGTTAATATTAGGTATCAATTTGATCAGATTGAAGAATGCCTAGATAGCTGTTAAAGTAATGTTTCTGGGTATATCTGTGAGGGTGTTGCCAGAGACTCAAATGTTGACATTTGAGTCAGTGGGCTGGAAGAGGAAGACCCATCCTCAATGTGGGTGGGCACCACCAATGGGCTGCCAGCATGACTAGAACAAAGCAGGTGGAAGAAGGTGGGATAAGCTGGCTTGCTGAGTTTTCTGGCTTTCATTCTTTTTTCTTTTTTTTTGGAGACAGAGTTGTGATCACTCTGTTGCCCAGGCTGGAGTGCAGTGGCACAATCTTGGCTCCCTGCAACCTTAGCCTCCTGGGTTCAAGCAATTCTCCTGCCTCAGCCTCCCGAGTAGCTGGGACCATAGGCATGCACCACCATATCTGGCTAATTTTTGCATTTTTAGTAGAGACGGGGTTTCACTATGATGGCCAGGCTGGTCTCGAACTCCTGACCTCAAGTGATCCACCGGTCTTGGCCTTCCAAAGTGTTCGGATTACAGGCATGAGCCACCACACCTGGCCGTGACTCTTCTGGCTTTCATCCTTCTCTCAGGCTGGATGCTTCCTTCCATTCCTCCTGCCCTTGGACATCAGACTCCAGGTTCTTTGGCCTCTGGACTCCTGGACTTATGCCAGTGGTTTCTCGGGGGCTCTCGGGCCTTCATCCACAGACTGAAGGCTGCACTCTTGGCTTCCTTGCTTTTGAGGCTTTTGGACTCAGATTGAGCCACTACTGGCTTCTTCCTTCCCCAGCTTGCAGATGGCCTATGGTGGGACTTTGCCTTGTGATCGTGTGAGCCTATTCTCCTTAATAAACTCCCTTTCATATACACATATATCCTACTAGCTCTGACCCTCTGGAGAACCCTGACTAATACACCCTAACATCTAGGAAGATAACTAGCTTATCTTGTTTGCTGATCGATCACTGACAGTGCCTAGCACACTGCCTAGCCCTTTGGAAGTGCACAATAAACATTTGGTGAGTGAATAAATGACTGAATAATAAAAGCTAACCTTTCATGAATATTCATTATGAGCCACGTTCAAAACTCAACATACTTGAGTTTATTATCTTATGTTCAATTCACCTTTCTAAGTTTTGAGAGGAGGCTAATACCTGTCAGCTGAAAATGATGAGGTTTATACATTTGGAAAGGAGAGCCTTATTTCTCATAAAGGGTTGTAGCCTGCAGGGGTAGCCATTCTGATAGATTGGGAAGCATAGTCTCCAGCCAGAAGCCAGAAACAGACACTTTGAGGGAGGAACAAAGGAAAGAGGAATTTATGCTGAATGGGGTGATCAAATATACATATTTAATAAACTATAGGAGGGGTCACGAATATGTATGAGAGAAACCTGTGCATGCACAATTGATCTTTATCCCTCTCTATGGGACCCATGTACGAAAAACGGAGGTGTTAGCATTATCTGAGGTAGGAGTTTTTGGCCCTCTTACCTCAAAAGGTGAAGCAGAATACAGGAAAACCTTTACTGTGGCCGGTCCATAGACCGGCCAGAACCACTGCATGGTAAGTGATATCTTTTTTTTTTTTTTTTTTGAGATGGAGTTTCACTCGTCACCCAGGCTGGAGTGCAATGGCGCAATCTCGGCTCACTGAAACCTCTGCCTCCCGGGTTCAAGCGATTTTCCTGCCTCAGCCTTCTGAATAGCTGGGATTACAGGTGCCCGCCACCATGCCTGGTTAATTTTTGCATTTTTAGTAGAAACGGGGTTTCACCATGTTGGCCAGACTGGTCTCGAACTCCTGATCTCAGGTGATCTGCCCATCTAGACCTCTCAGAGTGTTGGGATTACAGGTGTGAGCCACTGGGTTCGGCCCATGATAAGTGATCTCTTATCAGGCGAAAAAGGAGGAGAAGCAGCAGGCGATTGGTTGATATCAATCAATAGTGGAGTCCTTTGAAAGGGCTGGTTTCTGTTCAGCCTTTAGGGAAGAAAGCCTAACTGTGGTTACCCAGGGTTGGGGTATAACAAGGGATAGCTAATTTCTTATCCCATCATGACTGAGAACTCAGTTTCCAAGATTATTCTGCAGTCCCGTTGGCCAAGAGATGGTCAGTTCAGTCCGTTGTGGGGCTTGGAGTTTTATTTTTAGTTTATACGCCTTTTCCAAAGACAAAGCTAGGAAGGACAGAGCTGGATTTTTTTTTTTTTTTGAGATGGAGTCTCGCTCTGTCACCCAAGCTGGAATGCAGCGGTGCGATCTCGGCTCATTGCAACCTCCGCCTCCCGGGTTCAAGTGATTCTCCTGCCTCAGCCTCCTGAGTAGCTGGGATTACACATGTGCCATCATGCCGGCTAATTTCTGTCTTTTTAGTAGAGACGGGGTTTCACCATGTTGGTCAGGCTGGTTTCGAACTCCTGACTTCGTGATCCACTGGCCTCAGCCTCCCAAAGTGCTGGAATTACAGGCATGAGCCACCACACCTGGCCCAGAGTTGGAATTTGTACTCATGTCTGGCTGATCCCAAAGTTCATCCACATGCTTAGTCAAAATGCTGAACTGCCTGCTTGAAATTCAACACAAGGTAGGTAGGAAGGTCTTTGGGAGAAATAGAAAAAAACTGTAGAATTTACTTTTTAAGATACATCTTAAAACATGTCTGGGCTGGATGTGGTGGATAATGCCTGTAATTTCAGCACTGGGAGGCAGAGGCGGGCAGACTGCTTGAGCTCAGGAGTTCAAGTCCAGCCTGGGCAAGATGGCAAAAACCCATCTCTACAAAAAATACAAATAATTAGCCAGGCATGGTGGCATGCACCTGTAGTCCCAGCTACTTGGGGAGGCTTGAGGCAGGAGAATCCCTTGAGCCCAGGAAGTTGAGGCCACAATAAGCCACCTTGTTCATGCCACTGCACTCCAGCCTGGGTGACAAAGTAAGACTGTCTCAAGAAAGAAAATTAAAAAAATGCATGTCTGGGTGTTGCCAGGCAGATAAGAGCCATTGTTTTAAGATAGAGGAAAGAGCATGAGCCAAGCCATGGAAGTTGGAAAAAGCAATGCGTATTCAGAAAACTTAGTAAGTTTAGTAGACCTAGAAGAGAAGGAATCTTGAAGCAAGCTGCAGCAGGAGACCAGAGAGGTAATTTGGGTCCAAAATGTGAAGAGTCCTATATGCCAGATGTAAACCAAAAATAAAATTCTAAGTCCCCAACCAACTAAATGGACCCATCCTCTTGGCCAAGGGCATTCCAAAGTTAACCTGAAAACCCAGTTCAGGACATGCCTCATGATATCCTCCTCCCTCTGGAATTCAGGCACAACTGACCAGCATTAACATTAAAACAGAGCTCTTAAGACTGATCAAACAGACTCTTTGTAGCAATAAGATACCAAATTCCTACCTGACTCTAGTATAGCATCATGTGACCGATAGCAGGCCCTGAAATAAATTGAAATATTTTATCCTAAAATATATTTTTGACATATTTTGAAATAGTCCTGTAAAGCTGTCTCTTGTGGGGAAAATCTACATTCTGTTGAGCATCCCCTTCCCTTTCCAGGTCTTTTCTCTGATCCAGGAGAGAATTATCTAAGAGTCTGGCACTTTAAATGTTACAACCTATTTTCTCTGAAGCCTGCTACCTGGAAGCTTCATCTGTGTAATAAGGACCTTGGTCTCCGCAACCCCTTATCAACCTAGACATTCCCTTCTATTGATTCCATTGATTCCAGGTTTTTAGATAATAACTTTTTCAACCAATTGCCAGTTAGAACATCTTTGAATCCACCTATGACCTGGAAGTTCCCTCCCTTCCCACCCTTCCAATTGACCTGCCTTTCAATACTGAACTAATGTACATTGTGAAAGGAAAATATCTTGGGCCCCCAAAATCACTAAGCAAAACTCAAGCTGGAAACTGCTTAGGGCTTTGGCTTGGAATCCATCTCTTCAAATATTTTACAGAATTTGACTCTTTTCCTCAACACGGGGATCAGCAAACCAAGACTTGTAGGTCAAATATTCCCCACTCCTATTTTTGTGGAGTCTGTGTAGAGAACTGTTTTTACATTTTTAGGGAATTGTTGGGAAAAAAAAAAAGAATATGGGACGAAGACCATAGATGGCTAACAAACCCTAAAATATTTACTATCTGGTACTTTACAACAAAATTTGCCACACACTGCAGTGTGCCAGAAATTTAGACTTTATTTTGTAAAGACTTTATCCTGTAAGGGACAAGTGTTGCCAGGTATTCAAGTAGAGAAAGGATGTCTACCTGTGAGAGAAAAGGAAGGGGAAGGGATAAAGCGAGCCTGAATTTTGTCTTTTTCTTTTGGGTAGCTTCAAAGACAGAGGCAGTTGTTTGGGAGTGGGTGAATATGTAGATGATTCAGTGTAGATATCTAGCAGGGTGTGACAGGTGTAGCCAAGGTGGGGAGGTAAGATTGTTCAGGGAGTGGGAAATGTTCTGGTTGTTGTCCTGTCAGCTTTTTGTTTTTCTCAATTCTCACTAAATTGTTTTCAACAACTGACGTTTCCAAAGACGAGACCTTGAGGAAAGCTAGAGATCAGGAAGGGATGATCAGGCTTCGTGATAGCTTCATTATGGATTAAAGAGAATATATTCTCTATTTCAAATAAATTACTCATAAACTTTTGGAATTATATTCTAGTGTAGTCATAGAGAAGATACCAGTGTTCACAATGAAAGTATTTATTAATACTGGCTGGGCCCGGTGGCTCACGCCTGTAATCACAGCACTTTGGGAGGCCGAGGTGGGCAGATCACCTGAGGTCACGAGCTCGAGACCAGCCTGGCCAATATGGTGAAACCCCATCTCTACTAAAAAATACAAAAATTAAGCCCGGTGCGGTGGCTCACGCCTGTAATCCCAGCACTTTGGGAGGCCGAGGCGGGCAGATCATGAGGTCAGGAGATTGAGACCATCCTGGCTAACACAGTGAAACCCCGTCTCTACTAAAACTACAAAAAATTAGCCGGGCGTGGTGGCGGGCGCCTGTAGTCCCATCTACTCAGGAGGCTGAGGCAGAAGAATGGTGTGAACCCGGGAGGCGGAGCTTGCAGTGAGCCGAGATCGCACCACTGCACTCCAGCCTGGGCGACAGAGCGAGACTCCGCCTCAAAAAAAAAAAAAAAATTAGCATGTACCGCCATGCCTGTAGTTCCAGCTGCTCGGGAGGCTGAGGCAGGAGAAATCACTTTACCCCTGGAGATGGAGGTTGCAAAGAGCTGAGATCGCGCCATTACACTCCAACCTGGGCGACAGAGTGAGACTCCATCTCAAAAAAAAAAAGTATTAATGCTGACTGAAAAAAAAAATACACTATTTAAAATGGGAATAATAATAATAAAAAACACTCTTTTGAACACATCCTGAGGGTTATAGTGCTTTGTAAAGTTTGTGTATAAAATTAACGCATTAAACCACTCGTCACTCAGCCAACAAAATGACAGCTTTTTCACTACTGGTAAAGAAAAAATCCACACTAGAAAAATACATTATACAGCCAACTTCTGTAAGGTAATGACAAGGGCATATTATCCCAAGATGGAAGGGAAAAATGCTAAAAACTTCTTTCTCAGCCCTCAAAGACTTTAGAGAAATGATTGCTTTTTAATTCATTTGTGGATACATTCTGGATACATTTTAGGCAAAACGATCTATTCTTTGGCATTGTCAAAAAACAAAATTGCAACAGATTTAGTTTAAAGATCATAATTGGCTCTAATTTGTGATTCTAGAATCAGGCAACATCTCATTCTATAAAGTAAAATCAGTGTTCTGATGGGCTGAGCAGAGGAGGTTGGCTTTATTATAGACAGAACCTGGCTGAGGAAAGCAGATACAGGGAACAGAAAGCAGATTGGTTGTTTGAAAGTTACTTTCCAGTCCAGGCGCGGTGGCTCATGCCTGTAATCCCAGCACTTTGGGAGGCTGAGGCGGGCGGATCACATGAGGTCAGGAGTTCAAGACCAGCCCGGCCAACATGGCAAAACCCCGTCTCTACTAAAAATACAAAAATTAGCCAGGCATGGTGGTGCATGCCTGTAATCCCACCTACTCAGGAGGCTGAGACAGGAGAATTGCTTGAACTCAGGAGGTGGAGGTCGCAGTGAGCCGAGATCGCACCACCTCACTACAGCCTGGGCAACAGAGAAAGACTGTCTCAAAAAAAAAAAAAAAAAAGAAAAGAAAAAGAAAGTTACTTTCCTTGTAAAGGTTAAAGCAAAGGGGACTATTTGGGGATTTGGCTATTATCTCTCTCCTGATTTCTTGGAAGGTCAAAAGATTTCTTGGCTTTTTGGTGGTATGGAACTTCCACATGAGTGACTTTATTTTGCTTTGGTCTGTTGGTCCTAGTGCGGGAGTTCAGTCCAAACCAAAGGCCTCCTATAAATTTTATTCTATTTTCATTTATATTTATTTATTATTATTTTTTAAGACAAGTTCTCTCTCTGTCACCCAGGCTAAAGTGCAGTGGCACAATCAGATATCACTGCAGCCTCAACCTCCTGGGCTCAAGTGATCCTCCACCTCAGCCTCCTCGTGTAGCTGGGACTACAGGCACGTGCCACCATGCCCGCCTAATATTTTTATTTTTTGTAGAAATGGGGTCTCACTGTATTGCCCAGGCTGGTTTAGAATTCCTCAACTCAAGCAATCCCTCCACCCTGGCCTCCCAAAGTGCTAGGATTGCAGGCGTGAGCCACTGCACCGGCATATACATTTTATTTAACAGCATTTTAAGAGGAATATTTCTTAAAAAATTCTCTTCCTCATTTCTCCATAGCCATTTGATTCTAACTACCATATACTTGATAGGTAAGTGACTTCTTTCTGTAGTTGGCAGATATTGCTAGAAATATTGTAACCACCCAAGGGGTTCACCTTGCCCGCTGCCTACACAGAGCAAATTTATCAAGACAGGGAACTGCAGTAGAGAAAGAGTAATTCATGCAGAGCCAGCTGTGTGGGAGACTGGAGTTTTATTATTACTCAAATCAGTCTCCCTGAGCATTCAGGGAGCAGAGTTTTTTGTTGTTGTTGTTTTTTCTTTTTAGAGGAGTTTTGCTCTTTTTGCCCAGGCTGTAGTGCAATGGCGCAATCTCGGCTCACTGCAACCTCCGCCTCCCGGGTTCAAGGGATTCTCCTGCCTCAACCTCCCAAGTAGCTGGGATTACAGGTGCACACCACGACACCTGGCTAATTCTGTATTTTTAGTAGAGATGGGGTTTCACCATGATGGCCAGGCTGGTCTTGAACTCCTGACCTCAGGTGATCCACCCACCTCGGCCTCCCAAAGTGTTGGGATTGCAGGTGTGAGCCACCGTGTCCGGCCTGGGAAGCAGAGTTTTTAAGGATAACTTGGTGGGTAGGGGGGATGCCAGTGAGCCAGGAGTGCTGATTGGTCAGAGATTAAATCATAAGGAGTCAAAGTTGTCTTCTTGCACTGAATCAGTTCATGGGTGGGGGCCACAAGATCAAATGAGCCAGTGTATCAATCTGGGTGGTGCCAGCTGATCCATCAAGTGCAGGGTCTGCAAAATGTCTCTAGCACTGATTTTAGGAGTAGTTTATGGAGGGTCAGAATGTAGTAGCCTCCAGCTGCATGACTGCTAAACCATAATTTCTAATCTTGTGGCTAATGTTTGTCTACAAAGGCAATCTAGTCCCCAGGCAAAAAGGAGGTCTGCTTTGGGAAAGGGCTGTTATCATCTGTTTTTTGTTTTGTTTTGTTTTGTTTTGTTTTTTTTGAGGTGGAGTCTCACTCTGTCACCCAGGCTGGACTGCAGTGGCGTGATCTTGGCTGACTGCAACCTCCACCTGCCAGTTTCAGGCGATTCTCCTGCCTCAGCCTCCCAAGTAGCTGGGATTACAGGCGTGCACCAACATGCCTGGCTAATATATATATATATTTTTAATTTTTAGTAGAGACAGGGTTTCGCCATGTTGGCCAGGCTGGTCTCAAACTCTTGACCTCAAATGATCCGCCTGCCTTGGCCTCCAAAGTGCTGGGATTACAGGCGTGAGCCACCACACCTGGCTGTGGTCTTTAAACTATAAACTTAGTTTCTCCCAAAGTTAATTCAGCCTATGCCCAGGAATGAACAAGGACAGCTTGGAGGTTAGAAGCAAGATGGAGTCGGTTAAGTTAGATATCTTTCACTGTCTCCTCATAATTTTGCAAAGACGGTTTCAATATGTCAGTGTTATTTGGATGTCATTGGCCCTGTCAACCCTCCATTTTACTCTTCCAATTTATTGTTTTCCTTTCTCTTGTTTTTTTTTCCCTTTCTCTTCTTTCAGTGGCCCATCATTTGCTACTTCTCTATTTGTTAGCACCTCATTAAGAATGGGTTGGCAACGGGAAAGAAGGAGTGTACGAATTCAAATCTGTAATTTTTGGAAAAATATTTCAGAGAGGAGACTTGAAGCTATGTCCCGTAATGTCGTTTTGTTTTTGAAAAGTGGAGTCATACACAAAGTAACTGTCTTTTAAATAAACATTAACTTCTCTAGCCAGTCTTAGAATTGCATGTTGAGGGCTACAGGCTGAGGAACTTTGGGGAACCAACCCTTGTATCTAAAGTGCCAGGATTTTCTTAAATCATATTTGCCTTAATGGTTATTTCCTTGATTCACATCTTTTTTTTTTTTTTTTTTTTTTTTGAGACAGGGTCTCTCTGTAGCGTCAACCTCCTAGGTTTAAGCAATCCTCCCACCTCAGCTTCCCGAGTAGCTGGGACCACAAGTGTGCGACACCATGTCTGGCTAATTTTTTATATTTTATTTTTGAGATGGAGTCTCGCTCTGTCTCCCAGGCTGGAATGCAGTGGCATGATCTCGGCTCACTGCAACCTCTGCCCTCCTGGGCTCAAGAGATTATCCAGCCTCAGCCTCCTGAGTAGCTGTGACTACAGGTGTGTGCCACCGTGTCTGTCTAATTTTTTAATTTTTAGTAGAGACCGGGTTTCACCACGTTGGCCAGGCCCATTTCGAACTCCTGATCTCAGGTTATCTGCCCACCTCGGCCTCCCAAAGTGCTGGCAGTACAGGCATGAGCCACTGTGCCCAGCCAATTTTTTTTTTTTTTGTTTTGTAGAAACGGGGGTCTCCCTATGTTGCCCAGGCTGGTCTCAAAGTCCTGGGCTTAAGTGATCCTCCTGTCTCAGCCTCCCAAAGTGGGATTACAGGCCTGAGCCACCACACCCAGCTGCTGATTCATACTTTAAAAAATCCGTGTCACACATGAGAATTAAATTCTGATTTTTTTATCTTGCCCAAATTGCTATCTAAGGGGTCTGGGGAGTCATGCCCTACAAATCATAAATTCTCATCAGATGGGTTTTATTTAACCCTATACATTGTGACTTACTTTCCAAACTGACTCTGGCCTAACATTACAAGACAAAGAAGAAAATCAAATGTTTTACCCCAAAATGTTTCTTTGCCATATTTTGAAATGGCCTACAAAGCTGTTCTTTGTGGGGGAAAATTTGCATCTGTAAAGAATCTATATTAACATAGCTAGATATTTTTCTTCCAAACCCTCCTAATCCTAAAGAAATTAACTAAAATCTGAATAGGAAACATTTGTCATCTATTGTTTCTAAGGGCAGCCACTATAAGACTTCATAAGACTTCAAAAGAACTTTGGTCTCCACAGTCTTTATCTTAACCTGAACATTCCCTTTCTATGAATCCCAGGTCTTTAGATAAACTCAACCAATTCTCAATCAGAAAATGTTTAAGTTCACCTACAGCCTGGAAGCCCCCGTTTTGAGTTGTCCTGCCTTTCTGGACCAAACCAATGTATTTCTTTTTTTCTTTTTTTTTTTTGAGATGGAGTCTCTCTCTGTCACCCAGGCTGGAGTGCAGTGGCACAATCTCAGCTTGCTGCAACCTCCACCTCCCAGGTTCAAGTGATTCTCCTGCCTCAGCCTCCCAAGTAGCTGGGACCACAGGCATGTGCCACCACGGTTAGCTAAGTTTTGTATTTTTAGTAGAGACGAGGTTTCACCATGTTGGCCTCCCAAAGTGCTGGGATTACAGGCCTGAGTCACCATGCCGGGCCTCCAGTGTATTTCTTAAATGTATTTGATTGATGTCTCATGCCTCTCTAAAATGTATAAAACCAAGCTGCATCCTGACCACCTGGGGCCCATGTTCTCAGGACCTCCCGAGGGCTGTGTCATAGGCCATGGTCACTTATATTTGGCTAAGAATAAAGCTCTTCAAATATTTTACAGAGTTTGACTCTTTTCGTTGACAAACATAAATATGCAGTAAGTCCTCACTTAACTTTCAAAATAGACCTATGATTTCTATTTAGCGAATTGAGAGTAAATCTTATAGAACTATATAGTCAATTTAACAATTTTTCACCAACGTCCTGAAATAATCACTTTAATCACTTTCAAGGTCTGATTTAAAATCTTGAATAAGGCATATTCCTTGGTCCCATTCTCAATTTAGGTGTGAGTTTGAAGAGGCACAGGGTGAGTATAGGTTTGGTTACACTAATGTTTTAAAAATTTTATATAGTCATTAGTCACTATGTCTGGATAAAATGTTGTTTCTTGGGATCAGCAACACAATGAACTTAATTGCCTAAGAATGAACACATTATTTCAGTGTGTCTGTATTCATTAGACCACCCTATTAATGTCCAAAGTTTCCAATATCCTCACTTTTGAGATACTTCAGTCTCTCATTTATTATTATTATTATTATTATTGAGATGGAGTCTTGCTCTGTCTCACCCAGGCTGGAATGCAGTGGCGTGATTTCGGCTCACTGCAGCCTTCGCCTCCTGAGTTCAAGCAATTCTCCTGTCTCAGCCTCCTGAGTAGCTGGGGCTACAGGCGTGCGCCACCATACCCGGCTAATTTTTGTATTTTTTTTAGTAGAGACGGGGTTTCACCATGTTGGCCAGGCTGGTCTCGAACTCCTGACATCAAGTGGTCCTCCCGCCTCGGCCTCCCAAAGTGCTGGGATTACAGGCATGAGTCACCAAGCCCAGCTCTCATTTATTATTATTATTATTATTTTCAAGATGGAGTTTTGCTCTTGTCACCCAGGCTGGAGTGCAATGGTGTGATCTCGGCTCACTGCAACCTCCGCCTCCCGGGTTCAAGTGATTCTCCTGCTTCAGCCTCCCGAGTAGTTGGGATTATAGGTGCCCACCACCACACCCAGCTAATTTTTTGTATTTTTAGTAGAGACGGGGTTTCTCCAAGTTGGTCAGGCCGGTCTCAAACTCCCGGCCTCAGGTGATCCACCTGCCTCGGCCTCCCAAAGTGCTGGGATTACAGGAGTGAGCCACGGTGCCCAGCCCAATCTCTCATCTTAATTGTGTTCTTTTTTGGCTATGTGTTTAGACAGTTTGTGGTCCTCTCCTCCATCCTCTTCCCTCAACTGTAAAAAGTAAAATAGAGGTTCCTCTTCAAAGACGTTCCTCCCGGTCTAATTAGGAATAAATGGTAACTTCTTTTAAAAGCAAAATTTATTCAAAGACCTGTGCTAACATTCTTAAATATCTGCTAGCCATAATAAAGGAATCAATGTATTTTATCTTCTTATCTCCTACAATTTAGCCTCAATATTTGCCCTGGCATGCTTATACTGGTCCAAGCAAGCATTAGGTCATAGCTTGTTCCTCTTCCTTATTTAAAAGTGTTTTTATCTTTCTCAGCATTCCACAAGTTACTTCCTCTTTCCTTTGTTCTCCTCTACCTTTGCCTCTTTTAAAAACTTCCAAGTTGCTAGCCAATCAAGACAAATACAGAATGTGAGGTCCCGTTCCAGCCAGTGGAAACCGGACACAGCAGTAAGGTAGACGCGTCAGGTTATAAATGACCCTGTGTCCTTTGTTCAGTGTACTCTTGTGGCAAAACTGCTAGCGAGTGTTCCCTTTCTGCAAAAAGTAAAAATGGCCTTACTAAATAAATTAAATTTATGTTCAAGTGCTATTTCTTTATGGCACCGGAGAACAAGCATTTCAAACACAACCTTGCAAACCACCTCCATGAACATTAATTTAAATAAAGTGATTGCCAGGATTGTCCACATGCTTTTGCTATCTCTACACAGTGAAATTATACTGGGTCGTAGCAAAAGAGAATTTGATTTTCCAATCAGTTTTAAATTAAAATAAAACATAATTGAAGCTAACAGGCTAATTAGTTGCAGAGATATGGTAAGAAATAAAGGGAGACAAGTTACTCAATAGTTACTAGAAATTAGTATCATAATACAAATGATAATGAAGGTAAGCCATTCAATTTATAGGGATTTTACATGCTTAGGAAAATTCCTTTCCCAGTCAACAAATGACAAAACATAAACTTGCAAGCTATGTGTTAAGTTGGTGCAAAAGTAATTGTGGTTTGCTATTAAAAGTAATTAATAAATAAGAATATTAATAAATGGGCATATTGTAAAAAGAAATAATAAAGTGCCAGGATTTGAAAAGCCAAGTGCATCTATGCAAGCCAATTTTTAAAGTAATGCAATTTATGCCAGAATTCCTTGTTTTTCCATTAAAATGAATACTGAGAGGACTTTTGTTTAATTGTACAGCAGATGCGGGTGCAACGCAAGTTCAAGACAAGTTTCTGGGTTGGTTTATGTGGACTTGGGTTAGCTGCTTGGTGATCAATATGGCTTTGTATTCATAGAATCCCATGGGGTTTCTGGGTGAAGACCTTGACCTTGTTCCTCTGTCAGATTTAAATAATAAGAATGATGCTGGCCGGGTACGGTGGCTCACCCCTGTGATCCCAGCACTTTGGGAGGCCCAGGTGGGTGGATCACTGAGATCAGGAGTTCGAGACCAGCCTGGGCAACATGGTGAAACCCCCTCTCTACTAAAAATACAAAAATTAGCCGGGCGTGGTGGCACGTGCCTGTAATCCCAGCTCCTTGGGATGTTGGGAGGCTGAGGCAGGAGAATCACTTGAATTCGGGAGGTGGAGGTTGCAGTGAGCCGAGATTGTGCCATTGCACTCCAGCCTGGGCAACAGAGCGAGATTCCATCTCAAACAAACAAACAAAAGAATGACACTAAAAAATTATGTCCTCTTGCCAGGTCAGGAATTACGAGGTTTCTAGGCCTTTCTTTACCTCCTTTGGATTCCTGGCAGGAACTCAAGAGAGAGAGCAGGTAAACAGATTCCAACTTCTAGCAGCAGGGCATTAGAAAACTTGTGGTCCCTTTGTGAGCGCTTGCGCCCTTAGAAAAGTATGGCTTGAAACAGGGTTTCTCTTATCTTTTACAAGCCTTTTTCCTCAAGCATTTGAATTCTGGTAATGTTCAAAATACTGTTAAAAAATTATTCTGACAGTATGCAAGTGATGGGCCTGACAAAAAAATTATGGGACACTTCTTAAAATGGTAAGGAAGACTTTGTTCATGACTACTGCAATAGGTATCACAACTATTGCAATACAGCCTGGCATGGTGGCTCACATCTGTAATCCCAGCACTTTGGGAGGCAGAGGCAGGAAGACTGCTTGAGCCCAGAAGTTTAAGAGCAGCCTGGGCAACACAGGGAGACCTACTCTCCACAAAAAATAAAAATAAATTAGCCGGGAGTGGTGATGCACGCCTGGAGTCCTGGGTACTCTGGAGGCTGAGGTGGGCCGATCTCTTGGGCCCAGGAGTTTGAGGCTGCAGTGAGCCATGATAGCGCCACTGCACTCCAGCCTGGTGACAGAGCAATACCTTTTCTCATAAAACAAAGACTATGGCAATAGGGGTGAGTGATGGGTCTCAACTCTGAATACAGCAGGGAATTTATAGTAAATGATCAGAGTGAATGGATCAATGGGTGGAAGATTACCAAGAGTAGACATGAAGGGTAGGGGTATTCTTGCTAAAGCCAATTTAACAGGATTTTTGCTGGTGGCAGAGTGATCAGATATCAAGAGTGGGGTTGAGGAATTCGATCGGATATTGAGGGTGATTCGATATTAAGGGTGGGGGAGTTCTTACTAAACTGACTTAACTGCATTCTTACCACAAATGGACTAGGCAGGTCAAAGACGACCCAAGGAGGAGACCCAGTCAAAAACAGCTCAGAGGAGCCTCCTGACTAAAGTTTGGTCAAGGAGAGAGTCTTTGTCAATACCCAGCTGGTTCTCCCTTTGTACCACCATGTGGCGCCCTTCACCCCATTCCTTCAGCCCTTAAGGCTCTTTTAAAACAAAATAATCAAATTCAAGTTACGGAAATTCTAGGAGGGGCGGTCCCTCCCCCTTCCTAGTTGCGGAAGGCAACGGACTACAAGTCCCCTACGCTCTCGCGGGGCTATGATCCGCCCGGCCCTCCCCACATTCCGGAGTTTCGCGCCTGCGCAGAAGGCAGAAGGTCCTGCGCTGAGAGAAGGGGGCGGAGACAGGACTACGCGCCTGGAGTAGGAGAAGGAGGAAAAAAGAGACCATAGACTTCCATCCTGGCCTAGAGCGGCCCTTAAAGTGCCAGGGAGAGGAGGGCGGGTGGGGACCACTCCAGAATTGGCCGCTGGCGGTATCATGGCGACCCGGAACCCCCCTCCCCAAGGTGAGCGGCCAGGGCCCGAAGTGGTATCTGGGACGCGGCTCACAGCTCTCGACCTTGCTCCTATGGCACCTCTTCCTTCCCCTGCCCTAGGATTCTTCGAGCTCCATTTTTTTTTTAAGGCAGCCCCTTCGAGCACCCCCTCCGAGCTAGACTTTTTCCTCCCCTCTCTGCGGAACTCAAGCGGAGAGCCACCCCCACCCCCAGCACAGCCCTACCTGCCTCCTGCCTTACCTTCACCTCCGGCCCTTCATCTCCCATCTTCAAATGTATTATTTTCTTTTTTTAAACGTCTGGACTCAAGTGATTTCGCTGAGCTCCAGACTAGTTCTCTCAGGAGGACCCCTCCCCACCCCCATTCCTCCCACTGATGAAAATGGACCCTGCTCTGACCTTGACCCTACTAAGGTTTGGAGGTGGGGGTGACCCCTCACTACTGTGTCATTCTGAGTTGGCCCTGGCTTCGTGACCCCAGGCTGGTCCCCGGGCCTTTGGGAAAGCAGATGGGGGTCATTGTTGCAGGGTCCTTTACTCTTGAGGCCCTGGTCTCAAGAATTGAGTTAAATAAAGTCAGTAGTTTCTATGTGGGCATTTTTAGCTGTAGGCCAGAACTAATGAGTTGTAACAGATTTTTAAAAAGATGTATAGAACATTTCTGACTTTTGATTGACTCTACATTTATTTTTTGCATTTTGCTATTTTGAAGACTATGAAAGTGATGACGACTCTTATGAAGTGTTGGATTTAACTGAGTATGCAAGAAGACACCAGTGGTGGAATCGAGTGTTTGGCCACAGTTCGGGACCTATGGTAGAAAAATACTCAGTAGCTACCCAGATTGTAATGGGTGGCGTTACTGGCTGGTGAGAACAACGTCTTTTTCATTAAATTTCATTTGGGGGCCTGACACTGCTGTCCTTTCATACATGGGCAAGAATCACCGTGCACAGGCAGTAGGTCTACACTGTTAATTCCAGAAGAGGCTTTTCTCTGAGTTAAAATTGATGTAATCTACATTCCCAGGCTCCCTGTTGAGTTTTGGCGATCCCCTCCCCCATGCCCACCACTGTTCCTCTTCTCCCTCCTCATCCTTCTTTTGATTCTTTATATAATTTCCCCATTCTCATGTTCAGCAAATGTCGTGGATCTGATTCAGTGATAGTAGATAGGAAGAAATATATGAGTTAATTATATGTAAATTTTTACATTTCATTCAGTGCTAACTGCTGAAAAAACCTAAGAAACTCCCACGGTAGAACTGGCCTCTAGTATTGTCAGCCCTGTACAGAGCAGTGTAAAATGCTCAGTATGAATTATTGGTGATGATACAGATGATTCTGTTTTTTGTGGGCTCGTTCAGATTATGATAACTCTTTGAAAAAGAGCTGTAGAACGTTAATTCTGTGTTTAAAGGTCTGATTGCTTACTTGATAATATTGTGGAGTCCATTAAGAAGTAGTTAATAACCATCAGCCTGACCAGTTAACATTTCAGACCACGTGATAACACAATGGCTACTGTGGATCTAATTCTGTTCTTATAATAAAAAAACTAGCCAGATAACAAGGGGCAGAAACAAATTTGACTGTTTTGAAAATGTTCGTGACTGTAGAGAAATTTTGGAGTTAGTGAGGGTACTTAACTTGTGCATAAGCGTTTTTTCTTAGATTCTTATTTAAATTCATCTTACATAGATTTAATTGAAATATTTACCTGTTTCCACTTGATAAGTATAACGATGAGTTTTTTGATTTGTGTTTTACATGCACCTTGGAATAATGACCCACTCTTCTATGCCTTTTTTTTTGCAAATGCCATTTTATGATAGAAGTACTCATTGTGAAGATTCTGTGGTGCAGAGGTGCGGCATTTATTCATGATATGTACTTACTAGTGCTGCTGCAGGAAAAAAGCCTGCAATTAGAAGAGAGATGCCTGTCAGGGCCTGGTCATTCAGATAATTCTCCACAGGCTGATAGTTCCTCTAGCCCTGTAATTCAGGGTATGGCTCTGCTTAAATAAGCTCACAATTTGGTTCCATGGGTGATTGGTTAATGTCAGTCAGGGCCTAAAGCCCAGTCTTAAAACAGACTCAAAAATAATTGAGAATAGAATTATCAAGTCATTTCATTGTTTCTCCTTGGAGACCAGACTCCTTGTAGATGAAGCCCCATCATTGGCAGAAGTTTGCTCGGAAAGCCTAGAGACAGAGCAGCAGGAGATAGGTTCATTTTAGTGACTGATGCCATCAAGCAATGGATACACATGCTTGTGGAACACAGTCCAAGGGACATTGTGGCTGCTGCCTGCCTTTTCTGTTCCCTTTTCTGAGCCTTTGTTGCTGACATATATGTATATATACATACACACACACACACACACACACACACACAACACACACATTTGGATTACAGCCAGGTGTTGGTCCAGGAGCTGTATAATACAACTCTAATAATTATACAGGCGATTTGTTGCAATGACTATATTCAGTGTAGTAAATTTTTGCAATTTTCTTAGGATGTAAAACTGATGTGATATTATGGTGTATATTAAGGAGGAACAGTTAATAGGCACTAACCTAACAAGTTAGCAATTTAGACCAATTCAAGACATGTATAGGAGGCTGAGGAGATTTTATTTTGCTGTAGGTAGCTGTAGGCTTTTGATCATGACAAAAAATTAAAACTATTAGGATGGGTCCTTGCTAGGAGAGATGGGAGGTGTTGAGACCAGTTAGAGGGCCCTTAAAGTGTTCTGGAAGCAAGGTAATGATGACCTTGAGAGTGGAAAGGAGAAGACAGTCAAATAATGTTTTGGAGATAAAATATATAGAACTGTGGAGGCCAGGTGCGGTGGCTTACACTGGTAATCCCAGCACTTTGGGAGGCCGAGGCGGGTGGATCACCAGAGGTCAGGAGTTCAAGACTAGCCTGGCCAACATTGTGAAACCCCGTCTCTACTAAAAATACAACAATTAGCTGGGTGTGGTGGCGGGCATCTGTAATCCCAGCTATTCAGGAGGCTGAGGCAGGAGAATTGCTTGAACCCGGGAGGCGGAGGTTGCAGTGGGCTGAGATGGCACCAGTGCATTCCAACCTGGGTGACAGAGCGAGCTCCATCTAAAAAATAAATTAATTAATTAAATTAAATAACAGAAATTTATTCTCTCACAGTTCTGGAGGCTAGAAGTCTGAAATCAGGATGTCAACAGGGTTTGTTCCTTCTTGGAGGCTCAGAGGGAGAAATCTGTTTTATGTTTCTCTGCTAGCTTCTGGTGGTTGCCAGCAATCCTTGTCATTCCTTGGCTTGTAGACGTATTACTCCAGTCTCTGCCTCTGTTGTCCTCACATGTCGTCTTCCCTCTGTGTGCGTCCTTATCGGATTAAAGGCCCACCCTGTCCAGTATGATCTCATCTGAACTTATTACATCTGCAGTGACTCTGTTTTCAAATAAGGTCACATTTAGAGGTTTTGGGAAGGATATGAATTTTGAGGGGGACACCATTCAACCCAGTGCAGAAGGCTAGAGTTAGAAATATAGGATTCATTTGCACAGTGTGGATCTGGAATGCTGAAGGGAATGTGAGCTCACTGAAGGAGCGAATTAATGACAAAAGAAGTATGAGCTGACACAGGGTAGATGAGACACAAAAAACATTTAATATAAAAATAGGTAGATATAGATAAGGAGGCCTTTAGAAATGTGGGCTGAAGTATAGTTATTGAGTGGAACAACAGCTGGACCTGAAAGGGTAGGAATGGTAGGAAAGCTTTAGATAG
The DNA here is from genome assembly GCF_000001405.40 of Homo sapiens. NCBI lineage: Eukaryota > Metazoa > Chordata > Mammalia > Primates > Hominidae > Homo > Homo sapiens. Next base: position 44,539,027 of record NC_000023.11, on the reverse strand, counting down.
GTAGAGCTAGGAAGAAACCCCTAGAAGCAGGGAGATTAATAGCTTGAGCAAAGGTGATGACCTATTTGGAGGTTAATGGGGTTGGAGCCGAAGGTGGGGGTCAACCAGGTGTATGGACCATCTTGACTGTATTAAGCAAAACATCACTTTTATTACGGGAGGTTTCAGCTTATACAAATGTAGGAGGAATATAATGAACCCCTGAGTACTTGTCGTTATTTTAGTAGCTGCTCTTTTTTTTCTATAAATTCTCCTCCTCTTCTCTCCGTCCCTTATTTTGAAGCAAATTTCAGACATTTTAGATTGTGCATTTTTGACTAGCCTGTATAACTGAGGGGTTTCTGAGAAGGTTTCTGAGCAGGTAAGGGATGTGATCAAAAGAAATGCAAAGACATAAGATTTTATTAGGAAAGCAATGAAAAGTAGAAGAGGGAGAGGGTTTAGTACATAATTGATTGTTTTCATCTTTTGTTATTTGATTAAAGGTGTGCAGGATTTCTGTTCCAGAAAGTTGGAAAACTTGCAGCAACTGCAGTAGGTGGTGGCTTTCTTCTTCTTCAGGTATGTCAGAGCTTTAAGCACTTGCCTTTGCTTTCATAGAAGGTGGAATTTTTCTTTTAGGCATCAGTTTATGGAAGAGCTACAATGAGTTTTGGAAGCTGACTTTTGTCTTGAAAGATAACAATTTAAATACTTCTGAGTTATTAAGCATAGTTTGATCCCAGCTATTAAAAAGACAGCCATTACCGAGCGCATTGGCTCACGCCTGTAATCCCAGCACTTTGGGAGGCAGAGGCAGGCAGATCCCTTGAGGTCAGATGTTCAAGACCAGCCTGGCCAACATGGTGAAATCCCGTCTCTACTGAAAATACAAAAATTAGCTGCCATGGTGGTGCACGCCTGTAGTAGTCCCAGCTACTTGGGAGGCTGAGACAGGAGAATTGCTTGAACCCAGGAAGCGGAGGTTGCAGTGAGCCGAGATCGTGCCATTGCACTCCCGCCTGGGCAACAAGAGCAAAACTCTGTCTCCAAACAAAACAAAACAAAACAAAAATCCATAATCTTATATCTGAGGCAGATAGATTTGAAGTTTTAGTTTTGTTCATATTCTTGTAAGTATAAGATCTAAAAATGCTTTGCCATTAGAGGATGTTTATCAGGGCATCATCTGGCATTCATGTCTGTTTGGCATGTATTTTTTCAAAAATATCATTCCTTGAAGATCAAATATAGTAAATCCAAAAATTGAAAATCTCTACGAATGAATGTGAGCAGCACTTTTAAAGATACAGAGAACTGTCACTTGTACTAGATTTTAAAAATGATTGATGTTCATAGCCACCAGAATCTGAATTCAGCACCTAAGCCATCGATCATGTAATAACTAGTGTAGTTGTAGTACAAGGGGACTAGATTTGTATGTATGAAGCACAGATTTTGAGTTGTTCACTAAACAGCCTTTTAAAAATATATATGTTTTCTTTCTTTTGGTGACATTATTACGAATAATTGCTTATTACTTGTGGTAAGAGGTAAAAAAAATGATTAATACCTAAATTTAGTTCTTTGGATGAATATGCCAGCATTAGTACAGATGATAATTTTACTTAAGCTGATTTTGACTTGGTTTTATATGGAATCAAGAGCATATTTTATTCCATAGCTATTTTGAAGACTCAGTTGTCATTTCTGTTAGTGTAAAAGGGTACTGGACTGAAGCAGAGTTTCCTAAAATGTTCACAGAATGGAGAGAAGTGTATATTTTAATCCACTCTGCATGTCAGTTTTTCAGAAGTCCATTTCAGTTCACTCAATATGCACCATTCAAATCCACATTTTGTCATTGCCACCTCCCACTTTTCCGCATTTAGTACACGTAGTCTTTGAAGTTTTTAAGGCAGAGCAACATAGGACCTATCTGCATCAAACCAGTTTTTCCCACAAATACGACTAACCTTGAAAACTCAGTAGAAGGAAAGTGAAAGGGGAAATAAAGTAACAAATGGCTTTTAGGCTAATTGCCTAATATTCTTTAGGCCCACTTTCATATTTTTATGACCTTTCTTATATTTAAAGGTAAATATTAGTTTATTTAGAACTTAAAGCTTTTCTAGTAACAATATCAAGTGTTTTCCAATAGATATTTATTACACTGCCATCTTAAAGTACACAGTCTCTTCGTTTTAATTTTTTGGAGTTATACATCCTTATAATTCAAAGGGCCAAGTACTTGTGCAAGGCTTGTTACAGATTAGAGTAATCCTCCACCTCTCTCACTACCCCCATTTTTCCATCCCTTGAGACATCCAGTTTGCACTCTTAACTGATTCTTAAGGTAGTAATCTCTTTTTCCCTAAACAAGTTAATTGGACATTTCTTGATCTTTCAGTTTTAGGTGTGAACTATTGGCTTCCCATTATGGAATGGGAAAATTTAGCTGTCATTTATTGACCTGTTTTGTTTTCCCTATACTTCCCCAAATCTCACATACCTGAATGCTTTCTTCCCTCTCCCTCAATCGTCTGAGTGTAGTTACTTCCCTTTTTTCATAATTGTGTTAGATCATTCATTATATGGAGTTCACTGAGATTGATTACTTGGAGTTCACTGAACTTCTTGAGCCTGTGAATTTATGTCTTTAATCATGTTTGGGAAGGTTTTGGCCATTATTTCTACTAGGAAGTTTGGGATTTTTTTTTTTTTTTTTTCGAGACAGAGTCTCGCTCTGTCGCCCAGGCTAGAGTGCAGTGGCGCAATCTTGGCTCACTGCAACTTCCACCTCCCGGATTCAAGTGATTTTCCTGCCTCAGCCTCCCAAGTAGCTGGGATTATAGACTACAGCTGCCTGCCACAGCACCCCGCTAATTTTTGTATTTTTAGTAGAGATGGGGTTTCACCATCTTGGCCAGGCTGGTCTAGAACTCTTGACCTATTGATCCACCCGCCTCGGCCTCCCAAAGTGCTGGGATTACAGGATTACAGGCGTGAGCCACCACGGGCGGCCGGGATTATTTCTTTTCTTCTTCTTTTTTTTTTTTTTTAGACAAGAGTTTTGCTCATGTTGCCTAGGTTGGAGTGCAATGGCACAATCTCGGCTCACTGCAACCTCCGCCTCCTGGGTTCAAGCGATTCTCTTTCCTCAGCCTCCGAAGTAGCTGGGATTACAGGCACCTGCCACCATGCCTGGCTAATTTTTGTATTTTTAGTAGAGATGGGGTTTCACCATGTTGGCCAGGCTGGTCTCGAACTCCTGACCTCAGGCGATCCACCCGCCTTGGCCTCCCAAAGTGCTGGGATTACAGGCGTGAGCCACCGCGCCCAGCCAGGATTCTTTCTTTTTTTTTTTTTTTTTTTTTTTGAGACAGAGTCTTGCTCTGTCACCCAGGCTGGAGTGCAGTGGTGCGATCTCAGCTCACTGCAAGCTCCGCCTCCCAGGGTCACGCCACTCTCCTGCCTCGGCCTCTCAAGTAGCTGGGACAACAGGCGCCCGCCACCAAGCCCGGCTAACTTTTTTGTATTTTTTTGGTAGAGACAGGGTTTTGCTCTGTTAGCCAGGATGATCTCGATCTCCTGACCTCATGATCTGCCCGCCTCGGCCTCCCAAAGTTCTGGGATTACAGGTGTGAGCCACCGCACCTGGCCCAGTATTATTTCTTTAGACAACTACTAGTTGTGTAAATCACCTTTCATTGTCGTATGTATCAAATAGTTCATCAGTTTAACCGTCTGGGCAAACTTGGTCCCAGAGTCATCTGTCCTGTTTGCTTTCTAGGCCTGGTATACGGCTCTCACCCTGGGATCTCTCTTCAATACCTTCTGGATATTCCCTTTTTGTTTTGGGTTGTTTCTTGTATGTTATGTCTTTTGTTTGTTTGTTTGTTTTTTGAGACAGTCTTGCTCTGTTGCCCAGGCTAGAGTGCAGTGGTACAATCTCACTCACTACAAACTCTGCCTCCTGGGCTCAAGGGATCCTCCTGCCTCAGCCTCCCAAGTAGCTGGGATTACAGGCGTGTGCCACATGCCCGCTAATTTTTGTATTTTTGTATAATAGGGAGGTCTTGCTATGTTGCCCAGGCTGGTCTCGAACTCCTGGGCTCAAGCATTCCACCCGCCTTGGCCTCCCAAAGTGTTGGGATTACAGGTGTAAGCCACTGCACCTGGCCTATCCTATGTCTTGATGTATTCTCTTGTTTTGGTGGACACATCCTCCAATAGCTTTCGTAGAAAATGAGAATGGGAACTATAGTTTTTGAGACTTTGCATGTCTGAAAATTTCTTCATTTTATCCTCACATTTGTTTGATAATTTATTAATAGCTGTGTTTAGGTATTGCTCCATTGTCTTCTGACTTCCAGTGTTGCTGTTAAAAGTTTAAAGTAATTCTAATTTCTGAACCTTTACATGTGTGGGTTTTTTTTTTTCCTTTCAGTTAATGCTTATAGGATTTTCTTTTGTCCTCAGTATTCTGATTTTTCCCAGTGATGTGCCTTACTGTGGGCCTATTTTCATCCACTGTGCTGGAAACTCAAGGGGCCCTTTCAGTTTGGGGAAATTTTCTTTATATTTATTTAGTTAATGATATCCTGCTCTTTAATTTTCCCATCTTTTTTTCTGTAGTTCCAGTTATATGGATCTCCTGGACCAGTTGTCTAATTTTTCTTTCTTTATTTATTTTACAGTTTTAGACTTATTTTTAATTTTTTTTAAATAGAGATGAGGTCTTGCTATGTTGCCCAGGCTGGTCTCAAGCAATCCTCCTGCCTTGGCCTCCCAAAATGTTGGGATTACAGGTGTGAGCCACTGACTGCTTGGCCTAATAATTTTTTTTTTTTCTTTCTTAGATTTGGTAGAACACTAATAATCTTTTCAATTTTCCACTTCTATCTTTTTGGTCTATTTTCTGGGAGATTTCTTCAACTTCAACAAGTTTTTTTTGTTGTTTTTGTTTTTTGTTTTTTTTTTGAGACAGAGTCTCACTCTGTTCACCTGGGCTGGAGTGCAGTGGTGCGATCTTGGCTCACTGCAGCCTTGACCTCCCGGGCTCAGGTGATTTCTTCACGCCAGCCTCCCAAGTAGCTGGGACTACAGGCATGCACCACCATGCCTGGCTAATTTTTTGTATTTTTAGTAGAGATGGAGTTTTGCTATGTTGCCCAGGCTGGTCTTGAACTCCTGAGCTCAAGCGATCCACCCACCTCGGTCTCCCAAAGTGCTGGGATTACAAATGTGAGCCACCATGCCCGGCTGTTGTTCTTTTAATGTGACTTTAGCATTCTGTTTCTTGCTTTTCCTTCATGGATGCAGTGAGCAGTATCTTTTTTAAAAATTTTTAATGGCTAATACTTGGATACTATTTTTTTGTTGTTGTTGTTTTGTTGTTTTTTTTTTTTTTTTTTTTTTGAGACGGAGTCTTGCTCTGTCACCCAGGCTGGAGTGCAGTGGCACGATCTCGGCTCACTGCAAGCTCTGCCTCCCGGGTTTGCACCATTCTCCTGCCTCAGCCTCCCGAGTAGCTGGGACTACAGGCGCCTGCCACCACACCCAGCTAATTTTTGTATTTTTAGTAGAGACAGGGTTTCATTGTGTTAGCCAGGATGGTCTCGATCTCCTGACCTCATGATCTGCCTGCCTCGGCCTCCCAAAGTGCTGGGATTGCAGGCGTGAGCCACTGCGCCTGGCCTTGGATACTGTTTTTTTAAGAGATTGGTGGGATGTATTTATTATGTGTGACTTGTCCTCCTCCAACCCATTGTTTCAACCAATGCAATGGTTAGAAGACCGTCCCTTCAATAAGACTTTTAGAAACACATCATATTACTGGAGCACTAACATTCTTGGAAACCATTTTAATTGCATGTCTATAGACCAAGAAGGCTTGTGAGAGATGGTATAGTTGAATGTCTTCTCTAATTCGAAGATAGAAGCTTCTTAGAAAGTGGCAGAGACTGAAAGTTTTCCTTAGATCACCAGATGCTAGTTGGAAGTGACTGCCTTAATAGACTGCAGGTTCAGAGTGTTGATCCAAATAGTCTGTCCTACAAGCAATTCTTAGCATCTACACAGAATGTTCATCTAGCAGTTTATTTTTTCAGCTTTACAAACAACTCTGCAGTGACTAGCCATTTATATACAGCTTTGCACACTTGTCTAAGACAAAGCAAAAATATACATATTTAGGCCAGGCATGGTGGCTCACGCCTGTAATCCCAGCACTTTGGGAGGCCGAGGCGGGCGGATCGCCTGAGGTCAGAAGTTCGAGACAAGCCTGGCCAACAAGGTGAAACCCCATCTCTACTAAAAGTACAAAATTAGCCGGGCATGGTGGTGCATGCCTGTAATCCCAGCTACTCGGGAGGCTGAGGCAGGAGGATCATTTGAACCTGGGAGGCAGAGGTTGCAGTGAGCCGAGATCATGTCATTGCACGCCAGCCTGGGTGACAAAAGCGAAACTCCGTCTCAAAAAAAAAAAATATATATATATATACACACACACACACATATATATATTTAAGCCTCTTGATTGTCAAGTAGCCTTCCAGAAAGTATTCCTACTATCCCCATATGAGAGGATCCACCAGCTTTTCCCCCTTTTCATACTGTACTCTTGGGGTTCCTTTTTTTTTTTTTTTTTTCTGAGACAGAGTTTCACTCTGTTGCCCAGGCTGGAGTGCAAGTGGTGTGATCTTGGCTTATGGCAGCCTCAGTCTCCCAGGTTCAAGTGTTTCTCGTGCCTTAGCCTCCCGAGTAGCTGCAATTACAGGCGCACACCACTGTCTGGCTAATTTTTGTATTTTCCGTAGAGATGGGGTTTCACCATGTTGGCCAGGCTGGTCTTGAACTCTTGGCCTCAAGTGATCCGCCTTCCTCAGCCTCCCAAAGTGCTGGGATTACAGGCATGAGCCACCGTGCCGGGCCTCATACTGTACTCTTTGGAAGGGAGTCACTGTGTATAGCCCACATTTCAGGAGTGTAATTATGCTCCACCTTTCTGAAGGCAGAGTAGCTACATAAATTATTTAGAAATAGTCTGTTGGAAGGTTTGTCTCTTATTTATTCAGTCATTTATTTATATCAATATGGACTCATGGATATTTATTTTATACTTTGGTTTATAATCTAATGCTCTTTTATTGCTCAAATTTTACCAGCTTTGGCCATTAAGAGCTCTTTCAGTTGTGCATTGTCTTTTTTAAGCTCTCTGAGGACATAAATGATCAAGCTTCTGTGTGTGTGTGTGTGTGTGTGTGTGTGTGTGTGTGTGTTTTAAGCTTCTTCCTACCAAGTCCCTGTTTGTCTAAGGTGTTTTGTTCCCCCTCCCCAACCTTTTTCCTGCTTGTTTATTTTGGTTTCTAGTTTTCAAGTTAAAGGCCTTCCTCCAAGTCTGATGATCCTTGGTTGTCTGCTCATATTTAAGAATTGAGCACTAAAAGTTGATGGAAAGCTCTAAACAATATGGACATGTGGATTGGGCTTTCCCTTCTCTGGGAAATCTGACCAGTCCAAGAAAAATGATCTAAAGATAAGGAGTTGGGGGTGGGCAGAATTTCCCGCAGTGAAACAGCCCAATTAGATCAGCATATGGTGAAGTTCACAAGCAAAAAGCCCCATCTACCTGTTTAGAGCTTTCTGGCCAACATGAATCTTCATCTGAAAGCCGTGTGTGTGTGTGTGTGTGTGTGTGTGTGTGTGTGTGTGTGTGTGTGTGTGTGTGTCTGGCCAACATGAATCTTCATCTGAAAGCCGTGTGTGTGTGTGTGTGTGTGTGTGTGTGTGTGTGTGTTTTTCTGGAAACAGTCTCACTCTCTGGCCCAGGCTGGAGTGCAGTGGCGTGACCATGGGTCACTGCAGCCTTGAACTCCTGAGGCTCAAGCGATCCTGCCACTTCAGCCTCTCAAGTAGCTGGGACTACAGGTGCATGCCACCATGTCTGGCTAATTTTTGTATTTTTTGTAGAGACAGAATTTCGCCGTATAGCCCAGGCTGGTCTCAAACTCCTGGGCTCAAGCAGTCTGCCTGCTTCACCCTCCCAAAGTGTTGGGATTATAGGCGTGAGCAACCGAGCCTGGCCTCTGGCATTATTATTTATTTATTTATTTATTTTTGAGACAGTCTCCCTCTTTCACCCAGGCTGGAATGCAGTGGCGAGATCTCAGCTCACTGCAGCCTCCGCCTCCTGGGTTCAAGAACCGCCTCCTGATTCTTGTAACTCAGCCTCCTGAGTAGCTGTGATTAGGTGTGAGCCACCACACCCAGCTAGTTTTTTGTGTTTTTAGTTTCACTGACATAGTTTCACCATGTTGACATGGCTGATCTCGAACTCCTGGCCTCAAGTGATCTGCCCACCTTGGCCTCCCAAAGTGCTAGGAGTACAGGGGTGAGCCACCACGCCCAGCCCCTCTGTCATCATTATTATTATTATTTTGAGACAGTGTCTCACTCTGTTGCCCAGGCTGGAGTGCAGTGGCGTGATATCGGCTCACTGTAGTCTCTGCCTCCTGGGTTCCAGTGATTCTTTTGCCTCAGCCTTCCAAGTAGCTGGGATTACAGGCATGCGCTACTATGCCCGGCTAATTTTTGTATTTTTAGTAGAGATAGGGTTTCACCATGTTGGCCAGGCTGGTCTTGAACTCCTGGCATTAGGTAATCCGCCTGCCTCGGCCTCCCAAAGTGCTAACATTACAGGCGTGAGCCACGGAGCCCGGCCTGGAATTATTTTATTTTATTTATTTATTTTTAACTTGGAAGCTTTTATTCTAATAAAAGTACCTTATGTAATCCCATTAAATATTTTAGTGTTATAGGAAGTCAAATGTTCAAAAAGCAGTCATCACTGCCCCATTCCCTCCCCAGTCTGTTGGCTTGCATTTCCTTGTAGTTGCAGATGAATTTTGTGTGGACAAGACTGAATTGGGTCCTGTATGTATTGGTTGGTTAAGTTGGTTGTACCTGAACCCCACTTGGGGCAGATTGCTTGTCCTTGGTCATCTCTGTACTGGAGCAGGGTGCTCAATTTAGACTGGTATTCTTCGGTTTGATCAGAAGTGTACTTCTCAGCTGGGTGCCGTGGCTCACTGTAATCCCAGCACTTTGGGAGACCAAGGCAGGAGGATGGCTTGAGGCCAAGAGTCCAAGACCAGCCTGGGCAACATAGTGAGACTTCATCTCTCTCTCTCTTTTTTAAGGCATTAATATCTTTAGCATCTCAAGGTTTTTCATTTTTCCTGCAAGGGAACAGATTCTCAAGGGAATTTGTTCAGTGATGGTAGATCACTCCAGCATCAAAGATCATTCTCTTGTTAGTAGACATGCTAGGTTGGGTCCTTTGGGATAATCTAGCTCATCCATTTTGTTGCTGAGAGTCATTATTTGAGCCAGGTTGGTTAATACAGCTTTTGAGATTTAGTCTTTATTCATTGTCTTTGTTATCATTTATTTACTATGTCTCATTCATCTGGCATTAGTTGGGACTCTAGGGATATAGAGATTCACAGCCCATATGGTCAGTGCTGAGCTAGAAGGGTGTGTTTAGTGCTGAGAGAGCAGAGGGAAGACGCTCTGTCTGCTTGGAGGTGTTAGGGAAGTCTTCTTCCAAAGAGGCGTTAGTATCTTTAGCATCTCAAGGTTTTTCATTTTCCTTGCAACTGTTTGACATTTTCCCCCAAAACGTAGAGAATTCTTTAAATTATACAAAATCTTTATCTCAGATAACACTGGGTTTACTAATTATCAGTGACAAATGGCTATGTAAAAATATTTTGTGTATAGAATGCTGTTTGTGAGAATTTGTTTAATCTGTCTCATTAAAATGGTTTCCTTTATTCATTTGCTGGGGATTGGGGGGTGGATAAGGGGTCTCACCCAGGGAATATAGTTAAGGTTTGTTTTTTGTTTTTTTAATTTCACTTCCAATTTAACTCATGGCATGAAGATTAGCTTTTTAAAAAAAACTTTGTAACTTAAAATGTTAAGTCTTGAAAATGACAGTTGAATTGGGAGTTGCTGATGAGTGGTGGTATAGATAATATTTTTGTTCTGCCGGGCGCGGTGGCTCATGCCTGTAATCCCAGCACTTTGGGAGGCCGAGGCGGGTGGATCACGAGGTCAGGAGATCGAGACTATCCTGGCTAACACGGTGAAACCCCTTCTCTACTAAAAAACAAAAAATCAGCCGGGCGTGGTGGCAAGTGCCTGTAGTCCCAGCTACTCGGGAGGCTGAGACAGGAGAATGGCATAAACCCGGGAGGCGGAGCTTGCGGTGAGCAGAGATCACGCCACTGCACTCCAGCCTGGGCGACAGAGCGAGACTCCGTCTCAAAAAACAAAAATAAAAAAAATTTTGTTCTAACCAAAAAATAAAGCCATATACATACATAAAATATTTGTACTTCTCACAAGCTTTGGATTAAGAAGAAATGTTAAGATTCAGCAAAAAGTAAAATTCTGCAAAAGCTTCAAAGTAATCAACTATTTTGATTACTTAGTGCAAGCCAATAAGAAGTCTTTTCAATTTATATGTAGAATTTTCCTAAGGTTCATCATCACCTCCATGCCTGTGACTCAAATTGCTGTATCAAGTACTAACAGAAAAAGCCTTCACTTGCCATTTGATTTGATCACCACTGTTTTGCTGAGGCTGGAGTTTGAAGTGATAGTAGATGAATAAATACAAGAAGAAATGCAGATAAACAAATTCTTCTATGGAGTCATTCACAGACAAAATAGAACCTAAGATTTCTAGTCAGCCTGTTTATGCAAAATCAGATATTTTTATTATTTAAAGTATTTTCTGTGTGGCTAAAAGTCAGTGTGTTCATTCAGGGTGCAAATGGCAAAAGAAAAGTGATGCACTAAAAAATTACAAAGAAAGCATAAGCTTGACAGAAGTGATTTATAATGGTATATATGGCTATTTTATTATTTGGAGGCACTGAGTTACTGGACTGGCTTGCACACACACTGTTGTTCCTGTTCAGATATTGCAGTCTCTCAGTAGTACCATATGATAATTTTTCTTATGATAGGCATTTAGCTATAGTTTTATTAAAAGGATTTATGGCATGAAACTTGTGTAGAGTGCAGTTTGTTTTATATTCTACTTTCAAAAGCAATTACCAGAAAGTATTCTTAATTTAAGTAAAGAGAGCTATTTAAATACTTACCAGGCTACTTAAATTTCTTTAGTGATCTAATAACTGATTGGCTTATGATCCCTTATAATTAAAGATCTATTTAATTAAAAAGTATTTTTAAATTAGCTATATAATCTAGATAATCTCTGTATCTTTTTAACTAATTCCCTATTCCAAAAGGTGTGACAGAATGATAGTATAGTTAAAAGACAGTTTTTGGAATCATTTTCCCATCATGTACTAAACACTGTTCATCACATCTAAATAATTAGTTACTTACTTATGCTTAATATCTGTTTTCCCTAACAGACCTGAAGCTCTCTGAGGATAGGGGCTTATGTCTCCCTTATTCAGTACTTAGCATAGGGTAGGCACTAGTGTCTGTTAAATGAATAAACTAGTGGAGAAAAAGCAATTTCTTAGCTATAAGTTTTATAGGTTACTAGAACTCTTAAGTGTTTATATATTCTTGGCTATTATAGTCAGCAACCTAGTTGGTATAGTATTGATAATTTTTATTATATTTTTTGCAGATTGCTAGTCATAGTGGCTATGTGCAGATTGACTGGAAGAGAGTTGAAAAAGATGTAAATAAAGCAAAAAGACAGATTAAGAAACGAGCGAACAAAGCAGCACCTGAAATCAACAATTTAATTGAAGAAGTAAGATGATATATAATTTTGACTTTTTTTTTTTTTTTCCTTTTTTTGGTTAATGGGTATCCCTTAGCAGAAAATGTGACCGGGGGGGATTACTGTCTTTTTTAAAAATGGTGTTTTTGGTTATATATCTAGAGTGTTAAGTAAAATTTGAGATCACACCACTACTTAAATCAGTCATTATTTTTTTTTTTTTGGTGGTTATCATAGATTCCCCTGCATATCTCTAGCTCACTTTGATCTTGTTGTAAAAACTAAGAACATTCTTTTCAACATATTTCCTCTGCCTTTATAAATGAACATGTACAGGTGTAGTAAAACTTAAAAGTACACATTTTTTTTCTTGAGGATAGTTTGAAAATATGTTTTTTTAATATGATTAATATATTTTATTAATGTTTTCAGGTGTAATTTGACCCTTTACTTTTGTACTGTTTAAAATGGAATTGAATACTTCCTTGCCTTTGTTTTTGTTTTATCCTTTTACCTCCCTCAACTTTTTAGTTTGAAAAAATTCAAACCAGTTAAAAAGTTGAAAGACAAATATAGTGAATATCTCAATACCCTTCATCTATTCACCAAATTGTTCATGATTTGCCGTGTTTACTTTATCTGTGTGTGGGTGACACACACAGATAATTTTTTTTCCAAAGTATTTAAGATGTCATAACTTTTCATCCCTAAATACTTCAGTATGTATCTTCTAAGAGTACAGATATTCTCTTATACAACTATGAATACGCCCCCCCCCCTTTTTTATTTTTTTACTGTGTGGGAACTGCCACTTCAGAAACTTTTTTTTTCTTTTTTGAGACGGGTTCTCGCCCTGTAGCCCAGGCTGGAGTGCAGTGGCGTAATCTTGGCTCACTGCAACCTTCGCCTCTCGGGTTCAAGCGATTCTCCTGCCCCAGCCTCCTGAGTAGCTGGAATTACAGGCACGCGCCACCTCTCCCAGCTAATTTTTTGTATCTTTAGTAGAGACAGGGTTTCACCATGTTGGCCAGGCTGGTCTCGAACTCCTGACCTCATGATCCACCCGCCTCAGTCTCCCGAAGTGCTGGGATTAGGGGCGTGAGCCACCAGGCCCGGCCAACTGTTTTTTTTTGTTTTTTTTTTTTGTTTTTTTTGAGACAGGTCTCATTCTGTCTCGCTGTGTTGCTTAGGCTGGAATGCAGTGGCATCATCATGGCTCACTACAGCCTTGACTCCCCTGGCTCAAATGGTCCTCCCACCTCAGCCTCCCAAGTAGCTGGGACTACAGGTGTGCATGATGCCTCGGCCTCCCAAAGTGCCAGGATCACAGGCGTGAGCCCCCATGCCTGGCCAAATGCCATTATTAATAAAAAAAAAATGTAACATGAGATAATAGTATTTCCTTTCTTTGTTAATTTTTTTTAGACAGGGTCTTGCTCTGTCACCCAGGCTGGAGTGCAATGGTGTGATCACAGCTCACTGCAGCCTCGAGCACCTGGGCTCAAGTGATCCTCCCACCTCAGCCTCTCAAGTAGCTGGGACTACAGGTGCATGCCCAGCTAATTTTTATATTTTTGTAGAGATGAGGTTTTGCCATGTTGCCAGGCTGGTCTCAAACTCCTGGGCTCAAGCAGCCTGCCTGCCTCAGCCTCCCAATGTGCTGGGCATTACAGGTTTGAGCCACCACACCCAGCCAGTATTTTCTAATATGCAGTTCATATTAATATTTTTCTACAAAATATCTTGTGTGGCTTTTTTTTTCCCAATTAAGAATTATATGCCAGGTACAGTAGTTCACTCCTGTAATCCCAGCACTTTGGGAGGCTGAGGCAGGAGGATCTCTTGAGCCTAGGAGTTTGAGATCAGCCTGGGTAAGAGAGAGAGACCTTGTCTCTACAGAAAATACAAAAATTAGAACGGTGGCATGCACCTATAGTCTCAGCTACTTGGGAGGCTGAGGTGGGAGGATTGCTTGAGGCTGTGAGACGTGATTGTGCCACTGCACTCCAGCCTGGCTGACAGAATGAGACCCTGTTCCCACTCACCCCCCCAAAAAAAATTATATATTGTTTTCGGTTATCATGTCTATGAAGTCTCATTTAGTCTTAAACAGTCCTTTCATCTGTTAATTTTATTCCCCCATCTTTCATGGCACTGACATTTTTGACACCTCTAGGCAGAATATCCCACAGTCTGGCTTTGTCTGATGGCTTCCTCATGATTTTATTCTGGTTAAACATTTTACCAAAGTAATTTGTTTTGGTTTTGATCCTGTACATTTTTTTTTCTGTTGGCTAAATGGACTATTAATAAATACCATTGTGCCTGCTGTGACAATTTATTAAATAATCTGTGTTAATAACTTGATGATGGGCCATTCATCTCTACCTTACAGGTAGATTTCTTTTTACTTGTGAGATCATTGCTGCCCATATACTTATTATCTCAATAGCCAAGGAGCTTACTGGGCATGACTGTGTTCTCTAGTCTCCTTCAATTAGTCAGGGACATTTCTGGGATCTTGCATGCTATTTGATACCTGCAGTAGTAGGTGCACAGGAATTTTTGCTGAATATTTATTGAATTGAGGAAAATAGCTGAAACTGCTACTTGGCTCTGGATTCAGTAAGAATTTTTTTTTGTGCATCTTTTTATTGTGGTAAAATAGTTATACAAAAATTTTACCAGTTTAACCATTTTTAAGCATACAGTTCAGTGGCATTAAGCATATTCACATTTTTCTGCAATCATTACCACTATTTCCAGAACTTTTTCATCATCCCAAACTCTGTGCCCATTAAACATTAATTTTCAGTTTCCCTCTCTCCCCAGCTCTTAATGATCTGTATTCTGCTTTCTGACTACTCATACGAGCAGAATCATGTAATATCTGTTCTTTTTTGTCTACCTTATTTCACTTTGCATAATGTTTTCAAGGTTCATCCCTGTTGTAGCATAATTAAGAGTATTTTTGTTTAAACTTTGTTTCAGGCAACAGAATTTATCAAGCAGAACATTGTGATATCCAGTGGATTTGTGGGAGGCTTTTTGCTCGGACTTGCATCTTAAGGACATGAATATTCTCCCATAACGGATTCAACTATGAGAAGAGAAGTGGCAGCAATAAGGCAGTCTCTCAAAAGTCATACTGCCAGAGTCTCTAGGGCAAGGAGAAACAACTAGCTGGACAATACTCAATTCACAACTTAGCATTTTGCCATCTGAAGCTTGGCAAACTAGTATCTGCTGTAAAACAACCTATATGGTATGTGAACCGTAGTATTCCTGAGCAAAACGTGGCTTTCATCGCTTTGTAAAAATTTGCATCTGTTTAGAAACTAGCCTATAAAATATCACCATTGGATGTAGATATGGAGAGAAAAGAAATATGTTGGGTTTATTGCTTAGCGAAATATTCTCTTTTTATTTAAATAAAATGTTCTTCATTGTGTTTTATGGTATGTGTCCATAATTTAAAATTCATGTTATAGTTTCAGTATTAAGGCTGACTTTTTTTTTTTAAGATATGTTTGCAATAAGTTAAAAAACTGTAATACCCTTTTGTGGAAAGCTTTAGAAATGATATAATTATTAAAGATATTAAACAGACTCTGCTGATGTAATATGATACCAATTTTTATGTTGTTTTTTTTCCTGGAGTTATTACTTTGTTATAAGTGTAATAATTGTACATTTCTTTTTTGTTTTTTTTTTTTTTTTGAGACAGAGTCTTGCTCTGTCACCCAGGCTTGGAGTGCAGTGGCATGATCTTGGCTCACTGCATCCTCCGCCTCCCAGGTTCAAGCGATTCTTGTGCCTCAGCCTCCTGAGTAGCTGGGAGTACAGGCACGTACCACCACACTTGGCTAATTTTTGTATTTTTAGTAGAGACGAGGTTTCGCCATGTTGGCCAGGCTGGTCTCGAACCCTTGACCTCAGGTGATCCGCCCGCCTTGGCCACCCAAAGTGCTGGGATTACAGGCATGAACCACCATGCCCAGCCATAACTGTACATTTCAAAAAAGGCTCTTCTGAGGAAATACTATAACATGTCTAAAGCTCTTTTTTCTTTTTTGATGTCTGTAGTTTAAAAAATATCTTCTTATATGTAAGCTTCTAATTTTCTTGTTTGTTTGTTTATCCTGGCAGTCTGGGCAGAATTAATTATTTTGGGGTTACATATAGTTAGATCACTGATTCGTTTAATTAACCTTGAATGCATCTGCTTTTCATTTCTAAAAATCATTATTTTGGTCCCTTCATTACCAAGAGGCCAAAGTCACTTTAAAATACTTAGTAGCATAGTATGAATTTACTGTCTGAAGAACAGTGATTTTATAAAAAATATAATTGTGAAATTGCAGCTTAAAGAGAATTGTCTCCTCGATGTAATCTAGTGTTAGATGTCAATACCAAGATTTCAGGCTTTTGATAGCATTATGTTGGTTAAACACTAGGCCAGTTCACTTATTTCTCAGGGCTGGTATCATACTTCCTCAGAGGCTCCTTTGCCCAAAAAAGCTTTCTGTATTGTTAGTTTTGCCCATAGAGTTCTAGGTTGGAATTGGGAAAAGCAGCAGAACAACATGTATTAGAGTCTTCATATTAGAAAGTCTTTGCAGATATTCAGACCATCTCCTTTTTATAAGAAGTCCCTATAGTATATTTTGTGTATTGTAAACATATGACATTTCATGCTTTCAAGTTTGGTTACAGGCTGCATGCTTTCGTTATCGTGAGACTCCTTAACATTTAATGTGGCCTCTATCTTTGGTTTCTTACTCTCGTTAGTGCCTCAGATACAATGCTAAATAAAACTGGGACTTTCTTAATAGGAAGTGATTTTGCTTATAAATACTTGTTTTTTCTTTTTTTTTTTTTTTTTGAGTCAGAGTCTCGCTCTGTCGCCCAGGCTGGAGTGCAGTGGCGCCATCTTGGCTCACTGCAAGCTCTGCCTTCCGGGTTCACGCCATTCTCCTGCCCTAGCCTCCCGAGTAGCTGGGACTACAGGCTCCCGCCACCATGCCCGGCTAATTTTTTTTTTTTATATATACTTTTAGTAGAGACGGGGTTTCATCATGTTGGCCAGGATGGTCTCGATCTCCTGACCTCGTGATCTGCCCACCTCGGCCTCCCAAAGTGCTGGGATTACAGGCGTGAGCCACCACGCCTGGCCAAAATACTTGTTTTTTCTTTGTGCTCTTATTTGTTTCTGCTTTGCCAAGCTTTTCGTTGCTGTGGAATTAAAAGTGACGGATATTCATGAGTGTGATCAGGTCACATTAGGTAAAGCCTTGGCCGCACTTCTGTGTGCCACACATGCACGATGCTCTTATCTGATACAGTGAGGCAGGCTGCTGTGGAGAGCTCTAGTTGCTGGATCATTTTGTTCATTTCTGAAAATATAGTGTCCTGTGCATGATGTACTAAGAATGTGGGGGGCACAAAAATGTCTGCCCTTGAGCTTTCAATTGAATAGACATAAATATTCCTATATTAAAAGTTGTATAGTAATATAGGAGAACTTGGCATATGACTTAGTGGCAAATGAGTAGTAGGGATAACTAATTTGAGAGCTTGAACATATGAATGAAAACTGAAAAAGGTAGCACTTCATTTTTACCTATACATTTCTAAGTATCTGTCATGATATTTGAAAATATTTGTGTGCAAGTATAGAATATTACCAGTACTCTCCATACTGTCCCATCTCTGTTAGTGCTTCTTGTTCTGTCTCGTATCTATGCTGTTTTCTCCCACAAGGTTGGAGTCTACTTGGAACAGTTTTATGTGTTAATCAATTTCTCACTTGTAAAGCATGTGGCATAGTGCTTTGCTCACAGTAGGTATTCAGTTAGTATTGTGATGTGTGATCAAGTATGTGAAAAGCATATTACTGTGTTAGATTTATTGTCAGCCTGTAGGAAACTGTTCCTTCTCTGTGTCCAGTGAATCAGAGGCTCCATCAGAAATGACTTTGTGGGGCTTGGTTGCAATGAAAAGCTTATATAGCCTGCCTTTGACAAAATGGAGATGTTTATATTTGAAGGCATAAAGGCTGTTTGCAAGATTTATTAAAACGAGTATATGGAGGCTGGGCGTGGTGGCTCATGCCTGTAAACCCAGCACTTTGGGAGTCTGAGGTGGGCGGATCACCTGGGGTCAGGAATTCGAAACCAGCCTGGCCAACATGGCGAAAACCCGTCTCTACTAAAGATACCAAAATTAGCTGGGAGTGGTGGTGGGTGCTTGTAATGCCAGCCACTCGAGAGGCTGAGGCACAAGAATTGCTTGAATCCAGGAGGCGGAGGTTGCAGTGAGCCGAGATCGCGCCACTGCACTCCAGCCTGGGCGACAGAGCAAGATGTCTCAAAAAAAAACAAACAAACAAACACAAACAAACTTGTGTATATGGAGTATATCTATTTTGAGGCTGAGGCTTTGAAAGATATGTAGGAACATTTTGACTGATTTTTAATTTTATTATAATCTTCCCCAGACCCCCTTACAAAAATACATGATTTTTAATTTGTTTTCTCATTTCAAATATCATATGAATAAAATATGTTCATTATAGAAAAATCAACATAAAGAATAGATAGGAAGTTTATATTTTTAGTAGAGACGGGGTTTCACTGTGTTAGCCAGGATGGTCTCGATTGCCTGACCTCGTGATCCGCCCACCTCGGCCTCCCAAAGTGCTGGGATTACAGGCGTGAGCCACCGCGCCTGGCCAGAAGTTTATAATATGGACTTAGGGATACTTATTGTTCATATCTTGGTGTGTAGCCCTTGGGGTCTTTTCTTTCTGTGTATGATCATGTATATGTGTATATTATATAAAAATTGAGTCATAGTTTATGTTCTATTTCATAAGTAGCTATTTTCAGTTACATATTATGAATATCTTTTTATAATAGTAGGTACATTTGTGGTAACATAAAGGTATAACATTAATGCCCATCCTCGTTCCCTTTTATGGAACAACCAATATTTAAAAAAAATTTTTTTTTTTTGAGGCCGGGCATGGTGGCTCACACCTGTAATCCTAGCACTTTGGGAGGTTGAAGCAGGAGGATTGTTTGGAGGCAGGAGGATTGTTTGAAGCCAGGAATTCAAGACCAGCCTGGGCAACAAAGTGAGACCCCCCCACCCCTACCTCATCTCTATTAAAAATAATAATAATTTAAAAAATCTTTTAAAATATATATTTAATATACTTATTTTAATTATCTAAGTTTAGACAGTATATACTGAATGTCCACTCTGAAAGGAGAGGAATTTTGTATACATTCTTTGTTTTTCCTTTCTTTCTTTTGATTGCTAATAGATTTTTAGTTTTTCTAGTGGTTGCCTTTATTTTAAATGTTATACTTTAATTTTTTAGTCTTTATTTACCAACTTTAGGTAATATCTGCTAATTCCCTGTAATGAAAGATGAAGACAATAGAGTCTGTCTTCCCTCCTGGTTTTTGTTAAGTTATTATTACTGCATTATGTCATATTCAAATGATAGAATTCTATGCAATTTTTTTTAAAGAGACAGGGTCTTGTTGTATTGCCCAGGCTGGAATGCAGTGGCTATTCACAGGTGTGATCGTCGAACACTACAGCCTTGAATTCCTGGGCTCAAGCAAACCTCCCACTTCAGCCTTCTGAGTAGCTGGGACTACAGGTGTGTGCCACTGTGCCCAGCTGTATACAATTATTAAGAGCAATGTAGAGCTGTATAAATTCGTCTAGAAAGATATCCACATGTTAGTGATAAATCAGGTTACAGTGTGATTCCATTTTTTGGAAAAAATACCCAGCTGAGCATAAATATACACACAAATATTCATAGTAGTTATCTTTGAGAGATTGACATACAGGATTTTCACTTTTTTCCCAATATTTTTATATTGTCCAAAGTCTTTACAGTGAGTACATACTAATTTATAGTTAGAAAAAGAATAGGAATTTAGAATTAATAAGTTACTGCTATTTTAGAGGGCTTTTTCTTTTTAACCTTTCTGCTTCATTCACTGAATTTATTTTTTATATTGCTTTTATTAAAGCAGAGAAATGCTTTAGAAGCCTAAAGAAAAGGAGCATTTTGGCCAGGTGCAGTGGCTCATGCCTGTAATCCCAGCACTTTGGGAGGCTGAGGCCGGTGGATCTCCTGAGGTCAGGAGTTCAAGACCAGCTTGGCCAACATGGTGAAACGCTGTCTCTACTAAAAATACAAAAAATTAGCCAGGCGTAGTGGCGCGCACCTGTAATCCCAGCTACTCAGGAGGTCGAGGCAGGAGAATCGCTTGAACCTGGGAGGTGGAGGTTGCAGTGAGCCGAGATTGTGCCATTGCACTCCAGCCTGGGCAACGAGCAAAACTCTGTCAATTAAAAAAAAAAAAAAAAGCATTTCTCTGCTTCACCTCTCTCCAGTTTAGTGGCTTTTTCTCAGAGAAGTTTCAACTATAAGAGTTGTTTCTGTTGGTATTTACTACAACTGTAATTTTTAGAGTTCCTATTATCATAAATGACTTGAACTTCCTATGTGGAGTTAGCTCTATAACACCTTCTTTTTCACATTCTTGTCTACCAATTTATTAAATTCCTTTGAAGTTTTACACATCATTATGACAAATACTGTTTACTGTTGAATAAGGATGCAACTTTCTTTTTTTTTTTTTTTGAGATGAAGTCTCTCTCTGTCACCCAGGCTGGAGTGTGGAGTGCAGTGGTGTGATCTCAGCTCACTGCAGCTTCCGCCTCCTGGGTTCACGTGATTCTGCTGCCTCAGCCTCCCAAGTAGCTGAGACTACATGCACATGCCACCACGCCCGGCTAATTTTTATGTATTTTTTAGTAGAGACAGGGTTTCGCCATTTTGGCCAGGCTGGTCTAGAAATCCCGACCTCAGGTAATCTGCCCACCTCAGCCTCCCAAAGTGCTGGGATTACAGGCGTGAGCCACCACGCCCGACGGATGCAACTTTCTTACAGATCCTTTTATGTGAGTTCAGCTGGACTGTAGCCTTAGCCTGAACCTGCAAATAGCTCTGAAGCATGAAAGGCACTGTGATCAGTGGAATGATGGCCCTGAAGGATGTCCATGTCTCAATCCCCTGAATCTGTGCATATGTTAGGTTACATGGCAGAGGAGAGTTAAGGTTGCTAATCAACTGATCTCAAATAAAGAGATTATTCTGGATTATCTTGGGGGGCCCAGTGTGATCACAGAGGTTTTTAAAGAGGAAGAAGAGAGTCAGATGTGACTACAGAATAATGAATGGTCAGGTAGAGGCCATACTGCTGGCCTGGAACATAGAGGAAGGGAGCCATGAGCCAAGGAATGCTGGTAGCCTCTTAGAGCTGGAAAAGGCAAGAAAATGGATTCCATTGCCTCAAGAAAGGAACATAGCTCTGCTGACACCTTGATTTTAGCCCAGTGAGGCCCATGCCAGACTTATTATCTCCATACCTGTAAGATGATAAATTTGTGTGTATGTGCTTTTTTAAAAAAAAAAAAAAAAATAGAGACAAGGTCTCACTATGTTGTCCAAGCTGGTCTGGAACTCCCGCACTCAAGTGATCCTCCTGCTTTGGCCTCCCAAAGTGCTAGGATTACAGGCACAAGCCACTGCACCAGGCCTTTTTCTTTTTGTGTGTGTGTGTTTTGTTTTGTTTTAAAGAGGGAGTCTTGCTGTGTTGCCCAGGCTGGTCTCCAACTGCTGGCCTCCAGTGATCCTCCCACCTCAGCCTCCCGGGGAGCTGGGATTACAAGCATGTGCCACTCTGCCTAGCTATTTATTTGTGTTGTTTTAATCTATTAGGTTTGCATTATTAATAATTTGTTACAGCTGCAATAGAAAGCTAATAGTGGCATCACTGAGTTATCTTTCCTGTGGCAAGGGAGCTGGCTTTTTCCTTTTTTTTTTTTTTTGAGACTGAGTCTCACTGTTGCCCAGGCTGGAGTGCAGTGGCTGATCTCGGCTCACTGCAACCTCCACCTCCCGGGTTCAAGCGATTCTCCTGCCTCAACCTCCTGAGTAGCTGGGATTACAGGAGTGTGTCACCACACCCAGCTAATTTTTTGTATTTTTAGTAAGACGGGTTTCACCGTGTTAGTCTTAATCTCCTGACCTTGTGACCCGCCCACCTCGGCCTCCCAAAGTGCTGGGATTACAGGCGTGAGCCACCGTGCCCGGCGGGAGCTGGCTTTTTCTATCACTGAGTCAGTCGGGCATTTGCTGCAGTGTCCCCTCAGAGATTAGGGTGGGTGACCTCCCAGCCAGATAGGCCCTGTCCTAATGGGAGTAATCCTCAAGAGAACGTTCTAACTGTCAAATAATACTAGAGCTGGCTAGTGGGTGTACTGGCCCAACAAAAGGAGTCTGTATGGGGCATCAACAGTCTGCTACAGTGGGTAAATCTAAGCCAATGCTGCATGATAATAATTGTGTCTACAAGGGTGGTGGTGTGGCGGGTGGGCAATAAAACTTAAGTGCAGAACTGAAATATTTGAAGTTGTATAAAGTGCTCGTGTTGTTCCAAAATGTTGATTAACCTCACACTCTGCGTGTGCATGCATATTAAAAATTTAAGGGCAGTCCGTAAATGCATTACTTTTAGTTGTGAACCAATAACATTTCGAACTTACAAACAAGCAATTCGGTCTTAACAAAGGCAGGAAAGGAAAAAGAAGGAAGCATAAAGTAGGGTAAAGAGGAAGCATAAAATAAAATGGCAAAAATAAATCCAACTGTGTCAGTAATCACACTTCAAAAGGAAAAATGAACAGAATTCACAATGATTTTACATGAACATCACTGTAGAATCGAGTAGTGGGCTTAGCTCCATAGAAAAGGAAATGTTTATAAAACTTCACCATTCAATAGAGAATTCTCAAGGCATCAAGATGTAATAAAGCCTCTTAATTTTTTCTTTTTTTTTTTTTTTTGAGACAGAGTCTCGCTCTGTCACCCAGGCTGGAGTGCAGTGGTGCGATCTCACCTCACTGCAACCTCCACCTCCTGGGTTCAGGTGATTCTGCCTCACTCAGCCTCCCAAGTCGCTGGGATTACAGGCGTGTGCCACCACCCACCACGCCTGGCTTTTTTTTTTTTTTTTTTTCTGGAGACGCAGTCTTGTTCTGTCACCCAGGCTAGAGTGCAGTGGCACGATCTCAGCTCACTGCAACCTCCACCTTCTGGGTTCAACTGATTCTTCTGCCTCAGCCTCCCCAGTACCTGGGATTACAAGCACACGCCACCACGCCCAGCTAATTTTTTTGTATTTTTACTAGAGACGAGGTTTCACCATGTTGGCCAGGCTGGTCTCAAACCCCTGACCTCAAGTGATCCGCCCACCTCGGCCTCACAAAGTGCTGGGATTACAGGTGAGCCACCATGCCCAGCCCTAATTTTTGTATTTTTGGTAGAGAGGGGGGGTTTCACCATGTTGGCCAGGCTAGTCTCGAACTCCTGACCTCAGGTGATTTGCCCACCCCAGCCTCCCAGAGTGCTGGGATTACAGGCGAGAACCACAGTGCCCGGCTGAAAGCCTCTTAATTTTTTTCTAATCCTCCTGTCCCCACCTTCAGTCTGGGTCAGATTTAGCACCACCTACTGTTTCTTTCTTTTTTTTCTTTTTGAGACGGAGTCTTGCTCTGTCACCCAGGCTGGAGTGCAGTGGTGTGATCTCGGCTCACCGCAAACTCCACCTTCTGGGTTCAAGTGATTCTCCTGCTTCAGCTTCCCTAGTAGCTGGGATTACAGGTGCGTGCCACCATACCTGGCTGATTTTTGTGTTTTTAGTAGGGACGGCATCCCAAAGTGCTGGGATTACAGGCGTGAGCCACTGTGCCCAGCCCGTTTCTTATTTCATATTGTCTTCTTTCTCGGATTACTTATATTTTTGGTTAAACTATTTTCTTGAGTAATTCTTACAGGGTGTGGGAGGTAAACTTCCTGAGTTCTTCTGTGTCTTAAATTACCTTTTGTTCTCATACAATTCAAGATTGACAATATTTTTCCCTTAGAATTTTGAAGACATTGCTCCATTATATTCTAATGTGTTAGCATCTGATGTTGTGTGATGTCAGTCTGATTTTGAACCTTTTTGAGTAACCTTTCTTCTTTGAAAGCTTTGTGGATTTTTTTTTTTTACCTTGGAGTTTTAAAATTTTGTAAATGTATCTCAAAATGTGATTTCTTAAAAACGGAATTAGAGAACTTTGAAAATGCATGTTAGTGTCCTTTCACTGTGCATTCTTGTCATTACACAAAAGATACACATAGTTAACATTTTAAAACATTGAAAAATCGGCCGGGCGTGGTGGCTCATGTCTGTAATCCCAGCACTTTGGGAGGCTGAGGCGGGCGGATCACCTGAGGTTGGGAGTTCGAGACCAGCCTGACCAACATGGAGAAACCCCGTTTAAAAATACAAGATTAGCAGGGCGTGGTGGCGCATGCCTGTAATCCCAGCTACTCAGGAGGCTGAGGCAGAATTGCTTGAACCCAGGAGGTGGAAGTTATCGTGAGCTGAGATCACGCCATTGCACTCCAGCCTGGGCAACAAGAGTGAAACTCCGTCTCCAAAAAGACAAAAAACAAAAAACAAAAAAAAATTGAAAAATCAAGGCCAGTGGAAATCATGCCATATTTGTTTTTGAAGAGGAGGGCTGGGCACAGGCTCTGTGGAAAGGGGCAGGTTTTGGCAGCAGGAGGGCTTCCTTGATAGCTGGTGGGGAGGAGGAGGAGGAGTAGGCAAGTGCAGTTGGATGGAGGACCTACTGGAGAGCTAGAGGGATGCGGCTGTTTTGTGTTTTCTATTTCCTGTCCCTGGAATAGTGCCAGTTCTACTTCTCCGGTTTTGACACCCTCCGTAGGGCCAGTTTCTTTAGAGAACATTCTTAGACTTTTACTGCTAGCAGTTCTGTTCAGGTGAGGGAGAAAAGGGCATGGTGGAGAGAAAGGAATCTAATTGTCTCTAGTCATGCTGATAAGTTTTGAAAATACAGAACATTAGGCAGCCATATCACCCCTTCCCCCTTTCTCCAAGGCTCCTTTGACAAGAACCCTTCTGATGACTGATCTGTGGGTTTCTATCCTCCTATTTCTCTTCCAATCTGTTTTTTCAGATGTCCTGAATTTCACATTTTTTTGTTTGTTTGTTTGAGACGGAGGCTCACCCTGTTGCCCAGGCTGTCATGCAGTGGCGCGATCTCGGCTCACTGCAACCTCTGCCTCCCGGGTTCAAGCGATTCTCCTGCCTCAGCCTCCCGAGTAGCTGGGACTACAAGTGTGCGCCATCACACCCGGCTAATTTTTGTATTTTTAGTAGAGACGAGGTTTTGCCATGTTGGCCAGGCTGGTCTCGAACCCCTGACCTCAGGTGATCTGCCTGACTCAGCCTCCCAAAGTGCGGCGGCGTAAGCCACCACACCCGGCCTTCACAAAATTTATAACCTGTGAATGGTACCTGTTTTCTAGCACTGTTATGGTTTTTAAACACTATTTATTTTAAATTTTTATTCATTTTTTCCCGAGACGGAGTCTCGCTCTGTCGCCAGGCTGAAGTGCAGTGGCGCAATCTCGGCTCACTGCAACCTCTGCTTCCTGGGTTCAGGTGATTCTCCTGCCTCAGCCTCCTGAGTAGCTGGGACTACAGGCGTGCACTACCACGCCCAGCTAATTTTTGTATTTTTAGTAGTAGAGATGGGGTTTCACCATGTTGGCCAGGATGGTCTTGATCTCTTGACCTCATGATCCGCCCGCCTCAGCCTCCGAGAGTGCTGGGATTACAGGCATGAGCCACCATGCCCAGCCTAAGAGCTTTTATTATGCCAATTTTAAAATGTATATAAAAGTGGAGAGAATAATTTAATGAATCCCCATATACCCATCACTCAGCTTCAATAATTATCAAGACATGGCCAATTATATTTCAGCTACACTCCCCACTACCTCTGACCACCCCCTCCCAATTATTTTGAAATATACCCCAGATATATCACTAGTAAATATTTTTGTATGCATCTCTAAAAGATAAGAACTCTTAAAAAAAAACTATTACTGTCATCACGCCAAAAAAATTAACAATAAATCCATAAAATCAAATATCCTCTCAGCATTCAAATTTTTCCAATTATCTCAAATTTTTTCTTTCTGTAACAGTTCTTTCGAATCAATATCTGAACAGTGTCCACACATTATATTTGATTTCTGTGAAGCTTGTTAATTCTCTTTTAATTTATTGGACCCATTTCCCTTCCTCCATCCCATACATTTTATTTGCTGACAAAACTGGGTCATTTTCTTATAGAACTTCCTATATTTTGGATGTTGCTGATTGTATCCTTGTGGTGTTATTTAACATGTTCTTTTGTCCCCTGTATTACCTGTAAACTGCTGGGTAATTCTACATACATAATCAGATTCAGGTTTGATTTTTCTGTCAAGAACATTGCATAGATAGTGGTATGTACTTCGTACTGTATGCGTCACAAGAAGCAACACATACTGTGGTTATTTCTCTTTAGGAGATGTTAAGATTGATCAGTAGATTCAGGTGGTGTCAGCCATTATAAAATTTCCCATCAGTTTATCACTTCATGTTTTGAGCACCTTAATTATCACTGCCTAGATCTCTTATTTATTTTATTCTATTTTTTATATTTTTGGAGATAGGGTCTCACTCTGTCACCCGGGCTGGAGTGCAGTAACATGATCTTGGCTCACTATAGCTTAAACCTCCTGGGCTCAAGTGATCCTCCTCAACCTCATGGTCTCAAGCTATCCTCCCGCCTGAGCTTCCTGAGCAGCTAGGACTACAGGCATGTACCACCATGACTGGCTAATTTTTGTATTTTTTGTAGAGATGAAGTCTCTCTACCTTCCCCGGGGTGATCTTGAACTCCTGGACTCAAACAATCCTCCCACCTCCGCCTCCTAAAGTGTTGGGATTACTGGTGTGAGCCACCGTACCCAGCTAGATCTATTTCATTTGGGGTTACAGAATAACAGTGTTCTAGGTTAGTTATTTGTTTGTGAATGAATAATTTATTTCTATATGTATACAGAGATATATAGATATATTTTAGAGATGGGGTCTCACTATGTTGCCCAGGCTGCTTTTGAACTCCTGGGCTCAAGCGACCCTCCTGCCTCAGCCTCCCAAAGTGCTGGGATTACAGGCATGAACTGTCATGCCTGGCTAGAACGAATAATTTATAAACATGAATTTATTTTAGAAAAAAAGAACATTTCCTCATCATCTATTTGGTTACTTTTAGATACAGTTAGAACAGGAAGGGCAGGATATGAAAATTTGCATGAATTGCGTAAATTTTTCAAAAAACAATTTACTAAAATGTACCCAAGAAATGCAAAATCTGAGTAAAATCTAAAGATCTAAAGATTCTTTTTTTCTTTCTTCCTTTTTTTTTTTTTTTGAGGCAGAGTCTTGCTCTGTTGCCCAGGCTGGAGTGCAGTGGCGCAATCTTGGCTCACTGCAACCTCCGCCTCCCAGGTTCAAGCAATTCTCCTGCCTCAGCCTCCTGAGTAGCTGGGATATCAGGCGCCGCCACCATGCCCGGCTAATTTTTGTATTTTTAGTAGAGACGGGGTTTCACTATGTTGGTCAGGCTAGTCTCGAACTCCTGACCTCGTGATCCACCCGCCTTGGCCTCCCAATGTGCTGGGATTACAGGCGTGAGCCACTGCGCCTGGCCTGAAGATTCTTATATCTATTAAATAAATCAAATGTACAATTTGAAGTCTCCCATAAAGAAAACTCTAGGCACAGATGGCTTTAATGGTGAATTCTTCCAAACATTTAAAAACAAATAATGCCATTCTTATTTATAGTATCCAAAGAATAGGAAGAGCAGAAAAACTCCCAAACTCATTTTATGAGACCATTATAACATTAATATCCAAGCCTAACAAGGTCATTACAAAAGGAAAATTAAACGCTAATATCTCTATGAACATAGACTTCAAAATCCTGGAAAGGCCGGGCGAGGTGGCTCACGCCTGTAATCCCAACACTTTGGGAGGTCAAGGTGGGTGGATCACCTGAGGTCAGGAGTTTGAGACCAGCCTGGCCAACATGGTGAACCCCGTCTCTACTAAAAATACAAAAATTAGCTGGGCGTGGTGGTGGACGCCTGTAATCCCAGCTACTTGGGAGGCTGAGGCAAGAGAATCGCTTGAACCTGGGAGGCAGAGGCTGCAGTGAGCTGAGATTGTGCCACTGCACCCCAGCCTGGGTGACAGAGTGAGACTCTGTCTCAAAAAAAAAAAAAAAGAAAAGAAAAAGAAAAAATATTACAAATGAAATGCAGCAATATGTAAAAACGACAATACATCATGGCCACATAGGATTCATTTCAGGAATGCAAGACTGGTTTAACACTTCAAAATCAATCAAGGCTGGGTGTGGTGGTTCATGCCTATAATCTCAACACTTTGGGAGGCTGAGATGGGAAGATCATTTGAGCTCAGGAGTTGGAGACCAGCCTGGGCAACATAGCAAGACCCCATCTCTACAAAAAAATTAAAAAATTACCTGGGCATGGTAGCACACACCTGTGGTCCCTGCTACTCAGGAGACTTAGGTGAGATGATCACTTGAGCCTAAAAAGTTGAGGCTGTAGTGAACTGTGATTGTGTCACTACACTCCAGCCTGAACAACAGAGTGAGACCCTGTCTTTAAAAAAAAGAAGGAAAGAAAAGAAAAAATCAATCAATATTGTGGAGAAAAGGTACACTGTTGGTAGAAATGTAGATTGGGACAGGCATTATGGAAGACAGTATGGAGGTTTATAAATAAATTAAAAATAGAACTATCATATGACCCAGCAATTCCTCTTCTGGATGTAAATCCAAAGGAAATGAAATTACCACCCTGTAAAGATGTCAGAACTCCTACATTCATTGCAGCATTATTCACAATGGCCATTATTCACTTAGGTTATGAAAAAACCTAAGTGTCAGTTGATAGACAAATGAATAAAAAAGCTGATTTTATATATATATATATATATTCATATACAATGAAATATTATTTAGCCCTTAAAAAGAAAGAGATCTTGCCATTTGCCACAATGTGGATAAGCCTGAAGAACATTATGCAAAGTGAAATAAGCCAGACACAGAAAAATATTGTGTGATTTCACTAATATGGGGAATCTAAAATAACCCCAATATGTAAATATACAGAGAACACAACAGTGATTACAGTGTAGGGATTGGGGATGGGAAAGGAAATGGGGAGATGTAGGTCAGAGAATACAAAGTAGCATATATGTAGGATCAACAACGTAAGGACTATAGGTAATATTAATAAAATTGTGCTCTCTTTGGGATTCATGGTAGATGAGTAGATTTTAGCTGCTCTTGAAACAATAGAAAAAAAGGGTAACTGCAAAATGATGGATATGTTAATTTGCTTCTCTATAGTAACCTTTTTACTATGTGTATTTATCCCATAACATCATGTTGTGTGCCTTAAATACACAACATAAAAAACCCATCAATGTATTTCGCCTCATTAACAGAATAAAGGAAAAGGCCATATTGTCATTTAGTAGATGCAGAAAAAGCATTTAATTAAACAATTACTTATGATAAAAAATAATGGACTCAAAGTTAGAAGGAAACTTCTGCAATCTGATAAAATGTATCTACAAAAAGCCTACAGCTAGCATCATATTAATGGTGAAATAGTGTGCACATTTGGAATGAAACCAGGAAGTCTATTTTAACTGTTTCTATTCAACATTGTACTGGAGGCTTTAGCCAGTGTGTTATTAAACTTGAATTTTGCCAATCTGATAGGTGAGAAATGGTATCTTAGTGTAACTTTAATTTGCATCTCTTTTATTACCAGTGAGGGCGAACATCTTTTCATAAGCTTAAGGAACATCTGCATTTCTTTTTCTTAAAATGTGTGTTCATTTCTCTTTCCCATTTTTTTCTATGAGGGTAGGTGGCCCTTTTGTTTTCTATGTTTAAAAAAATAATTAAAGGAAATTAAACCTTTATCTGTATACAGGTTCCAAATATATTTTCCCAATTTGCCATTTGTCTTTTTCCTTGACTTATGATGTATTTTGGCATGCAGTTTTCTTTCACTTTTATGTGGTCCAATTTAGCAATATTTCTCCCTTCTTGCTTATGGATTTTGCAATCCCAAGCTGTAAAAGAATTTACCTATGTTTTCTTCTAGACTTGTATGGTTTAATTTTTTACTTTTAAATCTCTGCTCTATTTGGAATTTATCAGATCCCTTTTTATCTTTCTCTATCTAGCTAACAAGTTACATAATTACTATCTACTAAAAAGTCCATCTTTCCTCCATTGTATTGAGATGTTACCTTCATCATATGCCAAATTTCCATATGCAAGTGGGTTCATTTCTAGATGTTATGCTCATGTGCCAGTACTCCACTTTAAATTATTGAGGCTTTATATTTTTTAAAAAAACAAACTATCTTATTTATCTTTTTCAGATGGAAATATAGGAGAATGGTTTATTATTTTAATAGGATGGATTTCTCAAAGGAGCAACAAACCATTGCTAGAGTAGGTAGTCAGTCAGACATGAGCGGGCAGGGGAGGGCCTCACCCCCAGGAATGTCAGGTGTCCATCAGGTGATGGTCAAGTGTTGTTAACTGTCTCTCTAAAATGACAATTGGTCACAGCCAGTGCCAGGGAAAGGCAGTCTCCCAATACATAGAAAACACCTGGAGCTGGTGATCAGCAGCTTCCTGATAAGATCTCAGGAGTTGGGCAAGTGGACTCAAGCGTGTTCACTAAGAGGCAAAATGGTGGAGTTTAACCAGTATATGACTTTCCTCTGGGACTGCTTGACTGGTAAGGGAAAAATGCCTCAAGTTCAGTAAACACACAGTGCATGCAGCCCCTCCCAAGTGCTGGCAGGCCACTATGCATGTGGACAGCCCACCCCAAGGGAAGAATCAAGGGAGAAGAAACACAAACTCCAGAACCATGCCAATGTATAAATCTCCCTATCAAGGGCCAAATAGGGCACTTGAATCTCTCAAGTTGCCCCCTTGGCCCTCTTTCAAGTGTACTTTGCTTCCTTCACTCCAGCTCTAAAACTTTTTAATAAACTCTCACTCCTGCTCTAAAATTTGCCTTGTTCTCTCCCTCTGCTTTGAACTGACTTCTGCCCCTTGGCCAAATTCTTTCCTCCAAGGAGGCTAGGATTGAGTTTGCTGCAAACCCATACAGACTTGCAGCTGGTAACACCATAAAGAAAAAAAAATTAATAATTTTGACTGTATCAATTTTTAAAAGTTTAGTGTCATAAAAGACACCATAAACAAGGTTTAAAATCAAGGATATAAGGAGATATTTGACACATATATAATATACAAATACTCTAAAATATATAACAACTTCTACAAATCAAAATGAAAATGAGCCACTCCACCTGGCTGTCTGTATCCTTTTTGATTTTTTATTGTAGTAAAATACACATCATAGTTATCATTTTAACCATTTCTGAGTGTATAATTCAGAGGCATCAAATACATTCATATGTATTTGATATGAATCAGTATCCATCACCACTATCTACACCCAAAACTTTTTCATCATCCCCACATAAACTCTATACCCATTTGTTGTGATATTGGAAAAAGCAAAGTTTTTTCCCTACTCTCACACAGTCAACACTTCCGATACCAGATGTGTGGGGGTATTTCCCCACATACCACAAGTGATTCTGTGGACACAAGCTGAGTGTCTGCTTATTCAATCAGATAGCGTCAGATCCCACAGGTTTGGGGCTCAGTCCCACAAGACTATCCCCCACTTCAGATGTCAGTCACAGGTCTGGGCCTCCAAAACTTTTGATAAACCAGCTACAAATCAGGGCTCCCATGACTCTCCCTTCTGGTTTGATTATTTTGCTAGAGTGGCTCACAGCTCTCAAGGAAACACTTTACTTACATTTACCCATTTATTATAAAGGATGTTACAAAGGATACAGATGAACAGCCAGATAGAAGAGATGCGTAGGGCAAGACATGTGGGAAGGGGCGCGGAACTTACATGCCCTCTCTGTATGCACTACCATCCAGGAACCTCCACTTGTGCAGCTATCTGGAAGCTCCCAGAACTCAGTCCTTTTGGGATTTTATGGAGGCTTCACTGTGTATGCATGATTGATTAAACTATTGGCCATTGGTGATCAATTTAACCTCCAACCCCTTTCCCCTACCCAGAGGTTGGGGGAGGAAGCTGAAAGTCCCAACCCCCTAATCATGCCTAGGTCTTTCCAGTGAAACCAGCTCCCATCCTAAAGCTATGTAGGAGTCCTCAGCTAGCAGTCAACTAATTAGCATATAAAAGACACTTTTCACTCCAGAGATTGCAAGGGATTTGGGAGCTGTAGGCCAGGAAATGGACTAGGAAGACAAGATGTATATTTCACAATATCAGCACCATTAAACATTAACACCCCTTTCCCTCCTTCCCCAGCGCTCCCCACCGCCAACTTCTATTCTGCTTTCTTGTCTCTATGAATGTATCTATTCTAGGTACCTCCTGTAAGTGGACTCACACAGTATTTGTCCTTCTGTTTTATTCATTAAGCATAATGTTTTCAAGGTCCATCTATGTTGTAGCATCTATCAAAATATCATTCCTTTTTATGGCTCAATAGTATTTCCTAATCAATTTTTTATTATAAAATATATTATTTATCTACACTTCTTGTTTCTTAGGTAATAGAATGTGTGTGTATATGTGTGTATATATATATATATATATATATATATATATTTTTTTTTTTTTAGACAGATTCTCCCAATGTTGCCCAGGCTGGAGTGCAGTGGCACTATCTTGGCTCACTGCAACCTCTACCTCCCAGGCTCAAGTGATTCTCGTACCTCAGCCTCCTGAGTAACTGGGACTACAGTTACGCACCACCACACCCAGCTAATTTTTTTGTATATTTAGGAGAGACGGGGTTTCACCATGTTGGCCAGGCTAGTCTCCAACTCCTGACCTCAGGTGATCCGCCCACCTCAGCCTCCCAAAGTGCTAGGATTACAGGTGTGAACCACTGCACCTGGCCTATTTAGCATTCTTTTACTTGGTTAAATAGTAGTTCTAGTTTCATCCAAGTCCTTACCTGAATGTTACTCTCTTTTAAGAATGTCAGCCTGGCGTGGTGGCCCACGCCTGTAATCCCAGCACTTTGGGAGGCCAAGGTGGGTGGATCACCTGAGGTTAAAAGTTCGAGACCAGCCTGACCAACATAGTGAAACCTTGTCTCTACTAAAAATACAAAAAAATTAGCCCAACATGGTGGTACATGCCTGTAATCCCAGCTACTTGGGAGGCTGAGGCAGGAGAACCACTGGAACCCGGGAGGCAGAGGTTGCAGTGAGCCGAGACTGCACCATTGCACTCCAGCCTGGGCGACAAGAGCAAAACTCCATTTCAAAAAAAAAAAAAAAAAAAAAAGAAGAATGTCATTGAACTTTGTTGATTGTCAATATGTGGAGTGATTGGGTGAGAGGTTTGGCGTAATTAAATTAGCACTGCAACATAAAAGAAGTGGAAGGTTAAGGATGAGTAAGCATCCAAGAAAAAGAGCTGTCTTGAACTAGGAATTTTTAAACATTTATAACATATCAGCCGGGCGCGGTGGCTCATGCCTGTAATCCCAGTACTTTGGGAGGCTGAGGCAGGCGGATCATGAGGTCAGGAGATCGAGACCATCCTGGCTAACACGGTGAAACCCCGTCTCCACTAAAAATACAAAAAATTAGCCGGGCGTGGTGGCAGACGCCTGTAGTCCCAGCTGCTTGGGAGGCTGAGGCAGGAGAAGGTCGTGCACCCAGGAGGCGGAGCTTGCAGTGAGCCGAGATCGCGCCATTGCACTCCAGCGTGGACGATAGAGCGACACTCCATCTCAAAAAAAAAAAAATTCAGATAATTCAGAGCCAAAACACAATGCCTTTTCTGTTTCTTTTGATTTTTAAGCCCAGGGAACCTTATCTTTTTTGTAAGCAAAAGTTGAGTGTAGAAAAATGAAGTCTAGGCTGGGTGAGGTGACTCATGCCTGTAATCCTAGCTCTTTGGGAGGCCGAGGCAGGCAGATCACTTAAGGTCAGGAGTTTGAGACCAGCCTGGCCAACAAAGTGAAACCCCGTCTCTACTAAACATACAAAATTAGCTGGGTGTGGTGGCAGGAGCCTATAATCCCAGCTACTCGGGACGCCGAGGCAGGACAATCGCTTGAACCCAGTGTGTGCGGGGTGGGGGCGGGGAGTGGCAGCAACAAGAGCGAAACAACGTCTCAAAAAAAAAAAAAAAAAAAAGAAAGAAATAGATAAAAATGGTTATCTCTATGGGATGGGGGAAAAATGATGTTTACAGGAACCACATCGGGAGTGAGACTTCTCTCTATCCACACTTTCATTGTGATTTTTTTTTTTAAAAAAGCCATCCATATCTACTATATTTTGATTTTTGAATCATGTGAACATATAGCCTACATTTTTGTTTTGTTTTGTTTTTGTTTTTGTTTTGAGATGGAGTCTCACTCTGTCGCCAGGCTGGAGTGCAGTGGCGTGATCTTGACTCACTGCAACCTCTGCCTCCCGGGTTCAAGCAAGTCCTCTGCCTCAGCCTCCCGAGTAGCTGGAACTACAGGCGAGCACCACCACGTCTGGCTAATATTTTGTATTTTAGTAAAGACGGAGTTTCACCATGCTGGCCAGGATGGTCTCGACCTCCTGACCTCGTGATCTGCCTGCCTCGGCCTCCCAATGTGCTGGGATTACAGGCGTGAGACACCATGCCCGGCCATAACCTGCTTTTTAAAAGTTAAACTAATGTAAGCTTTAGAGCTGAAATATAGCCTCACATTTTTCGTTCAAATTGAGGAAAGGAACATAATTTCTGCTTCAGAAGTATAATAATTTATTACAGTCAGCATCAGAAACATTTAAATATTTATCCTTTTGAATGAATATCTATATTTATTTATTTATGAATACAGAGTCTCACTCTGTCGTCCAGGCTGGAGTGCAGGAACACTAGTTAGCTATACAAAGACTAAAAAATGCTTTATGTACTGAAATAAAAAATCACTCATTCTCCACTCAAGTGATACAGGAGGTAGAAAGAAATTATTTAGGCAGATAGTGAGGGCAAAAGAGTCCCTGGCAAGGCTTCCCTTCTAATAAAAAGAAGCCCAATAAATTATTTTTTCCTAACAAAGAGCAGCCTGAAAAATAGAGCGGCAAACATAGATAGGCAAGCTGGAAGCCTGCATGGGGGAATGCCAGCCCCTGTGCCAATAGGAAAGTGCTACCTGGGGGTGAGGCATGTCCAACATGGAGGCTCCATCTTCCCTTTTTTTGTTACCACGTGTACAGTAATAAAGAAATGGGCAACATGACACAGCTCAGGCAGAGAACCCGCCTGCATAATAAAAGATTAGGGTGGGGAAGGCCAGAGATTCACACCCTATGCAAATGGCACACCTGTTCTAACCAGTCTTTCGTGCCCTGTGAAACTCAGACACTGCCTCCTCACCAGCTCATCTATAAAGCTCCCTGCATTTCACCATGGTTCTAGCAACCCATTTTTCTGGGACCCATCTCAGAAGCAGAGAGCTATTCTCTTTCTTTCGCCTATTAAACTTCTGCTCTCAACCTCACTGTGTGTCTGCATCCTTGTTCTCTGTGGGCATGAGACAACGAACCTCTGGTGTTACTCCAGACAATGAGGTCATTTCACAACCTATGCCTCCTGGATTCAAGCAATTCTTGTGCCTCAGCCTCCCGAGTAGCTGAGATTACAGGTGCATACCATCATGCCCAGCTAATTTTTTTTTTTTTATATTTTTAGTAGAGACAGGGTTTCACCATGTTGTTCAGGCTGGTTTCAAACTACTGACCTCAAATAATCCACCTGCCTCAGTCTCTCAAAGTGCTGGGATTACAGGCATGAGCCACCGCACCTGGTCAAAATGTCTTTATTTTTAACAAAGACTGAAGAGTTTATGGATTATGGTAATCTGAGAAACAAAATTGTTAACTCTTCATTGACAGGAGTAGTAGTAGTTTAGTTTTCTGGAAAGCAAGAGTTGATTAGGAATTTAGATGAACTCAAGATGGACTCTCTCTGGTAATAATCTGCTTTAATAGTCTGCTATTAAAAAGAGTTTCTCTTTTTAAGAGAAACTGACCAAATATGAACAAATAGGGATCAGCTGGCTAGTAAGTCAGTGTTTGGCTGCTTAGGGGTAGTAATTTAATTTGAAATCCTCTTCCTCCCTCAGTCAGGGTTGCTTGAGAACATATTTTATGTGACAATATTATGGATATATTCAGTAAAACTAAAAGACAATGACACATGAGTAGCATTCTCCAGAGGAGAGTCTGAAATGATTTAGAAGAATCAAGGCATATGAAACTGTAGAAACAGCCCGGGCATGTTGGCTCACGCCCATAATCCCAGCACTATGGGAGGCTGAGGCGGGCAGATCACTTGAGGCCAGGAGTTCTACACCAGTCTGGCCAACACGGTAAAATCCCGTCTCTACTAAAAATACAAAAATTAGCCAGGCATGGTGGTGCATGCTTGTAATCCCAGCTACTCAGGAGGCTGAGGCAGGAGAATCGCTTGAACCTGGGAGGTGGAGGTTGAATCACTTGAACCTGGGAGGTGGAGGTTGCAGTAAGCCAAGATTGCACCACTGCACTCTATCCTGGGTGACAGAGCGAGATTCCGTCTCCAAAAAAAAACCCCAAAAAACAAAAAACTGTAGAAACATAATTTTTATATCTAGAGACACAAAACAAGGTTTAACAAAAACCAACCAAATAAACAAAAACCCAGCTGGCCTTGGTGCCACGTGCCTGTAGTCCCAGCTACTCAGCTGAGGCAGGAGGATCACTGGAGCCCAGGAGTTTGAGACTGCAGTTTGTGCCACTGCATTCCAATCTGAGTGACAGAGCGGGACCGTTTCTCTAAAATTTAAAAAACAGAAAGACACATAAGCAAAAACCCTGTCTATGTTGGTCATTTATTGACTGAGAAGTGGCAAAGAATTGATTAAAGAAGTGCTCTTAATTTGAAAATAAGGTGATCAAGGCAGGGATCCTAAAGAATTGCTAGAGAAACAAAGGTAAATGATAGGAAAGGAGGGAAGAGGAGGCCTGAGGAGGGCAGGGGCTAGAAATGGGAAGCAGCAGGTGTAGAAATAAGAAAAAATAAAAAGGCCTGCGCGGTGGCTCACGCCTGTAATCCCAGCACTTTGGGAGGCCGAGGTGGGTGGATCACGAGGTCAGCAGTTCGAGACCAGCCTGGCTAACACGTTGAAACCCCGTCTCTACTAAAAATACAAAAAAAATTAGCCGGGCATGGTGGCAGGCGCCTGTAGTTCCAGCTACTCAGGAGGCTGAGGCAGGAGAATGGCGTGAACCCAGATGGCAGAGCTTGCAGTGAGCCGAGATTGTGCCACTGCACTCCAGCCTGGGCGACAGAGTGAGACTCCGTCTCAAAAATAAATAAATAAATAAAATATAAAATATAAAAAACATCCAGGCCGTGCGCAGTGTCTCAGCTCAACCCCAGCACTTTGGGAGGTCAAGGCAGGCGAATCACTTGAGGTCAGGAGTTTGAGACCAGCCTGGCCAACATAGTGAAACCCTGTCTCTACTAAAAATACAAAAAAATTAGCCAGGTGTGGTGGCGTGCGATTGCAGTCCCAGCTATTCAGGAGGCTGAGGCACAAGAATCGTTGAAACTGAATGGCGGAGGTTGCAGTGAGCTGAGATCTCACCACTGAACTCCAGCCTGGGCGACAGAGTGAGACTTGGTCTCAAAAAAAAATAAAATAAAATAAAATAAAAATTCCAGATTCATGTACAAATCTGCTGTCTACATGGGCGATGCTGTAAATTGAAAACTGGTGTTTCAGATAAAGACCTGGAAGAACAGCAAGATCCTAAATTAATGAAAATTCTGTTTTTCAGCATTCTGGGTTTAATAAGACAAAAAGCAAAATTGGTACAGTTTAAGTTTTTTGTTTGTTTGTTTTGTTTTTTAACAGGGGTTGGGAAGTTGTGGTAGATGATCTCAAAATTCCCTTATAGTTCTGAAATGGATTCTACAGTTGTAGTGCTTATAGAGTTACTTCTTAGACCATGTGCTCATAGTAAAATGGGCTGTCACTTCTGTTCCATCAGTGGGAAAATGTATCATGAAGACTGAATAGCTATGTGAGATTGAACCATTTGTAAGTATTGGAATAAAGTGGTGGTTCTCAAACTGTGGATTCTCTTAGCATAATATTTTTGAGATGGGTCAATGTTGTGTCTATTTGTAGCTTATTGCTTTTTCTTGCTGAGTGGTACTTCATTGTATTGACATACCCACAGTTTACCTATTCGTCTGTTTATAGATAAGGAATACTTCTGGGTTTTGTCTCCTATGCTGAAGCTACTCTGAACATTTGCACACAGTTCTTTGTTTAGACATGTTTTCTTCTTTTTCTTTCTTTTTTTTTCAAGACGGAGTCTCGCTTTGTCGCCCGGGCTGGAGTGCAATGGTGTGATCTCGGCTCACTGCAACCTCCGCCTCCCGGGTTCAAGCGATTCTCCCACCTCAGCCTCCCAAGTAGCTGGGGTTACAGGTACCCGCCATCATGCCCAGCTAATTTTTGTATTTTTGTAGAGACGGGGTTTCACCATGTTGGCCAGGCTGGTCTTGAACTCCTGACCTCAGGTGATTCCCCTGCCTCGGCCTCCCAAAGTGCTGGGATCACAGGCGTGAGGCACCGTGCCCGGCCAGTTTAGACATGTTTTCATTTATCTTGGGTAAATATTCAGTGATGGAATTTCTGGGTTGTATGGCAGGTGATTTTAACTGCTAAACTATTTTCCAAAGTGGTTGTGCCATTTTCCATTCCTATCACCAATACATGACAGTTCCATTGGTGTCATAATCTTGCCAACAACTAGAATGATCAGATGTTTACATTTTAGACATTTTAGGGGGATATATTAGTATCTCACTGTGGTTTTAATTTGCATTTCTCGGATGACTAATCATTTTGAGTGTCTTTTGTTCTGTACCTACTTTTTAAAAATTTGCAAAATACGGCCGGGCATGGTGGCTCATGCCTGTAATCCCAGCACTTTGGGAGGCCGAGGCGAGTGGATCACGAGGTCAGGAGTTCAAGACCAGCCTGGCCAACATGGTGAAACCCCGTCTCTACTAAAGATACAAAAATTAGCCGGGCGTGGTGGCATGCGCCTGTAATCCCAGCTACTCGGAGGCTGAGGCAGAGAATTGCTTGAACCTGGGAAGCGGAGGTTGCAGTGAGCCGAGATCGAGCCACTACACTCCAGCCTGAGCAACAGAATGAGACTCCATCTCAAAAACAAACAAAAAATAAATAAATAAAATAAAAATTTGCAAAATACTAAACTCAAAGATCCTAGCCTGTACCCATGGAATAATTTGATTCTAAAAGTCTTAGGATGACAACAGCATAGCCATTTCACATGGTATAAATCTCTACAATTTACAACGCCCTTAAGGGTGGATACTGTACACACAGTTTCTGACATATTGTAGTTTCAATAAACATGGGCTGAATTATGGTCTAATGAAATGCTTAAAGGCAACAGTCACCATTATTAAGAGCAGGAAGGGTTTTACAGAATGTGATGCATCTGATTTAACTTGGATATTTCAATATCTCTGATTTTATTAGGCAGTGAAGCTCCTAAGGGGGAAATCATTTTTAAGATTATTTTTAATTAATAAAATGTCAAAAATAATGGCAGAATCCTTGAAATTTAAGACTGGAGAAGATTCCTGTGTAAAGCAGTTCTTTAAAAATACACAGCATGGCTGGGCATGGTGCCTCACATCTGTAATCCTAGCATTTTGGGAAGCTGAGGGGAGAGGATCGCTTGAGGCCAGGAGTTTGAGACCAGCCTGGGCCAGATAGTGAGACTCAGTCTCTACAAAAAATAATAATAACAAATT
Source organism: Homo sapiens (assembly GCF_000001405.40). Lineage (NCBI taxonomy): Eukaryota > Metazoa > Chordata > Mammalia > Primates > Hominidae > Homo > Homo sapiens. The sequence goes on along the minus strand of NC_000023.11, from coordinate 44,499,222 downwards.
AGCCAGGTGTAGTGGCACATGCCTGTAGTCCTAGCTACTCAGGAGGCTGAGGTGGGATGATCACTTGAGTCCAGGAGTTCAAGGTAACAGTAAACTGTGATAATGCCACTGCACTCCTGCCTGGGTGACAGAACAAGATCCTGTCTCTAAAAAAATTAAAAAATAAGTAATAAATAAAAATACAGGGCATGATCTCCACAGTAGTTTCTCCATCTACAAAATAGGACAATTAGTGAATCTGAGCCCTTTCTTGAGATGGAATTTCTTTCTTGCTGCCCAGGCTGGAGTGCAGTAGCGCAATCTCGGCTCACTGTAACCTCTGCCTCCCGGATTCAAGCGATTCTCCTGCCTCAGCCTCCTGAGTAGCTGGGATTACAGGCGCCTGCCACCACACCTGGCTAATTTTTTGTATTTTTAGTAGAGACAGGGCTTCGCTATGTTGGCCAGGCTGGTCTTGACTCCTGACCCCAGGTGATCCACCCGCCTTGGCCTCCCAAAGTGCTGGCATTACAGGTGTGAGCCACCATGCCCGGCCTGAGCCCTTTCTTAACGCTAGTCAACCTCAATATTTTGAACTGCCTCATGACTATTAGGTAGTTTTATCATGTTATTAGATTACTAAAATTTAATAGCAAAATTTTGGAGGGAAAAGAATATCCCTGGCAGTACTGATGAAGATTTTTTTTTCCTTTATTTTTTTTTATTTTTTGAGACGGAGTTTTGCTCTTGTTGCCCAGGCTGGAGTGCAATGGCACAATCTTGGCTCACCACAACCTCTGCCTCCCAGGTTCAAGCAATTATCCTGGTTCAAGCAATTATCCTGCCTCAAGCCTCCCGAGTAGCTGGGATTACAGGCATGTGCCACCACACCTGGCTAATTTTGTATTTTTAGTTGAGACGGGGTTTCTCCGTGTTGGCCAGGCTGGTCTCGAACTCCCAACCTCAGGTGATCCGTCTGCCTCTGCCTCCCAAAGTGCTGGGATTACAGGCGTAAGCCACCACGCCCAGCTATTTCCTTTATTTTTAAAATTATTTATTTATTCATTTATTTATTTTTGAGATGGGGTCTCACTCTGTCACCCAGGCTGGAGTGCAGTAGTGTGATCTTGGCTCACTACAACCTCTGACTCCTGAGTTCAAGGGACCCTCTCACCTCAGCCTCCTGAGTAGCTAGGGACACAGGTGCCACCACACTCAGCTAATTTTTTGTATTTTTAGTAGAGACAGGATTTCACCATGTTGCCCAGGCTGGTCTCAAACTCCTGACCTCAAGTGATCTGCCTGCCTTGGCCTCTCAAAGTGCTGGGATTACAGGCGTGAGCCACCGTGTCTGGTGTTTGACAAAGATCTTTTTCTGCATTTTTTTTTCCTGTAAGATAATTAAGTGAATGGAACCTCTTGATTTTCTAGCTATGATAGTTAAATATGCATGAATTCTTTTTTCCTAACATTTTATAGTGAAGATTTTCAAACATACAGAAAAGTTGAAAGAATGTTACAATAAACACTCATCTACCTACCACCTAGATTCTACAATTAAAATTTTACTGGACTTGCTTTTTATCATATATCTATCCATCTATTTATTGCTTTATCCATCTTATTTGTTTTTGACATATTTCGAAGTAAATGACAGATATCAGTGCACTTCCCCCTAAATGATTATAAATTCTGTTTTAAGGATGGACTCTCTGGGTATGTATATGCACTGCTGCATACACATGCCTACTTTCTGGAAATAAAATATGCTAGTGGCTGGGCATGGTGGCTCACGCCTGTAATCCCAGCACTTTGCGAGGCTGAGGCAGGTGGATCACCTGAGGTCAGGAGTTCGAGACCAGCCTGGCCAACACGGTGAAACCCCATCTCTACTAAAAATACAGAAATTAGCTGGGTGTGGTGGCACATGCCTGTAATCCCAGCTACTCGGGAGGCTGATGCAGGAGAATTGCTTGATCCCAGGAGGCAGAGGTGGCAGTGAACCGAGATCGCACCACTGCACTCCCGCCTGGGTAATGAGACTCCGTCTCAAAAAAAAAAAAAAAAAAAAAAAAAAAGGAAAAGAAAAGAAAATCCTAAAGTTCATATGGAACCCCAAAAGGATCTGAATAGCCAAAGCAATCCCAAGCAAAAAGAACAAATTTAGAGGCATCACATTGCCTGACTTCAAATTATACTACAAGGCAATAGTAACTAAAATAGCATGGTACCAATACACAAAAATAGATACATAGATCAATGAAACAGAATAGAGAACCCAGAAATAAAGCTACATGCCTACAACCAACTGATCTTCAACGAAGTCAAACAAAAATAAACAATAGGCAAAGGACAACCTTTTCAATAAATGGTGCTGGGAAAACTGGCTAGCCATACGCACGACAATGAAACTGGAACCATACCTCTCACCATATACAAAAATTAACTCCAGATGAATTAAAGGCCTAAACATAAGACCTGAAACTATAAAAATCCTATAAGAAAACCAAGGAAAAACCCTTCTGAATATTGGCCTAGGTAAAGAATTTATGATGAAGACCCCAGAAGCAAATCCAACAAAAATAAAAATAGACAAGTGGGACTTAATTAAACTAAAAAGCTTCTGCATAGCAAAAGAAATAATCAACAGAGTAAACAGATGACCTACAGAAAGGGAGAAATTATTTGCAAATTATGCATCTGACAAAGGACTAACATCCACAACCTACAAGGAACTCAAACACCTTAACAAGAAAAAAACCAAACAGCCCCATTAAAAAGTGCACATTTTTGGCCCAAATGTTCAAAGAATATGAATAGACATTTTTCAAAAGAAGACATACAAGCAGCCAACAGTGCATGAAAAAATGCTCAACATCACTAATATTGGAGAAATGCAAATTAAAACCACAATGAGGTATCATCTTTTTTTCTTTTTTTCTTTTTTTTTTTTTTTTTGAGATGGAGTCTCACTCTGTCGCCAGGCTGGAGTGCAGTGGTGCGATCTCGGCTCACTGCAACCTCCACCTTCCAGGTTCAAGTGATTCTCCTGCCTCAGCCTCCCAGAGTAGCTGGGACTATAGGCATGCACCACCACACCCAGCTAATTTTTGTATTTTTAGTAGAGACGGGGTTTCACCATGTTGGCCAGGATGGTCTCGATCTCTTGACCTGGTGATCCACCCTCCTCGGCCTCCCAAAGTGCTGGGATTACAGGCGTGAGCCACTGTGCCCAGCCGAGATATCATCTTACACCAGTCAAAAAGGCTATTATTAAAAAGTCAAAAAACAACAGATGTTGGCGTGGATGCACAGAAAAGGGAACATTTATACACTGTTAGTGGAAATGTAAATAAGTTGAACCTCCATGGAAAACAGTATGGAGATTTCTCAAAGAAATAAAAATAGAACTACCATTCAACCTAGCAATCCCACCATTGGGTATCTACCCAAAGAAGAAGAAATCACTATATAAATAAGGCACCTGCACTTGTATGTTCATTGTGGCATTATTCACAATAGCACAGTCATGGAACTAATGTTAACTGTCCATCAGTTATTGACCGCAATAAAAAAAAAATGTGGGCTGGGCATGGTGGCTCATGCCTATAATCCCAGCACTTTGGGAGGCCAAGACTGGTAGGATTGTTTGAGCTCAGGAGTTTGAGACCAGCCTGGGCAACATAGTGAGATCTTGTCTCTACTAAAAAAAAAAAAAAAAAAAATCAGCCAGGCATGATGGTGCATGCCTATGGTTCCTATGGTTCCAGCTACTAGGGGGGCTGAGGTTGGAGGGGTAGCTTGAGCCCAGGAGATCAAGGCTGTAGTGAGGTGTGATTGTGCTACTGTACTCCAGCCTGAGTGACAGAGCAAGATCCTGTCTCAAAAAAGAAAAAATAATAAAAAAAAGTGGTATATACACACCATGGAATACTATACAGCCATAAAAAAGAATGAAATCATGTCCTCGGCAGCAACATAGATAGAGGTAGAGGCCATTATCCTAAGTGAACTAACTCAGAAACAGAAAATCAAGTACTGATATTCTCACTTATAAGTGGGAGATAAAAAACAGGTACACATGGACATAAAGATGGAAATAATAGACACAGGGGACTCCAAAAGGGGGAAGGGTTGAAAAATTACCTATTGGGTAAAATGTTCAGTATTTGGGCAAAATCTAAAATAAAATGAAGGTTGAGCATGGTGGCTCATGCCTGTAATCCCAGCACTTTGGGAGGCCAAGGCAGGTGGATCATTTGAGGTCAGGAGTTTGAGACCAGCCTGGCCAACATGGTGAAAATTAGCCAGGCATGGTGGCGGGCACCTATAATCCCAGCTACTCAGGAGGCTGAGGCAGGAGAATCGCTTGAGCCCAGGAGGAGGAGGTTGCAGTAAGCCAAGATCGTGCCACTGCACTCCAGCCTGGATGACAGAGAGAGATTTAAAAAAAAAATAAAAAATAAAATACAATTCAAGAAAGAAATTTTTTTTTGTTTTTGTTTAACAACCCTTGTTCTGCTTGTAAAATTATTTTACTGAGGTATCTTGTGCTCATCATTTAATTTCTTCTGTTCCTCATTTTTCTCATTTACATCTAAAATAATCATGCATTTTCTTACAAAGTGCTCTGAAATCTGCCGATAACAAGATAACTCAGTGGTTTCAAGACAACTGCCACAAAAACCACCACCTAGAGGATGAACACATCATCTCTGAAGTTAGTTAGGAAAGGGAACAGGCGTCTGAAACAGGCGTGTGGATTCCTCTACAGTATTTTCTGTTTTCGCATATGCTTCTTTAATTCCAATGGCATCTTAGTTTAGGTAATCTGAACAATTTTCTCTGAATTTCTCATCTCCACTTTCTTTTCTTTCTTCTTCTTTTTTCTTGTTCTTTATTTTTTATTTTATTTTTATTTATTTTTAATTTTTATTTTTTTGAGACAGAGTCTCGCTCTGTCACCCAGGCTGGAGTGCAGTGGCACGATCTTCGCTCACTGCAAGCTCCTCCTCCCGGGTTCACGCCATTCTCCTGCCTCAGCCTCCCAAGTAACTGGGACTACAGGCGTCTGTCACCACACCCGGCTAATTTTTTGTATTTTTAGTAGAGACGGGGTTTCACCGTGTTAGCCAGGATGGTCTCGATTTCCTGACTTTGTGATCCGCCCACCTCGGCCTCCCAAAGTGCTGGGATTACAGGCGTGAGCCACCGTGCCCAGCTCTTTTTCTTTCTTTCTTTCTTTTTTTGAGATGGAGTCTCGCTGTGTCGTCCAGGCTGGAGTGCAGTGGTGTGGTCTCGGCTCACTGCAACCTCCGTCTCCCGGGTTCAAGCAATTCTCCTACCTCAGCCTCCCAAGTAGCTGGGATTACAGGCGTGTGCCACCACATCCGGCTACTTTTTTTGTATTTTTAGTAGAGACGGGGTTTCGCCATGTTGGCCAGTCTGGTCTCGAACTCCTGACCTCAGGTGATCCGCCCACCTTGTCCTCCCAAAGTGCTGGGATTACAGGCATGAGCCACCACGCCTCGCCCTCATCTCCACTTTCCATGTCATACACATACCTGAGAACAAAAATAGAAGGAAAGCAAAGGGTTGAAAGACAAAAGCAAAAATAAAAAATCATGTCCAATGACAATTATTCACTCTTGGTAATTATCAAGGCATGTTTATTTCTTTTGCATGTTTTCACCAACCTCATCCCTGTCTGCCATTATTAGCTGAGTGTCATAACTACAGTGGAGACGAAAGGGAGAGCAAATCCTCATCGTTTCTCCTGAAACTGGAAAAATAGAATAGTGTATTTGAAAGTCTCCCCCTTGGCGGAGGTTGCAGTGAGCCGAGATCGGCCATTGCACTACTTCAGCCTGGGCGACAAGAGTGAAACTGTCTCAAAAAAAAACCAAAAAACAAAGAACGTCTTCCCTTCATCATTGCACTCCCTCGGAGTATCGCTGACCGATACTCCGAAATCAATCACCGGATTGATTTTGATACATTCATGAGAACTTTGTGGTTTTGTGTTTCTTTTTCCTTGAGATGATCTATTCACTAATTTTTAAAACAGGTAAACCCATTTGTATAGCAAGAATTCACCAGACACAGGACGGTATACAGTGCAAATGAGTCTTTATCCTTCCTACGTCCTCCCTAAGTGCCCCCAAACAACCAATGTTGTCAGATTTTTATGCATCATTCCAGACACATATATGCCTATCCAAGCACATACTTACAGAGAATCTCCCTGCTCCTTTATATGCAGATAGAAGCCTTCTGTGCACACTGTCTTGTACCATGCCTTTTTAAAAATTGAAGTGTAGCCTACATACAGTAAGGGCACAAGTCTTATCTGTGCAACTCAATGAATTTTTATGTAAGTATACACCTGTGAAACCACCTGCTCAAACAAGATGAGAATGTTATCCACACCCCAGAGGTTCCATGATGTCTAGAGAAGCCAAGAATCTTTAATCTTATGAAGCTTTGATGTGGCAGCAAAATTTTTTTTGTAAGCATGTTTTTTTTAAAAAAGTGACAAATTTCTGGCCGGGTGCGGTGATTCATGCCTGTAATCCCAGAACTTTGGGAGGCCGAGGCCGGTGGCTCACCTGAGGTCAGGAGTTTGAGACCAGCCTGGCCAACATGGTGAAATCCTGTCTCTACTAAAAATACAAAAATTAGCCGGGTGTGGTGGCGCATGCCTGTAATCTCAGCTACTCAGGAGGCTGAGGCAGCAGAATCGCTTGAACTCGGGGTGTGGAGGTTGCAGTGAGCCGAGATCATGCCACTGCACTCCAGCCTGGGCGACAGACCGAGACTTCATCTCCAAAAAAAAAAAAAAAAAAATGGTCTCTGGCTGCCAAGATCAGGCTCCCCAGGTTTTCAGCCTTCCATATGCATATCCAGACCCTGAACTTTGTCAGTGGCCACAGTGTTGATTGTACTCGGAGGGAGTGGAACCACACTGAGAAGAGACAGAATCCCAACTTACTTTTCAGCCTGAGGATATTCTGATTCAGTTGCCAGAGGCTTGTGGTTCTGGTTGAGGGCATTTTGGGAGATAGAATTGTTATAAAATAGAATGGGAAGGGTGGAATCAGGAGGGGGTGGTAAATGATCTCAGTGGCTTGTTCATCCTTGTGCGTGTTTCTTCTTAGCCAGTGTTGGGTAAACATGGCCCACTTCTGGGTTTTCGAGGCTGCTTTTCCTAATCTGGAATCTACTAAACCCGTTCTGGGGTCACCCTTTCCTCAAACAGGCGCAATTCAATTGATTTAGTCTCTAGCTAATATATTACAACCACATTTGGTCTTTTTCTTTTCTGAGATTATAACCAGGATACGAAGACAGATTTTGATATGTATGTGTGTGCTGGGGGGCTGTGGGCAAGGGCTCTCATGAAGAAAAAAATCGATTACTGGCTAGAGTCACAGAGATTCTTGTTTTTGTTTTTTTGAATCAAAATTTAGATTCAAATGTGAATATTAATTTTGAAGTAAATCCAATTTGAAGGGAATATTTATTTAGAATGTCCACAGCCCCTCCACTTCCATTCTACAGGAGGGAATGTGTGAGGAAGAGTAAGTTGCAGTGGAAACAGACAATGATCTAAAGTGATTGGAATGATACTATCTGTCTTTTGTGAATTTTATAGAAACTTCTGGCTATGTGAACACACAGCTAAGACTCCTTTCAGGGCCTTGGAAGGTGCCTATACAGCGAGGGGCCCTGAAGCTTCTCAGTAAATACACCTCTGCCAGGTTTAAGGAGGCCCATCTGTGATAGATTTCTCCTGCAAGTGGCCTCTTACATTTCCATGTGGATTTCGCTAAGTCAACTGTATTCTCAGCGCTCCCCACATGAGTTTATACAAGAAGCCAAACATGTAAAATGCACAAATTGCAAGATCACATTTTAGCTAGTACAATGGCCATTTAATCTTTTCCCTTTTTTCTTTTCTTTTTTTTTCTTTTAGAGACAGGGTCCTACTCTGTCACTCAGGCTGGAGTACAGGGGCACAATCATGGCTCACTGTAGCCTCCAACTCCTAGGCTCAAGTGATCCTCCTGCCTCAGCCTCCCAAGTAGTTGGAATTACAGGTGTAAGCCACTGTGCCAGCTCCCTTTTTTCCCATTTCTTTAAAACTGTACTTGGTTGGAATGTTGCAGGAAGAGAAGGGGGATGGGTATAAAAGTCTGCTAAAAGAGGCATAAGAGGCCAGGAGCGGTGGCTCACACCTGTAATCCCAGCACTTTGGGAGGCCGAGGTAGGTGGATCACCTGAGGTCAGGAGTTCGAGACCAGCCTCACCAATACGGAGTGAAACTCCGTCTCCACTAAAAATACAAAAACTGGCCTGGCATGGTGGCTCATGCCTGTAATCCCAGCACTTTGGGAGGCAGGAGCAGGTGGATCACTTGAGTCTGGGAGTTTGAGACCAGCCATGGCCAACATGGTGAAACCCCATCTCTACTAAAGATACAAAAAATTAGCCAGGCGTGGTGGCAGGCACCTGTAATCCCAGCTACTCGGGAGGCTGAGGCAGAAGAATTGCTTGAACCTGGGAGGCGGAGGTTGCAGTGAGCTAAGATCGTGCCACTGCACTCCAGCCTGGGCAACAAGAGTGAAACTCTGTCTCAAAAACAAAACAACAACAACGACAAACAAACAAACAAAAATTAACTGTGCATGGTGGCAGGCGCCTGTAATCCCAGCTACTTGGGAGGCTGAGACAAGATAATTGCTTGTACCTAGGAGTTGGAGGTTGCAGTGAGCTGAGATTGCACCACTGTACTCCAGCCTGGGAGACAGAGTTAGACTCTGTCTCAAAAGAAAAAAAGAAAGAAAAAGACATAAGAGATTACAGATGTTATGCTAAGACATCATTGCCTCTATGAAAATACTTGTGGCTTTAAGGGGCCGTCCAAGGGGACATGCTACCTATAGCCAAGTGATCCTTGATGACCTCAGGCTGACTTTGTGAATGAATTATCATCCAGAGGTGGTTAATACTGAAGGAAGTCAAAAGCTGGATGTTTACTCTTTCTACGGAAGATAGGTCGAGAAGGTTGGGATTAGGTATAAGAAAAAGTGATTTTATTTTGAGGATAACATGGATTATTAAGGCAATATTGGATCAAATTTTCTTGTAACTCTTAGTGGATCATCAAATTGTCATCTTTCTGAGACAATTTAGACACAGATTTATTTCACGTTAGGAGACTAAGCAAAATCATTGCTCAAGAGTCCTTCCAGTCACAGTGACATTTGGTATGGATTTGCTTTGTTTGCAGCATATCCAATATTCTAAGTTCAATTTACAAAAAAGAAAGAAAAAAAAGTGCGCAGGGGTGGGGACGTGGGAAGTACATTATGAAAGAACTTTTTAATGTAATTTAAAAAACTTCTTTCAAATTTAGTTTACATAACAAGCTGTTTTCTAGTATGTTTGGATTAGGGGTCAGTAAACTATAGCCTGTAGACCAAATCTACCCTGCTGTCTGTTTTTGTAAATAAAGTTTTATTGGAACACAGCCACACTGCCCATTTGTTTACATATTGTCCATGGCTGCTTTTGTGTAACAACAGCAGAGCTGAAGAGTTGCCACGGGGACCATATGGGCTGCAAAGCCTAAAATATTTGCTATCTGGTCCTTTTTAAAAAAGCCTGCTGACTCTTGGTTTAGATTATGATTAGGTTTGCAAAAATTCAATTATGCACATAGCGTTTGACATGAGATGCACTTTGATTTTACTCAGTTGCAAGGTCCATGCAGAATTTAATCTGGGGTTAAGTTTTATAGGCTAAAGACTAAATTTTCATGGCAGTGAAAGCCTAAGTAAATAGTTCTCTCATAATGTCTGTCCTTTTCTAGTTACCGCAGCTAAATATAGTGCTGACTAAGTAATCCACACAAATCATTTTATGTTGAATTGGATTATTTTATTTAAAAATTTTTTTTTGAGACGCAGTTTCACTCTTGTAGCCCAGGCTAGAGTGCAATGGCACGATCTCAGCTTACCGCAACCTCTGCCTCCAGGGTTCAAGCAATTCTCCTGCCTCAGCCTCCTGAGTAGCTGGCATTAAGGCATGCACCACCATGCCTGGCTAATTTTTGTATTTTTAGTAGAGATGGGGTTTCACCGTGTTGGTCAGGCTGGTCTTGAATTCCTGACCTCGTGATCTGCCCGCCTCGGCCTCCCAAAATGCTGGGATCACAGGCATGAGCCACCGCACCTGGCCCTATATCCTGCTTCCTATCTCGTGGTCATGGTGTATGGCTTTTATTTATTTCAACCTGCAGTTGTTTGCAGAACATCTGAAATTCTTTGCGACAGCTGGAATTTAACATTTTTTTTAAATGGAGTCTCTCTCTGTCACCCAGGCTGGAGTGTGTTGGTGCAGTCTTGGCTCACTGCAACCTCTGCCTCCAGGGTTCAAGTGATTCTCCTGCCTCAGCCTCCCAAGTAGCTATGATTACAGGCAGGTGCCACCACGCCCGGCTAATTTTTGTATTTTTAGTTACAGACAGGGTATCGCCATGTTGGCCAGGCTGGTCTTGAACTCCTGGCCTCAAGTGATCCGCCCTCCTCAGCCTCCCAAAATGCTGTGATTACAGGTGTGAGCCACCGCGCTGGCCTCAACATGTCTAAATGGAACTAATCTCTGGCTGTTTCTTCCTCCCCGTGTCAAATCTGCGTTTCTTCAGTCACTGAGGCTGAAAACATTAGCTTAAGTCTTTACCTTCTGTTTTATTTTCCTCACCTTCTGCAACCAATCAGACATTAAATACTGTACTGCTGGCCAGTTTTCCTCTGTACCGTGCCTTACAGCTGACTTTTCCACTGGGACTTGCCCCGCTGCTGGCCCCATACTTTTGGGTCTGAATCACAACAGAACTCTCTTTTTCTCTAGACCAGTGGCTCTCTATTCTGGTTGCATATTGCAATCTGCTGGGGAGTTCACTCTGTCTCTGTCTTTCCTTCCCTCTTTTTTTTTTTTTTTTTGAGACGGAGCCTCACTCTATTGTCCAGACTGGAGTGCAGTGGCATGATCTCAGCTCACTGCAACCTCTGCCTCCCAGGTTCAAGCAATTCTCTGCCTCAGCCTTCTGAGTAGCTAGGATCACAGGTGCCCACCACCATGCCCGGCTAATTTTTTGTATTTTTAGTAGAGATGGGGCTTCATCATCTTGGCCAGGCTGGTCTTGAACTCCTGACCTCGTGATCCACCTGCCTCGGCCTCCCAAAGTGCTGGGATTACAGGCGTGAGCCACCACGCCTGGCCCCTTCCCTCTTTTTCTGCCCCTCTCTCTTGCCCTCCCAGCTTCTCTCCTTCTCCCCTCTTTCCCTTTTTCTTCCTTTTTCCCCCCTCCCTCCCTTCTTTCCTTTCCTTCCTTCCTTCCTCCCCCCTCCCTCCCTCCTTCCCTTCTTCCCCTTTCCTTCTTTCCTTCTTCCTTCCTTTCTCTTTCTTCCTTTTATTGAGATGTAATTCACATAGCATAAAATTCACCTTTTTAAAGTGTACAGCTCAGTGATATTTTTAGTATATTCACCAAGTTGCACAACCATCACCACTATCTAATTCCAGAATATTTTCATCACTCCCAAAGAAACCTCATACCCCTTAGCAGTCATTCACCTGAAGAGTTTGAAAAAGTATTAGTACCTGGGCACCACTCCCAGAGATTTGACTTAATTGGTCTGGCTGGGGCTGGGACATCGGGATTTTTATAAAGCTCCCTGAGTAATTCTAATATGCAGTGAGAGTAGAGAACCACTGTGTCTAGGACCTTTCCATTGGAGTCCATTCCCTGTATGGCGGAAGGTACAGCTTCCTAGTGCATTTTATACTTTTATTAAGTATCCCCAGCTCAAAAACCTTCAAACCTTTGTCTGTTTGCTAGAACAAAATCCATCCTGGTATTTAAATCCTCCTGGGACTGGTTCCCCATTTCATACCTGTCTGTCTTGTCATCTTCTTTCCCCCTTTGCGGCTGCTCTGCCTCACCCTAACTGGCTCAATTCTTGTTTCTTAAGCCCCAAAATGTGACAAATCATGTTCCATCCTGAGCTCCCACCAGGGATCCTGTGGCTGGGTGAAGCAGGGGAGCTCCTAGAATCAGGGGACTCTTTGTGGAAAGACATAGGGTGCTCTTTGGGATTTTTTCTTTTTCTTTCTTTTTTTAAATGGAAAATTAAAAAATAATTGTACATATTTATGGGGTACATAGTGATGTTTCAATACATATAATACATACATAGTGATCAGATCAAGGTAATTGGCATATTCATCTTCTTAAATATTTATCATTTCTTTGTGTTGGGAACATTCAATATCCTCCTCCTAGCTATCAGAAACTATATAATATATTGTCACTAACTATAGTCATCCTGGGATGTTTAATTACCTCAGAGCAATTTGGAATGATTAACCAAAAACCCAACTATATTTTAAGTAATATTAAGAAAAATGTCACACCCAGTAGCAAACATATCCCTGAGAAAGCACAACTGTTTTCTTTTTTTTTTTTGGAGATGGAGTCTTGCTCTGTCGCTCAGGCTGGAGTGCAGTGGTGTGATCTTGGCTCACTGCAACCTCCACCTCCCAGGCTCTAGTGATTCTCCCACCTCAGCCTCCCGAGTATCTGGGATTACAGGTGCGCACCACCATTCCCTGCTAATTTTTGTATTTTTAGTAGAGATAGGGTTTCACCATGTTGGCCAGGCTGTTCTCAAACTCCTGACCTTAAGTGATCCACCCACCTCAGCCTCTCCAAGTGCTAGGATTACAGGCATGAGCCACCACACCTGGCTGTTTTCTCTTAATATTTCATTTATACTTTTTAAAATTTCGTTGACTTCTAGCAGATAAGCAGTAGCAAGCAAAGGGAAAACAATTTATAAGAAATTTTATCTGCTAGCAACTTATTCTTGCGTGTGTGTGTGTGAGAGAGAGAGATACAGAGAGAGAGAGAGAGAGATACAGAGAGAGAGAGAGAGAGAAATGGGGGAAAAAACTGTCCTGCTGGGTAGTCTTTGTTAGAGGTTACCCTAGGCCCCGACCCAGGCCCACCACACGCCTCAGGGATGTGGAGGGCATGTCCTGCCTTTCCAGTTTTAAATCCTCCAGAGGCAGCGAGATGCCCTTCTTTAAAAAAAAAAAAATATATATATATATATATATATATATATATATATATTTTTTTTTTTTATATATATACGCCTCCCAGGTTCAAGCAATTCTCCTGCCTCAGCCTCCCGAGTAGCTGGGATTACAGGTGCTTGCCACTACACCCGGCTAATTTTTTGTATTTTTAGTAGAGACAGGGTTTCGCCACGTTGGCCAGGCTAGTCTCACACTCCTAACCTCAGGTAATCTGCCCATCTGGGCCTCCCAAAATTCTGAGATTACAGGCGTGAGCCACCTCACCCGGCCATTTGCAGCCCCTCTGAATAGCCATCTTGAAATATGCCAAAGAAGTATATTATGGGGTGCAATCAGTTTGGTTTCCTTCATAATGTTGTCATTTGAACCAGAATGATTCCATCTTGAATAGGGGTTGTGTAAAATAAGGCTGAGACCTATTGGGCTGTATTTCCAGAAGGTTGGGCATTCTAAGTCACAGGGTGAGACAGAAGGTTGGCACAAGATACAGGTCATAAAGACCTTGCTGATAAAACAGGTTGTGGTAAAGAAGCCGGGAAAACCCACCAAAATCAAGATGGTGATGAAAGTGACCTCTGGTCATCCTCACTGCTCATTATACACTAATCGTAATTCATTAGCTTGCTGAAAGACACTCCTACCAGAGCCAGGACAGTCTACAAATGCCATGGCAACATCAGGAAGTTATCATATATTGTCTAAAAAGAGGAGGAACCCTCAGTTATGGGTATTGTCCACCCCTTTCCCGGAAAACTCATGAATAGCTCACCCCTTACTTAGCATATAATCAAGAAATAACCATAAAAATGGCCAACCAGCAGCTCATGCTGCTGCTCTGCCTATGGAGTAGCCATTCTTTTACTCCTTTACCTTCTTAATAAGCTTGCTTTCACTTTATGGACTCACTCCGAAGTCTTTCTTGCGCGAGATTCAAGAAACCTCTCTTGGGGTTTGGATCAGGACCCCTTTCCAGCAACAGTAAGTAGGGTAAAATCTCAGCCCTTCAGTTTTTGAGAAATAACATGTAAATCGCTGAATGCAGATCTTGACATGTACACAGCAGGTTCTCAATAAGTGGTAACTACATGTGCAATGATGAGTGATGATGAAATGGCAGAGTGTTGGTGTCAGCTGATAACCCTATTACTCCTCCCCTCCAGATAAGAAAGCATGAGAAGCTTAGGAGCAGCTAGTGGAGGGAAAACAAGCAGGGACAGCCATGTCAAGGAGCCCTGGTGTACTGAGGGGAAGGATAATTTTATCAATGGCCAGAAACTCAGCTTCTCAGGCCCCAGGCAACAGCTTCTCCCTCCAACTCTGCTTTCCGAACTTCAGGACTTGGGGAAGAAATAAAGGGAGAGTGTGGGAGACAGGGGCCTCAGTACAAGAGGGATTTCGAGAAGCTGAACCTGTTAGGAAGGATACTTGGGAAGGATAGACCAGAGCCCCAGGCTCCAACATCAACCGCATCTGGGCTGAGGCTACATTGAACCTGTCAGCTTGGCTCATCCCCTAGAGGGAAATCACCCCATAGCTTCCATTAGGAGAGGTGCTCAGGGTTCATTCCCATCTAATGGAATAAGTCCTGCCCATGGCCCACAGGAGATCATAATCAAGGGGAGTTTCTTGTGAGTACACAATGAATCAGGCATGCCGAAAAGGGCAAGGCCCCTGCTCTCCCAGCAAGAGCTCTTGACTTTGTTTTTTGCTGATTCATCTCAGTAAGAAATTTGTGTGTGATAACATAAAGAGCTGGCTCCTCACGGCCCCATCTTTCCTCCTGAGGAGAGCTGCCTCCACTTCCCCTTTCAGACTATTCTAATCTTTTGGACTTACAGTGTGGGCGCACTATGGTCCAGAGTCACTACTTGTGCTCTAGATCCACTTCTGCCCTGTACCTGTGTGCGATTGAAACTGCCTTTGCAAAATTATGACTGAGACAGCGAAAGAGAGCTAACGTAGTCGACTCCATCTTGCTTCTAACCTCCAAGCTGTCTTTGTTCATTCTTGGGCGTAGGCTGAACTAACTTTGGAAGAAGTTTAGTTATAGTTTATAGTTTAAAACAAAGATGGTAACAGCCCTTTCCCAAAGCAGACCTTCTTCTTGCCTGGAAACTAGATTGCCTTTTTAGGACTAACATTAGCCATAAGATTGAAAATTATAGTTTAGGAGCCATGCAGCTAGAGACTACAAGATTCTGACCCTCCCTAAACTGCTCCTGAGATCAGTGCTAGAGATATTTTGCAGACCCTGCACTTGATAGGTCAGCTGGCACCACCCACATCGATACACTGGCTCATCTGATCTTGTGGCACCCACGCAGGACTCGGTTCAAGAAGACAGCTTTGACTCTCTATGATTTCATCTCTGACCTAACCAATCAGCACTCCTAGCTCACTAGCTCCCCCACCGCCACCCCACCAAGTTGTCCTTAAAAACTCTGCTCCCTTGCCAGGCGCAGTGGCTCATACCTGCAATCCCAGCACTTTTTTGGGAGGCCGAGGCGGATGGATCAGTTGAGGTCAGGAGTTCGAGACCAGCCTGGCCAACATGGTGAAACCCGTCTCTACTAAAAATACAAAAATTAGCTGGACGTGGTGGCACATTCCTGTAATCCCAGCTACTCGGGAGGCTGAGGCAGGAGAATCGCTTGAACACAAGAGGTGGAGGTTGCAGTAAGCCGAGATCGTGCCACTGCACTCCAGCCTGGGTGACAGAGCAAGATTCCATTTCAAAAAAACAAACAAAAAAAAACTGCTCCCCGAATGCTCAGGGAGATTGATTTGAGTAATAATGAAACTCCTGTCTCCCGCACAGCTGGCTCTGCATGAATTACTTTCTCTATTGCAATTCCCCTGTCTTGATAAATTGACTCTGTCTAGGCAGCGGGCAAGGTGAAACCCTTGGGCGGTTACACTAGTGGCAAATCATGGAATCTCTCTGTTCCTAAGATTCCTGGTTACACGATAGACAGGGCTAATGCCGTCTACTCTAAGTCCCTGGGACACAGAATCGTCAACTATTAAACTTGTGTGACGGTCCTACACACGTATCAGGTATTAATTCTTTGGTTTCCGGACTGAGTTTTCCCCTGTTCCTTGACTTCCTGGAAGCTGCCTGTGTCTGCTGCCTCTCCTAACTTCATAGTTCTTAGGTTTGTCCCTTCCTATTCTGCAAAGAGACTTTAGGCAACCCACAGAGGTCTTGGAAAACAAGTGTCCTCTAATTAGGCTCTTTTATTTTTTCTGCCAAAAAAGACAGACTCAAAGTGCAGATATCCCAGAGAAAAGGGGAAGTGGTGCCTGAACTTCCCACCCAGACCTAGATGACTTGATGCCCTTGTCCCGAAACTTGGAATGAGGGGTGCTGGAGGGGGAAGACAGAAGGAGTGATGTGGGGGTGGGAGCCATCCCACTCAGATTAAAGGCCAGATTCCTTACTATGGCCTCCAAGGACCTGCACAATGATATCCCTGTCACCTCTCTGTCCTTATTTGCTGTTTTTCTCCCGTTCATTCTGTTCTGCTACACTGGCTGCTCTGCCAACAGACCTGGCTTACTTCTCACGCAGGGCTTTTCCACTGGTGTTTCTACTGCTAGGAGTGCTCTTCTCCCCATAGCCGCATGGTTTGATTCTTCATGTCTTTCAGGTCTTTGGCAAAATGTCACCTCCTCAGGGAAGACTTCTCTGACCATCCTATTTAAAATTGCAGGCTAGGTGTGGTGGCTCCCAGCACTTTGTGAGGCCGAGGTGGGCGGATCAGCTGAGATCAGGAGTTCGAGACCAGCCTGACCAACATGGAGAAACCCCATCTCTACTAAAAATACAAAATTACCCAAATGTCCATCAATGATAGACTGGATTAAGAAAATGTGGCACATATATACCTGGAATACTATGCAGCCATGGAAAGGATGAGTTCATGTCCTTTGCAGGGACATGGATGATGCTGGAAACCATCATTCTCAGCAAACTATCACAAGGACAGAAAACCAAACACTGCATGTTCTCACTCATAGGTGGGAATTGAACAATGAGATCACTTGGACACAGGGCGGGGAACATCACACACTGGGGCCTATCGGGGGGTCGGGGGCTGGGGGAGGGATAGCATTAGGAGAAATACCTAATGTAAATGATGAGTTGATGGATGTACCAAACCAACATGGCACATGTATACCTATGTATCAAACGTGCACGTTGTGCACATGTACCTAGAACTTAAAGTATAATAAAAAAAAATAAAAATAAAAATAAAAATACAAAATTAGTCAGGCGTGGTGGCACATGCCTGTAATCCCAGCTACTTGGGAGGCTGAGGCAGAAGAATTGCTTGAACCCGGGAGGCAGAGGTTGCGGTGAGCTGAGATCATGCCATTGCACTCCAGCCTGGGCAACAAGAGCGAAACTCCATCTCAAAAAATAAATAAATAAAATAAAATTGCAACCTCCTTCCTCTTTCCCCTGACACTCCCTATCCTCCTTCCCTTGCTTATTTTTTCTCCCTAGCATTTGCCAACATCTTTCATGTTAAATATGTGATGTATTTGTTCATCATCCCACTAGAATGGAAGTTCCACAAGGGCATTGGGTTTCTGTCTATTTTGATTACTGCTATGTCTCCAGAGTTTAAAACAGCTTCTGAAACCAAACAGATGCTCAAAAAATATCTGTTGAATGAATGAATTAGTAGAAGAGTAAATAGTGCCTTTCCTTCCATTTCCTCAACAATAAGATCTGTGTGAATGACCGCATGCCGGTGTGTGAATGTGATAGAGAGCCCTAGGAGAAAGGTCATGTTTAATCCCAAATTAGTGGAGAAAGGGAAAGCAAAGCCTCCAGAAATCTGTGAATTACCCAAAGCAGTTCAGATGAATGGAAGGAATTATAGGACAGTGGGTTAGAGACCAGGATTAAAGTCAATCTTTACCATTAAATGTTTGGGCATGTTATTTAACCTCTTTGGGCTTCAGTTGTATCATCTGTAAAATGTGGGCAGTGGAATAAATAATCACCAAGAAAAAGTATATAGTGCTTTATAACTAAAAAATGTCTTTCACATGTATTATTTTAACCAGTATAACCAGTTTGTTAGCTTACTCTAAAAGTAACCCCTTTCTCCATTTGTTTCTTGCTATACAAATACCCAATTACCTGTTTGCTTGAGAATTCCAAAGGCTAATCTTGAAACAATCCAGGCATGAAGTGGAACTGGCAGTTGCAATTTTCCCCCTTCCAAGAAGGAATTGGTGCACAGTTAATCCATAACCTGACCTCCAATGAGATGATGCTAACCAGGCCTCTGGATGGTCAATTACTCAAGCTAGCCGTCAGAAAACGACAAGCAGACCTGCAGCCTATGCATACCTTTTGCTTAAAACCCCTTGAGCCAGCCTGAGAATTTGAGCTGGCTTTTTGACACTTGAATGTGGCCATCTCCCAATCTGCTAGTTCTTGAATAAACCTGCTTTCCTTCCATGAAACCTTGCTTCTTGTGTGTCTGGCTTTTCAAGCAGCAAGCAGCTGAACCTGAGTCCGGTTACATTATCTCTGATTCCTGTGAGGTAGCCAGAGCAGGTAGGTAGATGTGAGACAACAAAAAACATTTTCTTAGTTGTTGCTGCTTGTAACTCCTCATAAGACCCTCTAAGGATGGATCCCACACAAGGAGAATACTTTGTTTTCTATGCAAGTAATGGGGGACAAATTTGGACTTGTAGGAGGGTTAAGTGGCTTTATGTAAGAATCAGCAGAGATACTAAGGCCTGGGCAAGATCTGGCAGCAGAAAGCAGGAGAAGCAAAAGATGGGAGGTGGCAGAGCCCTGCTAGGAGAGGTCAGGAAGAGGCATTCTTGTGGCAAAATGAGCAAGCGGGGCCTGAAAGAGAGAAATAGTAAGAGAAATGGAGCTTGCTCTGTGGGGCATGATGTAAGCACTTTCTACACCTATCTCAGAAAATCCAGGTGGTTTCTGATGCTTTGGCCCAAATGAATGATCTCAGGAGCACAGAAATAGATGTGGACTCCTGTGTGGAGGCTGCCAGAGGGGAGGGGACAGCCAACGTCTTGGACACATGATGGAGAAAGAAGAGCGAATGCTGCGTTGGAGTAGGGCTCTGGCCCTGAAAGAGAGGCTACTGTGGGTGGCCCCACCTGTTCCTTGACTAACTTCTTAAGGATATGGTTGGTATTGCCTATTTCCCCCTAGGTATCACATAAAGGATCTTATTTGTTATTTTAATTTTTCATCACTTTGTTATAATTAGACACTCTATTTCCTTGAGCTTAGTGATTAAGCAGGAAAGCCTTCCTTGGCTTGATAAAATGGTCGTCATGTTAAAACTCCTTAGGGTTGGAATGGAAGCAATCTAGAGCCTTTGCTCAGTACTTTGACTTAGCAATTCAGTTTTTGATTTTGTACCTAGGTAAATGAAAAGCACCTTTAATTCACTTTTGGATAATTAGCACAAAGAGAAAATGACTTTGCATGTCACAATGTGGCATGGTTCAAACTGAGCAAATGAGAACAAAAGTCAACACTTCCATAGTTGTACAAACTTGCAACAAATAATTTTCATTTAATTTAAAGTGATAAATCTGGGTAATTATGTGATGATTATTCATAAAACGATTAATCAAACTCATATACATTTTGTAGCATCTCATGCATTACTGCAATTTGAGTATTTTAGGAAAATATATTGTTTGAATTTTAAAATATCACTCCATTGTATCTCAGCAAAAATGGAAAAATGTATCTTGGCTAGTTCTATTTAGTCAATTATTATAATGGAAGGCATTAGATAGTATCCAAGAAAAACAATTATAAATCATATAACGTATACCTGCTTCCAATGTGTACTCCCTTATAAACATCCAATGTAATTAAAATACAAATTGGATCTAGAATGGGCATGAAAATCCCTTTAAAAGTACAAGTTTGTCAGGAAGAGATAAAGAACAACAAAAGAATCCTTTCTCCAGTTTCTTTATTTTGTTAAATTCATACATAAGCAGCTTCTTGAGGTTATCTCATGCTTTTACTAGCCATTATTCAGACAAATTTACTCAGACATTTTCCATCTGAGACAGTAAGGTGTAAATAAAACCAAAATGAAGATGGCAAAGTTTGGAGGTGATTTAAAAAGCTGGATGTGTTCTTTGTTTCTTTGTTTCTGGTTTTTTTTTTTTTTTCTTGAGATGTAGTTTAGTTTCACTCTTGTCTCCCAGGCTGGAGTGCAATGGCGCAATCTCGGCTCACTGCAACCTCTGCCTCCCGGGTTCAAGCGATTCTCCTCCCTCAGCCTCCTGAGTAGCTGGGATTACAGGCACCCACCACCACACCCGGCTAATTTTTGTATTTTTTTTAGTAGAGACAGGGTTTTGCAATGTTGGCCGCGCTGGTCTTTAACTCCTGACCTCAAGTGCTGGGATTACAGGCGTGAGCCACTGCGCCCGGCCAAAGTTGAATGTGTTCCAGAGTATGATGTCTCATTCTAGCATGTTTGGAGGAATCCACAGATTGGCTTTTAGACACTAAGCTTCACTATGCTCAGTTTCATTAAATGAAATGAATTATCATGTGGACTGGGGGGGCACCTTTGAAAAGAAGATTCCTTTCTCAGTAGCTTAGAAGCATTCATTTGCATGCCTTGGATTACCTATATTCTCTTTCAGCACAGCAATTTCCAGCTCACTTTAGCAAGTCATTTCATCCTCAGGAAAAAGTGGATTTCCAGATATATTGGGCACTTTTGATCCCTGTTGGCTCAGAGGCCTTCTTTGAAGATCACAGTCAGTGAAAACATTTTTCTGAGGATGACAACAATCCAGAGAATAGCAGGTAACTCTTAGAGCTGGTGTAATAAGCAGTTCATACTTCCAGATCATTTCTAGATGGGTCGGCAGTCAAGATTAAATGAGCATTTTGAGAACTGATAAAAATGAAAAGTTAATTAATGTCATCATCTTGTCAATGAACATTTAGGTTGCTTGCAGTTTTTTGAATTACAAATAATGTTGCAATGATACTTGTATATATGTTTCCCTGAGCCTACGTATAAGATTTTCTCTAGAATATATTCCCATAAGTAGAATTGCTGGGTCAAAGGGTATACACATCTTCAATTTTACTAGATATTATCACGTTGCTCTCTAAGTGCCTATATAATTTAACACTTCTATCAGCAGGACATGACAGTTTCTGTTACCCTACATCCTTGCCAAAACGTGGTATTATCTGAATTTTTAGCTTTTGTCCACCCAATGGGGGAAAATGATATTTTATTACTGTTTTAATTTGCATTTCTCTGATGAATAGTCATATTGGACATCTTTTTGTTGTTGGCTTTTCAAGCTTCCTTTTTATGAGTTACCAATTCATATTCTGCTGGCTTCTTTTTCCCTCATTGATTTGTAGGAGCTTCTTAAAAATACTCTTTTTAAGTTTTATGTGTTGTAAATAGCATCTCCTAGTCCACAGATTTATTTTTCACTTTATTTTTTGGTGCATTTTATAGTCCAGAAGTATGTAACTTTAGTACAGTTGAATTTATTGACCTTTTCCTTTAGAGTTTGTGCCTTTTATATTTTAAGAAATCCTGACCGAGCAGGAACCCACATCCAGGAACAGAGCCCTTTGCTCCTCCCTCAGAATGAATGGAGACCAGAAATCAGATGTTTATGCCCAAGAAAAGCAGGATTTCGTTCAGCACTTCCCCCAGATCATTAGGGTGCTGAGTGAGGATGAGATGGGGCACTCAGAGACAGGAGATGCTGTTGACCGGCTCAAGGAGGTCCTGGAGTACAATGCCATTGGAGGCAAGTATCACCAGGATTTGATGGTGCTAGTAGCATTCTGGGAGCTGGTGGAGCCGAGGAAACAGGATGCTGATAGTCTCCAGCAGGCCCTGACCGTGGGCTGGTGTGTGGAACTGCTGCAAGCTTTCTTCCTGGTGGCAGATGACATCATGGATTCATCCGTCTCCCGCCGGGGACAGATCTGGTGGTATCAGAAGCCGGGCATGGGTTTGGATGCCATCAATGATGCTATGCTTCTGGAAGTATGTATCTACCACCTGCTGAAGCTCTATTGCCCAGAGCAGCCCTATTTTTTCTTTTTTTTCTTTCTTTCTTTTTTTTTTTTTTTTTTTTGAGACAGAGTTTCACTCTTGTTGCCCAGGCTGTAGTGCAATGGTGGAATCTTGGCTCACCACAACCTCTGCCTCCCAGGTTCAAGTGATTCTCCTGCCTCAGCCTCCCGAGTAGCTGGGATTACAGGCATATGCCACCACACTCGGCTAATTTTGTATTTTTAGTAGAGGCGGGGTTTCTCCATGTTGGTCAGGCTGGTCTTGAACTCCCAACCTCAGGTGATCCACCCACCTCAGCCTTCCAAAGTGCTAGGATTACAGGTGTGAGCCACCGCACCCAGCCTGGAGCAGCCCTATTACCTGGACCTAATCGAGCTCTTCCTGCAGAGTTCCTATCAGACTGAGATTGGGTAGACCCTGGACCTCATCACAGCCCCCCAGGGCAATGTGGATCTTGGCAGATTCACTGAAAAGAGGTACAAATCTATCGTCAAGTACAAGGCAGCTTTCTACTCCTACCTTCCTGTAGCTGCAGCCATGTACAGCAGGAATTGATGGCGACAAGGAGCATGCTAATGGCAAGAAGATCCTGCTGGAGATGGGAGAGTTCTTTCAGATTCAGGATGATTACCTTGACCTCTTTGGGGACCCCAGTGTGACCAGCAAAGTTGGCACTGACATCCAGGACAACAAATGCGGTTGGCTGGTGGTTCAGTGTCTGCAACAGGCCACTCCAGAATAGTACCAGATCCTGAAGGAGAACTACCGGCAGAAGAAGGCCAAGAAGGTGGCCCAGGTTAAGGCACTATCTGAGGAGCTGAATCTGCTGGCCGTGTTCTTGCAATATGAGGAAGACAGTTACAGCCACATTATGGGTCTCATTGAACAGTACGCAGCACCCCTGACCCCAGCCATCTTTCTGGGGCTGGTGCGCAAAATCTATAAGCAGAAAAAGTAAACTAGAGACTGCAAGGGCAGGGAGAGGAGGCTCTCAATAAATTATTGTGTAACCTTAAAAAAAAAAAAAAAAGAAAAGAAATCTTTCCCTGCACCACAGTCATAAATACATTTTTCTAAATTTGGTTCAAAAATTTGTAAAAGTTTGTTTTTTAAATTGGAATTTATTTTTATTGATTGTGTCAGTTCTCTATTGCTGCATAAGAAATTAACACAAACTTTACGTCTTATGACAGCATACATTTTTCAGATCACTTTTTCCATAGGTCAGGAGTCTGGCACAACAACATAGCTGAGTTCTCTGTTGAGGAGCTCATAAGATTGAAATCAAGTTGTTGTCTGTCTGCATGCCCACCTGGGACTGGAAGTCCTCTTCCAAACTAACATGATTGTGGTAGGATTTGGTTCTTTTAGCTGTATGACTAAAGTCCCCGTTTCCTCGCCAGCTGTTAGCCAGAGGCTCCTCTTGGCTTCTAGAGGCTATCCACATTCCCTTCCATGTGGCCTCCGCCATCTTCAAAGCCAGCAATGAAGAACCTGCCTTGTGTTGAATCCCTCTCATGCTTCAAATCTCTCTGTGAGTCTTTTCTCTAGGAAAAGTCCCAGCTTTCTAAAGGGCTCACCTAATTTGGTCAAGTTGACCCAGGATAATCACCCTATCTTAAGGCCAGGTGATTAGGGATCTTAATCACATCGGCAAAACTCCTTCACAGCACCACCTACATTAGTGTTTGACTGAATAATTGGCTGAAAATGTGTGTATACCATGGGCCTAGAATCCTGGAAGCCATCTTAGAATTCTGCCTACCACACGGTGGAGGGTAGTGATCCATATTTTTAATGCATGGATCACTATGTTATTCTCATTTTGGAAAATTTAAATCACATACAAAAGTAGAGACAATAGTTTCATCGTTTCACAAACTCTCATGTTCCCAGCATCCATCTTCTGTGATTCTACATGGCCAGTCTATGTTCCAACTCCCTTCTCACACCCTAGGTAATTTTGCAGCAGATCTAAGACATACTAGTTCATCTGCAAATGCTTCCATATGTATATTCAAAGACAGGACCTCTTTTCTTTCTACCTGGAAGTAGCCAGACTCAAGGTTAAGGGCATAGTCCTCCACTGCCAAGTCTGCCCAAGATTTCTGATACCAACTATAAGTTGGGGTGGGGCCTGGGGGGGTGTCCCAAAACCACCCTCAGTTTTAATAATTTGCTAGAAAGACTCATAGAATTCACCAAAACCCAATATACTAACAGCTATGTTTATTACAGGCAAAGAATGCAAATTATAAGAGATACATGGGGAAGAATCCTGGATTGGGAGGGTTCCAAATATGAAGCTTCTGTGTCATCAGGGATGTGTTAGCCTTCTGGCATAGATATTTGGCAATACATGCACGGAGAATTGCCAACCCAGGAAGCTTGCGTAAGTTTTGGTGTCCAGAGTTTTTACCAGGTTCATTATGTAGGGATAGTTGGTGGAATTATCACCCATGTGGTTGAACTCAAGCTCCAGCCACACTCTACTCCCACAGGGCAGGCTGATATCATGTGGCTCAAAGCCCCAACCTTCTAATTATGTGGTTGGTCTTTCTGGCATGGCCAGCCTCCAACCTGAGCCATCTATTAGCTTAAACTATCAGGTGGGGTCTGAGGGGTCCACATGCCTAACCAAGACGCTCCTATCACTTGGGAAATTTCAAGGGTTTAGAGGTTGCCTCCCGGGAACTGAGGACAAAGTCCAAATTCCTTTGCTTTTCTTCTCTCTCTATTCCTTCATTCCTTCAGAACCACAATATCATTATCACACTTAAAAAATTAATTTGAATTTTCAATATCCAATAAATGTTCCATTTTTTTCCCATTGGCTCATTAATAAAACCAGTTTATATCTTCAAATTAATATCCTAACAAGCTTCGCACATTGTACTTCGTTAATATGAATCTTAAGTTTCTTTTAGTTTATAGGTTTCCTTTCCCTTTTTTCCCCTTGCAATTTATTTGTGGAAGAAAGTGAGTCATTTGTTCTATAGAGTCTATCACATTCTGAATTTGCATAAATTACATAACTATACAATTCACCCACATACTGTTTACACTTAACATATTTGAATTAACTTAGCTAGAGCAGACAGTTCAAACACACCTTGTGGTACAGATATCATAGGCACAATTCTAGAAACCCTTGTGAAGCATTTAGCGAAAAACTTGGTGACTTGGAAGCTCTGGAATATCTGTTCTAGTCCATCTCGATCCATCCTCCAAGCTTTGCTGCATATTACTTTGAATTAATGTATACTCCAGTGCATGGAGCGTCCAAGGACTTCAAGGCCTGTTTCTTTTTTCATTTTTTTTAAGACGGGAGTCTTGCTGTGTTGCCCAGGCTGGAGTACAGTGGCACCATCTTGGCTCACTGTAACCTCTGCCTCCCGGGTTCATGCCATTCTCCTGCCTCAGCCTCCCAGGTAGCTGGAACTACAGGCACATGCCACCATACCCGGCTAATTTTTTTTGTATTTAGTAGACACGGAGCTTCACCGTATTAGCCAGGCTGGTCTCGAACTCCTGACCTTGTGATCTGCCCGCCTCGGCCTCCCAAAGTACTGTGATTACAGGCATGAGCCACCGCGCCTGGCCATCAAGGCCTATTTCTACATGACAGACACTTCATAGAGGTCTGTTGCTGCGGTGCTGCCGAGGGGATTTTTTAAGAATGAAGCAAACTGGCATGTCTGTCTGTGACTTGGAACCGCTTGTAACGTCTGCCCATAAAGAAATGAAGATTTGACCAATGAGAGCTTTGGAGCTCTGGGGTTCATCTGTATGAACTCTGGAAAAACAAAACTGGAACTGTGGTTGGATTGGAAAGCTGGCTTTCTGGGCCCTGATGACCTTCAAGTCAGGATGTCACAGATTTACAGAATGCAACTGTAAAAAGCCCAACTAAATAAAACTGTCTCTGTCTCTAAAACAGGCATATCTTTTTAAAAAGGTCTTCGAGAAGTGTTTCAGGTGCTGAAATGGATGTTAGCTATCCAATTCTCTTCCACCATAAAGGCATTGGAATTATGTCTTCCTATAATATGACATACCATGAACAGTATCATTCTATCCAGTGCAGTTAATGGTAATGTTGAAAACTGAGCCCCAAATAAGTGCCTTTAAAAATCCTATCGCAATTGTCTTGCAATTGATGAATCTATAAAAGTCCTTTCTCTAAGAGAGTTTCATTGTCATGTTCAGAGGAGAAATTGGCCCTCCACGATGAGTATGCATTGGGTGTTCCTAATGTATTTTCAAAGAGACAAGGCTAGGTCTCTCAGTTGTGTCTTTAGTCCAGGTTTCTGTCCTGTTAAACACAGTGTGAGGATGGGACAGATAACATGACCATTCCATGAATCCTTTTGTAACCAGAAGGAGCCCTTGGCCTATGGGACTCCATGAGGTATTCTGACCAAATGCCAAGGTATCTGGTGGATTTCAAATATAGGTTTACAAACTGATTTACCACAGTGTTGGAACTCAGAAACACACATGGTCCTATCCCCTGAACCTAGAACTCTGTCCATCCTAAGATCTGTCCCTCCACCAGATGTCCAGTGATTTAGCTATGAAGCCCAAAGGAAGTAAGCAAGTTCCTTTTTTAAATTTAATTTAATTTTTAATTAATTAATTAATTAATTAATTAATTTTTGAAACTGAGTCTCGCTCTGTCTCCCAGGCTGGAGTGCAGTGGCATGATCTTGGCTCGCTGCAACCTCTGCCTCCTGGGTTCAAGTTATTCTCCTGCCTCAGCCTCCTGAGTAGCTGGGATTACAGGTGTGCACCACAACACCCGGCCAATTTTTGTATTTTTAGTAGAGATGGGGTTTCACCATGTTGGCTAGGCTGGTCTTGAATTCCTGAACTCAGATAATCCACCCACCTTGGCCTCCCAAAATGCTGGAATTACAGGCATGAACCATCATGCCCAGCCTTTTTTTTTTTTTAAAGATAGCAAGTTTTCATTCTTTCTTTCTTTCTTTCTTTCTTTTCTTTTCTTTTCTTTCTTTTTTTTTTTTTGAGACAGGTTCTAGCTCTGTCACCCAGGCTGGAGTGCAGAGGCATGATCATGGCTCACTGCAGCCTCAACCTCCCAGGCTCAAGTGATTCTCCACGTCCTGAGTAGCTAGGACCACAGGCGTGCACCACTCTACCTGGCTAATTTTTGTATTTTTAGTAGAGATGGGGTTTTGCCATGTTGCCTAGGCTGGTCTCGAACTCCTGGGCTCAAGCGATCTGCCCACTCCCAAAAGTGCTGCCACTCCCAAAGTGCTGGGACTACATGTGTGAGCCACTGCGCCCGGCCAGACAGCAAGATTTCATCATGACAGGCAAATTCTTTTTGGGAAGCATTGGGCTGCTAACCATGGTGGGTTTCAAGGATGAGGTCAGTAACTTTGTTCCTCTCCGGCTGCCATCACTGAACTCTTCATTTGAACCGCCACGGTCAGTTTCTGGGAAACAGTTGAGAGACTGTCCGGTGGAGGGAAGCTGTATCCCTGGAAGCAAGTTTCCAGGAGGAAGTGGTGCTCTGGAGGAGTAGCTGCTAGAAGAAATCCTATGTTGGGAGCCAGCAAAGGGAAACGTGTAAGATGGCTCTGAAGAGTTTGGCTGAACGTTGTTAGGCCATATGGCTCAGGGAAGTGGAGGATGAGGCTGGGTTCTTAAGAGAGCTGCTGCTGGGGGCTGAAAATGCCTCCTGAAGCCCTGGAGAAATAGATATTGAGACTCAGAGGAGGAAGATTTGGAGTCTGAGAGGTTGTTGCCAAATGGAGCTGAGTGGAAAGTGGGAGTGAAGCTTTTGTGCTGTCCATACCGTTCATAAAAGACTGACTTGGGTCCAGGTTCTGGGTCCTCATTAGATGTCTGTGGCAAACTGTGTTGCTGCAATTTAGACTGTTGCTCCTCTGGAAAGCTTTTGCTGAGGGGAGCCCAGCAGGAGAGCTCTTTGTAGCCAGGAAGAACTCCTGGGGTTTTTCTTCTCAGAGGGCTGTGCCAGTGCCACTGTCCACTCAGCCAGGAAATTGAAGGGAGTGGTTACGGAGAGCTAGAGGGTGATACCTCAAAGGAATTGGGCCTTAGAAAGTTTCATTTTTACTTTCATACATGAAAGACCTGTGACTTTTTCTTTAAGTGCCATCGAATGGCTTGGATATTTGTTTCACCCAAATCTCATGTTGAAATTTAATCCCCAATGTTGGAGGTGGGGCCGGGTGGGAGGTGTTTGGGTCAGGAGGGAGGATCCCTCATGACGCAATGTTGTCCTCACAATATGATTTCTCACGAGATCTGGCTGTTTAAAAGTGTGTGGCACCCCATCCCCAACCCCCGTCCACCCCTGCAGTTCCTACCCTGGCCATGTGATACGCCTGCTCCCCCTTTGTCTTCTGCCATGACTGGAAGATTCTGGAGGCCTCCCCAGAAGCAGATGCTGGCAGTATGCTTCCTGTAAAAGCCTGCAGAAGCACGAGCCAATGAAACCTCTTTTCTCAATGAATTACCCAGCCTCAGGTATTTCTTTATAGCAATGCGAGAATGGCCGAACACAACCATCTTAGTCCATTTGGGCTGCTACAACAAAATCCCATAAGTTGGGTGGCTTATAAACAACAGGAATTTATTTCTCAAAGTTCTGGAGGCTGGAAGTCCAGGATCAGGGTGCTGGCATGGTCACGTTCTGGGGAGGGTCCTCTTCAGGGTTCCAGATGGCCAACTTCTTGCTGTGTCCTCACATGAGGGAAGGAGCAAGAGAGTTCTCTCTTGGGATCCTTCCTTTCTCCCTCCCTCCCTCCCTCCCTCCCTCCCTTCCTCCCTTCCTCCCTCCCTTCCTCCCTTCCTCCCTCCCTTCCTTCCTTCCTTCCTTTTCTTTTCTTTCTTCTTTATTTTCTCTTTTTTTAGAAGGAGTTTCCCTCTGTCACCCAGGCTGGAGTGCAGGGGCATCATCTCGGCTCACTGCAACCTCCGCCTCCCGGGTTCAAGCAATTCTCCTGCCTCAGCCTCCTGAGTAGCTGGGAGTACAGGCATGCACTGCCATACCCAGCTAATTTTTTTTAAAATTTTTATTTTATTTTTTTAGTAGAGATGGGGTTTCACCATGTTGGCCAGGCTGGTCTTAAACTCCTGACCTCAAGTGATCCACCTGCTTCAGCCTCCCAATGTACTGGGATGACAGACGTGAGCCACCGCATCCATCCATCCTTCCTTCCTTCCTTCCTTCCTTCCTTCCTTCCTTCCTTCCTTCCTTCCTTCCTCTCTCTCTCTCTCTTTCTTCCTTTCTTTCTTTGCTTTCTTTCTTTCCTTTCTTTCTTTCAGACAGGGTCTCACTATGTTGCCCAGGGTGGTCTCAAACTTCTGGGCTCAAGCCATCTTCCCACTTCAGCCTCCCAAGTAGCTCAGACTACAGGCATGCACTACCACACCCGGCTGGGCCTTACTTACAAGGGCATTAATCCCATTCATGAGGGCTCCACCCTCCTGACCTGATCATCTCCCAAAGGCCCCACCTCCTAATACTATCATACTGGGGATTAGGATTTCAACATATGAATTTTGGGGTGGGGACACAAACATTCGGTCCATAGCAGATGCTTCCAAGGGTCTAGAAAAGGGGTGTCCAATCTTTTGCCTTCCCTGGGATACTTTGGAAGAAGAAAAATTGTCTTGGGCCACCCATAAAATACATTAACACTAATGATAGCTGATGAGCTAAAAAAAAAAAAAATCGCAAAAAAGTCTCATCATGTTTTTAAAAAGTTTATGAATTTGTATTGGGCTGCATTCAAAGCCATCCTGGGGTGCATGCGGCCCATGGGCCGCAGATTGGACAAGCTTGGTCTAGGGGTGTGAGTACAGAGTTCCCACTTGCTCTGATAGTCAACAGAGCCAGTTCCTTGGACGCAGCTTTGAACAAGTGGATGAAGTAATAATTAAAGTCTTTATTTAATGAGTCTTCCAGGTTGAGAAAAGCAGGATTGGCAAGACTCTTGACCAATGCCTTGCATGAGAGCATCCTGTTTGAGGCCCAGTGTGCAGACCTCCCTGATGTTCTGAAGGCCAAACAATGAGGCTGGCAATGTGGGCTGAAGGCATGAGGACCTTTTTAGCAATCTCAGTCTATGATTTCTTCACCTTGACTTTAGAATGTGCCATTACTTTCTTCTTGTTCAGTATTGATGTCAAGGACTTATGCTGTGGTCTGCTATCCTTACACAGAAACCTGGGCTGCACCAAGCTTTGAGGTCAGACAGTTTGCATTCTGTCATCCAGGCAAGCTTTCTTGCAGTCCTCTCCACACCGGTCTTGTTTCCTTCTGGATCAAGCCCTCCAGGTTCATCTTCACTCCCAGCCAGAGCACCTCCTTGATTTCATCACTCCACTGGAATTTCTTCCAGGCCCTGCTCTTCATTTCTTCTTCCTTACCAGGAACAAACAAACAAACAAAAAACCTGTTCTCTCTATTCCTTGTCCTTCTCCTCTTCCAGCATCTTTGCAATCTTTGCATGTGTCTATGCCTGGCATTCATCCTGGTGCGTGGCCATCTGCTCTGGCATTGCCCTGCCAGTGGCTTCTTCGAGTTTCTCTAGAGGCTCCTTCAGATGCACTCGACAGTTCATAGAGATGAAGGTATTGAGCAAGTTTGACCAGGGTGTCCTCGCTGCAGGGCAGGCATGGAGCGAGATATCTGGCTGGCCATGCACCTCACAGCAAATCTGGCTACTCAGCTTCCATATCTGCATCTCCTTGTCCAATAGGATGCCACCTGTATCCTGGGTGAAGGACTTCCCTTTGCTCTCTCTCAGCAGCTCTGGCAGCCTGAACCGCCTCCTTAATGACCTTCTTCAGGGGCACTGGTAGGCCTTCTGGGAGGGAAGAGAACTCCGAATTCCTAGGCCAATCCCACCCTAAGGGAATCTCTTTCATCATCCATATCACAGAAGGCTCTTCCTTCTGGAGACTCACTGAGCAGCTGCTTCAAGTCCAAATCTGTCAGAGAGACCATGGCAGTGGCCGCCTGAAGCAAGTTACTGTCAGAAGCAGAGCGGAAGGTTAAGAGCAACGGGTGGGAGGTGCTCCCAATTCCCACAGGCTTCTGTTCCTTGTCCCCATTTTTCCTGGGCCTATTTCTTTCTGAAATTTCTCAAACCTCTTGATTCCTTAAAGCCCCAAGAACATTCTTTCTTCTTCTCTTTACCAGCACTGAAGTCTGTAAAGTCAGCTTTGGAAAACCTGGGCTTTGTTCATTTCATCTCCTTGTTGAAAGTGTCATCTTTCTTCTTTATCTTCTCACCACCTTTCTTCACCTTCTACTTTTTTGCTGATTTTTCTATATTGAAGTCATCATCAGATTCTGGTGTTTGTCATAACTGCAGGGTTCTCAACTTATTGTAATATCCTCCATACTTTGTGGTCAGAGAAGCAGGAATAAGCTTATGATATGCCTCAAGTCCAAATCAGTCAGTGAAGAAATCAGATTAATCATAGCCATCGCTCATACTGATCAAGCCCTGTATTCTGTCTTGTTTTGTTTTGTTTTTTGAGAAAGGGTCTCGTTCTGTCACCTAGGCTAGGGTGCAGTGGTGCTATCATAGCTCACTGCAGCCTCGAACTCCTGAACTCAAGTGATCCTCCTACCTAAGCCTCCCAAGTGGCAGGGACTACAGGCGCACATCACTATGCCTGGCTAATTTTTAAATTTTTATTTTTGTAGAGACGGGGTCCTCCTGTGTTGTCCAGGGTGATCTCGAACTCCTGGGCTCAAGCGATCCTTCTGCCTTGGCTTTCCAAAGTGCTGGGATTACAGGTGTGAGCCACTGTGCCTGGCCTATTTCATCTTATCTATGATCCTTTTGACCCTGTTTCCAGGTTGAAGACTTCCTGCTTTTTCCTGTGCATTCTTCAGCAGCTCTGGGTAGAACTATGGCAGCACTTGCCATCTGGGCCAGAGGGTGAGTATAAGCTGACCCATTGCTGCAGCTGATTTAGAGACTCGGTGCTGTTCTGCTCACCCAACCTCCTCTTCTCCGGATATATATATATATGTATATATATGTGTGTATATATATATGTATATATATGTGTGTATATATATATGTATATATGTGTGTGTATATATATATACATGTATATATGTACATGTATATATGTACATGTGTATATATATACATGTATATATATGTATACATATATGTGTATATATATGTATACATATATATATATATATATTTTTAAATGTGGGATTCAAAAGGCCTGGGAGAGAGGTGAATTGTGTCCTGTGAGATTTTGACATTACTACAAACAAGCCTTGGCAGTTGCCACTGTATTGCTTCTTTGTCACAAGTACTATTGCGCTGTGGCTGCAAATGTCCCTTCATCGGCAGGATGGGCCAAGATGCATGGGCTGTAGCTCTAGTTAGCAAGTGGGCCCTTGAAGCAAGCCTACCAGTGGTGGCCTGTGCAATTGCACACTCCACATCCACAGATCAAAAAGCTCCTGTGAGAGCCAGGAAAGAGAGGGAAAATCCTAACCCAAGGTCTGTGAAACATTTCAGGGAACACTGGGGTGGCTTGTAGTTAATGCCATGAAAGAACTCAGAGATCCAGTTTTTCGAAAACCAGTAGTTATAAAAGAGTATTCAAAATAGGCAAAGGACACCTCACTAAAGGAGATGTACAGATGGCAAATAAGCATTGGAAGAGATGCTCCACATCATATGTTATTAAGAAACTGCAAATTAAAACAACAATGAGATGCCACCACACACCTATTAGAATGACCCAAAATCCAAAATACTGATAACACCAAATGCTGGTGAAGATTTGGAGCAACAGGAACTCTAATTCATTGCTGATGAGGATGTAAAATGGTGCAGTCACTTTAGAAGACAGTTTGGCAGGTTTTTACAAAACTAATCACACCCTTAATATATCATCTAGCAATCATGTTCCTATTTACCCAAATGAGTTGAATATTTACATATAACACACAAACCTGCACACAAATGTCTATAGCTGTTTTATTCATAATTGTCAAAACATGGAAGCACCCAAGATCTCTTTCAGTGGCTGCATGGGTAAATAAACTGTGGCACATCCAGACAATGGAATATTATTAGTGCTAAAATGAAATGAGCTATCAAGCCAAGAAAAAACATGGAGGAACCCTAAATGCTTATTGCTAAGTGAAAGAACCCAATCTGAAAAGGCTACTTCCTGTGTGATTCCAACTATATGACCTTCTGGAAAAGGCAAAACTATAGAGACAGTAAAAAGATACGTGGTTGCCAGGGGTTAGTGGGGACAAAGGGAGGAAACAGGCAGAGTGCAGAGGATTTTTAGTACAGCAGAAATATTCTGTATGATTGGAATGTATAAGTGACATACATTTGTCCAAGCCCATAGGATATACAACACCAAGAGTGAACCCTAATGTACATTATGGACTTTGGGTGATGATGATGTGTCAATGGAGGTTCATCAATAGTAACAAATGTACCACTCTGGTAGGGGGATGGTGATAGTTGGGAGAGGAGGCATTTGGGAACTTTTTATATTTTCTGATCAACGTTTTCTGTAAACCTAAAACTGCTCTATAAAAGAAAGCATATTAACTTCATTTATTTATTTATTTAGAGACAAGGTCTCACTCTGTCACTCAGGCTGGAGTGCAGTGGTGCAATCACAGCTCACTGCAGCCTTGACCTCCTGGGCTCAAGTGGTCCTCCTGCCTCAACCTCCAGATTAGCTGGGACTACAGGCGTGCACCACCATGCCTGGATAATTTTTAAAAACATTTTCAGTAGAGACAAGGTCTTGCTATGTTGCCCATGCTGGTCTTAGGCTCCTGAGCTCAAGCAACCTTCCGCCTCAGCCTCCCAAAGTGTTGCGATTACAGGCGTGAGCTACCGTGCCTGGCCAACTTCTTTTAAAAAGCTGTCAAAACAGCAGAATAGACCTTCTGCAAAATGGCATCTGGCAGACAAGAGCAGGATCGGGAGCACAGTGGAGTGTACTCACTGAGCCCAGCACCCAGAGGAGAGAAGAGGGGATCTGGCCTCCTGCTCCTCAAGCAGAGCCCCCAAAGGCAAAGAAATAGCTCTGGGCTCACTGTGTGGGACTAATGGCCTTAAGGGAGAGGGGGGTGAGGTCCATGGGTGTTGGGTGGCTCAGAAGGGCTGGGGGCTGTGGTTAGAAGCCTGGGGGGCAGGGAAGAAACCCAGTGAGAGGGGAAGGAGCCCTGCCTTCTTCTTCCTCTTTTTTTTTTTTTTTTTTGAGACGGAGTCTGGCTCTGTCACCCAGGCTGGAATGCAGTGGTGCGATCAATCTCAGCTCACTGCAACCTCTGCCTCCTGGGTTCAAGTGATTCTCCTGCCTCAGCCTCCTGAGTGGCTGGGATTACAGGCATGCGCCACCATGCCTGGCTAATTCTTTTTTTTTTTTTAATTTTTTTTAAATTTTTTAAATTTTTTATTTTTGGTAGAGACACGGTTTCACCATGTTGGTCAGGCTGGTCTCGAACTCCTGACCTCGTGATCCACCTGCCTTGGCCTCCCAAAGTGCTGGGATTATAGGCATTAGCCACCACTCCTGGCCCTTTTTTTTTTTTTTTTAAATAATTTCAACTTTTATTTTAGATTCAGGGGGTACAAGTACAGGTTTGTTACCTGGGTATAGTGTGTGATGCTGAGGTTTGGAGTAAAGATCCCATCACCTAGAAAAGTGAGCATAATACTCAATAGTTAGTCTTTCAACCCTTGCCCCTTGCCTCGCTCCTCACTCTAGTAGTCCCCAGTATCTATTGTTCCCATCTTTATGTCCATGAGTACCTGATGTTTAGCTCCCAATTATAGGTGAGAGCATGCAGTATTTGGTTTTCTGTTTCTGTGTTAATTTGCTTAGGTTTATGGCCTCCAGCTGCATCCATATTGCTGCAAAGGACATGATCTTGTTCCTTTTTATGGCTGCATAGCATTCCATGGTATATGTGTACCACATTTCTTTCCTTCCTTCCTTCCTTCCTCTCTCTCTCTCTCTTTCTTTCTTTCTTTCTTTTTTGGTGGAGTCTCACTCTGTTGCCCAGGCTGGAGTACACTGGCCCAATCTCAGCTCACTACAACTTCTGCCACCAGGGTTCAAGCGATTCTCCTGCCTTAGCCTCCCAAGTAGCTGGGATTACAGGCACCCACCACCACACCTGGCTAAATATTGTATTTTTAGTAGAGACGGGGGTTTTGGCATATTGGCCAGGCTGGTCTTGAACTCTTGACCTCAGGTGATCTGCCCTCCTCGGCCTCCCAAAGTGCTGGGATTACAGGCTTGAGCCACAGCGCCCAGCCCACGTTTTATCTAAACCACCAGTGAGGGGCACGTAGGTTGATTGTTGATTCCATGTCTTTGCTATTGTGAGTAATGCTGCAATGAACGTATGAGTGCAGGTGTCTTTTTGGTAGAACGATCTATTTTCTTTTGGATATATACCCAGTAATGGGATTGCTGGGTTGAATGGTAGTTCTAAGTTGTTTAAGAAAGCTCCAAATGCTTTCCACAGTCCTGCCCTCTTTTTAATAAATGTGTTGTCTTCACTGATCTCCTGGAGCATCCCAAACATAATTATTTTCAAGTCTTTTTCTGTCTCATAACATTGACTTTACATGTATTGAGTTCATATCAAAATTTTTATTTTGTTGCATGTTTTTGCCTTAGCATGAGATTTTTTCATGTGTTGTAGAATCTTTGTCTGCACCTTCATTTGGAGTGCCTTTTCCTTTTTTTTAAATTTCCTTTTCATTTGTTTTATTTTCACTGACATTCTTTCTCTATTGAGCTGTTTGGCAGTTGCCTCAACTCAGCATTCCTTTAGTAGCAGGAAATGGAATTCAAGTGGCGCACGTGCCTTATATTTCCTGGGTTTGTTACTCCAAATAGATTTGAAGAACCATTGTCCATGAAAAGTGAAACCATCACTTCCGCAGTGAACCCCTGGCATCTCTTGTAATTTGATTCTGCACCAGCTCAGACTTCTCTTTTAACCAGGGCCCCAGTCATGCCCTCTTTCCAGGCGGAGGCTCTGGCTTCTATGTGCATGCACTACATTTACATTTTTGTGAGCTTGACCCCAGTAGAGGTTTGGTGCAAAAAAATTGCCCTCTTCCTATCTCTACTTGCTTCTTCTGCGTAAACTAATCCAGAATCTTCATTCCATTTGGCTTGGGATTCGGAGAAAACCTTTCAGCAGTGAAAGAGAAGAACAAGGCAGAAATGCAGAAACAAAACCTAGAGATGGGGAGAGAGGAATTCATGAGTTCCCCATTTTCCTCAAGCCCTGTTCTCTGCCCTTCCTGAAGTTTGATTGTCTAACACTTCCTTAGATTCCAGGAGACACCTAGGTGTCCTTATAATACCTCTCCTATATATTTTTTGCTCCAAGGAGTTTCTGATACTTGCAATCAAAAGAGGCATGGTGAGTCTACGTCTCTTGGGCGTCCCTTGGTACAGTGTGTTGTGATTCCTATGCCAGGCACTACTGCACCCCACACTCTGGAAGTTATCACTTCCACAACCCCTGCTTTGGAATAGCAATCTTGGTTTTCAATCTTCAGTGGGAGAGTTTGGACACCTCCTGCTACAGACAAACTTTACAGAAAGGCAGAGTTTGGTCAGGAAAACTGGGCCATTGTATGTATTGCAGGAAACAAAGGGTTTAAAGGATCACAGGAATATGGAGGAGTGGGGGAGTAAGGGTCTGAAGGCTGCAGCTGGAAGGCTGAAGAAACAGTCACTGATGCTTTCAACACGAACCATTGGACTGGGACAGGTGGTTCTCAGAAGTTCTCCAGGAATTCTCAAATTCACAATGATCCAACCAACCTTCCACTTTCCAGCAATGAAGTGAAAGCTTGAGAAGTTTGGGAGACTGTGGCATTTGGCCACTGTGACTTCCCTGTGGGAAATCATGGACAATTCTAAGAGTCTGGAGCTCATAGAGAGCTCTGAGAAAATGGAGTTTGCAGAAGAGACTTTAGAAGTGGGAATAGTCCTACAAAGTTGACAACTAACAATTGAGCCCAAGGACCTTTGAAGAGAAGAAAGTAGTCTTGTATTGAGAGCCAGAGGACTTCTCTCAAAATGAAAATGGCTGAACCAAATGATTTCTAAGGTTCCTCCCAGTTTTAAGATATGCTGAATCTTTGACATGATCCAGAGCAATGCCCCCTGTAGCCTCTTCAATAGCAAAGAAAGAGTGAAAGATTGTGGAGCTAGGCCACTCTTAGTAAAGTGACAAGAACCCATTGGGAAAGGGATGTCCAGTGTTTTAAGATAGTCTTTTTTTTTTTTTTTTTTTGAGATGGAGTCTTGCTCTGTCCCCCAGGCTGAAGTGCAATGGTGCCATCTCGGCTCAAGGCAACCTCTGCCTCCCGGGTTCAAGCAATTCTCCTGCCTCAGCCTCCTGAGTAGCTGGGATTACAGGCGCATGCCACCACGTCGGGCTAATTTTTTGTATTTTTAGTAAAGACGGGGTTTCACTATGTTGGCCAGGCTGGTCTCGAACTCCTGACCTCAGGTGATCCACTTGCCCCGGCCTCCCAGAGTGCTAGGATTATAGGCGTGAGCCACCGTGCCCGGCCTGAGCTACCGCACCTGGCCAGTTTGTTTTTCTGATAACTTCAGGTTTCCTGACCAGCCTCGCCCTCCCTCCAACCCTCAACCCTCTCCCATTGGTTCTGTTCCCTGCTTTTTGTTCTGTGACCTGCTGTTGAGGGTGTCCTCTCCTGCTCCAGTGTACCTACTCGGTGCGGGACTATGAATAGTATCATTAGTCCCACCTTGGGTGGAGAGGACAAAAACACTTTGCTTTCCCTATCTCTGCAGCCAATTGCTACCTGCCTTCCTCTCACTTAAAAAATTATCCCACCTTTTTGAAATCTCTTCTTCAGCCAGCCTGTTTTGCTCTCCTCTCTTCACTGAATATGTAAAATCTTTTTGTACATTAAGAGCTTGGAAAGACCTACTTGTCTTAGCCACATGATTTTCAAAATGTGTTAATTATGCATTACTCACGTACTCTGAGCTTTTGTTGCTAATGTCATTTTACTGGACTGGGGAGAAGATACTTGACTTGGAGTGGCTACACAATCCTCAGACTTGCCCTCAGAAAATTTCTCCATCATAATATGTTTAAGTGTGTGTGTGTTGGAGGGCGTCTCGTTTTTTATTCTCTGTCTTGATGAAATAACATCCTTTTAATATTTTCTTCTTTCAGTCAGATGGTAAAGGAAGTCAGCATTTTAAAAAAATCTAGGCAGGGCGCGGTGGCTCACTCCTGTAATCCTAGCACTTTGGGATGTCAAGGCGGGCGGATCACTTGAGGTCAGGAGTTCCAAACCAGCCTGGCCAACATGGTAAAACCCTGTCTCTACTAAAAATAAAAAAAAAAAAATTAGCCAGGCGTGGGGGTGGACACCTATAATCCCAGCTACTCAGGAGGCTGAGGCAGGAGAATTGCTTGAACCCGGGAGACGCAGGTTGCAGTGAGCCAAGATCGCGCCACTGCACTCCAGACTGGGCGACAGAGCGAGACTCCATCTCAAAAAACAAAGCAAAACAAAACAAAAAAACCCCCCAAAATCTGGATGTTCAACTTTACTTCTGTAAGCAAATATCATTGAAAGACTGAGGTAATATTGACAGTGTAAACAGAGGACTCAAAATTTCTATACTAAAGATTAATGGGGCTGGGCGGTGGCTCACGCCTGTAATCCCAGCACTTTGGGAGGCTGAGGCGGGAGGATCACTTGAGCCCAGGGGCTTCAGACCAGCCTCTAAAAAACATAAAAATAAATTAGCTAGGCATGGTGGCATGCACCTGTGGTCCCAACCAGTTAGGAGACTGAGGCAGGAGGATTGCTTGAGCCCAGGATGTCGAGGCTGCAATGAGCCATGATTGCACCACTGCACTCTGGCCTGGGTGACAGGGTGACATCCTCTCTCTCTCTCAAAGAAAATTAATGTTTCTTTTGTTATTTTTGTCAAATTAAACTGCGGAGCATCATTTCATTCCCTCAAATTGTAGTTCCAAAAAGGATACACAATTCAATTTCATAAACATGGTAAAATTAATTGATCAGAGATGTTACAGTTCCTTCATAGTTGTAAATGGTGTGATTATCAAATAGACTGACAGAACACTTGACAACTCTTTCCTTCTTTTACACAATAATTAATCTTTGAACCAGCTTTATTTGTCAACTTTCGAAAGTCAATGAAGCATGCGGTTAACACATGGCATGATTCTATGACAGATAGGCATGAGTCACGGTCCAGAGCAGGTTTATGCTGAAACCACCATTGCCTTTGATTACATGGCAATGCATGTTTATATAGCATCTTCCAAGCCCTTAAGGAAACACTATATTCGACGCTGAAATGCCTGTACTACCACTTTGTCTTTTCAGCAGCATAGATTCAATTGTTTTGGTGAAACATATTTTTGGGGTCCCATCTGTACAATTGCAGTGATAATAAATTGTGGCGGTTTAAAAATGTCTGTGAATTCTTTAACCCTATTCCCAGGTGGGTCCTATGGCTGCTCCCCCTGAACCTGGGCTGACCTCAGTGACTTATTTGTAACCAATAGAATCAGCAGAAGTGGTCTGCATAATTTTTGAGGCTAGTTCATAGAAGGCCACGTAGTTTCCACCTGGTTCTCTCGGGGACACATGTGGTGGGGAAAGCAGGTGCTACATAAGAGGTCCAACTACCCTGAAACCTTTCAGGCCATGCTATTAGTACCATATGGAAGTGCTCCAGTAGTCAGCCCAGCTGAACTTCCAACCAATAACCAAACTGCCAGCCACATGAGTAAGTCATTTTGGATGTCCAGTTCAGCTGAGCCAGTCATTGAGAGACTCTAAGCAAGAACTTCCCAGCTGAGCCCGTCTCCAATTCTGCAACAGAATAATTTTGGGGGGAATTCTATATCTTTAGGAGATTCGAAATGCACATGGTAACATTAAAGGCTCTGATAAATTCTGCAGCAAGGCATCTATTTAACCAAAACTTATTGGCTACAGAGTCATTTTGTCTTGAGACACTTTTTAGCATTGAATTGAAAGAATTAGACCCTGGTGAATACATTTTAGTAAATACTGGCCTTCAGTTATAGCTTAGGACCATAGCTTGGCTCAATTCAGAATGAGAGTCTGTTGCAGTTGCGATAGTTGGTTGATCTCATGTCGATAAAGAAATCAAACTTCCATGGGGGATATATGAGGAATAGGAATGGGTGGAAGATCTGAAATATCATATCAGAAAATAATAGGTTATTAGTTAAAGCAGAAATTATGTGAAAATGTGGGGTCTATATTAGCAAAAATTGAGAAGGAAGTTACTTCTGAATAGAAAAACAGTTGGAATTTTAAATGTCCTTTTGGTTCTACCTCTCTTGGTTGTCAAACGAGTGGCAGAAACTCTTGGCTGAGTCTCAGAGCAAATCGATTATCTATCCGTCTGTCTATCTATCTATCAATTATCTATCTATCTATCTATCCATCCATCCATCCATCTTCACTCATTTCATTGGAATAGGTAATATATTAATATGGTGCTATGGTGTGAATGTACGTATCCCTCCAAAATTTATATATTGGAACTTAAACCCCAAGGTTGATGGTATTAAGGGGTATTTGACAGTTGATTGGACCATGAGGGCTCTGCTCTCATGGGTGGGATTAATGCCTTCATAAAAGGGCTTGATGGAGCAAATTCATCCCTTTTTGCCTTTCTGCCATGTGAGAATACAGCATAAGTCCCTTCTGCCATGTAAGTATACAGGAAGAGGTGCTGTCTTTGAAGTAGGAAGCCCTCACCAGACACTGAATCTGCTGGTGACTTGTTCTTGGACTTCCCAGCCTCTAGAATTGTAAGAAATAAACTTATATTATTTATAATTTACCCAGTCTAAGATGCTTTGTTATAGCAGCCAAATGGACTAAGATATACAGTACTAAATTCACAAGGTACTAAGAGATATACATTGAAAACTCCCCCTCCCACTCTGTCTGCCAACCACAGTGTTTCCAGTTTCTTATCTATCCTTCCAGGGTTAACTCAAGCATATATAAGCAAATGCATATACATATGTGTGAGTGTGTGTGTGTGTGTGTGTGTGTGTGTATGCTGTGTGTGTATATATATACATGCTGATACAGAACATATATATATATACATATATATGTTTTTGAAAACATAGTAAAATATTATGCATATTGTATTCTGTACCTTGTTTTTTCATATAAAGTCATTCCATATCCACATGTGGAAAGATTCCTTTTTTTTTTTTTTTTTTTTGAGACAGGGTCTTTCTCTGTTGCCCAGGCTGGATTGCAGTGGCATGACCATGGCTCACTGTAGCCTTGACCTCTGGGCCTCAAGCGATCTTCCTGCTTTAGCCTCCTGAGTAGCTGAGACAGCAGGTATGTGCCACTATGCCCAGCTAATTAAAAAAAATTTTTTTTTGTAGAGATGGGGTCTTACTTACTATGTTGCCCAGGCTAGTCTTAAACTCCTGGACTCAAGCAATCCTCCCTCCTAGGCCCCCCAAAGTGCTGGGATTATAGGCATGAGCCAGTTTCCTTATTTTTTTCACATTCACCTAATATTCTACTGTATGGATGTACCACAATGTAATTAACCAGTTGCTTGTTATTGGACCTTTTCATATTATAAGCAGTGCTGTGATGAACAAACTTGCACATGCATCGCTTAGCACATGTGCAAGCATATCTCAGGATAAATGATTAGATGTGAAAATGCTGGGTCAAATGATGGCAGGTATTGTTGACGGCTGGCCCAGATCTTTTATGGGGCTGGCATCCCCATCCTCTAGCTGCTGCAGATGTTGGTTGCTAAAAGCTCACACCTGCTTCCTTTTCTAGGGAACTGCTATTGGCTGACAGTTGCTGCCTGACCTGGAGACGTCTTGAAAGTTACACACACTTCTGGGGAAAGCCCTTGGCCAGTGACTAAACAGATGCATGGATATAACAGCCCAGCCTTCTTGTCTCTGGACAAGACGATTTCTGTGGTGCAGTTTTCACTCAAGAGCTCCTTGTGGGATCAGGCTGAGACTAAGCTTCTAAAACCACATTTTGCCTTAGGTACTTCCCCTGCCATCCGGCTTC
Source organism: Homo sapiens (assembly GCF_000001405.40). Taxonomy (NCBI): domain Eukaryota; kingdom Metazoa; phylum Chordata; class Mammalia; order Primates; family Hominidae; genus Homo; species Homo sapiens. The sequence continues at coordinate 44,456,801 of NC_000023.11, read as the reverse complement.
CCTTACTCCCCTGCAGGTTTCTCCTGAGAACATTTCCTCAATAAGTCATCTGTACAGAGTCCCTGTCTCAGCCTGTTTCTAGGAAGCTCAGTCTAAGACAAATGATGTGCGCACATGTGATTTTTATATATTTTGTAGATATTGCTCAATTGCCCTCCATAGAGATTGTACCAATTTAGACTCATCCTAGCAATGTAAGAAAGTGTTAAGAAAAACCTTGTCATCCAAATTGCTCTCAGATATTAGTGAAACTGCTGGGCATGGTGGCATGTGTCAGCCACCTTGGGAGGTTGGGATAGAAGGATCACTGGAGGTCAGGAATTCGAGATTGTAGTGAGTTGCGATAGTGCCTGTGAATAGTCACTGCACTCCAGTGAGGGCAACACTCTGACTCTGTCTCTTAAATAAATAAATAAAATTTAAAAAACATTAATGAAACAATGAATATATGCTGCATATTATTTTGGTGATGGTACATCTGGTGCAGTGTACCCATACCTTTTTTTCATTTGTTTCTAGAGGAACAGGGATGCATGTCTGCTTAAATAAATTATGTTTCCATCTCAACAGGCTTGTGGCCACTGACCACATGGCCTTTCTACTTGCTGTGGGTGTCAGGGAGTGTTGAAAAGTAGATGGTGGGGAGTGCCATGGGGAAAGGGATGGGTTAGGAAGGTTTAGTATATTTTAGGATATAATAGGATATAAGGACTGATGTCTCAGGGTTTTTATTTTTTTCTGAAATCTTGACAAAGCATGGAATACCTGGATGAAAAGAAAGCGTTTGAGACCCATAAGGGGGATTCTGCTTCTGGGTCCAAATTTGATCAAGGCCACATGGTTTGCAGAAGCCAGGGTCAGCCTGCTTTGGGCTTTGGGGTCCAGCAGACTTTGGATCCAATCCCAGCTCTGCCACCTTCTAGCCCTGTGATCTTATCTTTCTGAGTCTCAGTTGCATTTTCAGTAAAACAGTAATATTAATACCTATCTTGGAAAGTTATAATGAGGATTCGATGTGTTGGTCCCTGCTAGGGGTTCTGTAAGTGGTATTGAAAAGGTAGTAGTAGGAATGGTGATTATTATTAGTGGACAGCTCTCATGGATTATGATGAAAAGTTTCAGCACTAGGGAAGTAGGTTTAGTACAGAAGAAGGAAGCTTGGGAGAAGGGGTCCAGGTCTTCGAGTCCCAGCAACCCCACTTTTCACCACATCTTCACATTGTCCTATTCTACTGCACTAACAAAGACTCCTACATCCTCCTCCCCGCTCCCCACCCCCCGCCCCACACGATGCCTCCATCCCTCAGTACACTCAGAAGCTTCTGTAAACAGCCAATAAAAAAAAAAAAAGCCGGAGGCTGGGCGCAGTGGCTCACGCCTGTAATCCCAGCTCTTTGGGATGCCGAGGCAGGTGAATCACCTGAGGTCAGGAGTTTGAGACCACCCTGGCCAACATGGTGAAACCCCATCTCTACTAAAAATACAAAAATTAGCTGGACATGGTGGCGTGTGCCTGTAATCCCAGCTACTTGGAAGGTTGAGGCATGAGAATCGCTTAAACCTGGGAGGTGGAGGCTGTAGTGAGCCAAGATTGTGCCACTGCACTCCAGCCTGGGTGACAGAGTGAGATTGGTCTCAAAAGAAGAAGAAGAAAAAAAAAAAGGCTGGAGCATTCGGGCAGCAGGATTTTCTCTTCGGGCAAATGCTCAGAAATCTAATGACCTCTACCCAGGAGGGAGGATGAACTCCCTATATAGCAAAGGGTTTTAATGGTGAGAAGTTTCCCCATTTCCACTGAGGACAACATAAAAGAAAACAGAAAAAAGCTGGAGCAGAAGGAATTAGGATGGACTTAAGCAGACTTTTCCCAGACCCTCAGTGGTAGGAGATTGCATTCTGTGAAAACACATTGCCTCTGGGTTTATTTGAGTGTAGTTCAGCTTTAAAATTCAGCACTGGCTTTGCATTGTCGAAGCCACCCAAAGGAATCCCTGTACATAATACAAAATGCACACATTAACAACAAAGCCAAGGATTTTTTTTTTTCAGAACCCTCATTATGCTTAAACTCATTTTGGGGGGATGTTTTAAATTATCTTCTTTCATGATCTTCCCCACTGTTGGCCTGCTCATAAGTGTTGATGTTGTATAATGGGTAGCGCCATGAGCAAGTTTATTTGCTTATTTGTTTTGGTGGAGGAAGGGAAATTTTTTGAGAAAAGAAAATTGGAACATTTGTTTATGAAAAGTTTAGCTTGAAAGAGTTTTGTCCGTTATGAAAAAAATCAGAAAACCAGATCTGTTTTGAGCCTTTCATGTTAGATAATAGTTTGAGAACATGTCTTTACGTCTTATAAAATAATCATTGCACAAATTATTTATCCTCTTTCCCAGAATAAAGAATCCCTCGGTACTTACACTTTAGAGAACTTAAAGATGTAGATTGGGAATAAAGTGTCCTCCTAATTTTTTTTTCTTCCGCAATAGGGAAGGCAGATTGGGTAAGGGCGCATGCAGCATACGGAGCATTCACCAGGATCCAGGCTGCCAAGGTGTACAACTCCAAGGGGTGCTGTTACATTGTCTTCTATATGAATGGCACCTCTTGGAATCCAACAATGTAAATGTTAAGACCTGGAGTTGCACATCACTTGGAAGGGTCCAGATTTTGCTTCCATATGCCACTTTTGGGGTTTTGCCTCATCTAATGTCCCTAGCTAGGGAGCATTATCTACAGTCCAAGCTACCATGGCAACAAATTGAGGCCAGTATTATCAGAACAGAAGCTGGCACCCAAACGCACTTTAAGATATCCTCCTTTCTCTGAGCACTACTGGGTGTGAGAGAGTGATTAAGTCGGGCCCTTGTATGGAGGTACTCACAGCACAGAGGTGACCCAACTAGGACAGTCGATTTTGGTCCTGTGGTCTGTAGGTTTGGTGATCATATTTTTTTCCAACAAAAACCAGGACAAATGGTCTGAGAAAGAATTATTCATCGTCTGTGGGTATATTTAAAAGGAGTGTTACACATAGCTTTTAGTTATTTATGTGTCAAATCATTGTGTAGAAAAGAATGAAACTATGAAATTGATGTTGTCCCAGGAATTTTAATATAGGCCCACTACCTATAACATGAATAGCTACCACTTATTGCGGGATTATTATTGAAGCTTCAAATGAAGTGCTTTACAAAATTATCTCATTTTCTCCTCGGGACAACTCTAGGAGGTGGGCACTATTGATACATTTTATAGAGAAGATAACTGAGGTTTCCAGGTGGGAAGTAGCTTACCAAGATTATGTAGCTAGTAAGTGGTAGAGCTGACAATCTCACTCAGGCTGATGGAACGCATTGTCTTCAACGATATGACACTGTACTGTCTCTCCCATTTAATGGAGGCTTTTCACTCTTTTATTGGCAAGTTTCATTCTTTTACCTAAGTCTGACATACAGCAAAAGGCTGTTAGCTCCATTAGGCCTAGAGATTTGCAACTCTCTTCTGTTGGTAGGGAATAAGATATTTCCTATCCCATTTAGTTCAGGACAACAAACACTTATTGAGTGTCTATGTGATACCAGGCACCGGCTTAGTGGTTATGGAATGTAAAGATTAATAAATAACAATGCCGCACTGTTCCTACCCTCAAGATGTGTGGAATGAAGGGAAAAGGGAAACACACAAATAACTGTAACATAAGGCCAACTGTAATAGGTGACATATTTGAGAAGCTGATTGCTAAGAGTGTTTAAAGAAGGTAGCAATTAATTCCTGATAGAGAGGCTTCCTACAGGAAATGTCATTTAATTAAGGCACTGAAAGTTTGTGGAGCTATCATGATCGCTATGCCTGTGTAACAGTTTACCCCAAAACTTAGTGGTGTTGAACAATCATTTTAGTTTACTCACAATTTTATGTTCAGGAATTCAGGAAGGTCTCAGCTGAGCAGTTGTTGCTGCTTGGGGTGTCTTAAGTGAGTACAATCAGGTATCATCTGAAGGCTCAAGTGGCTGAGCGTCCAAGATGGCACATTGACAGCAGCTGTCAGCCGTGAACTCAACTGGGCTGCTATGCCAACCGGAGTGCCTACACATGGCCCCTTTGGCGTGGTGGTCTCAGGCAAATGTTGCATGGACTTTTCTGACCTAGCCTTGGAAATCATGTGGCGTCCCTTCTGCCACATTCTACTGGAAATGAGAGACTCACAAAGGCCAGCTCAGATTTGGAGGGACCATAGGCCCCACCTCTCAATGGGAGGAGGGTCAAAGTCACATTGTAAAAGAGAATGAGGGATGGGAGATATTGTTGCAGCCATCCTTGGAAAATATAGTCTGCCACAAAGACGTGATAGGTAGAAGTGTGGACAAAAGGCCTTTGAGTCCAATAAAACTACAGGAGTATGGCAGAGGGTTGTTCAAAGTTTGTTTGAGGAATAGCAGATTAACTGGTGTAGCTGGGATGAGGAGTATAAGGAAAGGGGGAGATAAACTGGGAAAACTATTTTGGGTCTCGTCCATAGAGGGCTTTGAAAGCCAGAATACTGGGTCTGGATTTTACTGAGAGGCAATTTAGTGATGAGATTAAGAGCATGGCTTTGGCGTCAGCTAGAATTCTTCCCTGATCCTCCCATTATTAGCTGTGTGACCTTAGGTGAATTCCTCACCCTTCCTGCATCTCAGTGTTCTTCCCTCCAAAAGGGGGGAAATTCTAACTTTGTTGCAGTTTTACGCCACAGGATAAGATAATGAATGTAAATCACTTAGTATATAATAAAGGGTGACTATTACTATTATTACTCTGATAGTAATCAGGTAGCCAATGAGATTTTCTGAGGAAAAGTAACATGACCATATCTGTCACTCAGAAAGATACCAGCAGGTAGCTAATAGGCCTAAAGTTAGGAAAACCAGTTAGGAGGAAGTAGCATTTATCTAGTTAAGAAGTCAAGAGAGCCTGATGACTGGGGGGAGCTTGGAATGATGAGATACTGAGGAGATTGAGGCTTTATTTGGTGGCTCATTGTCCACAAGGGTAAGGGAGAGGGAGAACTCTCATAGGGCAGAGATCAGAGGTCAGAGTGACAATGCAAGTCCTCTTGATGGGGTGTTGGGGAGAGGTGGCATTTCTGCTATCTAGGATTGCTCTTGCAATCCACATAAAGCCATGTCTTCACCAAGGTCCTAAAAACAAAACCCTAGACAGCAATTTTTGGGCAAATGATTATTGAGGGAGCATTCTGAAGAGTGAGGGAAGAAGACTAGAACAGTGGAAAGACCTTAAAAAAGGAGAGGGTCTCACCTGGAGACTAGCTTCAGCCAGATCCTGCCAGGAACTCTGGAACTTGATTGCACCACACCATCAGTCACACCTTGAGGCAAGGGCCTGCCTTTCTAGCCTGGGAATCAGTCAGTCATTGACTTTGGATGGCTTTGGGGTAGTAGGGTAGGGTATAATCTCTGTTGCCAGATGGCTCCTTTTGGCCAAGAGCAATTCTCTGGAGAACAGCAGCTGTGAGCTCTCAGCAACCACCATTCTTGGCAGCTGGGGAATGGGTGTACTGGCCCGGAAAAGAGGATTTGGATGAGGTAACAAAAGTATTCATGATAAGGATCTCAGCGTTGCTGTCACTCTGCGAGACCCCTTCCTGGGGAGCCAGTGTGACTGGTCTGCTCAGCATGCTTACGGTCATTATAGAAAATTCCTTTACGTTGCAACCTGTGATAATAACTAATGTCTTGTATTTAGGAAGTCACCTTTTCTTCTTAGACAATCCTAGGGTATGGCATTGTGCAAGTGTATAGTGCTGAGGCCAGGCGAGTCTGCATAGCATCTTGGCTTGCATGTAGGTGGGTGGGGGGAGAGGAGAGAGGGAGCGGGGGAGAGAGAGAGAGAGAGAGAGAGAGACAGAGTCAGAAGTGAGAGAGGCACAAAAAACAGACAACACACAGAGATGTGCATTGCATTATATTTACTGACGAACTTTTCCCCCTCATGATATATGTACCTCTCAATGGACCCAGCAGGCGCTATTATTTCATCTCTGGTTCTGTGATCTCCTGGTCCATGCACACTGGATGTGATTGAGATTAGACAAATCATTGTTTTCTTTTAAATGGGAGACTTCTGAAGCAATCTCTAAAGGTATCGCATGATAAATTTAACTTTCCATATGGATGCTGTTTGCTTCTTTAAAGTCAATATAAATGATTAAATGGGAATATGTTATATAATTCAAAGTAAGCACACACACACATACACACAAAATCTTTAGATGAATGGTTTGGCTGCCTACCACAAGAAATCTCCCACTTCCCTTTTATTATTAGAGGCAAACACAAAACTGAATCAACACCATCAAGGGTTTGCCCACTTGGAAAAATACTGCATTCCAGAGCAGTCAAAAATTTACACTACTCAGGACAATTGTATGTTGTTTTCTATAAGGTTCTTGGGACGGTAATAGTCATTATTTTCTACCCTCATTCCAGCTTTCCAGCACTCACAGTCCTTCTAGAAGCACATCTTTTGTGCATTTTGCAAAGTGGTCCACTTCGGGTTATCCTTCAGGAAGTCCTCCTACTGGACTGAGCCCAGCTATTTACCTGAAGCTACCACGGTTCTACTGTTTTTGTTGGAAGCCCTGGTTCACAAAGCTAAGTCCTCCTCAATTTCAGAAGGAGAGAAAATATTCATGAAAACCACTCACACACTACCACTGTTCCAGTACTAGACACATAACTATGTAAGAAAGAGCTACTGGATGTCAGAGTTATGTTTTGATCAGGTGACTACAAATACATGTTTTCCAAATATGTGTTAGATGCCATTGCATTGAGTAAGCTAATGAAGTCCTAAAGACAAAATGCTAGTGGGTTATCTGAGTTCCTGCTGCTATAACAAAATGCCACAAACTGGTGGCTTATAAACAACATTTATTTCTCCACTTTGCAAAATGCACAAAAGATGTGCTTCTAGAAGGACTGTGAGTGCTGGAAAGCTGGAATGAGGGTAGAAAATAACGACTATTACCGTCCCATGAACCTTACAGAAAACAACGTACGATTGTCCTGAGTAGTGTATTTTTTTTTTTTCTTTGAGACGGAGTCTCGCTCTGTCACCCAGGCTGGAGTGCAGTGGTGCCATCTCGGCTCACTGCAAGCTCTGCCTCCAGGGTTCACGCCATTCTCCTGCCTCAGCCTCCCAAGTAGCTGGGACTACAGGTGCCTGCCACCACGCCCAGCTAATTTTTTGTATTTTTAGTAGAGCCGGGGTTTCACCGTGGTAGCCAGGATGGTCTCGATCTCCTGACCTCGTGATCCTCCCACCTCGGCCTCCCAAAGTGCTGGGATTACAGGCGTGAGCCACTGCGCCTGGCCGAGTAGTGTACATTTTTGACTGCTCTGGAATGCAATATTTTTCCAAGGATTTTCTAGAGACTGGGATGTCCAAGATCAAGGTGCTGGCAGATTTGGTGTCTGGTAAGGGCCAGTTTTCTGGTTCATAGATGGCTGTCTTCTCCCTATGTCCTCACATGCATGAAAGGACTAGCTAGCTTTCTGGGGGTCTCCTTATAAGGGCACTAATGCCATGAGGGCAGAGTCCCCATGACCTAATTACGTCCCCAAAACCCCACCTCCTAACACTGCCACCTTGAGGGTTAGGATTTCAACATAGGAAATTTTTGAAGGACACAAGCATTCTGGCTGTTGCACAGGGTTTTTCAATTCTATCAAGGTTAATACTGAAGATGAGCATGTTCTGTATGAACTTATAACAAAAAAAATCACTCTTTGTTATCTGATGTATAATGAAAAGATGATGATTTAGAAAACCCAGATTTACAGTGACAGGAGATTTTGGACAAGTCTCTGAGCCTCAGATTCCACATCTCTCAAGTGATCATGTTTGTTAGACCCATCACTTAGTGTCACTGGGGGCATCTAAGGAGATACAGATGGAGTGATATTGAACATCACTTATAAACTCCTGAGTGATGTTCAAATGTTGGAAACTAGGAAACATTAAATAATTGTACATTTAAAATATGTTCTATTATTCCATTATATAGGAAATACATACTCATAACAAAAAAAAAAACAGAAAAAAAATTTAAAAAGTGAGAGGGAAAACAATCCATTATAGGATTTAAGGTGTTATTAGGTTAAAAGTGATACCTCTTTGAGTTGGATGATGTAGTGGATTGAATTGTGGCCCCTGAAAAGATATGTGCAAGTCCTTATTTGGAAAAAGGGTCTTTGCAGATGTAATTAAGGATATCAAGATGAGATCATCCCAGATTTACTGGATAGACTCTAAATCCAATGACAGGTGCTTTTATAAGAAGAGCAAAGTGTAGAGGAAGGTCATGTGAAGACAGAGATTGAAGCGATGTGTCTACAAGCCAAGGAATGCAAGCAGCCACCAGAAAGCTGGAAGAGGTAAGGAATGATTCTTCCCTAGAGACTTCAGATGGGGGATGGCCCTGCTGCCACCTTGATTGCTGACTTCTGGCCTCCAGAACCGTGAGAGAATACATTTCTGTTGTTTTAAGCTGCCAAGTTTGTTTTAATTTGTTACAGGAGCCCTAGGAAACTAATACAGATGCCCACCATAAAGAAAGCCTGACAAATTTCATTATGTCAGAGAATGAGCGCAGCCTTGAAAGACAGAAACATGTGTGGTTGGCAATCTGTGACACGTGGCTTTCCTAATGAAAAAGTTTTTCTGTCCTTTTTAAAGGGGCACAGTCTCTTTAAATGGACAGAAGCAAAACAGCACTAAAAACTGTAATAAAGGCAATTTAGGAGAAGGAAAGTAATCACAGCAAATAATACAGATTGAGTCAGTTGATCAGCTGTATCTTGTATTAAGAAACGACTCTTGGCCTCAAGTTAAGTACATAAGCATTTCTTCTTTATCTTATTTTATTTTGTTTTATTTCATTAACACCAGCGTCACTTGCCAAGCAATTTCTCTTTAAAGTGGAGCATGGTTGGGAGGCTGAGGCAGGAGGATTGCTTGAGCCCAGGAGTTTGCGACTGCAGTGAGCTATGATTATGCCACCATACACCAGCCTGGGTGACAGAGCGAGACCCCGTGTCTAATAAGTAAATAAATAATAAAAATAAAAGTAAGAAAATAAAGCAGAGCATGGGACTAAAAAGAAGAAAGAGATTAGGAATGGTAACAGTTGAAGGATAGAGAAAAAAGCACCTAATTGTTCAGAATTTACACCACGTTGGCTCAGACTTCATCTGTCCTTTCTTTTGACTTTACATTTAGTTATGTGTAAGCAGTTTAATAAAGAGATTGATTCTTATCAAGTAAAGTTGGAAAAAACTCATTGTTTAATTTGGGCGAGTCTGGGCAAAGTCCTTGGCTATTTGAGCAATCTTAATGTGGTACTTGGCACCTACAGCTTAGTCAAAGCCCAAATTTATAATATGGATTTTCTATGTCCTAGGACTGACCTTTTCTCCAGCAGGATTTTTCTAAGAATTTCCTGCCCAAGCAGACATCAGCTGAATTCAAAGTCTGCTTGGTTCCTATCTTGCCTAGCCCCAGTCTCCCTTAAATTCTTATTTTCTATTCACTTGGCATATGTCTATGGTTGCTTTATTGTTAAAAAGAATAATAAGCACCAGCTATCTCTAGGCACTCATGTTTTCATACACACCATTTGATTCTTGTGATGATCTTGAGAGGTGTCTATTCATTTTCGTTTTATATATAAGGAAACTAAGGAACTGTGACCCTGGAGGTACAATGTGGTGAATAGAAATCAAATAGAGCTGAATTAGATTTCTGGCTCCATATTCACAAATAGCTGTGTGACTTTGGATGGATAAATGGCATAAACTCTTTAGCTAAGCCTCAGTGGTCTTGTAGGTAAAATGGGGCAATATTCCATTTTAAAAGGCTGTTCTAAGCAGCCTTTTATTTTCACTTCTTATTTTATTTTATTTTATTTATTTATTTTTTGAGATGGAGTCTCGCTCTGTCACCCAGGCTGGAGTGTAGTGGCACCATCTCGGCTCACTGCAATCTCCGCCTCCCGGGTTCAATCAATTCTCCTGCCTCAGCCTCCCAAGTAGCTGGGACTATAGGCACCCGCCACCAAGCCCAGCTAATGTTTGTATTTTTAGTAGAGATGGCATTTCACCATGTTGGCCAGGCTGGTCTCGAACTCCTGACCTTGTGATCCACCTGCCTCGGCCTCCTAAAGTGCTGGGATTACAGGCATGAGCCACCGTGCCTGGCCTTCCCTTCTTATTTTAATGTTTGAAATTGAGTTGTGTTTTATAATTGATTATGTCTTCTTTTTTATTTTTTTTCTTTTTTGAGACAGGATCTCGCTCTGCCATGCAGGTTGTGGTGCAGTGGCGTGATCTCGGTTCACTGCAGCCTCGACCTCCTAGACTTAAGCAATCCTTTCACTTCCACTTCCCCCGTAACTGGGACTACAGGCATGTGGCACCACACCAGGCTAATTTAATTTTTTTTTTTTTAAAAAAGAGACAGGGTCTCACTATGTTACCTAGGTTGGTCTGGAATTCCTGGCAACATCTGGAATTCCTGGCAACAAGCCGTCCTCCTGCCTTGGCCTCCCAAAGTGTTGGAACTACAGGCGTGAGCTACTGCACCTGGCTGCCTATGTCTTGTAAAGCATTACCCTATAAAGCTATTATTAAATTGATTACATGTCTTGCCACTGATAGGGTTTGATAAAAGGGATTTAATGATACATCCCCTCCAAGGTTCTCATAAAGCTTAAAGCACTTGGTACAGAATCAGCTTAAGAAATGGTGTTGGCCGGGCGCGGTGGCTCACGCCTGTAATCCCAGCACTTTGGGAGGCCGAGGCGGGTGGATCACGAGGTCAGGAGATCGAGACCATCCTGGCTAACAAGGTGAAACCCCGTCTCTACTAAAAATACAAAAAATTAGCCGGGCGTGGTAGCGGGCGCCTGTAGTCCCAGCTACTCGGGAGGCTGAGGCAGGAGAATGGCGTGAACCCGGGAGGCGGAGCTTGCAGTGAGCCGAGATCGCGCCACTGCACTCCAGCCTGGGCGACAGAGCGAGACTCCGTCTCAAAAAAAAAAAAAAAAAAAAAAAAAAAAAAAAAAGAAATGGTGTTATTACTTCTCATTAACTTCGCCATGGGCTGCATTACTAGTAAGTGGCAAAACCTCAATTGGAATCAAGTTTGTAACTGCAGTTACAGAATTCCTTCTCTTCTTGCCCAAATTCTAGCCTCAAACAGTGAGGGGACAGGCTCCTTATATTAGCTGGGAGTTGGTCCCTCATGTCATGTCCCAGACTCCTTGATTCTCACAACTCTGCCTGCTCTTCTAACTCTACTATCTTCATCAGGCACAAATCATGTGAACCCATCAACATTTGAAATTTGACATTTTAATCCTTAAACCAATGCACAGAGGACTTTCATAATTATGATTTGTTTTATTAAGTTGTCATATTGTCTTTCAGATATGGCGCTTCTGGGATAACAGGAACTAGGTAAAAAATGAAACAGGCTAAAAGGCAAACAGAAAGGTCAGTATTAAAAGTATTGAAATGAAGTCAAGCCATTAGCCTATTCCAACATCCTGTTTCAGTTTGTGTTTTTTTTTTTCTCCCCAGAAGGAATCAACAGTTCATTATTGTACTATGATTGGTGCCCATGCCACCCTACCCGCTGAAACGGACTCTGAACTGGTGAGAGGAGTGTGGTCAAGAATTACAACCATAAATTTGGTATAGTGGACATCTATTACTATTATTGTTGCTGTTGTTCTTTTATTTGCCTGCCTACCATCCAGTCTTCATTCTTTTCCATTGAAGGAGCTCTGCCCTTCCTCAGGACTTATGATTTGTTGATTTGTTGGGGAGCAGGACTCATCCTAGAGGTGGTTGAGAACCCCGGGCTTGGACAATCGGCACATTTCATCCCTTTGGCCACTGTATTTGGTTCAGGAATGAGCAAATAACTTACTTTTTATTATTATTATTATTATTTTGCGTAAGAGTCCATCTTTGCTAATGGGAATCAAGATCAGTTGGTGATTGGAAGGCCCCTAATAGCCACAGGCTAACATTGGAACTAAATCTTTTTTTTTTTTTTTTTTTTTGAGATGGAGTCTTGCTCTGTCACCCAGGCTGGAGTGCAGTGGCACCATCTCGGCTCACTGCAAGCTCCGCCTCCTGGGTTCACGCCATTCTCCTGCCTCAGCCTCCCGAGTAGCTGGGACTACAGGTGCCCGCCACCACGCCCAGCTAATTTTTTGTATTTTTAGTAGAGACGAGGTTTCACCATGTTAGCCAGGATGGTCTCGATCTCCTGACCTCGTGATCCACCCGCCTCGGCCTCCCAAAGTGCTGGGATTACAGGCATGAGCCACTGCGCCCGGCCGTTGAATGAAATCCTTAATGAGGTGTTGATCAGGATAGTTTTTCAGGGTCTCCCAGCACCATCAAGGAAGAGGCTTGCTCTGAACGCACTGACCCCTTGAGCGAGGCAGATATTTTTGTGAGCAGTGAGCTTACTGGGGTACCACAAATTAATAATCTTATTAAAACCATACAGTTCCCTCTTTTTGAATCTAGTGTTTATCAGCCAATTATTTGAACTTAATTCAACCTTACTTTAGTGGGAAGGGAGGGCAGAAAGCAAGTGAACCTGGTGCTCTGGGAGGTATATGGTAGGGTGCGTATAAATGAATAAACTCATGATCTGATTTGTAAGTGAGCCTCCTATAAATCTGATTATCATGAGCCAGGCCAACTGATGAGCGAGCTCAACTGGCGCTAATTTAACAAATTTAAATTTCAGAACCTACCTGGACATTTGAAAAATCACACCCAAAACAGAAATGGTCAACAACAAGAACCACCTTAAAGATTCCTTAAAATACCAAATTTTAAAATGACCTATTTGTTGTTGTTTTCTTTCCTTTTTCTTTTTCTTTTTCTTTTTTTTTTTTTTTTTGAGACAGAGTCTTGCTGTGTTGCCCAGGCTGGAGTACAGTGGCACCATCTTGGCTCACTGCAACCTCCGCCTCCTGGATTCAAGCGATTCTCCTGCCTCAGCCCCCCTAGAGTAGCTGGGATTACAGGCGCCTGCCACCATGCCCAGCTAATTCTCGTATTTTTAGTAGAGATGGCATTTCACCATGTTGGCCAGGCTGGTCTCGAACTCCTGACCTTGTGATCCACCTGCCTCGGCCTCCTAAAGTGCTGGGATTACAGGCGTGAGCCACCGTGCCTGGCCTTCCCTTCTTATTTTAATGTTTGAAATTGAGTTGTGTTTTATAATTGATTATGTCTTCTTTTTTATTTTTTTTCTTTTTTGAGACAGGATCTCGCTCTGCCATGCAGGTTGTGGTGCAGTGGCGTGATCTCGGTTCACTGCAGCCTTGACCTCCTAGACTTAAGCAATCCTTTCACTTCCACTTCCCCCGTAACTGGGACTACAGGCATGTGCCACCACACCAGGCTAATTTAATTTTTTTTTTTTTAAAAAGAGACAGGGTCTCACTATGTTACCTAGGTTGGTCTGGAATTCCTGGCAACATCTGGAATTCCTGGCAACAAGCCGTCCTCCTGCCTTGGCCTCCCAAAGTGTTGGAACTACAGGCGTGAGCTACTGCACCTGGCTGCCTATGTCTTGTAAAGCATTACCCTATAAAGCTATTATTAAATTGATTACATGTCTTGCCACTGATAGGGTTTGATAAAAGGGATTTAATGATACATCCCCTCCAAGGTTCTCATAAAGCTTAAAGCACTTGGTACAGAATCAGCTTAAGAAATGGTGTTATTACTTCTCATTAACTTCGCCATGGGCTGCATTACTAGTAAGTGGCAAAACCTCAATTGGAATCAAGTTTGTAACTGCAGTTACAGAATTCCTTCTCTTCTTGCCCAAATTCTAGCCTCAAACAGTGAGGGGACAGGCTCCTTATATTAGCTGGGAGTTGGTCCCTCATGTCATGTCCCAGACTCCTTGATTCTCACAACTCTGCCTGCTCTTCTAACTCTACTATCTTCATCAGGCACAAATCATGTGAACCCATCAACATTTGAAATTTGACATTTTAATCCTTAAACCAATGCACAGAGGACTTTCATAATTATGATTTGTTTTATTAAGTTGTCATATTGTCTTTCAGATACGGCGCTTCTGGGATAACAGGAACTAGGTAAAAAATGAAACAGGCTAAAAGGCAAACAGAAAGGTCAGTATTAAAAGTATTGAAATGAAGTCAAGCCATTAGCCTATTCCAACATCCTGTTTCAGTTTGTGTTTTTTTTTTTCTCCCCAGAAGGAATCAACAGTTCATTATTGTACTATGATTGGTGCCCATGCCACCCTACCTGCTGAAACAGACTCTGAACTGGTGAGAGGAGTGTGGTCAAGAATTACAACCATAAATTTGGTATAGTGGACATCTATTACTATTATTGTTGCTGTTGTTCTTTTATTTGCCTGCCTACCATCCAGTCTTCATTCTTTTCCATTGAAGGAGCTCTGCCCTTCCTCAGGACTTATGATTTGTTGATTTGTTGGGGAGCAGGACTCATCCTAGAGGTGGTTGAGAACCCCGGGCTTGGACAATCGGCACATTTCATCCCTTTGGCCACTGTATTTGGTTCAGGAATGAGCAAATAACTTACTTTTTATTATTATTATTATTATTTTGCGTAAGAGTCCATCTTTGCTAATGGGAATCAAGATCAGTTGGTGATTGGAAGGCCCCTAATAGCCACAGGCTAACATTGGAACTAAATCTTTTTTTTTTTTTTTTTTTTTTGAGATGGAGTCTTGCTCTGTCACCCAGGCTGGAGTGCAGTGGCACCATCTCGGCTCACTGCAAGCTCCGCCTCCTGGGTTCACGCCATTCTCCTGCCTCAGCCTCCCGAGTAGCTGGGACTACAGGCGCCCGCCACCACGCCCAGCTAATTTTTTGTATTTTTAGTAGAGACGAGGTTTCACCATGTTAGCCAGGATGGTCTCGATCTCCTGACCTCGTGATCCACCCGCCTCGGCCTCCCAAAGTGCTGGGATTACAGGCATGAGCCACTGCGCCCGGCCGTTGAATGAAATCCTTAATGAGGTGTTGATCAGGATAGTCTTTCAGGGTCTCCCAGCACCATCAAGGAAGAGGCTTGCTCTGAATGCACTGACCCCTTGAGCGAGGCAGATATTTTTGTGAGCAGTGAGCTTACTGGGGTACCACAAATTAATAATCTTATTAAAACCATACAGTTCCCTCTTTTTGAATCTAGTGTTTATCAGCCAATTATTTGAACTTAATTCAACCTTACTTTAGTGGGAAGGGAGGGCAGAAAGCAAGTGAACCTGGTGCTCTGGGAGGTATATGGTAGGGTGCGTATAAATGAATAAACTCATGATCTGATTTGTAAGTGAGCCTCCTATAAATCTGATTATCATGAGCCAGGCCAACTGATGAGCGAGCTCAACTGGCGCTAATTTAACAAATTTAAATTTCAGAACCTACCTGGACATTTGAAAAATCACACCCAAAACAGAAATGGTCAACAACAAGAACCACCTTAAAGATTCCTTAAAATACCAAATTTTAAAATGACCTATTTGTTGTTGTTTTCTTTCCTTTTTCTTTTTCTTTTTCTTTTTTTTTTTTTTTTTGAGACAGAGTCTTGCTGTGTTGCCCAGGCTGGAGTACAGTGGCACCATCTTGGCTCACTGCAACCTCCGCCTCCTGGATTCAAGCGATTCTCCTGCCTCAGCCCCCCTAGAGTAGCTGGGATTACAGGCGCCTGCCACCATGCCCAGCTAATTCTCGTATTTTTAGTAGAGACGGGGTTTCACCATGTTGGCCAGGCTGGTCTTGAACTCCTGACCTCAGGTGATCAAATCACCCCGGCCTCCCAAAGTGCTGGGATTACAGGCGTGAGCCACTGTGCCTGGCCTGTTATTGTTTTCTTGAGGGAGAAATAGAATTGGTGTTTGTTCTGTGGTCTGGATGCACTGTGTGGGTGATCATTGAGAGTTTTGGGGCTGTTTGGCCGCTTTTGCAAGTCCTCAGCCATCAAAACTTTTTGATTCTTTGTGTGGTTGCTGAGATATTAGCTATGAAAAGTGAACACCAGCACAGCCTTAGAAAGATGTTCTAACTTGATAAAGTGATTCAGTCTTTCAGAAAGTTTACATCTGTGACTATCCAGATAAGGCATTAGGTTCTAGAGAAAGGGATGGAAAGTTGAAGGAATGTTCAATTTATTTTATAGTATGGCATATTGCAGCATATTCAAGATAAAGAATGCCCTTTAGAGAATATTACTTTTCATTAAGACTTGATATTCCTATGTGAGCCGGAAAAAAGTAAACTATTAATAGACTTGCTAGGGTTTTTACTTATTAAGTGTAAGGAACACTGAATATCTACTATTATATGGCATGGGTTAAGTAAATGTTACTTTTTACACAATGTAAGTGCAAGATACTGTCAAAGTAATTTCATAATCGTTTCAAAAGCCAGATAAAGGCACTTGCCATAAAAGTTGTAATGTTTTTTAAATGTCAGAGCAGTAACTGAGCAATTATAAGAGTTAGGGCACATTTTGTTATTAATTTGTCACTCTTACTATGACATTAACTTCCTTCCTCCAAATTGCTCATTTGACATTTTTCCAATTCGGATTGTGTGAGGAGCTTCACAATGGACATTGCCTCATTGGCTTTCTTTCCTTCCTTCCTTCCTTCCTTCCTTCCTTCCTTCCTTCCTTCCTTCCTTCCTTCCCTTTCTTTCTTTCTTTCTTTCTTTCTTTCTTTCTTTCTTTCTTTCTTTCTTTCTTTCTTTCTTTCTTTTTCTTTCTCTCTCTCTTTCCCTCCCTCCCTCCCTCCGCCCCTCCCTCCCTCCCCTCCTTCCTTTCTTTCTTTCTTTCTTTTCTTTCTTCTCTCTTTCTTTTCTTTCTTTCTTTCCTTCTTTCTATAATTAAAAAGAAAACCATACAAGTTAAGCACAAATACTTTTTTGTAAAAAGAATTTTCAAATGATGAAAAAGCAAATGTTTTCTTTGATTCCTACCCAATCTTACTTCTCTTTCCAGAAGTTACACTGCTGTGTAGCATATCCACTTCCAGCCCCTTCTCTATGCATTTATGAAAAAATATGTGCATATATCAGTGTATGCTTCTATTTTTGGTATGTGTGTTTATAAATTAGATCATAGTGTATATACTGCTTTGCAACTTGCTTTTTTCACTTAATGAGATGTGTTAGGGATCTTCCCATATCAGTACATGTAGACTTTATTCATACAGTCATTCAACAAATATTTATTGAGCACGATTGTGGATTTTATCGTGGCTCAGCAAATATTCACTCCCCTTCCCCCAGCTCCCCAGAGGAGGAGTGTATTTCCCTTCCCCATTGATGTGGAGCTTGTTCATATGAGTTGCTTAGGCCAAGGGAATGAGAGTGGTGGAAAGGACAGTGTGCCAGATCCTAGCAGAAGCTTACAGAAACATAGCAAGTTCTGCTAGCCTTCTTGGGCCCCTCCCCTCCACTAAAAAAATTGTATGTCCCCCACGTTCTTCAGCTGAGCCCCTTGCTTAGAAAGACACATGGAGCAGACCTGGACCCAACCCACAGCCTGGACCAGAGTTGTTACCATTGACTATAGAGCCACGAGCAATAAATAAATGTTTGTTGCTGCAAGCCATTGAGATTTTGGGATTTTTGTAACTCAGCATGATCCCAGCCAAAGCTGATTGGTACAAACACCTGCTATTTGCCAGGTATTGTTCTAAATGCTAGGAAAACAACAAAAATCCCTGCTCATATGGAACTTACACTGTGTGTTAGTCTGTTTTTGCATGCTATAAAGAAATAGCTGAGGCTGGGTAACTTATAAAGAAAAGAGGTTTAATTGGCTCACTATTCTGCAGGCTGTACAGGAAGCACCGCACTGGCATCTGCTTCTGGTGAGGGCCTTAGGAAGCTTACAATCGTGGCGGAAGGTGAAGGAGGAGCAGGCATGTCACTTGGTGAGAGTGGAAACAAGAGAAGGGGGAGGTCCTAGACTCCTTAAGACAAGCAGATCTCCTGTGAAGTAACTGAGCTATTAACTCACTAATTACCAAGAAGATGGCGCTAAGCCATTCATGAGAGATCCACCCCCATGACCCAAACATCTCCTACCAGGCCCTACCTCCAACATTGAGGGGATCACATTTTTTTTCTTTCCTTTTTTTTTTGGAGACAGGGTGTATTAGTCCATTTTCATACTGCTGATAAACACATACCCGAGACTGGGCAATTTACAAAAGAAAGAGGTTTAATTAGACTTACAGTTCCACATGGCTGGGGAGGCCTCACAATCATGGTGGAAGGCAAAGAGGAGCAAGTCACACCTTATGTGGATGGCAGCAGGCAAAGAGAGAGATTGCGCAGGGCAACTCTCATTTTTAAAACCATCAGATCTCATGAGACCCATTCACTACCATGAGAACAACACAGGAAAGACCCATCCCCATAATTCAGTCATCTCCCACTGGGTTCTTCCCACAACACGTGGGAATTATGGGAGCTACAAGATGAGATTTGGGTGGGGACACAGAGCCAAACACAGGGTCCCACTCAGTCACCCAGGCAGGAGTGCAGTGGCATGATCTCAGCTCACTGCAGCCTTGGCCTCCCAGGCTCAAGTGATCCTCCTGCCTTGGCCTCCCAAGTAGCTGGGACTACAGGCATGCACCACCATGCCTGGCTAATTTTCTGTATTTTTGTAGAGACGGGGTTTCACCGTGTTGCCTAGGCTGGTCTCAAACTCCTGGGCTCAAGTAATCCACCTGTCTTGGCCTCCCTAAGTGCTGGGATTACAGGCGTGAGCCACTGCGCTCCGCAGGTTCACATTTCAACAAGATTTGGAGGAGACAAACATCCAAGCCATATCACATTGAAAAGCAGGGTAGTATTCTATGGAATGGTTGAACCATGGTAAGGCATTGTCTCTTTTTCAGTCTCATAGGTCTTTTGTAGAAAATGCTTAGCATGCAATGTCTGTGCGTCCTCAGTGCTTCTACCATCTCCATCCCCTCCTTCCCATTGCCACTGCTACCTGTTCACTCGTCCTCTCTCCACTTTCCACCTCGACCGTGGAGCCAGTAAAAATTAGTCCTTTCTCTAGGTTCTCCCCACCCTTAGATGGCCCCATGCATTGTGATGGTACAACTTCTAGCCATGACCTTGCCTCACACCGAAGACCCTTTCTCCTTACTTACAAAACACAATGTTGGGCCTTCAAAGTCCATCCCTCCCAAATTTCCAACCTCATTCTTTCCTAACTCTTGCACTCTCATGTTTGGCTAGATCAACCTGCTTACTGCCCAGGGCACACATCCTATAGTGGGCTACAGTGGTGAGCCAGCCAGAATACCCCTTTACGACTGAGACACTCACTCCCTCAGCTGCTGGGAGTGTTGGTGGATAATGGCTTGCATTTTAGTTCCTCTCTGGGGATTGCTGTCAGCTGAGGAGAACCACCTCACCCAAAATTCACATTCCTTTCTCTATATCCAATGACTGGTCAAGGGGAGGGGCTATAAATACTTGCCTCGCCTTGTCTCTGAATAGTCAATCCATGGGATTGGCTAAGGCCTGTTTTTTGTGATGATATTGAAGTCCAATAGCTTTCCCTGCAAAATTCTACGTCTTTCACTCCCCACAGGGATTGATCCAAAGTATACTCCCTAATACATTTTTCTTTTTTCTTCATGGCCTCCCCCAAACATCACCTATTCCGTAGCATTTTGCCTGACTCCTCAGCCCAGAAGACCTTACTCTCCTTTTGAATCTCTACTAGGAGCACTCTTTTTTTTTTTTTGAGATGGAGTTTTGTTCTTGTTGCCCAGGCTGGAGTGCAATGGCATAATCTTGGCTCACTGCAACCTCTGCCTCCCGGATTCAAGCGATTCTCCTGCCTCAGCCTCCCGAGTAGCTAGGATTACAGGCATGTGCCACCACACCTGGCTAATTTTGTATTTTTAGCAGTGATGGGGTTTCTCCAAGTTGGTTAGGCTGGTCTCGAACTCCTGATCTCGGGTGATCTGCCCCCACTCGGCCTCCTAAAGTGCTGGGATTAGAGACGTGAGCCACCACTCTCGGCCTTAGCATGTAGTTTCTTTTTTTTTTTTTTTTTTTTTTTTTTGAGAGAGTCTCACTCTGTCACCCAGGCTGGAGTGCAGTGGCACAATCTTGGCTCACTGCAACCTCTGCCTCTCAGGTTCAAGCGATCCTCCTGCCTCAGCCTCCTGAGTAGCTGGGACTACAAGCATGAGCCACCATGCTTGGCTAATTTTTGTATTTTTAGTAGAGACAGTGTTTCACCATGTTGGCCAGGCTGGTCTTGAACTCTTGACCTTGTGATCCGCCCACCTTGGTCTCCCAAAGTGCTGGGATTACAGGTGTGAGCCACTGCACCTGGCCAAGCAGTACTCTTTTCACACTTCCGTTGCGGCACTATGGGAGCTGGCAGGTTGGAAGGGAAAGAGCCTGAACTTAGGAGCCAAGCAGGCTGGGACTCCTCCACTTGCTAGTAGTGTGGGCATGGCCTCTGCAGTTTTTCTTATCAACAAAATAGGATTACAAAACGGCCACTTCATAGGTTTGTTGTGAGCATTAAATGAGATAATACAGACAAAAGTGCCTCCCACATAGGGGGTGCCCAAATTCAAGATCTTTCTACATTTTTCTTTTTCCCTTTATTATATCTTGTTATCTTTATTGATTATATCAGTCGTTTGTTGGCTTGTCTCATCTGTAGACAGGCTTTGTAAGGTCTGGAATGTGCCTTGCTTATCTTTTTAAAAAACTTTTATTTTAGGTTGGGGGGGTACATGTGCAGGTTTGTTATACAGATAAACTTGTGTCATGGGGGTTTGTTGTATAGATTACTTAGTCACCTAGGTACTAAGCCTAGTACCCAATGGTTATTTTTTCTAATCCTCTTGCTCCTCTCACCCTCCACCCTCTAATAGGCCCCAGTGTGTATTGTTCCCCTCTATGTGTCCATGAGTTTTCATCATTCAGCTCCATCTTATAAGTGAGAACATGTGGTATTTGGTTTTCTATTCCTGCATCAGTTTACTAAAGATAATGGCCTCCAGTTCCATCTGTGTTCCCACAAAAGGTATGATCTCATTCCTTTATTATGGCTGCATAGTATTCCATGGTGTATATGTACCACATTTTCTTTATCCAATCTGTCATTGGTGGCATTTAGGTTGATTCCATGTCTTTGCTATTGTAAATAGTGTTGCAATAAACATTCATGTGCATGTGTCTTTATGATGGAATGATTTACAGTCCTCTGGTTATATACCCAGTAATGGGATTCCTAGGTTGAGTGGTAGTTCTGCTTTTAGCTCCTTGAGGAAGCACCACACTGCTTTCCATAATGGTTGAACTAATTTATACTCCCACCAACAGTGTGTTTGTTTCTCCACAACTTCACCAGCATCTGTTATTTTTTCACTTCTTAGTAACAGCCATTCTGACTGGTGTGAGATGGCATCTCATTGTGGTTTTTATTTGCATTTCTCAATATCAGTAATATTGAGCTTTTTTTCATAGGCTTGTTGGCCATATATATATCTTCTTTTGAAAAATGTCTGTTCATGTCCTTTACCCACTTTTTAATGGGGTTGTTTTTCTCTTGTAAGTTTGCTTAAATTCCTTATAAATGCTGGATATTAGACCTTTGTCAAATGCATAATTTGCATTCTGTAGGTTGTCTGTTAACTCTGTTGATAGTTTCTTTTGCTTTGCAGAAGCTCTTTAGTTTGATAAGATCCCATTTTTCAATTTTTGCTTTTGTTGTGGTTGCTTTTGGCATCTTCGTTACAAAATCTTTGTCCATTCCTATATCCAGGATGGTGTTGCCTAGGTTGTCTTCCAGGGTTTTTATAGTTTTGTGTTTTATATTTAAGTCTTTAATTCATCTTGAGTTGATTTTTGTATATGGTGTAAGGAAGGGGTCCAGTTTCAATCTTCTGCATTTGGCTAGCCAGTTATCCTAGCAACACTGATTGAATGGGGAGTCCTTTCCCCATTGCTTGTTTTTGTCACGTTGCTTATCTTCGGATTTACACAGTGCTTAACACAAAGAGCTTAATAAATGTTGTTGAACTGCTCTAGTGTTCTGTAGCACCCTAGGGTGACTGTTATAATTAACAACAATTTATTGTCTATTTTCAAATAGCAAAAAGAACAGATTTTTGTTTGTTTGTTTCTTTTTTGAGATGGAGTCTTGCTCTGTCACCCACACTAGAGTGCATTGGCACGATGTCGGCCCATTGCAACCTCGGCCTCCCAGGTTCAAGTGATTCTCCTGCCTTACCCTCCCGAGTAGCTGGGACTACAGGCGTGCGCCACCACGCCCAGGTAATTTTTTTTTTTTGTACATTTAGTAGAGACAGGGTTTTGCCACATTGGTCAGGCTGGTCTCGAATTCCTGACCTCAGGTGATCCACCCGCCTTGGCCTCCCAAAGTGTTGGGATTACAGGCTTGAGCCACCACACCCAGCCAAGAACAGATTTTGAATGTTCTCAAAAAAAAAAAAAAAAAAAGATAAATGTTTGAGGTGATGGATATGCCAGTTACCCTGACTTGATCATTACATATTATATACATATATCTAAATACCACATGTACCCCAACATATGTATAATTATTACACATCAATTAAAAAAATAATAAAAGCAAAGAAAAGTTGTTGAACTCAATACTACTTTGGGACAAATCCTTCTAGTTTGTTTTTGGAACCAAGAATTTCCATGTTGTATCTCATAATCCATGAATTTATCACACAAATAAAGGAGTCCAGAATGCCTATTTATGAATTCTCAATAGCAACTGTAATTGAAAAGAGTTCTGACAGCCCTTGGGATGGCCTTGTCTTTCTCTGCAAGTACCATATGGGAACCCAAGCTGCAAACAAAGGTACACTTAGGGTGTTTGGAATCAGATAACAGCTAAGGAATTCCAAAGCAAACCACAAACGTTGGTGTTCCTATGATTAAAGTTTATTTTAATCTATTTTTTTTCTATGACCGTAGTTGAGCATTCTAAAATAATCTTAAAAGTTAGCACAGGGGCTGGGTGCGGTGGCTCACACCTGTAATCCTAGCACTTTGGGAAGCCAAGGAGGGTGGATCACTGGAGGTCAGGAGTTGAAGAGCAGCCTGGCCAACATGGTGAAACTCCATCTCTACTAAAAATACGAAAATTAGCTGGGCATGGTGGCGGGTGTCTGTAATCCCAGCTACTCGGGAGGCTGAGGCAGGAGAATCACTTGAACCTGGGAGGCGGAGGTTGCAGTGAGCCGAGATCGTGCCATTGTACTCCAGCCGGGGCAACAAGAGCAAAACTCCATCTCAAAAAAACAAAAGCAAAAACAAAAACAAAAAAACACCAGGGCAAAAAGTGACCAAGTTAGCATAGTGACTTAGCATATGTCCAAGACATGTTTCTTAAATGAATAAATGAATAGGTGAATGGGTGTGGCTGAGTGATGGGTGTTCTGTAGAAGGCATACTTTCCTCTCCTCACACAGTTCGGTCACCTTTAGGGAAAACTGAAGGGCAGAGTTGGACTTCTTTCCTATGTAGCCACTATGTAGGCGTGGTTGCTGGGGTAAGTGAGACAGTGCCTCTTGTGTCTGACAGTATCATTTTGAAGGGGAGCACCTATGGTGATAATGACGTGTTGTGGGAAGGGAACTTTGTTTAAAATCCCAGGGAAGCTTTAAGTCCAAGTTTCTTTTTTAAAATTTTTAATTATTATTATTACTATTTTTTGAAGAGATGGGATCTCACTATGTTGCCCAGGCTGGTGTTGAATTTCTGGGATCAAGTGATCCCCTTGCCTTGGCCTCCCAAATTGCTGGGATTATAGGTGTGAGTCACTGTGCCTGGCCTCCAAGTTTCTTAATAAGCATTAATGATCCATGTCATAAGTTGGGTTCCCTGTGATGTGAACAATGAAACTGAGTTAGTGTACAGGATGTTTATTAAGGAGAGCACTTGGAATCAATACTGTAGAAAGGAGAGGAAGGAAGCAGAAGTGGCCAGAGGGAGACTCTGAGCTGTGATGCAGGCCCAAAGACAGCTTTGACCTACCTACAGGGAGTTCTAGAGCTAAATTGCCCTTCAAAATTGTCCCAAGTTGGGCCAAGGTGACCAGTCCTTTATAGCCTTGTCTCAATCAGTCATTGAATGTTGGCCATCCCCAGGACAGTGTGATTTGGGGTGAGATGTGTCTCTGTGACTGAGGCAGACTCTGAAGGGGCTGGCATTTGAGGGCTGTGTGCTTACAGCACTCTCTTACCTGGGCCTTCCTCATAGGGGGATCTGGGCTGTGTATGTCCATAGTCAACACAACCTGCTATGGCCCTATCCCTGTCCCTCCTCCTGCCCTCTCCTTCTGCCTTCCTTGCTTCTCCTCTCTCTCTTTTTTTTTTTTTTTTTTTTGAGATGGAGTTTCGCTCTTGTTGCCCAGGCTGAAGTACAATGGCATGATCTCGGTTCACCGCAACCTCTGCCTCCTGGGTTCAAGTGATTCTCCTGCCTCAGCCTCCCAAGTAGCTGGGATTACAGGCATGCACCACCACACCTGGCTAATTTTGTATTTTTAGTAGAGACGGGATTTCTCCATGTTGGTCGGGCTGGTCTTGAACTCCCAACCTCAGGTGATCCGCCCGCCTCGGCCTCCCAAAGTGCTGGGATTACAGGCGTGACCCACCGCGCCTGGCCTTTCTTTTTTTTTTTTTGAGACAGGGTTTTGCTGTGTCTCCCAGGCTGTAGTGCAGTGGTGCTATCACGGCTCACTGCAACCTCCACTTCCTGGGTTCAAGCGATTTTCATGCCTCAGCCTCCAGAGTAGCTGGAATTACAGGTGTGCACTACAACGCCCGGCTAATTTTTGTATTTTTAGTAGAGATGGGGTTTCATTATGTTGGCCAGGCTGGTCTTGAACTCCTGACCTCAAGTGATCCGCCCTCCTCAGCCTCCTAAAGTGCTAAGATTACAGGCGTGAGGCATCGTGCCCGGCCTTTGCTTCCCCTTTCTAACCCAGCACACTAAAGGCTTGTGGTCTCCATGCCTTTGCTCATGCTGCCTCCCTTCTCAGAATATCCTTCTCCTCTTTTGCTGAGCTAACTTTCACTCTTCCTCTAAGATTAATTTCTGGGCATCATCTCTTCCAAGACATTTTTCTGGATTCCTCAAAACAAAATACATGCTTCCTCACTGTGCTTTCAAAATCCCCTGCACCTGGTGCCTCTTTGCCATTTTATTGTGTATCTCTTGTTCCAGACTGGGAGCTCCTTCAGGGCCTGGCATTA
Organism: Homo sapiens; assembly: GCF_000001405.40. Classification (NCBI taxonomy): domain Eukaryota; kingdom Metazoa; phylum Chordata; class Mammalia; order Primates; family Hominidae; genus Homo; species Homo sapiens. The sequence goes on along the minus strand of NC_000023.11, from coordinate 44,431,411 downwards.
GCAAAGTCTGACTCATACATGGGAGTTCAATTCATGTTTGTCAAATGAATGACTGGATGGAAGAATGACAGAGTTTTTTTTAACACCAATAATACATGAGTGTGTAATTCTAATGGCTAAGAAGTTACAAAATAGGTCTGTTATAACATCATGTGTGTTGATTCAGACATTTAAATTCATAATAAATAGGTGTCTCAAATTCTCTTAATCCTTTTTCATCTGGCTGGCTGGTTGTTTTGTAAAATGAACAGCATGTAGAATACCTTCCTGAACTTCTGTTTCCTAACCAGTGGGTTGGGTCACTTTGGTGGATCATGAAGATGCACTTGATGAGCCACAGTATCCTTAGTTTCTTGATTCTGTTATCAATTTCTGTCTGGCAAGGTAGAATTTAGTGGTAACTGTAGTAGAGACAGGAAGTGGGACAACATGGGCAAACATGTGAGTGTCTAGAGGTCAAGTGTTTGGGATGTGGCTGTTGAAGGATTGGTTGGGAGAAAGCAGGAGGCAGGAGGCAGCACACCCTGCCTTGTCTATATATTCTGCTTTGCACAAGGCTGATGAACATAGATATTTCAAATAACTGAAAATGATGTCTCAACAGAAGCCTCCTTATGTGGAATTGGCTGCTGTTGCCAAGCCAGGATGAGCTGAGGATGGAAAATGAAACAGAGCATGAGCTGAGGATGTAGACCACTCAGAGAGGCATGTCCTTGGTAAAAGAGAAAATTTGTCCTGTATACGTCTGTGCAAAGAACACTCCTATATTAAATCTTGTGATTGCAAATGATAGAGGCCCAACTGGAGCCACCTTAGAGAAAAAGGAGGATTTATTGGCTCTTGTAGAAAACCCTGTAAAGAGAAAGGTGTAGCTGGCTTCTGGGAGGACAGGGACAGAGGCTGGTCCCCTACTAGCATGGAGAGTGAAGCTTTCTTTGTGTCAATTGTCCTCTTTCAGGGACTTTTCCACAAGACTGGCCCACCGATGACAGAAGCTGCTAACTCTCATCTGCCCAGATTTCATTCATCCAATTCATAAAACACGTATCAATGGAACATCTATAACATTACAGACACTTTTCTAGGTGCTGGAAATAGTAGGAGAAGAAATGCAAGAAAATAAACTCTGTTCATATTCTAGAGGAGGAAATTCAGGCAGTAAACAAAAGTAAAGAGAAATATTTTACAGTATGTTAGAAAGTAGTAAGTGCTATGGAAAAAAAAATCAAGCATAAGGCCAGGCATGGTGGCTTATGCCTGTAATCCCAACACTTTGAGAGCCAGAGGCCAGTGGATCACTTGAGCCCTGGAGTTTGAGACCAGCCTGGGCAACGTGGTGAAACCCTGTCTCTACAAAAAATACAAAAATTAGCTGGGTGTGGTGGTGGGTGCCTGTAGTCCCAGCTACTCGGGAGGCTGAGGTGGGAGAATCTCTTGAGCCTGGGAGGTCCAGGCTACAGTGAGCCATGATTGCACCACTGCACTCCAACCTGGGTGTCGGAGTGAGACCCTGTCTCAAAACCAAAACAAAAACAAAAAGAAAAAAAAAATTAAGCATAGAGGAGGGATAGAAAGCGCTGGGGTGGGGAGTTGCAATTTAAATTGAGTAGTCATGGTGGGCCTTTCTAGGAAGATGACATTTGAGCAAAGACCTGAAAGAAGAGAGGGAGTAAGCCATGCAAATAACTGAGGACAAAGGACTGAAGTCAGGGAGAACAGCAAGTGCAAAGGACGTGAGGTAGGCATGTACTTGGTGTGTGTGAGGAACAGCAACAGGTCTAAGGCTAAATAGGAGTGAGCAAAGACATGAGGCCAGGGAGGTAAGAGAATGCGGGGCAGATTCTGTAGAGTTCTGTGAGTCATAGCAAAGACTTTGACCTTGACTTAGAGTATGAGTTAGGCAACTACTAGAGGGTTTTGCATGGAGAAGTGACATTATCTGATTTGCGTTCACCTCTGGCTTCTGTGTTGAGAGTGAACTGTAGAGAGGCAAGGGTGGAAGTAGGGAGACCAGTTAGGTACCTATTGCAATCATTCAAGGGAGATATGATCGTGGCTGAGACCAGGTTGAGTCACAGTTCTGCTGTCTGAGAGAGATTGATCCTGTCAAGTTCCATGTAAAAACAGAATGAATTCTATGGGGTCATATGGGTCACATGGGCACAAGTATGACTGGTTACCACACTGTGAGCAGTTAAGTGGAGTGGTAGAGGGGACAGTTTATATAAAATGTGGTGAGCTGTTTCTAGAAGAGGGGAAGAGAAAGCGGCAGATCACAATAGCTATCTATTTCAGGTGTTGTTTACTCAAGCCTGCTTTGAAATTATACAAGCATTCTTCTGCCTTTGACTGCATGTTTGAATAGTTCTAGGAAAAATTCTCTTCCTATAACTCACACAGTATATTCCACTACATCCAAGGACTAGTTTGCTGAAAAATCAAGCTAAGGTTTTTGTGAAGAACTGAGCTGTGAGTGGATTTGATCCTAACACAATGTCTTTTAGAGTTCTTGACTTCCCTCCTACAGAAGTTTTCTTTGTTGAAATATAGCTTACTCAATTTCTTATTACTGTCACAACAAATGACTTAAATGGTTCCATATGCGTGTGCCTGGTTTTCTCAAAAACTACCTCTTTAGAATGCCACCCTGATTCTCTGAAAAGAGAATGTGTGACAAACATTACAATATTTATGTCATCTTATCTTCAGAGTGACTCTGGAAAATGCTGGACATAAATTTAGGAGTCTTAAGAGTAAAATAGGCTCTTCTGACATGGCTGTTACAATCGCAATGAAAGATTCTAAAAACAGAAATGGTAGTCTTTTTATATTTAACCATGATATAAATTCAATGACTGGTCCTTAAACAGTGGTCTCTTTCCTCCAATTTTTTTTTTCACAAAGGCATGACATGATGACAACTTCAACCATTTCAGACTGTATCCACTATTAAAATCGATCTCTCTCACAATGACAATGCATTCCTCCGCTTCAACTTTTATTTTATACTCTTGGTTTAGATTGAGTTTGATGTTATCACTTTGCATCCTGGAAAAAGAAGTTGAATATTTCTTTCTTTTTTGTTTACAGGCTTACCTGTGGCCTTTCTAGAGTGAGATGTTTAGACTTTGTTTCTATTGTATACTCTCTGAGTACTGTGAGTTACATCCAGATGGAAGTAATTATTCCCAGGTGGGACTAATCCTTGTTAAGGCACCATTCTATTCACCACTGATTCCATGGTCTACACTTTCTGACAGCCAATAGTCACCTTCTGTACCCTCAATGACCAGCTAGCATGTATCTGCCACTTCTCTCTTTTTCTCTTTCTCTACTCTTCACCCATTTTTTCTCTCCCCTGGATTTAGCACAAAAATGTAAATGGCAACACAAAAATTTGTTCTGAAAGACTAAATCCGTGTTACATCTTGGAAACGATGTATAGTGTGTTAGATCATTAATTTACATGGAATTATTTTATTTTGATTTTGATTTTTTTGAGACGGAGTTTCACTCTTGTTGCCTAGGCTGGAGTGCAATGGCATGATCTTGGCCCACCGCAACCTCCGCCCCCCGGGTTCAAGTGATTCTCCTGCCTCAGCCTCCCGAGTAGCTGGGATTACAGCCATGCGCCACCACGCCTGGCTAATTTTGTATTCTTAGTAGCGACGGGGTTTCTCTATGTTGGTCAGGCTGAGCTCAAACTCCCGACCTCAGGTGATCTGCTGACCTCGGCCTCCCAAAGTGCTGGCATTACAGGCGTGAGCACCCCCCGGGCTTACACAGAATTAGAATGTAAGAAACCATAATGTATGCCCTAAGTGCTTCTGCTATAAAGGAGAGGATGGAAGGAGACTTGTACTCCAGTGGGGAAGAGTATTGTATCACTGATATTGTTTAGAATTGTTGACACACTGATATAGTAAAAGACAGACTAATTTTCATTCATGCTATTGTTTTCAAATTCCCTAAAGACAATGCCCTTGTTTATTGCCTGTCCTCAGGGCTGACTGTTATTACTGCTTCCACTTTAGTTCACAATTTTCTGGTATTCGTGAAGAAAAAAAAAAAAAGAATGAAAACCACATGAGGACAGCGATTTTTGCCAGTTTTGTTCATCAGTGTATCCCAAGGGCCTGGAACAGTGCCCAGCATATATCAAGTGCTCAATAAATGATTTTTTTAATGAATGCATTTATTATGAGATATTAGCACAAACAAAAGAAGGTATAGAATCAATTTGTAAGATATAAAGAAAAATGTAGCAAATATTTACCAAGCTGACCTAATAAATATCATTTAACACTACTACATCCCTTGAATAAACTTCTCTTGTCATATCTCTTTCCATTATTCCAGAGCCTACGGCAATCTTGAATTAATCTTTATTTTACTTTTTCTATTTTACTGTATTATTTGTTTTCATTCTTAATTGAGTGTGGAGTATTTTGTACATACAAAAGAATGTTAGGTAGATAACAAACGCCCATATATCTACCACCTAACTAAAGCAATAAATTATTACCAAGACCATTGATGTTTCTGTGTTCCTCCCGATCTTAAAAGGCCACATCTTCCTCCCCTTTTCTAAATTTTGTGTTTCTCATTTCCTTGCTTATTTTTTTTAGGCTTACTACATTTTAATGTATGAATATAAAATATTCTTTCATTTGACATTTTAAACTTCATGTAAATGGTAAAATATTGCATATATTCATCTATAACTTGCTTTTTGATAAGCATTATGTGTGTGAGAGTCTACTGCTCTGGGGACCAATTATGCCAGCTGTGTACTGCACAACTCTAGGGGGGGCTGTTTGCCTTGAGGTCTGGGTGAATGATAACCCCTGGAGTTGTACAGTGTAGAACCTGCTTGGCTGTACATAAGGCTGTGACAGATTGTGTTTCCAACTATGTCCACAAAATATCTCCCATCCCAGAAGCTTTTTTGCAATGTGACCTTGTCATGCCCCCATCAAGAAATGGAGAGTATTTTTCCTCCTTGTGGATCTGGGCTGGCCTTGTGACTTATTTCAACTAATAGAATGTAGTAACTTCCAAGACTAAGAAGTAAGAGGTCTCTAACTTCTTCCTTTACCATTTGTAATGCTCCAAGCTACCATGTAAGAAATCTGATTACTCCAAGACCACCATGTTGTGAGGAAGTCTAAGCTGAAGCTGACCCTATAGTAAGAGAGAAGCCACTTGGAGGAGCACTGAGGTGCCAGACATGTGCATGAAGCCATATGGCACCTCCTAGCTCAGTCCAATCACGGACTGAATGCAGCGGAGTGAATGACCCCAGCTGATCCTATGTGGGGCAAAACTGCCCAGCTAAGCCCTGACTAAATTCCTCACCTGCAATATCATGAGCCAATAAAATGAAACTAGAATAGCCCTTCAAAATATTCCCACTTGTCCTGAGTTGGACTGATCAGTCATTGGATGTGGCCACCCCAGCAAGGAAGGTGATCTTGGACCAGGCAGCTCTCTGCAACTGAGGCAGTCCCTGAGGTCCCACCACTGAAGGTGAACTGCTGACAGCACTACCATAGAGTCTTTATGTTATTCTCTACATAAGATCATGTCATCTGCTAACAGGGACAATTTGACTTCCTCCTTTCCAATTCGGATGCCCTTTATTTCTTTCTCTTGCATAATTGCTCTGGCTAGGACTTCCAGTACTATGTTGAATAAGAGTGGTAAGAATAAGCATCTTTGTCTTGTTCTGGTTCTTAGAGGAAAAGCTCACAAGTATTTTATTGTGTGAATATCTATTATTTAACTCTTTTCCTATTGATGGATATTTGGATTCCTGAGATCATCAGATATTCTTTTGAGAAGTAAAATCCTTTACATACAAGCAAATGCTGAGAGATTTTGTCACCACCAGGCCTCCCCTACAAGAGCTCCTGAAGGAAGCACTAAACATGGAAAGGAACAACTGGTACCAGCCACTGCAAAAACATGCCGAATTGTAAAGACCATTGAGGCTAGGAAGATACTGCATCAACTAATGAGCAAAATAACCAGCTAACATCATAATGGCAGGATCAAATTCACACATAACAATATTAACCTTAAATGCAAATGGACTAAATGCTCCAATTAAAAGACACAGACGGGCAAATTGGATAAAGAGTCAAGACCCATCAGTGTGCTGTATTCAGAAGACCCATCTCATGTGCAGAGACACACACAGGCTCAAAATAAAGGGATGCAGGAAGATCTACCAAACAAATGAAAAACAAAAAAAGGCAGGGGTTGCAATCCTAGTCTCTGATAAAACAGACTTTAAACCAACAAAGATCAAAAGAGACAAAGAAGGCCATTACATAATGGTAAATGGATCAATTCAACAAGAAGAGCTAACTATCCTAAACATATATGCACCCAATACAGGAGCACCCAGATTCATAAAGCAAGTCCTTAGAGACCTACAAAGAGACTTAGACTCCCACACAATAATAATGAGAGACTTTAACACCCCACTGTCAGCATTAGAGAGATCTACGAGAGAGAAAGTTAACAAGGATATCCAGGAATTGAACTCAGCTCTGCACCAAGCAGATCTAGTAGACATCTACAGAACTCTCCACCCCAAATCAACAGAATATACATTCTTCTCAGCACCACATCGCACTTATTCCAATATTGACCACATAGTTGGAAGTAAAGCACTCCTCAGCAATTGTAAAAGAACAGAAATTATAACAAAGTGTCTTTCAGACCACAGTACAATCAAACTAGAACTCAGGATTAAGAAACTCACTCAAAACCGCTCAACTACATGGAAACTGAACAACCTGCTCCTGAATGACTACTGGGTACATAATGAAATGAAGGCAGAAATAAAGATGTTCTTTGAAACCATTGAGAACAAAGACACAACATACCAGAATCTCTGGGACACATTTAAAGCAGAGTGTAGAGGGAAATTTATAGCACTAAATGCCCACAAGAGAAAGCAAGAAAGATCTAAAATTGACACCCTAACATCACAATTGAAAGAACTAGAGAAACAAGAGCAAACACATTCAAAAGCTAGCAGAAGGCAAGAAATAACTAAGATCAGAGCAGAGCTGAAGGAGACAGAGACACAAAAAGCCTTCAAAAAATCAATGAATCCAGGAGCTGGTTTTTTGAAAAGATCAACAAAATTGATACACCGCTAGCAAGACTAATAAGAAAAGAGAGAAGAATCAAATAGACGCAATAAAAAATGATAAAGGGGATATCACCACCGATCTCACAGAAATACAAACTACCATCAGAGAATACTATAAACACCTCTATGCAAATAAACTAGAAAATCTAGAAGAAATGGATAAATTCCTCGACACATACACTCTCCCAAGACTAAACCAGGAAAAAGCTGTATTTTCCAAGTATGTTAAAGTTTTGCTGTTCATATTTGAATCCTGAACGACCTGAAAAGTGATTTTTTTATGGTATTAGGTAAAGGTCCATTTTTTTCATACAAATGACTGTTAATTTGCAATAATGCCTCTGTCATATATCAAGTGTCTGTATGTTTTGACGTCTTGCTGGGTTACTGATTGTGTTATTGTGTTCTGCTGGTTCATTTGTCTATCTCTGAGCCAGTGTCTTAGTGCCTTAATTACTATAAATTTATAAGACTTGGAGCAGGGTTCCCTTAACCTTGTCATTCTTCTCCACGCGTGTCTGGGCTGTTCTTCACTCCGCTGTATCATATAAATTTTAAATCAGTTTGTCAAATTTCACACACAAAAATTTCTTGGAAATTGTGTTTGTTCTGTTTTCTATGAAAATGTCTTTATTTTAGAAGTAATCTGTATCTTGCTGAAATCTGAGAAACACTAAATTGAGGGATTTGCTAGCCATTTGTAGTGGGTTGAATGGCAGGACTTCCAGGCTATGTCCACATCTGAATCTCTGGAACTTATAAATGTGACCTTATTTGGAAAAAGTGTCTTTGCAGATGTAATTAAATTAAGGATCTTGAGAGGAGGAGATTTTCCTGGATTATCCAGGTAGTCCCTAAAGCCAATATTGAATGTCCTTATATGAGATACACAAAAGGAGAGACACAGAGAAGAGGAGGCAAGGTGTTCATGGAGGTGAAGATTGGAGTAATGCAGCCAAAAGCCAACAAACACAGCCACCAAAAGCTGGAAGAGGCAGAAAACAAATTCTCTTCTACAGCCTCCAGAGAGAGTGCCGCCCTGCGACACCTTGATTTCAGAGATAACAGATCTCCAGAACTGTGTGAGAATATATTTCTGTTGTTTTAAGCCACCCAATTTATGGCAATTTGTTACAGCAGCCACAGGAAACTAATATACCACTCATTCTTTGTTTTCTCTAAGCTATTCTCCTGTATTGTTAGATCCCTAGAAAGCAACATACCAGGGGCATATTATTACCAATATAAATGTTAATAAATGTAAATATCTTCACTGGTTGACGCCAGATATTATGTCTTTGAATTTTTTAAAGTGTATGAGAAATGGCCACATGAAAAAATGTCTGCATCTGTGGCAAGACACCAGCTCTAGCTCCTAGGAAAAGGTCAAAGCAGAACATTCCTGTGGGTGAGATGAGTCCATCCCCTCAGTAAATCCAGGAAGCAGATCATGCTGGGGAGAGCCACAAGTTTATTATTAATGTAAGTTTTGGTTAAGACAAGTCAAAAAGAAAAATCTTGGTCAGAGTTACTCAGGTAAGCTGCTCTCATGGTAAAAAGATGGTGCAAAGGCAATGGGCAACTTGGTAATGGCATCCCTCAATATGCTTAGCGCTTGAGTCTCCTGCTCCAATCTGGACTGGCTGCACATGTCCGGTGCACTGCTGTCATCCCAAGATATCCCTTTACCAGCTACCTGGGAACTCCCTTAATCTGTTTACTACATTGAATCTCCTGTTCCCTGTGTCTTATATCTTCCTATGTCTTGATTTACTCTTCATATTTTGGTGAGCACCTCCTCCAGTGGCTTCTTGGGAAACTGTGGTTGGGGAACAAGTAATTTGAGACCTTGCATGTCTACAAATACCTTTATTTACTCACTCTAAAATGATAGTTTAGTTGAATAAAAATTGTAGCATGAAAATAATTTTCCTTCAAAATTTTAGAGCCATTGCTTCATTGTTTTCTTGCCTCCTTTGCTGCTGTTAAGAAGAATAGAGCCATTCTCCTATCTGATCCTTTGTATAAAATATATTTTTTCTCTTCTAGAAACTTCTGTTTATTCCTATTGTGTTGAAGTTATCTTGATGTAAGCCTATTTTCTCCCACTGTGCTGTGTTCCAGGCAGGCTCCTTTTATCTGACAATTCACGTCCCTGAGTTTGGAGAAAATTTTTTTTTATTCTTTCAGTGATAACTTTCCCACCTCTGCTTTCAGCATTCTTTTCTATAACTCACATTTTTCAAGTGTTGCTACCACTTTGTCTGGTTGTTTAATTTTTTCACGTTTCTTTCCTCACTATTTTTCTTCTTTTTGTCCTTGAATTTCACCCCTGAGTTTTTAATTTCTGCTATCATTTTACTTAACTGGACAGAATCTCTAGTTAGATGTTGAATAGAGGCAGTAATAATCCTTGTTTTGTTCTTGATTTAATTTTTAAGGTAATGTTCTCATGTTTCAGATTTAGGTATTAGGTTGATTTTAGGTGTTTGGTAAATAAATTTTATTAAGTATCTGTTATTCCTAGATTGTTAGGCAATTCTATTCCAAATAGGCATTGAATTACATTGAATGCTTGTACTGTATTTGTTAAGATAATTTGTTTTTTCTGTTTTTATCAGTGAATAAAAATAATGGATTTTCTAAAATTTAATTAACTTTACCTTCCCGGGATAAGCACAGCTTAGTTTTAATGTTTTCTGTCTCTTCATTGCTGGATTCAGTTTGTATATATTTTGTTTAGGTTTTTATATCTGCATTGGTGAGTGAAATTGTTCTGTAGTATTCTTTGCTTATACTTTTCTGTTTTTGCTATGGAGGTTGTATATAACACAGCTCTCAAAGCAGTTGGAGAGCTAGAGAGTTTTCTTTCTATTTCTATTCCCTGGAAGAATGTTTATAATATTGGAATGATTTCTTTCTTAAATGCTTAGTAGAACTTGACAACAAAATAATCGGGGCATGATGCTTTTACATATTGATTTTATTCCCTCATTGTTTATAGGACTACTCAAGATTGCTATTTTTCTTTGAGTCAGTTAGGGTTGGTTATATTTCCTAGGAGTTTTGCCTTTTTCAAGTCCTAAATATATTGGCATTAAAATTTTCATAGTATTATCTCTTCAATACACCAGTTTTTGACTTTGTTGATCCTCTTTGTTGTCTGTCTTTTGTTTTTTTGGCTTGTTTTCAGAGACAGGGTCTTGCTCTGTGCCTAGGCTAAAGTGCAGTGGTGTGATCATAGCCCACTCTAACCTCAAACTCCTGAGCTCAAGAGATCTTCTTGCCTCAGCCTCCTGAGTAGCTAAGACTACAGGCATGTGCCAGGTAACTTTAAAAACTTTTTGTAGAGAAAGGGTCTTGCTATATTGCCCAGGCTTGTTTCAAACTCCTGGCCTCAAGCAATCTTCCCACCTTAGCCTCCCAAAGCACTGGTATTAGAGGTGTTAGCCACCATATCCAGCCTGTCTTCTCTTTTATTATTTAGCTTTATTATCTCTTTTCCTTGGGTTTATCCTGTTTCTCTTTTATTAACTTTTTAAGTTCAATGCTTAGCTCATTACTTTTCATTTTAGCTTATTTCACAATTTTAACTTTTTATTTCTAAGTAATCGTAGTTCACAGAAAGTTGTGAAAATAATAAAGAGAATTGCTATGTACCCTTCACCCAGTTTCTCCCGGTGGTTACATCTTAGGTAACCATCGTACAATATCAAATCCAGGAAACTGACATTGGTACAATGTGTATGTATAATTTTATGCCATTTATCACGTGCATTGATTTGTGTAACCTCACCATCACAATCAAGACACAGAACAGTTCCATCATTACCAAGATCTCCCTCCTACCTATCGTTCATAGTCACATCCATTCCCTTCCCATCCACCATGCCTAACTCCTGGTAACTACAAATCTGCTCAGCATCTCTATGGTTTTATCATTTTGAGAATGTTATATAAATGAAATCATACAGTATGTGACCTTTGAGATTGACCTTTTTCACTTGGCAAAATGCTCTTGCGAGCCATATAAGTTGCATGTATCAACAGTTTGTTCCCTTTTATGGCTGAGAAGTCTTCCATGGTATGGCTATACCACAGTTTGTTTAACCATTCATCTAATGAAGGACATTTAGATTGCTTCCAGTTGTTGATTATTACTCAGTTATTAGAAAGAACTATCCAGGAGTTTTTATGTAGAATCCTTGAAATTTTCTATGTAGACCATCATATCATCGAAAAATAGGGATGTTTTTATTTATCCCTTCCTGATCTGTATGGCTTTTATCGTCTTAATGCACTTACTAGGATTCTAGTATTATGCTGAATAAGAGCGATGAGAACAGACATCTTTGCCTTGCTTTTGAACTTAAGAGGAAAGCATTCAGTCTTTCACCATTGTGTATGATGTCAGCTACAGGGTTTTTGAAGATGTTTTTTATTAAATTGAAGAAGTGCTCCTCTATTCTTAGTTTTCTGAGCATTTTATTTATTTTATTTTATTTTACTTTTTTGAGATGGAGTCTCGCTCTGTCACCCAGGCTGCAGTGCAGTGGCGGGATCTCGGCTCACTGCAGCCTCTGCCTCCCAGGTTCAGGCGATTCTCCCGCTCAGCCTCCCAAGTAGCTGGGATTACAGGCATGTGCCAATATACCCAGCTAATTTTTGTATTTTTAGTAGAAATGGGGTTTCACCATGTTGGCCAGGCTGGTCTTGAACTCCTGACCTCAGGTGATCCACCCTCCTTGGCCTCCCAAAGTGCTGGGATTACAGGTGTGAGCCACCATGCCCAGCCAGTTTTCTGAGCATTTTAATCATGTATGGGTGTTGAATTGTTTTTGCATCAATTTTAGGAAACAAAACTTACATATAAAAATTCATTATTTTAACTATTTTAAAGTGTACAATTCAGTGTTTAGTGTTTTTTAGTATAAACACAATGCTGTTCAACCAACATCACTGTCCAATTTCAGAACACTCTTAATACCTCAAAAGGTATTAAGAGCCATTAAGCAGTCACTTCGCATTTCCCCTACCCTTCAGCCCCTGACAACCACTAATATGCTTTCTGTCTATGAATTTATCCTGGATATTTCATGTACATGGAATCATACAATATGTATCTTTTTTGTCTGGCTTCTTTCACTTAGCATAATGTTTTCAACTTCATCCATGTTGTAGCATATATCAATACTTCATTTCTTTTAATGGCTAAATAATATTCCATTGTATGGCTATACCAAAATTTGTTTATCCATTCATCAGTTTAGCTATTTCTACTTTTCATCATTATCATAATTTGAGCTGTTCATCATTATTCATCATTTGAGTTATTTCCACTTTTTGGCTATTATGAATAATGCTGCTATGCACATTCACATTTGAGTTTTTATATAAAGATATGTTTTCAATTCTCTTGGGCATATACCTAGGAGTGGAAGTGCTGGGTCATATAGCAATTCTATGTTTAACTTTTTAACAAACTGTTCAAATTTAGTGGTAGGCAAGATAAAGGCAAGCTTTTTAGCTGGCCTTTCAGATGGGTCAGAGGAAATGATTACGATTCTTGTGAATGCAATCTGTTCTACTCTTTCCCACACCAGCACTAGAAGGCAATTATTTTCAAGGCTACCACTGAGGTGGGGAGTGAAGGATGGGAATAGGGTAAGTTAACATGCCATGCAGTTTGCTGTTCTTACTGAGATTCAGCTTGTTTTTCTTGATTAAGCACTGGGTTGGTCATTGCAAGCTTCTGCTTGTTTCCAGAGTTCTAAAAAAGTTGATTTTTTGCCAGTTTTTCCATTGCTTTTATGGAAGAACAGACTTTTGAAATTCCTTATTCCACCACCTTCAATAACATCTTCAATAATTTGGGTGTTAAATTTTGTCAAGTACTTTTTCTGCATCAATTGATATGATTATATAATTTTTCTTCTCTAGATTTAAATGAGGGCTTATGTGGATTGATTTTCAAATATGGAACCAGCCTTATATCTCTGGGATAAATCTCCTTTGTTCATAATGTGTAATTATTTTATATGTTGCTCAATTCTATTTGCTAATATTTTCTTAAGTACTTTTGTGCCTAGATTCATGATGGTTATTTGTCTGCAGTTTTATTTTTTTCTGGTTTTGGCATCAGAATAATATAGGCCTGATAAAATCAGTTGGGAAATGTTTCCTCCTTTTCTATTCTTTTGGAAAATATTTTGTAGATTTGGTGCTAAATCTTTTCTAAAGGTTTGATAGATGTCACTTGAAATTTATGTTTGGTAGAATTCATATGGGCCTGAGGATTACTTTCTTGGGAGTTTTAAAGTTACAAATTCAGGGCTAAGTGTCGTGGCTCACTCCTGTAATCCCAGCATTATGGGAGGCCAAGGCAAGAGAATCACTTGAGACCAGGAGTTTGAGACCAGCCTGAACCACATAGTGAGACCCCTGTTCTTTACAAAAAATAGAAAAATGGGGGTGGCTTGAGAGGTGGAATAGAAGGCCCCACTGATCATCTCCCCTGCAAGGATACTAATTTAGCAACTATCCACACACACAAAAAGCACCTTTGTAAGAACCAAAAATGAGGTGAGCACTCACAGTACCTAGTTTTAACTTCATATCACTGAAAGAGGCACTAAAGAGGTAGATAAAACAGTCTTGAATCGCCCATGCCACTCCTCCCCTCTCCCCCATCCCCTGGCAGCCAAGGTGTGGTGTGGATGGTGTTTTTGTCCCCTCAGGAGAGGGAGAGCCAGCAATTGTGAGTCATTGAACTCAGTGCTGCCTTTGTGATAGCACGAAGAAAAACCAGACCAAATGTAGCTGATGCTTGCCCATGGAGGGTGCATTTAAACCAGCCCAAGCCAAAGGAGAATCACAGATCCCAGTGGTCAGAACTTGAGTTCTGGCAAGCCTTGCCACAACTAGCTAAAGTGCTCTGGGGCCCCAAATAAACTTGAAAGGCAGTCTATCCCACAAGGACTGCAACTCCTAGGTGAGTCCTAGTGCTGAACTGGGCACAGAGCCAGTGGACTAGGGGGAACACAACCTACTGAGATACCAGCCGGGGCAGCTAAGAGATTGCTGGCATCACCCCTCCCCTAGCCCCAGGCTATGCAGCTCAAGGCTCCAAAGAGACCCTTTCCTTCCACTTGAGGAGAGGAGATGAAAGAGTGGGGAAGACTTTGTCTTGCATCTTAGATGCCAGCTCAGTCACAGCAGAATAGGGCATGGGTCAGAGTCATGAGGCCCCCTTTCCAGGCCCTAGCTCCTGGACATTCCTAGACACATCCTAGGCCAGAAGCGAACCCGCTGCCTTGAAGGGAAGGACCCAGTCCTGGCAGGATTCATCACCTGCTAACTGAAGAGTCCTTGGGCCTTGAATAACCAGCAGCGATACTCAGGTACTACATCAAGTGTCTTTGGGTGAGACACTGAGGCTTGCTGGCTTCATGTGAGACTCAGCACATTAGCTGTGGTGGCTATGGGGCAAGATTCCTCTTACCCGAGAAAAGCAGAGGGAAAAGTAAAGGGAACTTTGTCTTGCACCTTAGGTACCAGCTTGGCAACTAAGCGGGTAGAGCACCAAGCAGGCTCTTGGGGTCCCTGATTCCAGGACTTGGCTCTTGGATGGCATTTCTGGACCTGCTCTGGGCCAGAGAGGAGGCTACTCCCCTGAAGAGTGAGTCCCAGGCCAGGCAGCATTCACTACAAGGAGATTGAGGAGCCCTTGGGCCTTGAAGGGAGCATCGGCAGTAGTCCCCAGAGGCCTATGGTAGCAGTGGTCATGAGGTGAGGATCCTATGCCTTTGGAAAGGAGCAGGATGAATGGGAAGGACTGTGTCTTGTGGTTTGAGTGCCAACTCAGCTGCAGTACAATAGAACACCAAGTGGACTTCTAAGGTTTCTGACTCTAAAGTTTTGACGGCAACTCTGGACCTGCCCAGGTCCTTGGGGGAGCTCGCTGCCTTGAAGGGAAGAACATAGGCCTGGCTGGCTTTGCCACCTGCTGATTGTAGAGGCCAAGGACTTTGAGCAAACATAGGTGTAAGCCAGGGAGTGGTTACAGCGGGCCTTGGGCAAAATCCAGCACTGTGCTGGCATCAGGTGTGATTCAGCACAGTAACAGTGGTGGTAGCCACAGGGGTGCTTGTGTCACTCCAGCTCCAGCTCCAGGTGGCTCAGAACAGAGAGAGACTCCATTTGTATGGAAGAAAGTAAGGGATGAGAACAAGAGTCTCTGCCTGGTAATCCAGAGAATTATGGATCTTGTCTAAGACCATCAAGGCAGTACCTCTATGAGTCTGCAAGAACCACACTGTTACTGGGCTTGGAGTCCCCCCTAAAGCAGTACAGATTAGATCACAACACTCAAGTGCTTTCAAGTATCTGGAAAGCCTTTCCAAGAAGGGCATGTACAAACAAGCTCAGACTACAAAGACTACAATGCCCAGACACAGACGAACATCTATAAGTATCAAGACAGTCCAGGAAAATGTGACCTCACCAAATGAAGTAAATAAGGCACCAGGGACCAATCCTGGAGAAACACATATGTGACCTTTCAGACACAGAATACAAAATAGCTTTTTTGAGGAAACTCAAAGAAATTCAAGATAACACAGAGAATTCAGAATTTGATCAGATAAATGTAACAGATTGAAATAATTTAAAAGAATCAAACAGAGATTCTTGAGCTGAAAGATGTAATTGGTATACTGAAGAATGCATCAGAGTCTTAAGAGCAGAACTGATTGAGCAGAAGAAAGAATTAGTGAACTTGAAGACAAGTTATTTGAAAATACACTGTCAGAGAAGACAAAAGAAAAAAGAATTTTAAAAAGTGAAGCATGCCTACAGGATCTAGAGAATAACCTCAAAAGGGCAAATCTAGGGTTATTGGCCTTAAAGAGGAGTTAGAAAAAGAGATGGGGTAGAAAGTTTATTGAAAGGGATAATAACACAGAACTTCCTAAACCTAGAGAGAAAGATATCAATATCCAAGTACAAGAAGGCTACAGAACACCAAGCAGATTTAACACAAAGAAGTCTACCTCAAGGCATTTAATAATAATCAAACTCCCAAAGGTCAAGGATAAAGAAAGGATTCTAAAAGCAGCAAGAGAAAAGAAACAAATAACATACAATAGAGCTCCAATATGTCTGGCAGCTGACTTTTCATTGGCAACCTAACAGGCCAGGAGACAGTGGCATGACATATTGAAAATACTGAAGGAGGCTAGGTGCAGTGGCTTGCATCAGTAATCCCAGCACTTTGGGAGGCCAAGGCGGCCAGATCACCTAAGGCCAGGAGTTTGAAACCAGCCTTGATCAACATGGTGAAACCCCGTCTCTACTAAAAATCCAAAAATTAGCTGGTCATCGTGGCATCCACCTGTAATCCCAGCTACTAGAGAGACTGAGGCAGGAGAATCACTTGAACCCAGGAGGCGGAGGTTGCAGTGAGCCGAGATTGCACCACTGCACTCTAGCCTGGGCAACAAGAGTGAAACTCCGTCTAAAAAAGAAAAAAAAAAAAAGAAGAAGAAAGAAAGAAAGAAAGAAAGAAAAAAGAAAATACTGAGGGAAAAAAACCTCTTACCCTAGAATAGTACATTCAGCAAAAACGTCCTTCAAACATGAAGGAGAAATAAAGACTTTCTCAGACAAACAAAAGCTGAGGGATTTCATCGATACCAAACCTGTCTTACGAGAAATGTGAAAGAGAATGTTTCAGTCAGAAGGAGAAGGACATTAATGAGCAATAAGAAATCACCTGAAGGTACAAAACTCACAGGTAATAGTAAGTACACAGAAAAACAAAGAATATGATACCACTAAGAATATGATACCACTGTAATTGTGGTGTGTAAACTACTCTTAAGTAGAAAGACTAAATGATGAACCAATAAAAAATAATAACTACAAATTTTTAAGACATAGTATGATAAGATATAAATAGTAACAATAAAAAGTTAAAAAGCAGGGGAACAATGTGAAGGCATAGAGTATTAGTTTTCTTTTTGCTTGCTTATTTGTTTATACAAACAGTGTTAAGTTCTTAGCAGCTTAAAATAATGGGTTATAGGATGGTATTTGCAAGCCTCATAGTAATCTCCAATAAAGAAATGTACAATGGATACACAAAAAACAAAAAGCAAGAAACTAAATCGTATCACCAGAGAAAATCACCTGCTCTAAAAGGAAGACAGGAAGAAAGGAAAAAGGGAGAGAAGACCACAAAACAACTGAAAACACATAACAAAATGGCAGGAGTAAGTCCTTACTTATCAATAATCACATTTAATATAAATGGACTAAACTCGCCAATCAAAACACATAGACTGGCTGAATGGATAAAAAGACCCATTCATCTGTTGCCTACAAAAAACACACTTCACCTATAAAAATACACACAGATTGAAAATGAAGGGATGGAAAAAATATTCCATGCCAATGGAAACCAAAAAAGAGCAGGAGTAGCTACACTCATATCGGACAAAATAGATATCAAGATAAAAACTGTAAGAGACAAAGAAGGTCATTATACAATCATAAAGGGGTCAATTCAGCAAGAGGATATAACAATTTTAAATATATATGCACTCAACACTGGAGCACCCAGGTGTATAAAGCAAATATTTTTAGAGCTAAAAAGAGAGATCAACCCCAATACAATAATAGCTAGAGACTTCCAGACAGAAAATCAACAAAGAAACATCAGATTCAATCTACACTATAGACCAAAAGGATCTAATAGATATTTAGAGAGCATTTTATTCAACAACTACAGAATATACATTCTTTTCCTCAGCAAAGAAATCATTCTCAAGGATAGACCATATGCTAGGTCACAAAACAAGTCTTAAAACATTCAAACAATTGAAATAATATCAAGCATCTTCTCTGACCACAATGGAATAAAACTACAAATCAATAACAGAGAAATTCTGGAAACTATACGAACACATGGAAATTAAACAATATACTCCTGAATGACCAGTGGGTCAATGAAAACATTAAGAAGGAAATTGAAAAATTTCTTGAAACACGTAATGGAAACAAAACATACCAAAACCTATGTGATACAGTGACTAAGAGGGAAGTTTACAGTTATAAGTGCCTACATCCAAAAAGAAGAAAAGCTTCAAATAAACAACCTAACAATACATCTTATAGAACTAGAATAGCAAGAGCAAACCAACCCCAAAATTAGAAGAAAAGAAATAATAAAGATCAGAGCAGAAATAAATGATATTGAAATGAAGAAAACAATACAAAAGATCAATGTAACAAAAAGTTGGTTTTTTGAAAAGTTAAAAAAAGAAAACCTTTAGCCAGACTAAGAAAAAAAGAGAGACAATCCAAATAATCAAAATCAGAGCTGAAGGAAACATTATAACTGATACCACAGAAATTCAAAAGATCATTAGTGGCTAGTTTGAGGAACTATATGCGAATATACTGGAAAATCTAGAAGAAACCAACAAATTTCGACCAGGTGTGGTGGCTTGCACCTGTAATCCCAGCACTTTGAAAGGCCACTTGAGCCCAGGAGTTTGAGACCAGTCTGGGCAATATAGTGAGACCCCATCTCTACAAAAAATACAAAAATTAATCAGGTGTGGTGGCATGAGCCTGTAGTCCCAGCTACTCAGGAGGCTGAGGTGGGAGGATCACCTGAAGCCTGGGTAGGTTGAGGCTGCAGTGAGCTGTGATTGCACCACTGCACTCCAGCCTGAACAATAGAGTAAGACCCTGTCTCAAAAAAAAGAAAGAAATGGACAAATTCCTAGACACATACAACAAATAACAAGTAACAAAATTGTATCCCTGATGAATATTGATGCCAAAATTCTCAGCAAAATACTAATAAACCAAATTCAACAATACATTAAAAACGTCATTCATCATGACCAAGTGGGATTAATCACAATGCAAGACTCGTTCAACATACACAAATCAATCAATGTGATACATCATATCAACAGAATGAAGAACAAAAACCATATGATCATTTCAATTGATGCTGAAAAAAGCATTTGATAAAATTCAACATCTTTTCATGATAAAAACCCTTAAAAAACTGGGTATAGAAGGAACATACTTCAACATAATAAAAACCATATATGACAGAAACACAGCTAGTATCATACTGAATGGGGAAAAATTGAAAGTCTTTCTCCAAGATCTGAAACACAACAAGGATGCCCACTGTCACCACTGTTATTCAACATAGTACTGGAAGTCCTAGCTTGAGCAATCAGACAAGAGAACGAAATAAAGGGCATCCAAATTGGAAAGGAAGAAGTCAAATTATCCTTGTTTGCAGATAATATGATCTTATATTTGGAAAAATATAAAGACTCCATCAAAAGACTATTAAAAGTGATAAACAATTCAGTAAAGTTTCAGGATACAAAATCAAAATAAAAAATCAGTAGCATTTCTATATGCCAACAGTGAATACTCTGAAAAATAAAATTAAAAAGTAATCCCATTTACAATAGCCACAAATAAAATTAAATACCTAGGAATTAACCAAAGAAGTGGAAAATCTCTATAATGAAAACTATAAAATACTGATGAAAGATATTGAACAGGACACCATAAAAATGGAAAGATATTCCATGTTCATAAATTGGAAGAATCAATATTATTTAAATGTTCATGCTACCCAAAGCAATCTACAGATTCAATGCAATCCCTATCAAAATACCAATGACATTCTTCACAGAGATAGAAAAAACAATCCTAAAATTTATGTGGAGCCACAAAAGACCCAGAATAGCCAAAGCTATCCTAAGCAGAAAGAAGAAAACTGGAGGAAACGCATTATCTGACTTCAAATTATCCTACAGAACTATCATAACCAAGACAGCATGATACTGGCATAAACACAGACACATAGACTAATGAAACAGAATAGGGAACCTAGAAATGAATCCACATACCTACAGTGAACTCATTTTTCAACAAAGGGTGCCAAGAACATACACTGGAGAAAAGATAGTCTCTGCAATAAATGGTGCTGGGAAAACTGGATATTCTATGCATAGTAATGAAACCACCATGCTTAGCTAATTTAAAAAATATTTTTTAGAGATGGGGTCTCACTGTGTTGCCCAGGCTGGTCTTCAACTCCTGGGCTCAAGTGATCCTCCAGTCTCAGCCTCCCAAATAGCTGGGATTACAGGCAGGAGCCACTGCACCTGTAAAAATAATTCTATTCTCTTCAAGAGATATAAAATAAAATAAGATATCCTTTTTCAAATTACCAGATTGGAAAGATTAAAAAGACTAACAAAGTGGTATAGTTGCAGTAAATCAGTTATCACTGACAACATAGAGAGAAGGTAAGAGGAAGACATAAATACAAAACAAAAGAGAAAAAAAAGCAGTGTTATTTTAAAAATGACAATATTCAGCATCGGATAAGGTATAGGCCAGAGTTTTTCAGCCTCAGCACTGTTGACATAATTCTTTGTTGTGGGGGACTGTCCTGTGTATTGCAAGATGTTTTGCAGCATTCCTGGCCTCTACTCACTAGATAACAGTAGCATCTCCAACTTCTGTCCCCAGATTCTATATTATTTTTGAATTTATTTCTTGGTACAGATTTTTAGCAGTTGCCCTAGGCATTACATTATACTCCCATCGGTTATCACAGCCTTCTAGTGTCTACATTTTACCACTTTGAGTGAAATATAGAAATCTTACCTCCCTGCAAGTCTTTATACCCTCCTCTGTTTATAATTGCCTGAAATATTTCCTCTACATACATTGAGGACCACATCACATAATGTTATCTTTTTTGATTCAAAAGTCAAACAAAATATAGAAAGCTCAAGAGAAGAAAAGTCTATTATATTTATTGTTACTCTTCCCCTTATTTTTCATTCCTTGCTGATGTTTTGAGATTCTTTCTTTTATCATTTCTGTTTTTTTTTCAAGAACTTCCTTTAGCCATTCTTTTTAAATGTAGGTCTGCTAGTGACAAATTCTCTTAGTTTTCCTTTATCTGAAAGTGTCTTGATGTTCCCTTTATTCCTGAAGTGTATTTTCACTGGATATAGCATTCTGGGTTAACAGTTCTTTTGTTTTAGCCCTTGAAATTATTATTTTTTTGTCATTTTCTTCTTATCTAAATGGTTTCTGATAAGAAATCCACTGCCACCTGAGTTGTTTTCCCCATCAGTAAGGTCTCTTTCATCTTTTTTTGACTTCTGTATGTCTATTCTTGTGCCTGAACCACATTGTCTTGATTACTTTAGCTTTGTGGTAAATATTGAAATTGGGAAGTTTGGGTTTCTCAACTTTGTTCTTTTTAAAGATCATTTTGACTATTCTCAGTCCTTTAAATTTCCATATGTATTTTAGGATCAGTTTGTCAATTTCTGCAAAGTAGTCATTTTGAACATTGGTAGGGATTGTGTTGAGTCTATAGATCAATTTGGGGAGTATTGTGAGCTTAACAATATTAAATCTTCTGATCCATAAATACAGGTTGTCTTTCCACTTATTTAGGTCTTCTTTAATTTTTTTCAATGATGTTTTGTAATTTCCAGTGTACAAGTCTTGCACTTTTTTGTTAAATTTATTCCTATTTTATTCTTTTTCATGCTATTGTGTAAGATGCTCTCTTGAACCATAAGGTTGAGGGCCATATCCTAGGAATGGCAAAACAGAAGCTGGTAGGAGCCAAGACACCCTATACAGTTCAGTACCAAAAGAGCTCTGTGCCACCTACCAAGACATTTATATAACAGAAAAATAAACTTCTATCTTGTGCAAATGTGTGTTATTTTGAGTGATCTGTCAGTCACATAGGAGCTAACCTTAATGAATTTAACTTGTGATGCCATTCATTCATTCATTCATTCAAATATCTATTGAACATATAAAATGTCATAACACCATGCTAGACCCTCAATGAGATGAAAAAGGCATGTAAATTTCAAACCAAGCTACTTAAGAGACTCTCAAGTGGTTGGAGAGATGAGATATTCACACTAATAATATTTTTTGAGCAACGACAAAGCACCATTTGTCTACTTTAATGAATAGCACAGACCATGCTTGCCTGAACAAATGAGAGAAAACAGGGGAGAGAGTGGGAATAGAAGAGATCCCTGGACTGGATTCTTAGAGAAAGATTTGAGGGAGAAATCTTCAACTGGAAGAGAAAGATGCTGAAGCATTTCAGATAGAACATTGAGATGAGCAAAAACAATGTTAAAACCTAAAAATAGAAGTGAAGATGGCAGGAAAACTGAAGGGACAGTGGAGAAAGGGGCCAAGGACCCCATGAGAGAACTGAGTGCCCAGCTACAGTCTGTGGGTAAGGTGAGGATCCTCCCATTAGGTGAGCTAGGCTGGTTTGATTGAGTGGCATACCAAGGGAGGAGCAGTGGGGCCATCAGGCCTCAAGTGCAATCAATAACTTGGTGATTGTCTATAGGAAATCTAAAAACAGTATTAAAGCCAACTTAAAGTCAGTCTGCTTTTTATTGCATTGGCAATTCTAAACAATTTCAGTGATAAAATACTCCTCCCTCAAAAATCTTTTGTCAGTCTACGGCAGTGCTGTCCAATAGAAATATAATGCAAGCCATGTGTTATTTTAAATTTCCCATTAAGAGATAGACAATATAAAAATAAGTAAATTGCAAAAACTTAAGGTAAAAATGTGGGGCTGATGAAGTTAAAATGCAGAGATTTTGTAGAGGTTTTTTTAATTTTTTTTTTTTTTTTTAGAGACAGTGTCTTGCTCTGTTGCCCAGGCTGGAGTGCAGTGGCATGATCCATAGTTCACTGCAGCCTTGAGCTCCTGGGCTCAAACAATCCTCCTGCCTCAGCCTCCTGAGTAGCTAGGACTACAAGTGTACACCACCCCATCCAGCTATTTTTTAAAAATATTTTGTAGAGATGGGGTCCACTATGTTGACCAGGGTAGTCTCAAAACTCCTGGCTGCAAATGATCACCTCACCTCGGCTGGCCTGTCAGAGTGCTTGGATTACAGGCATGAGCCTCTATTCTTTTCTTTGTGATCTGAGATAAGTTTTCATCTCTTTAAAATAACTTGTTATATCTATAAAATGTTTTTTGTAACCCTCATGGTAACCACAATACTAAAACCTATAACAGAGTTACTTAAAAAAAAAAAAAAAAAAAAAAAAACAGAGAAAGCTGGGCATGGTGGCCCATGCCTATAATCCCAGCACTTTGGGAGGCCGAGGCAGATGGATCATGAAGTC
The DNA here is from genome assembly GCF_000001405.40 of Homo sapiens. Taxonomy (NCBI): domain Eukaryota; kingdom Metazoa; phylum Chordata; class Mammalia; order Primates; family Hominidae; genus Homo; species Homo sapiens. The sequence continues at coordinate 44,407,989 of NC_000023.11, read as the reverse complement.
AGGGGTTTGAGACCAGCCCGACCAACATGGTGAAACCCCGTCTCTACTAAAAATACAAAAATTAGCCGGGTGTGGTAGTGTATGCCTGTAATCCCAGCTACTTGGGAGGCTGAGGCAGGAGAATAGCTTGAACCTGGGAGGTGGAGGTTGCAGTGAACCTAGACTGTGCCATTGCATCCAGCCTGGGCAACAGAGTAAGACTCCATCTCAAAAACAAAAACAAAAACAAAACAAACAAAAAATCCAGAGACAAATTAAAACATATTATCAGAGAAAGTCACTTAACCACAAAAATACACAGTAGGAAAGGAAGAATGGAAGAGAGGAGTTATAAAACAACCAGAAAAGAAGCAACAAAATGGCAGTAGTAAGTCCAGTAGGGATTGATAAGTAATATCAATAATAATACTGAAGGTTAATCAATTCTCTAATGAAAACATAAGGAGTGGCTGAATGGATAAACAAGATCAACTATATGCTGCTTATAAAAAACCCGCTTCACTTACAAAGACACACAGACTGAAAGTGAAAGGATGGAAAAAAAATATTCCATGTAAGTGGAAAACATAAAAGAGCAGGAGTAGCTATACTTGTATTACATAAAATAGAGTACAAGTCAAAGAATGTAAGAAGAGACAAAGAAGGTCACTATATAGTGATAAATAGGTCAATTCACCGAGAGGCTATAACAATTATAAATATCTATGCATCCAACACTGGAGCTCCCACGTACGTAAAGCAAACATTAATAGTTCTAAAGGGAGAGATAGACTGCAATGCCATAATAGTAGGGGACTTCAACACCGCACTCTCAATAATGGACAGATCAGCCAGCCAGAAAATCAACAGAAAAATATTGGAGTTAAACTACACACTAGACCAAATAGGTCTGACATTTAAATAATATTTCACCCAAGCGCTACAGAATACCACATTCTTTTTATGAGCACATGGAACATTCCACAGATAGACCATACCTTAGGCCACAAAACAAGTCTCAACAAATTCAAAAAAGTAGATATCATATCAAGTGTCTTTTCTGACTACAATGGAATAAAATTAAGAATCATTAACAAGAGGAATCCTGGAAAACACACAAACACATGGAAATTAAACAACATGTTCCCAAATGACCAATGAGTCAATGAAGAAATTAAGGAGATTTAAAAATTGTTTGAAACAAATGAAAATGAAAATACAGCATACCAAAATACAAAAGTAGTACTAAGCAGTACTGGGATATAGCAAAAGCAGTACTAAGAGGGAAGATGTTAGCAATAAATGCCTATATCAAAAAAGTAGAAATACTTCAAACAAACTACCTAACAATGCATCGCAAGGAACTAGAAAAGCAAGAACAAATGAAACCCCAAATCAATAGAAGAAAAGAAAGAATAAAGATCAGAGCAGAAACAAATGACGTAGGGACTAAAAAAAAATAAGAGATTCACAAAATGAAAAGTTGGTTTTTGAAAAGATAAACAAAATAAACAAACCTTTAGCTAAACTACCTAGCAGAAAAAGAGAGAAGACCCAAATAAATAAAATCAGAAACAAAAAAGGAGACATAACAACTGAGATCACAAAAGTAAAAGGAATCATTAAAGCCTATTATGAGCAACTATATGCCAACAAGTTAGAAAATCTAGAAGAAACTGATAAATTCCTGGACACGTACAACCTACCAATATTGAACCTTGAAGAAATAGAAAACTTAATAAACCAATAACAAGTAATAAGATTAAAGCTCTAATAAAAGGTCTCCCATCAAAGAAAATCCCAGAGCCTGATGGCTACACTGTTGAATTCTATCAAACATTTAAAAAAGAACTAACACCAATTCTACTCAAACTGTTCAAAAACATGGAGAAGGAGGGAACACTTCCAAACTCATTCAATGAGGCCAGAATTACCTGATACCAAAACCAGGTAAGAACACAACAACAAAAAAAGAAAACTATAGGCCAATATCACTGATGAACATAGATATAAAAATCCTCAACAAAATACTAGCAAACCGAATTCAACCACACATTAAAAAAGATCACTTATCATGATCAAGTGTGATTCATCCCAGGAATGGAAGGATGATGGTTCAACATATGCGAATCAATAAACATGATACATCACATTAGCAGAACCAAGAACAAAAACCATATGATCATTTCAAGAGATAATGAAAAAACATTCAATAAAATTCAGCATCTTTTTATCATAAAAACCATCAACAAACTAGGTATAGAAGGAAAATACCTCAAAATAATAAAGGCCATGTATGGCAAATCTGCAGCTAATATAATGAGTGGAAAAAATAAAAACCTTTTCTCTAGGATCTGGAACGAGGCAAGGATACCACCTCTCACCAATCTTATTAAACATAGCACTGGAGGTCCTGGGCACAGCAATTAGGCATGAGAAAGAAATGAAATGCATTCAGGTTGGAAAGGAAGAAGTGAAGTTAGTTTTGTTCACAGACAACATGATCTTATACGTAGACAATCTTAAGATGCCACCAAAAAAGTGTTTGAACTGATAAATAATTCAGTAAAGTTGCAATAGGAAAAAAATCAACATACAAAAATCAGTATTTCTATATGCTGACAGCAAACAATCTGAAAAAGAAATCAAGAAAACAATCCATTTATAATAGCTATAAATAATATTTTAAAAACCCAGGAGTCAATTTAACCAAACAAGTGAAAGATCTATGCAAGGAAAACTACGATACGTTGATGAAAGAAATTGAAGAACACACACACACAAAGTGGAAATATAGTCCATGTTCATGGGTTGGAAGAATTAATATTGTTAAAATGACAATACTTCCCAAAGCAATTTACATATTCAATGTAACCCCTATAAAAATACCGATGACATTCTTCACAGAAATAAAAATAATAATCTTAACATTTCTTTTCTTTTCTTTTCTTTTCTTTTTTGAGACAGTCTCACTCTGTCGCCCAGGCTGGAGTGCCATGGCACGATCTCGGCTCACTGCAACCTCTGCCTTCCAGGCTCAAGCGATTCTCCTGCCTCAGCCTCCTGAGTAGCTGGGATTACAGGCACCTGCCACCACCCCCAACTAATTTTTGTATTTTTAGTAGAGATGAGGTTTCACCATGTTGGCCAGGCTGGTCTCAAACTCCTGACCTCAGGTGATCCACCTGCCTCGGCCTCCAAAGTGTTGGGATTACAGGTGTGAGCCACTGTGCCTGGCCCAAAATCTTAACATTTATATGGAACCACAAATTATCCCAAATAGCCAAGCAATCCTGAGCAAAAAGACCAAAGCTGGAGGCATCACACTGCCTGACTTCAAAATATACTACAAAGTTATAGTAATCAAATCAGCATGGTACTGGCATAAAAACAGACACATAGACCAAGGGAACAGAGTAAAGTACCCAGATATAAATCCACACATTTATAGCCAACTGATTTTTTATTGGTGCCAAGAACACTTATTGGAGAAAGGACAGTCTCTTCAATAAATAGTGCTGAGAAAACCAGATAACCATATCTAGAAGAATGAAACTAGACCCTTATCTTTCACCATATGCAAAAATCAAATCAAAATGGATTAAAGACTTACATCTAAGGCCTGAAACTATGAAACTACTAGAAGAAAACATTGAGGAAATGTTTTCCAGAACACTGGTCTGGGTAAAAAAAAAAATTTTGTGTAAGACATAAAATGCACAGACAACAGAAACAAAAAACAGACAAATGGTATTACATCAAACTAAAAAGCTCCTGTACAACAAAGGAAACAATCATTAAAATGAAGGGACAACCATAGAATGGGATAAAATATTTGCAAATTATCCATCTGACAAGGGACTGATGACCAGAATATATAAGGAGCTCAAAGAACTCAATAGCAAAACAAAAACAGAAACAAAAACAAAAACAAACAAACAAAAAAAAACCCTGACTTTAAAAATGAGCAAAAGATCTGGATAAACATTACTCAAAAGAAGACACACAAATGGCCAACGGGTATATAAAAAAAAATGCTCAGTATCACCAATCATCAGAGAAATGCAAGTGAAAACTACAGTGAAATATCATCTCACTCCAGTTAAAATGGCTTTTATAAAAAAGACAAATAATGAATGGATGCTGGTGAGGATGTAGATAAAAGGGAACCCTTGTACACCATTGGTGGAAGTGTAAATTAATATAGTCACTGTGGAAAACTGTATGGAGGTTCCTTAAAAAACCTAAAAATGGAGGCCAGGCATGGTGGCTCACGCATGTAATCCCAGCACTTTGTGAGGCCAAGGGAGGTGGATCACTTAAGGTCAGGAGTTCGAGACCAGCCTGGCCAACATGATGAAACGCCGTCTCTACTAAAACACAAAAATTAACCAGGCATGGTGGCGCACGCCTGTAATTCCAGCTACTCAGGAGGCTGAGGCACGAGAATCACTTGAACCTGGGAGGCAGAGGTTGCAGTGAGCCGAGATCAGGCCACTGCTCTCCAGCCTGGGTGACAGAGCAACACCTTGTCTCAAAAACAAACAAACGAACAAAACTAAAAATGGAACTGCCATATGATCCAGTAGTCCAGCAGTTCCACTACCAGGTATGTATCTAAAAAGAAGGGAATCAATATGTCAAAGAGATATATGCACTTCCATGTTTATTATAACACTATTCACAATAGTCAAAATATGGAATCAACCTAAGTGCCCATCAATGAACAAATGGATGAAGAAAATGTGGTATATACACAATGGAATACTATTCAGTTAAAAAGAATGAGATCCCATCATTTATTTATTTATTTATTGGACAGGGTCTCACTCTGTCGCCCAGGCTGGAGTGCAGTGGTACAATCTCGGCTCACTGCAACCTCTGCCTCCTTGGCTCAAGCAATCCTCCCACCTCAGCCTCCCAAGTAGCTGGGACCAGAGACATGAGTCACCACACCCAACTAATTTTTGTATTTTTTTAGTGACAGGTTTTCACCATGTTTCCCACGCTGCTCTCAAACTCCTGGACTCAAGCAATCCGTCTGCTTCGGCTTCCCAAAGTGCTGGGATTACAGGTGTGAGCCACCGCACATAGCCAAGATCCTGTCATTTAAAGAAACATGGATGAAACTGGAGGTCATTATGGTAAGTGAAATAAGCCAAGCGCAGAAAGAGAAAATTTGCATGTTCTCTCATATTTGTGAGCTTTAAAAATGGATTTCATGAAGATAGAGAGTAGATTGATGTTTACCAGAAGCCAGAAAGGGTTGAGGAGAGAGAGGCAAAGAGAGATTGATTAATGTGTGTGTACAAATATGCAGTTTGATGGAAGAAATAAGATCTAGTATTTGATAGATCAGTAGAGTGACTATAGTGTACAATAATCTATTGTATATTTCAAAATAGCTAAAAGAGGATAATTAGAAAGTATTTAGCAGGAAGAAAAGACAAATATTTAAGGTAATGGATATCTCAATTACATGAATTTGATCTTTACAAATTATGTGAATTATATGAATTATTAAATTGTCACGTGTACCCTCAAAATATGTACATCTACTATGTATCAATAAAAAATTTAATAACAAACATTTCCCAATAGCCACATTGAAAAAAGAATAAGTGAAATTAATTTTAATAATATACTTAATTTAACCCAACATATCCAAGACATTGTCATTTTAATATGCAGTCAATATAAAAATTTTTAATAGAATATTTTACCTAATTTTTAATGCTTAGAGTTTGAAATCTGATGTGTATTTTCCACTCACAGCATATTTAAATTTGAACTAGCTACATTGTAAGTGCTCAGTAGCTACATGCAGCTAATGGCTATTGTATTGGACAGAGCAGGTTTAAGGTCTAAACAAAAGCTGTGGTTTTGGTTGCCTAGTAATAATATATTAAGAGCTTCAATTTAGCACAATTTTATTACTTATCCTTTAATAAACACTGCAGTCTAAATGGTAGTCAGCTTCCAGAATTCCCAGGCATATAGTCAGCCCCTAAAACATGAGGATTGAGACACATGTATTTGTTCGGATATTAATTTTATAATGGTTCACAATTGTGAGAGCTGGTTTAGGCACCACTTTTGTCTCTAATTACTGTGGTACTGCATATTCCTAAGAATAAAGAGTAAATTAGAAATAAGAAATAATATCATAGTGATTGTAAACCAAAAGAAACAGAACATGAGATGGTTCAATTCTATCATTTTATGTTAGCAATTGGAGTTTGTGTTTGTTTTTAAATTTAAAACAGTGAAGCAAAGTAGAAACTGTGGCATCTATTTTTTTTTGTTTTTAGGCTAGCCAAGTAAAGCAGTGGGAGTGGAAAAGGAACAAAGAAATCTATAACTGCTTGTGATCAATTAGTTGTAAACACCGCTGCACGCACACCAGCCTGTGATACTTGATATTTTTGATGGTGAGTCAAAATATTAGTTCATACATGAAATATATTTGTGTATTTAAATAGCATTGTTGTCTTAGTTCATTTGGGCTGCTGTAACAAAATACCATAGGCTCGGTAGCCTATAAATAAAAGAAATTTATTTCTCACCATTCCGGAGGCTGAGAGGTCCAGGATCAAGGCACCCACATATTCAGTGTCTGATGAGGGCTCATTTTCTGACTCATGGGTAGTGCCTTCTTACTGTGTCCTCACATGATGGAAGGGCAAATGAGCTTCCTCAGGTCTCTTTTACAAGGGCACTAATTCCATTCATGAAGGCTCTGCTTTCATGATCTACTCACTTCCCCGAGGCCCACCTCCTCATACCCTCACAATGGGGATTAGGATTTCAACATACGGCTTTTGGGTGGACACAAACATTGAAACTATAGCAATTTTGAAATTTGAAATGTATTATTTTTAATTGTTAATTGCTCATTTTTAAGCTAAAAATCAAAATAATAATGATTACTACATTTTCTCATATAGAGATGGATGTGTTAAAAAAATGATCTACTCTTGAGTGTCACATTCAGTAGGTAGGTTACTGGTTTGACCAGAGAACATCTCCTTACACATTACTCCTTCCCATCCATACATATCCTTTTTTATTTAAAAAAAAAAATCATAAACAATACTGTGACCTCTACTGACAGAATTTAAAGTACTTCAAATCATGGACTGTGTCCAAGTCCACACAGAAGAGTTCTTGTTATTGCCTCCTAAAGCAAAACGCCCACGGCTTCTGAGAACATGACTCGTGGTGAACTCACCCTGTCCACTGCAATTATGACAACATTCAATCCCACATAAAGAAGACTTAATCAGAGCCAAGGAATGTACCTCGGTGCCTGATAGAAAAAATACCATCTCAATGCAAATGTGTTTAAGTATTTAATTCCAGGCTAGAGAATGATGTTACTGAAACTAAGACACTTAGAAATAAATCAAGCCATTTGTAAATTCTGTAACTTGGAGGGCAAATGCCATTTTGTGAATGGGAAGTTTGACATTGGACATTCTAATTAAATGAGCTTGGATACTTTATAGGATAAATCTATGGGCCTAAAATCAAAGAGCATATAATGAAAACTTGCTATAACATGGTTAATTTATGTGATAGGCGTCACTCTTACCCCGTCCCTATATTAATATGGAGAAAGTTCTGCCATATGCCTGACTGAATAAGCATATTCCCTCTAGAGCATATAGAGTGAAGTCCATATGCTTCCCCGGGGATGTTCCTTCTATTTCTGAACTGTTTCTTGGCTCTCAATAAATACAGGCTTTATTTTGTTTGTGTATGTATTTGACCTTACTAGTTTCTTTTTTAAATTTTAGTTATCTTGCACTGTCATTTATTTTAATATTATATGTCTATCTCGAGTGGCATTTCTTACAGTCTCTTACAGATCTTTATATAGATCCTTCTCCTTCAAAATTGTTGAAACCATAAAAAGCATCAGAATGTAAGTACTCATACCACAAATCTTTATTTTTTTATTCTTATGCTGTTAGAATTCCAAACTATTTTAGATGGCAGTTCGGTATCTGAAATGATTAATCTACCCATTCTTTGCACATAGTTACTTGTATGAAACACATAGTCTTTAAACAGGCAAGTTATCAATAGGTGCAACCTTTAAGTGCATGAAAAAGTCATTGCAAAACAACTCCCTACTTTGAATCTGTGATCTTATGGTCTTTTGGATGCCACTCTCCTCATCCAGAAAAAAACTGCTCATGTGCAAAAGGCCTTTGGGCATAACATGACATTTACAATGTGTAGAGTGTGCATTTCATGTTTATTTCTCATGTATTTCCCTGGCTAAAGACTAATATACAATCTACAACATCCAAATAAATGATTTAACGTATTTTATACAACACATGTTCAAGTAATTAATTTTCTCATGGAAATGTCATACCATTTAACTCATAGTTACGAGCCAAATATTTGTGCAGTAGTTGGTAATGAATATATGCATAATCACAGATTGCCCTATTTTCTTTGTGCTCAAATGTAATTTAAAGGGACAGAATTAGGGTGCAGCAGACTTCACATTATTTAATGCTTGATACATAGTAGGTTCTCAATAACTGCTTGTTGGATGAGTAAATACATGATTGAACTGTAAACAGATTTTTACCAAATCTTATGAATTTAGGTTTTTGGTTAGTCTTACTAGAGTTGTATTATTATATTATGAACACAATTAACTGTGTGTGATATGTTTTGAAAATACTTGGTTGCCAAAGGATGGGGGAAAAATAATTATGGATATATGTAAGCAAAAAAATCATATAAAAACTTATTTATATGCATCAAATAGGGAACATCTGTATCAGTCAGGTTATTTCCAGCAGCAGGTAACAGAAATAAGGCTCAAACTGGTTTAAAAATAAGAAAATCCGTTACAGTTGAGTATCCTTAATCTAAATATCTGAAATCCAAAATGCTCCAAAATGCATTGATGTAATGCCACGAGTGGAAAATTCCACACATAAGTATTGAAAACAAACTTTGTTTTATACACAAATTTATTTAAAATAGTATATAAAATTACCTTCAGTCTATGTGTATAAGGTGTATATGAAAAACAAATGCATTTCATGTTTAGACTTGGATCCCATCCCTAAGGTATCTCATTATGTATATGGAAATATTCCAAAATCTGAAAAAAATTCCAAATCCAAAATAGGTCTAGTCCCAAGCATTTCAGATACAGGGTACTCAACCTGTGCCATGTGCAAAGGTAATGCAAGCCTTAGCTCACATTGTGTAGGCAAATAACAGTGTCCACTCCAACACTATCCTTCTTTAGAAGAGGAACTGAACTAGTCAATCAAGAAGTACAGGAATACCTTGGAGATATTGTGGATTTGGTTTCAGATCACCACAATTAAGTGAATATTACAGTAAAGCAAATCACACAAATTTTTTGGTTTCCCAGTGCATATAAAAGTCATGCTTACACTATACTGTAGTCTATTAAGTGTGCAATAGTATTATGCCCAAAACAAAAAATGAAAAATGCTTTATTGCTAATAAATAAATGAAATAATGAAAAAATTCTTTATTGCTAAAAAATGCTAATGATTATCTCAGCCTTCAGTGAGCTGTAATCTTTTTGCTGGTGGAGAGTCTTGCATCAATGCTGGTGGCTGCTGACTGATCAGGGTGCTGCTTGCAGAAGGTTGGGGTGGCTGTGGGAATTTCTTAAAATGAGAAAACAATAAAGTTTGCCACATTGATTGACTTTTCCTTTCACAGAAGATTTCTTTGTAGCATGCAAGGCTGTTTGATAGCATTTTATCCACAAAATGTCTTTCAAAATTGGAGTCAATCCACTCCAACCCTGTTGCTGCTTTATCGACTAAGTTTATATAACATTTGAAATCCTTTGTTGTCATTTCAACATTGTTCACAGCATCTTCACCAGGAGTAGATTCCATCTCAAAAAACCACTTTCTTTGCTCATCTATAAGAAGCAACTCCTCATCCATTCAACTTTTATCATGAGCTAGCAGCAACTCAGTCACATCTTCAGGCTCCACTTCTGATTCTAAGTCTTTTGCTATTTTCACCACATCTGCAGTTACTTCCTCCAAGTCATTGATGAGGGTTGTAATCAACTTCTTCCAAACTCCTGTTCATGTTGATATTTTGACCTTCTCTCATGAATCACGAATATTTTTAATGGCATCTAGAATGGTGAGCCCTTTGCAGAAGGGTTTGGATTTATTTTGTCCAGATTGATCAGAGGAATCACTCTCTATGGCAGCTACAGCCTTACAAAATGTATTTCTTAAATAATAAGACTTAAACTCAAAATTACTCCTTGATCCATGGGCTGCAGAATGGATGTTGTGTTAGCAGGCATGAAAACAGCATTAATCTCCTTGTACATCTCTATCAGAGCTCTTGGATGACCAGGTGTATTGTCAATGAGCAGTAATATTTGAAAGAAATCTTTTTCTTTTCCTGAGCAGTAGGTCCCAACAGTGGGCTTAAAATATTTAGTAAACCATGCTGTCAACAGATGTGCTGTCATCCAAGCTTTGTTATTTCATTTATAGAGCATAGGCAGAGTATATTTTGCATAGTCCTTAAAGGCTGTAGGATCTTTTGAATGGTAAGTGAGCATTGGCTTCAACTTGAAATCATCAGCTGCATTAGTCCCTATCAGGAGACTCAACCTGCCTTTTGAAGCTTTAAGTCAGTCATTGACTTCTCCTCTCTAGCTATGAAAGTCCTAGATGGCATCTTCTTCCAATAGAAGACTGTTTCATATAGATTGAAAATCTGTTGTTTAGTGTAGCCCTCTTCATTAATGATCTTAGCTAGATCTTCTGGATAACTTGCTGCAGCTTCTCCAACAGCACTTGCTGCTTTGCCTTGCACTTTTATGTTATGGAAACAGCTTCTTTCCTTAAACCTCATGAACCAACTGCTCTGCTAGCTTCCAACTTTTCTTCTGCAGCTTCCTTATCTTTCTCAGCCTTCATAGAATTGAAGAGAGTTAGGGCCTTGCTCTGAATTAGGCTTTGGCTTAATCCTAATCCAGAGCAAGGCCCCAATTCTCTTCAATTCTGTGAATGTTGTGGCTGGTTTAGTCTTCTATCCAGACCACTAAAACTTTCTCTACATCAGCAATAAGGCTGTTTTGCTTTCTTCTCTTTCATGTATTTACTGGAAAAGCACTTTTAATTTCCTTTAAGAAGTCTTTTTTTGCATTTGCACCTGGCTAACTGGTACAAGAGGCCTAGCTTTTAACATATCTCAGCTTTCCACATGCCTTTCCTACTAAGCTTGATCATTTCTAGCTTTGGATTTAAAGTGAGAAATGTGCGACTCTTCTTTTCACTTGAACACTTGAAGGCCATAGTAGGGTTATTAATTGGCCTAATTTCAATATTGTTGTGTCTTAGGAAATAGAGAGGACTGAGAAGAGAGAGAGAGAGAGAGACCAAGACGAGGGAACGAGCAGTCGATGGAGCAGTCAGAACACAGAAACAACATTTATTAAGTTTGTCATGCTCTATGGGTGAAGTTCATGGTGCCTCAAAGCAACTACAATAGTAACATCCAAGATTGCTGATCACAGATTGCCATGACAGACAGAATAATGATGAAAAAGTTTGAAAGATTGTGAGAATTACCAAAATGTGACACAGAGACAGGAAGGGAGCGCATGCTGTTGAAAAAAATGGCACTGATAGACTTGCTTGACACAGGGTTGCCACAAATCTTCAGTTTCTAAAAAACACAGTTGTCTGTGCAGCACAATAAAGTGAAACGCAATAAAACAACATATGCTGTATTCCTATATCTCCACAAAAATAAGGATGTATTCTCTCCTGAAGATACATTCATCAGTGAATTAAGGAAAAGACGACAGGGTGGGAGAATGTAGCCAGTCTGTCCCAAGTCATTATTATTTGTAAAAAATTCACTTTCCTGGCCAGGCATGGTGGCTCATGCCTGTAATCCCAGCACTTTGGGAGGCCGGAGTGGACAGATCACTTGAGGTCAGGAGTTTGAGACCAGCCTGGCCAACATGGTGAAACCCTTTCTCTACTAAAAATACAAAATGTAGCCCAGTGTGGTGGCGGGCACGTGTAGTCCCAGCTACTTGGGAGGTTGAGGCAGGAGAATGGCTTGAACCTGGGAAGCGGAGGTTGCAGTGAGCCAAGATCGTGCCACTGCGCTCCAGCCTGGGCGATAGAGCAAGACTCTGTCTCAAAAAATAAAAATAAAAATAAAAATAAAAAATTCACTTTCCCTTGGTTGATATTTATGAAAACTCCATTATGCTTTAGTTTAGTTTTTTTTTTACCTGCTACCTAGTCTGTCTCTCTTTTTCCTTTCAAGAGTGATCTTCATATTCTTTATATCATTTCTTGAACAACAAAAAAAAGTCTAAGAATTACCAAGACTCTTAATCACTTCCTGCAGGTTTTGTACCTTCTTCAACTAAACTTGATCTGGAGGAAAAAAAAAAAGCCCTATCATCCCCATTCGTGTATATTGAAAATGGGTTTATCAGGTGCATTCCATAAGGATTTCTTCCCCCCACAGTTATTTAACATTTCCTGAAATTACTCAGATGAATGACTTGGATGGGAAACCCTGTACCTACAGCCTGGATATCATAATTGACCACATCCAGTTTAAGAGGCAAATAAGTGGTGGGTGGGCCCTCTGAAGGGCACACTTTCAGGGCTCTGGACACTTGGACAAAGCGATAGAGATCAAATTAAAGTCTGCTGAACCAAACAAAGGAATTTTGGAAAGCAAACCATGCAGGCTCCCAGGATCCATTCACTTTCTGTTCAGCCCACTACACATTTTTGGGTGACTATAATAGTCAAATAGGTACAGCTTGTGGTTTTTTTGAAAGAATTCTTGCCTTTTTGTTAAGGTCTTGCTTTAAATAAACATCATGACCAAACACTAAGGAAAGCAAAGTCCCATATATGAAAAGAAGAGTAATAATATTGTCTTCTTATTTTTTTAATGCCTCCATCTTTTTCCATGCATATACTGTATAAAATTTTTCTTATGAAAAATGCGGCCTTTGGCCAGATGCAGTGGCTCATGCCTGTAATCCCAGCACTTTGGGAGGCCAAGGCAGGTGGGTCACCTGAGGTCAGGAGTTCAAGACCAGCCTGGCCAACATGGAGAAACACCGTCTCTACTAAAAATACAAAAATTAGCCAGGCGTGGTGGCACATGCCTGTAATCCCAGCTACTCAGGAGGCTGAGGAGGAGAATTGCTTGAACCTGGGAGGCAGAGGTTTCAGTGAGCCGAGATCACGCCATTGTTCTCCAGCCTGGGCAACAGAGCGAGACTCCGTTTCAAAAACAAACAAACAAACAAACAAACAAAAACAAAGAAAGAAAAATGGGGCCTTTTTTGTTGTTTTTGGCCAGGATTTGAGTTTCTATTATTGTTATTTTGTAGAAGCTTCCTATGGAAAATGGGGCCATTCTTAGGTAAAATTTTGTGTCCTGTCTTTCCCACACTTAGGCATTTCTCCATGTTACTAATGGTATTCAGAAAAATGATTTTAAATAGTCATGTCATAAGCCATGCTATCTAAATACCACTATTAACTTAATTATCTCCTTTTAAATGTATTATTTTAAAAAATTTTAGAGCCAGGGTTGCACTCTGTCACCTAGGCTTAAGTGCAGTGGCATGATCATAGCTCACTGCAGCCTGGAACTCCTGGGCTCAAGTGATCCTCCTGTCTCAGCCTCCCGAGTAGCTGGGACTACAGGCATGTGACACCATGCCTGGCTACATTTTAAAGTTTTTGTAGAGATGGGGTCTCTTTTTGTTGCCCAGGCTGGTCTCCAACTCCTGGGCTTAAGTGATCCTCCCACCTTGGCCTCCCAAAGCACTGAGATTACAGGTAAGAGCCAACGCACCTGGCCTTTTAAAATCCTTTACTTTTATTTTCAAATGGAGATATAATTTATGACTTGAAATGCACAGATCTAAAACACACAGTTAAATGAGTTTTGACAAATGCAAACACACTTTAATCAAGATAAAGACTATTTCCATCACCCCCTAAAATGCCCTCGTGCCTCCTTTGATGGAATATTCCATCTCCTTGCAACCACTGTTCTGATTTCTATGAGCACAGATTTGTTTTACCTGCTCTTGAACTCCATATAAGTAGAATGATACAGATATACCCTTTTATGTCTGGCTTCTTTTTCACTTAACACTTATTTTGCTTAGATTCACCCATGATGTTGTGTTTATTAGCAGTTCATTCTTTTTCACTGCTAGTAATACTCCATTGTATGGACATATCACAATTTGTCTCTTCACCTCTTGGTAGACATTTGAGTTGTTTCCAATTTGAGTCTATTGTGTATAATACTACTCTAAACATTTTTTCTTTCAAATCAATTTTAAAGGAGGGTGAGAAATGGTAAAAATGATTGCTGCATTAGTGATGATTTTCTTTTGTAAGAGGAGCTACAGAGAAGCAGGGAATGCAGTTGAAACACTGGGGGTAGGGGAGGTGGATGAAAAATGAAATCAAAGGGGCTTTTGAGAAAGCTAATCCAAGGGGAAAATTAATTTCCCCTTAGCAAGGATACGAAGAAGCAGTAAACAAACAAAGAAGCAAACAAACAATTGATGATGGAGAAATGAGAAAGGAAAAACCTACAAAAATGAGAATAAGTAAAAAAGAATTAGAATCATGATACTTCTGTTTTTAATCATGTTCTTCGAAAACTCTTGGAATGAAGACAAACAAACTTTTGAGCCTCTTCCATGGGGACTTCAGCCCTTCACATGTTCCTGATGCTCTAATGTTTCACATTAGTTTCTTCTATGGGCAACGTTCTTTCCTGTCCCTGCCAGAGTAGAAGAGTGTTCAAAGCAGCTTTGATCAGGGCAGCACACTCAAGGCAGTCTGTAAGGGAAGCCAGGAGGCTTTTTAATTTAAAAATAAGTGCTGCTTTGTCTCCCATGTTTCCTTAATTGAGGCAGAAGCTGAATCTGGGACACAGCTTGGTGGGAGATTGGCTATGACATGGTCACATGGAGCCTGGATTCTGAGCAAAAAGAGGCTGTGTGTGTGTGTGTGTGTGTGTGTGTGTGTGAACAGTTACAGGGAAGTATTTTCAACTGTCAGGCCTGTCAGATTAAGATGTCTGAATGGGCTATGAGAGAGAAATAACTGAATCCGCATTAACTGTATTCTTTGTAGAAATTTTGCAGCAGGATTTAAATGCCTTCAACCAGAGACAGAGGGAAGCAAGGAGAGGAAAAAGGGCCAAGGTGGCTACAATTGTTTTTATCTTAAAGAGACTGCAGGCCTGAGACTTGAAAAATTGTTTTTTTCCAGTGATGTTGCCGACATTTTAACCTATAATATCCTCCTCTTAAAATCAGAGAAGAGGCACAACAATAATTATAGGAAATAGGAGGAAAGAAGAATGAGGAAATATACAAAGTATATGTGAAGACATTGCTGATGGAATTGTATGGGGCCTATTGGCATTCTACCTGCCTCCTCCACATGGGTTTGAAGTAAATTTGATAGTTAAAAGCATGAAAGGAGGGAGGAGAATGGTCCGCAGCAGCAGTCTACAGCTATTAAAAGGTGTTAACATGGAGGAGGATTTATTTAGTCTGTAAATCCCAGAAGACACAACCATGAGAAATACAGTACAGTTCACAAAAATTCTGATTAAAAAAGAGGAAAAATGTTTTGATGTTAGAACTATTGGAATACAAAATAAAATAAGATATACAGACACACTTGGAGGAGTAAAAGTGTTATGCAGATTCGAATCATCATTATTATTCTTCCCTTAAGGGAGATGGTGGTAATTCCACCATTAAAATGCACCAGAGCAGTTGTGTACATAACCTGTCCCATAGTGGCTGCTGATACCAAAATACAGGTCCCAAGTATCCTGGGGACCAGGGGAGATCACAGTGTATGTTGAGGTCCCTCAAGGGAAGAAAAAATACTCTGCCTGCTTTCCCAAATCCCCAGGAAATTTGGGGAAATTTCATGGGCTTTGCTGCTCCCTGATGTAAATGGCTGCTTCTGTTGAAAAATCTGAAGTGATTTATGTGATTGAGGCCATTGCTTGGTTTGAGGTGATGAGTTAGGTTAGACATTAACCCTTCAAGAAACTTGCTGAATTATCAGCTATTAAATGTTAGAGCATATTCCTCGCAGGAATCAGGCTGGAGTGGGGGATTTTTCCACTTTAGGTGTTTGAGAGAAATCAGAATGGTGCATGTGAGTGTGAAAGAGAGTTCTTTCTGGGAGGCCCTCCCCCCAATTTTTTTTTTTTCGAAGACAGTGTCTCGCTCTGTCGCCCAGGCTGGAGTACAATGATGCAATCTTGACTCACTGCATCCTCGACCTCCCAGGTTCAAGTGATTCTCATGCCTCAGCCTCCCGAGTAACTGGGATTACAGGTGTGCACCACCATGCCTGGCTAATTTTTGTATTTTTACTAAAGATGGGGTTTCACCATGTTAGCCAGGCTGGGAGGCCACTTTCATATAGAAAGTACAGTTTTCTGTTCCATTGCTTAGCCTAGGGGTGGGAGTTGCAGGGATTTGCAGTAATAACAATCTCATCTCTTTTTAAGTTCATCCTATATTCCATGACCTTTACATCTGTTATCTTATTTAATATTCACAACAACCCTATAAGGTAAGACTTTACAAGTGAGTAAACTGAGACTCAGAAATAGTATATAATTTGACCAGGGTTACAGAATTAGGATATAGACAGTTAGAGATTAGAATCCAGCCCTATCTGACTTCACAAAGCCGGTGTTTGCCTCATTTCACCATTAGTCTGTCAGGGGATAGTGGTAGCTCTCCTCCCTGCACTGTGCTTCAGTGTCTGGGTTTTCATTTGGGTCCTTCCAGAAGCAATTCTTTTAAAAAAACTAAATAAAATAAATTTTGGCTGGACAGTGGCTCATGCTTGTAATCTCAGTTCTTTGAGAGGCCAAGGCAGGAGGTTTGCATGAGCCCAGGAATTTGAGAGCAGCCTGGGCAACATAGCAAACTGTCTCTACAAAAATTTTTTAAAAATTAGCCGGGTTTGGTGGCATGCACCTGTAGTCCCAGCTACTCAGGAGGCTGAGTTAGGGAGGTCAAGGCTGCAGTGAGTCGTGATTCTATCACTGCACACCAGCCTGGGTGACAGAGCAAGACCTTGTCTGAAAATTAATAAATAGTATTGTGTATATTTAAGGCATACAACATGATGTTATGAGATACATATATATATACACACATATATACTAAAATGGTTACTATAGTGGAACAAATTAACATATCCATAACCTCGAATTGTTACCCATGCTCCACCTCTCTACCCCCTACACCCACCCTACCCCGTGGCAAGAGCAGCTATAATCTATCCATTTAGCAAAAATCTTGAGTAAAATACACTATTATTAACTATAGTCTTCATGTTATACATTGTATCTTTCAACTTGTTCATCCTTCCTACATATCTGCTACTTTGTATCCTTTGACTTATATCTCCCCATTCCCGGGCCTGGTAAACACTGTTTTATTCTCTCTCTACATATTTGACCTTTTACAAACTATTCCACATGTAAGTGAGATCTTGCAATATTTTCCTTTTTTTCCCCTCCATTCTCTCATGTGAAATATTTTTCTTTCTGTGTCTGGCTTATCTCACTTAGCATAATGTCCTCCAGGTCCACTTGTGTTGTGGCAAATGGTGGGATCTCTTCTTTTTCTTGAGAGAGACAGGGTCTCTCTCACTCTGTTGCCCAGGCTGAAGTGCAGTGGTGTGATCGTGGCTCACTGCAGCTTTGACCTCCTGAGCTCAAGCGATGCTCCTGCCTCAGCCTCCTGAGTAGCTGGGACTACAGGTGTGCTTCACCATGCCTGGCTAATTTTTAAAATTTTCTTGTGGAGATGAGGATTCACTATGTTGCCCAGGCTGGTCTCAAACTCAGGAAGGCTCAAGCCTCCTCATTTAAGGCTGAATAACATTCTATTGTGGGTGTATATGTGTGTGTGTGTGTGTGTGTGTGTGTGTATATATATATGTATAGATATATGTACATATATACATATACATATATATGTATATATATGCACATATATCTGTACATATACATATATGTACACACACACACCACAGTTTCTTTATCCATCTGTACATTGATGGACAAATAGGTTGTTTCCATATCTTGACTATTGTGAATAGTGCTGCAATGGACATGGAGTTGCAGATATCTTTATGAAGTGATGATTTCATTTCCTTTGGGCATATACACAGAAGAGGTATTATTGGGTCATATGATAGTTCAATTTTGTTTTTTTTTGTTTGTTTGTTTTTTGTTTTTTTTTTTTTGAGACAGAGTTTCGTTCTTGTCTCCCAGGCTGGAGTGCAATGGCGTGATCTCGGCTCACCGCAACCTCTCCCTCCCGGGTTCAAGCAATTCTCCTGCCTTAGCCTCCCGAGTAGCTGGGATTACAGGCATGCACCGCCAAGCCCGGCTAATTTTGTATTTTTTTAGTAGAGATGGGGTTTGTCCATGTTGATCTGGCTGATCTCGAACTCCCGACCTCAGGAGATCTGCCTGCCTCGGCCTCCCAAAGTTCTGGAATTACAGGCGTGAGCCACCGCACCCGGCGATAGTTCTATTTTTTTTTTTTTTTTTTTTTTGAGACAGTGTCTTGCTCTGTCCCACAGGCTGGAGTGCAGTGGTGCGATCTCGGCTCACTGCAAGCTCTGCCTCTGGGGTTCAGGACATTCTCCTGCCTCAGCCTCCCGAGTAGCTGGGACTACAGGCGCACGCCACCACGCCCAGCTAATTTTTTTGTATTTTTAGTAGAGACGGGGTTTCACTGT
Organism: Homo sapiens; assembly: GCF_000001405.40. Lineage (NCBI taxonomy): Eukaryota > Metazoa > Chordata > Mammalia > Primates > Hominidae > Homo > Homo sapiens. The sequence goes on along the minus strand of NC_000023.11, from coordinate 44,389,147 downwards.
GTTAGCCAGGATGGTCTCGATTTCCTGACCTCGTGATCTGCCCGCCTCGGCCTCCCAAAGTGCTGGGATTACAGGCGCGAGCCACTGCGCCCAGCTGATAGTTCTAGTTTCAAGTTATTTAGGAACCTCCATACTGTTTTCCGTAATGGCTGCATTAATCTACATTCTCACCAACAGTATACAAGAGTTCCCTTTTCTCTACACCTTTGCCAACACTTATCTCTTCGTTTTAATAATAGCCATCTTAACAGGTTTGATAGTGTATCTCACAATGGTTTTGATTTGCACGTCCCTGATAATTAATGATGTTGAGCACCGTTTCATGTACCTGTTAGCCATTTTTATGTCATCTTTGGAGAAATACCTATTCAAGTTCTTTGTCCATTTTTAAATTGGGTTATGTGGTTTTGCTATTTAGTTGTATGAGTTCTTTCTAAATCTTGGATATTAATCCCTTATCTGATATGTGGTTTGCCCAGGGTGCTGGCTAACTTGGTATTTAGCCTTAACTGACTCACGTATCCCCACCCCAGCCCCCATATGAGAGTGGAAGGGAGTTCAGGCGCCATCTTGCCAGGAGGGAAGACCACTGTGTTGTGCAGAGAGAGAACAGTGGTGTTACTTCTCTTACCAGAGGAGTCTTTCTTAGACATATGATTGCCCAGAAACCCAGTGATGCTCACCATCTATAGGGAGATACAAAAACAAATTATATATGACAATTACTGGAGAGGACGGGGGTATGACAGAGGATATGCTGATTCTTCTAGATGCTGTGTTCCAGCTTCTTTGTATGTTACATAACATTCTCAAGGCTCTCCCAGGTCTCTTAGCAATTAACATTTATCATTAAAATCTTATCTACAATTATACTCCCCAACATAAATTGTAGTTTCAAGCTTTTCCTGGTCTTTCCTTCCCTAAGCGCGCAAGTAATTCAGAGGCCTGCAAAATAGACTAACTCCGTAGGGGATTTGATGTCCCAAATCACACTGAAATCTCCGATTTCACCCAAATTTACCAAGAAGGTGAAGCTTTAAAATAAATCCCACTGAAGCTCAAACGTAGAGGTTGGTAAGCTGTTACTGTTAGTTTGTTCAATACTTTTAGTAACAGAAAAATTTCCCTGAAAGTAGCCAAAGAAGTAACTGGGCTCAACGACATGATGAGAGGGCCTGCTCAAAGCCATCAGAGTAACATTTGAGACATAGACATAAGGATACTTCCAGAGAAAACAAACTGTTTCTATATTTATTGGGTTGTTTGAAAAAAGTAATCTGAGGATTCTAGTATTTGGACATGCAAATCCAAATGTAGTATTCTCTATGGATTACACTGTATGACTTCTCAAAAACTGGAAGTTAAGTGTGCCACTTAAATAACTGATTTTCTTGCTAATAAAAATCCAAATTCCTAATCAAACAGGACATACTCGTTGAGTCAAATACTCTTTGGGACTAAGTTATTCAATTGTAAACTAGGCATCTTGATAATTTCTTAAAATTTTCTGGGAAATTTAGGAAAAGTATTCAGTAAGTCATTTCTTCAGGAAACAAAGTCAACTTTTGGTCTGAAAACTACATGAAGTTTACATAAGCAGAATGTAGTTGAGTTCCCAGAAGATCTCCAATCCATAAAAAATGATGGTTCTTTTTATATTATGTTCACTCCTATGTGTACACTTTTACATAACAGGGATCATCCTTTTTGTATTGTCCTATAACTTGTTAGATTTACTAAACAATATGTGGTAGATCTTTGAGTGTCAGTCACAATTAGTTGGCATCTTAACAGCTGCATAGTATTCCATTTGGATATATTTACATAACTGATCTCCTTTTGATAGATATTTAAGCCATGTTCAATTTTTCCCTATGATAAATAATATCTACCTTAATTGAGGATTTACTATGTTCCAGGTACTATTCTAAACACTTCATATATAATAACTGCTTTAATCCTCACAGTAAGAATTATAAAGTAAATATATTATTATCCCATTGTTGATGAAAAAACTGAGGTGAGAGAGGTAAGCAACTTGTCCAAGATTGTTCAGGTAGTAAGCAGCTACAGTATCAGTATTGATGATCAAACTCAACACCCTTTCCCAACCCTTTCTCCTTTATCCACCTCCACCATTACACTAGAAAAACACCTTCTTTGCAGCTGGGAGAAGTCAATGAGACATACAAAGAAGTCTGCCGGGAGCTTCTTGAAAGACTTTGCATTTCTTGCAGTCTTGAACATGGAAGAGATAATTTAAGATGATGCAGCTATCTCACCATCTTGCAAGTATAAGGAAAAGGTCAAGGGCATTGCAGAGATGCTAGACCTGACATTGTTAAGCTTGAAACCAATGTCAGGAGCTGCCTGCTTTTAGACTTCATATAATGTGAGAAAAATGAACTCCTATTTAAACCATTGCTGATTTGCTTTTCTGTAACTTGCTCCTAAAGCATTCCTACCTGATACGTAGTCATCTGTGCACATCCTCCTATATACTTTAAATAATCTCTAAATTACCTACAATATTTAGTACAATGTAAATGCTATGTAAATAGCTGTTGTACTGTATTGGTTTTTTATTTGTATTATTTTTATCATTGTATTATTATTCTTTATCTCTCTCTCTTTTTTTTTTTTTTTTTTTGAGACAGAGTCTCGCTCTGCCACCCAGGTCGGAGTGCAATGGCACAATCTTGGCTCACTGCAACCTCTGCTTCCCAGGTTCAAGGGATTATCCTGCCTCAGCCTCCTGAGTAGCTGAGATTACAGGTGTGTGCCACCATGCCTGGCTAATTTTTGTATTTTTAATAGAGACGGGGTTTCACCATGTTGGTCAGGCTGGTCTTGAACTCCTGACCTCGTGATCCACCTGCTTCAGCCTCCCAAAGTGCTGGGATTACAGGCATGAGCTACCGTGCCCGGCCATCTCTATTTTTAAATATTTCCCGTCTGCAGAACCCATAGATAAGGAGGGCCAACTGTATTCTTGAAGTGGAGCAGGGACTTGGGTCAGGTGGTCTGCATCCAAAACCCATGTTCTTAATCTCTGCACTGTTGTGCACATTTGTATATCTAAACAAGCTGGGACAAACATCTCTGTGCACACATACCGTTACAAGAAAGAGGTCCCAATCCAGACCCCAAAAGAGGGTTCTTAGATCTTGTGCAAGAAAGAATTTCGGGTGAGTCCATAGAGTAAAGTGAAAGTAAGTTTATTAAGAAAGTGAATAAATAGGGCCCAGCACGGTGGCTCACACTTGTAATCCCAGCACTTTGAGAGGCTGAGGTGGGTGGATCACGAGGTCAGGAGATGGAGACCATCCTGGCTAAAACGGTGAAACCCCGTCTCTACTAAAAATACAAAAAATTAGCCAGGCGTGGTGGCACACGCCTGTAATCCCAGCTACTCGGGAGCTTGAGGCAGGAGAAGTGCTTGAGCCCAGGAGGCAGAGGTTGTAGTGAGCCGAGTTTGCGCCACTGCTCTCCAGCCTGGGCTACAGAGTGAGACTCCGTCTCAAAAAAAAAAAAAAAAGAAAGTAAAGAAATAAAGAATGGCTACTCCATAGGCAGAGCAGCAGCATGGGCTGTTCACTGATTATACTTATTGTTACTTCTTAATTATACGCTAAACAAGAGGCAGATTATTCATGAGTTTTCCCAGAAAGGGGTGGGCAATTCCATGGCATTTGTAAACTGTCATGGTGCCGGTAGGAGTGTCTTTTAGCATGCTAATGCATTATAATTAGCGTATAATGAGCAGTGAGGACAATTAGAGGTCACTTTCATTGCCATCTTGGTTTTGGTGGGTTTCAGCTGGTTTCTTTACCTTATGATGTTTTACCAGCAAGGTCTTTGTGACCTGTATTTTGTGCCGACCTCCTATCTCATCCTGTGACTTAGAATGCCAAACCTCCTGGGAATGCAATCCAGTAGGTCTCAGCCTCATTTTACCTAGCCCCTATTCCAAGATGGAGTCACTGTGGTTCAAATGCCTCTGACAATACCACTTCTCTTGCTGTTTTATTAAGGAAGACAAGTTTCCAGGATTACCTATCAGACACTCTACTTGTGTCCAAACCAAACAGTATAGATAAAGGATGGGGGAGATAAGTTTCAGCAGCAGCATGCGTGAGAACGATTGAAGTAATTTAGTATAAAGAACATTCCTTGAGTCATCTGTGTGATGCTGAAAATCTAACTTGACCTGAGGTGTATGTAGAGAATTGTGATGTCTCCATGGAAATGCGGTGTTTAGCTCTGACAACACAAATGAAGACATTTTCTGACAACAATATGCTGAGTGAAAGAAGCCTTACAATAAAGAATGCTGTCTTATCACAGGTGCATTGAGAGGCAGACACCAAGACAACATTAAATGGGTAAAAATTTTATCAAGGAAAATGACCAAGAGAGAAATAGAGAGGGAGCTGGGAAAAGCTGGGAGAACTGAATCTTTCCAACTGCTTATAAAAGCTTTGACTAGGCCCTTGGGTAATCAAGAGAGCAGCCTGGGCTGGGCACGGTGGCTCACGCCTGTAATCCCAGAACTTTGGGAGGCCGAGGCAGGTGGATCACCTGAGGTCGGGAGTTCGAGACCAGCCTGACCAACATGGAGAAACCCCATCTCTACTAAAAATACAAAACTAGCCAGCTGTGGTGGCACATGCCTGCAATCCCAGCTACTCAGGAGGCTGAGGCAGGAGAATTGCTTGAACCCGGGAGTCAGAGGTTGCAGTGAGCCGAGATCGCACCACTGCATTCCAGCCTGGGCAACAAGAGCAAAACTCTGTCACACACACACACACACACACACACACACACACACACACACACACACGAGCAGCCCAGAAGATGGGCCACCAAGGATTTACCAACAGGGTAGGAGGGCACCTATTTCTTTGCCCTTGTTTTCCCCAGGAAGCAACATATGAATGGAGGAGGAAGTTTGGGTCTAAGGAAAGTAATAAAGTGTTATTATTACTATTTTGCATAATAACAGGAGGCTTGCAAATCAGTGCAATCAAGAATTAAGAAGGAAAAGATTTTTTGTAGAAATATTTTAAAACATTTAAAAGTAATGTGGTGGTGGAAGTGGTGGTGGTATGTGAGACAAAGAGAGGGAGAGAAAGATCCATTCACCAGCTCCCTGTTAGATAAACGAGATTGAGAAGACACTGTGCCGTGCTCTCTGATACCAGCCTGGGAACACCCACATCTGCCCTGAGCAGCTGTGCAGGGCTTGGAGTCACTTTGGAGCAAATCATCCGGGAGAGAGGGGCTTCATATATAGCCAACCCTTTCTTATCTACCAGGTGACTTACTGGGGTTAGACACAGCTTAGTACAGTTTTAACATAGATTCTCATTCTGAAAAGTAAGGATAATCTGTTATCTCCCTTTTAAATGCATCTAAATGCTTTAACTATAATGAAGGTTTACTTCAAGAAATTTGTAAATCTTCTTTCATGTATAGTTCAAATCTATGTCTAAGGGACTCATCCACGGTGAAAACAGAAAGCAGCTATTGATCATCCTTCATACCATTGTGTTTCTTGTGCTTGGAAGCTTTTATTTTTTTATTTTTAAATTCCTACCTTTCATTTTTCTCCCTTCTTAGATAATTAATCCCAGTTTCTCAAGTTTAGTCCTTTCTTTTAAATCTTGGGCCTTTGAATTCTAGTAAAGTGCTTTGCCTCTTGAGGTTACACTTTCTTTTTCAGGGAAGTTACAGAAAGATTACATTGTTCACGTGAAAGTTGTTAAAAGGTTTAACAGTCTCTTTGCCTTTTATGTCCATTTCTAGGTTCCTGTCTTGTTGAGAACAGCTATACTGTTTTGTCAATTACCTTGTTTGTTTTTCCAAAAATAAATTTACATTCTCATTGAGTTTTCAGGAAAGTTGTTTGGAGTACAGGGCCAGGATGAAGACAAGGCAAGAAGGCCCTCATCCTGACCCTGCTAGGGTGGTTTAAATATGGTTTTGACCAGAGGCCTGGAGATGAAATACATAACCCTCTGGGTTCTCTCTTGCTTCATGGATCATGGATCATCACTGACCTATGTTCATGCTATTCTGTTGAATCAGGCATGTTCAATAAACAACATTGACTCTGGGGGAAAAAGAATTGCTTCTTAAGGAATACAGGACCTGTAAATATTAAAGGAACGTTTTCTCTCACAGGGATTGTGGTCAACCAAACTCTCTCCAGTGGGAAGTGAATTAACTCAGAGCATCAATCTAATTAGAAAAGCCATAGCAATGGTCCTCAAGAGAGGAAGACCTGGAACAAAATCACCCAGGGAACTACACACATTGCTTCTCCCCTTCTCCCTACCCTCCAGGGTCTGATGGGGGTGAGCATGGCCCAGGGGAAATGGGCACCAGTGGTTTTGACATGTTTCCCAGGCAACGCAGAGAGGCAGCTCTCCCTCACCCAACTGGGAATCACTGGGCAAGAGACATACCCAGTGTTACTTATGAAAGTTTAAGATACATACTCTTGATTTTACTAGTAGAAATTTATTATGCAGAAACACTTATACATTCATTCAAAGATAAATGTGCAAGAATGGGAATTACAGCACTCTGTAATAGTAATGTTAATAATAATAATAATAACCTTGATGTACATTAGTAGTGGACTGGTTAAATTTATGGTTTAGCCATACTGTGGAATTCTGTGCCTTGGTTAGAAAAAATGAGGTCGGCCAGGCACGGTGGCTCACACCTGTAATCCTAGGACTTTGGGGGGCCTAGGTGGGCGGATCACTTGAGGTCAGGAGTTCAAGACCACCCTGGCCAACATGGTGAAACCCCCATCTCTACTAAAAATACAAAAATTAGCCGGGCATGGTGGTGCACACTTGTGATCCCAGCTATTCAGGAGGCTGAGGCAGGAGAATTGCTTGAACCTGGGAGGTGGAGGGTGCAGTGAGCTGAGATCATGCCATTGCACTCCAGCCTGGGCAATAGAGCCAGACTCCGTCTCAAAAAAAAAAAAAAAAAAAAACAGAAAAGAAAAAATGAGGTCGATCTTTATGGTTCCAATTTTAGTATATGTGCTGCCAAAGCAAGCATGTGTTCGATCTTTATGCACTAACATGGAGTGATCGCCAAGGTATACAGTTGGGTGGATAAAGTAAGTGGCAAAATGATATGTATAATGTGATATTTTTGTAAAACAAACAAGAACAACTAGATTCTTTGTATACATGTTTAAGTGTATAAAAAATTATGGCAAGAGATACACAAATTCCTAGCACTGGTTGCTTAGAAGATGAAAGTAGAATAGGGTGGAACTTTCGATTTTTAAAGTGGACTTTGGAATTTGAACTTTTTTTTACAACTAAAATTTATTCATGAATTATTTTTGTCCAGTGAAAAAGTCAATTAAAAAAAAATTAGGCTGGGTTCAGTGGCTCATGCCTGTAATCCCAGTACTTCGAGAGGCCAAGGCAGAAGGATCATTTGAGCCCAGGAGTTCAAGACCAGCCTGGGCAACATAGCAAGATCCCATCTCTAAAAAAAAAAAAAAATAGCTGGGCATGGTGGTGCATGCCTGGAGTCCCAGCTACTCGGGAGACTGAGGTAGGAGGATTGCCTAAGCCCAGGAGGTTGAGGCAGCAGTGAGCTGTGATTGTGTCCTACACTCCAGCCTGGGCAATACAGCAAGGCTCTGTTTCTAAAAAAAAAAAAAAAAAGAAAGAAAAAGAAAAAGAAAAGAAAAGAAAAAATGCCCGATAAGTTTCCTTTGCCTCACGTGGTCCTCAATCTCTTCTCCATTACCCTTATGAGCCTCAAGATGACCCTGAGAGGTAGCATTTTCCAGATTTTATCCAAGCCAATCATGATCTCTCTGTTTTGTTTGTTTGTGTGTGGCGGGGGAGTGGGGGAGGTTGAGAAAGATTCTCACTCTGCCACCCAGGCTGGAGTGTAGTGGTACAATCACGGCTCACTGCAGCCTCCATCTCCCAGATTCAAGTGATCCTCCCACCTCAGCCTCCTGAGTACTTGGGACTGTAGGTACATGTCACTGTGCTTGGCTAATTTTTAAATTTTTTTATTATGTAGAGACAAGGTCTCACTATGTTGTCCAGGCTGGTCTTGAACTGGGCTCAAGTGATCTTCCTGCCTCAGCTTTCCAAGGTGCTGGGATTATCAGCATAAGCCACGGTGCCGGGCCTCTCTGTTTTGAATACAGCTTAAAATGCGGACTTAAATTACGAATAAGTAATTCTTAGTCACAACAGGTCAGGCCCACATAATCCCCCACTGGGATTAGCCAGCATCTTCCCAAATGGACTCAATGTCTTCCATTCCAACCCCCTTTAGTGTGTCCCAAGAGATATTTCTTCCTAACATAAACCTCAACACATCTCTTTCTTGCTTAAAATTCTTCCGGGATTAAACATTGCCTACAGGACAATATCAAAATTCGCAAGCATAGTTTCCAAGTCCCTACACAATCTGGCCTCTGACAATGTTTTCAGTTTTACCTCCTGCCACTTGCCCTACCCTTTGGCAAGCTAAGTTAGTGACAATTCCTTGAATATGCCATTTGTTTTCATTCTTTGGGTCGCTGTACATGTGGAATATTGGGGTTTCTCTGATGAATTCCTACTTATCTTTCTAAACTGAATTCATGTATCTGAAACCTTTTCTGATCCACTTAAACTCTATCTCCTCTACTTACTCCATGTCCTGTATACCTGGTGCTTTAGACATTTGTGTTTTTTTAACCTGTTTTATTTTTATTTTGTTGTTGTTGTTGTTTTGTTTTGTTTTGAGACGGAGTCTCACTCTGTCGCCCAGGCTGGAGTCTAATGGTGCGATCTTGGCTCATTGCAACCTCTGCCTCCTGGGTTCAAGCCATACTCCTGCTTCAGCCTCCTGAGTAGCTGGGATTACAGGCTCTCGCAGCCACTCCCAGCTAATTTTTTTATATTTTTAGTAGAGACAGGGTTTCACCATGTTGGCCAGGCTGGTCTCGAACTCCTGACCTCAGGTGATCCACCCACCTCGGCCTCCCAAAGTGCTGGGATTACAGGTGTGAGCCACTGTGCCCAGCCTTTTTAACCTGTTTAATTGTCCTATTAGACTTTTAACTCCTTGAGCACAGTGACTTTGTTTTCTTTAATATTTGTATCTCCAATACCCAGAAGGCATATGATAGACATTAAATAAATGTTTAGTCCACGAATAAATAAAAAATGAATACATAGTCAATTTAAATAAATTTGGGGAAGATAAGGATTTGAAGAAGAGCATGTGCAAGAGAGTCATTATTTGAAATAATCTCCCAGGAGTAAAAGTTGAAGGCCATTGATCTGCAAGATTTGGGCACCAGATGATATAGAAGAATTCTCAGGAAGTAAGAGCCTTATTTGAATAAGATGTGATTATGATTGATTTCAAATATTTCTTTGCCTTGGAAGCTTTGACTTTGCTTTATATAGGATTGTATGTTACAGACACATCAACTACACAGCAAAGAAAAAAAGAGGTAAAAATCAGACCCATACGCAAACTCAGTACTAAAAATGTAGTTGCAATTCCACACACAACAGATGAGGTGTGGACTTAAAAAAAAAAAGTGACTGAAGTGAAGAAGAAATGTTGCCCAGAGGTGTATTTTTATTTTTGTTATTTTACTAAGTACCTGCATATAAAAATTGATATTAAAAGCAGCTGAAGCAAATTCTAATGGGTGGGGAATGATTTTAAAACAGAAACAGTGGGCCACTGCACTTTCTTGTAATTACTCATCTGGGTAAGGGCTTCAAAATGTATTAGCCATAAAGGAAAGACTTCAGACAGACATCTGCAACCCAAAATGCTTAGGCTGTTTCAATTATGATGACTATTTTAAGTATTCACTCACTCACTCTCTCTCTCCCTTTTTTTTTTTTTTTTTTTTTGAGATGGAGTCTTGCTCTGTCACCCAGGCTGGAGTGTGGTGGCGTGATCTCACCTCACTGCAACCTTCACCTCCCAGGATCAGTCGCTTCTCCTGCCTCAGCCTCCCAAGTAGCTGGGATTACAGGCACCCGCCATCACACCTGGCTAATTTTTTCCTTTATATTTTTAGTAGAGATGGGGTTTCACCATGTTGGCGAGGGTGGTCTCGAACTCCTGACCTCAAATGATCCACCCACCTTGGCCTCCCAAAGTGCTGGGATTACACCGTTTCCGATCCTTCTTTCTCTCTCTCTCTCTCTCTCTCTCTCTCACACACACACACACACACACACACCCTCAAGGCCCAAATATATGTTGATTCATTTTACTAAAAGGCCTTTGCTTTAGATCTTAAGAGATGGGAATAATGACACAAGCCACGAGGAGAGAAAAAAAAGCACCCATGAGATAAACTGTTACCTCAGTGCAGTAAAGAGTTAACATAGAGTCCTAACTGCTTATCCTTAGAAAGGCTTGCTCACAAGGTTGGCTCTTAGCTGGTATCCCAGAACTTGAATTTCAGGAGGGTTCCCACCATTTCTAGAATTGGTAAGAGTGGCTCACTGTGCCTAAACTTCATGCAAGCAATGCGGTTTATGCTGAACATCTATCTGCTTTCCTTCTGGGAGTCTGGAATTTGGGTACCTGCCAGGCAAGGGGTACTTCCATGACCAGCCCCCCAGGAAAAGCCCTGGGTGCTGAATTTCTAATAAGCTTCCCTGGTAGACATTTCAGAACTCATTGCTGGGGAAATCAAGTACATCCCTTGTGACTCCACTGGGTGAAGATTCTTGGAAGCTTGCTCCTGGTTTCCTCCAGACTTCACCCCCATGTGCCTTTTGCTTTTGCTGATTTTGCTTTGGGTCTTTTGGCTGTGATATATCCGCACCATGAGTATAACGGTATGCTGAGTCCTGTAAGTCCTCCTAGCAAATTATGGAAACTGAGGATAGTCTTTGGGGTCCCCCACTCCTCCAACAGCAGTTTGGATGCTTTTACAACCTTACTTGAAAATTATTCTTATTTAATACTCTCATACCCTCTCCTAGCATATTTTCCTCTTGGATGTGCTGCAAATATCCAGTCACAGAAGAGCCGGCGTTTAAAAACAAATTTCATTGTTACATACATAGTCCTACAAAACAAAATATAGCTAGAAGTTAAAATTTCCCCCCAAATAAGCCAGCCATTTCTGTCTAAACTTAAAGTATTAGAATATTGTAACTGACTTGATGAAAAAATCCATAGGCACTTGCCACCTTTTGGGAATATTCTGTTTCCCTGTCAAGTCACCTGCCAGACTTTCTAAAAAAGAGGAATGTCTGAGATTTCTTTTTTTCTCTTTCCCACCTGGCAAATCTCTACTCAGCCATTGTGTTAGTCTGTTCTTGCGTAGGTATAAAGGAATACCTGAGCCTGGGTAATTTATAAAGAAAAGAGATTTATTTGGCTCACGGTTCTGCAGGCTATAGAGGAAGCATGGTGCTGGCATCTGTTTCTGGTGCAGCCTCAGCAAGCTTCCAATCATGGTGGAAGGCGATGGGAAGCCAGCATGTCATATGGTAAGGGTGAGAGCAAGAGAGAGGGGAAGGTGCCACACGCTTTTAAACAGCCCAATCTTGCATGAATTAACTGAGTTAGAAGTCATTCATTACTTCAAGGAGGCACCAAGCCATTCGTGAGGGATCTGGCCACGTGACCCCAACACCTCCCACTAGGCCCCACCTCCAACATTGGGGATCATATTTCAACATGAGACGTGGAGGGGACAAACATCCAAACCATATCAGCCTTCAAAATTTATTTCAGATGTCTCCTCCTCAGTGCAGTCTTCTTTTGTAAAAAAAAATTTAACTTTTATTTTAGATACAGAGGGTACATAGGCAGATTTGTCACATGGGAATAGTGTGTGATGCTGAGGCTTGGAGTATGGATCCCATCACCCAGGTAGTAAGCATAGTACCCAATAGATAGTTTTTCAACCCTTGCTGCCCCCTCCCTCCCCGCTTTGGTAGTTCCCAGTGTCTATTGTTCTCATCTTTAAGTCCATGTGTACCCAGGGTTTAGCTCCCACTTATAAGGGAGAACATTTGGTTTTTTGTTCGCACATTAATTCGCTTAGGAGTATGGTCTCCAACTGCATCCATGTTGCTGCAAAATACATGATTTCATTCTTTTTTATGGCTGTGTGGGATTTTATGATGTATATATACTACATTTTCATTATCCAATCTACAATTTATGGGCACTTGGGTTGATTCCATGTCTTTGCTATTGTGAATAGTGCAGCAAAGAACATATGAGTACATGTATCTTTTTGGTAGAATAACTTATTTTCCTTTGAGTAGATACCCAGTAATGGGACTGCTGGATCGAATGGTAGCTCTGTTTTAAGTTCTTTGAGAAATCTCCAGACTGCTTTCCACAGTGGCTGGACTAATTAGCATTCCCACCAACAGTGTATACGCATTCCCTTTTCTCCACAACCTTGCCAGCATCTGCTGTTTTTTGACTTTTTAATAATAAACATTCTGATTGGTGTGCGATAGTATCTCATTGTGGTTTTGATTTGCATTTATCTGATGATTAGTGATGTTGAGCATTTTTTTCATATGTTTGTTGCCTGCTGATATGTCTTATTTTGAGAAGTGTCTGTCCGTGTCCTTCACCCATTTTTAATGGGGTTATTTGGGTGTTTTTTTTTTGCATGTTGTTTAAGTTCCCTATAAATTCTGGAAAATGAAATACCTAGGAGTATAGCTAACCGAGGAGGTAAAAGATCTCTACAAGAAGAACTAAAAAACACTGCTGAAAGTAATCAGAGATGACACAAATAAATGAAAAAACATTCCATGCTCATGGATTGGAAGAATCAATATCATAAATATGGCCATACTGCCCAAAGAAATTTATAGATTCAATGCTATTCCTATCAAGCTACCAACGTTATTCTTCACAGAATTAGAAAAAAAAAACCTATGATAAAATTCATACAGAACCAAAAAAGAGCCTGAATAGCCAAAGCAATCTTAAGTAAAAAGAACAAAGCAGGAGGCATCACACTATCCAACTTTAAGCCATAATATAAAGCCCAGTAACCCAAACAGCTTGGTACTGGTACAAAAACAGACACATAGACCAATGGAACAGAATAGAAAACTCAGAAATAAAGCCACACACCTACAACCATCTGATCTTTCACAAGGCTGACAAAAACAAGCAATGGGGAAAGGATCCTCTATTCAATAAATGGTACTGGGATAACTGGATAGCCATATGTAGATTGAAGCTGGACTCCTACCTTTCACCATATACAAAAATTAACTCAAAATGGATAAATATTTAAATAAAAAACCTCAGATGATAAAAATCCTTGGCTGGGCACAGTGGCTCACACCTGTAATCCCACCACTTTGGGAAGCTGAGGCAGGTGAATCACTTGAGCCCAGGAGTTCAAGACCAGCCTGGGCAATATGGCAAAACCCCATCTCTACAAAAAATACAAAAATTAGTAGGGTGTGGTGGCTTGTGCCTGTAGTCCCAGCTACTCAGGAGGCTGAAAGGATCACTTGAACCTGGGAGGTGGAGGTTGCAGCGAGCCAAGATCGTGCCACTGCACTCCAGCCTGGGCAACTGAACAAGACCCTGTCTCGAAAAGAAAAAGAATAAAAAAAAGGAAAAGAAAATAAAATCCTATAAGACAACCTAGCAAATACTCTTCTCAACATTGGCCTTGGCAAATAATTTTTGGCTAAGTCCCCAAAAGCGATTGCAACAAAAACAAAAATAGACAAGTGGGACCTAATTAAACTAAAGAGCTTCTGCACAGCAAAAGAAACTATCGGCAGAGTAAACAGACAACCTACAGAATGGGAGAAGATATTTGTAAACTCAGAGAGGCCTTCTAAACACCGCCAGGCTAAGTGGGTCCTTCCTTTATCACTTTGCACGTTGTATTTTGTGCCCACCTCTTCTGTATACTGATCATGTTACATTAAGATGGCTTCTCTCTCTCTCTCTCTCTCTCTCCAGAACTTTGAGGTTCAAGACTATATCTAACGATCCACCAATTCCCAAAGCATACCTAAGTAGGTGACACAAAGCAGGGACCCAGAGATGATTGTTTACCATAGGGGAGGAAAAACTTCTTCCACCCTCTTAGTGTCTCTGGCTGGGTCTAAAAACTGAACTGACAAAGTGAAATTAACAGGAAAAAAATCACACAAATGTATTTAATGTAAGTTTTATGTGACATGGAACCTTCGTAAGGAAATAAAAACCCAAAGAAACTGTTAAACCTGAGCAGTCCTTTCTGTACCTGCTGTTTCTCAAATTCCTTCGGCTTAAAACATTGAACATGCCAAGGTGCCATATTTTGGGGATAGTGTGTTCTGAACTCCATCATCGCATAATATTAAATGAATCATTAGGCATCTATTTAATTCATAGATCAAATATATTTGTGTTTGAGGGACACAAATCTTTTACGAATTGTGGTACTCTGAGATATAACTGAACGATCTTGAAAATTTTTTGAAAACTGTAGAGCATTATATTACTTTTGATTTTTAGTAATTATCATCATCATTGAGAGTTTGTATTATTATTATTACTGTATAAAAACACAAGTCCTGGAATTTTGAAAATCTGAAGTTGAGCATTACTGTTCTAGCTGTTGCTGTGGAGCCAGACAATATCTCATTACACAATATTTCATCTTTTTAGAAACTGACCAAACATGATCACAGAGGAAGCAGCAAAGGGCTAACAGTTGTACTACTTTAAGGCAAACCAGGTAACAAGAAAGTACTATGGGCCAGTGGCTCTGGTCTCTTAAAGATCAACAAGGACCTCCTACTTAGCAAATACAGTGGCCTTTTCACCTTCAACTCTCTGCAGTGTCTGAAGCTGTTGCCTTCCTGTTTCTTGAGAGACTCTCTTTCTTTGCTTTCTAGGACTCTGCACTCTATTATCCACCTTCCAGTTTTTCTGTCCCTTCTCTACTTTCTTCTGTGGCTTTCCTTCCACCTCCCACCCCTTAAATGTGTTCATTCCATGATATTCTATCCATAGCCCTCTTTTCTTTCTATTCCCTCCCTTAGGAAATAAGATAGTTAACAATTATTAAGCATTTACTATTTAGTTTAATCCTCAGACTATGGTATAGGTAATATCTCCATTTAAAGATGAGGAAACTGAGGCCCAAAGAGGCTAGGTAAGCAGTCCAAGACCACATTACTCATGAGGATAGAGGCTGGGATTGAAACTCAGACAATCTGGTTTCAGAGTCCAGGCTCTTAACCACTCCATCACTCTTTCTAGGCAGCATCTATGAAGCAGGACCCTTTGGTTCAGTCTGGAAACCATTTGTAGTAGAATGCTGAGTCTGGAAGACCTGAGGATTGGCTGGTTTCTTGTGAATTCCTGAAAGGAATCTCGATCTCAAAATCAGTTTATTTAAAACAGAAGCCGCCATTTACTCTGAAGTTGTGAGACCAGGCAATTGAAAAATTCTTGGCAACACTGATCTCACACTTGTTTCCCTTATGACTTTCCTGTCTCTGTTATTAATGCTACTGTTCATGCTTTCATCAGACACCAAATCTGAGTTATCTTCGGGTCTTTCTCTTTCATTTTCCAAATCCAATCTGTTGTTTAGTTTTGAACATTCATGTATATAATTTGTCTTCCATATTCACTTCAAATCTCCCTTGTTATTTCTCATCTGTTCTCATATGTTTGTAATAATCTCCCAACCTGTCCACCTGCCTCATTTTACCTTCCTTTACCATTCTATAGAGTAGATCTCTACTGGCTGATAAATAATAGCCTCACTCCTTAGCCTCACTTATAAGCCACTTCTCAGTTTGGTGTCAAATCATCACATTCTCAGCCTTATCCTATCCCCAACTCCAACCCAACTGTTCTACCTGTCAATTCTTTTTATGTTTTGTTTTGTTTTTGTTTTTGAGACAGAGTCTCACTCTGTTGCCCAGGCTGGAGGGCAGTGGTGCAACCTCAGCTCACTGCAACCTCCGCCTCCTGGGCTCAAGCGATTCTCCCACCTCAGTAGCTGGGACTATAGGTGCACACTACCAAGTAGCTGGGACTACAGGCACACACCACCAAGTAGCTGAGACTGCAGGAGTGCACCACCAAGCCCAGTTAATTTTTTGGATTTTTAGTAGAGATGGGGTTTCACCATGTTGGCCAGGCTGGTCTCGAACTCCCGACCTCAGGAGATCCACCCTCCTTGGACTCCCAAAGTGCTGGGATTACTGGCATGAGCCACCATGCCCGGCCTCCTGTCAATTCTTGAATGAGTCTTGGGCTTTTCCTTATGTTTTTCCTTTTATCTGGAATGTTCTTTTCACCATGTCCACATATTGGAAGTCCACTCACTCTTTAAGGCCATTCTCTAATGCCAACCCCATTCATTAAGTCATCCATCCATCCATTCATCTATCCACCCTTCTTTCCTTCCTTCCTTTCCTTTCCTTCTTTCTTGTTTTCTTTTCTTTTCTCTTTCTTTCTTTCTTTTCTTTTCTTTCTTTCATCAAATATTTAATGTCAGACACTGCTCTAGGTTATCAGTGCAAACATGTCCAAGGCTTAGCCTTGCCCTCCAGATATCCATAGTCCCACAGGGAAGAGAGATGGGTAATATAGAGCATGCTATAATCCACACATGCACATGGTGGCAAGGGAAGAGAGCAAGCAGATCAGCTAACTCTTCTGAAGGGGATAAAGGAGGAAGGCATAATGATGGAGGCTTAACAGATAAGTTGTTTGAGTTCCATGACTGTATCAATTCAAAGTAACCTCTTAACCCTCCACTTACTTTAGGTAAGACATAGACATCACAACCATCACGCATTGCATAATACCAGGCACACTGTCATCTTTTGTGAAAAATATTTAAGGGAGGAATGAACACATTTCTACCAGATTGTAAGTTCCTGAAAAGCGGGGGTGGTGGTTCTCTTAGATTGCATGCTGTAAAGTGCCCACTAAGTAATCCTTCAATTAGGTACATCTGTTAAATGCCATTGATTGGAATTAACTTTTCAGTTGGGCACATCTGAATGCAGTGGAAAGCTTATTTCAGGATTTAAGAAATATTTGCATCACTTTAAAGGAGCTTATTAAATTCTAAAAAAACATCCAATTTAAAAGCCTTTTTATTGAACCAAGAGTGAAAGTAATGAAAACCAATTTCGTGAAGTTAAAAAAACAGTGAGACTCTTAATAATAATTGTTTTTGAACTCCCTATTGCTTGACTCAATACATTTTGTCTCTAGGTAAAACTTTTCCATCCTCCTGGGAACTCCCTAGCCAATCCCAAAGTTACACAATAATTGAAGTTGTTAACTACTCTGCCAAGTGCAGATCATTTGCCTGGGAGTTTGAATCACTTTTAAAACTTGCTAATATTGCTTGTGGTGAAGGAACACTTCATGGATGGTTCAGAAAATTCCTGCAGATTCACTTCAGGTTTTTTTCTCAAGTTAAATTAAACTATTATTAAATTTCATATGTTTTGTTAGACATAGCATGTCTAGTCCAACTGTATTCTTATGAAATTACTTCGGGGTGTCTGGATGTGTTATATTCTCTATATCCATCATTGGATCTGTTGACATTGGCTAATTCCACCTGATGAGACTCTGGGGGATTTGTACTTTGATGTATTTCTTGAGTTTTTAAAAATAAAGAGCATTTCTCATTTTTATAAAATCAATTATGTCATTACTTGATTTAAAAAATTTTACTCTCTGTGTTTCAGATTCAATTCAGACAACAAAAGCCTATTGAGTTTCTACTATATGCTAAGATGCAACGTTGAACAGGATGGGGTCTATTCCCTCAAGGACTTTTTAGCTCAGCTGGAGAGAAAAACATATTCATGGACAAAACATGTATGCTGGCAGTATGCACAGGGGACAATGGGAACAGAGGAGGAGGTCTCTTAGAAGAGAGAGCCCTGGCATGACAAGGAGGACAAATAGTAATTGACCAGGAGGCTGGGGGCAGGAAAGGCAGAGGTTCCAGCATGAGCGAAGGGTTAGAGATAAGAAACGACGTGGTTTATATGGCTCACTGCAAGCCTCGCTAGGATTACTGGTGAATAACGTGCTTTTTGAGACAAGGTCTTGCTCTGCCACCCAAGCGATCTTCTCACCACAGCCTCCTGAGTAGCTGGGACTACAGGCGCCCAGTTCATTTCTATACATTTTGTGGATAGATACAGTCAGTATAGGTACAGTGCTGGGTATAGTCAGTATGGAAAGATACTAGAGAGGTGTCCAAAGGCCAGCTCAAGAAGGGCTTCTTCGCTACTCCAAGCCAGCCATGCCATGCTAGGGAGCTTAGCAGGAAATGAGGCACCATGGAAGGGTTGTGAAAAAGAAAGTGACGTGGTCAGATTTGCAATTTAGGTAAATCATTCAGGTGGTACCAGGTATGGATGCGAGGCAGGCAAGACTAGAAGCTGAGACCGCTTGGGAGGTCTTTTGCTACGATTCTTAGATTGAATTAAAGCAATGAAAGCAGGAGTAGAGAAATGAGTGGTGGGTTTGAAGCATATTTTAGTGGGTGGAATTACCAGGGCTTGGTGTTTGATTGCTGTGGAGGGTGAGAGGAGAGCCATAGGTTCATCCTCAGGTTTCTGGTTGTGTGTCTTTTGCTGAGATGAAAGACAGGAGATAAATTTCAGGGGAAAGTGTAATGAGCACTGTTTTGGACTTTTTGGATTACAGGGGCCAATGGACCACCCAAGCGGGCCCATGCAGCAGGAATTTGGATGGGGTATTCTGTAGGGGAGGAAAAAATATTTTTTTTCTTCTACCCTCCTAGGTTCTCTGTTTGGGGCTCAATAAATTAGGTTGACAAAAGACAGATTAACAAGAGAAAAGCATACATATTAACTAAATATAAGTTTTATATGACATGAGAGTCTTCAGAAGGAAATGAAGAGCAAAGAAATCATTAAACCTGAGCATCTTTATACTGGTGTGATAAAGAGTGAAGAGTCATGAAAAAGTGTGATAAGATAAAGCGGTATAAGCTAAGGATAGTTAACCGGGGGAAATTTAGCAAGGCCTGTTCATTTGGATTCTTCTTGGTGTCCCATCTTCGGAGATAAGGATGCCTCTTTCTTCTAGGTCTAGGGAGGGCACCTCTCACATGAGGGTCTTCAGACCTGCTTCAGGGGAAGGTCAGAGAGTCCTTTCTGTACCTGCTGTTTCTCAAATTCTTTCAGCTTAAAATATTCAATATGCCAAGGTGCCATACTTTGGGGTAGCATGTTTTGAGCCCTATTGATTCTAAAGCTTAGGGGACATTTCTGGGCTAGGGCATAGATTAGGAAGCACTTATGGTTAAGTGCATGAGGTCAAGTCGTATCAATCAGAGAGCATGTTAAGAAGTTATAGACTGAGGATGAGAATCAGGGAGATTGAGAGAGGAGCGTGAAGGAGACACAGAAATAACATTCAGGGGTCATGAAAAGAGGCCCCAGAGAGTGCAATGCTATTGAAGCTGGGGCACTAGGGACTTTCTAGGAGGAACTAGTGGACCCCAGTGTCAACTGCTTCAGGACAATCTAGAAGGTAAAGACAGTAAATGTCTGGGCCAGGCACAGTGGCTCATGCCTGTAATCCCAGCATTTTGGGAGGCCTAGGCAGGTGGACCGCTTGAGGTCAGGAGTTCAAGAACAGCCTGGCCTACAAGGTGAAACACTGTCTCTACTAAAAATACAAAATTTAGCCAGGAGTGGTGGCATGCACCTGTAATCCCAGCTACTTGGGAGGCTGAGGCAGGAGGATCGCTTGAACCTGGGAGGTGGAGGTTGCAGTGAGCCAATATCGTGACACTGTACTCCAGCCTGGGTGACAGAGTGAGACACTGTCTTAAAAAAAAAAGACAGTAAAATGTCCATTGGGTTTGACAATCAGGGGTTCATTTGTAACCTTTGTCAGAGAGGTTGCAGCAGGTGAAAATAAATATTCTAACCTTGACCTGCACGAGGGCAGGCCTATGGGTAATGGGAGATTTATTTCCCAACTTAAGCCAGTCCAAGTCAATTAAGCATCTTTATACAGTCATGTGTTGCTTAACAACAGGGATAGGTTGTGAGAAATGCATCATTAGGGTGATAGGGTGCGGACATCATAGAGTGTCCTAACACAAACCTAGATGGTATCGCCTACTACACACCTAGGCTATATTGTATAGCTTATTGCTCCTAGGCTACAAACCTGTGCAGCATGTGACTCTACTGAATACTGTAGACAACTGTCACACAATGGTAAGTATTTGTATTTCTAAACATAGAAAATACATAGTAAAAATATGGTATAAAAGATAAAAAAAGATACACTTGTAAAGGACACTTACCGTGAACGGAGCTTGCAGGGCCAGAAGTTGCTCCTGGTGAGTGAGCGAGTGGTGAGTGAATGTGAAGGCCTAGGACATTACTGTACACAACTGTACACTTTATATACACTGTCCACTTAGACCACACTAAGTTTATAAAAATATTTTTTCTTGGCTGGGCACAGTGGCTCACGCCTGTAATCCCGGCATTCTGAGAGGCCAAGGTGAAAGGATTTCTTGAGCCCAGGAGTTTGAGACCAGCCTGGGTAACATGGCGAAAGCCCTGTCTCCACAAAATGTATAGAAATGAGATGGGCGCCTGTAGTCCCAGCTACTCAGGAGGCTGAGGTAGGAAGATCGCTTGGGTGACAGAGCAAGACCTTGTCTCAAAAAAAAAAAAAAAATTTCTTTTTATTTCTTCAATAATCAATTAGCCTTAGCTTACTATAACTCTTTTACTTTATAAACTTTTTTTTTCATTTTCCTTGTTTTTGAGATGGATTTTCACCCTTGTCGCCCAGGCTGGAGTACAATGGCACGATCTCGGCTCACTGCAACCTCTGCCTCCCAGGTTCAAGTGATTCTCCTGCCTCAGCCTCCTGAGTAGCTGGGATTACAGGCATGCACCATCATGCCCGGCTAATTTTGTATTTTTACTAGAGACGGGGTTTTACCATGTTGGCCAGGCTGGTCTTGAACTCCTGACCTTAGGTGATCCACCTGCCTTGGCCTCCCAAAGTGCTGGGATTACAGGCATGAGCCACCGCGCCTGGCCAACTTTTTCATTTTTTAAACTTTTTGACTCTTTTATAATAAAACTTAGCTTAGAACACAAACACATTGTACAGCTATACAAAAATATTTTCTTTCTTTACATCCTTGTTCTATGAGGTTTTCTCTATTTAAAATTTTTATAAATGATTTTTTTCCTTTTTATACTTTTTTGTTAAAAATGGAGACATAGGCACACACACTAATGTGTGCTAATGCCTAGGCCTACACAGGGTCAGGCTCATCCATGTCACTGTCTTCCACCTCCAATTCTTGTCCCACTGGAAGATCTTCAGGGTCAATAACACGCATGGAGCTGTCGACTCTTGTGATAACAATACCTTCTTCTGGATACCTCCTCAATCACTTGCCTGAGGCTGTTTTACAGCTAACTTTTTTTTTTCAATAAGTAGAAAGAGTACACTCTAACATAACAATAAAATCATTTTATAGTATAGTAAATCCGCAAACCAGTAACATAGTCATTTATTATCATTATCAAGTTTTAGGTACGGTACATAATTGTATGTGCTGGATTTTTATACAAGTGGCAGCGCAGTAGGTGTGTTTACAGCAGCATCGCCACAGGCATGTGAGTAATGCATTGTGCTATGGCATCACGATGGCTACTGCGTCACTAGGACAATAATAATTTTTCAGCTTTATTATAATCTTATGGGACCGCTGTCATATATGCAGTCTGGCATTGACTGAAATGTTGTTACGTAGTGCATGGCTGTATCGCCATTGCTGGTGTGGGGAGTGCATCTTAGGGTGCCATTCCACTCAGAGTGTAGCCCTTGTAGGATCCCAGCCTTGTTTGGGCCCCGGGCGTCTTTCTTGCTCCTGCAGCCTATAGACTTTAGTAGTGTCCTAGTTACTGAGGTTGAGAAACTAACCTGGGGTAGAGCAGCTGACACCATCATTGCCTGCTCACTACTCTGATTCTCAGTATCCTCTACATTTTTGGATCCTACGAGTTTCCTTACTTTCATCAAACTCAGCTATCTATTTAAAAGGAATTTATTGCTTTTTGAATCCAGGCTTTATACATGCCTCCTAGTGTTTAAAAGGATAGCTATTGTATAATATTGCCAGAAATGAAAGCATAGTTCTTGTTCTGTACATTTATTAAATACATCGCATGTACATAGTTTTTCTTTAGCCCCACGTCTATCTTATTTTGTTGCTTTACCACCTTGCCTTGAGTTCTTCCTTTATTAAATTCTTCTAAAGCCTAAAATACTCTTGTGGGGATTTTCTTTTCTATTCCTTGTTATGAGGTATTATTCATCCAGTATGTTGCCAGGTTCAGTTATTTTATTTTATTTTTGAGACAGAGTCTCCCTCTGTTACCCAGGCTGGAGTGCAGTGATGTGATCTCAGCTCACTGCAGCCTCCACCTCCCAGGTTCAAGCGATTCTCCTGCCTCAGCCTCCCGAGTAGCTGGGACTACAGTTGCACACCGCCATGCCCAGCTAATTTTTGTATTTTTAGTAGAGACAGGGTTTCACAGTGTTGGCCAGGCTGGTCTTGAACTCCTAACCTCAAGTGATCCGCCTACCTTGGCTTCCCTAAGTTCTGGGATTACAGGCATGAGCCACTGCACCTGACCCAGGTTCAATTTTCTAATATTTTATTTAAGATTTTAGCATCTATGTTATAAGTGAGATTGACTTGTAGCTTTTTTCTTACTCTTTTCTTCGTTAACTTTTCTCTTTCCCTTTTCCACTCCTTCCCTTCCTTCCATTTTTTCTCTTTTTGTCTGGTACTCATGTTAGGATTTTGCTAGTTGGCATCACAGAGAGTTGGAAATGATAGATTTGTAAGTTCTTTAACAGTATAACAAGAGAGAACCTGTTCTTTAAAGAGCTAGGAGACATCTCTCATCAAACCTTCTGGACATGGTAGCGTTTTTGCATATTTTTGGTTACCTTTTACATTTCTTCAATAGTTATTGGTTTATTCGGGTTGTCCACTTTTTATATTAAAATTATTACATAGTCAAAGGATACAAAATTTCAGTTAGACAGGAGGAGTAAGTTCAAGAGATCTATTGTACAACATGGTGACTATAGTTAATAACAAAGCACTGTATACTTGGAAATTGCTGAAATTGCTAAGAGAGTACATTTGAAGTGTTCCTACCTCAAAGTATGTGAGGTAATGCATATGTTAATTAGCTTGATTTAGCCATTCCGCAATGTATACATATTGCAGAACGTCATCTTGTACACTATAGATATATACAGTTTTATTTGTTGATTAAAGAGAAAAAATTAAAAACCCATTGAATTATACACTTTAAATGGCTGAATCCCCAGCACTTTCGGAGGCCGAGGCAGATGAATCACCTGAGGTCTGGAGTTCGAGACCAGCCTGGCCAACATGGTAAAACCCCGTCTCTACTGAAAATACAAAAAATTAGCCGGGCATGGTTGCAGGCATCTGTAATCCCAGCTACTCGGGAGACTGAGGCAGGAGAATCGCTTGAACCCAGGAGGCGGGGGTTGCAGTGAGCCGAGATTGCACCACTGCACTCCAGCCTGGGCAACAAGAGCGAAACTCCATCTCAAAAAATAAATAGGTAAATTGTTTAGTATGTGAATTATATATCTCAATAATGCTGTGACTAAAAATTACCATATAATAAAATTGACTGTTTTTTCTTTTGATGTACAGTTCTATGAATTTTAATACATGTAGATTTGTGTTACCCCGCCACAATCAGCATACAGAACAGTCACAATGCCCCCTAAACTTCCTTGTGCTCCCTTTATAGTCACACACCGTCCTCACCTCTAACTTCTGGCAACCATAGATCTTTTCGCCATCACTATAGTTTTGTCTTTTCAAGAATGTCATGTAAATGGGATCATACAGTATGGAACCTTACGTCAGGCTTCGTTTTCTTAGCAAATTGCCTTTTAGATTTATCCATGGTGTTGCATGTATTGAGAGTTCATTTTTATAGATGATTAATAGTTAATTTTATGGAGGTACCATAGTTTGTTTATCCATTCAGTCACTGAAGGACATTTGTGTTGTTTCCAGTTTTTGGCAATTACAGTGAAAGCTGGTATGAATATAAGCTTACAGGTTTGAGTTCACGCAGGTGTTTGAGCCTATGTTCTCATTTCTCTAGGGTAAATGAAAGGAGTGGGATATCTGGATCGCATGATAAGAGTATGTTTAACTTTATAACAAACTACTAACTAATTTTCCAGAGCTGCTATACTGTTTTCCATTCCCATCAGCAATATATGAGAGTTCCAGCCTCACCTGTTTTTGTTCACTTGGCTAGTCTTTAAGTTTCTCTGTAATGTTGATGGTGGCTTGTTGCTGTATGTGTTTGATAAATATTCATTGTGAGCTTTTGTGGCTGAAATCTATTTTTACTTATTTGGATTGTGATCTGTTGTACTTTCTGTAAATGATGATTGATGTCGTTCAACCCCTCTGGAAAATCTTTAGTCAATACAACTTTGAAGGTTGCTTTTTCAATGTTCTAGTTTTTTTTTTTTTTTTTCCTGGAACTCTATTAAGCATATGTTGGATCCTCTCATGCTTTTCTACCTGCGTCTTTTTTTTTCATTCATAAATTCCAGTCCTTACCCTCTTTGTTTTGCATCCTGGGAAATTTCCTGTCTTCCAAGTCACCAATTCTCTCTTCAAATAAATCTAATTCTTTAAATTGTCCATTAATATTTTAGTTTTAGTGGTTACATTTGTCATTTCTAGAGGTCATATTTCAATTATTCCTCATCTTGTTTGATGATATATTGTCCTTTTCTCAAATTCTTATTTCTTTACTTTAAACATATTTTAAATGTATTTATGTTACAGTCTTTATTTCTGATATGATTTTAACACCTGCTCTAATTTTTTGCTTTTTTACTCCTATGGTTCTCTCTCTCAGAAAAGAAAGAGGTAAGAGCATCTCTTCTTTGAAGGAAAATAGATCAAATAATGAGGGTACACTAAGAGCCCAGACCTCAATATATGCATGTAAGAAATCTATACTTGTACCCCCTAAATCCACAAGTAATGAGTAAAATGATTCTTAATTTGGTAACTGGGAGGCAAGGAAGAGATCAGCTTACCAACCTGTTCCCTACAATTTTCTCTAATGGAGCTGCCAGTAAACATTGGTGAAATAGTTTTTCTAAATTGCATATTTCAAACTCTGTTATTTTTGTTTGTTTTTTCTTTGTTTGTTTTTCAGATTATGCCAAAATTTGTAGATCACAGAAAATGGAAAATTATTATGAAAATTATATTCCATATAATATACTTTGAATACTTCCTGCATGGAGAACTTTTATGAAAACCTCAACAAAAAACCACATTTTAAAATAATTTTAACACATATGTTTATATGCCTAGATATTACTCTCTCAGGCTCTGATCTTCCTGTTTCTAAAACAAAATTTAAAAACAAAGTGGAATTTATTGAGTGCATATTATGTGCATGCTACAACTCTAAGTGCTTTATGTATATTTTTCATGTAATCCTCATGACCATCCATTTTATAGATGAAAAACTAAAGCACAGAGAGGAAAGTGATTTTCCCAAGATTCCTCAGCTAGTAAACAGCAGAGCTGGAATTTGAACACATGCCTTTCTTTCTTTAAGTCTTGTTCTTTCTAGGAAGTCATTTGACTTTGGTAAGAAATAGTGATAATTAAGGGAGTTGCTTGCCAAGGCTTATTCTCCAGTTCGCTGCTTTGCCTCTTTTATAATCTCCCGTAAGAGAACTCATTTTCAGTTTTTTTTTTTATTATACTTTAAGTTTTAGGGTACATGTGCACAACGTGGAGGTTTGTTACATATGTATACATGTGCCATGCTGGTGCGCTGCACCCATTAACTCGTCATTTACATTAGGTATATCTCCTAATGCTATCCCTCCCCCCTCCCCCACCCCACAACAGGCCCCAGGGTGTGATGTTCCCCTTCCTGTGTCCATGTGTTCTCATTGTTCAATTCCCACCTATGAGGGAGAACATGCGGTGTTTGGTTTTTTGTCCTTGCGATAGTTTGCTGAGAATGAGGGGACATGGATGAAGCTGGAGACCATCATTTTCAGTTTTAATAGTAATCTTGTAGCAGGACGAGTCCCAGACAAAACTCCTCAGACACCGGATTAAAGAAAGAAGAGGTTTTTTATTCGGCTGGGAGCGTCAGCAGACTCGTGTCTTAAGAGCCGAGCTCCCTGAAAAAGAAATTCCTAGCCCGTTTAAGGGCTTACAACTCTTAAGGGGTCTACGTGAAAGAGTCATAATAGATCGAGTAAGCGTGAGGAACATGACTGGGGGCTACATACATCAGCTAACAGAACAAAAAGTTTTACAGTGCTTTCTCATACAATGTCTGGAATTTACAGATAACACCAGTAGTTTTGGTCAGGGGTTAATATTATTATTGTAACCACCAGGGCCAGGTGGTGGCGCCAAGGTCATCTAGCTATTTATCTTACTTCTGTTTCTTTCCAACTTTTTGCTTTCTCCCTTTTCTCCTGTCTTATAAACTAGGGAAAAGGGGAGGTTGGGGAGAAACTGGGAAAGACAACACGAGAAGTGGTGGTCTCATACCATAATCTGTGTGTAGCTTACTCCCAAATATTCTATCTTCAGTCCTAACATCTTTAAACTCCCCTGAACTCTAATATCAAAGATGTGAAACTGGATGTTACCTAATGAGTATCAAGAGGCACAGTTGTGTAGTAGTAAGGTGCGAAGGCCTTGCATGTGGACTGCCAAAGTTTTGAATCCTGCTTCTACTACTTGCCAGATGGGTAACTTGGGCAAACTGCTCAAATTCTGTGTCGAAATTTTCATTCATAAAAAGAGAATAAGATAAATTTGCTATTATGTCTTAAACATATAATTTCTAAAACTAATCTCTTCAATCTCCCCCTAAAAGCACATCATCCCTCTTTCTAACTTCTCCCAACCATTAGATTTGGGTTCTTTCTTGTCTCATTAGCCCCTAGAGCCCTTCTGTGAAGTGTTTTGAATCTATCCCTTTCTTTCCAGTTCCTTGGCTATAATACTTTACTTCTGTATGTATTAAGAACTTTTTTTTTTTTTTTTTTGCTGTTTTGAGGCTTTTTCTAAGGGCTTTTCTCTTTTAATGCATTTTTGTTCATATAATACGCTTTGAATACTTCCTGCATGTCTCTGATTCTTTGTTATTGTTTTTTTAATTCTTTCTTTTCTGATGATGAATTGTGAAAAATCCAACTGTTACAGAACAGAGAAAATGAAAGACTGCCAAACTTGCCCTTGGATATGACCACTATCAACAATTTGGTGCACATTTTATTTAATATTAAGCAAAACCACTATTAAAATTTGGTGCATATTTTATTGGTGCATATTTCCACTATTATCAATTTGCGCATATTCTATGTAATATTTTATGTAACCACTACTAACATTTTGGTACATACTTAATATTACATGTAGGGCTTTTCAATATTATCATTTAACCACATATGTTGTTGACATATTTCCATGATAGTGATATAGACCTATCTATCTCGTTGTTTTTAAAAAATTGGTTTTATTCAACATGGCACATGTTTACCTATGTAACAAGCCTGCACATTCTACACATGTACCCTAGAACTTAAAGTATAATAATAAAAAAAAATTGGTTTTATTTGGCTGGGTGCGGTGGCTCACACCTGTAATACCAGCAATTTGGGAGGCCGAGGCAAGTGGATCTCCTGAGGTCAGGAGTTCGAGATCAGCCTGGCCAACATGGTGAAACCCCGTCTCTAACAAAAAGTAGCCGGGTGTGGTGGCACATGCCTGTAGTTCCAGCTACTCTGGAGGCTGAGGCAGGAGAGTCACTTGAACCCAGGAGGCGGAGGTTGCAGTGAGCCGAGATCGTACCACTGAACTCTAGGCTGGGTGACAGAGCGAGACTCCACTGCAAAAAAAAAAAAAAAAAAAAAAAAATTGGTTTTATTTAATATTGATTGAACACAAAAGAATATGAAATTTGTGTAAGTTATAAAGAATTTTTATACAATGATCACCCACGTTCATACCACCATGTTTAAGGAATAGAATATTATCATTACCTTTAAATTTCTATTCCCTTTCCCCTCAAATGTAACCTGTATCATTTATTTCCTTTTATCATTTTCTTGCTTTTCTTTATAGTTTGCATATATGTTTGTGTAGCTAAACAATATATCATTTGCTTTTGCATGTTTTTGAGATTTATAGAAGTGAATCATTCTGTATGTTGTCTTCTGCAACTTGACTTTTTTCCTCTCTACGTCATGTTTCTTTTAGGATTGTGACTGGAATAACGTTGAGGAGAATTGATATCTTCATGATTTTGAGCCTTTCAACCCATAAATGTTATTTATCCATTTATTTAGGTCTTCTTTAATACCTTTCAATATAGTTTATGATTTTCTCCCTAAATGTCTTGCCCATCTTTTGCTAGATTTTTTCCTAGATCCATGTCACTTTTTAATATTATTCTTAATAGTCTTTTTAAAAATTAGTTTTCTAGCTGTTTGTTGTTGGTAGATATAAATGCAATTGATTTTTTTGATGGAATGAAGCCTCTATTTAACGTCTAGAAAAAGGAAAACAACACATTTATTGCTTTTTGGATACATGACAACTTCCGTGAAATTCTATAAATTTGGTTGGGAAAGATGGACACAAACTTCAGGAGAGTGTTATTTAGAGAGGCAGAGGGAAAGGAATCAAGGAGAGGCACAAAGAGGGCATTAATGGTATTCATAATATTTTATTTCTTTTTGAAGTAAATATGGTAAAATATTAAGATTTGTTAAGGCTTCATAGCTGGTACATGAGTGATTGTTTTATTATTCTTTGCACTTTTTGGAAACAGATCATAATTTTAAAAATAAAATATGCAATGTTAGACATATGCTCAAGATAAATTACTTTTATGATGGATGACCTCAGAATCCATTTAATTCCATCAATTATTCTAAATTGGACATTGCAAAATGGGAGCTGTGTGCTGAATTCAAGCTCCAGATGTAATTTTTTTGTGCCCTATGATTAAACAAATGGATCAGTAAACACCAAAGATTTTACATTAGAATCTGGATTTCAGAATTCTCTTAAAACATTAGAAAATCTGACCTTACTGTGTTTCCATGTGGTAATAGTCAATTAGATATAAGTAAGTATTGGCTGCCTCTATGTGTTTATATTATATTATATTATATTATATTATATTATATTATATTATGTTATATTTATCATTTAAAGATTTCAAATATTTTCAAAGACAGAGAGAAGAGCATAATAATCCCCTAGATTCCCATCATCGGAATACAGCAATTTTTGGTTCATGGTCAGTTTTATCTATTTATTTATTTAAGAGGCAGGGTCTTGCTCTGTTGCCTAGGCAGGAGTACAGTGAAATTATCATAACTCACTGTAACCTTGAACTCCTAGGCTCAAGGGATCCTCCTGACTCAGCCTCCTGAGTAGCTAGGACTATAGGTGTGCACCGTTAGCCCGGCTAATTTTTAAATATTTGTAGAGACCAGGGGTCTTGCTGTGTTGCCCAGGCTGGTCTCAAACTCCTGGCCTCAAGTAATCATTCTGCCTCAGCCTCTAGGAGTGCTGGGATTATAGGCATGAGCCACCACACCCAGCCTGTTTTTTATTGTTAAAATTTTATTTTTTAATTGACAAAAAACTATATATATTTATCACATACAACATGATGTTTTGAAATATGTATACACTGTGGAATGACTAAATTGAATGCTAATTAACATATCCATTATCTCACATGTTTATCATTTTTTTGTAGTGAGAACACTTAACATCTACTCTCAGCAATTTTTAAGAATACAATGTTATTATTATCTACTTTCTCAGCAATTTTTAAGAATACAATATGCTATTATTAACTATACTCACCATGTTGCTCAATAGATCTCTTGAACTTATTCTTTTTATCTAATGGAAATTTTGTATCCTTTGGCCAACATGTCCCCAACCCTTCCTCTCTCTCCCTAGCCCCTGGTAACCACCATTCTACTTTCTGCTTTTGTCAGTTCAACATTTTTAGATTCTCTAAATAAGTGAGATCATGTGGTATTTGTCTTTCTGTCTGTCCCTGGCTTATTTCACATAACATAATGTCCTTTAGGTTCATCCATGTTGATGCAAATGACAGGATTTTCTTCTCTTTAAAGGCAGAATAGTATTCCATTATATATATGTATATATATATATACACACACACCACATTTTCTTTACCTGTTCATCTGCTGATGGACACTTAGGTTGATTCAATATTGTGAATAACGCTACAATGAACTTGGGAGTGCAGTTATCTCTTCAACATACAAATTTCATTTCATTTGAATATATACCCAGTACTGGGATCATATGCTAGTTCTGTTTCTTTCTTTCTTTCTTTCTTTTTTTTTGAGACGGAGTTTTGCTCTTGTTGCCCAGGCTGGAGTGCAATGGCGTGATCTCTGCTCACTGCAACCTCCGCCTCCCGGGTTCAAGTGATTCTCCGGCCTCAGCCTTCCGAGTAGCTGGGATTACAGGCATGCGCCACCACGCCTGGCAAATCTTTGTATTTTAAGTAGAGATGGGGTTTCACCATTTTGGTCAGGCTGGTCTCAAACTCCTGATCTTAGGTGATCCACCCGCCTCATCCTCCCAAAGTGCTGGGATTACAGGTATGAGCCACCGTGCCCGGCCTGATATTTCTATTTCTGAGGAACCTCCATGCTGCTTTCCATAATGGTTGTACTAATTTACATTCCCACTAATAGTACACAAGGGTTTCCTTTTCTTCACATCCTCACTAACATTTGTTATCATTCACTTTTTTGATAATAGCCATTCTAACAAGTGTGAAGTGGTATTTCATTGTGGTTTTACTTTGCATTTTCCTGATGATTAGCGATGTTGAACATGTTTTCATATACCTGGCTACTTGTATGTCTTCTTTTGAGAAATATCTATTTAAATCTTTTGCCCATTTTAAAATAGGGTTACTTGGTTTTTTGCTATTGAGTTGTCTG
Source organism: Homo sapiens (assembly GCF_000001405.40). Taxonomy (NCBI): domain Eukaryota; kingdom Metazoa; phylum Chordata; class Mammalia; order Primates; family Hominidae; genus Homo; species Homo sapiens. The sequence goes on along the minus strand of NC_000023.11, from coordinate 44,357,974 downwards.
AGTTCCTTGTATATTTTGAATACTAACCCCTTATCAGATGGTTGGTTTGCAACTAACTCCCATTCTGTAGGTTCTCTCTTCCCCCAGTTGTTTCCTTAGCTCTGCAGAAGACTCATGGCCAATTTTGTTATATCTATTTTCTCTGTTCTCCTGAATTCTAGATTATTTCAAATTCTAGATTATTTCAAAGCAAATACCAGATACTTAATTTCATCCATAGTATTTTATTTTATTTTATTTTATTATTTTATTCTTTGAGACAGAATCTCACTCTGTCACCCAAGTTGGAGTGCAGTGGCATGATCTCAGCTCACTGCAGTCTTTGCCTTCTGGATTCAAGCAATTTTCCTGCCTCAGCCTCCCGAGTAGCTGGGATTACAGGCACACACCACCATGCCCAGCTAATTTTTGTATTTTTAGTAGAGATGGGGTTTCACCATGTTGGCCAGGTTGGTCTCGAACTCCTGACCTCAGGTGATCCGCCTACCTTGGCCTCCCAAAGTGCTGGGATTACAGGCGTGAGCCATCACGCCCGGCCACATCCATAGTATTTTAGTATTTATCTCTAAAAGATTAGTACTTTTAGAAACAATAACCACAATATTATTGTCACGCCTAAAATCGTTAACAGTAATTCCTTAATATAATCAACTATCAGTCAGTATTCAAATTCTCCCAGTTTTCTCAACTTTATTTTACTGTTTGTTAAAATAGAAATTCAAATAAGGCTCTTACGTTGCACCTGGTTAATATGTTTTTGAAATCTCTGGCATCCAGTAGTGAGATCTAGACCAGCAATGTCCAATAAAATTTTCTGTAATAATCAAAATATTCCTTATCTGTGCTGTCCAGTGCAGTGGTAGCTACTAGCCATATGTACTATTGAGGCTTTGAAACATGACTAGTGCAACCAAAGGAATAGATTTTTAATTTTACTTAATTTTAATTAAGTAAAAATGTTGGCTTGGCGCAGTGGCTCACGCCTGTAATCCCAGCACTTTGGGAGGCCAAGGTGGGCAGATCACAAGGTCAGGAGATCAAGACCATCCTGGCCAACATGGTGAAACCCCGTCTCTAATAAAAATACAAAAATTAGCTGGGTGTGGTGGAGCATGCCTGTAATCCCAGCTACTCGGGAGGCTGAGGCTGAAGAATCACCTGAACCAGGGAGGCAGAGGTTGCAGTGAGTCGAGATCGCGCCACTGCACTCCAGCCTGGCGACAGAGAGAGACTCCGTCTCAACAACAGACAAACAAACAAACAAACAACAACAAAAATGTTTACTGACAGCTTTATTGAGATAAAATTCACATGCCATAAAGGTCACCTTCTACAGTATACAATTCAGTGGATTTAGTATGTTCACAAAGTTGTACGTTGTTCACCATCTACTCCAGAACATTTACATCACCCCTAAAAGAAGCTCTTTAGCAGTCACTTCTCATTCTCCCCAGCCCCTGCCAACCACGAATCTACTTTCTGTCTCTATTCTGAATATTTCATATAAAGGAGTCCTATCATATGGGCCTTTTACGTCTACCTTCTTTCACTTAGCATCATGTTTTTAAGATTCATCCACAGTGTAGCACGTGTCAGTTAATTCATTTCATCTTATGGCTGGATAATGCTCTATTGTATGCATATCCCTCACTTTGCTTATCCATTCATCAACTGATTGACATTTGGGTTATTTCTACTTTTTGACTATTATGAGTAATGCTGCTATGAACATTCCTGTACCAATCGTTACGTGGACATATGCTTTCAATTCTCCTGAGTATGTAACTAGGGTTGGAGTTGCTGGGTCATATGTTAACTCAGTGTTTCATTTTTTTGAAGAACTACCAAATGGTTTTCCAAAGTGGATGCAACACTTTACATTCCCACCAGCAAGATATGAAGGTTCCAATGTCTCTACATTTTTGCCAACACTTGTGATTTTCTTTTATTTATTTATTTATTTATTTATTTTTGAGATGGAGTCTCACTCTGTCACCCAGGCTGGAGTGCAGTGGCACAATTTCAGCTCACTGCAATCTCCACCTCTCGGGCTCAAGCGATACTCCTGCCTCAACCTCCCGAGTAACTGGGATTACAGGCGCCCACCACCACACCAAGCTAATTTTTTGTATTTTTAGTAGAGACGGGGTTTCATCATGTCGGCCAGGCTGGTCTCGAACTCCTGACCTCAAGTGATCCACCAGCCTCAGCCTCCCAAAGTGCTGGGATTACAGGCATGAGCCACCCATCCCAGTGTGGTTTTCTATTTTTTAGAAAAATGATGGCCATTCTAGTGGGTGTAAAGTGGTATCTCATTGTGGTTTTGACTTACATTTCTCTAATTACTAATGATGCTGAGCATTTTTGCATGTGTTTACTGGTCATTTGTTTATTTTTGGAAAAATGGCTGCTCAAATCCTTTGTCCACTTTTAAATTGGGTTATTTATTGTTTTTCTTTTTGTAGTTGTTCTTGAATTGTAAGAGTTTTTTCACATATAGATTCTAGATACAACTCAGTTGCTTATTAGATAGATGATTTGTAAACATTTTCTCCCATGTTCTGAGTTGCCCTTTTACTTTGTTGATGATTTCCTCTGAAGCACAAAAGTTTTAAATTTTGATGAAGTTTAATGTATCTGTTTTTCTTTTGCTGTTAGCGCTTTTGGTGTCATATATAAAAAATCATTGCCTAAACCAAGTTCAAAAAAAAATTTACTCCTATGTTTTCTTTTAAGAGTTTTGTAGTTTTTGCTCTGACATTTAGGTCTCTGGTCCATTTCAACCTAATTATTGTATATAGTGAGATATCCATGTCTTGGTGTATGGCAGGTGTACAATTCCCTTCTTTTGCATGTGGATATCCAGTTGTCCTATCATTTGTTGAAAAGACTGTGCTTTCCCCCATTGATTTGTCTTAGCATTCTTGTCAAAAATCAATTGACAGTAAATGTAAGAGTTTATTTCTGGACTTGCAATTCTATTCCTTTGATCTATATATGTGTCCTTACCAGGATCACATTGTCATCATTACTGTAGTTTTGTAGTAAATTTTGAAATCAGGAAGTGTGAGTCCTCTAACTTTATTATTTTTAAAGATGGTTTTTGCTTCTTTTTTTATTTTTTACTTTTTTTGAGACAGAGTTTCACTCTTGTTGCCCGGGCTGGAGTGCAATGGCACGATCTCCTGACGTCAGGTGATCCACCCTCCTCGGCCTCCCAAAGTGCTGGGATTACAGGTGTGAGCCACCGTGCCCGGCCAGTTTCTGCTTCTTTTGTAATACTTGTATTAGAACATAAATTTTAGGATTATGTATTACTACATAAATTTTAGGATTACCTTGTCCATTTCTGCAAAAATGGGCAGCTGAGATTTTGGTAGGGATTGCAATCAATGCGTAGGTCAATTTGGGGGCTATTGCCATCTTAACAATATTTAGTCTTCTTGGCTGGATGCTGTGGCTCACACCTGTAATCCCAGGCACTTTGGGAGGCTGAGGCGGGTGTGTCACCTGAGGCCAGGAGTTCGAGACCAGCCTGGGCAACAGAGCGAGACATCATCCCTATTAAAAATACAAAAATTAGCTGGATGTGGTGGTGCATGCCTGTAGTCCCAGCTACTTGGGAGGCTGAGGCATGAGAATCGCTTGGACCTGGGAGGTGGAGGTTGCAATGAGCTGAGATTGTGCCACTGCACTCCAGTCTGGGCTACAGAGCAAGACTCTGTCTCAAACCCCCTCCCCCAAACCCCACAATATTTAGTCTTCCAGTCCATGGAAAAGATGTTTTTCTATTTATTTAGGTCTTCTTTAATTTCTTTCAATGATGTTTTACAGTTTTTAGTTCAAGTCTTGTACTTCTTTTGTTAAATATATTCATCTGTATTTTATTCTTTTTGATGCTATTGTAATTGCAATAGTTTTCTTGTTTCATTTTTGAATTGTTTGTTAGTACATAGACATACAATTGAGTTTTGAATATTGATGTATTCTACAACTTTACTAAATGTGTTATTTTCAATTGTTTGTGTGTAAATTCCTTAAGATTTTCTATATACAAGACTATGTCTTCTGTGAATAGAGATTACTTTTTCATTTCTGATCTGGATGCCTTTTATTTTGTTTTAGCTTAATTGCCTTGGCTAAAACCTCCAGTACAAGTTGAACTGAAGTGGTGAGAAGGAACATCTTACTCTTGTTCCTGACCTTAGGGTATAAGCATGCAGTATTTCACTATTAAGTGTGGTGTTAGTTGTGAGTTTTCATAAACTGCTTTTATCAGATTGAGGAAATTCCTTCTATTCCTGGTTTGTTGAGTGTTTTTATTGAAAAATGACATTGTATTTTGTCTAGTACTTTTTCTGTGCCTATTGAGATAATCATATGGTTTTTGTCCTTTATTCTGTTAATATGGTACCTTACATTGATTGATTTTCAGATGCTAAACGGACTTTGCATTCTTGGAATAAATCCCACTTGGTCATGGTTTATAATCCTTTTTATAGGTTGCTGGATTTGGTTTGCCAGTATTTTTTTGAGGATTTCTGTGTCTCTATTCATAAAAGATGTTGGTCTATAGTTTTCTTTTCTTGTAATATCTTTGTCTGGTTTTGGTGTCAGGGTAACACTGGCCTCATAGAATGAGTTAGGAAGTGTTCCCTTCTCTTCTATTTTCTAAAGCATTTGTAAAGGATTGGTGCTAATTCTTCTTTAAGCGCTCAGGATGAGGACTTGACATGTGGATATAACCAAGGAAGCACAAAATAATGAAGAAGAGTGCTAGCTTTCAGGAGCTGAGAGGAATGGGGCAGTGATATTTCTGAAGATATCAAGAGAAGGGAGAATTGACAGACAAGGCTTCGCTGGAGGAGAAAAGGAAGTTTGTGCAGAAATACCATCAAAGGCACTCCTTCCTGCTGCCAAGGGCTCTTGCATCTTGTAGAAAGGCTCCAGATTACAAGATGACCTCATTCCGCAGAAGAAATTCTCCAACCGGGCAAATATTTCCTTGCTCTTAGGCCAGTTTGAGCTTGCTTAGAAGTGTTAGTTCTGTTGGCCTCCCCTGCGCTTTCTTCATCCATGGGTGTGTAACACAGGCTCTTTGAACATCAAGAACAGTGCTTCCCAGTGCTGGTCTTGACATGTCCCAAGGTGTCTTCGGTTATTTCAGGGGGTGTCTTGTAATTCCCAGAATTAGTTTACTTTAAATTTATTTTAAAAAGAGCTATATACCATTTCAGATGTTCCTTTGTGGTAGACGTGTCATGAGAGGCAGTATGGGAAGATATGTGTCACAGAAGGGAAACGAAGCAAGATATTACAACTTATAAAAGACTGAGAATCTCAGATCTCGGGTGTTTGGAAGTGTTCACTCTGTCCTAATCACTGATTTGTCCCAGTGTTTGGAAGAGGTTCTGGCACATCAGAGTAGAAGTTCAATAAATATTTGTTAAATGAGAAACTATGGAATCAATTATTCTAAAACTCTGTGTGTGTGTATGGGAGAGCAGACATTATGTGGCGAGTATCTAAATAGGTACAAAATGATAAAGATATCATTGTCCCCAAAGGAAGTGGCAAGTATGAACATGCAGGTAGTAGATGGATGTGTATGGTAGCCTTAGGTCCTAGACTTTTCCAACAGCCCTAATTTAAGATATTTTCCTTTATTACTCCTTAAGAAAATAATTCTTATCAGAACTGCTTTTTGCTTTGTAAAATATCCTCACTGTGAAAGGCAGAGGCCTTCTCTGTGTAGATTGTGGCTGTGATGGAGCAGTGGTCAGCATATGTGAGCTGTGGCATATTAAAGAGAACACTCCACTTGGAATCAGAAGGTGCCAGTCCCACCTTGATGAGTTGCCACATAGGTGGGATCACCATAAACATTTATAAACACATAAGGAAACAATCCACCATGAAGGAGAGTCAGCCAACACAGGAAGCAGGGTAAGTGGCACCCCATGAACATAAGAGATCAGAATTGTTGGTTAAGGACTCTGCTAAGTATGCTTAAAATGATTAAAGAAATAAAATTAGCAAGGGAAATTATAAGAGTAAGACTCTATTTAAAAGAAAGAACATATAGATTTAAAAAGAACAAATGAGATTTAGAGAAATAAAATTAAATTTATTGAAATTAACATTTTAATGTATCAGCTATGTTCACTTTAAAAGGAGTTTAATATTACTTGGTAAAATTGAAGATGTGTGTACCCTATCTCTTAAAAATGTTGTAAGTACAAAGGCAAACACTAGAACAAAAATACAAGCCTTCCTAAATATTCAAAGATATTTATAAATTATAATAGCAAAGACAACAACAGCATGAAGAAAGAGAAACAGTAGATATACATAATATACATGGTGATTACAATATAAAATAATATATTGAAGTTGAGACCACAAATATGAATCTTATCAACAAATGTGAATGGGCTTAACTCACTTACTAAAACAAAAATATCTTCAATGTGGCTCATAAAGCAAGACCCAACTACATGTTGTGTATGGGAGATACATCTAAATCAAAATAATTCAGATGGGCTAAGAACAAAGGCATGGACAAAAAAGTACCAGGCAAATGGAAATAACAAGTAAGTGGGGGCTGAGATCCTGATATCGAAGTAGAATTTAGGCCAACAAATAATTAAATGTGACCAAAAAAAAGTCAGTTTCACAAGGTAGGTTTAACAGTTATGAAAATCTGTGCACCAAATAGCCATCTTTAAAATGCAGAAACTACAGCTGAAAGGAGATACAGATAGAAACACTTGGCTAGTAGGAGAGTATAATACACCACTCAGAGCAAAACAGATCAAGTGGTAGAAATATAAGTAAGGATATAAAGTTAACAGCATAGTCAATAAAATAGATTTATTGATCTATACTGAACTGTAGAATCTAATAATAGAGAATACACCTTCCCTCTCAACTGCATATGCGATAGTTACAAAAATTGATCAAATATTAGATCACAAATAAAGCATCAATAAATTCTACACAATAGAAATATTAAGGGCCGGGTGTGGTGGCTCACACCTGTAATTCCAGCACTTTGGGAGGCTGAGGTGAGGGGACAACCTGAGGTCAGTAGTTTGAGACCAACCTGGCCAACATGGTGAAACCCCATCTCTACTAAAAATACAAAAAAATTTAGCTGGGCATGGTGGTGTGCGCCTGTAGTCCCAGCTACTTGGGGGGCTGAGGTGGGAGAATCGCTTGAACCCGGGAGGTGGAGCTTGCAGTCAGCCGAGATCTCGCCACTGCACTCCAGCCTGGGCGACAAAGCGAGACTCCATCTCAAAAAAAAAAAAAAAAAGGAAAGAAAGAAAGAAAAGAAATATTAAAACAATTCTTATCAAAGTGCAATAAAACTAAGAACAAAATAAAAGCCTCCCCCCCAAATCTTTTCCAACTAGAAACTGTTAACATTTTCTATTAAACAACTCTTGGGTGAAAGGGAAAATACAAGCCAAAATCACAGAATATCTAAAAAGCAAACAAATCAACAACAACAACAAAAAGCAAGTAATGAAAACACTACGTATCAGGATATTGGATACTTTTAAAGTAGAGATGATATGAAAATTTATAGCCGTAAACACTTATATCAATAAAAAAAAGGATGAAAATGAGTGAATTATATTGTCAACCTTAAATAATGATATTCAGGCTGGGTGCAGTGGCTTACACCTGTAATTCCAGCACTTTGGGAGGCTGAGGCGGGTGGATCACTTGAGTTCAGGAGTTCGAGACCAGCCTGGCCAATACGGTGAAACCCTGTCTCTGCTAAAAACACAAAAATTAGCTGGGCATGGTGACAGGCGCCTGTAATCCCAGCTACTCAGGAGGCTGAGGCAGGAGAATTGCTTGAACCCGGAAGGTGGAGGTTGCAGTGAGCAGAGATGGTGCCACTGCACTCTGGCCTGGGTGATAGAGCGAGACCCTGTCTCAAAAAAAAAAAAAAAAAAAAAAAAAAAAAAGAGAGAGAGAGAGAGAGAAAGATTCAGAAAATATGATTAAGTGTAGAGGTTATCCAAGCACAAAACTTGAGGATGGCCACTGGGAAAGCACAGACTCCAAACGAATAGCGTCAGTGGTTTTAAAATGGAGAAGTTAAAGTTTAAATTATATAGGCAGAGACGGAGATGATCCAGCAGGATTACATTTTCCATATAAGACCAGTGCACATGCGCCACAGTGATTTGATTGGTTGCAGATTGCTACATTCCAACGAAGATTACTTTATTACTCTGTGAGGAGGGGTAGTGACTTGAGTCAGGGGTTCTTATCTCTGGAGCTATTTGGTCTTAATTATTTACAGGAAAAAGAGAAAAAAAGGCAGAAGTTGCAGCTGCATGCCTTGTGACCCAGGTTGCATAGTTAGAATCCTCTCAAGGCTCAGGGTAATTTAAAGTTCCAACAGATTTAAGTTTGAATTATTTAATTTTACAATATCAGCTTAAAAAGTGAAAAAAAGAATAACAAATGAGTCAAAAGAAAGCACAAGGAAGAAAACAATAAAAGTAAAAGCAGAAAAATAGTAAAGGTTAAGAATAGAAAGCAGTGGGTCAAATTAATAAATAAAAATTGTGGTTCTTTGAAAAAAGTAAGAAAATATGTAAACCACTAGCTAAATTAATCAAACTACTAAAGGGAGAAACATATTTATACAAAACAAGACAAAGAAGAAATAGGCCGGGTGCGGTGGCTCACTCCTGTAATCCCAACACTTTGGGAGGCTGAGGCAGGCGGATCACGAAGTCAAGAGATCGAGGCCATCCTGGCCAACATGGTGAAACCCTGTCTCTACTAAAAATACAAAAATTAGCTGGGCATGGTGGCGGGCGCCTGTACTCCCAGCTACTTGGGAGGCTGAGGCAGGAGAATTGGTTGAACCTGGGGGGTGGATGTTGCAGTGAGCCGAGATTGCGCCACTGTCCTCCAGCCTGGCGACAGAGCAAGACTCTGTTTCAAAAAAAAAAAAAAAAAAAGACATAATGTGGAATATGAATAGGCATGAACAAACCAAACTGTTTTGTAAATGAATAACATAAGCATTCTAAACAGGGAGGGGGGCAAAAGCCTAAGTAATTTTTGAGCCTAATATTTTGACTGTGTACATTAAGACCAAAGAAAAACACTGCAAGCAAATATTGAACTCTAGTTACTAGGTTTGTCTCTTGTTTTACAAAGACATGAGTTAGGTGTTCTGAGGCTGCTTTCAGGGTCTTGTAGTATAGAGCAAATAAGTAAATACAGTTGTCCCTCAGTATACACGGGGGATTGGTTCCAGCACCTCCGAATATACCAAAATCCTTGAACACTCAAGTGCCATGGTTGGCCTTGGAGAACCTATGTATACAAAAGTCAGCCCTCTGTATATGTGGGTTTTGCTTCCCACCAATATTTTATTTTATTTTTACATGGCAAAGTTGCAACAGTCAGCACAGCAGAGAAAGGGCTGTCTGCCCCACGAATAATTTTAAAAGTCTGTGTATAAGTGGACCAATGCAGTTCAAACCTGTGTTGTTCAAAGGCCAACTATATTTTGAGGATAATGGGAATGAGATTTCTTACAGCTTGAGCAGAGCGTCACCAGTGCAGAAAGGGGAATACCAGCAGGGACACTATTATGTTGATTGGAATTGGAGGTATGAGCATAAACTTATGACTTTTAATATATCTTTTTCTCTGTATATCTATATCTTCATCTTTCTATCTGTAGACAGAAACTTGGCACATTTCACCTTAGCCCAGTGATCAAAGAGAACCTCATCATTGATGGTAAAAGCACATTATGTGCCTGTTCCTTTGATGAACTAGAAGGACACAACAGTCCTCCTGTGGCGTTCTTGTCCAAAAGCCATAAACTGAATCTCCTCATGAGGAAACATCAGTCACACCTAAATTGAAGAACATTCTACCAAATACTTGGCCTAGGCTTTTTTCTTTTCTTTTTCTTTTTCTTTTTTTTTTGAGATGGAGTCTCACTCTGTCGCCCAGGCTGGAGTGCAATGGCATGATCTTGGCTCACTGCAACCTGTACCTCCCAGGTTTAAGCGATTCTCCTGCCTCAGCCTCCTGAGTAGCTGGGATTAAAGGCACCTGCCACCACGCCCGGCTAATTTTTGTATTTTAGTAGAGATGGTGTTTCGCCATGTTGGCCAGGCTAGTCTCGAAGTCCTGGCCTCAAGTGATCCGCCCGCCTCGGCCTCCCAAAGTGCTGGGATTGCAGGCGTGAGCCACCACGCCTAGCCATGGCCTATCCTTTTCAAAAATATCAAGGTCACAAAAGACGAAGAAAGATGGAAGAACTGTTCCCAATTAAAGGAGAATAAAGAGACATGACAACCACGAGACATGACAATCAAACACCATGTGTGTTGTTGCATCAGATTCTGGGTCAAAACAAATTATTTTTCTTTTTGCTAAAAAAGGACATTATAGGCCAGATGTGGTGGCTCATGCCTGTAATCCCAGCACTTTGGGAGGCCAAGGCAGGAAGATTGCTTGGAGCCAGTAGTTTGAGACCAGCCTGAACAACATAGTGAGACCCTTGTCTCAACAAAGAAAAAAAAATTAGCCGGGCATGGTGGTGTGTGCCTGTATTCCCAACTACTAGGGAGGCTGAGGTGGGAGGATCGCTTGAGCCCAAGAGGTAGAAACTGCAGTGAGCCGTGATTGCACCTGGGTGACACAGCAAGTCCCTGTCTGCAAAAAAAAAAAAAAAAAAAGGACATTATTGGTACAATTGCAAAATTTGAATATGTATTTTAGATTAGAAAATAGTATTATAAGGCCGAGATGGGATTGCTTGAGGTCAGGAGTTCGAGGCCAGGCTGGGCAACATAATGAGACCCCATGTCTACAAAAAATAAAACAAATTAAAATAGCTGGGCATGGTGGCACATGCCTGTAGTCCCAACGACTTGGGAGGCTGAGGTGGGAGGATCACTTGAGCTCAGGAGGTGGAGGCTGCAGTGAGTCATGATCATGCCACTGCATTCTAGCCTGGGCAACATTGTGAGACCTTGTCTCAGAAAAAAGAAAACAGTATTGTATTAATATTAAATTTCTGATTTTGATTATTGCACTTCAGTTATATAAGAGACTGTCCTTATTCTTAGGAAATACACACTGAAGTATTTAGGAGTCAAGGGGCATGATATCTGCAACTTAACTCTAAAATGTAAAAGATATATATGGGGAGAATGACAAAATTAATGTGGTAAAATATAAAACAATTGGGGAATCTGAGGAAAGGATAAATGAGAGTTATTTGGACTGTTCTTGCAACTTTTTACTAGCTTGAAATTATTTCAATTTAAAAAGCAACAGGGAATTTTAAAAATGTTTGTAAGAACATGTAGGAGAATAACTGTTCTTTTGGAGTAGTATAAGATTTTTGAATTCACATACAAAACACCAAACAGGCCAGGTGCAGTGGCTCATGCCTGCAATCCCAGCACTTTGGGAGGCCAAGGTGGGTGGATCACTTGAGGCCAGGAGTTCGAGACCAGCCTGGCCAACAAGGTGAAACCCCGTCTCTACTAAAAATACAAAAATTAGCCAGGTGTGGTGGTGCATGCCTGTAATCCCAGCTACTCAGGAGGCTGAGGCAGGAGAATCACTTGAATCCAGGAGGCGGAGGTTGCAGTGAGCCTAGATCACATCATTGTACTCCAGTCTAGGTGAGAGAGTGAGATTCCATCTCAAAAAATAAAAAGTAGAATAAATCAAAAAACCCACCAACCATAACTGAAAGAATGATATATTTGAGTAAAGTAACAAATTTATGTACAATAAAGAACTCTATATAAGTGGAGTTAAAAGACAAACGACAATGAGAAAATATTTGCTATGCCTCGGATTAGTATCCAGAATATCTCTATATCTATCTATCTATCTAAAAAAAAAAAACTACAAATGACCGAAGAGAAAAATCTGCAAAGGATATGAATAGCTGAGTCACAGGAGAAAGTAACAACCATGGGAAAACATGACCAACTGCTTAGGGAGAATTAGGGAGAAACAAATTAAAATAACAATAGTATACCATTCACACTTATTCAGATGATTATCCAAAATTATATAATTTGGTAATACCTATTGTTGAAAGGATGAACGGGGAAGGGGACTTTCTTAATTGGTTTATCTGTCTGTAGATCATCTAGCAAAATCTAGTAAAGATGAAGCCATGCACTCAGATATGTACGTAATTCCATCTTTCAGTATGTGCCCTAGATCATTGCCAAAGGAACAGGCAGAGTCGCTCACTGCAGCATTGTTGGTAACTAGTGGAAAATTGGAAACAATCTAATTGTCATCAACAGATGAGAGCAGATAGTTAAACAATTTGTGGTATAATCATACAATGCGTTTAAAATTAATGAACACTACATGTGTCAATGTGTAGAAATCTCAATAACAGAATTTTATTATTATTATTTTCAAGACAGAGTCTTGCTCTGTTGCCCAGGCTGGAGTGCAGTGGAGCAATCTCAGCTCACTGCAACCTCAGCCTCCCCGGTTCAAACGATTCTCCTGCCTCAGCCTCCCAGTAGCATATTAATATTCTACTAATATTTTTAGTAGAAACGGGGTTTCACTATGTTGGCCAGGCTGGTCTCGACCTCCTGACCTCTTGATCCGCCTGCCTCGGCCTCCCAAAGTGCTGGGATTACAGGCATGAGCCACCGCGCCTGGCCTCAATAACAGAATCAGGCAAAAAAAGCAAGTAGCAGAAATTTAGAGTGTAAAATTTATAAACACAGAAGCAATAATGGATATTGTTGATGAATAAAAAAGGAGATACAGTCCCTGCCCTGGAGGTATTTGGGGGCATTTAAAGAAATGTCAAGTAAACAGGTAATTACAATGTAGTAGGATGAAAGCCACGATCAGAATAGACACCAAATACAGATGGAGGCGGCAGGAAGAAGGTGAAAGAATATATTGAAGAAATGGCAATACCTTCTATGCCCCACTCCCACGCTGGCCTCAAGTCCTGAAAGACAAGAAGGGGTTACTTATGTGAAAGATAGGAAGGAAGGGTGTTTCTAGACGATAGTGTTATTTGCAAAAGCCCCAAGAGGAGAAACCGCAGAGCCTGATTTAGAAACTGCCAGTGGTTTCTCAGAGCTGGAGTAGATGGAGGAGGGGGCAAAGAAAGGGATGGAGGGCATTGGTAGGTGCCCTCTGACAAAAGCTCCTCAGACCAGGCTATAAGGAGTTTCACCACCTTCTGAAGGCGGCGGGAAGGCTAGATTATTGAAGCAGAAGAGTAACAGCTGCACCATGAATTATAAAAACGACGGCTCTGGAGGCAAGATCAGTTAGTTTTTTGTGTGTGTTTGTTTTTCTTTTTAAAGAAGAAAACCAGGCAAGAAACAATGGGATCGCAGCTGAAATAGACGAGGTGGTGACTGAGAGAGAGCATCGAGTCCAACCTTTAGGGCTTCAGGGAGGGATTAGACGTAGGTGTCGGGAGAGGAGGTTCCTGGCCCGGCTATCTTGGGGTGAACGATGGAGTGACAGGGGTTGCGATTTGTGACACCTGACTCCGCCCCGGCCACCCCTGATTGGGCCTTACAAACGTTTAGTTCAAATACAAAAATGGGCCGGACACGGTGGCTCATACCTGTAATCCCAGCACTTTGGGAGGCAGAGGCGGGAGGGCTGCTTGAGCCCAGGAGTTCGAGATCGGCCTGGGCAACATAGTGAGACCTTGTCTTAAAACAACAAACAAACAAACAAACAACAAATATAAAAATATCCAGAAGAAAAACTGAAGGCGGTGGTTACCATTACAACGCGTTTTCGTCAGGGTATATGTGGCTTTAGATTCATCTTGAACGTTTTAATTACAAAATAAAAGCTGATGTCTATGCAACATAGGAAAATATCGACTTGTGTAACATCTCAGTGAGCACACGGGCGTCATATTACTTTCTGTACTTTGCTGTGTGTTTGAACCACATAGCAAAAAACTGTTGGCGACAAGAATTGGAAAAGCAAGAAAGTACAAGAAAGGCTTTGAGTTCTATAAGGGGGTTAAACCAGAAAGCGGCGGGGGCAGGGAACAGTCAATCTTTGTGTGTGCACACTGCGTGTGCAGAGAGAAGACTCCTCAGGAGACCAGGACCTGGCTGAGTGTGTGCGGGGATGAAGCGGGTGGAGGGGAACTGGGGCTGGGGAGGAGGTACGCGCCGCGGAGGTGTCCCCCGCCCCCCACGATCCTTCTCGCCAACCCCCCGCCCCTCCTCCCTCCGTGACGCCGCTTCCCGTCTCCAGGCAACGTGGGGGCCAAACAACACGGCCGGGAGGCGCCGCTGCCTGCCGGGCCCTCTCTTCTGGGACCCTGGATTTTCGGACACTGAGCGCCATGGCCCTGCCTCTGCTGCCGGGCAACAGCTTCAACCGCAACGTGAGTAGGAAGGGCGTCCGAGGTCACAGCTCCCGGCTGGAGTCTGGGGTCCAGGCAGGGTCGTGGCGTGGCCACCTCCGCAGACTCTCCTGGAGGCCCCATGCTGCTGCCCTGGGTTGGTGGCAACTTGGACCAAACTTTATAGGCTGCTTCTCCCATCTCTCCAGCTGCATCTGAATGTTTTTCCTAATTTAGAAATATATAGAGAGAGTCCTTATAGGTGGCAGGACCCTCAAAGGTAACAAATAATAGTGACGATAACCATTGGGGGTTTAATGTGTGCCAGGCGCTGTGCTTTAATCACCTTATGCAGCATCCAGTGTCCCAACAGCCCTTTGAATTAGGTAGTTTTTATTCCCAGTTACTATTGAGGAAACTGAGGCACAGAACCACACAGTCTCAGTGGTGAAGCTGGGTTTCTTTCAAGCAACCTTGTCTCCACAGCTCAGGAGCCTAATCATTATCCCCAGTATCCTGTGTGAAAAAAGATACCGTTTCAATTATCAAATTGAAGAAATCTGGCACTTATCAAGAGGGGTAGGTGGCAGATAAGAGTTCTATCAGCCTGTAAAGTTTACTCCCAAACTTTATAGAGACAGGCACCCAAACTTGGAGGGATTTTTTTTTTCTCTATTTATAATTGGGAGGGGTTCATTTCTTTTTTTTTTTTTGAGACGGAGTCTCGCTCTGTCGCCCAGGCTGGAGTGCAGTGACCCGATCTCGGCTCACTGCAACCTCCACCTCCCAGGTTCAAGCGATTCTCCTGCCTCAGCCTCCCGAGTAGCTGGGATTACAGGCGCCCGCCACCACACCGGCTAATTTTTGTATTTTTAGTAAAGATGGGGTTTCACCATGTTGGCCAGGCTGGCCTCGGACTCCTGACCTCAAGTGATCTGCCCGCCTCGGTCTCCCAAAGTGCTGGGATTACAGGCTGAGCCACTGCGCCTGTCCTGGAGGGGTTCATTTCAAAAGAAGATGAACGTACAGAACAAAGCAACACAACACAAAAAACCCTGAGCATGAAAGAACTTTTGCCAATAAATAGCACCTCATTTAAACGACAGCAGGAAAATGATTCAGGCTTTTGTTTATACTGGTTACTACCCTTCACTTGGGTCAGCCATCTGTGTCTGCAGGAGAAGCTAATTCCCAATTAGATGGGAGGGAATTAGATGGAGCCACTCAAGGCAATTGTGTAAACCTTTGATAACTTTAGAAAGCAGGCAGCAGATTGAAGTATTTGGCTTTATGGTTTCCAAACACTGTCTGTATCTAAGTTGTTGGCCCTGAAGTACAAGTTTTTTCTTTGTAGCTTCACGCCATTGAATTCTGACCCCTACACGTCTGGTCAGTCCAACTTTGAACACTGATTTGTGCATTTCTTGGTTGATGGGCAGAGGCTGGCCTTCCAGCATAGCATTGCCCTTTGGTAAGTTTAAGCCAGTCACGCAAACAAGAAAGGCCCCTGAGAGACGGGACATGAAAACAGATTCCAGAAGTAAAGAAGCATGCTGTGTAAAAGTAATTTTAATAAAAAATGAAAGTAAAGCCTACAGCTTTTTGCCCAGCAACACTCTGATTACCAGTGCCTGCCTCCTGCAGAAGTATCATAGCTCTCACGTGCAGTGATTAAGGATGGGAAGGAAAAACAGTGGATGGATGAAATATTAATAAATCTGCAAGGTTCTGCGTATATTTTTGCTTTTTAAAAAACTTTAAGATCATGAAGTACAACACATATACAGAAAGATGCACAATGGATGATCACAAAATGAATATCAAGAAATTAAATATGGGGGCTGGGCGCAGTGGCTCACGCCTGTAATCCCAGCACTTTGGGAAGCAGAGATGGGAGGATCCCTTGAGCCCAGGAGTTCGAGACCAGCCTGGGCAATATAGTAAGACCTCATCTCTACAAAAGATTGAAAAAATTAGCCAAGCGTGGTGGCACATGCCTGTAGTCCCAGCTACTCAGGAGGCTGAGGTGGGAGAATCATTTGAGCCTGGGAGGTCGAGGCTGCAGTGAGCCATGATTGCATTACTGCACTCCAGCCTGGGCAACAGAGCCAGACCCTGTCTCAAAAAAATAAATAAAATAAAATATGACCTGTTCTCCAAAAATACCACCCTTGACTGGGGTTGCCAGATTTAGCGAATAAAAATACATATCTCAAATACTGCATGGAACCTGTTTATGGGAAAGGATTATTTATTGTTTACCAAATTTAACTGAGAATCTTGTATTTTATGTGACAACTCTACCTATGAACCTTTCTGTTCATTACCCCATCTCTACTCTCCAGATATAACCACTGTTCTGGCTCCTATCACTATAATTAGGTTTTGCTTGCCTTTGAACCTTTTATCAATGGAAATGTTTGGTGTTTATTCTTTTGTGACTGGCTTTTTTAGCTCAACAGTATGTTCGTTAGATTTGTCCATGTGGCTGTCTATAGAGGTAGTTTGTACATTTTTATTACTCTGTAGTATTGCATTGTATGTTTTTCACATCATTTATATATACATTTTACTCTTGATAAATATTTGGCTTGTTTGGGGTTGTTAAGAATAGTTTTACTGTGACTATTTTTGTTCATGTTTTTTGGTAGGATTGCTAGATCATACAGTATTCGTATGTTCAGCTGTAGTAGATGCTGTCAAAGTGATTATACTACTTAAATTCCCAACAGCATTTTATGTTCCTGTTGCTCCACATTCTTTCTAACACTTGGTATTGTTAGTCTTTTAAATTTTAGATATTTTGGTTGGTGGGTATAGCAACTCTTTGTAGTTATAATCTGTACTTCCTGATTCCTAATGAAATTGAGCATGTTTTACACGTTTGTTGGTCATTTGTATGACCATTTATTGGTCACTGCTTTTTTTTTTAGACGGAGTCTTGCTCTGTTGCCCAGGCTGGAGTGCAGTGGTGCAATCTCGGCTCACTGCAACCTCCGCCTTCTGGCTTCAAGCGATTCTCCTGCCTCAGCCTCCCGAGTAGCTGGAATTACAGGCATGCGCCATCATGCCTGGCTAATTTTTTTTTTTTTAATTTTTAGTAGAGACGGGGTTTCACCATGTTGGCCAGGCTGGTCTTGAACTCCTGACTTCAGGCGATCCGCCCGCCTCAGCCTCCCAAAGTGCTGGGATTACAGGCGTGAGCCACCGTGCCTGGCTTTATTTGTATGACCATTTATTGGTCACTACTTTTTTGTGTAGTACTTACTTATCTCTTGTCTAATGTTTACTGGGTTGTCTGCCTATTTCTTAGTGATTTGTAGAAGTTCTATATAAATTTTGGGTATCTTCTTGTCTGTGATTGGCCTTTTCCTTCTCTTAATGATGTTTTTGATGAATAATTTTTGGAAAAGATCACTCTTTCTCCATGTCTCTGCAGAGCCACTTTGTCAAAAATCAAGCATCCAGCTACGTGTGGGTCTATTTCTAGACTCATGAATATTTAAAACATTTATTTACTTTATGCCTGAGAACAATGGGAGTGTGTGCGTGCATGTGTGTATGTGCGTGTGTACTAGAGAATGACAGTACCTTGGACTCATTCAACAAATCAGTATTTATTTATTGAGTATCCTAGTATATGCCAAAATTAGGTGACTACATTTAAAAAATTGTTACACTAGCCTTGGTACTAAATGTACTGTGTGTTGCCCACAAATTAATATTTTAAAAACTTGTACTTAGTTAAAAGATTGGATGTTCTCTGGCATAGAATGGTTAGAAAGTCAGTAAAGCCATATCTGGCCTTTTAGTCTTGCCCTTCCCCCCTCCCCTGCTTGCTGAATTAAATTACCAAGTGAAAAACCTTGGCCTCCTGTAGATAGCATAATTACTTGGCTGTTTGGATTTAAAATTATAACACAGCTAACTTTTATTGCTTTTCCATAGAATTGAAAAGGAACTTATGTGCCCCTTACTTAGCTGCCAGTGGTCAGTCAAAAGCAATAGATTGATTTCTGTCCACGGCTAGGTGATACGCAACCTGTATTTCTCTCTCTCAAATACAAGAAGTATGGTGCCTTCTAAAATATGAACATTTGTACCTCTGATGACATTACAATTATTTTGATATGAGTTGAAAACCTTAGGGAAATATCACAACTAAATTCTAGATACACTGTATCTTTTTTCCAACAATTTCCATGCTGAACTTGTATTGAGCAAGAGAATCTTGGGCATATTATCAAAATTGAAAATATTAAAATTAAAAGGGACATTTCCAGCCAAAGCCAAAAATCCTTTCTGCAGTATTTTGGACAGATGGTTGTGTGGCCCATCCTGATCCTGAGTGTCTCTAATGAATGATGAAGAGCTCACTCTTTCTGCTTTTTTTTTTTGGAGATGGAGTCTCGCTCTGTCACCCAGGCTGGAGCGCAATGGCGCCATCTCGGCTCACTGCAACCTCTGCCTCCCAGGTTCAATCGATTCTCCTGCCTCAGCCTCCTGAGTAGCTGGGATTACAGGTGTGTGCCACCACGCCTGGCTAATTTTTGTATTTTGAGTAGAATTGGGGTTTTACCATGTTGATCAGGCTGGTCTCGAACTCCTGACCTCAGTTGATCCACCCGCCTCAGCCTCCCAAAGTGCTGGGATTACAGGCGTGAGCCACCGCGCCTGGCCGCTCTTTCTGCTTTTAATGAAGCTACCTTGCCACCATCTTAGGAGGGTTTGCTGTAAATAGCCCATCATCTAATTTGTAGTGAAGCAAAGTCCTCCTTAAGAAAAAAGAAAACATATTTGAATTTGCAGCAATAAAAAAAAAAGGAATTTAATGAATCATGACCAGCTTTTTTTTTTTTTGAAAAGGAAAAAAGAAAAAGAAGAGAGTGGGGTAGAATGAAGAATTAGAGTGTATTATGCTTGAGAGGAGTTAAGTGTTGCACGGACCTTTTTGTCCTTCCTGTGTGTGCTTGTGTATGTATGTGAACTGGCCTGCACTAAAATATGCCTATTACTGTGGTTGTGCAATCAGTGTTTGAAAAACACTCATTCGAGCCATCTCCATCTTTTTTTTTTTGCGATAGGGTCTTGCTCTTTCTCCCAGGCTGGGGTGCAGTGGCAGGATCACAGCTCACAGTTCACTGCACGCAGCCTCAACCTCTCGGGCTCAAGACATCCTCCCACCTCTGTTGCCACAGTAGCTAGGACTACAGACATGCACCACCATACCCAGCTAATTTTTTAAATTATTATTTGTAGAGATGCGGTCTCACTGTATTGTCCAGACTGGGCAATTCTTATTTAAATTTAGATCTTCAGCTTCTTTCAAGGTCAGATCTCATCTCTCACCCTTCAAAGAGCCTTGTCAGCCTTTCTTAATGTATATTTTTAAATTTTTTGAGGTAAATTTCATGTAACATGAAATTAACCACTAACTATTTAAAAGTATACAATTCAGTGGTACTTGGTACATTCACACTGTTGTGCAACAACTAACACCTCTAACTAGTTTCAGAACATTTTCATCACCTCAAATCTCAATCTTTTCACCCTGGAGGAGTCTTTGAAATGATTTTGAGGTCTTAGAGAACTCCTGCATAAAAACTATATCTATAGCCCATGGTACATTAGCACAATCTGTGATAATAAATATGTAATTACATAAAAAGATGTTCAACATTATAGCTATTAGGGAAATAAGAATTAAAATCAAGATGAGATACCACTGTATACCTATTAAAATGGCTAAAATCCAAAACACAATACCAATTGCTCACATGGATTTGAAATAACAGGAATTCTCACTCATTGCTGGTGGGAATGCGAAATGGTAATTTCTTATAAAGTTAAACACACACCTGCCATATGGCCAGTTCCGAATTTATGTGAAATAAATAAATTCCCATAAATAATTCTGGGTTAAACTCAAAATAAGCACATATCAATTTCATTTTCAACTGGAATGAGAATATTGTAGCTATAATAATCCAATAATAATTGTCTTTTTAAAGTAAAAAATGGTAGTTTTCTGTGGATCTCTTGATTTCAGCCAACTTATTTACCTACTCTTTCCCTTTCTCACAAAGGGTTATCAACCCTAAAGCAAGTGGGAATGTAGAAGAGGAAACTTCAGGTTGTTTTATGGTAAAATTTTCTACTTGATTTATTTTTCCTTTTTACCTTATCCAAGTAGGCCTAAAAGTTCTCTATAGTTTCTATTATAGAGGGTGCTATTGAGGAATGATATATGGTATATGGTATGAACAAAAGTAGTTTTCTCCCCTATTAAAAACTGAAAAGGACTTTTTACCAGCTTTTTTGAGGGAAAAAAAACCCAAAACAGATAGTTAAACTTAGCTTACCTTTCTTTCCTTTCCATACATTCAAAAAACTTTTCAGTCAGCATAATATAAACATGTTAAATAATTCAAGTTATTTCTGTTTATATCTAAGATGGAATTTACTTTTTCAAAAAGTAGGCTAAGATGATTTAATTTAAATAAAGGTTGTAAACTCGTAATTAATGCTGTTTTCAACATCAAAATGTATTGACAATGTTACATAATAAAGCTACTAAAACTATATGACAAAGCATTATGAGTAAAAATATAACCTAAGATATAATTTTATACAAGACTTAAAAATTAGGTTCTTTTACTGACTGACATGATTGGGCTTAAATATAGGCAGTTACAAAATTATAATCTTGATTTCTTTATAGACCTGTATGTACATAACAGTCTTATTTTTTAAAAGCTAAAAATAAATAATAAAATTTACCTCTCCACTCTGAAATCTGTGTTTATATTTTGCCACATAAATAATTCCGGGTCAAGCTTGAAATAAGCACACATCAATTTCATTTTCAACTGGAATGAGAAGATTTCTGGCCTTTTCAATACTTGTTAAACAAGGAAAGCTTTGCTTACATGTATAAGAAGTTGAAAATTATAGCAAAATGGTCATTGCTCTCCTATGAATGGCAGGATGCTTACTTTTATGTAAATTTTGAACTGGCCATATGGTAGGTGTGTGTTTATCTTGATAAGAAATTACCATTTTGCATTCCCACCAGCAATGATTGAGAATTTCTGTTATTCCAAATCCTTGTAAGCAATTGGTATTGCCAGTGTTTTGGATTTTAGCCATTTTAATAGGTGTATAGTGGTATCTCCTCTTTTCTCTCTCTCTCTTTTTTTTTTTTGAGACTGAGTCTCACTCTGTCGCCCAGGGGAGTGTAGTGGCGCGATCTTGGCTCACTGCAACCCTCTGCCTCCCAGTTCAAGCTATTCTTCTGCCTCAGCCTCCCGAGTAGCTGAGATTACAGGTGTGTGCCACCACGCCCGGCTAATTTTTGTATTTTGGGTAGAGACGGGGTTTCACCATGTTGGCCAGGCTGGTCTTGAACTCCTGACCTCAGGTGATCCACCCACCTCGGCCTCCCAAAGTGCTGAGATTACAGGCCTGAGCCACCACACCCGGCCTGGTATCTCCTCTTGATTTTAATTTTTATTTCCCTAATGGCTATGATGTTGAACATCTTTTTATGTGCTTATTTGCCATCCGTATATCCCCTTTGGTGAAATGTCTGTTCGTGTCTTCTACTCATATTTAATTGGGGAGTTTCCTTACTTGAATTCCTGACCTCAGGCGATCCGCCTGATGAGTTTTGAAAGTCATTTTTAATATAGTCTGGATACAAGTTGGGTGCAAGTCTATTATTGAATGTATGGTCTGTAAATATTTTGTTCCAGTCTATGGCTTGAATTTTCATTCTCTTAAAGCAAGGCTAAAAAATATGTACATATATTTAAGGATAAAATATAACATGAGTTCAAAAACTATTGTTTTCAATGCAAATTAAGGATTATAGGGTTTTTACTTCTTTGATTTTATATATTTACATGTAATCTTGCTTCATAAGTACATTAGCTGAATTACTTATCCTAACATAAATAAAAATATACAACCATATAATAATTTTTAATTAATAATAACATTATTAACAATTTGAGTTTTGAAAATAGTTTAAGATTTCTTTATAGCTATTTCTGTTGTGAGAGTATATCCCACCAGGAATGTATAGTCAAATTACTGGGTTTTAGTTTCATTTAAATCATTGCTGTCGGTATGGTTAAGTCACCAACTCAGTATCTAGTTAGGTTCATTTGTTTCATTGTGCTTTTGTTTCTGAACTTAAAAAAAGGCATTTGTATGGTCTCAAAGTCAAATTTGCAAAGTAAGTTACTTTCAGAGAGCTCTAGCTTTTATCTCTGTCTCTTCAATCTTATTCTCTCCCTCTCTCCATAATAACTTAAAGAAAAAACTTTATTTAGTTTGAGGTTATCCTCTTTCTCTTCCTCCTTCTCTTCTTTCTTTTTTTTTTAATTTTTAAAACAGCAAATTGTTAAATTTATTCACATGTTCCCCTTTTATTCAATACTTGGTAGCATAATCTACACAGTCTTTTGAACCTTCCTTTTTTCATTTTAACAGTATATCTTGGAGATCACTTGGTAGTGGTATATAGGGCTCTTCCTCATTTCTTTTTATAGTTACATAGTACTCCATTTTGTAGACTTACAATAGTTTATTCAACCATCCCCTTTTGGTGTACAGTTACATTATTTCCAGTCTTTTGTTATCCAATAATGTTGCAATAAATAGCCAAACTGTGCTTCAAAAGACACTATCAGAAAAGTGAAAAAGCAGCTGACAGTGTGGGAGGAAATATTTATAAAGCATATTATCTGATAAGGGACTATATTCAGAATATGTAAATAACTCCCAAAACTCAATAATAAAAAGACAAATAGGCCAGGTGCGGTGGCTCATGCCTGTAATCCCAGCACTTTGGGAGGCTGAGGCAGGCGGATCACCTGAGGTCAGGAGTTTGAGACCAGCCTGACTAACATGGAGAAACCTGTCTCTACTAAAAATACAAAACTAGCCGGGCGTGGTGGCGCATGCCTGTAATCCCAGCTACTCGGGAGGCTGAGACAGGAGAATCACTTGAACCTGGGAGGCAGAGGTTGTGGTGAGCCGAGATCGCACCATTGCACTCCAGCCTGGGCAACAAGAGTGCAACTTCATTTCAAAAAGCCAACAAACAAACAAAAAGGCAAATAATCCAGTTTTGGTGGTATGGGATTGCTGGGCAGACAAAACAATTGCTGTCTACTATGCTAGATCACAGGATAGTTTTGATATAAAGAATTCTGTCACTTTGTTCCCAGTAACTATTAAAATATCCTTGAAATTACATTATTTCAGATTGGGCCGCTTATTGAAGCTGCCATCCATACTTTGGAAATAACATATTCCATTGCTATTCCTAAATGTTCATTTGAATTTCAGGAATTAGAGTCTCTTTGCCTATGTAGGATTCAAACACCTAATTTTGGTCACCATGCATTCTGTACTGAACTTCGTAGCTCTGTCACCTAGGGTACATTTGACTATAAGTCACAGAATACCTGACTAACAGTGGTTTAAGCCAAATTAATTTTCTCATAAGAACTTTAGAGGTGTAGCAGTTTCAGATTTAGGCAGTGACTGATGAATGTCATAAAGAACCCAGGCTCTTTTTATCTCTGCATTCTGCCATCTTCAGAATATTGGCTTTTCTTTCTTAGGCTTGTGACCTCATAGTTGCAAAATAGTTGCCTCAGTTCCAGTCATCACAACTACATGTAACCATGTTCAAGACAAGCAGGAAGGAGAGGGAGGGGAAACAGCTCTTCTTATATGAGAAAACAAAATGTTTTCCAGGAGCCCCCCAGTAGATTCCCTCCTTCCATCTTATTTGCTAAAATTGATGCACATGGCCATCCTTTACTACAAGGAATGCTGGGAAATTATCTTGTTTTTTTTTTCACCATCTACTTTTGGAGGTGGGAAAGGGAAAAGAGGGTTCAATAGTGGCCAACAAACTTTGTCACACCAGCCACAGACAATACCTGTGAGTCTGGTATTGTCAGACTTAGTAGTATCCCTTTCATTACAATTTGTGTTTTTAAATTATACAAGTAACACATGAGTATATCAATATTGCGAAGGATACCAAGAATACTGTTCTTTGTAAACTATCTTCTTTTCCATAATGGGAAACAAGCCTAATACTCCAGTTAATCCAGCATGTTCACTGTTTGTCCTTTGGGTATATTTTGGACTTTTCCACTCAATTATTAGTTTGTTTGTCCCCTTGCCTGATAGCAGCATCCTCATGCCTCTTCCTCTTCCCATCTAGATCCTGACCTTCCCTCAAAACTTGGCTTTAATCCCCCCTCCTCATTAAAGCCTTCCCCGATCATCTCAGCAAGAACCATCTGTCTACATAAGCTTGCATGCTCATATTGCCCATTTACCGCCTTATTTCCTGCGTTGTGTTTTGTGTTCTTTATGTGTGATCGTGGCAGTCCTCAGTTGACTAAGAAACTGTGATTGGTGGCTCTTTGGGTTGCCCTTCACGTTCTCAGTGCCTTCCTTACACAAACCGGGTCCTTAATAGGTGATTGTCCATTGCTGCCTCTACCTGCAGCAACCATGGTTGAAACATAGATGGAAATAAACACAGCTTGGGGGAATCTTCTCTGGAATTAGTTTCCTGCTTATGTCTTCCGCTGCTGCTGTGGAACAAAATAGTTCTTGTTTTAGCAATAGTGAATATAAAGGATGAAGAAAGTCATTTGCTTTTGTGGCTTAAATAGGAGATAAGTCTCTCGGGATACATGGTTTATACACAGCAGCCAGGGCAATATGAAGATGTCCCTATCTAAATTGTGACACAAAGCCTCTCTGTGGCCTCTTGCACCATGCTGAGGGATAGTTTTCTCTCTCTTATTGGCATCCAGTTTGGGTTTTCCTGGAAGCAGCAGGTTTGTCTATGCATATTCATCAGTCAGGACTCCTAAGGAGACCATTCTCCCCTCAGTAGGATTCCGGCTATGCTAATGGTAAAGGGATTTCTTAGGCCATTTCCTGGGGGAGTTTATTCTGTTTCTATAGTTGCAGAAAGGGCAGAGCCAACTTCTTGCAGAGGGGGGATTCCCTAAAGCAAAGGGTATTGAGGGATGTGCATTTTTATTTCCCCCTTACCCAGGCCCCTGGGTGCTCAAATTCTACCTGGTGACTCCAGTGTGGCAAAGTGAACAGCTTGACCAGCTGAATACTGAACAAATTCTTTGCTTTCCTAATGGTATGTTTGACATCCCAAAGGAGGGAATGGTCAAAACAACTAGATTTTTTTGGGGTTGGGGGTGGGGGGAAGTTTAGGTCAATTGCATGGTTTAACTGTAATTTAGACTACCTTTTCTTCTTCACATGAATTTGGTAATTGAAACATACTGTTCTGTTAAATTCAAGCACAGATGTTTGTTTAATCACTTACAGGACTATTTCCATATCATTTCGGTTAGAGTTTAGTCATTTGTTGCTCAGCTGTGTTCAGACCTAAACTTTATAAAAGGCACGTGAGTAGAGCCTCTCCTAGTGACTAAGGAACGTGGACCTTCTCTTTCCTTTTTTTTTTAAATTGAAGTTTTTATTGAGATAATTGTAAATTGACATGTAGATTCACTTAAGAAAGAGTACAGAGAGGTCCTATTTACCCCTCACCCCATTTGCCCCAATGGTAACATTTTTCTTTTCTTTTCTTTTTGTTTGTAAGATAGGGTCTTGCTCTGTCACCCAGGCTGGAGTGCAGTGGCATGATCATAGTTCACTACAACCTCGACCTCCCTGGATTAATCGATCCTCCCACCTCAGCCCCTTGAGTAGCCGGGACCACAGGTGCACACCACCACACCTGGCTAATTTTTAAAAATTATTTTTTCTAGAGTTGGAGGGTCTTGCTATGTTGCCCAGGCTGGTCTCGAACTCTTGGACTCAAGCGATTTGTCTGCCTCGGCCCCCCGAAGTGTTGAGATTACAGGTGTGAGCTACTGTGTCCAGCTCATTTTTCAAAGCTATAGTATAATATCACAATCAGTATCTTGACATTGATATACTCCACTGATCTTATTCAGATTTCCCCAGCTTCACTTGTATTCATTTGTATGTTTGTGTGTGTGTATTTAGTCTAACCTACACATGTGGTGCAATGTATACATTTCCACCACAGTAAAGGTATAAAACAGTCTTATCACCACAGGGATTCCTCATGTTGTCCTTTTATAACCACACCTCGCTCCCTTCCACCAACTCCCCCAACCCTACCATTCCTAACCCCTGGCAACAACGAATCTGTTTTCCATTTCTAAAATTTTGCTATTTCAAAATGTTACATAAATGGAGTCATAAAGTATGTACCTTTTGGAATTTGTTTTTTCCACTTGGTATAAGTCCCTGGGCATTTATCCAGGTGGTTGCGTATATCAACTGTTCATTCATTTTTACTACTGAGTAGTAGTTCATGTATGTATCACAATTTCTTTACATTTGCCTTTGGAAGGACATTGGGGCTATTTCTAGTTTTTAGCTATTATGAATAAAGCTGCTGTGAACATGTATGTACAGGTTTTTGTGTGAGCATACATTTTCATTTCTCTAGGATAAGAGCCCAAGAGTGTAATTGCGTGTTATTTGATACTTACATGTTTAATTTTATAAAAAGACAATCAAACTATTTTTGAGAGCAAATTACCATTTTAGATTCCCAACAATATATGAGTGATCTAGTTTCTTTGCACCCTGGTCCGCATTTAGTGTTATCACTATTTTTATTTTAGCTGTCTGAGAGGTGTGTAGTGATATCTCATGGTGGGTTTAATTGGCATTTCTCTGATGGTTAATTAATTGAATATCTTTTCATGTGCTTATTTGTCATCTGTATATCCAGCTAAGTGAAATGTCTGTTTATGTCTTTGGCTCATTTCTAATTGGATTGTTTTTTACTAAGATTTATTTATTTATTTATTTGGAGACAGAGTCTCACTGTGTTGCCCAGGCTAGAGTACAGTGGCATGATCTTGGCTCACTGCAATCTCTGCCTCCCAGGTTCAAGTGACTCTCGTGCCTCAGCCTCCCAAGTAGTTGGGATTACAGGCATGAGCCACCGTGCCCAGCCTTGTTTTTTTTACTGTTAACTTTTGAGAATTCTTTATGCATTCTGAATACTAGTCCTTTGAGATGTGGTTTGCACATATTTCCTCCCAGTATGTGGCTTATCTTTTCATCCTGTTAACAGTATCTTTTGTAGAGCCAAAGTGTCTCATTTTGTTAAGGTCTAATTTATCGGTTTTTTTCTTTTATGAGTTGTGCTTTTGGTGTCAAGTCTAAGGACTCACTGCCTAGCCCTACATCATGAAGATTGTCTCCTGTGATGGTTTATTTTGAGATGGAGTTTTACTTTGTTGCCCAGGCTGGAGTGCAGTGGCACAATCTCGGCTCACTGCAGACTCAACCTCCCAGGTTCAAGCAGTCCTCCTGCCTCAGCCCCCCAATAGCTGGGACAACAGGTGTGCACCACCGTACCAGGCTCATTTTTTTTTTTTTTTTTTTTTTGTAGAGACAGGGTTTTACCATGTTGCCCAGGCTTGTCTCAAACTCTTGAACTCAAGAGATGCACCTGCCTCAGCCTCCCACAGTGCTAAGATTACAGGTGTGAGCCACTGTGCCTGGCCTCCTATGTTGTTGTTTTTTTCTAAAGGATTTATAGTTTTACATTTTATATTTAATGTGATCTGCCGGGCATGGTGGCTCATGCCTATAATCCCAGCACTTTGGGAGGCTGAGGTGGGAGGATTGCTTGAGGCCAGGAGTTCAGGACCAGCCTGGGCAACATAAGGGGACTTTGACTCTACAAAAATAATAATACAAAAAAGCCCGGTGTGGTGGGGTGCAGCTGTGGTCCCAACTGCTTGGGAGGCTGAAGTGGGAGGATGGCTTGAGCCTGAGAGATGGAGGCTGCAGTAAGCTGTGGTCACACTACTGTACTGTATCCTGGGGGACAGTGTTTGACCCTGTATCAAAAAAAAAAAAATTCTGTGATCCATTTTAAGTTAATTTTTATTTAAGGTGTGAGATTTAGGTCATGATGAACTTTTTTGTCCTATAGATGCCCAGTTGCTCAAGCACCATCTGTTGTAAAGGATATCCTTCCATTGAATTGCTTTTGAATCTTTTACAAAACCATTTGAGCATATTCGTGTGGGTTGTCTTTTGAGTTGTCTGTTCTGTTCCATTGGTCGCTGTGTCTATCCGTCTGCCATTGCCACACAGTTTTTATTACTGTATCTGTATAGTAAACCTTAATATCAGGTTCAGTTCTTCCTCCCACTTTATTTTTCTTTGTCAAGATTATTTGTCTTTTTTTTGTTTTTCCTAATATATAAAGAAAATTACTCTTTAGGTCAGTTAATAATCTTATTCTGCTAAAAAAATTAAAAGATAGCTTTTAGAGACTGCATGCGTTAGTTTGTAATGCTTTCTCCTGAAAGTAATGGAATACCTGACTAATAGAGGCTTAAAGAAGCAGGGATTTATTTTTTTCACCAAGTAGGAAGCCTGGAGGTGTTACCAGCGGAGGGTGTTCAGGTTCTTGGCATCGTGAACAAAGAATTGGACAAAATGCACAAACAAAGCAAGGAAAGAATTAAGCAACAAAAGCAGAGATTTATTAAAAATGAAAGTACACTCCACAGTCCGGGAGCGGGCGGAGCATAGGGGCTCAAGAGCCCCTTTACAGAATTTTCTGGGGTTTAAATACCTTCTAGAGGCTTCCCATTGGTTACTTGACGTAGACCCTATGTAAATGAAGTAGTGGCCCAGCAATCAGTTTGACTGGTTGCGGAAAGCAACCAATCAGAGGCTGAAGTGAAGTTACAAAGGTTACACCCTATGCAAGCATCTGATTGGTTGTGGAAAGCAACCAATCAGAGGCTAAAGTGAAGTTACATAGTTACACTCCTATGCAAACTTTCTGCAATCAATCAGAGATACTTTTTGCTTTCTGCAGCCAATCAGATACTTTCAATTTTCCATCTGCCATGCAGAAAAAGGTGGGGGTCACGGGGAGATTGCAAAGGGAGTAGCCTCCCTTGGGTCTTTTTGTTACTTAGGTGTGGAAAGTTGTGGTTTTCCTTTTGATTTAGTTCTAAGAAGTCAGCGTAAATTGGCCTTAGGTTCCCTGCCTCCAGACCCTATTCTCTTGCTTCAGAGGTAGATGGCTGCTGGCACATGTATAGAGGCTCAGCATTGTCTCAGCCAGCATTTCTGCAATCTTGCCCATTATCCCAAGATGGCTGCTGCAGCTCCAGGGATCATATATACATTTCAAGGCAAGAAGAGGTGAATGAGGGGAACGTGACCTGTATCTGTCCCTTGGCTCAAGAGAGCAAAAATCCTTCATAGAATTCCAAAACAGACTCCTAAAAAGAGGCTGAGGAAACAAGTGCAGTGTGTAGCTTTTTCTGGAGTTTTTAAATGGAGACTTGCAAGGGAGAAGGAATTTGGGAATGGCTGCACGAATCAGCTACCGTGAGCCAGTGGTTTCAACTTACTTTGGGTAAAATCTTTAGAATTCTGTTTATTGATTGGTGCCTTAAGTTGAATTATTTAGAGCAAAAATATCATAGCCTTATGAGAAAGATTCTGCAGATCTCCAGATCTTATTGATTTAAATTTTGTTTTTCACTCTACTGATTTAAATACATTATTAAATGTATAAAATCAATCTTATTGTTATATTGAGTTGATGGCTAAGAATCATGAGCACAACACTTTTTCAAGTTACTTTTAGAAAGAGAGGAAATTAGCTTAAAAAATGTTTGAGATTTTCTTTGACGTGCCTTTTTAATTTGCACATTTGGGGTTAGTTTTTGAGTGATTTAGCTTAATTAATAAGTAATGATGGCTTTCATGCTCTTATAGTCTTACATTCTTAGATCCCACTATACCTGAGGCAATTTTGTTATTTTCTCTGGGAGGTTCACAGTATCTGCTGAATGACTTTTTCTTCTCCATGAAAGTACAGCAAAAAAGAAAAGAATAAATGAATTTTTAAAATAAATATTAGACGAGGGAGGAAAAAACCCCACACTATTCACAGAATAGAAGCAAATTAGTCCAGAACCTGATCAGGCAGAAATATCTAAGAATGATAGTTTTAGATAATTCTGTATCAAATTTTCTATTAACCTAAAAAAATAGAAAAATAAGTTGTGTTAATGTTTATTGAAATATTAAATATTAACTATCTCTCTTCAATTCCCAAATTTCCAGTAACTGCTGGTGACTGTAGAGGGATTTCTACAGCACTCTCTTTTAATACTTCCCCAGCTTTTAAGGGATTGAGTCTAGATCCAATTATTTGGTCTATTTCCTCCCTTCCGGGTCATGGTGGATGTTTTTGCTATTATATTTGCCAAAAGCAAAAGTAACAATTCAATCCTGATGACTTAAACAAGGAGACATCTATTACTTTTCTCAAAAAGCACAAAGAATATGAGGCCCATTGCTTAAGGGCTCAGGTGTTGGGTTTGCATTCCTGGATTCACCACTTATACTAGTTGAGTGACCTTGGGCAAATTACTAAAACTCTGTCTCTCAGAATCCCCATCTAGGCCAGACACAGTGGCTCTGCCTGTAATCCTAGCACTTTGGGAGGCCGAGGTGGGCAGATCGCTTGAGCCCAGGAGTTTGAGACCAGCCTAGTCAACATGGTGAAACCCCGTCTCTACAAAAAATACAAAAATTAGCCAGGTGTGGTGGCATGCGCCTGTAGTCTCAGCTACTCAGGAGGCTGAGGTGGGAGGATCGCTTGAGCCCAGGAGGTTGAGGCTGCAGTGAGCCATGACTGTGCCACTGCACTCCAGCCTGGGCTACAGAGTGAGGCCCTGTCTCAAAAAAAAAAAAAAAAAAAAAAAAAAAAATCAGACTCCATGCATAAAATAGGGATGATGATAGAATATACTCAGAGATTTTTCTCTCTGAGGATTAAGAGCATTAAAAAATTTGCATATCTCATTTATTAATGAGGTTAACTATATTTTAGTATGTTTATTGGCTATTTCCATTTCCTTTTTTTGCAAAGTGCCTTTTCAAATCCATTGCCCATTTTTCTGTTGGGTTTTCCTTTTCTTAGTGTACATATATATGAGATAAAGAGTGGTCTTTCCATATGTGTATACAATGTGTAATGAGCAAATCAGGCATATTTATCACCTCAAATATTTATCATTTCTTTGTGTTGAGAACATTCAAAATCCTCTCTTCTAGCTTTTTGAAAATATATAATAAATTATAGTTAAACATATTCATCCTACAGTGCTACAGAACACCAGAACTCATTTCATCTATCTACTGTAATTTTTTATCTGTTAACCAACCTCTCCCCACCTCCTCTCCTTCCCCTTTCCAGCCTTTAATACTCCCAATGATTAAGAGAATTTAATGTGGCCAGACATGGTGGCTCATGTCTGTAATCCCAGCACTTTGGGAGGCTGAGGTGAGCAGATCACTTGAGCCCAGGAGTTCAAGATCAGTCTGGGCAACATGGTGAAATCTCGTCTCTACAAAAAATACAGAAATTAGCAGGGTGTGGTAGTGTGTACCTGTAGTCCCAAGCTACTCAGGAGGCTGAGGTGGGAGGATAGCTTGAGCCCAGGAAGTCAAGGCCGCAGTGAGCTGTGATCACGCCACTGCACTCCAGCCTGGGTGACAGAGCAAGACCCTGTCTCAAAAAAAAAAAAAAGTTTAATGCTTCTAAAGTGCTTAGAACAGTGCTACAATTGTTAGCTATTGTGGCAATAGAAATGACATTTATATTGGCTTATCTAGCTCATGGCTTATCTAGTAAGCTGTCCCATTCTTACCAGGCACCTCACACTACCTGCCTTTGTCTTGTGGTTGTCAAGCATCTGGGCTTTTGAGTGTAGGCTAGAAAGAAACAAGAGACTGCTGTGCTGGAGTTCTGAAATAGAGGTTGCAAACAGATCAACAGCTCCTGATGTAGATGACTATAGCCAGCTTCTCAGTTTGGATTAACTTTACGGTTTCTGTAGCGGCCTTGATAACTAATTGATTAATCAACTTATGCATGTGATAAAATTGCCCTTCCAATTTTTAGCAACGAGGAAGGGGTGCTGATTGTAGCTTTGAATTTGATATGAAGCAGAGTCTGGATTTGGCTGCCACCTTTCCAACAGTGGTGGAATGGGAATCAGGGAGTTGAGATGCCAAGGAGCACTGACCTAGGATCTAGGAATAGTTATGTTCCTAACTTTATCATTTGCTAAGACATTTGCTAATTTCCTTAAATTGAGACTGAGTACCAATACACAGTCACTATGGCAAAGGCAGGTTGCCATGCCATCTTAAGAGGCTATAATGGCAAATCTCAAGTTTTTGTAAGTGTCTGGGGGTGTGTGTGCATGGGGGCAAACATTTTAAATAAGTGCCCTATGGACTGTTACATCATATCAAACAAATTCTCAATGCGTTAGTTTCTAAGGTATAGAATTCTGAATTGAAATTTCAAGCTAATACTCTAATAGTGCAAAAATGGAGTTTTGCATGCTATGTCAATTAGAATAACAATAGCAATTGGCATCACTGGACTTAAAAAAAAGTGTGTGTGTTTTGTTGTTTTGAGTTTGAATGTGTGAATTCACAACTCACAAGCCAAGAGTTTTGGAGAGGTTTTAGTAATAGTTCCTTTCATGCTAAAAGCATTGTTTTAAATAATTACGTGTGGCTGATTTTATTTTATTTAGCAAGAGAATTGGAAATGATTAACAGGTATCTGGATAATACTCTTTGGGTGGAGAATTTGCTCATAAATTTAGCTGCAACTTGGTTGAATGAACTGCATTCTGACTTTGATATATTTTGGTTTCTTCTCAATTTTTATAGCATTGTTGGATTTTATGGGCCCCACATGCTTCCACACAACTCTGTTGGCCTTGGTGGATTTTAATGTTTAAAATTAAAAGGCCCCATCATATATTCTTAGTTATTGTTACTATTATAGCTGGACAAAGATATGCTGGTAAGAGTTTGTAGCAATTGTGTGTGTGTGTGTATGCAGGGGTTGGGGGAGGTGGGTTTGCAGTGGTTGCTGCCCCTCAAAGAAGCAAGCATGTAGCTATCCAATGGGTTCTTCTTACCCACTGCCCAGATAGAGCCGATTTCTCAAAACAGAGGAATTGCAATAGAGTTTCATACACTCAGAGCCAGCTAAATGGGAGACCAGAGTTTTATTACTCAAATCAGTCTCCCTGAAAATTTTGAGACAGAGGTTTTTAAAAGATAGTTTGGCAGGCAGGGGCCTAAGGAATGGGGAATGCTGATTGGTTGGTTTGGGGATGAAATCATAGGGAATTGAAGCTGCCCTCTTTCACTGAGTCAATTCCTGGATGGGGGCCACAGATCAGATGAGCCAGTTTACCTGTCTGGGTGGTGCCAGCTGATCCATCAGAATGCAGGGTCTGAAAATTATCTTAGGTTTTATAATAGTAATGTTATCTATGGGAGCAATTGGGGAGGTTAGAAATCTTGTGGTCTCAGGCTGCGTGATTCCTAAGCCATAATTTCCAATCTTGTGGCTAATTTATTAGTTTTACAAAGGTGATCTGGTCCCCAAGCAAGGAGCAGGGGTTTGTTTTGGGGAGGGGCTGTTATCATCTTTGTTTCAAATTTAAACTATCAACTCCTCCCAAAGTTGGTTTGGCCTATGTCCAGGAATGAACAAGAGCAGCCTGGAGGTTAGAAGCAGGATGGAGTCAGGTAGGTCACATTTCTTTTACTGTCATAATTTTTGCAAAGGAAGTTTCAGGCATACCTCTTTTGACCTTGTTTTTTCCAGCCCCTTCTCTTTCTCTTGCAGCTGTGGTAGTGAGTAGGAAAGGAAGGTTAGCCTTGTGGAGGGCTCTTGAATTTCAATCCACCTCTTCAGCCTCCTTTAGAAATACTAGCAGAAATGAGCCTCATACCCCGTAAGATGTTGTTTAAGTGTCTGATTTTGCTATTTAAGGCTCTCTATGGATTGATTTCCACATTAACTCTTCAAAGTTCATGTCCCACTACTATAGGAAATGCCCCTGTATCTAGCTGGGTCTAGTCCTGGTCCTTCAACATGTTTCAGTGTCTTTTACTCTGCCCAAATTCAGTGCATGGTTCAAGGTTCACTTTAAGACTCAAATTCTACATGATTTTTTCTCTGGCATCGACTGCTCCATAGTATACTCCTTTGAATTCCTGTAACCCTAATCTATATACATAGGGTTGGCTGTTTGCTACAGTGGATTGCCCAAAAAATAAATCATAAAAATAGATGGTATGTTTAAGTTGAAGAACTATTGACTCATGCCTATCAGGCCCTGTGTTAAATGTTGAATGTTTCTTATTCAGCATTTAACATGTGGCCCTGCTTCCATGGAACTAAGAGGAACAGTGTTAAAAGTGACATTTAACCCAGGAATGAAGATCACATAATTTATGTATGTTCATGGAGCAAATATTATTATGGCTAAGAATGTCATAAAAGTGGAGATAAATCTATAAATCTATTTGTGGAAAAGAACATATAAGCTCTTGGGTTGGTTAGTAAGGGAGTCATACTTGGTCCCTTTTTTTTTTAGACGGAGTCTTGCTCTGTCACCCAGGCTGGAGTGCAGTGGTGCGATCTCGGCTTACTGCAACCTCCACCTCCCAGGTTCAAGTGATCCTCCTGCCTCAGCCTCGTGAGTAGCTGGGATTACAGGTACGTGCCACCACACCTGGCTAATTTTTGTATTTTTAGCAGAGACGGGGTTTCACCATGTTGGCCAGGCTGGTCTTGAACTCCTATACTTGGTCCCTTTTTATTGGAGCTCTGACTCAGTTCTCTCTAAAAGCCAATACCAAGTCCTTCCTCTTGAGAAAACAAAATAATAAATGCTAACAGGCAGGCACAGGCACAGATATTCTCTCACTTAGTCCTAACCACTGTCTCGTGAAGCAGGTATTATTATTCTCACTTTAGACATGGCAAGCCTCTGGAGAAGTAAAGTGACTGCTCCAGCATCACATGACCCATAGAGGCAAAGCTGGAAGGTGAATGCCAGGCTTCTGATGCCAGGTCTCCTGTCCTATCCTTTATGACCCTATTACTCCCTGGTGCTGCTCTCCATTCCAAATGTTTGATTATTAGATTTAAGGGGGTCTAAGCCAGGTAACATGAACAGGGAAAGATCAGCTGACAATATCTGATTGTTTGAAAATAATCCACAGCTTATGTTCTATTCATTCGATAGATGCTCATTGAACACCTACTATGTGCAAGGCCCTATAGTCCTTACTGTCAGAAAGTACAAAGCCTAGTATAAGATGCAAGTATATAAACAGGAAACTATAGTATAATATGGTGAGTACAGTGATGGCTGTACAGGAATTATGGGTATAGAATGAATGAATCAAGAATGAACCTTGTGAGATTGTTTGTCTGTACCACTGCTGCCCTTTCAAGGAGCACGTGTATTATTTTTTAGAAAACATTTTATTCTCTGTTCTAGGCACTTGGCCTGGCCCTGGTGATACAGCTGGGGGTGGGGGAGGGGAAAGGGTAAGTTCCTAAATAGTTAAAGAGAGGGTAACCTTCCAGACTTTAATAGAAGATCTATGCAGGAACAGAATGTTCTGCCTCTGGCAGTCAGAGAAGACTTTAAGAGATGACATTTAGATGATCTTTTATTTATTTCTTGCATTTTTCTGAGCTTGGGTTATTTTAAGGAAATTATAAATACTAGAAACTCAAGAGTTTTGATTTGCAATACCTTACCTAGAGCTGTTCAAAGAGCCATATGGTTCACAAGCTATTTCTGTCCCCATGATTCTGCTGAAACCATTCTCGTCAAGGTCACCAGCCACCTCCATGTTGCCAAATCAGGGGGTCAAGTCTCAAGCCTCGTCTTCATTTGAATTATTAGTAGCATTTAACACAGTTAGTCACGTGTTCCTTCAAATGCTTTCTTTAGGTAGTTTCCATGATACTAAACTCTCCTGGTGTTCTTCCCATCTTACCAGCTGCCCCTTTTTAGTCTTGTTTGCTAATTCTACCCCATCTCCCTGATCACGTAACATTGGGATATTTTAAAGCTCAGTCTTGGACTTCTTTTCTGCACTATCATCATTCATTCCAGCACTGTAGCCTTAAATACCATCCATCAACTGATGTATATCAAATTTTTATATCCAGCCTCGACTTCTTGCTTGAACTTCAGACTCCCATATCCACCTGCTAGTCCACATTTCTACTTGCTTGTCTGAGTGGTATCTTGAATGTAACATGTCCAAAATAGAATTCTGGACTCCTGTGCCTGCCTCCTACCTCCAGAATTCTCATTTAAGTTCTCTCCCACCATTCTACATCCCAGCACCTAAAACTCCATTCTTCTCGTTGTTCAGGCCAAAATACTTGGGGTTGTTAATAACTCATCTCTTTTTCCACACCCTACATCTAATCTATTGGTAAATCCTTTTTGTTCTACCTTCAAGATACATACAGAACTTGATCACTTCCACTGTCTCTACTTCTATTAACCTGGTCTAGGCCACTATCATTTCTTGCCTGGACTATTGCAATATCCCCAGTTCTTTGTATTGTGGCCAGAGCGATCCTTTCTATGCCCTGCTCAAAACAAAATCCAGTGTTCCTTAAACCTCTAAGGCACTGGCCCCTGTTTATACTCTTAACCTCATGTCTCAAGTTAGAGGACTCTAGACCTTTCAAACACCAGAATAATGTGGTGTCCTGCAAGGTAAGGCCTAACAGGGGAGGTTGTATGATAATCCAGAGTGCAGGAGTGAATGGAGGGGAGAAGGGACTCTCGGTGACTGCAGACTACTGTTTCGTGAAACATGAAGATAGAGGATGGGAGGGAGTCAAGATGGTAACGAAAGCAAGACTAAGGGCACTGAAGGAGGCTTTTCTTCCTCTAAGAGTTGAAAGACTTGAGTGTCTTTATGAGTTCATTGAAAGGAGGCCATGGAAGGGAGAGGCTAATGCTGTTGATCACTGACTTATCAGGGACACAAGTAAGCCAGTACTGCAAGGAGAGACAGTTAGGACCCACGTGAATATGGAAATCATAAATTGACTGCAGTCACTTTTGTTTGCTTAGTTGCATGGCTTTATCCCACCACTTCACTCTGTCTTCTGGCCAGAGCCTTCTAATTATCTTCAGTCTACTACCAGCCCTTTTGTTATGCCTGCCAGTTAATCCCAGTGCCTTCTCCCTTGTTCTGCTCCAGGCTCCTGAACACTGTGGATGTGACACAGGTCCTGAGGGTCACATTGCTTCCTGGATCACTATTCTTTGTCTCTTAATTCCTGCCCTCCTCCCAGGTGCTTTAAACTTATCTACTCCAAGCCAGTTGCAGTGGCTCATGCCCGTAATCACAGCACTTTGGGAGGCCAGGGTGGGTGGATCACCTGAGGCTGGGAGTTCAAGACCAGTCTGGCCAACATGGTGAAACCCTGTCTCTACTAAAAATACAAAAATTAGCTGGTTGTGGTGGTATGCACCTGTAATCCCAGCTACTTGGGAGGCTGAGGCAGGAGAATTGCTTGAACCCAGGAGGCAGAGGTTGCAGTGAGCCGAGATTGCACCACTGCACTCCAGCCTGGGTGACAGAGTGAGACTCCGTCTCATAAAAATAAAAAAATAAAAAAATAAAAAAAATAAATAAAATAAATAAAAACTTATCTGCTCCTGTGACATTTGTTTGATAGGGTCAGAGGCTGTGAAACTTTAGAAGCATACATGCTGTCTTTGGAATTTAAAAAATGTATCTACATGCCAACCGATCCATTATTTACTTAATATCTCTCTGTGAATTGAATCACTTTTGGAAAACTAAAACATATTTAAAAGGGAAACTTTATATCCTTACCATAAATGAAAACCACATCATTTGATCTAAGTGGAAGGTCATGGTAAGAAAAAAAGAAATGAAAACAAAACAGTGTTTTTAGATTTGATGCCTACAAAAAGTTAGGAGCCTGAGGCCTGCTTTCTTTTTTATAGGCAAGTATTTGGGAGGTATAGTCAGTACTACCAAATTGAGACTCACCCTTGCCTTAATCGAAAGGAAGAGGATAGAGGAAGATGAACATTCTTGCGCGCCCTCTGAAATCGTCTCCATTACCAACTAGGGTGGCATCCCTGGAAAGAGTGAGGCCCGGGTGTTTGTGTGCAGAGACAGCGCAAGGGTTGGCATGCTGTGGCTTGCTTAATCAGTTTCAGTTTAAGATTGGTTGAAGATCTTCATGTTAAGATATGGCAGTGGCCTCTTTAAAAGTCTTTTGTGCCCGGCGCAGTGGCTTATACCTATAATCCCAGCACTTTGGGAGGCTGAGGCAGGCGGATTACTTGAGCCTGGGAGTTTGAGACCAGCCTGGCCAACGTGGTGAAACCCCGTTTCTACTGAAAATACAAAAAGAGCCAGGTGTAGTGGTGGGCACCTGTAATCCCAGCTACTTGGGAGGCTGAGGCAGGAGAATTGCTTGAACCTGGGAGGTGGAGGTTGCAGTGAGCTGGGATCACGTCACTGTACTCCGGCCTGGGCGACAAGAGTGAGACTCTGTCTCAAAAAAAAAAAAAAAAAAGTCTTTTGCCTTCAGACCTTCCCCCTTCCAACCCACCCTGCCCACTGTTAGTGGATCTGTCTTCAGACGTGCTGCCTCATATTGTCCCTGTGTCCCTCGGGAAACTTTAATGGCTCCTTGTTGCCTATTTGATCCAGACCACAATGTTCAATTTGGCAACCAGTGAATCTACCACTCAAGTTTTATGGGCTTCCTGTATCTGCAGCAATATGTTAGATGGTGAGGGGACATAGAAAAAGGCAGAAATATACACCATGGTCCCAGAGTTTAAAAAATGTGTCATCTAGTTGAGACAAATCAAACACGAGTATGTGCACATATTATGGTGCATGTACACGACGAAGGGCTGGTGGTCAGAGAAGGCCTCATGAATCTGCCCATCCCTGGGCTTGGTCATCATATAGCTCATTTGTGGTGTGTGAATCTCATGCTGGCTGGGGTTTTCTTTTTTATTGTGGTAAAATATACAAAGTATAAAAGTTACCATTTTAACCATTTAAATTATACAATTCAGTGGCATTTTGTACATTCACAACGCTGTGCAGCTGTCCCCACTGTTTCAAGAAAATTTTCATCACTTCAAAGGAAACCTGTACCCGGTAAGCAGTCACTCCCCATTCTTTCTTCCTCCCAGTCCCTGCCAACCATTAATCTGCCTTCTGTCTCTATGAATTTGCCTATTTTGTATATTTCATATAAATGGAATCATATAATATGTGGCCCTTTGTATCTGGCTTTTTTCTCTTAGCATAATGTTTTCAAGGTTCATCCACATGGTAGCACGATATCAGTGCTTTGTTCCCTTTGGCGGCAGAATAACATTCCATTGTATGGATATACCACAACTGTTTAACCATTCATCAGCTGATAGACATTTGGGATGTTTCCACCTTTTGGCTATTGTAAATAATGCTGCTATGAACATTTATGTGTAAGTTTCTTTCTGTGGATGTATGTTTTCAATTCTCCTGAGAATATACTGAGAAGTGCAACTGCTGGATCATATGATGATTCTATGTTTAACTTAATGAGAAACTGCCAAACTGTTTTCCACAGCAGCCATACTAGTGTACATCCCCACCAGCAAGGTGTGACAGTTCCAATGTCTCCACATCCTCACCAACATTTATTTTTCATTTTAAAAAAATTATAGCCACCCTAGTGAATGTGAAGCGTTATCACAGTATATGTATGTATATATGTATTTATTTTTGAGACAGGGTCTCCGTCGCTTAGGCTGGAGTGC
The DNA here is from genome assembly GCF_000001405.40 of Homo sapiens. Taxonomy (NCBI): domain Eukaryota; kingdom Metazoa; phylum Chordata; class Mammalia; order Primates; family Hominidae; genus Homo; species Homo sapiens. The sequence continues at coordinate 44,317,756 of NC_000023.11, read as the reverse complement.
AGTGGTGCGATCATAGCTTCATAGCTCACTACAGCCTCAGCCTCGTGAGCGCAAGCGCTCCTTTCACCTCAGCCTCCCGAGTAGCTGGGACTATACGCATGCACCGCCATGCCTGGCTAATTTTTGTATTTTATGTAGAGACAAGGTCTCACCATGTTGCTCAGGCTGGTCTCAAACTCCTGGACTCAAATGATCTGCCTGCCTAAGCCTCCCAAAGTATTGAGATTACAGGTGTGAGCCACTGTGCCAGGCTTCATTGTACTTTTGATTTACATTTCCCTAATGACTAATGGCATTGGACATATTTTCATGTGCTTGTTGGCCATTTGTATATCTTCTTTGGAGAAATGAGGGTCGTGGTCAACTCAGTATACCACTGGAGGCTATATGAGTAAACAGCAAACTTTCTCATAAATGCAGAATGTTGGCAAACTGACAAACTGCGTCTGCCACCCAGAAGGAATGCTGAGGGCAGTTATGCCCCAAGTGCAGTGTTTATTGTGATTAGGTACATCAGAAGCCTGTTAGTAATAATATGAACCTGTGATCAATTAAGGAGCTGACCAATCATTACCTCCTCCTCCCTACTCATTCTACCCAATAAATACGAAGGGCTGTGGAAGCTCAGGGGGGCTGCCTTTGCTCACTAGAAGCAGGGAGCTCTCTTCTTCCCCGGACCCTTCCTTTAAAACAGTTTCTTTTGTCTTAAGTTTTCATTTCTATGTTCATCCCCCTTCGTTCAGTCTCGTAATGACGGTCTCAAGTAGTAACAATAGTAACTCTTGTAATGACGGTCTCAAGTACTAACAGTAGTAACTGTTGTAATGACGGTCTCAAGTACTAACAGTAGTAACTGTTGTAATGACGGTCTTAAGTAGTAAAAGTAGTAACTGTCGTGGTGACAGTCTCAAGTAGTAACTGTGGCAGTCTACCACATCCTTTGCCCATTTTTAAATTCAATTGTTTGTGTTTTTGCTGAGTTGTGAGAATCTTTATATATTCTATATAATAGACCCTTATATGATTTCCAAATATTTTCTGTCATTCTCTGGGTTTCTCTGTTTTTTAGAAATGACATCTCACTCTATTGCCCAGGGTGGTCTTGAACTCCTGGGCCCCAGTGATTCTCCCAGCTTAGCCTCTTAAAGTGTTGCTGGGATACAGGCTTGAGCCACCTCACCCAAACTTCATTCTATGGATTTTTTCACTCTCTTGATAGTATCCTTTGACACACAGTTCTAATTTTGATGAAGCCCAATTTATTTTTCCTTTTGTTGCTTGTGCTTTTGGTGCCACATGTATGAAACCCATTGCCAAATCCAGAGCCATAGTGACTGGCTTCTATTCTAGGGTTGGGAGCTGTGGCTTGCCCAAGGCCATGTCCCCAAAGTCTCTCACAACTTAGCACCCAATGGATGCTCACCAGATGTTTGTAGAAGGGATGACTATGTAGTGGGATGTGAGCTGACCCTTGGTGGGGAGAGGGGTTTGTGTAGAAGTATAGCCTGACCAGGGACATGACTTTGAATAGACATTAAGGTACCTTATAAGCTGTAAGATGTGGTCTGACCAAAGAGGAGGGTACACATGAACAAATTGTGGAATTCTGGGGGACAGGTAGCTGAGTGAGGCCTTCAACGGTGGCAAGGGCTTTTTCCATGTGATTATGGAAACCTAGATCCATGGAGGAAACTTGTGAGTAGTGGAGAAAGCTCCTCAGGGGAAGGAAGGCTGGCTGTGACTTCATCTTTATACCATACTCTCTAGAATAGGGCCTGGCCGGTATTAGGCTTTAGTAAATATTCCAGTGGCCTGATGAGGGAGACTTTTAAGATATTTACATGAGAGGCTTTTCATGATATAGTCCTCCTTATATATTCTACTCTAGCTCGCCCTCCTTCCAAACTTGACCTTGACTTTCTTTTTTTACCAGATTCGCCCCTCTCCTAGGTGCTGTCAGCTCAGCTGCAGTACATCACTCCTAACCCTGCTTGGAACATCCTTGCCTCTCCTCTCCTATCTAATTCATCTCATTCCTCCAGGCCCAAGACAGTATCCAGTTATCCACAGAACCTCAACACTACTACTCCAGCACATCAGTGTATGGCTCTAGTCAGCCATACACTTAGCTATACACTTACCAGAGCTTAGGGTCACATGATCTTAGGTTCAGATGCAGGCTCCACTAGTTACTGTGTAAGCTTGGGTGGGCCAGTCTCCCTCTCTCTGCCTTGGTTTCCTCATTGGAAAAATGGCAGTAATAACACTGCTAAAACAGTTCTGTGACAGTGAAATGAGATAATAAATGAGATATAAAACCCTTAGTAAAGCATCCAGCTCATAGTAAGCGGTCAAAAATGGTAGCTGTACTGTTTTCTAGTTGTTTGCTGTATTTGGCTGTTCTCGTGTTGCTATAAAGAAATACGTGAGGCTGGGTAATTTATTAAAAAAAAAAGGCTTAATTGGCTCATGGTTCTGCAGGCTGTACAAGAAGTGTGGTGTTGGCATTTGCTTCTGATGAGGGCCTCAGAAAGCTTCCAATCATGGTGGAAGGCAAAGGGAGAGCCAGTGTATCACATGGTGAGAGTGGGAGAAAGAGAGAGAAGGGGGAGGTCCCAGACTCTTTTAAACAAGCAGATCTCATGTGAAATAACTGAGCGACAACTCATTTATCACTAAGGGGATGGTGTGAAACCATTCATGAGAGATCTGCCCCCACGATCCAATCACCTCCCACCAGGCCCCCACCTCCAACACTGAGAATCACATTTCAACATGAGATTTGGAGAGGACAAACATCCAAACGGTATCATTTTATATATCTAAATCTTGCTTCCTCCGCAAGATTGTGGGTTTTTTTCTTCAGGGCAGGGGCTGAGTCTTATGCTTATTTTAACTCGTATATTTGGCACAAAGTTAGGACTATAGTAAGTACTTAAGAAACATTTGTTGGTTCGAGGTGACTTTGTGATTACTCGGAGTTACTTGCTTTAGGAGACAGTATATCATTATTGAATTCTATATTATTCTACGATTCATTTTCTGAAACCCAACTTTTGCTTTGTTTTATGGGGATCTGGGACTGACTTGTGGTAATCTGATTGTATGTGTGAGCAAGTGTGTGTGTGTGTATGTGTGAGAGAGAGAGACAGAGAGAGAGAGTGGAGGGAATGGTGGAGGTAGCGACAATTGATTCCCTAAGGGACAGAGCCAGCTACAGCTCACCATCCTAACCACTGCATCTAGCTTTCCTCTCCCAGCCCTAGAGCTGGGCTGTTATCTGCCCAGGGCAGCTGTTATGGCCCTGACTCCCCTGGGGAGGGCTGCTCAGGCCTTCCTCATTCTTCCAGGCTGCCTTTACCACAAAAGGAAATGAGGTATTTTTGACCTTATCAGACTTCTCTGCCAAGGCATCATGTTTTGCAAGAGGCTATTGCCCTGGCTATATACAGTCCTGGGCAGTGTGCTAACATTAAAGAAGCAAATTCAGGATAATGGTTACCTCTGGATAAGGGAGGCAGGGCTATGAGCTCTGAGATAAAGCTTCAGTTATCTCTGAGGTATTTATTTTTTATGCAGGGCTGTGGGGCATATGAGTGTTCATTTATTATCATGAACATTGTATAATCTTGTATTTGCTGCTTATCATTTCTATGCATGTATTATCCATAAATATTACCGTATTTTTCGAGTATTTTCCAGCTTTACATATGTGTCGTGAAATTTTATGTGTACTTCAGCTACCTATATTTTTTGCCTGGCAGTTTTTGAGATTTGTCTATTTTGTTTGTTTGTTTTTTTGAGATAGAGTTTTGCTCTTGTTGCCCAGGCTGGAGTGCAGTGGCATGATTTCGGCTCACTGCAACCTCCGCCTCCCAGGTTCAAACGATTCTCCTGTTTCAGCCTCCCAAGTAGCTGGGATTACAGGTGCCCACCACCATGCCCGGCTAATTTTTTATATTTTTAGTAGAGATGGGGTTTCACCATGTTGGCCAGGCTGGTCTAGAACTCTTGACCTCAGGTGATCCTCCCGCCTCAGCCTCCCAAAGTGCTGGGATTACAGGTGTGAGCCACTGTGCCTGGCCTAGATTTGTCTATATTGATACGTGTAATATTAGACTCTGTATTAATATTCCATGTTATAAAGAGATGTATCTTTTCTGCTATTGGGTAGACATTTCAGTGGTTTCCTATTTTTCACTTTTGCAAACAATGCTATAACAATAGTCTGATATGCAGTTCCTTGTGCCTAAGACAAGATACTTCTGTAGGAGTGGATTGGCTAGGCCATAGGACATATATGCCTCTCTCTTTGCTCGTATTGCCACATCGCTCCTCAGAGTGATTGTCCTACTTTACCTTCCCACCAGCAGTGCACAAATGTTGATGTTGGCCATGTCCTTGCCAACCCTTGGTAGTTGTATCTGTGCTTTCTCCTCTCTCTCCAGATCACCAGAAAAGGTGGGAGTTAAGGTTTTTCAATTAAAGGAGAATGTCAGCTCTGAAGAATTTCCTGTTACATTTACTTTAATGAGGAAAAGATTTTGTTCTCTGTTTTGGTGAAAATAATGTTTAGACTTCTGTGGAAAACAGTTACATACACTTTTTATTCTGAAGCAGAGCAGTTTTTTCTTTCTTTCTTTCTTTTTTTTTTTTTTTTTGCTGTTTGCATTCTTGGCAAACAAGTAGGAAAGACCAATTAGCAAGCTAATGTTCTAAATATTTACTTGCAGTAACAGTCATTTTTTAATGTTTTATATAGCATGGAACATTAGGTTTATGTGTACTGCTTTTCAATGTTTTGAATTGATTAAAATGAATTAAATTTAAGAATGTGACACAACTTTATGGATAAAGATTGATCATAATTATTTGCCACTTTATTTGCATTTTGTGAGGGAAAAATACATGGTAAGAAAATGTGTTGACATTTTACAAACAGGTTAGAAAAGTCATAAAGAGTAACTTTGGCTATTTTATGTTGTCTCTTATGTTCACAGGTGGGAAAGGAGAAGTTTCACAAATCCCAACATTGGGGCTTTTGCAACAATGTTATGATGTTGGTGAGTGATGAAAAGCCTGGAATAGGTGGAGAACCACTTCTGGGGCAAAAGATAAAGCCTAAATGTAGCATATATCCTAAAGGAGATGGAAGTGATGTACCATCATGGGTAGCCTTTGATAAACAGGTAAGTCACATGACACTGGGAGGAATGCAGTCTTAGCATTTTACAGATGCTAAATAATTTAGTTTTGAGAAAGTAGGAGTCTTCAGTGTAAATGTTAAGGCTAGTTCTTTTTCTTTTTGCCTTTTCTACTTATTATTGCCTTTATTTTTAGTGTTTTATTTTTAGTGTTTCTCCCTTTGTCTTTATTTGTTTAAATTGACAAACATAATTGTATATATTTATGGTGTACAACATGATGTTTTGAAATATGTATACACTATGGAATGGCTAAATTGAGCTAATTAACATATGCGTTACCTCATGTGCTTCTCTTTTTTTGTGATGAAAACACTATTGTCTTACAATTTTCAAATATACAATACATTGTTATTAGCTATAGTCATTGTGTTATACAATAGATCTCTTAAACGTATTCCTCCTAAGTGAAATTTTGCTTCTTTTGACTAAGGTTAGTTCTTCTGAAAAGATAAATTCAAGAACAAAAGTATCCTAAACAAAGAAAAATCATTCTTGCTCTGCTCTTTTTTATCAGGCACATTGGTTGCAGAATGCCAAATGTTTATCTTTCTTGGCTAATGCTTATTAACCTTTCTCTCATCTCCTTCACTGGACAGGATAATCTGTCCTATAGAAACTAAGAGTCTCGTCAGATTGTCACTTTTGCTTTTGAGTTGCCATTGACTAAATAATTGTGTTTGAGTCTGAATGTGGCTTTAAATAGGAATAGAAAAATGCCTTCTCTTCTTTTCTCCATACTAATTAGTAATAAACCGTAGTAATGATTCCCCATCCCTAAGGGCTAAAATGTGATGTGGCAAGAAGAATAGTGAAAGGAAGTGATGCCATTATTAGACAAGAGTTGGAATTTTTTAATGTATATGTCTATACACATACACACACATATACATATGGACATATTGGCAGTTAGAAAAAGGAATGTATTTGAATATTTTTTAAAAAGGCTAAGATCAGAGGAAAGAAAAGGCGACCAGCTATATGGATATGCTGTGTTTATCAGATAGCCCTGTATCACAGCCCAATGTTCTGTTCTCCAGAAAGAACTAGTTATTAGATTATTTTAGATCCTGTAATTGAAAGATAGTTCAGGACTAGATAAAGAATTGAAACCATAGCATGCTAAGTTTACCAGGTGGTTTTTAGCAGCTTTTAACATGGATTGGTTGGCAGTACTTTGATTCTAATTAAAATGTCCTCAAATTGACACATCCCCATGTCATCTGTGATAGGGTAGATCAATTAGAGTGCACATTTTTTTTTGAAGCCTAGTTCTGACACTTATAGTGATCTAACAGACCACAGGGAGGCTTCCTTCCTGGGAAACCATTTCTCCTTTCAACATGGGCCAATATTCTTTTCTTGGATTATTTTCAGTACCTGGCTCAGTGCTGGACCCAAAGCTCAAAAACAATTCTGGGCTGACTGACTTGGGTGGATTATGCATAGTTTTCTGTTACTCTCAATCTTATAGGATGTTTACTTTGCATGGGCCAAAGAAAAGATTCTATTTTTACCTCATGTAAAATAGAGGGTATCGACAATATTTTAAACTAATCCACTACTGAATAAGTATCGTAGGCCACAATGTATTAATATTAAACTATTCTCTTGCATTTCAAGTCGAAAAGTCATTTCATGTTTTTCTCAATATTTAATATGTGCCTTTCAAGCCTATTTTGCAGGCCTTTAATTACTTATGTAGAATATTTCATGAATCTGGAATAATTTTAGCTTCAGACTACTTGAGTAAACGAAGAGCTTGCTCATTTCAGGGCTAACTAAATGCAACATAATTCTTTCAGTTATTTTGTTGGTCAACTTCTATTAAATATTCATTGAGCTTTAAATGAGACACTAAGACTGAAATATTTACGTGCTCTGATGAGACTGTGAACTACAGACTAGATCCTGGTTAATACCCCAAGCAAATTATAAAGCGCTTTCTACATTAGCGGTTCAACAAAAACAAGTCAACACTTGTTAATCATTTGTCTTAAAAATGAGACATTTTCAGTGCACCCCATCCCAGCCGCCCGGTCCCGGCCCCTCACTCTCCTTTGCCGCGCTACCACCATGCTCTCCGTCCGCGTCCCGCTGCTGCACATTACGGACCCGCAGCAGCTGCAGCTCTCGCCGCTGAAGGGGCTCAGCCTGGTCGACAAGGTGAACAGGCCGCCGGCCCTGAGCGGGACCCGGGTTCTGGCCAGCAAGACTGCATGGAGGATCTTCCAGGAGCCCGCGAGCCGAAAACTAAAGCAGCTGCCCCCGGCGTGGAGGATGAGCCGCTGCTGAGAGGAAACCCTTGCCGCTTTGTCATCTTCCCCATCGAGTACCATGATATCTGGCAGATGTATGAGAAGGCGGAGGCTTCCTTCTGGACCACCGAGGAGGTGGACCTGTCCAAGGACATTCGGCACTGGGAATCCCTGAAGCCCGAGGAGAGATATTTTATATCCCATGTTCTGGTTTTCTTTGCAGCAAGTGATGGCATAATAAATGAAAATTTGGTGGAGCGATTTAGCCAAATAGTTCAGATTACAGAAGCCCGCTGTTTCTATGGCTTCCAAATTGCCATGGAAAACATACATTCTGAAATGTATAGTCTCCTTATTGACACTTACATCAAAGATCCCAAAGAAAGGGAATTTCTCTTCAATGCCATTGAACGATGCCTTGTGTCAAGAAGAAGGCAGATTGGGCCTTGCGCTGGATTGGGGACAAAGAGGCTACCTATGGTGAACGTGTTGTAGCCTTTGCTGCAGTAGAAGGCATCTTCTTTTCTGGTTCTTTTGCATCGATATTCTGGCTCAAGAAACGAGGACCGATGCCTGGCCTCACGTTTTCCAATGAACTTATTAGCAGAGAAGAGGGTTTACACTGTGATTTTGCTTGCTTGATGTTCAAACACCTGGTACACAAACCATCGGAGGAGAAAGTGAGAGAAATAATTATCAATGCTGTTCAGATAGAACAAGAATTCCTCACCGAGGCCTTGCCTGTGAAGCTCATTGGGATGAATTGCACTCTAATGAAGCAATACATTGAGTTTGTGGCAGACAGACTTATGCTGGAACTGGGTTTTAGCAAGGTTTTCGGAGTAGAGAGCCCATTTGACTTTACGGAGAATATTTCACTGAAAGACTAACTTCTTTGAGAGGAGAGTAGGCGAGTATCAGAGGATGGGAGTGGTGTCAAGTCCAAAAGAGAATTCTTTTACCTTAAATGCTGACTTCTAAATGAACTGAAGATGTGCCCTTATTTTGCTGATTTTTTTCCATCTCATAAAAAAAATCAGCTGAAGTATTATCAACTAGCCACACCATGAATTGTCCATAATGTTCATTAACAGCATCTTTAAAACTGTGTAGCTACCTCACAACCAGTCCTGTTTATTTATAATGCTGGTAGTATCACCTTTTGCCAGCAGGCCTGGCTGGCTGTGACTTACTATAGCAGTGACAATGGCAGTCTTGGCTTTAAAGTGAGGGTTGACCCTCTAGTGAGCTTGGCACAGCAGGATTAAACAGTCATTTAACCAGCACAGGGAGTTGAAAGTTGAAAGATGCAGCCTCACTGCTTCAGCGCAGATTTCAATGTTTACTTAAATATAAAACTGGCACTTTACAAACAAATAAACATTGTTTGTACTCACAAGGCGATAATAGCTTGATTTATTTGGTTTCTACACCAAATACAAAGCATTCTCCTGACCACTAATGGGAGCCAATTCACAATTCACTAAGTGACTAAAGTAAGTTAAACTTGTGTAGACTAAGCATGTAATTTCTAAGTTTTATTTTAGTGAATTAAAATACTCGTTAACCAACTTTAAAGTCAGTCCTGTGTTTAGATAGATACTAGTCTGTTGGTGCCAGATAGAAGACAGGTTGTGTTTTTATCCTGCGGCTTGGGTAGTGTCCTGGGATTCTCTGCCCCCTCTGAGTAGAGTGTTGTGGGATAAAGGAATCTCTCAGGGCAAGGAGCTTCTTAAGTTAAATCACTAGAAATTTAGGCGTGATCTGGGCCTTCATATGTGTGAGAAGCCGTTCCATTTTATTTCTCACTATATTTTCCCCAATTTCTAGTTGATAAGAAAAAACTATTGAAGAGTTTTTTTTTCTTTTTTTTTTCTTTTAATACAAGAATATGTCTCTTTTTATTGAGGTCTTTTTTATGTGCTATGATTAAATTAAATGAGATAATGCTTTAAAAGCACTTATATGTGGGAGCTAAGGTAGTATTGTAAAACTTCAAGTCATCCTTAAACAAAATGACCAACCTAAGATCTTGCTCCTGTTAAGTGGTGAAATCAACTAGAGGTGGTTCCTACAAGTTGTTGTTTATTCTAGTTTTGTTTGTGTGTAAGTACGTTGTGTGAGTTAATTCATTTATATTTACTATGTCTTTTAAATCAGAAATTTTTTATTATGTATGTCCTTTTAGATTTTACCTGTAGTTCATACTTTAAAATAATCACCCAGTGTCTTATTCTAGCATTGTCTAAATCTGAGTATTATCTAGGGGAATCTTAAACTTCAGTAGGAAACCATGAGTTATTCATACAGTTTCCATTCAAATATTAATTTCAGAACGAAACAAAATTTTTTTTTTTTTTTGAGACAAAGTCTCGCTCTGTAGCCCAGTCTGGAGTGCAGTGGTGCGATTTTGGCTCACTGCAACCTCTGCCTCTTGGGTTCAAGCAATTCTCCTGTCTCAGCCTCCCGAGTAGCTGGGACTGCAGGTATGTGCCACCACACCTGGCTAATTTTTTTATTTTTAGTGGAGATGGAGTTTCACCATGTTGGTCAGGCTGGTCTCGAACTCCTGACCTCAGGTGATCCACCCACCTCAGCCTCCTAAAGTGCTGGGATTACAGGCATGATAAACAAATATTCTTAATACGGCTACTTTGAATTAATCTGCCTTTATGTTTGGGAGAAGAAAGCTGAGACATTGCATGAAAGATGATGAGAGATAAATGTTGATCTTTTGGCCCCATTTGTTAATTGTATTCGCTATTTGAACATTGTCCTGTTCTATTGTTAGTTTCCTTCATCATTTATGGTATAGTCAATTTTTAAATCTCTGTAATATAATACATTTTCCTATCTTTTAAGTTATTGTTACCTAAAGTTAATCCAGATTATATGGTCCTTATACTTGTACAACATTAAAATGAAGAAAGCCAAAAAAAATAAAAGACGTTTTCAACTTGTTGCCAGTTTTTCCAGTAGCTTTTAATCCTAGCAATATATCTAGCATTACACTCTCAAATAATACAAAGTAAAAATAAAGACAGTTCTTTGGAAAGTGTATTAAAATTAATATTTGTAGTAGATGCTCTTTGTGCCCACCCAGATCCATGCTGGGGTGGTGATCCCCCACCCCCAGCTGTGACAAATGGTTTGACAAACAGCTCACACCTGTAACCCTCTCTGGAGACTTGCTCTTGGCTGATGGGAGTTGCATCTCTCAGAGACACCTGAGAGGTTACACTGGCCCCTTTCCCCTAAGAGGGGGCAGCTAATAACTGATTTATCAAGGGTAAAAAAAGGTCAGCTTCCTTGCCTGAAGGGGGGATAATTCTTTGCTATGATTCAGGCTCCATAGCCCCTCGTGCATCAGACCAAGGCTACACTTGACCTGAGAATGCATCCTTGCTTGCGCGGTTCATTTCCCTTTCCTTTGCTGCTTCCCTCACTCCCTTACAGGTTTCTCCCAAGAGTCTGCCCTTAATAAATCACATGCACTAAAATCCCTGTTTCAGGCTCTGCCTCTATGGAACCCCAACCTAAGACAACATTCCAGGTTTTAATCCATAATTCTGAAAGCAACCACCAAAATGCCTTGCTCAAGTAGACTATCACATTACAAGCAGAGAAAATGCCTTTTGCAATCATGAAAAGGAGCCAGTATTTGTTATCCCGCATGGCCCCTGCGGCAGACACTTCTAGCTGTTTATCCTTTATGCATTCTACCCTTCCTTCTTATAGGCAGAACGGTTTTATGCAGGCTGGAATTGTGCCCACTTAAATGTGTTACCTCCCCAGGCTCCTTGCAGCTAGGGCTGGCCGCATGACTCACTTTTGGCCAATGATATATGCATTAAGATTTATTGGGTGGGGCTCGTGGGAGAGTTACTATTTTTCTAATGAAAACAGGCTCAGCAGGTATGATTTTCCTACCCTTTGCCCTCCTTTTGTTTTTCCTGTCTGGAACTAGTGTTACCGAACCAAACTGGGTCCATTTACCTGCATGCAAGGGAAAGCCAAACGCCAAAGCACCAGGTTTTTGCAGCAAGAAAGGTTTATTGAGTTGATTGGCAAGGAGACAGGAGGAAACACTCAAATCTGTCTCCTGGAGCTGGGGGCTGGGTCGGGTTTTATAAGCATAGTGTAATGAGGTGTGATCTGATTGCATCTTGCAATGAGGTGATGCTGGGAGGCATAATCTGATTGGATCCTGCTATGGGGTGACACCAGAGCACGATCTCTTTGGTTCCTGGATCCTGCCATATGGGGTCCACTTCTTAATTCAGTCCCTGTTCCTTGGTCCAAGCACTTAGGTTTCACCTGTGCACACTTGGTTCAACTGGGCATGCTCGGGTTGTATGACCTTCAACCCTGGGGTCCACGGCAACTGAAAAACAACTCACGATTTTGTTTTATAAAAGTTGAACTAGATTAGTCTGGTGCGGTTACACTAGGACATAATTCCTAGGGCACAGCAGCTATCTTGTGAGCATGACAGAGATAAAGGAAACCTAGGTCCTTGTTGGCATCATGGAGCCACTGTTTAAGGCCCAGGCTGCCTCTCTTTGGACTTGTAGTTATGTGAGAAAAATCAGGCTATATTTCAGAGATTCTCAACCTAGCAAGGTATTTGGAAATATGTGGAGGTGTTTTGAGTTGTCACAATGATCAGGAGCAGGGCCAGACTAGGGTAAGGCAAATGAGGCACTTGCCTTCGGTGCAACATTTGGGGTGCCCCAAAACTCAGCAATTAAGCTAGATAATATTTTATTATCTAATTATTATTATTATCTGTTATTAAGCTAGTATAATATTTTAAAAAATCAAATTAATGCCAGAAATTCATGATGAACAAAATGCCAACATTTTAAATAAAGACAAGATCAGCAACTGTGCCATGGAAGTTATATTGGAGCCTGAGGCAAAAGGAAAAATCAGTAATACTGATCCAATCTTCATTAAAAATTTGGCATTTTGATATTTTGTTTCTCCTGGATATTTTGCATTAATTTTGTTTTATTTTATTATTTTTTTTTGAGGCGGAATCTCGCTCTGTTGCCCAGGCTGGAGTGCAGTGGCACGATCTTGGCTCACTGCAACCTCCGCCTCCCAAGTTCAAGCGATTCTCCTGTCTCAGCCTCCCGAGTAGCTGGGACTACAGGCACCCACCACCACACCCGGCTAATTTTTGTATTTTTAGTAGAGACGGGATTTCGCCATGTTGACCAGGCTGGTCTCGAACTCCTGACCTCAGGTAATCCACCCCCCTCAGCCTCCCAAAGTGCTGGGATTACAGGCATGAGCCACCACGCCTGGCTTGCATTAATTTTGATGTTTTAAATCGCCTCACCCTAGGGCCAGCCCTGACCAGGAGGTGCTGCTACCATTGAGTATCCAGGGGCCAAGTGTATATTTTATATCCTGCAGTGTGGGGAAGGCAACCCTACATTGGGGAAAAATTGTTCTACCTCAAATGCCAATACTGTTTCCACCGAGAAACACAGTGTGTGTACTACTTGCTTAAAACCCGTAGCATTGGGAGAATTTCTAAAAACAGGCAAAAGAATTTTGCTTAATACTGCACCCACCCTTCAAAGACTTCGTTATTTCATTGAATTCATTTAAATAAAAGCAGACTATGATGGGGCCAAGACAAAAACAAGACTATTCCATAATCATAACTGTCTGAACACAGAACACGAACACTGTCCAAGTCACAAAATGCATCACTCACGCCAGTTATTTCCAGTCATCATCCCAGTACCTCCATGAGTAGGAAGCAAATATAGACGGTTGTCCTCATCATATAAATGAAGAATCATTCTCAAGGAGAAATGGAGCAGGAACCAGAGTCTGAGACTGGGTGTTGGAGGCACTGATTCTGGTTCTGGTCCCGCCATTAACTATATGTGTGATTGTGGCTTAGTCACTTTACCTCTCTGAGCCTCAGTTTCCTTAACTATAATGCAGGACTTGGCTAGCTGATCTGTAAGGCCCTTTTACCTCTGGCAATTTACGTCTAAAACTTGACTAAAGTCAAATTCAGCTTGTTTATCCTAGAACTGAGCCCAGACCCTGGATCTAATGGCCTAGGACTCTCTAATTACATCAGGCACCCACTACTTCATTATTAATTGAAATTTGGCATTTAGCAGTTTATGCTACGCTATGGTGGCTGTATAAGATCTATAGTTAGCTGCTTTTATAAAACGTTGGAATATTTAGAAATATACAAATGACTGAATGTTTTTATATGACTTTCGTCTGGAAGTTAAGCCCCATTTACATAGACTCTACAATTTTGCTCTCATTTTTCATTTGTCAACAGCTCCTAGTTAGCCTAATTTGTTTGCTATTTCACAAATGACTCAGTTATAGTAAGTGGCAAGATAAAAGTTGATCTTATGGGATATGCATACATTTGAAAATATTATTTCTTTTTTTTTCCATCTATTGTAAACATAATGGTTATAATCAAAACTACTGACCGCACAATTGAATTTTAATCACTTACATTAATTGACATCGAGCTTGTAATGAGCTGATTATTTATGTAGCTGATTATTTATGTAGCTGTGTGACTCTATGATTTGAACAATATAAAAATAAATTTTTAAAATATAATTTGGTCCCCTGGGTCATCTTGATTTTTTTTTTTTTTTTTAGATTAAACAAGTTAGTTTATTATTCATTTGCAGCAAGGGAAAAAACATACCCTAAGCAACTGTGGGATGTCTAATGAAGCAGGTGTTAGAAAAGGCTTATTATAGGATTTGGGCTTGTGTTAAGTAATTGTGGGGAGTGATTAAGGAAGCAGGGCTTTGCTCTGGATTGGGTGCTATCAGGAAGTAGGGGTACATCTACAACTGGGTATCTTAATAAATCTCAGAGGGAGAGAACAGACTAGAGTGAGTCTATACCTATAATTGGGAGAGAAGCAGCTGTCACTTCTGTGAGCCAGGAGAGGGGGATGTTTGACATTTCATGGCTGGACAAGGTTCATTTTCTGTGTTTAGATGTGACTGTGGAGTGGTCTTGGTTTTGTCTTGATCCGTCACGGTCACAGAGTGGCCTTGTCTGATGTTGGTGGTCTCTGAAATTATTCTTGTTTAGCAGGAGAACACCAAGGCCTAGCTGTGGATGCCAGGCCAGCTTGTAACAGCACCAAGACCAGCTGATAGTATAGGCCGGCTCCTGGATGTCAGGGGCTACTTTTCTCTTTCTTACCCAGTACTAGCTAGAATTTTTAATTTTCCTGCGGTAGGATTAACGAATGATCAGGTACATTATAATTTCACTTGCTTAACAAAGAACAATACGTAAATACAGATTCTTGAAGTTTTGCCTAAAGCCAGTTAGGAATGTTATAAAATATAATCAGAATATATAAAAATAAAATACAATTAAGCTTTTAAAAAAACTGGAAAATACATTAGATATACCATTAAACCATACCCGAAATTTCAAATGGAAATCTTTCTATAGGTTTATATAATTCTCAGATTATCTGACTCTTGCTATTACCATGTCATAAAAGACACCAACATGTATAATTATAAGACAACGTAATTGCAATACATTTGCCGTTTTAATCCCATGTTTTACATCACAAGTACACAGATCTTCAGCTATTTAGTTTTAGAGAAGAAATAAAAAATCTTGCCTGAAATCAACCATGTCATACCCCAAATTCTCAACTATGCATTCTGCATTTGTCACTAAGAATAAAACACTTAGTCTTTAAATTTATATTAAAGTGATAAAGCTTCCAATTTCATTGTATTATGTAGGTTTCTTTAATCTTCTTTTGAAATTCAAAAGGCACTTAATAAAAATAATCCCCAAGTCTGGAATAAATGTTTTTGGAATAAAAAGAATGAGAATCATAAATGAGCCTTTTACTAAAGAAGAGAGTTCTTCCTTCCCTCTTTTCTAAAACCTAGAATTTAGCTATTTGACAACATTTTAAGGCCCTTCCCTCAGGCCAAAACTTTTTATCAGTAACTAGGCCTGTGGCTTATTCTGATTAGTCCAAAGTTAAAATTGTCTTTTTGAACTTTAACTTTTGTAGGTACCACTACATCCCCATTAGAATGGCTATAATTTTAAGACTCTTACCACTAAGTGTCGGTGATCATGTAGAGAAACTAGAACCTTCATACATTCCTGGTAGGAATGTAAAATGGTGCTGCCATTTTGAAAGACAGTTTGACAGTTTCTTAGTTAAACATATACTTGCTGCATGACCCAGTAATTCCACTTCTATGTATCCATCTAAAAGAAATTAAAACATGTTCACACAAAAACTTCTGTGTGAAATGTTTATAGCATCATTATTCGTAGTAGCCAAAAAACAGGGAACAACCCAAATGTCCCTTAAGTAATAATGGATAAACAAAATATGGTATATCTACATAATGAAAACTATACAACAATAAAGAAACCTAATGATATATATGTTACAACATGGGTGAACCTCAAAAACATTACACTAAGTAAAAGAAGCCAGACACAGAAGACTTCCTATTATATGATTCCATATATATGAAATCCTAGAAAAGGCAAATACATAGGAAAAAGCAGATCAGCAGTTGACTGGGGCTGATGGTGGGAGAGGGGACTTTTGTGGGGGAAGTGATAGAAATGTTTTAAACTGGATTGTGGTGATGATTACACAGCTCTGTAAATTTACAAAAAGCCATTGAACTGTATGCTTAAAAGTAGTAAATTTTATGGTATATAAATTACAGCTTAAAATATTAGTTTGTTTGGGTTGCCATTGTAACTGCCCAACTGGTTCACCATGCCTGCTGCCTAGACAGAGCCCATTTATCAAGATAGGGGAATTGTAATAGAGAAAGAGTTATTCACACAAAGCTGGCTGTTCAGGAGACCAGAGTTTTAATATTACTCAAATCAGTCTCCCACAAAACTCAGGAATTGGGTTTTTTAAGTATAATTTGGTCGGGGGGGGAGTGGGTTGGAAAGTGGGGAGTGCTGATTGGTCAGGTTGGAAATCATAGGGAGTTGAAGCTGTCCTCTTGCACTGAATTGTTCCTGGGTGGGGGCCACAAGGCCAGATGAGCCAGTTTGTCAATCTGGGTGGTGCCAGCTGATCCATTGAGTACAGGGTCTGCAAAATATCTCAAGCACTGATGTTAGGTTTTCCTTTTTTTTTTTTTTTTTTTGAGATAGAGTCTCACTCTATCACCCATGCTGGAGTGCAGTGGCGTGATCTTGGCTCACTGCAACCTCCATCTCCTGGGTTCAAGCGATTCTCCTGCCTCAGCCTCCCAAGTAGCTGGGACTACAGGCGTGTGCCACCACGCCCGGCTAATTTTGTGTATTTTTAGTGTAGATGGGGTTTCACTGTGCTGGCCAGGATGGTCTCGATCTCCTGACCTCATGATCTGCCCGCCTTGACCTCCCAAAGTGCTGGTGTTACAGGTGTGAGCCACTGTACCTGGTGATGTTAGGTTTTATAATAGTGATCTTATTCATCCCCAGGAGCAATTTGGGGAGGTTTAGAATCTTGCAGCCTCCAGCTATATGACTCCTAAACCATAATCACTAATCTTGTGGCTAATTCGTTACTTCTGCAAAGGCAGTCTAGTCCCTAGGCAGGAAGGGGTTGTTTTGGGAAAGGGCTAGTATGTTTTTGTTTCAAAGTTTAACTATACACTAAGTTCCTCCTGAAGTTAGTTTGACCTATGCCTCAGAATGAACAAGGACAGCTTGGAGGTTAGAAGCAAGATGGAGTTGGTTAGGTCAGATCTCTTTCACTGTAATAATTTTCTCAATTATGATTTTTGTAAAGACGATTTCACCATAACAAAATACTACAGACTGGGTGGCTTAAACAGAAATTTTTTTTCTCACAGTTCTGGAGGCTGGAAGTCCAAGGTCAAGGTGCTGGCAGGGTTGGTTTCTCCTGAGGCCTCTCTTCTTGTCTTACAGATGACTACCCTCTTGCTGCCTCATCCTCTGTGCACACTAATTATAGTTATTTTGAACATAAAATCCTTGTCATTTATAAGATTTTAGTTCACAAATTAGGAAGAAACTGATAGTCACTATTTGACTTGTTGACTTAAATTTTAGGCTGATTTATATTTTGTTCTGAACTTTTAATCTATAAAAGTCATGGTTATTTATGTATTCTTCCCCCCCGAGTTCAAACCAGCTGCAAGTTTATTTGAAATATTAAAAAAAAAATTATTTACCTTCCTTTATTTTGTATTTGCAGGACTCTGCCCTATGGTAAACTCACTTTTTGTAACGCTGATGGTGGGTGATAGCACAAATGCCATAGACCATATAATCTAGCTGTATTCTTAAAAAAATTTTTTTTAAAGTAATTTTGGACTCACAAAAAGTCACAAAAATAGTACAGAGAGTTCCTGAATACCCTTTTCACAGCTTTCCCCGATGATAACATCTTATATAACAGTTTGATATACCTTATCAAAACCAGGATTTTACCTTCTGCAACATGGTAAAACAAGAACAAAAATGCAGGAAATCAGCATTGGCATTGTGAACCCCAAAGTATCTGAGACAGGTCTCAATCAATTTAGAAAGTTTATTTTGCCAAGGTTAAGGATGTGCCTGTGACAGCCTGAGGAGGTCCTGACGACATGTGCCCAAGGTGGTCGGGGTACAGCTTGCTTTCATACATTTTTAGTGAGACATAATACATCAATCAATATATGTAAGATGTACATTGGTTTGATCTGGAAAGGCGGGCCAACACAAAGCCGGGGAGAGGCTTCCAAGTCACAGGCAGATTCAAAGATTTTCTGATTGGCAATTGGTTGAAGGAGTTATTATCAATATAAAGGAATGTCTGGGTTATGATAAGGGCTTGTGGAGACCAACGTTTTATCATGCAGATGCAGCCTCCAGGAAGCAGGCTTCAGACAGAATAGATTGTAAATGTTTCTTATCAGACTTAAGGTCTGTGTTGACGATAATGCTGGTCAACTTTTCCTGAATTCCAAAAGGGAGGAGGGTATAATAAGGAATGTCTGGTTCCCCCTTCCCATCATGGCCTGAAACTAGTTTTTCAGGCTAACTTGGGAATGTCCTTGGCCTAGAGGAGGGATCTGTTCAGATGGCTGGGGGGCTTAGAATTTTATTTTTGGTTTACAGTATAATACTATTAACTAAACCGCAAACTTTATTTGGATTTCACCAGTTTTTACATGCACTCACTTTTTCCCCCTTAGTTTAACAGTCCTGTGGAATCTTATCCCATATATAGATTCATGTAACCACCACCATGTTCAGGATACAGAATAACTGTGTTCTTTAGGATTTTGCTGTTTGAGTCCTCATTTATTGAGGTAAACTTCATTTTAATTCTTAAAATCAACTTTATTGAGGTATAATTTATATGTAATAAAATGAGCCTTTTTTTTTTTTTTTTTTTTTTTTTGAGACAGAGTCTCACTCTGTTGCCCAGGCTGGAGTGCAATGGCGCGGTCTCTGCTCACTGCAACCTCTACCTCCTGGGTTCATGCAATTCTCCTGCCTCAGCCTCCCAAGTAGCTGGGATTACAAACGCCCGCCAGCACGCCTGGCTAATTTTTGTATTTTTAGTAGAGACGGGGTTTCACCATGTTGGCCAGGCTGGTCTCGAGCTGCTGACCTCGTGATCTGCCTGCCTCAGCCTCCCAAAGCGCTGGCATTACAGGCATGAGCCACCACACCTGGCCAAAATGAGCCTATTTTAAGTATACAATTCCATTAGTTGTGACAAATGTATGCATCTGTGTAACCACCACCCCAGACACCGTCTAGACGTCTCTGTTGCCTCAGGAGGTTCCCTTATTCCCCCAATTCGTTTAGCCCTTTCCCATTGTTCTGACTTCTATCACCATAGCTTAGTCTTTCATTTTTTTCTCAGATTTCAGATAAACGGAATCTTATGGTGCATCTGCCCTGGAATCTAGCTTACTGTTTGAGATTTAAGATTTGAGGCGCAGCTTTGACAATGTGTATATAAACAAAGTGTAGCAAATTCATGTAATAATATACTATAACAGATTTCTGGGCATTTTACAGTCCTTTTTAGTCCTCTGGTTTGATATCCCTTTACTTTAAAACATTCTGCTTCAGTTTTTTCAAATTACTCTTCTAACCTCCTTCAGAGGTTTTAAAATACTTTAAGATGTTAATAACACCACATTATTCAAAGATATGAAGAAATGCTTATCTCCATTCTTTTTTCAATGTTGTCCCATTTCCTTTTCTTTTATTCCATCTCTCTCAACCTTCTTGTCCCTTCCCTTCTGGTGTTTTTTTTTTTTAATTTTATTTTTATTTTTATTTTTTTACCTTTTTTCTGTTTTCTTTTCTCTTTTATTGGACTTCTGTCTCTTCATCCTCATTCTCTTTACTTTCATCCATTTTTATTCATCTTCTATTGTGAGTGCCCTATTTAACTTTCTTCCTTTCCTTACTTTGTCTTCGCCTGTTTCTGGCCTTGCAGTTGCTGACTTCTCTTCTTAGGAGAGTATCATCATTGTTGTCATCATCATCATCATCGGTTTTTTTTTTTTTTTTTTGAGATGGAGTCTCGCTCTGTCGCCCAGGCTGGAGTGCAGTGGTGCAATCTCAGCTCACTGCAACCTCCACCTCTCGGTTTCAAATGATTCTTCTGCCTTAGCCTCCTGGGTAGCTGGGATTACAGGTGCACGCCACCACACCCAGCTAATTTTTATATATTTTTTTTAGTATAGATGGGGTTTCACCATGTTGGTCAGGCTGGTCTGGAACTCCTGACTTCGTGATCTGCCTGCCTCAGCCTCCCAAAGTGCTAGGATTACAGGTGTGAGCCACTGTGCCCAGCCCATCATTGATATTATTATTACTAGGGCCTTTCCCCTTCCCCTTTCCCCTAGGGCTGGACCCAGGGTATATATGTCTCTCCAAATGGAGTGTTGTCTGAAATTAACTCTGTGTGCAGTGTCTAGGGTGTTCTTTGGAAACATGGCCTGCCTGCAATACCTCCTTAATGAGAGGCTCTTTGGTATAGTAGAAAGAACAAGGCTTTTCAGTTAGACTGAGGTTTAGAACCTGGATTTACCATCTATTACCTATTTCATCCTGGCCATGTTTTTAACCTCTCTTAGCCTGAATTCCCTCATCTGTCAAGTGGGAATAACAAAACCCACCTTAGAGTTGCCGTGAGTATCAAATGGGTAATGCATGTCAAATGCCCAGGTCATAGTAGTCACGAAGAATTATTTCCTTACATGGGGTGGGGAGAGCAGTTTTCCTAGGGGAAGTGAAGCATAAGCTGGGACTATCCCAATGCTCATTTGTGCTACAGGATTCTTGCATTTTTCTTTGGGAAAAATTCTGGGATTTTCCAGAAGAATAAATTTGGAGATGCTACCACTGAGCCCAGTGAGTTCTAAAAAGCAGCTATTAAGCTATCATTGTATTGCTCTTTCCAATTGTTCTGGGCACCATTTATGTTGAAATTAGGGTAGTTCATAAAATCATATATTGTTTAAACAAAAGATTTTGTCATGTCTCTTCTATTTTAGCAAATTTACTTAATGGTCTTTTAGGAGGAAAGGTGATAAATAACTACCTTTTAAATTATTTTATTTTTTCATTATTCTGAACTAATAGCAGTCAGTAATAGGCTGCTACAACTGTATTTACATGCCTATTATTCATAACTGTACTCATAGATTTTATACCATGATCCTCTAGGTTCTAGAAATTTCATGCAGGTCCTTTTATGTTTAGTTGAAATTGTACTTCCTTTGCAGTCTACCATGTTCCCCCCTTTTTTTGGCTTAAAATATGAAATATGTTTTGCATGCATTTTATTATTTCTCTTTGATTCTACTTGTTGATATTTTTCATTCAGAATTTCAAAGCATTTATTTTTGCATTTATATTTACATATCAAAAATATCATATTTTAATAGTTTTACATATTAAAACTATTTTCAGTTCTGGTCTACTTGGCTTTTACAGTCAGCTTTATGAATTGAAGCTTTGGTTCTTATGGGTAGGTAATGGAGATAATATTATTGTGTGTTCCCAGCTTTCTCCTTTTCCACATACCCTGCCTGCTAAACAAAAATTTGTCTTTGCTCACTCCACTTTTCTCCACCTCCATCCTCTAAGGATTCTTCTGACTTTTTCAGTTGTTCTTATGCTTTGTGGGATATAGGAAAGGAAGAAGTGGATAGGAGGGAGAGAGAGTATGAGTGGGAGAGCACTGATGGTGATGAAATGTGAAACTCGTGAGAATCGAAAAAGAGAGAAAAGGCTTTTTTGGGGGAGAAGTGTGGATGTGCAGCATAAATTGGATCACCTTTAGATTTTCCTTGGAGGTCTAAGTGAAGATGAAACAGGATTTTCAATTGCTATTAGTTGCTGGGCCTTTTCTTTGAATATACTACCATGCTGAGACTAAGCCACACTGGCTTATTATTTGAGTTACTTCTAAATGTTAACTTACTAAATGATATATTTTTGTGTATGCTTACACAAATAAGAGAACTGCCATTACCCACCCCTCTCCCAACACTGATCAGTTGACCTAAGTCCTCTCGTCTCCCTCTGAAATCTCCCTTTCATCAGTCTGCTTCTTTCCATGGCCACTGCTGCCATCCTAGTTCATCTTTCACCTGGAGAGTAGCCTCCGTTGAAGGCATCCCTGCCTTCAATATAATTCCCTTTCTCAACTGCCCACTCTGCTACAGAGTTAACTTTCTAAAATGTTTAGACTCCTTTGACCTCCTTTGCATGGCTTAGGGACCACCTATATTTTGGCTCTTGTACCTTTGTAGTCTCATCTCCTTTGCTCCCCCATCACCACTCAACCCTTAGCCACACAAAATGACTTGCAGTACCCCACATACCGAACACTCCTATGCTCCCATAACTTTGCACATGCTGTTCCCCTTTGCAGAGAATGCCCTTCCCTTCTTGTCCACTTACTCCGTCTTTCAGCCCATTGAAGACCCATTTCAGATGTTACCTCCACCATGATGCCTTCTGCTTAATACTTTCAGGTGACTGGCAATTCCCTCTCCTTTTGGAGCATTTTCATAAACCCTTATTACTCTTCTCTGTGTCCTCCACTGAGCAGGAGTGAGTGGAGATTTTGTGGCAGTTCAGGGCATAGTGGTTAAGCTTGTGGCCTCTGAGGCTAGGCATCTTGTGTTCCCAGCTGTCTCATTCTCTTACTTTGAGACTGTGTGTAGATTACTTAACCTCCCAAATCTTGAATTCTATAAAATGAGAATCACAGTATTACCTACTTTATTGGTGTTTTGTGAGGAGTAAATGAGATAAGAGTATAAAAGTACTTAATACAATGCCTGACCCATTATAAGTACTTAATCAGTGTTGGCTATTTTATTTAGCTTTGAATTCTCAGAGCTTAGCACAACGCCTGACACATGGAAGACAACTTGGCAATATATACGGAGCTACAATATTATTAAGTCTTTCCTAATGGCTTTTAGCTTTTATCTCCAATGCATTATCATTATTTGGAGGTACCATACTCTGTTTTGCAGTTATTTGCATATAGTCTTATTCCCCTTACTTGACTGTGTACTCTTTGTAGCTGGAGAGATTGTCTTATTGAGTGTTGTATCCACAGCACAGAGCTTTGAACTTAGCAGGTATTCTGTGGCTGGTTTGGTTTGTATTATTTTCCATTAGTAATGGAAGTACCCATTTTGTGACCTTGGTTGGTGATGCACTTGTGGGAAATAAATAACATACTTTGGGATCATTAAAATCCCATTAAAATCATCCAATGTACTGGGAGGTCCAATTTATTGGGTAATTACTAGAATTATAGAACAAATTCTTTGGACTGGAGGAGAACATAAAGGGCATCATATCCAAGCATCTTTCTTCTGACTCTTTTGCATGGAATCCAGCTTTTAAAAAATATTGCAAAATGATGGCATGAAGGAGTGTTTTTGCCTTGGTTCTCATATTATTCCTGCTAATTTTACACACACACACACACACACACACACACACACACACACACACACACGTTGAGTATACCAAATCTGAAAACTTTTTGAGTGCTGACATGATGCCACAAGTGGAAAATTCCACACCTGCCCTCATGTGATGGGTCACAGTCAAAACACAAGTGCACAACACAGTTTATTCAGCATCCCAAGGGAAGAAAAAGCCCTTCCAACCCCCTTCACCTACAGTATAGATTCTTTGCACATGTCCAGATTCCCCCAAACAAGCATGCCTACAAAGTGTAATAAAATGGCACATGTGCAGGCTGGATATGCCAACGGCACGTTCCCCACAATTCCCCGTGTAGGACCAAGACCTTCGTGCATTACTCATTGTGTATTTTTGCTTATTCTCTGCTCTGTGGTGTAAAGATATTGTTGAAAATGTCAAATAGGTCTGAAGATAGCCCTATGGGTAAGAGGAAGGATTTATGTGTATCCATAGCATAGAAAGTCAAGCTGTGGGAGAAACTGGACAGCAGTGTAACTGTGAAGCATCTTACAGGAGAGTATGGTGTTGGAGTGACCACTATATATGACCTGAAGAAACAGAATGATAAACAGTTGAAGTTCTATACAAAAGTGATGTATAGAGGTTATTAATGAAAAATAGAAAAACAGTGCATAAAGCTAAAAATGAAGGTCTCAAACATGTATTGAAAGAGTGAGTCCATCAGTATCACAGTGAACACGTGCCATTTAATGGTATGCTGATTATGAAACAAGCAAAGAAATGGCAAAAATTTTGCCATTGCTTTCAATGGCAAAAACTGTAATTATTTTTGCACCAACCTATAATAGCTGAAATGGTTCTAAATCAAGGTGATGATGAAGATGACATTGCTAACTGTAAAAAAAAGTGCCTATAGATGATGTGGTGAAATTGTGATGGGATTATTGGATGACTAGAGCCATATGCATCCATAACAGAACAAGAAATCATGTCAGTTGATAAAATCAGGGGCACTTATAAGACAAAAACCTCTATTAATGAGGCTGATAACTCTGGAGGAAACATTTAAGAAAGCCATCCAGCAGAATGCCTCCTCATCTCTAGAGGACCTACTTCCTGGTCCCTCAACTTCTTCTGATGTTTCTTCTCACCTAAAAAAATAGAGTGTATAAATTAGCTGGGCATGGTGGCACGTACCTGTAATCCCAGCTACTCAGGAGACTGAGGCAGGGGAATTGCTTGAACCTGGAGGTGGAGGTTGCAGTGAGCCGAGATCGCACCACTGCTGCACTCCAGCCTGGGCGACAGAGCGACACTCTGTCTCAAAAAAAAAAAAAAAAAGAAAGAAAGGAAAAGAAATACCTGAGACTAGGTAATTTATAAAGAGGTTTAGTTGGTTCATGGTTCTGCAGGCTGTACAGGAAGCATGGCACATCTGCTTCTAAGGAGGCCTCAGGAAGCTTCCAATCATGGTAGAAGGCAAAGGGGGAGTGAGGCACTTCACATGGCTGGAGCAGGAAGAAAAGGAGTGGGGAGGTGCCACACACCTTTAAACAACCAGATCTCATGAGAACTCACTATAGTGAGGACAGTACCGAGGGGGAAATCCACCCCCTTGATCCAATCACCTCCCATCAGGACCCACCTCCAACATTGGGAATTACAATTTGACATGAAATTTGGGTGGGTACACAGATCCAAACCATATCACATGTGAATAAGTGTAAGAAAATTATTGCTTATCCAAAGCATATAAATTCAGTCAGGAATGATGATTATGCCAAATAACCACAGATTGTCCATATGAGTGGCTGAGATAGTGACACCTTTGCTTTCTGATGGTTCAATGTACACAACTTTGTTTCATGTGCAAAATCATTAAAAATAGTACATAAAATTATCTTTAGGCTATGTGTATAAGGTGTGTATGAAACATAAATGAATTTCTTATTTAGACTTGTGTCCCATCCCCAGGATATCTCATTATGTATATGCAAATATCCCAAAATCTGAAAAACATCTGAAACACTCTGTTCTCAAGAATTTCGGATATGGGGTACCGAACCTACATATGTACATACATATGTGTTTCTGTGTGTGTGTGTGTATGTGATAAATGAAAAATATTATAAAAGATAAAGGAACAATCATATATGTATATATATACACACAAAAAAACACACATATATATAATTTTTTATATGGTAGGTGTTTTTCTTTTGTATTTTTCATATTGAATGTCAGTTTTCTTGATTCAGTTTATAAAACTCCATGATTAGCAATGTGATTTCTGCAGGATAGGGTGACCCCCTTTCTTCTAGTCCTAGTATCATTTTTCCAGGAAGTCTGATTTTAAACAGTGGTTTGGAATCTCTTCTCTTAGTAATATCAAGTGTTTTTTAATTGCTTGCGCAATAGACTCCATAAGGATGTGAAGACTATTTTAGATATGGTTTTGACAGTATTTTCAAGCTTCCAGCTTTGCATCCTACACTGATTTATATATTATTCAGTATTTTTATACATTCATTTTCTCTCCAAAGCTGTTATATATACATAATTTTCTTAATTCTTTAAATAGTGCTGTGGTTATCACTGTGGTTAGCAAGTGTTGATTTTCTAATTTTTGCTGAAAGGTTAATCAGTGAACAAAGAGCTTAAGTGGTTTGTACCAGTGATGTAGTTAATTAGTGATAAAGCTACGTGAACATTCTAGCATTCTAGCCACTTCCCTTTCCATTTTCATGCATCATAAAATCATGTCTTATGCAGACAAGTAAAACTAAATTTTATGAATGCTTATATTGCCCATACAGGTGCATTTTATCTTAAACCATAGATTTAGTCATGAAAACTTGAGTATCGATTATAAATAGGTTTATGATATTTTTGTAATACAAAAAAATTCTTTGGAAGTCATCCCTCTGTAATTTATCTTTTTTGTTATTCATTTATGCAACTTACCTTTATTGACCATCTCTTATGTTCAACATGCTAAATGAGATTCAGGTTTGTATAACTTGAGTTTTCTTAAAATAAGATACGCCTATATAAACACAGTATCCATAGGAACATAAATTTATCAAAAAATGAAGTGAGAGGAAAAAAATAAGAATTTGGAGTGAGATTATAACTTGAGCATTGGTATTTAGATGTACCCCCACCTCCACAATCCCAATTGAAATCACTGCAAAATTTTAAAATGTGGAGAAACTAAATTCATGCTGGAGGCCAGGGAGGTGTTCCACCTTCATGTTGCAAACTTTGAAGAGTTTCCACCTGATATAGTGCAGATGGGATGATACTGAAAGAATATACCCAAACGAACTTGCAATTTCACTTCCCGAGAAAGTGACAAGAATCGAGTTGGGGGTTAGGACAACCTGTAGGGGTTTCCACATGGTTTACTTTCACAACTATTGATGGCTTAAGAGTGTCACTAGGAGACCCAGAAATATAGTCACACTGAAGTCAAAGCAGGCCCTGCATTCGGGCTTTTCTCTGATGGAACAGGCAACGGCATACAAAGGACTGGCCACTCTTCCTGGAGTGGAGGTTGGGTCAACTCATAAAATGTTTATATGGAAAATTAGAAGTTTTTCCTGCTGGGGACTACCCATGGTTCCAGCTCCCTTCCTACTTCTCTTGACCACTCTACATGAATTTATATTAACCAGAGAGGAGGTATCTAAGAACATTAGGATAGATGGTGAAGGGAGTGAAAGAAAACCCACCCACCCACCCTATTTTGTGGAAAACACCAGCCTAGATAGACTGCTCTTTGTTCAGGAATGAACAAAGAAACTTAAGGTTTCTGAAAAGATTCTACAACATAAATGGAGAACATAGTATTCAAGAGGCAGAGGAAGAAAAATACTTATTTTAAAAGTATGTTTTCTACAGAAAAAAATAAGTATTTTTGATAACAATGTGCTTTGTGTAAGGAAGTATATAATACAAAGTGAGAAGTAAAAGCAAATTAAAAATATTATTGAATGAGACTGCAGGCAAAAAGTCAAAGGGAGATTGCTGAAGAAGGATGAAATGTGAGGAATCTAAAAATGCATTATATGTAGTAAAGAAAAGTATTAAAACTGGGGAGAATGGGATGAGTGATGGAAAAGGTAAACTTGAGAAATTCTCCTGAAATGCAATGGAAAAAGATAACAGAGCAATGAGATGATGGCAGGTTGGACAGAGGATTGAGCTCTAACATGCAGACAATTGTTCCTAAAGAATTAAAGTCTAGATTAAAAGCAACCAAATTGATTAAGCATACCATAAGAAAACAATACAAACAAAAGCAACTTTCTGGATTACAGAAAGACGTAGACCGGGCCGGGTGCCGAGGCTCACGCCTGTAATCCCAGCACTTTGGGAGGCCGAGGCGGGCGGATCACGAGGTCAGGAGTTCGAGACCAGCCTGGCCAACATGGTGAAACCCCATCTCTACAAAAAATACAAAAAATTAGCTGGGTGTAGTGGTGGGTGCCTGTAATCCCAGCTATTCGGGAGGCTGAGGCAGGAGAATCGCTTGAACCTGGAAGGTGGAGGTTGCAGTGAGCCGAGATTGCGCCATTGCACTCCAGCCCTGGCGACAGAGTGAGTCTCTGTCTCAAAAAAAAAAAAAAAAAAAAAAGAAAGAAAAGAAAGATGTAGACCGGCAGATAAAATACTTATTCTGTACCAGAGAAAATAAAAAAGAGATCAATAATTAGATCTACCCTGACAAATTTTCAAGGATAAAGCAAGGAAATTACCAAGCATCAGGATAGAAAAAGTAATTTAACCCTCAAAGGCAAAGTTGACATTGGAATTCTCAGCAATACTAAATGCCAGAAGACAATGAAGCCATGTCTATAACTTTTAGGGGAAAATGTGACTCAGAAAATCTAAACTCAGCCAAGGTGTTATCATTAGTGAAAACAGCAGTAAGATCTCAGTTATATAATTTATCACTAATATGCTATCCACATACTTTTCCTGAAAAAGTTGCTTAATTGCTAGTCAATTAAGAGATAAAGCAAATTAAACAGTTCAACCATGGGGAGGTCATGAAATAAAATGATTAGTGGTGAGTAGTAGAAAGAAACATATATAATAGGTCGTGAAATATAAATAAAATTCAAAACATAACATAAACATTTTGAGTATTTATTGAAAGATAAAAGAATAACAATCATAAAATGAGCCCCAAATCCAAGATAGGGATAGAAAAAAAATATGAATTATTTAGAAGAATATGCAATTTAACAGGCTATATGGTCACAACTATGTCAAGGAAAGACATCAACAACAGTGGGGTTCTAGGTAATAGAAATGCCATATACTTTTTCCTGCTACTCTCTATTTCCATATTTTTGTAATACGTTTGTATTTTTATAGTGTGTAAACTTTATCAAATTAAATCTATGTATACAGCAGAGTTATAATTACAGACACATTTGTAGTATTGACTGCTTTGTTATTGCTCTCCAAATTAAAAATAAACTAAGCATTTAGCTTAAGACATTAAAAAATACACAATAAAACAGACATCAGAGAACAAAAAGAAAAATAAATTTCAAAGCACAATTTTTTGTATCAGTAAACAATAGTTTTGAAAAAGCACATGCCGTCTGAGTTGAGTATTTAAAACAAACAGAATTAAACCTAAACAAAAAATACAGAAAACAATGTATTTAAATCATAAACTCAGAGAAAGTAAAATGTATAGCTATGCTAACTATGAAGTGAATAGTATTAATTAGCAAAATTGACTTAAGTACAATGCTGGAATTGGCCAATATATGGAAATATTAGAGAAAACTGCCAAAGAGCTACTCCAAATGTTAGTGATTGTCTCTAAGTGGGTAGCATTATGGGCTATTTTACTCCCTCTTTGTGTGTTTTTTTTTTTAATTTTTACTTTTTACTTTTTTCCCCACTACAAGCTACTTTAATTCTTTGAACAATTTTTCCATGCGGGTAAACTGTTACCATATTTTCCTATTAAGAAATATTTTCAATAGATTTTTTTTCTACAATAAATTTTACTGGAAACATTTGGTTCATTAATTTTTGTCTATATGAATGCTGTCCATCATGGCTTTTGACAATCTGAGTTTTTTTTGATGATCACATTTCTACCAAAATCAATTTTCCTAAGTCAAATTTTGTATATCCAGATTTTGTAAATATTTGACTCTTCTATTGATTTTTAAAAAATCAATTTTACCATGTGCATTTTTCCTTCTGTTGCTTTTATTTTGTTTGGGTTTTTAAAAAATCACGTTTATTTTTTTGCTTGTCTCAAAAATTTTTAATAAGCAGGTATGAATTTTGAAGTTAGATATGAATAAAAACCAACTGAAAAAGCAAATCCCTCTGTCTCCCAAGACAAAGTGGGCAGTTTGTTTCTTTTGAGCTTTAAAGGTAGAAATAGCTGCCTTTCTAAAATTTAAGTGAAGCGAAATGTTGACATGCCCTGAAAGGACTGCCAAGGTTCAGGGAGCCTGTTAATGGGCCTTGAGAGGCTCTGTGACTCTGGACTAATGGCCCAGGGACCACTAAGAGTAAATTGAATTTCTAGATTACTGGCTACTTTCACAGCTCTCTGATGCCTCCAGGATGGGAGAGTAGACACACCAAATGCCAGAAAAATAAATGCTAAATAATAATTCTTCGAGGTTCAATGGAATATCTATCACTTAAGTAGCAAACTATTTACTAAGTGTCCCAAATTTTGCACATTTGCATTGCAAGATTTTACTAGTAACATGAGTAAGTGAACTGTTCTTTACCTCACTCATGGAATAAGTAAATGAAGGTTGTGCTTTTTGATTTAGGCCACTCTTGATATACTACACTCAGAACTACATTGCTCACTCCCCTTCCTAAAGAAATAAAGGTGAATTGCAACAAGGTTCTCTCCTGCATGTTAGAAACACTGCAGAGTATAATACTTGCATTTGCCACACAGAAATGCAGGGAGAGAGGAGCAGGTTGGAAAAGTAGTTTTCTCATCTAAAATTAAAAAAAATTTTTTTGATAGAAAAATTTTTTTTGAAAGGAAAACTCATTGTGTGTATATCTTGCTTACCTTGTTGAGTGTATACTTACATTTTTTATTTAAAAAATTTTTTTTTAGAAACGAGGTTTCACTATGTTGCCTAGGCTAGTTTCAAACTCCTGGGCTCAAGTGATCCACTCACTTCGGCCTCCCAAAGTGCTGGGATTACAGGCGTGAGCCACTGCGCCCGGCCTATTTTTCATTAAAAAACTTTTTTTTTTTTTTTTTTTTTTTTTTTTAGAGATGGGAGTTTCACTCTGTTGCCAGGCTGGAGTGCAGTGGTGTGATTATAGCTCACTGCAGCCTGAGACTCCTGGATTCAAGTGATCCTCCCACCTCAGCCTCCCAAGTAGCTGGAATTACAGGTGTGTGCCACCACACCCGGCTGTTGTTTTGTTGTTTTTATTTTTTTTTTGTAGAGACGAGGTTTCACTATGTTGCCCAGGCTGGTCTTGAATTCCTGGGCTCAAGTGATCCGCTCGCCTCGGCCTCCCAAAGTGCTGGAATGACAGGCGTGAGCCACCATGCCCGGCCGATTTTTAAATTTTTTTAAATAGAATTCCTATAATATACAAATATAATACACAAATCACCTACCTCACTTTTAAAATTCTACATTTTTTTAAAGACAAGTAGGAGGGTGACTTTATTCACCAAGCGATCAAAAGCAGGCTGCAGAGGACAGGGATTTAGATTGGGAAACTCTTTGTATTCTATCAAGCTGTCTTCTTTACTGGCTACCTTAAGGCATTTTTGCTGGGAAGAAAAACCTTAATAACATCAAGGGCAGTTTACCTTAACCCTCCTGCCATCCCATTGTACCCCACCCTACCAGCCAGAAACAGAAGTCTTACGAAAAGGTTTTGAGGAAAATATCCTGTCCTAGTTTACTCCGTTCCAACGAATTCTTCAAACACATCCTTGACCCAGGACATACGCAGAGTTCAAATCTAGTCTGTATGTTTTGTTAGGCTACCGGTCTCCTTTCTTGGGAAGACTCCTGACTGTGCCTTTTCTGTTTAAAGATGGTAGAGGCGATGGGTGTTCTCCCGCAAGACGGTCAAGGTGTGGGAGAGCGACACACCTTTGATTCTGGCAATCTCTCGCACAGTATGCAGGGCCAGGCCTGGGTGGGCATACTGGCAATAGCTTTTGGGAACCCAGCGAGGGAGGAAGAAGGGAGCATCGGTTTCTACAATAATTCTCTCTAGCGGGATCTTTCTCACAGTTTCTCGGGCTTGCCCAGCAGAAGAGTAAGTCAGAATTGCCGTGAAGCCCACATACAGGTTGGGAAAGTGGTTCAACAGGGGCTCGATGACTGAGTAACTCCCAGTGAAGCAATGGCGATGTATCTTGTGGTCAGAGGGCACGTAATTTTTCAAGATGTGCAGTAGGTCTTCATCGGCTTCTCGGCAGTGGATCATCATGGGCTTCTTTAGAGAGACGGCCAGCCGCAGCAGTCTCTTAAATACTTTCTGCTGCTCTGGGATATGCGTGGTGCACTTACTGGAGTAATCCAAGCCCATTTCGCCGAATGCCACAGCCTTGGGGTGTCGTAAGGCTTTTAAAATACTTCTTTCTTGATAGTTGTTATAATAATGGGCAAAATGAGGGCGACAGCCAAAGACCCCCCAAACCAGATCATCTTTCAACTGATCCTCCCACAGGTTATCACTTAGGTTTTGAGGATTGCAGAAGCAAGAAATGCAGCCCTGAAACTCCTTGGGGAAGGTGTTGCTATAAATTTTTCTGAATTTGGTAAAGGTGCCTTTGAAAGGCAGCCTGGAATATAGCAAGTCTAAATGACAGTGGGTATCAATGAAACCCGGTTGCTCTGGCTGCCAGATGGTCCTTGGCGGAAAGCTAGATGCACGTCCTCCATAAGGATGTCCTAATGTCTCCTCTTGATATACTCTCTCCTCCTTCGCCTCTGCTTCCACATTTCTGGAGTAGTAAAATAAGGAAGAATTCTTGGATCTGCCTTCCTCTGTCATCTTCAGATCTCTGGATGTGTTTTCGGAGCTCACTGGAAAACTGGTGGAATAATCACTCAGGAAGCTCTGGTGGCTGCTCCTCTCACCCTGGAATATGTTGTTGTTGCTTCTGCTGCTGCTGCTACAGCTGCTCTTCCCAGCCTGCAATGTGTTACTGCTGCTGCCCAAGGAGGGATAGCAAGAAGACTTGGTACTGCTGAACCAAGAGCTGGTGTAGTCATGCCAAGGACTATAATGAGGTGGAAAAGTGGTGTAGTCAGTGGCGTAGTATGGAGGCTCTGACACTACAGGAAGACACAGTGAGAATGGCTTCTCTTCAGAGAATATGACTGTGGTTCCACCTACATCAGACCAGTCACTCCCTGAAGAGGGGCGCTCAATTGCCATCTTTTCTTTGTGCTTTTGAATTACTGAATGGGAGTTATAGTTATCCGGAACATTTAAAGGTGGAGAGCTTTTTTCACAAATGACTCTACTTTGGTTGCTAAGTCGCTTTTGGATTATTACATGGGGGTTATAGTCATCCAGAAAATTTGAAGGCTGAGAGCATTTTTCACAAATGAGTGTATTTTGTGTTTTAGGTCGCCCCTCACTGAATTTCTCAGGAGGATTAACAGTCACCCTCTTGTCACAGGAGCTGCTCATTTCTGGGGCTGACTCTTTCTCTTTTTGAGGAGCAAAGATAGTGGCATTCCTGGCTGGTCTTTCTCCACAGTAGGGACACTCTCCTAGGTCTGATTGTGAACTAATGACAGCCTCTTCCTTTACTTTTGGAATGTCATCTCCCAGGATCTCCTGGAGAACACTCAGAGACAATGAAGAGCCACTATCTTGAGGTCTACCCTTCCTGCTCTGGAACTTGTTTGGTTCCTCAGTTTCATTTTGACCCTCACTTCCAGCTGTAAATTGAGGGTTCATGGAATTATAGGAGCTACGTTTGGAATTAATTTTAAGGCTGTAGATACCCTCCTCCAGAGAAGCCATTTCTTTAAAAACGGGGCTGGCAGAGTGCACTGGGGATCACAAGGACGAAAGGAACTCCAAATGCTCCAAATGAGGCAGTCTTTGGAGCCGGCCCTAATCAGGCCAGTGGCTGAGGAATGGGAGGAGAAGGAGGAGAAAGAATTTCTGTGGCAGGATGAACCTTGAGAAAAACACGGTGTGCAGGCCACAAAGTAGCCTTTAGGCCTTTCAGGCCTTTGGGGCCTCTCTCCCCTTCCAAACCACGTTACTGAGCTCCGCGGGGCACCTGTGTTTGCTGCAAACCACGTTACTGAGCTCTGCGGGGCACCTGTGTTTGCTGGGGGATCCTACCTAAGTGCCGCTCCGGTGGTACTTTTCTGCGTGCCGACGGGCCCCAGAGCTGGAGGGCCCTCACGCCACTCCGGCGCCTCCTTTTTTCAACTGTCTATCACAGTTCTCGGTGTTCTAGAGATGCCAAAGCCCTTCCACAATTATTTCAAAGTGCTCTGGAGAAGTCCTAAGGATCCAGGCCTGGTATGGCGTCCGAGCCCGGAACGTACTCCTAAGACTGTCCCAAATGGTCTGATTTTGCGCTGTGCAACTTCCCGGATGTAAAAAAAAAAAAAAAAAAAAGGTACTTCCGTGGAGTCAAAGTGTTTCCGGGGAGTCAAAGTGGCCTGGTATGGCGTCCGAGCCCGGAACGCACTCCTAAGACTGTCCCAAATGGTCTGATTTTGCGCTGTGCAACTTCCCGGATGTAAAAAAAAAAAAAAAAAGGTACTTCCGTGGAGTCAAAGTGCTTCCGGGGAGTCAAAGTGCTTCCGATCGGCCGTGCGCCGTGGCTTACGCCTGTAATCCCAGCACTTTGGGAGGCCGAGGTGGGCGGATCACGAGGTCAGGAGATAGAGACCATCCTGGCTAACACGGTGAAACCCCGTCTCTACTAAAAATACAAAAAATTAGCTGGGTGTGGTGGCGGGCACCTGTAGTCCCAGCTACTCGGGAGGCTGAGCCAGGAGAATGGCGTGAACCTGGGAGGCAGAGCTTGCAGTGAGCTGAGATCGTACCACTGCACTCCAGCCTGGGGGACAGAGCCAGACTCTGTCTCAAAAACAAACAAAGTGCTTCCGATCAAAACTCTTACTTTTGGTTTGGAATACAAGGCCCTTTGGAGATGTCAGAGTCCATGAAATGACTACAAGACACCTTAGGGATCAGACACAGGGTGCCCCTGGGTGGGCTTCTGGCCTAGATGCCCTGATCCCCAACGGCCAGCTGGAGGACAGGGCAGAACATACTGTAGAAGCCGAGTCGGGAAGCCTGCCCAGCCCCCATCACCTCGCCTGCCAGCCTGGGTCAGGCCAGCAGCCCGCTCCATCTAAGAGCAACACTCACCTCCCCACGGCCATCCAGCCCCTCCTTTACCACGCCTCTTCTCACTGCCCAGCCACGTGTCTACCCGAGCTGCAGCCATTACATGCTTTTTGTTCCTCCCCTCCACCCTCAGTTTCTTCCAAAAGCGTAGTCATGGTTTTTAGAGCATAGTTTAAAAACATAGTTTTAAAAAACATAGTTATGACTGTGGTATATAACAATTTTCAGTCTTGTGGTGTTTTTTTTTTGTTTTTGTTTTTTTCTTTGTCCTCCTCTCCCACCCCCCCACCCCCCCCCACCCCCCCCCCCCCCCCGCCCCGAGAGGGAGTCTCACTCTGTCGCCCAGGCTGGATTGCAGTAGTGCGATCTCGGCTCGTTGCAACCTCCACCTCCTGGGTTCAAGTGATTCTCCTGCCTGTGCCTCCCAAGTAGCTGGGACTACAGGCTCGTGCCACCATGCCAGGCTAAATTTTGTATTTTTTTTTTTTTTTTTAGTAGAGACGGGGTTTCACCATGTTGGCCAGGCTGGTCTCCAACTCCTAATCTCAGGTGTTCCACCTGCCTCGGCCTCCCAAAGTGCTGGGATTACAGGTGTGAGCCACCGTGCCCGGCCCAGTCCTGTGTTTTAGTCACTTAACATTACTGTATAGCCTCAGTATTTTTCTTATTGCCTCATGTTTTTCAAAAATATCATGCTGGTGCCTTTATAATACTCCATGGAGAACGTAGATGTGCCGTAATTCACCAAGCCCTTCCCTTTTTGTTAACTTTTCAGGTCCCCTTATTCTACCTTTTTTTTTCTATGATAAAAAGCTGCAAAGAACATCTTTGCACATACAAGTTTCTTCTGTATTTTGGGTTGTTTCTTTGGACTACGTGCGGGGAAATGGAGTTCCTGAGAGGAGGTAGGAATTTTAAATTGGTTCCTCATAACATTACATTGCCGCAGAAAATTGTACTAACTTAAAATCTCATCCGTAATGAGTGGTCCATTTAATAGGAGAAACACACACATAAACCCTATGCCTCGTTGTTATTTTAATTTGCACTTAATCTGACAGTTTCTTAGAGTGAACTTCTTTTTATTTGTTGACCCTCTCATGAATTTTGTTTATGCTGTTTTCCCATTTCTCTTTTAGGGTCTTTAAAAAATTAAACATTTTTATAAAATTAAAGTTTAGCCATATTTTCTAAAATGTTTTGTTAGCATGTTTTTGTTTATATTTTAGTATATCGGAGTTATAACTTATGTAGTTAAATCTTAATTTTTAAAAATGTTTTCTTTCTCTTTTTCTCCCAAGCCTGCAATGTCATTCCTCCTTCTGAGGCTTGACACATATTTATTTTTTTGGAAGGTGAAAGGAATTGATTTATTATATTTAAGCCAATACTTCATCTGATATTTGGGTTGGATTTTACAGGAAGGAGGCTATACACTGATGCTTTTCCAAGTTGGTACTTTTTTTGCTTATTGATATGTGACTCCTCTTTCATTATGTGTTAAATTCCTGTTAACAGAGTCTATTTCCAGGGCATCTGTTCTTTTACACCTACTATGTCTCTTGTTACTGTGGTATTGTACTACTTTAATAAATGAACTATTATATTAAGGTATAAAGTCTGGGAGAGCTAGATTTCCTTCATTACACTTAAATTTTACAACTATCTTTAATAGGCTGAACTATTTATCAGGTAGACTTAAAAAAATAATTCTAGGCCAGGCCCGGTGGCTCACGCCTGTAATCCCAGCACTTTGGGAGGCTGAGGCGGGTGGATCACCTGAGGTCAGGAGTTTGAGACCAGCCTGGCCAACATGGTGAAACTCTGTCTCTACTAAAAATACAAAAATTAGCCAGGCGTGGAGGTGTGCCCCTGTAGTCCCAGCTACTCGGGAGGCTGAGGCAGGAGAATCACTTGAACCCGGGAGGCAGAGGTTGCAGTGAGTCCAGATCACACCACTGCACTCCAGCCTGGGTGACAGAGTGAGACTTCATCTAAAAAAAAAATAATAATTCTAAGTCCCTCCAGAATGACATTGAAATACCCACTTGAAAAGTTATTTTAGTCTGCTTATCCAGAATATACTTCGCCTATCCTTTTAGTCAAGCTCTTCTATTAATATATCTTCTAGTAAATATTTTTAGAGTTTTATCTGGGTCACAGAGTTTTTATTAAAACTATTTTTAAGTATTTTGTAATTTTGTATTATGAACATACTTTCCCCCCATTGTATGGTCTAGCTGGTTATTGCTAACACATAAGAATATTTTAAATTCAGGTATGGTTGTACTGAAATCTTTGTTAGTTTTTCAGCCTTTGCCTAGGTCATTATTTTATCTACCCATAATGATAATTTTTGTCTCTTTCTTGCTAATATTTTTACTTCATATCTTTCTACGTTGTCCAGAGCTTTTAAAAACAATATTAAATAATGATGCTAGTAGGGGCATTATTGTTCTATTCCTGATTTTGGTAGGCACATAGTTTAATTAAGTATTATGTTAGATATTTAGGCTGTTGTTTTAAAGCAGATCTTTTTGTAATCTTGTTAAGGAACTACCCTTGCATTTAAAAATGTATGTGGTAGGAAATGGTGTGAGATCATTATATATTTGCTCATATTTCCTAATTGGGAAACATGTTGGCATCTGTGAGTAAAATGCTGTTTTTTTTTTGTGTAGGTGGCTTGTAACTGTTACAGACTATTAAATTCTGTTTGCTTGTATTTTACTTAGGATCTTCTGTAAATCATAAGTAGTGAAATTGTTCTGTAGCAGTAGTTCTCAACCTTGGCTTGCAGTTTGTAATCACTTGGGGAGCTTTAAAAATTACTGATGCCTAGGCCCACCCTGAGAGAATCTGATTTCTGTGTGTGTGTGTGTGTGTGTGTGTGTGTGTGTGTGTATGGGGGATGGTGGATGTCTGTGGCGGGGGTTGGGGGGCTGGTGGTGGACAGTGTGGCCAATGCATCAGGATTTTTAAAAGCTCTATAGGTGATTCTAATGTGTAGCCAGGGTGAGAACTATTGTTTTACAGTTACTTTTTTTTCATGGTACGTCTATTAGGCATAGGAATTCACCTTTGTAGCTTTCCATCATTTTTGGTATCCTGGAGAGTTATATAATTTGGTAATTTTCTTTTCCTTGAAAGTTGGAACAAATTCATTAGTAAATCATCCTGGTTGGAGACTTTATTGGGGCAATTCTTTGGTAATTTTTTTCACTGCTTACTTGGTTATTAGCTTATTCATTGTGTTTTTGATAAGTCACGGTTCTTACAGAATATCACTTATTTAATTGCAATTTTAAAATTCATTTTCATATGTTTGCATGATTATTATAAGATAATTTATCTTATGGTTTATATCTTATAATTGCATCTCTGTCATGCACTGTATCATTTCTCATTTTATTTATATTTTTCTTGATGAGCTTTCTAAAATCTTATCTATTTTATTTATTTAAAAAGTCCTTGGATTTATTTATTGCAGTTGTTTTTCTTCTTTCAAATTTATATATCCTTACTATCTTTTTTGCTTTCTGTTTTTCTTATGACAAATTTTTGCTTTTTCAAAACCTTTTGTTTATTGTTTTGAGGCAGTCTCATTCTTTCGCCCAGGCTGGAGTGCAGTGGCACGATCATGGCTCACTGCAACCTCTGCCTCCTGTGTTCAAGCAATTCTCCTGCCTCAGCCTCCTGAGTAGCTGGGATTACAGGCATGCACCACCAGGCCCAGCTAATTTTTTTGTATTTTTAGTAGAGACGGGGTTTCACCATGTTGGCCAGGCTGGACTTGAACTCCTGACCTCAGGTGATCTGCCCGCCTTGGCCTTCCAAAGTGCTGGGATTACAGGCGTGAGCTACTGCGCCCGGCCTTAAAAGCTTTTGTTTGAATCATTGCTCACTGGTTCTAAACTCTGGCTATGTTTCAGAATTACCTGGGGAGAGTAGGAAAGAAAAAGAAGGATCTTGTACTTGCCTATCTCAAAGTTCATGGCTGAGACCTCTATAACAAAAGACAGATTAACAAGAGAAAAGCACACAAATTTATTTAATGAAAGCTTCAGGAGACATGGAGCCTTCAGAAATGATCCAAAGAAACAGGAAAAACTATTTTTATGGACAGTCATGTAGAACTGTGACTGGAGGACAAAAGGATATGATCTAATGGTAATAAACTGGGGGGAACTTATAATAGCAAGATTTGTTTGTTCCGATTTTTATTCTTCATCCTTATGTGACACTCCTTTCCTCTGGGTATAGGGCAGGACACCTGTCACATGCGAGTCTATAGGGAAGGAGGAAGGGAGAAGGTCAGAGAATGACCTTCCTAGGTGTTATGACCTGCCTCCGGGGAGAATGATGGAAGAAGGTCAGAGAGACCTTC
The DNA here is from genome assembly GCF_000001405.40 of Homo sapiens. Lineage (NCBI taxonomy): Eukaryota > Metazoa > Chordata > Mammalia > Primates > Hominidae > Homo > Homo sapiens. The sequence continues at coordinate 44,278,547 of NC_000023.11, read as the reverse complement.
CTGCTTCTGCCTTTTTCTCAAATGCCAAGGTGCCATGTGCCTCGGCATATTTGCCGAGGTAGCATGTCCTGAACCCCATCAGTAGCTTTTAAAAAATAGTAATAGTCCCCTCCCCAAGGTTCTGATTTAACTTACTTAGGCAAGGGTCTGGGTTTTTTGTTTGTTTGTTTTTCACGGAATGTCACTCTGTCGTTGCTCAGGCTGGAGTGCAGTGGCGTAATCTTGGCTCACTGCAACCTCCACCTCCCAGGCTCAAGTGATTCTCCTGCCTCAGCCTCCTGAGTAGCTGGGATTACAGGTGTCCACCACCGTGCCTGGCTATTTTTTGTGTTTTTAGTAGAGATTGGGTTTTGCCATGTTGGCCAGGCTGGTCTCCAACTCCTGACCTCAGGTTATCCACTCACCTTGGCCTCCCAAAGTGTTGGGATTACAGGTGTGAGCCATTGCGCCCGGCCAGATCTGGTCTTTCAAATTTTTTTTAAAGTTCCCAATGCATAGCCAAGGCTGAGAAACACTGTTAGCAATTTATCCTCTCTCTCAGACTCTAAATTCTTTTATGTAATAATTTTAATCCATTAATTTACCCCAGATTGCAAATTTGCCTATATCCTATAGGTTTGTATGGCCTTATATTTTATTATATACTTTTATATAAATTTATTACATACATGTATATAAATTTTATTTGTATATTTTTTATATTTTTAGATTTATTTTTGGTACAATTATGAGGAGTGACAATTTTCGTTTATAGGTACATTATACACTTCTAGTTGTATTACTTTGTGATCAGTGAATATAACTTGTATAATTTTTCTGTTTTTAAAATTTATTAAAATTTTTGTGAATTAGCATATGTTTCAGATATATTTCTGTAAATATATATATTGTCATGTATAAAGGAGCCATCCTCTATATGCAACACAAAATGTATTATCGTTTATTTCCTTGATTATGGGACTTCATAATCATGAGAGAAACCATTGATTTAATAACAGCTTTTTCAGGAAGAATAAACAACACTGTATTAAATGTACACAAATTTTTCTTGTCTACTAACATATAGAGCATGCATTTATCCTTACCATTATATCCCTTTTATAGTACTTCACAATTTAAGTCTGAACCTTTTTCATAAAACAGAGCTTAAACATATTAAACTTGGACATGTGATGTTGACCTCTTTATAAAATGTTGAGGTTATTGAACATTGCCGATGTTTTGTCTTTCTTTCCTGACAGCTTCTCTAGAAATTCAGCTGTAAGATTTTTTTTTTTTTTTTTTTTTTTGAGCTGGAGTCTCGCTCTGTCGCCCAGGCTGGAGTGCAGTGGCGCAATCTCTGCTCACTGCAAGCTCTGCCTCCCAGGTTCATGCCATTCTCCTGCCTCACCCTCCCGAGTAGCTGGGACTACGGGCACCCGCCCCCACACCTGGCTAATTTTTTGTATTTTTAGTAGAGACAGCGTTTCACCGTGTTAGCCAGGATGGTCTCGATCTCCTGACCTCGTGATCCGCCCGCCTCGGCCTCCGAAATGCTGGGATTATAGGCGTGAGTCACCGTGCCCGGCCTCAGCTGTAAGTTTTTGACATTAGATGTTTGATTCCTGAAGTGATAGTCTTTCTGACTCACGTATTGGCCACATCAGCCTCCCCATCTTTAAAAATTATATGCTTTATTCTAAGAAATTAGGCTTTTGCCTTTGCCTTACAGTTGCATGGTCTAGCCTGCAATGGACAACCTTCTCCACGCAATTATTTTTTGTGTCATACTGCATCAGACAATAATCATTTTCAAACATTTTAAGTGAAAATTAAGAATCTAATGTTAAAATCCAGCTGTTTGGGATATGCAATGCTAAGCAAATAACTCAACTGTCATGAAGATAGGATAGATTCTTCTCTACAAAGCTAAATTTGCACCATATATCAAGTTAGAACTACTTCCCATCAAAATGCATTCTTGACTGCTTTGAGATTCTTTTGGCTTTAATTGTAAGAAGATCCTGAATTCAGAAACATTAACATTTAAAATTTTTCCTTTGTAATGAGGAAATCATATACCTGTTATTTAAAGCTAATTGATTTCAGATTTCAGGAGTTTTTTCTTTTTCTTTTTTATTTTCTTTTCTGTTTTTCTGTCACCCAAGCTGGAATGCAGTGGCATGATCATAGCCCAGTGCAGCCTTAAATTCCTGGGCTAAAGCAATCCTCCTGCCTCAGCTTCCTGAGCAGCTTGGACTATGAGGCACGCACCACCATACCTGACTAGTTAAATAAAGAAAAATTGTTGGAGAGACAGGGACCCATGTGTCACCCAGGCTGGTCTAGAACTCTTGGCCTAAAGTGTTTCAATCCTCCTGATGTAGCCTCCTAACGTGTTGGGATTACAGGCATGATCCACTGTGCCTGGTCTAAGGTTTTATATCCTCTAGGCTAAGATTAAAATTCCAAATGCCTTGAGGATCAGGTAGGTAACCTCATATAATATCATAGGGCCTGCAGAGCCAGAGAGGCCTGTGGAGGACTGAAGATCACATGCCCCCACCAAATGATATTTATATTCCGTTTTCAAGAAAATTGCAGCCAATTACATCCTCTAGGACCTTATTTTTCTTTTTTCTTTTTTTTTTTTTTGAGATGGCGTCTCACTCTATCACCCAGGCTGGAGTGCAGTGGCACCATCTCGGCTCACTGCAACCTCCACCTCCCGGGTTCAAGCGATTCTCCTGCCTCAGCCTCTTGAGTAGCTGGGATTACAAGCATGTGCCAGCACGCACGGCTAATTTTTGTATTTTTAGTAGAGACGGGGTTTCTCCATATTGGTCAGGCTGGTCTCGAACCCCTGACCTCAAGTGATCCACCTGCGTCGGCTTCCCAAAGTGCTGGGATTACAGGTGTGAGCCATCATGCCCGGCCTAGGACCTTATTTATCTAGTTTCTGCTTGACATCATAAATGATGATAACACCTTACATCATAATTATGTTCCTATAAATTTTCATTTTTAACAGTTTTTATTTTAGGTTCTGTTTTCTGGATTCTCTGATACATCAAGTTCCATTGCAATTAGATCATTTATTTTTGTGAGATCACTTTTTAATCTATTTGGTGTCTCTCCTCTTACATTCTACTTCACCACATTTTATAATTTCCTCTTCCTCTTCCTTTTTTATCTTTCCATCTCTACCTCATTCTGACTTGCTCTGTATCTTTCATGCTGGAGTTTGACAGCCCTGTATTCTCATGGGAGCAGACTATGAAATATCAGTCTGTCCCTCATCTAGACATATTGAAGCCCAACCTAAGATAATGTCTTTCCTTTTCTCTTTATTTCAATTTAGCATCCTTCTCTTTTAATGCATCATTTGATTGATAAATATTTAATGATTACATACATGACAGTTGACCTATGCCAGTTGTCAATTGACCTATGCCAGTGTAGTCATTCTCAAATTTATACTGGCAGCATTCAGTATATAGAGGTGGGTGACAGCCAAGAATATTCTCTCTACACTTTCCTACTTGATTACAAAGAAAAAAAAATCTCAGATTAAATATTACGTACACTGAAAGTTTGATGAAGCCCCAGCTCTTTCTCCTTTTAGGTGTTCCAACATCTTTTTTTCCTCCTCCTTTTTTAAAAAAAATTATTTTTGAGACACAGAGTCTCGTTCTCTCACCCAGGCTGGAGTGCAGTGGCGAGGTCATAACTCACTGCAGCCTCGATCTCCTGGGCTCAAGCAATCCTCCCACCTCAGCCTCCCTAGTAGCTGAGACTACAAGTACACGTAACCAAGCCCGACTAATTTTTAAATTTTTTTTTGTAAAAACGGGGTCTCATTATGTTGCCCAGGCTGGTCTCAAACTCCTGGGCTCAAGTGATCTTCCTGCCACAGGCCTGAGCCACTGTAGCCAGCTCCCTCCCCCTACTTTTTAAAAGTTGAAATATAATTCACATAACAAAAACTCACCATTTTAAAGTGTCCAACACAACTCAGTGTCTAATATCTTTTTTTAACTGAGGTAAAATTCACATAACATGAAATTAACCATTAGCCATTTTAAAGTGTGCAATTCAGTGACATTTAACATATCCACAAGGCTGTGCAACCATCACATCTATCTAGTTCCAAGACTTTTTTGTCACCCCAGAAGGAAACTCTATACTTGTCCAACAGCATCTTATCTGAAATATTCACTCAATACAAATGTGACAGCATTCTAGCAATGGGGTTTAGCTAACCTAATTGGAGTCAGGCCAGACAAATTCTTTAAGAAAGCAGCTGAACATAGGACTATTTGGGAATGAAGCCAAAGGTGCCATCCTGAAGGGAGTAGATCTCTGGGTTCACCAGACTCTTATAACCTGTTCCTGTAAGGACAGTGCCTGGTTAGTATTTGTAACTGATATGTGCATTTTGAATACAATCATTTCACTAAAATTTATTCTAATATCATTTATGGCAATTGACAAAGCTTCTTGTGTTGATCAAAGAAAAAGCTACTGAGGCATTCTGTTAGCCACTTCTGAAGTGTGGGCTTCTGATAAAAATATGCTAAACACTCCTGGAGTATATATTCTTACTTAGGTTAACTGACCACCACCCCTAGAGGGTAGATTGCATCTAACAGACTCACTCATATATATCATATTGTCCACATTGAATAACCCTGGAGTTACATCATATGCACAGTTAAGTTTTGCAACTTCAATTATAAAAATTGATCAAAAGTGAGAGACAAAGAGAATATTTAAATGGAGCTCTCACAGAGCTTGAGCCGCAGGTCAAGCTTGAAATGGTAGCCTGAATCTACTTTTCCCACAGTTGTCCTCAATTACCTTGTCGTGCTCAGTGTGTGAGCAGGATGCCATATTAAGAATGTTTCCAATGGCTAAAGATATATATTATTCATACAACATGGCACCTAAGCATAAAGAAATGATTTTAACTGGTCTTCAACTGAAGAAGCAGGCAGTCATCTGCTTCAATATGGGAGAAAAATGGGCTGTGTTTTACTTACTGAGAGGCACAGTTTTCTAAAGTAGTTAAGGAATTTTCAAAGATATTTTTGACTATCTCTGAATTTTACCATAACTGCTTTAGAATCCACCTGTCCTTCCCTTCCTTATTCCCTACCGCCCCCATACAAGATGAGTCTGAGTCTAGCATTGGGCTAGGCTCCTTGAGGTTCCCGAAGTGTAAGGTGGGGTCTCCAGGGCATTGGATGAATTTCAGATATGCCTGCTTGAATTGCCTGAAGGCAAGCAATCATCAGGACTAACAGTCAGGATAATTTTATGCCAGAACCAAGGCAGCTTTGTGTTATTGTTAATGGGAAAAAAATGACAAAACTTATTCATCTTGTGAGAAAGAATATTTTGTCTCTATAACATATACATTTAGAATCCCACTGTGAAATCCCAAAGGCAGACTCTAGTTCAGTTTATGGTAGAGCTGAACGATGGATGTATTACTTGAATATCATTTCCTTGTTTTAACCAGATGGTGATAAAAGTATTAAATAATCTTTATGTATTGTATCTTAGATTGTATATCCATTCGCATGGCTGATGTGTAGAATGAGTTCTTGGAAAAATTCTCTCTACTTTTTTCTTTATATTAACAAAAAGTATACAGGCAGCTGCTTTGTTAATTTTAAGTTTGCTGAATTTTCTTTTCATTTCTTAGTTTCTAATTATTATTCCAACAGGTATTATCTTTTGATGCCTATTTGGAAGAGGAAGTACTTGATAAAAGCCAAACCAACTACAGAATAAGATACTATAAAATCTACTTCTACCCTGAAGATGACACAATTCAAGTAAATGAACCAGAGGTGAAAAATAGTGGATTACTTCAAGGTATCTATTTAAAGCAGAGTTATGGTTCCTTCACTTCTGACTCCTGCCTTTATATACTGCCTGCCTTTAGCTTTTCAAAAGACTGCATGCTACTGTTTAGGCTGTCTAACCTGCTGGCAGTGGTGAATATAAACATGCCATTAGCGTGTAGTTATTGATTGTGACTTACCAGCTTTCTACCCTCTGCATGTCAACATTGGCTGGGTCTCTCACTCCTCCGTGGCATACTTGTATCCTTTCAGGTGCTGCTCTGGTATGAGTAAACTCTCCTGTGCCTTTGACTTTTTCCTCAAACCCTTTGGTCGCCTTGCCGTGAGCAGATCACTTCCTTCACAACACCATTAGGGGAGAAGAGAAAGCTGTTCTCTACTGCAGCTTCCAGATTGGCATTCTCTTCTTTCTTGAATTTACTGTCATTTGTTTCAACCACCCCCTCCTCATCCTCATACCTGTTAACTACAGACTTCGATGGTACCTCACCAGAGAGTCATTGTTCCTTCACCCTGTGTATGCCAGTCATCTTTGTCCATACTCCTCTCAGCCACAGATAAGAGTTAACTCTGTGATGTGGCCACCAGAGAAGCTAATCCTAGGTTGCATTAAGTATGGCAGAGATCAATGGAGATGACTGATTTCTTCTGTTTGTGCTGTGGGTCCTTCTCTTGGGATGCTGCGGAGTTCTGAATGACTTCAGGGGACAGCAACTATGACGGTGAAAGAACTGAACATTTGTCATGTGCAAGACAGAATAGTGAAAAGGGATATTTGTCTGTAATGGGGAGACTCCAGTGTGCTTGATAAATGTCCTCAGGAATCTAAAGGGCTGTCATGTGGAGAAGGGGTGACCTTATTCTCTTTATGTTCATGGATGGGACCTAGGGGTCAGAGTTCAGGTCAGTAAGAGGAAGAACTTTCTGGCAGAGAGCTGCTAGAAGTTATAGGGAATGGACCTGGGTAGGGTTGGGGTTAGGGGTCTGGTGTAGGGGCGGAGGAGAGGAGAGTCACAGATTTGTTTGTTCCCTCGTGTAGATAGATGGCCCTGGGGGCAGGTCAGGGGTGGTTTTTCACTGACAGCCTGCTGGAAGTATGAGAGGATTTGAGTGTTTGTTTGGTTGCTGGTGTAAATGACCTTTCAGGGTACTCAGTTCCTTGACGAGCTGATTCTTGGGTGTGTTGTTGTTTCTTTGCCTTTTAGAGTATTGCCACCTCCAGTATCTCAGTCTCTGAAATTGTCTTCTCTAACTACAATATATACTCCTTTTACTTTCCCTACTTGCTCATAACTACCATCCCTGTTCTTCACTCTCCTAGAAAAACATATCCTGAATATGTCCATGTCTTTCCATCCCCTTCACTACCATCCTCACCTAAGCTACCCTCATCTGTTGACTAGAGGAATAGAATAGCTGCCTAACGTGGTCTCCCTGTTTCCATTCTTGCTCCTCCTACAATCTGTTCTGTATGCAGCAGGGAGAGTGTTGTGTGGGATGTTACCTGGATACAGTGGTGGCCTTTGAGAATTGTACATGCAGGCTCTCCCAGAGGTCACAAAACAGAAGGCTCATGGATCACATTAAAATGCATGAATCACATGTTACATTAAAGTAATTTAAAACACATGATGAGAAGAAAGAGGGAAAGAGATAGGGTAGGTTCACACACTTGGGACAGGGTACAAGTAGGCAGAAGGACCATACTGCCTGAATCCTGGGGTCAGCAATGGTTCTGTCTCTGTTTCACTAACCTTCCCTGCTACTAGTATGGTTTAGAGACCAGAACTGAGGTTCAAGCAAGGAGAACCACAGACAGAAGGGGCTTCGGGCTGAGGGCACACACTTGCTCTGTTGGGGAGATGCAGGGAGAAGTGTGCCTGGCCATGGCTGTAGCTTGTCAATAAGCCTGCTGGATAGTCTTGGGTTTTGTTTGTGTTTCTTGGGCAGAGGTCACATGGGGCTAGAATGGGTGTCACCGATGAATGAGTGGCCAAATTGAGGCCTCATAAATATTGGGTGCTCATGAATATTTAGTGTCCTTATATATTTAGCATATCATGAATATTTAGAGTCCAGGTGCCTCATGTATATTTACGACCTACTGAAAATCAGTTATCTTTTGGTTTTTCCATCCCTTTCTTTCTATGTTTAACATGCCCATGCTCTACTTAGCATACCTACCTACCTATTGTTATTTAACACATCTCATGATTTCTGCCTATGCTGAACAAATTTTGCTTACTAATTACTAATCTAGGCCTGAGGGCTCTGTATTGATATACCACAATGAGTTCAAGGGGGAGAAGCAGGGATTTGAGGGCCATGGGCTCTGAGAATAAGGTTGTCATGCAACCTCATTAAGTGTGCAGAGGACTTCCTTCAATGCTCATGAGATTGAGGTTTTTCTTAGAGCATGGCTTCATTGTGTCTGGTGGTTGGAATAATGAATTTGGAGCCAGCCAGCATTGCCAAGAAGTATTTGTTGGATGCCTATTCTGTGTCAGGCACTGTGCTATGTTTTGGGAAAATGGACAAAAGGACTGAGTCCCATCATAGCCCTATCTCATGGAGTAATAATAGGCCACCAGATTGGAAAGGAAAGGGAGCAAGGCCACCAGTCCAAGAGTTTTGCAATTGTTCAGGCTAGAAATGCTGAGTGTCCAAACCAGGACAATGATGGTAGGAATAGAAAATTGGGGAAGGATTTGAGAGACATTTGGTTGGCAGAGTTGATATGCATTGGCCAGTGATTAAATACAGAGAGTGAGGAGGGGGAATATCTAATGAAAAAGTGCCTACCTTATCATTATCTCATTTAATCTCCTGATGACCATCTAAAGTAGTTACTGTCACTGTCAGCTTTTACAGAAAAGGAAACAGGCTTAGGGAGGTAATTTGCTCAGTCTGTTTTGCATTGCTCTAAAGGAATACCTGGGGCTGGGTAATTTATAAAGAAAAGAGGATTATGTGGCTCACAGTTCTGCAGACTGTACAAGAAGCATGGCACCAGCTTCTGCATCTGGTGAGGCCTCAGGAAGCTTTTACTCGTGGTGGAAGGTGAAAGGAGAGCAGGCGTGTCACATGGCAAGACGGGGAGCAAGAGAGAAAGGAGGGGATGCCAGACTCTTGTTAACAATCAGATTTTACGGTAACCAACAGAAAGAACTCACACATTACTGCGAAGACAACACAAAGACATTCATGTGGGATCCACCCCCATGACCCAAACACCTCCCAGCAGGCCCCATCTCCAACACTGGGGATCACATTTCAGCATGAGATTTGGAGGGGACAAATATCCAAACTATATCGGCCTCAGAGGTCTCTGTGGTTGAGTCATGATACCTTTATAAAGCCCAGGAGCACAGAGCAAGAAACAGGATTGGGGTTTGAATCTGGGGTGTGTTTCAGGGCATGAGGCCTTTGAAGGGGTGTTAGACATCTGTGTGGTGATGCCCCTCCAGGCAGGTACAAACTTAGGATGTGTTTTCAGGAAAAAAGTCAAGACTAGAAATGGAGATTGGGAATCAGAGGTGCCCAGATCATGACCAGGCTATTCTACCATGTTAGAGGAGAGCCACTGGTGAGGTGATGGAAAGATAAAGGGAATTCAATTTAGTGTCTCTGCTTGGTTTTACTAGTGGTGGGAAAAGACGAAGATTAGTATGAGGAGGTAATATGAACTGTCCTCATTGTTCTTTGTGTTCCAACTGATACACTATCCACTCCCTGGCCATTTTATTTGGTGAATTTGGCCTAATGGTAAATCTTTCAGGAAATATGGAAATACCATAACATTTTAAAAACAGGTTTTCACAAATTTTAAGGTTAAAAGTATGACATTTTATTTTACAAAGGGACAAGAGGTTTTAGATTCTTTAGGGTCATTTAAAACATATAAGGCAGTTTTTAAAGATTGGCAAGAATGCATTAGAAAATGGTTGAAGATTATTTAAGAACAAAGAATTTACAATTTATAATTTTTGTGGACATCTATTTTACTTACGTGTATTTGATTATATAATAGTATTGCTGTGGCAAAAAGAAAAAATTTCTTACAGGTTTTCACCTAAACATTTTGTTCTGATATTCCCTCACTAAGCTCTGCTTATTTTCTGATTACTTTCCCACCATGACACCAAACTTGCACAAATGATAGACTGGAGGTCACAGGACACCCCAGGCCTGGGTTAGTGACTTGCATTATTGTTTTCATTATTACCTTTAAAGTGAAAGCTCATAATCCTATAGCTCACTGGCCCCTGTCCAGTTCATCTTAGTTTTATTAAACTATCCAAGAAGAAATATGAAATGTAGCTTCTTTTAGAATCTTGGAAAGGCTTTTATTAAGACTTCTCAATTCTTTCAGACTCTTGATTTCAAATCTCACATAGGCAGATTCCAAAGGCAAGCTGAAGATAGTCATAATGATGTACTTGAAAATCATTCTTGTGTAAGGAGGGAGGAATGCTATCATAAAGTCTCAGAAAAAAAAGACCTGAGTAAAAGACAACTTTAAAGTCTCTGGAAATTTTCCGAATTTTTGATTGGCTCACTGTGGTCAGGACATTTCCCTGTGTGAAGACACAGCTCAAGAGTTGTGTATAGAATACACAGTAATCACGCTGCGTAATGACATTGAATTTGTCAGCAGAGTAGAGAAATTTGGAAGGCTGTAGCAAATCCTGTAGAAAGCAAACATGAATAACCACTCTGTCACCAAGCTTTGTTTAGAGAGAAACCAGTCTCTTGAAATATTTAATATGATAATTCTTGTTAAGGAAGGTCTATTTGGACTGCAGATAGTTTGAAAAATCATTTAAATGCCTTCTTCAAGCTTTTCTAAATTAAGTGATTGGAAAAAAGAAAACACTTAATGAGCCAGTGGTTCAGACGTCAGTGGGACAGGGTAGGTAGTGTTTCTTTCAGTTGTGACTTGAGTGGCCCGGGCTTGCTTTCCATGCATCTGGGCCCTGGGAAGAGGCAAATGGTCAAGATTAGGTGCTGTGCAGTGATGGCGTTCCTGTCACTTCCATAGGATTTTGATATTTTCTAGATGAACTTGGAGGTCAGATGCACTTGTTTCTTGTGTGACCATTTGGAAATTAGTGCAACTGGAGGAATTATAACCCTCCCCTGCTCCCTTTTGGTTGCCTCTATTATCATGTAATTTTTTAGGGTGGGGGGAGTTTGGAATCAGCCAGAAACAAAAGAGGCATCCATTAGCATGGTACCAAAATAGGCATTCATGCAGCTTCTAATCAGAACAACATATTTTTAATATTCACAAGTTCTTGTTGGCAAGGAGATTTGTGTGTGTTATGAGTCAAGAAAGCCAGTATTGCACTTCAAGGCTTGCTTTCATTTCTTGCCAGGACATCACTCTCTTTTCGGTTAGATGTGTTATATTTACAGAACGTGTTGCTTTTCTGCTGGAATGTAGTTAAAACAACATTATATCAAGCCAAGAATGTCAGAGGTTAATCCAGTAGTTTTACCTCTAATTGTCTAACAGAATAATTGTCAGTTAAATACACCAAGTCCAGCCTAATCTGTGCTAAAGAAAGGATAATGATTAGAAATGTGCCGTGATTTTCTGGTATGGTCTATACCAGTTGTTCTCAGTTGAAAGTGATCCTCAGAATCTCCTAGCCCACCCCAGAATTTTTTCTTCTGTAGACATGGGGTCAAGAACTGGCTTCCCTATGATTCTTAGTGCATCTTGGTTGAGAACACTGATTTCCACTAATGACTTGTTTTGGCCCCTTAATAAGGTAGTATTTCTCATATATATATTTTTTAATACTCTAAGATAATCTGCTTGATCAGGCAAATGTAATCACACAAAATAGAAGTCAGTCATTCATATGCCATTCACTCTTATTGGGCATGTACTATATATAGGTATTATATCCCATAAAGTGGTGGAGGGGTGGTGGGAAGGTTGCCAGATGAAGTATAAGATACTCAGTTATATTTGAATTTCAGGTAAGCAATGAAGTTTTTAGTATAATTATGTCCCAAATATTGCATAGGACATAGTTATACTAAAGAATTTGGCTGGGCATGGTGGCTTACACCTGTAATCCCAGCACTTTGGGAGGCAGAGGCGGGCTGATAACTTGAGGCCGGGAGTTTGAGACCAGCCTGACCAACATAGCAAAACCTCGTCGACTAAAAATATAAAAATTAGCTGGGTGTGGTGGCACATGCCTATAATCCTAGCTACTCAGGAGGCTAAGACAGGAGAATTGCTTGAACCTGGGAGACGGAGGTTGCAGTGAGCCGAGATCACACCACTGCACTCCAGCCTGGGTGAAAAAAAATTAAAAAAATTTAAAAAAAAAAAGAATTCTTTGTTGTTTATCTGGAATTCAAATTTAACTGAGCAGCCTATATTTTAATTTGCTAAATCTGGTCACCCTAGAGGGTGGACACTGGGGAGAGAACCAGGTACTTGAGGGATTAGAGGAGGAAAAGCCAATATCCACTAGAGAATCTGGCATTTGAATGGTACCTCAAAAGTTTCTCTAGATAAAGATGGAAGAGAAAGGCAGAATAGTCAAAAGGAGCAACATGAGATAAAGTGGTGGGACAATAAATTGGGAAGTATTTGGGAGCAGATCATAGATTGAATAGGGAAAACAGGGCAAGAAGGTGGTCATGCAAGAGGACATTAAAGCATCTGTTATTTTGGTGCTTTTTCAATAGCTAAGGGGGAGATGCGTAGGGTTACTGTTTCTTATTGTGAGCAGAAATGTGGAATTTTTAACTTCTTATTCTTTTGCTGCAAGGTGAGTGCCCGGTTGTGTATATAAAAATAATTATTCTTGTGAAACCGAAACTCTAAAGGTGACATTTTAGAAAAATAAAAGTAAAAGTATACAAGTCATTTTAGTAGAGGAATATAGTAAGCACAAGAGGAAGAAAAGACACTCTGTTATGTGTGATTGTGGTTAAGCCTCTTAGTATTTTTAGGGCACAAACTTGTAGATGTGATGATAAGTGGCAATTGCAGTTATATCTTCATTTACCTAAGAAATATCTGCCTTTAGACTTGGATGTACTCTAGGCCTGCAGCATTACTAAAATGAAATTAACATACTTAAATTAAAATAGAGGTGACCCAGGTGCAGTGGCTCACGCCTGTAATCCCAGCACTTTGTGAGGCCGAGGCAAAAGGATTGCTTAAGTCCAGGAGTTCAAGACCAGCCTGGGCAACAAAGCAAGGCTGTCTCTACAAAAAATAAAAAGTTAGCCAGGCGTGGTGGCCATGCCCGTAATCTCAGCTACACGGGAGGTTGAGGTAGGGAGGATCGCTTGAGCCTGGGAGGTTGAGGCTGCATTGATCCATGATCATGCCACTGCACTGTAGCCTGGGCAATGATGTGAGACCCTGTCTCAAAAATAAATAAATAAATAAAAAATAAAATAGAGGTGAGAGTTTGGAGTCTTAATTCTGGAAGGTGAATTCCAGAAAAGTAAATTTAGTGGTATGAGCAAAGATCTAAGGCAAGTCTCAACTGAATAACATGAAAACACATGAAACATAAATGGATATATGGTCACTTTGATCTAAACCACAGGGAAATGTTAGAAAGTTAAAGCTTGAAGAGCATAGCCAGATAGCAGGGCTTTTACAAAGGAAGAGAAATGTAAAACATGAAGATGAGGAAAAGCTGGACATGTGTCCCAATAGTCTTTATTGGGCAGTTAAGATAAACTCCTGAAAATTTAAAGGGCAAATATGGTGCTTTAGTTGTTTTTCTGTTTTGTAACAATATCTTTATTTATCTACCTTGATGATTTCACCTGCTCTTCAATGTGGGTCAAGGACATGGTATCCTGCCCATTTCTTTGATATCCCAAAACAAATTCCTGCTGATGGAGTTTCTGCCATTTATCGTGGAAGACTAAAAACATAAAAATTCTGATAATTAGAAATTTTAATTCTCAAAGGACACAGTTGAGAAATCCTATGAATATGTTATTGAAAGCTCTCATGTGCAACTGTACATTTCAAATGGCCCACCTTGGTTTTCTGATTAATATGGAATTGTGACGTTAGATTTTTGGTTATCAAAACTTTACTGTTAGTGTTAGACCTGCCTTTTCTTTCTAACTCATGGGTGTTCAGGATTCTTTTTTGTCACCAAGAAGAGCTTCCCTGGCCTTTTCTGAGAAGCATCTAGTGAGAGAAGTGTAGCGGCTAAGAGAAGGAAGAGTTGGGGGGCTTGAGATCTGCAGGCTCCTGGGAGAGGCAAGTCAGCTGGTGGGGCAGGCCCTGCAGGGTGCATTGCCATAGCAGTGGGTGGGCATCTCTGGAAATTTCCCCTTCGAGGAGAGAGGCTGTTCTTTCGGAAGAGCAGCTTCATCTCTCTTTTCTTTTCATGGTGGCTGGTAGCTCTTTTATCCATTTCCATCCTGTTATGCCTATGGCTCTTCCTCCTCAAGTAATATGTAGCTGCAGTACAGTGAGATACAGCTCAGTGCAAACTATGGAAAGTAATGGTATTTAGTTAGAGTCTGAAAGCCCAACTTCAAGATCTTTTACTGCCATTTGTTAGGGCATGACCTTGGGCATGGCATTTAACCTCTCTGAGCTTTGGTTTTCTCATCCTTAAACTGAATATTCATATTTCATGTATTATCTGCCTTATAGAATTATTGAGGATTAAATGAGAAAATGTAAGTGAAAGTTTATCCTAGGGCTATGATGATGATTGTGATTAGTATTATTTAAAAGCCCAGTGGGTGGGCCAGTTTTTGCCACCTAGAAAAATATAGGACTCCTATTCAAAGTCTTATGGAACAAAAATCATCGCTAACTTGCTTATTTGAATTTCTATAATGAAGTAAAAATGCAAGATAGATGGAATTTTTGAAGAAGCTCCTGACTGTTGAATAATTCTTATATATTTTAAAAACTGTCACAATATAAGTATTTTTAAAGTAGTATATAATGGTTCCTGAAAATACCTGAAATGCCCATCCTTTTATACATGTTTAAGTATGCAATTTGTTCTAAATGTCTAATCTTGAATGATTAAATAATTTGCATACTGTTTTCAGTGCTATGAATTAAAGGCTAATTGAAGTATAATTTTTTCACAGTAAAATTGTATCATCTTTTATGTAGTACATTTAAAAATATTCTAGGCCAGTTCTAATTTTATAGTTTTATTATTTTAATTTAATGCACCAAGTAATTAAAAATTGCTGCAAAGAAAAGAAGCTGAAAATGATTTTAGGTAATTTCCCCTCAACAGAGTGAAAAGATGATAAGTAGAATAATGGAAGAGAGCCCAACACAGTTCCTGGCACATAAAGATATTCATTAAATATTCCTTAATGAATAAGCAATGACTAATTTCTAAGTGTCTCTAGACTTTGAGAAAAGGCACCATTTTCAGTGCTGTATAAAATACAAAGAAGATAGGTTGACATCTTTATATTAAAATACCTCCATGCAGAGTTCCCACAAGCCAATTTTTATTGAATCATTAGATCTGCAGTTTGTTCTGCTTTCCTTTTCTCTTTGTTCTTGGAGTAGATTCTCAGGCCTAAGTCAGTTACAGATATTGAGAGACAATTCTCCATGGTATCATGCATTTCTGTATCTCTTGTAAGCAGAGGCACTGACTTCTCTTTGTTCTGGACTATCTCTTCAAGGATGTTTATATAGCAAGTAGCTGTGGAAGACAAAAATAGTCTCTCCCTCTGGAGCAAAGTATAGGTTTGCTTATAGCGTTGGAAGATAGAGGCTTAGTGTCTCCTTCCAGTCTAATAAAGATAGTAGCTCCCTTGGAGATAAAGAGCAGGGATGCTTATTGCTAATTATAGAAGATTTGGGTTCCCTAAGCTAAGGGTTACTCTCCTGTAATGTAACCCACTGCATGTACAAATGTTACCTGGCCCTTACTATGTCATCCTGTGGGAATTGGGGCTTAGGAAACTGGAAAAAGAAATGCTGATATTTAGGCTATTCTTACTGCTGTTGATTAATAAACTGCCTTTTGTCTCTGACCAAGGCACCTCCTGTCTTCTACCAGCATCCATGAAACTATGGAAGGCTAACTTCTCATCTTGCAAGTAGGATAAAATCTCAAACCCTTTTTTCTTTTTTTCAAATTCTTTTTTCTTTTTCTTTTCTTTTCTTTTTTTTTTTTTTTTTTTTTTTGAGACAGGGCTTTGCTCTGTTGCCCAAGCTAGAGTACAGTGGTGTGATCATGGCTCACTTTAGCCTTGACCTCCTGGACTCAAGCAATTCTCCCACCTTTCAGCCTCCCAAGTAGATGGGACCACATGTGGGCACCACCATACCCAGCTAATTTTTTTTTAATTAATTTTTTTTTTCTTTTGTAGAGACAGGATTTTGCCATGTTGCCCAGGCTGGTCTCGAACTCTTGGGCTCAAGCAATCTGCCTGCCTCGGCCTCCAAAAGTGGTGGGATTACAGGCATGAGCCACCATGCCTGGCCCCTAAACAATCCTTAACAACAGATTGCAGCAATATTTGGGTAACTTGGCTGGTATGGTGTGGTATAGTTGGTACACTCATGTAGGCAAGGAACTCTTTTACCTCCAGTGGCTGACCACTCTTTTGGATATACGTGGGACCCTGGGAACATATTCTCAAGAGGAGAAATGAATGGGCATCAGGGTTGGAAGTAGAAGATGGGATGAGATCTAGAGCTTTTGGCCCAGAGCACTGGCTAGAACTGTGAAGCCTCTGATAACCCTCACTTGAGGTAGTGCTTGGGTGGAGGTGGACAGAGGCTATAGAGGAAGGAGGAGGAAAAATAGGTTGATAGAGGAAAGAAGATTCCATGAAACTTCACAGCAGCCAAAAGTGATTCATCCTTATTGAAACTTCTAAGTCAATGTTGGCACCTATCATTCCAAAGCTTACTAGCTTTTTTTTTTTTTTTTTTTTTTTGAGCCATGAGTACACATTTTTGTGAGCATTCTGCATTGGTGCCTTAATGCCTGTTGAGTGTGCTCACATTGAGTGCTTGCTGGTGGCTGAATGTGAGCAGGCTTGTTCTAGGAAAAGACATGATGGCAGCGTCTGGTATTTTTCGTCATTCTGCTTATGTCCCCTGTCCTTCATCCCCCATCCTCACCCCAGTCTTTATGGTTTATTAAAATACTTCCCAAGCACCACTTAGGCAACTCTAACCACATGCAAGGCTGGCCACAGAGCTCTGAACCTCAGAAATCTCAGCTCATTCTGACTTCCTCAGAGTTGGAATGTACTAATGCTGCTTCCTAGAACGAGTCCTTTGCCCAGTTTTCTGTTGCGGGAAAGTATTCAGGGTTGTTAGTGAATGTGCTGTATCTTCTTACTTGTTAGCCACATGATAAAACAGTTGTATTTTCTTTCATGCCATAGGGACTTCTATCCGGCGTCATCGGATTACTCTTCCGCCTCCTGATGAGGATCAGTTTTATACTGTGTATCATTTTAATGTCGGCACAGAGGTTGTCTTCTATGGCCGGACATTCAAGATTTATGACTGTGATGCATTCACAAGAAACTTTTTGAGGAAAATAGGGGTCAAAGTGAATCCCCCAGTGCAATGTCCAGAAGATCCTTACATGAAGATTCGGAGAGAGGTAAGGAATTGACGTTTGTTGAGTTCTTGTCTTCAAAATAAAAATCCCTTTGGAAAGTCAGTAAAGGGTGTTTGTACTCCTGATGCAGATGTGAAAGAGCTTTTAGAGCCATAGTTATTCCAGTTTTGTTCTTCTTTGGGCTAGAGGGAAGGCTGAGTGTTAGCCACAGAGCAAGAATGACTTCCTCACTGCCTCACCCCAATTCTCTCTGTAGAGACTCTCTCTTTCAGGCAGTAGGAGTCTTCAGTGAACTGCACAGGTGAGACAGATTCTAGGCACCCACAATTGACTTTGTGGTCACTGATGGTATATGAGTTGTATCCACATTTCCTTGGCTTGTGTTTTTGCTTTTTAGTTGTCTAACTCTGGCTAGAAAGATCTTTGCTTCTATACTAGTGATTTAGTGAAGCAAGCCTTGGGTACACATTTTTTCTTCCTCCTAGGAAATTCCAGGTCCTCTTAGGATGGCATTGGATGCCAAGATGCTCTGGAAGAATAAGGAAGACCATGATTCTGATATACCCCCTTTAGGAAAGGATGTTTATGTACAAGGTCTGACCCCAGCTAGTGTAAGGGAGTAAAGACTCAATATTTTTAGTATTATTTTTGTCTTCCTATTTTTTAAACAGTCCCTGGGCCCAAATTTTGTTTTCCAGAAGAATTTGAACACTCAAAGGGGGGTGGAAGGTGACAACACCCAGCTAATCTCCTTGCTGGGACTGGATCGCAAATGTCTTGACTCTTACCCTGATTTCCATCATTGTCACTTGTTTCCTTTTTCCTTTTCTATTGAAGTGTGATTACACACAGTAAAATACACAGAAATTAAGTGTACAGTTGGATGAGTCTTAACAAATACACGTACCCCTATAACCTACCCCCATATTGAGATGTAGAGCATTTCTCTTCCCCCAGAAAGTCCCCTCATGTGTTTATCGAATCGATCCCGCTCCCCACCACAGACAACTGCTGTTCTCATTTCTATACCCATAGATGAGTTTTGTCTGATTTTTATTGTTTTAAAACTTATGATTCATTTCCTTGCAGAGAGGTAACAAAATTTAGAACAAAATTCTCTTTTGATTCTGTTTTGATCTCTTTTTAAAAGCCACTTGTAGGATCATTCATCTATTCCTGCCTCCCAGCCCCAGCAGAATTATTCTTTAATGTTGTTGTAGGCATACAGCCCTCTGGAGAAATATATATATTGTTGATCCTGGAATATCTAAGGTGAAATGCCTGTATATTGATGTACAAAGGGATTTTTTTTGGTTTGGATTCATTTTTATTTTTTCCAAATGCCCTGGATGAAAGAGTCTAGATAAATAGAAAGAATTTAGAACCAGCAGAGAGAACTTGAAGGAAATGGATCCAAATGAATTGCCACCCTTTGCATATGGCTGCAGTCATTCACTAACAGTTGTTGTTATATGATAGTGATTGTGAATAATGATGGATTATATGAAAATGCGCAGAGCACTGTGGGATTTCATAGGTTTATGAAGAAAAAAATTTATGTATATTTAAAATTATACTTTAAGTTCTGGGATACATGTGCAGAATTTGCAGGTTTGTTACATAGGTATACACCTGCCATGGTGGTTTTCTACACCCATCAACCCATCATCTACTTTAGGTATTTCTCCTAATGCTGTCCCTCCCCTATCCCCCCACCCCCTGACAGGCCCTGGTGTGTGATGTTCCCCTCCCTGTGTCCATGTGTTCTCATTGTTCAACTCCCATTTATGAGTGAGAACATGCAGTGTTTTGTTTTCTGTTCCTGTGTTAGTTTGCTGAGAATGCTGGTTTCCAACTTCATCCATGTCCCTGCAAAGGACATGAACTCATCCTTTTTAATGACTGCATAGTATCCCATGGTGTATATGTGCCACATTTTCTTTATCCAGTCTATCATTGATGAGCATTTGCGTTGGTTCCAAGTCTTTGCTATTGTGAATAGTGCTGCAATAAACACGTGTGCATGTGTCTTTATAGTAGGATGATTTATAATCCTTTGGGTATATACCCAGTAATGGGATTGCTGGGTCAAATGGTATTTCTGGTTCTAGATCCTTAAGGAATTGCCACACTGTCTTCCACAATGGTTGAACTAATTTACACTCCCACCAACAGTGTAAAAGCATTCCTATTTCTCCACATCCTCTCCAGCATCTGTTGTTTCCTGACTTTTTAATGATTGCCATTCTTTTTTTTTTTTTTAAATGGAGTCTCACTCTGTTGACCAGGCTGTAGTGCAGTGGCGCGATCTTGGCTCACTGCAAACTCTGCCTCCCAGGTTCAAGAAATTCTGTGCCTCAGCCTCCTGAGTAGCTGGGATTACAGAGGCCTGCCACCACACCCGGCTAATTTTTTTTTAAATATTTTTAGTACAGACAGGGTTTCACCATCTTGGCCAGGTTGGTATTGAACTCCTGACCTCGTGATCCACCTGCCTCGGCCTCCCAGTGATCGCCATTCTAACTGGCGTGAGATGGTATCTTATTGTGGTTTTGATTTGCATTTCTCTAATGACCAGTGATGATGAACTTTTTTTCATATGTTTCTTGGCTGCATAAATGTCTTGTTTTGAGAAGTGTCTGTTCATATCCTTTGTCCACTTTTTGATTTTTTTTTTTTTTGTAAATTTGTTTAAGTTCCTTGTAGATTCTGGATATTAGCCCTTTGTCAGTTGGATAGATTGCAAAAATTTTCTTCCATTCTGTAGGTTGCCTGTTCACTCTAATGATAGTTTCTTTTGCTGTGCAGAAGCTTGTTAATTTAATTAGATCCCATTTGTCAATTTTGGCTTTTGTTGCCATTGCTTTTGGTATTTTAGTCATGAAGTCTTTGCCCATGCCTATGTCCTGAATGGTATTGCCTAGGTTTTCTTTAGAGTTTTTATGATTTTAGGTCTTATGTTTAAGTCTTTAATCCATCTTGAATTAATTTTTGTATAAGGTGTAAGGAAGGGGTCCAGTTTCAGTTTTCTGCATATGGCTAGCCAGTTTTCCCAACACCATTTATTAAATAAGGAATCCTTTCCTCATTGCTTGTTTTTGTCAGGTTTGTCAAAGATCAGTTGGTTGTAGATGTGTGGTGTTATTTTTGAGGACTCTGTTCTGTTCCATTGGTCTATATCTCTGTTTTGGTACCAGTACCATGCTGTTTTGGTTACTGTAAACTTGTAGTATAGTTTGAAGTCAGGTAGTGTGATGCCTCCAGCTTTATTCTTTTTGCTTAGGATTGTCTTGGCTATACGAGCTCTTTTTTGGTTCTATATAAAATGTAAAGTAGTTTTTTTCTAATTCTGTGAAGAAAGTCAGTGGTAGCTTGATGGAGATGGCATTGAATCTATAAATTACCTTGGGCAGTATGGCCATTTTTATGATATTGATTCTTCTATCTATGGGCATGGAATGTTTTTCCATTTGTTTGTGTCCTCCCTTATTTCCTTGAGCAGTGGTTTGTAGTTCTTGAAGAGATCCTTCACATCCCTTATAAGTTGTATTCCTAGGTATTTTATTCTCTTTGTAGCAATTGTGAATGGGAGTTCACTCATGATTTGGCTGTCTGTCTATTATTGGTGTACAGGAATGCTTGTGATTTTTGCACATCGATTTTGTACCCTGAGACTTTGCTGAAGTTGCTTATCAGCTTAAGGAGATTTTGGGCTGAGATGATGGGGTTTTCTAAATATACAATCATGTCATCTGCAAACAGAGACAATTTGACTTCCTCTCTTCCTATTTGGATACCCTTTATTTCTTTCTCTTGCCCTGGCCAGAACTTCCAATACTATGTTGAATAGGAGTGGTGAGAGAGGGCATCCTTGTCTTGTGCCAGTTTTCAAAGGGAATGCTTCCAGCTTTTGCCCATTCAGTATGATATTGGCTGTGGGTTTGTCATAAATAGCTCTTATTATTTTGAGATACGTTCCATCAATACCTAGTTTATGGAGAGTTTTTAGCATGAAGGGGTGTTGAATTTTATTGAAGGCCTTTTCTGCATCTATTGAGATAATCATGTGGTTTTTGTCATTGGTTCTGTTTATATGATGGGTTACATTTATTGATTTGCATATGTTGAACCAGCCTTGCATCCCAGGGAGGAAGCTGACTTGATCTTGGTGGATAAGCTTTTTCATGTGCTGCTGGATTTGGTTTGCCAGTATTTTATTGAGGATTTTCGCATCAATCTTCATCAGGGATATTGGCCTGAAATTTCCTTTTTGTGTTGTTGTTGTTGTTGTGTCTCTGCCAGGTTTTGGTATCAGGATGATGCTGGCCTCATAAAATGAGTTAGGGAGGAGTGCCTCTTTTTCTATTGTTTGGAATAGTTTCAGAAGGAATGGTACCAGCTCCTCTTTGTACCTCTGGTAGAATTTGGCTGTGAATCCATCTGGTCCTGGGCTGTTTTTGGTTGGTAGGCTATTAATTACTGCCTCAATTTCAGAACTTGTTATTGGTTGGTCTATTCAGGGATTTGACTTCTTCCTGGGTTAGTCTTGGGAGGGTGTATGTGTCCAGGAATTTATCTATTTCTTCTAGATTTTCTGCATAGAGGTGTTTATAATATTCTCTGATGGTAGTTTGTATTTCTGTGGGATCAGTGGTGATATCCTGTTTATCGTTTTTTATTGTGTCCATTTGATTCTTCTCACTTTTTTTCTTTATTAGTCTGGCTAGCAGTCTATCTATTTTGTTGATCTTTTCAAAAAACCACCTCCTGGATTCTTTGATTTTTTGAAGGGTTTTTTGTGTCTCTATCTCCTTCAGTTCCACTCTGATCTTAGTTATTTTTTGCCTTCTGCTAGCTTTTGAATTTATTTGCTCTTGCTTCTCTAGTTCTTTTAATTGTGATGTTAGTGTGTTGATTTTAGATCTTTCTCACTTTCTCCTGTGGGCATTTAGTGCTTATAAGCACTAAATATATAAATTTGCCTCTAAACACTGCTTTAGTTGTGTCCCAGAGATTCTGGTATGTTGTGTCTTTGTTGTCATTTGTTTCAAAGAACTTATTTATTTCTGCCTTAATTTTGTTATTTACCCAGTAGTCATTCAGGAGCAGGTTGTTCAGTTTGCATGCAATTGTGCGGTTTTGAGTGAGTTTCTTAATCCTGAGTTCTAAGTTGATTGCTCTGTGGTCTGAGAGACTGTTTGTTATGATTTCCGTTCTTTTGCATTTGCTGAGGAGTGTTTTACTTCCCATTATGTGGTCAACTTTAGAATAAATGTGATGTGGTGCTGAGAAGAATGTATACTCTGTTGATTTGGGGTGGAGAGTTCTGTAGATGTCTATTAGGTCCACTTGGTCCAGAGCTGAGTTCAAGTCCTGAATATCCTTGTTAATTTTCTGTCTCGTTGATCTGTCTAATATTGACAGTGGGGTGTTAAAGTCTTTCATTATTATTGTGTGGGAGTCTAAATCTCTCTGTAGGTCTCTAAGGACTTGCTTTATGAATCTGGGTGCTCCTGTATTGGGTGCATATATATTTAGTATAGTTGGCTCTTCTTGTTGCATTGATCTCTTTACCATTATGAAATGCCCTTCTTTGTCTTTTTTGATCTTTGTTGGTTTAAAGTCTGTTTTATCAGAGACTAGGATAGAAACCCCTGCTTTTTTTTGCTTTCCATTTTTTTGGTAAATATTCCTCCCTCCCTTTATTTTGAGCTTATGTGTGTCTTTGCATGTGAGATGGGTCTCCTGAATACAGCACACTGATGTGTCTTGACCCTTTATCCAATTTGCCAGTCTGTGTCTTTTAATTGGGACATTTAGCCTGTTTACATTTAAGGTTAATATTGTTATGTGTGAATTTGATCCTGTCATTATGATGCTAGCTGATTATTTTGCCCATTAATTGATGCAGTTTCTTCATAGCATCAATGGTCTTTATAATTTGGTATGTTTTTGCAGCAGCTGGTACTGATTTTTCCTTTCCACATTTAGTGCTTCCTTCAGGAGCTCTTGTAAGGCAGGCCTGGTGATGACAAAATCTTTCAGCATTTGCTTATCTGTAAAGGATTTTATTTCCCCCTTGCTTGTGAAGCTTAGTTTGGCTGGATATGAAATTCTGGGTTGAAAATTCTTTTCTTTAAGGATGTTGAATATTGGCCCCCACTCTCTTGTGGCTTGTAGGGTTTCTGCAGAGAGGTCTCCTGTTAGTCTGATGGGCTTCCCTTTGTGGGTAACCCGACCTTTCTCTCTGGCTGCCCTTGACACTTTTTCCTTCATTTCAACCTTGGTGAATCTGACAATTATGTGTCTTGGGGTTGCTCTTCTTGAGAAGTATCTTTGTGGTTTCCTCTGTATTTCCTAAATTTGAATGTTGGCCTGTCTTGCTAGGTTGGGGAAGTTCTCCTGGATAATATGCTGAAGTGTGTTTTCCAACTTGGTTCCATTCTCCCTATCACTTTCAGGTACACCAATCAAACGTACGTTTGGTCTTTTCACATAGTCCCGTATTTCTTGGAGGCTTTGTTTGTTCCTTTTCATTCTTTCTTCTCTAATCTTGTCTTCACGCTTTATTTCATTAAGTTGATCTTCCATCTCTGATATCCTTTCTTCTGCTTAATCGATTCAGCTATTGATACTTGTGTATGCTTCACAAAGCTCTCGTGCTGTGTTTTTCAGCTCCATCAGGTCATTTATGTTCTTCTCTAAACTGGTTATTCTAGTTAGCAATTCCTCTAACCTTTTTTCAAGGTTCTTAGCTTCCTTGCATTGGGTTAAAACATGCTCCTTTAGCTCAGAGGAGTTAGTTATTACCCACCTTCTGAAGCCTACTTCTGTCAATTCATCAAACTCATTCTCCGTCCAGTTTTGTTCTCTTGCTGGCGAGGAGTTGTGATCCTTCGGAGGAGAAGAGGTGTTCTGGTTTTTTGGAATTTTCAGCCTTTTTGTGCTGGTTTTTCTTCATCTTTGTGGATTTATCTACCTTTGGTCTTTGATGTTGTTGACCTTCGGATGGAGTTTTCATTTGGACATCCTTTTTGTTGATGTTGATGCTATTCCTTTCTGTTTGTTAGTTTTCCTTCTAATAGTCAGGCTTCTCTGCTGCAGGTCTGCTGGAGTTTCCTGGAAGTCCAATCCAGACCTTGTTTGCCTTGGTATCACCAGTGGAGGCTGCAGAACAGCAAAGATTGCTACCTGTTCCTTCCTCTGGAAGCTTCGTCCCAGAGGGGCACCCTCCAGATGCCAGTCGGAGGTCTCCTTTAAGAGGTGTCAACCCCTGCTGGGAGGTGTCTCCTAGCAGGAGGCACAGGGGTCAGGGACACACTTGAGGAGGCAATCTGTCCTTTAGCAGAGCTCGAGCACTGTGCTGGGAGGTCTGCTGCTCTCTTTAGAGCTGGCAGGAGGAACGTTTAAGTCTGCTGAAGCTGTGCCCACAGCCACCCCTTCCCCCATGTTCTGTGTCCCAGGAAGATGGGAGTTTTATCTATAAGCCTGTGACTGGGGCTGCTGCCTTTCTTTCATAGATGCCTTACCCAGAGAGGAGGAATCTAGAGAGGTAGTCTGGCTACAAAATCATTGCTGAGCTGTGGTGGACTCCGCCCAGTTACAACTTCCTGGCAGCTTTGTTTACACTGTGAGGGGAAAACCGCCTACACAAGCCTCAGTAATGGGGGACGCCCCTCCCCCCACCAAGCTCCAGCGTCCCAGATCGACTTCAGACTGCTGTGCTGGCAGCGAGAATTTCAAGCCATCGGTCTTAGCTTGCTGGGGGGATCCACTGAGCTAGACCACTTGGCTCCCTGGCTTCCACCTCCTTTCCAGGGGAGTGAGCAGTTCTGTCTCACTGGTGTTCCAGGCGCCACTGGGGTATGAAAAAAAAAAAAAACTGCAGCTAGCTTGGTGTCTGCCCAAACAGCTGCCCAGTTTTGTGCTTGAAACCTAGGGCCCTGGTGGTGTAGGCACTTGAGGGAATCTCCTGGTCTGAGGGTTGCAAAGACCATGGGAAAAGCATAGTATCTGGGCCAGAGTACACTGTTCCTCACAGCACGGTCCCTCACGGCTTCCCTTGGCTAGGGGAGGGAGTTCCCTGACCCCTTGTGCTTCCCGGGTGAGGCGATGCCCCACCCTGCTTCAGCTCGCCCTCCGTGGGCTGCACCTACTGTCTAAGCAGTCCCAATGAGATGAGCCGGATACCTCAGTTGGAAATGCAGAAATCACCCTCCTTTTGCATTGATCTCGCTGGGAGCTGCAGACCAGAGCTGTTCCTATTCGGCCATCTTGCCAGCCACCCCCAGAAAAAGATCTTTTGTGCCAGGAATTGAGAATAAATACCAAGAACAGCTAAGAAATGTTTTAAATAATTTCCTTTCAGAGTAGGAACATCATTTTAGCATTTATTCCCTCAGGGAGAAAATTCTTCAATAAATATAGTAATCTTTGGGAAATTAGGAGTTTAATAAGAGGCTTCTATATTGACTTTCATACATTTACTTCTGCAGTGTTTGCTGTCTTGAACTGTAAAGTTAAAATTAAACAATTTAACTTAGACTGAAAAGAATCCCATATATTATCAATAATGCTTTTCTTAGAGGCCTCATAATGCCAAAGAAACATTTTTCAATCAATTGAAATAGTGGTCCCATAATTTCATTTAAATATCAGAGATAAGACTGAAGAGTCTTTGGAAAGCCATCATGTCTCCCCACTGTCTTGGGTTAAGACTGCACCTAGACTGCCCTCGACAGATAGAAATTTCAAAAATTTACAAAAAGATTGTATAACCTGATTTGGGATAACATCTCCCTTGTCAGTGTGCACTTCCTTATATAACAGTCCTATTTGGTTACATCAGATGAAATGGGGGCAGTTTAACTCCACGACAGGGCTGCGAAAGTGCAAATAGAGGGAAGAGTTGCATCAAGAAGACTATGGAACTAACTAGTGGTTCCTGGGACAGAGGACAGCCGAGGCAGAGGCTCTGCAGACCTTAAGACCTTCTCCATTTGCTGTGCTCCTGTTTCTCCGGGGCATTCTTATCCTTGATACCTAAAGCTTTTTGAGCTGAAATAAAACAGTGAATATATTTCTTCCCTTTTACCTTCACAAAAATCTTTGAATGAGTAAGAATTATGAACACATATGAATTTCCCAGTGAAAAGACAAATTATGTATTTGGTTGAGATATAATTAATACGGAGTCAAACATATAAATCTTAAGTATATAGGTCAACAAGTTTTGTAAAATGTGTGCAATTGAGTAACCAACACAAAAATCGAGATGTAGAATATTTTTACCACCTCAGAAAGTTCCTTTCTCCCCATTTCTGGTCAAATTCCCTACCCAGAGGCAATTACTGTTCTGATTTCTGTCACCGTAGATTAGTTTTGTCTGTTCTTAAATAAGAATTTTAAATCTTTTTGAAAAGTCAGTTTTAAAAAATATTAAAGAAGTATAGTTTTTTCTTTTTTTAATCTTTTTTTTTTTTTTTTTTTTTTTTTTTTTTTTTTTTTTTTTTTTTTTTTACAGAGTATTGCTCTGTCACCCAGGCTGGAGTGCAGTGACACAATCTCGGCTCACTGCAACCTCTGCCTCCCAGGTTCAAGGGATCCTCCTGCCTCAGCCTCCTGAGTAGCTGGGATTACTGGCACCTGCCACCGGACCTGGCTAAACTTTTTTGCATTTTTAGTAGAGACAGCCAGGCTGGTCTCAAACTCCTGGCCTCAAGTGATCGACCCACTGTGGCCTCCCAAGGTGCTGAGATTACAGGTGTGAGCCACCCCGCCTGGCCAGAAGTATAGTTTAGTGTATTAATGTTTAATATGAAAAACTTCCTCAAACTTGTTTGTCTCTATTCTTTTTTTTTTTTTTTTTTTTTTTTTTTGAGATGGAGTCTCACTCTGTCGCCCGGGCTGGAGTGCAGTGGCGCGATCTCTGCTCACTGCAAGCTCCACCTACTGGGTTCACACCATTCTCCTGCCTCAGCCTCCCGAGTAGCTGGGACTACAGGTGCCTGCCACCACGCCCGGCTAATTTTTTTGTATTTTTAGTAGAGACGGGGTTTCACCGTGTTAGTCAGGATGGTCTCGATCTCCTGACCTCGTGATCCACCTGCCTCAGCCTCCCAAAGTGCTGGGATTACAGGCGTGAGCCACCGCGCCCGGCCAGTTCTTAAGGTTAAAACTGGTTATAGATGTGTATGTATCTATGTCATAGTTGAAATTAAAAACAAAATCACAGAATAATCTGTAGAAAAATATATCTTTTTTGTTTTCTTTTCTTTTTTTTTTTTTTTTTCGAAATGGAGTCTCACTCTGTTGACCAGGCTGTAGCGCAGTGGTGTGAACATGGCTCACTGCAGCCTTGACCTCCTGGGGTCAAGCAATTCTCCCATCTCAGCCTCCCAAGTAGCTGGGACTACAGGCGTGTGACACCACATCTGCCTAATTTTTTTTTTTTTTTAAGAGTTGTGTTTTTGCCATGTTGCCCAGGCTGGTCTTGAACTCCTGAACTCAAGCAGTCTTCCCGCCTTGGCCTCCCAAAATGCTGGGATTACAGGCATCAGCCACCATGCCTGACCAAAAATATATCTTTATATATTTGTCACTTGATTGTGTATATCTTAGAAGTGATTATGCAAACCCTGCAACTATTATTGACATTTTCTCCATTTGCAGGTTGTAGAACACGTAGAGCCCTTACGTCCCTACGAATCCCTCGACACCCTGAAACAGTTCCTCCAGTATCATGGCAAGATTTTGTGTTTCTTCTGCCTGTGGGATGACTCAGTCTCAATGTTTGGAGACCGTAGAGAACTCATCCTGCATTACTTCTTGTGTGATGATACTATTGAAATCAAAGAATTGCTTCCACACAGCTCAGGCCGAGATGCTCTAAAAATGTTCCTCCGGAGGAGTAAGCTACCCAAGGTGAGCAGTGGATATAACCACTTTGAATTTGCTTGTGGGTCAAGAGACTAGTCACTGTTTGGAATGTTGTGTGTTATGACTATATGATGATAGTAACCATGCACTAGTGCAGGTATTTAGAAACCTTTCATTTTGTGCCCTCTATTAATACACATCTGTGAAAGTAATACAGAGAATATGATCAATTAGAGTTGGAACATTGAAGTTAAGGCAAGTAAAGGAAAAAAGTCAAATGTAAGAAAAAGCACCTATTCATCATTGAGTTCACATCCAGTTTTATGAAACTAAATGACTCCTTAGTAAAAGAATTGCTTGTGGCTTTGGACAGGGCACTGCAGACTACTGAAGAGAGCCCATGGTTTGGTCTGGGTTGTGAATACAAACACACACTTATACACGTGCACCTACATGTGCATGTACACATGCACTCACAAACATACACATGCAAGTTTACAAACCAAAGTGCCTTTTCTGAATGTAGCAACTAGTCACCAACTAGCCACTAGCTAGTGGCAGTGATGACTTTTGCATTTTATTTAACATTAAAAAGAGTTGTCAGATTGATTTCTACAAATATTTATGGCCATTTGAGAGCTCATGTAATTTGGGTGCAGCAGAAACAGCCCAGACCTGGATTAGAGTTGTGAGTCTGCCCCTTAATAGCTGTGTTACCTTGGGCAAATCACTTAACCTCTTTGAGCTTATTTCCCCATCTTTAAAATGTCATAACATAGTAAAAAAAAAAAACCAAAAAAACACCATCTAAGGACCTGTAAACACCTATAAGGACACTTAAGAACATAAAGGCTTTTTCAAAAGCTCTATGTTATATTTTCTTTCTTATTTGGATAAAGTGTCTTCTTAGTGCACATGAAAAGGTTACCATAATGCTAATTTCCGAGGCAAATAACTGCTGGCCATTCAGTCCTCACCGGGAGGCTTTCCCAGATTCTCTGAGCCCACTGCTGGAAGCCCTACTGCGTTTGCTTGGAGGCAGGAGAGGCACAATTTGTCCCAGAGGGAGCCCTGGGATACCCATAGCAGGCAACCAGGAGGTGTCAGAAAAACCTGTTTTTAGAATGACTTTGAAAAATAGGCTGAATATAAAATAATAATGACATACCTGACATTTACAGTGTGCCAACATTAGTTAATTCATTTTATTCATTCATTCAACAAATATTCATTGAGTGCCACCTCTATGCCAGCCCTGGGGTTATAGTAAGAAAGGGAATGGATTAAATCCTACCACATCTTGTTTTGATTTTGTCTTCCAGAATTGCCCACCTAGAGTCTATCAACCAGGCCAGATAACAGATCGAGCAGTTCTCAATTCATATGGTGACTTTATAAAGAACCAAGCGGATGGCTACCTGTTCGATAGATATAAGGGAAGGAACCTCATATTTTATTACCTGTTTCTAGTGTGACTTCTTTGGAACCTGAACAGTGGGGCGAGTTACGTACTCTTCTCTTGTGAGATTGTGAATGAAATCGATGAATACATAAATGTATGCATTGTACTGCTATTTATCAGTAATAAACATGCTGAAATGTCTATATAAATATATGCAATGCATTGCAGTTTGTAAGTATAATACTACAGTGCTAAAATAATACTTTAGAATATTAACATCAACTGGTTGCTTTTTTATTTGATTTTTAAAATTTAGTTATTAAAGATTGAAGTTTTATTTTTAATTTCCTTTTTTTCTCTGGGAAGGGGTTCCTGGTTCTTTGGAGGGTCCATGGTGCCAATGCTATGTTCCTTTGTCTTTTTTAGCTAGGAAAAGTAGACCAAGAGTTTTACAAAGATAGTGACCTGTCCCTAGGAGTCACCATCAATGTGTGGGGAAGAAAAGTGCTCCTTTATGACTGTGATGAATTTACGAAGTCTTATTATAAGTCTAAATATGGAATTGGTAAGTGATACATATGTCAATTAAAAATATTTTTAAAATTAAATTGTTTGTTCCCTAATTAAGATTTTACTTTGGAGTTTCAAATGCTAGGCTCATAATAGCTACCACTTATTGTGCATTTGCTATCTTCCAGCCGTTTGTTGTCTTATATATTCCTAACAATTCTCTATGGATAGGCTCATTATCCCCATTTTAGAGGTGAAAAAAACCGAGGCTTAAAGGGGGCTCATTTGTCCAAGGTTATACAGTGAGCAAAGAGTGAGCCAAGATTTGAACTTGTCTGCCTGATGCTGGGGGGGTAAATGTTTTGGTTTAGCAATCGAAATGGAAATCTGAATGCTTTTCTTTTCACTTACTTCTTCTTACCACAATGGATATACCTAATTGAGTTATTGAGGGAATTCTCTTCTGCTAGTTTGCTCTACCTTTCCTGGTGAGGCTCAGCCAGGTTTTAAGCTTCTCTCTTCTCAGATATTAACTCCATTCCAGTAAGGTTAGTTCAGTTCAGAATGAAAATGAGTGATTGATTAAGCACCTACTATATGTAGGTCACTGTAGTAGACTTAGGAGATAGAGTTGTGTAAGAGGTTTCTAGGCTGGAAGGGGAACTGAGACCTGCAGCGAGTGACACCGTGTTATGAGTGTCTTGGAAGCTGGCGGAGGATGTGACGTGAAACCTAAAGCATAAACCCTCATTTGTTAAACTCCCCTCTACCTGAGGCTCCAGGTACCTGCTGCTGCTAGGAATTGATGGGACTTGCTGACCTCCCAGTTTGGTACTGGAGTTGGGATAGTGGGTACTTAGTCCTGTACTTCTTTCTGAACCTTGGAGTATTCATATGAACACACTTCCCCGAGGGGCAAGATGGAAGCCAAGTGCAACCGCAGCTTCTTGAAAGACAAGGTGCTTTGTCACTAGAATGAGATGAAGCCATGTTATGTGTCTTGTTGTCCGCATTGTGTAGTATTCCTGGCCTTCTGGGAATCTTTATATTGTGAGAGAAGGCACATCAAGTACACAAGGGGGTTAGAGTGAAAAAGGCTTACAGTTTTACTCTTAGGTTCATTAGGGGAATTTGTTGCACTGCATCTGCATGCCAGATTAGTCAAAATGTATGGGCCCTACTGGGGCCAAATTGGTGGCCTCTTTTTATTTTCTAAAATTAGTCCCCTTCAGTGGACACAGTTGGGCATATTTGCCTTGGGGACTGTGGACAAGAAGCAGCCAGGAATGTGCAGGTGGCAGCTGCTATAGAGAAGCTGCTGGTGGCCCCTAGACTGTGGGAAAAGAATTTGGCCTTTAATAAATGTAGATGCCTGTTTGGAATCCGTCTTTAGTGTAGAATGAAAATTTAAATGTATATATCAAGATGAGTCACCAAAAACCGTAACTTACACCTGATGATTACCTTAATATAAAGGATGTGGTGTTCCAAAGCATTATATGATTCCTTAAACATAAAGTCTAACTTTTGGTTGATGTTTGTCTGTCAGCTTGGTGAGAATATGAAAGTTGCATTTGGGAAAATGAATGTCCTACTGGTGGGACTTAGTATGTTGTTAGGGTCTTAACGGCTTCTCTAGAAAATTTTTTGAGGCAGTGTGAATTCCCTGGTGTGCTCCAAATCGAGCCATCCTGGGTAAATGTATCAGCTTCAAATGTCCTATGGTCCATTTCAGTCGAGTCCTTGTGCTAATTTCTTTCTGTTCACTTCTTTTGTTCACTCCGTGGACTAATTGTATTATGTAAAAAAAAAGTAGTCTGTGCCTCTAAAGCTAATATAACATGAGCATTATGCATTTAAACAGAAAATTATGCAAATGCAAAATTATGATGCATTTCATAGTCACACTGACTTTTTATATTTCTCATAACATATGTTAAAATATCCCATTTAACAGACACTATTATTACACAACATTTCTTGTGTTACAACAGTGTACTTAATGTAAGTAAAGACTAGAAATTATATCTATGATGAGGTGGAGGGGAGAATGAATCAGTGTTCTCTGATAATCTTTGCATTTGCTTTTCCTGATTTTTTGGTAAGGTTAAATTAATATCCTTAATGTTGCTTAGATACAGTTATTTCTGCCATTTTAATTTTATTTATAGTTCATCTGGTCTCAGCAATTTTTTAAATTGACCAAATTACATGCGTTATGTTTTGGTATCCTTAAAACCCAAACCAGGACAAAGTCCCATCAATCATTGTGGTTCTGTCAATAATTGTGGTCACATTTCCTCCTTTGTCAATAATTGTGTTCAGTAGAAAACCTGGGTATCTCCACTGTGCAGCACGCAGGAAGGATCTGACAAGCAGCAGCAACACAGCTAGGGGCGTCTCTAGCAGGAAGTCACGGGAGATTTCTAACGCAGTACGCCGCCTTGGTGCTTTAGTACCTTCTCCTGTGTAATGACACCCCAACATATTTTGGGGGAGAAAAAATGGCAGACAAAGAGAAGGAGTTGGCCACAGTCCCAAGAAAGGTACATGGATAACCTTTCTATTTATGTAGAAGTGGAGGGCTTGCTAAAATTCCAAGAGACATTTGAGCTCCTGTGTAAAACTCAATCTCTTAAGATGATTCCTTCATACATTTAAGGATTCTAAGGAGAAGGTGATTCCATAGATTTCTTCTCTTTAATAGTGCAGTGGGACCCCCTCCATCAGACAGTTTGGCCATCCTGCTGGCCCTGGCTTGCCTGCCAGGCTGTAGCATGTCACTCCCTCATTATTTTATGTGAATGAACACGGTCCGGCAGATGGAGGTCTGTTGATCTTTCCTATAGCATGAAGGTTGAAAAAGGCTCTAGGGGTTCCAGCAGGTGTTTCTTTCACTAAAAGGACAGGGATCAAATGTAAACTGTTCTTACGTAGGAATTTCTGCTTTAGGTTATTATTTGTCTATCAGTGGACTTTCTTATTTTTTCTTAGTGGCTGGGACAATGAAACTAGTAACAAGATTGTTCATTCTTGTTGCTGTTGAACACTTATTGGGCTATGCTTAGATTCAACAAAAATCTTAAAGCACCTTTAATTTTGTGGAGTCATTTCTGGCCATCTCTGAATTTTTAGGAACAGCAGGACATTTAAGATGAGTGTTTAATGATTATTTGAGTGAATTGGACACTTAAAATTGCACCAATAGGATAGAATTGGCTTCTGGTCTCATCACATGGCCCTGATGGACCTAACAATTTTGTTTCTTTTGCTTCCCCTATGAAATGAAGATGGTTGAGATGGGAGGATTCTTAAAGATTTTATAGCTCTAACATAATGTGATTCACGAATTTAGGTTTCATTGAAATCATTTGACATGGGTATTGAATACAAGCACAAGTGGATTTACCTTGAAGCTAATGAAGCGTAATCTTTAGAGGTCTTCCTTTCCAGGGGTCCCAATCCAAGGCCCTGGCCTAACTTTGTCTTAGTAATTTGACATTCTTTGCCTAGAAGAGCTTTGCCCAAATTATTTAAGCTTCCAGCCTCCCAAAACCTGTATTCATCTCTAGGCTACTAGAACATAAGCAGTGAACGTTGAGGTAACTGAAGGCTTTTCCCAGTAGTCTTTCCCACTGAGATGGTGAATAGAAAATCACCACGAAGAAGCATTAAGACTCCTTTGTAATATGTATCATCTGTCTGCCAATTTGTTGGAATCTAGTCAACCATGGATGGGCATTCAATATATATATGTTTTGACAAGTCACTTGGAATTAGAGGAATCAGATAATTAAAAGACATATCTGTCTCAGGATCTAGCAGAATGCCAACTTGAGACATTGGGGAAGATGCTTTGTACAAAAATGTATACTTTTTCATTTATTCAATGAATATT
This sequence comes from Homo sapiens, assembly GCF_000001405.40. Lineage (NCBI taxonomy): Eukaryota > Metazoa > Chordata > Mammalia > Primates > Hominidae > Homo > Homo sapiens. The sequence continues at coordinate 44,244,428 of NC_000023.11, read as the reverse complement.
TTTGAACACCTAAAACACGCAGGATGCTGGGATGATGGAAAACCAAAGTGAGGAAACTTGTCATTCAGCTGTGAGTCCAGAGCTTTGTGAACGTATGCAAATTACCCAGATAAATGGGATTTAAAGTTGGATCTTGAGCCAGAGTTTCCAAAAAGATGTATGTGGTGGTATAAAAGTCAGGCATGATGGAGTGGAAAAGTTCTCAGCTTTTATACACTAGATGGCACTGTGGGTGCAGAGGAAAGCTCTAAATTGGTTCTTTTGTTACTTAAATCTGTTGCAAAAATTATATGGTTGAGAAAACAACAGTGTGGTATAAGCCCTGTAATTCTAGGGGGAAGTGTAGAATGCAGTCCTAATTACTTTGAGATTCAATATGTGTCCTCTTTTGGTTAGACTGCTTAGATTGGTATGTAGAGTTGTATGTATATGTCTCCTGTTGAAAGAAACTCCTCAGGCCCAGATTTTTAAATAATCACATACAGCTCTCCTGCCATGGCTATGATGTTCTTCCTGAAATGAAAGACCAAACAGTGGTGTGTTAGATGTAATGGTTAGCAATGATAGAGTCTACTGCAATTCTGCCCAATTCCAAGATTTGAACTCTCCTCTTTATTTCCAAGACTTTTCTTTAAAATCACCATAAAAATAGCAATAGTTGAAGCTCACAAGTCACTTCTGTACTGGCACACTGGCTCCCCCCTTTCACTGAGTCACCTTTATAAACATGTCTGCTGTAAGCAGTCTCTGTTAGGATGTAACAATACTCTTTTGGGGATTGTTTTTGGGGAAATTTCACACAAAGGCTGCTAGGAAGTCTAAGGACATATGAAAGCTGAAAATGTTTTCAACAAGAGTTAGAAGTGGCCTCAAGCCCTTAGCCTTTTGATCATCAGTTAAAAAACAAAACAAAACAAAACAAAACAAAAACCAAACAACCACCTTAATATTAAGAGTTAGGTTATCTTGGATGAAAAATTGATCTCCATTTTCTCTTCCGGAGGTGTGCACTAAAATTTGTACTCTTCCTCTATGGGAACTTTGACAGTGGAAAAGGAAATATTTGCTTATGTAGAACTCCTTTCATACAGGATTGAAAACACCTATGTCATACTGAAGCTTGGGGAAGAAGTAGAAAATAGATTCTGTGGGAGTTTGTTTTGTTTTGTTTTAGGAAAGATGTGGCATCTTTTTTTGCCATTTATGTTGGGGACAAACACAGTGACTTGGATAGACCAGGTCAATATGTTCCTTGCTCTGGAGAGCACGGTTGCTTCTGAGATTGTACAGCCTCGCAAATGAGTACCTGAAAGCTCCTAGGCTATTACAAATATGTTACCAGCTCTCTCTCCACCTCTCTTTCCTCACAGATGATAAGTATATAAATAAAATCAACAGTATTTACCGCGTAGCACTCCCTTGGAGAGAGTAGGCAGTTGGCTATTTTAAAAGTTTTTTCTTTTTCTGTTTTGTTTGTTCGCTTCATTGCATTTGAGTGCAATTGTAGTCTTTTCTTGGGCTTAACAAAAGCTACCTGGGGCCGTGGCTGGTGAGAGGAAAGTTCTGTTTTGGTGTTTGTTTTTGAACTACATAGGGAAGTACTATGACCTGGAGTTACTTTGGAGGCAATGGAGGGTACTCAAATACAGGGTGCAGTAGGAGGAGATGGTGGATGGGGAAGGATAAAGGTGAATAGTCAGGAGTAAGTCCTGTTTGGAAAAGAATTTTATTAGTGAGTGTTGACTGAGATAGGAGAGGGCTAAATTACAGGTTAAAATGTGGAACGAGTGGCCTAAAGTTTCAAGTTTGAATTTTCATATTATTGGAAAAATCAGAGGAGAACAAAAAATATTCAGAAATGGGAATGTGATGACAAAATATAAACGTTTACTTATTTGACATAGATTCTTTTTTTTTTTTTTAACTTTTGAACCAATGGTGATTATTAAGTGAGTTCCATGGTTTTTGTAAACATGATTGAAAAGTACTCTCACAGGATTTTGCTGTTTTGTTTGAAAGAGTTTAAAATAGTCTACAAAGATCTCCATGTTCATCTTGAAAACATAACAAACCTTTCAAAACAGCCATAATCAGGGCAAAAAAAATATTGATGTTTTGTTTGCCTTTGTTTTGTTCTAGAGAACTTTACCTCAGTTTCATGCAAGCCTCCTTCTCCTCCTCCAAAAATAGAAAGGAAATTTCCACCTTACAACGGTTTTGGTTCTGAAGAGGATTCTCTCCGTAACTGCATAGACCTCAAGCCCACACCTCATCGGAGGAACTTCAAGAAGTTTATGGAAAAAGACAGGTGCTTGAGGGAACCATGATTTTAGTCTGATCTTTCCCAAATGTGTTTGGGGTTTATAACATAGTTCTCATGACGAAACAGATGTCACGCAGCTCATCTAATTGCAAGTCCAGGGAGACATTATTATAGGCTTTTAATGAGGTTGATTAACATGCACGTATTAACAGGTTCTTACCTGAGTGCTTATTTTAATAAGTATCATCTGGAGGCCCCTAAAGTAATATTATCTCTAGTCTATGTTGCCTTTCCATATCTATCTATATATCTGTCTCCCGAAAATAGGAAAGATGTAGAGTAGGAGTTAACAAGCTCTTTCTTAAAGGGTCAGATAGGAAATATTTTTGGCCTTGTGGGCCATACGGTGTCTGTCACAACCACTCAGATCTGCCTTTGTAGCGTGAAAGCACCACAGACAGAATGTAAATGATTGTGTGACTGTGTTCCAATAAGACTTTTTTTATGGACACTGACATTCAAGTTTCATGTAATTTTTACATATCACAAAATATTACTCTTATTTTGATCTTGCCAACCGTTTCAAAATGTAAAAACCATTCTTATCTCAAAAGTCATATAAAAACAGGTGGCCTGGTAGATTTGGCTCACTGACTGTGGTTTGCCAACCCCTGCTATAGAGATTTCAAGGATTTATACGTGTTTTTAAAAGTGTTATTTGGTGATTAATGTTGTTTTCACTTGAGAGGTTGGTTGAGTTCAGTAACCATAGGTTTCTCACTTGGCTGAATATAATTTTAAATGATGGACTTTCAGAAGTATTCCTAATAGACATGGAGAAAAACCTGCCTGTAAATCATGCATATAGAATGTAGACACTGCCCTCGGCTACTTTTTGCTTCTGCAGGGAGAGCAGGCCCTGGAGAAAGAAGTCAGGGGAAAAGTGGTGGGGAAACATTGTAGGTGCTTGAATAGGATGTGGGCTAAGGGTTACAGTCCTGTGTGAGGGAAATAATGGATAAGGAGATTCTGGGGAGAAGCAGTGATAAAGGGAATGTGGTAAGTCTAGGAGAAGGAGAAGAAAAAGACATCCTGAATTTCATAAAATTGATTGGGGTCAGGTGCTGTTGTAGCACATTTGAAGGAGAGAGAACAGTAGTTATGTTGTATCTATAAAAGTGGTAAAAATTGATTAAGAATTATATAGAATGTCTTAAAGTCTGCCTTTGCTATGACATGATGTCCTTTGTCTTTCTAGAAATAATCTTTTACTTTTAAGGATTTTAGGGTTCTATTTTTAAGTTTTAGATTTGATGCTTCTCAGGAGTGGTCCCTGTACTTTTTAGAAATGCTAATTATTGTGTCTCCCCCACCCCCAGACTGACTGAGATAGAAGCTCTGGGGAAGGGGCCCAACATTCTGAATTTTCTCAAGTCTTCCAGTGGATTCTGAGACACACCAGTGTTTGAGAACCACTGATTTTTATCACATAAGAGGGTTGCCAGCTTATACTCTGTCCTCCCTTATCGAGAACAGTGTTTAGGTGAGGTTCCAGGGTAGGACTTTTGATGGCTAACTGCTGTTTTTAAGGACAGCCACCCGAAGGAGGCGGGCAGGAAGAATGTCCCTATTGTAAAAGGAGAGGGAATTTTTCTTATAAGTAAACAAGATGAAATATTATCCAGGGTGTTGTTTCTGGAACCCAGGGGAAAACCGTTCTTTGTGAGTAGTTGACTTAGTCCCTCTTTCTGTCTACACTGGGTAAACTTGCCCACAGAACACTGACTGTAGATGGTATTCCATGTTCTTTTCATGTTGTCCTGGCTGGAGAATGGTAGTATAGGCACAAATGTCTCTCATTTTGTTCTTTCTGTCCACTGCTCAATCTGTGCCAGGAATACACTTTCCTCAAGCTCTTCTCACACAGGGACCATGTTTCCATAGTAACTAGCACATTCGGCTGGAGACTTATAGATGAGTTTGAATAACCCAAGGTTTTAAAACTGTAAGAACCTAAGGAAGATGATTTCACAAAGCATACAAAGAATAGTTTTTTAAAATACAAATAAACTGTGAATTGAGACATGGAATTGTACATGACACATTGATTATATATATATTGCTATTAAAAATGTACTTGGTGCTATTATTATGAGGTTAATGCTGATCTATGAGTCATTGGAGGGAATAGTTTCAGATTAAAGCATATGAGCTTTTGATGGATATAAAGATCTTCTTTATTATCTGGGTAGATATCACTGCGGTAGCCTGCTGGGCAGATTGTCTAGTCTGAGGAGGGAGAACCAGGATAATATCTTTCTTGCTGCACCAGGCTGAATTAGTTACTCTGTTCTTTGTGTGCCCACAGTACTCTGTTGATTATATTTCTAATAATAATATTACTACTATTACTGATTACTCATAATAAGCCATTAGTGGTTACTATGTGCTATGTTACAATACTTAATCTAATTTAATCATCAAATCCTTGGAAAGTAGATAATGTTATTGTACCCATTTTTTACATGAGAAAACTGAGGCTCAGAGAGGCCATACAACTTCCTCAAGGTGACACAGCTAATTTTTAGCTGAACTAGGAACTGAACCCAGGGAAATCTGACTTCTGGAATTTACCTGTCTTTCGACAGAACCTATACATATAACAGTGCATCTTAATGACTTGTTTATGTAATTTGTGGGCTCCTTTTAGACCAAGAGCTCCTTGAGGGCAGGGGCCAGCTTTATTGCTTCCATAAGAGTTAGTGCTGGCTATATATTTGGGGATCAATAGTTTGTCTAAGAAGAGAAGGAATGGATGAAGAAGTGAGCAAATAGAATAAATGTTCACTCATCCAGTTCTTAATCATGGATAGAAGAGACAGATGACTTCTCACCAGGAGGGTTATTATACCAGACTTGTGCCAGTCATAACCATATAGCATCCAAAAATTCATGGTTTAATCTTCATCTCTGTCTTGTTACAGATATTGTCCATCTGCTGTCCCCACCAGTCATTTTTTTTCTTCTTTTAAAAATGTTTCCCCATTAATAAAAATAAGCCTTCATGTGTGTTCCAACCATAAGACTCTATAGCTCTAGATATATTTGAGGTTTTTAGTAGGTGTATAGCCCTGGATGAGCCATTCATTATCTTAGTGAATAACTAGTTCTTGAATCCCTGCTGTGTGCCAAGCAGTGTTCTGGGTGTTTGTGATACATCAGTGAACAAAATAGACACCAAGGCCTGCCATCGTGGAACTTATATTCTAGTTCTGGGAGGTGGACCATCAATTAATACATAAGTAAATTATGAAGTATTTACAAGATGTTAAGTACTGTGAAAAAAATAAAGAAGGTATTAAGTTGCTGTGGAAAGAATAAAGGCAGATTGGGAGTATGGGGCTGAGGAACATTCCTGGTTGCAATTTTAAATAGTGTGGTCTTGATGGACTTTACTGAGGAGAGGAAATGTGCTCCAGGCAAAAGGAACAGTCGGTGTAAAGGCCCTGAGCAAGAAGTGTGCTTGGGATGTGCAAGGAGCATCCGGGAGGCCGACATGGATGGAGTAGATGAGTAAAGAGCAGAGCACACAGAGAGGAGATGAGAGTGTATGGGGGACTGGGTACACAGGGCTCTACAGACTGTTTAAGGATGCTTTTGACTTTGAGTGATAAGGGGGCCATTAGAAAATTTGAGCAGAGAAGTGACTTGAGCTGATTTTCTTCTTAAAAGAATCATTCCAGTGTAGTGTTGAGGGCAGACTATAGATGGCAGTGGTGGAAATTAAGACTGGGTAAGAAGCTACTGCAGTAGTCCAAGAGAAAAGTTTTGGTGGCTCAGATCTGGGTGAGCGCAGTGGAAGTGATGAAATTAATTAGTGGATCCTGGAATTATTTTGAGGGTAGGGCCAGTGGGATTCCCTGACAAACTGGATATGAAGTATGAAAGAAGTGAGGAGTTAAGATGACTCTCAAGATTTGGGCTTGAGCAACTGGAAGGGTGGAGTTGCCATCTACTGAGATGAGAAAGACTGGAGATAGGGTAGGTTTAGGGACAAGAGTAGAAGTTCAGTTTTAGAACCAGTTAAGTTTGGGATGTCTATTAGATATCAAGTGGCAATACCAAGTAGGCAGTTGGATACATGTGTGAGTATAGGGTTCAGAAGATAGGTGAATGTGGATGCCATCAGCATGTAGATGGTATTTAAAGCCATGATACCAAATTGTATTAAAGCCTTGAGATTGGATGAAATCACCAAGGGAGTGAATATACCTAGAGCAGAGCATGACCAAGGAATAAACTCTGGAACATCCCCAATTAGGAGCTTGGGGAAAAAAGGAGGAACCAACAAAGGAGACTAAAAAGGAGCAAACAAGGAGGTAGGAGCACAACCAAGAGAATGCTGGATCCCGGAAGCCAGTGAAGCAAGAGTAACACTGAAGGAGTGATCATTTGTGCCAATTGCTGCTGATTGGTTAAGTTAGATAGGCACAAAAAATTAAGCATTGGAATTGGCACCGTGGAGATCATTGTTGACCTCTACAAGAGCAGTTTAGGTAGAGCAAACCTAATGGAAATGGATTCAAGAGAAAATGGGAGAAGAATTTGAGGTAATGATTTTAGATAACTCTGGGCTGTATGTAGAAAAAGTTAAGACATGGCTTCTTGACCTAGGAACTTATAATTTGTTTGGGGACAACGGGAATAAACACATTTTTAAAACAACCATCCAAGAGTAAAAGTCTATATAGAGCTAAATTGGGTGTGGCCTTACAATTGATGCAGGAGGTATAAGTAGGTGGTCAGCTGGAGCATTGTGATAAAAAAGAATATTCTGGGAAGTTTGAAAAGTAGTTATTAGGGAAATATCTGAAAACATTTGCAGTGCTTCTCAAAGTATGCCCAGGGGACCACCTTATCAGAATCTTCTGGGGTGCTTATTAATAATGCAGGTTTCTGGAGATGTGAGCTAACTACTGAATCCCCCCATATCTCTGGGGATTGGACTCTGGATTCTATATATTTAACAAGCTCCCCAGGTGACTTTTATATATAATAAACTTTGTGAACTGCTATTCTAAAAGTTTTATTGAGTAGATTATATTCTCAATTGATGAGATCTCCAGAACACTAGATTTAGGTGAAAAAAAAAAGGCATATTGAACGTGTGAAAAACCCACACTTAACATGTACACTTATAAATTATAAGAAGTTAAATTTACAGTAATATTCCTTTTCCTGAAGTTAGACCTTCCTCAGTTGTTTCAGTGATATTTCTAGTATCTGAAATGTTATGGCTTTCTTGTGTGAGAGGGGCTACCAAATCTATTTGTTACATATAAATCCAATTATATACCAGAGAAGATGGTTGACAAGGCATAGCTTCCCCCCACACTATATGAGGTCTGTCTGAAGCCTGGAAACTGGGTACAGAGAAAACAGCCATGCAGACCTGGCTGCTTTGCTCAGGCTGTTCTGGGGTGAGCCTTCCAAACTGCTGCACACCGTCTCACATGGGGCCTCAAGCCTAGGAATCTTGGTGCTATCCTTTTTCAGCCCGGATTCTTGTACAGCCTGAGAAAGGAGCAGAGAAAAGCACTTTTTGCCTCTGCAAATCAGAAATACTTGGTTTATTTTTTAAATCACTGTGAACACAAGGAAAGAATGATTTTCAGTATAGGAGACCCTGCAAGGGAAGACTTCTCTGCTTAGAGTTGTGACAGAGGACATGGTTTATTCTCCTGTGTACCTCCCTGGGGTAATGATTTTAGTTATCAAAGACCTCTCCAAGGGTTTACTGTTTCTTACAAAGTCCACCTTTCACTAGCGGATATCCACAGACATGCTTCTGCTACAGACCATAAATCAATTTCTTCAGTGACCAGGCAATCAGCTTTGGTAACTTTTAATTCTATAATTTGATCCTATCTTTAGTCTACTAGACTATTCTATTTATGCATAGAATTCTGAGTGCAAATTCCAATCAATACAGATCTCATAACAATTTTCCATAAACATTTATTGAATACTTACAATGTAAAAAGTATTATATTAGATAATGGTTAATAAGACAATCTTTGTCCTTGGAAAACAGACTTGTAATGGCTTACAATACGAGTGATAAGCACTATTTAAAAAAAAAAAAAGGTGGGTCTATCATATTTGTTATAGCATTTGAAAAGGAAAAGTTAATTTTTCCCTTGAAGGAAGTTGGGGGGTTGCTGGGGAGCTGGAGGAGTGAGTCTGAGAGGGGAGGATGTGGGCTGGAAGACAGAAAAGTAAAGGGCATGAGACAGTGAGTGGTGAATGGGGGAGGTAGCCCCAGATACTGGCAGAGCCCAGGATTGCCCAGGCAGTAGGGCTAGGTGCTTGCTCTTCTTTCCAGCATGATTATTGTGATTGGTGACTAGCCTTGTCATTAGAGAACAGCCTGTTAGTGCAGCTGGTTTGAACAGTGTGTTTATGACGTTTGTTTTGGGTTCATTTTCCCAATGTGTTACCCAGGACATGTAAAGAATCAGAGATATCTTAATATACTGAGAAAATTCCTCTGCATTTAGATTTAGAACCTTAATTAGACGATGGTTGAACTCTTTCACTTTGGACAGTTTATGCCTACTATATTAAAGCCATATTATATCTTTTGCAGACTTTTAAAAACATAATATGTGGAAGATTACCTGTATAATGCTCTAACTCTCATTTCTCTTCCATTTAGCTATGGCTCCAAAAGCAATATACTCCGTTTTTTTGCAAAACTAGTCACAGACAAATGTGTTGACTTGGACAGGATGTTTGTTATTTCATATTATCTCGGTGATGACACCATTTCAGTGTTTGAACCTATAGAGAGGAATTCAGGTAAGAGATATACTCTTCACAGTATTTTCTTGAGAACATTTTAAGTGTCTCTTCATGTTGAAAATTAGGGAACATGATCTGATTTTGTAGCTTAGATTATCTACAATAGAGGCTTTATAAAAAAAAACCCTGAACAATAGGGTTCTTTTTACAGATCTCTTAAATGGGAACCTAAACATTTAAAATGATAGAAGTGGAACAGTTTTGGTTGGCTTAGGGCTGGGAGACCTGGGGTTACCTCCTTCTTGCCACTATCCCCACTTCCGCTGTGGCCTCTGAGGTACCTCTGTGGAACCCAAGGGCTTCAAAATCATGGTCTGAGTACCACTAGTTTTACTTGTATCCAGCAAGCCAAGAGGAAGTCTGTATTCTTGGTAGTCCTACTTACAACATTTTTGTTTGGCTGTAAGACAAGAATCCCAGATACACAAATTCAATCGTCAGGGTCCATCTTTATCTGGTCCTTCTGTCTGTTGAGGTTGTTGCCAAGGTTCCAGCACTCAGGCCCACAGAATGCCTCTCTGTAATATGCTGGTACCACTGTCATTGCTGAGGAGAGGCATTGACTTGCCCAATCATGGCACTGTAGGATCCTGTTCTTTGTCTCAACATGTTTAGAACTTTTATCAGTGCTGAAGACACGCATTTGGGAAGAATAATCAGTGATGTGCTGGTTAACTGGCTCTTTGAAAATATTTTAAAAGCCCTGATTTGTACTGTTTGCCAGTTTCCATGGTGTGAATACCCCAACCATGGCCAATTTCAAGCAGCCAAGAGTTTAAAAACTGGCTTGCAAAATCTCTGAAAATTCAACTGTCAGCTCCTATGAGCTGGTATGAGCTACTTAGCACACCAATGAGTAAGGAATAACTTGTATAACTAAGGCTCCAGAGTGATTTGAATAATGGATCAAATCTTAAAATATGAAATTGCCTAGGGATGAATATAAGTCATGCTCTTACAGGTCAAAAATCAACTCTATACACTTAGAATGGGGAAGATGTGGCCAAACAAGTTGCAGCATGTATGAAATAGAAAGGAGTGATGGTAGTCAACAACAAGCTTACTAGTAATCCTAGTGGCCATGATTGAGAACTTACTATTATCCTTACAAGGACTTTATGAGGTTAGGTTTTGTGTTAGTCCAGCTCCTCTAAGAAGCAAATGCCAAGACAGGATTAAATATGCAAGAGATTTAATAGGGGGAATGCTGGTGAGGGAAAATGTGGAAGGAGCCAGAAGAGGCTGGGAGAGCTGTCAGACTGTAGTGCAGTTCTGATGCTTGTGAAGCACAGAGGGAAGGAAGAAAGAGGGAGTCTTAGACTGCAGTGAAATTCTAAGAAAATTTCGACAAGGTTGACAGGGAGTCCTTGAGGCAAAGTTGCTAGTTGGAGGAGTCCTTGTTTTGTAGGAGTGAGCCTGTCTTACTGTCCCTGCCTTGCTCACTCATCTGTTGGCAGCAGCCTGTGGGAAGAGTGACCTCAACACACACCTGAAGATTGATTTAAGAACACAGCAGCTGGGGCCTTCCATCAGTTATGTTCCCCACTATAGGCGACCTGAGAAGTACATTTTCAGGGCCTCCACACATCTGATTCCCATTTTACCAATAAGAATTCAGAGAGATTAAATAACTCCTAAAGATCACCCAGCGAGCGAACAAATGACAGAGCTCGGAAGCCTGTGTCTTTTTACCACCTATCATTTTTGAATGTGGTAGGAGGAGTGGGATGAAGTGACCAAAAAGCTTATCTGGTCTCAGGCTATATTTATAGGTCTGTAGATTTCAGTTCAGTATCAGAAGATCCTGGAGTTCCCTGTTCAACTCTACTGGCTACTTTCCAAGAGGTCAAAACAAATAATGTCTAGAAGAGAACAGATGAAATGATGACAGTTCTGGAAAGTAAGAAATATGAGGCATTACTAAAAGAAGCAAAGGAATTTTACCTGTAGGAAAAAAAGACTTAAGGGGACTCCCATAGTTATCTTTAAACACTTAAGTAATCTCCTTTACAGAAGTAGGGCATTTGCTACCTAATCTGCACGTCAGATTAAGTATAAGACATCATCTGGGACAAATAGGTGGAAATAAGCACAAGTGAGGAATTTTCTAACTGGTACTGTTCAAACGTGCTCTAAAGATGAGTGCCTTCCTGATGTTCCACACTCCCAGTATGCTGCTGGGCATATATAGGAGGTCCTTGCCAAGTGTTTATTGGACTGGGAAGGGAGTAGACAGAGAGAAGAAAAGGCTAGAATTACACACCATTTTTTCTCTGTTTTTTCTTTTTTTTGTTTTTTTGAGATGGAATCTTGCTATGCTGCTCAGGCTGGTCTTGTACTGCTGGCCTCAAGTGATCCTCGTGCCTCAGCCTCTTGCGTTGCTGGGACTGCAGGCACATGCCACCATGCCTGGCTTTGCTTTTTGTCTTGAACATCCTCACCTAGGAAGTCTTATTTCTTCACTCACTGCCTCATTCTTCCCTTAAGTCCAAAAATAACAGGCAATATGAGTTCACAGGTAACTTATATGGTGGTCTGTGCTTGAAGATAAAGTAACTCTGAAGGCAAGTCACGTGGTTCTTTTAAGAATAAAGGCTGCTCATGAACTTTTCTATTTTTTATAGGAATTGCTGGTGGGATGTTCTTGAAAAGAAGTCGCGTTAAGAAGCCTGGACAAGAAGTCTTTAAAAGTGAACTATCTGAATATATCAAGGCCGAGGAGCTGTACATTGGAGTCACGGTGAATGTGAATGGTTACCTATTTCGTTTGCTCAATGCTGATGAGTATACCTTAAACTACATGGAGCAGAATACAGATAAGGTGAATTTACTTTGTATAATTCTTGACTTGCCTCTCAGCCCTCCGCAGTCTGTGTTTTTCTTTCTCTAGGGCCTTTTCTTCTTCATCTTGCCACCAGTTGTACATTGTGCATTCACACATGTGGGCATGAATAATGGATTCGTGTGACTTGGCCACATGTCCCATCACAGAGGCCAGGTTCTTGTCTACTCTGTTTACATGCTGGGTTCTCTTCTGCCCAGCATCACGGATTCCAGGCACAGGCAGGAGGCAGGGCCAGGGTTGAATCAAGTTTCCTGGGTTTTCTGCTGACGCTAACAATGTTTTCAGAAAGAAATTCAACAACTATAGGAAAGGAAGAAAAATCTGGTGCCACACACTGTGCCGTCCCAGTTAATTGGCACAGGCCAACAGAGAAGGCCAAGACCTGAACAAACAGAAACCTCAAGGGAACTGAATAGTTGCTGGGTTTACAACTTCCCATAACAGTAGCCACCTGAGGCCTAAATAAGGATTTAAGGATAAACTGGCAACAGTGAGCTCAAAGAGTTTTTTTTTTTGAAATAAGATGGCAGATGGGTACTGTTACTGCAAGTGCCATTATGGCAATGCTGTTCGGTAAAAATAACATATTGATAAAATCTTGATTTTAAATGTGGACTAGTTCGGTGTACAAACATGTTTATTTGGGAGTCATTGCCTAATATGGAAAAATCTATCTGGAAAATTTTATTTTAAAAGTTTACCTATAAGTGATAATATTTATGTGCCATTTATATACATACAGTGCCAATTTTGTCTCATTTATATATAAAATGGCTGGGGTTAAGTTGCTAAGATTGATGTCTCTGTGTACATCACATCATTCATATCAGTTTGGATCCTCTGAGAAGCAGACGCCAAGACAGAATGAGAAGTGTGAGAGATGTTGTGGTGGAAATTTCTGAGAAGGATAAAGGGGGAGGGGGCAGGAGTGGGCAGGGGGGACCTTCAGACCGGGAGGCAGGTTGAACCCCTATGGAAGGAGAGCGAAAGGAAGGAGGAGGGGTGGGTAGGGAGAGCCTCAGCTGACAACACAGCTCTGAGAAAGTCTCAACCAGGCTGATGGGGAGCCCCAGAGCACAGACTGCCCATCAGAGAGGTCCCCTGTCAGGCAGGAATCACCTGGTTCTAGTCCCCCTGCTGTGCTGTGTCATTGGGTGGGAACAGCTTGGGGAGAGTGTGGCCCCAGCAGCGACATTGCCTGTGAACTCTGTGTGAATCCGGAAGGTATGGCAGCTGGAGTCTGTCAGCCAACAATGCTCTTCTCCACAGGGTCTCTCTTGATAGGAGGCCTGAGAAGCGCCCTCCATGGCTGCCATGCCATCTCTCCATTTGTAGTCTTAGGGATTCAGGTTATCATAAAACCTTGAACCAGTAGCTATTCGAAAACACTGAATCTAGATGAGAAACTCAGTAATTGGGAGTTTAGATTTCTGGAGACCAGCAGGCCTGGCTTGGGAACCTGACTCCACATTAATAGCTGAGGGACCTTAGATATTGTATTTTTCCTGAACTTCAGTTTCTTCATCTTTGGAATGGGAGGAACAACAGTGCCTGTTTGATAGAATTGCTATGAAGATTAGATGTGATAATGTGTATGAAGCGCTGAGCTAACCATGAGGCCCATGGTAAGCTCAATCAGTGTTGCTATTGTAAATTAGAGTTCTATTTCTAATCAGAGGGTGAGCCTATACCTTAATATAAAATATATATAGCATAAATATAAGATATAAAGGTTTTTTTTTCCTTTGAGGACAATAAAAGCAGGGTAGGACATTATCTGGAATCAGCATCCCAAGTCAAAACTGCATTATTTTAAAACTGCCCTTAACAAAGACATTCTAAGCAGAGAAGGATTGCTATACTATTTAATATCAGCCTGAGGAATCTTTTCAAAAGAGCTAATAGATCCTGTCATGGAAATAGATGAAAGGAAATGCAAAAAAAGTGGGAGGAGTAGGGGTCTGCGATAGGTGCCAAACCACCTGGATCATTTTCTGGTGGGAGAGAGGGATCTTTAGACTAAATTGCCATCAATATTTTTATTTTAAAATTTAATCTCATTTTTGGTCTCTTACCTATAATTATTTACGACCTTATGTTTCACTGGATGCAAGAAGTATTCTTACCAAGTCAAAAAGCTAGTCACAGGATAAGAGACAGGAACAGTGGACGGCCCAGAGAATGACTGTGCGAGGGTTAGGGTGCTTGCGTGGATCTTTGATACCCAGCCTTGCTCTCATCAGTGCGTTGCCTAATGGACAGCAGTTCCAGGGGGACCCCATTCTAAAGATCTAGAGAAAATGGAGGGCTACTTATCCAGTTTTGAATCCCCATTTTCTCCATTAGGATCTCCCAACATATTGGGCCACTATCCAAGGGTTAGAGGGAGGAGGCTGAGATGGAAGCAGGGGTTGTTTTCTGATCTCTGTGGCCTGGTGTTCCTTAAGCTCATTTCCCTCAGAGCTGGGGCCTATGCTGATGTCAGCTGTTGTCCAGAAGCTTTAATTGAGGAGATACAAAGCTAGTCATGCCTTCTCGGTGTTGGTTTCTTTGCAAAGACAAATCTGCTAACTTCATATTCACAGTGTGAAGTCCCTTTGCTGGCCATCAGCAAGATTGGGCTCCTGAACTGTTAGGAATATTTAAATATGTTTTTCCTTTCATTTCCCCCTTACAGTATCCTTTCAGTAACCTCAAACTTGCCCTACAAAAGCTGAAGCAAGAAGAAGGAAAATCCAGAGAGCTCAAGCAGGTATTTAAAGCTGCTGACTCTAAGCACACAAATATGGTGGATTATAATACATTCAGGTAAGCCATATTCTGCTAACAATCACCTGTTTTCCCCTCAAGGTTGTCCAAAGAACAGAGAGAACTATTTCTTTCCTAATCAGTTAACTATTTTTTATTAGGAATTGGCATTTCTTTGAGTTTGTATTATTTTGTGGTAAAGTTTTGGCCACGAATACTCTAGTAAATGTTACGAATTTACATATAAAAGGAGTTTGTACATGAGAACAGAGGGACAAGAGCATAGAAAGTCAGCTGGTCACATTGTCTTATGAATCAGGAGGTTGAAGGATCAGCAGAATGCCAGGAATGATGCATCTGAGTGAGAAAGACAGAAAAAAGCACCGCTAAGAGCACGTCCTCCCTACCAAAATCTGGGGGACAAAGGAGGGACATCTCCAGGAATGTGATGAAGTTGGAAAATAGTAAAAACTTCACCGATTATCAGAGCAAAGGTGATATGTATGCATCTGTGTATACATGTGCTTACACACATATGTGTATTCTGAAAGACATGAAAATATAGGAATCGAGGGAAAAATATATGACAGTAGTTGGAAATATTATAACAAATCATGATTAAGATTTTCTCTAAGGTGAAGCTGAATTCTGGGACTATCCAGTGGCTGACCGAGGCAAATTTCCAAACAGCAGAAACACAGGGAAATTCAAATTCAGGGTCTAGTACAATCGTGAGACTTCTTAGGCTGAAAACAAAGTGAATGGAGCATTTAGGAGAATAAATTAAATCATGGATGGAGGACAAAGGGGACTTTCTCTTTAGGCTGAGAATTCTGGCTCCTGACAACGATAGTGGCTGAAAGCTATATAGTAAACTCCGCTTGATGCAGTCAAGATGTGGGCTGAGAAATGAGGAAGTGAGCCCAGGAGAGGGTAGCAGGGAGGTCTTTCCAACTTTGTGTCTGCAGTCGCCTATTGCATCACTACCTGGTGGCCTGGAGCCCACCATTAGGCCCAGAGTGTCCCAAGAGCTCATTTGTTGTTTTAACAAAGCTCTTTTGTGTCTCCAAAATGTTCTTTGGAGAGAAGCAGTCAGAGGACATATTTTTATTGTTTAGAATTCCCAACCTTCTGGGATCAATAAGAATTTATAGTTCTTTGTTATTGTTCATAGTCACATACACATGTTCATAGTGTTTTGGAAAATAAATGGAGACAGTAAAGAGCAGAGACAATTACACAGGCCATGGGCTAATGGAAGGCAGTGGAGGTGAAAGCAAGAAATTTCCATCAGAAATGAGGGAGTGGTTTCGTTTTATTATTTGTGTCCTTTTACAAAAGCATCCATTTTTCCAGCACTCGCAAAGTCTATTGGAAACACTTTAGTGAGTTTATAGGGCTTTTTGGGAAGCACTTAGGCCAGGCAGGCGATCCAAGGAGGAAAAGTTGCTTTGCAGATGGAGGCCTGACCCTAATTGTGGGTGGGATAAAGGGCCACTACGCTGTGATTGGAGGGGTGGCCTCAAGGAGCTGCATGCTCTAAAAGAAGGACCTCCCCGTCCCAGAAATTCCTTAAAATGAAACTCAGATCAGGTTTCGCCTGGCTTGAAAAATCCTTCAGTGGCTTGCCATTGTCCTCACAATAAGATCCAAACATTTGACTGCAGCCAGCAAGGCCTTGAGTGATGTGAGTCTGTTTGTATTTCCAGTGTCATCACCTCTTTTTCTGCAGCCCTGTCTTTTGGCCTTACTGACTGTCTTTCGGTTTCTCAAACACATCAAGCTCTTTCCTGTCTCTGAGCCTATGCACACCAAGTTCCCTCTGCCTGAAATGCAGTCACCACCATCCTCTGCATGGCACACTCTAGGACTCATCTCAAATGCCAACTCCCAGAGGGGCTTTCATTCAGAGGGGCTTTCTAGATCCTATCTAGAGTAGATCACCTGCTGTTATTCTTAGCCACTTGTTTATATTTTTCACAGCACTTAGCACAACTTGCAGTTATTTTATTTAGAGATCTGTTTACTTGGGGGTGGGGTATCTATGTGTATGTGCTGTGTGTGTCTTCTCCTATTCGAATGTGAGCTTTCTGAGGGTGGGGAACTCAATGGTGTTGTTCCCTGCAGCATCCCCTACTGCTGGGCTCAATACATATAGTTACTAAATGAAATAATGAACCACTAGAGTTGTTCCTGGGGGTTCTAGTTTGGAGGTGATGGCATGGCCTTCAAATGAGAGCGTAGACCAAGAGTCTAGATGTCTCAATCCATATGACATGCTTGGTGCCGGATGCTGAGCCCTCTGTGCTTGGGGCTGCTCATTTGTGCTCAGCCCACAAATGGTCCCTGCACCTTGTCTTCAGCCCCATCTTATGCTTTTCAAACTCTTTGAGCAAAGAAAAAGGAACTACATAGCCCGTGTCTATCACATCATACCCTAATTCAATTCTTTGCTCAGTGCTTTTACTAGCTAATATTTTCCTTTCATTATGTATGCGTATGTGTGTGTGTGTTTGTGTGTGTGTGTGTATTCTGACTCTCCTCATCAGAATATAACCTCTTTGAGGGCAGGGACCTTCTCTTTCTTGTTTTCTGCTTTAGCCTTATGACTTATTTCAGTGTCTGGCAAACAATAGGGTGTTAATAAATACTAGTTGAATGGGTACATTTTTTTTTTGTTTAGTGTTTAATATGCCTCAGATGAAATAATTCTCTGAGATAATTCTCTGCTTTTGTGTCTTTTGTGTTCTACCTTCTCTCTTTTCTCTTCTCCTTCCTTCCTTCCTTCCTTCTTCTTTTTCTTTTTCTTTTTTTTATTATACTTTAAATTCTGGGGTACATGTGCAGAACGTGCAGGTTTGTTACCTAGGTATACACGTGCCATGGTGGTTTGCTGCACCCATCAACCCATCATCTACATTACGTATTTCTCCTGATGCTATCCCTCCCCTAGGTCCCGACCCCCCGACAGGCCCCGGTGTATGATGTTCCCCTCCCTGTGTACATGTGTTCTGAATGTGTACATTTTATCTAGCCCTCACTGCTTTGGCTTTGACCTGTAGGCTGATTGTGTCCATGCTAGTTCTTCAAGCTCAGACCTTTCTCCTGAGCTATAAACCTGGAAACACGAATACCTCTGGGACGTTTCCCCCTCGCATGTCTCTTAGGCATCCCAGAAATAACTTTCCCTAACTTGACCTCATTTTCTTCTTTCATAAAGTAGCAGCTAGGAGACTGTATCCTGATAAAGGCCATCATGGGCATCCCCAAGAGTCCAGACCAGGTGTTGGCTTTGTGTCTCCCCTCTCCCCTCTCTCGACCTCTCCCACTCACCCTTTGGAATTATACGTCTTGAACTACCTCTGGGAACTTTCCCTTCTTTACATCTGCAGCTTCACGGTTGTAGTTCAGCTTTTCATCACTGTTTACTTGGACCCTCTGGAGAGCAGTGTAACTGATCTCTTTTTCTTAACTCTCATCCTGCAAAGTTTTGCCAGAGTGACCTTCCTAAACTCTGATCGGATCATTCTTCTGCTCTTAACCCTGCATCAGTGTGTCACATGAGTTTGCCTACCTTTAGCTCCGTATTTCCATCTCACTAGAAGAATACTTTTGTAGAAGCCACCATGTATTGAGCACTTACTGGGGGCTAAGCATCGTGCTAAATGCTTTATACCTACTCTTCACTGGTAGCCTCCTGTCAAGTTGTTACTTGTTTGCTTCCCTGCCTCCACATCAGCTCCTGCCAAGTGCAATAGATGTTTGCTGAATAATTTAATGAACGATCCTATTTCTCAAGGAACGTTCAGTCTAAAGCTTGCAGCAATCAAGTAAATAATTGATTTCCTTGCACCAGGGAAGGGCCATCTGGCTCTTACTTAGGGAAGTAAGGAGAAGCTAGGCCTGATCCTCACTAGCCAAGTAACTTGGGCAACTCACTTCACCTACCTGTATCTCACTCATTTGTTCATATATTGGTCTCTGAGGTCCCTTCTAGGCTCTGACAACTGGAAACTCTGAAAATGTAAGTTTATAATATTCTTGTAAAATGTTCTCTTTTCAAATTTGTACATTGAGATAGTAGAGAAGAGCAGAGGCAAGCAAAGGCAGGACTGCAGCATAGGCCTATGGGCTTGGCCTCTGTGGCCCTGACTCTCTTCTGCTTAGATACCTGGCACTCTCAGCATACACCTGGGGCTTCGGGGCCCAGACCTGCTGCTCTGGGCAGTGGTCCAAGCCCCCAGCATTGCCCTTTTTCTCAGAGATGTGCATCTCCTCTCAGAAAAACTTTGAGGGTAGGAGCTGATAAACTACCTCTGTATAAGGTGCCATGGTCAATAATGGATTAATGTGTGGGCCTCTCGGAGATATTTGCCTCAGAATAGACCTGATGGAATGCAGGGACAGGCAGCCATCAGGAA
This sequence comes from Homo sapiens, assembly GCF_000001405.40. NCBI lineage: Eukaryota > Metazoa > Chordata > Mammalia > Primates > Hominidae > Homo > Homo sapiens. The sequence continues at coordinate 44,225,287 of NC_000023.11, read as the reverse complement.
ACAGAAGTAGGGAATGGTTTTTGTTTTTTTTTTTTTTAATTTTTTTATTTGGGTAGGGAACATTTCTCTTTTGCCTTGTGGGAATTCACCACTTCTGCTTCTGTTTCATTGATCCTCTTTAGAATCTTTTTGGCATGGTCTATCAGATTCGCCTGTGAGAGCTGCTGATCGTTATCCAAGAGAGTGCAGATAACCTTTCTTAGAGCCTTAGGATAGATACCTGGTGGCAGTGGTGGGCAGATTTCAGCAGGGAGCAGGGCAGGGACTAAGCTTGGCAGGGCTAGTATTTCATGCAGTTGGGAACATAGGCAGGGTGGGGCTTCCCAGTGAGGGCCCTGGACTCTGAACCACAGGCAGCAGCAGCAGCAGCAGCAGCACTGAGAGCCCAATGCCAAGGAAGATGTGGTCAGTCCATCTCTCTGGCCACCTCCCTGAGCCTTGATCTACCCATCAGAGATGACACCTGGCCCCATGTAGCCTGTGTGTATTTTGGTTAGCTGAGTGCTTGTCTCTTCTCTCCACCTGGGGAAGCTCTCAGAGGGCAGGGCCCATGCCTGGTTCACTCTTGTGTCTTTCCCAGATGCCTCCAGAACCCAGTGTATCAGACCTCAATGAACATAGTGAATTATTACAGATTTTTTCTTCAGGTCCCCGTTATCAGTTGCAGAGTCAGTAGCTCTCCTGTGAACATCCATGTAATAAATTCCTTCTAAGATTTAGAACCTCAAGGAGATTTTCTCCCTTGTAAAACTAAAATTCTTCCTAAAAGAGGTAATATAATAGAAATAGTTCTTATCACTGGTTTTGGAGTTGGCAAACCCAGATCTAGCTCTTGGCTCTCTTGTTTACCAGCTTAGTGGCCTTGGGGAAGCTGCTGAATAATTTTTTCATCTGTAAAATGGGGATAGTAATACATAGGACACAGCTGTTGTGATGAATACATTTGATACTGATATTAAAATTCTTATTGTAGCTGACTAGTGCATGGTGGATACTCAGAAAGTGAAAATGCTTTATCCCAATAGTTGTGAACTGGTGTCACCAACAACAGTAATAGGAAGGTACATCTTGTTTCCAGTATTTCAATAAGCTTTATATTTACTCATGGTGGGGGTCATTCAAAACATTCTTTAATAAATGAGGTTGAAAGAGAAACTCTAAAAACTTGTAGGCCTTGAAGATGGAAAATAATAAACATCATTGTTGGTGGACCAAGGCTGGGAAACATTAATATAATCTACCCTATTGCTGTCCTTTACTTCACGGAAGCAAATTGTAAATTTAGTGCTTAGAACATGGTAATGATCTCATCCTGATTTATCTAGGACAATTATCTCTCCTTTTATATGGTTTTGCCCTATTTTTATTTGGACTACTCTGTGTACATTGCTATTGGTGTTTTTTATTGTAAGCAATCTAGCATCTTTTAAGGAAGCCACTAGTCTATGAATCTATATGAACAAAAGCAAAAACAAAGACAAATAAAATCCCAAAGCACTCAAACATAGGTTCTTATCATGAACTAAATAGATTCTTGGACAGTATTCATAGCCTGTCTTCAAAATGGAAATTTCCATATATGTTTTTGAAAACAGCATTTTGAACTTTCCTAAAAGCATTAAATATAAATAATGTGATGTTGTAGAAAGAATGCTAGCCTGGGAATCAAAAAGATGGAGATCTTTGATTTGATTCTGTCACTGTCTGGTGGTGGTGTTTGTATTGGTGAGGGCTTAGTTTTAAAAAGGAATATCCTCTCTGGCTAGTTAAGCAAAAAAAAAAGGAATTTATTAAAAGGAGCCTGGGTGGTTCACAGTGTCTTTGGAAGGGCTGGAGAAACAAGCTCAAGGCTGAACTATAGGAACAGTGCCCAAAACAGGGCTGTAGAACTTGTCTGATGAGAAAATGACCTCTGTTACCACCACCCATGACTCATTGCTGCACTTGCATTGCTGCCAAGAACTTGATTTTACCACAGCCATAACTACCACTATTTCTGGCAATCGTCCTTTACCACCCCTGAAGGCTGGGCTCCTTTGACACCAAACGTGGCCCACCCTGAGCTGCTTTTCTTCTGTTAATCCCTTCTGAGGCACAGTCTTAAGTAAGCTTCCCTGATTGGTAGAGAGCCTGGGTCACCTGCATATTTCTAACTGCAAGGAAGTCTGGGAAATTGAGCTCTGACCTCTATGTTGGGGTGGTAGGAAACTTACGTGGGAATTTCCCCAAATATAGAAAGGCTATTTAAAAGATAGCCTTTGTAGAAAGTTTCAGTTAGACAGGATGAATAAGTTCTGGAGATCTGGAGATCTATTGTACATCATGGTGACTATAGTGAATAATGATGTATTATATACTTGGATTGCTAAGAGAGTAGCTCTTAAATGTTCTCACCACAAAAAAATAAGCATGTGAGGTGATAGATATGTGAGTTAGCTTGAGTTAATTACTTCTAAATGTATACCTGTATCAAAACATTACATTATGTGCTGTAAATATATACAATTTTATTTGTCAATTATACTTTAATAAAGCTGGGGGGAAATTGAATAAATAAAAGATACCCTTTTCATTTGCCATGAATATTGCAGGGATAGTAAATCCAAACCAACATGAGCCAAACAGGGAACACGAATATATGTTGACAACAGGGACAAAGCACCTACCTAGTTTTAGTACTTTGAAAATATTGTTTTGACTCGCCAAGCAGCTAAACAAGAGGCAAAGCCCTCCCCTACGCTTGGCTACTTTTGCAATCTCTGATGAACTTTTCTGAGTTTCCATTGCCTTAAATGAAGGTATTGGATTAAAAACAGGTTTATAGGTTGAAAGCTGGCAGTTATATTTTGTATGGCTTTTGTTTAATGTTTTTAAAATTGGGAGTTTAAACCTAAGAATATATATATCTGGTGCCTCTTGGAAAATAGAAATTGGACCCACATTTCTCTATGGCAACAATCTTTTGGGGGTGAATGGCACTTGCCCTCCTTAGATAGAGCCTGTTCTCTGCATTTCTTCTCAGTTTCTACAAGTCCTTATTGTCTCACGCTAAGGCACTTTCTCCTATTTATCTTACATACCTACCCCAGTAGGTACTAGACTAGGTAATTCTTGGATTAGATCATATAAGGCACCTCCCAGACATAAAATTCCATTATTTTGTTACTCTAGGTATTGTGGAAATAGGCATTTAGGAATCACTGTATAAATAGTTCAAAATAGAACTGAAGACTAATTTTTTAAAATTAGAATCCAAATATGATTGTATACTTGGAAAATCCAAAGGAATCAATTTTAAAATGGTTGGAACTATTAAGAGTATTCAGGAAAGTAGCTAAATATAAGAAAGCTATATATAGAACAATAGCTTTACTTTATATCAGCAATAACTAGTTAAGAAGTGTTCTGAAAAGGGGAATACTATTTGCTGTAGCAACAAAAATGAAATATCTGGGAATAAATTGGACAAGAAGCGTGAGACTAAAATGAATGCAATTTTTAAACTTGATATCTCTGAATGGGAAGACAATATTGTGAAAATTCTAATTTTCCAAATTTATAGATTTGAAGCAATTCCAATCAGAATTGCACAGCAGGTTTTTGCTCTTGCTGTTGTTAGATTTGGTTTTGTTTAACAGGGTTAAGGGAGATAAATTGACTGATTGATTATGAAGGTTCATCAAGAAGAATAAGGGGTTGAGAATATCCAAGAAAATGTTGAAAAGAATATTAAAATGTAGATACTAGAAAGGTATATGATTTACATACATTTGAAAACATTTTCTAGCAGAGAAACAAAAATATCAGTGAAATACAGTGTAGAGTCTATAGAAGAGCTATTTTTATGAACTTTCGTATAAGTATGGAGAACATTTCAAATCAGTAGAGAAAGAATGGATTATTAATAAAGATTTGGTGACAGTCAACTAGAAAATGCCTTTATACGCTTATTTTGTGGTGGAGCACAGTTTCCAAAAGCCATAAAGGAAAGATTATATTGACTACAGAAGAATTTTATCTCTCTCTATGGCAAAAGCTATCACAAACTTAAAAGACAAGGGACAGACTAAGAGAAAATATTTATAACCAGTGTAAGAGCCAGGGGATTAACATTAAGTACTTAAGAACTCCTATAAAATCAACACACAAAAATGGATCAAAGGCAGGAATAGTTCACAGAAGAAATACAAATAGTCTTTAAACCTATGAAAAGATGCCCAATAATGACACAAACTGAAACAATGATGAAATATTATTTCCACTTACTATATTGGCAACATTTAAAAAGAATAATATAACTGACTCCAGGTGAACATGTGTGGTAACAGGTACTCTCATTTTCCACTGATAGGAGTTTAAATTGGTTCAGCATTTTGGAGGGCAATCGGCAGAATGTGTCTAATGTTTAGACTCTTACCTGGTAGTTGCACTTGTAGAAATTTTTTATTTGAAAAAAATTTGGACAGGTGGATTGATAAATATATGTGTATGTGCATGCACAATATTTATTGCAGCAAATTTTGTAATAGTAAACATTTAGAAAAATAAAATGCCCAACAATAGGGAAATAGTTGGATATATTCTATTGCATTAATTTCAGACAATATTTTTTAGCCATTAGAAAGAGGTAGACCACATAGGCATAACAGAAAAAATGTTTGATGTATCAGTTAGGATTGTCTAAGTAATGCTGCAGTAACAACAACCCCTGAACCTCAGGGAATTAAACCAACCAAGGTTTATTGTTTGCTGACTTTATGTATCCATTGTGGTTGTCAGGGGAATTTTGTTCATAGTAGCCACTCAGAGACTGAGGCTGACAGAATAGCCACTACCTTGAATGTTCGCAGTCACATTGCCATAAAGGAAAGAGAATTTTGGAGGGTCAAGTACAACAAATTCTTACTTGGCAAGAAATACATATCATTTACACTCTCAATTTATTGGCTAGCACTAGTCACAGGACCCCACTCATGTGCTCAGAAGAAGGAGGGAAACCAGATCTTGGTGAACAGCTATGAGTGGCTACCACATATGTGTTGTGCTGTTTTGTAGATAAAGCAAAATCCAGAAGTGTGTTAATATCCTACTTATGCCAAAAATGTAAAAGTTGTGTGTGCATGTATATTTATATAAATATTTCAAGGAATGTATATCCTTTGAAGAAATGCTAGCAGGCTACACACGAAGCTATTAGTGGAGTATGCTTCATTCCTTGATTTTTACTTTTTTTTACAATGAGCAATTATTTTTTAAAACTTCAATTTAAATAAAATAAAACCCAAACAAATAAAACCAAAAAGCCTGGGAAAAGAGCTTATGGAACAGTTTTTCAGAAAGAACATTTTTTATTTCTTGCTTCAGTTTCCAGAAACAGCTAATGGCAGATGCTGGCAGAATGTTCTGAGCAAAAGTCAAGAGGCTTGGAATCATAGAGTAGCGCACAGGTTGCTGTAGTTGGTACTCTACCTACTCTGATTATTGACTACAGTCACATAATTGTAATGTGCTTACTTAAAATTCTTATTTTAGGGGCCACAATATTTTATGTTTCTGCAATTACAAAGTTTCAGAGGTTTAAAGTTAAGTTTTGAGATGAAATAGTTTTTATAATTTTCAAATTCCTATCAAATTAGCATGTTTTACCCATTCATTTTCTCCAACATTTTATGAAAATTTTAAAACATCCAGAAAATTTGGCAAGATTAAACAGTGGACACCCCATATATCCACCACTGTGCCATTAACCTCTTAACTTTACTTGCTTTGTCACACATCTCTCCATTTATACATTCTTATATCCATCTATTAACCCATCTTAATTTTCGTGCATTTCAAAGAAAATCATAGACATCAGTTACCTCCCTCTAAATATTTTAGCATGCTTACTATTTATTTATAGTTTTTCTTTTGATGTGAAATTTATGTTCAATAAAATGCACAAACTTTATACATTTGCTGGGTTTTGACAAATGTACGCTTGTGCAACCCAGATCCCTACTAACACATAGAACATTACCATCACTCCAGAAAGTTCCCTCATGCTCCATCCTAGTCAATTCCTGTGCACATCTGCCATTCAAGAGGTAACTACTGTTCTGATATATATTTTTTTCACTTTAGGTGCTTTTTTTTTTTTTTTAACTATAGGTGGTTTTTCTCTGTTCTAGAATTTCATATGAACGGAATTATACAGTGTGTACTCTTTTGTGACTTCTTTCGTTCAGTATGATTTTGAGATTCATTCGTATTATAGAGTGTATCACTAATTCCTTTATATTACTGAGTAGCATTCAATTGTATGAATATACCACCATTTGTTGATTCATTCCCCTGCCAAAGGGTACCTGGGTTGTTTTCGATTTGGGGCTAATATGAATAAACCTGGTCTGAATATTCCTGGCACAAATATTTTTGTAAACATGTGTTTTTATTTCTCTTGGTTATACCTAGGAATGGAATTGCTGGGTCATACATAAAGTAAGTGTGTGTTTAGTGTTTTGAGAAACTGCCAGACCTTTTACCAAAGTGGTTGTATCAGTTTACATTTCCAAGTCCACATTGTCAGTCTTTTATGGTTGTTGCTTTCTGTGATCTGTTTAAGATGCCTTCGGCTGGCTCAAAGTCGCCTAGGATAGTCTCCTATGTTTCCCTCTAATAGCTTTATGGTTTTAGCTTTCGCTTTTAAGTCTATGACTTATCTCAAATTAAATTTTGTATATGGTGTGAAGTAGGGATCAAGGTTCATCTTAAATTCTTAAAATGCTTATTTGGAATTCTTATATTATGGGCCAGCATATTTTATATTAAAGTAAAGAAAAAAATAATTCTAGAGCTTTAGAATATAATTTTGAAATGGAAGAGTTTTCATAATTTTCAAATTCTTATTTAATTACTGATGTCTTACCCATACTTTTTTTTTCTTATTCTATGGTATAGTTTTGACTGTTAAAATATCAAAATCTCCTTTGCAAAGGAAGCTAAAATACTGGCCTTTTATGTTTTCTCAAATCTTATAGTTTTCAATAGTTTCCTTATGTAATACATTCGTATTTCTTAAAAATTGAAGTATTCTCACTAAAATAATATCTTAGTTAACTGAGGAATGCTGGATACCAATGATCTTATTAACTGAAAGAAACTGTATACTACACATATAGTGGATTATATTTTCCAAAGATTGCTTCAACAGTATCTCCTATCCAACATGCTCCCCTATAATGTGAACTTGACCCTTCTTCTTCTGAGGGATAGGGCTATGTCATTTCCCCTTGAATCTTTTTTAATTTACAATTTCTTATTTTTGTGGGTACATAGTAGGTGTATATATTTATGGGATACCTGAAATGTTTTGATACAGGCATGCAATGCATAATAATCACATCATGGAAAATGGGGCATCCTCTTAAGCATTTAACCTTTGTGTTACAAACAGTCTAATGACACTCTAAGTTATTTTAAAGTATGCAGTTAAATTGTTATTGACTATGGTCACCCTGCTCTGCTATCAAATACTATCATTCATTCTATTTTTTTTTGTACCCATTAACCATCCCCACCTGCTGCCCTCCCCTCTCCCCCACTACCCTTTCTAGCCTCTCTGATAAGCATCCTTCTACTCTCTATCTCCATGGGTTTGCTTGTTTTGACTTGTAGATCCCACAAATAAGTGAGAACATGTGATGTTTGTCTTTTGTGCCTGGCTTATTTCACTTAACATAATGAGCAAATTTCATTCTTTTTTTTTGACTGAATAGTACTCCATTGTGTATGAGTACCACGTTTTCCTTATTTACTTACCTATTGGTGGACACTTAGGTTGCTTCCAAATCTTGGCTATTGTGAACAGAGCTGCAACAAACATGAAAGTGCAGATATCTCTTCGATATACTGATTTCTTTTCTTTTGGATATATACCCAGCAGTGAGATTGCTGGATCACATGGTAGCTCTGTTTTTAGTTTTTTGAGAAACCTCCAAACTGTTCTCCACAGTGGTTATACTAATTTACATTCCCACCAGCAGTGTACAAGGGTTCTCTTTTCTCCACATCCTCTCCAGCATTTGTTATTGCCTGTCTCTCGGGATATGAGCCATTTTAACTGGGATAAGATGATATCTCATTGTACTTTTGATTTGCATTTATCTGATGATCAATGATGTTGAGCATCTTTTCATATGCCTGTTTGCCATTTGTATGTCTTCTTTTGAGAAATGTGTATTCAAATTTTTTGCCCATTTATAAATCATATTATTAGATTTTTTCCCTATAAAGTTGTTTGAGCTTTTTATATATTCTGGTTATTAATCCCTTGTCAGATGGGTAGTTTGTAGATATTTTCTCCCATTCTGTGGCTTGTCTCTTCACTTTGTTGATTGTTTCCTTTGTTGTGCAGAAGCTTTTTAACTTGATGTGATCCCATTTGCCCATTTTTGCTGTAGTTGCCTGTGCTTGTGGGGTATTACCCAAGAAATCTTTGCCCCGACTGATGTCCTGGAGAGTTTCCCAATGTTTTCTTGTAGTAGTTTCATGGTTTGAGGTCTTAGATTTAAGTCTTTAATACATTTTGATTTTATTTTTGATTTGATATGGTGAGAGATAGGGGTCTCATTTCATTCTTTTGTATATGGATATCCAGTTTTCCTAGCACCATTTATTGATGAGACTATCTTTTCCCCAGTGTATGATCTTGGCACCTCCCTTGAATCTCGAGTGGGCTTGTGACTCATATGTAACCAATAGAATATGACAGAAGTAATGCTGCGTGGCTTCCGAGGCCAAGCTAGAAAAGATGCAGGTTGTGCATTGTCTGCTGTGACACTTCCCTTTGGAGTCTGAGCTACTGTGTGTGTAAGAGGTCCTGCCACCTTGAGGCTACTATGCTATGAAGAAGCCCAGGCTACACGGAGAAACCAACCACATGTGGGTGGTAATTTGATTGAGAGCCCCAGCTGATATCTCAGCTAATGGCCCTTGTCAGGCATAATTCAAGCCTCCAGTTATAGAATCTTCCAAGTTAAAGCTCCAGACATTCTTCTGTGCTCTGTCTGAATTGCTCACTCTCAGAAACCATGAAAATAGCAAAATGGGTGTTATTAGCTGTTAATTTTTAGGGTAGTTTGTTAAAAAGCAATATTAACTGGAACAGCATACATCAATGCCTTCCAGGGAAATGAAATACTGAAACTATACTGCATTCACACGAAGTATTTAATTTTTGGTTATTTGGAGAACAATTTGATATCCTTTAGTGCCTCAAGGTCATGGCTTTCCAGTTTTTTAAATGCAGGGGTAGAGAAATCTCATGCCACATCTTGGAAGAATCTCTTGTTCAAAGACCTTCCCTTGTCATACATATAATTAAAATGCAGAAATATGTATGTATGTGGATATATATAGATACATACACACGTTGTGTGTGTGTGTGTGCACGTCAAGATTCTTTGTACTTGTGTCTTCCATCTGCAAGAACAGTAGGGAATCTCTTCCTTTCACCTGAATTCAGCCAGGTGAGGTGGAGGCTTTTGTGAGTTTAGATGTGTTTTCCATCCAAAGAAGATGTGGTCTCCTTTTCTAAGACCACATTTGATTTTTAAAATTTTAATTTAAATTATATTCATATACAATAAGATTCACTTTTTTGGTGTACAGTTCTGGTTGTGATGCCTTCCTAGAGTTGTGTAACTGCCACCACAATAAAGATACAAAACAATTCTATCACGCTGCCTTCCCCCTTCCAACACCCACCACCCCCCCCCAATGGAAGTATGCTTTCTCTTGAGTAAACACATAGGAGTTGAATGTCTTGATCATATGGTAGGTGTATGTTTAAACTTTGTAAGAAACTATCATTTTTTTGTTTTGTTTTAGAGGTTTTCTACATCTTTCATTAGATTTTTCCCTAGATATTTGATATTTTTGGTGCTATTGAGTGGCATAATTTTTAGTGGTTGCTCTAGAGTTTGCAATATACATTTACAACTAATCCGAATTGTATCAGTCAGTTCTCACAGTGCTATGAATAACTACCCGAGACTGGGTCATTTATGAAGAAAAGAGGTTTAATTGACTTACAGTTTTGCAGGCTATACAGGAAACATGACTGGGAGGCCTTAGGAAATTTACAGTCATGGCGGAAGGTGAACGGGAAGCAAGAACCTTCTTCACAGGGTGGCAGGAAAGAGAGAGAGAGCAAGCGGGGAAGTGCCACATGCTTTTAGACCATCACATCTCTTGAGAACTCACTATCATGAGAACAGCATGAGGGAAATCTGCCCCCATGATGTAATTACCTCCCACCAGTTCCCTCTCCCAACACTGGGGATTATAATTCAACATAAGATTTGGGTGGGGACACAGAACCAAACCACATCATAAGTTCAGTTTCAGATAACACTATACTAGCTTCACCAGTAGGCAAGTACTCCTTCCCCCTTCTCTTGTATCATTGCTGTCATTCATTTCACTTACATATAAGCATACATAAGTATAAAACCATGCATAATCAAATACATTGTTGCTATTATTTGAACAAACTTTTATGATAGATCACTTAAGAATAAGATAAATAAAAGCTTTTACTTACCTTCACTTACTCCTTCTCTAATGCACTATCTTTCCTTATGTAGATCTAAGATTTTTACCTAGAGAATTCCTTTCTCTTCGAAGAGCTTCTTTTAACATTTCTTGCAAGGCAGGTCTACTGGCAACAAACTCCCTCCATGTTTGCTGAGAAAGTCTTTATTTCTCCTTCACTTTCAAAGGAAAAATTTCACAGGATACAGAATTTTAGATTGGTGGTCTTTTTCTCTCAACACTTTAAATATTTCAGTGTACTCTCTTCTTGCTTGCATGGTGTCTGAGAAGTCAGATGTAATTCTTACCTTTGCTCCTCTATGGGTAAGATTTTTTTCCCTGTAGCTTCTTTCAAGATATTTTCTTTAACTTTCATTTCCTACAGTTTGAATGTGAAATGCCTAGGTGCAGTATTTTTGTTTTGGTTTGGTTTTGGTTTGTTTTGTTTTCGGCATTTATCGTGTCTGTTGTTCTCTGAGTTTCCTGGATCTGTGATTTGGTGTCTGACATTAATTTAGGGAATTTCTCAATCATTACTTATTCAAATATTTCTGCTGTTCTTTTCTCTCTTTCTTCTCCTTCTAGTATTCCCATTACCTATTTGTTACACTTTTTGTAGTTGTCCCACAGTTCTTGGATGTTCTGTTCCATTTTTTTTGTCAGTCTTTTCTCTCTTTGCATTTTGGTTTTGGAAGTTTCTTTTGACATAACCTCAAGGTCTGAGATTCTCATCCATGTCCAGTTTACTACCCCATTGAAAGTATTCTTCATTTCTGTTATAGTTGTAAACCAAAAATAAAATTCAAAGCCCCCCACCTCATCTGGATGGATCCCTCCTCTCAGCAAGGGTATCCCTGAGGGACTAACTTGAGGGACTAGTTCAGGCCATGATGAGGGGCAGGGGTCAGACATACTTCATTATACCCTCTTCCCTTTTGGAATTACTGATAGAACATACTCTTCAAGTCTGATGAGAAACGTGTACAATCTATTCTCTCTGAAGCCTGCTACCTGGAGCCTTCATCTGCATGATAAAACTTTGGTCTCCACAATACCCTATCATTGTAACCCAGACATTTCTTTCTATTGATTCAGGATCTTGAGATAATAACGTACCTCTTTGAACTAATTGCCCATCAGAAAATTTTAAAATCTACCTATAACCTAGAAGCCCTCGCCCTTTGAGTTGTCCTGCCTTTTCAGACCAAACAAGTATATCTTACATGTATTTGATTGATGTCTTACGTCTCCTTTAAGTATATAAAACTAGGCTGTGCCTCAACCATCTTGGGCATATGTTCTCAGGATCTCCTGGGGGCTGTGTCACGGGCCACTGGTCACTCATATTTGGCTCAGATAAATCTCTTCAAATATTATAGAATTTGACGCTTTTTATCGACATAGTGTTGTTGATTGCTAGCATTTCTTTTTGAGTTTTTCTTAGAATGTCCATCTCTCTGCTTACATTATTCATCTATTCTTGCATATTGTCTAATTTTTCCACTGTAACTCATAGCATATTAATTATGGTTGTTTGTTTTAAATTCCTGGTCTGATAATTCCAACTTCTCTGCCATATCTGAGTCTGATTCTGATGCTTTGTATTTTCAAACTTTTTTTTTTTTTTTTTGCCTTTTAGCATACCTTGTAATATTTTGTTGAAAGCCAGACATGATGTACTGGGTGAAAGGAACTGTGGGCCAGGCACAGTGGCTCACACCTGTAATCCCAGCACTTTGGGAAGCCATGGTGGGCGGATCCCTTGAGGTTAGGAGTTTGAGACCAGCCTGGCCAACATGGTGAAACGCTGTCTCTACTAAAAATAAAAAAAAAATCAGCCTGGCATGGTGGCTCATGCCTGTAATCCCAGCTACTCCGGAGGCTGAGGCGGGAGAATCACTGGAACCCAGGAGGCAGAGGTTGTAGTGAGCCTAGGTCGCGCCACTGCACTCCAGCCTGGGTGATAGAGTGAGACTCTGTCTCAAAAAAATAAATTAAAAAAATAAATAAAAGGAACTGTGGCAAGTAGGCCTTTAGTGATGTGATGGTAAGGTGTGGGGGCAGGGAAATATTCTCTAGTCCTCTGATTAGGTCTCAGTCTTTTAGTGAGCCTGTGCCCTTGGACTGTGAAGTACCCTCAGTTCCTCCCCTCCCCTCCCCCTACTCTAGATGGGACCGGATGTCTGGAGGGGACTGGAGTCACGTATTTCCCTTCCCCCATGTGGATGGCTAGAGCAGGCTGCAGTTGAGTGTTACCCTTACCCCAGGTTGTTAGGCTCTGATAAAACCCCAGTAGGTCAGGCTCGTGGTTACTTTGCTACTCTCTCTGCCAGAAGTCTGAGGACATATTTTTTAATAGTCACTGTGAGAACCTGATGGAGATCGTGGAGGTAAAATTCACTTAAGTGCAGGCTCGCCGCCCAACCCCCCTCATCCACTTTGACTGGGCCGTCTACAGTTTTAAAAGGCATTAAAATTTTTTTTGTTCTTTTTTAGAAGTGGGGTCTTGTTACATTGCCCAGACTGGATTCAAACTCCTGGGCTTAAGCAGTCCTCCCACCTCAGCCTCTCAAGTAGCTGGCATTACTGTGTCCTGAGACCTCAAGAGTTTTTATCCCTCAGGCATATCCACATTGAGCCTCCAGCATTCCAATTACAGTCCAGAGTTTTCTACCTCAGTACTGGTTCCCACAGAGGTTTCTGCTCCAGTAAATTGTGATTCTCTGTATGTTCCTGCTTGTCTGTCTAATTTTGGGGACAGTGATTTGCCCTGTGACTTCACTTCTCTGACAGATCTAAGAAGAGTTCTTGATTTTTCAGTTTGTTCTTTTTTTTTTTTTTTTTTTGAGAGGGAGTCTTGCTCTGTCGCCCAGGCTGGAGTGGCGTGATCTCGGCTGACTGCAAGCTCCACCTCCCGGCTTCACGCCGTTCTCGTACCTCAGCCTCCCCAGTAGCTGGGACTACTGGTGCCCGCCACCACGCCCAGCTAATTTTTTGTATTTTTTTTGTATGTTTAGTAGAGACAGGGTTTCACCATGTTAGCCAGGATGGTCTCGATCTCCTGATCTCATGATCTGCCCGCCTCGGCCTCCCAAAGTGCTGGGATTACAGGCTTGAGCCACTGAGCCCGGCCAATCTTTTTTTATTTTTTCTTTTTTACTTCCCAAACTGTTTTTTGTTTGTTTGAGATGGAGTCTCACTCTGTCGCCCAGGCTGGAGTGCAATGGTGCGATCTCAGCTCATTGCAACCTCTGCCTCCTGGGTTCAAGTGATTCTCCTGTCTCAGCCTCCCAAGTAGATGGAACTACAGGTGCACACCACCACGCCTGGCTAATTTTTGTATTTTTAGTAAAGATGGGGTTTCACTATATTGGTCAGGCTGGTCTTGAACTCCTGACCTCAGGTTATCCACCCACCTCAGCCTCCCAAAGTGCTGAGATTACAGGCGTGAGCCACTGCCCTGGCCTCCAAACTGTTTTTTAAAGTAGTTGTATATTTTTCTTTTTTACCAGGAGTCTTGGAGAGTTCTAGTACCTTTACATGCTTATCACCCTCGATATGGTCTGTCTTTTAAATTTTAGCTATCCTAATAGCTGTGTAGTAGTATCTCATTGTGATTTTGATTTGCATTTCCCTAATGATTAATAATGTTGAACATCTTTTCTTCACTTATTTGCCATCCATATATCTGGTGAACTACCTATTCAAGCCTTTTGTCCATTTTTAGTTTCTCTTATTACTGAATTTTGAGAGTTTTAAAAGTATGTGCTGGATACCAGACCTTTATCAGATATATGATTGCCAAATGTTTTCTATTTCTCTGTGGATTTTATTCTTTTAAAAGTGTCTTTCAAAGAGCAAAAGTTTTAAATTCTGATTAAGTCCTATTTATCAGTTTTTGCTTCTATGGATTATGCATTGGTATTGTATCTAAGAAGTCTTGGCCTAATCCAAGGCCACACAGGTTTCTTTTCTACTGTATTTTCCTCTAGAAGCATTATCATTTCAGATTTTATATTTAGGGCTATGATCCACTTTGAGTTAATTTTTGTATGGGTGTGAAGTATTTGTTAAAAAGTTTTGCTCGTTTGCACATGGATATGCAATTTTTTTTAGCATCATTTGTTGAAAAGACTATCCTTTCTCCACTGAATTGCCTTGTTGAAAATCAGTTGTCCATGTAGGAATGGGCCTATTTCTGGACTCTATTCTGTCCAATTGACGTATTTGTCCATTTTGATACCAATACCGCATTTTCTTGATTACTGTAGCTTTGTAAGTCTTGAAATCTGATAGTGTTAGTGCTCCAACTTTGTTCTTCTTTTTCAAAGTTATTTTGGCTCTATACTGGATCTTTGTATTTTCTTTTGAACTTTGGTATCAGCTTGTCAATTTCTATAACAAACCCTGTTGGGATTTTGATTGAGATTGCATTGACTCTACAGATAAATTTGGAGACAATATTGAGCCTTTTGACTAATGAACGTGGTATGTCTCTCCATTTATTTTGGATTTCCTTTATCTCAGAAATGCTTTATAACAGTGGTCCTCAACCTTTTTGGCACCAGGGGCCGGTTTCATGAAAGACAGTTTCTCCATAGGCCCAGGTGTCATGGCTGGGAGATGGTTTCAGGATGATTCAAACACATTACATTCATTGCACAGTTTATTTCTATTATTATTACATTATAATATATAATAATTAATGTAGAATCAGTAGGAGCCCTGAGCTTGTTTTCCTGCAACTAGAGGGTCCCATCTGGGAGTGATGGGAGTCAGTAACAAATCATCAGGCATTGGATTCTCATAAGTAGCGTGCAACCTAGATCCCTCGCATGCACAGTTCACGAAAAGGTTTGCACTCCTATGATAATCTAATGTTGCTGCTCATCTGATAGGAGGCAGAGCTCCGGCAGTAATGCGAGCAATGGGGAGTGGCTGTAAGTACAGATGAAGATTCGCTTGCTCTCTTGCCCACCCACTGCTCATCTCCTGCTGTGCAGCCCAGTTCCTAACAGGCCACGGACTGGTACCAGCCCGTGGCCTGGGGGTTGGGGACCCCTACTTTATAGTTTTTAGGGTATAGTTCTTGCACATCTCGTGTCAAGCTTGTCACTAAATATTTTATTTTTGATGTTTTCATAAATATAATGTTTTAAAATTTAGTTTCTTATTGTATATTGCTAATATATAGAAATAAGATTGATATTTGTATATTGATCTTATATTCTGCAACATTGCTAAACTCATTTATTAGTTCTGGTAATTTTCCTTTTTATTCTATCAGTTTTTCTACGCTGATGGTCCTGTCGTCTGTGAATAAAGACATTTTCACTTCTTTATTTTCAGTCTGGATTCCTTTGATTTCTTTTTGCTTGCTTTATTGCACTGGCTAAAAGTGCCAATATGGTGTGTTTTGTCACATGAAAGCTTTAAATTTTTAATTATACTTGAATTTGTCCATCTTTTCCTTTATGGGTTTGTGAATTTTGCATTCTGTTTAAGAAATTATGTATGCCCCACATATATGAAGATATTCTTCTCCATTTTCTTCTAAAAGTTACAACATTTGCCTTCCACATTTGGGTCTTAAATTAATCTAAGATTAATTTTTGTGTCTAGGTTAACACACACACACACACACACACACACACACACACACACACACACACACACACACACACACACACACAGATTGCCAATCAACCCAGTATCATGCATTGTCTGTCCTTTCCCCAGTGGTTTGTACTGATACATCTGACATATGTCATGGACCCATATCCATATGAATTGGTTTCTAAGCCCTCCAATTTTATTAAGTTTGTTTGCTTGTCTATTCTTAAATCAGTATTATCTGTTTTCATTTATTACTATAGCATCATGATATGTCACGATGAAATATAAGCAGGGTAAGTTCTAATTTTTCTTCAGATTTGTCCTATTTGCAGACTTTTAATTTTCCATATGAACTTTATGACCACTTTTTCTAGCTCTATGAAAAGGTGATTGTATTTTGATTGGAATTGTGTTGAATTTATACATTAATTTGAGGACAGAAATTTTTCACAAAAATTTTAGATTCAGAAGGTACATGTGCAGGTTTGTTACATGTGTATTTTGCATAATGCTGGGGTCTGGGCTTCTACTGACCTTGTCACCCAAATAGTGAACATAGTACTCAATAGGTAGCTTTTCAACCCTCGCCTTCCTCCCTTTCTCCCCCTTTTTGGAGTCCTCAGTGTCTATAATTTCCATCTTTATGTATGTGTGTACGTTTTGTTTAGCTCCCACTTACAAGTGACAATATGTGGTATTTGATTTTCTGTTTCTGCATCAATTCACTTAAGATAATGGCCTCTAGCTGCATCCATGTTGCTGCATAGGACATGATTTCACTCTTTTATTTATGGCTGCAGAGTATTCCATGGTGTATATGTACCACACTTTCTTGCACTGATATGTTTATAAAAGTGGTATTCACAATAACCACCTCATAGAATCAACCTAGGTGCCCATCAACAGTGGACTGGATAAAGAAAATGTAGATTTCTTTTCCTTTGGGTAGATACCCAATAATGGGATTGCTGGGTTAAATGGCAGTTCTATTTTTAGTTATTTGAGAAATCTCCAAACTGCTTTCCACAGGAGCTGAACTAATTTACATTCCCACCAACAGTGTATAAGCATTCCCTTTTCTCTGCATCCTTGCCAGCATCTGTTATTTTTTGACTTTTTAATAGCCATTCTGACTGGCGTGAGATGATATCTTATTTGATTTTAATTTGCCTTCCTGTGACAATTAGTGATGCTGAGCATTTTTTCATGTTTGTTGGCTGCTTTTATGTCTGTCTGCTTTTGAGAAGTGTCTGTTCATGTTCTTTGCCCACTTTCGAATGTTGTTGTTGTTGTTGTTGTTGTTGATTTAAGTTTAGATTCTGTATATTAGTCCTTTAGTCAGGTTCATAGTTTGCAAATATTATCTCCCATTCTGTGGGTTGTCTGTTTACTCCATTGACAGTTTCTTTTGCTGTGCAGAAGCTCTTTAGTTTGATTAAGTCCCGTTTGTCAATTTTTGGTTTTGTTACATTTGCTTTTGAGGTCTTCAATATAAATTCTTTGCCTAGGCAAATGTCCAGAAGAATTTTTCCTAGGTTTTCATAGTTTTAGGTCTTACATTTAAGCCTTTCTTTTTTTTTTTTTTAGAGACGGAGTCTCACTCTGTCACCCAGGCTGGAGTACAGTGGCATGATCTCAGCTCACCGTAACCTCCGCCTCTCGGGCTCAAGCAGTTCTCCTACCTCAGCCTCCTGAGTAGCTGGGATTAAAGGCACATGCCACCATGCCCAGCTAACTTTTCTATTTTTGTGGAGACGGAGTTTCACCATGTTGGCCAGGCTGGTTTTGAACTCCTGGCCTCAGGTGATCTGCCCACCTCTGCCTCCCAGAGTGTTGGGATTATAGGAGTGAGCCACTGAGCCCAGCCACATTTAAGTCTTTAATCCATTTTTAGTTCATTTTTGTATATAATGAGAGTTAGGGATCCAATTCATGTCTAGCCAGTTTTCCCAGCACCATTTATTGAAGAGGGTGTCCTTTCTCTATTGTTTATTTTTGTCAGCTTTGTCAAAGATCAGTTGGTTGTGGGTATGTGGCTTTATTTCTGAGTTCTCTATTCTTTTCCATTGATCTATTAGTACGTGCCTATTTTTTGTACAAGTACCATGCTGTTTTGGTTACTATAGCCTTGTAGTATTGTTTGAAGTTGGGTAATGTGATGGCTCTGGCTTTGTTATTTTTGCTTAGGTTTACTTTGGCTTTTGAGGCTCTTTTTTGGTTCCATATGAATTTTAGAAATGTGTTTTTTCTAATTCTGTGAAAAAAATGACATTGGTAATTTGATAGGAATTGCATTGAATCTGTAGATTGCTTTGGGCAGTATGGATATTTTAATGATGTTGATTCTTACAATCCATGAGCATGGGATGTTTTTCCATTTGCTTGTGTCATCTATGATTTCTTTCAGCAGTGTTTCATAGTTCTACTTGTAGGGGTATCTCACCCTTTGATTAGGTGTATTCCTAGGTATTTTATTTTTTGTGTCTATTGTAAATGGGATTTCATTCTTCATTGGTTCTCAGCTTGAATGTTATTGGTGTATAGAAATGCTACTAATATTTGTGCAGTGATTTTGTATCCTGAAACTTTACTGAAGTCATTTTTCATGTCTAGGAGTCTATTGGAGGAACCTTTGGAGTTTTTTAGGTGTAGAATCACATTATTGGCAAACAGAGATGATTTGACTGCCTTTTTCCCTATTTGGATGCCTTTTATTTCTTTCTCTTGCTTGATTGCCCTGGCTAGGACTTCCAATACTATATTGAATAGAAGTGGAGAGAGCGGACATACTTGTCTTGTTGCAGTTATTAGGGGAAATGCTGCCAACTTTTGTCTTCCTGATGTAAGCCTTTAGCACTATAAACTTTCCTCTGAACACTGCTTTTACTGTATCCCACAGGTTTTGGTATGTTGTGTCTCTGTTTTCATTTGTTTCAAATAATTTTTTGCTTTAATTTCATTGTTTACCTAAAAGTCATTCAGGAGCAAGTTGTTTAGTTTCCATGTATTTGTGTGGTTTTGTGAGTTCCTCTTGGTACTGGTTTCTAATTTTATTCCACTGTGGTCCAAGAAGATGCTTAGTAGAATTTTGATATTTTTGAATTTATTGAGACTTATGACTGAGCACGTGGTCAATCTTAGAGACTATTCCATGTGCAGATGAGAAGGATGTATATTCTGTGGTTATTGGGTGGAGTATTCTGTAGATGTCTATTAGGTCCATTTGGTCAGAAGTCCAACTTAAGTGCAGAGTTTCCTTGTTAGTTTTCTGCCTCAGTGATCTGTCTAGTCCTGTCAATGGGATGTTGAAGTCCTCCACTATTATTGTATGGCCATCTATGTCTTTTCTTAGGTCTAGTAGTAATTGTTTTATAAATCTGGGTGCTCTGATGTTGAGTGCATATATATTTAGGATAGTTAAATCTTCTTGTTGAATTGAACGCCTCATCATTATATAGTGCCCTTCTTTGTCCTTTTTTAATGTCGTTGGTTTAAAGTTGTTGTTGGTTTTAATGTTGTTGGTTTTATCTGATACAAAAATAGCTACCTCTGCTCTATTTTGTTTTCCATTTGCATGATAGATCTTTCTCCATCCCTTTACTTTGGGCCTATCAATGTCATTACATGTGAAATGGGCCTCTTGAAAACAGGAGAAGGTTGGGTCTTGTATTTTTTTTTTTTAATCTAATTTGCCATTTTATGTCTTCTATATGGAGCGTTAAGGCCATTTATATTCAAGGTTAGTATTGATATGTGAGGTTTTGTTCCTATTGTAGTGTTGTTAGCAAGTTGCTTTGTAGTATCAATTGTGTAGTTGCTTCATAAGGCTCTCGGCTTTATACTTATGTGTGCTTTTGTGGTAGCAAGTATTGTTCTTTCATTTCCATGTTTAGAACTCCTTTAAATATTTCTTGTAGACTGGTCTGGTGGTGATTAATTCCCTTAGCATTTGCTTGTCTGGTAAAGACTCACCTTCGTTTATGAAGCTTAGTTTGGTGGGGTATGAAATTCTTGGCTTGGATTTATTTTCTTTAAGAAGGCTAAAAATAGGTCTCCAATCTAGGAGGTCTACTGTTAGTCTGATGGGATTCCCTTTACAGGTAATTTGGCCCTTTTCTCTAGCTGCTTTTAAAATTTTTCCTTATGTTTTGACCTCAGATAGTCTGATGACTATTTGCCATGGGAGTGGTTGTCTTGTATAGCATTCTGCAGAAGTTCTCTGAATTTCTTGTATCTGCATGTTGACCTCTCTAGTGAGATTGGGGACATTTTTCTGAATTATAGCCTCAAATGTTTTCCAAATTGCTTGCTTTTTCTCCTTCTCTCTCTCGAATGCCAGTAAGTCATAGGTTGGGTCACTTTACATAATCCCATATTTCTCAAAGGTTTTATTCATTTTTAAAATTATTTTTCCTTATTTTGTGTGACTGGGTTAACTTGGAAGACCAGTCTTTGACCTCTGAAATTCTTTCTTCTACTTGATCTAGTCTATTGTCAAGGCTTCAAACTATATTTTGAAATTCCTGTAGTGAACTTTTCAATTCCAAAAGTTCTGTTTGGTTCTTTCTTAATATATCTATTTCATCTATTTCATCTGTCATTTCCTGGATCATTTTTCTGTTTTATTTGTGCTGGATTTCAACTTTCTCTTGGATATTGTTGAGTTTCCTTGCAATCCATATTTTGAATTCTTTATCTGTCATTTCAGACATTTCAATCTGGTTAGGATCCATTGCTAGGGAGCTAGTGTGATCCTTTGCAGGTGAGAAAACACTCTGGTTTTCTGTACTGCCAGAGTTCTTGTGCTGATTCCTGATTCCTTCTCATCTGAGGCTGTTGCTGCTTTTTTTTTTTTTTTTTTTGGGTTTGCTACCATTTCAGAGGGCTTTCTAAAAATTTGTTATTCTTTTTTCCTTTGAGGGTATGACTGTGGTGTATGTTGTGTGTGATTGATTGGCTTCATTTCTGGGTGCTTTCAGGGGGCAAAGCTCTGTACAGTTTCCTTGGTTGCAGATAGGTTCTGTGCTGTGGCTTTGTCAGATGCTGCTTATTGTAGCAATGCATTTTTGTTTGGTGGTGCAGTTCAGGCTGCAGTACAGTAGATGGTGCTTAAGAGTAGCAGCCAGTAGGTAGGTTGGTGTCCAGGTGGACGCACCTGCCCTGATGGTGGTGGCAGGAAGAGATGATGGTGTGCTAAAGTCTTGGGGGACCAGGCTTGGTGGCTCACACCTGTAATCCCATATTTTAGGAGGCCAAGGTAGGAGAATTACTTGAGGCCAGGAGTTCAAAGCCAGCCTGGTTAACATAGTGAGACTGAATCTCTACGAAAGAAAAATTTAAAAATTAGCTGAGTGTGGTAGTGTGCACCTGTAGTTCCAGATACTGGGGAGGCTGAGGTGGGAGGATTGCTTCAACCCAGGAGTTCAAGACTGCAGTGAACCATGACCATATGACTGCATTCCAGTCTGGGCAACAGATCGAGACTCTATCTCAAATAAAAAAATGAAGTCTCAGAGGCGGGTTTGGGGAGTGCACCAGCTTCTTGTCTTAGACCAGCAGGAATCCATCTATTTTCTTATCATGTCACTCTCAAGGGCTCACGACCTGTTTGTAAAGGTTTTGTCCTTTGGTTCTATGCCACTGTGTGGCTGTGGGCCGTGAATCCACCTTTCTGATGGCTACCATTAGAGTGGGGGTCAGAGCAGAGCCTATTCCCACAGTCCAGGGAGGGTAACTCCGAGGTCTGTCCTTCATTGCTAGGGCACTGCCATTCTGTTTAGGGAGGGGGAGTTGGGCCTTACACTTTGTGCAAGCACAAGCAGACACGGGCTTGCTTTCAGTGGGGTTGGAGCTGTGGGAAAAGTGTGACAAGCACTTTCTTTCAGTGTGAGCTCACTTTCAGCAGGGGTAGAGCTGCTAGAAAAGCATGAAAAGTGCTTTCTTTCAGTGTGCTCTGACTTTCATTGGAGGTAGAGCTTCCAGAAAAGTGTGAAAATTGCTTTCTTTCAGTGCACATTCACTTTCAGGGGGAATGGAGCCACCGGAAAAGTGTGAACAGTGCTTTCTTTCAGTGCATGCTCATGGGGCCCTGGTGGGGAGATCTGCTGCTGCATCTCCAACAGTTACTGGGAGAGGGGTGAGAGATGACCCGTCTCTCCATATCTGTTCCCAGGCATCAGTAATATCCCCTTCAGCAGTTGGTACCACACCCATCATTCCTTTGTCCCAAAGAATGCTTTGGTGGGCTGTGCTCCCCTCTCCCTTAGGGGCAGCCCACAATGAAATTAGATCTCCAGGGGACCTACTGGTCCCCTGTGCTTGCCAAAATTATAGTGGGTTCTGGGGTATGTTTGTGGGTTGTCTGGTGGTGCAGTGGCTCAAATGCAGAGGATCCCTGGGCACGGCAGTGACACCACATGTGCACAGCTGGTGTGGTACCCTCCATCTCAGTTTCAGTCTGAGAGTTGTGTGGCATGGCTGCACAAGCTGGCCACCTGATTTTGGGGACATAATTTCTGTCACTTTGAAATAGAAACTTCTCATCCATAAATATAATGTATCTTGTTTTATAATACTTTATAGTTTTATTGTTATTGTAGCTGGTATATTTACTTTAAAATTACATTTTCTAGTTGGTGGTATGTATGAATGCTATTGTTTTCGTTTGTTTGTTTGTTTTTTGTTTTTGATGGAATCTTGCTCTGTCGCCCAGGCTGGAGTGCAATGGAGCGATCTCCGCTCACTACAGCCTCCGCCACCCGGGTTCAAACAATTCTCTGCCTCAGCCTCCCGAGTAGCTGGAATTACAGGTGCCCACCACCACGCCCGGCTGATTTTTGTATTTTTAGTAGATACGGGGTTTCACCATCTTGCCAGGCTGGTCTTGGACTCCTGACCTTGTGATCCACCCGATTATGTTTTGTATATTGATCTCATTTTATTTTTTGAATTCTCAGAGTCTGTAGATTCTTTTGGATTTTAATTTTGGACCATATTATATAAACTATAAATAATGACAGATTTGCTTCTTCCTTTCTAATCCTTATGATTTTTTTTTCTATTTTTATTATATTGGCTAGGGCCTACAATGCAACATGTGAGTAGTAATAGCAGATCTCCTTGTCTTTTTCCTTACCTTACAAAAGATATTTTTACTAAGTACTTAGCTTATTATGAGTTTTTGGTAGATGCAGATATTTTCTTTAGGATTTTCACATCTTTATTCATAAAGGAGATAGGTCTATACTTTTTCTTTCTCATACCACCTTTGTCCATGTCAAATGTGTGTTTTATAATTGCTTCATAAGATGAGTTTCAGAACATTCACTGTTTCTTAAAGCAGCTTGTAAAATGTAGGTATTGTCAGTTTTTTTAAGGTTTTGTGTAAGTTGTCTGTAAAACCATATGGCCCTTCCTTTTTTCAGTGGGTAGATTTTTAATGATTCACTTCCTCTAATACATTTTATTCCAGATTTCTATTTCTTCTTGAGTTGGTTTTGAAAATTATGTAGCTTCTAGAAACTTTCCCATTTCACCTAATTTTAAATTTTTTATAACCTTTTTAGTCCTGTTACTGTTGATTTGTACCTTTTCAAAAAATCAATTTTACTAGAGTTGTTTTTTAGATTTTTTTAAACAACCAAATTTTAACTTGTTAACCCTCTTTTTAAACTTTGTTTTCTATTTCATTAATTCATCAATTTGTATTCTTATTTTTATCATGTTGTTCTTTGTACTTTTTCTGTGTTTATTTTCTAACTTCTTGACTTGAATATGTGTTTCACTGATTTTCAGTGTTTCTTTTCTAAGAAATGCACTTAAGGCTTTAATTTGCCTTCTGAGTATTACTTTAGCTGTGGTGTATTTAGTGTTTATTATCCTCCATATATAAATATTTTCTAGTATTATTTCTTTTTTGACCAATTAGTTATTTAAAAGTTTGTTTTGACATTTCCATATGTGTATGAAGTTACTCTCATTTGGTTCTTAATTTCTCTTTTTATTACGTTTAGTTAGAGAACATTGTCTGCATCTTCTTAATTCTTTGATATTTAATGAGACTTGCTTCATAAACCTGGGAATTAAGTCTTAATTTCTGCAATGCATGTATTTTTCTCTTACTTTTGAAGTTTAAACGGGTACATAATTCTAGATTTAACTATTTTCCTTTGATCTTTTGAAGATACTCTATTGTCTTTTGCCTCCATTGTTGGTACGTCTCTTGTTAATATAATTGTTCCTTTGTAGTCATAAGCCTTTATTCCCTCTGGCTGTCTTTCTTTGTTTTTGGTGTTCTGCAGTTTTATTACAATGCATCTTGGGACTATTTATAATTCTTCAGTTTGAGAATTATTCTGAGCCATTATCTCTTCAAATAACTTCTCTTGTTCATTTTGCCTGTTTTCCTTCTCAAACTCTCAACCTGTTCTTGTTATCTCTTAATATCCTGTCAAACTCCTCTTTTTTCTCCATGTCTTTTGATCTTTCATTCTTTTCATTTATTTTTCATTCTGTGCTGCTACATTTCTGGAATTTTCCTTAAATCTCCCATCTAGTTCATTGATTCAGTGACTCTGCCTTCTTATTCTTTAAGTACTATTTAATTGTTGTGTTTCATGTTTCCATCCTTTTCCGTAGCATCTTGTTCTTTTCTTATGGCTTCTCTGTGTTTTATCTCTTTAATAATTTTAAACATCATAATTTCATGGTTCATTACTGATTTTTGTTCTATTGTCCCAAATTCATGGAATGCCAATTTTTCTGTTATATCTGCTGACTTAGGGTGGATTGTTTCCTTTTGTTTTCTGAGCTCATCTTAAATTGGACTTTCTTCCTCCACTTCATTGTTCCTTTGTTGCTTGGGTTGACCATTTAGAGTAGTTTTTAAAAAATCTTTTATTTTGAACTAATTGTAGACTTACAGAAAATTTACCAAACTAGAGTTCCCATATTTCCCTCACCCAGCTTTTTCTATGTTAACATCTTACCACAGTGTAATTATTAAACCCAAACAATTAACACTGGGACAGTTCTACAGACTAAAAACTTCATTTGAATTTTACCAATTTTTCACTGTCATTTTTCTGTCCCAGGATCCTATCCAGGATCCCACATTGCATTTAGTAGTTGTTTCATGTTAGTCTTCTGTGGTCTGTAACAGTTCCTCAACCTTTCTTTGTCTTTTATGACCTTGATACTTTTTAAGAATAGTGGTCAATTATTTTGTAGAATGTTGTTCAATTTGGAGTTGTCTGATGTTTTCTCATAGTTGGACTGAGATTATACACTTTTGGAAAGAATACCACAGAAATGATGTTGTCTCCTTCTTAGAACATCATATCAAGTGGTTCATGATGTCAGTATGTCTTACTACTGGTGATGTTGGCCTTGATCACTTGATTCAGGTAATGTCTGCCAGCTTTCTCCATTGGAAAGTTACTATCTTTCCTTTTGCATTTAATAAATACCTTGAAAGAGACACTTTGAGACTATGCAAACCCTACTTTTTCTCAAACTCACCTGCTAATTTTAGCATCTGGCAATAGAACTCTTTGAGTAATTTTGATTTTACCTTTCCAGGCTAGCTTATAAACTGGTCTAATTTCATGTTAATTTTGATGTTAATTAATTGCCTTGGAACATGGATTAGTCAATTTTTTTTGTTATAAAGGAATACCTGAGGCTGGGTAATGTATAAAGAAAAAATGTTAATTTTGGATTATGGATCTTCAGACTGTACACGAAGTGTGGTGCTAGCATCTGCCTCTGGTGAGAGCTCAGGAAGCTTACAATCAGGGCAGAAAGCAAAGTGGGGAGCTGGCATATTACATGGTAAGAGGGAGCAAGAGAGAGAGTAAGGAGGTGTCAACTTCTTTTAAACAAGCAGATCTCATGTGATCTCAGAGCGAGAGCTCACTCATCACTGAGGGGATGGCGCTGAGCCATTCATGAGGGATCTGCCTCCATGATCCAAATCCCTCCCACCAGGCCCCACCTCCAACGCTGGGGATTACCTTTCAATGTGAGATTTGGAGGGGACAAACATGTGAACTGTATCAGAGCTTTATATAGTAAGTGGGCAAAATAAATTTATACTCCAAATTCTTATTAGGTGGAATATTGGCTTTGATTTCTATCAGATAACTTATTTTTTTTATACCTAGAGACTCAGCAGAGAAAAGCCTCATTGTCATCTCTCTTGTCCAATGGGTAGAATTTATTAATTCTTTCACTTCACTTGCAGCCTTTTACAGTTCTAGCTTTATGCATAGGTTTAATGTGTAGGAGTTCCCAATTGCTACTCTCCTGGACTGGAGGTCTTGTCGTTTGTGCCCTGGTGAGTGTTAAAAAATCTAAGCTCTTACCTGCTAAAGGGTTTGATCCCACTTCCTCCCCACCCCAACTACCTCTCATCCTGCTGCCACCTATTAGCTTGTTCATCTTCCTCTCTGGCTGTCAGCTACCTCTTCGCGTTGGTACCTGGGGACATTTCTCTCTGTTTTCACAAGCTCAGCCAGGAGTGTGAGTTTTAATTGCTGCCTAGTCTACCATTTTGCCATGCACAATCTCTCTCCCATGCCATAAGACTCTCTAAAATTACACTGGGGAAAATACTGACTAGACACGTTATTATTAGGGAATGTCACTTTATTATTAATACCTATGCTAAACTGGATTTGGCTGTGATCGTATAGGCCTAGTTAAAATCAGTTCCACTATTTAAAAATCTTAATCACGCTTAGGCTTCTCTCTTTCTATTTTTGAAGCACATCCATTCTTATAACCTTGAATTTTATGGGACGCTAGAAAAAATTATTGGCATTTTAGAATAAATAAATCATATAATGTTGTGCCAAAACAGATAGAGTGTTTCTTATGTTTCTAAAGAGTGGAAAAAGGACCAACTCTTTTTCTGGGGTTTTATATATACATATATATTTATATTGTGTTTATTTTATTTCTTTTTCCATGATTATATTCTTGTGGAAATGAGGAAATCATTAACAGTGAAACTACTGTTTCATCCAAAATACAGTGTTCTAATGGTCTGTTTTCTAAATGAAGCTTCTATGAATAAAAGCAAGGCCGCTATATAGCCATTTAGTTGCTAACAAATGACCTGGTTAGTGCCACCCATGATTTCTTCTTTAATTAGATTGCAAATTTTGTGTTTAAAAATGGGAGCAGTAAGTAAATGCTAATTTGTAGTTCCTCAGAGGGAGAATTGTGATGTAAAAATTAGGATATAAAATGAGAGGATACCGCAGGGCAGGAGGGTAATGGCACTTGGGCCACCATAGGGCAGGCCCTGCCAGGCTGCTTTTCATTCAAGTAAATTTTGCAACTCAAAGTACTGGGTATGGAAGGCGTGCCACATAGTACAGTGTTTAATCATGTAAGTTTATTCTTTCTTCATTCAATAAACATATATTGTGCATGTGCTCTGTATTGGGTCCCATGGTGGATGACAGAGGCTCAGAGGTGAATGAGCTGCCTTTTGGGAGTGCCAGCCTCATCTGTGGCCTTGGACTGCTGGTTCTGTGCTGCCAATCTGGGTCACTCTCTTCCCACACCATTTTGGAGGGGTCTCTCCTTTGCTGTCCAGTTTCTTCTGCCTGCTCCTGAAGACATGAACTAAATTATATTTCTTCTCTTAAGATGTTCCTTACCACTGCAGCTCAGAGTAATCCTTGCCTCTTTGAACTCATTTTATTTATGGCTGGTGCTACCCAGCATATCTTTTTATTCCCACATGCATGTTAGTTGGAGAATAGATGGATGAATGAATGAATGAATGAATGAATGAACGAACAAAGGTGGTGCCTTTTGTTTGGATTCAATTTTCACTCACTTAATAGGATCATATTGACAGGGCATTCCTAGACTTATTTTGACCTTTCTTGAAGGATGATTCATTCTACCACTTACTAATAATTATCATAAAAGCTAACATTTATATGCTTGCTGCTTACCATGTGACAAATGTTGCACTAAATGCTTTCTACATATTAACTCATTTACTCCTCACAGCAATCCTACAAAGTGGGCACTATTATTATTCCCATTTTGCAGATGAGGAAACTAAGAAGCAGAGAGGTTAAGGAATGTACCCAGAATTACATATTAAGTTGCAGAGCTGGGATTTGCATCAGGCAGTCTAGCAATTTCATCATGAGTTATGATTTAGAATCAAACTAGCTAAGGTTGACAATTCATTCTGCCTCTCTAATGCTTCAGGTTCATCATCTGTGAAATGAGAATCATTCAATGGCTTACTGGGGGCGTTAGATGAATTAACATATGCTAAACACTAAGCCAGCAAATATCCATGACATTAGTTCCATCCATTTCTTCTTACCACTGGCCACATGGAACTTACACTCTGGGTCTAGAAAGCATGTATGTGCCCCTGGATGGCTCAGCAGCTGTCTCCACCAACTTTGAGATCTTGGCTGTGATTAAAATCTTTTTCCTTGACTCTGCCTTTTCTGGAAGACTGTCTTTTGGAATGGGGGCAGTTGGGGTAGGATTAAAAAACACTTTCTGAGTAAATACCCCTTCAGTTCTTCTTCTCACTATTGTATGTATTTTTATATTTATCTATTTTGCCTTGTTTCAGAAATGGATTTAAGGTAAGCTAGAAAGATGTAGACAGTTCTGTAGGATAAAATGAATATGCAAATGCTAAAAATAAAAGAAAAAATATAAGTAAGAAAGAACAGGGGAGCCAGGAGTGGGGCTGGCATACAGAGTATATTTACAGGCTCTGAAGTTAGAGGCATTTACTAGCAGTCAGCCACAGGCCTGGCTCTGAGCTTCCTAGAAGTCAGTGCAAAATAGGAGACCATGATCCGTTCATGGTGTTCATAAAGTAACTATAAGCTGGGTGTGGTGGCTCATGCCTGTAGTCTCAGCACTGTGGCAGGCCAAGGCTGGTGGACCACTTGAGCCCAGGAATTTCTGACCAACCTGGGCAACATGGTGAAACCCCATCTCTACTAGAAATATAAAAATTAGCTGGACATGGTGGTGCACACCTGTGGTCCCTGCTACTAGGGAGGCTGAGGTGGGAGGATCACCTGAACCTGGGGAGGTCGAGGCTGCAGGGAGCTGTGATCACACCACTATACTCTTAAGTTGGACAACAGAGTGAGACCCTGTCTCAAAAAACAAGCAAACAAACAAAAAACAAAACCCAAAACACAAAAAACATAAAGCAACAATAAGCCAAGTTGCTTAGGAAAAGGGATCCTAATGCAGAGTGCAAGAAAGACTTTCTCCACTGGCCACTCACAGAAAGGACTCTCTGGTAGGTGAGTGGTGGTCTCAGTAGCGTGCCCCAGGATACCCAGGGATAAGGTCCAGGTGGCTGTTTCTGACAGTATTCCCTAGAAGAAAATAATATCATTCCATCAGAATACTGTTCAGTCAAATTAATTCTGCCAGAGGCATCATGTGCCATAGCCCAGGTGTCCAACTTTCTGAGGTCCAGCTTAACACTGGGGTTTGAAGCTGCCTCATAGCACTGGGGTGTGAAGGAGAAGAAAGTGCAAGAAGGCAGGACTTAGGAGAGTACATCAATAATCAATTGCCAGAATTTTGATGTGTAATAAATGACCTGAAAATATCTGTCACGCAAAAAAACAAAAAAACAAAACAGCAACAACAACAAAAAAAACCACACACACACACATTTATTTAGCTTACAGGTCCGTGGGTTGGCTGAGGGTTCGTTGATCTGAGCTGGGCCCAGCTGGGATGGCTCTGTTCCATATGTCTGTCATTCTCCTTCAAGGAGCAGCGGGCTAACCCAAGTATGTCGTTCTCATGGCGATGGCAGAAGTGCAGTCAGAGTGGGAAACAAGAAGACCTCTTGAGGCCTAGGCGCAGAACTGGCACACTTTGACTTCCACGTCATTCTCTTGGCCAGAACAAGTCCTGTGGCTGACCCCATTGTCAAAGAGCAGGAAAATTGTGCCCCTTTAGAGAGTGCGACAGCAAAGCGACACAGGAAAGGGCATAGATAGTGAGAGGGAAGTATTGAAGGCAATGATGCAGTATCCCACAGAGGGAATGGAAATGACTTTGAGAAAAGCTCACTGCCCCTTGAGGCACAGAGGCCCCTGCACTGGTTGTATCTGCTGCCACCATGCAGGTTTAATTCTCTGCTGCAGGAGGCTTGGGCATGAAGTGGCTCTGGTTGTGGCTAGTTACCATTGCGACAAATGAGCTCAGTACAAATTGGACCCTGCGAGTCACCATTCTGTAACCTGGGTAGAACTTTGTGCCAGCGCCTGCTAGAGTTGCACACTCCCTCCCTAAGCTGGAATATGGCTGGGCCCCTGAAGTGGCAGGGAAGTTAGGGTTATAACTGACAACCAGCTCCCCCATTTTGTTTGATCTTAATTAATTCGTGCTCATTTTCCCTTATATTTTATAAGTAGAAATGTGAAACACTTACTAGGTGAGCATATTTACTTTATTTTTTGATTTAGAGCCACCTAAGTTTTAGAGATGAAGCTATCAGCATATGGATTTCTTCCATTACTTTGAAAACTGCTATATTTGGTACTGATGTTCTGTGGTTACATGCTGGGATCCATTACATAGAATTTAAGCACAGAATGTTTAAAACAAGGAGCCAAGAACAAGTTCTCATTACATTATCTGGATTGAAAATGATTTCTTACTGACATTGTAAAGTTTCAAAATTCCAGCCACTGTCAAAACGTAGCCGGGTAACTTGCCTAGATCGTGTCTATGACTTCTAATTCAGATTTGATTCTCAGCCCAGTACTACCCTCTCCCAAGCTCAGAATTCTTCATAGAAGACCCAAAACAAATAAAAAAAATAAGCCACAACAATAAAATGTAAGAAATTCTCCTACTTCATATTCTGGGAAGGAAGTAAATCATTTTATTCATTGATGGACTTATATTTCTGCCTTTTTGATTTATTTCCTGGCATGAGAGACCTAGTTGCCTTAATGACTATTTGTCAATTGAGCACAAGCCCAAAAGTCTACCCTGGGGCTTCCATGTGAGTCAGTGGTCCCAGGGAAGAGCCACTGCTAAGGGTTGTGCTGGTTGTGAACTACACAACTCTGGAACACTGCATGGAGAGCCTCTCTTGGAATTCCTTTGTCAGTGGTTGGGGTATTGGCACAAGGCTCCCAGCTTTTACTCTGCCCCTCATCCTCTTCTTTTCCTACCAAACACCTATCCCAAATTTGGCTTCTTGGTCTCTAAATCAAAAGCTGGTCTTTCTTCCTCCCTCCCACCCTCCTTCCCTAAATAAATGTGCCCTCTTTTCATAGTGATTTGGCACATTTATTTAGAATGGATACAACTAGGTCCCTCCTTTCCTTGACCACTCTCCCTCTGTCTACACACACGGACACATACACATGCATGCCATCTGTGACAGAGCCTGTGGAATTTGTGAACCATAGCCACACACCAATGCCCAGGACTGTTCTAGAGACCTCTTTGTAAAGTTGCATGAGCAGAGAAAAACTAAACCACGCAGTACAGGAGAATCCATACAGATTCTGAAAAGTTAGTTTTATTGTGTGAAAAGTTAGTTTTTGTTTGTTTGTTGTAGGAAACTAGTTACGTTATTGTAAATCAAAAGTATCTGAGAAAGGTCTCAATCAATTTAGAAAGTTTATTTTGCCAGGGTTAGGGACATGCCCATGACAGAGCCTGAGGAGGTCCCGAGACATGTGCCCAACGTAGATCAGGGCACAGCTTGGTTTATGTATTTTAGGGGGACTTCAGACTTCAATAAATATATGTAAGATGTACATTGGTTTGGTCCAGGAAGGTGGGACAATTTGAAGGGGTCGGGGGTGGGGCAGGCTTTCGGGTCATAGGTAGATTTAAAGATGTTCTGATTAGCAATGGGTTGAAAGAGTTATTACCAATAGAAAGGATTGTCTGTGTCATTATAAGGGGTTGTGAAGACCAAGGTTTTACTATGCAGATGAAGCCTCCAGGTAACAGGCTTCAGAGAGAATAGATTGTACATGTTTCTAATGGACTTAAAAAGTCTGTTCTATCAGTAATTCCACAAGGGAGGAGGGTATAATGAAGCATGTCTGGCTCCCACTTCCCATCATGGCTTGAACTAGTTTTTCAGGTTAACTTTGGAATGCCCTTGGTTGAGAGGAGGGGTCCATTCAGATGGTTGGGGGGCCTTAGAATTTTCATTATGGTCACAACAAAATATATCAGAGTCTCAGCAGGAGCAAGCCATTTTGAGAAGCAAGCAGAGAAGAATAAAGAAAGATGTGTTAGAACTTACAAAACACATTTTCTGAATTAAAAATTAGAGGCACTAATAGAAAACTGGACACTGCAGAAACTTGGTAATAAACCAGAGAACTATCTTTAGAAATACCACCAAGAGAGCAAAATTAGAGAGGGATTGAAACAATGACAAAGAAGAGAGCAGAAACGAAGGTAGAGAGAGAACTAAATAAATGTAGCTAAAGTGATAATCAAAGATCGTTTAAAAAAATCATTTTCTAAGCTAAGTAAAGTATTTGTAAATTGAGAGAATTCACTCTGATCCCTGTAAAATATACGAAAAGAGATCATTAAATATACCTTGGTAAAAATGTGAAAGGTCACATAGAAGACTCTTATAAGAATCAAAGCAAACTTATCCAAAACAACGCTTAAAAATACCACCATCACCAGCAGAACCAATGCCCTAAAACCCAAAAAGATATGACCTCAGGCAATACACAGAGGCAGTGGTTAAATCTTCAGTGCTTTGAGGGTAAACAAGTTGTTTTTTATGCATGGAACAATAGAAATGTTTTTTAAACCTTTAAGAAAACAAAAAATATCTAGTTTCTTTAGTAAATTGCTCAAAGTAATATATTACCTTAATAACTTAATCCAGAATATGATGAAAAAATCAAAATTAAGAACTCAGGAGGACATCATATCTTTAAAAATTGGAGCAGCATTGGACATTAAAACAGGTTTTATACACACACACACACACACACACACACACACACACTTACATATGTGAATTCAAAGTGAAAACATTGTTTCAAAGAGGTGAATGACATGATTAGAAAAATTAAAAAGGTAGATGAAATGGGTTATGCCACAGATAAAATAACCGAAACTCAGAAAGAGAGTATAAGGAGACTAAGGGCAAAATTCCTCATATTTTATCTGAATGTGAAATCATATTTCATCCATTTCTTTGATAATTAGGTATATATAGGTTTAAGATATTTTAGGGCAATTTCAAGTTAATCAAGAATAAGATTCTAAATGGAATTGCAGAACCTAAGAGCAAACCAAATATGGTAAATCCTTAATGCTGTCAATAGGTTCTCAGAAACTGACTTTAGGTGAATGACATATAATGAAACCAATTTTCCCTTAGGCTAATTGAGATAAACGAAAGTTAAGTTCCTATAGCATATTTCTGTTCACAAAAAAATCACCAAACTTCTAAATAAAGACCCAAACACTTATAATATCAAGCATTGAAATAAATGGGAGTTATACATACATTTAAGAAAGATGAACAGACTGGGTGCAGTGACTCATGCCTGTAATCCCAGCATGTTGGGAGGCCGAAGCAGGTGGATCACCTAAGGTCAGGAGTTCGAGACCAGCCTGGCCAACATGGTGAAACCCCATCTCTACGAAAAATACAAAAAATTAGCTGGGTGTGGTGGCGGGCGCCTGTAATTCCAGCTACTCGGGAGACTGAGGCAGGAGAATCGCTTAAACCCGGGAGGCGGAGGTTACAGTGAGCTGAGATCACACCATTGCACTCCAGCCTGGGCAACAAGAGTAAAACTCTGTCTCAAAAAAAAAAATTAATAAAAACAAGACAATGATTTACCCAATTTTGGTGAATCAGTGAGTGGCAGTGGCCATGGTAGTGATGGGTTAAATCAGGGAATAAATGTTTGCAGAGCGAACATTGTAAGGAGCATCTTTTCCCACCTTGCAGTTCAAAACCAAAAAATCACAAGTAGAGCAGGCTTGCTGAGCGCTTTTGTCCCATGTCCTTTATTGTCATAGACTTGATGAGTTTTTATTTTATCCTAATTTGTATTCATTTGTTCATTCATTTTCCAATGTGCTTATTCCAGTTCAAGGTCATGGGTGGCTGGAGCCTGTCCCAGCAGCTCAGGGTACAAGGTGGGAACCAGCCCTGGACAGGACACCATCCCATCGCAGGGTGCACTCACACATCCACACTCAGTCACACTGGGACCATATAGACATGCCAGCTCACCTCATGTGCACAGCTTTGGGATGTGAGAAGAAACCAGAGAAAACCCACGCAGACATGGAGAGAAAGTACAAACTTCATGCAGACAGTGGCTCCAGCCTGGAGCCATTTTTTTTTCCCCATCAACATTATCATAAAATGATGTTGAACGAGGTGATGTTATTCAAGAACCTGCTATATTTAGGATGTATTGCAAAAGACAAGAAGCAATCAATATAAGGTAATGGTAACAATACATGAAAAACTGAAAACACAAAATAAGATGACAGGAGGAAAAAAAATCAAGAGAAATCCTCACCATAAATGTGAACTCTTGATTGCCCTTGAACCATCATGACACATTCCACCTGCTCCAGATTGGCATATGGTCACCTCTCTTTTACTTTCTCATTTAATTCCCATTTGCCATATTATCTTGAATTCCTCTTGGAGATTTGTCAGTATATTCTTGAGACCTGTTCTCTTTTCCTTTGCCCTTCATTGTCCAGGAACCCCAGGGATGCTTATTTTGTCTGGAGAGGGCCAGACCACTGCCAAACACTGCTGCTGTGGCTTCTTGTTGTCACCAGGCTGCTGTGGAAGACAGGTTCTGCCAGGCTGGTGGACACTACCAGGATGACTTTACCGGGCAGAAGGTCATGGGCTGGGTTTTGCTGTTGTTTTAAGTTGAGAGAGACATGAACATTCTATATGCTGAAAGGAAAGGACCAATAAGGTCCAAAAGGAAAGGGCCAATAGAAATCAAAGTCACAGATGACAAACTGGACAACTGATGGATCAGTGAGTAGCTGAGGATGAAGAAGCAGTTAAGGAGGGAATCAAGGCCTAGTTGTACCTGTTTCCACTCTCCACAATGGATATTTCAGACTTTCTCACTCTTAAGCTCCTAACTTCACCATTTTCCTCCAATTTATAACAGAAAACCTCATCTCCAGGTTAATAGAGCATATAGAGATCCTGAGATGTAAACCACACCCATGCCCCCACATCCACAACTTGCCATTCCTTTTTCATCTCGGTAGAAAAGGTGTCCCTCCTGCTGTCCAAAGCTGGCTTCCATGATGGCCCTGTCTCCCTAACACTCAACAAGAGGCTTAGAGTCCATCCGAGGCCCAGCACATTCAATTCTAGTTTATGCCTCTGAGCTGCAACCTCAGCCCATTCTCTTCATCTCAGATGCACTCCCGTGCCTACCTCTGCATTGCTTCCTGAGTGGTGGGGCTTCTAACTCTCTGCTCATATTGCTGTCTTGCTCAACACCCTTCAAGAGATTCCGTTCACCAAAAGAAGAAAACCTGGGTATCCTACATGGCGTACACATGCATCTCTCATGAGTGGGCCCCGCCTGCCAGCTCTCTAATTTATCTCTTGCTTTGTTTTCACTATATTCTAATCATTCTATGAATCCTGAACATTGTGGTTCAATTCTTGGCTCCACCACTTACTATTAATAGTACTGTGCCCTTGGGCAATCTGTTAAAGCTCTCTGGGCCTTAGTTCCTCATCAGTAAAATGGGAACCAAGTTCCTACTGAAAGGATTGTCATGAGGGTTAAATGAGTCTATGTGTGTGAAGCAGATCAATGTTTGACATACCCTGAGCTCTTGATAATGTCTGTGCCTGTTATTAACACTTTGTACAGCTTCTCAGATGTATTATACCATCTTCTTGCCCTCTTTTTTTTTTTTTTTTTTTTTGAGATAGAGTCTTGCTTCGTTGTCGCCCAGGCTGGAGTGCAGTGACACAATCTCAGCTTACTGCAACCTCCGCCTCCCGGGTTCAAGCAATTCTCCTGCCTCAGCCTCCGAAGTATCTGGGACTACAGGTGTGCACCATCATGCCCGGCTAATTTTTTTTTATTTTTAGTAGAGATGGGGTTTCACCATGTTGGCCAGGCTAGTCTCAAACTCCTGACCTCAAGTGATCCACCTGCCTCAGCATCCCAAAGTGCTGGGATTACAGGTGCGATCCACTGCACCTGGCTCTTCTTGCCCTCTTTGAATCTTTGAGGATATGATTCTTTCTCCCATTCCTCTCAGCCTCCTTCCCTTACTCAGCTCCCACTTCTCTGGTTGGCAGATTGCCTTTCATCTTCAAGATCTGCTCTGCTACCACCTCTGCTGTGAAGCTTTCCTGGATTTCTCGCTATATGTATACACATGTCAGACTGGATGAGGGGTACTTTCTCGGAGCTTTTGGACATATCTTTATTGTAGCACTTTTTCTGCTTCCTTGACTTGGCTTTCCCTCTAGTCTGTGATTAATTCTAGGATGTAGATATTGAGGGTTGGGGGTCAAATCTGGTCCATTCCTCTATTATTCTCCATCATTTGACATAAAGTTAATATTTAATCAGTGTTTATTGAATGAATGAATGAATGGATTCATGGACAAGGGATGTGTGCAGACAGAACACAATAGAAGAAATATTTCTTAACAAATAAGGGGAAGAGATGTTGAAGTTTATTAGTAATCAAATTATTATTGATTAAAATGAGACATCATTTTTACTTGTTGAATTAGGAAACACTTTTTATGGCCAGGCGTGGTGGTTCATGCCTATAATCCCAGCTTTGGGGAGGCTGAGGCAGGCAGATGGCTTGAGCCCAGGAGTTTGAAACCAGCCTGGGCAAAACAAAAAGCCAACCCCGTCTCTACCAAAAAAAAAAAAAATTGCTGGGCGTGGTGGCACATACCTCACATACCTGCAGTCCCCAGATACTCGGGAGGCTGAGGTGGGAGGATCACTTGATCCCAGGAGGCAGAGGTTGCAGTGAGCTGAGATTGCACCACTCCACTCCAGCCTGGGTGACAGAGCGAGACTCTGTTAAAGAAAGAAAAAAAAAAAACACTTTTTTTTTTCTTTTACTTCTGTCTCCATGTTTGACAGGAAACACTTTTTGAAAGGATATTCCATTGCTGTGGGCTCTTACTCATTGCTGATGGAAGGGTAAAAGCAGCTTAGTACTATGTGTCAAGACCTTTTTAAGTGTTAGTTTCTTTTAAATTTTTATTTTACTTTTCATTTTTGAGACACTTTCTCACTCTGTCACCCAGGCTGGAGTGCAGTGGTACTATCATAACTCACTGAAGCCTCAAACTCCTGGACTCAAGCGATTCTCCTGCCTCTCAGCCTCCCAAGTAGCTGGGACTGCAGGCACACACCACAATGTCGAGCTAATTTTTAAAAATGTCTGTAGAGACGGGGTCTTGCTATGTTGCCTAAGCTGGTCAAATGTTCCTTTGTTTTGCCTCACTAATTGTACTTCTGGAACACCATCCGAAGGGAATAATTGTAAATACAGACAAATGTTTATGCATATAGATGCTCATTATGGCATTATTTATATAAAAATTTGGAAAAAAAATGTGTAATATCTAGTAACAGAAGTATGGTTTAGCATTTTGGTTTCAGAATAGTCTGTAATAACATGGAAATGTATTAGTTAAGTGAAAAAGATGAAAATATGTTCACACCTATTAAGAAAAAGACAAATGCCCATGCATAGTAAAGAGACTGCAGAGGAGTGTACCAGGATGTTTACTTGGTTATATTTCGGTGGCAGGGGTGTGTATGGTTTTTCTTTTCTTTTTTTTCCTTGCTTTTGCATATTATCCAAAATCTCTATAATTGGAAATGTATTACTTTTATAATGGAGTAAAGCCCATATATATATATATATACCATTTTGTTTTCCTTTGAGACATGGTCTTGTTCTGTCACCCAGGCTGGCATACAGCAGAACGATCATAGCTCACTACAACTTTGACCTCCTTGGCTCAAATGATCCTCCTACCTCAGCCTCCCGAGTAGCTGGGATTACAGGCATGTGCTACCATGCCTGGTTAATTTTTTAACGTTTTGGTAGAGATGGAGTCTCATTAGGTTTCCCAGGTTGGCCTTGAACTCTTGGCTTCAAGTCACCCTCCCACCTTGGCCTCCCAAGTTGCTAGAATTACAGGCAAGAAACTCTGTGCCTGGACCAAATTTTATATTTTAAAGTGTGTGTTCAAAAAGATTTAAGAATCTGATTATATTACTGATAATTATTTGATATGAGTAAGTCTTGAATTACTAAATTGATTACAAGCACCAATATGGCACAGACTGTGTTTTGTATTCAACCGTTGTGTGATCAATAAGTACCTGTGGGTTTATTTGGAGGCACCCTTCATCATGTAAGGCCCCCTGATTGTCACAGAGCTCACCATGGTCTTGTAGGCCTCTAAACCATCGGGAACCAAGTGAGAGACAGTTAAAAACAAAAAGCCAAACAGGTGGGATTTGCTTGGAGACAAATAATCCCTGAACATAAAGTGGGTGTTAATGCAAAGGCAGTGGTAGAAAACGAAGAACTCTGCTTGTAAATGAAATGAATATTCACTCCTTCTGCTTACCTTGCAAGTTAAGCACCAGTATTGAGACTTCATTTGCTGTTACCAGTTACCAAAAATGTTGACACAATTTAAAAAACAAAACTAAAAAACCCACTGTTGCTTTAGCTTGTTTAAATGCATATTGTACCAAATCATGGAAGAATTATAGATGAACATTTTAAAGGATTTCTAAAATTATACTTCTATGAAGAATAGACTGTTAATGGTATACAGCAATTACTCTTAACTGCATGAAAATATCTCATTTTGTTTGGCTACACTTAAACAGGCCTGAAGTCTAGTGCACCAAGACATACTGAATTTCAAACTAAATAAATTAAAATTACCATGTACATTCCACTACATGTCAAAACAGGAAAAACCATAGTATTATAGTTGATATGAAATGAAGATTACATACAACAGTAATACAGAGAAAACATGAAGCTGCTTATATTTATTTGGAATAAGACAACAGGGTCAATGATTTTCACTGCAGATGTACTTCTTTTTGAGAAAATATATCCAAAAATCAATTTACAAGGCAGATGAATTTGGCTGTTATTATTTATAGTATGTAAATATTATTTAGTTTCAAAAGGATTTCTTTAAACCAGGCACAGTGGCTCACACCTGTAACCCCAGCACTTTGGGAGGCCAAAGTGAGAGGATCACTTGAGCCTAGGAGACCAACCTGGGCAACATAGCAAGACCCCATCTCTACAAGAAAGTTTAAAAATTAGCCAAGCGTGGTAGTGCACACCTGTGGAGCTAGCTACTTGGGAGGCTAAGGTGGGAGGATCGCTTGAGCTCAGGAGTTCGTGGTTGCAGTGAGCCATGATCACACCACTGCACTCCAGCCTGGGTGCAGAGTGAGACCCTGCCTCTTAAAAAAAAAAAGACTTATTATTTATTTCAGGGTTCAGTGTCCTTGCTTGTCATTAAGAACTTGACAGAAATTAGAGGAATTTAAAGCTATGATGTTAGATGCCACTGCCAATTTAAAATGACCAAGATAAAGATAGCATATCTTTATATGTAATAGAGAGTGAAAGAGGGCATCTAATTCAATTTCTAAAAATTAAGTATTTATGGAGCATTTCAGATCTATTCATTGTATAAAAGAAGGCACACCTGGAGTTTATTTCTTTAGCACTTTAGACTTACTCCTGAATATGACTGTTTAAAACAAGCATGCCATTTTCATTTTATATCCTGCAGATAGATTCTAAGGTTTCAGAGTCATCAAAAGCATTTCACATTTCTCCAAGGTAAACTTACTTAAGAGAAGTAGTGCTTTCAGTTTAATACAACTTGAAATTATCTCCATTGTGAGATGGTGAAAATAGTAAAAATTGCTATTATTTATTGAGCATTCATAGTTCAAGGTACTATGCTGAATGCTTTTTATATCTTGCTAACTTAATCCTCATTTTTCATTTATTCATCAGACTACTTGTTATAGAGAGCTTACTATGTGCCAGGGGCTACTTAAGGTGTCACAGATTCAACAATGAACAAAATAGACAAAAACCACTACTCTCTGTGGATCTTACACTCCAGTGGGGGTGGGAGGGAGATAAAGACTATCTTCAAAATAAGTAATTATATACCGTTAGAGTGTGATGAATGACACTGAGGAAAAGAAAGCAGGAAAAGGGTTAAGAAGTGCCAGAGTTGTAGAGGAAGGGGTCACACTTTTTTTTTTTTTTTTTTTTTGAGATGGAATTTTGCTCTTATTGCCCAGGCTGGAGTGCAATGGCGCAATCTCAGCTCACTGCAACCTCTGCCTTCCAGGTTCAAGCGATTCTTCTGCCTCAGTCTCCCAAGTAGCTGGGACTACAGGCGTGCGCCACCATGCCCGACTAATTTTTGTATTTTTAGTAGAGACGGGGTTTTGCCATGTTGGCCAGGCTGATCTCGAACCCCTGACCTCAGGTGATCTGCCGGCCTCAGCCTCCCAAAGTGCTGGGATTACAAGTGTGAGCCACCACGCCCGGCCAGAGGTCACACTTTTAAGAAGGTTGGCCAGAGAAGGCCTCACAGAGAAGCTGACATCTAACAAGATAAGATGCCCTACAGGAGGTGAAGGAACAGCCTATGTGACTGTCTTGGGGAAGAACATTCCATTCTAGGTAGAGAGAACAGCAAGTACAAAGGCTCTGAAGTTGAAATGTGCCTGGCTTGTTTTAGGCAGGTGTAGAGGGAAAGATGGGAAGGGTTGTAGAGGATGAATTCCTAGCGACAGCAGAGGAGGGGCCAGATCATGTCAGGCCTTGTAAGCCATCAT
Source organism: Homo sapiens (assembly GCF_000001405.40). NCBI lineage: Eukaryota > Metazoa > Chordata > Mammalia > Primates > Hominidae > Homo > Homo sapiens. The sequence continues at coordinate 44,184,152 of NC_000023.11, read as the reverse complement.
GAGGCTTTTGAGTTCTACTTTGAGAGAGATGGCAAGCCCTCACAGGGTTTTGAACAGGCAAAGAACATGATCTGACTTCTGTTTTAACATATCATCCTGGCTTCTATAGGAAAATAAAATTCTATTTCACAAGTGGTCTTGTCCCATTTCACAGATAAGGAACTCAGATTCAGAGAAGTTGAGTAGTTTACCACAGTTCCCATTTACTGGTGAATTAGTGGGACTAGAATTTTAATACAAGTCAATGTAATTTGAAAGCTCACACTTTTTCCAGACTGCCTCCCAATTGAAAACAAGCTTGTGACCTCAGCTGGAGTAGTTTTCTGATAGTCTACAGTGACCCCTTTTTTCTCCTTTTCTGTGGAATTCCTTGGTCTCTCTTGTGAGGCCACCATGTTGCATAACTCCGGAAGAAACCACTTATACCACAAGTCTATAACTGTGCCCTCTGGAGGTGGGCAGTATGAAGCCAAAGTGAAGTGGCCATCTATGGTGGCCTTGTTCTCCAGTGAAGTTGAAGAGCTTTGTACATGGCATTAAACTCTAGTTAGGCCTGTAGCAAAACCTGTTTGGTCAGACATTTGTGTCGGACTCTCTGTGATGTATTTTGCCATCTCTCCTTCCTCTGACACATATTCTACCAGCTATCTCTACCACCCTCTACTGTCTGGCAATACTCTAGCTGCAGATTCAACAATGAACAAAACCACAGTATGACATGCTGGAATATAAGTGGCAATACGGCAAGGGTTTCTGTTTTGTATGGGCAGCTTAGGCCCACAAGTGTAAGAGAAAGCCTGAGGGAGGGTAGGATATGAGCAGGTGTGCACAGCTTCTGATTACAGGAAGCAAAACACATTTTATTTGATGAATATCAAATTGAAAGTAATGAGAAAGGGTGCTACCTAATTGTCGCCAAAACTGCTGCTTGGCTTAATTTAGGCTCAACTAGATTTTGTTGTATGCCTTAGGGTCTGAAGGCTTAGGCTCTTGAGCCCTTGTTTATGCTAAAACTAATTTTTTTTTAGTTTATTTGAAAGACATTGCTTAGACTTTAATGATTCAACAAGTAAGAAAATACCCTGAGATTCAGAGCTTTAAAAGGAAATTTTGATTCACCATTTTACTGGATGACTTTAATGGAATTATGTCTTATAAAGCTGTTTAGCGTTTCATGTTTCAGAATTCTGCGTAGAATTCTCAATACCCTAGAGCATCTTGGCATTTTTTTGAGTCTTATGACTTTAGTTACTAAAGTCAAGAGAAAATCATGGCAGCATCCTTTATAAGATTAACTAAATAATACTGTGATATTATAGTATTATACTGTATAAAATATTAGTGCCAGGAATGTAGTGCAATGTTGGCTAAAGGCAAAGGTAACTTGCTATCTAAATCTTCAAGATTAGTAATAATAATCACAGGACACAAGATCAATACAATCACAACTGCCTTTTAAAATACATTTTTATTTCCCTGAAATGATTGGTCAAGAAGTACTGAGATCAGATTTTGCTATCAGATCTTATTTCAAGTTCAGTATGACATTTTAGGTGAGGAAGGGCTATGCTTGATGGAAGTTGTACCTATGTTTTTGTGGCTGCTGCTAAGCAAAAATAGAGTGTGCAGAAAGCAGTTTGGCAGTGCCACAATAGGTTAAACAGACTTACCTGTGACTGAGGAGTTTCACTCCTTGGTATATATACCCCAAAGAATTGAAAACAGGTGTTTACACAAAACTTGTACACAGATTTTCATAGCAGCACTATTCACAACAGCCAAAGGTGGAAGTAACCCACATGTCCATGTATGTATGAGTGGATAAACAAAGTATGGCACATTCATATAATGAACAATAGTATGATAGTACAATGAATAAGAATTCAGCCGTGAAAAACGATGAAGTCCTGATACATGCTACTACATGGATGAACCTTGAAAATGTGCTGAGAGAACCCAATCACAAAAGAATACATATTACATAATTCCATTTATATAAAATATCCAGAAGCTGGCAAATCTGTAGAGATAGCAGATTCTGGGTAGGGAGGAGGGTTAGGAAGGAGGGAGGAAAGAGGCGTGGTTGCTCAATGGGTATGAGCTTTCTTTGGGGTGATGGAAATGTTTCAGAACTAGATAGAGGTGGTGGTTATACAACATTGTGAATATACTAAATGTCACAAATGGCAAATTTTATGCTATGTGTATTTTACCACAATGAAAAATGGAATGTGTGACTTTTGATTTTTAATTCTTTGTGAATCCTACTAAAGTTTAACAGGGCGGGGGTGAGTCCTGAAAAACACACTTGTGGCAAATGCGGGGCAGAGTGGTGACAGCCATCTGAGGTCTGCAAGGTGAGGCTTGTACATCCTGATTGAGATCCCTCGTGCAGGAACCTGCCTCATGTGGGCACAGCAGCCACACAGGCAGCCGCTCCAGGAGCCCCTGATGCCCTGCAGGGCTGTTGGCAGTTTCAAATATAGCACAGCTTCTTTGAAACTTTCATGTAAAGTCATGTAAAACCGGAATACTGAGCTGTTTAAAACCCAAGCATACAGAAACCCAGCAGATATAAATTTTAACTGCAGTGAAGCCAGGATAATTTCAGTTTATCCAATGAAAAGGAAAATAAACTTTTATGTTCTGGTGGTGCTATAATAAGTTTAGTGAAAGGTGTATGGAAAGTTTCTAGTTATTGCTCCACATGTTCTTTTTCCTTGTCCTTGGGAGCATGCCACTTTCTCTTCTTCACGCCATATTCTACTCTCAAAAGGAAATGCTTTCGAATGTTTTTTTTTTTCATTTAGACAATGAAAATAATATTTGATTATTACAAAAATTCAGAAAAAATGGAAATACTTTTTTTTAAAAGACATCTCAACCATTCAGGATAATACTATTGATGTTTTGGCATGCATCCTTCTGGTCTTATTTCTATGACCATATGTGCACCTGTATCTTGATTTTTCACTGGGATCATACTACATTTATCAACATAGCATGGACATCTATCCTACCAATAAATATCAATCAATACCATACTTTTCTTTTTTTAGAGATGGGGTCTTTGTCTGTCACTCATGCTGGAGTGCAGTGGTATGATCATAGCTCACTGCAGCCTCAAACTCCTAAACTTCAAGTGATCTTCCTGCCTCAGCTTCCCAAGTAGCTGGGATTATAGGTGCATGCCACCATGCCCAGCTATTTTTTTTTTTTTTTGGTAGAGATGGGTTCTCACTATGTTGCCCTGACTGGAGTACAGTGGCATGGTCATAGCTCACTGCAGCCTCAAACTGCTGGGCTGAAGCAATCCTACCTCAGCCTCCCAGACATCATAACTTCTTTTTTTTAACTTTTAGATTTATTCTTCTATAATCTTCTTTTTTATTTTTATTTATTTATTTATTTATTTGAGACAGAGTCTCACTCTGTCACCCAGGCTGGAGTGCAGTGGCATGATCTCAGCTACCGCAACCTCTGCCTGTTGGGTTCAAGTGATTCCTGTGCCTCAGCCTCCTGAGTACCTGGGATTACAGGTGTGTGCCACCATGCCCAGCTAATTTTTGTATTTTTAGTAGAGATAGGGTTTCACCATGTGCCAGGCTGATCTCAACTCCTGACCTCAGGCGATCTGCCCATCTTGGCCTCCCTAAGTGCCGGGATTACGAGCGTGAGCCACCACGCCTGGCCCCAAACATAATGCTTTTAATGGTGATGTAGTGTTCCATTTTACACACATGGCATGACTGTTTCTTGATCAGCGTTGTAGAGGAGCCAGGGGCTTTCCTTGGAGTGGCTCTTTTGTGGTTACTTAGCCCTCTGTCAGAGATGGTTGGTGACTCAGGTTTTCTGAAATTATTTTCTCTTACTTTTTAAATAATGATTAGTGATAGCCCTCAAAGCAGAGATGATGGACAATAAAGGCAATAAAGGTCCATAAAAAATCAGCTTAAACCCCACTGCCTTTAGGCACATTTCCTGACTGAGCCCCACTCCATCAGTTCTCTCCGCCTTCTGTGTCCCAACAGAAGAGGGATAGAGTAGTAGGCAAGAGCATGAGCTTTAGAGCCAGACTACACGGGTTCACATTCTGGCTTTTGTGACATTAGGCAGGTTATTTAACATTTCTGTGCCTCAGTTCACATCTGTACAGTGGGGATAATAGTAGCACCACCTCCTAGGCTAGATGCCAGAAGTCCCTGCTAGCACAGGACCTGGCACACAGTACTCAACAAATGGCAGAGGTTATTGCTATTACTCAGTTTATTTAAGTGGCCCTACCAGTTTGTGGCTTTGAAAGATCATCTATATGCTTGGACAGTGCAAATAGATAACAGATTCTGAAAAGTTCAAATGCCAGAGAGCCTTTTACAGTGTTTTCCATATAGCGAGCCTCCTGCCAATATTACTAATTGATTGTCTGACCTGACTTGCTGAAATTCTGGGATCATCTTGGTTGGATTTTGCATTCATTTCCCATTAAAAATACAAAAGCAAAACCAAATTTAAACAAAACAAAACAACCCAGGAAACTTGAGAAGTAGATGTAGATTAAATGAATTTCCTTTAGATAGGTCAACATCAATGCTGTGGGCTTTCCTAGACTCTATGGAAATTCTTGACTAGGAGAATCTAGAATTATTAGATGATAATGTCCAGAAATACCTAAAAGAACTGAAAGCATTTATTCTGAAAGACCTCTTTCTAGCAGAAGGCCAAATAAAATTTTCTATTCCCTTGTTTATTCAGGATTCTTGGGAACTGAATTATTTCCAGTAAATAAATTTTCTAGACAGTGGAAGCTTATTCCTGTAACCACCATAACATTTTGCATTTTAATCATTTTGATATAATTCTGTCTGGTGTATGCTGCTTAGTTTATGGCTTTCATACAGAGTTACATTGAAAACAATTCAGCCAATTTGCTAGGCCTTGAGTCGTCTTCATTGATATGTTGTTGTTTAGTTTTTTTTTTTTAGCTCTGCCTAATAATCTCAGTACCATTTGCCTTCTAAAGATGCAGACAGCTGTACGCTTACATAGGTCTTTTAACTTTTCATTTTTTTTTCTCTTGTTTTTTTTTCTCACTGCCAGGGTGTGTCCAGTTTTACTTTTTATTACAGAAATGTGCATGATTGCTTTCCCCATCCCAAAACACCTTTCTAATTTATTAACTTACAAATTTTATGTCCCAGGAAACCAGAAACCCAAGCCTGTTACTATTTTGTGTAAGGAAGATTAATAGGCATTGAATAAAGTCATGTACTTAGTAATAGGTTTTTTGACCATTCAAAGCCTTTAAAAATTTACTTCCTGGTTGCAGGCTGTTATTTGGTAGGTGTTTAACTCTGGGCAAAATGCCATTTTATTTATAAGCTACAGTGCCTATGATTTTCCATTCTGGCATTGGTGCCTTCCTGCTGCTCCCAAATTAAGAAGAGAAATTAAGTTAAAAAAATCACATGACCTCTGTACAGTTGGTAAAAGTTTTGTAAAATGGAATTTGGATCTTTTAAATAGAAGGAGATGTAAAATACTGTATTCTTAGATATCAGTTTATAAATGTTTTTCCATTTTTATTACAGAGACATATTGATGTCTTTGACTGTTGGAAACCTTGCAGAGCAAGAATTTGTAACCATTGCACGTCACTACCGTGTGCCTGAGGGCACATGTTCAGATATGGATTTCTTAATCGCACTGGCCCACGAAAAGTTCAAGAAAAATATGTTTGAGAATTTCGACACTTTCATTTATTCCTGTGTGTATGAAGATCGAGAAAAGTAAGCTTTTGTTTTATTGATTCTAATCATTTACATTTCTGTGAACCTGAGTAATGAAGGAATTTCTATTTTATCAAAAAGTGCAAAAAGAAAATAGACATGTGTCATCATACTCATACTCTACTATTTAGCACAAACACCTTAAATCATTTTCGGAGAAGTATTTAGGTACAGATATTTCCCAGTGATGGAGAGCTTGTGTGTGTGTGTGTGTGTGTGTGTGTGTGTGTGTGTGTGATATGGCATCTGGCCCTGTCGCCCAGGCTAGAGTGCAGTGGCGCAACCTCGGCTCACTGCAACCTCCACCTCCCAGGTTCAAGAGAGTCTCCTGCCTCAGCCTCCTGAGTAGTTGGGACTACAGGCTCGCACCACCGCACCCAGCTAATTTTTTTTTTTTTTGTATTTTTAGTAGAGACAGGGTTTCACCATGTTGGCCAGGCTAGTCTTGTTGACGGAATAGGGGAGGCCCTGTATCTTTGAAAGAATAGGCTTCTCCCTTGCATGTTCTTTTCATTTGTTTCTAGAAGCTTTCAACTGAAGCATAGTAAATCAAAATGTTAGGAGGGTTAATTCTGAGATGTCGTCTTTTTACATTATTTTAGTACTGATGGGGATTTATAAATGTAACTTTTATAATAAATAGAAAATGGAATTTTCAAGCAAACATTCTGTAGAATTTCTTTGAAATTATTTCTTCTTGAAAATAATGAAGTTCAGTATAAGCTATTTCTTATACATTGATTGTGTGCGTGTTGAGCTTCATTAAGTCATTGTTACATACAACTGGATGCAAACAACTTAATGTGTTTTTTTTGCATTCATCTTACAGACCTTATACAGTGGGGAGAAATATAAATTTACTGATTTCATCTGGAATTAGAAAAATCTTAGTTCTTGCTCTAGCTTCTAATCCGTATTGCTGCACACCACTGCCATCTCTCTTCCTTGTGACTTCTTGCCTTATCCCCAAACTTGAAGTCTGAACCCAAGTGGCCAACTGCATTCCCTGAATATCTGTGTAGGTCCCATAGTTTGTCTTAGAAATAATCATTTTTTTTATTAATCCATAATGCATCCTCTTTGAGTTTTTATAAAGATGGTATTTTTCCTTGACTCTTTAAGCTTTCCCAAGCTTCCTAGAAGATGTGTGGCCTGAGTTTTGCATGGCCCTGGCCCTGCCTTCCACCCTGGTGTTGCCCCCTTCCCCAGAGTGAGAAGTGTGGCCCTCCTTCATTCAAGGAACACTTCTTAGGAACAATGGGGCTGCTTGACCAGATAGCCTGAGGTTCTTCCAGATCCATCAAGCTTTGATTCTAGATATAAACATTCTCATTGCAAAGAAAAGAGCCAACTTTCTTTCCTGTTGGTTCTAATTTTGCCCGATGCCTGGAAAAGTGTTGGCTGAATGAGAACATTGGACAAGAATGTCTTTGCCCCCATAAGACTGGAGAAAATGACTTTTGGGCTGCTCTAGAGAAAACTGCTAGCATCTGAAAAAATTGAAGTGAATATTGAGGCCCCAGCTGGGGCTTCCAGGTGATAAGGTTTGGGTCCAAGGAAAAGAACAGAAAAACACCCTCAAGTCATATCATACTTGTGTTGGAGGCTCTAGATGCCTGTCAAATTAAGAGATGTTTTCAAATATCAGAACCATTTTTGACTAGTGGTCAAGAATGCAGATCAATTACTTAGAGCAACACTTGTGGCTGTAGCCTTAATAGGCTGTACTGTCACCAACCAAGAATCTGCATCTTGAAGGAAAAGCCTTTGTAAGGATGGAGTCTGGTGGCCTCTGAAATAGAAAAAGTTGATGAAATGAAATGTGACTGTTCTTCCTTATTGTGAATTCCAATACCAATTTTCATACTTCCATGTGTACATTCTCAGGAAACATCACAAATGTATTTTCTTTCCTATAGTATGTAATTATTACTAAAGGTATACAAGGTATATAAAAGCTCATTTACGTTGTTTTAATGCAGAAAAAATGTATTACCCACCAAAGACATTAAAAGGCTGTGCAAATCCTCCAGATTACCTTTGAGTGATGATCTTCTAGAATCCTTATTGTCAAGGTAAGTTAGAGTTCCACTCTTGATAGGGATTGTCCTGCATAGTTTTATTTGGGGGACCATTCCTGGTTTTACATCTCCCTTTAATTACCCTTGATTTACCCTTAACTGTTTTGATTATATTATTGGTGACCTGCCTCCATTTAAGTGTTACAGAAGGAAAAGTTTGTCTTGATTTTGAATGTTAGAGAGCCTATTACAAATTATTATTTTATCTTTTTAACATGAATACACACTTATAGATCCACAGATTCCTGGGACAAAATGAAATACACAACTTTGTTGGTTAGGAGGACATTAGATGTAAAATTCAGGGCAGGTTTTTCAAAGCAGCAGTTCCTGATAGCTATAGACATGCAGTAAGAGAACCTAGGGTTATTAGCATGGGGCTCTGTCCTGATAGAGCACCAGATGTAAAACATAGAGATTATGATGCTATAAAATGAGAGCATGGTGAACTGCTTTCTAAAACACATCAGTTCTCCTGTTGAACCTGACTTTTGATTTCCTGGCATGTCCCTCTCAGCCACCTAGACTCTGGCCATCTCTTATGCTTCCTATAGCATCACTCACTCTAGCTCCTCCTCTGACTTATATATCTTGATAATTCTGACATTTTCAGCTGTGTTCTAGGCATTGTGATCATTGTTTTGGATATATTATCTCATTTACTTTTTGAGAACAGCTTGGTGAGGTCGAAACTGTTATCCTTCTTATCTCATACGTAAGGATGCTGAGGTTTAGAGAGATGAGGTATTTTGCCCAAAGTCACATAGTGTAGAAGAAGAAGAGCTCTGATTTGAATCCTGAACTTTTCAAATGCACATCCTCTGCTTCTAATCATTTTGAGTTACTGTCTACAAATAGCCAGTAGATTAGGATGTCTTGACAGTTCTACCTCCTCCTTACTGCTTGCTTCTACTCTCTCCTCTCCATTTCCACTATCATCATTCTTGTTCTGACCCACATTGCTTCTTAAATACTGCGGTGCCACCACATTGGTCTTTCATCCACCAGTGTCTAAATGTTTAAATCCATCTTTACATATAGCAGCTAAGTACCTTCTAAGAGCAAAAATGTATGTCATCTTATTGCACTTTTACTCACAAACCTTCTGTGGTGTCTCTTTGCTCTCTAAGGAAGGACCAGCTCTTTAACTTTGAATTAAGCTCCTTCTCCATAGTGGGGCTTAGGGTTCGCAGCTGGAGCATTGTTCTCAAATAGGGTCTGAAGTAGGGAGTCCTTGTTTGAGACAAAAGGAGAAACCAAAGGAACAGATAAAGCCAAATTCTATGTCAGGGAACTAGGGTCCAAGGTATCAGGAGGGAAACCCAGAAGAGGGCAAATCTAGTTGGATGTGTATGTGCATTGAATCAACCTGGAATAATTTTCTAGATTATCAGTTCTATTTGTTTTGTTTTGATTTTGTTTTTGTTTAACTCTATTTGCTTTTATTTGCTAGCAGCCGTGTGAGGGATCCTGCCGTGAAGGAACTGAGATGAAGTAGGCAGGCCTTGGACTCAGAGTTCTTCACAGATATCATCCCCCACTCCCAAAACTCCCCTTCCTGTTCCCAGTAGTCCAGCCACATGGGCCGTTTAGCATATTACACATATACCTCCTGCCTTCCCCCTCCCCCCCCCTTTTTTTTTTGGCCTTTTCCCTTGCTATTTCATCAGTAGGCAATAGCTCCCAATGGTTTTCACTTGCTGAAAGCTTGCTCTTCCTTCAAGACCCATTTCAAGTGGCACCATATCCATGAAGCTCTGTTGCATTCGTTTGGCTGATAATCAGAGTGATTATCTCCTGCTCAGAATTCTCACAGTGCTATTTATGTGTCTCTTTATCCCTTACCTTGGAATGAAGAGTTGTGACTTGAACTTCGATTCATTCAGATGCAGACACTGCTTCTGTGTGATTTACCACCTATAAATAACCAATGGGTTGTCACATCCTGACAATTTTACCCCCCTCCTCCACTCCCATCTCTTAAATTCTTTGAGTCCACTTATTAGCTGTGTGATCTTGTGCAAGGGTTTTGACCTGCCTGAACCTCAGATTCCTTATCTCTCGAATGACGTAACAGTACCTATTTCCTAGTGGTTCAGAGGATTAATTGAGATAACATACATAAAGTACCCAGCACAGTACCTGGTGCAAAGAATTGATTGAGGACTAGGAGAGAAATTTAAGTCAGGGACCATAGACCACACACTCAGACTTAGAAATGAACTGGAAGAAACCTGTGTCTTTCTATGTAGAGGAAGCCATGTTTTTCAACAATTGGATCTGAATGCCTTTCACACATTAAGCTGTCTTCTAGTCAGGAAGCTGTGGATGTTTATTAGATTATCTTTTGATGGTCTTAAGGATGAGTTGTCCTGGAAAGTCCAGTAATGTGGGAGCCTGGCCTCTGGAGGACCTACATGTTTCTTATCCAGTGCTGAGGCCACCAAGTCATCATCCTCTCATTCTCTCAGCAGACTGTTTTGTCTTTGCCTTTACGATTTGACATTAAATGCAAAAAGATTGTTTCAGAACTTGCTTCGAAGTCATCTCAGTCTCTGAACACATCTGTCTCCAAGCCCAGCTTAGCTTTGAGGAGGTCATCCCGCTCAGCTGCTAAGCAGACCATGTTCAGTCTAACTTTGCCTCTAATTGTGCAGTGACCCTTCTCCACACTCAGGGGAAACTTCAGACTAATCAGATTAGAAAATGTCTCATTCCCATTCCCCTCTCCCTCCAATATGCCCTGCCATGATTTGGGTCACATGCTTAGTGTTTTGCATCATCTCTGCAGATTCCTTTCAAAGACTGCCCTAATTCCTAATGGGCCCATCAGCCTGCAGCTTACATTTATATTCTGCATTCTTATTGTTCCCCACAGACTCCACAGGGCTTTACAGAGCCCTGACCAGAGTCTCTTTCTGCACAGCCCTCCTTATGGCACGCTAAGCCAGAGCCCCCTCTGACGTCTACAGTCTCCCGTGGGAGGCAGGCATGGAGCTTGTTGATTTTGTTCAATGCATGCTCTTGCCCAGGAATAGTTTTACCTGCCTTGGAATGGAGCTGGGCAGCTGCTGAGCAGCCGTGTAACCCTGCTGTGTAAATTCAGATCAGGAGATGAAAAACAATATGGCTAAAGGGTTGGATGCTTTCTTTCACCCAGTAATTGTTACCCATGTATTTCTCCTAACCCTATATTTTGGTACCAGGATTTTCCTTCTACTCCATTCCCATTTTTCTTATAATTCAGCTTGATCTTTTCCTTATTATGTTAACATAACTCAAACTGGAATCAGGACTTCAAAACCTTTTTGTACCTGGTTACCTCAGCCCCTGTCAGTTTGTGCTGTGGGAGCTGGTATAAGGTCACCTTACTTACCAAGCAAATTCATTTCATTAATGCACAGAGCATCAGACTTAAATGTTCTATATAGTGGTAGCGATTATCCATTAATAATAGGAGTGATACTTTGTATTGATGTAGTGCTAAGGGCCTTAGAATATTTTGTAAATTTTTGAGCATATTAAAAGGTACATTTTAATTGGCAGTAGGCATTATTCCTCATTTCATAAGTATAAACTCTGAGAGTCTCTCACTGAAAGACTGTGCTCCAGGCCAAGATGAGCCTCTAATGGAAGTAGAACTACAACTGCCTAAGATACTCTAAACCTTTGCCTCTATCTGAGCTCCTGAGGGTAGGGACTAGATCTCGTTCATTTTTGCAGCCTCAAAGACTTGTCCTGTGCTAACGCACTGGACATGGGGTAGAAAAACATGGGCTCGGTGTCCACCAGAGCTGCTCCTGCCTCTGCAGGTCAACTCTACTGTTTCCTGACCATGCGATTCTTGGGCATTTACTCAACCCCTCTGAGCCTTCATTTGGATATTCATATTCCTCTGTAATAATAAGCAAAAAATTCTGATTGTTAGACCATAAGAGGTAGAGGGAATTCTGAAGCCATTCCATTCTGTATTCTTCATGGGACTGGGAAGGAAAGAGGCAGCCTTCTCCCCTAATTGTGGCCTTCTGAATCTAGACTTGGAATAACTAGAGATTCAAGTGCAACTCTTTCCCCAGCAGCTCTGTCCTGAGCTAGACTTTTATAGTTGGCTTTGGGTTCCATGGAATGCCTTAGAACTGGCCTCCCAAGAGAGCTGGTGCCTCATCCAGAAATATCAGTTAAAATGGAAAAAGTTAACAGGGCTTTAAAATCATCTCATTATAGTCTACCCAGCCTTGCCCCCTGCCCTGCTCCCAGAGGCACGGTTAGTGCTCCTGTGATTTCACCCAACAATACCTGGCAGTGAGGCTGAAGGGCAAGGGCTGAGCCATGTGGTAGTTATTGTGGCAGAGTGTTTGGTGTACTGATGAAGTTTTCACAGAGAAGCCCCTTCTCTCTGTCTCTCTGTCTCTCCCTTTTTCCTCCTTTGTGTGCTCTCTCCTCTCACTCTCTCTGTCTCTTTGTCAGACCCATCCACCCACCCAGATGCTTTCTACCTTTTCAAATATAAGGGGATTTCTAGTTGAAAAGATTTTTCTTTTAAATCCCAAACCATATGGACAAACAGAGTATCGACTCTATGTACAGGCCTTACCTGGCAGCTGTGACCCACCTCACCAGAGATCTGTGCTGGAGTCAGAATTGGAATTTAGAGGCATGACTATTTAGAGATAACCAGAATTACTTGTTGGCAACTTGACGCAGAGGCCCAGAGCTCCATCTCTTCTCAAGTGTCTGGCCTTGACGACTTTTACCAGGTGTTTCAAGATGCACCCCTGGGTTCGTTGGGTAATGGACTGAAACCAAATACAACTGAGTCAAAAATGGATCTTCACCGTCTTCTCTCCCTTCCAGACCATTCCCCTAAATGATGAGGTGACCTTTGCAATAGAGGAGAAGAAGGCTCCTCTTCAGCAAAATACAGCTGCCACTGAGCCTTTTACCTCTATCAAGGGTGGAAATAGAGCAGTTCAGGATTATTCCCCGTAGCAAGAAGATGGATGGCTTCTTGGCTTCTGTGGTTTTCAAGCCATTTATCATTTTGGGGAGGGGGAGTATGAACATCAGTCAAACATCACATCAGACTCAGTTCTAAGAACTCCCACCTAGCATGACATCAGGAAGCATGTTCGAGGGGTCGTATTATCTAGAAAGGAACCAGAGGAATTGCCTTCCCTCCCCCTTTTTCCACAACATGTCTCTGAGTTTGTGTAGTGGAGAAAATGGTGGATTCGCAAGTATCAGAGGGAAAGAAGAATTTATGGAGGTTTTAGGAAAACACTTTCGCACTGTGAGCTAGGACTTGAAAGTAAGAAGGCTGACTTTTTAACAAGCGTAGAAACACTTAAAAGCCAGAATTAGTGCTGCCCTTTAGGGCAGTCACCCTGGAAGGCTGCACACTGATTCCAACAATGTGGCCATAGAAAGTTCTTCTTTGGAATTGCTTTTCAAAGCCTTTTGAAAAGAATTTCCTCCAGAGTGGCAAATCTTTGTCCTTTGACCATGGATCAGAGTTTTAACAAGAGCCAATGTCGTTTGGAGAGGAGTGAAGCAGGGGACTCAGGTGGAGAATTGGGACCACTTTTTTTTTTTTTATGGAAAGCACAGCATGGCCATGAAATAAGGAGATTTATCTTCTATATGATTCATAGGCTTTTCCAGATTATTTTGAAAGGATGGCTAGGATTTGGTAAATGATGCTTCTAGCCATGAGACAGAGGGAGGCCTCTGTGATGGGGGACTTGGGGAGATAACCTTCAGGGGTAACTCTAGTCACTGACTGATTGATTTGTTCTCACTCCTGTAATATTCAGACCTTTGTCTCTGAACTGCTTCCCCTGCCTCCTCCTCCTCCTCTGACCTATACTATTGTTAGGACTGGAGATCTTCCTTATGTCCTGATTCTCTCCTTACAACCTCATCTAACAAGCATGGTGTATAGAGTGCATGTTATAATAACAAATGATGGCATGAAAAATCACCCTATGTCAGTGGCCCAGGAAGCTACGGGCAGAATTTTGGAGCAGGGAGGAAAACTGAGAGACTCATTCCTCCTGAATATACTCCTGACTAGTAGCACTTCTTTCTTTCCACATCTGACTTTTACATGTTTACTACCTGGAAAATCATGTCTCAGAGTCTCTCATCTGCTTTTTACACTCCTTAAAATTTTCTTCATATCAAACTGACATATGTTGATAGTCAAAAATTATCAAATCATTCTAAAAAGCTTATTTCAACAACAGCAGTCTCTGGCCACATTCTTCTCCACCCCCCAGACCCATTCACAAGAAGAAGCCACTTTCAGCACTTCTAGCTGCTTCTGCTATTTAAAATAGCATGTACATATTGAGTGCACTGCACATGATATCATAATTGATCATTTGCAGATACTGTCTGCTAACTTCCTGTTATAGTGACTGAAAATTTAGCTTAATATTGATTTACATTGCTATTTATTCTTTTGGAATGCTCTTAGGATCTTCTCTTTATTCCTAGTATTCTGGAAGTTCATGATGAGAGAGAGAGAGAGAGTGTGTATGTGTGTGTGTGTGTGTGTGTGTATGTGTAGCTATATATAGATTCATTGTGCTTAACACCCTATAGGCTTTTCTAGTTTGGAGTCACTGTCCTTTGGTTCTGAGAAACTTTCTATTAATTATTTAATAATTTCTTCTCTATTATGAGAACTCCTATTGCTAAGATTTTAAGGCCAGGTGTGGTGGCTCACACCTGTAATCCCAGCACTTTGGGAGGCCGAGGCAGGAGACTTGAGCTCAGGAGTTCTCGGCCAGCCTGGCAACATAGTGAGACCCTGTCTCTACAAAAAATAAAAATAAAAAATTAGCCAGGCATGGTGGTACGCACCTGTAGTCGCAGTTACCCAGTAGGCTGAAGCTGGAGGATCACTTGAGCCTGGGAGATCGAGGCTACAGTAAGCTATAATTGCACCACTGCACTCCAGCCTGGGCAACAGAGCAAGACCCTGTATGAAAAATAAATAAATAAATAATAAATAGAAAGATTTTAGAGCTCTCGAATTTGGATATTTTCTCTCCCAGATTTTGTTTTTTATTAGGATGCATTTACTAAGGGATTTCCTTAAGTTTATATTCCAGCCCTTCTACTGCATCTTTTACTATCATATTAAAAATTTTAATTCCAAGAGCACGTTTTTCATCCAGATATTCCTTTCTTGTAGTCTTCTGTTCTTTTTTCAGGAATGTAATACATCCTCATATCTCACATCTTTCCCTGTGTTCCCTGAATTGCCTTTGGTTCCTTTTGTTTTTTGTTTTTTTTTGTGTTGCTGTTTTGGCTTCTGTCTTTAATGTTGGATGCTTTGGTCAGGGGAAGGGGTTTGTTGATTAGTGGATTTCACTACCCAGTCAACTCCTGAGCCTTCATTTTATTAGAGAATCCCCAGAAGCTGGAATCTGGAGATTTCTCTGGAACCATTCAGAGTGTGGAGAGAAGAATCCTATCTTCTCCTGCAAAGATAGGAGGGAGGTTGTGATGGGGAAAGGGAGAGTTTACGCATGGCCACTGGTATTCTAGGAATAGAAAAGGGGAAGGAAGGCACCTGACCGCCCCTCACCTCTGCACTCCATTTTGCCTCCTCTCCCCAAACTGGAGCTTCTTTCATTGAATTTCTCTGGAGAACAAGCCTCTGGTCTCTACAGGGAGGAGCACAGTACGGAGGAAGATACTTGGCTGTTCAGTTGCTCTTGCTTTCTTTTTTTTTTTTTTCTTTTGAGACGGAGTCTCGCTCTGTCGCCCAGGCCGGAGTGTAGTGGCGCAATCTCGGCTCACTGCAAGCTCCGCCTCCCGGGTTCACGCCATTCTCCTGCCTCAGCCTCCTGAGTAGCTGGGACTACAGGTGCCCACCAACACGCCCAGCTAATTTTTTGTATTTTTAGTAGAGACGGGGTTTCACTGTGTTAGCCAGGATGGTCTCGATCTCCTGACCTCGTGATCCGCCCACCTCGGCCTCCCAAAATGCTGGGATTACAGGCGTGAGCCACCACGCCCGGACACCGCTTTCTAAAGGCTTTCAAACAATCCGTGTTTTCAGTGCCACACCATATTCCTGCCTTTATTGGCACCTGGAGTCTGCAGTCACTTAGTCTCCCAGGAATTTTGTGGGCCAAATCGACTGGACTCTGAGTGCCCTCTCCCCACTGACAGGGACATTTAGGGTTCAGCTTCTCTTCCTCAGCTCTGCCAAGTTAGTTACCAATCCTCTGTTTACTTTTCATCTTGAAAAGAGTTTGACGTCTCTTCTCTACCGTGGTCTTTTTTCCAATTCTCTTTGTCATTGTGGGTTATAACCTATTTTTATTGTTTTTTGGTCATTTTGGTAGGATTTTGGGGAAAAGGGAGAGAAATACTTGTGATTGATTCATCGTGATTTACTGCAACCCTATCTACTTCCCAAGAGCAAAGAATTCTTCCAAGAAACATGAGCTAGTTTTATTCCTTTTAATTGAAATATCCTTTGTTCTTTTCTCCCTTGTGCCTCTTGGGGGGATTCCCACACACACTGAGATCCTCTAAGACAGAACTGAAAAGGAAAACTTGGAGTATTTTACCACATTACCACAACTCTTCCTTTAGGCCTGGCTCTGGGATTTTGGAAAGATGAACTCGTTCAAGCATTTTTTCTCAAAAAACTTTTAGACATTATTTCTGAGCTATGTATACTTTTATTCAGTGGACCTTCCTGAATATCATTTGATTCCTAAATATTCTTCTTAAATGTCCCCCTAAATGGATAAATGGTTCAATGTTTTGAGTCTGACATATGAACTGGGCAGGAAGGAAGACTGGGTGTTATGAGGTAACAAGTAAATATCAGAGTTAGTGGTAACAACATTTAATGATAGGACTTCGTGTGGTGACTTCCAGAAATTTTCCAGTAAGTTCCAGAGCCATCATCTAGGGCAAATGCAAATTCAGGCATAGGGACTCAGATAAGAGGAACTTCAGGAGGACTTTCTAAGGAAGCAACATTTGAAATGGGACTTTCCAGACAAAGGGACCAGAAGTGCAAATGCCTTGCATTTCTGCCAGCAATCTTGGCATGATCAAGGAACCAGAAGAAGGTTAGTATACCTGAAACATTGTAAACAGAGAGAGTTTTCAAGTGAGGAGATGTAATCAGAGAGGCCATCAGCAGCCAGATTAAGTTGGGTCTTATAAACCCTGATAAGGAGTTTAGCTTGTGTTCTAAGTGGATTGGGAAGCCACTGGAGGATTGCAGGCAAGAAAGTGATTGATCTGATCTGTGTTTTAGAAAGAGCACTGTGGTGGAGGATGGTCTGCTGCTAGGTAAGAGTAGAAGTAGCAAGACCAAGACAGGAAGTTATTGCTATAATCCAGATGAGAGACAATAGTGGCTTGGAATTAGGGAGTGGTAAAAGAGATGGAGAGAAATAGATAGACTTGTTATATGCTACAGTGGTAGAACCCACAGGACTGCTTAGTGGATTGTATATGAGGAGTGAAGTCTGATGTGATCCTAGATTTATTTGGTAGTCTTTGACTGGTTCCCAGATTACCAGGATACTATACTTCTGAAACCCCTAGGATTGAGTAAGTGCCTCTTATAATTGATGTAATGGGAATTTACTGACAAATTCTGTACTTTAAGAACAGATAGAGAAACTTATTTTATTGATGATCTCCTCAAGTCTCCCAATTTTTTGGCTTTAAATACCTTCCATATGGCTAATGACTCCCACATTTATATCTTCAAATGGACTACTTCCTTGAGCTTCAGACTCATAGCCCCACTTGCTCACTTTCCATCCAAATGTGGCATATCTAAAACTGAGCTCATGATCTTTCCAACCAGCAGCCCCTACAGTCTTTCTCATCTCAGTTAGGGCAGCTCCATTGCTCCAGTTATTCAAGCAAAGGCATTGGAGTCATCCTGAATACTCTCTTTTTCCCTCTCTCTCTTACATAATATATATAGTCTTTTAGGAATCCTACATTCAAAATATATTCAGAATTGGCCACTCCTCACTGCCTTCCAGTGCCACCACCCTCATCTAAACTGCCGTTATCTCTCATCTGGATCCCTGCAAGGGACTTCTAACTGTCCTTGCCACTTCTGCCTTGCCCTCTGTGTTCTACTCTGAATGTATCAGTCAGAGTGATCTTTTAAAAATATCATAAGTCCCTTCTTAGTCTGTTCAGATTGCTATAACAATACCGTAAACTAGGTGGCTTATAAACAACAGAAATTCATTGCTCAGAGTTCTCATGGCTGGGATGTCCAAGACCAAGATGACAACAGATTTGGGTCTGCTGAGGGCCCACTTCCTGGCTCACAGATGATGCCTTCTCTCTGAATCCTTACAGGATTACATGGCAGAAGGGGCAAGAGTGCTCTCTGGGGTCTCTTTAATTAATATAAGGGCACTAATGTCATCATGAGGGCAGAGCCCTCACTATCTAATCACCTTTCCTAAAGCCCCAACTCCTAATATCATCACATTGATGAGGCCTCAATATATGAATTTTGAGGGGACACAAACATTCAGAACATTGAAGGTCTCATAACCTTTCTGTATAATATGCCCTAGTGACTCTTAGTTTTCCTCAGCATAAAAGCCAAAGGTCCTACATGATCTCATTCTTTGACCTTAGCTCCTACTCAGGATATTAGGAAATACTTTCTTTCAAGGCTCTGTGCTAAAAAAAAGTTTATTATGAGACATCTTTAATTGAGTTTTCATTCTTCCCCCAAAACATACACAAATAAAAGAAATAATGGTCCTACATTTTGGCTATAAATATTTCCATAAACAGAGTATGTCCTTTAAAGGAGTTGAAATGACTAGTGAGCCATAATTTAAAGGGTGGTAAACAGTGGGTAGGGGGCAGCATATTGGAATTGTATCTTAGAATCCTTGGCCAAAGAAAATGTACACAAAAGAATTACAGAATTCCCCTTTCCCCTCTTCTGGTCACTTTGTTTATTCCATTTTGTCTAGATTGATGAGGCTATGTGACTTCAGCTTGTAACATTTAATTTATTGCTGCTAATTTTTATTAGTTTATAAATATAAGCTATTAATTTTTTAGTACTTTGAGAAGAAAAGAGAAAAATCTTTGGACTGATTAGGAGTATATTTTAAGGGCAGGATCCTGGAATAGGGTGCCTGGAACAATGTCTAGTGACCACTTTGTATTTTCCTTCAAAAACTGGTGTTACATGATAATTAGCCTTAAAAACTGGCAGAATGTGATCAAATTTAGGATAGGTGGCATTGAGGCATTACACTAAGTAATTTTGTGTTTAGGTCATTGTAGCAATTGTGTTGAAATTACTGTATCTTCATGGCCAAATCTCTATTATGGTTAAGGAAGAATTTTATCTAATATCCATAATTAGGAAATAGTGGTCAAAGAGATTCATTATTTTGACCTATATTTTTCTGGTACAGAATAATCATTTGTTAATTTTTGTTCAAAATGAAAATGAGCTGAAGTTTTTCTGATTATAAACTTAAAACAATTCAGATGATACACAAAAGTCTAAAGAAAAATCAAAAATCAGAATCTCTCTTCCCAGAGATATCTATTCTTAATATGTAAGTCTATTGCTACCATATTTTTTCTGTTTTTTAATATATAAACCTAAAGTGGGATTGTAACTCTACATACTGTTTTACAGCCTCCTTTCTACTTAACCGTGTATCAAGAACATATTTATACGATAGCAAATTTGGATCTAAATAACCCCTTTTAATGGCTACATAATAAATGATAAAGATGCCTTTTATTTTTTCAAAACATATACTGGTAGAAAAATGAATCTAGCTTGCCTTAAAGATTTAAAAGGTATGCAATTGAAGAAATATAAGGACATTCTATTTTGCTGACATGTAATATCAACCATTAAACTAAAAGGACCTTTAAATCTTTTTAACAAAATTTCACTATAGTCTTCATTACTGAATGAGCAAATTTGCGTCTGTGGCAACTACAACAAGTATTTATTGAACACCTACTAAGTGCCAGCACTGATCTTGTTGGGGATATTTTGATGAATTAGATAGGCAAGATCCCCGCTCAAAGAATTTACATTCTGGAGGGTCAGAAGCAATAAGAAATTGTAAGAAATAAGAAAACTATCAGATATTGAAGCATATATGGTATTATGTTTTCATGATAAAATTGAAACTGACATTTTGGTCTTGAATTCTGCAGATTGAGTCAAATTATATATTATAATTATATTTTCAGGTTTGAAGACAGTGAAAAACAAATAGATTATAAGTCATTTTTCTCTGCCCTGAACTGGAGAAAGAATCCAGTGCCTGAATTGCAACCAGCATCATACCTTAAAGAGGTAAAATGAATACCTATTTTAAAAACCATCTATGGTTACTTCCCTTGCATGTTTAATATCCTTTATCTTTAAATTATTTTTCATTATAAAATATTAACATCAGTGCTTTTGGAAAGAGTGCTTATGTGTTTCTGGGCATTTGTGTTAAAGGTTAATTTACTTTCCATGCTGAGCAAACATCTGCTCTGTAAAAGCATGACTTTTCTTATGCAGCTGAATTTTTTTTAACCTCGATCGCATCCAATTATATGGAAAATAGGATAATAGGTTACAGTTATAAATAGATATAAACACTGTTATCAAGGGATTCTGGTAACATCATCATAAGCCACAAGAGCAAATCTCAAATGGTGCCTATGGCAAGAATCCCTAGGGTATCCGGGTATCCGCGGCTGTGCACACAGGTTTGCCATGGGTGAAACAATAGAGAATGGGGATGCACATTTCACAGTGAAACCAAATTTAAAATCAAAATTCTGTAGAAAAATGCTTGGTTAGGGAAAACAAAGTTCACATGATCAGATGGTGCTCTCAACATTGTGGAATTGTCTGAATTCTCTAAGATCTCTTTGGACTAATTGTCTTTAAGAAGTGGGTGGGTGGGTGGTGGTTTGTTTGTATTTTAACATGCTCCAGAAATTGATTTTCTTGGGAAAGTCCCTTGATAAAGCAAATGTCATGTGGTTGATACTCCCAGAAAGGAGGCATTTATTTCTCCTGGTCTCTGCTGACCAGCTCATTCTGGCTGGAGCTGGTCTAGTGCCTCTGGGAGTTCCCTCAGGCATGCAGCTACTCCAAGGGCAGCCATAGAACTTCCAGATGGTTGGGGGAAAGTAGTAGCCTTTGGAGTCAGACAGAGCTGGGTTTGAATTTTGGCCCTGCCACCTACTTAGCTGAATGACTTTGGGTCAGTTAAGTTACTTATCTTGTTGATTTATGAATGTAATCCCCAGATAAATCAGGATTAAGTATTGACTCTCATCAGGTTCTCTGCTGTAGGCTGGGGTCCAGAGACAAACATTGTCACTGCTACCTTTGAGGGGCCCACTACTGATGGGGGAATTGGTACGTTCGTGATTTGGAGTGTGGCATGATACAGCCTGCATGGGATTCTATGGGATGAGGTGGTAGCTGCTTCTAAACAGACTGGGGGGGAACAGGAAGTATTTTCAGGGGAGGTGACATTTGAAATTTCAATGATGAGTAGTAAGAGTTAGCAAGGTAGGAAAGTGACATGGTCTGGAAAAGGCATTTCCAACAGAATTCTCTGGACATGGGACAGCATGGCACTTGTACAGAACCAGGAGGAATTGGTGTGGCCAGAGCGAAGGCACATGGGGAAGAGGTGAAAAGGATGAAGCTGGAGATACCTGTAAGGGTGACATTTGAATATTGTCCTGCGAGGTCTGGAGACCACTGACTAACTTCAAGGAAGACAGCAACATGATCAAGAGTGCCCTTTACAGGGAACTTGCTTTGGCTGGATGGTGGGTAGACTGGAGATGGAGTCTCACTCTGTCGCCCAGGCTGGAGTGCAGTGATATGATCTCAGCTCACCACAACCTCCACCTCCCAGGTTCAAGCGATTCTCCTGCCTCAGCCTCCCGAATAGCTGGGATTACAGGTGTGTGCCACCACATCCAGCTAATTTTTGTATTGTTAGTAGAGACAAGGTTTCACCATGTTGGCCAGGCTGGTCTCGAACTCCCGGCCTCAAGTGATCTGCCTGCCTTGACCTCCCAAAGTGCTGGGATTACAGACACGAGCCACCACGCCTGGCCATGGAGGCTCTTGTCCTGTTGTCCCCATACATAACAGCAAACAAAGCATTTACTGTGTGCCAACTACTGTTCTAAGATCTCAAAATCACCTAGCTTATTTAATCCTCTTAGCAATCATAGGTGCATTTATTATTCCCAGTTTAGAGATGAGGAAGTTAGGGAAACAGCAATGTAAGGCAGAGTCAGAATTTTAACTCAGGTCTCTTGCTGCAAAGAATACAAAAGAAAACTGTCCTTTAAATATAATTATTTTTGAAGACAATGGATTGGATTAACCCAAATCTGAAACACTATCACAAAAACAAATCAATACTGTCATTTGCCCTGATAACCCTTTCATTCTCATCCATGTGAATATTTAATTTTTACATACAAATAGAAACATGGTAGATGGGATTTACATTCTTCTACCTTTTTGTTGAATGTTCTAGTAGTCTATATTGACTGTGTCCCTGTGTCCCTTTAGCACTGCTCTCCAGAGCCCTCTACCGTGCTCTGACCCTGCCCAGGCCAGTCCTTGGCAGCTGACCTTTGTAGGCACATCAGTGGGTCCCCTAGGCCTCCAGTTGGGTTGACCAGTGGGATGCACCAGCAGGAGAGTAGAGGGTGAAAGGAGAGAGAAATCTTCTTCCTCCCTGCCAGTCACAGCAGATTGACGGCCTCCTCCTTCCAAAGTCCACAGCACTTGTCTAGAGGCTCTTTGCATATGGCTGGTCACTCCAGGCGCTGGTAACCACCCTCATGTGCCCCTTCAGCCTCAGGTGGTAGTAATGGCTCCCTGCTGTTATAAACCCAGGGGACTAGCCCCTATTGGTTTTTCTAAACACTTCCCACAACTTTGTAACTAGTCACTTTATTAAACTCTTCTCGATTTCCACAGTTTGTATATGTCTGCCATTTCCCATGAGCCCCTGAATAATATACAGGACATACCTATTTTTGCTATAAGCCTTTGTCATTGTTTTCCTTACTTTCTACTTCTCTCTTTCCTCTTCCATTCCACTCAATCCACCACCCAAATGTTTACCTCTGTGTTGGGGGTTTTATCATTTCCTCATGTATTGTATGAAAATAAGATCATACCACATGCATTTATCTGGAGTGTGCTCTTCTTTCTTAATCGTGGAAAATTTCCCTAGTTTAATATGTATAGACCTAAGCCATTCTTAATAGCTGTGGTATGAATATATAATAATTTATTAATCTCTTTTTTTTTTTTGAGACGAAGTCTCACTCTGTTGCCCAAGCTGGTGTGCAGTGGTGTGATCTCGGCTCACTGCAAACTCCATCTCCCAGGTTCAAGTGATTCTCCTGCCTCAGCTTCCTGAGTAGCTGGGACTATAGGCACACGCCACCATGCCTGACTAATTTTTTTGTATTTTTAATAGAGACAGGTTTTCACCATGTTGGCCACGCTGGTCTTGAACTCCTGACTTTGTGATCCGCCTGCCTCGGCCTCCCAAAGTGCTGGGAGTACGGGCATGAGCCACCGTGCCTGGCCCTATTAATCTGCTCTTTATTGACAGGCATTCAGGTTGTTTTTACATATTTTGCCTCTGAAAACATATTTTACTACTTTAATTTTTATTTTCCTGATGACTATTGAGTTTGAATGAGATCCTGTCATCTTTTTGTACTACAACCTACAGTAAGAAAGATTTTTTTTCATAACAACACAGTATGCAGATATATAATGGAACAAAAATTTCACGGATTAATATTGTTCTGACTACATGTGGTGCAGTATGATACATTTTCTTTTTTCATTTCTCTCTTCCTTTCTTTTCTTTTCCTTTTTCTCATTCCCCACCACCTCTTTTTCTCCTCTCTTTTGAATGTTGTTCGTGACCCATTAAATTGATTTCATGACCCACAAAAAGATCACCATCCACACTAGAAGAGAAGTCACTGCATGGGAAGGCCAAAGATCCACTCTGCCTTTAATCACCCCTCCCCAGTTTCATCACTTCAACTCTGTCAACTGGGACAGGTATCGAGCTGTGGACCTCAGATGCTTTTGAGAGGCAATGTGGAACAGAAGGTCTCCAATCACAGGGACCCTAGTTCAAATCCTTAGCTCTACGATCAACTAACTGGGTGACTTTTTACAAAGCACTCAACCTTTCAGGTTTTCCCATCTCAAAAATGGTGATAAGAATAGTTCTTCCATTAGGGTTGTGAGGATTAAGGAAGTCAATATACACAAGTCACTTACCACAATACCTCTCCCATAGTAAGGGCTTAAGTGTTAGATGCTATTATTTTCTGTAAAATTGAGATGTCTTACTTTCCTCAAGTCAGGGGGCTGGGCAGTCCCTGCCAAGGTTAAGATGGGAGATTCTATTCTTTAATGGCAAGAGAATGGTTCTAGGCCAGGAATGTCACATCAGAAACAGCTGTGCTTCAGCACTAGGTTCTTCTAATTGCGATTCATTTACGGTGAGAAATTTACTCATAGGGCCTCATCATTTCTGCTGATAAAGCCTAGAAATATTTCAGTCTGCAGGAGGCATTCAGAAAGGACTATTCTTTTTCAGCCAATTAAAAAGAAAAGAAAATAGATATAAAATGGTACCTGATCAATTTCACCAATAATGAGAATTTAACTAGATTCCAAAGAGTTCGAAGCACTCTGGTACTGATAAGCTTGTTATTATTTCATAAAGAAGACATAAAATACCTTGGGAATGTTACCAGTGAGTCTGTAATCTCATGTGAAAATATTTAGCATGAAGGGGTTGAGCACAATGTTGAATAGTTTATACAGTAGAATACAGGAGCAAAAAGTATAATATCTACTGACCCATGTAAGTGTGCTCAAATGTTATTAATAATGTTGAATAATGCCCTGAAACACTGCTGGGTCAGAGTTTGTCACAGGTGGGGTTCTCCAGGAAGCAGATGGAGTCTAATGTGCAGGATGTTTTTTTGGGAGTGTCCTTGGGATCAACTCCCATGGAAGGTGGGGGAAAAAAAGAAGAATGGGCAGAGGGAGAAGTCGAACTGTGATGGAAGCCCAAAGATATCCTTGGCCAACCCATAGGGAGCTCTGGAGTTAGCATGTCTTTTCAGCGTTGTCCTGAGTTGGGCCAGAATGGCCTGGCCTTTGTCCTGGTGGGTTGGTTCAAGAAGAGATATGACTTTGTGCAGCGTGGCTCTTTGTAGCCAAGACATGTTTGTAGCTCAGGAAATCCAGGAAGGGGACTCCCAGCAGCTGGGCCACCAAATCCCTCCTCAAGGGGATTCTGGGTAGTATATCACAGCTTGGCAACCAACTACTCTTGAAGCCCCTGTTGACTGTTCTTGGTATCAACTGAGAGCCTAGCAGTGTGACAGCCTCCTCCCCAGCTTGTTCCTTGGTTATTTCCTGATCTTCTATTCATGGTAGGGAACTGAGAGGAGAGTGGTTATGCCATAAGAGGCCATGGTGGAGTCAGACCAGATGTGTAGGTCCCGGGGGTGCAACTGGGCAGAGAAAACCTCCCAGTTATGACTTTGGGGATTGCCAACGTTTGGGGAGTCTTCCATAGCCAGCCAGTCACATGTAGGGCTTCAGGGTAAGATCCATCAGGTTGTGAAGGCACCCCAGCCCTGAGTGTGAAGTGATGAGACCAGAGGTCTTTTGAGAAGAAGGAATGGCAGGCTGAGCTCCCGTGTGGAAGCAAAGCTTAGATGGAGGCCCCAGGGTTGGGAAGCTGCACCCTTCCTCCAGTATATGAGCCGGACAGGCTGGCTTGGGTTAAAGTTTCAGAGGTGTTATGAAGAGCTCTGTAGAAGTTACCAGGACAGGCCACCACCTGGAACGTGGATATTTTTACTCCTGGGCTGCATATTGTCATCAGCAGGATCTCATTTCTGCACTGGGAATCTTCCTTAGAAATAAAAAAAACTTATTGGCTGATGAAAGCTGAGTAGGCTTCAGTACTAGATTCAACTCTAATTCTGTCTGCATCAGCGTGAATGGATAGGATGGATGTTATGGGTGGAAATTTGGGACACCTTCCCAGTCTAGTGTGACTAACCATCATGGGGTGAGAAGGGAGAGGTCAGAAACCAGGAACAAGACCACAGGCTTCAGCCAACCACAGGCTGAGTAGGGGTGTGGTCTGGTCCACAAGACTTGAGATTGGAAGGGAGTTCTAGCAGGGCATCCCTCCAAAACAGTGAGCATAGTGATGGGGAATCTTGAAGTTAGCACCATTCGGCAATCAGAGGGAGCCACTCAGCAGGCTCAGACCAAGCTTTCACCCTGCCAAGGGGACAGAGCTGGCTAAGCCCCTATACCCGTGAGGTTATAGCTGGAAATACACAGCATACTCAAAGGGATCCTGGAGATGGATTTGATAAAGGGACTGTTGACGGGGTGGGTAGGGTTAAGGGAACCAAGCGGGGCGGGGAGGGGGGTGGAGCACTCAGGGACTGGCAATAACGGGAGAAGCAGGGAGGGACTGGGGGACTGGTGTTATTGGAGCCCAGCAGAGGAGCTGGAACTATAGCAGCAGGTAGAGTAGTGTAGCCACTATAGCCACTCCCAAACCATGGCCTGGCAGGGAGGGAACAGGATGAAGGGAAGTGAAATCCATACTCTGACCTCTTGCTTCTCCTGTTTTCTGATCTCCTGATGCTGCTTCACATTGGCTGAACCCACCCAGAAGCCAGAGAGCAAGGAAGCTTGAGGAGTGATGCAATCCACAGAGTCAGTCTCCCAGGGCAGAAAGCAGAGTGAAAAGGGCAAAGAATGGATCTTGAGGGGCAAATGGAGACTGACCCAGCACAATCTATTTGTTACCAGAATAAAGCCTTGAGCTCAGAACAAGCCCCACAGCCAGGATAAAAGCTAGGTCTACACTAACTGCTTCTGGGGCTTGGTCTGCTGGATTTGAGGACCAGTTTCCTGGACTCAGAGGTGGCTCCCCTACATGTGCTAGTTAGGTGGCCTCAGCTAGTAAGAATAGGGGTCAACAACAAACAAGGAGAATTTAAAGAGTACTATAGTATAGCTAGTCTAGCTTTGATTAGTCCTACTGTCCTTTGGTGACAGGTTTTTCCTACATGGTTGGATGTAAGCCATCATCCATCATGACTGTCGGCTATGGCCTGTAGCCAATGGCCTGTAGCCTGGATTCTCATTGGACTCCCTTGGTTATCCCTCTGCCTGGCCCATCAGCAGCCCATGGTGAGCCATGGGGCTGTAATTTAACTCTCACTCCATTATGTGACTATCTATGGTCTCAGCATGTTGCCCTGGCACTGTCATGGCCTGGAGACCCCATTTCCATTCTATTGTGTTTGCTCACAGATGGTAGCTGTAAAACTGGCAGAATAGGTCCCACTGTTTAGAGCCTGTCTGGTTAATCTCAGAAGTCACGTTTTAAAAAATAACACTAAATCGGTTCTCATATAAACTTTATAACTTACACTGTGTGACTGGCGTCTTATCTTTTGACATTTCTGAGAAAAATTGGATGTGGCTTCATTTTATGAACATCGTAACTGCAGAAGCATTAGCAGTCAGCTCTAAAGCACTCTCTTTCACAATAGGATGATATACGGCCTTGGCATCAGGAAGTAGGGGGCAGTTGGGTACACCTTGGGAAACATCTTTGGACACCCGCCTTGTTGAGACTCTCCTTTTGGTATTTAGAGCATGGAATAACCTGTGACATTTTGTTGTCCCAACAATCTTGCAAGAATAAGTATTATCCCCAATTTATAGACAGGAAGCTGAGGCTCGGAGATATTCCTAATGGTAAGGATTGTATAGTCAGGGGCTGGTGCCAATTTTTTAAATAAGTAAAGTTATTTCTAATATTTGTGGTTGAATATAACAGTCGAAATAAAAGGTTGTTAACCATTCCTCTTAGACTTAAAAAATAACTGGCAAACACATACTGGTGACCTAACACAGAGCAATAACCTAGTAGGAAATGATACTCCTGGAATCCACTTTCATCTATAGCATCGGGTTATGTCCACTTGAATTGTACACATAAGCCTATCACTGAAGCTCAAAAATCCACATCTCCCTGAAAACTTTACTTGCCCTGCATTGCACTTCCAAGGAAAGGTTTTGTTTAGAAACTACGCCTGTCTTTTAGCTACAACTCACACATAGATGACAACTCTGTTGAAGCTTTGTCTAGGGAAAGGGGAGACAATCATGAAATATTGGCATTGCTGTAAAGTCAGAAATGTATAGAAATATAAGCTAATCTTCTGGTTTTATATATGAGCTTTTCCTTATGTTATCAGAACGCTCTTGATTATCTCAAGAAATATTCGCAAAATCCTCTTCCCCAAATTTATTTCAATTTGATTTGCTTAAAATTTAATTGCTTTTATGATTTTGTCAAACTAATTAGATTATTTCCAAAGCCATGTTAACTTTATTTGAAGGGAGAAAATCTGAGAAAAACACAATTTTAATACTATACACACCACTGGCCTTTTCCATAAATGTATAGATATTTCTCATAGAAACATCCTTTTCCTAGTGAATAGAGGGGAGTAACATGGTGAAATCACCAACATGACTCTATCTGCCTTGCATTTGGGAGGAATAAAAATAACCTTATTTCAGTGAAGCATGGAATTTAATTGGCTCCCGATCTTTTCCCCTCATGCATCTGGTGGCCAGTATTACAGCAGAAAATTTTAAACTAGAAGGAGACATAATCCAATTAAATTTCCTTTTAAAAATGTCAAAGCAAATAAATCTAGGGCCCATTAGCTCACACACAGCTTTGCTGTTCTCACTGGGCAGCTGCTGTTTACTGGGTTTTCATCCAGTGCCATCTTTGCTTCCCATTTCAAGGGTGTGCGATTTTACAGATCGGCAGCTACATTTTTTCACCACTGATGAACGAGTAATTTATTGCCAACTGGTTTGACATCTTAAGTGCCTCGAGTGACAGCCAGCTTGGAAGATGTCATAGGGCCTTCTTGGAGACAATGATTCCCAGACATTTTAGAATCATGATTTTTGTATCATTGAATTTCACTCTGCATTTCATAGTTCTTCCTTCTTCCAGAAAACACTATGTGGCATGTATTGTTTATGCTCCAGATTACATCAAGTTTTCTTCTGAGATTTGGGTGCTGTCTTTTGAGTTATCTGGAAGTGACTTGGAGACTCTGGATCCATCCAGTTTGCCAGGAAGTTGCTTTGTTTCAAGCTGTGCTGTGGCTTTCTTAAACATATTCTTAATTTTGATAAATGCAAAATTGCATAGAATCTACATCTGACTTCCTCTAGAAGCAGACTTGGAGACAAAGATTTAAGTGTAAATCATTTTTGGGGGAGGAGTGAAAACACTAGTAAGGAAGTGGGAGAGTGAGAAAGGAAAGGGAAGGAGCTACTAAAGGCATATTAGCAAACCAGTTACAAATGTAGATGATGTAGACGATTAAGAGTTTTGTTTTGTTTTGTTTTGTTTTGGGACAGGGTCTCACTCTGTCACCCAGGGTGGAGTGTAGTGGTGCGATCATGGCTCACTGCAGCCTTGAAACCCTGGGCTCAAGCAATCCTCCTACCTCAGCCTCCCAAGCAGCTGGGACTACAGGCCCACACCACCACACCCCGCTACTTTTTTTTTTTTCTTTTGTAGAGACAGGGTCTCACTATGTTGACCAGGCTGGTTCAGAAGTCCTGGCTTTAAGTGATTTCCTACCTCAGCCACCCCAAATGGTGGAATTGCAGGTGTGAGTCCCCACACCTGACCTAATGATTAGAGCTTAATGCAACTGGGAAACACTGACACTTCAGAGTCATCCCACCCAAAGTGCAAGGGAGCTGCGGTATTCATCCATCAACTCCCATCAGTCACTGTTTGAGGGCTGCTCTTGAAGTGGAGGAAAGGAAACAATTCCCTGGCACTTGTGGCTTGCCACAGGGACAGCCAAAGCAAGCCTCAGAGGCCAAAGAGAAGCCCAAGGGCAAAGGAACCCAGGTGCTGGCAGTTGGAAGTCAGATTGGTGTGCTCCAGAGTGGAAAGAATGAGGGGATAGGAAGGGGTGCTGGCAGAGCCTGCTGCACGTAGACAGTTAAGATCCCAAATTCCAAACCTGCACTGCCAGGAGAATCTGTTTTACAGAGACACAAGTAAGCTTGTTCTCACCTGGAATGGGTGGGATCAACTTCTGTGGATGACTCCTCCTGTTGTAAAAGTACCACGCAGTTATTCCCACTTAAAATTGATATGCATTGCTGGGAAAGCCATATGATATGAGTTTGCTTTGCATTGCATAGTGTAGGATTAATAAAAAGTCAATGAAGACAGTATTTTAACTCACTGCCCAGATTTTCATAAAGATTCTATAATATTTGGAACATTTGCAGATTTATTAGGAAGTACAATTAGGCAGTGGTAATATGTGGATTTCTTATGTTGCCAAAAATGTCTTCATTTTACCAAGGGGCTGGCCATGAGATTCCTTAAGTAAATCCGATTATAGACAAAATTATGAAGAAAGTGCCTTTCCCTCTACTTAATTGATGCCCCTCACCCCATCCCCTGAGCCTTGGAAACCTCCCCTGTTTCCTAACCTTCCTTTGGTCCCAAATTTGATTCCATTAGTCAATTGTAAGCCAATAGGTGTGATAATCTCCCTGAAATTGGGGGTTGGCAATAGATGGACCCACAGCACTGTTAATGTGCTTGTGGCATTTATGAAGTATTTGGACAGAAAGTCATTCCCATCTGGAACCTAAGGAAGAGTGACAAAAGGAAAAATAATCAAGGGAAGTGGTATTGATTCGAAAGAAAGAGCACAATGGGGCCGGCATAGTTAGGAGAGCTTTGTGAGAGCCATGGGGTTTAAAGTGGTCAGGATTTAAAGAAATGGACTGCTGTTATCTTTTCATCTTAAATTATCCTTAATTCCAAATCTCATGAATATTTACTTGAGTTTCCTTGTGCCCAAGTTGCTAACAAATTTGATCTCATCTCCAGATTCTTGAGTTGTCAAGATTGCATTTTAAGTTCTATTATTTTCTCTGTATTGTCAGCATTTAAATCACAATTCCTTGCTCAAAAAATACAAAAACAAAACCACTTTTGCTGACTCATAAGCCATGAGGCAGAATCTTCTAGTCCTGACCTGTTTCATAAGAGGATCCAGTCCCCGAATAATTTCATCATATTTATATGAGTTACATAATGCATTATTTCTGTGTTGAAAACTTTTATTTGGAAGACCTATTAGAGGATGGTGATTTTTGAAGGCATATATTTGTACTGTTTCTCTATAATGAGATTAAATTTACAAACATCACTTAAGAGCAAATATTGCTGTAAGTTTTGTAATGAAATTTTTGAGGACATGTTAAATAGTGGAGTTGAATGACTATTGATCTTAGCCTTCATTGATTAAAATATATTGTTTTGTGTGTGTGTGTGTGTGTGTGTGTGTGTGTAATGGTTTACTACTTTTTGGTGTAAGTAGTAAGTAGTAAAGTAGCAACTTTGTTTTACCAAGTTCCATGTGGTATGAGTTGCACAAAACACCCCTTAGGAGTGGGTTTAGCCATCAGCCGTCTGAATGGTGATTTCCCTCTTCATACTGCCAGTTGGTGGTTTGGGCTCAACTTCTGAGAGGCAGCATCCTTGAGAGAGAAGAGTAGTGTCGCTTCAAGAACTGCCTTGTTTTCTACTTAACTTTTCTTGTTGGAAGTGTGAGGACCAAATGTAGCTATGTAGGACGAAAGCCAGCTGCTTCTGAATAGATCCTTGTCAGCTCTGGAGGGTAGCCCCGCAGACGAGCATAGTTCCGCAGCTCCACTGCCCAGGTTATTATAATCCAGGCTTCTCCACTGACTGGAGGTTTGACTTGAGACAATCTATTTAATCCTTCTGTGTCTCAGTTTCTTTTTCTGTAAATAGATTATCATCATAATACTTATCTCGTAAGGGGTTTCTGTGATGATTAAATAACTTAATACATGTAAAACACTTAAAAGAGTATCAGCCATGTAGTAAATATCCAATAAATTTATTGTTATTCCTATTACTACTAGGTAATTACAAGATTCCTATCTATAACCCTGCACAAATCTGCAACTAGTTTATCATCATCATAAATCATCTCTGAAATTAAGGTTTTACACCTGAATTAGAGATGCTGGTACTTAGTTCTCTTCTGATTCTATGACAATGTTATATTTCATATATGACTCATATTTCAGTGACTTCTATATCTTTGCACAGTTCTGGATTCTAGCTCTGTGCTATATAGAACCGTATTTACAGATGTTTACCAGAATCTTCACCTTGATGTCCCATGGACACCTGAAAGAAAAAATGCCCACAGTTGAACTTAGAATTTCCCTCTGAGCCTTGTTTTCCTACTAAAAAATGTTTTTCAACTTTTCCTGCTTTCCTTATGATATAACACCGGATTGAATATTGTCCCCTCCAAAACTCATGTCTACCCTAAACCTCAGAATGTGACCTTATTTGGAAATAATCTTTGCAGATATAATTAATTAAAATGAAGTTATGCTGGATTAGAGTGGACCCTAAATGCATTGATTGGTGACTTTATAAGAAAGCTGCGTGAAGACATATTGGTATACACAGAGAACACCATGTGAAGTTGGAGGCAGACGTTGGAGTGATGTGCTTACAAGCCAAGGAATGACTGCCAGCCACCACCAGAAGCCAGGAGAGAGGCATGGAATAAATTCTTCCTTAGAGCCTCCAGAAAGATCCAACGCTGCCAACACCTTGGTTTTGGACTTCTGGCCTTCTGAACTGTGAAAGAATAAGTTTCTGTTGCTTTAAGCCACTTACTTTGTGGTACTTTGTTACGGCAGCCCCAGGAAACTAATAACAGACACTGTCAACTATTACTGAATTTAGAATTCTTAGAACCATCCTTACCTGTATTAGTTTCCTAGTGATGCCCTCACAAAGTACCACAGACTGAGTTGCTTAAAACAATAGAAATTTATTCTTCCACAGTTCTGGAGGCTAGCAGTTCAAAATCTAGGTGTCAGCAGGGCCATACTTTCTCTGAAACCTGTGTGGGAATCCTTCCCTGCCTCTTCCTAGACTTTGATGGTTTTCTGGCAATCTTTGGCGTTCCTTGGTTTGCAGCTGCAAACCTCTAATCTCTGCCTCTATGGTCACCTGGTGTTCCCCCTGTGTGTCTCTGTCTTTACCTGGCTGTCTTTTTATAGGGAGGCCAGTCATATTGGATTAGGGGCCCACCCTACTCCGGTATGATCTCATTTTGCTCATCTTAATTTACCTAATTACATCTGCAAAAACCCTATTTCCAAACAAGGTCACATTCTGAGGTACTAGGGATTAGGACTTCACATAACTCTTTTGCATGAGGACACAACTCAACCCATAGCACTACACCTTTCTTTTGTCACCATTTCAAGTTGATCCCCTTCTAGCTATTTCATGTTCTCCTGCAGCAGCATCTCTCAGAGTAGCTCCTGTCCTCCATGCCCGCTTCAGCCACCCTGGTTATGGCACAGTCATTTTTCTGCGGTATTATAGTACTCACCTCCAGATTGATTTTCTTACTTCATGTCATTCTCTGTACATCCAGCAAGTTAGCTAATCAGTTTCTAATCAGATTTCTGTCATTTCCCTGGCCAAGACCTACCAGTGACTTCCCCTAACCACAGCCTCAAGTATAAACTAGCACAGAAGGCCAGAAGTTTGGCCCCAGCTTCTCCTTCTAACCATCTCTCTTGCCACTTTGCACCATGTGCCGCAAACCACACTGGGCTACTCACCCTTTCTTGAAAATAGATTTTAGATCTCCAGGCCTTTGCTTACGCTGGTCCCTATGCCTGGAATACCCTTCACAACCCTAAACCCTCTGCTGAACTGTTTTTCATCCCATAAGGTGCAACTGAATCACCACTTATTCAGCTTGCTTCCAAAATTCCATCACATCAAATTATTGAGCCTTTACCTATGTTTCTGTGACACCTTGTGATTCTGGATACTAATGTAACACTAGTAAAGATATAGAACCTCTTATATACAACAATTAACCTTGACAGTCATATTTTAACCTTGAAAGTAGAAATATAAGCAACCATATGTATGAACTTTGCCTCCTGTTGATATTAATTAACCATTGAGGCATATGCAAAAAGTTTGTGTGTGTGTATATACACGTATTTATGTATTATATAAAATGTGCATCTGTGTGTGTATATGTGTACACACACACACACAAATAAAGTGGCTTATCTGCAAGATCATACTGTGAGTGATCCAGTGTTCTTTTCATTGTTTACTGAAGAAACAGTAACCAATCAGCCAGTATAGATACCAGTTTGTATTTTAAAAATTGGGTTCTTTAGGCAGCAGTTCACGTCTGTAATTCCAGCACTTTGGGAGGCTGAGGTGGACATATAACTTGAAGCCGGGAGTTTGAGACCAGACCAGTCCGGCCTATATGGCGAAACCCGTCTCCTAGAAATACAAAAATTAGCCGGGCATGGTGGCATGTGCCTGTAATCCCAGCTACTCGGGAGGCTGAGGCATGAGAATCACTTGAACCCGGGAGTTGGAGGTTGCAGTGAGCAGAGATTGTGCCAGTGTACTCCAGCCTGGGCAACAAAGTGATACCCTGTCTTTAAAAAAAATAATAAAATAAAAATAAAAATTGGGTTCTTAAGAAAGTATAGGAGGATCTATCAGCGTATTCATGCTGCATAACAACTCCTTAAATTTCAATGGTTCACAACAAGACACATTTCTTTTTCTTGTCTATGGGCATGTAGGTCAGTGAAGCATGGCTGGATTCAGCTAAGCTTGGCTCTTAGTCCGCAAGTCCAGCCTGGTCTGATCCACCTTGGTCATTCTAAGAACAGCAGCATCCTGGGCCATGTTCTTTTCATGGTGATGGCAGAGGCACAGAAGGCCAAGCCAAATGATGCCAGCACGCTAGAGCCTCTGTCCATGATATGTCTGCTAATAGTACATAGGTCAAAGCCAGTCATGTGGCCAACCCCATATCAAAGGAACAGGAAAATATACCCTTCTTACTCCACAGGAGGTTCTACAGAGTCATATGACAAAGAGTGTGGGCACATAATTCTTATACAGGGAGGGAATGAAGAATCAAGAACAAGTATCCAGTAGACCACAAAGTCCTTATGAACCTAAAGTAGATGGTAGAAATTTTCACTTTGCAAATAAACTGGTGTTGAATTTTCAAAACTGTACTTTGAAATGTGGTTCTAATCATATCCATTTTTGGTTTTTTTCTAGAGATGTGAAGATGTTTGGCTTGGTATGCCATCACCTATTCCTGCGAAATACATTGACTACTGGACCTTTTTGAAGGACGCGTTTGGCTTAGAGGAGGAATAACCATGCCAGTTTTGGTCAATTCTCTATGATTTACTTCTCTCATTTTGCCACATTTACTTTAGTAGATATAATTTCATTAAAAACAAAAAAGAAACAAGGTTTATATTAAATGGAAATCCATAAACCACAATTAATCCTATTTTGTCATGTTAGTTTTACAGAACATCATGTTACATTGCCGACGTACTGTTACTATTTAAAATGCCATCTTAAAACATGTTGAATATTTTTATTATATGTATGGTTTATTAATACCAAAAAATCTTCTGATAATTTTTGATCCAACATAATTTGATTCATTACTATATGAACAGAAAATGACTTTTGAAGGTTATACATGACAATACAAAATCAAATTATATCACAGCAATAAGTTGTGATTCTATTAAACATTTTTGAAACCTTTTTGACACGTTTATTACTTACATAATTAAGTTTTGTAGCAACCCACCTCATCAAAATAATTCTTAAACCTCTCTAGAGTAAATATATTTATCTTTTGAACTTAGTAAAGCTATGGGAAGAAAAAGAACCTCCAACACACACACACACACACACACACACGCACGTGCACACACACTGGAAACATATGCAGTATTTATATTTGTAATGCCCTTTTTTCTATCTAAAGTCAGCTTGTTAGCTTAGGAATATATGCATGTGTGTATAATTATAGTTTGACCAAAACTTTATTATGTCTAAAATATTTACAAATGTGAAAGCTGAAGATTTTGAGATTTTTGTTTTTTTTTTGGTTTGTTTTACACACACATCCCACGCGCCCCACCCTAGAGGTTTAAATATTCAGAAACTACAACATTTTTCCCCTGCATTTTTCTAGTTCTATTTTTATTTTTCTTCAGCAGAACTCTTGTCATGTAGTGTACATTTGATTAAAACCCATAGCCATGTACCTCTGGGAATTCAGTGTAAGAAGTCTATCCCAGTCTATGCCATTGTTCAGTGTTGGATGCTATGTATCATAAATCCATTTGCCTGGTGTTCTGGGAGACAATGGAGGTCTCAAAAAGGAGCTGCACCATTTACCTTTCAGGGACTACCCTGAGAAAAAGAAGAGCTGATGACATCTCAAGGGACCCTTCGGACTCATTATTCTTTCACTCCACATTTGCAGCAGTGTCTTGCTGGCTTCTTGGCACTCAAATGTACCAATTTATTCTCCACAACAATGGCCCTTTCATTTTTAAAAAATTGGAGTTAATCAATAAACGATTTCTATATGTAAGCCTAGGATAATTCCACATGTGCTATTGTTAGAATAGACGCTCCTCCCAACCCTTTCAGGACTTAACACTAAACTAGTATACTCAATTTATATACTAAAACTATCTACCATAAATCCTAAATTTGACTACTTGATTTTTGTCCCAGGTTTTTTTTAAGGCAACTGACAGTGCCAAGCCATTTTGTCACTTTAAGATTTTTCATTCCCCAGAGAGCAGGCTTTTAGAAGGATGACACTTTCCTGGAACTTTTCAAGCTGACACATTCGTCACTTACCTATTCAACTCTTCAGTCAGTTGTCTTTCCTTCAAGAGTTTAAATACGTAGATAATTTAGCCCTTGTAGAGGCTCATAATGTAGTTCATTTGAGAAGTGGGGGGAGAAAAAGAAAGGAAGCAAACCAATGACAATGCTCCTGAGTTGTGGGGTGACAACTGCTTATTCTATTGCATAGATGTGTGTTACTGCCCTGGTTGTTTCTGGTTCAAGCCCACAATTAGCAATGAAATGGCCATTATAGGATTCATGCCGATAAACATGATACGTTGCAGCCATACAGACACTTTAAATAATCATTCTTTTTATAACTAAGCCATATACTGGACAAGATTTATAATTTAGAGATAATATCCCCATTAGTAAAGTTTATGACCCAATAAACAGCTCCCACTAGTTAATAAATGCCAAAGCCATAAAAACAAAGACTATTAATGTAATAGAATTTCTGTACCTCCCTCTTTTGCTGGTGGTCTCAAGACACTGAAGGGAAATGCTATCTTAGGAAAAACATTTATTCTCGTTATGTAAATATCAGTGAATTGTCTTACAATCCATCTGGAAGTCTCCCAGCCCCCCTTGGTCCCAGGTGGTCCTGAAATGCTGATGCATTCTGCTTAGGTTTCAAGCAGTAGATAACTCTGGCTTTCAGCACAAATAAATCCCGAGACTAAAATTTTGGGGGGAGGAGGACTGGAATTTCTGCCTCTTCTCTTCCCTCTGCAAAAGAGAAATCCCAACTATTGTCATTGTTCCAGGGTAATAATTTGAAAGAAGTTTCACAACCTTTCCATATACTTATATTTTCAGCTGCTAACATGATCTCATTTTGATGAAAAAGCAAGTGCCACCTTTGGATGTCTGGGTGAGTTGAAGGTTAATATAGGCAAACCTTTTGTCCTAAGAACTAATTGTTATTTAGTATTCTTGGAACTGTGGGAATGATTGATAAAGCCATTTGAAAACCCAAATCAAATCATGTCTTTTCATACAAAACTGATTAAAAGCTGTTGAAGTTCACATTAAGTGGTTTGCTGAGGCACTGTTGTGAGGTATGATGTCGCCAGCAGAGGATTAATTTGCAGTACTTATTTGCCTTTTATTACCTTTTTTACCTAACCACTTGAAAAGTAATGTGGGTAAGTCTGTTGGTTTACTTTAGCTTAAGTTTACTAAAATGGTTAAAATTTTAGACAACAGAGGGGAGATTTGTAACTTTCAAGCATTATAATAGTTTAAACATTTTGCCTACTTTATTTCCTGTATTGCCTTTGGTTCAATTACTGACAAATATACTATTCTTGTTATTTTTTTTTTTTTAAACGCTAGAGTATTTGAAGTTTGATTATTTGGAGTCATAGAGCTTCCAGGCTTTATGGACCCCTCAGTCATGAGTTTAGAATATTTAAATTGCCCTTCCTTCTTTCAAATAGGGCATTATTGATGAGTAAAATGAAATCTCAAATCAATACAAAACACAAAACTCTTGCCTTTCCAACTGGAATTTATCTTGAGTTGGGGTTGCTTCCTAGCCTTTTCTATTTATTTCTTCTTTCTCCTTTCCCTTCCACCACACATTATGATTTTGCTATAAGTTTAGTAGTTGGAGTCATAACGAAATAGGGCCTTCCACAAAATATTTATGATATTGAATAATGCAGAATCCATTATAATAAAGTGCCATGCTCTCAATTACATGTACATTCATTTTAGTTATGAGTATAGATCCCTGAATTTTCAATACCCTAAAAAACGGTCTGTAAATGACCTTTCAGACAAACAGCTTCCCAGTGATGGTAGAAACATATACACGAGTGATGTGTCTCTGCTCTAATGTTTGTTTGGGCAAAGTCTGAATTGCTTCAAGTTGAAGGCAGGTTAAGACCTTTTCAAAAATGAGTGTTTTCAAGTTGACTGAGCATCTTCAGAGACACCGTGCTTTTCAATTCCCAAGAGAATGTAATGTGTAAAAATGGAAAGCCCACTGAGGCAAGATCAATGAGGCTGTTTAGAAAATAATAAACCTGGAGCGATAATGGAGCAAACATTCATTATTACAAAGGGTAGGGCTGACTGTGCAATTAGTTTAAGAGAATTTTGTAACTCACCTCCTCCGCTTATTCTACCAGGTTATACATATTGGTTTAAATATACATTTTCATTCAAGGTCAATTAAGTTCCCTAAAACTAAGAGTTCTGAGACATCTTTGTCAACAGAGTGGCTAGAATATGCATCTTCTTTGTAATTTGTTCCTGGTCCCCAGTAAAATTCCTTGCAAGGGGACTTTCAAGCCCATTATGTGTCTGGTGTGTGGTACACACAGGAGCCCGGGGTCAGCACTGCTGCTCAGAAGCAACTTGGTAAAAGCTAAAAAAATGTGGCCGATGAAAAACTCCACAGTGGCTCTGCAAGCAGAGAATTAATGACTCGCTGGAATCAGTAGGAGCCTTTACTTCTAAATACTCATTAGTTAAAGCAGTGAGGCCTGATGTTATGCAAGTTAGAGAGGGAAAGGGGGGACTGCCCCTCCCCATTGTCTATTTTGAACAGAATATGCACATTTAACTCAAAGTGCTGAATGATTCAAATACATCAAACCCACTATTCATCAGTCTCCTAGCTTCCTGAGCACCACTTTGCATCTGTGTAAAGCCAACAATAGAGGAAAGCTTGTTATGACCCCACTATAATATTAAAATCCAGAGGAGCTGATAGCTTGGTGAAAACATAAAAATGCATTCTCCTTTAGAAATACTTCCACCAAAGTCATCTTTGTGTTTCTTTTTTCCTACTTTGCCTATACAACAAGAACCTCTGACTGAAATAGGAACTTGATAACATTACTTTTGCCTGCTTTTTTCTCCTGTGCTACCACTGGTCATTATTGCTGTGAGGCCACCCGTTGAATAAAGAACAGGAGCTGAACGGCCATTTCAGGCGCCTGCGAATACCCCCAGTTTTAACTATGACTGGAGCTAGGAGAGTGAGAAGGGAAGTGGCAAAAGATGACCATTTTAGAGGGGAGTCGGGACAAAAATAGGGACCACCTTGTGTGTGACTCATGTTGAAGAGTTTGCACTTCATCCCAAGGGAATGAGAAGTTTCTGAAATATTTTAATCTGGGGAATGGAAAGATCATGTCTGTATTTAAAAATCTCTGGCTGCTTTGTGTGTGTGAACTCTAAGAGTGTGTTTGGCGGCAAGAAGACTGATTAGGAGACTGTTGCCAGAGAAGTGATGGGTAGTTTGGATTAATGTAATGTTGGTGAGAAGTGGAGGGATTCACGATGCATTTGGGATGTTGGAGATGAGGGAGAAGAAATCAAAATTATGACTGGGTCATTTTCACAGCTGGATAGATGGTGTTGCCTTTCATTGTGCTGGGATACATGAGAGAAAAATCAAGTGAAGGGAGAATATCAAAAATTCTGCCTTGGGCATGCTGAATTAGGGTGCTTGCGGAACTGATAAGTGGCCATGTTAAGGCAGCTGGATTAACAGGTCTGAATCTCAGCAGAATGGCCTGGGCTGGAGATGCATATTTGGGAATCATCAGAGTATGGATGGTAATTGTGAGTTCGGATAAGATTACCCAGGGGAGGCATGTTGTCTGAGAACCATAGTGCCTGGCATATTACTAACAGTAATAACTTTCTAAAAACCAGCTTTATTGACTTAACAGTGAACTGCACATATTTAAGTATACAATTTGATGAGTTGGTATATGTATATACCCATGATACATCACCCCAATCAAGATAATAAATTGTTAAATTAAACTAAATTTGGCCTGAGGCTGCCTTCCTCCTTTGAGTCCTAACTTAATGAGCTGTAAATAACTGAAAGCCTGACTTAGGAGTGTCAGAGACATTTGAACTAGAGCGACTCCATCTTGAATAGGGGCTGGGCAAAATAAGGCCGAAACCTATTGGGCTGCATTCCCAGGAGGTTAGGCATTCTTAGTCACAGGATGAGATAGGAGGTCAGCAGAAGAAACAGGTCACAGAGACCTTACTGATAAAACAGGATGTGGTAAAGAAGCTGGCCAAAATCCACCAAAACCAAGATGGTGATGAAAGTGACCTCTGGTTTCCAGCTTCATCCATGTCCCATCCTGCTTAGCAAACTGTCGCAAGGACAAGAAACCAAACACTGCATGTTCTCACTTATAGGTGGGAATTGAACAATGAGAACACTTGGACACAGGAAGGGGAACATCACACACCGGGGCCCGTCGTGGGGTGGGGGGAGGGGAGAGGGATAGCATTAGGAGATACACCTAATGTAAATGACGAGTTAATGGGTGCAGCACACCAACATGGCACATATGTACATATGTAACAAACCTGCACATTGTGCACATGTACCCTAGAGCTTAAAGTATAATAAAAAAAGAAAGTGACCTCTGGTCATCACCACTGCTCATTATATGCCAATTATAATGCATTAGCATGCTAGAAGACACTCCCACCAGTGCCAGGACAGCTTACAAAGGCCATGGTGATATGGTTTGGTTCTGTGTCCCCACCTAAATCTCACCTTGAGTTGTAATCCCTATAATCCCCACGTGTCAAGGACAGGACCAGGTGGAGATAATTGGATCATGAGAGACAGTTTCCCCCATGCTGTTCTCATGATAGTGAATCAGTTCTCAAGAGATCTGGCATTTCTCCTGCTTGCACTCACTCCGTCCTGCCGCCATGTGAAGAAGGTGCCTGCTTCTCCTTTGCCTTACACCATGATTGTAAGTTTCCTAAGGCCTCCCCAGCAATGGGGAACTGTGAGTCAATTAAACCTCTTCCCTTTATATATTACCCAGTCTCAGGTATTTCTTCACAGCAGCGTAAAAATGGACTAATAAACATGTCAACATCCGAAAGTTACCCTATATGGTCTAAAAAGGGGAGGGACCCCCAGGTCTGGGAAATCTCCATTCCTTTCCCAGAAAACTCATGAATAATCCATCCCTTGTTTAGCATATTATCAAGAAATAACTCTAAGTATACTCAGTCGAGCAGCCCATGCCACTGCTCTGCCAATAGAGTAGCTATTCTTTTATTCTTTACTTTCTTAATAAACTTGCTTTCACTTTATGGACTCATCCTAAATTCTTCCTTGCATGAAGTCCAAGAACCCTCTCTTGGCATCTGGATTGGGACCCCTTTCCAGTAACAAAAACACAATACCCCAAAGTTTAGTACCTTGATGTGCTGAGTACTTTAAAGGAGGTTTGAAGTCCTCAAAGGCAACGTCTCTCTGACCCTCTCCTGCCCTCCTCTCTCTATCCCCGGTTTTCTCCTAGAAAAGTGTCATAGAAACCAGAATTCCTCTTCCCCAATGCAGGTCATAGAACCTAGAAAGGTCGTTCTCTGACCTTCCCCCTTTTCCCTTGGAGACCCTCATGTGACAAGTGTCCTGTCTTATACCCAGAGGAAAGAAATGCTACACAAAGAGGCCAAAAAGCATATGAATGAACAGGCCTTACTGAGCTTCCCCCTTCAGTCCATTACCATTAGATTGTACCTTTTTGTCCAATCACATTTCCACACAGCTGTCCATTCTTCATCAAACCTAAGCATAAAAATAGACAGTTTGTCCTGGGTCTTTGGGTCTGAAGGCTCCCATGTCACATAGAACCTTGATTAAATAAATTTGTTATGCTTTTTTCTTGTTAACCTGTCTTTTGTTATAGGAGTGTTGGCCATGACTCTTACCGTGAGGAAAGGTAGTACACATTTCTACCCCTACACTTGTTATGGTTAATCTTTCAAATTTTAGCCATTCTAATAGCTGTGTAGTAGTACAGTCAATTGTTCATCTCCATGGGTTCCACATATGTTGATTCAACCAACTGCAGGTAGAAAACATTTTTTAAAAATTGCATTTGTACTGACATGCACAGACGTTTTTGCCTTGTCAT
The DNA here is from genome assembly GCF_000001405.40 of Homo sapiens. Taxonomy (NCBI): domain Eukaryota; kingdom Metazoa; phylum Chordata; class Mammalia; order Primates; family Hominidae; genus Homo; species Homo sapiens. The sequence continues at coordinate 44,141,352 of NC_000023.11, read as the reverse complement.
TTTCTAAACAATGCAGTATAACAACTATTTACATGGTGCTTACATTGTATTAGGTATTATAAGTAATCTAGAGATGATTTAAGGTATATGGGAGGACGTGTACAGGTTATATGTAAACTCCTATGCCACTTTGTATATCAGGGACTTGAGCATCCACAAATTTGGGTATCTGCAGGAGGTCCTGGAGCCAATCGTCCACAGATATCAAGGAAAGACTGTAGCTCATTGTGATTGTTTCTATTCTTCTGATTGAGTTTTGAGAGTTCCTTATATGTTCTGAACACAGGCTTTTTATCTGATGTGTGATTTCCAAATATTTTATCTCGGACTATAGTTGTCTTTACTTTTTTTTTTTTTTAATATGAATGTTAGATCTTTTGTTATAGTACCACAGGTTCCTGATTTGTTTTGTTTTTGTTTTTTCCAGTCTGTTTTATCTCTGCCCTTTTTTTTTTTATTATACTTTAAGTTTTAGGGTACATGTGCACAACGTGCAGGCTTGTTACATATGTATACATGTGCCATGTTGGTGTGCTGCACCCATTAACTCTTCATTTAACATTAAGTATATCTCCTAATGCTATCCCTCACCCCTTCCCCCACCCCACAACAGGCCCCGGTGTGTGATGTTCCCCTTCCTGTGTCCATGTGTTCTCATTGTTCAATTCCCACCTATGAGTGAGAACATGCGGTGTTTGGTTTTTTGTCCTTGCCATAGTTTGCTGAGAATCATGGTTTCCAGCTTCATCCATGTCCCTACAAAGGACATGAACTCATCCTTTTTTATGGCTGCATAGTATTCCATGGTGTATATGTGCCACATTTTCTTAATCCAGTCTATCATTGTTGGACATTTGGGTTGGTTCCAAGTCTTTGCTATTGTGAATAGTGCTGCAATAAACATACGTGTGCATGTGTCTTTATAGCAGCATGTTTTATAGTCCTTTGGGTATATACCCAGTAATGGGATGGCTGGGTCAAATGGTATTTCTAGTTCTAGATCCCTGAGGAATCACCACACTGACTTCCACAATGGTTGAACTAGTTTACAGTCCCACCAACAGTGTAAAAGTGTTCCTGTTTCTCCACATCCTCTCCAGCACCTGTTGTTTCCTGACTTTTTAATGATCACCATTCTAACTGGTGTGAGATGGTATCTCATTGTGGTTTTGATTTGCATTTCTCTGATGGCCAGTGATGATGAGCATTTTTTCATGTGTCTTTTGGCTGCATAAATGTCTTCTTTTGAGAAGTGTCTGTTCCTATCCTTCGCAAGGACTTCGTGTCTAAAACACCAAAAGCAATGGCAACAAAAGCCAAAATTGACAAATGGGATCTAATTAAACTAAAGAGCTTCTGCACAGCAAAAGAAACTACCATCAGAGTGAACAGGCAACCTACAGAATAGGAGAAAATTTTTGCAATCTACTCATCTGACAAAGGGCTAATATCCAGAATCTACAATGAACTCAAACAAATTTACAAGAAAAAAACAACCCCATCAAAAAGTGGGCGAAGGATATGAACAGACACTTCTCAAAAGTCTTTACATTTTCTTAACAGGGTCTTTTGGAAGGCAAAAGGTTTTAATTCTGATGAAGTCTATTTTATTAATTTATTCTTTCATGGATTATGTTGTTGGTGTTATACTTAGTAAATCTTTGTATAAACCAAGTTCACAGAGGTTTTTTTCTGTGTTTCCTTCTAGAAGTTTTGAAGTTTTAGGTTTTTCATTTAAGTCTATAATCCATTTCAAGTTCATTTTTGTGTACAGTACAAAGTATGGCTCCAAGTTTATTTTTTTTTGGTATATGGATATCCAATTGTTATAGCATCATTTGTTGAAAAGATTAACATGTCTCCAGGGAATTGACCGTTGCAGAAAATCAGTTGTCAATTATGTGTGGATCTATTTCTGGATTTTCTATTCTGTTCTACTGATTTATGTGCTGATCTTTACATTAATGCGACACTGTCTTGTTTACTATAGCTTTTTAATAAGCCTTGAAATCAGTAGCATTAATTCTCCAACTTTGTTCTTTGCATAGTAGTTTTTGCTATTCTAGATCTTTTACAATTTCTTATGTATCAGCTGGTCAATCCTAAAATCATGCTAGGGATTTTTATTGGGATTGTACTGAATCTACAGACCAATTTGAAGAGAATTGTTATCTTAATAATATTGAGTCTTCTGGCCCATGAACACAGTATATCACTCTGTTTATTTAAGGCTTCTTTATCTCAGCAATGTTTTGTAGTTTCCAGTGAGCAGGTATTGCACATATTTGACAGATTCCTTGCTAAGTATTTCAAATTTGTTAATGCCAATGTAAATGGTAATTTTTGAAAGTTTTAATTTTTGATTGTTTGTTGCTAGAAGATAAAATACATTTTTAATTTATTTGATTTTTATACATTGATCTTGTATCCTTCAACCTTAATAAACTCATTTATTAGTCTTGCAGCTTTTTTTTAGACATCATCAGATTTTTCACATGGACAATACAAAGACAATCATAGATGATCAGATTTTTCATATAGATGATATTAGTCCATGAATAAAGTTTTACTTCTTCATTTCAAATATGGATTCCTTTTATTTCCTTTTCTTGTCTTATTGCACTGGCTAGAACTTCCAGTACAACACTGAATAGAGATGATGAGGGTGGACATCCCTTTCTTGTCACTGAACTTAGAAGGAAAGCATTCAGTGTTTCAACATTAAGTATAATGTTAGCTGTAGGATGTTAGTAGACAACCTTTATCAGGCTTAGCAAGCTCCCTTCTATTTCTATTTTGCTGAGAGATTTTATCAGGAATGGATTTTGGATTTTGTTAAACATTTTGCTGCATCTGTTAAGATAATCATATTTTTCTTTTTAAATATAGTAATTATTTAAATGACTAATTTTTAAATGTTTTTTTATTAAGATAAAATTCATATAAAATTAACCATTTTAAATTGTAAAATATGGTGGCATTTAGTACATTCACAATGTTGTGCTACCACCACCTCTAGTTCCAAAATATTTTTATCACCACAAAAGGAAACCCCATACCTGTGAAGGAGTCACTCTCTATACCTCTTGCCCTCAGCCCCCTGGCAACCAGTAATCTCCTTTCTGTCTTTATGAGTTTACTTACTCTAAATATTTCATATAAATGGAATCATACAGTATGTGACCTTTGTATCTGGCTTCTTTCGCTTAGCATAATGTTTTTGGTCATCCATGTTGTAGCATGTATTGCTACTTCATTTCTTTTTGTGGCTGAACAATATTTCATTGTATGGATATACCACAATTTGTATATCCATTCACGCATCAGTGGACATTTGGGTTCTTTTCACCTTTTGGCTTTTATGAATAGTGTTGCTATATAAACATACGTGCACATGTATTTTGTTTGAGTACTAGTTTTCAGTTCTTTTGAGTATATACCTAGGAGTAGAAGTCTAGGGTCATATAGTCATTCTCCATTTAACTTTTTGAGGAACTGCCAAATTGTTTTCCATAGTGACTGAACTATTTCATATTCCCACCTTAAAGGTATGAGGGTTCCACTGTCTTCACATCTTCACCAACACATGTTATTTTCCATTTTTTAAAATAGCTATCCTGCTGCATGTGAACTGGTAGCTCGTTTGATTTGTATTTCCCTAAAGACTAATGATGTTAAGCATCTTTTCTGTGTTTTTTGGCCATTTGTAAATTTTCTTTAGAGAAATGACTACTTGAATCCTTTGTCCACTTTTTGATTGAAAGTGACATTGAATTTTGAATATTAAAATTTTGAAACCAACTGTGCATTACTGGAATAAACCCTATTAGGTCATGATGTGTTACCCTTCTTATAAATTGCTGGACTAAATTTGCTGAAATTTTGTTTAAACTTTTTCTCCTATGAAAATCTATGAAGGACATTAATCCACAGTTTTCTTTTCTTGTCATGTCTTTGTCTGGTTTTGGTTTCGTGATAATGTTGGCCTCATAGAATAAGTTGGGAAATATTCTTTCCTTTTCAATTTTATGGAAGAGTTTGTATAGAATTGGTATTATTTCTTCCTTAAACATTTAGTAGAATTTACTAATGAAGCAATCTGGCAGACAGTTGCTCCTGGGGAGGGGATTTATGACAATTGAGTTCTTTTGGGAGGCACTGCTTTTAGGCAGAGAAAGTTTTTCAGGAGCTCAAATGCCTTCAGCTCAAAATAATTTTTATGCCACAGTGGCTTATTCTGGACCCTTTCATTGTAACTCTTCAATTTGTTATTATATTGGTTGTTTTAGGGTTTGCAGTATATGCCTTTAACTTAGCATTATCTACCTTCCAATGATGTATGGTATAGTATAGTAATCTTAAAATAGTATACATCCATTTCTCCCCTATTAAATTTTGTGCTATTATTACCTTACTTTTCATATGTTTTAAGCCCCACACTGCATTGCTATTTTTATTTAATAGTCAATTATCTTTTAAAGAGATTTAAATAGCAAGAAAAAACTAATATAGTTATCTATGTAGTTACCCTTTCTTGTGCTTTTTAACCCTTTGTGCAGATCCATATTTCCATCTGCTATCATTTCTCTTGTGCCTAAAATACTTCGTTTAACATTTCTTGTAGTATGGGTCAGTTGGTGATGAATTATTTTGCTTTCTTTTTAAATGTCTTAAAATGTCTTTATTTTGCTTTCATTTTAGAAAGATATTTTCACAGGGTATAAATGCCCAAGTTGAAAGTTTCTTCTTTCTATATTTTAAGTACATTGCTCCCCTTATTTCTGGCTTACATTGTTTCACATGAGAAATCTGTCAACTTTTTTTTTGTCCCTCTGTATGTAATATATGTTTTCTCTTTGGCTAATTTCAACATTTTCTATTTATCACTAGTTTTAAACAATTTGTTTATGATGAGCCTTGGGCTAGTTTTCTTGTGCTTGGGATTTGTTGAGCTTCTTGGTTCCTTAGATTTATAGTTTTCATAAAATTTGGAAAATGTTTGGCCATGTTTTCTTCAAGTGCCTTTTTTTTTTTTTTTTTTTTTTTTGAGACGGAGTTTTGCTCTTGTTGCCCGGTTGGAGTGCAATGGCACGGTCTCAGCTCACTGCAACCTCTGCCTCCTGGGTTCAAGTGATTCGCCTGCCTTAGCCTCCCAAGTAGCTGGGATTACAGGTGCCCGCCACCACGCCTGGCTAATTTTTATATTTTTAGTAGAGACAGGGTTTCACCATGTTGACCAGGCTGGTCTTGAACTCCTGACCTCAGGTGATCTGCTTGCCTCAGCCTCCCCAAGTGCTGGGATTACAGGCATGAGCCACTGTGCCTGGCCCAAGTGCTTTTTCAGTTACCACTCCTCTCTTTTCCATTGGTGACTCCTATTACATATATATTAGGCTGCTTAAAGCTGTCCCGTGGTCACTGATGCTTTGTTCACCCTTTTCTCATTTGTGTGTGTGTGTGTGTGTGTGTGTGTGTGTGTGTGTGTGTGTGTGGTTCATATTGGATAGTGTCTTTTGCTTAGTTTTCAAGTTCATTAATAATTTTTTCTGTAACATCTAATCTGCCATTAATCCCACCCACTATATTTTTCATCTTGTACTGTACATGGTATTAGATTTAGGTCTTTTTATATCTTTAATGTCCCTACTTAACATGCTCAGTTTTTCCTCTAGCTTCATGTATATATGGAATAAAGTTATAATAATGGTTCAAATATCCTTATCTACTAATTTTATCATCTAAGCAATTTCCGTGTCTGTTTTGAGTGATTTTTCTCCCCATTATGGATAATATCTTCCTGCTTTTTGCATGCTTGCTAATTTTTTTTTAGATGCCAAAATTTAGACTTTTATTTTGTGGTGTGCTGAATATATTTGCATTCTCTTAAACAGTTGTGAGCTTTGTTCTAGGGTATGGTTAAGTTACTTGGAAACAATTTCCTTCTTTAAGGTCATGCTTTTAAGCTTTGTTAGGCAAGACAAGAGCAGCCTTTAGTTAAGGGCTAATTTTTTCCCAAAACTGAGGCAAACCCTTCTTAGTACTCTACCCAATTCTTCATCATTAGTAAAGTTTTTGACTCTGACTGATGGGAACAAGAATGTGGTGGGCAGAATTCTAAGATGTCTGCCAGTGACCCATACCTTTATATAATCCCTTCCCATTTGAATATGGTTGTGAATCATGAATATGATAGGACAGTCACTACCATAATTAAGTTATGTTATGTGGCACAATTGATTTGAGAAAGACTGGGCCAGGCACAGTGTCTCATACCTGTAATCCTAGCCACTTGACGTTGGGAGGCCAAGTCAGGTGGATCACTTGAGGCCAGGAATTCGAGACCTGGGAGACACAGTGAGACTCCATCTCAAAAACAAAAAACAAAACAAAACAAAAAAACAGTAGTTATATAATTTTTAGTTGGTAGTGTTCTAGTTCTAGTGCCAGTTCTAGTGGCAATTTAGTTGGTAGTGTTCTAAACATTTTTCTCTTTGGCTTCATATGCATGATAATTCTACTTCTTGCTAGTTTCCACAGTGTTTAGCATGATGCCTTATATATAGTAAGCACTCAATAAATGCTTGATTTGATATTTTAAATTTGATTTTTTAAAACCATTTATTTTCAGTGAACTTTCAGAATTGCTGTGGGTACTATTTCACATTAGTTTTCAAAAGTATCATTGCATAACTACATCCAAACTAGATTAATATATGCATATATACATGTCAATATTCTATGTTGTCATATTACGCTGGCTTCCCCTAAGAGCAGATCCAAAGATTAAGTCTTGTTGGCAGGTAGTTTATTTAGAGGTGTGATTCCAGGAAGCAGTTGTGCACAAGAAGCAGAGTGGAACAGGGAAGGAGGAAAAGAGTCAATCTAAGCAAAAATAGAGTTGGCCACCACTATAGAACATTGGTGCTCACTCCACCTGGGATCTCTTGTAAAGTGTTAAGAAATGAGTCTCAGAAGTGTCTGCTCAACAGTCAAAGGAGGAAATCAGTTATCTATTGGCCCCTGTTCCCCATTGGTCAAGAGCAGCTCCATGTGTGTTAAACTCCCTCACACTTTCTGGTTGTCTATGTCTAATACAGAGGAGGTTCCTAGTGATGGACCCAAGCCCCAGGAAAGGAAGTGAGAAGTGTATGGAACCAGCCAAGGAGGGGCACTGTCCAATTGCACCCATGTGAAGCCAGTCAAAGTGTGAATGGAACTGGGTGCTGCAGCAATGCCTGGAGTAAAGGGAGAGGCTAAGAGGATTTTGGAATGGTATAGAGGAGTTGTCCAACATACATAATGTTCTGTAAGTTATTTAACAATTTAATCCACTCCTGGTTTCTAATAGTCTTTTAAATTGATATCCACACAATTTCGAGTATCCTCAAGCTGCAGAAGGACTTCCAAGGTAGTGATGAGAATAAGCCACTGAGGGGAATGCACCCAAATTATCAATAATATTCTTGAAATAATGATTTTTAAAAGTATTACTGTTCATTAGAGTTCTGCTTCAAGCCAAGATATATAGTATGGGGGACCAGATTTATCCTCTTGCCTGAAACAACTAAAAAACTGTTCAAGATATATGAAACAATTATTTTCAAGATACTGGACTTCAGGCAATGAAGGAGAGTGATCCATGAGAAAGAGGAAAGTGGTGAACCTCACTTTTGCCCTAGATTACTGCCTAGGGAGAGTTTCTTGCCAATGTTGAGGGAAGAGGTAAACCAAGTAGAATATAGCAGACCCCATGACTACACTACAGGAGATAGGGCCAAGAGTCGAAGAGTACCCAGGGAGCTAGAGTTCACAGGACACATTATTTGAGAGGAGAGAACTGCACAGAGATAGAACTTCAAAGATCTGTAGGGGGCTCCTCACATATTTAGCTGAGTACTGAGCAGTGCGTGTGTGCAAGGAAACTACCCAAGACTGGGGAAAGAAGCACCTGAAAGGATTAGAAGAAATAACACTTGGTACACAAAGATAGTAATAATGCCTATTCTCAACAAATTGTCTGCAAAGTCTTATAATTCATGAACTATTGTACCCAGAACGTTCTTGCCTCAGTAATGAGGAATAATTAACCCTAGATGAAACATGGTGTTATCCCACCTAACAAATTTCAAAAGTGAGACCTAAAAGGATCAAACTGTTTCCAAGTAATTTAGCCATGTCCTAGAAAAAAAGCTGAAGAATATCTATAGGGATACATAAATATCCAGCACTTAAAAAGGTAAAATTCACAAGGTATGGCATCCAGCAAAAAAATTACCAGGCATGGATAGGAAAGGAAACGTCAACTCACAATGAGGAAAAAAAATCAATAGGAACTGATCTAGACCTGACATAGATGTTATAATTAGCCGACAAGGACAATCAAACAGCTATTATAACTATCTTCCATATGATCAAAAAGTTAATGAGAGATATGGAAGATAAGAAAAGACTGGACTTCTGATAAAAACTACAGTGTGTGAGGTGAGATGAAAAATACCTTAAATGTGATTCATGGGAGATTAGACTTTGCAGAAGAAAAGATTAGCAATAGAAATCCCAAAATGAAGCTCTAAGAGTAAGAAGATTGTAAAAAAAAAAAAAAAAAGACAAAGAAAAAGAATAAAGAAAAAAAAATGAGCACAGCAGTGGACTGTGGGCCAACTTAAGGCATTCTAATGTGTGATTATAGTAGCAGAGGCAGAAGAAAGACAGGGAAATAATGACCTAAAGTTTTTCAAATTTCATAAAAACTAGAAACACATGAATCCAAGAATATTATAAACGAGCACAAGAAATATTAAGAAAAATCAGACCAAGGAACATCATAAACTGCTCAAAACTAGATATAGATTGAAAATCTTAAAAGCAGCCACAGAAAAATTATATGTTATGGACAGAGGAACAAAAATAAAGATTTCAGCAGATTTTTCTTCAGAAACAATGCAAGCAAAAAGATAGGGGACCAACTGGGCGCGGTGGCTCATGCCTGTAATCCCAGCACTTTGGGAGGCTGAGGCGGGCGGATCACGAGGTCAGGAGATCGAGACCATCCTGGCTAACACGGTGAAACCCCATCTCTACTAAAAATACAAAAAATTAGGGCGTGGTGGTGGGCGCCTGTAGTCCCAGCTACTCGGGAGGCTGAAGCAGGAGAATGGCGTGAACCCGGGAGGCGGAGCTTGCAGTGAGCCGAGATTGCGCCACTGCACTCCAGCCTGGGCGACAGAGCGAGACTCCATCTCAAAAAAAAAAAAAAAAAGATAGTGGACCAATATCTTTAAAGTACTGGAAAAGTAAAACTGACAATGTAGAATTCTATGCCCAGTAAAAATATCTTTCAAAAATGAAGGCAGAACAGGTACTCAAATATTTATGCACAAATGTTCTTAGCAGAAAACAACCCAAATGTACATTTATAGATGGATGAGCAAATTATGGCATATATATACTGTGGAATATTATTTAGTCAAAAAAGGATTGAGGTATGGATACATGCCACAACATGGAGGAACCTCAAAAACATGCTAACTAAAAGAAACCAGATACAAAAGGTCATGTATTATATGGCTTTATTGATATGAATATCCAGAATAGGTTAAGTTCATCAAGACAGAAAGCAGAGTGAGCTGGAGGAAGGAAGGAATGGGGAGTGACTGCTTAATCAAGACAGGGTTTTCTTTGGGGACAATGAAAATGTTTTGGAACTAGACACAGGTGGTGGTTGTACAACATGGTGAATGTACTAAATGCCACTTAATTTTACACTGTAAAATGGTTAATTTCATGCAATGCGAATTTCACCTCAAAAATGTCAGTTGACTATGAACTGGAAGGCTCAATATAATAAAGATGTAAATTCTCCCAAATTGAAATACAAATATAATGCAATTCCCACTAAAAGTTCAGCAACACTTTTTGTAGATATAGACAAGATTATTTTAAAATTTATATGGAAAAAGAATGGAACTAGAAAAGCTAAAATGATTTTGAAGAAGGTCAAAGTGGAGGAGTCAGTCTATCTGATTTAAATATTTTTATTATATAGCTACAATCATCAAGACTGTTTGGCATTGGTAGGAGCATAGAAACATAGATCATTGGAAGTGGATAGAGAACCCAGAAATAGACTCACACAAATATCATCAACTGATTTTTGACAAAAATACTAAATCAATTTCACCAAGTGGTGCTGAAGTAACCAAACATTTATAGGCAAAAAGAAAGAAAAGCCTTGACCTAAGCTTCATGCTTTGTACAAATATCACCTCAAAAAGGATCATGGGCTTAAGGGTAAAATGTAAACACGTAAAAGGTGTAGAAAAAAACCCAGGAGAAAATACTCAGGATAAAGGGTAGGTGAAGAGTTCTTAGACTTAACACCAAAAGTGTGATCCATAAAAGAAAAAAATATATAAATTGGACTTTTAAAATTAAACATTTGCTCTGCAAAAGACCCTATTAAGAGGATGAAGAGACAAGCTACAGACTCAGGGAAAATCTTTGCAAACCATGTATGCAACAAAGGATGAGTATCTAGAATATGTAAATAAATCTCAAAACTCAATCCATTACAAAAGACATGAACCAACATTTCACCAAGGAGGATATACAGATGAAAAGCACATGAAAAGTCATTCAACATCATTTAACCATTGGGGTAACACAAACAAAGTTACAATGCGATATCACTACACATCTATCAGAATGTTTAAAAAAATGAAAATAGCAACGTAAAATACTGGCTGGTTGTGGAAAAGCTGGATCACTCATACATTGATAGTGGGAGTGTTAAATGGTACAGCCACTCTGTAAAACAGCTTAATAGTTTCTTTAAACATGTAACTACCATACGACCCAGCAATTTCACTCCTGGGTACAAAACCTATATATGAATGGTTATAGTAGCTTTATTTACACTAACCCAAACAGCCTAACTGTCCTTCAAAGGGTAAATGGTTAACTACAGCACCTCCATACTGTGGGATACTACTCAGCAATAAAAAGGAATGAATTGTTGATACAATGTAACAACTTGGATGAGTCTACAGAGAATTACCGTGTGAAAAAAGCCAATCCCCAAAGATTACATACTATATTATTCCATTTATACAGAATTCTTGACAAAATTATAGAAATGAGCAGCAGATCAGTGGCTGCCAGAGTTTAAAGGGGTAGTGTAGAGGTTGGGAGGAGAGGAAATGGGTGTAGATACAAAAGGGCAAGTGATGAATCCTTGTGATAATGAAAACGCTCCGTCTCTTCACTATCAATGTCAGTATTCTGGTGTGATACAGTACTATAGTTTTTCAAGACGTTACCAGTGGGGGACCTGGGTAAGGGCTACATGAGATTTCCCCGTATTATTTCTTACAACTGCATGTTAATCTACTATTATATAAAAATAAAAGGTTAATTTAAAAAAATTTAAAGAAAGGCAAAAATAAAGACTTTTTCAGATATAGAAAAAATGAAAGCGTTTATCATGAGCAGTTCTCTCCAAATTGATCTATAGATTCATAGTAATCCCAATCACAATGAGAGTAAGCATTTTTGTAGAAATTGACATACTGATTCTAAAATTCAGATGAAATGCAAAGGCAGAAGGAAAGTGTCTTCACTCGGGAATTGCACCAAACATTTCATAAAGAAATAATACTGATTCTACATAAACTCTTCCAAAAAATTGAAGAGAATGGAATACTTCCCAACTCATTCTATCAGTTGAATGTTATTCTGATACAAAAACCAGAAAATGATATTTAAAGGAAAAGAAACTACAGATCAATATTCCTCGTGAACATAGATGCAAACTTTTTTTTTTTTTTTTTTTTTTTTTTTTTTAGATAGAGTTTTGCTCTGTCTTCTAGGTTGGAGTGCAGTGGCACGATCTCGGTTCATTGCAAACTCCACCTCCCGGGTTCAAGCCATTCTCCTGCCTCAGCCTCCCAAGTAGCTGGGATTACAGGCATGCGCCACCACACCCAGCTAATTTCTGTATTTTTAGAAGAGATGGGGTTTTGCCATGTTGGCCAGGCTGGTCTCGAGCTCCTGACCTCAGGTGATCCACCCACCTTGGCCTCCCAAAGTGTTGGGATTACAGGCATGAGCCACCACACCCGACCCAAACTTTCTCTTCTAAAAAATTATTTTTCTAATAATTTATTTTGAAATCTTTTTAAATGTACAGAAACATTGCAAGGACAGTACAAAGAACTCCCGTATCCCCTTCACCCAGATTCTTGCACATTTTATCACATTTGATTCATCACCCTCTCTTTTTATATATACCTGTTCATCTTTTTCTATTTTTTTAAGATTTTAAACAACAGTTTTGTTTGATGCTTCATTTTCAGACATTTTAATATCAGTCATTCCATTGACATTCCACGAGCAAAATTTTTCCAGAACAACAGTATGGAATAGTTCTGAATTATGGTATTGCACAGGTAGAAAAAAATGTCCATATACCTTTTTAAAAATTTACTTCTTACTGCACCCTAAATGTCTTCTCAAAGAAGGAAGTCTCAAGCTGACTTAATTTCTTTTTAGGAAGTTTTTTATAGGCCACCTTAACCAAACTCCTTCAAATAGCTGAGGAAATACAATCGCTGGGAAGCCAAAGGGCTCACCTTCACATGATTCAAAATTTCTTAACATAATTTTAGAAAAATAAATCCAATAATCTATAAAAATGATAATACATCATGACCAAGCAGACTTTAGCTTAGTGCAAAGTTGGTTTAACATTCAAAAAATCAATGTTAGTAGCAGATTTTTTAAAATTACATGATTATTTCAATAGATTTCATAAAAGAATTTGACAAAATCCAAAATTCCCGATTAAAAACTCCCAGCAAAGTAGAAGGGAACTTCTTCAACATGATAAAAAGCACCTACAAAAAACCCTACAGCTAACATCACACTTAAAGGTGAGAGACTGAATGCTTTCCTTCTAAGATCAGGAAAATATGATGTACACTTTCACCACTTCTGCTCAGCATTGTACTGGAGGGTATGCAGATGGCAAATAAGCACATAAAAAGATGCTCAATATGAATAAGGAAATGCAAACCAAAACCATAATAAGATAACAATACATACCTAATAGAACATCTCAAATTACATCATCGCAATTGTTGGTGAGGATGTGGAGCAACCGGCATGCTGCTGTTGGGAATGCAAACTAGTACGACCATCTTGGAAAACAATTTGGTAGTTTCTTAAAACGTTCAACATACACCCTCCTAGCTATTCTACTCCTAGGTATTTACCCAAGAGAAATGAAAGGACATTTCCACACAAAGTCTTACATACAAATGTCATAACAGCTTTATTTATAAGAGTTAAAAACTGGAAACAACCCAAATTTCCAGGTAAATGAATAAATAGCAATATATCCAAAAAATGCACTATTGATACATGTCATGAATATGGATGAATCCCAAAGTAAAAGTGGTTAGTGAAAAACCGGAAATAAAAGCATACATACTATGTGATTTCATTTACATAAGTTTCCAAAGAATGCAAACTTGTCTATACTGACAGAAAGTGGATTAGTATTGTTCACTGTGTATCAGTTATACATCAGTAAAGTTGTAAAAGAAACCTGTACAATTTATGAAATATGAATAAAGTCGTATTTAAAGATAAACTCATAGCTTAAATTTCTAAAGTATTATATAAAGCACGTGTATAAACAAATTAGATAAAACGCTATCAAAAGCTGGAGGAAGAAAAACATGAATTTAAAATCAGAAATAGGCTGGGCGCAGTGGCTCACGCCTGTAATCCCAGCACTTTGGGAGGCCTAGGCGGGTGGATCACCTGAGGTCAAGAGTTCGAGACCAGCCTGGCCAACGTGGTGAAATCCCATCTCTACTAAAAACACAAAAAATTAGCCACGCGTGGAGGTGGGCGCCTGTAATCCCAGCTACTACTCAGGAGGCTGAGGCAGGAGAATTGCTTGAACCTGGGAAGCGGAGGTTGCACAGTGAGCCGAGATCGGCCATTGCACTCCAGCCGCGGTGACAAGAGTAAAACTCTGTCTCAAAAAGAAAAAAAAAAAAAAAAAAGAAACAGCAATCAGTAGAATTTTGTAATAAAATTCAGGAATCAGCTCTATAAAAATAATATGTAAATATTATTACTTATAATGAAATGGAGAATCATACATGTAATAGAGGATATAGACAGCGTTATAAAATTATAGGGAATATTATGTACAAATATATGCTAAGAAATTAGAAAAATATTTTTTAAAAAGAAAACTAAGGAGATTAAGTAACTTGCCTATTATCGCTCAGCTAGTAAAGTGGTGAATCTTGGATTCAAGTTTATACAGTCTAGCTCTAGAGTCTGTACCCTTAACTACCACACTAAAAATAGAAAACTAGTTATTTTTGTAAAACTCACATAACATTCATTTCATAACACGTTAAAAATAGTGCGAAAAGGAAAATGATTCAATGTCACTTATACATGCAAATATCTTAAAGTATCATTAAATCAGATCCAACAGTGTATTAAAAGGATAATTCACTGTAACAAAATAGGCTACGTCACAGCAGTAAAAAATTGTTAAATATTTAGAATCAGTTAATGTATTACATCTTAAGGCATGTGATCTTCACATTAAATGCCAACAATACATTAGATAAACTCCACTCATTTCTTATGAAAGTGCTTCAAAAGTTAGCAATGTGTGAATACTTTCTTAGCAAGATAGGGAAGATTTATTTCAAAGTAATAGCAAACATCACCCTTAACAGTGAAAAATGATATTCATGTTAAATCTTAAGCAAGGATAGCCAGCGTCACTATTATTATTTGTTATTATTTACGGAAATATATAAGCAAAGATTATAAGATACATAACAGAAATGAGAAGTAGTACTATCAGATAGGATAAGCTTATTGGATAGGATAATTCTTATTTTCAGATGAAAGGATAGTCTACAGAGAGAAACCAAGAGAATAATTTTTAAAGATCGTCTTATAATTAAACAATTCAGAAAAGTTATGCATATAAGGTGTACATATATATGTATATAGAAATATACATAGAAATCAGCTTTCTGGTAAATCGGCAAAAGAAATCACTTTCATAATAATGCAATCTCTTAGAAGACCCAGGAATAACCTTAGATTAACAAAGCTATTTGAAGAACACTACAAAATTAAAACAGCTAATATATCCATATGTTCAATAAGGCAAAGGAAAACATGAATATGATAAGGAGCAAGGAAGATATTAAAAAGGCCAAAAAAACACACTGGATGGGAATAGCAGCAGATTAGACACTGCAGAAGAAAAGATTAATGAACATGAAACACAGAAAAATGTGATGAACTTGATCAAAATTTATAATTTTGTCCAAAAGAAATGATTAAGAAAATTAGGCAAGTCACAGACTGGGAGAAAGCATTTGTAAATCACATATCTAACAAAGACATATCCAAAATATATGAAGAACTTTTAAAACTCAACATTAAGATAACAACCCAATTTAAAAACTAGGCCAAGGACTTGAAGAGATAACTTCACTAAGGAAGCTATTTGGATGGTAAATAAACACATGAAAAGGAGTTCAACATCATTTGCCATTAAGGAAATGCAAATTAAAGCCACATGTGCCGTCATTACATATCCTATTAGAATGGCTAAAATAAAGTTTAAAAAAATATCAAGAGCTGGCTAGGATGCAGAGCAACTGGTGGAAGTGCAAAAATGATATAGTCACTTTGGAGAACAGTTTGGGAGTTTCTTACAAAATTAAACATACCATACGAAGCAGTGATCCCATGCCTAGGTATATGCCCAAGAGAAATGAAAACATATGTTCACACAAAGACTTGTACTGAAATATTCATAGCAGCTTTGTTAATGGTATTCCCAAATTGGCAAGAATCAAAGTGTCAATCAACTGGTGAATGGATACACACACTGATACATCCATACAATCAATTACTAACTAATAAAAGGAACAAATTATTGATATATGCAACCGCATGGATGTATCTCAAATGCCCTATGTTAAGTGAAGGAATACAGACAAGAGAAGTCAGTATGATCTACTCATAGGACGTTCTAGAAAAGCCAAGACTATAGTGACAGCAGATCAGTAGATGCCAGGGGTGTGGGCAGGGGATTGATTGCAAAGAGGTACATGGGAGCCCTTAGGGATGTTGCAGATATTCTTAATCATAGTTGAAGTGGTAGTTTCATGACTATATGTTTGCCAATACTCATCTAATTTTACATTTAAAATCAGTGAAGTTTATTATATCTAAGTTATACCTCAGTTAAACTGATTTTTTTTTTTTTTTTTTTTTTTTTTTTTTTGTGAGACAGAGTTTTGCTCTTGTTGTCCAGGCTGGAGTGTAATGGAGTGATCTCGGCTCTCTGCAACCTCTGCCTCCTGGGTTCAAGCAATTCTCATGCCTCAGCCTCCCTAGTAGCTGGGACTATAGGCGTGCACCACCACGCCTGGCTAATTTTTGTATTATTAGTAGAGATGGGGTTTCTCCATGTTGGTCAGGCTGGTCTTGAACTCCTGACCTCAGGTGATCTGCCCGCCTCAGCCTCCCAAAGTGTTGGGATTACAGGCATGAGCCACCTCGCCTGGCCTTATGCTGATTTTTTAAAAACAATCAGTGAGTCTCCTGATGTGATGCCCTGACAAATACAAAACATCACCTGTGTAATTTTTCTAATAATAATAATATTTCACGAGGATCTGTCCTTGAATAAATTATCAGACTAACCAAATTGTGAGACATTCTACAAGACAACTGGCCTGAAACATTACCAACTGTCAGTATCATGAAAGGCAAAAAAGAAGACTAAAGGGCTAAAATGACTAAATATAATGTGTGATCCCGGATTGGATTCTATATAAGGAAAATTAAAGCAATAAAGGACATAGTTCAGGAAAATCAAGGAAATTTGAATATGGACTCTGTTAGATAATAATGTTGTATAAAAGCTGTTTTCCAGGTATTTTATTCATATAAGAATCCCCTTGTTTTGCAGAGATACATGGTGAAGATTTTCAGGTGAAGTGTCAAAATGACTGCATCTATTAAGTGGTTCAGGAAAACAAAACAAAGATAGAAGATAGATAGATAAACAGATAAAAAAGAGTTAAAGGAAATATGCCAAAATATTAACAATTGGCAAAGGATATATAGGTATTAATTGTGCTATTCTTTTAATTTTTCTGTAATTTTGAAATTTTAAAAAATGAAACATTGGGAAATAGGTATTAAAATAGTCTTGATTTAAGACTTTAAGATAGTTTATTGCTTGTGTTAAGTGAAGATTTTAAAAATGATGCATATTCAGTCATATTGCTCTCACTAGAAATATTAATGTTGGTGGGGGGAGGGGGGAGGGATAGCATTAGGAGATATACCTAATGCTAAATGACGAGTTAATGGGTGCAGCACACCAGCATGGCACATGTATACATATGTAACTAACGTGCACATTGTGCACATGTACCCTAAAACTTAAAGTATAATAATAATAAAAAAAGAAAAAAAAAGAAATATTAATGTTTACAGAGCAAAAGTGTTTTGTACCATTAACAAATAAAATTAAAATTTTTAATGTAAAAAAATTCAGTGAGGCAGGGTGCGGTGGCTCATGCTTGTAATCCTGGCACTTTGGGAGGCCAAGGCAGGAGGGCCCTTGAGCCCAGGAGTTCGAGGCTGCAGTGAGCTATGATTGTGCCACTGCACTCCAGCCTGAGTGACAAAGAGATTGTACCTCTAACAACAACAATAAAAACAATTCAGTGGGAGAAAACACCCGTTATTCAAGACACTGAACAGAAAAACAGTTATTCAGAAAATAAAACTATATAACCAATCTGAATGTTAATTATAAAAGTTCACTGTCAAAATTCAAGCCATCAAAATTGAACATTTGGGCTGGGCTCAGTGGCTCATGCCTGTAATCCCAGCACTTTGAGAGGTGGAGGTGGGCAGATGGCTTGAGCCCAGGAATTTGAGACCAGCCCGGCCAACATGGCGAAACCCCATCTGTACAAAACAATACAAAAATTAGCCAGGCATGGTGGTGCATGCCTGTAGTTCCAGCTACTCAGGAGGCTGAGGTGACAGGATCACCTGAGCCCAGGGATGTCGAGGCTGCTGTGAGCCATGATCAGGCCATTGCACTCCAGCCTGGGCAACAGAGTGAGACCCTTTCTCAATTAAAAAAAAAAAAAAAAAAAGAACATTTGTTGACTAAGTGTAGTCTAATAGGGAACTTTACAAGTGTAAAAGAAATTGAAAGCAACAGAAAAAGATTAACAGATTTGATAACAAAATTAAAATTTTAGAACCTCAAAAACATAAAATTAGACAGCAAATATTTTAAATATGACAAATGATGGATCATCACATTTATTTGTAATATATAAAAAGTATGTTATACACATTTGATAAGGAATATTCTATGACTAATGAAAAATAAGTAAAGAACACAGTCACAAAACAGAAAAATGGTCGACAAACCTAAAATTGCATTTGATGTTGAATGTAAATCAAGTAAAGGAAATACTATAATAAGATTCTATTTCCATGAAATCAATGTCATAAACGTTAAAAAGTAGTAATTTATTGCCGAGGAAAATGAGGAATCTGTACCTTCTCTTATTTCTGGTGGGAATGTAAATTGGTACAACCTTTATAAATAGCAATTCAGGAGCATCCATTTAAAACCTTAACATATCCATCCTCTAGAAGACAACCTAAGGAAATAGTCAGAGATGCTGACCAAGATTTATGCACTAAGTTAACATTTGTAATATTATGTAAAATAGTGAAGATATGGAAATAACAGAAATGTCCTACAATTAGGGCCTGGTAAAATCCATTTCAGTACATATAAGGAAGCAATATGATGCAGCCGTTAAGAAGATGCGTATGAAGCGTTTTTTTAAATGACGTTAGGACTTACTTAAGATACAAATACGAATGACAGGAGGACTTAAGATACAAATACGAAGGGAAAAAGATCAGAGTTCAAAATTCTATATCAAGAAAATGTCAATTATTTAAAACCATGTGCTTAGAAAAGGGCTTATAGGGCTTATAGGAAATAGTCCAAAATGTTCACAGTAGTTATCTCTGGGTAATAGGATTTTTACTGATTTTCATTTTCCCTTTACACTTCTATAAATTTTCTTCAGTATACCTATGTTGGTAACACTGACAACATTATTAATATGAAAGAGGCGTGGTCTCACTTGGGGAAGGAAAGCCCTGTACTGAAATCTTGATGCTGAATTGGCCCTGGGACCATCTTGTTCACCTTGTCCCATTCAGGATTCCTTCCTGTGGTACCTCTGGGCATGGTAAGTGCACAGGTATTTTGAGGTAACACATTTACAATAGATACGATTTTGATTATTTGGAAGTTCTTCCCTATTGAGCTGAAATTAAAGTCTTCTTAATGTAATGTAACTTCCTCTCACTGCTCTCGGACCAGCTAAGTGTGCACGTATTCCTCATCTTCAAATATCTGAAGACCACCTAGGTCCTCACCTCAACTATTCTTCCTGTGTCACAGTTTTCAGATCCATCAAGATCACGGTTGCCTTAGCTATGCTACTCAAAGTGTGCTCTGTAGACCAGCAGCATCAACGCCACCTGGAAGCTTGTAGGAATTTAGAATGTTAGACTCCATCTCAGACCTCCTACATGTAATCTGCATTTCAATAAGATCCTCAGATGATTTGTCACACATTAGAGTTCAAGAAGCAATCGCCGTGAGAAGGACGCATTCTCATTTGCCAGCATTTCATTTAATGAGTGCTCTCCAGACTGAAGAATATCCCAATATTCCTATTTTATTTTATTTTATTTTATTTTATTATTTTTAGACAGGATCTTGCTCTGTCACCTAGACTGGAGTGCAGATATGGGATCATTGATTATTGCTCACTGCAGCCTTCACCTCTCGGGCTCAAGCGATCCTCCTACCTGAACTTCTTGAGTAGCTAGTTCCACAGTTGTGTGCCACCACACCTCGCTAAATTTTTTGGTTTTTTTCTAGAGACGGAGTCTCACTACGTTGTCCAGGCTTGTCTCAAACTCCTGGACTCAAGCAATTCTCCCACCTTGGCCTTCCAACATGCTGGGATTACAGGTGTGAGCCACCGCACCTGGCTCCTATATTCTTGTAGTATATAAAGCAATTGTTATAGCTTCTGATCTCTCCATTCATCATGGAAACTAATATTTATGGAGCGTGTTGCTTTATACAAGCCACTGTTGTCAGGCACTGTTAAGTGGAAGAGAAGTGTGAAAAATTATATTGCTACAAAGGTCTAAGAGTTTCAGTCCCCAGTGGAAGAGTTGTCATAAGACGTAAGTGATAAATTGGCAAAAGGATTATATAGGCAATGACCGCTGTTGAGGCTCAGAGGAGAAAGAGATCATCTGAGAACAGGGTGGTTACAGAGGAGTAGGCTTGTATCTGGGCTTGTAAGGATCAAATGCTCATGGTAGGGGCAAAACTGTAGCCAGCTTGTCCTTGGATATGGTCATGGTGGATTTGAAAGGCAATGTGATCTGGGACAGGAGTTCTCAAACTTTAATGAGCATCAGCATCACTGGGAGGGCTTGTTAAAACACAAATCCATAAATTGCTGAGTTACTGAGATTTGAGTTTCTCATCCAGTAGGTCTGGTGTGAGGCCTGAGAAAGTACATTTCTAACAAATTCCCAGGTGATGCTGAGGCTGCTGGTCTAGGGATCACACTTGGAGAAGCATTGATTTTAAGGAAATAGCATGAGTCAGCCAGTTTTGATTCTATCACTTATTAATTTAGGTAGCAAGGATTTTTTTTACTTTTTGAGGTTTCTCTTTGAGAAATGGAGAATTATAATAGCCATTTTACAACTTTTTGAGACAAGTAAAAGAAATACAAGTCTATAAAAGCCTCCTACTGTATACTGCCTGGTACATTGCTGTTGCTCCATAGTTTAACTTAGATTTCATTCCTTCCCCTAAAGTAATTCTGCTTGACAATGTTAGTTACAACATCTTTGGGAGTGAAGGGATAGTGTTTTTGGTGCGAGGGTCACTTGGGAATAGGCACAGGGCCTTTTTGGAGAACCTGGGGCGAGCCTTCCATACTACTGGGTTATAACAGATAGTGTCTTTTGTGTGGCTGTGTTGGTCCATATTTTACTCTGATGACGATTCATATTGTCTGGCAGTGAGTCAAAACAAAGATACCTTAAGGCTTAGAGAGGCCAATGCCATTTCAGGTACACTGCCTAAAAAAATGATTTGAGAAATGGAATTTAGAATTTACATTCTACCAGTGAAAGAGGAAAATATATTTTTAATTTATTAGAACTGAGGATTCTGAAGTCACTCCCTTAGACTTTTTTTTTTAATTTTAAAAATTTATTTTTTTAGAAATGAGGGTCTCACTATGTTACCCAGGCTGAACTTGAACTTATGGGCTCAAGTGATCCCCCTGCCTCAGCCTCCCAAGTAGCTGGGACTACAGGTGCACGCCACTATGCCTGGATGATTTTTTTTTTAGAAATTCAAGTTATCCTGTGTATTTGGAAAAATATAAATGTAGACCTTTCCTCTTTCTCTAATAGGGATCCTTTCATTTAAACACCATTAAATAGGGAACAAAATGATTTGGCAACTGAGTGTATTCGCCCATCACAACTTCTTTGGGAACTACTAAAATCCTTAAAACATTGAGGGATTCCCCAGGTATTTCTTCATTTCACTTTTAGTGTTCACAGTAACAGAATCCATTAACAAAATAGGACCTTCCTACATTGATACCCAGATTGAAGTGGGAAATTGATGGATTTTCCTTTTGCCACCATTAGCCCTTGACTCCTTCTTGGGAATTTGTTTATTAGATTATACAATAGCTGGCAGCTAATTAATCATACAGCAAACTTGAAGGATAAGACACAGGTACATTTTCGTTGATGTGAAGAAAAGAAAGGATCATTCTAGAGCAGGAGTCATTGCTTAGTTGAGTTTGGGACATTTAGGGGTCATCTTCAGGATGGTGGGCATCTACAGGAAGGGCATCAAGCAGGTGAATGAGATAGGAAAGGGGACAGAGTTTTCCCACTCTGCAGTTTCGTTTGAGATTTCAAAATTAGACTTAGGGCCTGTTCTTGTTTCTTTACCTTCTCAATAGCTGAACTTTAACAGAGAAAACATGTCACCTCCCAGATTATGTGTCTTTACTGGCTCCACTGGTTGCCTGCTGGATCAGATTTAAACTGCCTATTTCAAGAGCAGCCAGTATCCCTTGCCTCCAGTGGTGTGTTGTATAAATAGCCATCATGGGCAATTAGTGTCTCTGATTTTCTTCTTTCTAAATAATGCGGTTGAGGGTTGTTTAATATATTTCAGTTTTTCTCTCCCCAAATCATG
This sequence comes from Homo sapiens, assembly GCF_000001405.40. Lineage (NCBI taxonomy): Eukaryota > Metazoa > Chordata > Mammalia > Primates > Hominidae > Homo > Homo sapiens. The sequence goes on along the minus strand of NC_000023.11, from coordinate 44,118,914 downwards.
TCAAGTAAATTATGTTTTCTTATGCCTTGCAAAGTTCATGCATATATCACTTCAACCATGATTAAAAAGGATAAGGATATTTTAAAACAATAAAGGATATGAACCAGCCACTCACTAACATTTTATGAGCATAAGACAGTTTTGGTTAGAAATTTCCTCAGGAAAATATTTCTATATTTTTAAGAGAAAACATTTTATTTTTTTGTATAGAGAATATTAAGTTACAATATAACATTAAATGGGAATTTTTTGTTGCTTATTATTCTTGTCCTTCTTGCCCACCCACACAATCAATGTCACACACATTTACTGCTCTGAATCACTTTAAGTGAGCCATAAGTGCACTCACGTAACCCCAATAGCAGAATAAGTCTGTCTGAAATCAAGGGAGAGAACATTCTCAACGTGTTGATGGTCCTAGTGTTCCATGCTATTGGATTCTCAAGGAATCCACAATTTCTTAGGCTTGATGCCTGAGGCAAAGACTGACTGAGCGGGAAAGAGTTGTATCAGCACTTGGGCGGGGTGGCACTTCAAATCAAAGTACCAGAATACAGTCACAGTGACCACATCGATGAGTTTTTTAAAGACATCCAGGAACCAGCTTAGCAGTGATGTGTAGCCTCTACTCCTTCAGACTTCTCATTTGGGCAATAGGATTCTATTATATTTCATAATCACTGCAGGGCAGGTAGCTGCCACTGGCCTAAAGAAGGCAAAAGAGCTCAAATTATGTCCCAAATTGATTATCTCCAAAGAGTGTGCCTCCAGACACCTCAGTTGCTTTTTCAGCCCCCCAAGCCACAACCCACCCTGCAGCATTTTTTCCTAGTGTCCGCCGGCCTCTTGGGGCTGCTGTTTTTACTCACTTCCTGCCCTCGGGCTCCTTAACTTCATCTGGTCTGTTGGGCCAAGGATAACCCAGGCTTTTGCCCACCCACACCCCAAAGAAATGGCTCAGCCCAGTCCAGAACTCTGTCTTCCAGAGAGCCAAAGTCGGAGAAGGCAGGCCCGGGCCTGTCTGTGCAGAAGAGCAGATGTGAGAAAGAGCTGGCATGAAGAGAATGGGTTTGGCGGGTGGAGCAGAAGCTGTTGGTGCCCCATCAAAGAACCCTCAGCTCTCACCATTCCCATGGACCCTGACCTGGTGGCTTCCTACTTCAAATTCCTGGGACACTACCTGCGGGCTTTCTCTGGCCATCAGAGTAAGCTAGACTTGTACACAGGGCATGCCGGGAGTAATGGGTAATTAATTAGTCTAGAAGTAGCCCTCAACCAGTGACTGGCAGAAGTTGGTGACTAAATCCCCAGGCCCCTCACTCCCTCAGACAATAAAACTCTGAGCTATGCTCCATGCAGTCTTCAGAGACACCCAGTGAGATGGAGCCCCAGTTGCCCACAGCAGTAATCTTCTTATTAATTCATACCGTATTGGTTTCCTTTCCTTCCCAGTCTCACTTATTGCCTCTCATACTATTGCTCCTGGCATTGCTCTTCAAATCCTTGTCTCAGGATTTGCTTCTGAGGGAACTCAATCTAAGTACTAGAACATGGGATGTGTGAGATTGTGGCTGCACACATCAGTGGGGACCACGTTGTGGAGACCCTAACAACTGCCATATTGAAGTGAGACTTTATTCCATGGTGACTGGGTGGTGAGTGTTTGATCAGACCTCAGTACTAGAGGATCACTCTGGAAACAGAGAGAAGGATGGATTAGAACAGTAGTTTCCCAAGTGTGGTCTCCGGACCATGAAAGTAAGAATCATCTGGGAACTTTTTAGTGAAGTAAATTCTTGCCTCCACTCCTAGACCTACTAAATTAGACAATCTGGGGGTGGGGCCTAGAAACCTGTGTTTTCACAAGCCCCCAGGTGATTCTGATGCCCCTAAAGTTGGAGAACCACTGTATTAGAGAGTAGAGGAGAAGCTGGCAGTGTGGAAGAGTCCAGTTATCAAGCTACAGGAAGATCCTTAGCAAGAAACTGTAAGGGCTGAGCTATCAGTTTTGATTCCCTTCCCCCATTCTTTTTGCTTTGGACTGTGTTCTGCATGCAGAGTGTACTTAATAAATATTTTGGCTTGATGTCTCCCATCCCATTATCAAACAAGTGGACAAAGTAAGGAGAGGGGCAAGGATGGGGATGGGTGGGGTGCAACGGAACCTGTGTGCTGAAGTGACTTAGTTCATATAAGGTTCAGCTGCCACTGACCACATGGCATTTAGAGCATTATCCCTTCCTCAGTTCCAGGGACAGAGTCTTCCCCTAAAGAAATCAGGGCATTGGCCAAACCTGATGTCTTCTTATGAACAAACAGCAGCTACTCCTTCTTCAGAAATTAAGATTCCATGGCTTATGTGTATGGAGTCTGAGAGGTATTGTAAATCTGAGAATGAAATCACCATAAAGTGATCAATAAAAGCTTTTAAACAGAAATTACTTCCTGAGAAAGGGAACATTGTGTGTGTTGACAGGAGAGGGATGGAGTTTGAGAAGATGAATAGGAGGTCTCCTGCTAAGTGGCCTGAAATCTCAAATTAGTTTGTGTTAGTTTGAGACCTAATCCGTATTATTGTTATCTGCTGTTGCTTGACGACATTTTCTTCTTTATTTTCGGAGTCAACTTGACCAAGGTCTTTATAAGTCACAAGATTCAGAACCCCATCATTATGCACTGCAACGTTGTCCAATGGCATCCCAGACTCTCATTGCCTGCTTCTGGGTCTGTGGGAACTCAAAGTCCCCCAACAGTCCCCAGGGCTGGGGTGGGTGAGGGAGACGTGATTGGCAATGGCCTATCCCACAGGGGTACCAGCTCTGGGAACAACAACGCCTTTGACTGAGGCCCTCACAGGAAACTGGACAACATTCTCTGAGCCAAAAGGAGTAATTGGAAAGGTAGTTTTGTGGGTTGGCTTCTGAGCCAGAGTTGAAACAAGGCTGTAGCAAGTCTGAAAGAAACCTGGCAGAGGAGGAGAAGGCTCTCCCTGTGCCAGGAACTGCACAAACCCCTGACCAACCAAACAGAGCTGGTGTGGTAAGGAAATATTTCTGACTGGCAAAGATGGCTCCACAGTCTAGTGATTTACCATCAGTGGTAACAGCCAATGTCCTGCTTGGTGGAATGGGGCCTGTTGAAGGGGAGCCTGTTTGGAATGATTGCTGTATTATTTATCTTTGACCAGGAAAAAATATGCCTTTTCAAGAGGAACTGAAGAGGGGAAACCTTTTGTGATTGCAAAACCTTAAAAGGGCATCGTATGCCCTTCTTAACCAGCCAGATTGAGCTATTGCTTGACCCATGTCATATAAAATTAATATGAAAATAAAAATGTACATGCACAAGAATTTACTATGTATATGGATTTTTTTAAAACAAATAATTAGCTTGAAGAAGCATGCTATGGTTGGCTATAGACGGACTTTTCAAGTCAACCAGAGTTGCTTTGTGGATTAAATACAAAGCTGTCATAAAATGAGTAAGCACAAAATCTTGTGTCAGAGAGAAAGGCTAATGGGACCAGTGTCAACCCTGGGCAGGAGAGAACAAATCCACAGGGTCAACTCGGCCCCTTTAAAGTTCTCATAGCAGAGGGGCATCTGGTTGTGTCCATTTCTCTCTAGTAAGTCTTTGGCGTTTGCAGCAGTGTTTCTGGCTGTCATAACAACCAGCTGTATAATGATCGATCTGGATACTGAAGGGCCTACCCAGTTCAGTGTTTAAAAACTAACATAGGTTTCAGTGATTTTGGGGAGGTTTCAGTGATTTTGGGGAGTTTTGTGATTGATGTGAAAAGATCTGACAGTGATTGGCTTGACTGCTCAGTTATCAACCTGAGGATGATCAAAAAAACGAGGAGAAGGGCATCAGAGATTGGAGATTGGTTCATCCAACTTCTTCCTCTAGATCTGAGGCCCAGATGGGGAAAGTAACACCCAAGTCACCTGGTAGTGTGTGGTAGAATTGGGATGAGACTCCCAGGCGAGAATTCTCCACTTTTCTCCATCTGATCAACCCACGGTACCTACTCTTTATTCACAGAAATAAAACAAAGCCATTTTAAAAAAAAGTTCTGCTCCTTTCCAACAGAAGTTAATTCCCCAAAGACATATCTTAATTAAGCTAGCATAAGAAAAATAGCAGCAATAACTATAAAAATGATGCAAGATAAATACGGGCATTCTTTGCCCCTTAATTTATTATTACTTTAAAAGGGTTACTAAAGCTTGCCTTGCTTCTGTGAAACATGGTGCATTTTTGCAATTCCCCTCAGTTATAAATTAATATAGGCCATCAGGGATGAGGCTAATGGTGGATGAAGATTTTCTTGTGGGGAATACATAGCACCTGAGAAAATGAATGGCTGTGGTGTATGGGCCCCCAACCAGTCCTACAAATGACACAACTTGTCACAAAACTAGCCCCAAAAGAGGCATATTAATTTCTAATAAATAAACCCAGCCAAATTTTTTTCTTTCCTCTATAAGCATGTTCTCCATGTCACTCTACCCAGAAGAGTTTTGGTGTCGGTATCAAGGAGCTGCGATAGGCCAATCTGAGGCCAACCTGCATAAATACTCTTTGCTGACACTTGGCTCTTCCTTTTAGAAGGTCCAAGTTCACAGCTGAGATTATGTGCTAATGAGAAGAAAAGCCAACAAATTTGAGGACTGGTTAGCCATTATCAGCATATCCAAAAGCTGCTTTTTCAGAAATATAAGAAAGCCTCAGAATCTTTCTAATTCCCAGGGTAACAAAGTAAAATCTAGGGAGCTTTAGGAAAAGCAGCAATGAGATGAAACAATATATCAGAAGGTTTTTTTCTCCCCCTCCTCGTAGCATCGTACAAGGCTGCTGAGCGATGTTTAAGGGAGCTTAATAACCTACTGGGGGAGGCTTGAGATAAAAACCAAATATTATGCCCCTACAGATTTCTGGTTAGAAATGTAGCAACTTTGAAACTGAAAAACCAAGCTTAAGTCTTAGATTTACAGTGGCCTTCTGAACTCAGAAAAGCAAGGCAGTCTGTCTGAGGACCTAAGATTTGTGCTGTTATCCCACGGACAACATCATCTCTAGACAAGCCATGCCCAGGTGAACTGCTGATTTCAATGCTTCCCTTCCCACCCCCGCCATCACCACCAGTGTGGGTGTCCCTGTTCCTTTGGACTTTAGTTCAGGAGACTTCAATGTCCAATTCTGCCTTTTCTCATTCAGGAAAAATAAATGTAGTCCCTCCTTGTGTCAAAACCCCACAATAAATTAATGCGGAAGGATGAGCATGCATCTGGCATTAGGGATTCTGATTTATTGTAGAAGCCCTGGGGTCACACACACCCCCAGCTGCCTGCTTGCACACACACACAGCCAAAGAGAAGCGATAAATGATTGGGCCCTTGGAGACAGCTAGGCAGCTGTGGGCATCACATCACACAAAGTGATCATCTGGGCTGCCCAGCCAGAGTCTCTGTGCAAGCATGAAGCAAACCACCATTTGGAATATCTTCCAGTGAATAGAAGGTTAGTTTGATTTTTCTCAGTTTATTTCAGTAAGGGAATGATGGGAATGATTGGCTAGGTAATCAGCTCCTGATAAATCATGGTAATGGCCCAGTGTATCCATGCTCGGTCCAATCCAGAGGTGAGGCTGACATGCACCAGAAACAAAACACACAATTAATTAAAGTTAATAAATTAACTTTTCCCTAAAAAAGGTCATTGTCTCCCTGAAGGAATCTCCCTTTTATCAGAACAACTGTGACACAACTTTTAGAAAATGGGATTGGGACATAAACTAGCAAGTCATCATTTGTGACCCTGAGAAACACAGGCCTTGTGTCTTTCAGGGATAATTCAATATGGAGTGTGGTTATCTTTTAGCAGGAGAAAGAACAGGTTTTTTTTTTTTTTTTTAAAAAAAGGAGACTGTTCCTTCAAATTCATTGCTGTTTTTGCATTTGGTCATGCAGGACGTTAGCTATTATAGGAACAATGGTTGAAATAGGAAACAAACTTGACTGATTGTTGACTTCCTTATATTAACTGAGAAGATATAATATATGGAATTTAATATACCCATGATCTACCACCAGAGCAATGACTACTGAATTTCATAGTTTTCTTCTCTATATTCCCAGTGTCTCTTCCAGTACCAAGCACGTAGGAGACCTTGATGAGTGTGTCTTGAATGAATGGGTCCTTGAGATGAAAGGGAGCTCAGACACAACCACCCAAGGTCCTATTTCCTTATTTCAGAGAAGAGGCCAAGGCATGTGTGTGTTGCCAGGGGAAGGTTTATTAACTCAGTCAAAACCACCCAAGCGGTGAGGGGCAAAAACAAGACCAGAACTACCAGTTCCTCTGATTGTCTACCCAGTGGTCTTTCTACCACCTTGTAATGCCTTAGCCACCAAGTTCTTCCAAACTTGCTTGCTTTAGCTTTGCTGAAATTAATTTTCTATTACTTTACCTACTTTATGTCTTCCATTCTCTTGCTATCTAAAATTTCATAGTTTGTAATTGTCATAATCAAAACAAGATTCCAGCTTTCCTTGGATAAAAGATACATACCTAGAAAGAAATATCTTGTTTCAGACACTCTCTGTGAAATGGTCCATACGTGCTAAGCATTCCTGATGACTTGCTACCTGTAAACCAGACACCACAGCTGTGTGTTTCTTTTTGACAGGCTGTAATTTGTACTCTGGATTAGAAAATACTTCTGATGTCAGTAAAGCACTTGTGGAACCCATCAACATGCTCGATGCAACAGGGGACAGAAAGGAACACTAAGGCATGACTCCGACCCTCAAGATGCTTATTGGTAAGAGCAAACCGGCACACATGAAACAATGCTAAGGTGTGCAGCAGGAAAGAGAAAGGATCTGCTGAACCCAAAGGTTTTATAAATATTATCTCATTTACTCCTAACAATAATGCAGATGAGATCATTGTGTTTGTCCTGATTTTTAAGATGAGGAAATAGAGGCTCAGAGAGGTTACATAGTTTCCCTAAGTTCACTCAGCTAGTAAGTGGTAGAGTTGAAATTCAAGGACAGGCAGTCTCACACTGGAGTCCAAGCAAGCTTCTGCATACCACGTTGCTTTCTGTAGCTTGGCAGCACGGACCACGTAGTAAGGAGACCCCAGAGGTGAGGAAGGTCCCTAAGATTTAGAGTACCCAGAAAAGATTTCAGAGAACAGGTGGGATCCAAGTTGGTTCACAATATGGATAAGCAGAGGACAGAATACCAGGTGAAGAAACGAAATGGGCAAAAGCAGGGAAGAGGGACACTCAGGAACTTTATAATGCTTTCTACTTCTTGGGCACACTGTTAGCTGTTCCATACATCATCTCACTTAACTCTCCCACAACCATAGGAATGATCCAAAGGTAAATTCTCAGTCTTTGTATTCCTCATTGGCAGCATTTGACCCAGGGAATCACTCCCTCCCCCTTGAAACACTCTTCTTGGCATCCAAGACACTTGGCTTTTTGAGTTTTCATTCTATTTCTGGTCATTCCTCCTCTGTTCCCTGCCCTCTAACCGTTGGATTCTCCTAGGCCTCAGTTCTTGAGCCTCTTTTCTTTTCTATCTAAACCCATTCCTTTGTTGGTGATCTCATTCAATACGAATCATTTCAATAGCATAAATATCCAACCTAAATGGTTGATATAAATATCACACACACAGCCACACACACTCACACATGTATAAAACTTCCAGGGCCAGCCAAGATGGAGTAAGCCTATTTAGTCTGTCTCTGCCACCAATTATATCTGAAAACTCCAGACAGAATATACAAAGTAATTACCGAAGGACTCTGAAAGGTAAACAATAGTGGATAGATTCGAGAATGAAGTCAAAACTTGAATAAGGACCAATACCAGCCAGATTGCTATTTCTTTTTTCCTCATGTCTTCTGACTTGTTATGAGGGTGGTCTGGTGGCCTGAGTCACAGAACATGAAATGGGGGTGGGCACCCAAAACTCTAATAGAAATCCAAATCTTTCTGGCTAGAGGCCTGGAGAAAGGAACCCCTGAGAGTCAGAGGGTTCAGGAAACCACCCATTCTTTTTCCTTTTTCTTTTGTTGTCTCCTGGCTTCGTCCTAGGGCTAGCCCCAGTCACTGCTATAGTGACAGTGGCAGTGGCAGTTCAGGCACCTAAAATTTGTTTCCCTGACTAATAGAACTGGGAAAATGGGTCCCTGTGTTTGAAGAGTGTAGAAGGAATCCCATCATTTTTTTTCTCTGTCTTTTCTGTCGCTGCTTTACCCCAAGGATGGCTCCAGTGATGCAGAACTGTATGACAGTACAGTAGTGGGGAAAGTTAGAACTCTGAGGGAAACCTATTTTTCTGGCCAAATGAATTGGGGAAAGTGGTCCTTGGGAGCCAGAGAGTGTGGAGAAAATCTTAGAGAGGAGAGAGCTGGAAAAGGGAATCCCCCTAATTCTGTGTATGAACTGACACAAGTCCTGGGCTCTTCACAAGTCAGCTGTCATGAGCAACACAGACCCAAAGAAGCACAGTAAAGTCTTTGAGAACTGAGCTATGATAGGAGTGGTATGCCCCAAGTCCCATACAAGCTCCTGATTTCCAGTCACATAGACTAGGACAGTAAAAACAATGACATTCAATCCTGAAATGACATTTGAACCACTACCCACAGACAGTGAGAGAAAACTTCTGGCCTTAACCTAACTGTGCTGATTTCCTGCTAAAATAAAAACAATATCTACTGACATTCTCAAGAGAACTTTAACAGGACCCAGTCTCACAACATAATAGTCAGTATGTTCAGAATGTAATCTAAAATTATTCAACATATAAAGAACCAGGATCAATTCTGAAGGGAAAGGACAATAGACAGATGTCAACACCATGATAATCCAGATGTTGGAATTAGCAAAGACTTTAAAGCAGCTATCATAACCATGTTCCACGAAGTGAGGGTGAACATTCTTGAAATGAATGGAAGGATAGAAGTTCTCAAGAGAAAAATAGAAACTATAAAAGAAGAATCAAATGGAAATTTTAGAACTGAAAAATATATCTCTAACAAAAGAAACACTAGATGGGTTCAACAGCAGAATAGGGATGACAAAGAAAAAAGTGAGTGCACTTGAAAATAGATCAATAGAAATTATAGAATCTGAATAACTAAGAGAAAAGAGGATTTTTTAAAATGGAAGAAAGCATAAATTGAAAAAAGAACAGAACTTCAACAAATGGTGCTAGAATAGTTGGATACCTGCTATGGTCTAAATGATTGTGTCCCCTCCCCACCCTGGCCCTGCAATTCATATGTTGAACCCTAACCTCCAAGGTAATGGTATTAGTAAGTTAAGTGAGGCATTTTGGGAGGTGATTAGGTCATGAAGAGCCTTCATGAATGGGATTAGTGACCTTATAAATGAGGCCCCAGGAAGCTAACTTGTGCCTTCCACCATGTGAGGATGCAGCAAGAAAGAGCCTATGAGAAACGAGCCCTCGTCAGACACTGAATCTTCTGGCACTTTGATCTTGAACTTCCCAGCCTCAGAACTGTGAGAAATAAATTTCTGTAGTTTACAAGCCATCCAGTTTATATTTTGTCACAGCAGTTCAAATGGACTAAGACAATACCCATACGCAAAAAAGGTACCTTGACTATACCTGAAGCCTTATACAGAAATTCACTCAAAATGGTTCATAGACCTAAATGTAATACCTAAATTTATAAGACTTTTAAAAGAAAATAAAGGAGAAGATCTTTGTTACCTTAAATTAGGCAATGAGTTCTTGGCTTCAACAACAAAAGCATGATCTGGAAAAGAAAAAAAAAATGTTAAACTGAGCTTCGCCAAAATTTAAACCTTTTTCTCTGCTAAAAATACTTTTAAAAGAGTAAAAAGAGAAGGTACAGGCTTGGAGAATATGTTTCCAAATCACATATCAGACCAAGGACTTTTAAGCAGACTCTATAAGGGATTTTTCATACTCAACAATATGAAAGCAAATAACCCAATTTAACATGGGCAAATATTTGAATGGATACTTTACTAAAGATACTCAGATGGCAAATAAGCACATGAAATGACACTCAACATTATTAATAATTAGGGAAAGGCAAATTAAAGCCACAATGAGATACTCCTACACACCCATTAGAATGGTAAATGAATAAGTAAATATCTGACGTTGCTGGTGGAAATGCAAAATGGTACAGTTACTTTGGAAAACAGTTTGGCAGTTTCTTGTAGGGTTAAATGTACATCTACCCTACGATCCAACAATCCCATTCCTAGTTTTGTACCTGAGAAAACTGAAAACTTTTGTTCACACAAAAACCTGTACATGAATATGCATACCAGCTTTATCATAACTGCTAATAAGTGGAGACCACCCATGTGTCCTTCAGTGGGTGAAAGGGTAAGCAAAATCTGGTACACCCATGCAGTGGAATACTACTCATCAGAAAAAGTAATGGACCATTGATAAACACAGTGACATGATTGAATCTCAAATGTACTATGCTGAGTGAAAGAAGCCAGATTCAAAATCCTACATACTGTATGATACGGTTTGGCTATGTCCCCGCCCAAATCTCATCTTGAACTGTAGCTCCCATAATCCCTACGTGTCATGGGAGGGAGTAAGTGGGAGGTAATTGAATCATGGGGGCGAGTTTTTCCCATGCTGTTCTCGTGATAGTGAATAAGTCTTACGAGATCTGATGGTTTTATAAAAGGGCAGTTCCCCTGCACACGCTCTCTTGCCTGCCACCATGTAAGACGTGCCTTTGTTTCTCCTTTGCCATCTGCCATGATTGTGAGGCGTCCTCAGCCATGTGGAACTGTGAGTCCATTAAACCTCTTTTTCTTTAGAAATTACCCAGTCTCAGGTATGTCTTTATCAGCAGTGTAAGAGCAGACTAATACACTGTGTGTTTGTATTTATGTGACATTCTGAAAAAGGGAAAACTATAGTGACAGAAAATAGATTAGTGGTTACCAAGGGCTGTAGATGGGGGGAGGGTTTGATTACAAAGGGGCAGTATGAGGGAGTTTTTTAAAGATGATAGAACAATTCTGTATCTTGATTATGGTGGTGGCTACATGATTATGCATTTTTTAAAAAACTCATAAAACTGTATAACAAAAAGACAGACTTTTGCCGTAAGTTTAAAAATGAATATTAAAATTTTTCCAAATTTACATCTCTGGATCAGACATCTCCCCTTCAGCCAGATATCTGACTGACTGTCTGCTATTTACACTCAGATGTTTAATAATTATCTTAAACCTAACCTGCCTGAAATCAAACTCTTGATCTTTTCTTCCAAACCTGCCCCATTTACTGCATTCTTGGTCTCAGTTGATGGAACCATTTTTCTATTTGCTCTGGCCAAAATGCTTGAAGTCCTCCTCGGCCTCCTTCTTTATTGTATATCCCACATCCAATCCGCTATAAACCCAGTTGTCCCTATCCCTCAAAAACATATTCTCACTACTTCTACTTCTACTCCTATTGGCTTGGTCCAAGCCACCATCATTTTGCAATTGCTTTCTCACTTAGACTCACTGCTTATGTTAGATATGGATATCATTCCCCACAACTCACTTGTATTAGTCCATTCTCACACTGCTATAAAGAACTACCTGAGACTCGGTAATTCATGATGAAAACAGGTTTAATTTTCTGGAAGTTCTGCAGGCTGTACAGAAAGTGTGCCTGGGAGGCCTCAGGAAACTTACAATCATGGCAGAAGGCAAAGAGGAAGGAAGCACATTTTACCATGACAGAGCAGGAGAGAGAGCAAGAGAGCAAAGGGGGAAGTGCCACACACTTTTAAACCACCAGATATCATGAGAACTCACTCACTATGACAAGAACAGCAAGGGGGAAGTCTGTCCCCATGATCCAATCACCTCTTACCAGGCCTCTCCTCCAACACTAAAGAGCACAACTCGAGATGAGATTTGGTTGAGGACACAGAACCAAACCACACTATCCCTCCTCTTCCAGGAAGAACATGCTGCCCAGCTGTGGAAAGTGCTGTTAGCAGAGAACTTCCACCTGTTAACTCCTTCAGCTTCTGCTTCAGCTGCAGAAAACCCATCACTCCCTCCATCCCGAACACACAGACCTCCTTGCTCTTTCCCAAGCAGGCAGGCAAAAGATCTGCCTCAGAGCCTTTGCACCTGCTATTCTCTCTGTTTAGCTCTCTTCCCTTAGATGCTGTCTGTATTGGTTTCCCAGGGCTGCCATAACAAATCACCACAAGCTTGGTGACTTACAACAAGAGAAATTTATTCTCTCACTGTTCTGGAGGCCAGAAGTCTGAAATCTAGGTGTCACAGGGCCATGATCCCTCTGAAGGCTTTAGGAGAGAATCCTTTCTTGCCTCTCCCAGCTTCTGGTAGCTTCAGGCATTCCTTGGCTTGCGGCCACATCACTCCAATCTCTGCCTCCATCTTCACATGGTCTTCTCCTCTGTGTCTGTCTTCTCCTCTTCTGTCTCTTATAAGGACACCTGCCATTGGATTTAGGGCCCACCCAGATAACCCAGACCAATCTCATCCAGAGATCTTTAACTTAATGACATCTACAAAGACCCTTTTTTCCAAATAAAGTCACACTCACAGGTTCCCAGGGTCAGGATGTGGACATATCCTTTTAGAAGGGCTATTCAACCCACTACAACCTCTTAGCTCACTTCTTCAGTTCCTTCAAGTCTTTCCTCAAAAGACGTGGTCTCAGCGTGTGACCTGCCCCCCACACCCTACTTAAAATTAGAACTTCCCCACCCCCCTTCCCTGCTTAATTTATCCCTATAGCACTTATTACCATCAGACATACAGTATATTTTCCTTATTTATTCTTTGTTATTACAGTAAGTCTACCACTCCCATTATAATTGTCAGGGTTTTTTGTTGTTGCTGTTTTTCTTTTTCTGTTTTTTATTTTGCCTACTGTGTTCATTGCTGTATTCCCTTTTCCCAGGACAATGCCTGGTACAGCCGTAGGGTTGAATGAGCAATTATCCCCATATTATGAATACTTAAGCAGGCACAGAAAGTTTAAGTCATTTGCCCAAACATGACATTCAAAGCATGGTCTCTCGCACCAGAACCCATGCTCCTAACGTGATCACATGCCACCCTTCCCGGAGAACCACCCTTTATAGGCTCTGGAAAATTCCCTGGTGCGTTGCTGACCTCTAGGGACGTCTATTGTCTCAGAGTCAAGGAAACATCGAATCGACTTCTTTTCCTGACACTGTCTGGAATACACGAGACCCTTCCCTCATCTAAAAGTCTTCCCCTGCTCTCAATTCCACTGCTTTACCTTCCCTGTTAAAGAAGTTTCCCTTTCTAACTAGCCTAAATCTTTCATGGTGCTGTGGAGGTTTCTTCTCCCGTCCTGAGTGGTGAGAGCAGCTGCTCTCCAGTCCCCTTGCATTTGGAGATTATTATCGAGTTGCCCTGTGGGCATTGCTGGTCCAGACAAAACATGCCAGACAAGTTCCTTTAGCTTTTTCCAGAAATCTCATTTTATTTTCTCCCTCCCTCTCCCTTCTCCCCTTCCCTGCAATGGGTTTCTGATAAAATGCAGGATGAGATTTTTGGCTTGTAGCATGCGCTGCCCTTAGGTGATATTCTATAAATAATGAATGGAACAGAACAACATTTTTAAAAATGCATGTTTTGGTACAAATTCAATTACTGATGTTGGCACTTGCTAACCTAGCAAATAAATGCATTTTCTCTGGCAACCAATGCCTGGCTCCAGCTCTTAATGCCTATTTTCTGGACATCCTATTCGCAAACTGCACTTTCATAAACAGCAGAGAGCCCTCAGAGTGACAGTGGGGAGGCAGGTAATAGTCCCACCCAATCCACAGAAAAGGAAACTGAGGCGGGAAGGGATTGTGCCCCTCCAGGATGGACAGATAGCCTGAAGCTTCCCATACTGGGTCACACTGATTCATAGAGCTCCAGAGGCCAAAGGCATTTGCTCATTCCATCATGCAAGCTGCTCTGGAAAGCAAGGCCAGATAAAATCTAAGCCGACGTTTGGATGGACATTATCCTGTGCTCTGTGGGCCAGATTCTCAGCCTATGAAGCTTTGTGGCAATGTGTGTGGAGCCTCATCTCATGCTAGTTGATGGGAATTTCTATAATAAGAGAAACTTAAGCCAAATTCTCAACCAATATAACTCTGTGAATTCCCATAGAATTACGTAAGTTGAGAATCTGGCTTATGTGTATGTGCATGTATATAACTCGCATTATTTTATGAGGTCAATCTAACTGTAGAGATGACCATAAAAGTCCCTCCATTACATTAGTATTTTTTTTGGAGGGGTCATGATCTTAGACTAGGATTCCATAATGGAATAAATGGGAAATTATATGTGTGTGTGCATATCTATATGTATAAATATATGTATGTGTATACACACACACACATATATATATATATATATACTAGATTCTGTACAAGAATAAGGAAACTCCATGTTACTTGAATCCATTAAGTACCATTGTGATTTTGTTTTATTTTATTTTGTTTCTGTCTTTCCAGGAAGTTTTGTTTTCCTCCATTTTTTTTGTTTGTTTGTTTGATTGAGATATGGTGATCCCATTTTTGGACAGTTCTACTCCAACTTCGGCAGATGAGCTCTTCAAATTGTTGGGAGAGCGCTTGAGAATTCCGTTCAGGAAGTTCCAGACACTAGAGCAATTTAGAATTGGCTGTTGGTGCCTCCCCCAGCGCAGGTGGCTTTTATCTTTATTATGGATTGTTCCATGAAACATTTTGGTCATTTGAATTTATTTTCAATGTAACGTTTAAACTTGTAAAGAATAAATCCCATGTGTGCAAGAGGGAATAACAGCAGAAAAGGAGACATGGAAACTTTCGCCTTCCCCCTCCAGCCATTGGTTCAGGGCCAGTCCGGGTCTGCACTGGCAGAACATATCAGCCTTTCAACGAATGCCATTTCATGTACTGTGTAAAAAAGGTTAGTGGTCTTGGTCTGGTGGGACTATGTGGGCAACTGACTACATCACTAGGCCGAGCCCAACGGTGAGCACTGATTCTATGGCACAAAAGCTGAAGAGTGGTTGGACTTAAAAGGGGACATTTCCCATGTCCCTGACTCAGAGCTATTGTGAGACATAGACAGTCTTTGATGACTCTTCATCACCTCTTCTCACCTGACTGCAGAGACTGGTTTTCTTCCCTGCAGTCTGTGGATGCTGTCTGTCCTCTTTGGTTTCAAGCTTCTCTCACATTTCAAAGGCATTCAATTCAGCCAATTACTAAGCAGATTCTACATTCTCCAGGCCTCTGGTTGGGCTCTAATCTGAGAGAAGGAGTCCAAGTTTAAAGGAGTTCACAGCCTGGAGGAGAAAGGGGAGGCCAAGGTCACGGCCAGCTCATGGCATCATGGAGCTGAGCAGAAATGGAGGTGCAGAGAACTATAGCTTGGGGGGCAGGGTGGGGATCCAGCGGAGAGGATGTAGCCATGGATGAAGCACTTGAAATATGAGTAAGACTTTGTCAGGAAGTAGGAAGGGGAATGGGGGAGAATGTTCCAGGCTGAGGAAACCCCATGTACAAAAGCACAAAATAGTAAAGTATGTGTATGGTTTTGGGAACCCCCTCAGTGGCTCCCCTTAGCTGCCAGACTAAAGGGCAAATGCCTCAGCATGTCTAAAAAGCCCTTCACATGGCTGCTGTTGTTCTGCCTCAAGATTCTTCTTTCTTTGTTTCCCTTCTTCTTGACCTTCACCACAAACATCCTTAATTACAAGGGCCATGCCTGCTCATATTCCTGCATGTTTGCATTTGCTACCTGAATCATCCTTATCCTCTTTTTTTCTGGCTTTCTCCCATCCTTCAGAACTCTACTTAAACTTTTCCAGGATTCTTCCCTGACTCCTTCTTTCCTCCCTCGAGGGACATTTGATGTCCCTCACGGTATTTTGATGGCCCCTTGTACACAGTTCCACAGCATTGTCATTGCTGAACCTGTTGAGATACTATATGGGCCTCTCAGCTCTGAATCCGAAGCACCTAACATGCTGGACAATGTCAGCGAGGAAAAATTTTTCTTCTACCCTCTTGAGTTTGGTGATTGAGGGCTGGCAAATTAAGCTGACAAAAAACAGATTAGCAAGAGAAAAACACAGATTTAATTACATATGTAGATGGGGAGTTCACAAAGAAATGTAATTCAAGGAGGTATTAGAATTTGGGTCTTATATACCATCTTTTTTTTTTTTTTTTTGGTGAAGTCTCGCTCTGTTGCCAGGCTGGAGTGCAGTGGCACAATCTCAGTTCACTGCAACTTCCGCCTCCCAGGTTCAAGTGATTCTCCTGCCTCAGCCTCCCGAGTAGCTGGGACTACAGGCGAGTGCCACCACACCCAGCTAATTTTTGTATTTTTAGTAGAGACGGGGTTTCACCATGTTGGCCAGATGGTCTCCATCTCTTGACCTCATGATCTGCCTGCCTCAGCCTCCCAAAGTGCTGGGATTACAGGCATGAGCCACCGCAGCCAGCCTATATACCATCTTAAGAGGGGATGAGCAGGGGCAGAGGGATACTTCTGGGAGAACAAATGACTTTTAGGAAAAACAAATGGGCCCTTAGGAGAAGATGGGTGATATAACAGTTTTATGTCAATGTCTGTTTAGGTGATTGATCTTAACTGGGGCTGACTTCCTCTTTGTTGGTAAGGGTCCATTTCCCCTGGTTGTGAAACTCTGGGAGAGGGGATTTATGACGGTTGAATTCTTTTGGGAGGCTCTGCTTTTAGAAAGATAAAGGAGGTTCAGAAAAATCTTATTCCTGCAGCTGTTGATTCTCAGATGTCTTCAGCTCAAAATAATCCTTATGCCACTGTAGCATATCCTGGACCCCTTCACTAGTACATAGTAGATGCTCCAAAAAATATTTGATAAACAAATAAGTTTTTCAAACCTGCTTCTTTTCTAGTGTTCCCCCTCTTGATAAAAGGCACCATCATTGGCTAATTGCTCAAGCTATAAACCTAGAAGTCAGCCTTGATTTCTCTGTAGTGCCATATCCAATCCATTAGCTGTTCTTGTCAGCTGTGCCTCCGAGACATATGAGTCTATCCACTCCTCTATCTCCACTACAATCCCCTCATCTCAGGCACTATCATCTCTTACCTGGGCAACTGCAAGAGCCTCTTAATGTGTCTCTCCCAACTCCCACACTTGTCTCTGCATAATCAACCACCTGTATAGAAGTCAGATTGACCTTTCTTACGGGTAAATTGGAACATTTCTGCCTGAACTGCAGATTCCCCTAAAAAATATTCTGTGGTAAAGTTCACTATTATATTAGGTTGTGCAATCTAAGGAAGCTGGAGTGAGGAACAAAGGAAGTGAGGCAGGGAAGGACGGTGAGCCAATAAAGGGCGTGTTACTGAGCTAGCCACTCTTTAGTATCAAGTGAAACTGATTGCTGGAGCTGATGGGCTGGCTTCAGAGAAGGCATGTAAGGTCTGCCTCTCAAGATAGTCTGTCCCAGGGGAAGAAGGGGGAAGAAATATCAACTCTTCTCTCCTGTAGATCAACAGTCCACTCCATGAGACAGTAACTCCCTGCACTTATGAGTTGCACACATATGGGCTCCTTGTGGGTGCCTCAGCAGCCATGTCACCTTGTCAATGGGGAAAATCCTAAGGGGAGGTGAGAGGCACATGGATGAGGCATGAGGTGAAGTCACATTGGAGTGTGTCTACATGAAGTTAATCATAGAGTGTGCACAGAGCTGGCCACCATTGCAGCTAGGACAGAAAAACTAGTCAAGGCCCATTCAACAGGTGAGGTTGAGAAGGTGTTAAGGGATAGCATCTAAGAGGTGTCTGATGTTCTGCCACTCCTGCCTAAAACCCCCCTGTCACTTCCTATTCATTTCATCTAAAATGGCTGGCCTACACGACTTCCACCTACTCCCCAACTCATCTCCTCTTACCCCCTCTTCAGACCTCCACTTCAGCCACACTGACCTTGCTGTTTTTTAAATATACCAACATTGTTTGCACCCTAAAGGCTTCACATTTACTGATCTCCCTCCCTGCAAAACCCTCCTCTCAGATTCACATGGCTGCTATCTACTTGTCACGGAGGTGTCAGTCCAAAAATTCCCTCCTCAGAGAGCCCCTCTCTGATCGCCTTACTGAATGTAGGCTTTACCCCCACCTAGCCACTCTCTACCACCTGGGTTTATTTTCCTGACAGCATGGGTCTCCATCTGTGACTACCCCAGACACTCCTTTGCCTTCATATTGCCTTTCTCCCATGACTAGAATGCAAATGCCATGTAGATTTAGAGCTGGCTGGTGGGAGGTTCAGATGCTGGGCTCAGGAAGAAAGTGGACCTGTTCTCATTTCGCCTCAGGACCAGGCCCCTTAAGGCTTCCACGTGATAATTGGTAAATCAGATATTTCAATGGGGGTCAAAACGAAAGCGCTCGAAGAGATCTAACACCCCTCTCCACATCCCCACCATGCACAATGGCACCTTTATTTCCACTAATAATAGTAATTTCTCATTTTTGTTTCTCTCTCCTCCCCATTTAAAATTCTTTGATGGTTTCTCATTGCCTCCAGGATAAAATCCTGAACCCTTTGGATTTTGTAGAAGATCCTCCTGGATCTCCACTGCATCTCCTTGCTTTCTTTCCTGCTTGTTCTTTTGCAGGACTGTGGAAGATGGATGAACAGGCTGTGCACAGCATCGTTCTAGAGAGCATTATTGTCATCTCTGTGAGAGCGGTACCCCCGCAAATTCAGCAGGGCATAACCTGAACCTGGCTTCCAAACACCCTGCTGTTCTTGCTCCCTAGGGCCCTTGTGCTTCCTGTTTGCTCTGCTTGGAAAGCATAGTTCGTAATGCCTGCCTGTCTAGAATGGATCGCCTCCTCCAGGAAGCCTTTCCCTCTCCTCTGTGCCCTCGTAACATCCTGCCACATTCTGGTCATAATGCTTACCTTGCTGTGCTATAACTGGGTTGATTGGTCTCTGTTCTCCTCTAGTGTGATGGATTGTATCAAAAATGCCTGTGACATGTAGTCTATCCATCCAGTGGAATATTATTTAGCCTTAAAAAGAATAGAAATTCTGACTCATGCTACAACATGGATGAACCTTGAGGACACTATACTAAATGAAATCAGCCAGTCACAAAAGGACAAATGATTCCACTTACATGGGTACCTAAAAGCGGTCAGACTCACAGAGATAGAAAATAGAATGGTGGTTGTCAGAGGCTGGGAGAAGGGGAAATGGGGAATTAGTGTTTAATGGGTGCAGTTTCAGTTTTGCAAGATAAAGAGTTCTGGAGCTCGGTTGCACAACAATATGAATAACTTAACCTTAGTGAGCTGTATATTTAAAAATGATTAAGATAGTAAATTTTATGTTATGTGTATTTTACCACAATCAAAACTTAAAAAAAAATGGCTGCAACAATAATTCTTGGCCCATGTGTTTTTGTTGATACCTGATCAAGTGATGGATCTTGAGGGATCCAGTGATTTCCACTTCCCTTGAACCTGGGCGGGCAGTTATGATTGCCTTGACATGCAGCACGTGGGAGAGGTGATGTTATGTGGCACTCAGTGGCTGGGTCATAAAAGGCAACACAGATTTGGCCTGGCTTTTGCTTTTTTGGGATGCCTGCCTTGGGATCCCAGAGGCATTCTATAAGAAGTCTGGTGCTCAGAGGCCATCATGTTAGAAAAGCCACATGGAGGGACCACATAGAGATACAGGGAGGTGCCCAAGAAACTCAAGCTGTCCATCACCCAGCTGTTTGAGTCTTTCCAGCATCAACTCTCAGACATGTGAGTAAGTGAGCCTTGGATGATTTCAGCCTCCAGCCTCTGAGCTGCCCCAGATGATCAAGAGTGGAATAGGTATAAGTTGTCTTTTTTGAGTCCTGCCCATGTCACAGATTTGTGAGCAAATTGAATGCTATTCTTAGAGTGACCAATTTGTCCTGGTTTGCCTGGGTCTTTCCCTATTTTAGCACCAAAAGTCTCACATCCCAGGAATCCCCAGTCTCAGGCAAAACTGAATGGTTGATGTTACAGGCTGAATTGTTCCACCCCCTCCAAACCCTGCAAATTTATATGTTGAAGTCATAACCCACAGTACCTCAAAATGCGACTGTAATTGGAGATATGGACTTTGAAGAGATAATTAAGCTAAAATGAGGACATTAGGGTAGGCCCTAATGCAATATGAATGGCTGGTGTTTTAACAAGAGGAGATTAAAAGACAAACAACACACAGACCAAGGGGCAAACATGTGAGGACCCGGCAAGGAGGAGGTGATCTACAAGTCAAGGAGAGAGATTCAGAAGACGCCAACCCTGCTAATACCTTGATCTTGTACTTCCAGCCTCCAGAACTATGGGAAAATACATTTCTGCTGTTTAAGCCACCCAGTCTGTGGTATTTGTTGTGGCAGCCCTAGCAAACTAATACGATTGGTCACTCTTACGGACTGAATGTTTGTGTCCCCTCAAATTCATATGTTGAAGTGCTAACCCCCAATGTGATCATATTTGGAGGTGCAGCCTTTGGGAGGTGATTAGATTCAGGTGATATCATGAGAATGGGCACCTCATGATGAGATTTGTGCCTTTATAGGAAGAGGATGAGAAAGAGAATTCTCTGTATGTGTGTGTGTGCATTGAAGAAAGGCCATGTAAGGACACAGTGAGAAGGTTGCCATCTATAAGCCAAGAAGAAAGCCCTCACCAAGAACCAAATCTGCTGACACCATGAACTTCTCAGCCTCAGAACTGTGAGAAATAAATGTCTGTTGTATAAGCCTCTCAGTCTCTGGTATTTAATAGCTTGAACTAATTAAGACTGTCACCCTGGTTTCTCTTGTAGTGAGACCTTAAATTTTGTGGTGGTTTATTATGCAGCAGTCAATAACAAGGCCAACTTGATAGTGGCTTCCTTGAGGTCAGGGGTAATAGCTTTCATTATTCTATTCCCAGCACTCTGCACATAAATATTATTTAAATTTTTTTTAAATGTCGGAATCACTGGCTAAACAACTGAGTATATTGGGGAGAGGGGCAGTAACTGTCCCAAATGGGCAACACCTTAGGTGAATTATATAACTGGGTTTTGGAATGTCTGAGTACATAAAGCTATGTGACAAAATGGATTGCCTTTAGCAGTTTAACCCCATTCCTTTCCTCCTGGCAAGCTCAGGCAGTATGATTGCCTCTACCTCTCTGCAATTGCTCAGTGGCCCAAATGTGGTTACCAATCAGACCTTTCGCTTATTTAATCTCCCACTCGGCAGGGGCTATCGAAACGTATAAAAATCATCCTGGCTTACGTCTGCTTCCCCAATCATCACTGGATGAGATTTCAAACCATTATCTGCCTGTAATGATGTCTCTCTTCTCTCAATAGTGTCCAGATTCATTGAATTTGAAAGTCTTGGATCCTTCTTGCTAGGGATGAACCTCCAGGGTTTACAACTCCTCACCCAGGTCTCAATTTATAGTCATCAACAGCTGTTCAGCATATGCTATTTAAGCTGCAGGTGTACTCTGCTAGTAAAATAAACACCCCGATTCTCATTTGTGTGCAATTCAGAATATTACCCAGATGTTGGGATGAATACAATGGGATCATCTGTGGGAAAAGCACATTAGCTGCTGTGATGAGCAGAGACCCTTGACAGAGATGATGTGCAGGCTGGAGTGAGACATGCCGGGGTGGTGAATGCCAAAAGGCCACACCAGTGGATCCCATCCTCAAGCCACAGCCTGACTCTGTCATTGTTGCAAATTGTTGATTTAGGGATAAAAGATCTAGATTAAAAGAAATAAAGAATTCCAGAGCTTTCTGCCCCATTTGGAGCTGGACTCTATAGTCTCAGGAGGTCAATAGTCAGTGGAATTGTCCTGGTCCCAGGAGACAGGCTGTGAGACACTAAGTCCTCTCACTTCTGTGCTGGCTGCTTCCAGCCTATGCACCTGAGCAGAGGGCTACAGTGGTGGGGCAGGAACAATGACAAGGACAAGAGGAGCTTTCTGGGCTTGCCTACCTCCTGACTCAGCAGTGTCAGGTCAAGGCCCGCAATCTCCCAACTTGGGAGTGAGGATGCAGCAGGTGAGAAAGAGAAGGTAGTTTTTAAGTATTGAGTTGTCATTAAAGTATAATATACAAACAAAAAACTATATAAATTATAAATGTACACGTCAATCAATTTTCTTAAACTGAACACACCCACATAACCAATATCCAGATTAAGAAATGAAGCGTGACATGCAGCACTCCAGAAGCCCCCTCATGCTCCCTAGTCACAATTCCCATTGCCCAGGGTCACCTCTATCCTGACATCTAACAGTGTCAAGAAGTTTTGCCTGTTTGGGGACTTTATACAGGTTCAATCATCAGTATATATCCCTTTTCGTCTGGTTTCTATTGCCTGACATAATATCTGTGAAAGTCACAAATATGTTGTGTGTAGTTATAGAACATTCATTCTTATGGCTGTATGGTCTTCCTTTGTGAGAATACCACTATTTATCCATTCTGCTGTTGATACACATTTGGATAGTTTCCGGTTTGGGCTATTATGGAAAATGCTGCTAAAAACACTGTAGTATTTACTTTTAGGTAATATAAGTAAACACTCCTGTTGAATGTAGACCTAGGAGTCGACCGGATCATAGGATGTGGGCAGTAGATTGCGGTTGTTCTAATTCATTCAGGGGAGGTTTGCTTAAAAGAAGTGAAAACATGGAGGATCATTATTCTGGCATATTGCCGTCTCAGGGATAGACCAAAGAAGTTTCAAGAGGAGAAGAGAAAAAGGTGTGGATGTTGTCCCTTGGCTTTACTTCTCATTTACTTCTCAGTGCTTCCTCCTGCACACATACACCCAGGCACGAACCACATACATGGCCTTTACTCTCACAAAATGAGTTGTGAGGAGAAGCTTTCTTCTTGAGATGTTTTGAGGGACTGTCACAAAGACCCCTTGCCCCCAAATATGTCCCCCATTGGTGCGATGTTGATGTCTGAATTTCCTTGGTAAAACATGACGACTGAATAACAAATCACTGTGGAAAAGGTAATGTTTTGACTTGAAAGGCTACAGTAGGCTTATCTGAGGTCGGGTGCTAGATGCCAACATCAGCTGCATGCCAACACCGAGCCAATTAAGCCAGGTGGCTACAGGCTGGGGTGATTACCAGGTCAACATGACATCAGACATTAAATCTGACTGAGGGTCTCTGTCAGAGTCAGAATCAGTGGACAAATCTGAGATCAACCCTTGGGAAGTGTATAAAAACCTTGAAGCCCAGAAGACAACCAGATCAATCCAATCAGACACTCTGGGGGCTAACCCCAGGCATCAGTACCCAGTGGTCACCCAGTAACCCCAGGTGGTCACAATGTATAGCCAAGAGGTGATTCTGCTCCCCAGGATAAATTTCAACCCCTAGGGGACATTTGGCAGTATCTTAGGACATTTTTGGTTGTCACAGCTGGGTGTGAGTGCTATTGGCATCTAGTCAGTAGAGGCCCAGGATGCTGCTACACACCCTAGAGTGCACAGGAGAGGACAGCCCCCGCAACAGAGAATCAGCGAGCCCCAAATGACAATAGTGCTGAAGCTGAGAAACTCTATTCTAGGCAAATTCTCACGGATAGCAGTAACGGGCTCTCCTGCCTTCTGGAGGCTAAAGATGGCATCTCGTTTTCCTCTTCACCTCTCAAAGAAAGTAATCTGCATGAAAGGAACCAGGAAAAATGAGATGGAAAAATTCACTTCCCTACCTCTGGTAATATCCAGCCTGTGCCCAGAAACTGGGTGACATGCTGTTGTCCTTAACCCTGAGTTGGAGCCAGGTCTCATGTTGTGGATAATTAAGTACCATTGCCTTGAATCAAAAATCCCCTTTCAGTATTGTGATGTGCACCTGTAATCCCAGCTCCTCGGGATGCTGAGGCAGGAGAATCACTTGGACCTGGGAGGTAGAGGCTGCAGTGAGCCGAGATCGCACCACTTCATTCCAGCCTGGGTGACAGAGCAAGACTCCATCTCAAAAAAAAAAAAAAAAAAAATCCCCTTTCATTTGAAATTTGGAAAGTTAAAAAAAATTCTCATTGTATTGTAGGGTAGGGTTCATTCATGGCTTGCTGTTGGACTCATGTGTGGTTATATCCTAGGTGGAGAACATACTGAAGGCAGTTTTCACATCCCATAATGAAATGCCTTAAAAATGGTCTGTCCATGTCAAATGTGCTGCACAGCTTCACACCCCTGGCCCAGAATTTATAACATATTTTTTTGAATCACTCATACGAGATACTGGCTTATAATAACATTTAAATGTGTCACATATTTATATTTTATGTCCCAAGGAGAATATTCCTTAAGAGCAGGGTCTGGCTCGCCCTCCCCCTCCATCCCCCCACCCTCCAACACATACACCCATGTCTAGCAGAGTGCTTTACATATTGTAGGTGCTCAGAAAATGACTGTGGGAGGAAAGACAAAAAAAAAGAAAGAAAAGAAAAGAAAAAAGGAGGAAGGGAGGCAGAAAGGAAGGGAAGGAGGAGGAAGATATAATGTAGGCCTGATATATCTGAATCATGTAACCACAGTGAGCCGTGATCTAATGACATTCTATAGGGTGTCTGAACATCCAGAAAACATAGGATAAACTTATTGTCAAGCAGTACGTTAGCTACATTTTCAAATAATATTCTCAGTGTATTTCTCCTCAACCTATTATAATCTTTTCTTTATGTTTCTAGACTTTCTGGACACTCTGGAGTATATTTACTTGTATTTTTGTTTATACATTTACAAATACACTTATAAATATCTATTTATAAATACACTTTTTTCCCTGTGTTTCCAGACACTCTGTAATATTATATATTTAGCATAGTACAATATAAACTTTTTTTCAGAGTAAAAATTGGACCCGTTGCTTTAAATTTAGGAGTACCTCACCTTAGAAGATTTATGGAAATAGAAGAAAAATGTAGTGAGCATATTATTTGAAATAGAAACTAACATATTGTTTAAGTATATGTTTATCCTGTTGTTCTTGACTTTTTGGATACCCTGTGTTAATAATTTGGGAAAAAATCCATTTATTTGAGTAATCAGTGATGCCATCAAGGTTTGGATGGTGCTTGTTTTAAGGAGACCATCTGCTGAAGCAAAGCTTCCAAGGACCCCTGCCTTGGTGGAACCTGGGGAGGCTTATTAAAAGAACACGTTTCTGGGCCCTACTCCAGACCAGCTAGAGCAGAGCTTTAGAATCTACATTTTAAACAAGTTCCCCTGGTAATTCTTGTGCACCCAAGATACACTGTGTTAAAGTCGACAGTTTTTATAACTCCCCAATGCAACCGCATGATACAAGCAGATGCATGGTGAGTAGCAAATTCAATAAGTCCCCGAGTCACTAAGGCCAACAAATAAAACAGTCAAGTAGAGGCAACTGCTGGCTCAGGGCCAGGAGCATCCTTTTGGGGCTGCTTTTATGAGAAGGGGGGGCACTTGCAATTTGGTTCCTGGAGGATACCAAGAATTGCCTTCTAATAATAACAACATAATAACAGTAACAAAAATAAAATCGCTAGCAGCCACTGAGTGTTTACTAGGTGTTAAATGATCTCCTAAGCATATTACATGTATCTAATCCCCCCAACAACACTAAAAGATAGGTACAGTTGTTTTCCCCATTTTATAGAAGAGGAAACTGAGGCACAGAAAGGCTATGAGCCCACCTAAGATCACACAACAAGAAAGGAGCAGAGCTGGGGCTTCACATTCAGGCAGGCCAAACTCTAGTCCTGTGGGTGTGACCACTGAACCTTGTGCTAGACATTATTTGTTCTTTGGAGAGAATGAAGAATGGAATCTGGACTTATAATGACACTCATTGAGAGGCTTTGCTTGGAGTGGTCCGTTTACAAATGAATAATGTGAGATAAGTGAATTCCCACTATATGCCAAGCATGTTTTAGGCCCTGGGTGTGTGAAAATGAAGGAAGCAGTGTGTTTTCCGACCTCAAGTAGCTCACAGTCCTTAAGGAGGAGGCATATCATCACATATGTCCATGTAAACTTGCAGCCCTGGTTAATGCTACTCTGAGCATGTGTGAAGCAGGCAGTCTGGCCTAGACAGGGAAGGCTTGTTGTCTGGATGGGACACTGTGGGTATGGCTTGTCTCTGCTCCATGATGTCTGGGGCTTCACCTGGGTTGCCTTGAAGGCTGGGCTCAGCAGAGTCTATTAACTGAAGCCCTAACATGTGGCCTGTCCATGTGGCTTGGGTTTTTAGGAGCAGGGCAGCTGAATTTCAAGAGGATGCATCCCAACAGGGCTTTCCGAGTGACGTTTCAGGAGAACTAAGCAGAAGTCACGTAGCGTTTTATGATCCAGAGTTGCAAATTACCCAGTTCTATTTCCACCTAATCCATTGGTCTAAACAGACATCACCCTGCCCAGATTCAAAAGGAGGGAACATAGATCTCACTCCTCAGTGAGTTTCATTCCACAACATTCATAATTTAAAAGGAGAGTTTGTCCATATGAGAGCAATAGACACTGTGGATTACTAGACGGTGGTGGGGGCTGGGGTGGGTTAAAAAGCTACTTGTTGGGTACTATGCTCACTACTAGGGTGACGGGCTCAGTACTTGAGACCTCAGCATCATGCAATCTTCCCATGTAACAAATACGCACATGTACCCCCCTGTATCTAAAATAAAAGTCACAATTTTTAAAAGGAAATCATGATAAATATTTATGTTAAATATATCATTAAAAGCTACATTTATGGCTGGGCATGGTGGCTCATGCTTGTAATCCCAGCACTTTGGGAGGCCGAGGCTGGTGGATCACCTGAGGTCAGGAGTTCAAGAGCAGCCTGGCCAACATGGTGAAACACCATCTCTACTAAAAAAAAAAAAAAAAAAAAGAAAATACAAAAATACAAAAATTAGCCAGGGATGATGGCGGGCATCTATAATCTCAGCTACCAGGGAGGCTGAGGCTGGAGAATCGCTTGAACCCAGGAGGCAGAAGTGGCAGTGAGTGGAGATCGCACCATTGCACTCCAGCCTGGGCTACAAGAGCGAAACTCGGTCTCAAAAAAAGAAAGAAAGCAAGCAAGCAAGCAAGCTACATTGATTTAAAAAAAGAGAGTAGAGTTTGTTAACCAAGGGGAATAACTTTTTAATTTTGAACATTTATTTGCTATATTTGGCAGAAGAGTTTTTTTGGAGTGCCTCGTGTCATACCCATTAGCCACTTTCTATTGTCCTGTGGATTTGATTGGTGGAAACTGGGAGAATATCTCAGGACTTGTATCACTTCCTCAGGTGAATCAGAACTCTGGGGGTGGAACTTAGCAATCTGTAATTTAACAAGCCCTCCAGGTAATTTTTATGTGAGCTAAAGCTTGAGCAACACATTATGCTCTACAGCATAGAACCCCCAAATGACTGAGGAATCGAAGGTTCCACACTACATCCTGAGACTTCCTGCTTCCTTTCTCCATCCTTCTTAGTGAGTACTGCCCACCAGGTTTATACCCCTCTATCCTTCTTCCACTCTTTATTACCTTTGCTGCAAGGGTAGAATATCAGAGGACTCCTTTCTTGAGGAACTGAGTGATTCTGAAGCAAAGTTCTTTGGATTGGCAGCACCCTAGACCACAGTGAAGCAGCTTGGTTTTTGCCAGGTTTCCCTACAACAAAGGCCATCAGTTGACAAGTTCTACTATCCTCGCACACAGAACTTCCATTCGGCTTTGTGGTGCTTCTCTCTTAAATATGAGTAGACGGTCAAGAATCAGCAGACATTTGGAGAAATGCCTCTGGCACACAAAAGGCAGAGATCAAATAAGTAAACTCATAGAATGAAGGGACACAGAGGAAATGCAAAAATTCAGGGAACAGAAGAAAATTTCAACAATAACAATAATGGCAGCAATAAAAACTCTAATAATCATTAATGCTCCTACTTATAAGAGAAGACACTGGATTCATGAAACAGGAAGATGACATGATAAAATGGAACAAATGCAGAAGTGCAAGTTCATGGAAATTAAAATAGGGTGCTTACAAATTTAATAGAGGGGTTGCAAGATAAAGTTGAAAATAATTTCTCAGAAAGTATAACAAAAAAACTAAGAAATGAAACATGGGGGAGACCAGTCTGGGCAACGTGGTGAAACCCCATCTCTATAAAAAAAAATACAAAAATTAGCAGGGCATGGTGATATGTGCCTGTAGTCCCAGCTACTCAGAAGACTGAAGTGGGAGGATAGCTTGAGCCTGGGAGGTCAAAGCTACAGTGAGCTGTGATTGTGCCACTACATTCCAGCCTGGATAACAGAGCAAGACCCTGTCTCAAAAAAAAAAGAAGCATGGGGGAGAAAAATTTTTTAAAAGCAAGATGTAAGGCATATTTCACCAGCCTGACCACTTCCCAGCCAAGCAGCCAAGGAAATCCTGTTATTCAGCAAATATTAAGATGGGAGCCCCATTTGTCAGGTATCTGTACGTGCGATGCATGGAGCTTTGCAGCACGTATATCTCACCGATGTTGGGCTCTACTGCGGTGAGCTGAGCCAAAGATCCCTGAGGGTGAGGGAATTAATTGTGGAGTTGTGTTTCCATAGAAGATAACACTGAAGAACAATTGGGATGTCAAGCCCCAGATCCAAAGTGGGCTCCCCAAAGTGAGGTCAGAGCCATGGGAGGGCTAAACTGAACAGAGCAGGGCGATGCAAGAAAGTTTAGGTTTTGTTTTACTGCCTCCCTCCTACCCACCCAAGCAGAAGGGAAAGAGAAAGACAGAGAGAAGGCTGAAAGAGGACCAAGTCATATATTTGATCGCTGGAGTTATAGTTATCAAAAATGGCTATGGAAGTTTATAAGTGCAAGGGTGACTATCATTCGATTGTAAGTGTGTGAATTGCTGCAAGGCAAACTTCCATTTTCTCCCCAGGCTGTCAGTAATAAAGTCACTATACACACATGACTTTGTGTTAGTGGGTTGAATTTTGGATGTGTGTGAATACAGAAAAAAGAGCAGGGATGCCCTATGTTGTGCAATGGGGAGGTTCAGAACAGGACTCATTCAGAAGGAAGAGCTTGTGGCCAGCCATGGCTAGGACAAACATTAACCACCTCCCATCCCTTTATCCCCAATCCTTCAAGTCCCTAGAGAGGCTGGGAGTGATTTAAGGTCCTCTGCACACATTGGAAGATGTTTGAACAAATGCCGTTTGAAACTCAAGGGCAGGGTTGCCTTAGCTGAGGTCGTCGTTACATAGACACAATTTCGTTTAAATTCGTGACAAATCTGCAGGTTCATCATTACTGTAGTGATTTTACAGAGGAGGAAACTTAAAGAGTTTAAAATGGATGTTGGACAACTTACCCAAGGTGATCCAGTTTTAAGTGGCCTAGCTGGGATTGAGAGCCAGGTCTTATTGGTTCCAAAGCTCATGCTTCTCCCATTACACCAGGTCCCACAGCAAGGAATGACATGCCAAGTTCAAGTCATCCAACCCCTTGCTGAAAGCACTACACCTCTGGGCTGCTGGGTTTTGATATGGCTGAATATACTCTAGTGTGGGGTAGCTTTTGGTCTAAGGATTGGTGTTTATCTCCATCTTTAATCTTTCCTGATTGCTTAAGGCTTTTTCTTCTCTCCTCCTCCTCCTCTTCCTCCCCCAAACCCTCCTCCTTGTTCTTCCTCTCCCCAACCCTCCTCCTTCTTCATCCAAAACCTATTCTGTTTCCTTCCATAAGCAAGCAAGCATGAGACATAGACAGCCTCATTTATTTTAACTATAAAGGAAGAGCCCTGGGAAGTTAATCAGACTGCCGGGAATCTGGAATTTGCCGATGAATGGACATTTGGCTGAGCATAGTAAATTCTCAGCTAATTGAAAGCAGATAACAAGAGTAATGCATCTACCTTGAAAAACATCACATTCCTAATAAATAATTGGAAATGGCAATCTTTTGACATATGAACTGAGGGGGAAAAGTCTTAAATAAATTCTGGACTAATTCCTGTCACATATATTATACTGTATTTAGCAGTTGTGCTATATGAGAAGATTAAAAGCTATAAATCTCTTTGCAACACCATCTACAGCAGTGTTTTCAATCCAGAATAAATAGGAGTGGGGTTCTTAGAGTGCCACATAGAATATTGACTTCCATGGTTTTAGTGTTGCGTATGTGTGTGTGTGTGCGCGTGTGTGCATGTGTGTTTCGGGCATGGTGGTGGTGATTTCCTTCTCTCTATCTGAGGAGACAGATATTTAAAGAGACCCAGCAGATCATCCTGGTGATCTGACTGCTGCCACAAACTGGATCTTCTAGGCGGCTTTTGCTAACCCCAGTGTGATCCATAGACTGAAAGAAACACGGGCATCACCTGGAGGCTTGTTAGAAATGCAGAATTTCAGGCCTTATCTCAGACCTACTGAATCAAAATTTGTGTTTCTATTTTGCTTTATTATAATTTTTTAAATCTGCATTTTAACAGGATCCCCGGGGGATTCATCCTAGGGGATTCATTTGCACATTCGCCTTTAAGAAGTATCATTCTAGTTCAACCCTTGTGGAAGTCAGTGTGGAGATTCCTCAGGGACCTAGAACTAGAAATACCATGTGACCCAGCCATCCCATGACTGGGTATATACCCAAAGGACTATAAATCATGCTGCTATCAAGACACATGCACACGTATGTTTATTGCGGCACTATTCACAATAGCAAAGACTTGGAACCAACCCAAATGTCCATCAATGATAGACTGGATTAAGAAAATGTGGCACATATACACCATGGAATACTATGCAGCTGTAAAAAAGGATGAGTTCATGTCCTTTGTAGGGACATGGATGAAGCTGGAAACCATCATTCTCAGCAAACTATCGCAAGGACAGAAAACCAAGCACCGCATGTTCTCACTTATAGGTGGGAATTGAACAATGAGAACACTTGGACACAGGAAGGGGAACATCACACTCTGGGGACTGTCATGGGGTGGGGGGAGGGGGGAGGGATAGCATTAGGAGATATACCTAATGCTAAATGACGAGTTAACGGGTGCAGCACACCAGCATGGCACATGTATACATATGTAACTAACCTGCACATTGTGCACATGTACCCTAAAACTTAAAGTATAATTAAAAAAAAAAGAAGTATCATTCTAGTGTTCAATCCAGGACAATTTTACATAACTTGAGTGATAGCAGAGCCAACTCGATTCATCCAGAATTGATTTCATCCCAGGCTCTGGAAGAAATCTAATGCTCAGGCTATGTCCTCAGAAAGACCTTCATTTTCCTCCTGCTTTGTCGTAAGAGCTGACCTCTACCTCCTTCCCAGGCCCTCCCTTGACACTGAGTTCCAGAAGCCAGGTCTTTGTCCTGCCCCCTCACTCCTACTCCCTACTTCATTCTCTCTCTGGGTCCCCAGTCTGGAGAGCATTTCCTCTGGACTGGGAATCACTAGCTGGGTCCTCTTTTAGCCTCTTGGGGACTACAGCCCTGCCCAGGGTTATCTCAGGTCTTTGCCTGCTACCAGCTTTCTTGGACAGTACCCACCTGTCTGCCCACTGAAGCCAGGGGGTTGCAGTGATAGAGAGCCCACCGGCAGGCTACTGCAGGAGGGGGCCAATGACCTCTATGGCCTGTCCCCGCATTGGAATCATCTTGGATTTCTGCGTGATGCAGACTTATTAAGATTTCTGAAGTCAGTTACTTTTAAGAAGGGAGTTTTAGCCATCATTTCTTGAACAACTACTGTATGTCTGGGTACACCACTAGACGCTTTCCTTATGTTATCTTGTTCATTTCTCACAACAGCCCAACAATATATGCATTTTTGAAACTGTCACTAAGATATAGCATTCAGTAAGATGCACAGATTGTGACTGTACAGTCAGATAAATTTTGATACTGTATGCACCTGTGCAACCCACAACACGGTGAAAATACAGACCGCTTTTGTCACCATAAAGGGTTCCTTTGTGCCCCTTTTTAGTGAACTCTCTCCACCCTAGAGGCTATTACTATTCCGATGTCTATTCCCATAGATTCATTTGGCTCTTCTGGAAGTACATATAAATGGAATCATATGGTATGATACTCTTTTGTGTCTGGCTTCTTTCACTCAACATAAGGTTCACAAGAGGCATTCATGTTGTGTGTATCAGTAGATCCTGCTGGGGTATTTTAATCCCCATGTCACCTGTGAGCAAGTGGAAGACTGGAGAAATTGGCTAACTCATCTTGGTCATAGGAAAAGGGTCCAGGTCAGTCTGACTCAAGAACCATCTCAAACTCCCCTTCAGGTTGGATCTCACCAAATAGTTTAGATTGTATTTTTCTAAATGAATCCCACTCTATTATCCTCTGCATTTGGAGATTCTCTCTAATTCTTACTGCTGGCTGCCCTGCCCTGGCTTTTGATCATGAGTTTCTGTTTTTACCTGGATGACAGTGCGGGGTCCAGAGTTGAATGGAGCCTTCAAAAGTGATTTCATCCAAGCATCCTTGGGAGGAAGTGTCCTGAGTAGAGTCTAGAACAGAGTGAAAGGGGATCCCCTCTCCTGTGGTCCCTCAGAGGTGAAAACCTCCCCCTTCCCCTTGGGGTGAGATTAGGGAATGTGATGGGGTTAATTTTATGTGTCAACTTGAATGGATTGGGGTGCTCAAATATTTGGCTAAACATTATTTCTGGGTGTGTCTGTGAGGGTGTTTCTTGATGAAATTAGCATTTGAATTGGTAAACTTCGTCAAGCAGACTATACTCTTCATTGTGGCTGGGCATCATCCAATCTACTGAGCGGCCAAATGGAACAAAAAGGTGGAGGAAGATTTGTTCTCTCTCTGCCTGAGTGCTTGAGCTGAAACTGGATTTCTCCTGCTCTTGAGCTTTACACCATTGGCACTCCTGGTTTTCAGGCCTTTGAGCTCAGACTAGAACTACACCATGGGCTTTCCTGGGGCTCCAGCTTGCAGCCGGTAGATCATGGGACTTCTCAGCTTCCATAATTGCTCCAGCCAATTCCCTATAATCTCTCTCTATATATATACATACACACACACACACACACACACACACACACATGCACACACATATACACACTATACACATATACACACACACACACACACACACACACTATTGGTTCTGAGTCTGTGGAGAACCCTGACTCAAACGAGGACATTTGAATGTCCTGTTAGTTATGCCCCAATGTTTCACTAATATTTCCTGCAAGAAGGCCTTTATCTGCTAGCAGAGAACCAAAATTCCTACACCCTGTCCCTCACAGACCTCACAGGCTGATCAAATGCAAAAGGAATGTGAAATGATTTGTAAACTGTAAAGTGCTCTATAAAACTAAGGTGTTGTTGCAGCTCCTCACTCTTGGGTTCTGGGTTGCTTCAAAGTGAAACTTAAAAAGTGAAAGCCAAAAGGATAAACTTCCAATCCCCCATTGGGAAAGAAGAATTTGACTATGATGCTGTTGCTATGTAATTTCTTTTTTCACTCTTGGGGCTTTCTTTTATGAATAGAAATACATTCTATTTTATTGCTTTTACCTCCTAGAAGACTTTTCCCCCAAGATACCCTAGCCAACCAGTTTGTTTCAGTTTTTCTTTGAACACTTAAAATGGAAAAGATAGAAATGTAGAATAATTAAAATAGTTATTACAGAATTAGTTATACAAAAGAATTGCTACCAAACCTAATTCCAGGGAGAGAAAAGAATAAGAATAATCTGGAACTTGGGTTGGGTAGAAGAAAATTTTCCTGACAGAGCTAATTATTTAACTAGAATGGATTCATATTAGGAGCATGCTTAGCAAATTTTTAAAATTTGCAATAGTTGATCATCTCCAGTAAGATTAAATCTGTAATTTCTTTAGAGATAATTATTAAATTATTCCTATTTTCCTTTTTGCCTATTGTAAAACTCCTAATTTCTTTCACTTCCCTTCATAGACTTTTTTAGTTAGACTGTTCAATCATCCCTATAACTTTTTGCATGGCCTTTCTGAAATTTTAAATGGTAGAATTCAGAAGAAGATACTTTACAGTGAAAGGATTATTTCAGACCCTGTGTGCAATACTCCTGCTTATATGATCTCTCTTGGACCTTGATTAAATGACAGAGTTACTCAGCTAACATGTTTAGAAGTTAAGTCTGCAGGTGTTTTAGTCATATAAGGCCATGGCTATATTGAGATTTATTGTTTTGAATTTATTTTACTGTATTGAATCCCAGCAATTCTCTCTGTTAATCTCCTTCCTCTTAATTTGTGGCTTTTTCCCCAGTTTTATTAGGGGATTTTGATAGTGTAGTACCCCGCTGCCATGGTAGCTTCTTCCCTGGCTTCCTCCATGGCTAGCATGCCATTATGTGTAAACATGGTAAGCAGACTTACTGTTCATCTTCCCAGGTCACTAATGGAAAGGCTAATATCAAATGGATCCTAAACTGACCTTCAGAGCATTGTTCAAGTGTGAGGGTTCATACTGCCTTGCCAATGGTGGTAGAGCATAGCTGTTAAGAGCACTCACTGTGTTTATTTGTTGAGCTTTGGGCAGGGTATGGGGTGGCTCTTGATGGTCAATTTAGATAAAGATGCTCTATAAATGCCATGCCCTCGTGCCATTTCTAAAATGTCATGAGCAGAGTAATATAAAGGCTTGCATGAACAGACCTAGGCTTTAAAGGCAGGTTCTGCCACTTACTAGCTGAAGAACCTTGGGCAAGTCACTTATCTTCTCTGAGCCTCAGTTTCCTCATCAACAAAAATTGAGATAATAATGGCCACTTCACAGAGTTGTCAGGATTAATGGAGTTTGTAAAGTGCTTGGCATATTCAGGAGACCACTATCTGGTGACCACTCCATTCGTAATGGATCTCTGGGTATAAGCTTTAAGCCTGTGCCCTTTCCAAAAGTTGTGTGGTTTGGAGTACATGGATTTCTCCAGTTTACTAATGAATTTGTCCTTTGAAACCAAATCAAGAGTTCCTTAAAGTCAAGAGTGATTACACACATTGCCTATGCAGTGATTTAAGATTGGAAATTCTGCTGAGTTAATTTCTTACAAAGTTATTAAGTTTCCTTTCCTGTAGCATTTTCTTCTCATAACTTAGCAGCTTATCTTGCTCCAATTTTATTCCTGTATTTTTCAAAACACAGAAATCACATACAGTACTCCCCCCCTTATTTGCAGGGGATATGTTTCAAGACCCCCAGTGGATGCCTGAAGCCGCAAAGAGTACGGAACTCTATAAGTACTATTTTTTTTAAAAAAATCTAATAACTGAGATGGCTACTAGGTCATTAACAAGTGGGTAGCATAGACAGCATGGGCCCGCTGGACAAAGGGGGAATTCATGTCCCAAGCAGGATGGAGTGGGACGGCATGAGATTTCATCATGCTACTCATACGGTGCATAATTTAAAACTTATGAATTGTTTATTTCTGGAATTTTCCATTTAATATTTTTGGACTGCTATTGACTGTGGGTAACTGAAACTGCAGAAAGCAAAATCATGGATAAGGGGGACTATCGTATAAAGTTCTGTTATTTCTCAGGCAATCCCTTTTCACTTTTGTTATGTAAGATTTATACAGGCACTTTTATGATTGTCCCACACAGCCTTTTCAGTCCAGACCTCCTTCCGAGTGGTGGGCCAGTCATTTTCCTATATGTGCTGGAGTGAAGCAACAGGTCTGGCCAACTCCCATGTAACCAGAGCTTCTACAATGAGCTTGCCCGCAAAACCACAACACGTTGCTGTCGCCTCTACATTTCGGGCATGACCTGTCCTTGTTTTCAGTTCAGTGGTTACTCATTCATGGGTAGCTTAATCTACTTTAGGTCATTAATAAAGATGTTAAATAAGGACTTATCTGACAGTAAAGCCCCCTGCCCTCACCCCCACCATAGGTGGCTCTGTTAGAAAGCCCTGGAATGAAGAAAAAAAGGACACTTTGTGTTATCACAACAAACTATCCCCTTTTAGTGAATTATAGAAACCGTGGATCCAGTGAGTGTGGAACATGTCACATGTTTAGTCTTTAATGATCAGTTTGTTCCAAAGACTAAGAGAATGTTTGTATTCAACAAACTAAATTTGGTTTGAATCCGGACTTGGAGGTTGTCCCAACGGATTCAAGCAGACTGAAAAGTCATGAACAAAGGGATGTTGGGATAATGAAGTGTCCTGCTTAAGCTCATCCTTCCATGGCTTTCTAATTTGTGAAAGAGACATCTAACAGAGCCACTGGGGGACACCTTCAGATGAGTCTTTATTTACCATCTCTATTAATGACCTAGAATATCAGCTTGCAACAGGAAATTAATAGATCTAGGCATTGATCATCAATGGTTGGTAACATCATAGAGAGGCAACAAGATATTATGTACTTCTGATAGAAGAACACACCCACCACTTACGAACAAAGTGCAAATCCAAATCTGATCAACCTCTAGATCCTGCTACCAATTTACAGGAAATAGAAAATAGAAAGACAGAGAACATGTTAAATGGTACCATGGAGGTACAATCAACGAAATCCAGACTGTAGGGAATCTGTAGGACAAATAATCCTGTTTCTTTACAAATTGAAGGAAAAAATAGTGATAGAGGAGCCACCTACAAAATTAAAGAGATTCAAGAGGCAAATTATTCCCTTAAAATGTGTTGACTTTATTTAGATACTAGTTCAAACAACAAATAGTTTTAAAAAGATTTATGAGATAAGTGGAAATTTGAGCACTGACTGGGTATTTGATGATATTAAAAAATTATTAAATTTTAAGATATGATAATAGTATTGAGTGTATGTTTAAGAGTCTTTATCATTTAAAGATGCATACTAAAATATTTACAGATGCGATGATCTGATGTCTGTGATTTGCTGCAAAATAACACGGGAGAGAGAGAGAAGAGAGTGAGGGTATAGATGAAAGAAGATTGGTAATTGTTAAAGTTGGCTAATAGGGGCTCATTATACTATTCTTTTTACTTTTGTAAGTGTTTAAAGTTTTCCATAATAAAAAAAGGTAAATCAAGGCACTGTGAAATCCTAAATCTCAAGAGAGAAAGCAAAATCAAGAAATATATGATGGAAGTATGCAGTAGTCTGAAAAGCATTGTAAATTATATTCAATATTCTATATATGCTTAGACAAAGTGGTGGATTAATTCATTTTAGAAAGAATCTCAACAAGACTTGAAGGATCTTGCTTAAGGTTCTGAAACTGATGGTAGAGTCTGACTCTGAACCCCTCTTTCTGCTTTAAGATTTGCACTTTAACCCTCAAGCTGTACATCTTCTGTGTCCAGGTGTAGGAGAGGCAAAGGATGAAAAAAAAACAAACCACCAAAAACACCGTATTTATTAGCTGGTGTTTTTGTGCCAGGCACTTTATATATGGATAATCTCATTTTAATCCTAACTTTAAACCTATCTCAATGCCTTGAGGTCGGCATTATTGTTCCTAGTAAACGGATGGTGAAACTGAGGCTGAGAAAAATAAAATAACTTGCTCAGAGTCATATAGCCAGAAATAAAGAACCCAGAAAGTAAACTACCTGGGTATTTGCCTAACTCAGTCTGATGTCAGAACATCCTGATATCCTGAGCAAACTAACGCAGGAGCAGAAAACCAAATACTACATGTTCTCATAAGTGGGAGCTAAACAACAAGAACACACGAACACAAAGAGGGGAACAACAGACACTGGGGCCCACTCGGGGGTGGAGGGTGAGAGGAGGGAGAGGATCAGAAAAACTACCTGTCGGGTACTATGCTTATTACCTGGGTGACGAGATAATCTGTACACTAAACCCTGTAACACACAGTTTACCTATATAACAAACCTGCACATGTATCCCTGAACCTAAAATAAAAGTAAAAAAAAAAAAAAGGCCGGGCGCGGTGGCTCACGCTTGTAATCCCAGCACTTTGGGAGGCCGAGGCGGGCGGATCACGAGGTCAGGAGATCGAGACCAACCTGGCTAACACGGTGAAACCCCGTCTCTACTAAAAATACAAAAAATTAGCTGGGCGTGGTGGCGGGCGCCTGTAGTCCCAGCTACTCGGGAGGCTGAGCCAGGAGAATGGCGTGAACCCGGGAGGCGGAGCTTGTGGTGAGCCGAGATCGCGCCACTGCACTCCAGCCTGGGCGACAGAGCGAGAGTCCATCTCAAAAAAAAAAAAAAATCCTACTCTCCGGACAGTGGAAAAAGAAATATGCATAAATAGTACGTAATAATTAGTGTGATCACCTCATAATTGACGTTTGTGTGGATGTGCTGCCTTTAAACGGTGGAGGAAGATGATAGCTTCATTTATTCAACAAACTAGGGATCTCCAAACTTTTGTTTTAACATAGTCCTTGCAGCAAATGTTTTTAGTGTTCCATACCACATCCCTTGCGGCAGATAGTTTCC
Organism: Homo sapiens; assembly: GCF_000001405.40. Classification (NCBI taxonomy): domain Eukaryota; kingdom Metazoa; phylum Chordata; class Mammalia; order Primates; family Hominidae; genus Homo; species Homo sapiens. The sequence continues at coordinate 44,080,343 of NC_000023.11, read as the reverse complement.
ACACACATTGACAGAGTCTTACCGCAGTGTCAGCCGCTTCCGCCTGCTTTCAGGAACTTAATCCTCACAGGGCACACAGAAGTGTGTGTGGGGGGGGCAGAGTTAACACTTCTGAGGGCAACCCTGCACCAATGAGGGGTGGCGGTCAAGAGATAAATGCCCCAGATTTCCATCTTTTGAAAGAACATTTCCGAGGCACATTTGGTAGTTCTTCAGCTGGTCCCTAGCAGGACTAAGCCTCAGTTGCACACAGAGGTAATCAGCTCAACAATGCCGTGACTTTTCCTTCTCTCCTGTCTCATACTCCTTGTCTCTTAACTCTTCTTTCTAGGATTACCAAAGAGATGAAATTTCTGCATCCAGGTTCTTGCCTCAGCTCTGCTTCTGGTAGAACTCGATCCCCTCTCAATTAAAAAGAATCCTGAGCTCACTCCTAATGCATGCATATTTATTTGTTTATAAATTATACTCATGGCAGGGCCTGGTGACTCACGCCTGTAATCCTAGCACTTTGGGAGGCCGAGGTGGGTGGATCACCTGAGGTCAGGAGTTTGAGACCAGCCTGACCAACATGGTGAAACCCCGACTCTACTAAAAATACAAAAATTAGCCAGGCGTGGTGGCAGGCACCTGTAGTCCCAGTTACTCGGGAGGCTGAGGCAGGAGAACCTCTTGAACCCAGGAGGTGGAGGTTGCAGTGAGCTGAGATTGAGCCACTGCACTCCAGCCTGGGCAAGAGAGCAAGACTCCATCTCAAAATATGCATATATATATATATATACACACACACACACACACACACACACACACACACACACATATACATATTATATATATACTTATGATTACTTCATTACATATGCTATAAAACATACACTAAGAAATTCTGAAAGGGTGAAATAGACATAAAATAAGCAATGTTTGTTTAAGATTTATATTTTGTTGCAGTGTACAAAATAGGATAGTATAATTATATTTAATACTTAACAAAACATATGAAAGATACATATGCATTTACTGAGGATGCATACTCTAAATATTTTGCTGATGGGCTGAACATAAAAGAATTGAACAATCACTTTCTTAGACTGTCTGTGGTCATTCTGTTTCTTTAAAGTAGACTTTATTAGGTTCACAGCAAAATTGAGTGGGAAGTACAGAGAGTTCCCACATATCACCTGCCCCTACATAGACAGCCTCTCCACTATTGATATCTTGCACCAGACTGGTACATTTGTTAACAATCAATGAACCTACATTGACACATAATTGTCATCCAACGTCCATAGTTTACATTAGGGTTCATTCTTGGTGTTGTACATTCTATGGATCTTGAAAAATGTATAATGACAGGTATCCACAATTACTGTTTCATACAGAATAGTTTTGTTGCCCTAACAAGCCTCTGTGTTTCACCTGTTTATCCCTCCTTCCATCCTAACCCCTGGTAATCACTGATCATTTTACTGTCTCCATAGTTTTGCCTTTTCCAAAATGTCTTATAGTTGGAATCATACAGTATGTAGCTTTTTCATATTCGCTTCTTTCACTTAGTAATGTACATTTGAGGTTTTTCTATGTCTTTTCATAGCTCGATAGCTCATTTCTTTTTAGCAATAAATAATATTTCATTTTCTGGAGGTACCACACTTTATTTATCCATTCACCCCACTGAAGGACATCTTGGTTGCTTCCAAGTTTTGGCAATTATGAATGAAGCTGCTATAAACATCTGTGTGCATACATGAGTGTGTATGCACATTAGTTTTCAACTCATTCGGGTAAATACCAAGGGGTCCAACTGCTAGATCATGTGTTAAGAGTCTTTTTAGTTTAGTAAGAAATTGTCAGACCATCTTCCAAAGTGGCCATATTATTTTACATTCCCACAACAATAAATGAGAGTTTATGTTGCTCCACCCCCACCAGCATTTAGTGTTGTGGTTAGTATTTTGTATTTTTGCCATTCTAATGGGTGTGCAGTGGTACCTCGCTGTCGTTTTAACCTGCAACTCCCTAGTGACATTATAATGTTGAGCATCTTTTTGTATGCTCATTTGCCATCTGTGTATCTTTGGTGAGGTGTCTGTTCAGTTCTTTTGCCCATTTTTAAGTTGGGTTGTTCATTTTCTTATTGTTAAGTTTCAAGTATTCTCTTTATATTTTGGATAACAGTTCTTTATCAGATATGTCTTTTGAAAATATTTTCTCCTAGTTGGTGAATTGTCTTCTCATTCTCTTGACATGTCTTTTTAAAAATTAAAAAAAATTAATGAATTTAATCTCATCAATTATTTCTTTCATGGATTATGCCTTTGGTGTTGTACCTAAAAAGTCATTGCCAAATCCATGGCCAACTAAATTTTCTCCTGTGTTGTCTTCTGGGAGCCTTATAGTTTTGCATCTTACTCTTTGGTCTATGATTGATTTTGAGTTAATATCTGCAAAGGGTATAATGCCTGCATCTAGCTTCATTTTTCTTGCACGTGAATGTTCAGTTCTTCCAGCACCATTTGTTGAGAAGACTGTCTTTCCTCCATTTTATTGCCTTTGTTCCTTTGCCAAAGATTGGTTGACTGTATTTGTGTGGTTGTATTTCTGGGCTCTCTGTTCTGTTCTATGAATCTATTTGTCTATTCTTTTGAGAATATTACACTGTCTTGATTACTGTAGTTGTATAGTAAGTCTTGAGGTCGGGTAGTGTCAGTCCTCCAACTTTTTTCTTCTTTTTCAACATTGTATTGGCTATTCCGAGTCATTTGCCTCTCCATATAAACGTTAGAATCATTTGTCAATATCTACAAAATTACAGGCTGGGGTTTTGATTGGGTTTATATTAAATCTATAGATCAAGTTGAGAAGAACTGACATCTTGACAATATTGAATATTTCTATCTGTGAACATGGAACCTCTCTCCATTTGTTTAGTTCTTCTTTGATTTCTTTCATCAGAGTTTTATATTTTCCTCAAATAAATTTTGTACATGTTTTGTTAGATTTATACCTAAGAAGTATTTCATTTTTTGAGGTGTTAATGTAAATGGTATTGTGTTTTTAATTTCATATTTTACTTCTTCACTGTTGATATATAGAAAAGAGATTGATTTTGTATATTAACCTTATGTCCTGAAACCTTGCTAAAATAACTTAGTTTCAGGAGGTTTTTGGTGTCAATTCTTTCAGATTTTCTACATAAGCAAACATGTCATCTGCAAATAAAGACAATTTTATTTCTTCCTTCCAAACCTGTATTTTTCTTTACTTTCTTTTCTTGTATTATTGCATTAGCTAGGACTTCCTGTATGATGTTGAAAAGCAGTGATGAGGGGAGATGTCCTTGCTTTGTTACTGATCTTAGTAAGAAAACTTAGTTTCTCACCACTAAATATGGTGTTAGCTGTAGGTTTTTTGTAGCTGTTCTTTATCAAGTTGAGGAAGTTCCCATCTATTCCTAGTTTGCTGAAAGCTTTTAATGATGAATGGGTGTTAAATTTTTTCAAATGCTTTTTCTGCATCTATTGTTATAGTTATGTGATTTTTCTTCTTTAGCTTGTGGACATGAATAACATTAATTGATTTTTGAATGTTGCATGCCTAGAATAAATCCTATTTGGTAAAAATATTTTTGATTCTTATTAACAAAAGGGCCAAAAACCTTTTTCATCTTACTTTTTTATTTTTTAAGTGAGAGCAATGTGATTAAATGTATTTTGTGCTTTTGGAAAATCATAGTTTAATACTTTGTGGAAGTGTGCTTTGAATGTCTGGTTTCAGTTTCAGTTTATTTTGATAAAACTTGGTTTTAATGGCTTGACATGGTTAGCCAAGACATAGATAAAGATATGTAGATTAGATTATTGGCTGCATTGAGTAATCATAATACTCTCTTTTTTGAGCAACATATCAATTGCATTAGTTAGGATTCTCCAGAGAAAGAACCAGTAGGATATACACATATACAGATACAGATCTATGTCCCTTAGTGTACATATACTTATTCATTACAAGAAATTAGCTCATGCGATTATGGAGGATGAGAAGTCCCATGATCTGCTATCTGCAAGCTGGAGACCCAGGAAAGCTGCTGGTGTAATTCCAGTCTAAGTCTGAAGACCTGAGAACCAGAGGAGTGAATGGTTCTTGGATCCCAGTCCAAGAACAGGAGAGACCAATGTCCCAGCTCAACCAGGCAAGCAGAAAGGGGTCAAATCCTCTTTTCCTTTCCCAGTTTTTTGTTCTATTTAGGCCCTCAATGAATTGTTGGATGCCTATCCACATTGGGGAAGGCAGTCTACTGAGTCCACCAATTCAAATGCTAATCTCATCCGGGAATACACTCAGACACATCCAGAAATAACGTTTAATATAAGCATTCTGTGGCTCAGTCAAGTTGACACATAAAAATAACCATGACATCGATTATGTAAAGATTCTTGTTGAAATGAGGCTAGTGAATTTCCATCTTTTAATGTCAAACTGTTCTAATAAAACAAATAGAAGATGCAGCATTTTGAAGATGATTTCATTTGGAAGATACTTAAACAGGATTGAAGATTTCATGTCTATGTTTTCTTTATAAATGTGCAGATATGAAAGTTTTGTTTCATAGTTTCACAATTTTTATTACTTCAGTCAAGAAATGTAGTAATTACATTGTGAAATTTCACTTTCTAAAGGAGGTACATTAATTTATAATTGCCTGTATTGATTTCAGAACTCAATTTCTGCACTCTGCACATGCATTTCTTAATCTATAAATGTAATATATAGAACAACATATTCCAGACATAATACGTTCTGCAGTCTGTAAAATCAGTTAATCAGTTTATAGTCAATGACTATTTTAAATTAAAATCTCTTAACTATCAATCATTTATCTATACAATGCAATGATTTTCTATTTGAACTCTACTTAAGAGATAAAGCAAAATTTAAAAAGTATAATATTTATGACACATTTCTAATTGGCATTAATACAAGATGGAATCTCTATCCTTAAAATTTATAGGAGAAAATCCTCATCAGCATAAGCCAGTCTAAAATATACAAAAGTATGAAATACACAAAAAAGTTCTTCTTTCCTGTAAATGGTCCCTAGAGCACTCAACTGTGCTCTTATAGCTTTCTTAGTCAAACAAATATACAATTTGGAAGAATTCAAAAATATGTTGTGACTAGCTATAAGACAGAGAAACTAAAAAACAAATACTTCAATACTTATCTATATATTTGCAACAAATATTCATTTGCAAATGAATAAGAATACTTACAGAGTCAATCTTTCATAACTTCTTACAAGAATAGGATTGAAGTTTCAGTTACTCATTTATTCTATGTCTTTCACTGTTTATGGAAGAATATATTGATTTCTCCTAGAAATGTGAAAAAACAATCCGGAGCTTAATTAATAATCTCCATGTTTTATTCAAAGTAGTGATGAATATTGATCACTTCTAATATATTTATTTCCCCTTTTTCCTACTTTTTTCTTTTTTAAAAAATTTCAACTTTCGTTTTAGATTCAGGGGTTGCATGTGTAGGTTTATTACATGGGTATATTGTGTGATGCTGAGGTTTGGGACACAAATGGTCCTCACCCAAGTAGTGAGCATAGTACCCAACATGGAGTTTTCAGCCCTTGCCCTCCCCTCCCTTCTCCCTGCTCTAGTAGTCCTCAGTGTCTACTGTTTCCATCTTTATGTCCATATGTACCCAATGTATAGCTCCCACTTACAAGTGAGAAAATGTGATATTTGGTTTCCTGTTCCTGCATTAATTTGCTTAGTATGATGGCCTCCAGCTGCATCCATGTTGCTGCAAAGACATGATTTCATTCTTTGTCATGGCTGCAAAATATTCCATGGTGTATATGTACCATGTTTTCTTTATCCAATTCACCATTGATATGCACTTAGGTTGATGATAAGAAAGTCTTTATACACACTCTTCTGCAACAAAAATAACACAATGAAGGAAACTTCCAGACATCTATGTGCTTTTCATGGCATAGATTTCTTTCAAATAGTAGTTAATTTCTCACTCATTTAAAACACATTAACTTTTTATTTCAAAGGGGTAGATTATGTGCTTTTACAAAAAGTTTCTGCTAAATGCAAAAGTTAGGATCACTTGTCATCTCAGAAAAGGTCAGCACATTTGGAACCCTTATTTAATGTAAAAGAAAAATTCAGGCCGGGTGCGGTGGCTCACGCCTGTAATCCCAGCACTTTGGGAGGCCGAGGCGGGCGGATCACGAGGTCAGGAGATGGAGACCATCCTGGCTAACATGGTGAAACCCCATCTCTACTAAAAATACAAAAAATTAGCCAGGCATGGTGGCCCGTGCCTGTAGTCCCAGCTACTTGGGAGGCTGAAGCAGGAGAATCGCTTGAACCCGGGAGGCAGAGGTTGCAGTGAGCTGAGATCGCCCCACTGCTGCACTCCAACCTGGGCGACAGAGCGAGACTCCGTCAAAAAAAAAAAAAGAAAGAAAGAAGGAAAGAAAGAAAGAGAGAGAGAGAAAGAAAGAGAGAGAGAGAGAGAAAGAAGAAAGACAGACAGAAAGAAAGAAAAAGAAAGAAAGAAAGAAAGAAAGAAAGAAAGAAAGAAAGAAAGAAAGAAAGAAAAAAAGAAAGAAGGAAAGAAAAATGCAAAAGTCATCTGTAAGTGTCAGCCAGTGGAAGCCTCCCGGGGGCATCTCACAGTCTTCCTCTGAGATTTGTTTCCTTCCCTCCCTAGAATGCAGATCTCCTCTATTTCCCCGTAGCTACAAAACGTGGCCCCTTCTGGGTTTCTCTGGCTCTCTGTCCTCCAGGGTAACTGCCTTAAGACACTCCCCCTCTTTTCCCATAGCCCCAGTGTCATGCCACATAGTCAACTTGAGCTCTCCTGCCGCAAGCTTTCTCTTAGGTGAGGAAGCCCAGAGTCTGGTTACCAGCTAGAAATAGAAGAATAAAAGGAAAAATATTTGGGGAAAGGGAGAACATAAATTAATACCTCAAAAATTATCTGGTCACATTAAGATGGAACTAGAACAGTTTGCCTGGCAGAACCATCCCTATTCTGGGATGTGGTAGTAAGTATGCTTTTTATTTTTCAGGTATGGTAATCAGTTCATTACTCTTAGATTCTTCATAACATCCATTATGGAGGAGCCAGTGTTTACTTGTGACAGAACTGCCAATGTTGGATGAGGACAGCCTTGAGTGTGAGCTTGGGACATGGGCTAGGAATGTACAACGCCCAGGCTTGGTTAGAAGGTTGCTCAGAAGAGGAAGTGAAGCCTCACGTATGTTGGCCCAGATTTGATTCTGAGAATCCATGTAGGGAGGCATACACTCCATCACTTACACAGGATGAGAGAGAGAAGAAAGTTCTGGATTAATTTCTCCCAAATCTCCTCCTCTTCCATACTACAAGGCAGTCAGGGACCTCTTGTAGGAGTCCAAGCCAGATGACAGATTCAATTTGCCCTGAGGAGGACTTAAATCACCCTGTGGTCTGGAGTAATCTCTTGCATGGGTGATTCTGGAATAATCTAGGCACTTTCAGACTGTCCTTGGACCATCTCTACTGAAAGCTCATTGAGGTTAGGCCTGGTTCTTGGCCAGCATTGTCTTCCTCATGCTTTGCACAGCACTTGGCATATAGGAGACGGGTAAACAATCTTAGCTAAATGAAGAAAATAATGAATGAGCATGTAAGTGTGACACAGAGAGTAAAGGTGTGTTTAAAAACACAACAATCAAGATAATCTCACTACCCATGGGGATGCTGTTCATCACCAACAGCCCTCTCTCAACAGGAACAGAAGAAAATTTAGTCCAGAGCTCGTGTTCATATTGGGCAACATTACAGCTACCCTGACCTGGCATCTTTAGAGCAAGAAGAGTAGTCCCCAGCCTGGTGGAGTCCCAGCTCTAAATCTCCACCTCTTCCACATCCTGACAATCTTGGCTGATTTATTCCCCTTTGGTTTTATGATCTGAGGCTTCTCACATTGCTAATACATTACTCATTTTAGCTGTATAGACAGCAGGGTCAAACAAATGACGTACTGGAGCTCAGAAGTGACTGACAGCCATGTAGACCTGACTTCACTCAGAGAGGTCACCTGCTGTCTTGCTTTCTTGAGTAAATTTATAACTTTGAAAAATTCCAATTTCCACCTCACTCAACCCCCCACCCCCAACCCCCAGCACCCACCCTCTGCCTCACCACCACCTCCCCTGGCCCCACCCTGGGGGCTGGCTAAATTATACTGCCTACTAATTGAGCATGCTGCTCCTACAGCTCAGTAATGAGTCAGAGGGATTTGGCTGTGTCTGCTCTTCTGGCTTACCCCTCTCATAAACATTCAGAGTGACAAACTTTTTCTTTGGCTTGGGGTCATAAAGAGGAAAAAAACTTTAAATTTTTTTTCCAACTTAAGACTTCAGTGAAATATTTTCCAACATCCTCAGCAAGACATAATGCTTCTTGTCATGAATAAGTTAATGAGAAAAATATGGATGCCCCCCAGTCTCTCAGGGACCTGCTAGGCATTTTGCCCCTCTGAGGACCAGTTACTCTCTAAGCCTTTTGGGCTTTCTGAGAAGTCTCTGGTTTGGGTCTGGTCCCAAGGTACTGGAGATTAGCTTGTCTTTCTCTTCAATGGTCTGCTGGTGCATTTACCATAAACTTGGACACCCCTCCCCACTGAACTACCCTTAGAGCCCCCCGGGAGCTGTCAAATGGGTGAATGGCCCATAGTATGCATGGCCAAGTGTCAACTACCAATTACTTCAATATGGCCCTTTTCATATTTTATTTCATCTCTAGGTCAAAAATGTGCTTACTTAAAGAAGAGCATCCAGACTGTTAGCTAGGCATTTAGCAGGTTCTCTACCATCTGGCCACAACCTGCCTTGGCAACCTTATTTTCCACAACCCCTTTCCAGCTCTAAGCAAACAGTACTACTGCTATTGCCTGAACTCTCTTCCTGCCTAAAATGCTCTTCCCTTCAACCAGTCTAAATCCTTTCCCTTTAGAGTGAGTTGTGAGGACAACAGGTTAATCATTTGGTGCTTTTTCACATTGATATCCTTTAAATGTTTACTCAGCGTTTTTTTAGTGTGTGTGATGGAGGGAAAAGTTAGTTTTTTTATTAATAAAAATAATATAAGGAAACAGATTCACTCTCTAATTCCTTTCCAAGGGCTCAACAGAGTCAATGTTCTGAAAAGTCAACAAAACCTTTCTGTCTTTTAAGTCGTTTTTGTTCTTTCTTTGGTTTTCTTTTATAACTTCCCAAGTCACATAACTTTTTTGGAGGCATATTATGCAGCCTAAAATACAGGTTATTAAAACTATCACTCTTTTCTGGTAGACGATCCCCAGCAAACATTATTTGGGTGAGGAAGTTCATTTGATTATTTGTTCTTTTGATTATAACTAGTCTTAGGTGGTTAGTCTGTGGTTGTTTGTGGAGACTAAAGCAACTCCATCGTTGATGCTAATCCACCGTGTTGACTTCTGATTAACACCAGTTCCGTGTATGCCTCGAAGATTTCTATTGTATCTACTGTTCCTTGTGTAAGAGCATGTACTTACAGTAAATCCTGCCCTTGGCTCAAAACAACCTAGATATTATTGTACTTGCCATAAATCCTGTCATCAGGCAAATTCCCTATGGTATATAAGCCCTGGGTCTGCCGGGTAATGGTTCAGGGACCCACCATCTCCTCTCGCAGCTGTCTAAGACATGGCTTCTGTTTGTAAGTCCTTATTAAATGTTTCTTTCGAAGAAATTGGATTTGTCAGCCTCTTTCTTCAGCCTCCCAGCTTCCTTTAGGGGTAGGTTTGCATATGTCTACTCACAGCAGAACGTGGTTGTACTTCCATGTTTTGATCACAAAACATTCAATGGAAATAGATCAGCAAGTTACTTAACTAATATCATACTAAATGTGTTATGTACATATTAGGATCATACCTTCTTAGGTGGAAGCAGAATCAATTTACATTTTACCAATTTAGTGAGAATGTGAGTGGGCAAAACTGAATTAAGGGCACCATGTTTGTAATTCACGCCAGGATTCTTTCGGGCTCCTGATGGGGCCATTGTAAGTGAGAATCCTTTGTTGGCCTTTGGCTCTGCTAGATGCGAATTGCTCCTAATCTGCATACTTCTTGACAGTCTCACCTTCATTATCTCCCTCACCTTTATGTTCCTACACAAGACTCCAGTATCTTCCACAACTAGAACTTCGTTACTCAAAGTGTGGGCCACAGACTAGTGGCATTAGTATCACCTAGGAACTTGTTAGAAATACAGACTCTTGAGCCCCACCACAGAACTTCTGAATCAGAGGTGATTTGTATGCACATTAAAGTTAAAAAGCTCTGGACTAGAACATGCTGTACAATCTGATGTGCTTTCTTGTCATTTCTCTTGTGTGACTTGTAGATTTTAGAGAGCAGTCACCAAGTCTTCTGATTCTTTTGTCTTTCCCACAGCACTAAACTGGACACACACACAAAAAAAGTGTTAGGGACACTTTCATTGCTAGACTGTTCGATTTTTTAGTTAAATCTAGCCCTGGAATAAAAGAAACAAGAGGAAATATTCCTTTCTTAGCTCTTGCTGTGGTTCAAACTTTACAAGTTCAAGTTTGAACTTTTTTTTCCAGGAAATAAAAGAGCTATTTTTCCTTCAAGGCCTATGATTTCTATGATTCTGTAATTGAGCCCCAAAGGCTGTTTTTAATTTGACCTCAAGTGCAATTCACGAAGACAACTTTGACAATACTCATTCCCCTTTGGGCAAAAATACTTCCACTGGAAATCCAGAAAGTGACCTATTGAGTAAAATGTTTCTTAATTCACTGTAAAAAGTGTATTTAGAAAAGCAAATAGTCTATGACAGAACATAGAATTGTCCACTATTATGAAATCTGATGAAGAAGAAAAAGTAAACTGACCCCTTCAGATTTTTTTAAAATAATAAAACCAACAGCACTCAACTTCCTTGGTGGATCTGTTTGCAGCATGTATCAAATATAACCATGCAAAGAGCCTAATCTGCTATCTACCTTCAGAAATCTGGACTTTCAGGGTAAGACTTTAGTTCTAGTTGCGTGAGAGCCTCATGGCCTCCTGGGATACTAGAGTTAAGGATCAAGACAAAGAGGAAAGAAAGCTGATAAATCTCCTTTTAGATTATGTATAAGGAATTAGGAGTTGTAACTGGGAACTCACTCCAGGGAGGGACAGAGCTGAAAAGTATATAGCTTTCAGATATTTGTCGGTCATTACAGAAATGCTCTCTGGACCTGAGAGTTTGATGGTGGAGTGATAAGGGTGACTTTTGAGGACCTAAAAAGAGTTGTGGTTAAATCATCCAGGCTGGATAAAAACTATGATAATTTGAGAGGGAAATATTTCCCATCTTTGAGGGTAAAACAAAACAGAGACCTGCTCCTAAGAGTCATCCTCAACATGGGTGGGAAGGTGAGCTGGAGCTTTGGAATAAGGATGAAGGCAGCCAATAAGGAGGTCTATGAGCCACTTATGAAAGGGAGTGCCGTCTGGGGCATGGGTCCCTAATGATACTGGGTGGACTTATCACAGATTCCAATGCCCTAGTAACCCCAAACTTTGCCCAGAGACTGATGAGAAATGATGAACCAAGGGTAATGAACATCCATTCATTCATGAGAACATCCATTCATTCATGGAAAAAACATACATTCAGCAATGAAAACAAACATTCATTCATGAGATACCTGCTACACAGCAGGCATTGTGCTAGGTGCTAGGGATAGAGAAAAGAATAAGACACCATCTTTGCCTTTGAAAAGCTCCCAGTTAATGGGGGAACCCAGAAAACAGACATCTAGAAGCTAGTGAGCAAGTACTAGTGTAGAAGCATATCCAAGGGATTATGGCACTCTAGGTGTGGAATTTTAATTTCTTGGGGGAATCATCAGGAAATACTTTCTGATTATTGGTCCTGATTCCTCATCTCTCCATACAGCTATGCCTTTTGTCACGTGACCTTGCTGTTCTTCCCACAGAGTGTGTATTTCCCCCCAGTTTGGTTTAGACTTGCCCATGTGACATGTCTTACCCATGCGATGTTAGCAAATATAACTTAAAATGTGGTTGCATGTCTGGACTTGCACTATTGTGCTTCAGATACTTCCATGAGAATAATATGCCCCAACTAACCACAGGTCTCAGGAAGAAAATGAGACACACTTGGAGCTCACTTGAACCAGCTGCACCTGCAGCTTGAAATGAAGCTTAGCTCTTTTGCTGACTGTTAGCCCTCCCTGCCCCAACCTAAAAGACACATGAGCAAGCCCAGAATAAGAGGTAAAGAAATGGAGGATGAGTTAGGCACATGCAATTATTAAACACTCACTCCATGCAAGGCACTATATCTTAGGGTCCTAAGCATGAGAACAGTAAGAATAGGATGCTAGATCAGAGTATGGCTTATTAATAATAGTACTCACTATAGCTACCATTATTGAGTGCTTCCTTTGGATCAGTCTCTGATACAGTTTGGATGCTTTTTTCCTCCAAATCTCATGTTGCAATGTGACTTTCAATGTTGGAGGTAGGCCTAGTGGGAGGCGTTTGGGTCATGGGGGCAAATCCCTCATGAATGGCTTGGTGCTGTTCCCTTGGTAATCAGTGAGTTTTCATTCTATGAGTTCATGCAAGATCTGGTTATTTATTTATTTATTTATTTATTTATTTATTTATGTATTTTTGAGACGGAGTCTTGTTCTGTTGCCCAGACTGGAGTGCAGTGGCGCGATCTTGGCTCACTGCAAGCTCCACCTCACGGGTTCACGCCATTCTCCTGCCTCAGCCTCCCGAGTAGCTGGGACTACAGGCACCCGCCACCATGTCTGGCTAATTTTTTGTATTTTTAGTAGAGACAGGGTTTCACCATGTTAGCCAGGATGGTCTCGATCTCCTGACCTTGTGATCCACCCACCTTGGCCTCCCAAATTGCTGGGATTACAGGAGTGAGCCACCACGCCTGGCCAAGATCTGGTTATTTTAAAGAGCTCAACACCTTCTCTGTATCTCTCTTGCTTGCTCTCACCACATGACACATTGGCTCTCCTTTGCCTTCTGCCATGATTGTAAGCTTCTTGAAGTCTCACCACAAGCAGATGCCAGTATCATGCTACAGCCTGCAGAACCATGAGCCAAATAAACCTCTTTTCTTTGTAAATTACCCAGTCTCAGGTATTCCTTTATAGCCGTGAAAACAGACTAACACAGTCCCTGTGCCCAAAATTTGGTATTTTCTCATTTAGCTCTCACAACAACCCTTCAGTAAAGACCACTATCGTCCCTATTTTATAGATGAGAGATCTGATGCTTTGCACATTTTGTGACTTGCCTGGAGTCACAAAAAATATAATAGGAGGAATTTGAACCTGACTTTCTAACTCCAAAGCCCCAGCTATTAACTACTTGGCTACAGACAAGTGAGGATGAAGGCCCGAGCTGGTACTTTGCCCAAGCCTCAATAGGTCTGTTGGTCCCTGCCAGCCTTGTCCCCACTTATGTGTGGCCTGGAATCAATGGAGGCTTGGCCTGAAGTGGGAGCTCCCTCACCAATAGTGAGAAGGACTGAATCTAGCCTCTTGTTCTATAAGTAGACATGCCAGGGGGAGATCATTATGTGCCAGGCAATATTCTAAGCATCGTATGTATGTTAACAAATGCCATCCTACCTGTTAACAACTACTCTTTGAGACAGATGCAACTATTATTATACCCATTAGTGTTCTCACTTTGTCAACTGGGGAGCCTCAATTATTTTGTTCATTCCAAGTATTGTTATTGGAAGTATTACCTAATGTGTGGCTGGCCCTGCCTTGAGCACAGAGCACTATATAAATAAGACAGATGGAGCCTTTCATGGGGCTTACAGTCAAAAGTACTTTCTGCCAGCCCCATAAGCCTGGTCCCATTTTCTAAGCTCATTCATCATTAACACTACTGCTTGGGAGCCTCATCACCTCCCTGCCCTACGTTTGGACACACCTAAGTTTGCTATGCCCATTTAGATTTAGAGATTTACCCTGATATACTTTCCCTGGAGAGAGGCACATTTGCTGGCCCCAGGGAGTTTTGTCCCCAATTCCCACTTCAGCCCTTCTTTGCTTGCTCTTTCCTCATGACCAGGAGTTCCCAAAATGCTCTGGGGTGGGGCCCTCTGCAGAGATGGCAGAAGCACAGTTTATCGTGCTTCCTTTGAAAGTGGTGTTCCTCTTTTACACTGTTGGCGGGACTGTAAATTAGTTCAACCATTGTGGAAGACAGTGTGGTGATTCCTCAAGGATCTAGAACTGGAAATACCATTTGACCCAGCCATCCCATTACTGGGTATTTACCCAAAGGATTATAAATCATGCTGCTATAAAGACACATGCACACATATGTTTATTGCGGCACTATTCACAATAGCAAAGACTTGGAACCAACCCAAATGTCCATCAATGATAGGCTGGATTAAGAAAATGTGGCACATATACACCATGAAATACTATGCAGCTATAAAAAAAGGATGAGCTCATGTCCTTTGTAGGGACATGGATGAAGCTGGAAACCATCATTCTCAACAAACTATCGCAAGGACAGAAAACCAAACACCGCATGTTCTCACTTATAGGTGGGAATTGAACAATGAGAGCACTTGGACACAGGATGGGGAACATCACACACTGGGGCCTGTCAGGGGATGGGAGGCTGGGGAAGGGTTAGCATTAGGAGAAATACCTAATGTAAATGACGAGTTAATGGGTGCAGCACACCAACATGGCACATGTATACATATGTAACAAACCTGCACGTTGTGCACATGTACCCTAGAACTTAAAGTATTTAAAAAAAAGCAAGTAACTAATACACATAATTTCTAAAATTATGTAAACTTACTAGTAATCAAATAAATGTAAATTAAATTAAACATTAAACATATTTTTTAAATATTAAAAAAAAAGTGGTGTTCCTGGGTGGAACATTCTGCTCCATTTCATTAGTTAAATTCAGCCCTGGAATAAGAGAAAGAAGAGGAAATATTCCTTTCTTAGCTCTTGGTGTGGCTCAATCTTTACAAGTTCAAGTTTGACTTTTCTTACAGGAAGCAAAAGAGCTATTTTTCCTTCAAGGCCTATGATTTCTATGATTCTGTAATTGAGCCCCAAAGGCGGTTCTTAATTTGACCTCAAGCGCAATTCATAAAGACAACTTTGACAATAGTAATTCCCTTTTGGGCAAAAATACTTCCATTGGAAATCCAGAAAGTGACCTACTGGGTAAAATGTTTCTTAATTTACTGTAAAAAGTAAGGTTGCACCCAGATGGTACCCGTGTGGGAGGACAAGTTTCCCCCACTTTGAGTTGACCCACATTCACCATACAAATGGAAGCAAAATAGATTTCTGTTCCTAAACCCACAGGAAAGAAAGTCACTGGCCTCCACCAAATGCCATTTGGAGTGTAAGAAATATGTACATGGATGTATTCTCAGAGGAATCATAATGTATTTAATGTGCCCTCTAGACCAAATTCCCTTAAAGTAGCTGAATTGTGAGGACTTTGTAATGGTGTCCCTTTTGGAAATGGCTGCCTGCCTCTGATTCACAAGACTCCTCAGAATATTTATATGAGCATGGGCTTTCTCAGAGTTCTCAGGAGCCAGGGCTCTAGGTCACATTAACAGAAAAATGTAGCCTGATCCACAGACTGCTGAATCTAGCTGTTTTCATGAGGAATAATTTAATATTCAAATAAGCAGTAATTAAGGAGCAGCTCTTCCTCAGGCTCTTCACCCTGTCCTCCCTGACCCATCTCGCTGCTAGAGGCAAGCCATGAATCCTGCAATTGTGAGGCTGAGTGACGGACTTCATTGCCAGCGCAGTTAAGCCAGGCAACAGAGAAGAAAGTACAATACGGCTCACTGGTTCATAATACCTCATAAATCAAATCGATTTTTCCCATAGTCAAATGGTTATGCCACGTTCCGGTTTCCAGTTAGATTTATGAGTATGTTCTCCTCATGAGAGACATACCATGATGGACTAATTGGCACAGAACACAAAGAAACAAAGAGCACTTAGGAACTAAACTATAAGGAGCATGTTGACCCCAGTCAGGCTTTCTTCCCTGACAAGTTAGTTCTTTTGATTCCCATCTGGGGACGGCTCAGGTCACTAATAGCTTCTCAGTGCCCTCATGAAATCAAGGGAGGGAGAAGGCACCCAAGTTGTTGGAGCTATCTTCCATGTGATTTTCTTCTTAGAAAGTGGTTTTGGCTGACTCAAGAAAAGTTATTCTGGCCTTCATTGAATAGTCTGGGCCAATAAGGAGAACACAGTCAGTGAGAAGAGAAAATAAGAACACAGACAGTGTGGCTTTTAAGCATGAGCTGAGGATTGCTCGCGTAGCGATCCTGTAGGCTAGTCAGTGTCTTCCTCACCTCCGGGAGAGCCCAGTTCTTGCTTCACACAAGTGCTGTGGGGAGCACTGGAGTGACACCCCATAGCCTACCTGCCAGGATGAGTCAGTACTAATCCTCATTCTACTTAGAGTTCCAGGGATTTTATGAAGCCAGAGATGTAAAAATGCTTTGGGGGTAGGGGCAGTATAAAAGTAATTTGGAGAAAATAGGTACTTTTCTCTTTGAGCTTCTTGAGTGTACATCAAATGCAATCACTATCAAGTTGGAGAATTTCTTTAAAACAAGAAGAAAAAGGAAGAGGTTTAGATGCATTTAGTGACATATCGGCATTTGCTCAGGCTTTTATAATCCTTTGTGTCTTATCCTATGTGTTTCACTGAATGCCTTTTGCTGTGTGCTTTTGGCTCCAATTAAAAAAAATAAATACAGAAAGCCTGATTTAACCCGATCCTGGGAAGCAATTAATAATGCATTATAGGATTGTGACCCATTTTGGATTTACAGCAAGGCCACCATCAATCATACGGCTGTACATTTTTGCTAAAGGCTTTTGTAGAGTGAGGTATTCCAATTTAACCAATTTACTACTTTATGGTTAGTCAGGTAACTTCCTGTGCAAAATTTTCACAAAGAGAAGGATTTGAAGATCTTTGGATAGTCTTCTAGGATGTATCATATATCAAGCAGTACATGATAGAATATGACCTGAAACAATACAGATGACTCAGAGGCAGGGGGTTTAAACCCTGGGACAAAGTATACACTCCTTCCTTCCATTCTTTCTCTACCTTCTAACCACAGCGTTTTTATTAACTTAAAATGAGGCTAAAGTAAGCCTCAAATGGCCTTGAAGTAGATGAAAACCAGAAAAAAGCCTGCCTTTTGGAGGGATGTGCCCTGGGGGAGGGTCAGTATCACTAACCTGGCTTTGGGCATGAGTCATGAGGAGATGGCATAATTGCCTGTGCCTCCGTTTTTAGCCCCGGCTGATAGAGCTTCCTCCTTCTGCTCTCCTCTGACATCCCCTGAGTCTTTCTAGTGCAAGGGGTCCCAGGCTGTTGCCCCCACTGCTCTAGGACTGGCTCTGTTCAGGCTTCTCTCATAATCAGAGAAATCTTTCCTAAAATCACTTTAAAAATAGGAAGTTCTTCTATTAGAGTCTATCTTTTTATAGGTGATTTATGCACCTGAAATAGACTCATGTGGCCCCAATACCCTTATAGAAATTAATCACTTAAAACATTATCTTGTTGTTTGTACGTGCAGGGTATATACAACAAGAAAAATCTGGAAGAACTCATCTGTTTTCCTCAATCTCTAACATCTGCATGGCCACTGAAAGGACAAGGTCTAACTGGTTTGTAACTTTTACTGAGTCCACATGACCCCAACTGGATTGAACATTTTCCAGAGACATACAATAGAAAGAATGATATGTTCATTTGGAAGATTAACTGCTCTGTTTATGCAGTGTTTCTGTGAGAAAGGAGGGTTTGCTCCACTGCATCTCTGTAAATTACCGTCAAGTCACAGAAAATAAGCAAATGTTAATGTAGCTGGATGCATATTTTTTCCTCATTGTTACATAATCTAGAAAATGCAAAACACCAGAATATAGGGATGTTGCAGGCAAGTCAAAGGAATTTTACAGGATCCCTGAGGGAGTTGTGTATACCCTCATAAACAACAGGATGACGAGTCTTTTATTAGAACCAGGGTCTGTGCTCACTGGGCCAGGGAGATGATTGGCTGCCTTGCTGATCCATATCGTCCATGTTTACTCCTACTAGGCTGGAATGCTTCTAGAAGCCAAGATGTGCCTGTAACTTTTCATTAGTTGGTGATATTCTCCAAACCCTCACACATGCATTTTAACTGTTTTCTTATTTGTTGATCATAATCTTAAGAGAGTTCATTCTTCCTTATTCTTTTCACTAGAAAATAACCTCCCTTGAGATTTTTTCATTGTCCAAGGTCAGATTCTCCTCTTCTTGGTAAGATAAGCCTGGTGTTAAATGTCGCTAGTTCTCTTCGGCTGCATCTGGCTAACCTGTCAGTCTCTCAAAGGCAGCTCCTGGAACCCATGGCCCTTGTTAGATCTGCCATGCTCCTTGAGCAAATGTAGGTTGGAGATTAAGACAGAGGACCAGAGACTCTTGGCATTCCTTCTTTGCTCAGCCACCACATCCCAGGATCTTCCTGGGTAAGTAATTTAAACATTTTGCTCCTCAGTTCCTCCACTATCATAGAATTATAATCATGATGGTTACTTGAGAATGAAGTATTTTGTGATCTTGAAATGAAATCAACCATTGTAAGTGCAAAGCCATATAAAGTCTCCAACACTTTAGTGACTTTATATTCAGTGAATAGTCTTGGTCAAAATACTCCTAAGAAAAGAAAATATGGATTGAACTATACCATTAAGGGGACTTTAACATGTTTTTCCCAATTCAAGAAACAAAACTGTCATTGAGGCTAATCCGAATAGTCTCTTCTGCCAAGGTGTCTTGCTTTTGATGAAGGATGCAGGAAGAGGAAAAGGCTGTTGCAAATGACCAAGATGGTCATTTCCACTGTGCAGTTAAAATTTGTACCTTTCATCAGCATCATAAGAAAAGGCAAAAAATATATAAATAAATAAAATTTGTGCCTTTCAGTGTATGTACATCAGACCTTACACACACAAAAAGAACTAAAAAAAATGTGAGGGTGAGGAATGGGTTAAAGCACATATAAAACAAAAATAGCACTTGATTAGTAGTTGCTGATGTTGGGTCAGAGGTCAATTATACTACTTTGTTTATTTTGTATATATTTAAAATTTTCTATAATAAAACACTTGTATAAAAATACTTTTAAAAGGATGGTCATTTTCATCTTCATGAGTGAAAACTCCTAAAGCGTACACAGAGGATGCACAGGTAGGTCTAAATGAAAAGTGGTGTTGTGGCAGGGTGCAGTGGCTCACGCCTGTAAATCCCAGAACTTTGGGAGGCCGAGGAGGGCGGATCACCTGAAGTCAGGAATTCGAGCAGCCTGGCCAACATAGCGAAACTTTGTCTCTACTAAAAATACAAAAAAACTAGCCAGGCGTAGTAGTGGGCGCCTGTAATCCCAGCTACTTGGGAGGCTGAGGCAGGAGAATTGCTTGAACCAGGAGGCAGAGGTTGCAGTGAGCTGAGACTGCGTCATTGCACTACAGTCTGGGTGACAGAGTGAGACTCTGTCTCAATCAATCAATAAATAGAAAAGTGATGTTGTGCAGCCATTATGGAAAACAGCATGGTAGTTCTGGAAAAAAATTAAAAGTAGAATTACCTTATGGTCTAGCAATTCCACTTCTGGGTATATAATCAAAAGGATTGAAAGCAGAGTCCTAAAGAAATGTTTATATACTCATGTTCATAGCAACTTGATTCACAATAGCCAAAATGTGGAAGCAACCCAAGTGTTCATTAACGGATGAATGAATAAGCAAAATGTGGTGTGACCATACATTATCAGTCAGCGTTAAAAAGGAGGGAAATTTGGACACATCCTACAATGTGGGTGAACATTGAGGACATTATGTTAAGTAAAATAAGTCAGACACAAGAGGACAAATACTGTATGATTCCACCTGTCTGAGGTACCTACAATAGTCAGAGTCATAGAGACACAAAATAGAGTAGTGGTGATCAGAGGCTGGGAAAGGGGGAAATGAGGAGCTGTTTTTAAAGGAGTATAGAGTTTCCATTTCGCAAGATGAAAAGAGTTCTGGAGACTAGTTGCAGAACAAAGTGAATGTTCTTAATGTTACTGAACTATACACTCAAAATAGTTAAGATGACAAATTTTATGTTGTGTTTATTTCACCACAACATTTATTTTTAATTTAAAAAATGAAAAACATTAGAAATAAATGGAAAGTCATGGTGTCAGGGGAGCCTTGGGATTTTCCGGCCACAGTGCGCATTAAGTATATGTCCCGCACAGTCCAAGGCATTGCTCTTTCTCAGAGCAACATACTAAGGGTTAAAGGCAATTCTTACAAACTCCAGGGAATTTGAGAATTGACCACAGAAAGTGTTTTTGACAAGACAGGCAATCCAGCTTCATCTCAGAAATTCCTGAACATTCTTAGGTGCCATCCCATGTGATAACCCAGAGTTATCCTCTTCTAATGGAGAAGAAAAAAGGGAAGTCCTCACTCTAAGACCTGAAGGGATAGACAGTTGACTCTGTTAACTTGCTTGCTGACTATGTGAAGATTTCAGGCCCTGCTGGAAGCCTCAACAGTGCCAGAAAGGGCACTTTGTTTTTTTCACAACTTTATGAGGAGAAGGCACCCAAACAGATGGCTTCCTACTCCGATGGTTGCTAGAGTGAGCTTCTGATTTTTCTTCTGAGAGGGTGAAATGAAATGGAATTCCTTGAAGATCCTCATAAAAAGCAGAAAATAAGATTTTATTACTCTCTTTCTGGACAATTTCCTTTGTTTCCCCCAAAGAGAATCAATTCCGGGGTTGGCTGAAAGGTCCTCAGCATTCCCCCACCCACCCCACAAAAAACACATAAAGAAATTCTACTAACTTATCCTAATTAAAAGGAAAATCAAACCAAAAGATTTCCAAGTAGGCTGAGCTCTATAAGACGCCCTGGGAGGGGAGTGGGGGTAAAGGTGGGCAGTTCTAATTTCTTTCATTACCACCTTTCTGAGCCCTGGAGGCAGATGACTCTGTAATAGTGTGACACAAGCATCAAACAAAACCTTTCCCATGGTTCCTCTAAACACAGTCAAGACAGACTGGAACTCTTGCAAAAGCTTTATATAATTCTAAGGAAAAACAAAAGGAAATAAGCATAGATAGTGGTACAAGGTTCACAAAATAGTTTTTTGACCCTAGTTTGGGCCGTGTGTTTCCAGAGCTTTTAGGCCATATTGTTTTTCACGTGCTGTGTTAGGATTTGTGTCCTCAAGCCAAAATTGTCAAGCTCCTGTCTGCCTGTTTTTTTTTCCTTCAACTTTTAAGTTCTGGGGTCATGTGCAGGATGTGCAGATATGTTACATAGGTAAACGTATACCATGGTGATTTGCTGCACAAATCAACCCATCACCCAGGAATTAAGCCCAGCATTCATTAGCTATTGTTCCTGGTGCTCTCCCTGCCCAAGCCCCAGCCACCTGACAGGCCCCAGTGTGTGTTGTTCCCTCCATGTGTCCATGTGTTCTCATCGTTCAGCTCCCACTTATAAGTGACAACATGTGGTGTTTGGTTTTCTGTTCCTATGTTAGCTTGCTGAGAATAACGGCTTCCAGCTCCATTCATGTCCCTGCAAAGGAAATGATCTCCTTCCTTTTCGTGGCTGCATAGTATTCCATGGTTTCTGTGTTTCTGTTGCATGTGGCTGGTGCCGTCATGAAGCCCTGCCACCAAGGGCCTTGTCTAACCTGTAAGACATCTGTGTGTGAACTTGACAAAGGTGCCCCCTCTGGACAGATGCAACCCTGTAGGTTCTTGTCTTGGGGAGCAAAGAGCAGCATGGATTTCAGCTTCTACTTACTCCCTCAGCCAGGCACTCTTGTGCAGTGAACAACTTTTTCAATTATATTTGGTGGCCTTCCCCATCACTCAAGACTTTTCAGGATAACTTGATCTTTGTATAATGAAGATCATACATACCAACGATCTTACATACCAAGTTTCCTCTACCTACCTAGGAACTTAGCATTCAGATCTGGCTTCTGATCTAAAGAAATTCTTCTTGTCTAAGTAACTGCCACTAGAAATGACATCCCAGGATTCCACACCTTATAAAGACCTCCTTGCCAGTCTACCAATATGTCTTAGTGCAGTGACTATATCACTTATACCATAACCACATTTTTGGAGTCATAAAGGGATTGTTCCTGCATTAAGGGGATTTTTTAAAAAAACAAGTTTAAAAGTCATTGGATAAGAAACAGTTGAACTCAGTTTAGACTTCTAAAGGGCAGATGCCCTTCCAACAACCTGGCTCTTCAGCTAAACAGCATTCACAGTGAGCCGATGTGGAGTCCTCGTGTTGATTGCCATCCAATCCTGCAAAAGCTCAGAAATATGTTTTTTTGAGCAAAACAGATAAGCTTTGTGTCTAGGATCAACATACTGATTTTCAGCAAAACATACATCCTGCTGGGTCTTGCTGTACTTACTCTCCACATACTTTGAATAGACTATCTTACAAAAGCAAAGTGTTGTTTCTTTGTAGAAAAGCACACGCCCCTTGAAAGGGCTATGCTCTGACTGTGTTTGTGTTGGTGTATACGTGGTGCTTGGGGTCATCTCTCCTTGCCCAGGCTCTCCTGGAGCTAAAAAGGACACTGAGGGACAAAAGAAGCCCGTAATTTAAACTACTTGATCAACGACATAGACAAGGAGTTCTACATTTGCAAACAGGCTGTGCTGTACAATATTCTCCTATAGAAGTAATGTTATTAGACTGTTCAGGTTTTTAGATTAGTCCGCATCTTCCTCCGGCCCCCAAGAAAACCCCAGCACCCATAATGTACATTTTAATTGGAATTATGTTGGAATATTTTTAGCAGAAAATTTTTAGTGGGAATATTATTAGCATAAATAATCTACAGATAGTTGGAAACAAAGCTTTTGCAAAGTGTTAAGAAAAAAATTTAAATACATGTTTTTAATGACTAAGAATGCTGAGGTTTGGAGTGAATGCATGCTTGGAAGCATTTGAAAGAGTAAAGGGTGATTAGGAGTCTTCCACGCTTGCTTAAAGGGCTATAGGAGTTAATTATAATGATTTTCTCTTTTGCTTTTTTTCACCTTCTGTCTCCCTCATATTGATGCATGACTGGTGTGAATGGGTAGAGAGAGAGAAAGGAGGAGAAAGATGGGAAGAATAAAGAGATTATGTGAAGTAACAGAAAAAGACAAAGCAAAGAGGAACAAAGAAGAAGAGTAAGGTGGCTCAAGGTGGAATGAATTGAAATGCACATAATCTCAAAAACAAGAAAGGAGGTGGCGGGAAAACACTGTTGGCCCTGGTGTCTGTTACATCAGGCCCTCCTTCATGCCAACTCACTGCACTTACTAACCAGAGCAGTCACAGGAGGTGAGCAAGCAAAGGGAAAAGAAAGGAATAACTAACTGGTTGTTTACACGTACATGGGTTTCTTGAATCAGGTGTTTATGGCTGGGGAATCCATTTTTTTTCCCCTAAACAAGTCAATTGTCTGAAAATACAGAGCACAACAGTTTATCGGTACTAGTTGACATTTATAAACCTCTGATCATGAGCCAAACACTCAGCTAAGTGTGGAACACACTGTTTCATTTTTTCTTGTGACCATTCTGTGAGCTTGGTGTTACCACTCTCCTCAGTTAGCAGAAAAGTAA
The DNA here is from genome assembly GCF_000001405.40 of Homo sapiens. NCBI lineage: Eukaryota > Metazoa > Chordata > Mammalia > Primates > Hominidae > Homo > Homo sapiens. The sequence continues at coordinate 44,056,483 of NC_000023.11, read as the reverse complement.
GTTAAGGCACAAAGAAAATACACAGCTGGTCGCAAAGTTACAGAGCTTGTAAATGAAGGAAGTGAGTTCAAAGCAGGGAGTCTCAGTCCAAAGTCATATTATACAGTCCACATGGAAATGCTAGATGGCTAATGATGGTTTGTAATCAAAGTGATAAAATAAATTAACACATTTAAAACCGCAACAGTGCTTTTGCGACTCCAACTGCTTAGCTGTGTTTTTTGGCGGAGGCAGCTTGAGGACGGTAATTCAAGGTCCATCTCTCACTCTTTTTCTCCCTCCCTCCCTGCTTCAATCAATAAAGACTTATTAACCCCCTTTCTCTGTGTTAAGCACTGTGCTAAGCACCAGGGATATAATGGTGAAAGGGCTCCAGGACCTGCTCTCAAGGAGCTCCCAAAGCAGTAAACAGACTCTTAAAACAGAATGTTATCTGGACAGGAGCCTCAGAGTTGGAGGAAAGGAACCTCACTTAGCTTTAGCGTTGGGGATAAAGGAAGACTTCTATACTTCTATATTTCTGAAGGTTGAGAAGGGCTGAGCTGAATGAAGATGGATAGGGAAATGTGTTTGAGGTAGACGAGCCAGTGTGAGCAAAAACCCAGAGGGTTGATCTGTTACTTTTCTTCTGAAACAGAAACTGGCCAGTTTCATATCTTTCATGGACTTGTCCCATGCGAGTGGAGTGCTTGGGGTTGGAGGAGAAAAGGGTTATACTTGGCTCACTGGAGCCAGCTTCACATTTCTTCCTAACTCTGTCTGCAGTGAGGTCAGGTTGGTAGCTTGAAATTGACTAGAGTGGGAGTATTTATACCATGAAAATTGGCAGCCGTTACAGATCAGGGTTTTGAATTTCCTGGAGAGCTGGTTGTTAAGCATTTACCAACATACTACTGGACACTGGTTCCAGAGACCATAGCACTGCAAATATATGCCTGTGATGTGGCTTTACTTCTGCTTCTCATCTAGAACGGAACATATTTTTCCTGATATTCAGTAACACTCACAGGCAGCTGCTCTTGAGCTGAAAGCAGGATGGAGATCAGCAACAGGATGCCACTGCAATAGTTTCTTCACCCAGGTCTTCTTTGACTGCAAATCTTGCCATGTTCACACGTGCTAACATCCTGTGAGTTTTCCCACATTCACAGCTTTTAAAGTCAAACATATGTTAAAAAATAAACTGACACTGTTTCCCTCAGACATTAATACTCGTTAACACGCACCTAGATTCCCACAACTTCATTTTCATACCTGTAATTTGATTTACATGAATAACTAAATCTTTGCTTATATCTACATGAAGTTATCTAGAAGAAGCTACCATTTCACTTTCAGAAGCAGAGTCTTGTGGCATAGACATCAGCCTACTCAAAATATTATCAGAGATGAATAATACATTCAAGATCTATCTTGCCACAGTGACCTAGTTTCCATGGCAAAGGTCATGGGCTATGATTGTATAGGAAATAAGGACTAGACCAGGGGTAAACCAGGTTTAGCATATGACACTTTGTCATTTCCAGTTATTTGACCTCCTCCCTGCTCCCTGTTTATTGATCAAGTATGGATTTATATGCCCAGAGCAGACTGGGCAAATTCCCTTATGCCCTGTGGATGGTGTCTCTCTGTGTCCCTGGAAAGAAAGACAGCAAAGATAGATCAAGTCATATCCACATGGTGAGTGGAGCAGGTTAGAATTGAATTGTCTCCATCTGAGAGGTAGAGAAGAAAATTCAACCTAGTACATGGAATGCTGGGAGTTTGTTTCTTTTTCACATTCGATACAAATTTGGATTTTTAAATTTTATCCATATGCTTTTTCAGCAAGAAGTGGAGCTTAAGCTTTTTCTTCCAAAATTTTTACCAAATATGTTGGAGAACTGCATGAATATCTATACTATTTATTTTTCCTATAGATTTAGATGTTAATGCTTTGATGCCCAGGCACTAAAACCATTTCTCAAAACTAATTGGAATGAATCAAAGCTTTTCCTTTGTAAGAGCCCATCAAGGAATGAAAAGATGAAACAGAGAGATGTGGTTGCATTACCCACCTAACCTAGTGGGACAAGACTCCCTCTTCCAAACCTACCGTTTTTACTCCGAATTAAATTTTTTTTTTGGTCTGTAGTCAACAAGCCACTATTAAAACTAATATAGAGTTGGAGTTAATATCAGTAAATAAAATAGAAGGATTTTTTTTTTGAGACAGGGTTGCTGTTGCCTATGCTGCTAGAGTGCAGTGGTATGATTTTGGCTCACTGCAGCCTAAATCCCCTGGGCTTAAATGATCCTGCCACCTCAGCTATCCCCACCTCCCAGTAGTTAGGACTACAGGCACATGTCACCATGCCTGGCTAATCTTTGTATTTTTTGTAGAGACAGGGTTTTGCTATGTTGCCCAGGTTGGGATTTTTTTTTTAAAGAAAATGTTGAAACGTTTACATAAATTAACATTTTTTAAAATTATACTTTAAGTTCTGGGATACATGTGCAGAATGTGCAGATTTGTTACATAGGTATACACGTCCCATGGTGGTTTGCTGCACCTATCAACCTGTCATCTACATTAGTTATTTCTCCTAATGCTATGCCTCCTCTAGCCCCCTACCCCCTGACAGGCCCCGGTGTGTGATGTTCCCCTCCTTGTGTCCATGTGTTCTCATTGTTCATCTCTTCAAAAAAATCAGTGAATCCAGGAGCTGTTTTTTTTTTTTTTGAAACGATTAACAAAATAGATCGCTAGCCAGAAAAATGAGGAAGAAAAGAGAGAAGAATCAAATAGACAGAATAAAAAATGATAAAGGGGATATCACCACTGATCCCACAGAAATATAAACTACCATCAGAGGATACTATACAGAATTAACTAGAAAGTCTAGAAGAAATGGATAAATTCCTGGACACATACACCCTCCCAAGACTAAACCAGGAAAACCAGGAAGAAGTTGAACCCCTGAATAGACCAATAACAAATTCTGAAATTGAGGCAGTAATTAATAGCCTACCAACCAAAAAAAGCTCAGGACCAGATGGATTCACAGCCAAATTCTACCAGAGGTACAAAGAGGAGCTGCTACCATTCCTTCTGAAACTATTCCAAACAATACAAAAAGAGGGACTCCTCCATAACTCATTTTATGAGGCCAGCATCATCCTGATACCAAAACCTGGCAGAGACACAACAAAAAAAGAACATTTCAGGCCAATATCCCTGATGAACATTGATGTGAAAATCTGCAATAAAATACTGGCAAACTGAATCCAGCAACACATCAAAAAGCTTATCCACCACGATCAAGGTGGCTTCATACCTGGGATGCAAGGCTGGTTCAACATATGCAAATTAATAAACGTAATCCATCACGTAAACAGAACCAATGACGAAAACCACATGATTATCTTAATAGATGCAGAAAATGTCTTCAATAAAATTCAACACCCCTTCATGCCAAAACTCTCAATAAACTAGGTATTCATGACAAGTCCACAGCAAATATCATGCTGAATATGCAAAAGCTGGATGCATTCCCTTTGAAAACTGACATGAGACAAGGATGCCCTCTCCCACTACTCCTATTCAACACAGTATTGGAAGTTCTGGCCAGGGCAATCAGACAAGAGAAAGAAATAAAGCGTATTCAAGTAGGAAGAGAGGAAGTCAAATTGTCACTATTTGCAGGTGATATGATTGTATATTTAGAAAACCCATTGTCTCAGCCCAAAATCTCAAGCTGATAAGCAACTTCAGCAGTCTCAGGATACAAAATCAGTGTGCAAAAATCACAAGCACTCCTATATACCAATAATAGACAAACAGAGAGCCAAATCATAAGTGAACGCCCATTTACAATTGCTACAAAGAGAATAAAATACCTAGGAACTTACAAGGGAGGTGAAGGATCTCTTCAAGGAGAACTACAAACCACTGCTCAAGGAAATAAGGGAGGACACAAACAAATGGAAAAACATTCCATGCTCATGGATAGGAAGAATCAATATCGTGAAAATGGCCATACTGCCCAAAGTAATTGATAGATTCAATGCTACCCCCATCAAGCTACCATTGACTTTCTTCACAGAATTAGAAAAAACTACTTTAAATTTCATATGGAACCAGAAAAGAGCCCATATAGCCAAGACAATCCTAAGCAAAAAGAACAAAGCTGGAGGCATCACACTACCTGACTTCAAACTATAATCAAGGCTACAGTAACCAAAACAGCATGGTACTGGTACCAAAACAGATATGTAGACCAATGGAACAGAACAGAGGCCTCAGAATAACGTCACACATGTGCAACCATCTGATCTTTGACAAACCTGACAAAAATAAGCAATGGGGAAAGGATTCCCTATTTAATAAATGGTGTTGGGAAAACTGGCTAGCCATATGCAGAAGACAGAAACTGTACCCCTTCCTTACACCTTATACAAAAATTAACTCAAGATGGATTAAAGACTTACATGTACAACCTAAAACCATAAAAGCCCTAGAAGGAAACCTAGGCAATACCATTCAGGACATAGGCATGGGCAAAGACTTCATGACTAAAACACCAAAAGCAATGGCAACAAAAGCCAAAATTGACAAATGGGATCTAATTAAACTAAAGAACTTCTGCACAGCAAAAGAAACTATCATCAGAGTGAACAGACAATCTACAGAATGGCAGAAAATTTTTGCAGTCTATTCATCTGACAAAAGGCTGATATCCAGAATCTACAAGGAACTTAAATAAATTTACAAGAAAAAAACAAACAACCCCATCAAAAAGTGGGTGAAGGATATGGACAGACACTTCTCAAACGAAAACATTTATGTGGCCAACAAACATGTGAAAAAAACCTCATCATCACTGGTCATTAGAGAAATGCAAATCAAAACCACAATGAGATACCATCTCATGCCAGTTAGAATGGGGATCATTAAAAAGTCAGGAAACAACAGATGCTGGAGAGGATGTGGAGAAATAGGAATGCTTTTATGCTGTTGGTGGGACTGTAAATTACTTCAACCATTGTGGAAGACAGTGTGGTGATTCCTCGTTTCCTCAAGGATCTAGAACCAGAAATACCATTTGACCCAGCAATCCCATTACTGGGATTTTGGGTATTATCCCAATACCCCAAGAATTTTAAGTCATTCTACTATGAAGACACATGTACATGTATGTTTATTGCAGCACTGTTCGCAATAGCTAAGACGTGGAACCAACCCAAATGCCCATCAATGATAGACTGGATAAAGAAAATGTGGCACATATACACCATGGAATACTATGCAGTTATTAAAAAGGATGAGTTCATGTCCTCTGCAGGGTCATGGATGAAGTTGGAAACCATCATTCTGAGCAAACTAACACAGGAACAGAAAACCAAATACGGCATATTCTCACTAAATTAACTTTCTAAAAATGCCAGTTGCTTGATTCCCACCCCGCAACACATACATTTTTTTCCCATTTAGAAGGCAGTGTAGAGTTGTTGAAAAAGCATAAACCTATGCTCAATTCCAAGCCTCACTACTTTCTGATCATGAGTCATTAAGCATTTCACTGAATCCCTCTATGCCTGTTTTTTTATTTGTAGAACTGAGGTAATAATATCTATTGTCTAGAATTACTGCAAGGATTCAGGGAGATAACGTACGTACAGTATCTGATCTATAACCACATCTATTAATATATATTTAAAATTTCTTTTTCAGTGTCCAGGTTGGGAGTTCTAATTTGTAGTAAGGACATATTTTAAAAATAATGATTTAAGACCTTATGAACCCCAGCACTTCGGGAGGCCGAGGCAGGCTGATCACGAGGTCAGGATATCAAGACCATCTTGGCTAACACGGTGAAACCCCGTCTCTAATAAAAATACAGAACATTAGCCAGGTATGCTGGCACGCGCCTGTAGTCTCAGCTACTCGGGAGGCTGAGACAGGGAGAATTGCTTGAACCCCAAAGGCGGTGGTTGCAGTGAGCCGAGATCGCGTCACTGCACTCCAGCCCGGGCGACAGAGCGAGACTCTGTCTCAAAAAAAAAAAAAAAAAAAAAAAACCAACCAAAAAAAAGACCTTATGGAAGTGATTATGGGATGAAGGAGGTAGTGGGAGTAGAGTCCTCTTACCCAATAACCCAATATTCAAGCCCATTTTCTTTTGCTATGCTGTTCACTGGAGAACGTGGCCATGTTTTTAGAGACTTATTTTTTGAAACCTCTCTATTCAAAATATATTGTATTTTTCCAACAGTTTCTTCTTTTCTTCTTTCCTCTTTTCCTTCCTTCCTTCCTTCCTTCCCTCCTTTCTTCCTTCCTTTCTCTCTTCCTTTTAAAGGTGAGAAAGAATATATTAGAGGTATTATCCTCTCATCTATCCTAACATTTAACTACTAGCATCCTTTCAAATTTTCTGTAATGTAACTCTGCATGTTACACTTGAAAGTCATAGCGAAAAACAACCTCCAGAAATTGAAGTTATCTTTTCCCATTAACCACCCATAGCTAGACCTGATTATATCATTGATTTCAACTGAGATTTAGAATTTATACCCTCTAGAATGGCTTGTGCCTTGCAGAAGAGATTCTAGGTAATCAGCTATGTATTTGTAGAATCTTATTTTATGTGAAGGAGATTTTTAAATAAAAGCATAGACATTTCCATAACTGGAAACATTGTCAACAAAGTAGTTCTCCAAAATCCACTCAGCAACCTTCAGGGATCCAGTCCCATCACATTTTCTTTCTCAAAATTAAATTTAAAATGAATGAAGAGGCAGATTGGCAAGGGGCCCAGCATCCTTTACTTGTGTCAACTATCCCCCACACCCCATCAGTTGCTTACAATCTGTCCTCTTGGACACCTGAAGGCCACTCCTGGTGTCAGTCAGCTTGCTGCTGCATAGCTGCCATCCCTCCTGGACTCCTCAGAGCCTCCAAGGGCCCTGGTCCCCTCTGTCTGCCTGCTGTTGTTGGCTGTGTTCCAGTGAAATCTTGCTGGCCCTAGACTACTGTGACCTATTGGAAGAGCACACTCCCCCAGCTAGCCAGGTGAGGTTCAGGCATCCACCTCCCTCACGGAACTATAAATCCCACTCCTCTTCCCAGTCCTGGGGACTCCATCTCAGAGATAGAGGCATGTCCTCTTCACTCCTTGAAACAGAAAGAAGTGGTCATTTTGTAACTTCTACCTCATTGTGCTCCTTTGCTTGTATGGGTTGGGGGAGGGAAGGTGACAGGGTCTTGTCTGTTGCCTAGGCTGGAGTGTGGTGGCATGATCACAGCTCACTGCAGCCTCGACCTCCAGGGCTCAAGTGATCCTCCCACCTCAGCCTCCTGAGTAGCTGGGACCACAGGCATGTGCCACTACACTTGGGTAATTAAAAAACATTTTTTTTAAGAGACAGGGTCTCACTATGTTTTCCAGGCTGGTCTCGAACTCCTGGGCTCAAGTGATCTGCCTGCCTTGACCTCTCAAAGTACTAGGATTATAGGTGTGAGCTAAGGCACCCAGCCCTCCTCTGCTGTTCACTGGAATGATACCAACTTAGCAACGGGGCTCTTGGCTTTATGTAGGTAAGAAGATATTATTAACAGTTATGCATGTCTCTAGTAAGAAATTGAAAATGTCTTTACAATAAGTATAATTAGTTAGTTAGCATTTTTATCAGTCAAGGTCCTTGAGGAAACAGATGTGACCAATAGGTTACAGATGGCACACTCAAGGGGTGATTGATGAGAAAAAGATCCTTTTATAGAATTGTGGACAGGGTTAATGGAACCACCAAGGTTGGTGATGCACGCCAGGGACTAACAAAAGTAGGAATCCATTACCACCCAAGGTTTAAAGGGGCAGGGAGAGGCCACCGTTACTAGAACCTAGAGAGAGCTCTTGCTGTGGGAGAGGGATTACCTGTCCATAAGGGAGACTGTGACTTGTAGGAAGGTAGGGTGGGGCTAGGATGCACTTCCTGACTACTCTCCTCTATTCCTCTGATTTCCTGCGAGTGCTGCCCCTTGGCCCAACTCAATCAGAAACCAGGGTTCTGGTGAACCCAGGTGCTGCATTACCACAGAGGTCAACCCAGGGCACAGAGAAGGAATGAGAAAGGAGAAACATGGAACTGGAAGAGCAAACTGAGAAAATAGTCAGCAGAACATCTTTTAACACAATAGAAAACACTAAATGGATGAATCAACTGAGTGAGTGTTAAGGGAAATAAAGGCTGGATCCTGGTCAGTAGAAAAGGTAAAGGAGAAAGAGATGAATTAAGGAGTAAGGGATCCTCTCTTCTTGGCTGCTTCCCAGAGTGGAATTCTAGAAGTTGCAGAAAACTAAGTCCTCCTTTAATTATACCTGTATAAGAAGACATGCTTCCCCAAATAACCTCATCTTCCAATCCACAATTTGAAATGCAGATGAAACAACATATCTCAGGCCTTCAGATGCTTAAAACCAAGCAATCAATTTTCAAATGTAAAGACAATTGTTTTCCACTTTCTTAATTTGCTGCTGGGGAAGAGAAGGAAGTGTTTGACTTCTCTTCTGCTGCATAACAAGTCACTCTAAAACTTGGTGTGAAGCAACAATTTACCATTTCTAATGATTCTCAGGGTTGATGAGGCTCAGCTCAGGCCACCTTATGCTTCACATCATATAGCTGAGGTCACACATGTAGCTGAATTCATCTGGGAGCTTGCTTAGGTGAGAAACATCCAAGCTGGCCTCTCACCCTCTAGGATTTCTCTGTCTGTGGCCTCTCAACACTCAGTAGCTAACCTAAGCTTCCTTATACCACGGCAAGAGACTTCCATTGAGTTCTCTAAGAGGACATGTCCCAGTGTGCAAGCATTTACTAGGTCTCTGCTTGCATCATGCTTGCTAATGTCCTATTGGCCAAAGCTGGTCACATAGTGCCTGGTCAAACTCAGAATCATTTCGGGAGGGAACTACATGAAGGCATAAGTATAGGGAAATTCAGGGACCACCAGTGTGCCAATCCACCACCAAATAGTAAGAGAATCCGGTCTCTGAAGAACAGGAGGGTTCATCACCAAAGTGAAATGGCAGAGAAAGGAATCCAGATATCAAAACTTGCTAAGATCATCCTGTTACCTTAGTTTTATGAAGGCAAATCCATGTTATGCTCAGAAGTTTGTTGCTGAATGTGGGCATGGAGTAGTAATGCAGTTCTCTATCCAGGAGAGTCATTACCAGAGAGGTATTGTTACCTGAAAGGGGTCCAGATCCAGACCCCAAGAGAGGGTTCTTGGATCTTACGCAAGAAAGAATTTAGGGCAAGTCCATAGAGTAAAGTGCCTGATTTCAAGCTATACCATAAGGCCATAGTCACCAAAACAGCATGGTACTGGTATAAAAATAGGCAGGTAGACCAATGGAACAGAACAGCGAACCCAGAAATAAGACCAAATACTTACAGACAACTGATTTTCGATAAAATAAACAAAAACATAAAATGGGGGAAGGACACCCTAATCAACAAATGGTGCTGGGATAATTGGCAAGCCACATGTAGGAGAATGAAATTGGATCCTCATCTCTCACCTTATACAAAATATCAACTCAAGAGGAATCAAGTACTTAAATCTAAGACCTGAAACTATAAAAATCCTAGAAGATAACATTGGAAAACCCCTTCTAGATATTGTCTTAGGCAAGGATTTTATGATCAAGAACCCAAAAGCAAATGAAATAAAACAAAGATAAATAGCTGGGACTTAATCAAACTAAAGAGATTTTGCATGGCAAAAGGAACAGTCAGCAGAGTCAACAGACAACCCACAGAGTGGGAGAAAATCTTCACAATCTATATATCTGACAAAGGACTAATATCCAGAATCTACAACGAACTCAAACAAATTAACAAGAAAAAACCAAATAATCCCATCAAAAATTAGGCAAAGGACATGAATAGACAATTCTCAAAAGAAGATACACAAATAGCCAACAAACATATGAAAAAATGCCCAACATCACTAATGATCAGGGAAATGCAAATCAAAACCACAATACAATACGACCTTACTCCTGCAAGAATGGCCATAATCAAAAAATTAAAAAAATAATGGATGTTGGAGTGGATGCAGTGAACAGGGAACACTTCTTCTACACTGCTGGTGGGAATGTAAACTAGTACAGCCACTATGGAAAACAGTGTGGAGATTCCCTAAATAACTAAAATTAGAACTACCATTTGATCCAGCAATCCCACTACTGGGTATCTACCCAGAAGAAAAGAAGTCATTATACAAGAAAGATACTTGCACACACATGTTTACAGCAGCACAATTCGCAATTGCAAAAATGTGGAACCAACCCAAATGCCCATCAATTGACAACTGGATAAAGAAATTGTGGTATACCTATACGATGGAATACTACTCAGCCATAAAAAGAATGAATTAATGGCATTTGCAGCGACCAGGATGAGATTGGAGACTATTACTCTAAGTGAAGTAACTTGGAAATGGAAAACCAAACATTGTATGTTCTCACTTATAAGTGGGAACTAAGCTATAAGGATACAAAGGCATAGAATGACACAGTGAACTTTGGGGACTCCGGGGGAAAGGGTGGGAAGAGGGTGAGGGATAAAAGACTGCAAATTGGGTGGAGTGTGTAGCTCAGGTGATGGGTGCACCACAATCTCACAAATCACCACTAAAGAACTTACTCATGTAACCAAACACCACCTGTTCCCCAATAACCTATGGAAATAAAACATTTTTTAAAAAAGAAAGTAAAGGAATAAAAGAATGGCTACTTCACAGACAGAACAACCCTAGGGCTGCTGGTTGCCCATTTTTATGGTTATTTCTTGATGATATGCTAAACAACGGGTAGATTATTCATGCCTCCCCTTTTTAGACAACATAGGGTAACTTCTTGATGTTACTGTGGCATTTGTGTATTGTCATGGCGCTGGTGGGAATGTAGCAGTGAGGACGACCAGAGGTCACTCTCATGACCATCTTGGTTTTGGTGGGTTTTAGCTGGCTTCTTTACTGCAATCTGTTTTATCAGCAAGGTCTTTATGACCTGTATCTTGTGCTGACCTCCTATCTCATCCTGTGACTTAGAATGCCTAACCGTCTGGGAATGCAGCCTAGTAGGTTTTAGCCTTATTTTACCCAGCCCCTATTCAACATGGAGTTGCTGTGGTTCAAATGCCTCTGACAGTATCAGGGTTGTAGGCTTGCTCTTTAGGTTTGAGGAAAGGGAAAGAGGGGTGGGAGTGGGGAGGGGAGGCCAGAGGAAATGGAAAAATGGAGCTTGAGGTCATTTTGCACAGACTCAAGGTTCAGCACAGAACTAGTGCCTAGCCTTTCACCTCTTGCCCTGGGCCCAGGAAAATAGAGATTAATGGAAATCAGTTACGCTAAGTTTGACAAAATTGAAGGCATTTATTTCACAAGTATGAAGCTCATAAACAGTTTATAATCCTGAGGATTGTGAGTGGATGGATCCCCAGAAAACTATTCCCCTATTTGTGATGTAATGTCTCTTCCCCTCCCAACCAGGTTAAGGTTAGTGGCTGCGGGTTTTCCTCAGATTTCTCTCAGCTCTGAGGAGGTTCCTGGGTGTGGATGTGGCATGTCAGTCTCATACTGACTCCAACCGCAAACCTTAGCGGGGTCTTAGATGTACAGTAGATAATCCAAGTGCATGCTGCTATAAAGGTATTCTGTCTGCTTGTGAGAGAAAGTGTACTCTGGAGCCCACTTGGGGGATTCTGGTTCTTTCCTCAGTGCCTCCTTCTGTCTCAGCATGCCCCAACATGATCTATACTTTATATTTGCCCTGGAATATCAGATGTGGAGGAAAAAGTGTAAACACATAAACCATAGCTATGAAGGAAGCAGATTGAAAATCTTCAGATAAGTACCAGGTTTTAAGCATCCAAATGAAGGTTAAATCAAAATAATCCTTTTTAGACATTGCCTTTGAGGCCAATTTATGAACTGCATAAGGAAATCAGTCTTTTTATTTCATGCTTACAAAAACCAACACTAAAAACAACATTACCGATCTTGATCACTAACCTTATTTATTTGAATGACTTTTAACTATTTCCATTATTCAAATGGAAAGAATGTGACTTAGGCACTTAAGGCAACTCTGAAAAATAATTTTAAAAATTAATTTGAAAAATAATTTGAGTAGAGGTGGCATTATTAGAACAGTTAGAGCCTCATAAATTGCCTAGCTCAATAGGAACCATATATTTATGTTCTAAGTTCTAGTATGTTTGTATAAATATTTTTTTCTTTATCTCAAGCTGTATTTTATTAAATGGCTAAAAGAGCTGTCAGCCAACCTCTAAACTGCCCCATAATGATCTCTGTCTTATATTTACATCCTTGAGTGGGGCTGGACTTTGTGACTTGCTTCTCAGAATACAACAAAGGTAATGGAATATCACTTCTGAGATTAGGTTACAAAAATCTGACTTCCTTTTTGCTTGTGACCTCTTATACACCTCCTTTCTGTCGGAGACCTTGCTCTTGGGGAAGCCAGCTGCCAGGTTGAAGGTTGCCTTCTGGAGAGGCCCATTTGGCAAGAAACTGAGAGAAGCCTCTCATTAACAGCCAGTGATTACTGGAGCCCCTCAATCCAATAATCTGTGAGAACCTGAATTCTGTCAACAACCATGTGAGTGAGCTTGGAAGCAGACTTTCTTTAGTAGAGCCTTCGGATGAAACTGCAGCCCTGGCCCACACCTTGAATGCAGCCTTGTGAGACATCCTGAGTCAGAAGATCCAGCTAAACCACACCCAGATTTCTGACCCACAGAAAGTATGAGATAATACATGTTGTTTTAAGCCACTAAGTTTTGGGGGTTTTGTTACCCAATAGTAGATAATTAACACAAGGTCACTAGTATGACACAGGAGTAGATAATTAACACAAGATCACAAGTATGGTATGATCAAGGAAAGAAGCATTTATTTCTACTGTCATCTCCCTATGAAGAACATTATTCCAATACATCCATATACAATTTAAAATAATAAGATTTTACATAGTTAAGAATTCTAAATAGTGAATGAATAAATCTCGAAAAGGAACTGACTAATCAATGGGAAAGTTTCTTCCAAGACAGTTCTAGTAGAAGTGAGTATGATGGTCACCCACAATACCCATTGTTAGTATCATAGAATGTTAAAATTAATCTTTGGGGCAAAGATTGACTTTGATTGGGCATTTCCCTTTTTAAATCTCCATTTCCTCTTGAAAGGGAAAGTTGTTTTTTACTGATTTTATCTCATAACATTAAAAGTATTAATTTTCATAAGCAAAATATACTGGAATGGCTTATGGAGAGGGTATTAATTAAAGCAATTACATAAACAGAATCACATCTCTGCTCAAGTCTTATTTCATGCATGAGCTCATTTCATATCCTTTGAAGACAGCTGCTTTTCCAGGAGTAGCTCTAAACCTGCGTCACTATTGAGAGATGACCAGGTTGGCCAATGGCCAGTAGCTTGTTGATAGGAGAGTTTCTCCCCTTTTCTGGCCAGCAAGATCATCTGACTGAAACTGTCTTGTCTGAAAGTGAGGCAGCTGCATGAAGTCATAGCTCTAATTCAGCCTGGAAACAGCTCATGATGTTTTCTTACAGATTTGGTGAATGACTGTCCACAGAAGGGAGGTCTCACCATCTGAAGAAGGTGTATTTCTTGGATTGAGACTTGGAAGAAAGATACAAGTTCAGCTTCTTCTCTCCCATCCTTTCTTTCACTAATGGCTCCTTAAATAAACTGACTTGTTAGTGACATAGTGACTTCCCTGAGGGTCTTAGATTTTGTCAAAAACACCCAATTTATAAACCTAAACCAAGTAAGTTTACATTATGGGTGTATGTATTGACAGATTATATGTAAAAAAATTAAAATTACAGCCATGAGTTCCCCTTGTACAGTCCACAGCTAAAGTTCAGATTATGCCAATATTTCCATTACAACCCATAATTCTAAGAGTCAAAATGAGAACAAGGAAGAGAATGCCCCACAGGGGTCTGAGTATCTCTGAGAAGGGTAGCTTGGTGATTTTCCTGACTCAGACTTGGATGCAAATCTTCAAGCAAGTCAGAATGAAGATCAGATTTCAAGACGACTCAATAGATCTTGAATGAGAGATGAAATTCCTGATTTCTGTTGACGCAAGTCTGGTAATTTGCATTTCTGGCAGTCCACCACCCTGCTAGGCCTTCTGGGGCTGTCACTGAGGAAACATCCACAGTTTTCTATTGAATCTCTTGTATGAGAACTTTAGAGAAGAGCTAAGAAATGTGTTTTACTGGGGAACTTAAAGACTGTTATGGAATTATTTGGGGCTTCATCAGGGTGAATAGAATGTCTCAAGACAGCTCTCTGCTGTCCTGAATGTTGATGAATGAGGGTCCTCAACAAATGCCCATCTGATTCAGACCACTGATGCGAACTCTGCGCTGTCTTGAAGTGACTGGCCAAGAGCAGGGTGCTTCCTCTCAGACAACCAGTAGCTCCTTCTCAAAGAGCTGTAGCTCTGCTTTGCAGGTAAAGTTCAATGATGAACTTTACCTTTACTGCCCTATATGAGGACAGGAAGGGAGCATACCAATCAGAGCTGGAGAGTTGAGAGATTATAGGCTATGCTCAATGGCCAGTGGGATAGCAGATTGGATTTATGTTCCTAATTCTTAATTTCTTTCTTGTAATAGAATTATACTACCACATCCTTTGCCATGTGACTTTGCAGTGCTTCTCAAGAGAGTAAGCAGATTATATACCCTGATCCATTGACTTTGGTCTTGGTCATGTGACTTTGTTCAGCCAAGGAAATGTAGGTAGAAGTGAAAGGGTGTCAGTTCCCAGCTGAAGCCTTAAGAGATATTGTGTATTTCTTCTCGCTCCTTTCTTTTGTATTTCTGCCATCAGCCATGAGAATAACATGCTTGGGTAGTTTCTGGTCCCAGATTGAAAAGAAATATGGAGCAAATCTGAACCCAAGTTGAAGCTTAGAGCTGAGGTCAGCTGAGCCCAGCTGAGTTACAGGTGATCTTCAGATCCTTGAGGTAGAAATAAATGTTCATTGTTATAAACCACCAAGTTTTGAAGTTATTATGGAGAATTATTTCAGCAGAATCCTGACTTATACATCTAAGACCTTCCATCTTCCCATGTTCAGATAATAGGGTTATCGTTTTAGCTGAAAAAAACATTATTTATCATTTATCTCTATCCCTTCATGAGTGTACCAAAGCCCTGGTGGTAAGGTGACAAACCCCTGTGGTACAAGTGTTAGATGGCAGAGTCAGGGCCTGGCCCCAAATTTCTATATCTCCATGTCATGATACAGCAAAAATCCTTACTTTGCTTAGAAAATGCTTTTCCAATCAAGTAATAATGTTCTATATCTGTCTAAACATTAGATATACAGTGTAATAAAATCTAGCCAAGATGATCTATGGATAGATCAAGCTGAGGAACCAAAATGATTATATACTAGTTTTAGAAATTCTTCCCAGGACATTTTCTCATCAGCCTAGACACTATATATACACATTAAACATAAGGCAGGTGTCTAGTTCCTGAATTCCAATGCTGGATGGGCGAGACAGGAAGAAAAACATTCTATTAGAGACTGGATGTTGATCTGGTCTATCCCATAGTCACCCCTTTTATAGCTTCAGTTGCAAAAATAACTGTTAACTCTTTATATCTGTTCTAATGCAGACTTCAAGGGTAAGTTGAAGACTGTTTTTATCGCCATTTCCCTGAAGAACTTCTACAGTAGGTAGGGTTCAGTGGAATAAACGTGGTTTTCCTTGTAGGTGGCGGGTTGACACAGATGATCTTTTGCAATTCTTAATGCAATATCATTAAGAAAACATGTATTACTATTAGGTAATTTGATGTTTCTTCATTTAAGTAAATACATGGGCAAAGTTCCTGTTTTTAAACACCATCTCTTTACCATAAACATATCATCCTATAATTTTTTATTGCTTGACATTTTCCTACAGAATTTAAAAGATTTTGGGAAAACCATTCCAAAGGACACTCACTTCTTACTCATAAAGATGGCCTAAGGTACCCTTCACAAGGAACTGTGACAATGAGGGGCCTTACAAGCTCAGGCTATAGTTCCCTGAAAGGGACATGAAGTGGGAGACTGAGTTCCGTTTTCTTGGCTCCATGTCCAGCAGCTTCTCTCCACCTGCCTGTGGAATAGGCAATAAGTGCACCATGATGGTGGTAAATTACAAATTGCAAAAATTTGACTATCTCTCCCTGCCACACCCCACCAGCATCCCCCAGTCTGGAACTCAGCCCCAAAACTCCATGCTGATGTTGTGAGTGGTTGCCACCTACCTTTTACTGCATGCACTGCCTCCTAGATGTTCTACAGAGGCCCTGAAAAATGCAGACATTCTATCCTATGGATGCATAGGTCAGGGTTCTAACAAAAAACAGTTGACACGCTCAAAAAAAAGGATAATTAGAGGAGGATTTATTGACAAAGTTAGCATAGGAGAAACACAAAGGAGAGTGCAGTTATCTGTAACTTGTAGCAACCAGCTTGTTACCACTCAGGCTTGACAGCTTGTGGGGAGGGAATGGTTGCTGGAAGAGGGAAGGAGCTGGTGAGTCTTTGAGTTGTCATACAGCCTGCCGCCTGGAAAAGGTGGTTGAGGGATGCCTCTAGCCTAAGGCAAAACAGCAGGAAGGGAGCCAGAGGCATAAATATCCAGATCCCAATTTCCTCTGTCTAACTGATCTTCTGCAGATACTCTTTATGGGTCAAACACAATTGGAAGCCTGAGGGCATGGGGGCCTTGCTGATGCAGTCCAGAACTGCAGTGTCCTGGCAGACAGCAGGGAAAAGAAGTGTGGAGAGAGGAGTTGAGGGGACAAAGTAAAGATATCTAAGTAATGCATTCATTGATGCATCCTGACTGTCCTCGGATCCTTGGAGACATTTGAGTGCATAAAATGCTTCTAAATCACTCATGTAGAACACATATCCGGTAGTAAAACTTTTTGTTCTTCAATGACTGACACTAGTGTAAGTCCTGTGGATAATTCCTTAGCTCTTTCAAATATATTTATTTGCAAATCTCTGTACCTTCCCTCCAGATAGTTAACAGTTGGGGGTGTGTAAGGATTATGTAGCTTAAGGTGTGAAACGTGGAAGTCTCTGCCAGGACCACAGTGTAATTCTGTAACTGACGGGCATACCAGGGAACCGTGTCAATCTCTTAAATGTACTAAGATTTTCACTGACACTGCTAGGGATGTGTGTTTTGTGTTGCTGAACCTTGAAATAATCATGAAAACTTTGCATACAAGTCTTTAACTTTAGATTTCACTTTTGTACCTAGATGTTATATTCCTTCTAGATAACCACACAAAAACACATTTAGATGTCTCACCTACTGCTTTCAATGAAAGCTTAATAAATGTGGGGGAAGAAACCCTCAAGTGTCCTTCAAAAATATCCGGGAAACAAGAGCTCACACCCTTTTCTGAAACAAAGTCGAGTAAGGCACACATCCAATTCTGTTCCTTTCACCTGCTGAACTACAGCAATACGGCCATATCCCTGAATGGCCCCCTAAGAAACTCAACAAGTAACAGGCAAGCTCTGCCATGTTTATCACCTACAGTGATAAATATGCTACCGTAAGGTGATTGTCCCTTGTTGCCTTGCTGCAGAAGTTCAGGATTACTAGGTGATGACATCAGCAGAAGGAATCAAATATTGTATTCAAAATTGGAGTTGGAGTAGGATTAAACTGGATGAAGATAACATGCAAAAATGTCACATTCTGCACATACATATGGTCCTAAGGCACTCTCTGTATGCGTAATGTCCATAATGTCCGTAGATATCAGGCATCATCTAAGAAAAGATTGTTAGTGTTGTGGGACATTCAGATTCAGAATTCTGATGACAGATAATGTGTCATTTGTTCTTTAAGCATGTATGGAGTACTTTTGTCCCCAGCATTGTCCTATCTAACAATGGGAAATGCCAAAGAAGGAGACTACATTTGCTCTAAGGAGACAAGGGGTAGATTGATGGTCAGGAAATATACTCTCAAAACACACGGAGCAAAGAAATAAATGCATGTGGGAGATGCAATCTTTCCGGCCTCAGAAATGTAAAGTCAGTGTGAGTGAACTAAGTCAAAAGAAGTATTGAGAACAGCAGATATGGATGAACACAATGTACATGGATGGAAAGTGGTGGTAGAAAAATGTGTGTGTGTGTGTGTGTGTGTGTGTGTGTGTGTGTCTTTGTATGCATTGTATAAAGAATAGGAACTAATAGAGGGCCCTGGGAGCCACTCCCCTTGCCATTCTTCTTCATTGTTTCCTTACAGTTCTTTCAAATAGGCAGCCCCAGTGCCACACTCTCCATGCAAAAGGAAATTGAGTATAACAAGAAGATTAAAGGCTTGTTTGTTTTTTTAAAAAAGGTTCCGGATGGCCATATTCTTTCCTTCATGCAAGCCAAAGGAACATTTCTCAACACTTACCCCTATGCCAACCACAAAGTCCTAAATTTAATTTTCCCCTGAATCCAATTTTTAAAGAAGAGCATATCCAAATGTTACTTAGAAAGTACCAACAAGGTGTCAGCCTGTGGGGTGGCTGGATCACAGAACTTCAGCTTCTCATATCCTCTAATACCTTGTGAGTAGGCCTTAAAGCAAGCAGGAAAACAGTTTTTTTAATTTGAAAAATAGACACAAATGCCAATGCTATGGTAGAATTTGAAAGCTAAAAATAGATGACTAATGTACATATGTATTGCTTTAAAAGATATACATTTTAAATGAAAATTAACACTTAAATAAAAAATATTGCTGCTTTTTGTATATGATATTGATGGTCTGGCTCTTTAATCTAAGTTAGCCAGTCCAAGGATTGGGATTCTTCAGCAAATAAACAATCCAGGGTGGTATAACTAGAACCATGTGTAGAGTCTTTTACTACACATGGGGTGCTTTCTGTTTAATGATTACTCTCCACTGATAGCAGAACTCTCGAGATCACAGGGTATCTTTACTGGCAACGAAGGAAGAAAAGTACTCAGTTTCCCAGAGGATTGTTACACATAGAATTTAGGGAGAAATAAAATGGCGGGTATGTTTTGTATATTATTTGTAATATACAAATAATTAATATTGTTCACTTTCAGTTGCGAATGGACATTTTTAGATGATGTCTTAGTCTGTTCAGCTGTTGTAACAATGTACCATAGACTGGGTGGCTTAGACGGTAGACATTTATTCCTCACAGTTCTTTAGGCTGGGAATTCCAAGATGAAGGTGCCGGCTGATTTGGTTCCCGGTGCAAGCCCTCTTCTGGTTGCAGACAACCATCTTCTCATTATATCCTCACCTGGTGGAAAGATGATGCGTGCTATTGGGGGGAGTCTCTTTTATAAGGGCATTAATTCCTTTTATGAGGGCTTTACCTTCATGACTTAATCACCTCCAAAAGGCCCCACCTCCTAATAACATCATCTTGGAAATTAGAGCTTCGACATATGAATTGGGGGTTGGGGGGAACTCAAACATTCAGTCTGTAGCCTATGGAAAATGAAAGGGAAAAGGTACAAACCAAGTCACTCTACTTAATAACACCTTGTGTATTAAAAAATAATTCTCCCTAGAAATTTGATGGCTTTTACTGATTAGGCTTTCTTAAATTATTGGGACAGAGTTTCTAAAGTTAAGACAGCAAATGAGTGCCTTCGGCTGATACAAAATTGGCCTGTGGACAAGGTTAGAAGTAGGTATGCATTTATAAACATATAATCAGATAAGAAGCAGATAACGTGTTTCCTTCATTCAAGAAGCACATTCCTAGGAAGAACTAGGGCACCACATCCCATACGTACTCAGAGAAACAGCTGTGACAATTAACACTGAGCCAGGCAGAAATGCTTTTTGTGAGGAGTCAGCATCTGGCAATTTACCAGTCTCAGGCTAAGGTTAGAGACCATAATCATTCAAACACATGCCTTAGTTGGTTTCTTGTCCACAAGAATCATGGGCAATAAGATGGCTGGGTGTTATACAAGTGAGATTTCAAATGCAGACATTCCTCTAAACTTCAACTTTAGAAAAGTCGATCCTGCCCTCTGTTCATTCCAGAAAAATGAGTCCCCAATAATTATTTGATAGGACTCAGCAAAGCAGCCAGAAATTTTGATAGGGAGAGAGATGAGTGCTTCATATGAAAAATCATGTAGTGGTAATATTTAGATAGTTTATAGACTATTTCAGTGTTTCCATTTCTATCTTATTGTTTTGAAATGAATATTTAGCCCAGGAATTTCACAGCATGGTTATGTGCTCCTCTACCTTCCCCCCTACCCCCCACCCCCAAGGTTTTTCTCTCACAGATCTGAAGCTCTTGGCAGAAGATCTTCTGAAAATTTGCTTCTGGGAATAATCAAGAGGTGTACTTCAGGTACTACCCATTTGAAGATTCCCAAAATTGTCTCAGGTTATAATACCAGCCCTCAGACTTCCATATTTTACAACTCTGTGTTATTATTATGGGCTTTCAGAAAAGTAAAGGAAGCTTGGGCTGCAGTTTATCAGAAGGTGGCTTTCCTGTCAACGGGGGACCTGCTTGCCACATCTGAAGTTGTGTCATAGGCTGTACAGAACCAGTCTCTGCCCACTCGTTCCCCTGGGAATTTTGGACTTATCTGTAACTAAGTAATATGCTTTTCTTGGATAAGGAATCAACTAATTGCTTATTTTCCTTTGTGTTTTGCAAATCTGACTAATGTTGACTCAGGTAGAATATTATAAAGTTATTTATGCTGTGGGTGATAATTACTTGCAAATACATTTATAGTTAGAGTAAAGCTTCAGCAAGTTTACACAATTCAATTATTGAGCCCCGGGTAATGGCTTCTCCTCCTTCTTTTAAAAAATGTTATTAATTGTTCTTAGTTTACTGTTAATGAAGATGGTTTCCTGAGTCTTACCTCTTCAGCTCATTACACAGATCATCAATGTGGAAAATAGAGACAAGGGTAATTTATATTTCTTTGTGAAATGTAAATCTGTGATGGCTTGAATCTTGTCTTTGGAATGATTTATGTGTAGAATATATTAAATAGCACAACATTTGGTAGGAAGGTAATTAAAGAAAATAGTCATTATCTCACCAAGCTCAATAGCTACTTGCTGCTTGCTTTAGATACTTTCAGTGAAACTTAAAAATCTGGCAGTTCTTTATTTAAAAAGCTAAAATTTCTAGAAAAAGAAAATCATCTACAATTTGTGAATGAATTTATTAGTGATTTTTTTTTTTTTTTTTTTTTTTGCCAGTATACGCCAGCTACTATTGAACATGCTACAAATTACCTTTGGAAAAGATACAAACTTTAATCTTGTCTTTTCAAATGTTAATACGAATTAATTAACTTTTCTTTGGGTAACAGAGAATTAGATTTCCCCACCCAAGTTTTGTCTTGTTTCTCAAAATATTTTAAAATTGAGCTTTACCATCATTAAATGACTGGTGGTAAACAGGTTTATTTGGGAGGTATGTATTACTTGAAATAGTATTTCCAGGGAAAATTACTTGGGAATGTATGTGAACAGGTTTCACTGTTGAACAGTCAAACCTTTTTTAGGGGGAAAAAGTTTCCACAGGAAACTACCTCTGTGGTAATATAACCCAAAGCACACATTTTTTTGTACAATACTACCCATCAACATTGATTTTCATCTACCTTTTTCCCCACTAACAGGACTTGAAATAGTATTTCCTGGGAAAATTACTTGGGAATCTATGTGAACACTCAAACCTATGATATTTTTAAGTTTTATGAAACCTAAATTCACATTCCTTAGACAGAAACCTTAAGGCTTCTTAACATTAATGTTATGCCAGATTCCTTCAGTGTAAAACAAAAACAAAAATGTAACTGGAATAAAAAGTGCAGGGTGTGTATGTGTGTTGGTGGGGAGAGAAGAGGGTTAAGGAAACCATTTTGGTGGGAAGGAAAAAGACGTTACAGCTATTAGCTCTCTTCCTGGCCATGGCAAACCATATATTCCCCAAAGATGTCTGAAACAGTATCTCCCATCTCACGCACTCTTCTACAATGTGGTTTTGACACTCCTTCCATCATGGAGGGGTGGCCATGTCCCCTCTCTGTGAAACTGGGTGGGCTTTGTGGCACTATTCAACCGATAAACTATGACAGAAGTCACACAATGAGACTTCTGAGGTTAGTTCATAAAAAGCCACTCAACTTTCCACCTTGCTCACTGTAACACTAATGCTTGGCATCCTGGGTCTCCCTGTAAACAGTCTAGTCTCCATGCTTTTAGGAAGTCCCACATGGAGGGACTATGTGGAGAGGCCCTGTGACTTCATGAAGAGTAAGAAAGATGCCCATCCAGGTCCTGGTTGCTCCAGTCCCCCACCTATTCCAGCTCTAGTTACTACCTGACTGCAACTGCAGCAAGAAATTTTATGCCAGAACCACCCCAATAGAGCCCTTCCTAAATTCCTGACTTGCAAAAGCTTGGAAAGATAATACAGTGACTGCTGCTTTTTTAAAGCCAGAATTTTGGGGTGATTTGCTATGCAGCAATAATAACTTGCACACTGACACGCTGGCTGGGGATGAGGCACTGAATGGAGTGGGGATGGAGGTGGGGGTGAGGGAGGTTCATCTCTCTGTCTTCCCTATTTTCACCGTATTTCCTCAGGGCTCTTCTTCCTCCGCACCTAGTTACTGGCCATCTGCTCCCATAAAGGAAAAAAAATTCCTAAACTGTGGCATTTTAAAATTAAAAAGGGTCTGCCCTACACTGGCTGGGAACCTCTTCTCCTGGGTGTAAGGCCAAAGTGATAATATCTCTGTAATCCTCCATGAGGCCTCAAGTTGCAAAGAGCCTAAGAGAACCAGTTGAAGTATGCACATGGTATCAAACAGCAGGGGCAACTCAACACAAATTCCTTGAGAAAAAAAAGCAGCCCCTGCCTTCAAAAGGCTCATGGTCCTATTAAGAGAAATAGATGTGTAAAGCGTTAGTTGCCTTGAGGGGGAGTGCTAGATGGGAGTATGTACAAAGTACCATGGGAACATAGAGGAGTTGGGTACAAGACAGCTTGACTGTATCCTGTCCTGGCCTAGGCAGGTTGCCACAGTTCTCTCTCTTTCCTCCTCCTCCTCTAGCCACTAATTAAATTGCTTGTTCCCTAATATGGAGATTCTCTTCAGAATCTCCAAAAAAATTTCAGAGATCTAATATAGAGGCTATGTCTTATTCTCAAGCAATCGGGGCAAATGATGATCAAACATATATTTAGTGCACCAAATAGTCATTTCTCAGCTAAGATCAACTCATTTCTGATTTTTTTTTTTTTAAATCTCCTTTCTCACCACAGGCCAGTCCTATTTCCTGGTGCAGGCAACAATAAATGGTTGTTGAACTGAATTAATCTTAGAAGTAACTAGTATATTTCCAGGGTTTCATGATCCCTTAACCATAAAAGACAAGCATATGATTATGAAAATAAGGTTAGAGCTCTCACAACTTAGTTTATATGAGAAGGAAAGGCAGCAGATGTGATTGATGATGGTAGGGAGAATGGGAGAGAATGTGTTTTGAAAATTAAAATATATTCCAAATTTTTGGGCTAAGAAAGTTAAATACAAATCAGGCCTTTTCGTGCTAAACTTTGTTTGCACTGGGTAAAGTGCAACTTCCTGTTTTGAAGATTAAGTTTTCGTAGGTTCATAAGGTCTCTTGGGGACTCACTCATCTCCTATCAACATAACATTTGAACCATTTTAAATGTAAATTAGGGAAAATATGGATTGGATTTCATTTGCAACACAACCTAAATAAGAGAAAGAAAAAAATAGATTTGGAAGTTATTGCAACCATTTGAGAGCTCCACATCCTGGTCAATTTCCATTCTCCTCAACCAGCAGGAGGCCTGCCAGGCCCAGCAGCTAAGACTTCATTCCTCTGTCAGGACAATGGGCATCAGTTTGACCTCTTGGAATCACTAAAAACAAACACTAAGTTGTGGTTCATATCCCTGAATTCATTGGGGAGATGCTTCTATGAAACAGTGAAAGAGTTCAAGAACAGAATACTCAAAAAGAACGACAATTCTTTCTTTGGAGTGTAATTAAGAACACTGAGGCATCTAACAAACAGCCGTTTTCTTGTGCAGTGTTCTCACACTTAAGCATGCATCAGAATCCCCTGGAGGGCTTATTAAAACAGGGACGGCTGAGCCCCACCACCAGAGTGTTTGAGTCCGTAGGTCTGAGCTGCGGCCTGAGAATTAGCATTTCTAACAAGCTCCCAGATGCTGCTGGTCTGAGGACCACATTGAGAACCACCATTTTGGTGGGCAGACACACAATTGTGGGCCTTCTTCAAGGGGGGTAGGAAATCTGCATGCTTTGTATTCATTTATTCACTGATTGATTCAACAGACTGGGCACATAGCCACTCCATACCCACATAATGGGTCGGATATGATTGGTTTACAATGAATGTGCCAAGGTTTCTTAAAACAATTATTTTGGCTTACTCAAGATGAAATACCTTCACCCATTCTTGTTTATGCTATAGTAATTTTCTTTTCTTTTCTTTTCTTTTCTTTTTTTTTTGCCTTTTTCAGAGACTTTTATTTGAGTGGTTCTTACAAAGATTGTTGCAATATGAAAGTCATTTATTTGATAGAAATATCAAGCTGTCTTGTCAAACACACTGAAGTAACCCAAAAATATACTTCAGAGCTTACAGAGCTTAAAAAGAGCAAAGATTATATGCAACCAGACAAAACCTATTTCTGCATTTCCTATTTCTTTCTCAGACTGCTTTGCTTACCAGACTCTCACTGAACATCTTCAGGAAATGCAGGGATCATTTTGTTTGGAATTTTAAGACACACCAGAACGCATAGTATTTACAAAGAAACTTTTACAGATAAATTAATTGAAAAGATAGCATCAAGAAATATTATAATTTTGAAATCCCCCTTTCTTGCCAATTGATCAGAATGCAAGATGAGATGCTAACCAAACAGCCCTTTAGCTGTCTTGTATTCCCATACACTAAATGTGTATTTCAGAAACCTGCTCAACCATTAGCCAAATATCAACATTGGTGAAATGTGAAATGTAACTGCTGTGTAAAAAGTTAGGCTTCTGAAACATTAAAAACATTACATCCTGGTCTGCCTTTTTACAGAAAGCACATTTGTTCTCCTAGAGCTATTCCTATAGTTCATTAATTTTTTTACACGAACATTTTAAAAGGCAGAACAAGAGAACAGTTTTGTATACAGTGAGATTTGCTCTTTAGGGAGAATGAGCACACTGCATTCCAGTTAACATTTTTATTTTTTCAAGGTAACGGGAATTGTATACAAATGACAGTAGATCCTTGCCTCTTTATTTTTATCTAAATAAAAGATAACTCAAGATGAATTCTCAAGAAAGAAGAAAAGCTATATACATAAGGGACTATATCTTCCTTCATCGTCTACTTGGAACCAGTAGTTGTGTTGCTGTCATAGAATCAGGAAACAGGTTGTGGTAAGTTGGAAGAGGTACATATGCTGCTGTTATCATTTTACCAGCAAACCACCTGCCATGCAATGCATTGACAGCAGCAATAGCTGCAGCAATTGATGAGCACTTCACATAGACATTGCCCTGAGCTGAATTTTTGTCAACATAAATATGAATAATTCCTCCATGTTTATTACATTCCTCAATCACATCGTCCTTAATCTCTGTATCCCATCCAACTTCTTCTGTTTGAGGGTTAAACATGTTAGAGAGTTGGAAACACTGTGTTGCAAGTGGCTGAACAGAAGCAGCTGCAGCTAAAGCTGAAGCTTCAGTCTGCTGGGAAAGTCTTGTTTGCAAATCCATAACAAAAGAAAATTCTGCCACAGCACCAAATGCCAAAGAGCCACTCATTTGTAGAGCTTGCTGTGCTGCTGGTGGAATCTGCAAACCTGTATCCTCTGCAAGTCTTGCCACTAACTGAAGACGACCAGTTGTTCCCAAATCAATTCTAGTCCTTTCCAGTTCATCACTGTCCAAAAATGAACTAGTACTCGAAGCATCAGCACGTTCAATAACATGACCAACTTTCATTGGCCTCCCTGCTAGTTCAAATCCATTAAATTGTTCCAAAGACTTTTTGGCACATTCTGAATCAGAAAATGTAATAAATCCATATCCCTTGGATCGACCAGTTTCACTGTCTATCGTCAGCTGGATACTTTCAATCCTTCCGAAAGGCTCAAAGAACCCACGAAGCGTATCTTCAGTTATGTTAAAAGTGTAATGAGTCCACCTAAAGCCTCTTAGGTCCAGCACTTCCCTTTTGTACATTGTTTGCCATGGCTGCAGCTCTGTTTTTTTCTGCCTGTGATGCCTGTACTATGATTGGCACTCCTAAAACTCGTTGGCCAGTTAATCCTATTGTTAGAGGCACTGAACTAACACCCACGAACTCCACGTAAGCAATTCCTTTGGAATGTCTTGAATTTCTATCGGAAATCATCCTCACGCCTCGAGCCTTTCCTACTGTAGAGAAAAACTCTTCCAAATCCTTTGGTCGAATTCCTGCCGCCAGCTGCATACAGAAGACTGTCCTTGCATCTCTTTCCTCAGGAGTTAGATTATCAATAGGTTCCCTCACAGGGCTCTTGTCTTTTCTGAGTGGACTTTTGCTTCGGGAACGTCCTATGCTTAATTTGATACTATAAGGCAATCCAGTCTTTCCTCAGATGGCACTGTTAAATTTTGGTCCGCAGTAAGGACTTCTGTAGCGGCCTCTAAATCTTCAATCTCGACTTCTTGAGCGGCTCCGTCGCCTCTCTGCTTCGACTTCGCTTCCTTTCACGGCTTTTGCTCTTTTTCCTTTCTCGATCTGTACTTTGCTTCCGTTCCTTACTTTTGCTTCTCTTTCGTTCACGACTACGACTTCTGCTCTTGCTTTTTTTCCTTTTTTTGCTACGTTCTTCATGGCCGTTGGCCCTGCTCAACTTGTTCTCATCCTACTTGTAAGGAGCCTCAAGCATTGCTTCAATATTAATATCGTCTGCCATTTTCTCTAAACGCCTCTGTCGGCTTTCGGGCGCCTGTGGTGCTCGTGTTTGGGAAGAGACTGCGGCTGCTGCCACCGCCGCTGCTGTTGCTACTGTTACGCCCCTACGCCCAGGCCGCGGGACCGCCCAGCCCGAATGTAGGGCTGCGATGACAGCTAGGCCCAAGCGAATCTCAAAACAACAATGGAATTAGAGAAGCCCACGCGGGGCCGGGCGCGGTGGCTGGTGGCTCAAGCCTGTAATCCCAGCACTTTGGGAGGCCAGGGCGGGCGAATCACGAGGTCAGGAGTTCGAGACCAGCCTGGCCAATATGGTGAAACCCCGTCTCTACTAAAAAATGAAAAAATTAGCCGGGGGTGGTGGTAGGCGCCTGTTATCCCAGCTACTCGGGAGGTTGAGGCAGGAGAATTGCTGGAACCCAGGAGGCAGAAGTTACAGTGAGCCGAGATAGCGCCATTGCACTCCAGCCTGGGTCACAGAGTAAGACTCTGTCTCAAAAAAAAAAAAAAAAAAAAAAAAGAAAAAAAGAAAAAGAAAAGAGAAACCCACGCGGAAACAGCAGGACGGCAGCTTCGGCAGCTCAGGATCCACCCCTGCGACGGCGTTGGCAAGCTCCCTGGAATGGCGGCCGCTGCTTCACGCTGTAGTAATTTTCTTAGCACATTCTTTCTTCAGAGAAAGTGCAGAGGTAAACGTCAGCTAAATTAAATTTAACATCAGCTAAATTAAATCATCATGCATTAATGTACTCCCAATCAATCAAACCTTACTGCATTTAATGCAACAATTTTGTATGTTTCAATTTAATTATCTGATGTTGACAGCGCTTTACTAGTACAGAATTCTACTAGTTAAATAATTTTCTCATGAATTCTTATTTACACTCTTAGATGGTCAGCATTAAAATGCAACCAAGGGTCAGTTATTCAAGGGATTACCTTCAAGCTAAGAAAAGGCAATGTAGGACTCTCTACTATAACAAAAGTATACTTCTGTCAACACAGAGAGATCACACCGACTCTCATTAAATAGTTACTGCACAGGATAACATAAAATTATAAGGATGAAAAGATTCTTCCTTCTCAGATCTGTACCTTTCCAATCATTTTGACACTCTGGACAGGAGATCTCATATCCACCTACTTTTTTCATGTGTTCAGTTCATAAACACAAGCTTGTAGGACAATTGGCTGCCACTCTCTCCGTGAAAAAAATCTCATATTTGATACTGATGCTTTGAGAAGGTTTCAGCAATTGAGGTTCATGTAAAATGTGAATGTGACGAGGCAGCAGGAAGTAGTAAAAGGAGCATGGGATACGGAGTCAAAAAGGTTTGAACTGTACCTCTGCAACTTTCTTTCCTGACCTTCTCTGACTTTTCACTTCATCATCTTTAAGAGTAGAAAAAAGAAAAATAGCAATCATAAGGGGTTCCTGTGAAGTTTGGAAAAAAATTTAAGCAAAAACTACAGCAAATTATGCAAATTCTATTACAAATTATATAGGATATATAAATTCTGTTACGTGTGTTAGACCTTGTCAATGAACATGTTGCTTCTATTATTTTTGATTGATGGTTTTGGACTGTACCTAGCCATATACTGTATTCAGATAGGTCTTCTTGGTTTTATTTTCAATGATTGCTGTTTGACCATGAAACAAGGTAAATCTCATGTGACCTGTACCCAGAAAGAACTCCTTGGCCCTAACCTCATTAGAACCATGCTTTATGGGATATGTCATCCCAGGTTATATCCAAATGGACCTCAGAGAAGACAACAGGTTACATCTGTTGGCACAACTTACACTAAACGGAAAATTGATGTTATCTATTGATTGGGACCTCCATTCATATGTTTTGGTCTGCTAGGGCTGCCATAAAGCATAACAGACTAGGTGGCTTAAACAACAGAAATCTATTCTTCCGCAGTTCTGGAGGCTGGAAGTCTGAGATCAAATTATTGACAGGGTTGTTTTCTCCTAAGGTCTCTGTCCTTGGCTTGAAGATGGCTACTTTCTCCTTGTGTTCCCATAGGGTCATTCCTCTGTGCATATCTATGTCTAAATCTTCTCATAACAGTTCTACTGGATTAAGCACCACCCTAATGACCTTATTTTAACTTAATTACCCTTTTCAAGAACCTATCTCCAAATACAGTCACTTTTTGAAGGACTAGGGGTTAAGATGTTAACATATGAATTTTGGGGGGGACATAATTCAGCCCATGATATGATATATACACCTATTACTTCTTATTTATTGTATGGGATATAGATAAAAATATTCTTATGTGAGTCCTTTTTATACTTAAATAAATATAGTGTTTTCCAGGCCAAGGTGGGCAGATCACGAGGTCAGGAGATCGAGACCATCCTGGCTAACACAGTGAAACCCCATCTCTACTAAAAATACAAAAAAATAGCCAGGCGTGGTAGTGGGCACCTGTAGTCCCAGCTACTCAGGAGGCTGAGGCAGGAGAATGGCATGAACCCGGGAGGCGGAGCTTGCAGTGAGCCGAGATCGTGCCACTGCACTCCAGCCTGGGTGACAGAGCGAAACTCCGTCACAAAAAAAAAAAAAAAAAAAAAAAAAAAAAGTGTTTTCCATGTATGCTACAAGTGGTTTTGACCACCAGAGGGCTCCTGTATTTATGCAATGAAACACAATTATAATACAATGACGCTTTCAAGATTAAATATAAAGTTGATTGTGAAAGTTAAATACTTGATATCTGTGTATCTTCAGTGAATCAATCCTTAAGCATCCCAATGCCTAACCTGATGATGATAATGATGATGGTGATGATGATGATGGCTGCATTTATTGAGTAGCAACCGTGAGCCACCCCTGTACCAGGTGCTTTACATAATATGATCTAATTTAATATACTGAACTTTCCTGTTACATTCAATGTTTTGTATTATTTCAGTATTATAAATAAAGTATCTATGACTTGGAGAGGTTAAACAACAACACACAGCTAGCAAGAGGCTAAGTGGAAATTTGAATCACTAGCATCATCATTAGCACTAGTTTCATCATATAGCCTTTAGAAGACAGTTCCTAATTAGCTTCAAGGGGTTCGTGACCCTCCTGAAATACTATACAAAATATGCGAGTATGTGTACAGTGCAGAGACGAAACGTCCAAATTTGTTGTTTTGTTAAGAAGCTCAGCTCCACTCTGAAGTCTAGGAAATGTAGATAGCATGGCAGTCAAGGTTGCTCTAATCTACCCCCAATCCTTTTTGTTTTCATTGCTTGATTCATAGTCCCTACAATCCCTCCTCTAAAAGGTTCTCTAATGGATAGATGACTTCTATTACCCCTTTAGTTTTATCAGTTGTTTTGTCCTGAATGTATCTGGCTGAGTTTTCTCTCCATATTATCTAAGACTCCTAGCTGCAAATAACAGAAACACAACTTGTGCCTGGGAAACACAGGAGGGGAGCTGGCCCCAGGAACACCCTAGAACCAAGGATTTCAACTCCAGCAGGACCATGACTCATCTCCTACTACAGACGAGCTTTTTCCATCTGATGGTAGCTTGGTGTAAATGTTTTAGGCTTATGTCCTCACAGTCTTGGGGCCAGAAAAGGAAAGAGAGCTCTTCCCTGTCAGCTCTATTTAGAAAAGCCCAGGGAAATGACTGATTAGCCTGGCTAGGAGCTCACACCCATCCCTTGAGTAATCACTTTTCACAGGAAAGTGGCACTATGGAAGTCCAGGCTTCAGTTACATGCTCTCATCTCTGATCAGGTGGGTGGGATAGCATTAAGGGCAGCTCCCTGAAATCACATGGATGAAGTTAGGGAGGAGCGGCCTCCCAAGGAAGAAACATGCTATTACCAGAAAAAGAGGGAAGAGGCGATGGGCCCACAAACACATTGAAGATCCACCATAGCAATGACTTTAACCACAAGAGGCAATCCCTTCTCCTTCCTGCCTCAGAAAAGAGCACAGCAGAGCTGGTGGTTTGCAAGAACCTGAACCTATAATTAAGTTCCAAGTTGACCTTGGCTCCTACATTCTCAGAATTTTTTATTTTTTATTTTTATATAGAATTTTTTATATTGTTATACCTAGCAAAATTGAGCACTACTATGCATTTCAGCATGTTGTTTATTTTGGTACTCCAAAGTGCAGTTGTTAATGATATAGAACACTTTTTGTTCTACGATCTCTCTAAACATACAAACATCTATTATGTATTGATGCAAGTGACTGGTATGGATGGACTTATTTTGTTGTCGGTGCATTCTTGAGTCCCTGAAGGTTGCATGTACACATGCCCATTGAGACCCACTTCTCCAACTGAAGTGATTGTGGGGACTTTGCAACAAATCCCTGGACGTAAACATTCTTTGGGAAAGAAGTTAGAGGAAAGAGGGGAAACCCCCGTGTGGGGTTCTGCTTTTCTTTGTCTTCCAGATCTAAAGTTCTCTCTATTCCTTCTCCTCTTTCCACATCTAGTTTACAATCTCAGATCTTAGCATCTCCTCTGGGAAGCCTTCCTGGGCCCTCTGGGCCTGTATTAGGTCCTCTTCACTATGCTTCTGGGGGTAGTGGAGATACTAGAGAAAGAGGTTGGAGAGGAGCTGCTAGAGCTTTCAGTTTTAGCTTTGATTCTTGCCCCTTGCTTTCCCATATGCTTTTGGTCAAGACAGCCTTCACTTCAATTTCTATAAAGATAGAATTAGGTAAACAATAAGGCAACTCTTCTCCAATGTTTACTGTAAGTATACATGAAACAATATTTGTGATTTCATAGGGTGCTAGGCTGTGTGCATGAGGCTCTCAACAAATGCTAACAGGAAATACATGCCGTGGTAGAATAACACAGAAGAATAACCACTTATTGAAAAGTTGTATGTCAGCATTGTACTAAGTACTTTATATGCATTATCTCGGTTGAACTTCACAGCAACCCTAAATAATACACATTATTATTTTCATTTTACAGACAAAGTAACTGAATGCTCCACATCATTCAGCTAGTAAGCTGCACAGCTAGGACTTGAACTCAGACCTCACTGATTCTAAAACCTTAGCACATAGCAAACTGTTAAGACTTCTAAATAAATTCAAGAACAGTACAGCCTCATTATAAAGCTCTTCACTGTCCTCTGCATTTAGTTACGTTTGGAATCTACTCGACTTGGCCTTCTCCTCTGTGTATTTTGTGATCGTTGGAAAATATTTCCCACTTTAATCCAGGATGCTTATTATTTAGGCCTTTTCTTTTCTTTCTCAGTAGAACTAAAACTCAAGTCTATTGTATCATTATTTAGTATCTCATCTTTTCTGCTACAAGTCTTCCAAACACATTCTTGGATGTGTGAGGAAAATAATTAGGTCCAGGCAGACTACAAACTAGCTTGGTTTAAAAAAATTTTTGGAACATTACCTTGGATTAGGAGTTGAGCACATACATATAATATGCCATATTCAGTGTGATGATGACCTTCTATGGGAAATGACTGAGTCCACCCTGCCTTGTTACACTTTCTCCTACCCCATCCTAGCTGGTCCATGCTCTAGATTTCAGGCCTGAGAGTTAAGTCTCTCCTTTTCCCCAGGGTTCTGAGCTGGTGATCACCCAGCCTTGTCTGCTGCATCCCTGGATCTCCAAAGAAAAAGGGTCAGAAACACTTCACTTTTTAATTTCTTTTTAAAGTGGTTGATGCTACATTTCTAATGGCAACTTTCATCCATTATGAAAGTACTGAACCACTGAGGTAACATGATCTCAATAGCAGCTATGTATTTCATTCACAAGATGATCTTTGCCTAAGTCAAAAAGCTTGAATAATTCCCCCCTCCCCGATCCTATTTTCATGATGTTTAAGTTTTGGCTTCCAAGAACTTCAGACAAAATACACAGACAGGGTGGCATATCGTATGGCAAAATGAGCCACAGGTCATGTATGCCAGAAGTCTGAGAAGAAAAAAGTCAAATGAAAACAAGTGTGTTGGGCCAAATAATAAGAAATAAACAGAAGTGAAGTCAAATCACAAACCAAGCCAGAAAAGAAACAGTAACCCCATAAGAAAACACACTTAAGGAAATCAGCAAAATGCGTAGCCAAAGGAACATCAGGAAGGTTGTTCCCAGATGGCCATCTCTCCTGGGCAGTCTCCCCTTGGGGATGGAAAGTCTTTGGCAGGCAGCCAGACTAGGTGGCTTGAGCCCAGAGCAGGGCACTACCCGTGGAAGGATCTGGGCCTTGTTGACCTTTGGCAGCTTTTAGTAAGCAGAAGTCAAGGGATTCTTTCCTCAAAGCCCAAACCTTCTTAGGCTGGGCTCAGTCCTGAGGCTCCAAAGTGAAGGGCTGGGGAAATGGGGTATGGAACAGAGAAATAAGGAGCCTCCTCATTTCCCAGAGAAACCCAGATACCAAGGAGGAAAAACAGGTTGTGTAAAGACCATGTACTTTGTAGTTCCACAAGGCTGGGTCTGAGTCCTACTCCTCACTCATTCTGTGACCTGGGCTGATTCATTTTCCTTCTCTGAATCTCACTTTTCTCATCTGTGAAAGGGGAATGATAATAGCACTTATCTAGCAAGGTTACAGTGGAAAGAAACGAGATAATATATGTAAAATGCTTAGAATTGTGCTCAGAATGGCATGTTAATGATTGGTAGGAGAGCAGGAAAGGGATACGGGGTTAACCAGGGAGTAGCAGAAGTTCTATAAGGCAATGAGGGAATAGTGGCTTGCCCAGGAATCTCTGCTCTTGTGAACATTTTAGTCATGGTTTTCTTATTCAGAATTTCTTGTGAGTGCTACATCTCTCTGACGAGTAAGTCCTTTGGGACCTCCCAGAGAACGAATTTGCCATTCCCAAATACCCTCAGAATTGTCTGGAACAAATTCCTCATGCAAAGATCAGGTGTGGTGTGAGTTCTCTGTGACGGACCCCAAAGATCCTGGCATCTCTGGAATTTCCTGGGTATCAGGAATTGGGTCCAGGGAACCAGCCACCCAGCATGGCTGGCTGCAAAACAAATACATGCACCAAAGAGAGAATGGAAAACAGCCACCACTCCTGTGGGGTTTCCCTGAGCTTATCTGAACCTTCACGGTCTCTAATGGCTGAATCAACATGCAGCACATGAATATAGGAAAAATAAAGATAAGGTAAAGAAAATAAATATTCACTCTGCCTTAATCTCAGTCAGTTTCCAAAGGGTCTATTTGCATTATCTATCTGTCTCAATTGTCTAGTGACAGAGGGGACACAGTTCCCTCAAACTGGGTGACTCCATCATTGGTGGAATATCAGAGGTTTTTTCCATAACATTTTTTCTTCCCTTCCTTTTATAGCAACATGGCTGCTATCTTAGCCAAGTTTAGTCTATTCTCTGTCAAGTAGGAATATTACTGCAGGGTGTATGAACAGTTTGGAATCCAAGTTTTTAAAGTTCCACATTGCAGATCCACCTTTTTTGTCTTAGAGGTTGTTGGATAATCAAAAATTATTTTATATTGCACATAACATGGGTCACATGGACATTTATCTTCCAACTATAGCATTCCTAGTAGCTCTTCATGGTAAAATTGTTAGGTAAGTGAATTTTTTTGACCCGTTTATACCTTCTTTTTGGTGTTTATTCCCTATCTAAAGCTTACATCTTCCTCAGAGCCCCCAAACAGACCCCCCACACTTGCACCCCCAGCTCAGCTAGGCTTTCTCTACCCAACCTCTTTGTACACTCAACAAAAATAAGTGGGACCTGAGTTCCATTCCCTCAATTCCAGGAGGTATCTTGTTTGGCAAAGTGACAACTAATTTGATCAATGAATCACTGCTAGCATGTGAATGTCCATAATGGATACGTGTATAATCTCTTTTAGGGAATAGATTTCCATTTTAACAAGAGTTTTCTGAGGTCTTAATGTCTTCAGTTAACCCAAAAGAGTGGAGAGAAGTCTGTGTATACATTCGGGGCACTGACTATTGCCTTCACGATGCTGATTGTTTGCAACCATCAAACATCATAATGTGTCTTGAAAAAGCATCAGTTAAATCCTTGAATTGGGAAGGTGCATGTGGACAGCATCAATGGCAGCCTGGCTATGCTACAGAAATACTCCAGAAGCTTTTGTCTTTTCAGGCTTGAACTATTTTATTTATACTGTTGCTGCTATAAGGGTGGCCTTGAGGATATTAACTGAGTCACCATTAGAACTGAGAAATTCAACCCTGCCTTTGTCATCAGCTAGCTTTGTGGTCCTGGGAGAGTCTCTTAACCTTTCTGGGTCTTGGTTTCCTCCTTTTATACTTGGAAGAGTTGGACTAAATAATCTCTAACATCCTAATAAACTTGAAAGTTCTATAATTTTAAAATCCATCGGTGAAGCCTGCTAGGGTGTTGACTAAGTGTTGAACACTGACGTATTCTCAGTGGGGTTACTTTAGGGCATTTTTATAATATCTCACTGGGGACATTGTTTTTTGTCTGCAGATTGCTATCTTGCCACAGAGGGTTCTTTTGCATTGCTCCAAGTGCTGAGTTGCAAACCCATAAACAGTGTCTTAACAGTTTTATCTATCCAAGAACAATTGGATGGCCAGTGAGTATTTCTTCTACATGTCTTCAGTGTACTTATTTTAGCTGTACTTGATTCCAAACTGAAGTTTTGGGTTAGAGTATTTGTCTCTATACTTATTTTGGTCAGCAATTTTGTCTCTCCAGTTCAGAAGGTCATATCGTTGAACAACTGCATGGGAGACACTTGAACTGTTTCAAACTTAGTGCCTCCACTTTACTTCTTTTACCTCTCAGACTCCCAAGATAGTCTCCTGACAATTCCAAACATCATTTTATCTCCCAACGTGGATCAATGTGATTTAAAATCATTGTTTTCTCTAGATATCCCACTTCTGGATATATATCCAACATGATTGAAAGCAGAGTCTCTAAGAGATATTTGCACACCCATGTTTGTAACAGCATTATTCACAATAGCCAAAAGGTGGAAGCAACCCAAGTGCTTTCCAACAAAATGTGGTATATACATGCAATGGAATATTATTCAGCCTTAAAAAGGGAGGAAGCTCTGACATACGCAACAACATGGATGCACCTTGAGGACATTATGCTAAGTGCGAAAAGCCAGTCACAATGAGAAAAACGCTGCATGATTCCACTTATATGAGGTATCTAAATTAGTTAAACTCTTAGAAACAGAAAGTAAAATGGTGGTTGCCAGGGGCTGGAGGGAGGGGAAAATGAGAGCTGTTTAATGAGTACAGAGCTTCAGTTTTGCAAGAAGAGAAAGTTCTGGAGATTGGTTACATAACAACAATGTGAATATACTTAACACTACTGAACTGTATGCTTAAAATGGTTAGGATGATGAATTGTATGTGTTTTTATCACAATTAAAAGTAAAATAAAATTTAGAAATATAATTAGTTTCTGCCACTACTTCAGGTTCAACAAATCTACCACTGAGGCTCACTAGGTTGCTGTTTAGGCAAGCTGCTAAGAGCTGTGTCTGGTCACCTTGTTCTGTCTGTAGCATGTATGTCTGTAATAAGTCTCCTGGGTAATATATTCTGAATGCCAAGTTGAGCTCATAAGTTAGTGTTAAGTCTCAGCTTCAGAAATCTTGTATTTTCACCTGTTTACCTCAAGGGAATGCAATTTTGGGTATAAATCATACCCCAAGAGTGCTATCGATATTCTCTTGCAACTTTAGGCATCATCTCAGGAGCTAAGCCGATAGCACTCCTATTGGAAACATCGACATAGCAATCACCCAAACAGCCCCCAAGAGACTTGAAGGATGGCACGAGTCTCATACTCTGTCTCATTCACTTTTCACACATACGTGATGCTTAATAAATGTTGAAGTGTAAAGAGATATATCTCCCAAGGCTGGCTTCAAGGGTGTGAGATCTGTGTAGTCATACAGGGGTCCACCCTCAGAAGGGCCCTGCACTTTGGTTTTATGTCCTGCTGTCATTTTCTTGAAATTCTTAATAATTTTACTTTTGAACTTACATTTTGTTAGCGAGGGCTGGTTGGACAATGGAGCATGAACATGGGTAGTGGAGACGCGAATGATATATGTGTGTGCTGTTCCTGGCTGCCTCATTGGCATATAGAGTTTGCAATGCCTCTGAACACAGAATTTCAGTGGAACCATTGTGTGTGTGAATTCACAGAGACTCACTCAAAGGGTGTTACAGCTACACCTGAGTAGGCAGGGGAGCTGGCAGCCCTGAGAAGCCACACTTTCCATTTGAACTGGAACTTGCTTCGATTTCAGAACTAAGGCAATGCCGTTCTAAGAAACATGGAGGACCAAGGAACCCCATCATATTCTTTCTTAGTTGTGTTACTTCCACATGTTAGCCAACCACTGAAAATGGTGCAATAGAAGGAAAGAGAATGACAGAGCAACACATTCCTTTTCCTTTTACCTCTTCCTTACTTCTCAGGAAGCCAAAGACTGAGTGTTGATGGAATGTGTGCATATGAATAAATGAAATAAAAACAGTTGAATTAGTTTTGTGCAGCATTTCCACTCCTTTGGTAAGAATAAAATACACATAAATGTATGAATGATGATATCCAAATTGTGTAATTTCTGATGTTTCCACATATGGGTCAAATGCTCTTATATTTGCATTTATAACTGGCATCGTGTAATATAAGATGAATGGTAAATTTATGCTAATAATTTAAAATTTTAATTTTTCTTTACTTAGAACGACATTAAAAAGCAAATGAGAAATACCATGACAATTCAAGAGAGAAACCTCAGAAGAAAAGAAAAAGCTTTATGTATTTATGCCTTTAATGGCAACTTTTTTTCCTGTTTTTTGAACAAGAGGACCTGCATTTTCATTTTGCACCGGGCCTTCAGATTATATAGCTGGCTGTGATGTCCCTGCAGCATTTGGCTAGTGAGATTTCCAGGGAAGTGGTGAGAATTGTAAAAGGGCCTCTGTATTTCAGGGGCCTTGAAATTAAATTCATGTCCCTGGTTCCAAGGACTAAAAAAACCTCAAAGACACAGTCCTTGCAAGCTTGTTTTTTGCTTTTGCTCCTCACCCACACTGGACGTACTGGACGTATGGTCATGCTAGAGGGATTTGAATGAGCCACTCGCATCCAAAAGGTTACATGACAATCAATTTGCTTCTGTAATATTAACTAATGACACCTGTGCTAATAGTTACATGTAAAATTAAGTCTGGAACAGATGGAGTTCTAAGGCCAACTGTTGCCAGTCATGGAAAACCTGCCCTCCTTAAATAGCCTCTGGTGTAATTGTCTGCCTACACTCTGCCCACTTTTCAGGTTTAAATACAAGGCGACATTTGGTATGCATTTCCTGTAATAAAGAACCATGTGATGATTATTCCCAAGATGTTATTTTTAAGACTATTGTTAACTGCGGTCTGTCTTTGGTTTCTCAGTTAAGGAAAAAGCAACTTGACTGAAAGCATCACTTGATTCAAGTTGGGCAACCACAGGAGAGCAAGCTATTGTGACCAAAGTCCCTGAAGGAAAATGAGTGAGGACAAAATAACCCCACACTTTGCAGACACTGAGGTATGGCACGACTTGGTGACTCCTGGGAGAGATCAAATCTTACAATGCTGTGTAAAACACTGGGTATGCAACTAACACATGAGGTTATCTGCTTTTATAACAGTCATAAATACCTATTTATTACATAATGATTTGAATATACCACCTCGTGGATGGGCAGTCAAGCCTTGATTTTTCTTGCTTTTTTGGTTTCTACTTTTATGATTAAAAATAACTTGAAAAATCAATCATGTTGAAAGGTAATAGTTTATTTTTCTTTCAACATGAAAAAAGAAAACACAATGTAGATTGAAATTGAAAGAATGAGACACATGTACATTTAAATTGAGAAGGAGTTTGTGATAGAAAAGGAGTCTGTCCTCATAAAGTCAGAACATGGCCAAGTTGGATTCATGCTCAAATCTTCTGTCTTGTACCCAAGAGGTTGGCACCAAAATAAGCAACAGGGATAGGTCAATGGACGCTAGTACTCCTGGGGGAATGCTAAGTAATGCCTCAAAATCTCATGCCCAAATTAAGGGTAAGGCATTAGTAGTGACATTAATAGTAACATAAAAAATGCAGGTTCCTAAAGGGTGAAGAAAGACCCAGAACCAGTTATATTTCCCGGAAGGCTTTGTTTGAATCTACAAAAATGATTAAGATCCATTTACTTAGTCTTGGAGTGAACATTCCGAGATAAGTGTGTTTGACATTAAGTGCAGTTTATTTAAGAAGGTATCTGGCTGAGGTTAAGAGTAAGGCAGGGCCTCCTTAAATCTATATTGTATCTATAAAAACTTTAAAAGTCAGCCAAGTTTATAATTAGTGTTAGGATGAGCCATATGAAAATGCGGATGGAGATTTCATATGGTCTAACTTAAATATTTATGCTTGTTATTTTTTATAAAAAGATACATTGTATATGCAAAAACAGAAAATGTATTTTGACTGTGCTTTCATCCTGCTGTCCCTGGGTTAGTTGTGTGGAGTAAGAGAGTCAGTTGTCATCTGAAGTCCTACCAAGTTTCATTTGGTTCTGTATCACCCTTTCAGGCCATTCCAGTGTGTAGTGATCGGTTGTAGGACACACTGCAAATAATTTATTATTAATAGTAGCTAAAGTTGTGACGTTTGTGGATTTTTTAACTTATTAAAAATAAACCAGTGCAGAATCAAGGTTATGCCTATAATAATGATATCATCAACCAACTGCACAATAATAGGCTTTCTTGAGTAGGGGAGAAAAGGCTACCCTGGGAGTGATACCCATGGGGCAGGGCCACAGATGTGACCCTTCTATGACAAAGGTCATGGCAGAAAATTATTGGAAACAAATACTCAAAAAGAGCAGTATACACTTAATAGCAGCTTTCTGTATTGGTTATAATGCTTACTTAGAAAGTTGGTTCTCAGGTTTTTGGATCTCGAAAATTTGAGAACTGATATCAAGTTGTCACTTTTTAATTTTTTCAAGTATGGTCATTAGAAATAGAACTTCCATATATTATAACTACCATTTAAAAAAAGAAGAGACATGTTGACATTAAAAACAGAGTGATTTTAGTTGTGGGAAAAAGCATATTGCATTGGCTTCAGTTTTCTCATTTTGCTACAAATTTAGAGAAAAATATTAGACTGGCTGAGGTCCATGGGCCAGTAGCCCAAGAAAGGCTAATCCTCCTTTTTTTTTTTTTTTTTTTGAGACGGAGTCTCGCTCTGTCCCCAGCCTGGAGTGCAGTGGTGCGATATCGGCTCACTGCAAGCTCCGCCTCCCAGGTTCACACCATTCTCCTGCCTCAGCCTCCCGAGTAGCTGGGACTATAGGCGCTCGCCACCACGCCCGGCTAACTTTTTTGTATTTTTAGTAGAGACGGGGTTTCACCATGTTAGCCAGGATGGTCTCGATCTCCTGACCTCGTGATCCATCTGCCTCAGCCTCCCAAAGTGCTGGAATTACAGGCGTGAGCCACCACGCCTGGCCAATCATCCTTTATAAGGCTAACAATCATCAACAACTATTAAGCACCTTCTTATTCTAAACATTTTGGTGAGAGCTTTATATACCTTAGTTTTGATCTCCAAGTTAGATATTATTATCTTCATTGTATAAATGAGGAAGTTGACACTCAAAGAGAAGTAACTCTTTCAAACCTGAACTTACAAAGTAATGGCAAAGTCTTGTCTTACAGCCTATAGAATTTCTAACTTATGTAATTAATAAAATGGGTAAAGGATTTAAACGTAATATCCAAAGTCTGGATTTTAAAGTGTTTTTAGGCTGGAGTTTGTCTAGTCACCCATTTTTATGAGACTTTGCAGGCTCTCAGATAAAATTTTAGAGTTGTGCTTGTGAGTCAGAGAAGCCCTGGTCCTGAAGGGAGCCCTGGGGGAAGAGTTTTGTCTTAGATTGGCTCCTCAATACCTGACATAAGGATTTGTGTGCAAGTGAATTTTCCAGGAAATGCATCCAGAAGTCAGTAAGGAAGTGGAGGAAGTAGGACAGCACAAGAGAAGCAGCCAATTGAAGTGAGTTCTGAGGCAAAATCCCATGAAGGGTAGCTTTGGAGGGTAAGTTATGCCTCAGAGTTGTCTCAACACAGGGCTTGGGAGCCAGGCTTTCAGATTCCCATACTCATCAGTCATTAGCTAAGAGCTGGTCAGGTAGAACGAGAAGTAGGGGTGGGAGAGACGTGAAGTCCTAGACACTTCTGGCTGTCTACATGTTTGGGCAAAGTCCTTCAGTAGCTGGAGGGTAGTCTTGTGACAAAGAGTTCCAAGTGCATTCCATTGTTGGCCAAAAGCACACCACAGCCAGGAGATGGGCATATGACAATAATAAAATGGAGTTGAGAGGATCAGAGTGGACAGTGTCTACAACATGTCTGAATTCAGAAACACCATAAAGAAAAGAGGCAAGAGCACAGCTTGGAGGAGCATTCTACAATTCCCAGGATGCCACAGAACTGGTGACAGTCAATTATGTTCTTACAGAAAAACAGTAATCTTCAATAAGTCTGTTTTGCTTCATTCCCATCATTATCTCCTTAATTCCAAGTCACTATCATCTCCTACCTGTGCCACTGCAGCAAACCTCATATCAAGCATCTACTTTTGCTCCCCTGTGTTCATTCTTTACACAGTAGTCATGGTGATTTTTATAAATACAGTGGTGATGCTGTATTTATAAGCATATAAATACATAAATGAGGACGAGAGGTAGTGGAGTTGGAGACACTTTAATCACCACATAATCACCATTATCCCCCTCAGTCCACCCTACTATTCTTTGGTAGGTACAGTGGACATTTTCTCAATTTACTGTGAAGTGCTATGCAGTTTTACTCTACCTGTAGTAGTTTATTTTCACACTGCTATGAAGATGATACTACCTGAGAATGGGTAATTTATAAAAGAAAGAGACTTAATTGACTCACAGTTCTGCATGGCTGGGGAGGCCACAGGAAACTTACAATCATGTCAGAAGGCAAAGGAGAAGCAAGGCACCTTCTTCACAAGGTGGTGGGAGAGAGACAAAGCACAGGGGAAACTGCCACTTTTAAACCACCAGATCTCATGAGAACTTCCTCACTATCAAGAGAACAGCATGAGAGAAACCATCCCATGATCCAATCACCTCCCATCTCCCTCGACATGATGGGGATTACAATTTGAGATGAGATGAGATTTGGGTGGGGACACAGAGCCAAGCCATATCACCTCCTCCCATATTTCTCTGAAGATGGTTGTAGGTGTGTGGTCTTATTTCTGAGTTTTCTATTCTGATCCATTGGTCTATATGTCTGTTCTTGTACCAGTACCATGCTGCTTTGGATACTGTAGCCTTTTAGTATAGTTTGAAGTCAAAAAAGCCCAACTCTTATCTAAAGAACATATTGATACTGAGTATGGAATCATCTATAAGGTTGAATATATCCATTCATTTTCTTTTTCTGGGTCAGTGAAAGTACACTATTAACATCCTTGAAAATTTTGGGTCCTGAAACCCATTTTTTCCATCCTATTTGGGATCCCAACATAGGATAATTCTTCTAAATTAATTCAATGGGAATTGATGGTTGTTTGGCTCATGGAAAAAGTTAGTTCAATCTGGGAATCATAAAAATGATTCATACATTTCTTAAACATTTAAGTTTAACTCAAAATATATAAATTTGCATTAATCTCCCAATCCTTTGATGAAGGGCCAAGGCTTTTTCTTGAGTATATTTTTCTTGAATGTATTTTACAGATGAAACAGAGAACAGTGCTTAATCTGGCCAATCTGTTAAGGAGTGATTGGTCAAGAGAACTTTTACCACATGATGCTTGATATTAAATGATTGTAATTATTAAGGATATTAGCTACCTCCATCAGTGGACAGCAATAATTGATGTTAACTCTCTAGCAATGGAACATTCTTCTATATTAGTTGGTCTTATCTTGGTTCACGGATTTTGTTGAAAATCTGATATGTTATAGACCTTCTTATCAGAAAGATGTATACTCACATGCATACATACAAAATTGTAGGGTTTTTTTTATCCCTGAATTTCATTTGTAGATTATTTATTCACAAACTCCGTGTTACAGTATTAAAACACACAGAGTAAAATGTAAATAGGCAGTACACTGGCTTGTCATTTTCTAATCAAGAAAATAAAGCATGTAGTATATTTATCTGATAAAATTGATTAATCTTAAATGCCACTGTCTGGTTCTTGGGAAAAGAAACACCCACAAAGACACACCCACATTTGCTCAGTTCCCTTCAGAGAATGGCAAAAATCATGTCAGTCTGATTCATCTTTCAGGAAGGAAGAGGGAAGTACAGTGTAAAACCGCAACCCAGGCCACAGTGAGGACTTGGTCCCAGAGTGCAGCAGAGGTTGGGGCCGTTCAAGGGCAGAGTAGTGGCTGTTAGTTGAGTAAGGACTGTGTCACCAACCCCCAGATGGGCACAGCTTACTGGTGCCTTGGCAACCATCCATGCCAACTCATTCCATT
The DNA here is from genome assembly GCF_000001405.40 of Homo sapiens. Taxonomy (NCBI): domain Eukaryota; kingdom Metazoa; phylum Chordata; class Mammalia; order Primates; family Hominidae; genus Homo; species Homo sapiens. Next base: position 44,012,770 of record NC_000023.11, on the reverse strand, counting down.
ACTCAGTCCCATCAGATGTAAATTTTTACGGAGTTACAAGCAAGAGACCATTCTCTCATATCTACTTTCAACTCTAGGAGGAGCAAGAATTGCTTTCCTGGCCTTGATTAGCACTCAGGTGGTTGGCGCCAAGAGCCTTCCTCCCTCATCCTGAAGAAGATAAAACTTGAACTCATCATGGTTAGTGCCTACAAGTTGGTGATAAAAGCTGGGTGGGAATCCAGCCCTTCTACTTTTCTTCCCATGATCTTGCTACTAAATCCCACTGCTTCAGGCCATGATGATGCATTTGCAGTTTGGCTAATTATAGTAAAATGACTTGAATATAAAAACATTTCAAGGACATTCTCATTCTTCTCTTACTGATTCTCCTCACTCGTTCCTCTGTTCAGAAACAGCTTTGAAGCCCCAGACTTAACTTCCAAAATTAATGATATTAATGCTTCTGTTTCCCAGGTTTGACAAAACATTCTGAGTGAGGTTGTTTCATTTCTTAAGAGCGGCTACTAACTTTGCACAGAGTGCCGTAAACCCAAAGTCAAGTGGTTAGAACTTGCAATCAAGTACAAGGCAGCTTAAAAAGGTTGCTAAAGATCACCTCTTCATTTCGCTGTCTTTTAATTAAGCACATTGAACAGTGACTCATTCATTTATAGAATAACTTAAAATTGAATAGGTGATTATGTACAAATTAAGGTGACAATTGGTAGGAAGCTTGGTTCTCAAGTACCAGTCCTTGAGCTGAATAATGACCTGACTTGGGAGTAGGAGTGGAGGAAAGCCAGGAGGAGAAGAAAAGATTTTTATCTGTGCTTTTGGCCACAATGGAAGTAAAATAAAAATGGGGATTGTGGTAGGCAAAATAATGCCCCCTCCAAGATGTCCATGTCTTATTCCTTGGAAACTGTGAATACGTTATGTTACATGGCAAAGGGGAATGAAGGTTGCAGATGGAATGAAAGTTGTTAATCAGTTGATCTAAAGATTTGGAGATGGTCTTGGATTATGTGGTCAGCCCTATGTGATTACAACGGCCCTTAAAAGTGGAAGGAGGCAGAAGGAGGAAGTCAGAGGCAGATGTGACTCTGGAAGGGGTCAGAGTGAAGTGATGTGAGAAATACAGGACCTGCTGTTGCTGGCTTTGAAGATGGAGAAAGGTTTCGTGACCAAGGAATGCAGATGCCTCTACAAGGTGGAAAAGGCAAGGGAAATATTCTCTTCTACAATATCCAGAAGAAATGCAGGCCTGTATATACCTTGATTTTAGCCCAGTGAGACCTGTGTCAGACTTCTAACTTACAAAACTGTAAGATAATACATTGGTGTTCTTTTAAGCCACTAGGTTTGTGATCATCTGTAATAGTAAATAGAAAAGGAATGCCTAGAGTGATGAAAGTAAGGACTAAGGAGATGGTCCTATTTTAGGTCTGTTTCAGGCGGGCTGTTGCCAGCAAGTTAGCTGAGGAAGATAGATACATCAAGAGTTGAAGACACACTGGAGAAGGTGAATATGAAGCAAGGAAGCTGGAAGCTGAGACTCAGGAGGAGCTTTGGAGAGGGGACAAAACCTAAAGATTCAAGGACCCTAATCACAAGTGACCTCAAATTACCAGAGGACAGCTAAACTGAGCTGTGGAAACCAGCAGATGTGATGACTTTCTGTGTTGCTAATTTCTTTGTCTCTCTTTCACAAAGAACCAACACATACAATAGAAATAGTCCTGAACTTAATATTTTCTTTCCAAAGAATCACACATGACAAAAAACAAGATACTTTTACAAGCAAAAAAAAAACCATGAATCAACATAAATGAGGAATATCAGTTAAACAATGTGGAAGATATGGGTAGTTGTACCCCCATGTTTGCTTTTCTCTTCTTCCATCCTAAAGGAATTTTTCGGCTGGTAAGGGCTACCCAGCCTCATTTGCTTAGAGGTATGACCGTATGACTAAGTCCAAGTCAATGGCATGTGAATTGGACTAATATGTAGAAACTTTTAAAGGGAAGATGTTTACCTATTCCATTTCCTCCTTTCCACTGGCTGGAATGAGGATGGAGTGTGTGCTCTTTGCCCCTGCAATGAGGACACTACTCTGGGAATATACAAAATTAACTCAAGATGAATTAAAGAAAAAAATTAACTCAAGATGGATTAAATATTTAAATGTAAAACCTGAAGCTATAAAAACCTTGGAAAACAACCTAGGCAATATCATTCTGGACATAGGAATGGGCAAAGATTTCATGACAAAGATGCCAAAAGCAAAAATTGACAAATGGGATCTAATTAAACCAAAGAGCTTCTGCACAGCAAAAGAAACTATCAACAGAATAAACAGACAAGCTACAGAATGGGAGAAAATTTTTGCAAACCATTCATGTGACAAAGGTCTAATATCCAGTATTTATAAGGAACTTAAACAAATTTACAAGAAAAAAAAACCCCATTAAAGAGTGGGCAAAGTACATGAACAGACACTTTTCAAAAGAAGACATACATGCAGCCAACAATTATATGAAAAAAAAACTCAACATCACTGATCATTAGAGAAGTGTAAATCAAAACCACTATAAGATGCCATCTCACACCAGTCAGAATGGCTATTACTAAAAAGTCAAAAAATAACATGCTGGTGAGGTTGCAGAGAAAAAGGAACACTTTTATATTGTCAGTGGGAGTGTAAATTAATTCAACCATTGTGGAAGACGGTGCAGTGATTCCTCAAAGACCTAAACGTAGAAATACCATTGACCCAGCTATCCCATTACTGGATATATACTCAAAGGAATATAAATAATTCTATTATAAAGATACATGCATGTGTATATTGACTGCAGCACTGTTTATAATAGCAAAAACATGGAATCAACTTAAATGTCCATCAATGATAGACTGGATAAAGAAAATGTGGTACATATACGCCATGGAATACTGTGTAGCCATAAAAAAAAAAAAGAACAAGATCATGTCCTTTGCAGGAACATGGATGGAGCATGAGGCTATTATCTTTGGCAAATTAACGCAGGAAAAAAAAAATCAAACACCACATGTTCTCACTTATAAGTTGGAGCTAAATGATGAGAATGCATGGACACATAGAGAGGAACAATACACACTGGGGCCTATCAAAGGGTGGAGGTAGGGAGGAGAAAGAGGATAAAGAAAATAACTAATGGGCACTAGGTTTAATACCTTAGTGATGAAATAATCTGTACAACAAACCCCCATGACACAAGTTTACCTATATAAAAAACCTGCACATGTACCCTTGAACTTAAAAGTTAAATAAAAAAAGAAAAACCTCTTCTTTCTAATGTTACTATAATTTTTAATTGATAAATCATAATTATATACATTTAGGTGGGGTACAGTGTGATGTTTTGATATATGTATACAATGCGCAATGATTAAATAAAGCTAATTAACATGTTCATCACTTCGCTTACTTAACTTTTAAGGCTTTTATTATTTTATTTGTAATACACTTTTGTAACATATATGAACTTAAGTTCATTTAATATATTGCTGCATTCAGTCATTTATCTAAATTTAACTTTAGAAAACTGATTGACATAATGATAATTTGAATGTCTTTATTTTTTTCATTTGTTTTTTATTTTATTTATTATTATTATTTTTTGAGATGGAGCCTTGCTCTTGTCGCCCAGGTTGGAGTGCAGTGGCACCATCTCAGCTCACTGCAACCTCCGCCTCCCAGGTTCAAGCAATTCTCCTGTCTCAGCCTCTTGAGCAGCTGGGATTACAGGTGCCCACCACCATGCCTGGCTAATTTTTTTTTGTATTTTTGGTAGAGACGGGGTTTTGCCATGTTGGCCAGGCTGATCTTGAACTCCTGACCTCGTGATCCACCCTCCTCGGCCTCCCAAAGTGCTGGGATTACAGGCGTGAGCCACCGCGCCCGGTCTATTTTATTTATTATTATTATTTCGATAGTTTTTGGGGAAACAGGTGGTGTTTGGTTACATGGATAAGTTCTTTAGGTGGAATTTCTGATATTTATTGTGGTGATGTGAAATGTACTCTCTTAGTTATTTTGAAATATACAATACATTATTATTGACTATAGTTATCCTGCTGTGAGATAGATCTCAAAACTTAATCCTCGTTTCTAAATGAAACTTTGTACCCTTTGGCCAAAAACTACCCATTTCCCTCCCTCCCTCTTCTCCTCCTTCCCCTTGGCTTCTGATAACCACCATTCTACTCATTACTTCACTGAGTTAGACTTTTTTAGATTTCACATATGAGTAAGATCATGTGGTATTTGTCTTTCTGTGCCTGGCTTATTTCACTTAGCATAATGTCCTCCAGTTTCATCTACATTGTTGTAAATGAAATAATTTTCTTTCTTTATGGCTGGATAATATTCCATTGTGCATATATGCCACATTTTTTAAATCGCTTCATCCACTGATGGACACTTAGGTTGTTTCCATATCTTGGCTATTGTGAATAATGCTGCAATAAACATGGGGGTGCAGATTTCCCTTGGACATATCCATTTCAGTTCCTTTATATGTAACCAGAAGTGGGATTGCTGGATCATATGGTAGTTCTATTTTTTGTTTTATCAAGAACTTTGATACCATTTTCCGTAATGGTTGTATTAATTTACATTCTCACCACCAATGTGTAAGAGTTCTGTTTTCCCTGTATCCTCGCTAACACTTATCTTTCATATTTTTTATAATAGCCATTTTAACTGGTATGAGATGATATTGTGGTTTTAATTTGCATGCCCTAATGATTAGTGATGTTGAGCATTTTATCATAAACTCGTTAGCCACATGTAAGCCTTCTCTTGAAAAATATCTGTTCTTGTCTGGTCTGTCTTAGTCCATTTTGTGCTGCTATAACAGAATATCTGAGACTAGGTAATTTATAAAGAACATGCATTTATTAACTCAAGGTTCTGGAGGCTGGAAAGTTCAAGATCAAGGGGCTGCATCTGGTGAAGGCCTTCTTGTTGCATCATAACTTGGCAGAAGGCATCACATGGTGAGACAGAGAGCAAGAGAGGACTAAATTTGCTTTTATAACCAACCTATCTCAGGATAACAGCATTAATCCCTTTATTGGGGGCAGAGTCATCATGACCTAATCACCTCTTAAATGTCCTACCTCTCAACGCTGTTGCATTGGTGATTAAGTTCCAACATAAGAACTTTGGGGGACAAATTCAAACCATAGCAAGTCCTTTGTCCATTTAAAAAAAATCAGGTTATTTGTCTCTTGCCATTGAGCTGTATGAATGCTTTAGATATTTTGTATATTAACCCTTTACCAGATGGATGGTTTGCAAATATTTTCTCCCACTCATGGGTTGTCTCATCACTTTGTTAATTGTGGCCTTTGCTGTGCAGAAGCTGTTTAGTTTGATGCAGTCTTATTTGCCTATTTTCACTTTTGTTCCCTGTGCTTTTGGGGACCTATACAAAAAAAATCACTGCCCAGATCAATGTATTGAAGCTTTTCACCTATGTGTTCTGCTAGTAGCTTTACAGTTTCAGGTCTTATATTTAAGTCTTTAATCCATTTTGAGGTTTTTTTTTTGTATATGATGTGAGATGAGCATCCACTTTCATTCTTCTGCATGTGAATATCCAGGTTACCTAATAACATTTTTTGAAGACTGTCCTTTCTTTATTGTGTGTTTTGGCACCTTTGTCAAAAATCATTTGACTGTAAAGTTGTGGGTTTGTTTCTGGGCTTTCTATCATCTTCCATTGATTGATGTGTCTGTTTTTATGCCTGTACCATGTTTTGATTACAATAACTGTTTTGATTACAATAACTTTATAGTATATTTTGAAACCAGGGAGTGTGATGCCTCCAGCTTTGTTCCTTTTGCCGAAGACTGCTTTGGCTATTCAGTCTTGTGTGGTTTCTATGAATTTAAGGATTGTTTTTTCTATTTCTGTGAAAAATGACATTGGAATTTTGATAGAGATTGCATTGAATCTAGATATTTTGAACACTATGGACATTTTAACAACATTAATTCTTCCAGTCCATGAACACAGGGTGTGTTTTCATTTATTTGTGTTTTCTTCAGTTTTTAAAATCAATGTTTTATAGTTTTCCATCTTTCACCTCCTTGGTTAAATGTATACCTAAGATTTTATTTTATTTTTATTGCAATTATAAATGATGCTGTTTTGTTAATTACTTTTTTGGATAGTTCATTATAAGTGTATAGAAATGCTAATGATTTTTACATATTTATTTTGAATCCTTCAACTTCACTGAATTCATTTATTAGTTCTAACACTTTTTTATCAACCCTATTGTCTTTAGGGTTTTCTATATATAAGATCATGCTATCAGTAAATGGAGACAATTTGAATCAGTAAATATTTTGCAACATTTACAATGCCCCCCTCTTTTGTAATTTTGGACATTTGAGGATGATGTGCAAGCTTACTGGAAAGAACATTCTAATTGTGATTGTGGTAACTGTCCCAATAGTGGCCTTGAATAATCAATGCTTCCTCCTGGTATTCTTGCTCTATGAAGTCCCTTTCCACAGTGACCCTGGGCTTCATCATATGACTTCTATTGGCCAATGGAACATTCTCAAGCTCAACACAGGCAGAGGCTTGATAAACCTTTGCACATTGAGGCTTTTCTGCTTGGAAAGTTCACTCTAAGACGCCAATCAACCACCATATAAAAGACCTGACTGTTCTGAGATCACTATGCCATCAGGAAGCTGATAGGAGAATAAGAGTGAGCCACGTGGAGAAGAATCAAGGTATTCTGGCTGCATTAAAGAGAATAATGGCCCATGAAGATGTTCACATCCTAATTCCTGGAACCTGCGAATATTTTATATTACATGTTAATTTTGAGCAGCATTTCCACTGTTCTGGTAAGAAGAAAATACATATACATTTAACAAGCTGTGAAATGTGAATTAGTATGGTGATTTCACATATGAATTAGATGCTGCTATATGTGCATTTAAAACTGCTATTGCACAATATAAAAAGTAAAATTTATATAATAATTTAGAATTTTTGAAAATTTAGAATGACATCGAATTGCAAATAAAAAATGCTATGGCAACTCAAGAGAGACACCACATAAGAAAGTAACTTTAGTGATATTCTCAAAAAAGTAAGATCCCCCACCTTTTTGAATAAAGGGCCTCACATTTTCCTTTTGCACTGGGCCTTGCAGATTATGTAGCAGGTCCTGATGTAACAGAATTAAGATTGCAGGTGGGATTGGGGTTGCTAATCAGCTGACTTTGAGATGGAGAGGTGATCCTGGATTATTTTGGTGGACCCATTGTAGGATAAGGACTGTTATAAGGGAAAGAGAGAGGCAGGAGACTCTGTCAGAACCAGCCAGATGGCTTAATGAGAAAGATTTGACCAGCCATTACTGGCTTTGAAAATGGAAGGAGGTCATGAGCCAAGGAATTTGAGCAGCCTCTCTCTCCTGCGGAAGGGAAGGCCACCTTGCTGACACCTTGATTTTAGACCAGAATCACCTGTGTCAGATTTCTGACCTCCAGAACTGTTAGGTGATAAATCTGTGTTTTTTAAGCCACAAAATTTGTGATAACTTGTTATAGCAGGATTAGAGAATTAATATGAGTCAACACTGCAGCTCACCCATGAGCTAAATGTAGTTGACATCCTATAGATCAGAAAAACACCCAGTCGATCCACAGAATCTTGAGAATTTCAAAATTGTTGTTGTCATGGGGGAACGTCTCTGATTAAAAATAAATGTATATATATCTACATGACAGGCCTTTTGTCCGCAAGTAACAGAAAAGCCCATGAGGTATTTTAGATGAAAACCAAGAATGCTTGGGGAGGATTTATTATAACAATACAGAAGTGTCTCAGAAACCAGGAAATGAAGGCAGGATACAAGAGGGTTATGAACTAGGACCTGAAAAGCCATCAGAAGCACAGCAGGTCTTCCCTGCCCCTCTAGGGCCACATGCTCTCTTGAACCTACTGTAATCTATGTATTTGTTTTATTCGTCTCCCTCTCCTTTCCCCCCTTCTCTCTCCAGAGTGACTTCCTCTGCTTCTTTAGGCATTCATGGTCAAATAAGATATTTCCAGCCCAACCTTTCCTTAGTTTGCAATCCATGCTCCCAGCACACTGACCTCTGAGCTTCAATTCGAAATTCCTTGGAGAAAGAAAGTAGTCCTGGTGGGCCAATTATGCAGGCCTGGTCCGATCTTTAGTGGCCAAGAGGCTAGCATCAACTAATACAAACATGGCCAACGAGGTCTTTGTGTGTTTGTGTGTGTGTGTGTGTGTGTGCGCATGCACTCATGTTGACATTTCGAGGCAGGAAGACACACTACCAATGTTTTTATAACCCAGTTCTTTGAGGCAATAATAATTTCTTTGGCCTGGGCAATATAACTTTTAGGAAAGTCAGAAGAGCAGGACAGGTGGTTCCTGATGCCAAAGTCAGGAATTCTGGGAGTACAGAGCCAGATACTCCTCCAGGGAAAGCCTGACTCAGAGCATGGGCTCCTGGGATGCTGCTTCCTGGAACTCTCACACCCCACCCACTCACACTCAGATCGGGGAAGTCCAGACTGTTGGGACATTTGGGACATGGGCATTCAGGAAACTGTACGTGTTGTGTGGGTGGTGAAGAAATAGACGTGCTGTCTGGGTTTAATCTGTCTGTAGACAACATGCCCCTTTATGCTTCTCCACCTTTCCTGATGCATGCCTCCAATGGAGGAATCTAAAATCCCACACCCTCTTAATTGTGATTACATAGTCAAAGTAGATTAATGAGGAGTGTGGCTAAAATAAAATCTGTAATTATAATATTGACAATTCATTTTTAAATAAACATGCCTCCAGAAGATTCTGATACATGTCTCTGGGAGAAGGAAATGCGTTTTCCTCTGTTCCACACCTGTTTTATCCCACCTCTGGTCTAGAATAACTGACTTCAATCCTAAAACAGTCAATTCCATTCTACAGATATTCTTATCAGTGTTAATTATTATTAAATCAACAGTTTTAGAATCTAAGAAATGGCCTGAGTGAAGATTCATGAGGATGTATTTACTTGAAATGAAGAAATAGCCTTGGGCCATTTCATTTTACTAAATTGCCATTGTATTGAACATCTTTATATCTGCTGTTAAAAAGTCGGGTATTTTATATGTGCCCACATACTGTGTCATACTTTCTGAAGTATATAGCAAATGTAATTTGTGCAAATGAATAAAATCTCAAACTCTGTGGCTAGCTGATCTATACATAGCTGGGATAATAAGTTTTCTTAGTGTGGCACTCCTGACTACAAACTGAGTAGTATTGAAGAGTCGTATTATGTCTTTATTACTCTAACATCTCATCTTTATTTACAATTGGCTTTACTAAGGCCACCTATTGTTGTCTTGAGACTTATCAAAGGACCTCATCAAAAAACATGTTTCTACTTGAAGGATAAGTTGTTCTCAACAAATATCAAAAGAAAGTTTACGTGCAAAAACCTTTTTTTTTTCTTTGAGCAGTTAAAGTAAAAATGGATTGGAGTTTTATTTGCATGGAAAGATCTAGAATAGTATTTTCCAAAATGTGCCCTGTGTGATGTTATAAGGTGTGATGCAAAGAGTGGGTAGTGAGGATCCTTGTATGAACAAAAGCTTTACTGCAAGACTACCGCCTTAGTCAGGGTTCTCCAGAGAAAAAGAACCAATAGGACACACACACACACACACACACACACACACACACAAGGAGATTTATTATAAGGAATTGACTCCTGCAATTATGGAGGCTGAGATGTCCCATAATCTGCTGTCTGTAAGATGGAGACCCAGGAAAGCCAGTGGTTTAATTCCAGTAAGTCCAAAGGTCTGAGAACTAGGGGAGCCAATGATGTAAATCCCTGTCTGAGAGCAAGAAAAGAGGAGATGAGATGTCCCAGATCTTGCAATGTGACAGGAAAGGGGTGGGTTCCTCCTTCAGCTGTGTGTTCTTTTCAGGCCCTCGGGGGATTGGGTAATGCCCATGCACATAGGAGAGGGCCATCTACTTTAATGAGTTCACCAATTCAAATACTAATCTCATCCTGAAACCTCTTCATAGACACACCCAGAAACAATGTTTAATCTGGGCACTACCACAGCCCCAGTCAAGCTGACCATAAAATTAACCATCACAGCCCCTCAGAGCTTTTGCTCTGTATATTTGCTAATGCCAAGAAGGCATCACCAAGAAGATACATGGGCGCTGCTTCAAAACAAATTGGATCGCAAAAGTCCTTTTTTCAGGACCACGTTGGGAGACTATAATTCTTTGCAATGTATTTTTGAAGAAGCTCATCTATTGTATGGTGGCTTTTTAAAAATTGAGGTGAAATTCACATCACATGAAATTAATGATTTTAGCATGAACAATCCAGTGGCATGTAGTGCAATGTTGTGCAGCCACCAGCTCGATCTAGTTCCAAAACATGTTCATGACCCCAAAATAAAACCCCATACCCATTAAGCAACCACTCTTCATTTCTATCTCCTGTAAGCCCCTGGCAACCACCAATCTGCTTTCTGTCTCTACGGGTTTAGTTTAGTATGGTAGTTTTTTTTTTGTTTTCTTTTTTTGTTTTTTTTAATAGACTTTAGTTTTTAGAGCAGTATTAGGTTTACAGAAAAATTGAGTGGAAAGTACAGAGAGTTCCCATACACCTCTTGTTCCCACACATGTACAACCTCCCCCACTATCAACATCCAGTACCAGAGAGGTACATTTGTTACAATCCTGTGTTGGATTTTTAATGGGACATTTTAAAAGGTTCTTCAAAGCCTTGTTTTTATAACGGAGATAGTTTATGTGGGAAGAGTATCCATAGCAAATTTCTAAAGAATTGTTCTATAGTTCTACTTTTAGCATTATTACTTTCTATCCCCCAAATGATATCTACATGAGTTTTTTTCCCCTACCCCTCTACATCATCACATTCCACTTTATGACTGTGATGATGGACTGAATGAATGTTTCTTTACGGGTGCTAAGGTAACCCTTTGGAGTTGGGTCCCTCTCTTCTCTCCAAGGTTGACATTATGACTTTCATGAAAGTAAAAGACATTATTAAGCATACATTACACCTTTTCACCTCCCTGAAACACAAAACTTATTTCTTGGGCTAAATAATAAATGTGTTGTAGGAAGAAGAGTGATCGATTAGTTTTTAAATGTAGCCTTCAATCTTTGAGTGAAATGCTAAACTTCAGGCCATTGTTTTTTAAATCTTAAATTAGCCACTAATGTTAAATTTGAAGTTAATTGAATGATCATTCAGTTATTCCGTGATTATTTGTTAGCCATCTCCAGGTCTTCTAGCTTTAGAAGAAAACCTTAAATGTAAGAAAAAAAAGATAGCTAGCTGTCTTAGTCAGGGAGATGATGCATAATACTGAATAAATTTCCTTAGGCTTAAAACATGCAACTTCATTTGATTTTCTACTACAGTTTTCCAAAACTCTTTTCCATATCTGGCTATCTCTAGTTACCATCTTGCCTTGTAAAAGAAACTTAACTATAGTTAAGTCCACATAAATTTAGTCAATCCAAGGTTTTGTTGCTTACTTCAAAGCGTTCCCTTTCTGCCTTTGTCTCTCAGGGTGGTAGCCAAGTTCCAGCGGGCTTGGCATAAAGCAAGTTTTAGGGAAAGAGCTTCAGCAGAGGAGCCAGTATGGACCTGCCCCCACTGGTCTCTGCATGTCATTGGCATTTGTGCTTGCTGGTACCTGCCCAGATATTTCCATCTGTTTTTCGACCAATGGTCTCTGCTGGTCTCTTGTCTCATCCTTAGATGAGCTTAGAATACTCAAGTTTCGGCTGGGCGTGGTGGCTCACGCCTGTAATCCCAGCACTTTGGGAGGCCGAGGCGGGTGGATCACGAGGTCAGGAAATTGAGACCATCCTGGCTAACATGGTGAAACCCCGTCTCTACTAAAGATACAAAAAATTAGCCGGGTCTGGTGGCAGGCGCCTGTAGTCCCAGCTACTCGGGAGGCTGAGGCAGGAGAATGGAATGAACGCAGGGGTGGAGTTTGCAGTGAGCGGAGATCCCGCCACTGCACTACAGCCTGGGCGACAGAGCGAGACTCCGTCTCCAAAAAAAAAGAATACTCAAGTTCCATCATTGTTCTCTTGGCTTTCTTGGCTGTACCTATGCTTAGGGAGACCTGAGTTGCTTTTTCTGCCATGCTGGAGCACATGGAGGCTCTTGGAGTCTCCTTTAGGTTTTTCTGCTTGGACATCCCCAACCTTCATGAGCCATGGTCATCTGTCTGTCCTCACTACACGGCAGAAGGTATGGGGAGCTTGCTTGCTATAGTTTTCTCCACCTTGAAAGGGAGCACATGTTCCAGTCCTCATCTGTCATCCACTACAGAAGCCCCCTCCCTTGCTGACTCTTCTTCCCTCTGCCCAGTCCAGGTCATTGTTATCTCCTCCGCAAGCCAATCATACACTCCATGCCTTTAGTTTAGCATAAACTTTGTGTTCTGAGTCTCCTTGGCACTTAAAACTGAAAAAAGACTAGACTCTTGGAATTTAAACCCTTTTTCTCTCAACCTATTGTCTCTGTCACTAGTTTAAAAGCCTATTTTGAAGTCTGTTAACCAAAACTGAGTACATTTGCTTTCTTTACTCTGCTGTAACAATTCTTTCTTCCCTTAATTGATGATAACTATGACTGAAAGGGGAGAAGAGCAGTGTGTACAAGGAAGAGCAAGGAAAAGATCCTCAGGTCACATTTCAAATTGTTTACCTCTCTTTCTCACTCTGTCTTTCAGAAGGTGTAAGAATTTCTCCCTATAAGAAGGGTATAAGAATTAACTAAAATATAAGGCTACATTACAAGAAATGTCACAGAGCAATATTTGATTATTGACTAAAACGGTATAAAAACTCTTCAGTCAGTGGCAGATCAGATCAATATGGGATGGTCTGAGGAGTTGTCAAAGAGGAGGGGGCACTGATTGATTTGTAATATGTAAATCAGTGGAAAGAAACATGTAATGGATTCCACATTGAACTACAGAAATGGGAATATACAAGGTGTGTCCATGGAGGGGATGTTTATAATTTTAGAAGGATGGCTGTAGCAATGTGGTGTTACAGAAGCTGGGGGAGGAAAGGGTCTCAAGGAGGAAATGGCCAAGCATTAAAAGCTATAGAGAAGTAAAAGCAAATACTAACTGAGAAAAGACTATTGCATTAGTTTGAAAGTTCCCACATATTGGTGTTGGGAGGGCATCCACTAACATCGTTGCATATTTCAGAGTTTATGGACTTCTCAATAGAGCTGACATATAGTACAATGGAGATTGTAGGAGTGGGCAGAGAAAGGTAAAAAAATGCTGGAGTCATGTTGGAAAATGGTCACTGACCCAGAAAACTTCCAGAAGACACTTCCACCTCCCATGGGTACCGGTCGCCACTGCTCTGTATCTCTAACCTTATACCTGGAAATGGGGGCTGTAAGATTCTGAATAAGCATGCGAATGAGAAGCAGTAATAATATTAGCATCCTATTACAAACTGGCAGGGTACAATGTTCAAAATCAACCATACTTTAATCCATGCTTATAACTGGCAGTTCTATTAGCTGTGCTCAACCATTATTTATTGGTATTCTGGATTGGCTCTCAAGGCCACATATCTACAGTAGAAATGCACAAAAGGATTAGCAGAGAATCTAGCTGCAATATTACATTTTAAATTGTGTAGCATATTCATAATATTCTTAGATCAGTTTTTTTTCTTTATAAAGAATTCCTTTTTGTTCAACTTATTTGAAAAGTGACTTGCACTGGATTATTTTTAAAAATGAGTTTAGTTCAACTAGAATGAATGTCTTGAAGCCATTTTAGTCTCATCTTTGTACTGTATATAAAGTGAATACAGAAAATCTGCTCAAAATCATGAGTTATAAAAATCTACAGCTTTAAAGTGCCCAGTCTATTTTAATTTACTTACTGAATGATCAGTTTGGTATGTGATAGAATCTTAAATAACATTGATTTTGAAGTAACTGCATGGTGGATGTTTGCTGCTAGCTAAATAAGCATTTTTGGAACTTGGCGATAGGAATAAAACCTTGCTTTGAGTCAGAGGACATCACTAAAGCTGAGTCAAGTACCTGCCTGCCCAAGAGTTGGATAACCACTCCACAGAGTTATTGGGAGATACACCTCAGAGCAAGACAAGGAAGTGAGTCCTCAGTGACAGAAAGGGGGGGCTATGTGTAATTGAATGTGTGAAGCTTACTGATTAATGGATGACTGTGGGGACACACAGAGAATAAATATATAATAAATATAAATAAATAAACATATGGATGAAGGTTTGCACTGCCATGGAGTCAGTTTTTCTGCCTGCTTTCTTCATGTTAAGAGCTGAGTTGGTGACTGCCACACAGTCATGTATATCATCAAGATTAGGTAGGGCCCTAGAAGTTTTAGAGGCACCAAGAAAAACAAGAGCTTCTAGGAAGGGGGAAAGAGCTGGAAAAATTGTACAGAGAATGAGTATCATGAAGCACACTCTTACCAAAATTAGCGATGAATTCTGAAAGGAGGTTTTTCTATTCTCATAACCTGACTTTCTGGCTTCATGCATCTGTGATTGAAAAGACTTTCTATAATGGGAGACTTTATCAAGAAATTGAGTTAATAATGAAGGACAGTGACGGTTTGGCTCTGTGTTCCCACCCAAATCTCATCTCAAATTGTAATCCTCATAATCCCCACGTGTCGAGGGAAGGACCTATTGGGAGGTGATTGGATCATGGGGGTGGTTTCCCCCATGCTGTTCTCGTGACATTGAGTGAGTTCTCATGAGATCTGATGGTTTTATAAGTGTTTGACAGTTCCTTCTTCAAATGTTCTCTCTCTCTCTCCTACCGCCTTGTGAGGAAGGTGCCTGCGTCCCCTTTGCCTTCCACCATGATTATGTTTCCTGAAGCCTCCCCAGCCACGTAGAACTGTGAGTCAATTAAGGCTCCTTCCTTAATATATTACCCAGTATCGGGTATTCTTTATAGCGGTGTGAAAATGAACTAATACAAACAGAGCACACATTCGGTACTGAGGACTCATTACTCTTCTCCACACCTGCTCAAAGACAATTGACAGAAGAGTCAGAGTGGGTTCTGATGTCTGTCACTAATGCCTCCTCACAGAACTGATTCAACCTCATTTAACTCTTGGTTTCTGGAACCAGCTCAGTTCTTCCCTGCCTAGGCCTGCATGCCTGCTGCCTTTCTACTTGGGATGCTTCCCACTCTTCACAGGTCTGTTCCTTCTACAGCTTAATCTGTGCTTCCCCAGGGCAGCCTTTCCTGAGTATTTGATCTGGGCAGTTCACAATTTGTAATTGTGTATTTGTTTGTTTCCTTATTTGCCCCTTATTCCCTTGATGGCAGGTATATTAATTTGCTTGGGATGCTGCAACAAAGTACCACAGACTGGGTGACTTAAACAACAAAGATTTATTGTCTCACAGTTCTGAAGGCTGGACGTCTGAGATCAAGGTGTCAGCAGGGTTAGTTCCTTGTGGGGCCTCTCTCCTTGGCTTGTAGGTCTTCTCCCTGTGGCTTCGCATCATCTTCCCTCTTTGTGTGTTAGTGTCCAAATTTCCCCATACTGGATTAGGGCCCACCCTTGTGACCTCATTTTAACTTAATTGCTTCTGTAAAGACTCTATCTCCAAATACAGTCACATTCTGAGGTTCTGTGGATTAGAACTTCAACATATAAACGGAGGGGCCAGAATTCATCCCATAAAGGAGTTGGGTAACTTTCTCACCCAATGGAGTTGGGTAATTTTCTCACCAAAACAGGTGTATGGTTGCTCAGCACCTAGAACAGTGTCTGGCACATATAGACCTTTAACAAATGTTAGTTGAGTTAATGAATTACCTACTCTTCCTAGTTGTTTAAGGAGTGAATACTCCTGTAGGCCTAGCACAGACGCTTCACTGCAGTTTTTGCATTCTGGGAAATTCTCTTATTGCTTCAGGACTCTTAGTGGATGTACGTATTACTTTATACAGATCTTGCATCTTTCCTGAAAAGACTAAGCTCACTATTAGAGTGCAAGATGACAAGGTTCTAAAATAGAACAATCACATGTCACATAGATTCATACCCTTCTTTACAGAAGTGAACTTAGGTTGTCTCCAAGCTTTCTAGTTTACATGCTTCATAGGGTGCATCAGATAAAAACAGGTCAACTTCTCAGGACTATAGTGACTATCATCCACTGTTGTCGAGAATGGAGAAGAATCTCTCCTGGGTGTTCTTCTGAAGGAGACACTGCGTATCATGACAAACACATGTTGATAACATATTTTCAGTAAGACACATTAAGAAGTCTACAAGACTGCTTGTTTCTCTTTTTTGACTTTTTTAAAAGTTAATTGTGACTTATTTATAATTTCTGGTTATAAAACAGCACATGTTCATTCAAGAAAATCTGAAATATACAGGTAAGCAGAAAAGACATTAAAAATAGTCTAAAATCCCAGAACCTAGAAAAAACCAGTGTGGACATTCTTGCCTGTGTATATTTCTTGCCTTTTATTGTGCATGAATGTAATTTTTAGCAAAGGATTCAAACTACATATTATTTTCCAATGTTTTTAAATTAAACTACATATTATGCATATTTCTTCATGTTAATTATTCTTTTACAAATATTTTAATAGCTTCTATGTATCTCATTAAATAAAGGCATTTATTGCTCATCATCACTGGTCATCAGAGAAATGCAAATCAAAACCACAATGAGATACCATCTCACACGAGTTAGAATGGCGATCATTAAAAAGTCAGGAAAACAACAGGTGCTGGAGAGGATGTGGAGAAATAGGAACACTTTTACACTGTTGGTGGGACTGTAAACTAGTTCAACCATTGTGGAAGACAGTGTGGTGATTCCTCAAGGATCTAGAACTAGAAATACCATTTGACACAGCAATCCCATTACTGGGTATATACCCAAAGGATTATAAATCATGCTGCTATAAAGACACATGCACACATATGTTTATTGTGGCACTATTCACAATAGCAAAGACTTGGAACCAACCCAAATGTCCATCAATGATAGACTGGATTAAGAAAATGTGGCACATATACACCATGGAATACTATGCAGCCATAAAAAATGATGAGTTCCTGTCCTTTGTAGGGACATGGATGAAGCCGGAAACCATCATTCTGAACAAACTATCACAAGGACAAAAAGCCAAACACCGCATGTTCTCACTCATAGGTGGGAATTGAACAATGAGAACACTTGGACACAGGAAGGGGAACATCATACACCAGGGCCTGTCATGGGGTTGGGGGAGGGGGGAGGGATAGCATTAGGAGATATACCTAATGTAAATGATGAGTTAATGGGTGCAGCAAACCAACATGGCACATGTATACATATGTAACAAACCTGCCCATTGTGCACATGTACCCTAGAACTTAAAGTATAATAAAAAAATTTAATATCTATTAAGAAATAGTATTACTACTAAAATTTAAGTGTTCTTTAGATTACTTAAAAAAAAGAAACAAAAATAAAAGCATTTATTTATTGAGCCAATTCTTTGTTGTTGGATATTTAGTTTTTTTTTCCAAAGTTGGCTACTATAAGAAATGATGTAATGGACCTATTTATAGACCCATCTTTGGGAAAATTTATAATTATTTCCTTAGGACAAATTCCCAGAAGATCAAGGGTCAAATTTGAAAGTTTTTGATATGAAAGATAACTTTTCCTTATATAATGTCATGAAATGTATCCTCTGGACAGCTGTGTTTGAGGGTATCAGTTGCTTCCACACTTACCAACACTTGGTATATCATAGTCTTATTTAATTCTTGTCAATTTGATACACAAAAGGTGATATATACCTCATTTTTATTTTAGTGTGCATTTTATTACTAAAAAAGTTAAAGTTTCTTAAAAATAAAATAATTGGCTCTGCAATTTTGTGAATTACTCCTTATGGCCTTTGCTAATTTCAATTTAATTTTTTTTTTATTTGTGAAAGCTCTTTATTAAATGTATATTTTTTGCTTCATAGGTAGTAATGATATTTTCCCAATTTTGTTTGTGCTCTTCCAATAGAAGAGCATAGTATGCTTAAGATTTTTTATATATTGATTTTTTAATGTATATGAACTTAAAATTTTTTACATAGTCAAATAGACCAGTACTTTTCTTTCCTTCTTTTTTTTTTTTTGAGACGGAGTCTCGCTCTGTCACCCAGCCTGGAGTGCAGTGGTACGATCTCGGCTCACTGCAAGCTCTGCTTCCCGGGTTCATGTCGTTCTCCTGCCTCAGCCTCCAGAGTAGCTGGGACTACAGGTGCCCGCCACCATACCCGGCTAATTTTTTTGTATTTTTAGTAGAGACAGGGTTTCACCATGTTAGCCAGGATGGTCTCGACCTCCTGACCTAGTGATCCACCCGCCTCAGCCTCCCAAAGTGCTGGGATTACAGGCGTGAGCCACCGTGCCCGGCCCTTATAGACCAGTACTTTTCTTTATGATTTCTGTGGTTTGAATGTGTCCCTTAAAGTTCACGTGGTGGAAACTTAATCCCCACTATGTTGGGAGATGGGACCTTTAAGAGGTGGTTAGGTCATGAGGGCTTCACCCTCATTAATACATTAATATTATTATTGCTGAAATTGGTAAGTTATTGTGAAAGTGAGCTTGTTCTAAAAGCAAGGTTTGGCCCCCCCTTGCTCTCTTGCACTCTCTTGTGCTTGCTTGCTCTTCTGCCATCTGCCATGAGATGAAGCAGTAAGAAGACCCTATACTTAGTGGTTCAAAATGTCAATAATCATTTATTATCTCATGGATTTGGTGGGTCAGAAATTCAAGGCATAGTAGAAATAGTTTGTCTCCATACCACAATGCCTGGAGCTTCAGCTGGGGCAGATCAGAGGCTGGAGGCTGGAATCCTCTGAAGACTCATTCACTCACATATCTGAGGCTGATACTGGCCATTGGCTTGGGGCCTAGCTGGGACTGTCAGCTGAAACACCCACATATGTCCTCCCTCCATAGCATGGGCTTCTTCACAAACTGATAGCTGGGTTTTCAAGGGTGAATGTAACGAGAGAGAGAGAGAGAGAGAGAGAGTTACAAGCTAATATATAGATAAAATTTCCATATACATTATTTTATTTAGTCACCTTGCACTGTTGGAAATAACTTACTTTGAGTCCATTACTGAGATATTTTTAATGGTATAAAGCCTTGAAAAATTCCAAGCTAAAGATATTTTTGTTACATCGTCTGGAGTAGAGCTTCAAGCTTTTATGTCCCATGTGTATATGCACTGTAGTAAATGAAAAGCAATTTTCTAGGAGAATCTTAGCCTGGTCCACAGTTTTCCCATGTCTCACCTTAAAGCAGAGGTGATATGACTTACTATTCAGGTACGTAGTCTTGTTACGCTTTTTGCAAAAGGAATTCAGATATCGACCCTACTCCCAGGCCATTAATCTTCTACAAAAGTATTCCAACATAGAAGGACTGACTGTCGGAAGTTATCAGTGATGGTTAATGTTAGGTGTCAACTTGACTGGATTAAGAAATACCTAAAGCATTATTTTTGGTTGTATCTGGGAGGGTGTTTCCAGAGATTAATGTGTGAGTCTAAGTGGACTAAGTGAGGAAGATCCACTCTCAGTGTGGGCCAGTACCATCCAATCAGCTAGGGGCCCAAAGAGAACAAAACAGAGAAAAGACAAATGTGTCCATTTATCTGCAGGAGCTAGAATACACTCTTTCCCTCCTGTTCTCAGACATCAGAACTCTGGGCTTCATGGCCTTTGGACTCCAGGACTTACACCAGTGGATCTCCAGGTTCTCAGGCCTTCAGCCTTGAACCAAAGGTTACATTATTAGCTTTCCTGGTTCTGAGACCTTTGGACTTGGATTGAGCCACTCTACCGATTCCCAGGGTCTGCAGCTTGCAGACGGCCTGTCATGAGACTTCTCAGCCTTCATAATCACGAGCCAATTTTTGTAATAAATTCCCTCATAGCTCTCTCTCTCTCTCTCTCTCTCTTTCTATATATATATATTCTATTGGTTCTATATTTCTGGAGAACTCTGACTAATACATCTTGAATCCCTTTTAACAGCATGTACTCTCCCTCAACTTCTGCAACTATTTGGGGGAGGATATTTTGGAATATGAGGTTAATTTTCACACAAATATTTAGTCACATTCTATAATAAATATTATTTTAAATGCTATAACTATCATACACTAAATTCTTAAATATTCTTGTTAATTAAATGTCTGTTCTGGACTTTATATTTTTGTTATTTTGATTTGTTTATCTATTCCTGCACCAGTACCACATTGTTCAAATTATCACGGCTTTATGAGACATTTCAACAGTTGGTTTCATCTTTTCTCATTTGTCTTTTTAGAATTTTCTTGGTTCTTCTTGCACATTTCTTCCTTTGGATAAACTTTAAAAGCATTTTGTCAAGCTGCAAAAATGTTCAGTTGGTATTGGATTAGATTAGCAACATATTACATTTGTAAAGCAAGCTGAGAAGAATTCATACTTTAACAATAATGTGTTTCTTTTATTGAGAAACATTGTCTTTCTCTATTTTAAACTTTTGCTTTTAGTGTTTTTGAGTTTTCTTTGCCCAGTATTGAACACTTCTTGTTAATATCATTTGTAAAATGTTATTTTTTTGTTCACTTTGTGTATGAAATAATATTTAGTTGTAAATACATGAAAGCTATTGACGCTTGTATCTTTATGTTAGCGCCACTTCCAAGTAGTTATAACATTCCATGGATGATTTCCTTAAAGTTTCAAAGTAGGTTTAAAAAATTGAAAATATGTTCATTTTGTCCTCTTTTCACTGTTGATACCTCATTTTTTTTTCTTGTTTTATTGTGTTGTTCAGAATGCACAAGAAAAGAAAAAGAATAGTTGTGATTTTAGGCACCCTTATTTATTCCTTATCACTCCTCACTTATACACCACTTATCATGTTAAGAAAGTTTATTTCATCCAGTATACCACATAAACTCTATTTATAATTATTGGATATTTTATTTTATCATTGATTAATTATTTAATTCTATTGAAATTCTGGCTTTTCTTCCTTGATATGATAAATTATGTTAGTAGATTTAAAAATATTAAATAACCTTTGCACTCCTGATATATATAGGCTCTTTTTTGTGGTACGTTATTCTTTTATTTTCATTCTGGACTTAGTTTGCCAATGCTATGTTTAGAATTTTTATTTCTATATATTCACCACTATATATAATGGAGTTTTTCTCTCTGAGTGTTTAATTTTTATCAGGTTTTCATACTGTGGTTTTACTAACTTCATGAAATGAATTGGAAACTTTCCATCATTTTCTCTACTTTGGAATTATTTAAATCACATTCGAATATTATAAAAATGAAAATAACCCAGTAATTCTTCTTCCACAAGTCTTGTAATTTATTCCATGGTTTCTGGTCTATTCCAATATCTTACTTTTTCTTGAACCAGTTTGTAAGGCTGTTTCTCAGAAAAGTGCTTCTGGAACGTTGATGTGCACACATATCTCCTAGGGATCTCATTAATGTATAGAATCTGATTCAGCAGGAGTATACCATGGAATCCAAGTATCCCACTCTCTAGTGTTTTACCTTAATTAGAGAAAGACATCAGAATAGCTACAGAGGTGGAGTATCTAAGGTCTTCTCCAGAAGCAGACTAGATTTGAGGATTCATGTTTATGTGATTTTATTTAAAAAGTGCTCCCATAAAAATCTGGCAAGATAGCCTATACAACATGGTGAGACCCTGTCTCTACAAAAATTAAAAAATATATATATAGCCGAACATAGTGGCTATATTGGAGTGCAGCAGGTGGAAGGAGTGCTTGAGCCCAGGAGGTTGAGGCTGCAGTGGGCCATGTTTGAATCACTGCACTCCAGCCTGGGCAACAAAGTGGGACCTCTAAAAATAAAAAATAAAAAAATCTGGCAGGGGAGTGAGGGAAGCAGGATAGAGAAGGGGAAAAGTCAAGCAAGGGTGAAAGTACAGATAACATCATAGCCTCAGCCTGATTTTGCAGGGAGCCCTGAGGGTTAAATTATAACTCAGAGTTTATACTGATGGGGACAAAAGACCTGGGCTTCATTCTCCTGTACCCATCAGTCATTGGTTAAAGACTGTGGGTCCAGTAGTGGGTAGACGTGAGATAAACTCCCAGGTACTTACTGCTCTAGTGCCTGTGAACAAATTGGCTCCAGTAGCCTGTGATTAATCCTCCCCCAAATAGTTGCAGAAGTTGAGGGAGAGTACATGCTGTTAAAAGGGATTCAAGATGTATTAGTCAGAGTTCTCCAGAAATATAGAACCAATAGAATATATATATATAGAAAGAGAGAGAGAGAGAGAGAGAGCTATGAGGGAATTTATTACAAAAATTGGCTCGTGATTATGAAGGCTGAGAAGTCTCATGACAGGCCGTCTGCAAGCTGCAGACCCTGGGAATCGGTAGAGTGGCTCAATCCAAGTCCAAAGGTCTCAGAACCAGGAAAGCTAATAATGTAACCTTTGGTTCAAGGCTGAAGGCCTGAGAACCTGGAGATCCACTGGTGTAAGTCCTGGAGTCCAAAGGCCATGAAGCCCAGAGTTCTGATGTCTGAGAACAGGAGGGAAAGAGTGTATTCTAGCTCCTGCAGATAAATGGACACATTTGTCTTTTCTCTGTTTTGTTCTCTTTGGGCCCCTAGCTGATTGGATGGTACTGGCCCACACTGAGAGTGGATCTTCCTCACTTAGTCCACTTAGACTCACACATTAATCTCTGGAAACACCCTCCCAGATACAACCAAAAATAATGCTTTAGGTATTTCTTAATCCAGTCAAGTTGACACCTAACATTAACCATCACTGATAACTTCCGACAGTCAGTCCTTCTATGTTGGAATACTTTTGTAGAAGATTAATGGCCTGGGAGTAGGGTCGATATCTGAATTCCTTTTGCAAAAAGCGTAACAAGACTACGTACCTGAATAGTAAGTCATATCACCTCTGCTTTAAGGTGAGACATGGGAAAACTGTGGACCAGGCTAAGATTCTCCTAGAAAATTGCTTTTCATTTACTACAGTGCATATACACATGGGACATAAAAGCTTGAAGCTCTACTCCAGACGATGTAACAAAAATATCTTTAGCTTGGAATTTTTCAAGGCTTTATACCATTAAAAATATCTCAGTAATGGACTCAAAGTAAGTTATTTCCAACAGTGCAAGGTGACTAAATAAAATAATGTATATGGAAATTTTATCTATATATTAGCTTGTAACTCTCTCTCTCTTTCTCTCGTTACATTCACCCTTGAAAACCCAGCTATCAGTTTGTGAAGAAGCCCATGCTATGGAGGGAGGACATATGTGGGTGTTTCAGCTGACAGTCCCAGCTAGGCCCCAAGCCAATGGCCAGTATCAGCCTCAGATATGTGAGTGAATGAGTCTTCAGAGGATTCCAGCCTCCAGCCTCTGATCTGCCCCAGCTGAAGCTCCAGGCATTGTGGTATGGAGACAAACTATTTCTACTATGCCTTGAATTTCTGACCCACCAAATCCATGAGATAATAAATGATTATTGACATTTTGAACCTCTAAGTATAGGGTTGATTTGCTAACTGAGACATGCACAGTAATATTTCCCGACTAAGACACCACTGTCATATACTAAACTTCAAAATATACATAGATTGATTTATAAACCCTCATATTCATTGATCTGTTTAGTAGTATCTATTGTGGAAAGTTTCCCTTTGTATTAGTATATACATAGGTAATGCTATGGTAAAATACAAAACTCCAAAACTCTGTAGCTTAATACAACAAAGACTTATTTCACAGTGGCACACATTCCACCATGGGTCAGTCAACTCTCTGGGCCAGTTCTGTTTCATGTAGAGATTCAGTGACATAGGCCGTTTTCATGTTTTGATGCTGCAATCTTCATGTATGGCCTTCATGTCACTGAAGTATGAGAAGAGAGAGCTGGAGAGTTTATGCCCACGATCTTAAACACTGATTCGGAAGTGGTACCTTTCCTGCCCATTGGCCAGAACTGGTTCCATGGTCCCATCCACAACAAGGGGGTTGAGTAATGTGGAGGAACACATGGAAACTGAGTGAGCAATAAGTGTTCTTGCCGTGTCTTCATTATTCATTGTTTATTTTTCTAGAAATTTCTTAGTTATTCTTATCCAAATATTGGCCCTGAAAAATTTTATAATCCAATGTACTAAGTTTTAATTACTTTTATTTTTTAAAAAAACAGATGTTTTTATTATTATACTTTAAGTTCTAGGTTACATGTGCACAACGTGCAAGTCTGTTACATATGTATACATGTGCCATGTTGGTGTGCTGCACCCATTAACTCGTCGTTTACATTAGGTATCTCTCCTCATGCTATTCCTCCCCGCTCCTCCCACCCTACAACAGGCCCCGGTGTGTGATGTTCCCCACCCTGTGTCCAAATGTTCTCATTGTTCAATTCCCACCTATGAGAGCATGCGGTGTTTGGTTTTCTGGCCTTGCGATAGTTTGCTGAGAATGATGGTTTCCAGCTTCATCCATGTCCCTACAAAGGACATGAACTCATCCTTTTTATGGCTGCATAGTATTCCATGGTGTATATGTGCCACATTTTCTTAATCCAGTCTATCATTGATGGACATTTGGGTTGGTTCCAAGTCTTTGCTATTGTGAATAGTGCCGCAATAAACATACGAGTGCATGTGTCTTTATTGTAGCATGATTTATAATCCTTTGGGTATATATCCAGTAACGGGATTGCTGGGTCAAATGGTATTTCTAGTTCTAGATCCTTGAGGAATCACCACACTGTCTTCCACAATGGTTGAACTAGTTTACAGTCCCACCAACAGTGTAAAAGTGTTCCTATTTCTCCACATCCTCTCCAGCACCAAAACAGATCTTTTTGTTTGGGGAAGAGGAGCAGGAAATAAGCTAAAACAAAGAGGAACCCAAATAATTCCATGTTTCACATTGTTGGACATTTTTATCTGTTCCACCATCCCTATCAACCAAGACCCTTTTGATTCCTGATTAAGTATTATAGATCATGATTTAATGCCTCGTTCATTTAGCTTGGGCCATAACCAATTCCTGGCTCTAGACCCAAAAGCTGAGGAAAGGACAATTACATTTTCAGATTTCCTTGATAATTTCTCTTTAGAGCAATAAAGAATATAAAAGTGATCTGTATGGGAATAACTATATCTGAAGCATCATTGTTGCCTACTTGAAACATTGGTCTGAGAAACCTAAACTTGAAGCACAAAATAGACATATCATGTGAGAGGAATGTCCAATAATTTAAGAGTTCTGTAGTTTGGAAGGAAGAAAGAGTAAAATATAGCCATATTAAAGATAGAAGAAAATGTTGTGTTCAAAAGAAAACAAGCCTTGCTCAAAAAGCTTTGAAATAATTATATAATTTTAATTGAAATCTCTGGAAGAGTAGGCAAAATATGTGTTTTTGTCAATTTCATGTTTAGTTGGCAGGGAATTCTCCTTAGAGGAGTGAGGAGAAAGCTGTGCTTTTAATATTGTGCCTTCATCATCTTTTGTGTCTGTATTTGTAGAAATATTCCCCCATTGCCTTGGAACATGATGCTTCAGGTCTATATCAAGCCTGCCTTGTGCAGTAAATCACAGGTATCATTTTGAGATTACATTGTGCTTGAATGTTTCTTCTTTTCTTGGTGTGAGCAACCAAGAGTCTGCCTGGAATAGAAGTGAACACTAGGCCTGCTCCAGACTTCTAAATATTGACACAATCTGGGCAGAAGACAGCGTGAAGCCCTTTTCCCTTTCGTATTCACTCCTAAGATGATCCAGTTTCATGGCTTTCAAAGGTATCTACATGCTGATGACTCCAAAATTTGTATCTGCAGTCTAGATCTCTCCCCTGAACTCCAGGTGCTGTCCATTTCTCTATTTGTGTGTCTATTAGGCATTTACAAAGCAGAATTCTTGGTTCCACCTCCACCCCGACTATACACTTCTTCAATCTTCCTTATTTCTGTCAGTGACAACATGATTAAATCAGTTATTCAGGACAACAACCTATACATCCTCCTTGATTCCCCCTTTCCCCCTTAAATTCTAAAGCCAACCCATCACCAAGTTCCTTAAGAAATCTATATTGAGAGTATTTCCAGAATCCAACCACATTTCACCACTCCACCACTACAAACTGAATCCAAGTTTTTACTAAGAGGAACTGTTAATTTGTCCATGAATTATTTCCTGCAGAGAGAAAAGTAGCCTCTTGCAAATCTCCATAGAAACTGGCCAAGGCCAGTACTTAAGGCAATCAATCTTGGTCAACCATGAGGCTTGGACCTCAGCCCTCCAAGCATGCCCGAATAGGGGCCGATGCTTCTCCAGTCATGAACACAGATGCGGCAAATCTTGCTGTTAGCTTTCTGTGTTATACAGCTGCAGCATGGAGCTTTGATTCTTCCTGCACTTTCGTAACACTAGAAGAGGAGCTGGCAGGATAGGCGTGGGACAAGGTTCTGCTATATCATATTGTTATTATATCCTGGTCCCCAATCACACCAGAGGCAAGACTGGCAAGATAGAGATGGAGCATGGTTCTACTATGTAAATACTGTTATTACATCCTGGCCCTTCATCATATCAGAATAGAGCCTGGTTCTTCCCTAAATTATTCAGCACAAAAGCTTCATGTCCCAACAGTCATGTCTCTTTTCCACATCTGACTTTGGGGAGCTACCCCAGAGGGTGAGGTACAATGGGAAACTCACAGATCTGCAATAAATACTGTTCCAGCAGGTCTGCTCTGTTTGTCATCAGAACATTTGTCCTTCTTGCCCAATAGATGTTCTAATATGTCTAAATCAGAGCTCTTGGCTTTGCCTCCCACATCTACTATACGTATTTTCTGATCTTCCCTATTTTAGTTAAATGGGAACTCCGATTAATCACTAGTTGTTCACACCAAAAACCCAAGTGCCATTACTAATTCCTTTTCCTCACCCAGGCCATAAATTCAATTCATCAACAAGTTCTGCAAAAGCTCTACTTTCAAAATATAGTCAGAATTCCATCATGTTTCACTGCATTGGCCTCCTAACCAGACTGCCTATTTCCACGAAAGACCCAGGGTGATCTTTTATGAACATGAACCAGATCAGGTCATCCTCTAGTTCAAAACTCCCCAGTGGCTTCCTATCACATTACAATGCACTGAAAATGCCTTACAGTGCCCAGAGGCTTGACATGATCTGACCCTTGACACATTTCCTTCTACTCTTGCTCTTCTTATTCACTCTGCTGCAGCCATAGTGGCCTCCTTTTTATGCTCCCCTCCAAAGGCTGTCTCCTCTGCCTGGAGTAGTCTTCTTCTAGCCCTTGCATGACCTCTCTTACTTCACCCATATCCCTGCTCAAATACCACCTCCTCCTAGGAGCATTTCCTGATCACCCAATGTAAAATAGCACTCCCCTTCACTCCGTATCCCCTTATCCTTTTGGATTTTCTTCATTGCACTTATAATGACCTGAGAGTTTATTGTCTATTTGTTTATGAGCTTGTTGTCTGTCTCTTTAATGGAATGTCAGTTTCATGAGAGCTGGGACCTTGTCTATCTTGTTTGCTATTCTAATCTTAAGGCCTAAAACAGGGCTTGACACTGCTCAAAAATTATTTGTTGAATAAATGGGACTGAAAAAAGGTTGGAAAATCATTTCTCAGATACCTGGGAAAATCAAGGAGCATTTCTGAAAATCTTATTATTCATCAACTCAGTAAGGAAAGATAGGGTTTTCTGTATTTAATTGGCGCTTAATAAATGCAGATTGAATCAACAAATGAATAAAATGAAGTTGCTTCTATTTATCTCATAGAAAAACTGTGGACTACCTTTAAGTCTTTTTTTCATTTTTTAATAAAGACTATTTATATACTTTGTAAATAAAGGATAAATACAGATATGTTGAAGGAACAGAATAGTAAAAAAGTTATAGCAGTTACCAGATTTCAGAACTGTCTTTCTCAGTGGTTTTGGTAATACTTTCTAATATATTTCAAAAATGTGTAATAATATACTTTTTAATATTTCCTTCAAGTAAATGCTTATACATGCAATTGGAGTCAGCAGGAAACATTCTGCAGTATGTTGTCATGCTGCAGTAAAAAATATTCAGTTATTTTCCTAAACGATAAATAAATAATTCTTAAAATAGTTATTTCTGATCACCGTTTTACTGATGTGGACACGATGGGAACACTGTTCATTGAAATGAAAGACAAACTCTTTGATTTACACTCTAAATTTACTAGTTCTTTTTTTTGTTGTTTAATTAAAATAGTGCAGGGGGGAAACCAGGGGCAAATGGAAGCACATCTCAGAGGAAACTCTGGGAGTATGAGGTGTACCAAATTCCTGGCTGTCACCCAGCTGCTGGGCCATGAATCCAGCAATATGGCTTTCTCAAGGGTACATGAATTGGGTGCATCTTAATATTTAAGTTCTGGCCTTTCTCTTTCCTTTATAATATTTCTTGGGTTTTTGTTTGTTTTCTTTTCTTATAAGTCTTTATAAGTTATTGTCATGAGAGAAGGAATTGATGCCTGCCAGAGAAAGGACTCTAATGGGTACTTTGTTTGTTTGTTGGCTTTTAGAGACAGGGTCTCTATCACCCAGGCTGGAGTGCAGTGGCATGATCATAGCTCACCGTAATCTTGAACTCCTGGGCTCAAGTAATCCTCCTGCCTTAGCCTGAGTAGTTACGGCTACAGGCATGTGCCACCATGCCCAGCAATTTTTTTTTTTTTTTTTTGTAGAAATGGGGTCTCACTATGTTGCCCAAGCTGGTCTCAAACTCTTGGCCTCAAGCAGTCCACCCACATCAGTCTCCCATCTGAAGGGTTTGTTTTGTTTTGTTTTGCTTCAAATTTTGACGTTTATTTTAGATATTTTAGATACATGTGCAGATTTGTTACATATGTATATTGCACACAGGTAGTGAGTACAGTACCCAATAGGTAGTTTTTCAACCCACAGCCTCTTCCTCCCTCCCCCATCTAACAGTGTGCAGTGTCTATTGTTCCCATGTTTATGTCCATGTGTACTCAGTGTTTAGCTCCCACTTATAAGTGAGAACATGTGGTATTTGGTTTTCTGTTCCTGCATTAGTTTGCTTGGGATTATGGCCTCCAGTTCTATCTATGTTGCTGCAAAAGACTTAATTTCATTCCTTTTTATAGCTGTGTAGTATTCCATGGTATATATGTACCACATTTTCTTTATCCAATCAACCATTGATAGGTACCTAGGTTGATGGCATGTCTTTGCTGTTGTGAATAGCACAATGATGACCATATGAGTGCATGTGTCTTTTTGGTAGAATGATCTATTTTCCTTTGGGTATATACCCAGTGATGAGATTTGCTGGGCCAAATGGTAGTTCTGTTTTAAGTTCTTCGAGAAATATCCGGACTACTTTTCCCAGTGGCTGAACTAATTTACATTCCCACCTGCAGTGTGTAAGCATTCCCTTTTCTCTGCAGCCTTGCCAGCATGTGTTATTTGTTTACTTTTTAGTAATAGCCATTATTATTTTTTTTTTTTGAGATGTGGTTTCGCTCTTGTTGCCCAGGCTGGAGTGCAATGGTGTGATCTCAGCTCACTGCAACCTCCGCCTCCCAGGTTCAAGTGATTCTCCTGCCTCCGCCTCCCTGGTAGCTGGGATTACAGGCATGCGCCACCACTCCCAGATAATTTTTTTTTTTTTGTATTTTTAGTAGAGACGGGGTTTCTCCATGTTGGTCAGGCTGGTCTCAAACTCCCAACCTCAGGTGATCTGCCTGCCTTGGCCTCCCAAAGTGCTGGGATTACAGGCATGAGCCACTGCGCCTGGCCAGTAATAGCCATTTTGACTGGTGTAAGATGATACCTCATTGCGGTTTTGATTCGTGTTTCTCTAATGAGTAGTGATGTTCAGCATTTTTTTCATATGCTTGTTAGCTGTGCATATATCCTCTTTTGAAAAGTGTCTGTTCATGCCCTTTGCCCATTTTTAATGGGATTATTTGTTTTATGCTTGTTGATTCGTTTAAGTTCCTTATATTTTCTGGATATTAGACCTTTGTTGAATACATACTTTGCAAAAATTTTCTCTCATTCTGTAGGTTGTCTGTTTACTCTATTGATACTTTCTTTTGTTGTGCAGAAGTTCTTTAGGTTAATTAGGTCCCACTTGTCAATTATTGTTTTTGTTGCAATTGAAGCCTTTTATTTTTTCTTGCCTCAAACCACCAAATATGTTTTTTTAAGATTAAGTTTTAATTGAGAAAGTCATCCATAAATTTGGGACAAAGAAACTGTTCAATATGTGAAAAAATTATTTTGAGAATAATAAAGAAGTGTCAAGTATGATGACTAGTATGATTTTCTTTTTTGCTGGGGGAAGATCAAGAAATATAATTTTTCTTTGAATATCCCGTCAATGGCTATTCATTGTTTCAAAAGTGTACATTAATTATAAGCTGTCTGTACAAACTCTAACAATAATTGCTTTTATGTGAGATTGACCTTAAGTAAGATGAAAATGAACCTTATAGGAATTTGTTGAGCTACTAATGAAAATAGTGATCCTGAAACATGCAAAGTTAATTAACAATATATTTCTAAGTGAATTTCGTATTTTATACAAAAGTAGGGGAATATTTCTTAATCCTGTAAAATTTTAAGAATTTGAGCAAATAAGATTTGACAGTAGTGTCTATTATTTTATAGCAAGAACATAAGAAATTGAAGTTCAAATACGACAGAAACAGTTCTGTCTCATTCTATGGAGGAAGTTATTACTTCCTAGCCTGCCAGTAGTTTTGTAGGCATTATAATATGGGAGTCAAAGGCCTTGGGTCTGTTTATAGCTGGAACTAAGTTCACCATTTCCTTAGGTGTTCTACAGCAAGGCCTTGTCTAACAACAACACAGAGCAATAATGTCTGAAATCAAAAGAAGTGGCAGTTCAATGTCTCAAATAACCTTCACACTGAGCCTCTTAAATCGGTTTTCTTTACCCATAAAACAGATGAAGTAACTGAGGCTGTAAGAAGTCAATAACTTTCCCAAAATTGCAGACCTAAATCAGTTTCCAGGCTGGGGCAACTGTGATACAATTGAGTTGAGGATACAAAAAAATGTAGCAGCATTATAGTAGCAGATGATCGGCCTGACTGCTACCAGTGAGAGATGCCAATGGGATACTTAAATGGAGACTTTTTCAGGAGAAAGTGAAATTCTCATTCTGGAGTTCAGGAAGTGGGTCAAGAGAAATTGACATCCAACAAACATTTGAATGGTGAATCGAATAAATCATCAGGTGTGTGTGAGTGGAGAAGAGAATTGAGGCCTTGGAGGAAAGGAATGCCAGGGTAGTAATGGATCCTATAACATAATGAAGACTAAGGGAAGAAAGAACTTTAAGGAAGAGTTGCTTATTTGTGTCAGATACTATTGAGGGGTCCTTTGGGGTAAAAATAAGACCTTTGAAATAAAATGGACATCAGGGATCTTTTCCTTGCATGGAGGCCCCCAGAAGTTTGGCAGCGTACTAACTGATGATTTTAATAACCATGTTTCTCACCTAAATGAGGAAGGGCTAATTTTAGAACCATAGTGAAACAAGATGACACACTTTATTACAGGATATTTTTCCCACTTAAAGACAAGTCTTTTTTTCTCAAATGTTCTTTGGACCTACTTGAATCCTTACATTTTTAATTTTGTGTATAAAATATTTTTTCATTATCTTTATGGAGTAACTCACAGATAATTTATTTAAAAAGCAACGAGTTAGATAATAATCTTAATTTTTCTATTACATAACAATGTTGCTCTTAAAATGATTTTTACAAAGTTCAAAAGGTGCTTCAATTTAGAGCCAAGTCTTTTTTCTTTTGTCATCTTTTTATAAACCAAAGAGTGTGCCTTATTTATGCCTTTGATGAGATGTACAGTATGTTGTAAAAAAAGATATTCTCTCAGTGCTCTGAAGAAGCTCATAAAATGGTGGAAAAGATGCCAAAAGAAATCATTCATTAAAATTAGTGCATATCGGCTGGGCGCGGTGGCTCACGCCTGTAATCCCAGCACTTTGGGAGGCCGAGGCGGGTGGATCATGAGGTCAGGAGATCGAGACCATCCTGGCTAACAAGGTGAAACCCCGTCTCTACTAAAAAAAATACAAAAAATTAGCCGGGCGCGGTGGCGGGCGCCTGTAGTCCCAGCTACTCGGGAGGCTGAGGCAGGAGAATGGCGTGAACCCGGGAAGCGGAGCTTGCAGTGAGCCGAGATTGCGCCACTGCAGTCCGCAGTCCGGCCTGGGCGACAGAGCGAGACTCCATCTCAAAAAAAAAAAAAAAAAAAAAAAAAAAAAAATTAGTGCATATCTAGTGGTTCATTGGCTTGAATTTACACTATGAAATTGTTTATTAACTGATTGACTATGTACATGTGTAATAGCTAAACATTGGGTACAGTTGTGATGGGTAAAAACTGCTCTTTGGTATCATCTGACATTCTCTGTTTTTGTTTCTTTCCCTGAGGTTGTCTCTTTAATCAGGTAACATTTAGGGGGAGGGGAGAGAACATGCCATGCTTTGTGTGTGTGTGTATGTGTGTGTTTTAAATAGACTTCATTTTTTAGAGCAGTTTTAGGTTCACAGTGAAATTGAGTGGAAAGTAAAGAGAGTTACCATGTATCCTCTGTCTCCACACCCACAATGTCTCCCCCACTATTGATATCCTGCACCAGAGTGGTACATTTGTTATAGTCAGTGAACCTACACTGATACATAATTATCACCCAGAGTCCATAGTTTTCATTAGGGTTCACTCTTCATATTGTAAATTCTATGGAATTGGACAAATGTATAATAACATGCATCCACCATTACAGTATCACACAAAGTAGTTTCACTGCTCTAAAAAATCCTCTGTGCTCCATCTATTTATCTCTCTCCCTAACCCCTAGCAACCACTGATCTTTTAGCTGTCTTCATAGTTTTGCCTTTTCCAGAATGTCATGTAGTTGGAATCATACAGTATGTGGCCTTTTCAGATTGGCTTCTTTCACTTAGTAATATGCATTTAAGTTTCCTCAATGTCTTTTCATGGCTTGATAGCTCTTTTTTCATGCTAAATAATATTCCATTGTCTAAATGTACCACAGTTTATTTATTCATTCACCTATGGAAGAACATCTTAGTTGCTTCCAAGTATTGACAATTATGAATAAAGCTGCTATAAACATCTGTGTGCAGACATACACGTGTGTGGACATAAGTTTTTAACTCATTCGGTTAAATACTAAGGAATGTGAGTGCTGGATTCTATGGTAAGACTTTGTTTAGTGTTGTAAGAAACTACCAGACTGTCTTCCAAAGTGGTTGTGCCATTTTGCATTTCCACCAGCAACAAATGGGAGTTACTGTTTCTCCACATCCTCACCAGCACTGAGTGGTGCATTGAGTGGTGTGGTGGTGTTGATGTTTTGAAGTTTGGCCATTTTAATAGGTGTGTAGGAGCTTCTAATTGCAGATTTAATTTGCAATTCCCTGATGACATATGATGTGGAACATCTTTCCATATGCTTATTTGCCATCTGTATATCTCCTTTGGTGAGATATCTGTTTTAAGTATTTTGCTCATTTTTAAAATTAGGTTGTTTGTTTTCTTACTGTTGAGTTTAAGAGTTCTTTGTGTATTTTCAATATCAGTCCTTTATCCGATGTGTCTTTTGCAAATATTTTCTCCCAGTCTGTGGCTTTTATTCTCATTCTCTTGACATTGTATTTAACAGAGGAGAAGTTTTTAATTTTAGTGAGGTCAAGCTTATCAGTTATGTCTTTCATGGACAGGGCCTTTGGTGTTGTAAAGGGAGCTTTTAAAAATACCAAATGCCCAGCCCCCACTTTTAGACATTTTATTTTAATTAGCCTGGGTGAGGCCTGAGCCTTAGCATTTTTTAAACTCTCCATTCAGTCCTAAAGTTTAAAAGTACAAGTCTAAAGCCGTGGAGACCTTTCTGTAGTTTCAGGCAGTAGCTTTCTATGATTAAAAGCAAAAACAAAGCTACTATTTGTTTTACTGGTGACAGTCTACTTTTCTGGCTTTCCTCCCACCTCTTTGACTTCTTCTTTTCAGTCTTATTCAGTGTAGGGGAGATCCAGGACTCCTCCTAGTTCACCATTTCTTCTTTAGCTAGAATCTGTTTCTGGGTGATCTCAATCAAATAGCTTTAAATACGCTCCATAGTTTGACAACCTCCAAATGTATAGCTCCAGCTCTGAAACTGGCCCTGAAATCCAGACCTGTATATCAACCCATCTTCTTTACCTTTCAACTTCGATGTCTTACAAGAATGTCAAACTGAACCTGTTACAAATGGAGTTAATGCATACAGCGCCACCCCTCACCAAACCTGTGCTTCCCTCACTCCACCATGGGGCAGGAATCACCCTTGATTTTTCTCCTTTTTTTTAACTCCCACGTCCAAGGCAGAGGCCAATATATCTGAAATCTGTTCACTTCACTCTATCTCCACTACTTCAACCTTGGTGCAAGCTACCACCTTCTCTTGTCTAGGAGACTTCAGTGACTTCTCTCCTGCCACACTTTGTTCCTTCCCACCTCCCTATCTGCACATGATCCATCTTGACATATGAGCCAGAGTGAGCTTCCTGATTGAAGAGACAGACAAAGAGCAAACTCTTCTCTCTTTCCCTCTAGACTCCTGAATCTCAGTGTGATTTCTAGAGTTCCATCAGCCATCTGGCATCCACGAATTGACCTGCCAGAGGAAAACGGAAGCCAACAGTGCTGAGTATCATGGAAGTGGAAGGAGCTTGGGTTTTTGATGATATCATGGAGCCACTATACCAGCCCTAGAACTGCCCAGTTCCAGATTGAGCACCATAAATGTCCTTATGTTTTAAGCTATTGATACTCAAGGTTTTGTCATTTGTCTTTAATGTGTCCTTATGGACATACTCCTACACCACAACCGTAGAAACTTTGTCTGTCTTATTCAATGCCAGATCCCCTGGGATGAACACAGCTCGGGCAGTTAGGAGGCACTCAAAGAAATTTTTTTTTCTGTATTTCAAAGTTTATTTCAAATTATTTATTATGGCTTTGTGATAATGACTTTTAAATGGTCATGCTTTCTGAAAAAGTTTTTTTTTCATAAAAGAATATTTGTTGAATGAATGCATGGATGAAAGAAAATACCTGTTTGCACCCCTGCCAGGCTACTTACCTTTGCTCCTCTGCTTAATCTCCTTCCACATATATAACCTCTTCTTTAACTGTCTGGCTTGCCATTCTATCCTCTCCTTTTTAACCTCATCTGGCCCCAGATCCGTGGCCTGGTTTCACTCTGCTCATCACACCCTCCTGGCTTACGGTAGCCTAAATTTAAGCCCAGGCAAAATGTATGGCTGCAAGTCACTGCAAAAACTCATTTGTCCTCTAGTTCCCACTCTGTGCCGTCAAAGCCCAGATCCAATGGCGTTCTCCTGGATGTACCACTTCCTCTTATTGTACCTTTTGCTTTTCTTGTGGCACTTACCATGCTCTACCTTGCAGTGTCTTCACAAGTGAACATTTCTCTCTTCCCTATAATATCATAAACATTTTTAAGAACTGGATCCATGTCCTACTTTTATGTGTCTCCCCAACAAATAGCAGAGCGTTACTATGTAGGTGTTGCTCAGGGAGTTTCTGTTGAATAGGGGCAGCAGAGCATAGTAGGTAAGCCATGGTCTTTGGAGACAAGAAAGCCAAAGTTCATACCTACCATTTGCCTGCTGTGTCAACCACAGGCAAGCCACCTAATTTCTCAGAGCCTCAGTTTTTCCATTTGTAAAATAGAGACATTAATGGTATCTCCTTTATAGAGTTGTTGTATATCTCTTTGAAAGAGATAATACATATAGAATATTTGGCACAGAGGCTGACAGAGCGTAAACACCCGTTAAGTGGTTGCTATTACTATTAACAGGTATTTTTGAATGAATGAATACTATCATATTCATGGACAATAGAAATTAGCATTCTCACAGAAAATTATAAACTGTGCCTCATAGATTATGCTGGTATACTGGGATTACACAAATGCACATACACCATGGATCTTCTCATACACCCACAAAGGAATTTCCTACTTTTGCAATACTATAGCAGAGACTAGAGCAGACTGACAATGAATCTGAAGCCATTTATTTGTTTGGGAAAGTAACTATGAGGAAGTGGAGACTGTGTTTCCATCTGTATGTTAATGATGTTAGTTTGCCTAAATTTGGAAAATGTAATATTCAGGTTAGGATTCCTAGTTGCCAACCTCAAAAACTATCTCTAGCTAATTAAAGGAGAAAGGAATTTATTGGTAGGATCTTGGTGGGGGTGGGGATGGGGTGCAGTTCACAGAATCACCAGGAAAGCTGGAGCCCCAGGCTCATAAAATGGTGGCAAACACAGATGCAATCAAAGAGACGAAACTACTGAGGATGTCGCCACAGGCCCTGTGTCCCCAGATTACTCACTGTCACACTGCTGGACTCTGTAGCTCCCCACACCAGCTGCTGCAACCTCTGGGATCTCGATTCCTGTGGAACCACAAAATCGGCATGCCTTGGTCATTCCTCCCAGATGGCTCATCTGGTGAACCAGGCTTGGTTACACCTGGCTCCTCCAGCTGTCCTGAGGAGGGGAGGGGAAACACCTGCTTCTTCAGGTTCTGCAGCAAGAAGTCGGGTCCTGTCTCCCACCTGCTTTGGGACTACCCATCCCCCCAGGGGTGTTTGAATGCTAGGTGACTCCTGTAAATATCCACTAGGGCTACCATGAAAGAGAAACCCAACTTGAAACAGGACCAGAAATAAAAGGCTGAGAAGTGATCCCTTGAAGGATTTCTCAGCCAGCTGATAGACATCTCCTTCTGCAAACTCTTCTCTCCCTTAATACATACGAAATAACAGCAGGGGTCCCTTCATCCCTTTGGCAAAGTTAAAGGGAGTCCTTCTTTCTCAGCAACATTAATGATGGCCAGTAAAGAAACTACACGTGGCACAGTGACCTTTCTAAAAAGCATGGTGATGAGATAAAAACAGTTGCTGTTGCCAGCTCTCTATTGACAGGCTTAGAAATGGGTTCTCTGGAGCCCAATGTGGGGAGGCAAAGCCTTCCTCTTGAATGGGGCAGCAGATGGTATTCTTCGCCACTCCTGACAAAATAACGGCTGGAAGAAGCAGTAGGACTCCATCTGGGAGAGATCTTGTCTTCTGTGGCCAAGCAGTCAATGTGTTTGCAATCTTTACACTTTCTGTGGTGCTCTTTCAGAAGGGCAGATTGTAGAATGCTGGAAAATTCTGCCCAGGAACTGGGCAGAATTCATGCAACCCTGACAACCTGAAGGCGAAAGATGGCAGGGTGGAGTGGCGAGCATATGTTGAGAAAGCCACAGATTATTTCTTGGGAGAAATGAGAAGGTGGACGGATGTCAAGTTCTGATATTTGAAAATGTTGGTGGCCAAAGAGTTTATTCCCCCTCCCAATCTGACCCACAAAATTAGGCCAGAAAATGTATTCCTGACTGTTTCCATGGCTCTTACTCAGCTACAAGTCATTTCCCCTTTCAGATTATTTCCAGTTTTAAGGCCCAATTTCCATTTGCTTTTTGATCTTCTGCTTTTAAGATATTTAGCCAATATCATCATCAGCCAAGTGCCAGGTTTTTTTTCAAGGCTTTGAATTTGTCATTTATCCATGATCTTCGCAGGTGGATTCTGTTTGTGACTGGCTGGTCCAAGGTAGACAGGGTATTTTTTTTTCCAAGTGGAGCATAAGAAAAGGGATTTCTGGCAATAAAACTGAAAGTTTTAAGACACCTCTTGCAAATATCAGTGACTGGAGTAAAGGTCCCATGGAAAAGTAATAAGGTGAATGTAAATTTATTAATGAATAACAAATAGTTTGATACAGAGTTGAACAAGACAGTTTCAGCATCAACAATTACATGAAGCTCCCAAGAAAAATTTCTTTTTGAGTTTTATAATGTATTATTTTTTCCACGAAATATATATATTTTAAATTCTCAGTTTAATTCTTCATCAGTAGTATTAATAAAACAAATTATTCTGGGTCTGATTTACCTGACATAAAATAATTATTAAATGTTCTTTGTATTTTCCTCCAAAATCCCTGACGGTTTTCTGTGTTAATTTTAAGCTTTCAAAGGGCAAGAATTATGAAATATTTGCCTTTGTAGTCCCACAGCTCATAACACAGCATGATTCAGCTGCAGGTATTTAACCCACACACATAGTTACCTTTGTCACTTTTCTACTAGTTGTTGTGTAATGGGTTAGCTTTATCTATTAGTTTCTCCTTCATATAGCTCAAGGAGTCAAGGAATACACGTTCTCATTGTTTCTAAATCAGACCTAAAGTTTTATTCTAAATGATGCAGATGAAGGGGCTTATTAAAGTGCCATTGTGAATTTAATCATGTATATGCTGCTAAAAATCATTTAATGGATGAACAACCCGGAAAAAAAGAACTCTCACCACCCACACACATCGTGATAAAATAGGGCAGCGTTTTGCACTTGCTTTAACAGCATCGCCTGAGAAAAAAATTTCTGGTTCCCATCTTTCCCCTCTCTTACTTAAAATTTCAACTTCATCACAGTCAGCTGCCGAATCGTTCAACAGAATGCCACACTGCCTTTGTATTTCCAAAACTATACGTCTCTATTGCGGACGGCACATCTTTATGGCAGCCACATGCTTGAAAAAGAATTAAATTCAGAATATTCATTTGGCCTCTTATTAGTTCCATAATACCATTAAAAAAGAAAGAAAGAAAGAAACTTCCTCGCCCTTGTTCTGCTACGCTGTTCCCATCGTAAGATGCTCCGTGGAAGGGAGCCGAGCGGTGGGCAGAGGCTGAGTCCCCGATAACGAGCGCCTCACATTTCCGTGGCATTCCCATTTGCTAGTGCGCTGCTGCGGCCGCACGCCTGATTGATATATGACTGCAATGGCACTTTTCCATTTGACATTCTCTCTCTCTCTCTCCCTCTCTCTCTCTCCCTCTCTCTCTCCCTCTCTCTCTCTCCCTGTGTCGCTTAAACAACAGTCCTAACTTTTGTGTGTTGCAAATATAAAAGGCAAGCCATGTGACAGAGGGACAGAAGAACAAAAGCATTTGGAAGTAACAGGACCTCTTTCTAGCTCTCAGAAAAGTCTGAGAAGAAAGGAGCCCTGCGTTCCCCTAAGGTAAGCAGGAAAACAAGCGCTGCCGGCTTGCCTAGGAAATCGCTTCTTTCCAAACCGAGCATTTCATCCTCCTCTCAGACAAAGAGACAACCTTTAAATACCACTTAAATTTGCATTACTTTAATTTGCATTAATCTGTAGCATGCTAGCATTGTGTTTCTTAAATGAACGGGTCTTTGAAGTCTGTGACAGAGCAGGGAGCCTCCTAGAAAAGCTTGAAAATATCTTTTGGTTTGACTTAAAGAGATTTTTCTTTTCAAACTCTCTGCGTAGTTAGATGTAACTTTGTGATGGTTCTTATAGTTGACCCCGTGAAAGGGGGCTGCGAAGCAGCAACTTGCCAACATGGATTCATGGAGCCCAGTATCTTCCCCAGCACCCTCATCCCACTTACAATGGGGGCACTATTAACGCAGGCAAGACTGCGAGTTTAAAAGCGCACTGTTTACTTTTATTACTACTTATGTATGCTGCTGATCTCCTGCCAGGGCTCTGCCGGAGTGCTCAGAATGACTTCAAACAATAGGCAACATTTATTTCTAGCTTTCTGTGTCACGCTTTGCAGGAATCCTGCTCCCTTGCACTCTTCTTTCAGCGTGCAGGTCTTCGCTTCCATAGATGCATTGGGGAGCACCGGGAGGAGATGAGGATGGATTTACTGTATGATTTTGATTGGGCAAAAAGTCCGAGGAAATGCATGCTGTTTGCCTTGGACTTATTGCAGGGGGTTATTTTTAGTCATCAGCTCGTCCCTGCAGCATGATGTTCAAGGAGTGACCGGGAAAGGATGCTCCCACCAGCACAGAGACCAGGACCTGTAGGAATGACTCCTACCTGCGGGATATTCCGAGGTTTCTTTCAAACTTTGGAATACAAGTTCTCTCTTTAAATGAACAATTGAGCTGTAGGAGGCCTGGGCATAACTCTTTCTTGGGGGACGGGAAGTTTGATTGTGTACAGAATGTTAATGACTCAGAACGCCCAGTAACTGAGGCTCATTGTAATAGACAAACCCAGATAAGCCTCCATGAGAGGCAGACTCCCATCTTTACTGAGATTCAGGTGCGGGAAAGGAAGCTATTTGGCAAGATGGGAGTCCCTTGTACAGTTCTTTGTAACTCATTAATAACAGATATGGCTGCTGTGAAACATGTCTCTTTTCATTTCTAATATTAGTGTATTTTAATTACAAGGAGCTGGCATTGGCAAATTACCCCAACACATAAGATTAAATACCAGGTGCATTTGAAAACAGAGAGATGACTGAAATGGGGAGTTGCTGTGGGTGTCAACCAAATACAGCGGGGACGGCACAATGCTTCTCAACTGAGCGTTTAAACCAGATGCAAATATCTGCTCATTTTCTTCTCATCAGTCTTACTAATTCAAGGAAACTTTATGGTCCTGTTTGCCAGTTTTCATTGCAAATTGGTACACAGTTTATGCAAAACTTTTCTGATTTTCTCTGATAACCAGCCCAATAAGCATCGCTGAATGAAAATCTGATATTTGAATAGGTTAATTTACAACTTTGGGGTATTCATTAGTCAAGAAAGCCATAAAAGACACTATGGATTCCATTGCTGTAAAATTTTATTGTAATTTTTTTTTAAAAAAACTGCGGTTAGCAAAGCATTTAGCTGAATCAAAACAATTTTCTTAGACTATTATTCAGATCATTACATGAGAGTATTTGAACACAAAATGCAATGTTTTGCATCATTTATTTTAAAATACATTTGGTTCAGGTAACGGGAGAACTGGCTGAGGCCTTCTTACGACTGTGTACCAAGCAGCTGACACCCACAGATGGAAATGTGCCTGTGGAGTTTTCAATCTTAATTCGAGTTCCAATGACACTGTCAAGGGAAAAATAAATCATTTTTCAATACATTTAACAATTTCCAACTCATTTATTTTCCTGGGCCCTTGAAAAATGTGGTGAGTTTCTTGGAATTATAGCCACCAATGGTGGCCAGCAATCTTTATTTTAAGAACTCACAATTCAAGTACTATTATTCTCTGGTTAATTATTTATTTCATCAATTTTTAAATAAATATTTATTAAGCATTTTCTAGATGCCCAGTGCTATGCTAGTCCCGATGGATGCAAAGGTGAATGAGACATTGTCCCATACTCTAATTCTCAGTCCATATGCCATCTCTAGTTAGATTTTGGAACTGAAATGGGCATTGCCAATGGGTAAAGTGGGCAATAACTTTCCTGTTATAAAGAATTATTTAAAACAGCTACTGGTTTCTAGATTTACTTGAAATGATTCTCACTCATCAGTGGGTTTTCTTTCCATTTATGATTAAGGGATTCCCCTTTGGCCTTTTTCACCAGATCCTGGGTACACGTCATTTGCACAGCTAACACGGCTAGATCTTTCCAGCCTGGGTAGAAGAATCCCGGAAAAAGACAGTAGTTTATCCTTTCTCTGCTCTCCTGAGCACCCTGTGGAAAGGACCATATGCTGTCTCTATTGGGGATGGGTGTGAGTCGCCTACTCAGTAGCTAACATCAGGGCCACTTGATGAATCATCGAATTAGAAACATGCATATGGAGGAAGATGCAGTCACTATCCCTCACCACTTACTTGTCCCACCCCCAGTATCAAAACAAATGACCTCTGGGCCTGGCCTAAATTCAAGAGGCCCCTGGGAAGAAGCTGTTGGAAACTCTTCCCCAAACCCAGGTCTCCATCATAGCCACACAGTGTTGCTTTCAAATAACCCAGTATGGTGTTTTATCACGTGTTTAGGTTACTGGGGGAAAAAAAAAACCCTGAAAACAGCATCACCAGGGTCCTTGACTTGGTCCTTATCAGCAGATAATCCCCCGTGGTTGGATTAAAATGCCTCTGACTCCCTGGGGTGCCTGACTCACCCTAGCCAGCCCTCAGCTTCTTGGCCAGCGGCCTTCGAGCCCATCCTCACCTCTTCCCATGACGGCCAGTGACTGCTTCTTTGCCCAGGCCCTCTGCACTAGGCCAGCAGCCAGTGGGAGCAGAGGGGATGGGAAGGCAGGTGGACAGACTGTGAAGTGCTAAGGCAGAGCGGGGAAGCAGGGCTGTGAGACAGGGTGGGTGAGCTCCAGGGCCTGGGTTGCTGTGGCCTGCCCTGGCTGTGATCAGCTGTCATTTCCTCTTTGTGTATGACACTGTGGAACATATTAAAATTTCTCTGGGATGGTATGTTTGGAATTCCTCTGATGCCCCACCTCACCAACTTACCCGGACAATAAAAGCAAGGTTGTAAGCCTTTGAACAGCTGGCTGGCTATATATTTCCCTTCTTTCTTTCGCATAATCTAATTCAGAAAAGAATCCAGCTAGACTGGCAGTGCCATGTCTGGGTACTTGTTTCCTGCAAGTCCTTCCTCCTCCACCTCCTCCCGCCAGTCCTGGAATCTTCCTGGGTGGCATGTGGCTTTTCTTTTCTTTTGCTCACCACTGCTCCCAGCCCGCCCCCTTTTCCCTTCGCCTGAGCTCCTTCCTTTGTCAGCTGGCTCTTTGCTCTGCCTGTTTTCCAGACAGCTTGGGTCCTGTTCCATCCGGGGAGAACAGCCCATGGGATCTCCCCATCTCCATAGTATTCCCAGGATGTCATTCTTGGCACCAGCTCTGCCGGGCTGATAGGACTGGGGGGCTTTTTGTAGTCCCGAGCCTGAATCCACTCACAGAGAGGAGCAGCCACATGGCTTAGCTGCCCTTTGGGCTGCCGAGAGCGGGGCTGGAGTGACCGGGTTGGCAGGAACGAGCATACCATCACAGTGACCCGAACATCTCCGGCAAAGGCCTTGGGGTGGGAGCGCTATGGGAATGCCTGGATGCACTTCGGCCTACATTAAGAGAAATGTGGTTATTCTCTGTTTCGGGGGAGAGACAAGCGGCTTGAAACAAAGCCCTCTGGATCCTTGGCCCCTTCCCTGCCCCCTTTCCCGGTCTGTCCTTCCCACATCCCTCCCTCCCCAAACAGAAAGAAAGAGAGACAGGACTTCTAATTTGGCCAGCACAGACCCGAATGTCTTTATGAAACCCATTTAGTGAAAGAAAGAGGGGAGAAATATATTCTGGGTTGATCCGAACTAAAAAATGCATGGGGCTTTGGAGATGGGGCGGGATTTTTTCTTTCTTTCTTTCTGTCTCTTAAGAGCAGAACAACAGTTTCGTTGATGAGTTGCAAATGGAAGGAAGTGGACCTCTCAATTAGAGATTCCCATTTAAGAGCCTCAATGTAAACCTCCCTGTGACATCCTTAAAAGATGCTGCTAATGTCCCTGGGACCAAAAGGTATTAAACAGCAAGCCACCAGGCGGCTTCCTATTCCTTTTCTTTTTCTGGGGGCTTTGGTCGTCTTTTTCAAATTAGCTAAAATTCATTAAAGGACCCAAAAGGAAAAATTTAAAGCAGCTGAATTAAAATGAGTCTTTCCCTGTTAGCCTGACAAGAAGAAAAAAAGAAAGGAAGAAAGGGAAAGAAAGAGAAGAAAGAACCAATTCCCCTCCACTACCACTTCTTGGGTTTTAATATGAATTATTCCATACAAGTCCCTAGGCTAGAGGATCTATTTAAAGACGCCTGGCAGCATGAAGGGAGAGGGTAAAAATACAACCACTCTTTTGTCCATCAAAGGTTTTCTTTGGGAGGACATTAAGAGCATTCCTGTTTTCTTGTCTGCCCCTGCCAGTGGCAATGTTCCAGCTGGTAGTATCCACTCCTCGCCCATCAGGTCAGCAATCATGAACTTCTGTGTTTAATTTCAGGAGAAAACAAAGGGTGGGAAATCCTTCCGAAACCCCTATGTGTGTGCAGCAGGGCAGGGGAGGCTGGAACTGGAATCAGTACTCTCTT
The DNA here is from genome assembly GCF_000001405.40 of Homo sapiens. NCBI lineage: Eukaryota > Metazoa > Chordata > Mammalia > Primates > Hominidae > Homo > Homo sapiens. The sequence continues at coordinate 43,968,447 of NC_000023.11, read as the reverse complement.
GGCTGTGCAGGTTGCATGCTGCAAATTCACACACCCACACAGTTGAGTTGTTGAGGAAGATTGTGCCGATGGCATTATTTCTGATGCCAGCTTCCCTTGCATCTGCAAAGCTTTTTTCTTGTGTCTCTGGCAGTCATTTGCTTGTCACCATTCATGTGCACTGTCCCCTTCATCAGAGGTTCTCAGAGCCTGATGGTCAAGGATATGTCACTAGAGTCTTACCCCCAGACCCATTTTCAACAGTAAGAACGTGAAACCCTGGATGGGGTTTGCAATCTGAAGCAACTACTTTCTTGTTAGGAAGAGTGCTGACTCAGAAAATTCAAAGAATGGGTAACTTCCGTTGGCGACATATCCCCAGTGCTCATAATCAGGAATTCATCCAGTTGGGGTCCATTTCACCCTCATGGCAAAATCTGGACATAAACATTGACTAGTAGCTTTAAACTGGGTATAAGATTTGCAACAGATAACATTTTTGTCTTTTCTTTTTTCTTTTTTTTTTCCACAAAAGCTAAGAATTTTTCAGACAATTTGCTCTCTTCCAAGGCCTGGATCAATCCCAACTTTTTCTTTTAAGCCATGATCCAACCAATTGCAGTATCCTTTAAAAATGAAAGGGCAACAGGCTAAGACATTCAAGAAAGTTGATAAGCTGTCAGAAAATGCTCAAGGGTGGCCTTTCTACAGTGCCACAAACCAACAACAGCCCTAAACGTGGAGTCCTCTTCCATCCTTTCATCAGTAGGGAATAAAAATAGGGAGAGAGCAGGTCAGGGGAGAAGTAACAAAAGAGAAGTAAGAAGGATTATTTTTGATGTTCAAAATCTGCTGCTGCCCTTTCAATATTTTCAAATATCACAATTTCAGAAAGGGAAGGATCCCTTTATTTCACCCACTCTCCCTCCCAGGAAGGTGTTTGAAGTTGCTGTCTTTACCTGAAAAGGAGGTCAACTCCTCAAGTGAAAAAACATCCCCTATCTTCAACTCGAAGTAAAATGGAGGTACACACATTTGTACCTAATTATGTGGGTACAAATATAATTTGTATCCACAAACTATAAAGGATGTAAAGAATCAAAGAAATCCAATCCTTAATCAAAGTCCAATTTTTCTTTAAAACTTGAGAGGATATTTTAGGGCTCATTGCATTGCTGTGATTTCACTGCCCCCCACCAAATTATGAAAAATTACTCCTTTTCAGAATTTAAATTTTTCTTTTGAGATGTGGAATCCAAAGGCAGCAGAATAGTATTGTTACAGGGAAGCTGGCAGTCAAAAGACATAGACATAGCTGCAGCATGCATGGTTTAAGCAAATCAAGACAAGCAGAAAACCACCACCCCAACAAGTTCAGGGTTATCAGCAATATAGGGACACGTATTTTTATGTGATTTTTATGAGAACCTTGCCCCTTTGACATATGTCTGAGTCTAGGAGCATTCCGGATTGCAACGGGATTGAATTCAGTATTCAAATCCCACCATTGGGCAGAAAAGGCAAATTGAATGGGGAATGGAAAGACTGAGTTGCTCCTATTGTTTATGCCCCATTCCTAACTAAGGGCTCTACAGCTGTTAGGTGAGATCACTACCCACCATTCCAAAGTGTTGTTGCGGGTGAGGAGGTTCAAACGCAGCTTTGGAAACACTTTGCTGCACTCTTTGAAGAAAGGCCAACATGCTCATTTGGCTCTAGGGTAAAAGAGAGCCTGTACCCTGAGCTAACATTGGTCACCTCTCCTCCTGAGGCCATACCACAGCCAGCAGTACAGCAGCAGAACAAGTGTTTAGTTGTTTCAGCACAGGTATCCCCAGAACACCTGGCACCTTTTCTTTTCCACAGGGAGAATGTACATTCATGCATTTTGGCAAGACTGAGTCCTCTGAGTTGGGTGTCTCGGAACTCTCCTATTTTCCTTCTAAAGGGTCTTATGTAAGGTGAGCAGTAGAGTGTGTCTCATTCCTCATAAAAAATCCCCTTCCTGGGAGGGAGTGGGTGAAATGAAGGGATCCTTCCCTGACTGAAATTGTGCTATTTGAAAAAATTGAAAGGGCAGTGGCAGATTTTGAACTTCAAAATGAATCCTTCCTCCTCCTCCTCCTCTTTTGTTACTTCTCCCATGACCTGCTCTCTCCCTACTTTAATTCCCCATTGAAGAAAGGATAGAAGAGGACTCTGTGTTTAGGGCTACTGTTGATTTGTGGCACTATAGAAAGGCCACCCCTAAGCATTTTCTGACAGCTCATCCCCATCTCAGTCACAGCTTTTATTTGGGTAGCTGGATTTACAGAAATAATCAAATCCCTAGAGGAAAAGACTTCAACAGAAAAGTACCTCCTGACACTTGGGTAACCTGACTTGGTCATTTCCAATTTATGCAAGATTTGTATTCTAAAAGTCAATTAGTTATGTCAACTGTTAAAAACTCAGAATGAGTCTTTCCATTCTTCAGAATGACTCTTTTCTGATTATCTGTGGGCCATAGAAGCCCACAGATACTCAGCACAGGATCCAAGTGCCATACCAAGTGGTCAACTCTTTTAGACGTAAGTCTCAGCCCAGGGCTTCTGGAATGTACCTCCCCTAGCAGAGAAGCTCTGTAGTAGATACTTTACCAAGCACAGGGCCTCGCTCTTGACCCCAAGACTACTGATTCTACTTGCAGAGAAGACAACTTTTCTAATCAATCTTTCTCTTCTATCCTGAACCAGAGTATCAGAGATTGTCCCATTAGGGCACGAGGATCTGTGGCTCAAGCTCAGTTAAGAAATAAGCGTCTTTCAAAAGAAAGGTGCAAGAGGGTGGAACTCAGCCTATATTGTCATTATCAAATGCAAGAAGTCTAATCCTAGCATGATTTATTAATATTAGCCTTTCTTCTCTCCCCGTTTATGCTTTGGTGGGTACTGGACAGAAACCCCACAAATTTTAAGACAGTTTTAAGAGAAATAGTAACTGGTTAAATATCCTCACTACTTCAAATTATTATTATTATTATTGATATTACTGTTAACTTTTGTTTTTTTGAGACAGGGTCTCACTCTGATGCCCAGGCTGGAGTGCAGTGATGCGATCACAGCCCACTGTAGGCTCAACCACCCATGCTCAGGTGATCCTCCCACCTCAACCTCCCAAGTAGCTGGGATGACAAGCGTGTACCACCATGCCTGGCTAGTATTTTTTTATTATTTTTGTAGAGATGAAGTCTCCCTGTGTTACCCAGGATGATCTTGAACTCCTGGGCTTAAGTGATCCTCCCAACACTGCCTTCTAAAGTGCTGGGTTTACAGGCATGAGCCGCTGCACTTGGCCCACTTCCTATGATTAACAGGATATTATTAATTTAGAAACTATTTAGTACATGGCAAGCACTCAGTCAAATGGTTATTAACGGCTGTTTTTATTTCAGGCCACCAATATAGCTTCATCAAGGGGCAAATACTTATAGCTTGGGCTTCAGTGTTGGATCAGACACCACCTTAGAAGTTTTTTGCAATCATTAACTCCTTAAGTAAGAAGGGAACTCTTTTTGTAGGATTGCTTTGGGGAATATGTAGCCCCAAGGCAGGGGCTGTACTCTGAGAAGCTTGGGTAGAGTTGGAGACTGTTAGAAATGGATAGACACATAAAAGCATTTAGACCAATCTGTTCATTTTGCAGATGAGGAAATTGAGTCCTAGAAAAGGCAAGTGACTTGTTCAAGATCACACAGCCAATGATGGGAGGGTAGGACTCAGGGCTTGAGGATCAGTTTCAGAATGCAGTGAAATTGTTATCCCATATTTCTTTCAAATCAGTATAGGGACACGGAACACTAACAACATAGGCGACCAATGGGTCTAGGGAGGAAAAGATGAAAGCTGTAGGTAAGTGGGAGTTTGGATAACAATGAGATGTTTTTCTGGAGTTCCTGACAATGCCTGAAAAAAAAAGTCAGGATTTTAAGCTTCAGTCAGGCTCAAGGTCGAGTCCTCCCACTCCAGTCCCTCCTCAGACAGTAAAACTTTTCAAGCCAAGGACATACATATAGGTGGGGGCATTTGACAGTTGGCTCATCTCCCCACCCTCCAAATTATTTATATTTCTAGTCCTTCAGTTTAGCACTCCTATTTACCCCAGGATTGTAATTCATTGCCTCTTTCCCTGGCCATATTCCTCCATCCTTTTTGTTTCTCCCATCTCTTTTCTTCCTCCATCACCCCCACTGCTGAGCTTGGCTACACTTGGCTAGTAGTGCAGGTTGGGAGAACACAGAGTCCTATCACAGACTGGAGGACTATTATTTAATCACAAGAATGTTGTCTTTTTTCTCCTAAGGTAGCACTCTGGGGACGGTCATTGCTGTCTTTATTCCCTCACCCCCCCACCACCCCTGCACTGGATTAGACACATGAAATGTGCCTATCTCTGAGATGAAAGGAGCAAGAACTGCTTCCTCCCCACTGACCTTTTGCCTGCCCATCCTTGGAGATACCTGGAGTTGGCAGGCTGGAGGCCTAGCAGCATTTGCAGTCAGTGCCGCTGCCTCTGGGTCAGCCCAGGCTTGGCTCCTTGGCTGCTACTGATGTGCTGCCAGCTAGGAATATTAAAAACCATTCATTGAACGCACAGGATGCTTTATAAAATCCAACATGCTGTTTACAGTTTATAAATTAACTGCCTTGGGAAGAGGCATTTGACTTATTCTCCAAGGCATCTAGTTGACTAGATCCAATTGGAATCCTTTGAGTTCCTGGGAAGGGGCTACTTAACACTTCACACTTTCTAAATTAGACCTAGAGTTTCTTGCTTTTCTGATCCTAGTACTGTATGAAGTTTTATCTAGGGTTATCTAGCAAGCTTTCTTCCACTTATAAATCTTTGATGTTTTTGCAATTTCTTTGATAGAGGCTTTATGTTCTACTATCTTCACTTTATTTATGCTTCATACCATAATTTTTTAAAAAATTACAATAAATATCAAGTAATTCTGGCTGATATACTGACTCCATTCCAAGGTCATTATATTTTATTTGCTTAACTTGGTCTTCTTAGAAATGATGCAATGAATACTGGATACAAATTAGATGTTCAGAGAGTTTATCAATGTGTCTAAAAACCATCCAGGAAAACAACAGGCCAAGACTCTGCCTGCAGAGTCAGTGAGCTAGAAGAGGGATCGAGGATAGGAACTATATTTTTCCCCTGACCCTATCTCTTATCTGCTAGAGCAAAAGGAGACACACAGTAGGTGCTCAATAAATACATGTTAAAAAATATTTGTTGAAAGAAGCCACAGAAGGGAATATCAGTATACATTAGTATTGAAAACAGCCTAGGGGGAAATATGGATACTGAAGCACCACCCTCCTGTGCCTGGCAAGCAAGGCAAGAATAAGGCCATTCTTGGCACATACCACTTAGCCTGTTGCTGAGATAACTTGCGTGAAACCAGCACTTTACCCTCTGCCAGCCAGAAGGTCAGCCCAAGAGTGAGCTGATCTGTGGGCACAACACCATCTCTCACCCAGGAGGCTGGGCCCGCTGTAAGCTCTGCTATATTATTTCCCTGAGGATGACAGGTGGGGAAATCTGGGCACCAGTTGTTCTTTTCCACTGGTATCATTTGGAAGGTAGCTCCAAAGTCGGGCACGCCAGCCTACGTGCCTCTCCTGCCGGCAGAGGCTCCACATTGGAGCTATTAGAATGTGGGCTCTGTACGTCGGCCAAGTCCATGTCTCAGAGACTGTATCCAGAGCATAGCGTGGCCACAGGGCTACTGAGTTCAGCAAGAGAGTCATTCTCTTGTTCAATCCATTATTGCCTGGGCCAAGGTTCTAAGTCTTCGTAGGCAGCATTTGATTTTATGACACGTCTTAAAAAATTAAGGCAAACTGGAATTAATTTAGTTTTGAGAAAACAACAGAAGCTGCTACAAGGCAGAGATAATTCTAGGCTGCCAGAAAGTGGTGATCTCAGTGGTGTACATTTTCTTAATTCCTGATTTTCCTCTTTGTGAGGTCTTCCTCCCACTCCCATACTTTGCACATTCTCACCTATGCACACCCTGAGCAACACAATGTTGACAACTTGACTTAGCATTGCTCTTTTCTTAAGCTTTGTTTTCATTTCTTCTTCAATACAACAGTGTTGGTTCATTCAATTTGAACACTCAAGGCAAAAAAAAAAAAAAAAATCCCAGGTTATGTTTTCAGAATCTTACCTTTTTGTTTTTGTTTTGAGGGTTCTGTGAGTTTTGTGGCATATTTACATTGTTGCTTACATTCTTATTTCAGAATTTAAGATAAAAACTGGGCAACAACTCTCACGTTTTCTGAGTGTGTTGAAATGAAAAATCTGTTTCTTAGAATTAATGGTAAAGCAACATTTCCTGTCAATCTTTCATTCTTTAATATTACTTCTGGGTTCAGCTCACCATCTCTAAAGAGAAAGCCAGATGATCAAGTTACATTGTATGTGACATTAACTATCTCTTTATCTGTGTAAATGTCATAATATCTGCTTGCAAAGTGTTTTATTCATTTTTAGGAAAAAATTTTAAACTGTGCTTGCAATTCAGGATGGTGCTACTAGGTGGCAGTAATGTACAAGAACTATGTGGTCGCCCTGGAAGAGTATTTGACTAAGAGACTAGCATGCCTTCCCGTAATTATAAGAAATAAAAATATAATATTTTTAAAATACTCAAACTGGCACAAACAGTAAACATCCATTAACTTAGTTACCATATTTAAGCTGAGCTTTTAAAAGAGAAAGCCTTATTTTTTAATGAAATTTTAAATAAAGTATACATTCACAAGCTCAAAAATCTAAAAATACGAAAAGATATATAGTGAAAAGTCTTTCTCTCATGCCTGTCCCTCAACTACCACAGGTAACTAATTTTGTTAGTTTCTTGGGTATCCTTTCAGAGCTTTGCTATACAAATATGTGTTTTTATCTCTCTCCATTTTAACTCAAATCAATACATAGAGTTTCTGCATCCTTCCATATATAGTTGGTTAGTATATTGTTGTGTGAACATTTTAGAATATAATTAACCAGTCCCCTATTAATGGATATTTCATGCTGTTTCCAATTTTATGCTATTTCAGCCATGTGCTCATGTGATTTCACATGTAGGATAATTCACAGAAGTGGAATTGCTGGGTCTAAATTATATACATTTGCATTTTTAAAAGGTATTGCCAGATTGGCCTCTACAGAGTTTGGACCAATTTATACTGAACTTTCTCCAAAATGGACTTGTTTTCCCACAGCCTTGCCAATAGGGTGCATGATCAGACTTCGGAATCTTTGTAAATCTGATTGGTTGAACAATGTATTTCAAAGTACTTTAATTTTCATTCTCTTAAATGAGACTTTTATTCTCTTAAATTCTCTTCTATCTTTAAGGGCCCTTTATATTTCCTTTTTCTGTGGAGAAAGTGGAAATGCCAATAAATACAACGATGCATACACATGTATAGGGTTTTGTTATTGATGTAGCTTGTTTTTGCCATCATGCTGTACATGATGTTCTTTAATTTGCTTTGCTCATTTAACCATACCTCCTGGCCATGGCTCTGAAGAGAAGTTGCTGGCAGTGCAGAAGAAGGGCCAGGACTGGAATGTCTGCTTCTCTCTTCATCCTTTTGCCATTGACTCCTGGGGGAAATATCTGTAGACCGAAGCAGTGAAATCTAATCAATTCTCTTTCTGACACTAATTAAGGCTTCAAAGAGACAGATAACCACTTGGGATAATTTAGTCACAGTGAAACTTGGGAAATGGTCAGTAATATTTCATCCTCTGAAAGTGGACCCCAAGAAAGTTCTGGCTCTTTGAGTTGTTGTCTTGGTAATTTTCAGGGTAACGTGTATAGGAAAACCCAGATTATGCAGATGAAAAGAAAACAAACATGCTCTTCTGCATCCTTTGCAGATTTGAAACTTTGGGCACAGGTTTGATTTATTTCAATGAGATGTTGCTATTAGCATGAACATAAAGTGGTGCAAAGTTGTGCTGGAATATGGTCTCGTCAACTTTGGGCTCACTGTCTGCATATGGAGATGATAGTAACTGAATCCATAGTTATCAAGTGGTGGCATTTTAGAACACAAAGGGACAGCAGATGCCATCTCTGTCAACTCCTTCCCTCTACAGATGAGGAAACTTGGGCTAGAGGAGGTTGAATGACTTGTGTAAGGCTTCCCCAGCTAATTAATGGCAGTGCCAGGACTCAAGTCCAGGTGGGTTCCCTCATTACTGGTCCTTGCCCTTCCTGCAATTTATAGGACTTCCCTGAGGCACATGTGCTGAGGCTTTGCTATTGCCAGGGATTCTGTGCTCTGAAACAGCCCTATCTCACACACCCCTTTCCACTTAGGATCCCCTACCTCACACTTCCAAGACAGCTAATTGAGGCTAAATGGGTCTGATGCCATTCTATTAGTGCAAAATAAATTGGCTTATGCCAACTTGAACTCCTAATCTTGATTTTATCAACACTTTGCCCTGTTTATTCAGACTGTTCATGAGTAGGAAGTTAAGGAAAATGTTGCCTATGAACAAAATGATCAAACTTTTATCTGAAATACCTTTGAAAGTTTTCCCGAAGCTTTAATTATCATGTTCCTTTTGTTTTGGATGTAATAGCAGGCCCTCCCAATTTTCCTAAATGTTTGAAAATATTTTTGATACTTTCTGTCTTCTGTTGTGGTTAAAAAAAAGAAGGCACCAGTGTTGGCTATGCCTGGGGAGTTAGTGAGGTAATCTGGAGAGATCTCTGGACCCCAGTCCTTTGTCCAAGAGGTATGGTCAAAAGAACAAAGCAAATTTCAGAAAAACCGGTATAATATGATCCTATTTTAATGGTAAGTCTGTTCCAACAACTGCTTTCTTTTTCGAATTACACCATGTGCCCAGGCTACAAAGGCTCTGCAGAAATGTGACTCTGTTGGCAAATACGCGTGTGATACCTTAACCATGCTGGAGGCCAGTTAGCATAATGTGTATTTCAGATGCAGTTTGTCATCAGTGCTGGGTGCTATGGGGCTTAAAACAAAAACAGGATGAGCCTAGAGCACAGAAGTGGAAAATTAGGTGGGTGGGTGAGTATGGACTTGGAAATGGAAAATGTGCTTCCCTGTGGGACATGGCTTGTGTTCATTAGTGCTGACCTGCCTCCTCTCTAGCCCTGTAAGCTGACGCTGACACCAAAGCTTGCTGAGAAACTGAATAGACCCTCCCGCCCCGACCAACCAAGGACAAAGATGAGACCACCCAATTCGGTTACGTTGTTGCCAGAACAACATGTTTAATCTTTAACATGGGTTCAAACTATTCTTGGCCCTAGGAACATGGACTTCAGCAATTAAAGTCAACATGTGCTTCCATTAAACCATTGTGTCCACCTCCAAATGGTTATAAATATGTAGCATAAGCTATGGGAGTTGGGGTGGAATGGATGACAGCCTTTGCTAATGACGCTCTAGAAACCAATATTCTCCTCTCAAAATAACATGGAAAAATTCTACTTAATACCTCCTGGGTTCCATTAGTGGTTCTGGGTAAATAATTCTGGGGAAAGTAATTTCTGTTTTCATTCCAGCTGTGCAGCAGATACTGTGATGATGGATTGCAAGTGCAAAGAGTAAGACAAAACTCCAGCACATAAAGGACAATGACAACCAGAAAGCTTCAGCCCGATCCTGCCCTTTCCTTGAACGGGACTGGATCCTAGGAGGTGAAGCCATTTCCAATTTTTTGTCCTCTGCCTCCCTCTGCTGTTCTTCTAGAGAAGTTTTTCCTTACAACAATGAGAAAACATGTACTAGCTGCATCCTTTTCTATGCTCTCCCTGCTGGTGATAATGGGAGATACAGACAGTAAAACGGACAGCTCATTCATAATGGACTCGGACCCTCGACGCTGCATGAGGCACCACTATGTGGATTCTATCAGTCACCCATTGTACAAGTGTAGCTCAAAGGTAAGACCAAGGTCTCTGTGAGGAGAGCATTTCCCTCAGAAACAGGCAAGAAGCCATATTTCTTTGTCAGGGGATGGAGAACTAAGATCATAGCCCAAACTTAAGTGATGTGGCTGGCCCACAGGGCTTGTGGGAGAATGAGGCTTTTAGAATTTCCCCCCGTGCTTTGCACTGTTATCAGTAAAAGTGCCTAATCAATCATGTGCACACCCATCCAGTGGGACAGGTGTCCTTTGTCCCTGGCTGTGATGTTTATGAGTGGTAGTGTGCTTTTCCAAAAAAGAAAAATGGAGTTTACAAGTCATCATAACTCTCTAGCTCCATCATCAATAAAGAGGAAGAGAATGCAAAGAATGCGATTGAGCAGTGGAACATACTTCTTGGAGGGCTCTTTAAAGAGATTCTTGGTGAAATAACTGGCTTTGTGGTCTGAGCCTTTCTTCAGGTGCTACATTTCTGTTCAAATGATTTCAAAAGATAAGATGGCAATATGATCATTTATCATTTTTACATTGCTTATCCAAATCGTTCTCATTTGGAAAAGGATGCATGTTTCTTGCAGAGGCAGTCCGTGCCTCAGTGGTGTGCAAGGGAATATCATGCTTAAAAGGCCACCAAGAGTGGCCAGCTACATGGACCACCCAGAAGGGAGGCACATTGTAGGGTGGAACATACGAGATCTCACGACTGTCACTGCCCCTAAACAGGCACAATGAATGAAATTTGTCCACACTTGGTAAATAATAATTTGTTTAGCCCAACCTCAGAGATTTTTACATTTAGTTTTGAGATGAAAATCACTTAAACATTCTCGTATGGCAAGTAATTTTTGAAATTACCAGTATAATTAAGAATTTTTTATAGTATCAATCACCAGAATTAAGACCATATAAGCCAATCCCTCCACTCTCCATTCAAAAACATTATGACTTTTGTATGCCTTGAAAATTTCCATTAATTTCTCTGATTATAGCTCAGTGATGATGATTCATTTTAGTTTAGGAGGATCAGAATTCGAGTTAAATCATTTTAACCATTATATTAATAAGATCTATGACTGTGGGAAAAAATAGAGATTTTCCACTTAATAAAAACTTTCTGGCTCTTATTTGTGCTTGTAGAACCAAAAAAAAATGGAGTAAATAGATGAACATAAATTTTTGCAGGGCCACAATTCCTTCTTAGGAAAGGGAAACTAAAACAAATTGAGAAAAAACATGAGAAGTGCTTTTACAAGTGTGATTGCTCAGAAATTGTGGGCCCATGTAAGGTTGACTGCAGCAATTATTAGTTTCTCCTTCCCTCCCCCTTCAGAAACAGACAGCATGAATATTTAGTGATTTTATTCCATGGATAATTTCTTTCCGTATTGAGTTGTCCTCCATAATCGTGATTCTTTTTTAAAAAAAGGAATTAAAATTATTTCAAAGAAAGTGTCACTATGATGATAGAAAGGAACAAAGAAATAGGAGCATCTATAAAAACTAGAAAACAATCTGGAAAGACTGGACAAAATGATGGAGGAGTACTTTGGCAACAATCACATTAATCTAGCGAAGGTCAAAGAAGAGACATCATGAACTCAAACCGAAGAAATTCACATGTGAATTCTGAGCATGAGTCTTAGAAACAGACTTTAGTGTACTGTTATTCACCTTTGTTTCTTCCAGAAAGCCATGGCAAATAACAGCGCAAAATTGTGATAGCAGGAGAAATGTTTGTAATTTCATGGGAACAATCTGTTTTCAAACATCCCAAACTATCCCAAATATAGCAATAGTTTTATGTAAATGGTGCTTGCAATTATAAACCTTTCTTCCCTGGCCATAAAATATGCCTGGCAAAATCTCAACTACCCAGACCTTTTCTAGGTTAGATTTTTCTCTATGTATCCAGGAGCAAAACTGTTTTCATTTGGAAATGTTCTATAATTCTTAACTCTTACATTCTCGGGCTGATCTTTTCTCTAATGGGTCTCACTTAATGAAATTGTTTGCCTTTAGAGACTTGGATAAAACATTTAGCCTATGTCTAGAAAAGAGGCAACAACAATCTACCCTAGCTTCTTTTTACAAAGAAAAGACTGGGATAGATTTTTTTGTCTCTATAAAAATTATCCCTTGACATCATGTTCAAGGGTCATTATTTATTAAACATGTGCCTACTGTTTGCCTGCCAATTGTTAATGCTTTCTGACTCACATTTATCCATTATCTGGCCTTGTAAAGGCAAGAAAGGGAGAATGTGACCCAGGCTCAGGGAAGGGAGTGTACCTGCTTGAACACCTAATATATGTGTCAGGCACCTCATATTGTATATTATAATCATTGCCAAGAAACCTGTGATGGCAGGCATTATTATTCCCATTATCCTGGTAAGGAAAACTGAAGCCCAAAATAATTAGATTGCTTGATATCATATAGCCAGGGAGTGGCAATGTCTGCCTTACAGCATTCATCTTCCCACTACTTGGATCTTCATATTGGAGGAACACAAGTAGAATGTAGGAGCCATCACATAGAAGTTCAGGCTCTGCTTCTGATCTGCTGGCAGTAATAATTTATACTCAGCAATGTTTCTAGAAAAAATAAATAATAGTGAAAGCCTTTCTGGGAGCTTTCAATGAGACTGTTCATCCCAGCCCTGAACTTGCAGCTGGCCAGTCCTAGGTCCCTGCTGCCCATCTCCTAGCAATTCCGGAAAGGACTGAGAGGGAGTCAGGCAGAAAAGACTGGCCACAGTGGCCCACCAAAGAGGACAGTGTGGCCACAGATTAGGATGTGCCTGATAGTTTTAAGTGGTGGCACCTCCTGGGTTTGGGTACAAAAGATCCTGGGAGTAGCAGGTTCATTTATAATCTTCATGGAAGACTAAGTTTCTCTAAAATTTGGAGTAAAGGCTGTAGAGCAAACAGGCAAAAGACCAGTTGATAGTGGAAACAGACTGCCTGGTGGAATCTCTATGAGAACTGAGGCATGCCAGGCTTTGAAGTGAGAGAGACCTGGTTTCCAATTCCAGCTCCATGGCTTGCCGAATGAGTGACTTTGAGGAAGTTCAGTAACTTCCTTCTTTGTGCCTCAGTTTCTTCCCATGCAAAATAGAGCTGTCTACCTGAGGGTATGGGTATGGGTGTTGGTGATTTGTAAAGCATCCAGCGGTGTCCAGCACATAATAGCCATTTAATAGAAGATATTATGATCTTGATGATAAAGTTATAAACTAAGCAGGTGTTTAGACTCAATTTTCTATTTCAGTCACAACTGAGATCTCAATAACTGCTGGGATCTCCTATAGCCTTAAAAGATTAGGAAAATGAACCTTATTGTAGTTCTTGTTAAGCACAGGGTGGGGCAGAAGAGCAAAGTAAATGTAAGCCACTGTGCTGGGTGCTAACAGGGAGGATAAAAGTAAAAGAGAAACAGCCCCGATATCTGTCTAACCTTCCTTCCCAGATGAGTGGAGGAAGGAGGGGCTGGAGGGGGATGAGTTTTGGACTTGGGCCAGGGAGGGGATTTCAGGAATGGAGGGTGGGAAAGCAAACTGGCAGGGAAGACCTGGAAAGTCTCAGTTGGGTGAGGAGTGGGGGATGCTGGCCCCAGGCCAGGGCATGGAACCAGGGCATGACTATCTGAACCGGTAAGGGCCACAGGAGCAGGTGGGGAACTGGAAGAGCAACAACAAAGGATAAGGAGGAAGAGGTTTGGGAGACAAAACCTAGGAAAAGAGGACCTGGTATGCTAAGGGCTGAGTCCTAACAGCTTCCTAACAGGACCCCCAAGCCATCTTCTACTGCTACCCACCAAGCTCATGGTGTGATAGGAGAAATGGAGGGAGTCAGGAAAATTGTGTTTATAATACAATAGACTTCTTGAGAGATATAATTTGATTTTTTTAAAAGGAACAAATTTATACTGAGTGCCTACCATGTCCAGGTGCTGTGGAAGGTGCTGGAGACTCTAAAGTGGAAAGAAAGAAAAAAGAGACAATTTTTTTGCCTTCATGATGCTTACAAGAAAATGGGGAGAGAGGGAGGAGGGGTGTTCTGTGCACAAAGATCAGTTTGTATCTGTTTGATTCATGACCGGAGTGAAGGGACCAGTTTCTAGTTGGAGTGAGCTGAGTTCCCATCCACCCTTTCAAAGCCCCCACCATCTCTCTGCTGCTTTGTTCCCTGGTTGCAATTTTCTTGGTGCCCTCAGCCTAGCACAGATCTTTTGGAGGTTGACCTGGGTCCCTGAAGATGAGCGGAGTTATGAGGCTGCCCGTGGGGAAAGAATGGGAGAAGAAGCATGGGTGAATCTTGTTCCTGAGGTTATAGAGGGTGTTTCAAGAGGTGCCATGGAAATAAGGGTGCATAGTGTTCACTGCTGCGAAAAAGGCAAAATACTTTTCCACTCTGTCGGAGTAAAATCGCAAAAATGCTCTTCTAGGGTGGGACAGGTGGGTCTTTATTCTGATGCTAATGGTGACATCTGGTCAGTCAAGGCTCTTGGAAGATTCAGCTCTGCATAAGCTTGGGGATGGTGAAGCTAATGTCCCAAGAAGCCCACAAGAAAAAGTTAGACTTGTATGTCTATGGATATGGTCAGGGGTTTCTGAGGCAAATCAATGTAGATAAGGAAGTCTGTGAGTTGGCATATGCTTGAGGAAAACATGGTATCAGGAGGCAGGTATTATACTGGTTTAGGTCAGGGCTTTGGTTTCAGATAGACCTTGGTTTGATTCCAGCTCTGCATTTTACCACCTATGTGAGTTTGGGCAAGTTACTGGAACTCTCTAAAGCTTGAGTTTCCTTATCTGTCCTAATAGTGTAGATCATAACAGTACTTTCTTGTAGGGTTGTTGTAAGGATGAAATAACTCACATTGCAAGTGCTCAATAAATGTTCTTATTAGCGAAATGATGGTTATCTAGTGATTCATCTAGAGCACAGCCCTCAAACTTGAATGGGTCCAGAGACCTGCTACTCAAAGTGTGGGCACCAGCCCAGTAGGACTGACATCAACTGGAATCTGATGGGAAATGCAGAATCTCAGGCTCTAGGCCAGAACTACTCAATCAGAACTTGCCTTTTAACAAGATCCTAGATGATTCACACGCACATTCCAGTCTGAGAAGCTCTGATCCGGAAGAGATCAGGAGATGTTCAAGTGCTGAAACACAAGTAAGGCATGGCAGAAGCTAAAATGTGAAGTATTGAGAGTAAACCAGGAGAGCAGATGGTTATTCCTTCCATCCCTTAAGGATCTTATCTTTCAAACTTCTGCTTTACCACTTCAACACACAAAACAGAGATAGATTTCCTTCTAGGAGTGTGTGTGTGTGTGTGTGTGTGTGTGTGTGTTGAGAACATCAATGGTTCAATAATTGCTTCATAGTCTTTTCTTCCAGGAAAGAGCATTTGAATTTGGCTACAGAGAATAGATAGGTGGGATTTTATTAGGCAGAGCAAGGTGGAAAGGACATATTTGGGAGACAGAAGACATAAGCAAAGGCAAGAGGCAGGAGAATTCAGGGCACTTTCTTGGACTCCTAAGTAGTTAAGTTTGACTGGAGTAGGGAGTGGGTAGTAGAGTGATGAGAATAGTTGTAAGTAAGACTGGAAATACATGTGAAACCTGGGTCATGAAGGGCCTTGACTCCTCTTCAAGATTTTGGATTTTATTCTGAACTACTGAAGGCATTTATTGTACATGTCTGTGCATTCTTCTTGCACAAACAGTCCAGCTCCCAAGGAAGAGGGGCCCAGCCCATTGGAGGTGGCCCCACGTCCTTCAGTGCCTGGAGTTCTTGTCCTTCAGAGTGGGCTGGGGGTGGAGCTGGACATCCTGAAAACTTTTAGTGAGATTGCAATCAGATGAGCTCATTTACAAATGGCCCTACGCTGTTGACTTGGTCATTTTATGGACAGTGCTAATGGCCCAGTCAGTTAGGCCTACGTTTGGTTCACCTGTGTATACATCACTTGGATATTATGTCCCATATCATTGTTGGCCCTTCTGAGTTAAGTTCGTTGGCACAGATTTACTTTGTCCACCCAGACTGAAACTGCACCTCTGAAGACTCCATCACGGAAGGTGACTCTGTGAATAACTGCTTAGTCAACCTAATAGATGATCTAGATGAGAGATTAGCAAATTTAACACTACTCCAAGGTGAGGTATCAAGCAGCTCTTCCCACATACAGGGAGATGGGGGGAGAACAGACTAAGGAAGATCTTGGACTCTCTCTCTCATTAGAGAAATGGGGGTGGGAATTAGGGACTAGCCTGTGTACTACTGACCTATGGCATAGTCTCTCAAAACCCATTTCAGAGCCAGGCACAGTGGTACATGCCTGTAGTCCTGGCTACACAGGAGGCTGAGGCAGGAGGATCCCTTGAGCTCAGGAGTTTAAGGCTGTAGTGTGCTATGATCATGCCTGTGAATAACCACTGCACTGCAGCCTGGACAACATAGCAAGACTCTGTCTCTAAAAACAAAACAAAACAAACAAACAATCATTTCTGATAGTTTACTTTGCCTGTCAAAATGAAGAGCAGGTAGGATAGAATCAAAAGCTTTAAAAAAATCAAAACAGCTTACAGCTGCTATTTTCTCTCTGCCTCTGCGATCATTCAGAGAAAATAAATTCACTGGTCTAGTCCAACTTATTCTTCCCTAAGCCCTGCTGTTTTTTTTTTCTAGTATTTCATATTGCCTTGGTGGTTGCTAAGTGATTGTTGGATTTAGCCCCAGTATATTCTCAGATAACTATGCCAATAATCTATAATTACCAGAATTCATCTTTTCTCCCTTTTGGAAAGATGGACTGGCTATTTTTTTCTTGTAAACCTTGGGTGTTTAATTCTGCCCTACAGGATGATGTCAGAGATAATAGCTGGTGAGTCTTTAATAATAACTGCGAATTCCTACAATATTGTAAGGTAAACGTCAAAAGGTTTCATGCATATATATGTATCTTTTAATCTTTCATTTGAACAGTTTCACTTTTTATGATCTTGCTGTTGGTTCTGGAATTATAGGACAAATTTTTCTTTTCTTTTCTTTTCTTTTTGAGACAGGGCCTTGCTCTGTCACTCATGCTGGAGTACAGTGGCTTGATCATAGCTTCCTGCAGCCTCTAATTCCTGGGTTCAAGTGATCCTCCTGCCTCAGCTGCCAAAGTAGCTGGGACTACAGGTGCACATCACCACGCCTGGTTAACTTTTTATTTTTTTTTTTAGAGACACGGTCATGCTATGTTGCCCAGGCTGGTCTCAAACTCCTGGGGTCAAGTGATCCTCCTGCCTCAGACTCCAAAGTGTTGGGATTATAGGCATGAGACAATACACCTGGCCCAGGGGATTTTTTTCTCCATCACTTAACATGAAATTCACCAAGCAAAACCTCTTACATAACCATGGGACCAATAATCTCAGATTCTCCATTCCCCTCCCCACCTTGATATTAGGATTATGCAGCTTAATGAGTCAAGCTGTCCCACCCTACCCACCTATTACTCCCACTCCCAGGATACCAGGAGTTTTGTATGGGATACATAAATGATCCTTTTTTCCATTCCGTTAAGCTGTATGCAAATTGTGTGTGTGCTTATGTACATTTTTCTGGGGATAACTTTGGTAGTTTTCATCAGATTCTTAAAGGTGTCTGTTTGCTAAAGCCAGATTAAGAGCTACTATAAAGAACACATAGCCTCCGTTATTCCAGCCCAATCTTTGGAAATAGAGATTATCAGAATGGGTACATCCTAATATTTGCCGCAAATGACTCTGAAGATGCGGATGCAATTACATAAATCCCAGGCTCCTTCAACATATAAACCCAGAAGTGTGATTTCAGGGCCCCAGACATGCCCTGTCTCTACTTCATTCTCTTGTCCCAAATTGCAGCACCCAGAATATTTCTTCCTAAGCATTACTCAGGCTATCCTATTTTCTTATTCAGAAACTATATTCCTGTTCTTTAGCTATTTCCTGCACAAATCAATTTCTTTTTTTTTTTTTTTTTTTTGGTAGTCATTTTAATTTACTTCTTGGTTTCAATTTGGATTGACTTTCTGCATTTTGCTACTGGTAGAATTGCAATGCATTGGGCCAGTGGTAGACCACTACCTGTCAGGAGAAATTTCTTTTGTTCTTTGGTTTTTACTCGCACATCACAGTGATGGGCGTCATTCAGTGGTTCTAAACCCTCAGTACACTTAGAAATCACCTAAGAAGCTTTGAAAACCATGAAAGCCTGGTCCCTATCTCCAAGGATTTTAATTCAATCGATCTGAATGAGGCCTGGGTGTTGACTTAAAAAAAATGCAACATGCATTGAGCCACTGGTCTAATCTAGCAGGAATTGGCAACGAGTGTGAGGGTCTTTCAAAAGATGCTGTTTTACCTGGCTAAGGTTGTGGCATGCCCACAGAGTAACCACCTCCTTTTCTTTCCCCAGATGGTGCTCCTGGCCAGGTGCGAGGGGCACTGCAGCCAGGCGTCACGCTCCGAGCCTTTGGTGTCGTTCAGCACTGTCCTCAAGCAACCCTTCCGTTCCTCCTGTCACTGCTGCCGGCCCCAGACTTCCAAGCTGAAGGCACTGCGGCTGCGATGCTCAGGGGGCATGCGACTCACTGCCACCTACCGGTACATCCTCTCCTGTCACTGCGAGGAATGCAATTCCTGAGGCCCGCTGCTGTGTGTGGCTTCTGGATGGGACAACTGTAGAGGCAGTTCGACCAGCCAGGGAAAGACTGGCAAGAAAAGAGTTAAGGCAAAAAAGGATGCAACAATTCTCCCGGGACTCTGCATATTCTAGTAATAAAGACTCTACATGCTTGTTGACAGAGAGAGATACTCTGGGAACTTCTTTGCAGTTCCCATCTCCTTTCTCTGGTACAATTTCTTTTGGTTCATTTTCAGATTCAGGCATTTTCCCCCTTGGCTCTCAATGCTGTTTGGGTTTCCAACAATTCAGCATTAGTGGGAAAAAGTGGGCCCTCATACACAAGCGTGTCAGGCTGTCAGTGTTTGGTGCACGCTGGGGAAGAATTTACTTTGGAAAGTAGAAAAGCCCAGCTTTTCCTGGGACATCTTCTGTTATTGTTGATGTTTTTTTTTACCTTGTCATTTTGGTCTAAGGTTGCCATTGCTGCTAAAGGTTACCGATTTCAAAGTCCAGATACCAAGCATGTGGATATGTTTAGCTACGTTTACTCACAGCCAGCGAACTGACATTAAAATAACTAACAAACAGATTCTTTTATGTGATGCTGGAACTCTTGACAGCTATAATTATTATTCAGAAATGACTTTTTGAAAGTAAAAGCAGCATAAAGAATTTGTCACAGGAAGGCTGTCTCAGATAAATTATGGTAAAATTTTGTAAGGGAGCAGACTTTTAAAGACTTGCACAAATACGGATCCTGCACTGACTCTGGAAAAGGCATATATGTACTAGTGGCATGGAGAATGCACCATACTCATGCATGCAAATTAGACAACCAAGTATGAATCTATTTGTGGGTGTGCTATAGCTTTAGCCGTGTCACGGGCATCATTCTCTAATATCCACTTGTCCATGTGAAACATGTTGCCAAAATGGTGGCCTGGCTTGTCTTCTGAACGTTTGGTTCAAATGTGTTTTGGTCCTGGAGGCTCAAATTTTGAGTTATTCCCACGTTTTGAAATAAAAAGAGTATATTCAAAATTTTGACTGTTTAAGTATTTTTTTCCTACTTGATATCCTACTATCATGTGGACTAGAACATACATGTAGCTAGTGCTTGAGCATCTCCTATGATATAGTAAAAGAGTCAAAAAAAAAAAAAAGGAGACAGAAATGGGGTTCCAGAATGCATTGTGGGAACATTTTTTTGAAATCAATGTAACAAGGTGTTGAGGGCTTATTAAATTTGACTCTGAGTTTTAGATTTTAGCCCATTGAATAAACACAAAATCTAATGCATTTTGGCTTCCTTGGAAGCTATGGAATGAAACAGAGGAGTCCCCTCCTTTTTAATTTCTTCACTTTTCTCAGAAGAAAATAAATATCCATAAGTGAAGTTGGAAGAACCAGCAGAAGGACAAATAGTTAACAACATTTCTGTGCCATTGACTGTGCAGTGCTCAGGATCGAATGATATTACTGGGCATTACAAGAATACTCATGATGTTAGCACAGTGCTATGTCCCTCTTAGGTATCTCAATACAAATCCAGACTTGGCAATTCAGTTTCCAGGGCAACCTTGTCCTGGTTAACTAGAGATGATATTAACTCCCCCACTGTTAGTACAGCCAACCTGTGAATTACTTTTCCAGTAGAGATAATGGTTTTGAACACTCTTTGGCACAGCTTTCACACATTCTTAAGAAAGCCAGCAGGGTTATACTTGTATTCATGGCTTTGAAACAGAATGAAACTAATGCTATTAAATCTTGACCTTGATCTTAATCTCTGTGGTGACACAGCCAGCCAGTCTCCTAAATTGGAGGTTCTCCTCATTCTGAAGGCAAATGCGAAATGGCAGTTTGGACCATTACATGAAGAATTTTGTCATAAATGGAATTAAATTTAATACTGAAAGTTAAATGGTTATAATTTTTAACTGATAATGAAAGTATTAACTGTTGGTCACATTTATGACTGTTCTTTCATGTTGCTAATCAAAAAGTGAAAAATAATACTTCCAGCCTTAAAAAGTATTTTCTGGGCCTTAAAAACTCAATTTTCTTTGAGAATCTATAATCTATACCCTAAACTCTAGTCTTTATTTCCTTCTACCAATTTGGGACTACAGGGGGCAGTTATATGACTCATATCTTCCAAATTCTCTGGAAGCCATAGAAAATAGTCCCTTCAAATCCCATTACATGGTCTATTGACAAAGTTTCCCCCATGGAAATGAGCAGAATATACTTGGAGCATTAAAGAATCACAGGACAGTGGCCTTGGAAGAACTATTAGAAAGCATACATCCTCTTCTCTCCTTAAATACATGAGCAAATGGAGGCCTGTAGAAATCCAGGAACTGGCTGAAAGTCACAGACACTCTTGGATTTGGAACTCGAACCCACGCTTCCTGCTCCTCACAACCCTGACTGCTTTAATTTCCTTCCTGCCACCAGTGAAAGGAGCCTGGCTCCTTTCAGGATCTTAGAGTGTGGCGAGACAGGGTAAAGTTTAGGGGAATAGCAAGGCTGAGAAAGGGGAAAAATAGTTATATTTTCCCTAAAGACCTAAAAATAGCCTTGGGAACTGAGAGATTTCAGACATTACTGGATATTAAGTTACTATGGAATTTGTTTTCTATCTTTTAAAAATTAAACATATTTAGCCTTATTTTGGTGTCTACCCCTAAGGATTGAGAGACAACCAAATGAAAACATTGATCAGTTAAAAACATTACTCCTGGAATGTCTAAGAAGTGTTCATTTGCTTCCCCATTTACTATGCATGAGAAAATTAAAGTATGTTATAATTTTAGTAGCTTACCTCTTAGAAATCTGTCTGATAATCTATAATGGTGGAGGGCAAGCCTCCTGTAAACTGATCTTGCCCTCATCATTTTTAAGCATTTAATAATAATGAGTTAGTACTGCAGTGGAAGATAGGTTTATGAACTTAATTGATTTTCTTGACATCCCAGTTTTACAGACCAATACCTTAAATCTTAATACACATAAGCTCCTGAACTATCCCCAGAAGCTCAAAATGAAGGACAAATCAACCTTTCTAGGTCCTGAGGAAATAGTGGTTGATTTTCTTCTAAACTCCTGTGTTTGCTAGTCCACCCAACACATTATTTTGTGTTAGGTAGAGCAGGTCGCATACACGTTATGACTGGGAAACTGAGTAAGTTGATTTCTTCTTTGTGACCTTGAATAAATTAAGGTATGGGTTTGCTTTTGTTCACTTCTTTGGGCACCACTGAAACCTATACACTTGAGCAAGAGAGCTGCCCAAGATGAAACACCAAATGTATTGGGGCTGAGGGGTGGGTAGGGGTGAGAAAGCTTAGATCAGAAAGGGAAGCCATATCCCGCTGATGCTGCACTCGTCATGACTCTAGGGTACAGACACCTCCTGGTGGACAGACACACCTGTTCTCTTCAGGAGCTAGAACAGTAGAGAGACTTGAATCTGGGAAGAGTTCTTCCCATCACTGCATCATTACACTCTGGGAGGAACTCTTTGCTTGTTTCAACGCACAAAAAGGTACTCAGCAACACCTGCTAAAAGACAGCATTTCATAAGAAATTGGCATCACATGCCAACAAATCAATGTTAGAGCCTTTTGTTTTTCTGTAAGTCTTCAGTACATTAATTTTTGGTATATTCTACCATAAATCTATGACAGTACAAGCCTTTTCTTTTATTCAATTATAAATCTAATTTCAAATGTCTCATTGATTAAAGTCATCCTGTGCTCTATGCCGTCTTCTCATGTGGGGCACAGAACATTTTAAATTTGATGACTATGGCAAACATAGAGATGCACCAGCCAGATCCCCCTTAAAAAGGGGTTGCCTCAGCTGTCAACCCCTTCAGGAACGGCCTCAGCTGCAAGGAGTCACCTTGCCCAAGGACATGCTCTTCCAGAATGGCTCATATCCAGTGATTGACGAAGGCCAGGGTATAAAGGCCTGGCTATCTTGGCCCAGTGAAGGACAACTCTAATGAGCACTCCTCTTTCTACCTAAGCTTGCTTCCCCACTTGTCTTCTATGGATGCTGATCCCTAATAAATATCCTGCACCACAAACTTTAACTCAGTATGTGACTCTTGAGAACCAAGCCTGCAACAGTAAATTTTATATATTTATGGATCTGTAAAAAGAAAGAAATTCATTCATTTTGGATCTAAGCCATCTAGTCTCATTGTGTGGCTCATAATATTTAAAGGTTCAAATCAATGTTTTTGCTTCCTTAAATGCATGGTTTAAGAATATGTGACAGTGCCTCCTATGTGTCAGCTAGAATACTAAATGCTGGAGATACTGAGATCAAAAAGTCCTATCCTTGCTTTTAATATGTGCACAGACTGAGAGAGTGAGAGATGACTATAATAAGTGCGCTAATGACATATAGAGGTAACCTACAAAGAGACAATCTGGTGTTCTTAGTTTGAAAGCAACCATTTTAACATAAGGCGATATGACTTTTAATAATAACATTAGCATTTGTATCGCACTTCCACAGATAGTATCTCACTTGGTTCTCAAAAGATTCTATATCTTTATGGAATAAGTTAATTATTACAAAAGTTTCACAGAAAAGAAACCTGAGGTCACTTTCTGACCTCAAAGTCTATGTCTTCTTTGTTATTCCAAAAACCGTCTTTTTCTTTTTTCTAAAGCATGTGGACAAAGAAAAGGACCACCAAACCATCTTGTGTAGGTATCTGCCAATTGTCATTAGCAAACTATGATCCCAGAATGTGAGGAGCTTGTTGACATAAAGTATACAGGGTCTGACCCAACAGACCTTTACAACCTATTCTAATATGAATTTCTGAAGAAAATAAATATGTTCAAAAATTGTATGTGAAACAAAGCCATGCTTGTGAATTTAAAACTCTATCAGAGGCTGGGTCTGGTGCTGCAGTCCCAGCTACCTGGGAGGCTGAGATGGGAGGATAGCCTGAGCCCAAGAGTTCAAGGCCAGTCTGGGCAAAATAGCGAGCCTCAAAACAAAGCAAAACAAAACAAAACAAAGCAAAACAAAAAAACAAAAAACAAAAAAAACCCTCTATCATCATTGCTACCCTTGAATAATAGCATATAATGGAGCAGACACTGTGTTTAGCTTTTTCCCTGCTTTCTCTCATTTAATCTTCCCCAAAGCCCTTGAGGTTAATATTACCCGCACTTTACAGATGGTATGAATAAGTGCTTATGGTTCTCAATCACTTTGGCTTTTTGAAAATATCCCAGAGTTCTTCATTATCTTCAAAATGATCACCAACACTAATACTGCCATCATCATCACAAAGTGTAGATAAAGTATCTGTGCATCCATACATGCTCTGGAAATAAATTTTAAGAGAGGCAAGTTCTATCCTTGTAAGATCTGACATTATAAACCCTGCTGTGGTTTTAAATAGCTAAATTCTTAACAATGTGTTCTCTTCAATCATTAAATTCTTAACAATGTGTTCTCTTCAATCTTTGGTCTGCTCTAGCAGTGTGGTTTTTTTTTTTTCCCCCATAATCCTAATATATCAAATTATTTCCCCTTTTGCATTGGGACAGTCTCCTTCTCTTTCCCTTATTAGGTTTCACAACTCCGTTTGCAATTCATAACTCTTTAGGTAACCATTGTTGGAAGAAGCCACAAGAAACCACAGCACTAACAAAATTGCTAGTTTGAGAAGGAACGTGGAAGGCATATAGTCCAACTCTCTCACTTTATAGAGGTTTTTGATCCTCTGTCTCCTGACTTCCCAAATGATGTTCACACCGCTGGCCAATATTGTTTGTGATTTTTCTTGCATGACAGTTTTCCATGGACCACCCAAAACTGTTCTTTACTGTTGTTGAAACCAACACATTGTGAATTTCTCTGACTCTTTGTCCACTATTACTTGCCAATTTATACTTGTCTTCATTGTAAAGAGCATGAACTCTGGGGCTAGATTGCCAGAGTTTACAGGTTCCTGCTCTGCTGTTTATTAACCATGTGAGTTTGCGCAAGTTATTTAGCCTCTGTGTGCCTCAGATTCCACATCTGTAAGTCAAGGAAAAGGACAATATGTATATACTGTACTTCATGGTACCATTTTGAAGATTAAATGAGTTAACATATGATGAGAAATAGAGAAATAGAGCCATGCCTGGAACCTGGTAAGCACTCATGAGTATTAGTTGCCATTGTCATTATGGAGTCATAGTTTGAACAAGTTGTAACTTGTCAAATACAGCTTTGCCTAAGGTGAATGTTATTCTGACTGTCCCCCCCCACCATTTTTTTTCCAGCAAAAATTATGCATTCTTGACATTTCTTGTTATATTACTCTACAGTAAAAAGTTTTCATTTTCTAAGGTTATAGCACTAAATTAATAGAAAAAAATTAGAGCTGGTTGCTATTTTATAGCTTAATTTTTAGCTTGCGTTCTTCCTTCGAATTATGGGCCGGCATGGTGGCTCACATCTGTAATCCCAACACTTTGGGAGGCCGAGGTGGGTGGATCTCTTGAGGTCAGGAGTTCAAGACCAGCCTGGCCAACATAATGAAACCCCGTCCCTACTAAAAATACAAAAATCAGCCAGGCATGGTGGTGTGCGCCTGTAATATCAGCTACTCAGGAAGCTGAGGCAGGAGAATCACTTGAACCCAGGAGGCAGAGGTTGCAGTGAGCCAAGATTGCATCACTGCACTCCAGCCTGGGTGACAGAGCAAGACTCTGTCTCAAAAAACAAAAACAAAACAAAACAAATAACATTCATAGTAGTGGCAGAAAACACCTATGAGATTATTTCATGTGCCCAACTACACGTCTGAATCAGGCTTAGATTAGAACAACTAAAGCAATGAAATGTGCGAGTTTCTGAACATTTTTCTCAGGAAGTTATTTCACTCTTAAGTAAATGTATGACCTTCTCTTCCTCTCATCATCCAATTATTCTCGAAAATACTGTGCACCGCCCCCCCCTCCCCCAACCTCAGCTTTAACGATTCCTCTTTAACATGTGAGTTAGCCCATTCTGAAGTATGTTCTGGTAGTAGTCTGATGGAAGAACCACACGAAGGTAAACTTTTTGGTCAATTTTAAATTTAAGAACACCAGAGTGTCAGGGACTGTATGTTCCACCCCAAGAAGGGGAGGATTTAAATATATAGTACAAGTTAATACATTTAAATCATTGATTGCTTACATTAGTTTCTATTTTTTCAAAATAATACAACTATTGATTGGTGTAATTTCTACATTTTGTAAAAACAGCACAATTATTAATTAGCACAGTTTAATATATCTTAATCATTTGTTTCTTACACTAATTCCCATTTTTCCAAAACAGCAGTCATTCATCCACAGCCAGAAATTTCGTAGCAAGTCTTAAATTTGAATAAAGGGTAGAATATCAAATTAAAATGGGAAAAATTACAATTTTATATTACATAAGTCAGTGCTGCCTAATAGGAATATAATATGAACTATATATACATATCATTTAACATTTCCTTTTAGCCACATTTTAAAAAATAAAGAGAAACAGATGAAATTAGTGTTAGCATATTTTACTTAATACACTATGTCCCAAAAGTGATCATTTCAACATGTAATCAATATGAAAAATTATTAATGAGACATTTTACATTCTTGTTTATACCAAGTCTTTCAAGACTGGTGTGTATTTTATGCTTACAGGGCATATCAATTGGAACTATAGCTTCTTTCTGAGATTTCATGGGCATACTGAAATCACCGGGAACAAAAGGCCAATGGGGTGAGCAAGTCTAAGAACAAGAGCAAAGAGGATGGGACTGCAAACTGAATGAACCAGCTTAGCACTTAGCAAGCAACAGTTACTTGGACATTTCAGAGACTTTATTGCCAACATGGCTCTGCCCAGCAATCCCCCTCAGAGTCAGGAAATCTGAATGCACCTTTGGTTCCACCAATAACCAAACACATGATTCCAAGTGAACCACTTACGCTTTCTACTTCTCAGTTTCTTAGGCTAGATTGTGAATATCTCTTCTGGTACTATGAATATTCTTTCTACATACACACACACACAAGCACATGCTTCCCTCCTCTAATATTTCTCTGTACTCAAGGTAAAGGTACTTTAGAAAAATCTGTTCCCGTTTTATTTTCACCAGTAAGAAATCTTATATCTTACTTTTTGGGTTTCTCTGTTTTGCCTTTTCTTCTTTTCAAGGGTTGTGCCTGGGTGATGTTTTATATATGTGATTAAAAATGGGAGTAGTCTAGTAATCTCATTAAAATACTGGTTTGACCAATATCAGAACATAGTTAGCTCTATTATTTTACATACAGTAGCATTGCTGATAATGCATCATTCATCTTGAGAATTTAAAATATTAAATTCCATATTTTATGGAAATGTGTCTCATTTTTCCTTTTCATTTCCTCCTAGCTCACTCTTCCTCCCTCTTCCCTTCTAACAAAGGCTCCAAGCAGCAGATGGATGGGAAGGGATTGGGGGTTGTTCAGTGGTGGGTGGGTCAGCTTTCCCTTTGCTTTTGTGCATTGAAGCCCTGGATATATGCCAGGGGTATTTGACTAAAAAAGAAAGAGAGATACAAGCATTTAGTCAGAGTGCTCATCCATAATTAAGTTGCTTAGTTGCAGGGCCATCAAAGGAAAACTTCAAATACCCTGATAGCAAAAGCCACCTGTGCTGAAAGCAGAGAAGCAGGATCATGCAGGGGAAATGCAGAGCCATGGCAGATACTCAGAAACAGTGGGCAGAGAGGACATTTTGAAAGACAAAGGCAAGGCCCCAGGCTGTGAGTCAGAGGAAACTGGCAAGAGTTTGTTGAATCTAGACTCGCAATCTATTGCTGGGGCCTGTTTTCATAAGCGAGAGCCTTCAGCCTTTCTTTGTGCAGTGTGTTGCCTTAAACAGGAGTGTCTGCTTTTAAGATAAGAAGTCAATGACATCCCTCATAGAATCTTTACTTTGTATCAAGGATGGTGCTAGACAGGATAGATACACTAATTTAATCTTCTCAACAATTTTTTAAAGATTTATTTATTTATGTGTAGACAGTCTCACTCTGTTTCCCATGCTGGAATGCAACGTTGCAATCATAGCTCACTGCGGCCTCAAACTCCTGGGCTCAAGAGGTCCTCCTTCCCCAACCACCCAAGTAGCTGGGACTACAGGCCTACACCACCATGCCCAGCTATTTTTTAAATTTTGTAGAGACAAAGTCTCGCTATGTTGCCCGGCCTGGTCTTGAACTCCTGGCCTCAAGTGATCCTCCTGCCTCAACCTCCCAAAGTGCTAGGATTACAGGCCTGAATCACCGCTGAGCCTAAAATCTTTTTAGTTAACCACATCTTACAGACAAGGAAACCAAAGCCTAGAGAAGTTGTATGATTTTCCCCAAGTCTCACAGCCAGTAAAGGACAGGGGTAAACTTCGACCACAGATCTCTGTGTCTACTAAGCTTAAGATTCCTTGTTGTTTCATCCACCCTCCCTCCTCACACCTACCTGGGTTTGACCCTTATACAAGGCACTTTCCCATTGGATGACTACATCAAAGTACCTGGTCAGGATCAAAGGTAAATTTCTTCTAAAAACCACATGCCACCCAAGTCTTTTATAAAACCAGCGTGTATTTCTAAAACGTCTTTGGGAGCACATGAGCTTCCAGGGACTCTGGGGACTCCAACGAAACACCGGGGCCCCTATAAAATTAAAACTTCCCGAGGAAATTTTAAGTCAGACTTCTCTTGGCCTTGAGTCCAAATAATTTCAGTGAAAGTTGGCTGAGCTTAAGAATTGTATAACAAAGACTTGCCTGGGTCATTTTATTTTGCTCCCCGCAATGATATGAAAGAGAGGTAAGGGACCGGGCCATCTATATAATCTTCCCAAAACCCAGGGCCACACTGATGGCAGAATTGGTGGGGCCCCTAGAGATAATGGCCTTGCTTTAGAAATGAAAGGCTCAAAGAGGTTAAAGTCACAAACCTAGGACACAGTAATGCAGGACTGGAGCCTCAATCGCTCAGGCCCAAGCTAATGGTTATTATTGGATGTCTGCCCCATTCTTCTTCCCAACCCTGCCCCCCTGACTCCTGCACTCATGGCCAAGTTTAGATAAGGCTCAATTTCAGAGTGAATTTAGGCCAACACAGCTTCTGATACACATGGACTACGCTTTTACCTCTTTCAAACAGGCAAGCGCTACAGACAACATGCACTTCTCCAGGAATACAACCTAAGTCACAGACACATAGTATACAGTAGGGGCCTACTGTGTCATTCCAGGTAGGCAAAAGTTTTCAGAGTATCAGTCTCCCAAATAATTATATCATCAGAGCAAAAAGCATTTTGAGCAACATGCACATTGACAGTCAAGACATTTGGTATGAAGCCTTTAGATGGTGCTAATGGTCTACTATAACACAAAATCTGCAAGTACTCTTTTAAACTTGAAATCAAAGAGGTGGATGAGACCTCAAGAGTCTAGCTATATTTCAAACATCCTGTGCCCAGTCAGGGAAACCCATTCACAGATTTGGAGGCATCTTGACAAGAATAAATTTCTGGGGCATTGGTTGCCACAGCAAAGTTTTGGTGATGCTAAATGTACCAAGTTATTCTGGGCAGGTCTCATGCAATCCATGCCATCAGTCAATACTTTAAACACGAATATACATCCTCTGGATTCAGATTTATCTTGTGTCTTTGTGTATTGACTGGAGCTTGTGGCAATCTTGGTTCATAATGTCTGATTATGTTGCTGGATTGTGCGTTGGAGCCATTCATTTTGTGGAACAATTTTCTTCAGGAAAGCCTCATTCATTCAATTAAGAAAGAACTGGTAAAATTCTAGCATCATTCATTTTTTTCTTGCTCTGAAAAGAGGGATGGGGAAGAGCACATCACACTATAGCAACATTTCTACAACAGGCTTTTATGTCTTCTTTCTTTTTCTTTTCCACACGTTGTGAGTTCCTGAGACTCCATCAGTCTCAGAGTCCTGCCAAAAGAGACAATGCTTTGCTATCCAATTTTTCTTATGCATTGAGAAGCCCTGGACATTGATGACGTTTTCTCTGCAGGAAGGAAAATAACTTCTTGTCCATTCACATGGATGGCTCTGCACATGTGGGAGCTGACATAGGTTTCCAAAGTCAGATGTCACACCTAATATAGATACATGGTGCTTATGGGAATGTGTGCTTGCATGTATATGTATCTCCACTCTGATTAGAAGAACGACTCAGGAGCAAGAAGGGGGCAAAAGTCAGGATGGAGGTGAAGTTCCCATCCAGAACACTGAACAAGAAAAAGGTTTGGGAGGATCATGGTGCCATTATTATAATGTCTGGATTTCTATTATAGTGGAAAAAAATATTTTTTCCAGAAAGTTCATGTCGGGGTGGAATTAGATTCAAAGGGATGGAAATCTTGAGGAGATAGATTTCAATTCAATTCCAATGGAATTTTTCAGTTTTTAAAAATTAAAAAAAATCTGACTTACAGAAGAGTTGCAAAAATGTAAAAGGACACCCATATGCTGTTCACCTAGGTTCCTCAATTGTTAATATTTTGCAGTATTTTCTTCCTTTGTCTCTCTCTCTCTCTATATATATATATAATTACTATTTGACAGTAAGCAGCATTATAATATCCCCTTGTTTTATATATGTGTGTTACTATTTGACAGTAAACAGCATTATTTATATATAAATATATGTATATGCAAGCACATATTCCCACTATATATATAATACATGTATGTTATATATATGTTACTATTTGACAGTAAACAGCATTATAATATCCCTTTATTCCTCGATATTTCATCTTGCATTTCCTAAGAACAAGGACATTCTCTTACATAACCAGGGTAAAATGATACTAAAATTTCAGCAATTGTCTCATTGATGAACTTGTAACAATATTTTTCCCTCTGATCCAGGATCCACTAGGATACATTACTGGTGATGTTAATAAATATGAACTGTTTAAGATTTAGGATTTTCAAAACTGAAAGAGGCTATATCACAAATCAAATTTTAAGTATCAGCACAGCAAATATATCATATAGGAGACACCAGCTTGACGTGTGTGGCAGAGTAAATGACCTTTTTGAATAAATAACCAAAACCTTTATGGTTAGGACTTTTTGTGTCCTGTGTAGGAAATTTTGTCTGATCCAAAGTTATGAAGATGTCCTCCTATGTCTTCTTCTGGAATCTTATAGCTCCAGGCTTTATATTCAGGTTTATGATCTATTCTGAATAAATTTTTGTCAATGGTGTAGAGGTCGAAGTTCTTTTTTTAAATTTTATCCAATTGCTCTGGTTCCATTTGTTTAAAACATTACAGTCCTGCTAATCTTCAGAAATCTTGCATAGATGAAGAAATTTGGCCAAAGAGTTGCACCCTGATACAGAGCTGGGTGGAGAGGGCACTGCGTTGAGAGGTGTGGTCATATGAGGTGGAGAGGGATTGTATTCTTTTGGCTTGAATGTCAGTCATTGGAAATTAGTCCTGGGGGTCTGCGATGTGACTTGTGGTCTTCCTCCTGAATTTCAGAAAATCACAAGAGACTTGCTTGCTGTTTCAGAAAACTCCCATCAATGACCTGGTTGAACGGTAAATTACCACTCAGGTGAGGTTGTTCCTGCCCTAAAAGCTGCAACCGAGAGTCTAGCAGTGCCCAAAGGCAGTAAGTATATGGATCAGAATTTCAGTGTGGATTCAACCTGAAAACTATAGGATGCTGTGAGAGTTTTTTTTCAGGGAAAGGGGACGAATTTAGTTGGAACATGGGGTTTCCAAAGAAGAGACATTCAGGCTGAGACTTGAAGGACGAGCAAAAGAGAGCCAGGTGAAGAAGAGGGTTTGGATGGTGCCAAACACATAAGGGAGGTGGAGGAGCTGGCATCCAGCTGGCAGCCACACAGACTGGGAAGTGAGAAGCTGGGCAGGGGATGGAGGAGCATAAATATGACATGGGAAAGCAGGCAGGGTCTGACTTGCCTTGCCAAGGACTCCCTATTTAATAAATAGTGCTCGGATAACTGGCTAGACTTATGTGGAAGATTGAAACTAAACCCCTTCCTTACACCATATACAAAAATCACTCTGGGAGGCCGAGGCAAGTGGATCACCTGAGGTCAGGAGTTGGAGACCAGCCTGGCCAACATGGTGAAACCCTGTCTCTACTAAAATTACAAAATTTAGCCAGTTGTGGTGGCACATGCCTGTGGCAGTAGAATCGCTCAAACTTGGGAAGAGGAGGTGACAGAGCGAGACTCTCTCTGTTTTTTGTTTTTTGAGACAGACTCTCACTCTGTCACCCAGGCTGAAGTGCAGTGGTGGGATCTCAGCTCACTGCAACCTCCTCCTCCTCCTCCCAAGTTCGAGCAATTCTACTGCCTCAGCCTCCTGAGTAGCTGGGACCACAGGGGTGCCCCACCACAACTGGCTAAATTTTGTATTTTTAGTAGAGACAGGGTTTCACCAGGCATAAGTCTAGCCAATTATCCCAGCACCATTTATTAACTAAGGAGTCCTTTTTCCATTGCTTGTTATTGTCAGCTTTGTCGAAGATCAGATGGTTGTAGGTGTGTGACTTCATTTCCGGGTTCTCTAACCTGTTCCACTGATCTATGTGTCTGTTTTTGTACCAGAGTAATGCTATTTTAGTTACTGTAGCCTTGTAGTATAGTTCAAAGTCAGGCAGTGTGATGTCTCCAGCTTTGTTCTTTTTGCTTGGGATGCTTTGGCCATTTGGGCTCTATTTTGGTTCCCAACTAATTTTTGAATAGTTTTTTTTCTAATTCTGTGAAAACTGTCATTGGTAGTTTGATAGGAGTAGCATTTAATCTGTAAATTGCTTTGGGCACTATGGCCATTTTAACAATATTGTGTCTTCCTATCCATCAGCGTGGAATGTTTTTTCATTTGTTTGTGTCATCTCTGATTTCTTTCAGCAGTGTTTTGTAGTTCTCATTGTAGAGATCTTTCACCTTCTTGATTGGCTGTATTCCTAGGTATTTTATCCTTTTTGTATACTACATTTTTAAAAATCCATTCATTGTCAAACGACACTTAGATTGTTTCTGTATCTTGGTTATTGTGAACAATGTTTCAATGAACTTGGGAGTGCAGACATCTCTTTGAGCTACTGATTTCATTTCCATTGGATGTATACCCACAAGTGAGATTGTTGGAGCATGTGATAATTCTATTTTTAATTTTTTGAGGAAACTCCATACTGTTTTTCATAGTAGGTGTACCAATTTACATTCCCACCAACAGTATATGAGGGTTCCCTTTTCTCCAGATCCTCAGCAACACTTATCTCTTGTCTTTTTGATAATAGCCATTCTAACAGGTGTTTGTGGTTTTGACTTGCGTTTCCCAGATGATTAGTGATGTTGAGCGCCTTTCCATGTGCCTGGTGGTCATTTGTATGTCTTATTTGGAAAAATGTCTATTCAGATCCTTTGCTCATTTAAAAATCAGATTATTTGTTTTTTTGCTATTGTGTTGTATGAGTTCCTTATATATTTTGGATGTTAACCCCTTATCAGATATATGGTTTGCAAATATTTTCTCTCATTCCATAGGTTGGCTCCTACTATTTAATTTTTAAAATAAGAACTATAAAAACCTATGCTTTCTTAAGCTTTTAAGCCCATCTTTTAGGTTATATTTATAAACTTAGTATTTTTATATAAGAAAAAGAACAGTCATTTTAATTGGTTATTTGATTAATGTTTAATTAATTAATGTTTCATTAATTTTACAGATTAAATCCTTCTAAGTATTTAGCACCAGTTTCATCTTTAAGTAATCAAATGACCTTAGCTATTTCAAACTGCATTTACAGGTTTAATATATTTGATTCTCTCACTTTTACAAAGGCAAACTCACAAATCTAACAAGTAAAATCCTCCTTACCATGTCTGCGAATCTGGTAAGTTTATTTAGTAGATCAAATTATCTTAAGCATATCTAGAATCTTTAAAAAAAGAAAAGAGAAGGCTGCAGGGCCGCATGAGAAATCACCAGGGTCAGTCAGGAGGCAGAAGGAGTGAGGAGAACACATGGACCAGAGCCTTTATTTTGGTTTCCATGGGGAAAAAAATAATGGGCAAGTCAGGGTAAGCAAGCTAAGCAGTTTTAGGATTGAATAGTTTGAATAATGTTGGCAAAGTCTAGGCTGTAGGGTTGCTTGGTACTTGGCCCTGGGGTGTTTTAGGGGAGGGAGATGGTGTCCCAGATAACAGGAGCTTAATAGAATAAGGCAAAGGGGAATATGAGCTTGGGCTTGGTTGGCTTGTGGTATGTTGTTTGCTATTGCTAGGAATTAGCCACCCTTGGGAGGGGTAGTCCTTCCCTGGATCTGCAAAAGCTCAAGATATCAAAGCATCAGAACATTAAAAAAATTATTAATACACTCTGAGAACCCCATCCAAGAAGAAATAAGCAACCGTTTAGAAGGGCTTATTTTATGCAGCTTTTGTCTACCTGTCACTTATCATCTGGGACTTAACTAAGCAAACAACTTTCAGGTTTTAATAATATAGCGTAGTAATTCTGATATTAAATTATCCATCTATTATATAAGCTGCGCCCTTTCCAGGTCCTCTGATTGTAATTCCATTTTGCATAACCACTGGCAGTGCCCTACATTAGGGCCTGTGACATTATATATGGATGGAATTTTGAAGCCTGTACTCTGGCCTTCACTGCGTCCTCGTCTTTTTTTATCTTTCTAATTTTCATATGCCTCATAAATCACTGTTCTGTTATTGCTTTATTCACTTATTCATGCAGCAAATAACTACTGAGGGCTCACTATGTTCTGTGCCAGGCACTCTTCTAGGTGCTGGGAATATACCAGAGAACAAAACAGACACAAATTCCTGCTTTTATGCTAATAGGGAGACAAACAACAAACAATGCTCATAATAAGTTACTTCATCAGCTCCCTTTCTTCTACCTGCCCCTGAAATGTGAGTGGTCTCAGGGTCTCCTTTTAAGTTTGTTTGCTCTCGTGGCTTCCACTACCACTATAGGCTGCAGACTGCCACGTCTGTGTCTGTGTTGTAGCCTCCATCTTGTCCAACCTAGCACAGTGCTTCTAAGGGCCTATCACCCTGCCCTCTGCAGAATGTGCCAGGTAATTCACAAATGGGGCATTTTAGTACTGCCTTTGACATCTAAACACCTCACTTCATCTGCAAATCATATGTCTCTTCCCTCTCTACTAGTCCTTCTTCTATTATGCCCTCATGTAACCCTTGGAGGATGACAGATATAGCCAGCAGAGCTACAGCTTCCATCTTCAGATATGATCATGTCACGCCATTAGTAAATGCCATGTCTTTACTCCAATACTCCCCTCTCCATGAGGCCTTCCCTGTCCACCCTACTTAACATTGCTACCATCCCCTGCCAACATTCCCAATTCCCCACACCCTGACTTATTTTTTTCTTTCCTCCATAACACATACCACCTTCTAACATAGTATACAACGAAGACAACTGGGGGTTTCACCCAGGGATGCTGAAGCAGGACCAGGAATGACAGAAGTCAAGGAAGTGGAGGTTGGAGAGGATTCAGAGGGTGGCTGGCAGTGCATCACTCATGTATGGACTGTATGAGAACTGGGATTTTGATGGCACAGGGGAGCCTCTGGTTACATGGCAAAGGGGGATCAAGGTTATAGATGAAATTATGGTTGCTGATAACCTGACCATAAAATAAGGAGATTATCCTGGATTATTGCAGTGGGCCCAATGTAATCACAAGGGTCCTTCAAAGTGGATGAAGGAGGCAAAGAGTCAGAGTCAGGGAAGGACATATGATAATGG
Source organism: Homo sapiens (assembly GCF_000001405.40). NCBI lineage: Eukaryota > Metazoa > Chordata > Mammalia > Primates > Hominidae > Homo > Homo sapiens. The sequence goes on along the minus strand of NC_000023.11, from coordinate 43,932,933 downwards.
ATGCAAGGAAAGAGTGGAGTGATGTGAGAAGGACTCGACTCATATTTGCTAGCTTTGAAGATGGAGGAAGGAGCCATGAGCCAAGGAGTGTGTGTGGTCTCTAGAAGCTGGAAAGACAAGAAAGTGAATTATCTTCTAGCACCTCTGAAAGCTTCTAGAGACCACCCACACTCCTTGGCTAGTAACACTTCCTCAATCTTCAAAGCTAGCAAATGTGAGTTGAGCCCTTCTCATATTGCACCGCTCTGACCTTGCTTCCACCATTATATGTCCTTCTCTAACTCTAACTCTCCTGCTACCTTCGTCCACTTTTAAGGACCCTTGTGATTACATTGGGCCCACCCAGATAATCCAGGATGTTCTTGTTATCTTAAGGTCGGCTTTTTAGCAACCTTCATTCCATCTGCAGCCTTCATCCCCCTTTGCCATGTCACGTAATACATTCACAAGTTTCAAGGATTAGAAGGAATATATCTTTGGTGGGGGCATTATTCTGCCTACCACAGTAACTATATACTAGGTTTTAACAAACACACAACATTTCCTAAACGATGAAATATATTCTTTCCCCCCAAAATAAAAAGAAAAAATACAATAGAAGATTTAAGGGAAAACTGAGGTTCAGAGGTAAATAAGCTAATAATTGACAGACCCAGGGTTCAAATCTTGAACATCTGACTCCAGATTCCATGATCTTTTATTACTTGACATGGCAAAGTTCAGAGACTCATCTCTTAAGAAGTGAAATTATGACTGTTAGTCTGATTCTTGTAAATAAGGAGTTTCTAAAGATGGAGAAATAATTATGATCAGTATTGTGCTCCTAAAGAATGCCAAAAACTAATTGAGGAAGATAGAGGTACTCAAGAGAAGCTGAAGGCATAATTGCTATCTTCAACTATGTATTCATGTGTCACTTAACAATGTGGATACATTCTAAGAAATGCATCATAAAGTGATTTTGTCATTATGTGAACATCGTATACTGTACTTACATAAACCTAGATAGTATAGCCTACTACACACCTAGGCTATATGGTATTGCCTATGGCTCCTAGGCTACAAACCTATATAGCATGTGGATGTAGGGAATACTGTAGGCAACTGTAACATGATGGTATCTATTTGTGTATCTAAACATATCTAAGGACAGAAATGGTACAGTAAAAATATTGTATAAAAGATGAAAAATGGCATATCTGAATAGGAAACCTTCATTATAATCTCAACCACCCATTGTGTATGTAGCCTGGTGTTGACTGAAACATCATTATGTGGCACATGACTGTATAATGGATTTTTTGTGGGGATGAATTGGATCATCTTTCTTTATTTTCTTAGAAGACAAAAATACAGGAATGATTTTATTTAGAACTACAGTAACTTTAGATCTTCATTAAGAAGAAACTCCTTTCTCTCAAGAGAAGAAAACACTAGAAGAGGCCTCCAGTGAAAAAGATAGGAACTCTCTGCTAGAGAACCTTGAGAAAGGAACAAGATGGCAGTTTGAGAAAGGCTGAGACAATTCCACAGCCTTGAAGTGAGGGCCAGGCATGATGGATGATTCCCTAGGAACACTCCTGATTCTAATAAGAGATGACAAGATACTGAACACAAGGTAGAAAGTGTGTTATGTGTCACAGTCCAAATTCAAATGCTATTGTTGCTGACAGTCACTAGATAACTTGGAAAACTTGTCAGGTAAAGTGCAAAGGAAAGCTTACATGTCAAACATTTGGTAAGTTAATGCTGCTTGCTTTGAAGGGTTTAGACAATAGGATGGAAGAAGCATCCGAATGACTTTGTCAGTCTTGGCGGCATCATTTGGAGTTGTCAGAGAATGCCCTGGGTTTCGATCCTGATTATGCCATTTACTAGGTGAGTGGCCTCAGCCAATTCACTGAACATCTCTGAGCCTCAGTTCTCTCATCAGTGAAATGGGGATAATACTATATATGCCAAAGAGTTTTTAAGAAGACTGAAAAAGGGGCTGTAAGCCAAATTCTTAAAGGTGGGCCTTGCAAAATGACAGACACTCAATTGAGGATATTCTCCTTCCACCAGGCAAATGGCAAAACATGCTGTATTTGATTTGGGATTTCTCATGCTGCTATTAGGATGCCAGAGCAAAATCTGCCTAGGATCTGCCTTCTCATAAATTGCCCTCTGTGCCTACATTTTCTCTCACCCTACAGTATCCATATTCCCACCCCAAATTTACATCTGACTGGCCCTTCGACAGATATTGGGTAAGACATATTCTTATTATCGATGATAAGGAGAAAACAGAACAAACAAAAAAGAGACCATTATAGAACAACATGAAAGCACTGTGAGAGGTTTGAGACAAACCATAAGGTGGCAGGGAGTAAATCTGAACTAGAAGTTGGACTTTCTGCTGGCCTGAATGCACTTTAACTAGATGCTCTGGAGGATAAGTGCCTCACTGTTGTTAACCTCAAAGAAGTGGCTCAAATGGTAGAAGATGTCATTGGTAGTGAGTGATGCTTTTGGACCAATTGGGTTCTTTTATATTCTCAGGTTATCTTACTTAGTTGCTCGCTACATATAAGATGCATAGGGTGGCAATCTTCCCAGGGCCATCCCACCTCTTCAGGAAGGAGAAGAAGCATTCTAAGAGATTTTGTGAATTCCAGCCCTGGTCAGCATTGGGGACATCCAGGATCTACCCAGGAACCCTCACTGAATATGTGTGGCTACTATGAGCTTTAGTTGTGTATTGTCTCTTAGCATATCTTGCTGAAGAGTATTTAGATACATAGATCATGGTTGACTGGGAACTAAATAATTACAAATGGCCACAAATTATTCCCCTCCCATCAAGATGTGTAGTCTGTTTCTGCAGCCCTTAGATTTGGGTTGGCTGGCAATTTATTTTAGCTAATGGGGAGTTAGCAAACAGGATACAAGCAGAAACTTGAAAAGTGCAGAACATTTCAGCTGAGTTCATTCTAGACCAGCCAGCCCATAGCCAACAGGCTTCTGACCCTAAAGCAGAGTATGGCAACTAGAGTTCTCTGAATAGCTGCCTATTTTTGTAAATAACGTTTCATTGAAAAACAGCCATGCTCATTCATTTGCTACCATCTATGGCTCCCTTAGTGCTTTATTTGGTAGAGTTGAGTAGTTGTGATAGAGACTGTATGGCCCACAAAGCCTAAAATATTTGCTATCTGGACCTTTACAGAAAAAGTTTGCTGACTCCTTCTCTAGATAAATGAATAATTCCAGCCAAAACCACCAGAAGAACCTTCCTAGCTGGCCCAAGCTCAAGTTGCCAATTTGTAAAATTGTAAGCTAAAAAATGATTATTTTCAGAAACTTAATTTTTGAATAGTCATCCCATGGTGGAAGGAGAAAGGGCAAGATTAGCAAGAAAGGGCTGAATTCACTTATTTTCATAACATTTCTGCACACATTTATGAATTAAAGAGTAATTTGTCACAAGAATTATACACACAGCTCCACAGCTATTCATCTGTCAATATCTATCAATCCATCCATATCTTGTATGCTGATAGACATTGCAGACAGGTTAAATAATTGGATGGCACATTCATAAGAGATAGCAGAGAATTTGCAAATAAAGACTCTCAGATATTAAATCTTGACAAAATGTATGTTGAAATCAGTGAGTCTCTGCTTTTTTTGATAACTGAGAATATTGGCATAGTATCATTAAGTTGCATTATTCTCCCACCAGAATGCACTTAGCCCATAATTAAATAAAGGCTATTTGGTGTTTTTTAGTTTGTAAGAAAACACCCTCTTCATGGCTGAAAAAAAAAGGAAGATTTTTAAACGCCCAAAAAGCAGACACATTATTTCTGTTTCAGCAATTAGAATTCTCCATCTCTTGTCTCATAATACCAGGCGCCCTGCTATGGTTTGAATGTCCCTTCTAAAACTCATGCTGAAATTTAATTGCCTTTGTGACTATATTAAGAGGCGGGATTGTTAAAAGGTGATTAGGCCAGGAGGGCTTTGCCGTTATGAATGGATTAATGACATTGTCGCTGGAGTGGTTTTGTGATTGTGAGGCCTTTCTTGCTCTCTTGCCCGTTCTCCTTCCACCATGGGATGACGCAGCATAGGGGCCCTCTATGGATGCCAGTACCATGCTCTTGGACTTACTGGCCTCAAGAACTGTGAGCCAAATAAACTTCTATTTTGTATCAATTATTCAGTCTCAGGTATTAGCAGCACAGCACAAAGTGGACTAAGATAACCCCAAGTTCTGGAAAATAGCATGCATTTTGGAAAGAAGATCACTTCATCATGTCTGAATGCAAGTTGCTTATTCTTAATCATTCTTTGTGTCTGTTTTGAAAATGTTTATGTAATGGTATGGACCACATGTGTCCAGAAGGCTCAACATAATAAAATATTTTTGGTTGGTATATTTCTTAAACTAACGTTTATCAAGATTTATGTGAGAAAATAAAGAATTGTGATGAGTTCCATTGTGTGAAGGAACTAAAACCAAGAGCTACATAAAGTCATCCCAAGGATTACCATTAAAGCTAAGCATGCAATTTCCTGGCACCCAGACCTTGCTCAAACTGTGTCTTTACTCTTGCATGAAAATTCCAAATGTTAAAACTGCAAAGATACTGTCAATTATTATGTCCTAGATGTCTATGGGTACTTTTCCCATGAAAATATATGATTAATATAATCATCCCATCCCTTTGCTCTTTAATTAAACTGCAGATTAAATTTACTTTTCTTCATTTGCTAGGTGCCCCCTTGTTCAGTTTCTGATAAATTATCAGCAAGTGTCTTGCTGTTCTAATGAACCCATGGTATTTGAAACCACTAGATGATACTTTACATACTGTTTTTTTTTCAGCCACAATTTTAATTTTAATGATCTCCAAGAAAAAAACAGAAATATAATATCTTAGCCTTAAGAGATTTACTTCAGAAGCTTTTTTTCTGTTTGAAAAGAATTTAAAAAAACCTTCATGAGTATAAATTTGCTATCAGGGCTTATATGATCAGTCACTGGAGAGTTACCACGAGATATACATTGTGCCTAAGTTAGGAAGATATTATTTGATGACAAAGTAAGATTTCTAATTTTACAATAAAGTAGTTGCTGGGTGCAGTGGCTCGTGGCTGTAATCCCAACACTTTGGGAGGCTGAGGAAAAAGGATAACTAGAGGCTAGGAGTTTGAGACCAGTCTGGGCAACATAGTGAGATGCCATCTCTACAAAAATTTTTAAAAAATAAAAATAAAAAAGTATCTACAACATCCCACAAATCTACTTTGCTTCTGCAGGTCCCTGATGTTTCTTGCTAGAATATGGGCAAGTAGGGAATAGTAGGGACAGACATTTTTACAGAGACCAGGATATGTTTGAACACAGGTAGATTAAAAAAAAAAAATGACTCACTCCCTAGATTCCTCCTCTCTGGGCAGGGCATCTCTGAAAGAAAGTCAGCAGCCCCAGTCAGGGGCTTATAAATAAAACTCCTATCTCCCTGGGACAGAGCACCTGGGGGAAGGGGTGGCTGTGGGCGCAGCTTCAACAGACTTAAATGTTCCCGCTTGCTGGCTCTGAAGAGAGCAGCGGATCTCCCAGCACAGTGCTCGAGCTCTGCTAAGGGACAGACTGCCTCCTCAAGTGGATCCCTGACCCCCGTGCCTCCTAACTAGGAGACACCTCCCAGCAGGGGCCAACAGAAACCTCATACAAGAGAACTCTGGCTGGCATCTGGCTGGTGTCCCTCTGGGACGAAGCTTCCAGAGGAAGGAACAGGTAGCAATCTTTGCTGTTCTGCAGCCTCCACTGGTGATACCCAGGCAAAAAGGGTCTGGAGTGGACCTCCAGCACACTCCAGCACACCTGCAGCAGAGGTGCCTGACTGTTAGAAGGAAAACTAACAAACAGAAAGGAATAGCATTAACATCAACAAAAAGGACGTCCACACAGAAACCCCGAAGGTCACCAGCATCAAAGACCAAAGGTAGATAAATCCACGAAGATGAGGAAAAACCAGCGCAAAAAGTCTGAACATTCCAAAAACCAGAACGCCTCTTCCCCAAAGGATCACAACTCCTCACTAGCAAGGGAACAAAACTGGATAGAGATTGAGTTTGATGAATTGACAGAAGTAGGCTTCAGAAGGTGGGTAATAACAAACTCCTCTGAGCTGAAGGAGCATGTTCTAACCCAATGCAAGGAAGCTAAGAATCTTGAAAAAAGGTTAGACGAATTGCTAACTAGAATAACCAATTTAGAGAAGAACATAAATGACCTGATGGAGCTGAAAAACACAGCAGGAGAACTTCATGAAGCATACACAAGTATCAATAGCTGAATCAATCAAGCAGAAGAAAAGATATCAGAGATTGAAGATCAACTTAATGAAATAAAGCATGAAGACAAGATTGGAGAAAAAAAAAAACAACAAATGAACAAAGCCTCCAAGAAATATGGGACTATGTGAAAAGACCAAACCTACGTTTGATTGGTGTACCTGAAAGTGACAGAGAGAATGGAATCAAGTTGGAAAACACTCTCAGGATATTACCCAGGAGAACTTCCCCAACCTAGCAAGACAGGCCAACATTCAAATTCAGGAAATACAGAGAACACCACAAAGATACTCCTCGAGAAGCGCAACCCCAAGACACATCATCATCAGATTCACCAAGGTTGAAATGAAGGAAAAAATGTTAAGGCCAGCCAGAGAGAAAGATCGGGTTACCCACAAAGGGAAGCCCATCAGACTAACAGTGGATCTCTCTGCAGAAACCCTACAAGCCAGAAGAGAGTGGGGGCCAGTATTCAACATTCTTAAAGAAACGAATGTTTAACTCAAAATTTTGTCACCACCAGGTCTCCCTTACAAGAGCTCCTGAAGGAAGCACTAAATATGGAAAGGAACAACCAGTACCAGCCACTGCAAAAACATACCGAATTGTAAAGACCATCAACACTATGAAGAAACTGCATCAACTAACAGACAAAATAACCAGCTAGCATCACAATGACAGGATCAAATTCACACATAACAATATTAACCTTAAATATAAATGGGCTAAATGCCCAAATTAAAGATAAAGAGTCAAGACCCATTGATGTGCTTTATTCAGGAGACCCATCTCATGTGCAAAGACATATATAGGCTCAAAATAAAGGGATGGAGTAATATTTACCAAGAAAATGGAAAGCAAAAAAAAGCAGGGGTTGCAATCGTAATCTCTGATAAAACAGACTTTAAACCAGTAAAGATAAAAAAAAACACACACACACACACAAAGAAGGGCATTACATAATGGTAAAGGGATCAAGGCAACAAGAAGAGCTAACTATCCTAAATATATATGTACCCAATATAGGAGCAGTTAGATTTATAAAGCAAGTTCTTAGAGACCTACAAAGAGACTTAGACTCCCACACAATAATAGCGAGAGACTTTAACACCCCACTGTCAATATTAGACAGATCAACTAGACAGAAAATTAACAAGAATATTCAGGACTTGAACTCAGCTCTGGACCAAGCGGACTTAATAGACATCTACAGAACTCTCCACCCCAAATCAACAGAATATGCATTCTTCTCAACACCACGTTGCACTTATTCTAAAACTGACCACATAATTGCAAGTAAAACACTCCTCAGCAAATGCAAAAGAATGGAAATCATAACAAACAGTCTCTCAGACCACAGTGCAATCAAATTAGAACTCAGGATTAACAAATTCACTCAAAACCGTGCAACTACATGGAAATTAAACAACCTACTCTTGAATTAAGGCAGAAAAGAATAAGTTCTTTGAAACCAATGAGAACAAAGACACAATGTACCAGAATCTCTGGGACACAGCTAACGCAGTGTTTAGAGGGAAATTTATAGCACTAAATGCCCACAGGAGAAAGCAGAAAAGATCTAAAATCAACACCCTAACATCACAATTAAAAGAATTAGAGAAGCAAAAGCAAACAAATTCAAAAGCTAGCAGAAGACAAGATATAACTTAGATCAGAGCTGAACTGAAGGAGATAAAGACAAGAAAAACCCTTCAAAACAATCAATGAATCCAGGAGGTGGTTTTTTAAAAAAGATTAACGAAATAAATAGACTGCTAGCCAGACTATTAAAGAAGAAAAGAGAGAAGAATCAAATAGACACAATAAAAAATGATAAAGGGGATACCACCACAGATCCCACAGAAATATAAACTACCATTAGAGAATAATATAAACACCTCTACACAAATAAATTAGATAATATGGAAGAAATGGATAATTCCTGGATACATACACCCTCCTAAGACTAAACCAGGAAGAAGTCAAATCTCTGAATAGACCAATAACAAGTTCTGAAATTGGGGCAGTAATTAATAGCCTATCAACCAGAAAAAAGAGCAAGACCAGACAGATGCATAGCCAAATTCTACCAGAGGTACAAAGAGGAGCTGGTATCATTCGTTCCGAAACTATTCCAAACAATATAAAAAGAGAGAATCCTCCCTAACTCATTTTATGAGGCCAGCATCATGCTGATACCAAAACCTGACAGAGACATAACAAAAAGGAAAAATTCAGGTCAATATCCCTGATGGACATCAATGCAAAAATCCTCAATAAAATACTGGCAAACCAAATGCAGTAGCACATCAAAAAGCTTATCCACCACCATCAAGTTGGCTTCATCCCTGGGACGCAAGGCTGGTTCAACATACACAAATCAGTAAATGTAATCCATCACATAAACAGAAGCAATGACAAAAAAACCACATGATTATCTCAATGATGCAGAAAAGGCCTTCGATAAAATTTAACACCCCTTCATGCTAAAAACTCTCAATAAACTAGATATTGATGGAATGTATCTCAAAATAATAAGAGCTATTTATGACAAACCCACAGCCAATCATGCTGAATGGGCAAAAACTGGAAGTTCCCTTTGAAAACTGGCACAAGACAAGGATGTCCTCTCTCACCACTCCTATTCAACCTAGTATTGGAAGTTCTGACCAGGGCAATCAGGCAAGAGAAAGAAATAAGCAGTATTCAAATAGGAAGAGAGGAAGTCAAATTGTCCCTCTTTGAAGATGACATGATTGTATATTTACAAAACCCCATTGTCTCAGCCCAAAATCTCCTTAAGCTGATAAGCAACTTCAGCAAAATCTCAGGATACAAAATCAATGTGCAAAAATCACAAGGATTCCTATGCACCAATAATAGACAAAGAAAGAGCCAAATCATAAGTGAACTCCCATTCACAATTGCTACAAAGAGAATAAAATACCTAGGAATACAACTCACAAGGGATGTGAAGGACCTCTTCAAGGAGAGCTACAAACCACTGCTCAGGGAAATAAGAGAGGACACAAACAAATGGAAAAACATTCCATGCTCATGGATAGGAAGAATTAATATCGTGAAAATGACCATACTGCCCAAAGTAATTGATAGATTCAATGCCATCCCCATCAAGCTACTATTGATTTTCTTCACAGAATTAGAAAAACCTACTTTTAATTTCATATGGAACAAAAAAGAGCCCCTATAGCCAAGACAATCCTGAGCAAAAAGAACAAAGCTGGAGGCATCACACTACCTGACTTCAAACTATACTACAAGGCTACAGTAACGAAAACAGCATGGTACTGGTACCAAAACAGATATATAGACCAATGGAACAGAACAGAGGCCTCAGAAGTAACACCACACATCTACAACCATCTGGTCTTTGACAAACCTGACAAAAGCAAGCAATGGGGAAAGGATTCCCTATTTAAAAAATGGTGTTGGGAAAACTGGCTAGCCATATGCAGAAAACTGAAACTGGATCCCTTCCTTACACCTTATACAAAAATTAACTCAAGATGGATTAAAGACTTAGACGTAAGACCTCAAACCATAAAAACCCTAGAAGAAAACCTAGGCAATACCATTCAGGACACAGGCATGGGCAAAGACTTCATGACTGAAACACCAAAAGCAATGACAACAAAAGCCAAAATTGACAAACGGGATCTAATTAAACTAAAGAGCTTCTGCACAGCAAAAGAAACTACCATCAGAGTGAACAGGCAACCTACAGAATGGGAGAAAATTTTTGCAGTCTATCCATCTGACAAAGGGCCAATATCCAGAATCTACAAGCAACTTAAACAAATTTACAAGAAAAAATCAAACAACCCCATCAAAAAGTGGGCAAAGAATAGGAACAGACACTTCTCAAAAGAAGACATTTATGTGGCCAAAAAACATATGGAAAAAAGCTCATCATCACTGGTCATTAGAAAAATGCACATCAAAACCACAGTGGGATACCATCTCATGCCAGTTAGAATGGCAATCATTAAAAAGTCAGGAAACAACAGATGCTGGAGAGGATGTGGAGAAATGTTAGTGGGAGGGTCAATTAGTTCAACCATTGTGGAAGACAGTGTGGCAATTCCTCAAGGATCTAGAACCAGAAATACCATTTGACCCAGCCATCCCATTACTGGGTGTATACCCAAAGGATTATAAATCATGCTGCTATAAAGACACATGCACACGTATGGTTATTGCAGCACTGTTCACAATAGCAAAGACTTGGAACCAACCCAAATGTCCATCAATGATAGACTGGATAAAGAAAATGTGGCACATATACACCATGGAATACTATGCAGCCATAAAAAAGGAAGAGTTCATGTCCTTTGCAGGGACATGGATATAGCTGGAAACCATCATTCTCAGCAAACTAACACAGAAACAGAAAACCAAACACCGCATGTTCTCACTCATAAGTGGGAGCTGAACAATGCGAACACATGAACACAGGGAGGGGAACATCACACACCTGGGCCTGTCCCAGGGTAGGGGACTAGGGGAAGAATATCATTAGTAGAAATATCTAAAGTAGATGACCGGTTGATGGGTGCAGCAAACCACCATGGCAAGTGTATGCCTATATAATGAACCTGCATGTTCTGCACATGTATCTCAGAACTTAAAGTATATATATATATACACACCTATAAAGTATATATATATATACACCTATAAAGTATATATATACACCTATAAAATATATATATATACACCTATAAAGTATATATATACACCTATAAAGTATATATATACACCTATAAAGTATGTATATACACCTATAAAGTATATATACACCTATGAAGTATATATATATACTTTATAGGTGTATATATATATCTTATAAAGTATATATACATACTATATAGGTATATATATACTTATAAAGTATATATATATAAAGTATATACTTTATATATATACACTTTATTTTATATATATATAAAAGAATTACACGGTAATAATAATAGTGAAAATAATCATTATAATAACAACCATTTATTAAGTAATTATAATTACTTTGCATTAGGTATTGTATTAGGCATTTCATCAAGATTATTATTTATTTATAAAAATAACTCTATTTGTAAAATATTTTCAAGCCAAAACAAGTATTTACTTGAGCACACAACTATTTGTCTTTTCTTTCTCAGTTTATCATTATCTTTGTGAAAGACAGCAAACAATAAAGCAAGAAATAAGTTAAACTGTATATCAAAATCTTAAAAACCAAATATATCTTGATTTGATTCAGAGTCATAGATCTTCTCTTTCAGGTGGATAAGTGGGCAGACATTCAGTTAGCTGGAACACTGCCAAAAGTGAAATGGAATCATTAGATGGTGGTGCTTTCACAATGGCATACCCCTACTGGGAGGGTAAAGCTGTTTGTGTGTACCGAGGTGGCATAGGCTTCTTTGTTCTTGATGTGACATGTCACTGTAGAGCAAAAGAAATATCTTCCTATGTTTCAGTTGACATGACTTATTATGTAAAAAAATGATAAGGTTGTTTTGGTAAATCCATGTTCGTTGAACCATGACAGCCTTTCCCTTTCACTTGCAAAATCAGCATAAAATGTATAGTCGTTATGTAATTTAATACAGTGATTAAGAAGATAGGGTGATAAGAAGGCTTAAAGGAAGGGAAAAATTATTTAGCCCAGCACCAAAATCTCAATGAACAAAAGGAAATTTCTCTAAACCAAAGAAAAATTTGCTCACAGTGGTGATAATTTCCCCTATGTTCTCTGTCAGTTTTTAAACAACTTCATTCTATTTTCTATTTTATTCTACATTTTTAGAGTTTAATTCCTTTGTTAAATCATCTTTTAACTTCTTTCCTTTCTCCCATTCCTTCACTCATCAAAAATTTCCTCATGAGAAGGGCACCAGCAGCTGGGACTAGTTTTGACCAATAAGAAGGATCAGTGCAAATGACTGGCTAATTGCTTTCATGAAAGGAGCTGAATTTGCCCTATGTGTAAGTCTGTGCTCAGATTGTCATAACGGAATACCGGAGACTCAGTGCCTTATACAATAGAAATATATTTTCTCATAGTTTTGGCGGGTGGAACTCCAAGATCAAAGTGTCAGCAGGATGAGTTCCCTCTGAGTTCTCTCTTCTTGGTTTGCAAATGACCATCTTTTCATTGTGCCTTCACATGGTCATCACTCTGTGTATGTCTGTGTCCCAACTTCCTCCTCTTATGAGGATACCAGTCATATTGGATTAGGGCCCACCCTAATGACCCCATTTGAACTGAATTACTTCTTTAAAGACCTTATCTCCAAACACTGCTACATTGTGAGGTATTGGGGGTTAGGGCCACTGCATATAAATTTTGGGGGAGGACACAATTCAGTCCATAACACCATGGTACTGTAAATCAGTTTCCCTCTTTAGAACAGGGTGAAGACTTTATACATATAGCATTTCTTCTTCAGCAGCACCACCACCACTGTCACTCTCTTCCTTCTCTTCTTCCTTCTCCTTCTCCCTCACCTCCTTATCAAGAAATATAGCGTAAATAGAGGTTAAACTAGGAACCAAGAGGCCTGATCTGGCTTCTAGTCTTGTCTCAAACATGACCTGCCGTGGGAGGTTCTTTCCAGCTCATTGGATCTTGGTTTCCTTCACTACGAAGTTACTGATTAAGTGTTGGTGGATAATAAAACATCCAAGATCTCATCTGTGCCTGAAATCTCACCATTCCATTATTATACTTACGGCCTTATCCATAAGCAAAGTAAGGAAGATTGGAGGTTATTTCTGGAATATTTCTGCTGCTCCCAAATCACTCCCTTGCACACTTGTTACACTATTAAATTGTGCTATTAGAAGTTCATTCTTTGGGTGAAGATATTGCTCTTCTCAGCATCTTGTTAAAAAATATTACTTTGGGGAGGAGAAGGTGTGTAAATAATAATGGGTAAATAATGTGCCTCTCAGGATTGGTTTGCTATTTTTCCAAAGAGATTAACTGATTGTATAATTTCTTCCATCAGTCAGCAAGAAATTCCTATTTAGCACTTACTCCATGAAATATTACTACCAGCTACAATTTATTGAATACTTAACTAAGTAATAGTTTTTTTGTAGCTACTATTTTTTTAACATTTAGCAATTCTAGAAGGTAGAATTTCATTTCTAGGTTTTATTTCCCTATTTTTATAGGTAAAAATCTTGAGACTCAGTTGATTAGCTTTTCTAGATGTAGGCAGGTAAATTTAAGTTCCAGTCTACTTGATAGTGCCTTTTATATCTCTAATGCTGCATTACTTCAGAACTGCTTCTGACAAAGATCTTAACTGTTAGGAACCTTGCAGGCTTAGTAAATTAGATACAAAAATAGAAATGAAGTAGAACCATGACGAAGACCATGAGGAAGAAACTCTACTTCCTTAGAAGTAGACTAATGCCTGGTCATTGATCACTAATGAGGTTTTATCATCAGCTCCAGAAGATGATTAATGACATTGACAACATTAACAATAACGATGATTCCTAGACCAGAGATGTAGGGGGTTGGGGGGGGCGGTCTTCATATTTTATTTGTAAGACTACCCAGAAGATCACAAGCATAGTATCTTTAAAAAAATAGACCTTATAAGAAATTTTAAATTCAGCTTGAGAATTGGCATTATTTTAAGTGTTAGCTTTCTTCTGATTATGAAAACAATGTGTTCGTTATTGAACATATGGAAAATACAGAGAAGTATGAGGAAAGAATACGGTAGCTTATTTTTCTATTTCCAGTGATAATCAATAATGTATTTGTGAATATCATCCCAGTCATTATTTCTATAAAATTTTAACATGGTTGAGTTACCTAGTATTTACTATACATTCTATTTTATTCCTGTTTTCTGAAATTAATAACTATATTTGTATCTAAATTCTTTGTAAACATTATTCATGGTGGCATACCATTTCATTGTTTAGGCACATTGTCATGTGTTCAATCAATATTAAATGTTTCCATTTTATACAACTTGAACTTGTTTATGTACAAATAAATGTTTACATTTAGAATTGTTATTGCTTAGGATATGTTCCCAGAAGTGGAATTACAGAATCAGAAGAAAGAAACACTTTTAAGACTGCTGATAAATATTGTCAAATTGCTTTCATAAAAGGAATTCTTATTTTTCTTTCCATTGACAGTATAGGTAAGCACGCATTCCATTTCCCCACCTTGCCAATTTTGAAATTTAGCTTTTGTTAATCTACTTTGGTGTGGTAGATAAAAATAGATTCTCATTGTTACTTTAAGTTTGCAGTTATTTGATTGCCACCATGTTCAGTAGCTTATCACATGTTTATTTAGTAATTTAATTTACAATTTTGAGGAGTATATACTCATAACATGGGCTCATGTATACTTTGGAGTGATATTCATTTTTATTTATTTTAATTTACAAAAAGTTATTAGCAATTTTAAATGCATGTTGAAAATATTTTCTCAACGTTCCTCCTTAATTTTATGAATAGTTCTTGACATGTAATTTTTTATTTTTATAAGTCAGATTTGTTCATTCTTCTGTGTTTTGTAGCACAGTTTTAAATTTAAACTTAGAAACTCTTTGTATGGTGGGATTAAATATTCATGTCTTTTTAGTGGATTTGCTCATTTTTGACTTATAGTTAATTCTTTATTTTAACTTAAATTTATTTCAAGTATTGTGTGTGGTGAAGATACAAATTTATTTTATTACCAAATAGCTAAGGAATCTTCCACCCCATTTTACTGATTAATTCCTCCTTTTGGCCACTAATTTATGGTGCCGTCTTTATGATATATTACATGACCACCTGTCAATGATAAACAGATTTAATGATTGGTCAAGGAATTCTTGCATCAGATTAAAAAGTTTTTGATTATTGAAACTTAATGATGCATATAAAAATGTTTATTTTAGATTTTGACCTCCATTCAATATGTAATAATGGGGAACTTAAACCATTTTTTCAATGGAAAAAATATGTGAAACCGTGGTTTTCAAACACTGGACATCAGGCTGTGCAGGGCAGTGATTCCTGAGAGAGGGTAAACAAATGAGGTGAGTTCTATGACTATCCCAGCTTGCTGCTCAGAGAGAATTTCCTGGGAGCAGTGCAGGAAGAGGGAACCCAGATGAAGCCTGGTTCTCTCCCTGAGTTGAGTTTGCAGGACAGAGTTCCAAAGAGGAGAGAGTACCCAAAAAGACTTTCCCAGAGAGCTGCATAAGGGCCCCTTGAATTTCCAGCTGAGAGCTGATTGACGCAGGTGTGTAAGGGAGTTACCAGAGGCTGGGCAAAAGAACAACCCAAAAATAGTAGAGGGAAAAACTCCAGGACTCACACAAGGTCAATAGTTTGTACTACTACTAGCCAGAGAGGAAATCTCATAATTCACAGAGTATTAGGTACAGTAATCCCATGGGTATTGGGACAGTCATGAGGCAAAATCAAATCTACCAGAAGGCTGCTCAGATCTCATCTAACAGAGCTTAAAACAAAGCCTCCAAAATAATCTGTTTCTAAGTAACTACGTCCTATAACAAAGCTCAAGAATTCTTTTTAGGAACACAAAAACATCCAATCATCAACAAAGTAAAATTCACAATGTCTAGCAACCAATACAAAATGATCAGGCATGCAAAAATGCAGGACATAGTGACCCAAAATGAGGAGAAAAATAAATTCATCAAAACATATCCACGAATGGCAGAGAAGATAGAATTAGTAGATAAGGATATTAAAACAATTATAGTTTTATTCCATATATCATATAAATTAGAAGATGATTAAGCATATTAAGCAGTGACATGGAAAAAATAGAAAAGGCTCATAGAATGCCAGAGATAAAACTGCAATATTTGAGATGAAAAAAACTCTGGATGGAATTAACAGCACATTGAACTTTGTAGAAGAAAAGATTGGTGAACTTGAAGACATAGCAGTAGTAACCATTCAAAATGAGTGAGAAAACAGACAAAAAAAATACTGTCATGCACCACATAATGACATTTCAGTCAATGATGGACCGCCTATATCCCAGTGGTTCCATAAGATTGTAATATTGTATTTTTACTGTACCTTTTCTACATTTAGATATGTTTAGACACACAAATACTTACCATTGTGTTAAAATTGCCTACAGTATTCAGTACAGTAACATCTTTTGGCTTCCCTGGGCCACACTGGAAGAAAATTTTCTTCTTCTTCCAATGTTTTCCATCTTTTGGCTTCTCTGGGCTACACTGGAAGAAAAATTGTCTTGGGTCACACATAAAATACATTAACACTAATTATTGCTGATGAGCTTTAAAAAATTGCAAAAAAAAAATCTCATAATGTTTCAAGAAACTTTACAAATTTGTGTTGGGCCATATTCAAAGCTGTCCTGGGTTGCATGCGGCCCGTGGGGTGTGGGTTGGACAAGTTTGGTGTACAGGTTTGTATCCTAGGAGCAATAGGCCATACCATATAGCCTAGGTGTTGTATAAGTAAATGCTGATGTTTGCACAATGATGAAATCACCTAAGGATGCATTTCATGGAACGTATCCTTGTCATTAAGCCGTGCATGAATATATAAACAGAGCATCAGTGAGATGTGGGACAACGTCAGGTGACATAACATATGTGTAGTTTGAATCTCCAAAGAAGAAGGAAGAGAAGAAGACAATAAAAAGAATTAAAAAAAGTTGTTTTAAATGTACAATTTTGATGAAAATTATAAACTTATAAATCCAAGAAACTCAATAAACTTCAAACATAAGAAACATGAAGAAAATGACACAGATTTACAACATAATAAAATTACTTGAAACCAGTGACTTTTTTCATTTTCTCATTATCCACTATTTCTTTTTTATTACTCAAGTCATAAAACACAATTGTATAAGAGTCTGAAAATTCAAATATGCAGAAAATAAAATGAATTATAATGTTCACTATGACAAATATATAAGAAAGATAATGCTTTTGTACATTTTTTATTGAGCCCCTGAAATAAATTCACTCATTAATTACAAGAATTTCAAATTTATTTCCTTGGAAATTTTAGGAAAATATTATGTAGTCTCCCAATAGTGGTAATTTTTACATTTTCCAATAAAATGTTTTTCTGTCTTTTTATTTTATCAGCTTCCTGTTATGGAAGCTATACTGACTAGGACTTAAAGCAGATATTCTCTGCCCTCTTTTACCAAGCTATAAAATTTAGGGATATACTCTTTCTCTACTCTTAGGTGAACATCATAGAGGAAACCTCCTATCTTGCACACATACTCTTGCTTAAAATTTTGGCTATTTTTTTCTGATTTCTGATTTCTTTCTCTGCCTTGCCTTTTTTTTCTTACTTTCTATTTGCCACCTCTTTATAATTGTATTAGTTTCCTGTTGGTGCTGTGACAAATTGCCACTTCATGTGTGGCTTAAAACAACATAAATTTATTATTTTACAGTTCTGGAAGTCTGAAGTTGAAAATAATCTAAATCGGGTTTGGATGAAAGCTGAGGTATGGTTGAATACGTATGTTCTTAAACTGTAGACTATTATGCAGCCATTAAAAAGAAAGTACCGGCTGGGTGCATGGCTCATGCCTGTAATCCTAGCACTTTGGGAAGCCAAGATGGATGGATCACTTGAGGCCAGGAGTTTGAGGCCGGTCTGGCCAACATGGCGAAACCCCGTCTCTACTAAAAATGCAAAAATTAGCCAGACATGGTGGTGCACGCCTGTAATCTCAGCTACTCGGGTGACTGAGGCACGAGAATTGCTTGAACCCGAGAGGCAGAGATTGCAGTGAGCCAAGATGGCACCACTGCACACGTTCCAGCCTGGGCAGGCAACGGAGTGAGACTCAGTTTCAAAAAAAAAAGGTACCACTTGATTTCGAGGAATTTTTATAGGAACGTTAAGGAAAAAATGAGTGTGTAATATAATATGATGCACTTTTATGAAATAAACGATGACAAACACTCATATGTTTGTATGTGTGTATACAATTACGTAAGCTTGGTAAGGATACACACCGGATAGTCAACATGACGTTTCTGTGTGCACATGTGTGTGTGCTCGTGTGTTGGAGGGGTAATTGTGGGTGAGCATAGAGCAATGAGGTGAAGGGAAGAGCCAAACAAAAAAATGGAAAACACAACAACACATTTGCATTAGTAAAAACATGTGAATATGAAAACATATGAATCACAAAAAACTTAAAATATATGCACTATAAATAACAAAGTTTTGTGTGCTTCATGTTTATACTTAAAACACCTTTGGAAATTGAAATTGACACAGATGTCTTTTTGTTTTGAGATACTCAGGCTAAATAAAGGAAGCATTGTCTTCCTCTAGGAAGAATTTCAGGATCATGTAGTTCATAACTTTGATCTTATTGCCAAGAAAATATCAGAACTTCAATCTCTGAAATCTGTCCTTTGTTTTATGTTCACATACACATATCCCCTCTCCACTGCCTTGTCTCAGACGTAGACATCTGGTCAGCTTATTTAAAAAATGTTCGTTGTTGTTATGATTAGAATTAGATATTCTACAGTTGTTACTGAGGCAATTAGAATATAATATAATGAAATTTGTCTTAGATAAAATTCTTCATTGCTTTGGATTGTTTGGGTCTGAGCAATTACCTTAAAAAAACAAATGAACAAGCTCTGTTTTCCCCCTAGAATTTCAATAACACCCACTTTTTCTCAGGACAGTTGCATCAAGCTTTGTTATATGCTATTCAGTATAAAGAGGTCCTAGACATGTAAGTGCTTTGGGTACTGACGTAATTCAGAATGACTTAAAAGGCACAGCCCTCGCTAAATGAAAGGCAGAGTCTTGAACCAACAGGCTAGCTCAATAGTGTAGGAAAAATACAGGGGGCATTTAAGTCTGAAACACACATGCTGCTCCTTACTCCTAAAAACCAAGTGAACAAACAAACGAACAAAACCAGAAGCCTTCTTTAGAAAAATTGAGATTCTCTGGGGTTGTTAAAGAAACGGAGAGATTATTTGCAATTATTTTCATGTGGAAATGAGAAGAAAATGTAGCCAAAAAGATGCAAATGTAATTCAGGCACAATTTTTAATCTAACAACCCTAGAAACCTGTTATTTGAAACTAACGTAAAATATTTGAATCTCAACAAGCGTTTCATAGAAAGTTAAACTCAAGCCTTGTTGTTTATGTCTCTCTGTCCTGAATTCTAAGTGTACTGCAGTAGCCAACTTGCCTGCAGAATCAAATTAATTTTATGAATTTATTTGTCCCTAAGATAAAACTTCAACGTATCTGGATTGTGTGCATAGATGAACTATGAAACTGCATACGTCTACTTCCTTCTGGGACATTTGCTTTGTCTTTATACCCTCCAAGTTCACTGAGAGTCAGAAAGAAAATGCGTGCAATTGGGCCGAAAGGATACCTTTCACCTGAAATGTGCAGCCATAAAAAAGAACGAGATCATGTCCTTTTCAGGAACATGGATGTAGCTGGAGGCCATTATCCTTAACAAACTAATGCAGGAACAGAAAACCAAATACAGTATATTCCCACTTACAAGTGAGAGCTAAATGATGAGAACACATGGACACTAAGAGTGGAACAACAGACACTGGGGCCTACTTGAGGGTGGATGGTGGGAGGAGGGAGAGGATCAGAAAAAAAATATCTACTGAGTACTGTGTCTAGTGTCTGCGTGATAAAATCATCTGTACAACAAACCCATGTGACGTGAGTCTATCTATATAACAAACCTGCACATGTACCTTTGAACCTAAAATAAAAGTTAAAAAAAGAAACAGAAAAAAAAGAATAAATAACAGTCTTTTTATTTTATTTTTATTTTTTTAATAAAAACCCTCCACCTTTTAGGTAATGGTGAGACTGTGTTGGCCTTGGTTCAGGTCCCGTCCACTCCTTTCCTGGATCACTGAAATCCATGGTCTTTTGGCACTTGAAAATTCCCCACAAATTTCACCAGGTGGCTACACTCAGCATGATCAGTCCAAAATGCAAATTTTATCTCCAGCTTAAAATTATTCATCTTAATTATTATTAAACATTTAAATCATTATCTTAGTTTTATATTTATTATTACTAAACATTGAAACTATTCTCTTAGTTTTCAGGATACATTTAAAGTTCTTTCATTTTGATATGCAAGGCACAACGTGATTACGCTTCTGTCTATCTCTTCACCTCACTTTCCATCACACCTCTCAGATTCCCCTCCTATTGGGAACATTGAAACATACTGGATGTCGTGCTGCATGGAGCCACTATACCCTTCTCACCGGATGCTGCTTGTTCTGCAAATGCCCTTTATTCACCTTGTAAACTCCTATTTCCTCAAAACAATTTATTGTTTGTAACATCTTCCAGAAAGCCTTCTTAAGACTTAATTTTCAAGTAACAGATATGATGTAGAATTAGGTTAAGGGAGAAAAAAGTTTCTTTTAATAAGGGTCCAGAAAGGATTAAAATCAGGAATTAGAAAACCACCAAATCCTCTAGGAATCCTGGCAGCTCTGCACTTCTCATTTTGTATCTATCCTATTTCCTCTTTGTCAGTTACTCTTTCTGGTGTTTTTTGTTTGTTTGCTTTTTTTTTTTTTTTTTTTGTCACCATGGAGCATGAAATACAATCTATAAGTCCTAGCTTTTCAGCTGTGAAATGGGTAATGAATACTAATTCACTCAAAGTAATATCGTAAAAGTTATAGGAAATGATGCTTGTAAAGGGCTTAGCACATTCCTTGGCACATAAAAATATTAGTTATTATACTACGAGGCAAATGGATCATTTAAATACTAAAGTTCTGGGTACATTCTAATCAATTACAAAGACATTGTAAGAATTTGTATTAGGCCATTCTTGCATTGCTGCAAAGAAATACCCAAGACTGGATAATTTATAAAGAAAAGAAGTTTAATTGGCTCATGGCTCTGCAGGCTGTACAGAAAGCATAGTGGTATCTGCTTCTGAGGAGTCCTCAGGAAGCTTCCAATCGTGATGCAAGATGAATAAGGAGCAGACATATCACAAGGCAAAAGCAGCAGCAAGGGAGAAAGAGGGGGAGTTGTCACACACTTTTAAAGGAACAGATCTCAGGAGAACTCATTCAGTATCACAAGAAGAGCAGCAAGGGGATGGTGCTAAACCATTCATAAAAAATCTGTCCCCATGATCCAATCACATTCCCCCAGGCCTCACCTCCAATACTGGGGATTACAATTCAACATGAGATTTGGGTGGGGACACAGAGATCCAATCTATATCAGAATTCAGTACCAAATCAAGCAATCCACAAAAGTCAATTGAGCAATACATTTTTGTTTGTCTTTTTTTTTTTTTTTTTGAGACAAAGTCTCGCCCTGTAACCCAAGATGGAGTGCAGTGGTGCAATCTCAGCTCACTGCAAGCTCTACCTCCTGGGTTCAAGCTATTCTCGTGCCTCAGCCTCCCAAGTAGCTGGGACTACAGGCGTGTGCCACCATGTCCAGCTAATATTTGTATTTTTTAGTAGAGATGGGGTTTCTTCATGTTGGCCAGGCTGGCCTTGAACTCCTGACCTCTATTGATCCGCTCATCTCTGCCTCCTACAGTGTTGCGATTACAGGCGTGAGCCACCGGACCCGGCTGAGCAATGCATTTTACCAGACACTGTGGGAACAAAATATAAAAACTAAATGAATCTATTTTGAAGTTGGAATAATGTTCCCATTTTCTAAAAGGGAAGGAAGGTGGGTTCTGAAGCGAGGGAATAATGTGCTTGATGGAATTCCTCTGCAAAATTCTAAAGCAGATAACAGAGGGAAAGCCTGGGACACACACAAGGAAACCATGGCCACTGAGTGATGGAATGAGTTCACCAAGAAATAAACCAAACCTCACTTCCTTTGTAGATAGTGTTAACGAAACCAGCAGGTAAGGGATTTCATAGGTTGAGAGAATTTTAAATTCAGCAAGGTATTTAACAAAGTATTTCATTATATCTTTGTGAACAAAATTGTTAGATTAGTAGCTATTTGAATGGTATTACTCAATGAATGATGAATTAGTATCAACTAGGGATGTCCAGCAGTGAGGACAAGGGCCCTGTACTTTGCCTACGCTTGCTCATTTAATCCCCACAATAATCCTGTAAGGCAGATAGCGTGGTATTAGCTCCACTGTTACAATGAGGACATGGAAACACAGCAGGGGGAAGAAGCTTGTGCAGTCTCACAACTAGCAAATCAGAAAACCTTCCTGGAGAAATCCAGCTCTGTCAGACACTATGTAACCTTGGGTAAATTACTCAACCACTGAAACTAAGTTTCCTCATGGGGGAATTGAGGATAATAATGCCTACAGATAGGAATGTTATAGTGATGGATTGCTTTCATTCATTCATTTATTCAACAAATACCAAGTATTATTAAAGTTACTGGGGCTACACTGCTGAGAACTGGTTGCCAGTGGAGACAGACAAACAAGGAAGAAGAGAGACATCTAATAACAAACTAATGAACAAATAAGTATCAACTGAAAAATGCTTTAGTACAATAAAAGTACCAACCAGCCCTGTGAGAGACAAAAGCCCTTAGAAAATGCTTTAAGAACTACCTATTTGGTACTACGCTAACTACCTGGGTGATGGGATCATTTGTACCCAAAACCTCAGTGCCACACAATATACCCACATAACAAACCTGCACATGTACCCCCTGAATCTAAAATAAAAGTTGAAATCATAAAAAATAAAAATATACTACCTTTAAAAAAATGAAATGCTTTAAGATATACAAGTGTGGGGAAAATGCTTTGTAAAATTGAAGATTCTATAAAAACATTAAAGGTCAAGTGAGCCATATAGGAGTTTAAAGTTAAGGAGGAATTACTTGGGCCAGGAGGATCAGGAAGGTATCATGGGGAGAGAGATTTTTAAGCTGAACTTTTAAGAATAGGGAGGATTTTGGTAGTTGGAGAGAAGGCAGACATTTTTTAGGCAAAGGTGTCAGAAGAAAATGTTCTCACGCCAGATTATAAAGCATATGATTTTAATGTTTATTCAGTTCCCCAATATTACAGTTTATGAGTACATATTTATGCTTACCCTCTTTAAAGTATAGGCATCATGTACCTTTAAAGATTATTAAGTAAACTTGCAAGGAAATGTCTCTGAGAAGATAAGCTTGTGTTATTACAGGGCAATTAGAGACTTTGTAGATTAACAATAAAGATAATGCAGCTGAGAGGGAGGGAGATTAAGTAAAATAGATATTGGAAATTGAGTGAGAATTGGCCAAGAAGGAACTCTATACTTAAATTCCTTGATATTTAATACACTTTGCCCTAAGCAAGATTTATGGCCTGCATGCTTGTGATTTTGAGTTCTCAGTAAAATTCACCTAGGGCAGGACATAAGGATAGCAAAGAGAATGAGTTTAAGCCGTCTTTAGCAAAGGAAGCCCTTTAAGATACAGGGCATGTGAGTTACTAATGCTTAGTTGCAGGACAGAGGTCTTGGGATCTCACTGAGACTTTACTGTTGATAATAGTAAAACTAAATTGTGATTTGAAGCGAATGGCATGATCATGAAGCAATAATTAAAAGATATTTTTCCCCTTTTATTTCTTTAAAGAAAATGTAATCATAAGATGTGTAGGGATATATGAAAATGCACAAATAAAAGTAGTTCTTCCTTTATTCCCAATCTGGGCAGATCCATATTAAATTGCCATATCCATTCTATATGCTCCAATGAAAGAAGGATCTGAAGACCCAAGTAATAGTTCAAAGAAGAGACACTTTCCCAGGAGAACAAACCCCACCAAATACTGTTTTTTAGTTTTGTTTGAGAATGGGAAGATGTAGAGGTCAATTGAGTAGTGGCCTTTAAATATACAAAGTACAGTGGTCTTTAAATATACAAAGCACAGGTTGATGAGGGTGAGACTTATGTTTTTCCTTTCAATTGAAAGAACACTTAAACAGAATGAAAAATTTTGATAAAATGGAAGGAAAGAAGAATTTGTTTTGTTAATAAGGATCCTCTAATAAACACTTGAATGGATTACCCCTTGATGTTGGAAACCCTCCTCAAAGGTTTTTTTAGACAATTACAATACTGCTGGGCTGGGGATCAGAAAAACCTTAACCCTTAGTCATTAATCAGTTCCATGACCTTGGATAAGTCACTAATTTTTTCATCTGTAAAGTGGCATCTTTGGACTAATAAGGAACATCCTTGATTCTTGGCTAGATTGTCATCTTGCTGAAATGATTCCTAACTCAAGTCAAGGAAATGGGCTAGATTTCCTTGCTAGCCTATTCAGTAGCCTGCAATAATGATTTTCTTCTTAAATCATTAAATATTTCACATTTCGTTATTGTCTCAGTAGCACTCTGAGATAGAAAAATTCAAAATATCTTTTTCTTTTTTCCTTTTTAATACAAATACTTTTTATTTTTTGAAATGGAGTCTCACTCTCACTTTTTTTTTTTGAGATGGAGTCTCACTTTGGCCTCCCAAAGTGTTGGAATTACAGGCATGAGTCGCCCAGGCTTGAGTGCAGTGGCATGATCTCAGCTCACTGCAACCTCTGCCTCCTGGGTTCAAGCTATCCACCTGCCTCAACCTTCCGAGCAACTGGAGCTACAGGTGTGCACCACCATGCCTGGCTGATTTTCGTACTTTTGTAGGGACAGGGTTTCACCATGTTGACCAGGCTGGCCTCAAACTCTTGACCTCAAGTGATTCACCCCCCTCGGCCTCCCAAAATGCTGGGATTACAGGCATGAGCCACCACACCCAACAAATATACATTTTTTTTATTTTTTATTTTTTATTTTTTTTGAGACAAGGTCTCACTCTGTTGCCCAGGCTGGAGTGTAGTGGCCAATCACGCTCACTGCAGCCTCAGCCTCTTAGGCTCAATCAATTCTCCCACCTCAGCCTCCTGAGTAACTGGGACCACAGGCATGTGCCACCATGCCCTGCTAATTTTTTAACTTTTAGTAAAGACAGTGTCTCATTATGTTGCCCAGGCTGATCTTGAATTCCTGGGCTCAAGTGATCTGCCCACTTCAGCCTCCCAAAGTGTTGGAATTACAGGCATGAGCTGCTGCACCCAGCCATATTTTTTCCTAAAGAGTCATAGAAACATATAGTTACTCTGAAAGGTCAAGCTTTACAGTGTTTGAACTTAGATGCTTTGCGAGAGTACTAGATGATTTCTTAGTGCTCTTTATAACTGCCCTTTACATTCACCCAGCACCAGGGGCAAGGTGTAAGCTCAGCCATCAGAAAGAGTCTTGCTTTTCTTTTCTTTTATTGCCTGAGCAACAGAGAGAGTAATGACAAACTTTTTTTTTAACCTCTTTGGGCTGGTATATTTGCTGCATTTATTTGCAAGGCTACAAGTGTACTCCTACAGATATTAATTCAGGTCATCCAACATTTATTGAGCAGCCTTCATGCTGGGAATACAAAGTTCCTGCTTAATCAGGCTCTGGCGAAACTGAGAGGCTGATGGAGGAAAATAATGCCTCCAAAGATAACTTCACAACAATGTGCAAGGCTGGAGGCACACATGTGAGCCCAAAGGTGCCCAGAAGAGGGCATTTGGACCAACCCAGGACTTCAGGGAAGGCTTCCTGGAGAACAGGACTTTTGAAATGCACCCCAAAGAATGAGTAAGAAAGCATTCCAGTTAGGGTGGTCAGATACAATATGAGACATCCAGATAAGTTTAAATTTCACATAAATGAATAAATCTTTATATAAATATGTCCCAGATGTAGCATGAGGCATACTTACACACAATAAACTCATTGTTTGTCTGAAATTCAAATTTAATAACTGGACATTCTGTATTTTATTTTATAAATCTGGCAGCCCTACTTTTGGAGAAAGGGAATTACTTTAACAAAGGCACAGAGGAGAGACTAGCCAGGAGTGTGGCATTATAACAGGGCCAAATATGAGACAGAAGGGAGGCAGCTGAGGCTACAGAGGGGTAGAGACCAGGTTAGGGGATAGGTGTGCCATGCTAAGAAGCTTATACTTAATTCTTGTTTCCATTTTGAGCAAACCTAGAAAACACAGAAGGCTACAGGAGATAATTTACTCTTCAGACTCAGAATGCATGGATGTCTGCAGCAAGGCTATATATTTTCTGAACTCTCCCATCTCCATCATTTCTAGTCATGTCTGCCAAGTCATGCATAGCTCCTTGTCCCCACACTCCTTCTTTCTTCTTCCTGCAGCAAGGCCATAGAACTGCTGCCATGGTCAGGCCCAGTACAGCCTGGGCTGTGGAGAATTTAAGGAGCTGTGTTTCAATAACAGATGTTGCTGAGAATTCAGTCAACCTTCTGCAAGATGTGCCTTGGGTCCAGCTCTCTGTGTTGTTTCTGTTTTTGTTTTTGCCTTTTTTTCCCCATCACTCTGTAATCAGTTTTACCTTGTAAGATAGCTATACTAGCTCAGATTGGTACATGTGCCCAATACCTCTGTTGCTTCCTCCAACGCTGGGCCTGGGCCATCTAGCCTGTTCACCCATGTTTTGTTTGTTTGTTTGTTTGTTTGTTTTTGAGACGGAGTCTCGCTCTGTCACCAGGCTGGAGTGCAGTGGCGCCATCTTGGCTCACTGCAACTTCCGACTCCCTGGTTCAAGCAATTCTCCTGCCTCAGCCTGCTGAGTAGCTGGGATTACAGGCATGCACCACCATCCCCAGCTAATTTTTGTATTTTTAGTAGAGATGGGGTTTCACCATGTTGGCCAGGATTGTCTCCATCTCCTGACCTCATGATCCGCCTGCCTCAGCCTCCCAAAATGCTGGGATTACAGGTGTGAGCCGCCGCATCCGGCCCTGTTCACCCATGTTTTATAGACTCTGTTGTACCTATCACTTTAAGAGACAAACTGTGGGCCAGCAAGTTTTCCCATTTAAGAGGCCCCCTATAATCTGTGCAGACTTAGCTCACTAGCTTTCTGGTCTCCTGCTTTGTCTACTCCAGAGGTTTCATAAATTGAGCTTCCAGGTGTCAAGTACTGGCTCCCTCAAGTCACTGCTGTAAGCCCCAGGCTGCAGGCTCTAGGCTTCAGTCCTATGCTTCCCTTCCACCTGCTACCAACTGGTGGAACTTGGTGACTTCACACCTTCCAGCTGTGGGCACTGCTCTTACTCCAGCCCAATGGCTGAGACCCCATCCCTGGAACTAGCACGTGTAGCAAGACTTCCTAGTCTAGCTGAAATGACCCTTCCTCACCTTGCTGGGCCTCAGTGGCTCTGGACATGTCATCTGGGTTCTCTGTCCTTCCTATGGGGTTGTCCTTTGGAAATCCCTGCCCTATCTCAAGGAATATACCAGCCTCTATGCACCAGCCCACCCCTCCTTTAGTTTGGACTAACCATCCCACTCCCAATGTCAGCACTGCTACTGTCTGCAGGACAAAGCTCATGCCCAGCATGACCAGGAAGGCTTTCTTCGATCTGGCCTTCATCTTCACCCTCAGCTCTATCTGCTTTTCTGTGCCCCTGATACACTATGTTACTCATCTCTACCTAATGCAGGTACCTTGCAGCTTACCCTCATCTGCCACTACTATAGCTTATTCCCAGAATGGCCATCCCTGGCTAATGCACCCCACCTTGGTTTAAGTTAATTACTTTCTACTTCATGCCAACCACCCCTTAGCACTAATCTGTCTCTCTTTTTTTTTTTTTTAGTTTGTGTGTGTGTTTGTGTGTGTGTGTGTGTGTGTGTGTGTGTGTGTGTGTGTGTGTGTGACAGGGTCTCCCTCTGTTGCCCAGGCTGGAGTGTAGTGGCATGATCATGGCTCACTGTAACTTCCACCTCCTAGACTCAAGTGATCCTCCTGCCTCAGCCTCCTGGGTAGCAGGGATGACAAGTGTGTGCCACCACACATGGCTAATTTTTGTATTTTTTGTAGAGATGAAGTTTCGCCATGTTGACCAGGCTAGTCTTGAACTCCTAAACTCAAGCAATCCACCCCACCAAAATGCTGGGATTACAGGCATGTGTCACTGCGGCCAGTCCTTAGCATTAATCTGTATATAAAGACTTACTACAGTGCATTAAAATTATTTATTTAATGTCTGTTTTCTCTATTGGAATACAACACTCTGGAGGACCATGTCATATTCATCTTGGTATCTTCAGAGTGCCTGGAAGCAGGTGAGATCTCAATGAACATTTGGTGCCTAAATGAATATGTGAATGGAGATATGAGTGAATAGGCCTTGTAGCACTAATTTCCACTTTAATCAGAGGACAGGTAGTAATGACACTTGGAACAGGACCATTTAAGTATATGCTTTTCTATTTTCTCTTGCACTTTGAATGTATTAGACATGTATCATGTAGTGGACATGATCCTTCCTATTGACTGTCTAGGACAGGATCTAAGCCTCTTTTTACATTTGGAATTCCGCCATGGAATTCATAAAATGACATGGTAGGAGACAGCTACTGGCAGCCAGGTCGTGGGTCATTTGACCCTAGCCCAGTCAAATTATGGTCTTTGAATTCAGAATCAGTGATGAAAGCAGTTTAGGCTTCATTCTGGTGACACTAGTGGTGACCGTCAGTGCCCAGTGGTGGAGCCCTAACCAGGGAATATTCCTTTTGCACAGCTGTGGCACTCTTAAGTGCTGCTTATCGACTGTTTCCAGTGTTTTCTTTCTTCTGGGTATGTGGTACAATTTCACTACCTCGCTGCCTTGTGGATGAGTGGAGCCGTATGACCAAATAAAAGAGAGGCCCATTGATTCCCCCAACCCAACTTTTCTTTTAACCTTTTCTTTCAAAGCTTTTCTCCCTCCTTGTTCTTGTTTTTCCTTCTTCCTTTCCTTGCCTTTCCTTTAAGAGTTTTAATACTTTCAAGTACTTTAAAAAAATCATGCTTGGATTGTTTTATCTTATTTTTTGAGATGGTTTGAAGGAAGGAGAAGGTAGATCTGTTTAATTTTGCAGTTAAAGTTAGACGGTCCTAAAAATTTAGTTGTCAAATAATTTCAAATTGAATGTCCTGCTTTCACATTGAAGGGCCTACAAAATATTGTATATTTCAAAAGACAAAAAGAAGTAGCAGCAATATCTTGTTCTGTAATTCATAGACAAGTTGAGTGTGTTTATGGTACTTTGGGTTTTTACAGAATTTGTGGGATACTAATCCCTAGACATTGCCTTCACCCCACCTTTAGTCCTTCTGAGCACTCTCTCGGGAGTTGGAACATCGTTATCCTTGTAAGAAATACTAAGCTTATTTTGATACTTAAGCAATTATTTCTTCTCTTCTTGCTAGTAGGTGGGACAGTTTGGTTTAGGTAGTGTTATACTTTGGTCTAAGTATTTGAGTTAAACTTCTTTTTTGCTAATGAGTGGGCTGGTTGTTAGCAGGTTTGTTTTTCCTGCTGTTGATTGTTACTAGCGGCATTAACTTTTAGAATATGGGCTGCTGAGATTAATGTTTTTATATCCCAGCTAGAGATATGGCCCTTAACTAACCTAAAAATGTTTGTTGTGATTTAATTTTCCCCTGTTCCTTTTCCTTCAGTAAACCCGACAATAGTCTAACCTTAAAAATGGAGTTGATGTCCTTCTAGGTCACTATCCCTAAATAAACCTGAAGCAGGTGTTTTCTCTTGGACATATTTAAAAATACCGAACAGGAAGCTTAGGTGACACAATAAATGCAATTAATGTCATCTAATGCCAGCTGTTAAAAGTGGCCACTGAGCATTTGATTTTATAGGGAAAAATATCTAGACAGTATTTTTGAGACTAACATAGCTGTGCTGTTGCATATCTGTTAGAGAACACCCCAGATTTGCTTACATTCTGTGCCTATGATATTGAGTTTAAGGATTTGGGGCAGGTGTAATTGTTCAACATATTGCCTCTATTCTTGAAAAAGTAGAAGTGTAAAGTGTAGTAATACAAATGTCACTGTGACCTCCTCCACTGAGAGGACTGGTTTATGCCAGATCATTTTCCAGCACATAGAGAGAAGCTTTGACAGGTTGATAACTTTGTAAGATGGGAGACATCTAAAATATTCATGTTTTCCTCCTGTAGTCCCATCTCCAATATTTAGAAATGTTCTCAGTTAGATTTTAAAACAATGCACAGGGCTTGAGCTTTCTGTCATTTGACTTTAAAAGGAAGTTTCATTCATAATATTTATCCTCTTATGTAAAATTATGGCATGAAAGTCTCATCTCCAAATATGTTAAATGAAAAATTATTTTATAAAATGTTTATGCACACTTTATAACCTTAAGTTTTTATTTGAGAATGTGAAAGTACAAAGTGCAGTAGACTTCAACAGTTTTGAGCGCCAAGAATAATACAGAAAAAGAAGAGAGTTGATGAATGAGTTTATAGGGTTCTAATCTCAAAATGGTAAAAATGTAGAAAGACCTTGCTGGTTTTTTGGGGGCATTCTTTTCTTAAACAATCCAAATCTAAGCTTAGAAGAAAAGTTTAGCATTAAGCACCTTTATCTTCATGGATAAGCTTCAGTTTGCTCTTGCCAAGAGAAGAGTGCTTGAGTTACAGAAGTCGTAATTAGTTTGAAGAATACAGCAGCGCTTTTGTAAACTTTCCAGATATCAAAATAGACTTCGATATATAAATGGTTTTCTGAGATGACACTGCCTCTATTTCTATAACCATTTCACCTGGACTATCTCATCAGTCCTATGAATGTATCCCTAAATGTGGTTATTGAAAACCGAATAGCTGCCTCATGACAAGTGTATGTAATTTAAGGTGGAAAAATATTAAATTTTGAATGGAGTGTGTAGGCTCCCTATCATTATATATAGACTTTCTTTTTCCACGCTAGTCAGTGACTTAACCTAAATTGTAAATGTTTGTAAAAGATTAATTGTCCTACATCAAACTTATATTAAATCATTCCATCCACTTATGGAGGAGGAGGAGAATGTGGAAGAGGTAAAAAGCTGGGCACAACTTCATATGCCTATGAGTCAGTAAAGACTGAAGTAATGTCCCATGTTGAGCTGGTTATTTTGATATATGATAATAATTATCTTTGAGGTAGAACAATTCTGTTAATTGGAAAATCACGGGATATATCCATCTTATTTTTCAGGACAAATAGTTTTAACTGTGCAGCAAATAGGTTAAAATTACACTGTATGGTAACTACATTTAGGTTTTAAAGCAAAAACTCTGTAGAGAAATCTATGCAATATATAGTTTGTCCAGATTAGTTTTCATATGGGGAATGAAGTTCTGAAATATCTCTAAAGCAGTTTACTCATCAGTTGAAAAGTCTTCCAAAAACAGAACTATTGGGAAACCATGGTGTGTGTGTGGTGGTGGAAAAGAAAAGCTCCCTCAGTTTTTTGGAGGGAATAACTTAAAAAAGTACTTAAATGGCTAAGTTTACTTGGTGCAGTTAAGAATTAAACTCGTCAATTTTAACATTGCTGTTACATTTGAAATAAACTTATGTGATGTTCTGGTAAAAAAAAAAAAAAAGAGAACCTAGTCAATCCTGTAACTTTGGTTCCTGTTTATTCATTAATCTAGTTCTTTAGCCTTCCTGCTGATTCTGTGAGACAACAATCCAAAACTTTTCAACAAGATCTTTCTTTTTTTAAGATAGGCAGAATTGATTTCAGTTGAATATCAAGAATATCAAGTGAACCACTGGGAGATACATTAACAACTATGACAGAAGCTGGTCCCAGCTTTAATTTGTAGAAGGCGGGCCAGTTTCTCCTAAAAACAGTTTTCAAATTATTACAGACAAGAAACAGAATGTTAATGAGGAAAGAACACTGTCAGAGATCCTAGCATTCTATGGCTAGTCTATGGCTTGCTTGTTATGCTAACTCTGGAATGTAGACGTCACTTTTACCATTTGAGCCTATCCCTGCAGCACTGATGTGTAGGCCAAAGGAAAAATATCATGTGAAAATGTTCTGTAACTTTAGTAGGGCTGGTCAAATGTGGCAATTCAAGCCTGTCCTAGGCTGGGATTGAGCCAGTCTAGATTATGCAGAATTTAAGGAGTCCCATTGCAGTAACACTTGAGACAGAATTATTAAGCAATTATGCAAAGAACAGGTCACTATAACTGCTGTGTAAATGTGAGAGGACATTAGGGACTTTGGGAAGTGAGATATTTTGAGACATCAGCTATAGTCTTAGCTATGCTTAGGTGCACGGCATGTTAGAAGAATGTCTGTCTGCCAAAGCTGTCACTAAGATGAGGCCACAGTTGCTACAGGCTAATGAGAAAAACAATACATCTGACTGATATTTCACCTGAAAGCTTTTGTTTCTTATGATGAAACAACTGCTTCTGGATCCTACTACTTGACAAAAAAAAAAAAAAAAAAAAACTGGCTAAGACACTCAGGGGCATGTGACATCCCTCAGCCCACCTATTACCCCAGCCATAGAAGTGGCAACCAGTTCTGCACAGATATTATATAACCTTGCAGCACCTCATCTCAACTGCATCTTGTACTTCTCACTTTCTGCTCCCAGGTTCCTCTGACATCATTACCTGGGAGACATGCAGAAGCTCTCTTGGTACTCATATAGGCGTAAGTTGGAAGTGTGGGGGAGTTAGCAGCCCACAGGGCAACCCTTGAGATATGGGGAATGTGATAAATGCTCCCGACTTCTGTGCCACTGGCAGACAATTCTGAGGTGTGTTCTCTAACGCTCCCCAAAAGGTCCCAGTGAGTTTAAACGCCAGGTGCCCCCATGTGTGTTGCACCTCCCTGTTTCCCTTTTCCCAGCCTCCATTACTGTTCCCTGGAATCACTCCCCCAAATCAACTACCTGCATGAGTACCCTTGTCCCAGGCTCTGATTTTCAGGACAACCCAGGCTAAGGAAAGCACCATATTGAGACAACGGAGACAAGGCACTGACCCTCATCCATCTCAGTCTCTTCCTTCCTCGTTCTCGGAATGCCTCTCCAAAACTCCCGCCTTCTGCAGTGGCCTTCCGTGTTTTTCTCTCTGTCTCTCGTGTGTGTGTGTGTGTGTGTGTGTGTGTCTAGCTTTTTCTCTCATGCAGACTCACACATACACATCGTGGCTGCTCGCACCCTCTTATTAAGGTTTGCCATTTTTGTCTGCAAAAGCAGAATACTCAGACCTTCCCACTTCTCAGACTGATACGATTTTCCTAAAAATAATAGTAATAATCAATTGATTGACTGGTTTAAGGTTGCCAAATTTTAATTTTTCCAAATAAACAGATGTGAGAGACAACTTTTGTTATCATTTTATAACAGAAAAATCATGTTAACACCAAAAAAGCATGAGGTTATAATCTCAGACTAGGTGATGGTTCCCAACTAGCATAATCTTAGCTTTCTGAAAATTTCACTGCAGTGTGAAATTCTTAGTTTTCCGATTTTGAGGATGGTTAATCGTCCTTGGTGGAGCACAGGCATTATCTGCTCCTGCTGGGGTCCCAGGTGGACTCTATTGTTTTCCACTTGTACTCTTTGGCCCCTGGGTCCCTGGGTCCCTCTCCTCCTCCCTCTGAGTAATGTCACCCAGCTCTGTTCTCTTTAGTATGAGCAGAAGGATTTTTATTTGCCTTACGCAATTCATTCTTCTAACTAGACATAACATTTTTGAGATTCCAAAGCCAAAAAAATAAATGGAAAATAAAATCGTAAAAGCCAACACGTGGTATTGTGTGTTTAATTGCTTCACTGTTTGTCGTCTTAAAGTTGAGAATTCGGGGAAGTGACAGAAATCTATGTTCTTGACTCAGAAGACCAGAGGTGAAGTGACAGCTCTCTCATTTGTCAGTTGTCTGATCTCAGAGAAACCTCTATCCCTAGTATCATAGTGTCTCTACATATGTGTTTGTACTGAGGGAGTGTCTTGGATTTCAAGTAATCTTATAAATAGCCAAAGGGCAGGGCTTTGACCTCTGGAATTGGGATCCTGCCACCCTGGCCTCTGTTGAGGGCCTCTGTCTGCCCAGGCCCTTACATGGGACATGGCCACTGCCTACCATTTTCTAGGAACTGTCACCAACTTTGCTATTAGTTGTTATTTTTCCTTACTATGGTTGTGTATAAATTTATTGTATTTGAAAGCTAATAGTAACTTGGCATTTCTGTGTTGGTTATGTACACTATTAGTTTGTTTAACTTGTTATAAATTATTTTTCTATGAATTAGTATCCTATTTTCTCTTTCTATTTTTTGACTAAGGGCTATGCTTTCTAAAAACCCTTCCTTTTATCTTTTAATTTTATATGACCTTTTGCTTTTCAAATCACTTTTATATATTTTAGTTCTTTTCCTTTTTACTTCCCACATACTAAACTTTACGATTTCAACTCCTTAAGTTTTGATAATTTTGTTTAATTTTATTTAGTAGTTTAATATAAGTATTTATCCTTTTTCATTAGAAGTCTTTTAAGTCTTTAACTGTTACTTT
Organism: Homo sapiens; assembly: GCF_000001405.40. Taxonomy (NCBI): domain Eukaryota; kingdom Metazoa; phylum Chordata; class Mammalia; order Primates; family Hominidae; genus Homo; species Homo sapiens. The sequence continues at coordinate 43,898,088 of NC_000023.11, read as the reverse complement.
TCCCCACCTATTTCTATCATTCATTGTAATTTGCTGTTACAGGGAAGAAATTTTTTTTTTTTTTTTTTCAAATCCAGATCCCAGGCCAAAATATGTTCCTTTTTTTCCTCCCGTCTGGACAGGTGGCTTGTGTCCAATGAACACTTTCATCAACTTATTCCTTTCAGCGTTTGAACTTCATTTTTAGTCTCAGAACATTTCATGCCATGTGGCCCAAATGTTTCCCCTGGTCCTAGTTCTGCCCTTAAAGTCTAATTCCCTTGGTTAGGGAAATCATCAAAGGCTCCAGGATAACTGTAGTTTCATATAACCACTTGTATTTCCATCTGCTTCTTATATTGAGCCCCTTATGATTTCTATCACTTTCTTGTTAACTTGGTTATACAATTAAAAAGATGTTTATATGTAAATTTTTGTTTATATATATAATTTATGGAAATCTGTATATATATATAAAACAAACACCATTTAGAAAGTATTGTTAATTTTTATTTTCTATATAGAGGTGACATTCACATAACATAAAAATTAACCACTTTGAAGCATACATTTGGTGGCATTTGGTGTATCACAATGTTGCGCAACCACCACATCAATCTGTTTCCAAAACGTTTCATCACCCCAAAGGGAAAGAAACTCCATGCCCATTGAGCAGTTAATCTTCCATTTACCCGTCCCTCAGCCCCTGATAACTACCACTCAGCTTTCTGTCTTTATGGATTTACCTATTTTGAATATTTTATATAAAAGGGATCATACAATATGTGACCGAGTAGGAAATTAAGGGACTTTATTGAAAATTCGTTTTGACGGATACTTATCACTTGGAGTTCCAAAACTTTTATTCAGTGCTTTATTATTATTTTTTAACACAAGACTAAGACTGTTTTCATTAATATTTGGTTAATAATTCCCCTATAACAGTGGGCCTTCAAAATATGGATTCTTTTTATCCATTTTTAAAAATTTATTATATTTATTCATTTGATTATTTTGAGATGGAGTCTCACTCTGTTGCCCAGGCTGGAGTGCAGTGGTGAGATCTCGGCTCACTGCAAGCTCCGCCTCCCAGGTTCAAGCTATTCTCCTGCCTCAGCGTCCTGAGTAGCTGGGATTGCAGGTATGTGCCTCCACGCCCAGCTAAGTTTTTGTATTTTTAGTAGAGATGGGGTCTCACCATGTTGACCAGCCTGGTCTGGAGCTCCTGACCTCAGGGGATCCACCTGCCTCAGCCTCCCAAAGTGCTGGGATTACAGGCATGAGCCACTGCACTCAGCCTTATCCATATTTTTAAATCCCATACTAAATTTCACTTTAAAAATTATCAGGAAAAATAAGAATTTATTTAAAGTCAGTCACTAAGTTCATAATAGGAAAAATAGAATCATTATCATATGGAAAAATGTATCTTATCTCTCCCATAGGGAGAGATTTATGAGCTCCCTAATATTAGTTGGAAGCAGTAATTGTTTCTGAAAATGATGAAATGATGTCTCTAGTATAATATAGCAAAAGGTAAGCAATATGAAACCTACATCTTTTGGTAGAATGATATTGGATGTGCAAATTTCCAGAGGGGTTTTGAACTGTTACAGCATAACATTTATTTTTTGAGGAGAATTGCCTCTCAGGAAAGATCCCAGATTTCCAAAGGTTTTTCTCCTTTTTCTTTATTTTGGGTAATTTTTCTTCTACCCAACATTGTAGATGCAGAAGCATACATTAAAGGTAGTCATCCCTGTAATTAGCTGATAATTATTTGCCTTTCATTCTCAAGTGCACTTATTTCAATGAGGAAATCTAACTGAGCTTGACCCAGGACCACTGAAGTCTGGACCTTTGAAGTAAATGTGTGTGATCTGAATGGATATAGGTCATAATTTGCCTTTTCATCATCTGGTATTCATGTTTGGCAGGACTTTTATTCATCTTTGAGACAAATTTCTCAAATTCACAGGCTCTATTTGCCCAAATTGTCCCTTATTTGCCTCAATTGGATAGAAAAATAATTACAGTAGAGACTTCTTAGTCATGTAATTCAATTGGTACAGGGTGCTTTCATCTAGAGCAGTGGTTCTCAATAGGGGGTGATTTTGTCCCCCAGGGACATTTGGCAATGTCTGCAGACATTTTTATTTGTCACAAACAAATAGGGGAGGGAGTACTACTGGCGCCTAGTGGTGTCTTAGTCCGTTTGTGCTGCTATAACAAAAAAACAGAGACTAGGTAATTAATCAAGAGCAGAAATTTGTTTCTCACAGTTCTGGAGGCTAGAAAGTCAAAGCACCAGGAGGTTCAGTGTCTGGTGAAGGCCTTCTTGCTATGTTCTCATATGGTAGAAGAGGCAGACATTATGTGCTCACTTTGTGGAAGGCGGAAGGACAAAGAGGGGGATGAACGCTGTATGAAACCTCTTTCATAAAGGCTTCAGTCTCATTCACAAGAGAGGAGTCCTCATGACTTAGTCACTTCCTAAAGTTCCTATCTCTTAATATTATTCAACTGGAGACTAAGTTTCAACATAAATTTTGGAAGGATCCAAATGCTCAAACGATAGAAACTGGATAAAAGGCTGTGATGCTGCTAATCATCCTATAATGCACAGGGTGGCCCCCCACAACAAAGAATTATCCTGTCCAAATGTCAGTTATACTGAGGTCTCAACCTGATCTACCCTGAAGCAATTCTAGAATTTAGGTCTTGTTCCTTCTTCGTCCCAGGTGGCTTTAAACGACTTAAAAAAAAAATCCTTTAAACTCTGCCAGGCCAGAGTATATGCACTTCATATTAATACTTGCATTTCAAAATGTCAACCACGTGTGGTGGCTCATGCCTGTAATCCCAAGACTTTGGGATGCCGAGGTAGGGGGATCACTTGAAGGCCAGAAGTTCAAGATCAGCCTGGCCAACATGGTGAAGCCCCATCTCTACTAAAAATACAAAAATTAGCCAGGTGTGGTGCTGCAGCCTGTAGTCCCAACTACTCGGGAGGCTGAGGCAGGAGAACCACTTGAACCAGAGGCTGCAGTGAGCTGAGATCCTGCCACTGCAGTCTAGTCTGGGTGACAGAGCTAGACTCTGTCTCAAAAAAAAAAAAATGTTGAGGACTTAGTATTTGCCTTCTTACTTTTCATTTTCTATCTCAAGAAACTTAACACCTACATTCTAGTCTAATATTTCTAAAAATATAGTTCCTAAGCCACTAGTGGGTAACAAGAACTCCCCTAAAGAGGTAAAAACTGACCTAAAAATGTAATCTTCACATCAGTCTTTCTAGGAGCATCACATGCAATTCTGTAGACTTTTAGTTAATTTTGTTTCTTTAGTTATTTTTTTTCTACTGGAAAGTGCAACAAGTAGAATGAGCAGCTGTGGAATCTTTTGCTCCGCTTAAGTCATTCTCAGTTAGAAAAAATTTTGAGAACCACTGCTATAGAAACTTTCCTTTGTGACAGCTGCTTCTTCCCAGTCTCCTGCCAACACAGCTATGTCCTTTCCTTTTCTCTGCTATTCTTTATATATACATATCTTCATCTTCCTTCAAGACCCACCTCAAATCCTCTCACACTGACTGATGTATTATTTATTTGCTCATTTATTAAACACATTAAGGATCCATTAAACACCACTGCCACTGTGCTAAGGTCTGGGGACTTAGGAAAAATCCCAAAAGACATAGTTCCTTGAGTAGCATATTGCCTGTTGGAGGAGTTCCACTTTTGTTAACACTTCGCCTTTTTTGTGCCCCATAATATAACATTTGATTATATTCTACTCCTTATTACTCTCAAATTGATTTCCATGTGTTGATTTCTCTTCCTGAACCAGAAATAAATATTTTTGGGAGACTGGGTTGCCAGAAAAAATACAGGACATCTACCTAAATTTGAATTTCAGAGAGACATTAAATAATTTTTTTAGTATGAGTATGTGGCAAATGTTGCATGGGAAAATATATCTTAAAATTTTATTCATTGATTATCTGAAATTCAAATTTAACTGGGCATCTATATTTTTATTTGTTCAATATGGCAACCCTCTTTAGGGCAAAGGCTCTCTAATATTTTCCCTACATCTCCAAGGACATGTGACACAGAACTGGATGTACAGTCAGTACCCAAATAAGCAATCAGTTGTCTTATTCCTTTAATGTAGGTAGAAAGTTATTCTTCCTCCAAAGATAGGGACAGTGACTATTTATATTAGCTGGTCCAAAGGTATGTAATTGTGGTTTCTTTTTTCTTTTCTTTTATTTCTTTTCTTTTCTTTTCTTTTTTGAGACGAAGTTTTGCTCTTGTCACCCAGGCTGGAGTTCAATGGCTTGATCTTGGCTCACTGCAAAGTCCGCCTCCCGGGTTCAAGCGATTCTCCTGCCTCAGCCTCCCGAGTAGCTGGGATTACAGGAGCCCCCCACCACAACTGGCTAATTTTTGTATTTTTAATAGAGACAGGATTTTGCCATGTTGGCCAGGCTGCTCCTGAACTCCTGACCTCAGGCGTTCGGCCCACCTCGGCCTCCCAAAGTGCTAGGATTACAGGTGTGAGTAATGGCACCTGGCCAATGGTTTTTTACCATTACTTTTAATGGCAAAAAACACAATTATGTTTGCACCAACCTAATACTAGTTCATATTCACATCATAGCTAAATCAACTGTGATCTAAAGTAAAGAACAGACTTCCAGGAAATGGTGGAGTTTAGGATATGACTCCTAAATATCACATTAGGAGAGGAGGCCGGTCCTACATTTGTTTTTGTTTTTGTTTTGTTTTGTTTTGTTTTGCGGAAGGATAGGGCAGATGAGTTGCCTTTTAGTTCCTTACATTCCAAACCTGAGTTTTACATAAGGCATTGGTATGTTGGTAACGTAGAGAAACAACTTGTTCTAACCTCAATTACTTAGATAATTAACCATGGAAATTATACCTCAAATAATATTTTTTTCACTGTAGCACTTTGCAATAAATGACCATTTTTCTAGTTCTACAGTGAATATTATGACTGAAAATTACTGGGATTTCCCTAAAATCTCAGCACTTGATGAAATGACTTCACTTGAACGCCAAGAAAGCAATTTTTGCAAAATAGCACCCAACCTGATTTCAGCAGGTCAATTTCTATTTGCAACACCAACTCTGAGTAGTGCTTTTTGGACCTTGAAAATGTTCTGCTACCTGGTATTTACCAGTAAATGTCCCACATATAGCAGAATACTATACAAACAGGAGCTACATCACATAAAATGTGACTTCACAATATTTGAGCTTTTTTATACTTGCTTTTCTTAGCCAGGAGTTCTGAGTTCTCATCTTGGCTGTACAAATGGGTGCTGTTGTTAACAGAAGGAAATTTTAGAGATGACATTACTTCCTGTTCCTATTTCGAGACCTCTGGGTATTCTATTCCCTCACTGTTTGAGCCTGCCTGCTGCTGACCTTGTTCTTTGCCTCCAAGGCTTTAGGTAGGCTGCTGGAGGGAGGTAACAGAGGGGTTGTACAAATGGCTCCAAAGATCTTTACCAGCTCTGTGACTCACATCACTAGTCCTCTAAAGATTAAAAGGTGTTAAATTTTCATGTGTCTTGAGGAGGTAGAAAGGTTTATTTGTATTTTTTTCCAGGGAATTTCCAGGTGGAGAAAAAATAAACTGAATGATTCACCAGAGTAAGAAAGATGCAAAAACTTTATTTTCTTTAGACTATAGCAAATCCTCTATTACTCAACCTAGTTGCACAAAGTTACCAACTGGTTACCAACTTTCAAATCATTTGAGCATAGTAAAATATGTTTAATAAAATTATAGTCAATACACTATTAAAACATTTTATTCTGAAAATTTTCATAAATTCATACAAGTAGAAAGAATAATATAATAAATCCCCCATGCACCTCTCACTCAGCTTCAACACCTGTCACTGTTTTGCCAGTTTTGTTTTATCTACTAGCCACCACTATTTTTTTTCCTAGAGTGCTTTACACCAAAACTCAAACACTGTGTCATTTCATCCTCTAATACTTAAGTATGCATCTCTATTTGACAAGGACATTTCTAATATAACCACCATGCTGTTATGACATATATCAATATGAACAATAATTTCTTAATGTCATCTAGCCCATATTCAAGTTTCCTCAGCTGTTCCCAAAATACAATTGGTTTCCTCTAATCAGGATCCAAATAAGTCTACACACTGCATTTGGTTGGGTCTCTATAGTGAGCATAATTTTATCTTTTTTCTGTTAGACAATTTAGAAAGCACCCTAGGAGTTCAGAGAATCTTGGAATCCTTAGCATAATCATAGTTTTACTCTACGTGGCCAGATAGCTGTGAAAAAGTTGTTATAGCATACAGAACATTTTTTTAAAACCGATAATATTTATTCACTTATTTTTAATTGACAAATAATAATTGTATATGTTTATGGAGTACAATGTGGTGTTTTGATCTATGTATACATTGTAGAATAGAAAGATTCTATTAAGCCTATTAACATATCCATCACCTCCCCAACTTATCATTCTTTTTGTGTATGGTAAGAATGTTAAAAATCCATTGTTTTAGCAATTTTCCAAGTAACACACAAGAAAACAAAGTGAGACCATAGGCTTTGTCACATCGCTTCTTTCAAAAAGTGTGTAAAGGACTTAGTTGAACTCTGCCGGCTTCCTTTTAAAAATCCTTTAGCTAAAATTTTCCAATTTTAAAATATCCGCCCCACCCCCAACTACCTAAACTCAAGACTATCTATTAGAGAAATCACAGTAAAATTTGAAGACATTTCCACTGTAGATTTTTTATGGGCATAAGGTATTTCAAGGACTGGCTAATGGGTCATTTGATTTACTGAGAGAGAAAAGGCAACATTCCCAGTAACATGAACGGCTTCACCAAAGTAGCTTAGTAGCTAGGCTTGGGAAATTGGGAAACCATGTGACCAGGGAAACAAGAAGGAAGAAATCATGCAGAAGTAACAGAGATGGCACAGGAGTCTTTAGCAAAGTGACTCAGAAAGGGTACATGAGCAGAAAAAGTAAACAAAATTTAAAAAATTAAAAAAAATGTAGCCTGAGGAGGGCTAAGAGTAGAAGAGAAAAAGAGCCTGCCATTCTGTGTTTCTTCTGCTCAGGCTGCCATAACAAAATGCCACAGTCTGGGTGGCTTAAACAATGGAAGTCTGTTTCTCACAGTTCTGGAGGCTGGGAAGTCAGAGATGAGGGTGCCAGCTGCTTGGGTTCTGGGAAGGGCTCTCTCCTTGTTCCTGGAAAATATGCAGAGGCTGGAATGGGCCTGGGTGAACTTGAGGAGGCTTGCCCAAGAGGATCTATGTTGTGGAATTATTGGGAGTGCTGCTGAAAGCAGGCGAGACTAAAGTCAGCTCACAGGATGCCTTGAAGCCAGGTAAAGGATCCTGGACATCATGTGAACACCACAAGAGCGAGGTTGATCACATTTGTTCATCTTCTCTTTTGATACTTCTGCATTTGAGTCAGTGTTAGGGAAGTTTTTCCCACTCTCAGTTTATGTAGCATTTCACTCATCATGTTTCATTGTTTTACATTTAAATTCCAGATCTATTTGGAATGTATCCTGGTGTACAATGTGAAGAATGGATCCAATTTTATCTTTTTATTTATGGCTATACAGTTATTTTGATACCATTTATTAAATACTACATTTTGAGGGAAATTTTAGACACAGAGAAGTCATCTTGAAGGGATACCCACTGGCTAACTCGCAGATAATTTGAGTATGAAAATAAATAAAGTTAGCAATGGATTATAACCCATTGAATAAGATAAGAATCTGTGAGTTAATACTTATATAAATAGGTGAATACATTGAAGGTTTGATGAAGACCAAGGTATTTACATAGTCTCAAAGTACTTTTCCACAAAATAATTACTACAAAAGTAAAAAGCGTAACTTTATAGTAGAAGCCTGGCAGATACCACTATAACCAAGAAATCAAAATTAACATCACCAGTAATGGGACAAATTAAAATTGTGCACCACAGAATAGGAGGCAATTAGGAGAACACAAATGTGCCTCTATAATATTTCTGCCAAAGATACACATTAGGAATCTAATAACAAGGAAACATCAGACAAACCCAAATTAAAGGACATTCTACAAAATGTCTTGTAATTATACAAAATTCGTCTAAAGTGTCAAGGTCATGAAAAGTCAAGGCAAGATTGAGAATTATTCTAAATTAAAGGAGTCTACAGAGACTGCACAACTAAAGGCAACATGTGATCCAGGACTGGGTTCTTTTGCTAGAAAAGGTATTATTGACACAATTGGCAAAGATTGAATGGGATAGGAGGATTAGTTGGTAGTTATAATTCATTGTTAATTTTCTGACTTTGAGGGCCATATTGTAGTTATGTAGGAGAATGACTTTGTTCATAGAAAATACACACTAAAGTACTGGGGGTAGTGATAGAACATAATGTCAACAACTTATTCTCAAATGCTTCAGGGGAATAAAAGGTTCTTTGTACTGTACTTGCAAATTTTCTGTAAGTTTGAGACTGTGTAAAATAAAATTTATGGAGAAATGACAATCTCCGTCTTTTCCTCATGGATTTGTGATGCTCCTTTTAATTACATGATAAATTTCTATATGCAGTAGAATCAATTTCTTACTTTCCAATCTGTTGAATATTTTGTCTATTCATGAACTGATGCCACTCTGCTTTAGTCATAGAAGCTTTAAAATATGTTTTATAGGTATCCCTTGTTTATGGATTGAATAATTAATATTGTCAAAATGTTCATACTACCCAAAGTGATCTATAGATTCAAGGAATCCCAAAGTCATTTTTCAAAGAAATAGAATAAATGATCCTAAAATTCATATGGAAACACAAAAGACCCAAATTGCCAAAACAATCTTGAGAGAGAAGAACAAAGCTGGAGGCATCACGCTTCCTGGTTTCAAACTATGTTACAAAGCTATAGTAATCAAAACAGTATGTTACTAGCATAAAAACAGACACACAGACCAATGAAACGTAGAAGAGATCCCTGAAATAAACCCATGCATATATAGTCAATTAATCTTTGACAAAGGTGCTAAGAAAACACAATCAAGAAAGGGCAGTCTCTTCCACAAATGGTGTTGAGAAAATTGGGTATTCACATGCAAAATAATGAAATTGCATGCTTATCATGCACTGTATGCAAAAAGGAATATAGACTTCATTAAATATAAGACCTGAAACCATAAAACACCTAGAAGAAAACAGGAAAAAAAACTCCTTGACATTGGTCTTGGCAGTGTTTCGTTGTTGTTGTTGTTGTTGTTGTTTTTTGGATATGATACCAAAAGCACAGGCAACAAAATAAAAAATAAACAAGAGGACTACATCAAACTAAGAAGTTTCTGCACAGCAAAGGAAACAGTCAACACTATGAAAAGGTTACTATGGAATAAGATAAAATATTAGCAAATCATACATCTGATAAAAAGCTGGTATCCAAAATATAAAAGGAACTCATACAACTCAACAGTAAAACAAAAAAAATCAAATAACTCAATTAAAAAATGAGCAAAGGACCTGAATAGACATTTCTCCACATAAGACATACAAAAAGCCAACAGACACCTGAAAGGGTGCTCAGCATCACTAATCATGAGTGAAATGTGAGTCAAAACTACAATGAGATATCACCTTATGCACTATTATAAAAAGAGAGAGAAAGAGAGATAAGTGTTGGTGAGGATGTGGAGAAAATGGAACCCTTGTACACTGTTGGTGGGTTGGTGGAAATTTCCACCACAGCTGACATGATGGTTTCTCAAAAAAACTAAAAATAGAACTGATATATAACCCATATAACCCTATAACCCTTTGTATATATTCCAGGTATATATACAAAGGAAATGAAATCAGTATGTCGAAGAGAGATCTGTAGTCTCATGTTCATTGCAGCATTATTTACAATAGCCAACACATGGAATCAATCTAAGTGTCCAACAACAGATGAATGGATAAAGCAAATGTGGTATATATACACAGTAGAATACTATTCAGCCATAACAAGGAATAAAATCCTGCCATTTGTGACAACATGGATGAGAAACTGTGGTACATTATGCTAAATGAAGTAAGACTATACAGAAAAAGACAAATACTGCATAATCTCACTTATATGTGGAATCTAAAAAAAGTCAAACTCATAGAAACAGAGAGTAGAATGGCGACTGCCAGAAGCTTGGGGATGGGAAAATGAGATGTTGGTCAAAGGATACAGACTTTCAGATATAAGAATACCTCCCGTTCGTTTCCCAGGTATTCCAGGCTGTGACACAGTCTCTTGGATTTTGGTTGATTTGTGAGCATAGAATCCTCAGTTCTGTGGGAGTAGACACATTACCCTCAACCATAGGCTTTAACTTCCTGTAGTGTCTCTAATTTGCTCTCTCCCATACAAACAAATACTTTGTTTCAACCATTCATAAAAATTGGCTTTCTATTACTTAGAAGAGTTCAAGTTAACACAAGTCCAAGCTATGAGCATCATTTTGTAACGAATAACTCTCCCAGCCAGGAATATGTCTTACTACAGTAGCCATCTATAAGAAGAGCTACTTTTCTTATCTGATTACCCATAGTTACCAGACGCTTGATTGCAATCATCATCAGGAGTCTACATGACATAAATATCTATTTTATAACAAAACATGGAGAGATTATTTAACTCAAGGCTACATAAATGTAACCAAATAATTGATTCTGCATCAGTGAGCTTACACTATGAAGTTAGAATTATATAAAGAAGAAAAATTCATTCAAAATAACTCTGTTCAACAACCAATAATTAGTATTCGGCCCCTAATATTTATTTTTAATTTCCTTTTTACTAAAAGAATTGGTGAAAATCCTTGACCCAATGTTCTTAAGAAATGTTTGTTCTGATTTTCACTTCTTCTTGATCAGAATTTTTGCTATTTGACCTTCCTCTGTGTGCCATACAGTTCTTTTCATGTCATCTGTTCTGATACATCATTCCTTGTTTAAGGCCCCATGTATGAGTTATGAAGTATTCTTTTTTATTTTTTAAGTTATTATTTTCTTTTAGAGATGAGGTCTCACTATATTGCCCAGGCTTGTCTCAAACTCCTGAGCTCCAGCAATCTGCCCACATCAGCCTCCCAAAGTGCTAGGATTACAGGCATAAGCCACCATACCCTGCCAAGTTGTAGAAATATTCTTAGTCTTGACATCACTCATTGTTAAAAAAAATTCACTTTGGGTGCAGATTGCTTAGCACTTATAATGCAAATAAGGTCTTGTTTTTCTTCAACATGCTCTACAGCATGTTTGGGGATGACCTCTATCTTTCCGAAGACCTGTGACTTCGTGTCTCTGCCTGACTTTGTATGTTCTGGGGCCAACCCCTCTGTAATGTGCCCCTATGTTTCCTGTCCTGCTCATACTATGACAATGGAACCATAAGGAAAAAGGCCATATTCTGGTTCTTTGGAAAGTAAAAGTTATTTTTCTTTCTGTCTCAATCTTGTCTCTATAAGCCAGGTCAGCACCTTCACATGGCTGTCGGTCTATTGAGGTGAGTTGTGAATGCCCACCTGTCATTTGACTTGTTCCTTGCCAACTTTACTTTGATCAAATACCTGACCAATCCCTGGCTCTGGGGTAGGTCTTTCCTTTGGCATCTTAAACCAGCCTGTGGACTTTTGAGGTGGGCCTAGATTCTGTAGCCCATTTTCCTGTGAAAGGCCTTGACTTGGATTGAAGCTGGGCTCCTCCAACTTCTGTGTTGCCTGAGGATGTGTGATCCCCCCTAAACAAGTCCTTGGGTCCAAAAGCAAGGTCTTGCCCCATTGAAGGGTCCCCTACCACCTTCTCATTGACCTCAAGGGAAAGATTTGGATGCTTTCAGATTAGGATCCAAGCTGATGATGAACACTGCACTGGGCAGAACCAGGAGCCCTATAACACTTCCAATTCAACATTATTAAAAAGCTATCCTGGCTGTAACGGCTGACCCTTTCATCACTTTATCCCTCTATATGTTTTTAAAAAGATTAACAGAGTCATTGGGGAAAAAATGGAAAGCTCTGAAGAATCTAATTTTAAAACAAATCTTCTATCCCCTGTCAAGCTTCCTGCATTAAAAAAAAAAGCGAAATGTACAACTTAGATAATATCTGGTTAACTCTGTTCTGCACAGCCTACTTCTTTATTGAAACCGCCTGTGGCATCATGAGACATTCGCTGAAATATCCGTTAATGAAAAGCTGGACAGTAAGAAAGAAGTAATAAGAACATTTTATCTCTTTGGGAATCTTCTAATAAAAAAATGAAAGGAAAGTAAGTTCATTTTAATTGATGAAAGGGACATAGATTTCATCAAGTTGAAAAGGCACACAAACACTGCTAGGGGCAAACTGCACTCCTCTGCGCCTTTTGGTTAGAGCTGTTGAGTACTGCTCCATTGGAACGTGAATTAGGTTTATTGTAATGGTCTGTTTCCATATTTAGTTTTCCCAGAATTCACATTGCTTCTTGTTTATAATGGCATATACCTAATGATGAGCACAATGTCTGACACACAGTTGTTGCTAAATAAATTATTCTTGAATGGATGAATAAAAGATAATGTATTATCCCTTCCAGCAGGAATTGATTATCTAGTTGGGAGGGGAAGACAGAAACATACACAAAAATAAGTGATGATTCCTATCATTGTATTTATTGTTAATCGTCTACTGTTATCATCGTATTCTTCACTATTAATTTTGTGGTATTTGTGATAAGTCATAAAGGTAGCCAAAGATGTTCTTTCTACCTTAGCCTGTGTATGTTTCTTCCATTATTCCAGCCTCAGGCTTGCCTCTCAATTTAGCACTTGCTGATCAGCCTGCCTGGAGTGCTCATCTTCCTCAGTAGCTAATTAACTCCTATTCATCCTCCAAGCCCCAGTAGAAATGTCATTTCCTCCTGGAGGTCCTCTGTGGTTGCCTGGGCTGGGTTATCTAGCTCTGCTTTATGTTCCAGGGCAATATTCAGAATTATGCTTGTGATCACTCTTCCTGTATGTCTTCCCTGACAGAGCATGAGCCCCATGAAGGCAGGGACAGACTCCATCCTTTTCATCTCTTTCCCAGGGCTCAGCATAGCAGGTGTTTAATAAATGCTGGTATAATGAATGGACACTTTCTTACAAAGAGCACCTTGGAATAGGTAAGGGGCTCTAGAGCATGGAACTGGTTCTCAAAATGATGGGGAGGCAGAGGCCTGGAATAGACAATGTGATCAAAGTGTGTGGTCCATGGACCAGCAGCACTGACATCACCTGGAGCTTGTTAGAAATGTGTCTTCTCAGACCCCACCCAAAATCTGGGTGATTTGTATGCACGTTCAAGTTTGAAAAGTCCTGCTTTTCATTTGGCCACACAATGCAGATGGAGAAGACAGACCTCAGAAATCATCCCACCTAAGAGACTGAGGGTCCTGAATGGATCCAGATGATTGCCTGTATGTGGGGACAACAGGTGGCTGCTGTTTTTCCTATGACCAAGTCCTAGGTTCTAATTCAATCCCCACCCCCATCCCTTTTAAAAATATACCTCATGGAGCACAAGGTAACTGATTACCTTTGTTTGGGGAAAATGCTGTTTGCTAATGAATTTTCTCCAGATACCATGGAACCGTGTGGATCCTCTCCTGCCCTCATTGCCAGTTGGACATAGAGAAGGGTTTATCAGTCTGCCTTTTATTCAAAGTCTTAGATCCCCAGGCTCCTGGCTGACTTGCACTGTTGGAACTAAGCAAAAGAGATTCCAAGAAGATCCCACAAGGATCTCGTGTTAGTCCATTTTGTGCTGCTAGTACAGAATACCTAAGGGGGGTAATTTACATTGAAGAGAAATTTATTGTATCATGGTTCTAGAGTCTGCAAATTCCAAGATGAGATGTTGGCATCTGGCAAAGGCCTTCCCAATATGTCATCCCATGGCAGAAGGGCAATGAGGGTTAGAAGGAGCAAGAGGTCAAATTTGCTGTCTCAGGCCCTTTTTATAGTGGCATTAATCCATTCATGAGGATGGAGCCCTTGGAACCTAAACATGCCCCAACATTGTTGCATTGAGGATTGAATTTCCAACACGTGAACTTTGGGGGACACATTCAAACCGTAGCAGATCCTCTCCATTCATCCTACCTCACCTGGCACGTAATTCACTTGCAGGCTAGGTGGGGAGACAAGAGTATCCACAGCCAAGAAGCCCACAGCTTCAGGGACCTGTGAACAGAAGTGGACCAGATAGGGGATGGCAAGGAGGAGGTCAGCACAAACTGTCTGCAGGGTGAGGTAGCTTCATTCTCTGCAGTGGGGACATGAGGTAGGGATCGGGGTTCAGGCACAGGGTCTGACTGTTTTATACCAAAGCAGGACAGATGGAAGTCAGAGGTGGACAAAGACTTTTCCTGTCACCTGTGACTCAGTCACAGAAGTGCCCAAATTGTCTTCTGGTCTGAGGACAGCAGAAGCTCAGGATACCTTTCTAGCAGGTAGATACAGGGAATGGTGTGGGATGAGGCAGAGGTTTGCTTCAGGTTCTCATCAAATTCCCCAGATCTGAAGCCAGCCCCTCTCAGGCCTGAACAGAAGCACTTCACCTGTTTATTTCTTGAAAAGCCATTCTATGTTGCTGCTTCCCACTTTTAGTTCTCAGAGGTGGCTTTCCTACTGTCCAGAAGACATAAACTTCTGTTTTCCCTGGAGTCACCTTAGCTTAAACTCCTATAATCTTGTTGAATCATCCCTGTGTTTGGCTAAACCAGGCTCCTCATACCCACGTTCCAGGGTCACACAGGTAACTTGGCTTGCTGCTTCTGGGGGCTCTGAATCCCACAATGCCGATCCACCACCTCTTCCCTGCTGCCACTAGTCTCCTGGGGTCTAGCCTCAACAGCTTCCACCAAGGACACACTGCATTGCTTAAGAGTGTATTTAAGGTGCGGCATTTGTGATGCTAGGGAGGAGCCTTCCTGACTTAATCACGTAGGGGGAGTGGGGAAAGAAGTGGGTATTTGGAAGGAGGGTGAGGTGGGCTGGGAATGCCAAGAAATGGTAGTACTGTGTGGTGAATCAAAGTGGGTCTTGGAATCTTCCTAGCTTTTCTTTTCTTTTCTTTTCTTTTTTTTTCTTTCTGACTTTTTATCTTATGTTGTCACTCACCATGTTTTGTTTTCCTCATCTGCAAAATGGATTGTTGTAAGCTTGAACAGGAATCATGCATAAAGTACTGAGCACAGTGCCTGGTACCTTGAAATCACTCAATGGAAGTTTCTTATTATTTGCCCTACACCCAAGGAGTAATTGGGGCCCTGAAGGAAGACACCCCAATTTGCCGTCCTCCCAGCCGCCAAGCCTGATAGTGCACTAGGGAGGCTGATGGGAAAATACCGTGCAGAAGGCTGAGGAGTGGGGATTCTGGGGCGGGACTCTTTGAAGTCCTAGGTGACCTCTCCGCCCAGGCACCCGCCCTCCCCGGGCCTGGGCTGCAGAGCTGCGGGCGGGGGCGGTGGCCCTGCGCTGCACCCGGCCTGCCTGCGCGTAGGCGGGCGGGCGGGGCTGCGCGTCCGGGCTCCCGGGGCTGGTAATATAGCGGCTCGCCGAGGCGCTGGTGCACGGGGGCAGCGCGCAGCAGGCCGGCGGGCAGGCGGGCGGGCTGGCTGGCAGGCAGGACTGGGATCGAGGCCCAGAAAACGGAGCAGCGGGCACCAGGGAGGCCTGGAACGGGGCGAGCGCCATGAGCAACAAATGCGACGTGGTCGTGGTGGGGGGCGGCATCTCAGGTTAGTCGCGGCTGTGCGCCCTCCTTCCTCTTCACGCGCTCGGACAGGTGGCTGCCTGGGGGAGACGCGGGGGGCGGCCGTGGGGCAGGGGCTGACCCTGGAGTCCCCAGACTGTCCACGCACGGGCAGGGCTCTAGTGGGTCCAGAGCGCCGTGCACTGAACCCTCCTTTGGGGGCAATTTTGGGTGCGTTCCCGGACGCAGAGGCCAGAGGCTGGAAGCCTGTTGCAGCTCTGGGGCCAGACTTTGAACTTCTCCCCCAGAAGGCTGCTAGGCCTTCGCTTGCTGGAATTTTCGAAGCCAGGGAAAAGGGGTGGGGAGGTGGCACAAAGGTCAGTCATTTGCTCCAACTTGACCTGGACACTCCGCACCCTCGCTTAGAGCAAGCATGCACCACATCGTATTGTTGTCCTGGCGTCAGGAAAACGACCTTGAACAGAAGAGGTTGGAGCCTGGCCAATCGATTGCCAAAGACTTTCCAGGCCCTCCTGATTCTTTGAGGTTCTGTGATTGTCACGGATCTAACTTGAGGCTGCAGTGTCTTTTTGGCAAATGCCTGTTTTCCTCTTATGCCTCTCGCACCCCCACTCCACCCCACCCCACTCCTAGCGCAGGGTGGCCAAGCTGCAGCTTTGCTCTCTGGCCTAGCCCATATTTGGCAAGGATGGGGACAGACACTACCCCCTCAGCCACACGGGGCTGTGTACATACCAAGGGCACCGAAAAATAGAAGCCAGAAGAAGGGATGGGGGTAGTGGTGGAACTTACCCTCTGTGGAGGATCAGGCAGATCCTATGGGATAGGGTCAATGGGAATCAATGATGCTCTCAGCACAGCCTGTTTAATGGCCCCCTGGGCATGCTTTGGCCCACCTCCTAACGCTGCCTAGTACTTGAGCAGTAATTAGGACACCTCCAGACCCGTGGATGCATTGTCTAAGACTTGCCTTAAGGAGTTCTCAAGTGGCCTTTGGGAAGTAGAGGTTGGCCTTGCTCCCTGCCAGGAGGGCAGGACAGAGTTGTTCTGACTCTCCTGTGGCTGGAGAAAAAACCAAGGCATTGGATGTTTGGTGCTGACCATGGTCCAGTCCTCCTGCCTCTGCTCCAGCCTTTCTCCCCTTTGGGTGGGATCTCAGGCTACCACATCTGTCTAGCAGGCTCTGGTGAGCTCGCCCATGCCAGGCCCTGTGCCTGGTGTTGCAGGTACATAGATGCGTAATCACAACATGCTGAGGTTGGCCAAGGCTGTGTATAAATTCAGTTTTCTTTCAGTATTTTTGACATCTTCTCTCCTAGAGGAAGTTGGACTTAAAAGCATACCTACTTAGGTGTTTTAGAAAATATTACTAAGTGCCTCTTGATGCTGCCTTGCATAGCACCCCATCTTACAGAAGCTGAAGTTTCTCTTTTCAGGCCCCCGAAGTCATTTTCTCACTAAAGTATGCCCAATGGATTCAGATTTTTCTATTTTCCCTTCATGATTTGTCCCTTTCTGATTCATACTCCACACCTTCAGGTTCAATCACATTACTCATGTTAGACTCATCTGGAAAAGGTAGATAAGGGTTTAACTATTTTTGCAAGCAGTGGTGAAACCTCTGCATTCATCCTCCCGAACTCTGATCAAAACAAGGTACTGATGAGTAGATCTGACTTTTCTCAAGAACATTCCACGGAATAGGCATTGTTCTAAGAACCAAGAAAGCAGCCTTCCAAGGCCCAGTCTTACTCAATTGCTTCATCTGCTACATGGGGATAACACCAGTTAGTCACTGCTGGATTACAGGGCAAGTGAAACAATGTGAGTAAAATAGCTTTGCAGAGTCTGAAATATGGCACAAGCCCCTCAAGAGTTTTACCCATTTATTCAGACAATAGGAATTGAGGGAGGCTGTGTAGGGGATTCAAAAATGGATCATGTTGTTCTTGCCCCGGAAGACTTGTCAATTCAAGAAGGGTGATGGGATACTCAGACAATACAAGGTAGAAGGTGGTGCGTGCCATGGGAGGGGTCCATTCATTGATTCATTATTCATTCATTCAATGAACATTTACTTCCTGTTCCACATTTTGTCCCAAAAGAAATAAAAGATGATTTATACAGGGCCATTGTTCCTGGGGCCCTCACAAGCTGATGTGGAAGACAGTCAAGAATAATTACTACTCTTTGGCATATGATAGGTGCTTTAATAGTGCATATAAAAAATTCTAGGGAAGGTGATTGGAGAGAACATCAAACTCTGTCTGAGAAAATCTAAGAACTCACAGAGTTGGTGACATCTGAACTATGTCTTCAGGAATGAATATGAATTCACCAGGGGACTAGATGAAGAAAGCATTTTTAAACTAAAGAGCAGCTTGTATAAAACCACAAATATGTGAAAGAACATGCTAACGTGTAGGATAACTTAAGAACTTCATTGCGGAGAGTTGCCAGAGGGGTCTGGTGGGAGAGAAAGCTAGAAAAGTCAGTTGGGATGAATTATGGGGAGGCTTGTATATCAGAAAGGTTTAGCTCTTTCTGTGATCAATGAATAGCACTGATGATTTTTTATTCAGAGTGCCATGCATCAAATGGCGTGTGTCACATCTGATGGTGATATTAGCAAAAAGAGGGATATGAAGAAGAGGGAGAGAAGGTTTTGGGAAAAGATAGGACGTCTAGAGTTGGAGGTTCTGGGAGGACACCCAGGGAGAGAAATCTAGCAGTTGGAATGAAATTGGGGTTACAAATGTGTACGATAGAGGTTTTAGTAGATGAAATGGCCAAAATCAAGAGTGTAGTGTGTAGAATTTTCGAATTAGTAGGTGACCAACACAATGATTTATGTTTAAAAGTCTCTGGATTTGACTCTGCGTTCTAAGCTTTGTTAATTATTAAACTTGGGACATTCTGGCAATTCCCTGATAATTTTTAAAGCTGTCAGCAAATTTTAATCACTCCCTTTGGGATAAACAGAGACATACTGGGAGGATAGCTGGTTAATACATAACTTTCTTTTTTGATGTTTTAAAAGTTCCAAGATAGTTGTAGACTAACTTTTTAGAAATGTGTATGGTGTATAAATGAGTATGCACTGAAATCTCTTTTACCCAAGGGGCAGATCATCTCCAGAGACTTGGCAGAGCAATGACATCTCCCACATGGAACTGGACAGCAGCACGTTGCATCTGTCCCGCGTCTCTCAGTTTTAGTGTTTGGGTGGGTGGAACCATGGAAACTATCTTTTGCAATTCTGGAATAGTTCTTGTTCAATCCCCAAAATAAAAACTAAAAAAGGCAACTTGAAGCAGAAACAAGAAAGTTTTGGCCAGACTTAGGAGAGGAGATTTGGTCATTTGAGGGTGGCAGGCACTTGTTTGAGATCCCTGGAAGTGTTGGAACCAGACTTCCAAATTGTAACCAACACCTGGCAGGTGATCTTTGTGGCAGGGAGAGCAAGCCTGGCTGCAGGCTAGTGGTACTGGCTTTGGCAGGGAATGTCAGAGATGGCTCACAAGGGGTTATGAGTTGAGGTGTGTGGTGGGCAGATGTGGCCCATATGTTAATGGCAAAGCCTCTTTCTCACCTTTGGTGAAGAAAAATGGAGAACTTCCCTGGGCTCCTGTAACCCACTTGAATGTCCTAAAAAATAATAATTATATAGATATGCCTGAAAATTTGTATATCCTAGTCAAGGAAAGAATACACAGAGGTAATACAGCAATATTAAAAGAACATACGATTTATCTTGGAAGGTTGAGACGGGAGGATTGCTTGAGCCCAGGAGTTTGAGACCAGCCCTGGCAACGTAATGAGACATGGTCTCCACACACACACACACACACACACACACACACACACACAAAGGCTGGGTATAGAGGAGTGCACCTGTAGTCCCAGCTACTCTGGAGGCTGAAGTGGGAGGATCACTTGAGTCCAGGAGCTCGAGGCTGCAGTGAGCTATGATCATGCCATTATACTCCAGCGTGGGCCACAGACAAAGACTGCCTATAAAAAAAGACTGGGAGGGGGAGAATAGGCTTAGTGTCAAACACACTAGTTATGAATCTCATTTCTTATGCTTACCTATGTGGAACCTTAAAAGGTACATAACCTCCCTGTATTTCAGCTGCCTCATCTTTAAAATGAGACTCATAATGCCTTCCTGGCCGGCTTGTTTCAAGGATTGGAAAGAATGCACATGTAGGACCATAAACAGTGATCACTTCGGCTTTGGCTTATAGGTGCCTTACTCTACCTTTTTGGAAATATATCCTTGTTTGTCCTGTAGAGTTTTTCAATCTAAGGGAGCAAAAACAGGCATTTCTATGTAATCACTTCTTTTCACCAACCAATAATTTTTCTGGATGTGCAGCATAGATAAGGTGGCAACAGGACGCCATGTATACATGTGGGCATCAGGAGAGACTCGCCTGACTTCAGCCTCATCCTGGCTCAGCCAATTCCTTTATCCCCCCGCAAGGGGCCTGAGGAACTCAGGCTCACTTTGGGCTCTGAGACCCACTGGGTTCCGCTTCAGGAGAAATTCTGGAAGTCTTAGATCTGTACTTCAGCCTCACCTCAACCTGGCTATTATTCCAATTCTGATCTGGTCTTCATTTCAGCCATTTGATTCCTGTCTTAACTACAATAGAAGATAAATGCATTAATAACAAATGATATTATTTATTTAATAATATTATTTAATAATAAATGATAAAAAGGTAGCATATCAAGCGTTATCTACATGCTGTACAAGGTGTTAGGAGCTTGATTAGAATGACAAAAGCTCTGTGAAGGTTAAGAATGACAAAGCCTTGTTCTTTCTGCTTGATTCTAACACCCCTGGGACACAGTGTTGGGGCCGGTTGGTGGGCTGTGTGAGTAGAGCCAGTTGCCACTAGAGTCACAATTTCTAGGCCCCCATGTGTCCTCAGAAGTCACCAGGGCAGGTTTAAGGCTTGGCTTGGCATTGACAATGGTCACAATTTTCTTCTCCTCTGACTGGGTATTGAGGTCTAGGCTCCCTGCCATACATTCAGGGGCAGTGGTGGAGCATAGGGGTTAAGAGCATGGTGTCTACCCTGGTTCCACCACTAACTAGCTGTGCCACCTTGGGCAAAATAGTTAGTTAACCTTCCCATGCCTTACTTTTCTCATTTGGAAATGGGGATAATAATGGTATCTATTTCACAAAGTGGCTGAGAGAATTAAAGGAGAAAATACATGTAGAGTGCTTGGAATGTGGCTTGGCATTTGGCAGGCACACAATAGATATTGATGATTATTGTTCATCAGGCTG
Organism: Homo sapiens; assembly: GCF_000001405.40. NCBI lineage: Eukaryota > Metazoa > Chordata > Mammalia > Primates > Hominidae > Homo > Homo sapiens. The sequence goes on along the minus strand of NC_000023.11, from coordinate 43,876,970 downwards.
ACAAAATGTCCACTAGCAACTAGTGGTCTGAAGTGCCAGTGTGCCAGCTTCCTCACTGTCAAACTTTGGGCTGAGGAAGTGGTTTGTGGCTGTGCATTTGAATGCACTGACACACACACACACGCGTGCATGCACACTCGGAGAACATTAGCCTGTAACAGAGATTCTGCTTCCAAGCCCTGTTTTCTTGGCTTGTATATGATTTACTAACACAGATGATGTGAGAAAGTCAGCAGCTTAATTTAAACAAAAGGCTTTAACTCTAATTATTTTAATATGTATTTTAAGAGATAAATATGTCAGAAACTATAAATGCAAAACATTTGTATACGAAGAGGAAGGAAGATAACACAGCTGTTAAACACAAAGGGCATTGGAGGCCTGGGACTTGGGCTCAAATCCCATCTGTTCCCCTAAATGTGGAGCTTGGGCAATAGGGGTGGCAATAGTAACAGGTTAGTTTTTTTGTGGAGTTCAATTACAGATGATTTTCATTTTTTTCCATTTTCTGTAATTTACAGATTTTCACAACAAATATGTATTATTTCTGCAACTCACGTTTCCAGAAACACCATACTCTTCCCTCTCCAAAAAAATTCCTCAAAGTATAAATCACCATGATGGAATGTGACTGCATCTTTCATTTATATCAGTGGCTTTTCTTCTTAAAAATATTTGAGGGAATTTTTGTTATTAATAAGTGTGGTTATTGGCCAGGCATGGTGGCTCACACCTGTAATCCCAGCACTTTGGGAGGCCAAGGTGGGTGGATTGCTTGAGGTCAGGAGTTCAAGACCAGCCTGAACAACATGGTGAAACTCCGTCTCTACTAAAAATACAAAAATTAGCCAGGCGTGGTGGCGCATGCCTCCAGTCCGAAGCTACTTGGGTGGCTGAGGCAGGAGAATCACCTGAACCTGGGAGGCAGAGGTTACAGTGAGCCGAGATTGTGCCACTGCCCTCCAGCCTGGGAGACAGAGTGAGACTCTGTCTCAATAAATAAATAAATAATTAATAAATAAATGTGGTTATTAATTCTTCAATTTATCCTTCTGCAAAAGATGCCCTGCTAGATATCAAAAGCTCTTTCAAAGAGCTTGTCTCTTCAATTTGTCTTGGTACTTCTTCAGCCAAGTTTCTTCAATTTTTCTTGGTACTTGAAAAGCGGGTGAGTGTTCCTGGGCTAACTCCTAGAATTCTCAATAAATGTTAACTTTGTTATTTGTACAAGTCACTGGGCAGTACTCAATTGAGGGCACCCTGGAATCATGCAAGATCGAATACCCTTGAAGGGTGCAAAAGTGAGCCAAATTGAGGGGCCACGTTCAGGTGTAATATGTGTCTGAAGAACGAGTGTTTTCAGCCCCACAAGAGAATGCTTTGGAAATTTGCTCAGGTTAAATGTGTACCATTGTGCTTTTGCAAGAATCTCATTCGCTGGGCTTAACTTATTAGTAGTGTGTCTGCATAAAAGTTGTTATTTCCCCTAAGAGGAGGCCATAATGGTATAAAATTCCTTCCTGATTTTGAATATTCAAGGAACAAACTTAGAAGACCAAGCTAAAAAATACTTTGGTTTAATAGAATCATTGGTGACTGAAGACGGAAGCATCTTTAGAGTTTTACCTACTAGTTAAGATCGCCTGGTTTTGCATCCAAGAAAAAGCACATTTAGAGAGTGCAAAGGGCTGGCTCCAGACCTCACAGCCCCTTCTTTTGAATAAAATTATTGTCCTGGAGGATGAGCCCTCAGCCTTAGGAGAAAATGCAAACAGAAGGACAACCTGATCAAATGGTGCTGGGTGAGAGGTTAGAATCACTAATACTTTGAATGCACTATTTCTACTTTCTGTTTTCATGCTCACAAAATGGATCCATCTTTGGCCTCCTCTGTTAACTCAGTAAATAAAGATACAGAAAGCCAAGTCCCTGTTAGCAATGTTTCCTAAGTCAGCATGCATTTATTTACTGAAGGAAGGTATAGAAAAAGAGTAAGACTAAGTTCCCAGCCTCAGGAAACTTAAAATGCAGATGGAGACACAAGACTAGCACATACATGCAATAAGGAACAATTAAACTAATGTATAATTGAATTCTGAACTGTGGGACCCAAGGACTAAGTTAGAAGAATCATTAAAGACCCCAGGAGTTGGAGAAGGTCTCATTAAGGGAGTAGAATTTAACAGATTCTGAAGAACAGTCCAGGTTTGGGAGGGTAGAGAAGAGAGAGGCTTTAAAGATGAGAAGAATCATTTAAATCATAGGGCCAGAGACTTCAGTTAGCAGGTGATCTTTATATTTACAGGACAGTAGAAAGTCCAGCTTGTCTAGAATAAAAGGAAGGGGAGACATGGGAAGGAAAGTTAGTAGGAGGGGGGCAGGATCCAAAAACGAGCAATTGAAAAACAAAGTGAAAAGTTAGGTTTTCCTGTGGTAAGAAATAGGGAGCCATTGACAGTTTATACTATAAAGATAAGGTGGATGGTCGTGTGCCTGATAACCAGGGAAGCCAAAACATGGATAGAAATTCAGGAAAGGATTGAGAGGTGATCAGCTGATTATAATGTATTGGGTTATTCTGAATGCCCAAGGGAGGTTTCAAGAGAAATGGGGATAGAAAGAAGGGAAGAATGAGTAGAAGGAGGTGTCCAAAGTTGCACTTGGCTTTCTTCACTGTCTTGCTGGCAGCCTATCCAGAAAAGAAGTATCACAAACAATAATTAGTTGTAATTTAATGAAGTTGTAGGCACTCCATAAAACATTTACCACTGTTACTATTGCCACCTATATTTTATTTTTGCAAACTTCCCTCCAAAGTTTTATCATTGGGATTGAAGGACTTGACTGTATTTACATTTTTTCTTCTTTAAAAAACTAAAAACAGAGATTTTCTTCCCAAGGGCTGTGACCCAGTTTACTAAATGATAAAACGTGTATCTCTGGCAATCTCAAACACAAAATGAATAGTTCATCTTATTTGTTATATAAAAACTGTCGGCCGGGTGCAGTGGCTCACACCTGTAATCCCAGCACTTTGGGAAGCCGAGGCGGGCGGATCGCGAGGTCAGGAGACCGAGCCCATCCTGGCCAACATGAAGAAACCCTGTCTCTACTAAAAATACAAAAATTAGCCGGGCGTGGTGGTGGGCGCCTGTAGTCCCAGCTACTCGGGAGGCTGAGGCAGGAGAATCGCTTGAACCAGGGAGGCGGAGGTTGCAGTGAGCCGAGATGGCACTACTGCACTCCAGCCTGGCGACAGAGACAGACTCCATCTCAAAAACAAACAAGCAAACAAAAACGAACAAAAATGTCATTTAAACCTTTTGTTTTGTGAGAGAGGGGCACCATCAGAAAACATCTTCAGGTAGGTCTGACCTTTCAAATGTTAGTCATCTTACCATAGTCTCCATTTAATGGCATCTTAAATGTCATATACTATCTAATTTCCACTTCATATCTGAAATTTGAGCTCTTGATCTTATGTTATGCATCTCTTAGCTAGGCCATTTTTAATTCTACTCTCCTCCTCAATAACATTTATCAGAATTACACAATGATGAAAATGTCCTACTAGATACTTAGTTTTATTTGCTCTCCTTCTAGCCTAAATAATCGTCCCTTTTGCTTAACCTCTCCAACATTTTTAATGATTCTTTTAATTGAATTTGGAATCCTTACTTCATATTTTGAAGTTGGGCTACTTTTTATTGCTGTGATCCCAGTGGTGTGTGTGTATTAAATTGTGTATTGATAATTATGTCTTTAGTTATATCTCATTTCTTTGGGTTATTTTCCAGTTTTCTACATTAAAGAAACAAGCTCATTGGAAGAGCTTTTGTTATCCAGCAAAGCATCTTTTTTCAGAAGGATAAAGTTAAGAATTAATAACCAATTTAGTTAATAACCAAAATTACTTCAAACATTTGGTAAGAAGAAAGGCCACTGATAGAAATGAAAGATGCAATCACATTCCATCTTGATGATCTACAGTTTGAGGACATTTTTTAGAGAGGTGTGAGTATCTTTTTTAATAGCATGAATGCAGAAATAATAAACATTTGTTGTGAAAATCTGTAAATTATAGAAAATGGCAAAAAGAAAATGAAAATCATCCATAATTGAACTCCATAAAATATTTACCACTGTTACTATTGCCACCTATATTTTCTTTATGCAAACTTTATGTTGTATTTACTGTACTTATTTGTATCCCCTTTAAAAATAAATACCAACATGTTATGAATGTTTACCTATGTCTTAAATGTTTTTTCATGATTTTATAACATTAGTTCATATGATTGTATCACAACTTGTTGAATCAATCTCCTATTGCTGAACATTTGTGTTTTTTTCAAACTTTCTGCTATTTTCAACAAAGCTGTTATGAACCTAAATTGTTGTACATAATTCTGATTGTTTCTTTAGGAAATTTCCAGAGATAAATGTTAGAAATTCTTTTAAGGCATTTAATAATTATAGCAAAATTGTCGCCCAAGAAAGTTTTACCAATTTACCTTATGATGGAATTGTAATAATGGACTTCTTAGCCATTTCAATAGGAAACCAACATTTCCTCCCCACCCAACGATCCCCCAGACAGTACAGAGATAATCAAGATTCTTCACCAGTTTGTAGTCGTAATTTAATGAAGTTGTAGGCACTAGAAATTAAAAATATCTTCAGTTTTGTAACATTTTAGTGGTGGCAAGTAAGTTTTGCTCTCTGTAACATGCAGGAAAGCTGTTTTTTGCAATTACTACGTTATGCCTACCATTATCTACTGGGAACATATACTTTTATAGTACTTTTAAATTTATTGGGTACCATCTAGCCTGTGCTTCCAGAAGTTTGCCATCATTAATTAGATAACTGTTGTGTTTCTATGCAGAAAAGAAAAGAAAATAGTCCTGTAACAAACCATTTTCTATGATTAATTATTTTTACCCATCTAGATAAAACATGAGTATAGCCTTTGTTCACAGCCTATTGTAACAGCTGATCAAACAGCTGTTTCATGTTTTACATTTTAATTTCCTCTGTATTTTGCATTCAAATCCTGTGATAGAGTTTAATTTATTTAGGAAACCCATAAGATATAGTCGACTGTTTCAGAATAGCCCTTTTATGCTGTGCCAGTTAGTGGAAATCAAACAGCCCTTGTTAAGCACCGATGATAAATACACATAAGGGTGTGCACTAAAAGAGTTGTCCTCGTTTCATCAAATGTATTTCCCTATGTCATTGTTTCTGCAGGGAGAAAAAGAAATTTGTTCATTCGTTGATTCAGTCATTCAATAAACCCTTATCGAGTGCCCTATTTACCAAACATTGGGCTAGGTGTGGGAATACACAGATGGGTAATACATGTGCCCATCTTTCAGGGGTACACCAAGCAGAAGGAGGCAGACATGTACAGGTGAATGTTCTGAGGGGTGGTGGGTGCTGAGAAAGACATGCTTATCTGGATCAGATGAGACAGAGAAGAGGAGGACAGCAGCTTCACCTCAAGGGCCTCAGAGGCCCTGAAGGAGGATTTGGCAATGGAATTTACTGGAGAGGTAACCAGCAAATTCAAATGTTCTTCCTTGAAATATAGCTTTAAGTAGTTGGAACTTAAATCTATATTCTAATGTACATAGAGTGTTGAAATTTCACTTTCACTCTTTGTATAGTGGATGTTATAGTAGGCTGTCCCACTACCTTCAGGACCTGCTGAGAGTGTTGGCTGCTGCTGGCTCACAGCCAAGTCCCTCTCTGAAAGTCACCCTTGACTGAAGGGAGCTGACTAACCCAGGCCTTCGTACCCTCTTGCTTCAATCCAGGATAACTCTGAAAGGCCACATTAGCCTGAGAGTTCACTGTAGGACTGATTGATTTCTCTGTTGTGCTTGCATCTCTCAGTTCAACTCCTTCCTTTGCCCAATCCTGCTTCCTTTCTTCATACATGTTGAACCCCGATAAAGCTTCTATATGCAAACCCATCTCAGAGGCTGCTTACCAGGGGACCCTAAGCTAGACAGAGGATGACTGAACAGCATTTTTGCTCAGCGTGTCACAAGATGTTCTAATCATGAAGTTTCAGACAGTTGGAGGAAGAAGCAATTAAAGGGCATGACCTTTCCCATGTTCTTTTCTTTTCTTTTTCTTTCTCTTTTTTTTTTTTTTTTTTTTTTTTTGAGGTGGAGTCTCACTCAGTTGCCCAGGTTGGAGTGCAGCGGTGAGATCTTGGCTCACTGCAAGCTCCGCCTCCCGGGTTCATGCCATTCTCCTGCCTCAGCCTCCCAAGTAGCTGGGACTACAGGTGCCCACCACCATGCCTGGCTAATTTTTTGTATTTTTAGTAGAGACGCAGTTTCACCATGTTAGCCGGGATGGTCTCGATCTCCTGACCTCATGATCCGCCCGCCTCAGCCTCCCAAAGAGCCGGGATTACAGGCGTGAGCCACCGCCCATGTTCTTTAATGGCCTCCACCAAGGATGCAAGAGGCCGGTAGGGCCTGGAGACGGTGCTTAGTCTCATCAGTTCTGGATAAGCACTCTTTGGTGCCCTGAGAGCCCCCAAGTAAGGGTGAAAGGTAGAGGTTGATCACTATGCTGGCCCAAACACTCTCTGGGGAATCCCAATCTCTTACCACTCTGTGTGCTGATTCAGAGCTGAAATTTAGAGCCTCCGATCTGGAAGTGCTCAAAATATGGATTCCTTCTTTTACTGGAGGAATCCGTGGCAGTACAGCCAAGAGAGAAATTATGAAACAGCCCTAATCTGTGAAGACTGGATACAGAAGTTTGGACGCTGTCCATCTATTCCAAGCCACCATTTTGGATCCAGCTCAGATTCTGGGTTCTTGGAAAAATAGTGCTGTTGGCACACACCTCTATTCTTTCCCTTATCCTGTGACCATTTTATGCAGCTTCCTGTAGGATTTCTCACAGGGTGTTGAAAATGCTGAAAGTGATTATAAAAAAAATGGACAATGGAGTTCTTGATGGATAAGGGAGAAAGGGAAGTTGTGAGGGAGCAAGCTGGTTCATAGATTCAAATGGAGATGTTAATAGATTGGAGGTCTTTGTGTCATTAAAGAACATTTATATTAGAGCAATTTGAGCAGGTGAACTAGAAAGATAGGAAATCATGATTGTGAGGGGGTGTTCTGTAGGGTTTTGACGATGAACCTTTTGATATGTGCTACTTGGAAATAACCATTTTTTAAATGAGTTGCAACATTTTGAATCAGCATGTCCAGAGATTTAATTTTCTATGTGATTCAAAAAATGATGTAAGAGTCAGAAAAATGATTTTCTTTCATTTTATTTTCTATTTACTAATCTGCTATTGGTTTTACAACAGGGCAGAAGAGACAACTATCCATTTAATCTAAGTTTAGAGATTGGCAGAAAAGTCCCTCTGTTTTATTGAGAAAGGCAGGAATCATACACTTTGGGGTCCTAAAGATTCTAAGCAGGTCTCTGTTAAAATTGCATGCAGGTCACTGGGGAGCTAACCCCTCAACTGCTGATTTGCTATGTGAGTGATGTACAGCAGGCTGGGGAGGGGAACCAAAGCAAGGTGCTCAAACTACAGCAATGCAAAGCAGTTGGGAGACATAGGCAGCCTTTATCTCCCAGCTGTTTTTCTTGAAGATGATTAGAAAAGCATAGAAAAAAGTCAGAGGGTGTACAAAATTTAGCGTTATTTAAAGTCCAGTGGGAACAGCACTTTGTTCTATTCCAAAACAAATTATAATAGAGAGAGAGAGATCTTGTCCTTCCCACACCCCATCAAACTACACTTTATGCAGCTAGACCATTAGTGTTATGATACCATTAGCACTTTGAGAATTCTGTTCTCTGACTGAAAAAGAAAAAGCACATTGTTTATGGAAGGGTCTGTAAAAGGAAATTGCGGGCTAGTTTTCAACCCTGTGATTCAGCCTCATATATTTACTATCTACCCGAAATCTTTGCCGGCAACATGCCATTCTATCCCCGTCTGTCTGCTACGAGGCTATCATTTAGAAAACATTAACTGAATGCCTCCTGTGTGCTAAGTGCTAGGAATGAATAATCAGGTTCCAGTTCAACACATTCACACACACACACACACACACACACACAAGAATTGATGTGAAATTACGTTTTCTGTGCTTATTTATTTTTGGTGCATGCACAAAAATGTACTTTTTAAATGAAAGAAGCCTCTCGGTGCCGTGAAAGAGCTTTACCTTTGGACAAAGTTAGAATGGATGCTAAGATCACTTTGGCTTTGCTTTCCAAGTCTCTGTCCTCTGCTAGCTTTTTTAGTTTTATTCATGGGTGGTATGATATTCCTGGCCTTATAAGGGGTATAAGTAAAATATCATACTTGCCTTTTATGTTATCAGAAATTGGGCTGCACACAGGAACCGTCAGTGTCTGAAAGGAAATCACATGGTCCTAGTTGATAAAAGGCAGAACATCCAAAATATACCACCCGTGTCCTGCTTCTCTCCCCTTGTTCCTTTCTCTCTGATTTCATAGAGAATGTGTCCAAGGGGGAAATGAGTTTTCTGTAGATAAATCAGTTGGCCAGTCCACAGTATTGAGCTTCCAGTGGACAGGTCTGAGAAATGGGGAAAAATACAAAGAGGTTGAGATGACAGTAAGTAGGAAAGGTAAAAGCATTTTGCATGTAGAAGAAAAATCATTTGGGGTGTGCACTTGCTTTATTTCTGGGTTTTAGTTTGTGATCAGAAAACTAGCAGAAGCTGATGAAAATAGGAAAGCATTTCTTTTCTCCTATTGTGTTCTTTAAAAAATATATTTCGCCAAACAGATATTTTATAAAATCTGGCTTCCTTCCCCATAGATAAATTCCTTTGAAAGGAGTCTGTAGGTTTAAAGGTTGCTTCAGAATACATTTAAAATTAATCTTTAAAATTAAAGGCATTAGTGAATTTTAAAATTCCATTGAATATATGTTTATGTGTAAAGATGTTTGAATACTTTTTCTTAGGGAAAAAAGGGATTTTAAAAAAGAAATATTAGCACTTAGAATTTAAACCAGCTTTTAAATGATACATCCTATATATAAATTTTAGCATCATTTTTCAATATTTTTAAAATGCAATGAAGATCTCAATGGCAGGTGAAAAATGATATCTGCAAGTGATTTTTTAAATGGGAGCTTATTCAATTTTGTAATTATAGCTGTATGTGAAGAACAAACAAAATACATGTGCAAAATATAATAACAGCAATATCTGCCTGGTATTTCTAAAGGACTTTGGTTACATATAATTCTTGTACGCATGATAAGAAAAGGAATGTTAATTTTTAACTCAACAAATACAGCGTTCCTATAAGGTGGTCTGTACAGTATATTGGTTTGTATAATTCACACATTAAGTGAAAGGAAAGAAAGAGATGAGGAGTGGAAACACTTATCTCATACTCTTGTCTAGTTGAATATTGTTTTTTCCATCTTTGACATTTGAATTTTGTAGTACAGTGCAGTATGAGGTGTTTAAAGCCTATAAACTGTTATTTAACTAATACTGTTTTCTAAAATACTTTCCATGATCTAAGAAAATAATTTCTAGTTTCTTGGGCTATGTATTAACTGGGCATTCTAAAACGTCACTTCTCATCACTCCCATGATAGTACAATTTCCTGCTTCCCTCCTAAATCGCTAGTGCTCCACCAGTCTCCTTTGCCAGCTCCCTTCCTTTGCCTGCTCCTTCTTCTTTGGCCACCAATGTTTCCGGTTTCAGGAAGTGGAACCATATTCTGGCCAGGTTTCCAGCCAAGAGTCTTGACATTTGTAGCAGACATTGCAGGGATCCTACCAAATCTCCTTGGCACTTATTTTCATACACATGAACTTAAGGCCTCTGTCTGATGCAAGTTTTTGCCTGCAGGCTTTCTCTGGCCACTGGAGCTCCTCTTGGCTCAAACCCAGGCAGGTGAGCAGTGCGGGTGGGGCTAATGCCCCCCGAAAAGCAGCCATGAGTCTGTGACTAACATGATTTGATGGATAAGTAACCCATCTTCCTCATCTCTTAGGATAGCTAAAGTGTGTTCCACACTGTCTCCCAGATTTCCCCACAGTTGCCCACAGTGGTAACCACTTAACTGTCTCCATGCCCCTTCTGGATCTGGTGTTCCTCACGTGGACCACTGTAGTTCCCAGAGTCTGCTCATTTGTGTCCCATCATTCGGTCTAGCCCTTCTCCAGTCCATTCTGTTTTTCTATTATGGTAAAATATACCTAATGTACAATTTACTGTATTAACTGTTTTAGGTGTACAGTTTAGTGGCATTAAGTACATTCACATTGTTGCACAACTATCACCACCATCCATCTCCAGAACCGTTGCATCTTCTCAAACAGAAACTCTGTACGCATTAAGCAATAACTCCCCATTCCCTTCTTCCCCAGCCCCTGGCAACCATCATTCTACTTTCTGTCTCTATGCATTTGACTGCTCTCAGTTCTTATATGAGTGGAATCATACAGAATGTGTCCTTTTGTGTCCGGCTTATTTCACTTAGCATAATATCCTCAAGGTTCATCCTTCTAGTTCATTCTTACAATAAAGGAAGTACAACTTGTGAATTGGGAAAAAGCAGATTGGATATTTTTTAGTCACAAAACATATTTATTGTCAGAAGTGAAGCAAACAAAGTTGTTCAAAGACAAAGCTAAATATTTGTCGAACTTCACCTCATTCCTGCCCTCCTGAGGTGACCTGTGTTAACAGCCTGGTGTATTTCCTTTCACACGTTTCTCCTGGAAGGGCAATTTTTCTAAAATGTAAATCTCATGAGATTTACTCTTCTGCTTCAGATCTTTCCATGGCCCTCCATTACCCCCAGGATAAAGTCTGAAATGATGGTTATGGCCCAGAAACACTGCAGACCTGAACTTGGCCTACTTCGGATGCCTTGTTTCCCGTGGCTCTTCCTAGGGCCTGTAGCTACACTGATCCACTTTGAAGTTCTCGAATAATCTGCAACCTCTGGCCTTTGTACCTGCTTCTGTCACGTGTAGTCTTCCTAGTTCTCCTCCCTCCCACCCCTGACCTAGGTAACTTTTGATCATTCTTCCAAATATATTTTAAAATTCACTTTTAGGGGTCCTTCCTCTTGTCTGACAGACCTGTGTGAACTACCTTAGCGCCTGCAGCCAGAAAAAAAAAAAAAAAAGCTTTTGGGCAAAGAGTCAGTCACTGTAGTTCAAATAAACAATGGTTGTTCGTAGAAGTGAATGAGGAGGGAATATGGGTATAACATCGACAATACCTGCTACAACATTTTTCATGAAAACCTCTGAATCACTTGAAAAAGTAATGACAATAATCAATCTTATTGAGTTCTAAAATTTTATCTTCATAAGATTTTTAAATAATAGCTTTGTTGAGATATTATTCACATACAATTCACCCATTTCAAATGTACAATTCAGTGGATTTTCATAGATTCACAGGGTCTTATGATCATCACCCCAATGTAATTTTTGAACATTTTTGTTTCCCTAAAAGAAAACTCCACATCCCTTAGCAGTCATTCCTCATTCCCCATCACCACCGTCAGTCCCTCAGCTCCTTACAACCATTAATCTACTTTCTGTCTCTAGATGTTTGCCAATTATGAACATTTTATACAAATAGAATCAAACACTGTGTGACCTTCTGTGTCTGGCTTCTTTCATTTAGCATCATGTCTTCAAGATTCATCCATGTGGTAGCATGTATCAATATTTCATTCCTTTTTAAGGCCAAATAATATTCTATAATATGGGTGTGCCATAATTTGTTTATCTTTTAATTAGTTGATGGACATTTGGGTTGTTTCCACTTTTTGGTTATTATGAATAGTGCTGCTATGAACATTCTTGTACAAGTTTTTGTGTGGAGATATTTTTATTTCTCTTCGGTATATACCCGGGAGCGAAACTGCTAGATCATAAGGTAACTCTTTGTTTAACCTTTTGAGGATCACCCTCTTAAGATTTTAAAGTACGATCTGCAGTGATTTACTGAATGTCACATAGTGCAGGTACACCTACAAAGCCATCATTTTGTGCTGCCTCCTGGATAGAGGGTAGAGATGCCTGGATTACTGGGTTGCCTGTGTCTCTCATATGCTTTTCTGAGATGGTTGGTGCTGGGAGAGATCCTTTGGGAAAAACTCTTAGCCTGTTCAGCTTCTTTAGGTAAGATGCTGTCCTGAGGCTGACCCAGTTCTGTCTAGTTCTGACCCAGTTCCAAACATTAAGTAGAGCATCCATGTACCATGCCAAGCCATACCCTTCCCGTCCTTTAAAAGCTGACTCTGGGCCATCTTGAGTGTTGAAATCAAACCTAAACCTCCTCTATGTAGTTAATCCCAAAGCCCAAATAAGATATCATATTGGCAGGAATAAATCCACTCATCAAAGTTTATCCATCCATTGTTTGAGGTGATTGTTTCCTGGATTGTAGGTATTCCTGGAAAATAATGTGAAACAAGGTAAGCTTCCAGGAATGAAATGCAAACTAAATGGAAATTAAGACACATTCATAAATGTGTCTCACAAGACCAATGAAGCTAAAACATTTATCACTAAGAAAATGATTATCCAAAACAATTATCCTAAACAGTAAGCATTTGGTAAGTAATATCATATATACGTATACAGATAATGTATGTATGTATTGTATATATATTTATATGTTTATAAAATAAACAAAATGCTTCACATGAAAACTCCAACTAGAGAAAATACGTATATATTTAATGTGTGCATATATGAAATGCGTTTACTTACATGAATATATTTATATATACATATATTTTGACATTATGTTTAACATGTAGTAAGTATTCTCCTTAGCCTAGAGTTACAGATAGTGATGCCAAGTTCAGTCCCTTAATTGATGAACAATAATTATGTTGTATTCATCAGTTTAAAAAGCATAATATAAACAATGTTATTAAATTCCAAGATTTACACTGTAATCTAATAGAGATGTATTGGTGGTGTTAAAACAGCAATTAAAAGAAATAGCTCCCTAGCCTTGAAAAAATAATATGCATCTTTCTCTCCATCTCCCAATCTGATCATTAGCTTGTAATTGAAGTAAATTTCATAAAATACCAAGTAGTTGACTTTGGGATGGCATTTCTATCAATTTACTTGTATCCATTATTTTTCTGAAATAGAGAAGGTTAGTAGCAATATCAAGGAAGGTGGACTGTGATTTATAGAGAAGTTTGCAATTATGTGACTAAGTGCTTAATTTAGGGATCTCAAAAGTATAAATTTACAAAGAAAGTTGATCAGTTGTGAAGATAATTCAGGAAATAGTCCAGTAAATGAAATTGCCCATGTAGTATCATGACTAAATAGGGGTTTTTTGACTAATTCTGGGTGAATTATAATTATTTTTATAAGTTCATTTTAAAGACCTACCATTTAAAGACAACCACTCTTAACTTTGGGTATATATTTTTTCCAGCCTCTTGAAAATATATTCATTTATTTTGGCTATGTGTGTGTGCGCACACGTGTACCACACATTTATATTTGCTGTCATAGTATAGACACGATTTTTTATCTTTTCACCTGATTTTCTATTATAAGCATTTTCCATATTATTACAGTCTTTATGAACATAATTTAAGTAACGTCAAATAAGGCATACCAAAACCTACTTAACTAATACCAGACTATTGGACGTTATGTATTATGTGTGTGTGTTGTTATTATAAATGACAGTGCACTAAAGATATTCAGAAATAATTACTTTTTCCCATATTTGGTATTCTTCCTTAGGATTGACTCATAAGGTAATAATTCCTGATTTTAAAATATGGACAGTTTAATGTTTTTGACAGATACTGCCAAATTGTTTTTCTCAAGTACTTTACCAATTACTCTTCCAGCCAGCTTTGTTTTATCACACTGTTGGGATCACTTAATAGCATCCTTTGCTTTATCAATCTTTTTCAAATTGAGAGTGAATGTGGTATTCTAACTTGGGAGGTGAAAAATGGTTATTTTTCATTTTTAATTGCTGGCAAAGTCAAATATTTTTCTTGTGTCTCTTATTCAATTATATTTTCTGGGGAGGTTATTTTTATTTCATTTTTTTGACTTGTGGTTAGAATATGGGGTGGAATCCATTCTTCTTTCTGAATGAACCAGTATTTGTTTATGTTTCTGAACTGGGTAGGTAACTCATAAAAGAAATGTTTTAGCCAAGCTGTTGAGTTGCATTCTCTGCCTTTAAGAGCCTTTATGCCCTTCCGGTGCATGTATTCAGTGAGTGTCCCAACTACTTCCAGTGTACAGATTTCACACCCAGGTGTATGGCCAATAGCCACAGGGTGAGTCCTGATACTGCAATTAAAGTGGCCTAATCCAATAAGTAGACTTCCTTGAACATATTTTCTGTGTGGTATTAGTGTATGTAAAATTTGTGATGTAATTCTACTGCTTTCACAAGCCTTTAGTGAAACTCAGTGGATTCAAAACTCACTTTTCCTAAGATGACTCCCAAATCTCTATATTTTCAGCTGAGTTAACAAATGTGAAAATAAATAAATGTTTATTGGCTTTGAATTTGGGTCAGTTAAGAGAGACAAGGAATTGGGGAAGCATGAGATAACAGAGGGACATAGTAAGACATAGCACTAAGAATTTACATGGAGAACCCCACAAAAATACAATACAGGGTAAAGGAAATAAAGACTCATAGAATCAAACACAAATCCAGAGGGACAAAGAAGCACAGAAGAACATAATATCATTGCATAATTTTCTGGGTTTAGAATTTTGTCACTAAAGACATATAAAATGTTGTAATTTTGCAACTGTGGGTGTAAGGGGTGACATTGCCATTTTGAGTTGGCAAAGGATTTACTTCTTTGTTCAGGAGGAATTTGAAAAGTAGCACGGGTTTCTCAGGTCTGGATTATACCTCTCTTCAACATGACGGAATTGGCCGTTCCTGTTACAGGAGGCTTTACCTTTCAACTTGGGTTGCTGACTCATTTGACAATTTTGGACCATGCCCACAGCTTGAGAGTACAGAGAGTTTGTTCAAAGTACTTAAAAATAGACACACACACACACACACACACACACACACGTTTCAGCTGGAGCATAATGCTAAAATACATTTAAAATGTAAGAAATTTCTGTAAGTAGCTAGTACAGCATTGAATAGGTATCTTTCTTTTCAATAATCTAACAGTGCAGGCCTAGAATTTAAATACCCCAGAGGAATTAATAATTAACAAAGCCCTTAAAATAACTCTTTAAAATTTCAGGTGCTTACATGACATTCAGCAGGGGAAGCATTTTAGTTTTCTGACAAGTGCCCAAAATGGTGTTACTGATGAAAGGAGACTGTAGATTTTAGACATGAGGCAGATAAGCTATGGAGCTAACATTATGCTATTGATATTTGGGGGTCTGTTTTGAATCCTTGTCCAGGTGGAAAACTACCCTTCTGCACTGGTACTTTAAATTTTTTCCTTGACAAAATTTTGTATTAAATTTGTAGTTAAAGAAACATTTGGAACAGAAAATTTGGGACTAAAAATTTTGGAGGATAACTGTGATCAAACGGTCACCTTGACATTAAAATACGTTTTTGATACATCAGGTTTTGAGGAGGAATGCATTCTGATGGCCGCACTAGCGTTAGTTCTTTGCAAAATGAGTTGCTCTTCATCCTTCTGAGGTGAATTAATTGACTCGTCTGAATTCTTTCCTGCCAGCAACAAATATTTGTTGAGGATGGCTACATGCCAGATATTCTCCCGGGTGCTAGGGATAAAGCAGGAAATAACACACGCAAGATCTCTGCTTTCACAGAGCTTATTGTCTAGTTGGTGGAGGGGCAGTCACATAATAAATTACCAAATGGACCAACAAAATAAATACTTAGCTACCTACAAAGTACTGCTAGTGATAAGTTAATCGATGAAAAGTAAAATAGGATGCAGTAATGAAGCAGAGTCAGGAAATACCTCTTCCTTAGAGAGAACATTCAAACTGAGATCTGCGATCCTGAACATGTAACTATCAGGGAGGTGAGCATTACAGAATGTGGGAACAGTTACTGTAAATCCCCTATGGTGGGAACAACCCTTGCATTTTCAAGGAACAGAAAGAAAAACAATGTGGCTGTAGTAGAATGAGCAAGGGGTGGTAGGAAAGACAACTAAGCAAGAGTGAGGTCATATGGGGCCCTGTAAGGTAAGTTACAGGGTGGGACTCCTGTTTGCAATGGAAGTCATTAGAAGATTTGAAATACAGAAGTGTAATGAGTTGGATTTTGTTTTGAAAGATACCCTGAGATGTGTAATTTGATATCTTAGAAAGGCAAGAATTGAAGGAGTTGCAGGCTTTTGCAGTAGTCCCCAAAAAAGACGATATTGTCTTAGACCAAGATGGTATTAGTAAGAATGCTGAGAAATGGTTGTATTCAGGTGACACTGACTTGCTGATGTATTGACTGGAGGCCAGAGTGGTCAGGAAGAAAAAGAATCAAGGACAATTCCTGGATTTTGGCCTGAAAAACTGGGTGAATTGTGGTAACATTATTGAGATGGAAATGACTAGAGAGGAACTGATTTGGGAAAGGAAACTTAAAAGCTCTGTTTGGGACATGTTATATTTGACATGATTATTACATAGAGGAAGGCACAATTAAGTAGGCAGTTTACATATCAAGTCTGAAGTTTCAAGGCTATGGAACTGGTTGAGATCACCTGTGAATAATTGAAAAAAGAAGAGGCTCAAAAGTGGAGTCCTGGGACTCTCCAATGTTTAGAGGTTGGGAAGAGAAGAATCCAGCAAAGGTATTTAAGAAGCAGCAATGAGTTAGAGAAGAAACCCATGAAAGCCTGTGGTTCAGAAACAAGTGAAGACAGTGAGTCAAGAGGGAAGGCATGACCAAATACTGCTAAGAGAACAAGTCATTTAAGGACAAAGGTGTGCCCACCAGATTTGGCAATATGAAAATCACTGACATCTTTGACAAGAGCAGTCTCAGTGAAATAGTAGAGATGAAAGTCTGACTGGAGTGAGTTGGGGAAATAGAGATGGGGAAATAGATGCAATGTGTATAGATTATTATTTGAAGAAGTGCTATGAAGGGATTCAAAGGGAAAGGGAGGTATTTGACCACATATTTTTTGAAGATGGAAGATACCAGAACATGCTCATGTGCTCATGGTAATGATCCAGGACAGAAGAAGAAATTGATGATGTAGGAGAGAAAATATATGATTAGAGGATCGAAGCCCTGATAGGGATGGAATCTAAAAACTGCATGGAGGATTGGCTTCCTTAAAGAAATAACACTTCATTTAAGTCATAGGAGGTAAAACTTCACATACAGGCAAAGGTGAAGGTGTGTGTATAGGCGGGTTGATTATGGAAAGATGAACAAGTTCTTTTACTTTCTCCATAAAAATGAGGCATGATCATCAGCTGAAGAGGGATGGAGGTCGGATGGTGTCATGTAGGAAGTTTAAGAAGAAAAGCTATAAAGCAGCCATTTTGTACAATGGAAAATTAAAAACTATTGCTCAAAAATATGATTCATTTAATTGTAGGAAGGCATCTGTCAAATACGGTGGCCTTAATTTCAGAAAAGAGATGTTAAAGTATTCTTTCTGATGATGATTAAGCAAAAGATACTGCTCAGATTGCTCCAGGTTTATGATAAAAATGTTATCGACAGAAAAAAAACACCTGGATTTGTTTTTGATTTGGGGCGACTGAGCAGATATCCTAAAGTGAATGGGGAAACTAGATCTCAGCCACAGGCACCCCTGTAATAATTTGCCCAACCAGCAATAGGTATTTTGTTTTTCTCTAAATCTTTGCACTAGTGGTAATTTTTGTATGCCAGGTCTTCTTCTGATACTTGACCCTGACAACTGCATTCAGGGCGTCTCACTGAGATCTATCTAGAATGATTCTTTTTTTAAGTGTAAATTATCTCAAAGGGATTGAACCTAATGAAGGTATAAGTAATTTCATCTGAGTTCCATTTGAGGCCTTGTCTTCACAAACATTGCCAGCTTGTTTTGGCTTTTGTTAAATCGTTTTATCAAACCACGAGCTGCGTTTTGGCCAGACATGGAAAGGTTTCAACCTATCTCCAATCTGTTGGTATGAAATAACAGGAAAAGCCTCTTTCCAAAAATAATCTGAGTGAAAAGTTAAAAATTATGGAGCTCCCCAAAGATTCTTGCGCATTTAGATGCAAACTCTGCCTCAGTCTGCCTTCTCCTAGCCTGCCATGGTATCCTCCTTCTTATGGGTGATCTAGTAAGGGATAAAGTATTTACTGCTGTGGAAAATCCACACTAGGGAGTCCTAACACACCCTGGGGCCTGGTTAGGGCAAATTCTCTCGAGGAGGTGACACTTGAACTGATTTTGGGGGATGAGGTGGAATTACATGAAATCTCAGCAGAACGAAGGCATGGAAACACTAAACAGCGCAGAGTGTGAGAAGAACCACAATGAGGGGAAAGGAGTTCAGTGTTGCCAGAGTATAGGATGTGGAGCAGAAGGAAAGAAGGCTAGAGAGGTTGGCAGAGGGCAGGTCTTGCTAGGTATTGCAGGGTATTATGGGTAAGATGGGATATGGAACCTGAAAGACTGAAGCATGAAGCCCAGGATTTAGGTTTGAGCTCCTAGCCCAATGACTGGGCCCAAGTGATAAGGCAGAAGGAAACCTGGGAAAATGAGTAGGATTTGATCATGTATTGGTTCAGGTTTGTCAATGAGCCCTACATTGTAAATATGCTTCACATACAGGAGGGAGGAATTTCCTCAGTGGGTTGACAGAAAGCCCTGTTGGGGAATAGGAAGAGCCTCCATCTTTGGAGCCATGCAGGCAGCTGACTTGAATCTGCGAGGGCTCAGGAAAATGGTGTCTGTCTTTGCTGAAGCCACATTCCTATTAATGGAATGAGGCCTAGATGGTAGCTTAGATCAGAGGTTCTAAATTGGTAGCCCATGGACCAAATCTCTCACAAGTTGGGGCTGGCTCGCCAGTGTTTTAAAATTTGATTTTAGTGTTTTTATTCAGCTCTCCAAAGCCCTTGCTGTTGGCTATTGTTTTACACTTGCCCATCTCACACTTTACCTACTATTCTATTCAGCTCCCTGGGACTTTTGGGTTTCCAAGTCCTAACTTAGAATGAAAAATGAAGACGAAATCTTGCCAGAACCTCAATATCTCTGACTCCGAGACAAGTCCAGGCAACGTAACTTCCAGAAGCTAGCACTCGGGAGGTGGGAGGTGGAAGTTGTTTTCAGAGCAGCAAGAAATTGGGGAGGAAATTCTTTGCAGCCATATTGGCAGGGTCTTTCCTTTCTCAGGAAGGCAGAGGCCAGGGTGGGATGGACCGCAGGACTCCAGGAAAGTGCTTTGGGGATGTTAGCCTTGCTGCAAGATTTAATTTTATGTGGAGATGATCACAGAATAGGTAGTTTGTGGCCAGGAGCAGTGGCTCATGCCTGTCATCCCAGCACTTTGGGAGGTTGAGGTGGGCAGATCATCTGAGGCCGGGAGTTTAAGACCAGCCTGACCAACATGAAGAAACCCCATCTCTACTAAAAATACAAAATTAGCCAGGCGTGGTGGTGCATGCCGGTAATTCCAGCTACTTGGGAGGCTGAGACAGGAGAATGGCTTGAACCCGGGAGGTAGAGGTTGCGGTGAGCTGAGATTGCGCCATTGCACTCCAGCCTGGGCAACAAGAGCGAAACTCCATCTCTCTCTCTCTCTCTCTCTCTCTCTCTCTCTTCTTCTCTCTCTCTCTCTCTCTCTCTCTCTCTCTCTCTCTCTCTCTCTCTCTATATATATATATATATATATATATATATATATTTAAAGAATAGGTAGTTTGTGTTGAGGGGCTGGAGGAGGATTTCTAGTCAATGGTGTTTGTGATGGGATGCTAGCGGTGTAGAAAGGCCCTGGATCCAATGCTTTTACCTTAAATGAAAAAAAAAAAAATTAAATTGTAGTTAAATGGAACAAGAGAAAATAATGTGAAAGTACAGTTGACCCTTGAACAATACAGGCTTGAACTGCTCGGGTCCACTTACATGTGGATTTTCTCTGTCTCTGTCACCCTTGGGGCAGCAAGGCCAGCTCCTCCTCTTCTTCCTCCTCCTCAACCTACTCAACATGAAGACAACAATGATGAAGCCTTTTTGATGATCCACTTCCACTTAATGAATAGTAAATATATTTTCGCTTCCCTGTGATTTCCTTAGTAACATTTTCTTTTCTCTAGCTTACTTTATTGTAAGAATGCAGTATATAATACATATATCATACAAAGTATGTGTTAATGGACTGTCTATGTTATCAGTAAGACTAACGGTAGGCTAACAGTAATTGAGTTTTGGGAGAGCCAAAAGTTATACATGGATTTTTGACTGTACAGGTGGTTGGTGTCCCTAACCCTTGTGTTGTTCAAGCGTCAACTATAGATATAAGCAGAAGGTAAAATCTACTATAATTGAATTTTTAAAACACTAGGATTTCAGCAGGTTCTTTTATCAGAATTAAAATAGTTGAGGGGCCAGGTGTGGTGGCTCATGCCTGTAATCCCAGCACTTTGGGAGGCCAAGGCAGGCGGATCGCCAGAGGTCAGGAGTTCGAGATCAGCCTGGCCAACGTGGCAAAACCCTGTCTCTACTAAAAATACAAAAATTAGCCGGTCATGGTGGCGTGTACCTGTAATCCCAGCTACTCAGGAGGCTGAGGCAGGAGAATTGCTTGAACCCAGGAGACGGAGATTGCAGTGAGCTGAGATGGTGTCACTGCACTCCAGCCTGGGAGACAGAGCAAGACTCCATCTCCAAAGAAAAAAAAAGTTGAACGCTGCTTAAAAAATCATGTAGAGTTTTGGGGTTTTTTTTGTTTTATATTTATTTTTTATTTTTGCTTTTTCAAGGGCAAATTCCTGAATGCTGGGGGGAGATGCTGTTTCTCCATGGTGATGGAAGACATGTTTTGTCTCTTCAGATTTAGGCTGCTGCCAGAGACACCGACTGTAGACTAAAGCAGGGAGAATTAGCTCCAAAGCACTGGGACAGAGGCCATCTGCTTGTGAAAGCAGCTTCTAAGAAAACATACCTGTTCCCCTATCCCTTCCTGCTCCTTCCCACAGGTCACTTGCCTTAATGGTGTTTGCCAAGAGAGCCATACCTTTGCCTTTTCTCATTGCATTTGTTTATCTGTTTCAAATTCTGTATGCAAGGCCCATTCTAATTGAGTCAATAAAATAAAATTCTCTAGGAGTCTGGTTGTTGTGTTATGACTTCCAAGAGTCCTTGTTTTTGTTCTCTAACTACAGTTATGTATTGTAATACCTTTATGTTGTCTCTCTATTTTAGCAGGAAGGGTGCCACTCAATCCCCAGTGACAGATGAAGAAGCAGTTGTAGCTTCTGCATTGCTGTTTCAATGATACCTTTAGCTCTGGATAATGCCCCTGGTTATGTATGTTGCTCACAGCTTCAGTGCACATACACACATACACACACACACACACACACACACGTATATGCTAGACACTGAGCATGAGTCTGTGCCCTCCTATGTGGGTCAAAGTCTATACACTGTTAGGATGGGACTGTACAGTTTTAATATGAGTCTTTCGGGTTAGGCTTTAAGAAAAGAAGAAGAATCTGCTTGGCTTGTGATTATTGAAGCCAATGTTTTTAATGCCAGAACTGATTCTTCTACCACTTGTGACTTCTGTTTGAAAGTTGCTATTAAGGTCTTAAGGAAAGGATTTTCCCACACACATGTTTCTGAATAACCTATTCTGGTCAAGTTCACAGTCTTGACCTGCCACCATGTTTCATCCTACCTGGTCTGGGTGCCCAGAGACCTGGAGCATCTGAGCTGGCAGGATGGAACTTCTTGTGCCTGGGCGTGCCAAAACTTTTCCTTGACACTGAGAAAGACAATGAGGCTCTGAAGCCAGAAAATGTCTCGGTGAGTTGAATAGTTACATAAATGTCATTGACAATCATTGAATTTTAAAGTAGAGTTGTACACTTCAAAAATGCTACAGAATTTGTATGAAGCATAGGACTTGTATAATCTTGGCAATGGCTGATTTTTTGATGCGAAGTTCAGGAAGCTTTATTTCTCACTTAAGTTCTAGATTATTCACATCCCCTCATTATTATTTACTGCTCTGTGTTGAATGGAGAAAGGCCTCTCCTTTATTGTGTTGCTTACAGCTCCAAAGCTGGAACTTAGATTTCATTTTATTTTACTTTAAGTTCTGGGATGCATGTGCAGAACATGCAGGTTTGTTACATAGGTATACATATGCCATGGTGGCTTGCTGCACCTATCAACCTGTCATCTAGGTTTTAAGCCCTGCATGCGTTAGATATTTGTCCTGAAGCTCTCCCTCCCATTTCCCCCACCCCCTTACAGGCCCCGGTGTGTGATGTTTCCCTCCCTGTGTCCATGTGTTCTCATTGTTCAACTCCCACTTATGAATAAGAACATGTGGTGTTTGTTTTTCTGTTCCTGTGTTAGTTTGCTGAGAATGATGGCTTCCAGCTTCATCCACGTTCCTGCAAAGGACATTAACTCATTGTTTTTATGGCTGCACAGTATTCCATGGTGTATATGTGCCACATGTTCTTTATCCAATCTATCAGTGATGGGCATTTGGGTTAGAACTGAGATTATTAAGCTTTGTCACTATGAGGCTCACCCAACTGCTTACTTAACATCTGTTTGGGCTAATGCCCCATTTCCCAGTTCCAACAGGTCACTCGAAATAGTGCTTCTGCTAGGAACTCCCTCTCTGCTCTCTTACCCTCTCCCAACTTCTCAGCACTACTGACAACATAAGAAAAACCATTCTGGAGTGGCTACCCAGGGTTTTCATCACCATGTTATCCCCAAATAAGCCCAAATAAGTTTAATTAACAATGAAGTTAGTTAGTACAGAAGATAACATTTCCCATGTATATTAGTTGGCTAGGGCTGCTGTGACAAAATTCCACACCCTGGGTGGCTTATGACAACAGAAATGTATTGTCATATGGTTCTGGAGGCTGGAAGCCCAAGATCAAAGTGTTTGCAGAGTTGGTTCCTTCTAGGGATGTGAGGGAGAATCTGTGCCATGCCTCTCCCTTAGTGTCTGGTGGTTTGCTGGCGATCTTTAGTGCCTCTTGGCTTATAGAGGCATCACTCTATCTCTGCCTTCATTTTTTCATGGAGTTCTCCCTATGTGCATGTCTCTGTTTCCAAATTTCCTCCTTTTACAAGGACACCAGTGAGGTTGGTCTAGGGCCCACAATACTGACCTCATTTTAACTTGATTACCTCTGTAAAGACTATCTCCATATAAGGTCACATTCTGAGGTCCTAGGGGGTTGGAACTTCAACATATGAATTTTGAGGCATACTCAATTCATTTCACAACACCATGCTACCCAAATTTACTCATCTGGCCATCTTCCAGCTCCTCAGAGGTGGCAGCACACTTTCCCTTCCTCCTTGCTCTAGCTGAGGGCATTGCCCCCGGGCCTATCTTTGGTGTACCTTTTCCTGGGTGATCCTGCCAGACTGCATGGCCAGAAAAAAAACAGGGGAACTTTCCCTGTCCTTTTCCTTCTCATTTCATCGTTTTCTTTTCTTTTTTTTTTTTTTTTTTTTTTGAGACGGACTCTCGCTCTGTCGCCCAGGCTGGAGTGCAGTGGTGCGATCTCGGCTCATTGCAACCTCCGCCTCCCGGGTTCACGCCATTCTCCTGCCTCAGCCTCCCGAGCAGCTGGGACCACAGGCACTTGCCACCACGCCTGGCTAATTTTTTGTATTTTTAGTAGAGATGGGGTTTCACATCGTGATCCGCCCGCCTCGGCCTCCTAAAGTGCTGGGGTTACAGGCGTGAGCCACCGCGCCTGGCCCATCATTTTCTACTTTTCTGTAACTTGGCTGTACCAAATGCACTTCTGACCTCCCCAGGAAGCTCCCTTTCCAAATATCTGTAGTTAACCTCTTCCTTGCCTTCATGGTGCCTCTTCTGTTAGGCTTTGTTCTTTTCTAGAGGCACATCATGTTTTGGATATCACTCTAAGGAACCCACCACCAGTTTTAGCCACATTGACCAAATTGACCAGTTGCTTTAGGTATGTTTTTGAAAAAATATAAGGAGAACTTTCCGCCCTCAAGAGAATCACTTTTGTCCCCTGTTGCCCAATAAGTTATTAAAGACTAAGAAATTATATAAATGGTATATAGTATCTTTATGGAATTATGTGATACATTAACTTGGGGCTCTGAACAAGTCCAGCGGAATAGAAACCAGTTTAACTTTTTTCCAGAATTCTCTTACTATGAAATTTTTCAAAGAATTATACAGTCAACACTCATATACCAACCAACTAGACTCCACAATTAATGTTTTTGCTATATTTGCTTTATTCCAGTATATCCAACTATTTATCCCTCTCTCCATCTATCAATCTCTCTTGATTTTTGATGCATTTCAAAGTAAGTTACAGACATCATGACATTTCATCCCTAATTATCTTAGCACATCTATTCCTAAACAGCTTTGTTTAAATCAGCATTTCCTTATCGTATATGAACACAAATAAAACACATATTTTTATTCACATCTATTGGTGACACCCAAATTTTAAGCTCCACAGGGCAGACTTTGGGCTAGATGCTTTGGGGTCATAAAGATACTACCTCTGTAATGAAATCTCAGTTTATGTGACATTGCCACCCTGTCTCATTTGGGTTGATCACAGACTGAAAGGGGCCTAATTTAATCACCTTATTTTATAGATGGGGAAAGTGAGTCCCAGAAAGGTGGGGACTCTTGTCTGAGGTTATGCAGCCAGGAGGTGGCCTTTTGGGCATAAAGCTTTTTCTACTGAAGGGCAAAGACCTGGCTTCTTCTTGACCAGGTGGTGTTTTCATTTGGTTCTGGTCCTTGCACACTGCTGACTACCTTAGTCTTTGTTTCACAGGTTCTTGTTGGGGCAGACTCACTAGGCTCCTAGAAGATGGAAGCAGGGCCAGGCTTTGGCATCACTGAATGACTCCTTTGTAATTTTATTTCTTCCAATCACTGATTACATCACACTCAGACTTCTTTTCCTTGGCACCTCCCACATGTTGTCCTCTTTTTCTAGATTTCCTAATCTGTCTTCTCCTTTCTGGTGAAAGGGGATGTTTTCCTGGAGACGTAGTCAGCATACTCTATAGCAGACTTCTAACCCTCTTCATAACATTTGTAACACCCATCACAAAATGGGATCTGGGGAGGGGGTCACCCAAAGCAGAAATGGTAGCTCTTCAGTTTTATATTCTTCCTTAAAGATGCTTGTGATTCTAAAAATTGTGTTGGTAATCCGTAGGAGGGCTACTATCATAGTAGTGAAATATTTCATCCTCAGATCCCCATCAAAGAAATGATCATGGTATTTTAGAATAACTGAGGGAGTACAATTGCTTAAGGAAATGGATACCCCATTTACCTCAATGTGATTATTACACATTGTATGCCTGTGTCAGAATATTTCATGTGCCCCATAAGTACATCCACCTACTATGTACCCATAAAAATTAAAAATAAAAAAGGAAATGATCATGGCATCATATAATTATCTTCTATACTTAAAAAAAAATTTCTTGAGAGTATGTTTATGCATACACACTTCCTCTAATTCCCAGAAGGATTTGAGGCAGGTAAATTAAAAGTTTAATTTTATTTAACAGTTTTTATAATGAATAATATAGCACACAAACCCGAGAAAGACAAAGCTATAATTTCTGGGTTTGATTCCTTTATTCATGGGAGACTATGTTGAGATAAAGCAAAAACAAATTTTGTCTTCCACGATTACAATACATAAAAGATAGTCAACTCCTTTCAAACAACAAAGGGTAGAGACAAAAGCTTGGTTATTAAACAAGACTCATTATGATTGCTGACATTTTAGAAAATGCAATCATTTGCATATAAACTGTGATGAAGAGACAATTTTTATGGTTTTAGACATATTCTGAAAGACCTTGGAAGGCAATCTCATTCTAGTATCTCAAAGCGGCTGCATCTGGAGAAAGGTTTCTATGGCAACTTATGAAAGCTTGATGTTTTTTATCTTTTTCAAGAGCATAAATCATCCCACAGCCTGAGGCTTCAGTAAAGGTCTCCATTATTTTACAAGCTATTGCCATTTGTTTTCATGTTATATATTTTGATTGTCTTAGAGGAAAGAGAGCAAAGGTTATCATGTTTCCGAGAAGGCTTGGAGTCTATTTTCTCTTTTTTTCATTTTGTGGGACAAGACATGAATAACATCATTCTAAACATTGCTTCTCAATGATCAAAATGATGGTACACATTGCAATATTTGGTTTATGTCACGTGTTGTTTAGATTTTCCCCAAAATTGTGACTGGTGCATTCTCAGGAAGACAAGCCAGTTTGAACTTAAGGAGGAGGAACTATTTGGCCAAAACACCTCCTAATATGTAGTTCAGTAGAGATGCCCTGGAGAATGCTGCACTGTTCCACATGCCTGCAAATATTCCTCTAATGATACAGTCCCAAGGCTTTGGACATTGATAGACTCCAGGTGATTTTTATCAACATATTCTTTCCAAGAAAGTTAATTTAAAAATTCTGATTTTAAAACTCTGCATGTTTCAAGAATTTTGTTTTAGCAACATGGATCTCTGTATGTTATAGGAGGTAATAAGGCTGAGGCAACACCCATTAAGACAAAGAAACAGAACCAGGTTTCAGACCTAGCTCTGCCATTGCTAGGTGTATAACTGTGAGCAAACCCTTGAATCTCTTCGAACCTCCTTTTACTAATCCGAAAAATAGGAGTAACGGTGCCAGATTCATGGCATTATTGTTAAGGATTGAATGCGTGTGAGTGCTGGGAACTGTGCAATGCTGTACAAATGTAAGGTGGTTATTACTGTTGGCTGACTGTCTTTCTTTCCCTTTGAAAAAGTCAAAAGTTTATGTTACCATTTCTGGATGACCAGAGGAAATCAGTTTCAGTATGTCTTAAGTATTTTAGTTTCTTATACTGTATTTAAAATACTTATACAGACACTGATCACTACAGCCATTTATTTATTTATTTACTCAGTAATCAAATGTCACCCCTGTAGAAGGGTATTAAATAAATTCATTCAACAAACATTTAAGTGCCAACTGTGTACTAGCATTGAGGAGACAAAGAATAGACAATTAAATTCTTATTGTTCAGGAAATAAAAGTTTTCTGAGCTTCAAGGCCACAGCATAAGCTGTTCAGGTGGTGCCCTGCCCAAGGGCATTCGGCTGATGAAGTAGAAGGGGGATGTAATGCAGTCCCCCACTCTGCCAGCCAAGCCGTTTGCATGCACCTTGTGAGCTGCATTCGCCTGAATGAAGGACATGTTTTGGAAATTTACTAGCCAGGAGTGTGTGCCTTCTTGCAATTTACACGAAGGCATGCATGAATGTGCTAGCAGTGGCCCTGATGCTTGTATGATCCGTGATGTTAAAGGGAAGATTTGCAATGTTTCACTGTGAAATATGATGAAGGCTGCTGGCGTGCTTGTTATCTGGAGTCAGATTGCCTGAATTTGAATACTGGCTCTGCTACTTGCTAGCTGTGTGACCTTTGTGCACATTACTTGGCCTCTCTATGCTTCATTTTCTACATCTGCCTGCCTCATAGTTATTGGGAGGATAAATAAGTTCTTAAAACACATAGAATAGCAGCTGGCACACGGTCAATGCTCAAAATGTTAGCTGTTTTCAGTGATGGCTTTACTGTTCAGGGTCTCCTTGCTACTCTGTGTTGAAAAGTTCAACAATTAACATCTAAATTCTACCTACAAAAACCACTTTTCTTTTATGAATTTGATGTCAAATTGGTGATATTTATCTCCTTACCTCAGATCTTTTTGGTGTGTGTTTGTGTTAAATAACTAGAAAGTATTCTCTTCAGAGAAATCAGAGAATTCCAGTTATTTGATGAGAAGATGACTTGGTAGTTTTTAGAATTTTCTCATAAAACCACTGCTTTGTCAGAGTGATAGAGGTGATGAGGGATGTTTGCATATTATTGGCTTTTATAATCCCAGCACTTTGGGAGGCCGAGGCAGGCAGATCACCTGAGGTCAGGTGTTCGAGACCAGGCTGGCCAACATGGTGAAACCCCATCTCTACAAAAAGTACAAAACTTAGCCGGGCGTAGTGGTGCTTGCGTGTAATCCCAGCTACTTGGGGAGGCTGAGGCAGGAGAATCACTTGAACTCAGGAGGCAGAGGTTGCAGTGAGCCAAGATTGCGCCACTGCACTCCAGCCTGGGTGACAGAGTGAGACTTCGTCTCAACAAAACAAAACAAAACTAAAACAAACAAACAAAAATGACAACAACAACATAAAAAAAAAAACAGTCCCAAGGGAATGCCTATATAGTTTACCAGGATTACAATAGGGATTCTTTGAGGTATAGTGAATTTCATTGTCAATTTTGGTTAACATGATTCCCTCTCTCTCTTTTCATAACTTTAAACTGGGAAAGAGTCCTTATGTAGTATTTTCAAGACTATTAACTTTGCATTTTAATTTTTTAAAAAAGTTTTGTTAAATATCAAATTTTGATATGAAGAGTGTGAAACAGATTGACAAAGCCAAGCATGAGGCAGGTGGTGATTTTGATTTTACCCCTCCCTTTGTATTCTGGCTCCTCTAACTGCCCTTAAGACACTGTAAAGAGGGCACTTCTGTGTTACTGCCACTGTGTATTTCCCAGTCTCCCACAGCATCTAACTTGGGCCATTTTCTTGGCAAAAAACTAAAAGTGCAGAATGCTAATCATGTTGTACATCACTGATTTCT
Source organism: Homo sapiens (assembly GCF_000001405.40). NCBI lineage: Eukaryota > Metazoa > Chordata > Mammalia > Primates > Hominidae > Homo > Homo sapiens. Next base: position 43,848,059 of record NC_000023.11, on the reverse strand, counting down.
AAGTATTTAAAAAATTTGGGTGTCTACTCGTAATTGAGATTGTCATCACTTTTATGAAACCTTTTCCAAGTAAACTTCTCAGAAGAGAGATGCAATATTTTTATAATTTCATAACATCAAATATTAGTCTACCATTATTTGTGTGTGCTGTGCTATGATTATTCATCCAAGGGCCTGTCATGGGGACATAGGGACTGCTTCTGAAAGTGCCAAATTACCATTTGGTTGTGAGATTATAATTGATACTGCATGTTAAATTCAAGTGTCATTAGCTTTTTAAAAAGATGAAGTGATGATAAGCTTGCTCCTAAATTGTTTGCAAAGGTTAAATATCTAAGAGAAAAGCTGGTATTTAAGATTCTTATATTTAGTCAGATAGTAGAATGTTTTAAGACACTTTATATCAATCAGTGTATATGTAGAGTTACTGTGTTTTTAATTTTTTGTTTTTTGTCCAAGGGTAGTGGCTAAGAGTTCAGGTTTTGGGTTGAACTCTGACTCTGCCACTTACTAATTGCGTAACCTACAGTTAAGTCACTGAATGTCTCTAAGCTGCCATTTTTTCTTTTTAAAATGAGGATAATAATATTCCTCAGCATTGTGGTAAGGATCAGTTGAGCTTTTTGTGTAAAGCGCTTCACCCAGACCAAAGTGCTTCATGAGTTATGATGGTGGCTGTTATTACTCTGGGCATTTTATTTTATTTTATTTTTTTAAGACAGAGTCTCACTCTGTCACCCAGGCTGGAGTGCAGTGGCATGGTCTTGGCTCACTGCAACCTCCGCCTCCCAGATTCAAGTAATTCTCCCTGCCTCAGCCTACCGAGTAGTTGGGATTACAGGTGCCCGCCACCACACCCGGGTAATTTTCGTATTTTTAGTAGAGACGGGGTTTCCCCATGTTGGCCAGGCTGGTCTTGAACTCCTGACCTCAGGTGATCTGCCTGCCTCGGCTTCCCAAAGTGCTGGGATTACAGGCGTAAGCCACCGTGCCTGGCCAGTATTTTCATTTTTAACAAACAAATTGTTAATTGCATTATATCAGGAGATTATTGCATAAGTGTTTAAACAGTGGCGATTACATTGTCTAATGTTTTAAGGCAAATGTATTTCTGCTACTGTATGATTTTTTTTTGCAATAGTATTGCACTCAAAAATTTTCATACTTCCCAGAGGATATACCATCTCTCATATTTTTGTTTCTATGGCAAAATGTATTAAAAGTTCCAAACAACCAACATAGAAAAGAACTCTTGGGAAATAACTGTCTTTAGGTGAGGGATGCTCTGTAGAGTTCATTGTTTGCTTAGTCCTTGAGCAGTCAAACTATTAGTCCTTTTATCAGTCATCATTGAGGGAGGTTTTTGAGCTACCTCTTCTAGACAATCTTAATCACCTCTTGACCAGACTCCAACTCAGTTTCCTATGTACCCTAAAATTCCCTCCTTCTAAATTGCAGTGACTTCCCTAAGCCACTGATATTTGGACCAATTTTTTTTTCAGATCAATTTCTGTCAATTGATTTCCAACAAGCCTCTTGACTACCCCCTATGAACATTAGTGAGCTAAATTGTAAGTTACTTCCAGCAACATATTTTTGTGTTGCCCTTTTTAAAGATATTTTTGTAATTTTCTGTTTATAATTGTTTAAGGTACATGAGCATAGAGAACTCCGTTCAATGATTTGATAAGTCTTTTGTTTGTTTTAATAACTGTTTATATTTAACATCAGATATTATTGGGTAAATGCATTTACTAAAAGACGGTACCTTTTGTGGAATATAAAATGCTAGTGTATACAAGTAACGATGTATTTCCTTCTGAACTCTTTTGTTTAAGCCTCAGCATGCTCAAGCGGTTTATCTAAATTCAGTGATAATAGCTGTTACTATGGCTGCATGTTATTTCATTTGTTGAATTGATGCTTGGTAAGAAAAATGTCATTGAATTGTTTGCAATTTTGAATTTAAATAGAAGTGGTTCTTTTTCCTTATGGAGGTAAAATTAGGAAACTGGGGTTATAAATCCTGTGCCCTGTATTCCTAAATCAGGGTTGTGCAATGCTTGTGTGCACTGCATGGGGTTCATGGACTTTGGAACTGTTATCCCATCAGCAACTGGAAGCATTGGCTCTGCCCCCGGTGACAGGGATGGGAAGATGGATTAACTCAAATAATGAAATGTCAAATCAGCCTCTCTATAAAATGGGAATTCCTCCTTTAAGATCACTGATAGACGGTGACTAAAGCCTTGGCTTTTCATTATGGTTTTTAATGTGGGCTCATATTTTATGTTATATGGATTCTTATAAACCACAACATATAAGTGTGTCTTAAAAACAAGCTGATCCAAAAAAGTGAGAAATATCTTTTGAAGTGTAATTTCTCTTTGTAGCAAAAATTGGAAGATGCAATCAATGAAGAGGATGGCCATGGGGGTCCGGGGAAGACAGTGTTGTATAATGGCTGTGAATACAGATGCTGCAGTTAAACTGGCTTTGTCACCTACTCCTTATGCGACCTTGGTCATCTCTTTGGGCTTCGATTTTCTCGGCCATAAAATGGGAATGTCAACAGTACTTATCTCATGGGGTCGTAGAAGTTCATTGAATTAATTTATTAAAACACTTAGAACCCAGTATAATAAGAGTATTAGCTATTTTATAGGAATCTTTTTAATTTTGCAGTAGTGGTGTCTAAAAGTCACAGAACTATTATTTTTGAAAGACAAGATAGAAGCGGTTTTATTTACGTTGTAAGGCATGAGAGCATCTTGGCATGGCCTTAATATTTGGTCTCATAAAGCAAATGAGGAAGGTAATTGGAACTGAGCACATTCAGCCCACTCATCATGGGAAGAGCACCAGATTTCTGTTCTCTGAGAAAGCTTGCTAAATTCTGTAAGAGTGCTTTTAAAAAAAAATACAGTATTTTAAGAGCTTTGAGGTCAAAAACTACATCCAGGATGGATTAGTACCCCAAACTTTATACATGTACTCCACACTATGCTTTGTCCTTTGTCAAAATGTATTGAACTCTGCATTAATGGATGTATCAGTCAGGGTTCTCCAGAAAGACAGAACCAGTAGGATACATAGAAGAATACATTTACTGGGGGAATTGGCTCCCACCATCACACAGATAGAGGAGCCCCATGATAGGCTGACTGTGAGCTGGAGCATCAGAGAAGCTGGCTTAGTCTGGAAGCCTCAGAACCAGGGAAGCTAATGGTGCAGCTCCCAGTCCGAGGCCAAAAGCCCGAGAGCCCACCGGAGGTCACTGGTGCAAGTCCCAGAGTCCAAAACCTGGAGTCTGATGTCCAAAGGCAGGAGGAGAACAAGCATCCCGCTCCAGAAGAGAGAGTGAGGGCAGAGACAGAGAGAGTCCCCTCTTCTTTCACCTGTTTGCCCCTGCAGGGCCCCAGCCGATTGGATTGGATGGTGCCCACTACATTGAGAGCCGGTTTTCCTCTCCCAGTCTGCCAACTCCCATGCCAGTTTCTTCTGGAAACACCCTCACAGGGACACCCAGAAACAATGCTTCACCTGCCATCTAGGTATCCCACCATCCAGTCAAGTTGACACCTAAAATTAACCATCACAATGGGTAAAGTTTATTGCATGTACATTTACCTCAGTAAAGCTGTGGGTTTTTTTAAGAGCTAAATTCATGGTGGTGAGAATGTAATAGGCATTCACTAAGTATTTTTGACTAAATTAATAATTAAATTAGTCATGAATGGAATTATTTCATTCTTCAGTGATGGGTCATATCAGGAAATCCAGATGCATAAGGGGTCGAATTTTACCTCCTTGATTTTGAAACTTTACGTCAACTTCTAAAAGTCCAACTTTAATAGTAAATCCCAGTTCCTGGCACACACTTTGAAGGCCCACTGTCCCTCAGTTTACCAGTTTTTCATATTTACCCTGAGAATGAAGTCAGTGACTGGACTTAGTCCTGTGTCTGCAACTCATATATTTCTCTTGAGCATGGCCTTGTGTTCTCATTTATGTTATCAGACATGCAATTTAGTCATTAAAATAGACATTTTGATATAGTGGCAGAGGATGTGTTTAAGATTTGAGAAATTTACTAAAAAATGAAATCCCTTTTGTCGTTTCCAGAAACATCAGACTCTGGGCCTCTATTGACAAACCGTATCCACTTGTAAGTTGAATGTAACAATAGGCGGTGCACGTGAGCCAGCATGGACTTTTCTCATTGGCTGTTAGCATGAGGAGCTTGTCTGGCATCCTTGTATTTGATCCTGATGTCTTACTGTCTTTTCTCCCAGGTATGGCAGCAGCCAAACTTCTGCATGACTCTGGACTGAATGTGGTTGTTCTGGAAGCCCGGGACCGTGTGGGAGGCAGGACTTACACTCTTAGGGTAAGGCATTAAGAATCCGGAGGACAAATGTGGGACTGAAGCTGAGTTTGGGGTTTCATTTTTGTCTTTTTCCCCAAAAGTCTTCAATTTCATTTGACTCTAAGAGGGTGAAAATAACTCTGAAACATTCTTCACAGCCTCTCTCCCAGTTTGCCTTCCTTTCAATTCTTCTGTTCCTTTTTGTCTTTTCATCTCATGATATTTGGCCTCATAGAGTTAGGATTGAGTAAGAGGGAAATGGACAGATATGTGTGTGCCTCTGTGTGTGTGTGTGTGTGTGTGTGTGTGTGTGTGTGTGTGTGTGTGTGTGTGAGACAGAGAGAGAAATAGGAAGAAAAATAACATAATTATATGTACTTTCCACTCCTAACTTCGATGCTTCCTTCACACCAACACAATCATTCTAATCATACAAACTAAACTTTTTTGGAGAGACTTTCTCCCATTTTTAAATTTATTTTTTAAATTTTATTTTAACAAATCATAATTGTATTACATTTATGGAGTATAATGTGATGTTTTCACCATATGTATACAATGTGGAGTGATTAAATCAAGCTAAATTAACATATTCAGCACCTCACTTTCTTGACATTTTTTGTGGTGATACATTTGAAATTTACTCTGTTATTTTGAAATGCACAATACATTATTATTACTACAGTTACTGTGCAATGGATTTCAAAACTTATTCTTCCTGTCTAGCTAAAATTTTGTACCCTTCCTGTCTAGCTAAAATTTTGTACTCCTCATTCCCTCAGTTCTCACCCCCCAGCCCCTGATAATATTCATTTTGCTCTCTACTTCTATGAATTCAACGTGTTTTAGATTCCACTTATAAGTCTTTCTGTGCCTGGCTTATTTCACTTAGCATAATGTCCTCCAAATTCATCTATGTTGTCCCAAATGACATTTCTTTATTTTTAAAGGCTGAATAGTATTTCATTGTGTGTATATACCAAGTCTTCCTCATCCATTTATCCACTGATGGACACTTAGGGTGATTTCATATCATGGCTACTGTAGATAATGCTGCAATGAACATGGGTGTGCAGATATCTCTTTGACATATTGACTTCAATTCTTTTGGATATATTCCCAAAAATGGGATTGCTGAATTATGCGGTAGTTCTATTTTTAGTTTTCCATTTTTAGTTTTCTGAGGAACCTCCATACTGTTTTCTGTAATAGCTGTACTGATTTACATTCCCACCAATAGTGTACAAGGGTTCCCTTTTCTCTTCATCCTTGACAACACTGATTATTTTTCCTCTTTTTGATAAAAGCCATTTTAACAGGTGTGAGGTGATATCTCATTTTGGTTTTAATTTGGATTTCCCTAATGATTAGTGGTGCTGAACTTTTTCCATGAACCTGTTGGCCATTTGCATGTCTTCTTTTGAGAAGTGTCTGTTCAGTTCCTTTGCCCATTCTTTAAAAATCTGGTTATTTGTCTCTTGCTATTGAGTTGTTTGAGTTTCTTATATAATTTGGATATTAACCTCTTATCAGATGTACGGCTTGCAAATATGTAAAGAAAACTATCATTTTATTAATTGTTCTTTTGCTGTGCAGGAGCTTTGTAGTTTGATGCAATTCCATTTGTCTGTTTTTGCTTTTTTTCCTGATCTTTCAGGGCCATATCCAAAAAATCATTTCCCTGACTAGTGTCATGGAGCTTTCCCCTTGTTTTCTTCAAGTAATTTTGCCGTTTCAGGTCTCGTGTTTAAGTCTTTAATCTATTTAGAGTTGATTATTTGTATATGGTGTTTGCATATGGTATAAGATAAGGGACTACTTTTATTCTTCTGCATGTGGATAGTCCGTTTTTCCTGCACCATTTATTGAATAGACTGTCCTTTCCCCATTGTGTGTTCTTGGAATCTTCATCAAAACTCAATTGATTGTAAATGTGTGGGTTTATTTTTGAGCTTTCTATCCTGTTCTATTGGTTGGTGAGTCTGTTTTTATGTCAGTACCATACTGTTTTGATTAAAATTGCTTCATAATATATTTTGAAGTTGGGTAGTATAACGCCTTCACCTTTGTTCTTTTTGTACAAGATTGTTTTGGCTAGTTGTAGTCTTCTGTAGTTCCATATGAATTTAAGGATTGTTTTTTCTGTTTCTGTGAAAAATAACATTGGCATTTTGATGGGGATTGCACTGAATCTATGGATCACTTTGGGTAGTATGGACATTTTACATTATTAATTCTCCCAATCCATGAACATGGATGTGTTTTTATTTATTCACATAAACTAAACTTTTACCTGCCTAATTTTCCTTCTTGTTTTTGCTTCAGCTTTTATTTTTTTAAAAGAATTATTTACCAATTTATAAATACCCTTATTTTAATTGCTGGTTAATTGTTTCAATTCTGACACTGTTGCCTAAAATTAATGATTTTCTATTTAAACACAGAGTCAAGCAAAGCAAGTTTCTCTGCAAGGAAATGCCCTACTTCCATACATTCAAGATCTGAATAATAGATATAGAAGCTACAGAGTATTTTCATTTCCAGAGAGATAAGACATATAAAATTCTGACTCACAGCTCTTCTTTTGGAAGGATTCATCAATGATATATATCTGACATTTTGTACTCATTCTTTTTTTTAAATTATACTTTAAGTTCTGGGATACATGTGCAGGGGTGGGATCTGCTGAGCTAGATCACTTGGCTCCCTGGCTTCAGCCCCCTTTCCAGGGGAGTGAACGGTTCTGTCCCACTGGTGTTCCAGGCACCACTTGGATATGAAAAAAAAAAAAAAAAAACTCCTGCAGCTAGCTCGGTGTCTGCCCAAATGGCCGCCCAGTTTTGTGCTTGAAACCCAGGGCCCTGGTGGCATAGGACCGAGGGAATCTCCTGGTCTGCGGGTTGTGAAGACCATGAGAAAAGCAAAGTATCTGGGCCAGAATGCACTGTTCCTCATGGCACAGTCCCTCACAGCTTCCCTTGGCTAGGGAAGGGAGTTCCCTAACCCCTTGCACTTCCCAGGTAAGGCGACACCCCACCCTGCTTAGGCTCATCCTCTATGGGCTGCACTCACAGTCTAACCAGTCCCAGTGAGATGAACTGGGTACCTCAGTTGGAAACGCAGAAATCACCTGCCTTCTGTGTTGATCTCACTGGGAACTGCAGACTGGAGCTGTTCCTATTCGACCATCTTGCCAGCCCTCTGTACTCATTCTTTACTTTGAGTCATCTCCTTTATAATTGAATTTGTCCTCAGCAAATATCTACTGAGTACCTACTATGAATCAGGCACAGTAATCCCCCCAAAATGGCCTTGCTCCACAGACTTTACAGTCTCTCAGGGGGACAATGACTGTTGTAATTGCCTAATTATAGCTTATCAAGGAAAATGCTACAGTGAGGGTGGGTGACAGCTTGGAGTGGTGCCATAGGAGGCATAAGAGGGTACCTTACCAGTCTTGAGAGCCAGAGACTCAGAGAAGCCTGAAAGCCTTATCTGTTATTGACTGTGACATACACCGCCTGACCTAGTTATTTGTGATTTCACACAAGCCTTCAAACTTGATCTAACCCTTGTTGTCTACTGGCCATTGTTTTTGCCATTATGTGTTCCTCAAATATCTCTTTTTACCTTTGTCGTATGGCAAAATCTTCACATACTTCCAGGATCTCATCCCTTCCTACTCCAATCAAAAGCTACTTGCCTTTCTTCTGTGTTAATACCACTTACCTGTTCCACACAAGGACAATTATTATATGTTGCTTTACAAGGTTTTGCCTGTGTACATCTTATCTCTCCCAGTTCTTGAAATCTTCATATTCCTTGAAAAATACAGCATATAAGAGTGCCTTTTACGTAAAGAAGCTGGTTTAGTACAATTAGGTGCTGAATTTTTAAAAACATCCTTCTTTCATTTATTTGAGAAAATTTATTGGACAACTGCTATAGGAGTTTGGAATACTTTAGTGAGTAAAACAAAGATGCCTTGTGAAAATTGCATTTTTGAAGGGTAAGTGAGTGGAAAGCTAGACAAAAAATACGCAAATAAACAAAAACAGAAGAGAAGGACCATTTCTAGTGTTTCTAACTGGTAGGAACCTGGTTTTTCTTAGACATACTCAGAAATAGGAAACTTTTCTACTAATTTTTTGTTCAAAGTTCGCCCCTCAGTCATTGGAAATGAAACCAATTCAAAACTACGTAAATATACTATTAAACATAAAAGCAATTTCAAAGTCCAAATTATGACCAAATATTCCCTAGTGCTATTTTCAAATGTCTGGATTAACAAATCACATAAGAAGTGATCGTTTTCTTTCTTGCTTTTTCTCTAGCATTAGGCTCCTCAACATTCACCTGAAGTACTGAGTAAAGAGATTCGTCAATAATTCACAGCTCACAAATTCAAAGCACTAAAAACCAAGCCATGTTATGGTATATTGTAAATGATGAGGTTTAGAAGCTCTTGCCTATTCAGAGTTCAATCAATTTTGCTTTAAAGATTGATTTAATAACTAAGTCATGTGAATGAAGTAGAGTTGATAACAAAATCTAGTTTTTCGTGGATATACCCTTAAGCTGTATCTATAACTTGTGAAATGTCGATTTGCTTATTTCAGGACTGTCTTTTGTTATTTTATACATTTTTTACAAATTTTTTTTAATTTTTTCCTATGGGAAAACAGAACCAAAAGGTTAAATATGTGGACCTTGGAGGATCCTATGTTGGACCAACCCAGAATCGTATCTTGAGATTAGCCAAGGAGCTAGGATTGGAGACCTACAAAGTGAATGAGGTTGAGCGTCTGATCCACCATGTAAAGGTAAGATCAGGCCAGACTTTGAAGGATTTGAAAACTTCTCTATGATGTTTCCTTACACAAATTCCAGATCATTCTCTCAGAGAATCTTCTATATCTCTGGATGATGCAAATGTATTTTATAATGGTATTTCAGCCACTCTGAGATTCATTCACTGTTATCAAAGGTGAATTAGGTGGGAATTCTACCTATTTAGGAAGGTTATTGATGAAGTGGTATCTTCCATGTGGTAAAATGTTTAACAAAACCCATAAAGAAAAAACATTTGTGCTTTATTTATTAAATATCTATTTAAATACCGGGAAGTCTTTTATGTTATATAAAAACCTGTGCAAAGTTTTTAAAATGCTGCCCTAGACTGCACATTGTAAAGAGTATTTGCAATATGCCTAATGGAATATTCTTACATTTTATCATTGTGGCCTATATATCAGCTAAAGTTATTCTTCTTTGGAGATTGACATCAAAGTGGTTCAAGTCCCAGATCCCGTCTTTTGCAAGGAAGCTTCATTGTTCTCCCCAAGATTTCTGTGAATTTACTGAGTTTCTCATTCCTGTGATCATTTGTGGCTCATAGTTCTGGCTTCCATGATACCTATGTTCATTCACATCTCACGGCCTGTGACTCTTTTCTTCTCTTTGCTTATGCCAACCTGGGTTCACACTCACCTCTTTGTCCTGATTTTTCTCAGACCGCCACAAGCATATGTGAAAAGCAAACGTCACTGAAGTTTGCTTGGGTTTGGTGGGCGGGGGAAGGCTCTTAAATTTGCAGAAATACAAACAGATTAGAACTGAATGTTGGACATTCATTCTAATAACCTCTTAGATCAAAGCATCCCCTGAGGATTTCTCACTGGTCACATTTCTCTGCAGATTCCAGTCTCCCACCATGCTGCTGGTCCTCAGACTCTCTTCACATCTCCCTGCTCCTCTGTTTTTCCAGCATCCTCATCTTGGTCCACAAAGTCACTCATGTTCTCTGACAATCAGACAGTCACCTAATCTGGGCCCCATCCAGGAGTCCCATGGAAGAACTGGCGGAGGTTTTCAATTTCAGTCTTTCCTCTCTCATCTTCACTTGCTCCTGTGGGTGGAAGTAAGCAGCACAGGAACTTATTCCTCACTGGTAGAAAACATCCCCTTAGAAGACAGAAGAAACTAGCAACGGTCAATTTTGATTTATATAACAATTTTGACATCCTCATATTATTTGTGAGTGATAATATCGAAACAAATAACTGACCATAAATCATGAAACATTTAATAAAATGGGAACTAAGCAGTTACTTAATTTGGTATAATGTGGGTAAAAGTTTTCCTTAATTTATAAATAAATGTTTTGGTTGACCTTCAAATTTTATTTTATATTGGCCGGGCACAGTGGCTCACGCCTGTAATCCCTGCACTTTGGGAGGCTGAGGCGGGCGGATCACCTGAGGTCAGGAGTTCCAGACCAGCCTGGCCATCATGGCGAAACCCCGTCTCTACTAAAAATACCAAATTTTATTTTATAAGCCTTTCCACCTTCCTTCCCTATGTGTCTAGGAGAAAAAGAGACACATGAATTAGAAATGAAAATCTACCATGGTGATAATGTGATTTGTTGAACATCAATCAACAGTTCTTAACACCCTTTGTTGGGTTCTTTGTTTTTTTAAATGTAGATTTTCTTGACCGATTTCTTATGTCTTATTCTACCTGTAAGGCTTGCAGAGATTGACTTTTCAGAACACTAGGATCTTTAAATTTCTCCAGACAAAGGAAATGACCAGAGATTATATTCACTTGCCTGTCTTTGTGTGTGCAGAGATTATTGTCAGCTCAGAGCTATGTCCAGGATGCTTTGTTTTTTCCTGACATTAAGTCCCTTGTCTGAGAGAAATTGCTGAGTCATCAATTACAGGAATGATGTTACACTTAAATGATATTTCACAGTGATGGCCAAATGTGCTGCTTTTTCACTATTTCCATTACTCTATGTGCAGTTAGGAAAATACAAGTAGTTAAGCAGTAGTCCTTACTTAATACAGGGTAAATACATATGCCAATAATGCTCTTTATATTTAAAATAAGTCTTACTGCTTTTTAATTATGACAAAAGTAAAGCATGTTTATTGTAAAAATATGATTAGAAAATATAGATAAACTAGAACAATTAACAAACCCTTTATAATACTATCTTGAGAAGATCACTCTAAAATACTCTCTTGGTTCGTAGATTTTCGTATTCCTGTATTGCTATTTTCTGACCTCTGCTGGAGGAAATGGGAAATAACAGTGCATTTTAAGAAATTGTATGCACATGCATATGTGTATATGTTTTACGTAGTAACTTACTCTCAAATTAATTATCACTAATGAGACAAATTGAAAAAATACTGATGCTGTAAAAAAAAGGTTTCTGCAGTCTTGACAAAGGTGCCAATTTGGCCTCCTCGTGATCAGTCACATGCAGTGAAGAGCTACATGATAATACATAATGACGAAGACCTTATAGCTAAGAAGTCCTTCTCAAACTAAGTACTTGTTCTCTACCATCTCCACTTCCATGTCTTTGTATACGTCATTTTTCTCATTTTTGACCTGTAAAAAGCATCTTGGATGGCTACATTCATTTCCGGAATTATTAACAAGAACTTCGACATTCTTTCTCCTACCACATACTAGAGAATGTAGTTGAGAAATTTGCCTCCTGTGTCATGGAAAGCAGTACTTTGGGAATTTGAACACTGCCCTCTATTACCTATTTTAATAACTACTGTCCCCAAGGGCAAACTACAGTTCATGTAAATAGATAGTATATTTGGGCCTTGTTTCTTTTTTATCAGGGAACATGCATGTATTTCTTAATCTGAATCTTGAGAGTATCAAGTATGCTACTTGCCATATTGTCAGATCCTGCTATCAAAGAATCTGCTTTTAAAATTTTTTATGTGGCTGATAATGGGAAATAGAGTTTTATGTGCAACCTTAGTAACATTAAGCTAAGGAACTTGGATATACTGGTTGATATTGAAATGAATGAAGTGGAGCTACCCAGAAAAGGGGAAGGGCACAGTAGCTCATGGTGGACTAACTACCCACATGAAAGAGTGTGTTTCCTCAAGAGAGGATGACTCCCAATATCACCAGTTCTGTGGTAGTTGTCATAGAAATGTTCTTCTGATAGAGGAAGTGTGTTCATGCCAGCTCCATAATAGGCATCTTTAAACACCTAGTGTGCTGTGATGAACAGGCCTCTGTCTTGATCTGATCTGTCAGACATGTTTGTATCTACTGAGTGGCGTTCATTTTTAATGCTCTGTAGATCTGTTATATGTTGTTAAAGTAGGGTTTTCCAAAGACAACTTCATAAATAAAAGATGTGATACCAAACTATATTGGGATTTAATTATCAGTGAGAAAGGGATCGCTTCAGCTCAAATCTATATAATTTAGAAGGTGTTTTCCTTACTTCTGGAGTCAGTGATGCAGCTGTTAGTACTTTACAATTATTGTTAAACATCTACTGAGATTTTTGATCCGTTTTACAAATAGGCATGCTAATTTCCACTGGTATAGTTTAGAAGGCAGCTGTTTAGATGTCTTGGAAGTAACTTGAAAAAATTGTTTTCTTTTAAGGAATATTTCATAATTAAAAAGAAAAAGATAAAAACAAAAACTTCTTAAGGAATCCTGCTATATTTTGACTTATGTTTCTTTCTCTTTCATTGTGTGTTTACATGTGCATGCGTGTATGGTTGTCTTTGTTCTTTTGGGCTCTTTGAAGAAGTTGGAGAAAATTCTAAGGTTTGGTACAATGTAGGCAAATAAAATTTTTCTGTTTCAGAAGCTTTCATCAGTCTGAAATTTGAAAGTAAAGTCTGGTAAAACACCCATGAAACTGCTCTAGGTCTGAAGGTTGAACTGTTAAGAGTTTTGCCACTATAAAGATGTAGTGTGACTTAAAATTAAGAGTCCAACTTCATACTGATGTTCATTTCCAAACTTCAGCTATCTGGAGAAGCTGAGCAAAAGGACTTTTTGGTCTTAACCTACTTCCCAGTGGGCAGAAACAAAGCTTATTGTCAAAGTCCTTTTTGCATTGCATATGGTCAACCTTCAATGCTAAAGATGCATGCGAATGAGGATTCATCTCTCAAATATATTGTCTGCTTGTTGCTGCCATAGCTGCTATTGCTCAAACAGCCTCACAGAGGAGGAGGCATTTGGCACAACCCCTCAGTCTTGCTGACAACTCTGAAATCCAGTTGAAAATATGATACACAAAATGCACACAAAGGCAGAGAGGGGAAACCATAGCTATCTATCTGCGATGCCATTTCAGTTAATCTCTCTGTCTAAATGGCCTCTCAGTACTAAGAAACAGCAACAGGATTAGAGTAGAAATATTGAGACATAAAAAATGCAAATGATAATTGCATTTAGCAAATGGAAATCGTCCTGTTGTGTAAGGTCTTGGCATCTCCTGGAAATCAACAGGCCAGAAGTATCCAGTCTTCTCTAGGTCCTCAATATTCCCTTCTTCACACCCCTGTCCCCGATCCTATTAATCCAGGGGAGGCTGGATCAAAGTCCAGAATACACTTGCTTCTCTCATAAAGACAGAAGTCTCCAGGAACAGGTTAGACCAACTCTTGTTTTTATTCAGGAACAGTTGCCCATTTTACATGAACTTCACACTTACCATGTTGAGTTTACTGGCTCTGTGAGTTTGCCCTTTCTGAAGTGGGCTTAATGAACCTTTTCTACCACTTCCACCCACACTGCATTTCATTTCTTATTTGTTTGAAACAAATATGTCTTATTATGGAAGATTTTTTCAAGGAAAAATGTGGAGAATAGTAATTTTCTCTCTAGTAAGTGAAACACATTTGTCTAGTGATCATTCTAAAGCTTATGCTGTTATTCTGGAAACCAAAGTGCTCATTTGTGTTCTTTAGAGAATACAGGCAGATCTTTGGCATGTAATAATTTGCTGAAAATTATGCCTTTGATGGCTGAATTTGGAACAACATTTAGGATATGAGATGAATTCATTTTCCGCCTCCAAGGTTTCCATTTGGAACTTAAAATATGGTACAATCAGTAAACATATTTTCTATGCATACACACACATATCTGGATAAACTTAACAGTGACTATGGTTGTGGGTAACAGTTAGTTTTAAATTTTGCTGGGAGTGGAGGGTAGACAATGTATGGAATTAAGTTATGATAGTGAAATTCACTAAGGGAAACAGCGATATAGATTAAATCTTGTGCAAAATTTTACAGCTTCTATACTATGTGATCATGTGTTATGGCCAAGTAGTCCAAAGGAGCTGCAAAGACAGGGGGCCCAGCTCACCAAAAGATGGTGACTAATAAGGGAACCATGTAACAGATTAAAGAGAGCTTTGGCAACTTGCAGTACCAAGAGATTGACAGAAAGTGCAAGATGGCCTGAAATGTGTTAGCCTGCCTTACCATGTCCTCTGCAGAGCAGCAGCCTGCAGAAAGGCTTAGGCGTGGATTCCCAGGCTGCGTATCACATGTCCTGGGCATTTCTCTTGGCCTCTGCAACCACCAAGAAGTAATAACAATGGTAACATTACTCTTATATGGACATCTAGAAACTACCAAGTGTTTTCAATCTCAAATAACTATAAGTTATTTAGTTGTGAATTAGAAGTATTATCCCCATTTAACAGGTGAGGACCTAAAGGTTAAAGAGATTAATTGCAAATGACAAGATGCAATGGGGTCAGAGCATGAGTTGAGGCTTTTGGGTGTCAAGAACACACTGCAAAGAGCTCACTCTCTGCTGGTTGGGGACTACTTTTTGTCATTTCTTTCTAAGCCTCAGCACCCACCTGGCCCGCCTTTCTTCTTGCCAAACTTATACTCTCACATATTGGAAAAATCGAGTTCAAGATCCTCCTTTCCTTAAGATTTTCCACAGTTGAGTACAGTTATTCCACTAGCTCCCTCCAAAGCCCTGTATCCTCCTCACCTTCCTGATTATTCTTTATAAAAGTCTGTTTTTAAGTAGGATAAACAGTTTTCTGTTACTTGTACATCGAGACTTCATAAACAGTTGACTCTTGGACAATGTGGAGGTCAGGAGTGCTGACCCCCTGTGCAGTCAGAAATTCTTATATAACTTGACTCCCCGAAAACTACTAATAGCTTGCTGTTAATTATGTTGGTAAACACATATTTTGTGTTAAATGTATTATATGCTGTATTCTTACAATAAAGTAAGCTAGAGAAAAGAAAATGTTATTAAGAAAATCATAAGGAAGAGACAATGTTTTTACTATTCGTTAAGAGGAGGTGGATCATCATAAAGGTCTTCATCCTCATCATCTTCACATTGAGTAGGCAGAAGTAGAGGAGGAAGAGGAAAAGTCGGTCTTCCTGTCTTAGGGGTGGCAGAGGCAGAAAAAAATCCATTTGGAAGTGAACCTATGCAGTTCAAACCTGTGTTGTTCAGGGGTCAACGTTTTGTGTATGTGTGCAAAAAAGCAAATGTATTACAAGTAAATGCTAACAACCACTGACATTCTAACAGTTTCTCTTAGAGCTTTAAGGTTGGTAAGTACTTGGTTGGCCTTCCAGATTATCCAGATGATTGTACTTGATGAACAAGTAAAGCTGGCGACAGTTTTACGAATGCTTTATCATTTTTTCTACCTGTCAGTCTTGTGGCACCTGTTTGCTGGCTACATGCAGCCTGTCCACTAAGACAAAGGCACACACAATTGGAAATTTTGTCATAGCAGCATTCTAGTTCAGAATATCACCAAGTGATAAATCAAGAATTCAGGAATGGATCAGCTTTAGTGAAACTGGTGTTGAACATAAAATATATCTAAATAAAGATTTAAACAATTGGAAGAATTACAATCATAGTAATTTATGTACATGTTATTAAAAATGTTTATATGGTAAAAATTATATAATCAACAAAATCAGAATGTAGAGAAGGTGAGAAAGGAAGACACATAAGAGAGGTAACAGCTGCTTAAATCTTTCATAGCAATGAATCAATCTATACCAAAATTAATAGTTAATAAATAGTTAATAAATTAATTAGTTCCCTCAGGAACTAATATCTCTTAGGGTGTGTGAAACATCTATTTGAAGTTTAGCACTTCCTTCAGTTCATTTCAGTTTATGTTTCTTCCATCAAATTGAAGTATATTTCCATCATTTAAAATAACAGATATAATATGATTCAATTCTCATATTTTTTATTTTCTCTTTGTTCTTTTCTCCCTCCTTCCTTTCTTCCTTCCTTGTTTTTTGTTTCCTTCCTCCCTCTCTCAGTCATCCATTTGTTCATTTATCCATCCATAGCAACCATCCATCCATTCGTCTATTCATTTTTCTATCTTGTAGATGCTTATATAAGAGGTCTGGAATGTCATACACCAAATGTTACGGCTTTTTTTTTGTTTAACTTGATGGTACAACATGGAGTAATTCGTTGCTTTCTTCTTTGTACTTTTTAGTACTGCCAAAACATTTTATAAAGAGCTCCTCTCATTTTTATTTTTAAAAATGTAATTAGACACAGACTTTACTTTGGAAAGCTCATGATCTATGAGAAGAGGTTAGGCCCAGTGTTTCTAGCAGATCTCTGTGCCTCTCACCTGCCTAGGCAGCAGTCTCCTGGGTTACATATCCATTAACAATCACCAAACTGCTTCCAGCCAGGCTTAGTGACTGAGCTTAGATCCTTTGAGTTCAGACAGTCTAGATCCCAAAGCAGCTGTTCTAATGCAGAACCTCAAAGGCCCTTATCCTGGTATTATTGTGCTGCAGAATTTTCTGAGTGTCTGACACATACACACACACACACACACACACACACACACACACACACTTAATCATTGACCTTTTGTGTGTCCTTGGCCACGTTATTTATGCTTTTGTGTTTTGATATCTCTGTTGAAAAGAAGGATGTTTGTACCTGTCCCACTTAGTATTCTGAGGTTTAAAGAAACAAGATGTTAACAAGACACTGATTAACATCATTGTCACGAGGCTGCTGTGATACACTGAAGATCCTAAGAACATTTTGATAGGAAGGATAGAGTTTCTTTACTTTCCTTTTGGAAACAAACTTTTCTAATAGGTTCTGGGGATTCTTAGTAGCAAGTAAGAATGTAAATGATGAGACACCAGGTAAGATGAAGCTTTACAAATTCTTTTCAAAAGAGGACCAGGCCAATAAACTTACCTGAAAATATTTTCATGGGCTTCTTATACACTGAACTGTGAACTTTCCCCCTTAAAATCCAGTATTATTTTTCTTCTGTGTTATTGGTAGGCTAGGAGAGAAGCATTTGGCTGCAACTAAACTCACATGCCCAAACAGGCTAAATCGATCATAAATAGATAAATAAAGTGATCTTTTCTGGCTGTATTACCTTCTAAGTTTCCTTCAGTTCCAGTCAGACTTTTAATACCCTAGAATAGGGGACAATGGCTATTACTGGGCTTAGCTGAGATCCTTTCCTCTGGGTCCCTAACTGGCCATGCTGGCACTCTTGTAGAGTCAGGAATGTCTCCTCCTGTCAGGAGACAGGAGGCATCTCAGGATTTACTAGTCTCTAAGAAAACCTAAGTTTAGAGAAGTAAAATACATTACTTTAAAAATCTCTTTTGATATATGCGTGAAATCTAAAAGTATTAAAATAGCTTACAACAGCACTGTCCAATCAAAATTTAATATGTACATTGATAATTTTACATTTTTCTAGTAGCCATATTAAAAAGTGAAAAAGATGAAACTAATTTTTATAATACATTTTATTTAACCCAGTATATCCAAAATATTATTTAAACTTGTAATCAATATAAAACATTATTAATGAGAGATTTTACGTTCTTCTTTTGTACTAAGCTTTTAAAATCTGATGTGTGGTTTCCACTCACAGCATATCTCAATTCGGACCAGGCACACAGTGCTCAATAGCCTGGTGAGTGGCTACTGTATTGGATAGCACAGGGATAAAAGGTTAGTAGATTCTGTGTATTTTTGCAAACATTGCTAATCCATCTTAAATTTGTTAAAAAATAAAACCCGTACAAAACATATGTCTAAATCTCACAACAGAGACCCTACAGTACATCGCAAATTAACTTCCTTTATTCTGTTAACTTCAAACATCTGTCATCACAAAGAATCCAGAAGTAAACAATGAGTGAAGTTCCTTATGTGCCTGCTACTTCCTAAGGGCAGGGAAACTTTGAATCACTTTGAGAAAACTATCCTAGGTACACAGGGAGATGCTATGTCCTGTGATTTTAATGCATTAGAAAGTGAGCAAGCTGGAAGTAATTGAGGTTGACGTGGTCAGAGAGACTACCCTAAGAGAATGCTTTGAACACTTACAAAAACCTTAAAAGACACTGCGCAATAAATTCAAGGGAATAAATTTATGGAGAGCATAAAGACTTTTCATATAGTGTCATTATTTTAATACATTTGCTCATTTGTCCCTGTCTATGACTAATTCAGGAGAAACAATAGAACTGTCCCAAAGTGCCATAAATGGTGATTATCTTAACATACAGTCAGAGAAAAGTCCAACAAGTAAAGAGTTGTAGAGAAGATAAGCCTGTAGTTCAATGGAAGTTTATTTACTCTTTTCATCTTTTAGCACACATGCTTCATGCAAAATTCTGAGCAAAAGAACTGCAGAGCGACCTGGAGCATTTTACTGCTGACATTTACTATTTCCCCTTTTTTAAAGTTGGCAAATGTTAAGGGCAGTTGCTACAGACAGCTTCTACTCATGTGCAAACCATGAGAAAAATCACAATTCATAGTTACCTATAATTTAGGCTCTCAAGGGAAACCAAATTCATATGTACATGGTGGCTCCTGGAAATTCTGTTCCAAACTCAATTTAATAATAACAATAAGCAACATCTTTTGAGATTTTGATAGATACAAAGCACCATTCTAAGCAGTTTATATGCATTATCTCACTTAATACTCAGAAAAGCCTGATGATTTTTATTATTTCTCCTTCACAAAGGAGAGCATTGAAGTAAGTACAAGGCATTTACACAACTTGCTCAAGATGCCCCAGTTGGTAAGTGATGGAGTGGGGGCTTTAACCCTGATCCATCTCACTCCACCATCCAGGTATTTGGCAGCTCAGCTTAGGTGCAGGCCAACATAGAGATTATACTTAAGAGCAGATGAAGTCTCAAAAAAGACAAGGAAAAGGATAAGGGTGCTGAGGACTGAATTGCGGGGCAGGCCCTCAACCCTTCTCCCCTTTCCGTTCAGGTTCTTGCTTCCTAATGCTGATTTTTTTTTTTGTCTTATGCCTCATCACTGATTTTTCTTTTTATCTCCATTTGACCACCTGTGACCTACTTGACCTTCCAGTGGAGGACACTGACATGAATCATCTATTTGGTTAAATCAAGGACTATTGAGAGACATTGAAATCTCTCATTTCATTCTTAATCCAGGAATTTAAAAAAAAGTATTAAAGCTGCTCATTTGAGTGAGAATGCTGGAACTCTGTGTCACACAAGATAAACGTAAGAATAGAGAGCCATACATGTTTCTTGGGTTTATTTCATGTTTCCATTGCAAAGTATAAACATAATAGGGTTAGAAGAAGCATTGCTTTCTGTATAACTTCATACTTAGGCAGAAAGGAAAATATAAAATTACATGTTTAAGGGTGACCTATGTGGAGTAGATGTTTTGGCAATTGAAAGGATGTCATTATGATATCTAATAACATTGATCCTTTGGATTAGAAAGGATGAGAGTCCATCTAAAAACAACAGGTTGTTTTTAAGCTGCTACTTTTCTTGATGAGGCCAGGATAGTTGTGCTGCTGCTATTTTAGGGACCTCATATTTCTTCCTGATTGGTTCCAGGCATTTCTCCCAGATATCTGTTGACATCTTGTCTATGTATCCAGGCTGGAGCTAAGGTTTCTTGACTGTAGAATCCTGGGAGAAAAAGCAGTAAAAATAAATAAGTTAGAAAGATAGTGAATAAAATTAAATTTTCATCATGACCTCCAAGTACCTAAATGATATGCCCCACCAATCTCCTGGCCCAGCTCACCCTGGTCCAGCCACTCTGGCTTCTAGTGTGCCAAGTTTATTCCTGCCCCTGGGCTATTGTGCTTCGAAGCAGATTAAAGATGGGTGGCTACACATTCTTTGATAGTCTTCCCATGGAAAGGGAGAGTTGGGGTCCATGCCTCCTCTCTATGAATCTGGGAGGACTCTGTCACGGCTTTGACCAGGAGAATATGACTGAAGTTATGCTACTCCAGTTTGACAGCCTAGGCCTTAAGAAACTGGTGGGTTCCACTTTTGAAACCTTGAGTTACACCATGTAAGAAGTCCAAATACCCTGAGACTGCCATACTGGAGAAGCCACATGTAGGCACTCTGGTCCCCTGTGCCAGCCAAATCCAACCTTCCAACCCTCCTTACAAAGGTACTAGACTTGGAAGTGAAGCTGTGTCAGACATCCAACCCAGTTGAGCCTTTGAATGACTCCAGCCCCAACCGCCATCTGACACAGCCACATAAGTAAACTCCAGCAAGAAACTGCCCAGCTGAGTTCAGTCAATCCACACAACTGTGAGAGAAAATAATAGAGTGATGCCTTAAGCCATTAAATTGTGGGGTTATGTTTTTATGCAGCCATTGGTAACCAAAACACACTTGCTATTCCCTCCACTTGAAATGCCCTTTCTTGGGCCTCAACTCAAATATCACCTCCTCAGAGATGCCAGAGTAGCCTCTCCCACCCCCACTGGTATTCTCTATTCTTAATTTAGGCTTTCTCTGCTTTATTATTTTTTATAGCACTTATAAATTATATCATGTATATCATATTATACATGTATTTGTTTTTGACTACTTTCTCCTGGTAGAAGGCAAGTTCCATGACGGCAGATACTTTGGTTGGAATATGTCCCCAAAATTTATGTGTTGGCAACTTAATCCCCAGTGCAACAGTTTTGAGTTGTGGGACTTTTAAGAGGTGATTAGGTAATAAGGGCTCTGCTCTCATTAATTGTTGCTGTTATTGCAGGAGTGGGTTAGTTAATTGTGGGAGTGGGTCTGTCATCGGAGAAGTGGACTCCTCATAAAAGGATGAGTTTGGCCCCTTTCCTTCTGCTCATACTTGTGATTTCTCACCATGTGATGCCTTCCACCACGTTATGATGCCACAGGAATTCCCTCACCAGATGCCAGCACCTTGTTCTTGGACTTCCCAGCCTCCAGAACTATGAGAAATAAATTTCTTTTCTTTATAAATTATTCAGTCTGTGGTATTCTAATACAGCAATACAAAATGGACTAAGGCAACAAAATTATTTCTTTTTCCATTTTGTCCACTGCTGCATCTCCAGCACTTGGCTCAGGATGTGGCAGTTGGTAGGCTTTAGGTAAATGTTCCTTGTGTAAATGATTGAAAGAATGGGTCTTTACCCGTATGTGAGCCTGTCCCTTTTAGAGCACAATTGGGCAGACCCTGATTTGGCATCACTCTTAGGAGAAAACGGAAATATTTTAGCCACAAGCACTCTAGTCCTACAGGAAAAGAAGTGCCACCTAGTATGGTGTCAGGAAACCAGGAGGGTCCCCCACCTCAACACTTAACATCACCGGCTCCCACCCAAATTCCACAAATAAAGACTATTTTCTTTGTCCACAGTTGAGTTACAGATAAACTGGAGATACAGAAGCAAACAAAACATACAAAAATCCCTGCTCTTGTGGAGCTTATGTGTTATCTGGGGAGGATATAAACAAACAAATAAAATATATAGAAAAATATTGGTATGCCTAAAATAAAATTAGTCATGTTTGATTTTATAATTGCTTTTCACTTGCAGTAACAGGCACAATCAAGAAATATGGCTAAGTGCAGAATAAAAAAGGCTATAAAACATGGACCTTCTTAAATGAAGTTAATTCAGACGTAACAAAAATTCATATATTATGTTCCTTGAAACTTAAAAAAATGCGACTTTAAATTTAACACTCTCAATTCTAATGGGGATATGAGTTAATTTTCAAGTATATTTTAGAGCTCAAGTTTAGTTAACCAATAACTTGCTGAATTATGCAAAAAGCTTTGGCTTTCAAAATCTTATTGCTTTTCCCCTGTCAAGATTTAATAATTTTTAGTAAGGGTTTGAACTTTTTAACCAGATATGCCAAATCTCCCAAATGCATGTATAAGATGTTATTATGTTAATAGCAATGTATAATACAATATCTGCACACATTGGAAAATATATATGTGTGTTGTATTAGAAAGTGATGAGTGCTATGGAGAACGGGAGTGTGGGGTTATGTGAGAGGGTGGGATCCAATTTCAAGTAGGGTAGTCAGGGAGGGCCTCACTGAGGAGGTAACATTTCAACAGAAAACCTAAAGCAGGTGAGAGAGCAAAAAACTTAAAGTATAATAATAATAAATAAATAAATTAAAAATGGGTCTTTGGGTAAGAGTGTTCCAGCCAGAGGAATGTGAGGTTCAGAAGCCCTGAAGCTGTTTTGTAAAGCTTACGTTTACAGCACTGCAAGGAACCCCCTGTGGCTGGAGTGAAGTAGACAAAAGAAAGCTGGGGGAGGGAAACAGTGGTTCT
Source organism: Homo sapiens (assembly GCF_000001405.40). Classification (NCBI taxonomy): domain Eukaryota; kingdom Metazoa; phylum Chordata; class Mammalia; order Primates; family Hominidae; genus Homo; species Homo sapiens. Next base: position 43,825,222 of record NC_000023.11, on the reverse strand, counting down.
CAAAAAACAAACAAACAAAAAACAAAACTCTCACCTGTAGATTTTGCACGGTGTAAATACTTAATGTCCGATGTCAAGCTACCAACTTACCGTCCCTGAAGGCAGAGTTGGAAAGAAGTGAACACAGATGGTTCTCATGACACAGTACGCACAGACTCCAACACAATATGAGGAGGTCAGAGAGAGAACAGGGCTAAATGGCATAGGGCCTAGAGGGCAATTCTAAGAACATTGACATTTACTCTGGGTGATGTGGGAAGCCACTGGAAGGTTTGAAGTAGAGAAGTAACATGATGTGACTTTCCTTTGTAAAGTACTATTCTGCAGAACCTCCTTCATGAGCAAATAGATGTGTGTGTGCATGTGTGCGTGTGTGTGCACATGTGTGCATGCGTGTGCATGTGTGTGTGCACGTGCACATGGCCACACATATGTCTGTGTCTATTTCTTCTTCATGGACGGCAATTCACCCCAGCTGTTACTCTGCTTTCTTTGGGGGCAGATACAAAAGAAGAATACAAATCTTTTCTTTTTTTTTTTGAGACAGAGTCTCACTCTGTTGCCCAGGCTGGAGTGCAATGGAGTGATCTCGGCTCACTGCAACCTCTACCTCCCAGGTTCAAGCAATTCTCCTGCCTCAGCCTCCTGAGTAGCTAGGACTACAGGTGTCTGCCACCATGCCAAGCTAATTTTTCTATTTTTAGTAGAGACGGGTTTTGCCATGTTGGCCAGACTGGTCTCGAACTCCTGACCTCAGGTGATCCACCCGCCTCGGTTTCCCAAAGTGCTAGAATTACAGGTGTGAGCCACTGCACCTGGCCACAAATCTTTTCCTATGAAGGGCCAAACCTCTTTCTTCATTTAGGCATTTAACCCAGAACCCACTGAAATAAAAATGACAATATTAATCATGATTTTTAGACTATGTGGCTCACTCAACCATAGAGCTTCTCATACAAGTGAAATGCAGCACATGTGTGAAGCCTTAATATATCATCACAATCTGTTCTATTACTTCATCTCATCAATTGGTAATTGAAGTATTCTTAGGATCCTGCTGTGTTCTCTAGCTTTGAAACTCACAGCATCCTATTCAAACTCATGTACATATGTGTGAGAAATGGGAGGGCTGTCAGCAGTCATTCAATAATTTTGAAGAGGAGCACTTCGAAACTACACTTAGACCAACCCGCAGTTGTCATTATGACGGTCATTGCTGAAACCCACTTTAGGTCAGCATGAGTTAGCTAGCACCTTGTGGCCTGCTTTGGAATTTAAAGCCATCATATGAGACAATATCTCTGAACAGAATTTTAAAATTGAAGCTATACATAAGAATGGTATGGGAAGTAGGGACCTTCTGAATTAAAAGTTTAATTTTGGGTGGGTCCAAATGGTACAGATCAAAGAAAGAGAAAATACTAGCACAGTGACCGACTTCCTGAGCACAAATACACAGGCTTGAAGATGGAAAAGGTGAAATAACTGAACACAATGTCAAGAAAAAGAAAGAGGCAGATGCTTATAAATGTAACAGAAGCCATGAATTATTATATAATGTATCCTAAAGAATTTCTCTCCTAGCTATGAAAGAAACAGCCTTTGCCTCAGGGGTCTTTTGCTAATATCTTCTAGCAGCCCCAAGATATGTAGACATTGTCATATCAAAGTTCCTCAGAGCCTTGAACAACATATGTGACTGTGTATTTTCTTGGGAAAGTTGAAAGCTCTAACAATAAATGCATCTGTAGGCCTGGCGTGGTGGCTCACACCTGTAATCCCAGCACTTTGGGAGGCCCAGGCGGGAGGATCACCTGAGGTCAGGAGTTTGAGATCAGCCTGGCCAACATGGTGAAACCCCGTTTCTACTAAAAATACAAAAATTAGCCGGGTGTGGTGGCACACACCTGTAATCCCAATTACTTGGGAGGCTGAGGCAGGAGAATCACTGGAACCCGGGAGGTGGATGTTGCAGTGAGCCAAGATCATGCCACTGCACTCCAGCCTGGGTGACAGAGTGAGACTCCATCTCAAAAAAAAAAAAAAAAAAAAAAAAAGACCATCTGTTTTAGATACTGAGAGCATAGGCTTAGAACCCAGAGGGGCCTGGGTTTGAATTCTGAACTCGCTATTTACTAGCTGTGTGATTTGAGGCAAGTTTCTTAACCTCTCTGTGCCTCTGTTTCTTAATCTAAAAAATGAAAATAATAATACCTTGCTTATAGGGTTGTTGAGGGAGATAAATAAAAATAAACGTATAAAGTCTTATTAAAAGGATTTTAGTATGCAGCAAATGTGAAAAAAGTGTTAACCATGATGATGATGATGATGGTGATGGTGGTAATGATCATGATGATACTGGTGGTGGTGGTGGTGATGATGGTGATGGTGATGATGGTAATTATGATACTTGCCTATCACAATCCTTATTTCTCATACCCACTTTCTTTGTGCTCATGACTTCTCCTTTGAAATGGCTTTTCAAAAAGCATATGGGTGTCAATTCAAAGTACCCATTAAGTGAATTTCTTTGAAAACTTTTTCCTCCTGAAAATAATTGTTTCAAATAAACAGATGCCTCTTTGATATTCTTTTTATCTCAGTCCAGTTGGTAAAGTTTGAATGCCCTTTAAGTATCTCCAGGGTGTCTTCCATGTAAAATTCACAAGTAGCTTTTTGGCCAAACTTGCCTCTTCCTTCATCTGAATCTCACTCCAGGTTTCTCCTGCTGTGTCATCTCTCGACTAGTCTTCAGAATATTCTTCTAATCAGAATCTTCCCAGCATCCTTCTTATTCCCTCAACAAGTGAATCTCCTTTAAATCAACACAATTTCTACACTAGGGATTAATGTTCATAGCAACAGAGCTCCTTTTGGGACCAAGAAAACCTTTCTATTTGTGCATAAAGTCTCCTTTGATTTATTTTAAAGTGGAGTTCTTATTTCAAAGCATTGACTTTCTTTGGAGAAGTATTCTGACTCATCTAAGTGAATCATCATTTTGGCTTGTATCACTAAAGAAAGTGAACACTTCTCCCAAACAATTTATGGAGTGAAAATTTGGTACCTGCACCAGCATTAATCAGAGGCTGACTTTGGTACTGGATGAGTTATTCAATGGAGAAGAGAAAACATGTTGTGCTTGGATAAATTCGAGGATATGAATTTCTGTCTCATAAGGCTCTCTCTGTAGAGAAAGACAAGCTAATTCTGGAGACACAGACTTCTGTTACACTCCTGGGGCTTCAATAACTTTACCATGGACCTTGGGCATGTAATTTAATGCTTCGTAGAAGCTTCAATTCCTAGTTTGTAAAGTGGGATTATTAATTTCTAACCTCCAAGTGTTCCCTTGAAAATTAAATATGATAATATATGAAATGACTTTATAAATATCAGGTACCTTCATCATTTTTAAAATCTTATGTGGTAGAGAACCTCTTTAGAAAGGAGTTTTTTGACAATTTGTTTTTTAGAAACAATTTTTTCTCAACTGAGATAATCACATGTCCTCAGATTTCAAAAGGATAATCTAATAATCTGAGGATAATAATTGACATTTAAGGAAGAACTTGTTTTGAGAAAAATCTTTTATTTTAGAAGTCAATTTCTCCCTCCCTCTCTATCCCCATCCATCCTTGTATATTGTACTAAGGCACGTACCCAGGTTACCAAGAACTTTTCCATCTTCTCATTACTTTATACATTTCAGAGGCATCAAAAGCATTCGGATAATATTTTTGAAAGACAAGGGGCGCGCCTGTCATCCGGCACCTGTGAGCCCAGTGAGGCTGCAGCCGGGATAGGAGAGTGGTGCAGTTGTTTTGGATTAGCTGATCTGCTCTCTGGGGCTGGAGTTCAGGGTCCAGTCCTGGAGGTTCAGAGAGGGCTTGCTAGAAAATGCAATTAAACGAGTACCTTCCATGACAAGGAGGTGCTAGGGTAAGCATTTGGGGATGGATTTTTGTGCTGGTAAATCCCAGCATGCTCAGTGATGCTGTAAAGGCGAGAAGCTCTGAGCTTTCTTCTACAAAGTCATCTGCTAGTTCATACGGTAGAATTATCCCAGAGGGAGGCAATTGCCCTATGGGAGGCTCAAGGTGTGTGTAGAAAGGGGCTTTGTGGTATTTATTAAAATCATAATAACAACAACAACTAATATCCTTCTAAGAACTTTGCATATATGATCTCATTTAATCTTTGCCACAGCCCTGGAGGTAGGTATTAGTACCTACATTTTACAGATGATGAAAGTGTCAGAGATGTAACTTACCTGAGGTCATAGAATTAGAATAGTCATTTCTTGAGCCAATGCTTTCATCATCTACATGAAAGTTGGCAATACTTTTTGTGGAAAGAAAAGTGTAGGGATAGTAAGGATGATATTAGTCAATATCTATGCATTTACTATGTGCAAGTCACTATGTTGAGATGTGTATGCATTATATCACTGATGACCCATAATACTATCATGGCATTGGTTCTATTCTATTTACATTCACATTATATACAGAGGCCCAGTTTGTTGCATGCCTGAGTTCATGGTTACCTGCTGGGATGTTGAACATCACAAGCTGTGCTCTCACCTCTGGTATCTAATATCATGTATCTGTACGCAAAAACGGACTTTTTGCAAGTGGTTTCTGGTGTTTGAATGTTATAAAATAAGAGTTTGCGATGATTATGGTGAAGCTGAGTGTTCCCTTTTTTGTAAATGCTATTGTATTTGGTTTTATTTCTTTGCTGCTGTACAATGAAATCACCATAAAAATCACTTTATGTCTGTAGTGAAATTTTCCAAACCATAACATATCTTTATGAACCTGAAATTTTACAATTCTTTAATAACAGCTATTTAAACAAGCACTTTTTTAAATATTTTTGTCTGTGAAAAACCACAATAGATTTATTAATTAAATTAGAATATTAGAGCTGGGAAACCACCTTCTATGTAAATTATTGGTGGGAGTTTATGAAATTCTTGTAGTAAGACTAAAAGTAGAGTGATCTTTTCTCTAAGAATTGTACTTAAGCTAATACAGCTGATAGAACATGTTAAAAATGCATGGAAGACAAGATTTCAATATTTAGACTTGTTTAAGATTTATTGGAATTTGGAGATCAAGTGGACTTTAACTCCAAGGTCCTTTCCTAAATAACTCAAAATGTATAATAGGAGTTGTTGTTTAGGTTGGAGACCTTTCTAAAACAGGAAATTCACTTTTGTTCATGGCACAAACCTTTATAAGGACATTAATGGTGTTTTAAAATTATGATCTATGATGTAAAAATAAGCTTTGTCTTGAGGGCCTTAGTTAGATTTGACTACAGACTTTCTTCTCTCAGTTTGGTCTGTTCACCTATTTGAGTATGTTTGTAGCAGCTATTGCTCTATGTCTCATTTCCTTTAGCAAGGTTCTGATAAGAATAATAGAAACAATTGGGACCTTGCCACCAATCTCCGCCCCAAAAGAAAACACCTCAATTCTCAAATGAGGTCCCATTAAGCCTGTGTCAGAAGTTTCTCATGAGGTCTGGGCCACCCCAGAGCCCTGGGATTGAGATTTTTTAGACATTGCTACAGGCTGCTGTGCCCATTTCAATGGATGGCTGTTGCAGTTGGGTTCCTCAAGACACAGACTTGGAGGTGGCGAATAGCATGTTGGTGGTTTGTTAGTGGGTACTGTGGGGATCAACAGCCATTGATTGTTGGAAGGCAAGAAGGCAGGGGTGGCCAGAGGAATAAGTGTGATGTAGTTGCAGTGGAAGCCTCAGCTGACCTGACAAGGGATTCTGAAGATGAGATGGCCCTTGGGAGCTGTCCTGAGTGGGGCAAGAGGGCCAGGCCTTTCTATCCTCATGTAGATAGTCATTGGAAGTGAGGTGCCCAGAGAAGGTGACATGACCTTAGGCAAAGTGGATTTTCTGCAGCTGGGATAATCTCTGAAGGGGGCTGAAAATCAAGGGCTGCCTGCCAATAGCACTCCGAGTAACTGAAGTAATAAGTTCCTAATTTCTGAAGGGCAATCTGTGCAAGCTCATCACAGCATCTGCCACATTGACCACTTGGGAACTCCACTCTTCTCTTTAGTAGTTCCACGCCAAACTTTGTTTATTGGGGCTTTTGCGGACCTTGCCACCTGGATGACCCAAAGGCTCTGGACAGAGAAGCGTAAGAGTGTCTGGTGAGATCAATAGAGTCATGAATCCTGCTGACTACACTTTCCATGAAACAACTTCCTTTATCCAAAGACTAGGGTTGCCATCAAGGGGCTGTTCCATACACAGCCACATAGCCAGGCGAAGCTATGAAGCCAGCCATATGCCATGTTATAATTATGATGCCGTAAATCTCTGTTTTCATGGACCTGCCTCTCCAGGACTTTGGAGCTTCTGGAGCCTGGAACTATGTCTTATTTAATTTCCGCTTCTTCAGTGTATTTCTTAATGCCTGTTTCATAGCTTGCGCTTTTTCCATTTTGTTTAAGTGTTAGTAGCACTTAAAAGTATGATGCCTAGATTTCTCCTGGGTCTGTCCGAGCCTGTCAGTAGTTTTGATTGTCTTCATCAGTTACCCAAATACAGTGTTAGTTCTAATTTGGTAGTTATCCTTTGCGTTGTCGCTCTGCCTAATACTCTTAAAGTCACAATTATATTGAAGTAGAGTAGAATGGTGATGAGGTGGGCAATGTTGGTGCCTGCTGTTGCCTGTGTGCAAGGATCCATCCAGGACTTGGATCTTCTGCTGCATGAGAGGAAGCAGGAGCTGGGAAACTAGCTTGATGTTAAGCACACCTGAATTTGAACTCTGCTTATCAGCTGTGTAATCCTGGCGAAGATGTTTATCCTAAGACTCATTCTCCTCATCTGTAATATGAGTTACTACACAAATATTCAAAAAGCAACATTATTCATAATAGCCAAAAAGTGGAAACAACCCAACTGTGTATCAACAGATGAATGGATAAACAAAATATAGTATATCCATATATAGGAGTATTATTCAGCCCTAAAAAGGAATGAAATTCTGACACATGCTACAACATGGGTGAACGTTGAAGATATGCTAAGTGAAATAAATCAGACACAAAAAGACAGATATTGTATGACTTTGTTTATATGAGCATTATTACTATGTGCTCTGAATCTCTTCTGGCCACTAAACATGGTTTCAAATGAACACACTATCAGATATTTATTTATTCTTCAAAGATTTATTGAATGAGTACTCCTCCAGGTACTGGGAATACACCAGTGAAAAAGACAAGATTTCTACCTTCGTGGGGATTACATTCCAGCGTGGAGAGGCACTCAATATATGTATATATATATGAACAAATGTACCACATAGTCTCAGTTGCTATGAAGAATAATAAAGGTTGACGGGAAAAGCATCTCTGAGGAAGTGACATTTAAATAGTGCCTTGTGAATATCTGGCAGATAAATATTGTTGAAAGAGGGAGTGACAGGTGCAAAGGCCCTCAGGCAGGGATAAGTTTATGTGTCTAAAGAACAGCAGGGAGGCAAGTGAACAAAGGGAGAGAGTGGTAGATGGGGAAAGAGAAGTACAAAAGCCGTGTTGCCCATGGAAAGGACTTTGGAGTTTGTGTAAGCACGATAAAAAGTCATCAGAAGGATTTTCTCAAGGGAGTGACATGTTCTGAATTATATCTTACAAGACTCACTCTGACTGCTAGGAGATTCTGGGGGCCAAAGGTGGAAGCAGAGAGAGAATTAACAAAGTTAATGCAGTAATAAAGGTTAGAACTGACAGTGGCTTGGAGCAGGGAGGTAACAGTCAAGGAGATGAGAAGTGATTGGATTCTAGATATATTTTGAATTTAGAACTGGTCGTTTTGATGGCTGATTATGTATGGGATAGGAGAAAAAAAGAAGTCAAGCAACTGATTTCGGGCAATCTGCTTTACAGATGAATGGATTATTATTGTCTAGCAGTAAAAGTAATGGGGGATGAGGCATACAGAAAACAATAGAATGAGTCAGTGAAATTCACCAGACTCCCCAAAGAATCGTTTTGGTCAGTAGTTAAAACAGAGAGCTATAGCAGAGAGAGAGAGAGAGAAAAGAAGAAGAAGAAGAAGATGAAGATGAAGAAGAAGAAAAGAGAAAAGAAGAAGAAGAGAGAGAGAGAGAAAAGGAGGAGGAGGAGGAGAGGAAGAAATAACTTCTGGGAGGAAGAAATCCTACACTAGAAGACCTCAGGCTCTTGTTGGTAGTCATTGGAGATGGCCTTGGAAGCTTCTGAAGCTCATCTACTAAAGAAAAATGTGTCTTTTGCTGGGAGGCATCAAACATAGAAATGTGGATCTCTTTCCTCAGGGTAGCCTAGCAACCACCAGCCTGGCACAGCACATCAGCAATGCCTATGTCACCTATTACGGTGACCACTCCAAATCCAATGCCACTGGAATCCAAAAAGGAACTTGATTTTTAAACCCCTTCCTCTTATTTCTCTCTCAGAGGAAGTCAGTCACTACAGCAAGTATGGACATTGAACATCCCTTTCCAGGGAAATTACCTTGTCTAGTGATATGGATGTCTTTACAGTGCATCAGGTTGGTTAGGAAGCTTTTCTCCATAACAATAGAGCAATGCTGGCTGTAGAAAGTTGAAAGTTGAAGTCTCTTTCTACTCAAGTAGTCAATGAATCTACTGTATATTTCTGTATATTACAACATTCCAGGGCTCCTTTGCTGGCTGCTAACCCTCCTCACCCTGAACTCAGAAGTTACATCAACCATTCATTTACTTACAGTTTCATTGAGATCTAATTCACATACCATGCAGTTCACCACTTTAAGTGTACAATTCAATGGATTTTTAGTCTATTCTGAGTATGTAAATTTTTGTTGATGTATAGCATACATACAGAAAACAGGACAAAACATAAATGAACAGCTGATGAATTTTCAAAATGAACATATTCATAAAGCCAGCTTTCATCCCGCTACAGCCCCCACAGGCCTCCTCATGTTCCCTTACTGGCATTACACATCCCCAAGGAGAGCCAGTATCCTGACTTCTATCACCATAGATTAATTTTCCCTGTTTTAAAACTTTCTAAAAATGAAATCTTATAGTATGTAGTCTTTGTGTCCAGCTGCTTTTCTAAATTTTTGCTGTGAAATTCAATCATGCTATTAGGAGTATTTGTAGGATGATTTATTCCCCTTGATGTATGGTATACCATTAAGGAACTAAAGTTCTTTTTTTGTCCATATTGCTACTGATGGATAGCTGTATGGTGCACGATTAAGGAACTGTAATTTATTTTTTGTCCATATTGCTATTGATGGATATTTAACATTTTCGTGTATGTGTTTGGAGAACATTTTCTGGGGCGTATACCTAGAAGTGGGTCATAGTAATGTGTACATGCAGCTTTAGTAGGTACTGCCAGTTTTCCAAAGGGGAATATACTATATTACACTACCATTAGCAAGATATGAGAGTTCTGGTGGCTTCTTTACTTCACCAACACTTGGTGTTGTCATCAAGCTTTCTCAACCTCATCTTCCTGGACTCTGGCCAGAAGGCCCCTGAGTAAGCTTCAAGTACCTTCTCCTGGTGTTATATTATCTATATGTATGCACTCTGCTGGAGAGACTTCATGGTTTGCAACAAATTTTCAGAGGAGCCCTTGTCCCAGAGAAGGGCAAAAACTACGGCTTCCAGTTTTCAGCTTTCTTATAATCTCTAATATTGTGGTGAAACAGCCTTTTATTTGAGCCAAGATTTCTCCTGGAAAAGCTGACACTGGTAGATAGTCGTCTCTATTTTTGAAAAGCACATTATTCAAGGCCAGAACACTCTGGAGTTTTGCTAGTGCTGGTGTGCATGTTGAGCAATATGTTGGGGATATCCAAAAATTACATGTCCTAAATAAAGGGATGATATTTATTGAGATACTTTAGATGCCTGTGCTATTTGATCAAATAAACACTTATGTGTTTACAAATTGAAAGAGTGAGAAAGTTGGCACAGCAAAACCAATTTTAGTCGTGGGCATTATTCTGCTTTGGAAACAACCTCTTGGCATGATGGCATGTCCTGATGGTTAGAAATGTGATACAGTTGGAAATGGCTGATACAGCTGAAAATGGCTGATACAAGCAGCAAAGAATTAGGGTCATAAAACCCTGCATCCTTCTGAACACACCCTTATTCTTTGAGGTCAATGCATGGACTAATTTTGGAGACTTCTGTGGAACTCAAACCTGTCTCCACTGACAGATGCATTTACACCAGATTATGAGGGTAAATAGGAGAAAGACAGGTCTTTGAGGGAGGAATTACAATTTTCAGCTTCTTAAACACTTTACTTTTTTCAGAATAAATTAATTTTGATTGTGTTTAGAAAGCAGTCAAACTTCTGACTCAGACTCTGAAGAATTCTTCTTATTTTAGTACTGTTTATCCAGTCATCTATCTATCCATTCATTCATCCATCCATTTCCATCCTTACATCTGTCCATCCAAACATCCATTCATCCATCCAACCATCCCATGCATGTCAAACACCAATTGAATATATAACATTCTTAAGCATTATGGGATGATACAGATGATTGGTTCATTTCCTGATATAGCTGGAGAGGGAAGACATACCCACATGGAATACCTAGAGAATACAGTACTATCAAGATAACATGGGCAAGTACAAGTTAAGATGGTAGGGACTCAAATGGAGTGAACTTTATGTGCAGAGCACTGATGGGTAGTGAGATGAAGCTTGGAAGGCTTCTTGAAGGAGTCAGTCTTGAGCTTTGCAAAGAAAGTTGTTTATACTTTGCGCTGATGGATATTAGAAAATAAAAAGCCTTTGAGGAAAGATGCAGTGATGATACACTGGTGAGGAGAGGATAGCCTGCTGACATCAGGGAAACTGCTTGACCAGAGCACAGAGGCAGCCACCTTCTTCTTGGAAGGCATCTTCTTCCTGGCAGCCACCTTCTTTTGGCAGCTTTGAGAACCAGGCACAGGAGCTTGAATTTGTTCCAGTGAACAAGGGGACAGTCCAGTTGGAAAAGAGATAAGACAAGGCTGCCCCCTTCTGGTTTCTTGTGCAGTCCATTCATGCTCCCATCTGAAGACACTAGGGCCTCTGCCTGCCTGGAGCATTCTCCCCTCCAGATATTCACATGATTTCCCCCCTCACCTCTTTCATCTCTTCATTCAACTGTCACCTTCTCCTTGAGGCCTTCCTTGACATCACTTTAATTAAAATTGCAACCAACCTCAAACCACCAACACTTCCTCTTTGCCTTCCCTGCTACTTTGTCTTCACAGCACTTTTCACCTTCTAATCTACTACATGATTTTCTTATCTATTTTGTGTAGTGTCTGTTTTGTCAGTTTTTCCTTGTTTATACCTACTAGAATATAAGCTCCCAGGAGAGCAGACTTTTATCTGTTGTTCCTCCAGTGCCCAGAACAGTGCCAGGCAGACAGGAGGCACTCAAGAAATATTTGTTGAATGAATGAATGAATGAATGAACTGATGTGACAGCCATTAGAGGATGGACTGGACTAGGCCTTGCATGGGAACAGGAGGGACAGCCACAAAAATGATCTGGCTGGTCATTGAGTCCGTCATTAGCTTCTAACTAGTTTGTAAGAATCTCAAGTGGTTACTTGATTAAATGCCTTCCAGAGACTATCTTTGGACCACATGAGAAGTGGCTCATAGAGCAGAGACCTGACAAGAGCTTGAACTCTATTACTCATGTGCAATTTATTGTATGTCACTTATGCTGCAATAAAGCTGTTTAAGAAGAAAGAACGTGAGCTCTACCTACACAAATCTGAGGTTAAATTCAGTTTCTGCAGTATGCAAACTGTGTGACCTTGGACAAGTTACTCAACCCTATGTGCTATGAAACTCAACTGCAAGATGAAACTATCAGCAGCTTACTCACTGGATCTTTGTGAGGATTAAATGAATTAACTTAAACCTATTAGCCCAGTGTCTGACAAATAGTGTTCAATCATTATAATTAAAAGGAAAGGCTGGGAAGCTTCATGATCGAGAGCATTGGTCTTTGAATGTCTGAATTTAAATCCTGCTGCCACATACTAGTTGTGAGATCTTAGGCAAAATATAATTATTTATCTCTATATGCCTCAGTTTCTTCATCTGAAAAGGACAACATGATGCCTATCTCATAGGGTCACTGTGAAGATTGAGTCAATACATATGAAGTGCACAGAACAGGGCCTGAAGAGAGTAAGCACTCAATACTACTTGTTGTCATTATTGCTTCTTATTATTATTCTTGCAGGGCTTCACCTGGTTTCTCAGCCACTATGACTCCCATCTTCCCCATTTCTTTCTATGTGGACAATCCCAGGCCTTTCACATGCTGTGGTGCTGCTGGAAGATTCCAAAAATGCAGCATTGCCATTGTCTGCACCTCACTCCAGTTTCACCCATGTGATGGTGCAATCAGAAGACAGTGTCAGTGCCAATTCTGTGTGCTTAGAAATGTTAGCAAGCAATTCTATAAGAAAAAAATCTAATAATTATCTGATCAAAAAATGGACAAAACATTTTAATAGACATTTCTCAAAAGAAGACGTCCAAATGGCAAATAGACATATGAAAAGCTGCTCAACCTCATTGCAAATCCAAACTACAGTAAGATAGCATCTCACCCCAGTTAAAATGGCTTATATTCAAAAGACAGGTAGTAGCAAATTATGGCAAGGATGTAGAAAAAAGGGAATATTTGCACATTGTTGGTGGGAATGTAAAGTAGTACAACCACTATGGAGAACCATTTGGAAGTTCCTCAAAAAACTAAAAATGGAGCTACCATATGATCCAGCAATCCCACTGCTGGGTATACACCCCAAAGAAAGGAAATCAGCATATCAAAGAGGTATCTGCACTCCCATGTTTGTTGCAGCTCTGTTCACAATAGCCAACATTTGGAAGCAACCTAAGTGTCCACCAACAGATTAATGGATAAACGAAATGCGGTACATATACACTATGAAGTACTATACAGCCATAAAAAGAATGAGATCCTGTCATTTGCAATAACATGGATGGAACTGGAGATCATTTTGTTAAGTGAAGTACACCAGGCACAGAAAGACAAACATCACATGTTCTCACTTATTTGTGGGATCTAAAAATCAAAACAATTGAACTCATGGACATAGAGAGTAGAGGATGCTTACCAGAGGCTGGGAAGGATAGTAGAATGTTGGTGGGAGGAAGATAAGGATGGTTAATGGATAAAAAAAAATAGTTAAAGAATGAATAAGACCTACTGTTTGATGGCACAACAGGGTGACTCTAGTCAATAATAATTTAATTGTACATTTAAAAACAACTAAGAGGGTATAATTGGATTGTTTGTGACACAAAGGATAAATGCTTGAGGGAATGGATACCCCATTCTCCATGATGTGATTATTACACATTGCATGCCTGTATCATCAAAACATCTCATGTACCCCATAAGTATATACACCTACTATGTACCCAGAAAACTTTTTAAAAATTTAAAAAATTGGAAATGTGAACAAGGGTCATGAAATAGGCACACGAACAGAAGAAGACAACCATTTGCCCAACTACAATTTGCAGGACTTCTCCCCTCCTCCCTGATGGGAAAGACTAATTTTATTTTCTCTCAAACTGCAAGTATAGGTCAAAAGGAAAGCTTGGTCCTTCAAATTAGTTTATGGCCCAAGAACAACCCTTGTTCATAACTGTAAAAATGATTGAGTTATAGAGGGGAAGGTGGCTTACCCTGGCTCCCAACAGTTAGAAGGGCAAGGTTCCCATGAACATCAGAGGAGACATTCTGAGAGAAAAAGGTCACTCCTCAGGAACTGAATCTGAGAAGGACCAGGCCACCTGTTTCTACTGACAGGGACTGGGTCCAGCATCAAGAATATGATGGCAAAAGGGCTTCCCAAATGTGACAGAAATTGGGGTGTTGGGTCTTTACCTCCAGAACAGAGGTAAGAAGGGGAGAAGGACATGTAGAACATTGATGTTGATAATAGTAATGGATGTGTGACCCAGCCAGCCTGTTTCTGAGAGCCACTCACTCACTCACTAGGTGACAATTCTAGGAAGTGGAGTTCAAATGTTTTAACTGAACATACAGGCTCCAAAATGAGGCCGTGTGAGAATCAGTTTGCTTACTGTTTTTCAGAAAGTCTGCTTTAAAAAGTCAAAGACAAATTTTCATGGCAGGAATTCTTATGCTAGGAATTCATCCAGAGGAGATTCATCAAAAGTGTGGTCATGGATTTATGGGTAAGAAGTGGTTGTATAAATGATGGTACACTCATAATGATCACAAAACCATCAGCAATATCCATTTAGTGCATGCATCCTGTGTACCTTGTATAATCTCCATTATTCCTACAGTACATCCAAGATAGGTATCATGATTCCAATTTTAATGATAAGAGAACTGAAGCTTACAAATGTTGAGCAATTTGCCTGTATTCATACAGCTATTACTTTGAAGAGCTGGTTCAAGTCAGTTCTGTTGGTCTCTTAAAAATCATCGTGTAATCCTTCTAATGAGATTCTAGTCCAGAGCCTCTAACTTTTTTACATTCTTTTTTTTATTATTATTATACTTTAAGTTTTAGGGTCTTAAAAATTATTAAGAATTCCAAGTAGCTTTTGTTTTTGTGGCTCTATCTCTCTATACTTGCCATCTTATAAATTGAAATTGAGAATCTTAACAATATTTATTGACATGATTTAATTACTTAAAATAACAATAATAACCCTACTATAAGTAAACATAATAAATTTTTATTAAAAACTGTTTTCTAAAACAAACAAAATGAGTGAGTGACATTAATTTACATTTTGCGGATCTTGTTCACATCTGGCTTGAAGAAGACAGTGACCATGGCAGCTACTGTAAATCAAATTGAACTTCCAATAGCTTTCTTTTTTTTTTTTTTTTTTTTTTTTTTGAGACAGAGTCTCGCTCTGTCGCCCAGGCTGGAGTGCAGTGGCGCGATCTCGGCTCACTGCAAGCTCCGCCTCCTGGGTTCACGCCATTCTCCTGCCTCAGCCTCCCGAGTAGCTGGGACTACAGGCGCCCGCCACCACGCCCGGCTAATTTTTTGTATTTTTAGTAGAGACGGGGTTTCACCGTGTTAGCCAGGATGGTCTCGATCTCCTGACCTCGTGATCCGCCCGCCTCGGCCTCCCAAAGTGCTGGGATTACAGGCGTGAGCCACCGCGCCCGGCCCTTCCAATAGCTTTCACTCATGAGCTATGAGATCCCAATCTAGTCATTTAAACTTATCTGAGCTATATTTCCTTTACCTGTAAAAGGAAGAAATAACTTCTGCTGGACCTACTTAACAGGGCTGCTGTAATGATCAAAGAAAAATGCTATATGTAATTAGACCTTTTAACTTAGGTACATCCTAGGACAAGGACTTATTCTAATGTCTTCTCATGATTTCTTCAGAAGAACAAGCCTCCCTGGACAATGTTCAAAACAGTAATAATCACTGGAATGTTTCCATCATGGCCAAATGTGAGGCACAAAACTCTTGCCTCAGATTGTGTAATCTTATAAACTTAGACATTTCCTCCTTACCCCACTTACTCCCTGAAGCTTGAAGATTTGCAAATTTTTATGAGTCTAACAATAGCTCTTTCCTGTGTTTATCAGAAGTTTTCCCTAATCTTACAAAAGAAGATTTGTTTTTATGAATTTACCTAAACTAAGCTGTTGCCTGCTTAGACATAAGACACCAAGGAGGTTAAAGGGTAAAGTGTTTTATTCTGCTTCATGATAGTTTCCTTTACATATTGTTTGGTTCCCATTTACTCACACATTTACTCTGTTTTTGGTTTTAGAGTCTTGAGCAAACCTCCTTTCTAGGAGCATTCCTGAGTTAGGAGGGCTTTAACAGCTGGTCTTTGACACCATTGCATTGCTGGGATTATTGCTATTTGGGCAACCCTCAATATTTTTGGGACTCCATTGAATGAGAATCCGTATAATTCAGCTGAGGTGACATTTCAACTGGGTTATTCAGATGGGATCTGTCAAATAGAGTCTTGGAAGGGGCCCCTTCCCACCCTCATCACAGCATTTCCATATGACATGTACTGTACAAATAATTTATCTCTGGGGAAAGGAAGGAGGGATGGTGGAGAGGTGCCCATCTTATGTGTTCTGGTGGGAGGTTAATATAGAAGGATATGGCTGGGTGCGGTGACTCACACCTGTAATTCCAGCACTTTGGGAGGATTACTTGAGGTCGGGAGTTCAAGACCAGCTTGGCCAACATGGTGAAACCACGTCTCTACTAAAAATACAAAAATTAGCCAGGCGTGGTGGTGTGCACCTGTAATCCCAGCTACTCAGGAGGCTGAGGCAGGAGAATCGCTTGAACCAAGGAGGCAGACGTTGCAGTGAGCCAAGATTGTGCAACTGCACTCCAGCCTGGGCAGCAGAGCAAGACTCTGTGTGTGTGTGTGTGTGTGTGTGTGTGTCTATGTGTAGATATAGATATAGATATAGATATAGATATAGATATAGATATAGATATAGATATAGATGTGCAGGATGCTTTTGTTGGGCAGGGCTCCACATGCAGGTCATGGTTAGTTAGTTAACTCTGCCTTGTTCCAAAAGCTGTCCTTCACTTTTTCCCAGGCCAAGTCCCATGTGTCAGACTGAGCTCTCACTTTCTGAATCAATTGTCTTTATGTTTCCAGGAGCTGCCATGGTTGCTGGTGCAGGCCCTGGCAGTGACAGACAGACATTAATTAACCACATCTGCTGGGCTCACATTCTTCTTCAAGTCATCTGGTGGTGATTTCTGGCTGAACCAATGCATTTGTGAAAACAAGCAAACAAAAAAACCTAAATAATTTAATTGTTTGGCTGAATACTGATTTCTTCCTATCTTTTTATTAATGGATTTTCAAGCAAAAATATGCTGTTCTTCCCACTTATGGTGTGGCTATTTAGCTGCTTATGGTTTTATCTCTTTGTGATTCCCTTTACTCGTGGGCACAATGCCACACTGATAGTGCAGAAGGATGACTTTGTACACCAGTCATAGATGCACATTGCTCTCAATGTGCATCTTGATTTGGTTCTTTGCTATTTAAGTTCCATCCCACACCCACTTTGTACAAGTGCATTGTGTTGAGGGGGCAGGGTTGGGCACTACTCTGCTGGTAGGGATCTGCAGAGACCATAGTGGGTCTGGGTTCAAGGGGAGACTTAAAACAAGTAGGATAGATAGTTATAACATAAGGAACCAAAGTACAAAAGATCAGTTTATAAATCGGGGCATTGTGTGTCAAATAAATGACAAGTTCAAGGTCACACAGCTGAGATTATATCAAGCATATATTGTGAACCTACTGTGTGCCAGCAGTCTCTGCCAGCACGTCCTAGGCATACAAAGATTATAATTATAATAGTAGCAGCTGCGGTAATAATATTGATTGAGAACTTACAACATGCCAGCCACTGTTCAAAGTGATTTACATGTATCAACACACTTCATCTTTCTAACATGCCTCCAAGACAGTTACTATGATCACATTTCACTACTGAGTTAACTGAAGCACAGAGAAGTTAAGCAACTTAACACAGCTAGTGAGTGGCAGACCATGACTCAACCCAGGGAGACTGGCTCCAGAGCCCATGCTCTTGCAGCGTAGGGCCCAGTGAATGAGATAGAATAGTAAATGCATGAAACTGGTGCAGTGGAGTTAGCGGCAGATGAAAGAGAAACAGAGAGCTCTGGGACACTGAGAAGACCACCTAACCCAACTGTTTATGCTAATCTGGGCATACTTCCTGGAAGAAGACGATGGAGTCAATAGATGTTGAATTACAAAGACTGATATCTGGGGCCTGGACGATTAAGTAACTGTCTTACTCTGTGTCAGTCATCTTAGGAGAGGCAGAGCTAGAATGGGGATTGACTTCTTCTTCGTGGAGAATGGTCCCTGGATCAATCCACAGGTTTCTGCTGAGCAAGTTTTATGTATTGAACTCTGATGAAGGAGGGATAAGTGGAGGTTTTCAGGTCAGCATGCAAGTTGTATGGAACATGAATTATTTCTCAATAAAGCTGATTATAAAACAAAATCAGCATGCACTCAGCAGCCAGAACTTGCTTCTAAATACCACTCTCTTGATAAAAGGAAAGCCTTCTTGGACAAATGACAGATCCTAGGGCTTGGGCAGAGAAAATAGAAGATGAGTCTGGAGAATCTTCTAGTGCCAAAAATGAAAAAAATGCTCAACAGACAAAAGGATGGGGACATGTCAAAGGGACTCAGGAGCCGACCTGAAGGAGTGCTCAGAAGTAGAATAATTTGAGCAACAAATAAATCATATTGTATTAGATTATAACACAAGGTATAAAACACATATATATGTCCACTGTTATAAATAAATGAATGAATAAGCAAGTAAAAGGGGAAAAGAGGAAAATCTTCCTTAGAAAAGAATTCAAAAAATTTGTGGGGATTCTCCATCTCCAGAAAGTGGAAGTTAGCTCCCACCATCCCCTCTTGAGGATGATCTGAACTTAATGACTCTCTTCCAAAGAACAGAGCATGGAAGAGGGGTGAGTAGCAACTCTACAGTGGAGAGACCTGACAGACACCACCCTAAGCAAGGAATCAAGGTTAACATCATCCGTGATAAGTCATATTGATATCAAGTGCCCTCTGAGGTGACATGATGACAAGAGCACTTGGTCTTTGTGGTAGTCTTCCCCAAAATTCATAGTCCTAATCTAAAAATGAAAAAAGTAACTTCAGACAGATCCAAATTAAGGGATATTCTACCAGATAACTGACCCGTATTCTTCAAACTTTGAAGGTTATGAAAAATAAGGGACTACTGAGAAACTATCACACACCATAGGAGACTAAGAAGACAGGACAACTAAATGAAATGTGGTATCCTGGATGGGATCCTGCAACAGAAAAAGGATGGTTAGTGGATAAATGGGTGAAATCCAAATAAAATCTGAAGTTTAGTACATAGTGATCTACCAGTGTCGATATCCTGGTCTTGGCAATGTACCATGTAATGTAAGATGCTAACATTAGAGAAAACTAGGTGAAAGGTATATGGGAACTTTCTGTACTATCTTTGCAACTTTTTTATAAAACAAATATTACTTTGTAAAACAAAGTTACTTTGTAAAAATTTGTAAAACAAATTACTTTGTAAAAATGTGTAAAACAAATAGAAACTATATTTAAAGCATAAAGCATAAAAGAAAAGTCAGCAAGTGTCAGTATTCTGATCAACTAGAACTTTCATGCATTGCTGTTGGTAATGTAAAGCAGTGCAACAACTTTGGAACACTATTAAACTTAAAAAGTTAAACATACACCCACTGTGTGACTCAGCCATTCCACTACTAGGCATTGACCCAAGAGAAGAAAAAAACATATGTACACAAAAAGACCTGTACAAGAATGTTTATAGCAGTTTTGTTCACAGCAGATCAAAACTAGAAATAGTTATCAACAGGTGAAACAAACCGTGATGCATCCATACAATGGACACTACTTAGCAATAAAAAGGAACAAACGGAAACTTGGACAAACCTCAGAAATGTCATGCTGAGCAAAAGACGCCAGATACAAAGGTGTACATCTTGTATGAGTCCATTAAAAAATGTGAAAACAGGCAAAAACAATCTATAAGTGACAGAAAACTGAACAGTGGTTGCCCAGGGCCAGAAAGGGGACAGGGATTGTCTAGGAAGGGGAAAGAGGGAACTTTCTGGAATGATGGGAATGTTTTATATCTTGATTGGAGTGGTAGTTACATAGGTGTACACATGTGTCATAACTCCCCAAATTGCATGTTAAATTATTTAATGTGGGTACATTTGTGAGGAGATATTGGTCAAAGGATACAAAATTTAGTTAGATAGGAGAAATAAGTTCAAGGGATGTATTGTACAACATGGTAACTATAGTTAAAAACAATGTATTGTAGTCTTGAAAATTGCTAAGAGAATAGATTTTATGTGTTCTCACCTCCCAAAATGATAGGTATGTAAGGTAATGCGTATGTTAATTAGCTCAATTTAGCCATTCCACAGGGTATACATATTTCAAAATATTATGTTGTGTATTGTAAATATATACAGTTTTAATGGCAGGTTAAAATTTTTAAAATTACTTCTAACTATAAAAAACAAAATACGGAAACTAAACTAAAATAAAATGAGTACATTGTAGCTAAAGTACACCTCAATAGTGTTAAGAAGGGTGACAGTTAATTTTATACGTCAACTTGTGTAGATATTTGGACAAACATTATTCTAATGTTTCTGTCAAGCTATTTTTAAGATAAGGTTAACATTTAAATCAGTAGACTTTGAGCAAAGCAGATTAACTTCCATAATGTGAATGGACTTTATCCAATCAGTTGAAGTCCTTAAGAGAAAAAGATTGATGACTCTCAGGAAAAGAGGGAATTCTGCCAGCAGACTGCCTTTGAAGTCAAACTGCAACTCTTCCTTGGGTCCGTGACCTACCCTACAGATTTTGGACCTGCCGTCCCTCTCAATCAACATGAGCTAATTCCTTAAAATAAATCTGAATCCTTCTCTCTTTCTCTGTTTCTCTCTCTGTCTCTGTCTCTCTCTCCATCTATATCTATATCAATATCATCTATCTATATCTATGTATCTATGTATCTATATATCTATGTATGTATCTCTCTCTCTCTCTCTCTCTCTTTCTCCTGTTGGTTCTGTTTCTCTAAGGAATCCTGGCTGAGAAGAAACATAAAGCTGTATCTCAACCCTTCCCTGAGAATCTTATGGCCTTGTTGGAGAGAGAAGACCAACATGGCCACAGAATTAATACAAGAACAAATACGAAATCTCTTATTCCACAATTCTAGTTTCTCTGCCTGTACAACATCAACAGAAGGTGCATCTTTATTGAATGACTCAGAGTTTTGGGGAAGTTTCTGTTGACTGAGAACCTTAAGTTATTCTGATTCCGTTGAAAGATGCTATCAGAATGCACGACCTGGCTTCTGACTCGGGTTTTCAGATTGACCCAAAGTGGGTTTTTTTGCGTGTCTCTTAAGTGCCATCAACAGGTTAATTCTCCCAGATATTATTTATTTTAAATCCTTGGAACAATGTGTTCCCTTTATTTCTGTGTCGAGGTATCCCTGTGGGAAGAACCAGGTGGTATAACATGTCTAGAAGAGAAGTTTGAAGTTGTCTAATCTTTCTGCTTTGACTTTGCTGATCTCTGGGAACTCCTGTGTTTACCTAGCACATCTGAGTCCTTGGGAAAGCTTTCTGGGCCCTGTTTTGTGGTTCTTCTAACAGATGGTTGCATTCTTGTGATTGATTTTTGATCCCCTTCTAAGTTGTATAATGCTTATAGTTATAATTTTCTGACTCTCCAGGCACACAGAGGCTCCTGACTCTGAGATATTTGCAAGTACCATTGACAAATAAGATTTCCTTAGGTTAACTCCACTTATGTACTTGTATTTACATTTTGTATGGTAAAGGCTCCAGTTTCAGAGAGAAACCTCTTTACCGTGCTTGGTGTGGCAGTGAACTTAATTAACAGAGAATTTTGCTGGCAATCTCTATGCTAAAAAGTTAAGTGGGGTTCTGAGGACACAAGGAGCTAAAAAGTTGAGTGTATATCACATATTGATAACTCACATAATTTTGCTTGCAGACATTTACCAATTTGGCAGATTACCTACTTTTACATTGTAGTAAATATTTCCTTTTAAAAATATCTTGTATCTCACAGGGCAAATCATACCCCTTCAGGGGGCCATTCCCACCTGTATGGAATCCAATTACCTACTTAGATCATAACAACTTTTGGAGGACAATGGATGACATGGGGCGAGAGGTAAAGCTTCTTTGACTATATTTGTATTCTTTTTTGTAATAAGTTTCATCCTTCAAAGAAAGAAAGTAAAATATATCTCCAACACCTAGCACATTGTGAACACATGGTAACTAAAGATTTGTGAAATGAATGAATGAACTTGTTTCTAACCTCTGCAATAATAAGATGTCAAACAGATTGATATTTGTATACTACTGATGAGTGGGCAGGAGATTGGGTGTCACTCAGCCTTCTTGGAATGATGTTTCAAATTTTGGAAATCTTCAGTACATAGCAAAATTAGACTTCTGGGTCTTTGATTCACCACCATGCCCAAACAAGTCATAAGTAATCACACATAAAGCATTTTTTTTCTTTTACTTTAAGCTCCGGGATACATGTGCAGAACGTGCAGGTTCATTACATAGGTATACATGTGCCATGGTGGTTTTCTGCATCTATCAACCCATCGTCTAGGTTTTAAGCCCCACATGCATTAGGTATTTGTCCTAATGCTCTCCCTCCCCTTGCCCCCCAACCCCCGACAGGCCCTAGTGTGTGATGTTCCCCTCCCTGTGTCCATATGTTTTCATTGTTCAACTCCCACTTATGAGTGAGAACATGTGGTGTTTGGTTTTCTGTTTCTGAACACACATAAAGCTTAACTGAAAACTCCATAGACATGATTTGCTGCAGCTCTGTGATCCTTGTTAAATAGTTAAATTTATGAGTGTTCTCTAGAAGTTAGTAACTTAGGAATCCATATCTAGAAATAGCCCAGTTACAACATGCCTCTATTTATTGTGCAGGAAGTTTTATCACAAATTAAATATGGCTTGGGTGGTACAGATTTATAATAGGAAAGCTACATAGACAGCATTGATTATGCAGTAAAAGCAATATTGGATGAATTTGGAAAACTTAACATTTTTCCTCTTTAAGGTAGAGTTTTTAATACTATTTGAATAGTTATTTAAAGTGGAAAATTACAAAAATGAATAAAATAAAAGAGAAAATTACATTTGTCTTTCTCCTTCGAATCCTCATCTGAATGTAGATTCCGAGTGATGCCCCATGGAAGGCTCCCCTTGCAGAAGAGTGGGACAACATGACAATGAAGGAGCTACTGGACAAGCTCTGCTGGACTGAGTAAGTCTTGCCATTAGGCACAGGCATTTACTGTGACCACCTTTTAGGTTTATTTAGCAATACCGTTCAACAAGTATGGGACAAGTAGCTGCTTTGTGTCTAAAACCACACCACCAGCCAGTGGCATGCTGAAAACCATTGGAATTGGCTCCTACCCTGAAGATATCTGTACATACAACTTACTTCTTTGGAGTAGTTTTGTATCACAAAGGTGGTATTACCCTGTGAAGTCCTCAGAACAGACCAGAAGGTACCACTTTCTTTATCTGAAACAGCTTAAAGACCATCAGCTTAAAGCTCTCATTTATTAAGTTGTTGATATAGGACAATTTTTGTATTCTTCACTGGTGGTCAAATGTGGAGATGGTTAGCATGTGCATTTGCCACACCTTGTGTGAAGTAGTGCAATTCTTCAAGGACTTAAAGAGGAACCTCTAAAGCCTTTGTGTAGATAGGTCACAACTACAGGGGAAACATGTGTGACTGGACTGGCTGTTCCCCTTTAGTGAAAAAACAAGTACCTATGAGTTAAGCATTAAATTCTTGTTGGCAGAACTGGGAACTGTAGAGAAATTGTGAAGGCTTGTATAGACAGACCACATGGAGAGGCCACACTGCTCTTGGACAGCAGGGAAAATGGAAAGGATTATGAGGGTTCCCATTCAAGCACGTGGTAAATTTGTGGTAAACAAAATAAGAGAAATGGAAGCCAAATTCAAGGAGACTGCCCTGTCTTGCTAAAGAGCATTAGTTGAGAATATGTTTGGCTCGGGGGTTAATGTCTTCATTTTTAGGCATTCATTCACTGCCAACTAAAAGTAAAAACAAGCTTTTAGAATATCTGAATCTTAAAAATGGAAATAATCAAAAGACATAAAATTCATATATTTTTCATATAAAAATTCAGCTTCTAATAATTTAGCTTTAAGAAAGTGAGGCAAAAGAAGAGAGAGGCACCAGCATGGCACATGTATACATATGTAACTAACCTGCACAATGTGCACATGTACCCTAAAACTTAAAGTATAATAATAAAAAAAAAAAAGAAGAGAGAGGCATACAGGGAGAGAAGGAGAGAGGGAGAGGGAGAAACAGTGAAAGAGGCAGATTCAAAGCATTATTTTTAAAAGGGAGGATCTGAAAGCCCAATAGTAGAAGATCGGCAGAATCAAGTATGGAACATCTAAAAAATTGAGTACTTGAGGGTTTTAAAAAATCGTGTTGTAGAGGAATATTTAATGACTGGAAAAAATAGTAATATTAAACACATAGAAAAGCAGGCTATTGTGGTATGGTATATGATCTCATTTCTAAAAACAACTATTTATATATGCACTGCAAAAGCAATGGACATCCATTGAAGTATTTTTAACGTTTAATATTACCATGCAAACATTTATTTTTAAAATGTTTAAAAACTTTACATCATTAAAAATTATTCTTTAAACATCATATTTCATGGTACCAGAATATTCCATGGGAAATGAATACGTAATGTATTTGTCCATTATCATCCTGTTGAACACATTGGTTACTTTCTGTTTTTTGTTATTATCATTATACAATACTCTATAATAAACATCTTTATGCCTCTCCTGTGTTTTCAACCTTTGAAAGCAACCAGTTCTGGAATAGTAAAATCCTTTTATGTCATGAAATCAATGCGTGTTATTAATTATATTCTTTTAAACATTTACCTAATGCTATCTAACACCTCTATGAGAATGTAGTTTGCAATATAATTTATTTTAATAGTAATAAAATTGTAGTATTTAGTTTTAAATTATATACTTTAGATTTTCAAAATATAATAAGTATGTAATTATCTGCATTTGTTTTATAACTCCTGTTATGAAAAGCTTTTAATAAATTCAGTTAGGTCTTCTCTCCTCAGAGAACTTTTAAGTTTCTTGGTGATAAAATCAATCATATGTTTTTGGGATCACAGGGACCCGACATTTTCTATCGTAGCCCTTGGCCTAGTCCTCCACTTAGTGAATATTCTAAGTTGTCATTTGACAAAATAAAGCATTCTGAGATACTAGGAGTATAAGAACACAAGACAATTTTCCAACTCTTCCCAAGCAAGATACACACAGTATTATTTCCTGGATTTAAATGAAGTAATCCCCAGAATATCCAACCTATTGTTGTTCAAACTAAAGCACAATCATACATTCCAAGACTAATGTTGATTATTCTTTCAGTTATTATCATTTACAAAGTGCACTTCACAAACATGAATTGTATTTTCAATGTGATCACAGCTATGTAAAAACATTTTTTAAAAGACCTATACTTAGAAAAAAATGCATCAAAATGAGACTAGTAATTATCTTCTGGAGGGGCAGAAATATGGAAGACACTCGTTCTCTCATCCTTTTATCTTATAAATTTTCCAAATTTTATATAATGTGTATGTATTTTTCATGTAGAAAAATATTATAACATTTATCTTTTAAAAAGTCAACAGGGCAAAAAATACGGAAATATTGCACTAACTTCCTTGACCTTCCATCCTTCAAATATTGTTCTTATTTCTTTTCTTACTGAAGCTCCTAGAGTAAATTCAAATAAAGGATTAGGAATGGACTGGCCCTTCAGAATTACTTTTAGATCTCCCTTTATTTCAAACCAGAATTATTTCTTTCCCACCAAATTGCCAACAATAACAACTAGAATTCCAGCAATATTTTTGTTAAATATTGGCTCTCCAGCTGGGCCAATGTTAGGTTTCAGTTATTTATTACTCCCTTTACTGTATGCCCCTCAATCCACCTAAAAAATAAGGAAGAAAAGAAATAGGATTTTAGGAAGCAACAAATAAAATACTACTTTTATTTTAAATTGACGTCTGGATATGTGTTTTAGTTAGATATTACAAATTGCCTCTGCAAGGAAGGCATGAGCTAGCAATTTCCATCCCTTCAATTATCCTGAGAAATCTTACAAAACTAACTGTAAGTCGCTTTAATGTATATATGACACCATTTCACAGGCTGTAATGATGGGGACTGTCATAGACGGGCTGTCAGGTTGTTACAGCTGCAAATAATGTCAATAATTGGTATGTGTGTTAGGCATGATTCTACAAACTTCTAGGGTCAAGATACAGTAAAGTAGAGAGATGCCCCTTGGTGAGTAGCTGCACTTCCAAGGCTGTCAGCTGACTAATTAGAAAACATTTTGAGGTATCAAAAGCACGAGTTTTGCGTCAAGTACGATCTGACTTGAAGTTGTGTCGTTATATATTCCTAAACTGTCCGAGACTCCGTTTTCTAGCATGTGAACTGTGGAAAAATAATAGATATTTGATACGGTTGTTGCAACAATTTAACAAGATAATGATTTTAAAGACAATGGAGTGTGGAAAGAGTTCAATAAATGGAAGACAATATCATTTATCCCAACCATTGTCAGCATTACCAGGTGGAAAATGCTGCCTCAGATATAACAAGATTAACAATATGCAAACTTCATGTCAAAGTCAAAAGGGGAATTGGACCTTATTAAAGAAATCCCAGAGTGCACACTACTACTGATGAATTTTATGCTGTGCTAGATATAATGGAGTCCTCGAAATTGCATGAGATAGTTTGCTTTCTGGTGTGCTTCCTGATAGGTGATAACCTCTCACCATTTACCTGCCAATGTCAAGCAAAAGCTTACCCATTTATGCTCTATTAATTGTTTGTCCCCTCATCCATTATTTGAGCTTGTCTTCTGTTAGGCAGTAAAATAACTGAATAGATAACTGTGACTAATTTTGTGTTTGGTACAGCACCTAGCATATCCTTTGCATGTTATGGATGTTTAAAAAATTTTGTTTAACTGATATTTCTCATCAATCATTCATTCGTTCAATCATGCAACAAGTAATTATTGAGTGCTTACAATGTTCCAAGCACTATTTTGTTAAAGGGGACACTATGGTGAGTGAGAAACAGAAGATCCTTGTTCTCATAGGTTGATATTCTAGTGGGGGGAGACAGCAATTAAAAAGAATTAACCAATAATCAAGACAATTTCAGACAGTGAAAAGAGTTATAAAGATACTATACAGTAGCAAAATGATAGAGAATGTCAGGATGCTGGGAATATGGAAGCCAGTGGTCGTTTTCATAGACAAATGTGAATATGTCTTTCTAAGGAAACATTAGAGTAAAAAGAAGAGGGTACAAGATGAGACAGAAAAGGTAGGCATGGGCTGGATCACATAGGGCTCTGGAAGCCATGGTGTAAGATCTGAATCTTATTCTGGTTTTAATAGGATACCACTGGAGACTTTTTAAGCAAGAAAATGACATGATTTGATTTATACTTCAGAGAGAGCATCATGGTAGGGAGGGAGGGAAAAGCCTCTGGCTTTGAGTGTGGTGAACAGATACCAGGTGAGGATGAATGGAGGCAGAGAGGCCAGTCTGAAGGAAGTAATTGCAGTACTCCTGGAAAGAGATGGATTCTAAATTTGTGGTGAAGGTGGAGTGATGTGGTGAGAGATAATGGGACTTCCCAATGAATTGGATGGGGGAAGATTGATGGAAAGAGAGAAATAATGTTTGATTTCTAGAGTGTTGGTTTTTACCACTGAGTAAATGATGGTGCTTTTTACTGAGATGGGGATCACTGGAAGAGCAGCAGGAATGTAAGGAGAAATCATGAAAGCACAGAATCTGGAATAGAAGCTGATTCTGAGTAAGGTGTTTTGTTTACAGGGAAAATAATCTGATATTTCAAAAACCTCCGATGTCACGTTTTGTAATATTAGATTCTAGTGACAATTTTTTGACCTTACCACATTGTTTTAAACTTAACCAAGAAAATGTGTTACTTAAATAATTTTTAGAGAATTAAGAAGCTGCTCTCCTGCGTTTGCCAAGTTTGCTCTTGTTTCTTCCTGTGCAGATCTGCAAAGCAGCTTGCCACTCTCTTTGTGAACCTGTGTGTCACTGCAGAGACCCATGAGGTCTCTGCTCTCTGGTTCCTGTGGTATGTGAAGCAGTGTGGAGGCACAACAAGAATCATCTCGACAACAAATGGAGGACAGGTACCCATCCATTCTTCCACAGTCCCAATGGAAAAACACTGCTACTGAAATGAAAGATCATCATCCTTCAATCATGAACTGCTGAAGTGGGAAGCAGGCTTGTGGCTTTTAGAGCATTACCATGGCAGCTCAAAGTGTTTCTTGTAAGGCAGTCTGTTGTCAGGTACCCACTGTGAGAACCCAGTGTCCAATGTAATTTTAAAGCTAGGCTTGTCTCTCTTTATGCACTGTGGCCATTTTCCATACGCTCAATTATTATTTGGTAAGTTTGTAGGAGACCATCTGAATTAAGCTTAGCTTGAGCACTTCTTGGAAAGCTTATAAAGGAAATTCAGTAATGCATTTTCAATTTAAAACACACACTATTCATGGAATTCATTTATCTATTCATTCATTCAATGCCCATTTCTTGAGCCCCGGCACTGTATAAGGCACTGTGCTAGACACAGTAGGAACATATTGGAGTTCTTAAATAATCTGCTTGGTTGTCATGTTCCATTCTTCTCTCTCCCCCTCCTCCTCTTCTTTCTTTCTCTTCTCCTCCTCCCCCTCCTCTTTCTCCTCCTCCTTTTCTCTTTCTCCCTCTCCTTCTCCTTCTCTGACCTTAACTGAAAATTGAGGAGGAGGCAGCCAGGTCAACTGTGTGCATAGCCAGGTAGAACATTTGGAAGTTTTAGCAAGGCTGAGGGCAGGTGGGTACAGTGAGGTGAAATGAGTTCGGTGGCTACAGAAGCAGCAGGCATCTGACCCAGGATAAGATGGGCAGCCTGCAACAGGGAGTAGGCTGGCCTGGGGGAAGGGGACATGGTGGGAGGCAGGGAAGTTCTGCGCTTGAGCCACAAAGCAAGGGGAAGCAGGCTTAGGTCTGCTCAGGCAAGCTAGGGAAGAGCTTTAGGTACAGCTTCACCAGTTCCAGCTCTAAGCAAAAGACTGCAGATAGGACAGAGAGCAGGGATGGTGACCAGAAAGGTGGGATACAGGGGTCATTCTGAAGATGTCCAGCTAAGGTTGGAGTCTGGGAATCTACAAGAGCATAGCTTGTAAAGTAACTTAGAAATCCTGTAACTTTGTCCAAAGACAGCAATTCCTACTTAGAAAACCATGGTGAAAGCCACTATTCACTGCAGCAAAATGAAATGTTAGACATCTCAGAGTAGACATATGTGAGGACAACTAAGAATTTAGCAATTTATGCCCATTCCTGCGTTTCTCTTTCACCTCCTTTTCTCTTTCCAGGAGAGGAAATTTGTGGGCGGATCTGGTCAAGTGAGTGAGCGGATAATGGACCTCCTTGGAGACCGAGTGAAGCTGGAGAGGCCTGTGATCTACATTGACCAGACAAGAGAAAATGTCCTTGTGGAGACCCTAAACCATGAGATGTATGAGGTAACTGTGATATTGTGAAATATATATTTGATCTTCATCCCAGTTTCCTGGCATACAACTTTAAAAATTCTTAGAATCTCCAGAGTGATGTCCTTTGATGCCAATGATTGATGGCTGGCAGCCCCTAGGTAGCTTCAGGATGGGGCTGGTCACAGGAAAGACCATGGAAAGACTAGAGGGTTGGGACTTTCAGCCCCACCCCCAGCCTCCAGGGAGGGGATGGGGCAAGGGGCTGAAGGTTGAATTGATCACCAGAGGCCAATGATTTAATCAATTGTGCCTACATAAGGAAGCCTCCATAAAAACCCAAAACGACCGAGTTCTGGGAGCTTCTGGATATCTGCACAACTGGAGGTTCCTTGAGAATGGCATGCCTGGGGAGGGCATGAAAGCTCCATGCCCTTTCTCACAACTCTTGCCCAATGCACCTCTTCCTCTGTACCCTTTGTAATATCCTTTATAATAAAACAGTAAACATGTTTCCCTGAGTTCTGTGAGCCACTGTAGCAAATCAATCAAACTTGAAGGGGTTGTAGGAACATCAACTGGAAGCAGATTGGTCAGAAATTCTGGAAGCTGGACTTGTGACTGACATCTGAAGGTGGGGGACAGTCTTGGAGACTGAGCCCTCAACCTGTAGGATCAGAAGTTATCTCCAGGTAGATACTGTCAGAATTGAGTTGAATTCAGAGGACACATGGCTGATGTCTGCTATAGAATTGCTTGCTTGCTTAATATGTGGGGAAAAACCACTCCACATTTGGTCACAGAAGTCTTCTGTGGTGATC
Organism: Homo sapiens; assembly: GCF_000001405.40. Taxonomy (NCBI): domain Eukaryota; kingdom Metazoa; phylum Chordata; class Mammalia; order Primates; family Hominidae; genus Homo; species Homo sapiens. The sequence goes on along the minus strand of NC_000023.11, from coordinate 43,794,950 downwards.
GTTGTTGAGTGAGAGAATGGAAAAAAGCACTTTTTTCCATTCTCTCACTCAACATTTGCTTTGAACTCAACTTTGCTTTGAAATTTTTCCACTCAGAGTTACCAAGACACTTAAACAAGTGGGAAGAGGCCACAGTCTCATAGATAATCAAAGCCGAAGTCAACAATGTCACACACTTTATAGACAGTCTTTTTGCCAATAGTGAAAAAGCTATCTCTAACTGAAAAAAAGGAAAAGAGAACCAGAATATTTGGGGTGGGGGAGGATTTATAAAAACTTATAAAGGTATTATCAACCCTCTGTATTTTGCTTTTATGTAATTAGAAAAACACAGAAAATATTTATTTGATAAATATCAAGCACCTCCTATGTGCCTGACATGATTCTAGGAGTTAAGAACACAGTCGTGAACAAAACAGATACAATTCTCTGCCCACATACAATTCTCCTTCTAGTGAAGGAGAAAGACAGTAATGAAACATATAGTTATAATATAAAGTATGTCAGATAGTGATAATTAGTGCGGAAAAAATCAAGCAGGAAGGTGGGGAGAGGGCATACCAGAAAGTGAGATGGGAGAATTGGTTATGCAAGTTTAAATAAGGTGATCAGGGAAGGCCTCACTGAGAAGGTGATATCTGATAGAGAATTGGAGGAGACGAGGGATTGAGCCATGTGGTTCCCTGAGAGAAGAAGATGGAACAGCCAGTGCCAAGGCACTGAGGTGGGAGCAAGCCTGGTGTGACCAAGGAACAGCAAGGTGATCAAAATGGCAGGGCCAGGCTTGGTGGCTAACGCCTGTAATCCCAGCACTTTGGGAGGCCAAGGTGGGCAGATCACAAGGTCGAAAGATCGAGACAACCCTGGCCAACATGGTGAAACCCTGTCTTTACTAAAAATACAAAAATTAGCTGGGTGTGGTGGTGCACACCTGTAGTCCCAGCTACTCTGGAGGCTGAGGCAGGAGAATCGCTTGAACCTGGGCACGTGGAGGTTGCAGTGAGCCAAGATCGCACCACTGCACTCCAGCCTGGCGACAGAGTGAGACTGGGTCTCAAAAAGAAAACAAAAATAGCAGAAGTAAGAGTGTCAGGGCAAATGTAACAGGAGGTGAGATCAGTGATGTAACGGGCCCATTTCATGTGTGGCCTTGGCGATGATGGTGAGAAATCTGGCTTTGACTTTAAGTGCAATGGGAAGTCATTGGAGGTTTTGAACTAAGGAACAATAAGGGCTACTTTAGGTTTCGACAAAATCCTTGTCACTTCTTTAAGAGACTGAAAAGAATATAACGATAGAATGAGAGAGAATCATTGGGAAAAAAACAAAAGCAACACGGCAACAATGTTTAACCATGTTGCTTTTCTTTCAGGCTAAATATGTGATTAGTGCTATTCCTCCTACTCTGGGCATGAAGATTCACTTCAATCCCCCTCTGCCAATGATGAGAAACCAGATGATCACTCGTGTGCCTTTGGGTTCAGTCATCAAGTGTATAGTTTATTATAAAGAGCCTTTCTGGAGGAAAAAGGGTGAGTACTTTCCTTATATAAAAACCTTTAGAAGAAGGTCCAAGAAACTTGTTGCTAAGGCATGCATTTTTTAAAAATGTCAACTTTTATTTTAGATTCAGGGGTACATGTGCAGATTTGTTACATGGATATGTTGCATGATGCTGAGGTTTGTGGTATGAATGATTCTGTCACCCAGGTAGTGAACATAGTACCAATAGGTAGGTTTTCAACTCTTGCTGTACTCCTTACCTCCCCCTTTAGTAGTCCTCAGTGTCTATTATTTTCATCTTTATATCCATATGTACCCCATGCTTAGCTCTCACTTATAAGTGGGAACATGTGGTATTTGGTTTTCTGTTTCTACATTGATTCACTTAGGATAATAGTCTCCAGCTGCATCCATGTTGCTGCAAAGAACATGATTTAATTCTCTTTTTATGGCTGCATAGTATTCCATGCTATATACATACCACATTTTCTTTATCTAATCCACCTTTGATGGGCACCTACGTTGATTCCATATGTTTGCTATTGTGAGTAGTGCTGCGATGAACATGTGAGTGCATGTGCCTTTTTGGTAGAACAATTTATATTCCTTTGGGTATATACCTAATAATGAGATTGCTGGGTCGCATGATAGTTCCATTTTTACTTCTTTGAGAAAACTCCAAATTTCTTTTCACAGTGGCTTAACTAATTTACATTCCCACCAACAGTGCATAAGTGCTCCTTTTTCTCCAACATCTCTTATTTTTTGACTTTTTAATAATAGCCATTCTGACTGGTGTGAGATGGTATCTCATCGTGGTTTTGATTGGCATTTATCTGATGATTAGTAATGCAGAGCTCTTTTTCGTATGCTTTTTGGCCACTTGTATGTCTTCTTTTGAGAAGTGTCTGTTCATGCATTTTGCCTACTTTTTAATGGGGTTATTTGGTTTTTGCTTGTTGAATTAAGTTCCTTGTAGATTCTGGATATTAGACCTTTGTCAGAGGCATAGTTTGCAAATATTTTCTCCCATTTTGTAGGCTGTGTGTTTACTTTCTTGATAGTTTCTTTTGCTGTGTAGAAGCTCTTTAGTTTAATTAGGTCCTACCTGGCAATTTTTGTTTTTGTTTCAATTGCTTTTGAAAACTTAAAGACATGTGTTTGCATGTAACTGTTTTGTTAGTATGCTGGACATAAAATGTTAATCCAGGTTCTAAGCACAGTTCTTTCAAATAAAATATATTGGCACAAACTCATGGAATTAACTTTCTTTAGAATATAACCAACTCTTTGTAAATCAATAAAAGGTTTATTTAATCCTCCCCCAAAATCTTGTGAAAAGAGATGAGTAATCTTTTCTAATTCAGTGTTTTAAAGTATGGGTTTATAAAGCCAATCACCAAGGTTGAGATTCTGAAAATGTCTTGGCTCTCTCTCACTAGTGTCGATTCTACCATATTAAATTAAATTCATTTATTCACTTGCACATATTCAACAAGTGTACTACTCAATTGGGCAGAACATTGCAGGGTTGCTCACTAAAGTGCTGGATTCTACAATGATGGGAATGTTCTAGAGCTGCTTTAATACACTAGTCACTAGCCACATGTGGGTACTGAACACTTGAAATATAGCTAATGAGACTTGGGAATCAGATTTTAAAATTCTATTTAATTAATTTTTTTTTTTTTGAGACGGAGTCTCGCTCTGTCGCCCAGGCTGGAGTGCAGTGGTGCGATCTTGGCTCACTGCAACCCCTGCCTTCCGGGTTTAAGCGATTCACCTGCCTCAGTCTCCCAAGTAGCTGGGATTACAGGTGCGTGCCACCTTGCCTGGCTAATTTTTTGCATTTTTAGTAGAGATGGGGTTTCACCGTGTTAGCCAGGATGGTCTCGATCTCCTGACCTCATGATCCACCTGCCTCGGCCTCCCAAAGTGCTGGGATTACAGGCATAAGAATTCTATTTAATTTTAATTGCTTTAAATATAAATGCAAGTAGCCACATGCAGACAGCACAACGCTAGAATCTTGTCATATTTGCTCTTATAGAACCCACTTTTCTTCCAAGTGGAGGCCATGTAAGAAGAGTCAGTATCTAGAACGGAGGGTGAAGGGCGGGATGTACTCCAAGGAGGAGCAAGACTGCAGAAAGAAGGTTGGAGGCAAATGGGGAAAGTGCCACAATTTTGGCTTAGGGTGCTTCTTCCTGTGTAACTACTCTTTTTCCGCTGCATCACAGGCTCCTCATTCTCCACATTGCAGATAATCACGTTTAGGACTGCTATTGGATTGGTGCATCAGTTGGGCAAGTAATCTACTGTTTGCAAAGTCAGTGCAGTGACCCACCACAAAGAGCCCTGTCATTTTAGTCTTTGAATCTAATGGCTGTAACACACTGGTGCTGAATCTCTTCCTCTTGTGACCCAGGCCACCCATTTTAAATGACTGGCTGGTGGCAAGTAGATAAGGTTTAGGACCAGGAATACAGTCTTCTCTGAATGAGCATGGGTGCCTTTATTTATGGAGAGAAACTGTAACTTTCCATTCATGCCTGCAAATCTTTATCTTAGGCCTGCTATGTGCCAGGCAAGTTGTTAGGCACTAGTATCAGAAAGAAAACCCAAGACCTCCACCCCTCAGAATCTGACTTGGTCCTTGTTGGTAATGAGCCTTGCATAAGACTTTTAAAAAATGATTGTGGGCAAGGCATAGTGGTGCACACCTGTGGTACCAGCTTCTCGGGAGGCTGAGACTGGAGGATTGCTTGAGCCCAGGAGGTGGAGGATACAGTGAATGAGCTATAATTGAACTTCAGCCTGGGCAACAGAGTGAGACTCCATCTCTATCTCAAAAAAAAAAAAGTTTGTTGACATGAGATAGCCTCACCAAAGCATTTGAGATTTCTTTTGAGTTACAACTTTAATGTATTTCTTCAACTGGGCGCCTATTGTATGCCAGACACAGTGCTAGGCACTGAGAATTCAAAGGCACTTTTCCTTGCCCAGAAAATCCAGGCTCAGGAGGAAGACAGTCATGCAAACTGGTAATTGCACAATGTATTGAGTTCTAGGCTATTATAGAAACACCAAGTAGGGCTCCAGACTCACATCCAATATGATTCCTGTTACATTGATAAGTGTATTCAATGACACTTATTTGAAAGTTTCTGTAATGAAATCTGAAGAAGTTCACTCTTATAACAAGATCTTTGCTTTGCACTAGACTATCAACATCACTGCCAAAGACACTGTAATTAACTAGTAACATACAAGCTCAGTCAATATGAGGTAACAAGATAGAAGGGTATGAATTAAGCAGCCCCAACAATCCAGCACAGTGATTAGCACATATCAGGCACACAGTCAGTAATCACCAGAGTTTTGGTTTTATGTTGCTTTGTTTTGTTTCACAAGTTCAGTGTGGCTTGGGTTATTAAAGAGAAGGTAACATTTTGTATTTTGATACAGACAGTGGTAGCCAACTCTTGATTGCTTCTCCCCTCCACACCCCCCACCCAATCCCAGCATCATGCTAAACACTGCTTTTATTTTATTTTTAATTGTAGATATTTAAGGTGTACCTCATAATGTTTTGATACACATGTACATAGTGAAATGATCTTGTGGTCAAGCAAATTAACATACCCATTTCCTCACATGGTCATCTCCTGTGTGTGGTAAGAGCACCTGATTGCTTCTAGATTGATTATCCCAGGAAATGCTTCCCAGTCTCTTAGTGTGTAACATCTTTGTGAATTTGCAAGGACAGGCTTCCTATATTTTGCTGGCCTTCCACTGAGGCATTCTAAGTCTAGCCGCCCTCACCGTCAGCACCCCATCCTACACGGGATGCATCAGCCCTTCATTCTAGCCCACTTCTGTGGAAAGGATAGGCTGTTAGCAATGCATTGAATTCTTGTGGTCTCCTTGCTTTTGTTCATCTATGAACCATTTCTACTTTCCCTTGAATATTTACATCTAATTTATCTCAATTTATGTTTTCAATGGCAGAAGCTGTACTTGTTTTTCTAAATTACAGAAATAAATATAATGACCATAAAACTTTCAAAAACTGAAAGTATGTGAAAAATGTTTCTCTTCTATTGTTCCTCCCCCTAGAGGGCCACTGTTAAAAATTTAGATTGTTTATCCTTAAAGATTTACTGTATGCATAGGTAATACAAGTTGAACATCCCTAATCTGAAAACTCAAAATTCAAAATGCTCCAAATTCTGAAACTTTTGAAGCATCGACATGATGTCTGAAGTAGAAAATTCCATATCTGACCTCATGTGATGGGTCACAGTCAAAACTTTGTTTCATGTACAAAATTATTAAAATATGTATAAAATTACCTTCAGACTATGTGTATAAGATGTATTTGAAACATAAATGAATCTGGTATTTGGGCTTGGGTCTCACACTCAAATCTCATTATGTATATGCAAGAATTCCAAAATCTGAAAAGAGCCAAAATTTGAAACACTTCTTGTCTCAAACATTTCATATAAGGGATAAGGATACTCAACCTGTACTTTAAATATATGTGTGTGAGCATCCCTATATATATGTAGAGAGAACTATATATACTGGAAATACATGTTAAATAATATAATAAATATTTTATACAAATATAACTTTAATTTTAAATAAATATGTTAATATATTTTTCCAAAAACATGTTTTTTAAAAAACATACATCATACATATCACACTGAAATTTGCTTTTTCCTGTTAACAATATGCCATGGACATCTCTCCATAGCAGTACATTTAAATCTAACCCCTTTCGACAACTGAATAAACAGTATCTCATTGTGTGCCTTATCAGAATTTACCCAAGACATCAGCTGTTGATAGTCATTTTTCTTGTTTCCATGTTTTTGCTATTATACACCATGCTGCAATAAACAGCATCCTCCATATAGCTCTACATATTTGTATAGGAGCATTTCTTTTTGATAAATGCTGTAGGATGGAATTATCAAGTCAATTGATTTGGGTAGACCTGTGAAATTTTTGTTAGGGTCTGTCCTCTCACATCCTTGTCAGTTGATATAAGTTCCATATCTGTCTTCTCCAAATCTCATGTTGAAATTTGATCCCCAGTGTTGGAGGTGGGGCCTAAAAGCAAATGTTTGGGTCATGTGGACAGATCCCTCCTGAACATCTTGGTGCCGTCCTCCTCCCTGAGGTAATAAATGAGTTCTTGCTCTGTCAGTTCCCATGAGAGCTGGTTGTTAAAAAGAGCCTGGCACTTCCCTCCCCTCTCTCTTGCCTCCCGTCTCACCAAGTGATCTGCACACGCCAGCTCCTCTTCACCTTCAGCCATGAGTGGAAGCTTCCTGAGGCCCTCATGAGAAGCAGATGCTGGCACCATGTTTCTTGTACAGCCTGTAGAACCATGAGCCAAGTAAATATCTTCTTTCCTTCATATATTACCCAGCCTCAGGTATCCCTTTATAGCAACACCAGCAGTCTAAGACACCAGCTAATAATATTTAAAATTTTTTTGTCAATCAGGTAGGAGAAATTGCCTCATTTATCTATAATTTGTAATTTTTATCATTAACAAAGTATCATTTTGTAAATTACCTTTGCTCATTAAAGTTTTTTTCTGTTTATATTGCAAATATTTTCTCCCAGTGAATCAGTTTTTAACGATTTGTTGTATGATGGTTTCCCCCTACTAAATTCTCAGATACACATTGATTCTTTCTGTTCCACTGACCTTTTTCACTGCGTTCTAAACATTTTTGCAGCTCTACTTATTAAAAAATGTACACATAAACTATCACTATAGGTATTCCTAAATTGTACACAAGTACCTCTGAAAAATTATATCGTTGTAACTATAAAACATTTGAAAAGTAGACTTTTTAAAAAGCTTAAATTGAAAAACCAGAATCTCTAGTATTTTCTTCCACTATCTAGATGTGCAATCTAGGTGTACACCCCCACTTTGGAAAGCACAAGTTTATATTATCTAATCCTATGGCAGCATTGTACTGTTTTAATATCTGTAGCTTTATGATATGTTTATAATATGTTATATATTATGTCAGGTAGGACATTCCCTTATTATTATTTTTCCTTTAATTTTGTCCTTGGTAAACTTCTTCAGTTATTCATCCAGATGAATGTTATTATCATCTCATCAAAGCTCCTGCCTCCACACCCCTACATTACAAAAGCTTCTATTGACTTATTTTATTCTGAACATGCCTCTTTGTTACCTCCCAGAGCTACAATGGCTTCTTTTCTCTCTGAGAAAGTTAGCACTTTGGGGGAAATTTCTTCTACTACCTGAATTATTGGGTCCCTCCCCCTACCCACCCCCCCATAGTTTTTCTGTTTCATTTGTTAGTTGTGAATTTGTTTCTTCTTTGTCTTTGCATTTATTCTTTAAGAACTTCTTTAAGTGTTTGGATGTCCTTGAATATCATCTCTTTTTCTAAGAGTAAAGCCCTACAAAGCTGATGAGATGTTTTGTGTGCATGGGTGGGGCTCTTGAGCTTTCTATCTGCAAGTGGCAGAAATCTCTTCCATGCTGCATAGCTTGTCCTGGCATGAACATGACTTTTCTCTCTGCTCCTTGTTCCTTCACCTCCATTAAGTGCACTCACTTGACTCAGAGGCCAGATTCACTCTGAGAAGGAAGTGTCCAAGGAGCCCCTACATCGAGAAAGCAGTACTTCCACCTTGGCCAGCCTGGCATCCTATGCTGGTCCTGTCCAACCGATCCCCACATGATCAGTATGCACACGTTCTTTGATCAGATCTTGTCCTATTTGTCTGCTCTCTCTCTTGCCTTCTTATATTAGGGGATTCCTAAGATGGTTCTCTTGTATTTTTAAACCTTGAGCTCTTAGACTTTAAACATTTCTTCTTCACATACTTCAGACTTTCTCAACATCTTTTCCTGCCCCAGCATGCCTGAAGGACATTCAAACACCCCTCAAGCCAGTGGCAGATTGGGACATTGATTCTAACAGGTGCACAGTGGGGAGGGGTGCAGGAGACGAGAAAGAGACAAGTTCCCTTTAAAAGGCTTCCTGGTTTGTCTGCTTACACACACGTATGCACACATGTTGGGGAGGTCCTTTCTCTGTTCTTTCTTCCTTATTTTGAAATCTTCTTGTTGGGTTTTCTATACAACATTTGCCGCTGAGTCTTCCACAATAATTTTGTTCAAACAACCTCAATTTTGCAAGTAAATGATGGAGCAGAAGGAGTTGGACACTGCAGTAATATATTGTTATAACATTTCAGACTCTGCCCTGATATTTTCACCAGTGCCCTGTCACAGTCTTTTGAAATTGCATATACAGGCACACCTCTTTTTATTGAACTTCACTTTATTGCACTTTACAGATAATTGCACTTTTTACAAATTGAAGGTTTGTGGCAACCCTGCACTGAGCAGGTTTATCGGCATCATTTTTCCAACAGCGTGTACTCACTTTATGTCTCTGTGTCATATTTTGGTAATTCTAACAATATTTCAAACTTTCATTATTATTATGTTTGTCATGGTGATCTGTGATCAGTGGCCCTTGATGTTACTATTGTAATTGTTTAGGAGTTCCATAAACAGCACCCATATAAGATGGCAAACTTAATCGATAAATGCTGTATGTATTCTGACTGCTCAGTCAACCAACTGTTCCCCCAGATCTCCCCATCTTCTTGGGTATCTCTGTTCCCTGGGACACAACAGTAATGAAATAAGGCCAATGAATGACCCTACAGTGGTCTCCCCAGTGTTCAAGTGAAAGAAAGTGCTGCACATCTCTTGCTTTAAATCAAAAACTAGAAATGATTAAGCTTAGTGAGGAAGGCATATTGAAAGCTGAGATAGGCTGAAAGCTAGGCCTCTTGTGCCAAATACCCAAGTTGTAAATGCAAAATAAAAATTCTTGAAGGAAATTAAAAGTGCACTCCAGTGAACATATGAATGATAAGAAAGTGAAACAGCCTTATTGCTGATACAGAGAACTGAATGATCTGAATAGAAGATCAAACCAGCCACAATATTCCTTTAAGCCAAAGCCTAGATCCAGAGCAAGGCCCCCAACTCTCTTCAATTGAAGTTGAAGCTGCAGAAGAAAAGTGTGAAGCTAGCAGAGGTTGGTTCATGAAGTTTAAGGAAAGAAGCCTCCTCCCCATAACATAAAAGTGCAAGGTGAAGCAGCAAGGGCTGATGAAGAAGCTGCAGCAAGTTATCCAGAAGTTCTACGTAAGAACATTGACAAAGGTGGCTACATTAAACAACAGATTGTCTTGTTTTGTTTTGTTTTGAGATGGAGTCTCACTCTTTCACCCAGGCTGGAGCGCAGTGGCGCGATCTCGGCTCACGGCAACTTCCGGCTCCCTGGTTCAAGTGATTCTCCTGCCTCAGCCTCCCGTGTAGCTGGGGTTACAGTCACACACCACCATGCCCATCTAATATTTGTATTTTTAGTAGAGACGGGGTTTCACCATGTTGGCCAGGCTGGTCTTGAACTCCTGACCTCAAGTGATCCGCCCATCTTGGCCTCCCAAAGGGCTAGGATTACAGGCAAGAGCCACCACACCCGACCGGAAACAACAGGTTTTTAATATAGACCAAACAGCATTATATTGGAAGAAAATGCCATCTAGGACTTTCATAGCTACAGAAAGGAAGTCAGCACCTGGCTTCAAAGCTTCAAAGGACAGGCTGTCTCTATTGTTAGGAGTTAATGCAGCTGGTGACTTTAAGTTGAAGTCAATGTCCATTTACCATTCAGGAAATCCTAAGACCCTTAGGAATTATGCTAAGACTACTCTGCCTGTGCTCTATAAATGCTATCAAACAGCAACAAAGTCTGAATGACAGCCTATTTATTTATAGCATGGTTTACTGAATATTTTAAGCCCACTCTTGAGACCTACTGCTGAGAAGAAAAAAGATTTCTCAAAATGTTACTGTTCATGGACAATGCACCTGGTCACCCAAGGGCTCTGATGGAGATGTGCAAGGAGATTATTGTTGTTTTCATGCCTGCTAACACAATGTCCATTCTGCAGCCCATGGATCAAGGAGTAATTTCAACTTTCAAGTCTTATTATTTAAGAAATACATTTTGTAAAGCTATACCTGCCTTACAGTCCTCCTGCCTATCTGATGGATCTAGGCAAAGTAAATTGAAAACCTTCTGGAAAGAGTTCACTATTGTCAATGCCATGAAAAACATTCGTGATTCATGGAAGGATGTCAATACATCAACATTAACAGGAGTTTGGAAGAAGTTGATTCCAATCCTCATGAGTGACTTTGAGGGATTCAGTGGAGGAAGTAACTGCAGATATGGTGGAAATAGCAAGAGAATTAGAATCATAAGTGGAACCTGAAGATGTGAGTGAATTGCTGCCAACTCATGATAAAACTTAAATAGATGGGGAGTTGCTTCTTATGGATGTGCAAAGAACGTGATTTCTTGAGATGGAAACTCCTCCTGGTGAAGATGCTGTGAACATTGTTGAAATGACAAGAAGGGATTTAGAATATTACATAAACTTAGTTGATAAAGCAGTGACAGGGTTGGAGAGGATTGACTCCAATTTTGAAAGAAGTTCTACCATGGGTAAAATGCTATCAAACAGCATCGCAGCCTTCAGAGAAATTTTTCATAAAAAAAGGAGTCAATTGATGTGGCAAACTTCGTTGTTGTCTTCTTTTTTAAAATTGCCACAGCCACACCAACCTTCAGCAGCCACCACCCTGATCAGTCAGCAGCCATCAACATTGAAGCAAGCCCCTCCACCAGCAACAAGATTACAACTCACTAAAGGCTCAGATGATTGTTAGCTTTTTTAGTAATAAAGTATGCTTAAATTATGTACATATTTTAGATATAATTCTATTGCACATTTAATAGACTACAGTGTAGTGTAGATATAACTTTTATATGCACTGGGAAACCAAGCAATTTACGTGACACAATTTGCTTTATTACAATATTCACTTTATTTCCATTATCTGAAATGAAACCCACATTATCTTTGAGGTGTGCCTGTATTTTGTTCAGGAGGGAACTGAGGAAGACACTCTTATCCAGGATGAGCTGAAATTGTTTCTCAAGTTGTTCTTGACAGGGGAAAGAGTCTTTGGAGGTCATGTTTGAAATGAGGGTTTGGGACTCTATGAATTTCAATTATACATGTCCTCTCTGCTCTGCCTCCAGATAATAAATATACAATCATGTCATCTGCAAACAGAGACAATTTGACTTCCTCTCTTCCTATTTGAATATCCTTTATTTCTTTCTCTTGCCTGATTGCCCTGTCCAGAACTTCCAATACTATGTTGAATAGGAGTGGTGAGAGAGGGCATCCTTGTCTTGTGCTGGTTTTCAAAGAGAATGCTTCCGGCTTTTGCCCATTCAGTATGATATTGGCTGTGGGTTTGTCCTAAATAGCTCTTATTATTTTGAGATACGTTCCATCAATACCTAGTTTATGGAGAGTTTTTAGTATGAAGGGCTGTTGAGTTTTATCGAAGGCCTTTTCTGCATCTATTGAGGTAATCATGTGGTTTTGGTCATTGGTTCTGTTTACGTGACGGATTACGTTTATTGATTTGCATATGTTGAACCAGCCTTCCATCCCAGGGAGGAAGCCGACTTGATCATAGTGGATAAGCTTTTTGAGGTGCTGCTAGATTCAGTTTGCTAGTATTTTATTGAGGATTTTTGCATCGATGTTCATCAGGGATATTGGTCTAAAATTGTCTTTTTTTGTTGCGTCTCTGCCAGGCTTTGGTATCAGGATTATGCTGGCCTCATAAAATGAGTTAGGGAGGAGTCCCTCTTTTTCTATTGCTTGGAATAGTTTCAGAATGAATGGTACCAGCTCCTCTTTGTACCTCTGGTAGAATTTGGCTGTGAATCCGTCTGGTCTTGGGCTTTTTTTGGTTGGTAGACTATTAATTACTGCCTCAATTTCAAAACTTGTTCTTGTTCTATTCAGGGGTTCGATTTCTTCCTAGTTTAGTCTTGGGAGGGTGTATGTGTCCAGGAATTTATCCATTTCTTCTAGATTTTCTAGTTTATTTGCCTAGAGGTGTTTATAGTATAGTACTCTCTGTTGGTAGTTTGTATTTCTGTGGGATTAGTGGTAATATCCCCTTTATCATTTTTTATTGCATCTATTTGATTCTTCTTTCTTTTCTTCTTTATTAGTCTGGCTAGCGGTCTATTTTTTTGATCTTTTCAAAAAACCGGCTCCTGGATTCATTGATTTTTTTGAAGGGATTTTTGTGTCTCTGTCTCCTTCAGTTCTGCTCTGATCTTAGTTATTTCTTGTCTTCTGCTAGCTTTTGAATTTGTTTGCTCTTGCTTCTCTAGTTCATTTAATTGTGATGTTAGGGTGTTGATTTTAGATCTTCCCTGCTTTCTCTTATGGGCATTTAGTGCTATAAATTTCCCTCTAAACACTGCCTCCAGATAATAAAGAACTACTTAGAATAAGTGACTTTTCATAAAGTGTCAGTGTTCAGTCTCTTCTTTTTTACAGTAATGAACTGGTATTTCCTTTACACATCTTTGGATTTATTCTGATTTCTTATGAAAGAGAAAACAGGGAGCCCAAGTATTAACTGCAAGGAGAACCAGATTTCATTAAACGGTGACCTGGATGAATTCCTAATATCATATGCTTTATTCTTTGCAGAGAAGGGCTTATGGTTTGATTTTTTCAAAAAATGCTGGCTACTTATCCCTCCTTTGACATCAGTTTGGTTTGCCTTCATATGTTTGGAGTATAACATGCTTTATTTGGCCTTTGGGCTTCTCAAGTTTAAAAACATGCACTTCATTATATCTGTAATGGATATTTTGATAGAGTGATGAATATGCTCTTCCATTTTGCTGTTCTCTAAGATTACTGTGGAACCATGATTATTGATGGAGAAGAAGCTCCAGTTGCCTACACGTTGGATGATACCAAACCTGAAGGCAACTATGCTGCCATAATGGGGTAAGGCACAATTATGGTGTTGTGGCTGCTATTCAGTGTTGACAAGATAATCACATACTATTAACAAATGTGCCCCAAACTTTGTTAAGTGATTTTTTTTTTACCCAGTGGTATTATTTTTCAAATTCAGCGGTACAAAAATTATTACTGGTTCTTTTCTAAATAATGTCTTCCAATGAATAAATATCTAGGTAGGAAGCAGAATACCAATAACATTTTAAAATTTTTATGTTAGTTTTCTATTAGTATTTAGTGTTGGGGGTAGACATATTTAGGTGACCCATCTTTTGTTGAAAGCATGATAAAAAGACCTGACTTGGGGTGTTTTACTAAGAGACTTCTTGTGGAGGCTGTGTGGGCATCCATGTTACTTAAATGAGATGCTGAGATTTCTGAGTCCCAGTAGAGAAGAGCCAAGACCAGCCCAGTCTTCAGCTTTCCAGGGACGACCAGCACGTGGGAAGGGAAGACCAGGATATCCTGGCCCAGAGAGGTGGTGACCTGGAGTATCCAAAATTAAGATGGGCCTCAGGACATGTATGAGTTTATCTCAGAGAGAGCCAACAGTCAGAACAGAGAGATCAAAGCTAATTGTTAGTTGAAAGCAATCATGGGGCTAGAAATGGAGATGGAATCTAGAAGGTTGGGTGCTAGGGAGACACCATGGTGGAGACAAAACCAAAGAGCAAGGACTGGATGAAATTGGAAGAGCTCAGACATAGCCTTAAGTGGGCATCTGAGGCCCAAGGGTTATTCTTATTGACCACCAGCTGGGTGAGGGGAAGTGGGTCAGCCATAGTGTTATCCAAGGCAAAAATTATGGCCAGTCATCTACTTTTAGTCGCTTGATTCCTTGAAGTTAGAAAGTGCTCTTCAGTGTCAGAAATTTGATATGTAAATCATAAAACTTTGAACGTAAGAAAAGCTAGTGTATAGTTTGTTTCTTTTGGTTGACTTAACTGTGTAAACTGGGCACATGTGTAGCTACGAAAATGAGGCTAGGATGAAACCAACCATTAATTTCTCCCCTTTTTCTTGTTTATATTCTTTAGATTTATCCTGGCCCACAAAGCCAGAAAACTGGCACGTCTTACCAAAGAGGAAAGGTAACAAAAGAAATGCTGCTTCTTTCGTTTCTTCCTTCCTTTCCCCCCCACTCCATCCCTCCCTCCCTTTTCTCTTTCTTTCCTTCTTTTCTACCTACTTGCCTGCCTTTCATTTTTACTTAACTTTTTAACTTACGGACTGCCTAATTATATGTGTATTGCCAGTGCTACGTGTTTGCTATGTTAATTATAAGGGTCTTGTTGTAAAAGACATAGTGCTGATAACTTAAGAACCAAAGTATTCAAATTAATATTTATTGAGTTTATTGTACATAAGACACCATGCTAGGGGCTACGGAGAATATGAAAATGGATATAACCCAGGGGCTGAAAATTTGCTTGTGAAGGAGATAAACCAGGGAGAAAAATTACTGTGTTGTGGGGAAGTCTGCTGTACACATACTACATGAATGATGCATAACAATTACAGATTATAGGTACAGTGGGACTAATTCCTCTGGAGGTGGCAATTTCTTCTTGCAATTAGTGTTCACCAGTGCCAATTATTTATTCCCACACCACTGCTAATAACCTATTTACCAGGAAAGAGCTCCTGAATTATATTATGATGCATGCTTTCCGATTCCATCAGGGTTCTCCTCAATGACCAATGTTACCTCTGCACATAGCCAGGGCCGTAGCGGTCTGCCTCGGCCTCTTCCCTAAAAATGTCCCCACTAGAATATAAGATCATGAAGGTAGGATGTTTTGTCTGATTGGCTCACTGCTGGGTTTCCAGTGTCTGGAACAAATCTTTTCCCACTTTGCCTTTTGATCCTGTTTATGGCTTATTCATTTTATACTATAATAAAATTTTATCTTTTTATGTAATCAAATTTATCCATTTTAAAACCATGGTTTCTGAGTATCTATCATACATAGAAAAGACTTTCTCATTCCAAGATAATTTTTTAGAAATCACCCATTCTTCCACTCGTTTTATGGTCTGACCTATTATATGTAAATCTTTGATCCTTCTGAAACATATTTTGGTGTAAGAAAATAACGTAAGCATCCTACTTTATTTCTTTCACGAGCAGCTATTTGTCCCAGTGCCATTTTATTGAAAACTGTCTTTTCCCTGTGGGTTCAAAATGTCCACCTTTATGAATTCTAAATTTCCTTATATATTTGGTTCTACTTCTGTACTTATTTCTTTGCTCTTTCTATCCATTCCTCTGCTTGTGGCAAGTTACATCATTTGTATAAAAACAAAGAAAAAGACAGAAAGAGAGAGAAAGAAGAGAGGGAGGGAGAAGAACTTAGGCATTTTCATAAACATTTGTTTCAGAAACATTTTGTTCATAAACAAAAGGGCTCCTGGATTTAAAATAATAAAATAATACCATGATTCAGGCAACATGTCACTTTACTTTCTTAAAGACTTACCAGCAATCCTGTGTGATTAATATTTGTGACCTCAAAGATTTAAGACATCTGAAATGGAACAAAATGCCTTGTTTTAAAAAATTAAAATGAAATGCTGGAGTGGAATCAATGGCTCATGGAATCTTTTTTATGAGGGGATAAATGCCTCTTTCCCACTTTTTTTTTCCCTCCCTTCTTTCCTTTATTTTCTCTTTTGTCTCTTTTCATTCACAGGTTGAAGAAACTTTGTGAACTCTATGCCAAGGTTCTGGGTTCCCTAGAAGCTCTGGAGGTAAGGCTGCTTCCCAACCCTATACTAAGGGTGAGAGGCCTTTCTTTGTCCCCAAGTGACTAGCAGGGATAGGTTAATGCAAGTTGGGTCCTGAAGTTCATGTTTTTCCCAATATATTTGCAGAGGCATCTACACAGGACTGGTCAGTTTACAAGTGGTTCCAGAGAGTGTGGGCCCTGGCTGTGCTGGTGGCAGGTCAGGGAACTTGCAATATGCTGTGGTTTAGGTGATGCTACATTGTCCCTGAATTCAGAGTTTCTTCCTGGGAGAGGGCATTGGGTCACTCTGCTTCCAGTTCTGTTAGGGGGGTAAAAGAGGGGAGCTTCTACTACCCATAGGAAGATCCTAGATCCTGGTAGCCAGGATGGGGATGAAAAGGGCTTTTTCCCCTCTCTGGTGATCTTGTAAGAAGGACAGAGTCTCACTCAGGTACATAAACCTATACCTACCCCATCCCCCACTGTCTCACAGTAAAAAAATAAGATTACCTGTCCCCACTCCTGCATGCCCTCTTTTCTGCCTTGTTTTACCCTTGAACATGAGAGATGTAAAGAAGACAGGCTGTCTGTCTGTATGCCAGTTGAGTTTTCTAGACACCTTTGGAAGTAGCCTGAGAAAACGGTGATCTTCAAATGAATCAAGTAGAACTCTAAGGTGGTTAAAGGTGGGATAGGGGCAGGGTAGGGGGCATTTGGTGACAGTCAGAGGGCCCAAAGTACTCATAACAAGTACCCATAATCACCTCCCTCATCAATATTTAAAATGATGAATTGGTGTTCTCATGACATTCATCAGACTGCTAAGTTTTTAATGTTTTGACATAGACTATGTCACCTTTTGAAAGTGATTATTAAATCCAATTATCTGTGAAGCATTTGAAGACAATGGAGACCAATGTACAAATGAGCAGTTAATGCGTGAGAAAAGTCTAATGAGGAGGCTGAGAATGTTTAACTTGTTAAGCCTCTTAAATCCAAGTCTCTGTAGTATATACCACAATCTAGTTGAGCAGCTACATGACTTAGTCCTATTACTCTAACACTTACTTTGCTCAGCTTTGGAGTGACTTGCTTCCTCCTGGTTAAGTTGTTGTGTCTTTCAAATTTGTCATTTTTGTTCACTATTTTAAAGCAAAATTCTCTCCCTCCCTCCTCGCCCCACCATTGCAGATCTTCTGTACTTGATACAGGTGAAACACATGCTCTTGATGTTTCTTGGAATTCTTTCTCAGCAAATAAACTAGAACAATTAGAGAAACAATATTAATGAGGAATATGTTTTGCTTTTTTTTTTTGCTTTCATATACCAATTAGCAAGTTTAAATATAGGCATAGCCTCCAGGCTCAAGGATATTGAGTAAAGTATCAAGACAAAAAATACAGTATATACTCACTAAAAACAGAACTTAACATCTGTTAAAAATTATTAGTTTTTCTGTTTAAAAATGCCATTCAGCATGATTTATAATCCTTTGGGTATATACCCAGTAATGGGATTGCTGGGTCAAATGATATTTCTAGTTCTAGATCCCTGAGGAATCGCCACACTGACTTCCACAGTGGTTGAACTAGTTTACAGTCCCACCAACAGTGTAAAAGACATATGCACACGTATGTTTATTGCGGCACTATTCACAATAGCAAAGACTTGAAACCAACCCAAATGTCCAACAATGATAGACTGGATTAAGAAAATGTGGCACATATACACCATGGAATACTATGCAGCCATAAAAATGATGAGTTCATGTCCTTTGTAGGGACATGGATGAAGCTGGAAACCGTCATTCTCAGCAAACTATCGCAGGGACAAAAAACCAAACACTGCATGTTCTCACTCATAGGTGGGAATTGAACAATGAGAACACATGGACACAGGAAGGGGAACATCACACACTGGGACCTGTTGTGGGGTGGGGGGAGGGGGGAGGGATAGCATTTGGAGATATACCTAATGTTAAATGACGAGTTACTGGGTGCAGCACACCAACATGGCACATGTATACATATGTAACTAACCTGCACGTTGTGCACATGTACCCTAAAACTTAAAGTATAATAAAAAAAAATGCCATTCAGTGCTAGAGGTCTGGAGAATAAAGAGTGTGGAGTTGATTTAAAAAAAAAAGCCATTCAAGATATTTCACCCTGGTAGATATTCAAGCTTTGTGAAGTTACATTCTGAGGCACTCCCAGGCTAAAGCAGTTTGTTAATTGAAGTTCCTGCAACAACTCGTGAGATGGTTGTTTGGGGAACTTCAGTTGAAGGGGAAAGCATTTGTCCTCATATTTTGAAAAAGGCTGATCATTTTTCATTTGAGAAAGTCTCTTTTCCTAAGAAGGGTGTGCATGATTAATTCCTGATGATAAAAATAAGTTGGTCCTGTCCTTGTTTGCTCTTGGCATAGAGAAGGCCACTTGTTTTCTTTTTGCTTTGGTGTCTATTTTGTGGAAGGAAGAAATTCCTGGGAACAAGATACATTGAAAGATAAAGTCCAACTTTTCTTCTGATTGGCTGGAGACAGCCAGAGAAGCTTGCTTAGGAGGTGGATGTAGCCGTCAGGTGCTGGGGCGTGTAGCGTGGTGATACCACAGAAGACCTGGAGCCACTTAACCCATCAGGCAGAACCTCATAATCATACTTTGTAAATAGGATGCCTTACAAATGACTGTCCAAAGTCAGCTGTGTGATTGCAATTCTTTTAAACAAAATGTTTTTCAAAATCTCCCTTTAAAACAAACATTGTTTTCTTAAAACTTGCTACGTTGATTTTATCTTTTCGAAGTAATGCTTAATGATAAAGCTTCTGTTTGGTTACTTTAAAAAAGCATTTGAGCTTTACAAAATCTCTGCCAATTTTTCCTGTTCGTGTCAAAAACATATTTTTCAGACCAATAGTTGTTTACAAATACCACCATCAACAGAAGTGCTTGCCTGCCACAAAAACATGTTTGTTCAGCCTCCCTCAAGAAAGCTCACCTCCACCAAAACATGAACCTGATAATCCTTTTTCTTCAACAGACATATTTTTCTGTCTTTTTTTCCTATCCAGTCACTCCAGTAAACATAAATCCTTTTAAAAACTTTTCTTGAAACCATCAGGCACTAAAACTTTTTAATAGGTAAAACCAAGGTAAAAATGGAATTAGATTATCGCAATTTATGAACAGTACTTAAGATACAAAGAAACCAAATGAAAAAAACATTCTAAGATCTGAATTTCTTAGAAGCTTATTACCAAGGACATTTACCTGCCCAAAGACATATCTTTAAAAACATCAGGATAATGCAACTCTATTTCCGAAATACATTGGTTTGACAATACAAAGCCTACTAAACTGTTCGATTTATTCTAGGCTAAATAGCTTTCTCTGAGTCTCCTTCAAGTTTTTGTTGCTCTATCTTGCAGCCAGTGCATTATGAAGAAAAGAACTGGTGTGAGGAGCAGTACTCTGGGGGCTGCTACACAACTTATTTCCCCCCTGGGATCCTGACTCAATATGGAAGGTAGAGTAAAAGCATGCTAAGCTGTTACAGAAATCCCCTGCACCTGAATCCAAAACCTAAATAGGTTCAGGTAGCTCTTCTCCCTTGTTTCTTATAAATACAAAAAAAAAAAAAAAAAACAACCCAATTTCCTTTGTATCTTATGAATGAAATCGTGTATCTTATGAATGAAATCATTATAATTATACATACATCATGGTGCTGCTTTTCCCTGGAAGAGCAATTCCAATCAATATAACCATAGAAGGTTTCAGCATAAGAATAGCATTTTACCCCATTCTTCATGATATGATTATTACGCATTGCATGCCTGTATCAAAACACATCATGTACCCATAGATATATACACCTACTCTGTACCCATAAAAATTAAAAATCAAAAAAGAGTAGCATTTTAGGTAGTCCAAGGGTTCACCCAATGTCAGAAGAAGTGTCCTTATACTGAGTTAGGACTCAGTAAAACTTCCTCAAATGCCACTGTACAACTGCCAACACGGGGACAAAATTATAAAAACAAAATGAGTTCTAGACTGGGCATGAAGAGACTTGGGTCCCAGCTCTGATTCTACCAATAACAAACTTTGTCATGCCAAACAGGTCACTTCTCCTTTCTGAACCTCACTTTCTTAGCAAGTGGATGGGAAAGCACAAAATGATGAAAAGTGAGCAATAATCAGTATGCTCAAGAAAGTATGAGTTTTTTTTATTTTTTGATCCTAATCCTTAGATGCTGGGAAGTATGAGTTATTTTTTAACATCCTTATTGAGACGTAATTCACATACCATACAATTCACCTATTCAAAACGGTGCACAGTTCAATGGCTTTTAGCATTCACAGCATTATACATCCAAGTGTGTTGTTGTTTAGTTAATTTATTTGATGACAATAAATGAACTAATAATATAGCAGTGATTTTTATGACTATTATACTATTACTAAACCAAGCAATAATTTAATGCCAAAAGCTTAATCTAAACAGGATGAGAAATGTAGACTAGTGAGTCAAAGACTGTTGAAAGTATGCAGCAAACAGAGGGGGTAAGTGGAAATGGCTAATCAATCTGTCCATGAAAACTGGTCGAATAAGGAGTAAAACCTGCTTATCAGAAGATACGTAATAACTTTGGTTAGCACTTTCTTTACCTGCTTAAAGATGGCAAAATATTATCCAAGAGAACATTCTGGGGCCAAGGGGCAGCACCTGATAAGCTGCTGGGTCATTAAGTTAATTTTTAGATATGCTGACTGTGTTACTCTATTTTCACACTGCTGATAAAGACATACCTGAGACCGGGCAATTTACAAAAGTAAGAGGTTTATTGGACTTACAGTTCTACATGGCTGGGGAGGCTTCACAATCATGGCAAAAGGCAAGGAGGAGCAAGTCACATCTTACGTCGATGGCAGCAGGCAAAGAGAGAGCTTGTGCAAAGAAACTCCCGTTTTTAAAACCATCAGATCTTGTGAGATCCATTCATTATCACCAGAACAGCACAGGAAAGACCCCCGCCCATAATTCACTCATCTCCCACTGGGTCCCTCCCACAACACATGAGAATTATGGGAGCTACAATATGAGATTTGAGTGGGGACACAGAGCCAAATCGTATCACTGAGTGTAGAATATGTCAATGGTATTTGTTTCATTCTGCATTTATTGGCTAAGTGCCAACCATTTGCGAAGCACTGTGCTGAGAACTTCAATACCAAGGACAGCCTCCCTGCTGAGAAGGAGCTGACAGTGTTGAGGGCTAGGGTGGGGATGGGGAGAGGACATGATATCAAAAATTGACTCTAAAGTACTGACATATGTCCCTGGAAGGGAATAAGGATAAAGGAGGGCACTACTGTATCACCACTCAGAATGTTACCACTGAGGTAAATGCTCTAATACAGGGGCATAGAGATACCACTGGAACACACAGAGGCACAGGCTAGCTTTACTTAGAGAAATCTGGGAAGGCTTCATAATGCACATACCACCTGAGGGTTGTAGGAGGCAGAGAAAGGCTATTGGGGATGCAGTCTATGCAGATGGAATGGCATGAGGAAAACGCTAGGATCCCACAGGTTTCTGGAAAGTCTGGGGAAGAACTTTGCATGGATGGTGTATTAGGCCATTCTTGCATTGCTTAAAATAAATACCTGAGTCTGGGGAACTTATAAAGAAAAAAGGTTTAATTGGCTCATAGTTCTGCAGGCTATACAAGCATGGTGCTGGCATCTGCTCAGTTTCTGGTGAAGCCTCAGGGAGCTCACAATCATGGCAGAAGGCAAAGTGAGAACAGGCAAGTCACATGGCGAAAGCAGGAACAAGCAAGTGTGGTGGGGAGAGGTACCATACACTCTTAACGTGACCAGATCTTGCTAGAACTCACTATCATGAAGAAGGCACCAAGCCATGAGGGATCCGTCCCCATGATCCAAACACCTCCCACCAGGCCCCACCTCAAGCATTGGAAATTACAATTCTACATGAGATTTGGGCAGGGACAAATATCAAAATATTATATCAGATGGGCTATGGGTGATATTAAGGACAGAATGGAGAATCAGATCAAAGGGGGAGGAAGAACAGTTTGCCCTATATGACACATTCAGGAATACAAAACTTGATATTTCAACAGAGAACAGCTATCACTGCATTACTTTTGTTTTTGGCTTTGTTTTAAATCAGAAGTGTGATATGATTAGATTTCTGACCACAGAGTGGTGGGTTTTATGCTCAATTTCATAAATACCTTTTGGTTTGGGGAACAAAGAGGACACTAACCTGAACTGGCCTGATCCTGACCACGTGAGAGAAGCAAGATAAATCCCATTGTATCTGGCATTGGTGGTGATACAGTAATGCCTTCTTTTATCTTTATTCCTTCCCAGGGATATATGTCAGGCTTCCTATAACTACCTTCAATTTTTAGGGTAGAAACTAAGGCACAGCATAGCTTAACATAATTCCCAGCTTGAACAGAGACTACCTGCCCAGAAGACTTCCCTTGACCCTTCAGGGCCATGGTATTTAAGATATTGCAATAAGTTTTATATTCAGAGCCCTGAAAGTTCACAGTACATGTTCTGAAGGAAAAGAGAAGACAGAATTACCAGTACAACTTGGTAAAGAACTAAATATACATTTCTTAAGAAATGTTTCTTCTGGATAGGGTGAAAAAAATGATTGTCGTGATTATGCAGTAAAACTCATAAGCCACAAGAAATATATGTGGAGTTCCCCTTTATGATGTCCTATATCTTTTGTAAATATATACTGTCTGTTCACGCACCTGCAAAAGAAGGGGCAGGTATTTTTCTTACCTGGTTGTTGGACTCTTTTTTTCCCTTAAAGGAACATAATTTCCAAATGACAAGTGGCGGGAAACTATCTCTTTGTTTAAAATTAATTCTTGGTTTTCACATATTCTGATTTATAGTATGATTAGTTCTCTAAGCCTTTGTTCTGTCTTCTAATATTTCATTCTTAGGGTCTAGCCAGGCCTCCTAGAGGTCTCCAGCTGGGGTTAGTTTTCTCCATTGAAAAAAAAGTAAACATGTAGTGAAAAACGGCATTGTTTAATCAACACGGGGAAAGTCAATCCACCTTCTCTTGTAGGAAGGGTTCCTTCCTGAGTACCCTTAGGCTCTCTATATATTTCATGTGTTGTCATCAATATACTAATACAGGTGTTCCTCAAAATATGATGGGGTTATATCCCAATAAACCCACCATAAATTGAAAATATTATAAGTGGAAAATGCGCTTAATACACCTAATGTACTGAATATCATAGTTTAGCTTAGCTACCTTAAACGTGCTCAGAACACTTATATTAGCCGACAGTTGGGCATAATCATCTAACAGAAAGCGTATTTTATAATAGAGGGTTGAATATTTCATGTCAAGTTTTAAATACGGTATTGAAAGTGAAAGACAGAATGGTTGTATGGGTACTTGAAGTATGGTTTCTACTGAATGTGTATTGTTTTAACACCATCATAAAGTTAACAATTATACGTTGGAGACCATCTGTATTCTATATAATATCTCTCCTTGTATTTTCTTCTCCTTTTTGTGATGACTACAATCAGAGCAGGTGAAAGAAAACCCACCAATGCAAGCCAGCTCATTTGGTTTTCTAATAAAAGGCCCAGTGGTGTACAGTGTTGACTAAGATGGAACATGGATGTTAGTTCTTGACATCGCTTATCAGATATAAGAGAACCATGAGACAGGATGAATAATGGCATGTTGACGGTGCTTTCCTTATGGTATTTTTGTCAGAGCAACAATGAACTGCCCCTCTTACAGGCCAAGTGCTATGACATTTCAGTCCCTTGTATAGCATGTGGGCAGTCTACTAACTATTAAATATTATAGGGTGATGATACACCAGGCAAAGAATATAAGATAAAAATAGAGACTTTGACATCTGTTAGACATGGTTCAAATCCTGGCTTTGCTATTTTCTAGGAGTGTGGCTCTTGGCATATCACTGAACATTTCTCCAAGCCTCAGTCTTCTCATATGTAAAAATGAGATAATGATAATAGTAGCTACATCACAGAGTTCTTTAATAGATTGAAGAAATAATGCAGTAGAGAGAGGAAGTATAACTAAGTGGTTAAGACTGTAGGTTCCAGAGTCAGATTGCCTGTGTTCAAATACCAACTCTGCTACTTACTAGCTGTGACCGAGAGCAAATTACTTTGTCTTTGTTGCTGGTTAGGTTCCAGGAAGCAGACCCTGAAACAACGATTAGCAGACAGGATATATATTAAGGCATGCCCTTAGGATTGGCAGCTGTGGAAGGGAGAAGGAAGCAGGAGTGGGCATAGGGAGAACTTGGGCTGCAGTGCAGTTCCAGTGAAGGCCTCAGCTGACCCCAGAGGAAGTTCCAGAACTAGAATGGCCCTTCAGAGTGGGAGGTCTCAAGTTGGAGCTTGGGAATCAGGTATTTACAGCCCGTGGTGATCAGTCACTGGATGCAACTGCTATTGGAAGGAGGCATGACCTAGTAGGTAACATAGTTTTTTTTAGCAGAGGCAATCTCCAAAGAGGGCTGACATCAGTAGGCCCTCTTCTGGCAGCACTCCCAGCAGCTGGGAATAAGTCTTTCATTCTTGAAGGGGGCCTGCGTGGTTCATCACAATGTCCACCACAGTCTACCTCCATATTCTTATCTGCAAAATGGTGATAATAATAGTACCGACCTCACCAGTACAGGCAAGTGTTCAAGGAATAGGAGTTATGGAGCCATAGTCAGACTCTCAGATTTGTTAAATGTTACTGATTGAAAGGGTCTTAGAAATCAGTGGACCATTCCCTTTAAGAGGCAAGGAAGCCAGAGCACAGTGAGAGTAAGTGATTTGCCAAGTTCACTAGTGGAATAGCCAGTGGGGAATTGGGGGCATGTATCACCTTGCCACAGAGCCAGTGAGCCATAAAGGGAGCCATGTGACTGGGCTTACACAGTCCCTCACTTCATGTTGATGAAGCAAATACATAATTTACGTCCATTAATGTCAGCTCCTTCACCTGCAACTCTTGGTGCAGGAGTGAACTTTGGCTTTTATTCTATTTTGTTTGTGACAAGGATCATGTAAGAGCTGGAGGAACCACATAAACATTATTCCAAAATTGCCAATGTCCTTCTTGATTGTTTAGAATCTGTGGAAGCTGACCAGCATTGGTCTTTATGGGAAAACTTTTCTCTGACTCTCTGAGACTGACCACTTTTGCCTCTTTGGTTTTGTTCCAAGGGTTCTACGCCAGCCAGTGGACAGGATTTACTTTGCAGGCACCGAGACTGCCACACACTGGAGCGGCTACATGGAGGGGGCTGTAGAGGCCGGGGAGAGAGCAGCCCGAGAGGTAGGGTCTGGGGTCATAGATTATGGGGAAGGAGGCAACTCATGGTCCTGACATGTAGGTCAAAGATATCTGAGAGCCTGGAGACCAACTCTCCAGTAACCCCCATCTTAAGACCCATAAAATACTATTTTAACTATTGTCTCAGGTGAAGTGAACACCTTAGCCCGAAGTAATAATGAAAATACCTAACATGTCACCCGAAGTAAAAAGAGCCCATGGGGCAAACGATCAACCTGACTATACTTGAAAGGTAACCTAGGTCTGATATTCTAGAACCAAACATGCTTCTATTAGGACTCAAAATTCAATTCATTTCACAGGAAAGATTTTCTGACAGTTCCTCTGATGTCATCCCTATTTGAGGTGTGTTCATAACTATTAAAATTTATGGTAAGCCTAATGATTGGAACCTCTTATACCACAGGAGAAAGACCTTTTGGCGCCTCTTAAAGGTTGTATGGAGTGTTCTGGCCTTTACCTTGGTGTTTTTGATGGATATCTCAAGAGACAGTTACTTAGTCCTTTAGGGAGCAGATTAGAAGAAAGATGGTGTCACTTTTGCTATTTGCCAGTGTGTTCTTTCATTTCAGATCCTGCATGCCATGGGGAAGATTCCAGAGGATGAAATCTGGCAGTCAGAACCAGAGTCTGTGGTAGGCTATGTTTTATTTCATGAAATTAGATATCTTTTCTCTAAACCCATTATTTTCAAGAAGAGCACACTTGTATATATTCACATACCTTTTCCTAAGTGATTCAACTAAGTGATTTAAACATGAATGTTTAAATAAGTATCATGGGTTAGGGTAGAGGTGAGAGATTTAGATGAACTTTGATAAATTTGTAGCTGTCACATTCATTACAGATTATTAGGAAAAAATATTTTTTGATGAGGAGGGAGACATTTCTCGGAGACTTCTAAAAATAATAACTCAATAAATGCCTGTCAAATAAATATCTAGCCTGGTGATTCTCCACATGAGGTAGGAAAAGAAAGGAAAGTGTGTTAGCATCTCCTGTCCAGGGACAAACAAATGGAATGAAATGGAGAATATTTAGATTAAAATTTTATTTTTAATATACTCATCATTTTTGTAATAAAATCCTAGGAAGTTTTCCTGGCTGGAAGGAGGGATGCATAGAGGTTAGAGTGCAAACGCACTTTAGAGGACAAAGTCACAAAGGTCAGAATTATTGCTCTATCCTTTTAAGTGTGAAGTCAAAGAGAATAGGCCTGCCACTCCACAGTCATTCTCTTAGTGCTTCTGCCAGGGATGGGATTGTGGGCTGTAGGGACCATTGATTCATTTACTAACAAGTATTTATGGCACACGTGTTCTGTATCAGCCATTGTGGCAAAGGCACAGCAGCATTTTTGTGGAGCTCAACATCTGGTGGAGAATGCAGATGATAACCAAAAAGTACAGAACAGTGAAGAAGACATGCTGAGAAAAAATGCAAAAGGAGAATGTCATCCTAGGCTGGGGTCTCAGGAAAGAAAGCCTCCCTGAGGAAGTGAAGGGTCCAGTGAGGAAGACAGGGTAAACAGTATAAGCAGAGGGAACATCGTGTTTACTGGTCTAGACGTTGGCAAGAATGGGTCATGTTCAGAGAGCTGGAGAAAGTACAGACTTTCTGGAATAAAGTGCACAAGCCCTGTACTAATACCCAATGTTTTCTGAACCTAGGATGTCCCTGCACAGCCCATCACCACCACCTTTTTGGAGAGACATTTGCCCTCCGTGCCAGGCCTGCTCAGGCTGATTGGATTGACCACCATCTTTTCAGCAACGGCTCTTGGCTTCCTGGCCCACAAAAGGGGGCTACTTGTGAGAGTCTAAAGAGAGAGGGTGTCTGTAATCACACTCTCTTCTTACTGTATTTGGGATATGAGTTTGGGGAAAGAGTTGCAGTAAAGTTCCATGAAGACAAATAGTGTGGAGTGAGGCGGGGAGCATGAAGATAAATCCAACTCTGACTGTAAAATACATGGTATCTCTTTCTCCGTTGTGGCCCCTGCTTAGTGTCCCTTACCTGGCTTAGCGTTCTGTTTCACCAGTTTCCAAGTTTATTGCCCTCAAAATCTTTAGAATAGTTAAATTGGCTTGTTTAAGGTTCTTGCTGCCCCACAACACACCTTGCCCATGCACAAGGAATGAATTTTTTCCTACCATTATGGCTTTGTGCTTGTTCTTCCTCTTACCTGTAATAGCCTCACCTTCCCTAGTTCTTTGCATTCGTCCTTAGAATACTGTATTGTTACAGCTGAAAGACAGTAAAGACCATTTAGTCCTCACCTTCTGTTTTAGAGTTGAGCAAACTGAAGCCCACAGAGGTGGAACTTAATTACCTAAGAGCCACAATAAGCCACTGGTATCTGGGGGACTAGAACACAAATCCAACGCTTTTCCCACCTCTTTGGATGTTTTCCCCAATTATCCTCCTTCACTCCCTGTCATAGTTACCGATGGTGTCCCGTTGTGTGGGTTTACTCTGTGCTAAGTTGTCTTACACTTCTCAAATGCTACTCAGTATATAGCCTTAAGTCTTACTGTTTTGTGCGGTGTGTCTCCAGCTGATTTTAACTTTTTTGATGGTAGAAATTTTATCTCTTCTTCCTTTTGTATCCTCCATTGTATCTTCATACAAAGGACAGTACACACTTGGGTAATTAAAAATAAAAGTTGATTGACCATATCTGCTGTCCTTTCTTTTTGGGTAATGACTTTCAAGCTTTGGACACATCAAATCAAGATCCAGTATTAAGTATATAATTGTGACTTGAAAGCATTTAGTCAAAATTTCCTTGAAGCCTGGATGATGCATGCATTTGATTGCATGATCCATCATGGGTGGCATATGTGTGAGCATGCTGAAAATGATTTATAAAGATATGGTAAGAATACTAAAAGATGCAGTTCCTTGCCTTCACTACCCCAAAAAATACCTGCCAAAATAAATGACATATTAATAAGCAAGATGCTTAAACTATTAAGCTAATTATAATATTTCAGTTGACATTTCATATTCCTTCTTGGTGCAAAGCTTTTTACTAGGTACACTCATTAATTTGAAACTGCAGTTTCACAGTCCATTAAATTCTATTTGGACTATTTTTTAAATGGTATCATCATTTCAAAGCACTCATACCTCTCGACTCCCACCGTCAGTTTTCATTGGTATGTTTTTTAAATCCATAAATGGCCATTCTTATACTTTTGTTTAAAAAATGAAGCTTATTCTTAGCATAAGTGAAATTGAAGAAATCTCCCAAGATTAATTAATAATAGTATAGAGTTTCTGATTTTACAGTGGCATTAACATGTATGAGTTTATGGAAAATTTAGGGACTGTCTTACTCTATTTTGTGTTGTTTGTTATAACAAAATATCACAGACAGAGTAATTTATAGTGAACAGAAATTTATTGACTCATGATTGTGGAGGCTGGGAAGTCCAAGATCAAGGAACTGGCATCTTGTGAGGGCCTTTTTGCTGTGTGGCAGAAGGCATCACATGGGTGAGAGAGTGCAAGAGAGGGCTAAACTCATCCTTTTATAAGGAATCCACTCCTGTGATAACAAATCCACTGCCATGATAATAGTATTAACCCATTTATGAAAGCAGTGCCTTCATGACCCAAACATCTTTCATTATTAGATGTCACCTTCCAACACCACTGCACTGGGGATCAAAGTTCCAACACATGAACTTTGGGGGATACATTCAATCCATAGCAGATACTAAATGGGAAACCCACCAAGATTTTCTTTGTAACCATTTTTTTTTATTCTCTCTAAAAATGTACATGGCATGGGGTGCCTTCTTGAGCATCTTCTCCAAAAAAGTCTCCCTAAAAGTTGATCTCATTGCTAACTCTAATGCATCTGCTAAGAAAGAGTCAAGGGCTGGCCACAGTGGCTCACACCTGTAATCCCAGCACTTTGGGAGGTTGAGGCAGGCAGATCGCTTGAGCTCAGGAGACCAGCCTAGGCAACATGGTGAAATCCCATCTCTATAAAAAATGCAAAAACTAGCGGGCATGGTGGTGCGTGCCTGTAGTCCCAGCTACTGGGGAGGCTGAGGCAGGAAATTGATTGAACCTGGGAGGCGGGGATTGCAGTGAACCGAGATCACACTCCAGCCTGGGTGACAGAGTGAGACTCTGTCTCAAAAAAAAAAAAAAAAAGAAAAGGAATCACCTTCTCCAAAAATGTCCTGGATCACTCATTCTCCAGCTGAGTGAGGTGCCCCTTTTCTTTGTTTTCCCAATGTCACATACATTGACCTCTTGTTCTGTGCTGACCACATGATACTGCAATTGTGTCGTGTTAATTTACATGATTTGACTGAGGTGCCAAGTTACATTAAATATCAGCTACCAAGGTGAGTCCTGAGATAGACAAAAATAGAGAACTTCAAAGGAAAGATATAAAAAACGTGTTTTTGTTTTCTGTTGTAACCCCTCACCAGTTTTGAGAATATAAAAGGAGTAGAGAGGGTTTTCAAAGGGGCAGATTTGTACAGATCTCTTTAGAGAGAGAGCTGCCATTCTCTGGGTCCAACACAGCACAAAAGGGAGGGATGGGGGGGCTGCCTTCTCATTCCAAGTCTAGTGAGAGAAGCATCAAGAAAACCCCTTTGAGAGCTTCACGTACCTCTGAAGAATCAAAGACCTCGATTCTGCTCGAGGTAGTATATATGTATGTATGTATATATATATATATATTTATCTATTATACTTTAAGTTCTAGGGTACATGTGCACAACGTGCAGGTTTGTTACATATGTATACATGTGCCATGTTGGTGTGCTGCACCCATTAACTCGTCATTTAGCATTAGGTATATCTCCCAGTGCTATCCCTCTCCCCTCCCCCCACCCCACAACAGGCCCCGGTGTGTGATGTTCCCCTTCCTGTGTCCAAGTGTTCTCATTGTTCAATTCCCACCTATGAGGGAGAACATGCGGTGTTTGGTTTTTTGTCCTTGCAATAGTTTGCTGAGATAGTTTTGACCAGAGAGTTAGGGGCTGCCACAGCAACTGCCAGAAAACAAGCTAAGCAGGGATTAAAATTGGCTACCCAAAGGAGAGGCACTGCCTGTTTTGTGGCAGTCAAGGTTAGAGCCAGAGGGAGAGTCTTTGAAAAAAACACCCAAAAGTGTCCTCACAAGAAAGAGTTAGTTCTCATAACAGCCAGGCTTGGATCATATAAAACTACCTTATAAGAGGAACAGTCAAGTAGGAGTGTTCAGTAAACCACTTTCCCTCATTGCCTTCCACACTCAACCCATAAAGTCCCAGAATCCACGGTTGGCAAGCTAAGGAAGGAAGGAGTACAGAAGGAAAGGAAAAGCTTACCACATGTCCCTTGCAAGATGGCACAGCTGCCCCTGAAGCTGGTCTTAACTGGAAGAGGGGAGAAGACTGAGCTTTAAATCAAGTTCAGAGACTTGATCATTCCACAGTACTGGACATCAAAATTACTGAATTGAGACTGTGGTTTGTGGCTTAAGGAAGTCATAGGATTGTCTGTTATTTAAGAGCAATTGATGATAGAGTCATAGACCTGCCAGGGTTTTCAAATGCAAGAAATGGAGAAACTTCCCTCACTGAGCAGGTTTAAATGAACAGTGGAAGACAAAAAATAAAGTGATTTATTTACATCCCATTCAATACACTGGTATTATTATCATCTATTCTTGAGAGCAGAGACAGTTTTCTATTCATCTTTTCATCCTCCGTACCTCCTGTGGTGCCTAAGCCATCATAATGTCTAAAAAATAATAAATGAATGGATTCTTGTAATTTTTATTTTAATTCTGAATTAGCAATCCTGTTATACTTACTCAGCAAACAGAATGCTCCTATGCTGTTTTGCAGAGAGCCAACTTAAATTTTTGGCATACTCATTTTGAAAGTGTCAATTGTCTTCTTTACTAGATTTTAGTTGAGATAGCATTAACTGGTTGGATACAGTTTCCCTCTTGGGTCGATTGATGGATCTAAAGCTATGATTCTCAACTGTGAGTGCATAACAAAATGACTGGGGGACTTTGGAAAGACCCCTTGTACCTAAATACATGAGGAATTGAATATAGCAGGGTGGTAGGTGGTGAGTGTCTTCACAGACCTTCTCTGTGAAGGTCATAATCAAGGGCTAAGAATTACTGGTTCAAAGATGCAGTAAAGCTTGGAGATCTGGCATTGAGCTTTTCTCACAAGACTGCTGCTCAGCCTCCATCCTCTTTCACCTACTCAGCTACATTGGAGTGAAAAAAAGATGCTAATAACATACTTAGAATAAAAGCAAACAGTGTTGCTCCCTAAAAGTTAAGCATCTGGGCCGGGTGCAGTGGCTCATGCCTGTAATCCTAGCAATTTGGGAGGCCGAGGCGAGCAGACCACTTGAGGTCAGGAGTTCAAGACTAGCCTGGGCAACATGACGAAACCCCGTCTATGCTAAAAATACAAAAACTAGCCAGGTGTGGTGGTGCATGTCTGTAGTCCCAGCTACTTGGGAAGTTGAGGCAAGAGAATTGCTTGAACCTGGGAGGTGGAGGTTGCAGTTAGCTGAGATCGTGCCACTGCACTCCAGTCTGGGCAATAGAGCAAGACTCTGTCTCAAAAAAATTAAATTAAATTAAATTAAAATAAAAGTTAAGCATCAATTTAACAAGTTAAAGAGTGATACATGTTTCCTGGATCATAGGAACTACTTGATTAAAGAAAGACTATCTTGATTGGAAGGCATGGTTGTCTTGAACTGGGTACCACCCACAAGTATAGCCTCAAACAAGGGCTTTTATGGAGACCATTCACTCTGGAAAGTGATCCCAGGAAGCAGGACTGTGAAACAAGGGAGGTGGGAGAGCCAATCCGAGGATGTATTATTGAGCTGGTCACTGGTGTGGGATACAGGGGCTCAGTCCTTCTGGGGACCCTTTGAGGAGTCTTGCACAATGTACCCTAGAATAGTTAAAGTGTTCGCTGGAATGTTAACTCCCTTGAACTTCCAGGTTTGCCCATGAATTGGAATAGCCACTGGGGAAGGTGCTGATGTCAGTTTGCACATCTGGTTGCCGCGTCTATGGCTAGAGTAAAAAGATGGGCTGAGAGGATACAGTGGTGCCTAAGAGGTGTAACGTATAGGAACCAATACACAACTTAAAAGAATTCTATTGAAAGAAGCACAGTATTTCATTTATTTATTTATTTTTTAATTTTTTTCTTTGTCCAAGGGAGAGACATGTTGAATCTTAGAAAAACAACCTGTTTATGTGACAGTCTCATGGATATTTTAGTTATAAAGAGAACATCTCAATTTGGGATCTTCAAGGCTGCATAAGTGGGATAAATCCCATCTATCGGTAAGGTCTCATGCCAGAAAGATGTCTATGAAACACTGAGTGCTTGCCATGCCTGTGGTTCCCTTTTTAAAAGGTGGTCAGAAATGAATCTTTGCAAAAACGTCACCTGGTTTTTTGATCCTACTAACTGGCCACAACTGATTGGACTAGGATTGATTCCTGAGTCAAAGCACTCTATAGGTGGCCAGTGGTCCATGAGTTGGCCTGGCTAAAAGCCTTTCTATGACAGTGGTGAAGACAAAGTTGATACAAGGAGAGAGCAGGCTAAGTCACAGGGAATGGGAGAATGAAGCCCAAATCTGAGTGGCTGCTGTGCCATGTGACCTACTGAGGCATCTCAATACTAATGACCAATGCTCCGGGACATCATGAGATTTGAATGAACCACAGTGGAGCTGATCTCCTCTACTTCCTCACTGCCCCTAGTTTTCCTATGGAAACAGAGTGTACCTAACAGAGACATCTTTTCTCTGCCAACATTCACCTGCCCTCCTATCTGCTTCCTTTAAAACGTTAACTCTGCTTGTCCCCAGTTACTAGTCCTCTGTCATTGCATACCCTTTAGGATCTTGTCTCCTGGCCAATATGTTAGGATCCCTTTACTTTCTTCTTAGCCTTGGCCTCAAACTAAAAAGGACAGGTCCTATTCGAAAGCAATGGTAGTTTTCTCACCCATTCCTCATTTCAATAATGGAGCCATCAATCTTGCAACCAAATAGAATAATCTAGAATGTTCTGGACTGTAGGGGAATGTGTAGACAACTTGGTGAAATGTGTTGGTGGGTTTTTTGTTGTTGTTTGTTTCCCGTTAATTTGTCTAAGTGCTCATAAGGAATCATCTGACTTGAAAATCCTCCTGGCGAGTGATCTTAATGACATTTCAGCCTGTAGACACTAGAAGCCAAGCTCTGGTATTAGAAATAACTGATCTAATCAGATCCTACAGTTACCCTGGACTGCTACTTTCTGATGTAATTGCTCTTGTCATTTCTGCTAAGACCACATGACAAGTTACTAACAAGTCATATACCACTCCAGCAGACTGACATCTCAGTCCCTGGCCTCCAACCCTGATCACTTTGAACTCTTCTTTTACCTTTCTTTACATCTCTAATCCCCAACCACTTCTTCCTTAACCATTCTGGTTCACTTTATTCTCCTTGAAAATCCATTTCCTTGCCAGGCAAAATGCTGAGTGGCACTGAGTTTTGCTCTTGAATTTGACATATCTCTCTTACCTCCAGGCCATTTCATTGCATTATATTTTCTTCCCCCCTAGCCTGCTGTCAAAATGTTTTCAATACCAGAATATTCCCTGGGTTATAGAAAATTATGGAGAAAGTCCTGGAGTTGTGTGGGAGCAATGGGAAGAAGACCACCAGCTGTTTCAGAAGAGAGTGAGGGCTGTCTTGGGCCATAAATTCCTCATCCCCACAACTCGTCCATCTTCTCTGGCCTCCTGTTGTGCTCTACCTGATCTTTTACTCTTCTATCTCCAGTGCTGCCAAATGCTCAGGCCTTTGGTCTACTGGTCAAGGCTTACTTTGGATAAATATAATTCCTTTTGGAGCCCAAAGTTCGGTGGGGCTGGTGGCCTTTGGGCTATGCATCCTGATGTTTTGGAAGCACTCTAAGGGCAGGATTGTCTTCAAAATAACATCTTCTAAAAGCTGCCTGCTAAATGTGAAAACAGTACATAAAGTATATGTCCTTAAATAATATAAAAGCCTTCCTGCCAATTCCCTGCATGCCCTCTCCATGCAAGCTGAGCCCCCTTTCTTTTAGGTGCCCAATTCCAGAGGCATTGCTTTAAGCAAAGGACAATGTAGGCAGTTAAACCTACCACAGAAGGGAGCAGTATAGGAGTAGGGTTCACAGAGGAAGATGTAAGTATTATAGACTATTCCCATTGGCAATGGCCATCTCTTTTTGAGCCAAAAGTTAGGACAGAATGTTGGGTACTAGACTTACTCACTATACATTCTTCCACCTCCTTCAACATAGAACCTTGATTTTGTTCAGCTATTTACACACTACTGTACTTCAGAAAAGGTAGGCTGGCCACATCGCCAGTCCCAAGACGTGGGTACTGGTTAGCCTAAGGCAATCATGGTGGTCCTATTTTATTTTGTCAATGGTTGACAAAAAGAAAAAAGAAAAAATAAACATACCCGGGCTTACTGGTGTATGTTATGCAATTCTGGCCAATGACCATAAGGAGAAGTCTTCTTAGGGGGCCAGCTGGAGCTTGTGGAAAAGAGTTCCTCACTCTTAAAAACAGACACATGAGAAAACAGACACATTCTATCTTCTTTGGGATGTTACAAGTATCTGGATGTGACATTTATAATTGCTGCAGCCATCTAACTACCAGGCCAAGGATGAGGTCCATACACAGAGAAGGTTGAGGCCAAAAAAGTTACAAAGAAATCAAACATCAGCCCTGATATACCCTTCTCCCAGCCTACCCAATTTTAGGAAGTCTGGTCATATGAGAAATAAATTCAACCATTTTGAATACAGGTTTTCTGTTACAGTCCAAAACATCCTAAAAGATCCACCTCACTTGACACAATTTTAAGACCTTCTTATAAGACTGCCTTTGGATAGCAATAATGCTTATTATTAATTATATTATTATAACAACAGCTACTTTTATTAAATATTAATTACAAGATGCTGTACATCATCTTATTTTATCCTGATTCCACTCCCATCACTTCCATTTTACACATAAGGAGTCTGAGTCTCAGAGACAAGGCAAAGTTCCCATAACCAGTAAGAGGTATAGATGGGCTTCAAACCCAGATGAGAGTTGCTCTAAACCTGTGAGTGTTCTCTTCACTGTCTCTACTCCCTGGGTCAGCCTTATAAGATTACTTATCCAGAATACCTAGCACCTGATCTTTCTAAATTATTGCTATCTCCAAAACTTAGGTATTTTCTTTCCAAAAATATTTTTATTTGCTTCTACCACTCAATATGGCCCCAATATCTTCTGGATACGATATTTTGCCTGTTCCATTATAAGGATTAAAGAATGATAACCATTCAACAATAACTCAACAAATATATATTGAATACACTTTCTATTTCAGGTATTTTTGTAGGTGTTGGGAATATAGTTGTGAACAAAACTGAGAAACTCCCTTCCCTCATGGAACTTAAATTCTAATGGGGAGATGATAAATAAATAAATAAATAATAAATAAAAAATTGTTGTAACCTATACTTTCAGGTGATGAAAACCATCATCAAGAAAAAGTAAGCAAGGAAAGGGGATAAAGAGTGATGTGGTGGCAGGGGATGGCTATAGCAGATTGAGTGGTCAGGTTAGGTCTTACCGAGAAAGTGACTTTTACTAAACTGAGACCTAAATGAAGTAAAAAAAAAGCCATGATGCTACTTGCAGGGGAAATAGCAATTGCAAGTCCCAGAGGTGAGAGCATGATTGGAGTATTAAAGGAATAGCAAAACAGCCAGTATGGCAGGAGCAACAGTAACAACAAATTAATGCTAGAAAATGAGGTTGGAGAGATAGACAGGGGCCAGATCATGTAGGAAGTCTTAGGCCACAGGAAAGGGTTTGGCTTTTATTCTAAGTGTGAAGACGATTCACTGGAGTGTTTCTAGTAAGGTAGTAGACAGTCTGGTAAATTTTTACAAGAATTAGTCTGTCGTGGATACTGTAGTGTGCTACTCAAATCTTCCTTTGGAAATGATGCACTCATTCACGCAGCTGCTCGAAGTTGGGAGGCTGACAGCTCATAGCTGTGTCCCTTTCTGCGGGCTGAAGGAAACCCCCTGTCCCAAAGCATGCCCCTTCCTAGGAGTAGTCGAAATCCAATGAGTGGGTACAAAGAACTATTTTAGTTCCAGACCTCCCCGTGGAATCACCTAAAACCTTTATTGCAATTGCTTCAGAGTTCTGCTTCATCCTCTGCCCAATTTGCTTCCCTCACTCCTTCGCAGGTATTGATCCCAAGGGCACATTCCAATAAGCTTCTTGCATGCAAATCTCCATCACAGAGTCTGCTTCCTGGAAATTCCACCCTGTGAGACACTTAGTGATGTGGAAAGCAGGCTTCTGTGTGGTAAGACTGAAAGCAGTAGACTATCTAGGAGGCCTGGAAAGTTAGTTGTCCAGGCCAGAGACTCTGGTGGCTTGGTCTAGAGTAATAAAGATACAGATCCGTGGAGATCCATGAAGATCCGAATGGAGGGGTTGAGTAGGCTTTTGACTATGTACATTAGAGTTCCAGGGAGAGGTTGGGGCTGGTGATATAATTTGGGGAGCTGTGGGATTGAGTGTAAACAGAGCAATATTTGAAGATGAGCCCCGAGACACCCAACCATTAAATGTGAAATGTTCAATATCTATTTACTCAATTACAAACAGCAGTGATCCCCAAAAGAAATATATATCTAAGAGCTATGACAAATTATGTACTCAGATTACAGTGATTTCACTGTAATCATTCATTATAATCTCCATTATTGCAGCTTTTCAGTGATTATAGCAAGCTGATGTAAAAAAGTGAGTAATAGTTGTTTTAAAATCTTTTAAAAACATTTGTGTTTTATATTTCTGGTGTTTGGACACCTGGTTAAACAATCTGCTGCTGTATTTATGTATTTGCTTATTGTCTGCTACTTCCCAGAGAATTTGAGACAACATCCAGCAACACATTTAAACACTAAGTTAACAAAACAAAACAAAAGGAGATGGTGTGTGAGCAGTAAGTGGATGAGGAGAATGTGGACAAGCAGGTGGGCACAGGGAAGGCCGACTGCTGTCTAGGTAGGGAATCTGAGGGACTCCAGCAAAGACCCATTGACCAAGGCCTGAAAATGTTTTTGTTTCATTTTATCGCACTGTCTGAAATGTTACATCAGAAATCCTCTTAGACTGGGGTCTATCAAAATGCACCTTTGGCCCACCAAATGGATTCCTGGCACGTCTCACTTTAGTGTAAATAAGCTTTATCAAGTTGTGGTCAACTCAGGGAAAAAGTCTACTCCAAAGATGAAATTCTGGGCAACACTAGCACAAGGTGACTTCAGGATGTTGGGGGACTCAATGATTCTTCCTTCCCCATCACCCTCTGAACTCTTCTTTCTGCCGGCCTCCTTAATGTCAGCTCTTCCTCATGTTTCTCCTTGATTTCCTCTGGAGTGCTTTCAGTGGGTGACTGCCTCCTTTTTCAAGATCCTGCTGATGGTAAGAAGAGGACTCCAAATATGTCCAGTGCTTCCCAGGGGTCAGCAGGCATGCTAAAATGACGCTTTTCATAGCTTGACCTCAGAAGGTTGGGTTCCCTATTTGAAAGGGCTCTATGAAAAAGTGGATGGGTGAAAAATCTAGAATAAAGATATGAAAGCGGGGAAGGCTCTGATAATTTCTATAGGCCTTTGGTCCACCCAGCAGACTATGGCCCAAGAACCTTTCCCTGGGGCTTGTACCTGCGGGAAGTGCTACTTCCTCTGCCTTAGGTGTCCTACCCTGTTGTCAGCCTGGAGAATTTCTACATTTTGTCTTTAGCCACTCAGCTCCAGGATTTCCTTCTTTGAGAAGCCAAGGAGAGGAGAGTCACCCGGGTCCAGTGAGGCTCTTTCTCCACCCCAACCCATCCAGGCTGGCAGTGCCAAAAACGCCATATGCACAGCTTAGTAGGGTGACCCAGATAGGCGGGCAGGGAAGAGCAGCAGGGTCCCAGTGTTGCTGGCAGATTATTCAATCAAGGTTCTGCAGAGGCTAATCCAGGTGGATTCAAGGGCCCAGTATTCAGCAGGCGTGCAAAAAGTCATATTCAACCAGGGAGCAAGACATCAGCAGCACCTGGGTGCCAGCCATATCCCTGCCCCAAAGGGATCTGTGATGAAAACAGGGTAGTTAAGGTGCCCAGTGCAGACCACAGGCCTCGGACTAGATCTCAGATCCCATCCTCTCACAGAGATGGGTCTGCCTCAGGGTACAGGACCAAGGCTCCATGCCCAGTAGCCATTAGCAATTCCTTATCCTCTGCTCCTTATGTGTAGGGCTCTCCTGTCTGAGCCTAAAAGTGTGTGTTTCCTAGATTTCCTGCTATTATCCTCTGCCAACCCATCCCCACAAAGACACCCTGGACCTGTTTGCCTGAAACCCAGACTGAGGATGGCTAAGTCCTTGTGCGGCAAGCCCATCTTCTCCGCTAACTGTTTCCTGACCACTAAGGCTGTCGTTTCCCTTTGCTCACCCTGGCCACCCCACCATACTGAGTCTGTCCCTGTCCCAGGAGAGGGCATTGTGCCATACATGGGCCCCTTCTCCCTGTCTCAGAGGGACTGCTGTGCAGAACCCTCATTTCCCTCAATGCCGATCCGTGAAGGATGTGATCTGCTGAGTGCTCAAAAGCACCCACCTGATGCCAAACGACGCTTACATTATCCCAATACTGTCTTCTGTCTTTACCTAACTGGAAATTTTTACCATGGATTCATGTGTGGGGGTGGGGAGAAGGTTAGCCCAACTCTGAGAAGCCAAGAGCACCCTTCCTGGGTACACCCGGTGTCAGTCCTAGCCCTTGGAGTAAGCTGGAGAGAGACTGGATTTTTTTTGTTTTTGTTTTCTGTGCTTGTTAATTTTAATTTGTTAATTTTGCATTTCAGCCAGATATCCAGCTTCCCTGAGAGGCCAGGCTTGTCATAAATGATCGGATGAAATAAATAATGAATAAATGCTTCTCTCTTGGATTCCAGTTTAAATCCAAGAGCCCTGGTGAGATCTGAGGACTGGTTCTGTCAATTATTTCTTCCAGACTGACCTTCGGTTACTAATTGGCTCATTTAAATTCATTCTTTTGAGGGCATGTTACAATGGAAGTGAAATAATTAAAGAGCAGAAAACTTGAATTTGTAGTTGGATATGTTTGAAGGTATGTCATTACCATTATGATACTGGGCACCATATGAAATTGTGGTCCTGGGAAATGACAGTGGGTTTTACTTTTTCTCATGCAAGTGATGTTTCGTAGTAAAACCTGGATCCTTGATGGCTACTTGCTTATCTCTCTATCTATACCAAAAATAGTGGCATAAGGCAGTGCTTGCCAACCTTTTTCACATCACATTACACAGAAAAAAAATGATTGCATTTGTTTTGGCACACTGGGTAAATGGATACAGTTACTGAATGCATGGAAGCTAGTAGCTTAGGGGCTGTGGCCACCCAAGTTCCTATTCCTCTGACTGGAGAACTGATGGCCTCCAGATCTCTACATAGATACAACCCATTCGTGGTGGGGTCTGTCATTTGGGGAGACATTAAACAAGCATTTCAAAAAATATGTAATTGTGAATCTTTATGGAGGGAAAACAAAAGCAGTGATAAGAGCATTCTTTCATATGTTTGTTGGCCATTTGTATATCTTCTTTTGTGAAGTAACTCAGGAATGGAAAACCAAACATCATATGTTCTCCCTGATATGTGAGAGCTAAGCTATGAGGACACAAAGGCATAAGAATGATACAATGGACTTTGGGGACTTGGCGGGGAAGAGCGGGAGGGAGGCGAGGGATAAAAGACAACAAATAGTGTGCAGTGTATACTGCTCGAGTGATGGGTGCATCAGGATCTCACAAGTCTCCACTAAAGAACTTACTCATGTAACCAAATACCACCTGTACCCGAATCACTTATGGAAAATAATTTTTTTAAAGCAGTGATAAGAGATTATAATGGAGAATTAATTGTCCGGGGGGTTTCTCAGGAAATGCATCTCTGAGGAAGTGCTATTTCATCCCTTGGGAAATAACCTAAAGGATTTAGCCAACTGAAGAATGGAGAAAATAACCTTCCATGGAGAGGGAACCAAGACAGAAAAGAACTGGATATATCTGAGGATTTATGAGAACGAGATGGCTGGAAGGTTCTGAGGGAGAGTGGAGTGACCAGAGACGAGGGTAGGGAAACAGGCAGAAAAAAGAGCATGCAAGGCCTTGGGAGCCACAGTGCGTCATATCCAAAGTTCATTGAGCAGCTATTGAAAGGGCTTGAGTCTGGACTGACAGGATCAGATTTGCAGTTTTAAAAGATCTACTTGGGCTGCTCGGGTGGTGTAGTAAAAGGGAAACCAGGGCATTTTAGCAAGAGATGACTAATCAGAGAGGAGTTACTAGTGGAGAAAAGTAATTTGAGATGTATTTTTGAAGTAGGAATCATAGTAGACCACAAAGAGATCCTTTATTTCTTTAAAGCTATCATTTATTGTTAGTACTGTAACAACTTCACTTATGTGATCCTATTGAATGCTCAGAACAACTGAACAGCTAGCTCCATTTAACAGATAAGAAAATGCATGTTCAATACCAAGATTCAAACCCAGGCCTAGCCAGCTCCAGAAACCTGAGCTTTTAACATTTACGCTTTCCTACAAAACAGGGTGACTTAACAAAGTATCTGTTTCTAAAGACAGTTCTTAGGGCTAAGAAATCAGAACGTGCCTTTAGAAATAATAAGTATTCCTAGTTGTGTGTTAAAGGTAGGAAGCTGAAACCAACAGACTTTCCTGTCCCTAAGCTAAACAATACTGAACCAGTCAAAATAACTTGGCTACTTGTCCCAGGAAATACTTGCTCCTGGAATACAAAGCTTTGAAGTAACACAAATAGATTATTTATCAAGACTAACAGCTTGCTCATCAAGACTTGCTTTAAGACACCACTTTACTTTGCCTACCAATCCACAACTACTCTATCATAAACTTTTCCAATTCCAACCAGTTTTTTGCCTTGCAAGATCTGCCTTAAAAACAACCCCCAAATTGAAAACCCTGTGAACCCTCCCCCAATTTTTCCACTTTGAGACACTAGTAAGACTGTCAATGCGATGTTCTTCCTTATGCAATGTGTCTGATAAACTTAGCTTTTCTTGATTGACATGTTTTCTGATGATCTTTTGGGAAGTCAATGGTTGGCAAGTGCCTGGTAGGATACTCTTGCTTTGGGGCTTGGCCATCTAAAGGGATGCCTGAGCAGGTTCATGTGAAAGTCCAGTATTCAGTTGTGTGCAGAGTCTGAAAGAAATTCAGTTATTGGGGTTAAAGAATAGAAATTTCTCTTCTGTCGTTTATTAAAGGTACAAACTTGGAATCTAGTTTCGTGCTTATGTAAGACAAATACATTTGCTTCTCAGGATCCCAGATGCAAGCCTTTTCAGGCTTTGTAGAAGACAAAGCTGGATAGAAGCTATATTGGGGTGTGTGTGTGATAGGGAAGAGGGTAGGCATTGGTGGAAGCAGGGCAGAGCCATGTGGTTTTAAATCATTAAAAGTTCTACTTGCTGCTCCAAATTCAGGTGCCTGGAACAGCAGGGATTTAAGGACAGACCAATTGTGGCATTTAACTCTTGGTTTTCAAAAATATTGAGGCCCATATGGTAGGCTAGACAATAGCCTGGCTGAAGATGTTCACGTCCTAACTCTGGGGCAAATGAATATGTTACCTTACATGGCAAAGGGACTTTGCAGATGTGATTAAGGATTATAAAATAGGGAGATAATCCTCATGGGCCCAATGTACTCACAAAGGTTCTCTTAAGAGGGAGGCAGGAGGCTCAAAGTGAGGAGGAGATGGTGCATCCATGGAAACAAGAGATTGGAGTGATGCAGCCACAAGCCAAGGAATGCTAGCAGCCTTTGGAAACAGAAAGAGGCAAGGAATGAGTTCTCCCTTGGAGCTTCCAGAAGGAACCATTCCTGCTAACACCTTGATTTTAGCCCTGTAAGACTCATTTTGAACTTTTGACTTCCAGAACTGTAAAATAATAAGCTTGTGTTGTTTTAAGCTACTAAGCTTGTGCCATTTTGCTACAGGGGCAATAGGACATTAATACAGCCAACAAAATTAAAATGGCTGATATAGCAAAGGTGGTCAGGCTGCTTGAGGGAGAAGCTGACTTACCCTCACTCCCTTTGGCCTGTCTGAACTGGCCCCATCTCTCAGTGGACTTACCTTTCAGATGTATCCTCCAGCCAGCTCTACACAGTCTAAATATAAGGCCCATCTAATACCAGCTGCCTCATTGGACTCATCTAGGGACCTCATACCTGCATCTTCCATGTTTGCTAGTTGATGTGATAGAATAGTCTATAGTAGCCAGATGAATACACGACACCAGGCAAACAGACCTCCTTTGCTCATTTTCTTAATGTAAACCTAATTCACTGCCAGATGTATTACATATTTAGTGTATGTCTGGCATGGGGTACACAGTTTACCAGCTTAGATGTTGATCTTGCTGAAGACAGAGTTGCCAAGGTTTAGTTCCACTGAAATCCCATATAGTGAACCCACGGGACACTTATGTACCATTCCAGATGCCAGCCACTATTAGGTGTATGTTTTCTGAATTTGTACAGCCCCAAATAATCTAGGGTGCTCTGAGGACCTCTAAGGTGGTCCAAGCACTATACAGTGCCTAAAAGAAACACAATTTTGACGCCCAAATCTTAAAAGTAATGTAAATATTTACTATACCACAAAACTCCTAGCCAAACTTAGGAAGCTTCCTTCCTTCCTTCTTTCCTTCTTTCCTTCCATCTCCTTAGGTTGTCAAAACAGCTTTTGAAAGCCCCTTCTTCTCCCATCATTCTCAGCAAACTAACGCAGGAACAGAAAACCAAACACTGCATGTTCTCACTCATAAGTGGGAGTTGAACAATGAGAACACATGGACACAGGGAGAGGAACATCACACACCAGGGCCTGAGGGGGCAAGAGGACGGAGAGCATTAGGACAAATACCTAATGCATGCAGGGCTTAAGACCTAGATGACGGGTTGATAGGTGCAGCAAACCACCATGGCACATGTATATCTATGCAACAAACCTTCATGTTCTGCACATGTATCCCAGAACTTAAAATAAAATCGAAAGAGAAAACCCCTTCTTCTGTCCAGCTGCACTCCTCCACAGCCCCAAGTTGCCTTTCTGAAACTTTCTCCTCTCCCCAGCTCCCTTCTCCTGCTTTCCCCAGATTACTTCCCTGCCCTTTCTAAGGTGAAAGCAATTCCACCTGTCTCATCTCCCATCGATGTTCTTTTCACCCATTACCCAGATGCACACAACAGAGGCTGAAAAACCAAGAAGTTCTAACAAAAAACCTTCCTGAGAGATTAGGGCAGAGGAAAGGCTGCAAATATTAGATATCAATATTGATCCATGTCACAACTGAAAACAAAGTAAGAGAGTGCAGGCAAATGTGTTGGAGGAAATTCTGGGTGGAGGTGACGCTTCTTAGTTTCCCCAAGAGCGAGGCTGTCTTGAATACTTTAGGATTTCCACTAGAAGGAAACAACACTAATTGGCCAGAAGATGGCACTCTTTTAAAACAAATTGGGGCCGCCCCCTAGCACAGGTGCTGGAAGATAGTCAATCACAGTCGTTAA
This sequence comes from Homo sapiens, assembly GCF_000001405.40. Classification (NCBI taxonomy): domain Eukaryota; kingdom Metazoa; phylum Chordata; class Mammalia; order Primates; family Hominidae; genus Homo; species Homo sapiens. The sequence continues at coordinate 43,750,511 of NC_000023.11, read as the reverse complement.
AGAGCTCCAAGTGCAGAGAAGGGCTGGGCAGACAGGGGAACAGTAAAAGACTGATGGGGTGAACTACGGTCAATGGGACAAATAGGACTTAACAGTCAGCACTTATTAGTTGCAGATGTGGTTTTCTTTACCATTTAGTCATGCCATTTCTATTTTTTACTTCCTGTCTCACTATGTGGTGTCCTTAGTCTCTTGCCACACAGTGATGCTTATGGAGGCCTGAGGATTCTGGTAACTTCCTCTTAAATCGTGCTTCCCCTGCATTCCTAGCACCTCATGCTTTTCTGTAATAGCACTGACCAGAGCCACAATTAATGTGTTCCACAGTATCTACAATCAACTGTGTGCTCCATGAGGTGGGCTGTGTCTTGTACACTGCTGAATCACAGCATGGTGCCTACCTACCACATAGTAGGTGCTCAATAAGTAGGTGTTGAATGATTGTAAGAAATTCAAGGTAATAACTGCTCGCAAAACTTAAGCAGTGCTTCCTTTCTGCTATTCTAAAAGGTTGATGGAGAAGAGCTGATGCCTACTGAGTGCTTGCTGCATTAAGCCGTTACCTGCATTATCTCTGTTTTCCCATCAATTCTGTAAGACAGGTACTTCAAGCCACAGTACTTATCTAGGGGCATGTAAAAAGTAAATGACACAAGGTGCAGGGGTGCCCTATATCAATCCATCAAGATTCTCATTACTGCACTACTCTGTGGACCTTTAAGCACCCCACCCCCGCCAATCTTCGTCTCTTTCCCTGTCCCTACCTCCCCATCCCCCAGCACACACCCACACCTCTTTCCTCCACTCTATTTCACCCATAGACCTCGGTGGTTTGTGGAAAATATATGAGGCCCATTAATAGGAAAACCTGGTTCCCATTGAGGTGTTACTGTTTGGAGTGTAAATAAATAGTAGCCTTTGATGGATCACACGTGCATTAAGGGGAGGTCTTACTTGAAGGGCCCACAGCCCACCTTGAATGAATGGCAAGTTTCCTCAAGCCAGCTTTTTCACATGAGGCTTCCAAAGCTGCTTTTCAGAAACTTGGCTCCAGGCTGAGACAACCAGTTCACATCTACTGTCACTTTGAGACCTGCTTTTGCCTTCAAACTCTGAAAAGAATGGCCTTGATCAAGGAAGAGAGCCAAGCCCTGGGCTCTGATAGAGGAAAGAGAACTGTTACTATTACCTAGTACCTTCCTTTGTTTTCATCCTCTTCCTCTAATGTCTCAGTCAGCTTCCTTAGGCTAAGGGGCATGCCTTGCACATTTACCACCACCTCAGTGTAAAGCAAGGAGTATAGTTTGAAAAAATTAATACACTCAATGTTGATGTCCTGTTTGCTGAAATTATATCATAGCACAGAATAAATGTTAATAGAAGAGCGGTGATTTCTATCTCACTGCAAATATGTGGTTTTTCCAATAAAGTCTGACACTGCTCTCGTCAATCGTGACATTCACATAGCAGGAGATAAACACTGCCACGGTATGCTGGGCTGGGGAAGGGTAATTTCTTAAGGGAGATTTCTGGTCTAAGAAGACTTTTTTCTGTCTTTGTTTTTCTTTTTTGCCATTCCAACCCAGGCCTCTCCTACTCACTCCAGGTAGTTTTACAAAGTGGTTGCTGATCTTTGTGCTTATTTCTCAGAAAATCAGACATCCAAAAAGAACTTGTAAGTGATGGAAAATACATCATTTAAGTGATGCAAAACCAAACCTTGCACTTCTTTATCAAGGACTTGAAGACAACTTGGACATGTGAACCAAGCCTTCAAATGTGTTTTATTTTTTATTTTATTTTATTTTTATTTATTTTATTTATTTTTATTTTTTTATTTTTTTTGAGACAGAGTCTCACTCCGTCACCAGGGCTGGAGTGCAGTGGCACGATCTTGGCTCACTGCAACCTCCGCCTCCCTAGTTCAAGCGATTCTCCTGCCTCAGCTTCCTGAATAGCTGGGACTACAGGCACTTGCCACCACGCCCAGCTAATTTTTGTATTTTTAGTAGAGACGGGGTTTCACCATGTTGGCCAGGATGGTCTCGATCTCTTGACCTCGTGATCCGCCCGCCTTGGCCTCCCAAAGTGCTGGGATTACAGGCGTGAGCCACCGTGCCCGGCCTTTTATTTTTTGAGACAGAGTTTTGCTCTTGTCATCCAGGCTGGAGTGCAATGGCGCGATCTCGGCTCACTGCAACCTCTGCCTCCCAGGTTCAAGTGATTCTCCTGTCTCAGCCTCCCAAGTAGTTGGGATTACAGGCATGCACCACCACGCTGGGCTAATTTTTGTATTTTTAGTAGAGACAGGATTTCACCATGTTGGTCAGGCTGGTCTTGAACTCCTTACCTCAAATAATCCACCTGCCTCGGCCTCCCAAAGTGCTGGGATTAGAGGTGTGAGCCACTGCACCCACCCCAAATGTGTTTTAATTGATCAGCAATCTTTTCAAGGAATTTGAATATAAATGCTCTTTAGAAGGGCACATACTTCCTAGGTCAGCCAGTCCTCAGTATTCCCAAATGTCTTATGTCTGCTGCTGTTCGTTTTTAGCTGCCCAACTCCTGAAGACATTGAATTTAGGACTCCTCTTTAGAAATGCTTATTTTTCCCTTTGATCTTTCTGTTAGTTTTCTGTAGATGGGGCTCATTCATTGAGACAGAGATTGAATTATTTCCAGGGTTCCTTCCAATTCTGATTTTTTTTTCTTCCATGTAAAGAATAGTGCAGAAATACAACCCTCTAAAGGAAGTTCCCTTACCTAACAGGGATAGGTTCACAGCGAGAGCTCCATTCTATCTATAAAGCCAAAGCTCAAGTCCACAATGTCTTTTACATGACAAGGCAACTTTCTATGAGAATAAAGTAGATAATGCAGTGCTCCACCCTGGATCTGCAGGGAATACAGGCTGGTCGAAGATCCCAGCTACAGTTCCTCACTAGAAATTGTCCTTGAACCTGCCTTACTCAAGGTAACACCCTCTCTCAGGGGGAGGCTGATGAAGGGTCACAGAGTCCAGACCTCCTTGTCTCAATGAGGGATACTTCTGAAGGGTCTTCCTAGCTCCTCATTAGAACCTGTAGTTGCAACTGCATTGTAGGTCGACTCTCCTGCCCAATCCTACCTTCCTCACCCTCTTAGGTGTATTTCCTGAGGATTGTCTTCAATAAACTTTTTGCCCTGACTCTGTATCTTAGAGTCTGTTTCCAGGGAACCCAATCTAGGACAAGGAGTAAACCAGGGTACAGAAAGACTGATTTTTTTGCCCCTGGCATACCAATAGGCAAAAACAGTTACAGTGCTGGCAACAAAATGCATAGATCACATTATGCTGCCGTGAAAAGAATGCTCAGAAGTCATCTAATGCAACCCAACCTTTTCCAGATGTGGAGACCGAGAGAACCAAAGTGACTTGCTCAAGTTATCATAAGCTACTAGGTGAGAAAACTTGGACCAGAATCCACATCTGTGGCCCAGTTAGGCAGGCTACAGTATTTCAGTGTTTAATCAGTTCCCAGAAAACCTCAATAACACATGAGAGTCAAACTCAACTTTGAGAATTTGCAGTCGGTATTAAACAATTTCCTAAGCCTATCCTCCATGGACAATGCCTCATTGTGACCTCCTGCTATAAGAAGCCATTGAACTTTCTGCATAGAGCCATCAACTAAATACAGGAGTCGAGTCTGCATTGGGGGTGGCAGTGCACTTTATTAACAAACAAAACAGTACCATACAGGCAAAATCTTACTTCAGTGGCAAAGCACACACATAGGTATACTCCAACGTGTAGCACTGGGGCAAACTTCAGACATGGAACATTAGGCACCAAGTTCACAATCACACTAAACATAGTTCACAATCCTTCAATCCATACTCTTCAGTGGAGGATGAGGCCTTATTTAACAGTTAACTGGGACAGACAGATGAAGTTTTAAAATCTAATTCTTGGCCTAACTGTGGAGTGGGGCTGACTCAGCCTTCAGAACTGTGAAGTGGATGCCTTAACAGGGCCAAGATCTATCAGCCTCTTAAACTGACTTTCATTTCTCTGGTTCAGAGAAAAAGCTTATGGTATCTTCACGTTGGATGAACTTGCATATCGTGAGAGTCCTCAGCTCCAATTTCGTGTCTAGGCACATCTGGACTGGCATTCATTTTGATACCCAATCCATAGATTAATAGGGTTAATCTAATTAGAATAAATTAAATCGTTTTCCAAAAAGTTGAAAAGGGTAAATCACATGAGTTCTTCAACATTCAAGACTTTAAATATGTTAGCAAACTGATTACTGTTCCAACTGTTGCCAGTTAAGAAGTTTAAATCAGCATTTCCCAAAAGGTGTGTCAGGACTGAGTTAATCAGTAAGCTAATAGAAACAACTGCAATAGACTAGGGATGAGATTTCTCAAAGCAGTCTGATATAATATGCGGCAACTCCTTATGTACTGGAGCGTATCCAATACATTCTCAAAACTCCTAAATTAGCTAAAATGCAAGGTAAAGAGCAGTAGAAAAATGCAGCTCTTAGGATAGGCAAAACTTTGGAAGATTTATGTCCTCACACCAGGGTCCAGCAACTTAGGTTTGAATTTATGATAAGGTTAATGATATAATAAACTTGGGTTGGCTGGTTTCCCTGGCAATTGTTAATTCCCCTTAAATAAAAATATGTTGATACATTGTAAAAAGAAGTATTTTACAGTTGAAACCTTTGGAAAGGGCTTTTAAAAATCTGAGTTTTTAAAAGGGGAAAACAAGAGGTGGGCACCCTTGTGGGCCGACATTACTCCTAAGATAGAGAACTTAGTTTTCATATATAAAATGACTCAATTTCATGTCTTTTATAAAACTTAACAACTAAAGCAAGTGAGCTTGCTTTAAGGAAATTAGAGCCCTAATTTCTTTTCTGTTTGATAGTCTCAACAAATAACAGTCAAATTTATCATATGTATTTCAGTACTTAAGAGAAATTGGCATGCTTTGCTAATATTTATGCAGAGGTAACCATGTTGAAGACATATGTAAGTTGAGAGGTATGTCTAATTTTATGGTCATAGGAAAAATTAAAAGAAAACTGCTGCTTTCCTGAAGTTGAAATAGAATGTTACAACTGACAAGGATCCATTGGTGTCTAGCTGCCTTCCAGGGGGAAGAGAAGATGCCAGTCGTAGTTGGTCTCCCACAGAGCTAAGCAGGGAGTCCTCCTGGGGGACAGTCCTGCCACTATTTTCCTCTGCTCAACTGGAAAGCTGCACATAAGTCACAGCAAGTCAGTTTCAACATTCTAACTCAGTTAAACACTCTCCTCCATAAGAAGTGAAAGAGGAAAAATACAAATAAGCTAGCACTGAGACTAGATGTCTAGAGAAGTCGGAGGGACTACAAGTGGTCAGGAGATTCCTGAGGCAGCAGACCACAAGATGTCCCCATTCTGGTCTGAGGGTCTGCATGCCGCTACCCCCAACACTGCTTTCCTTTACTATTTCCTGATCCAAAGTGGAGGCTGCTTCCTCCAGGAGGCTGTGAGCCTCTAGGCTCTGTAATGACAGTTCACCATTGCCTAAGGGAAGAAAAAGGACAGTTACAGGCTGGGCCTTCACCTACTCCACCTCCACAGACAGAAAGTCAAATGCTTTGTTTCTGAAATCATCATGTATTTTGCATTGAAGGGAATAAAAACAGGACACAGAAATTGTTTCTGATGAGCACATCACGTTTAACTTTGTGAATTTCAGAAAGTGATCACAAGGCTTTATTCTATCAATTAACATGAGTTGATCTACACTGACAAATAAGATGGAGCTTGATCTTACTGAAATTAATTAGGTGATTCTTTGAATTGTTTTTACTTTAACAATGATTGGAATTAAGCCAAAGGTAGTTAAATCCAGTACACTTAAACATGGCCCAATGACACAGCCTTTAAACTTGTCAATATTTTCCTCTTGGTGGTATTGAAAACCAGTGAGCAGAGAGCATAAGAACAGAACTTCAAGACCGTGGCAGGAGCTTGTATTTGTACAGCACAAACCCCAGGGCAGTTACTGATGTGGAAAATCCAATGATCTTCAGCAGGCCAGAAACAGAGGGCAGGTTCCTTTCCCAGAAGGTGTGGGTGATTTCTACCGCTGGAACGTCCTAGATGAAGGAACACAGATCATGAGCAAAAAACTCATGCTGACAAGGAGGAACAAAACACTGCAAGATCCATGCATGGAGACCCCTGGGATAGTTGCATCTATAATTAAATCGGAGGCTAGAAGAAGGGAGATGTGAGTTTTATGTTCCATGATTGGTCTAAGGAGAGATAGTGCCCAGAGTCACCAAACTTACCTTTGATTCAGGTTCTTGTACCCAGATATCTTTCTCGGTCACCTTCCCGAGACCATTTAAGACCTGAAAGAAAGTCACCATGGTATTATGAAAAGAGGCTGTATAGTTTCTACAGATTCAAGGCCCTGCTAGCCACAGATGAGCCCCATGAGTGAGGGGCAGAGAAATGGACATACAGATTCTATCAGTGTCAAGAACTAGCAAGACCAGATGCCAAAAACGTTGCCGTGACTCGGGAGGGAGAGAGCCTGGGCTTTCCTGCTTACCTCCCTAGCTGCTCGTTCTCCAGCCTCAACTGCCCCTTCCATGTAGCCGCTCCACTTTGTGGCAGTCTCTGTGCCCGCAAAGAAAATCCTGCCCACGGGTTGACGAATCACCCTTCAAGGGAACCAAGAGGTTACACAGAGTTACTTGGGAAGGTGGGCAGGGTAAATGAGCCAATCACTGCCCTCATTTAGTCTGCAGAAGGCACAGAAATTCAGACTGTTTAAAAAACACCCGTATGACTTAGCCCAAGGTGAAAGGCCACTTTTTGCTTTCTGGATCTGCATAGAGGATCTGAACTTTCAAGTCAGGGAGAATCAGGCCATCAGATCATCAATCATTAAAGGGGATGTTGATCTTTTCCAAGCCAGCCAGAGCTGGAATATAAGAACATGTATTCAATCCCCAAATCAGATTTCTTTGCTGTTTCCTGTTGGCAGTCCATTCTTCTCCCTGTCCTGTCTTTCTCGGGGGAAGGTGCACTCTTCTTGAAAACAGCCACAGATCCAGCTTTGCAGGCACTCCCAGTGTGTCAGGAGGAACTGCAGTGGCAGGTGGGAAGACAGGGACGTCAACTATCATTTCTGGCAAAGGAGAGACCTGAGACATTATATGGGTGTGTCTCTTTAAGAAAACAACCTCTGTACAGTTAGCTTCTCTGAACTTCTCTGGGGACTGGCTGAGAGCAAGGAAATGGGTCTCCTCTTACAAAGAAGGGCTGGACTGAATGGACAGCTGTCCCCTCCAACTTTTTGGCTTTGACTCCTGCCATGTCCACAGCTAGTTTCATGAACTCTCCCAAGCTGCATGTCCTGCCCCCCACCCTGATGGCCTTCATCTCAACCCGTTGGCACTCCTTTTTCCAATTCCAGAACCCTGGGTTTCATCTATTCCTCATCTTAGTCTTGTCTTCTAGACTTCTACTTTGATACCAGAACTAATCCAGTTCATCAATCCTGCTATTGTTAACAAAGGCGATCTGACTCAATTAAGAAGAAAAAAAAACAGACTAAAAACTCCTGTAACGAAAAGGTTAATAAATACTTCCTCCTTTTCAGTGGACAAATGTGACCTTGTATTAACTTTCTAGCTCTGTTTCTCTGGAAACCAGATGAAGGTGTAATGCCATCTATGGAGGCAACACCATTTATGCTAAAAGTGCCTCCCCTCCCATCCCCACATTAGTGAACTGCATCCAGGCTGGGAGGACTCTAAATGAATTGTAAATACCTGGTAGGAGGCTATCACTTTGGGCTTCCCTGAGTGTGGTGTCTCTTGTAACTGAGCAAGTCTTATAACTGAGCAAGGTACCGGACACTATGCCTATGAAGCATAGAGATAATGGCTCCCATGGAGCAAGGGGCTTCTAGGTCAAGGTGGACCCACCCCACGTGGATGTCATTTCCTCACATCTCAACTGTATACAGTGAGGACTCTTCCCCTGAAGAGGACTGTCTGCTGATGCTGCTCTGTTGGCAAGACAGAAGTGTTGGATAAACACATCCAATGTCCTTCTGTGTTGACTGGTGCCAAGGAGCCTAAGGCAGTCATGTGAGACTAAATGTCAAGTTGAGCTCACGAAGTCCCCTTGGAGGACACTGTAGCTTGCTTCATTCTCACAAGCACTGTTCACATCTGAAATCCTCCCCACTGTTCTGCTATTGTTCTGTATGCTGACAGCTATTGTTCTATGTAATGACATCCTTATTTTTCTATGGACATCCAGAAATATACAAGTATTATCTAGGACATAAGAAATGGGGATTTTGACAACTATTTCTAGAATTTGCATTGAACTCTGCTTTTCCTTTTAAATTTGGCACAGGTCTTGGATTAATTGGCGTAGTGCTTGCGTAATACCTTCCATATTGAGTCATGATCCCAGGAGGGAAGTAGGCCGTGTAGCAGCCCCCAGAGTACTGCTCCTCACACCAGTTCTTCTCTTCATAATGCACTGGCTGCAGTTCAGTGGGGAAGAAAATACAAAAGAGAAAACAAAGCTGAAATGCTGCGAGTCAATAATATCGTTGCTTTAACAAAAAGTTTACATTAAGAAAATAAAGAAAATCCTGTTTTTCTAACTCACTTAAGGGGAAACATGATAGTACCAAGCAATGGCCTTTTGTGAAGTACCATGTGGCAAAACATGTATACTTTGCTCTTCCCATTTTCTTGATTAGGGAAGACATGAAGTATTCCAGTATCTGGGAGAGAGGGGTATCCATCCATCCATGCAGATTCTGAAGTCTTTAGAGCTAAGTCTATAGGAAACCCCATCAACAATTCAGCTTGTGGAAAGGTCTGCTCAAATCTCTGGAGTCCCTAATAACAGACTTTACTTCCCCATCTATCAGGCATTATTGCTAAGGAAAGGGTGGGAGGGAGGAGGCAGAAGACAAACAAATGTCTAAGAAAGGCTTTTTTCCCAGCCACTTTTCTAAGCTGGAAACATGTATGATGGGAATTCCACGAAAAAGCGGCAATTAAGATGAAAACTATTTCCTAGGGGACATGAGAGAACCTTCTCTAATTTCCCTGGCACATTCAGAAAGTTTATTATTTGAACAGTTTAGAGACAAGCCCCTGAAAGAGCGCTCAGCCATTCTATTTTTTTTTTCAAAAAGACGTAATTTCATTCTCCTAATTGCTTTCAGTGGTGGATTGAAAGCACTGATATTCCTAAATGAGTTGTGAATTGAGTTCACACATGGAAAAACAAATTAGTATGACTTTGACCTGGGAAGAGACTCTAGATTCAGTCTATCTTGTCAAGTACATACTACTTTGCCTTCACCAACAAATGATAACATATCTGGAATTTAATTGTGCAGCAGGTAAGTGACACTGACTGGGGGCAGGACTTCTGTTCTAGGAACCCAACTCACCCATTCTTGACATAATCCCTGCAGCTCTAGGCTCTCATTACAATTGGCTGCCAGTTATCTAGTGAACATTTAAACAGCCCAAAGAAGTTGCTGTGTCAGAAATTCCATGCGCCTAATACCAGCTTTTAATGACCTTTTGTGACTGCTGAAGTTTATCCTCCAAGTTAAGCATATCGCTTTATACTCTCTTCATAAGACTGTCAAAAAATCAGAATATGCTTTGCTTTACTACTTATAGTGAACAGAGAAGAACCTGCTAGGGATTAAAGCTGGGAGTTTCTTACATGTAAAGCTTCTTGGGATCCCAGCACTTTGGCATAGAGCTCACAGATTTTCTTCTTCCTATAAAACAGAGCCAAAAAAAAAAAAAAATAAAGTTAGGGAAGGAGTAACTGATGGGTATAGAATAAATACAGTGAGTTCTAGAGCTCTTGGTATCAACCAGATTTATTACAGATAAATTAAAATCCATGGCCTTCTGTAACTGCACAAATGAACATTTCCATGAATCCCCGCACTCAAATTAACTTTCAATGCCTCAGTAGTCATTTAATTTGAGGATTCAATGGAATTATTCTTTTCTTTTTTTACATTTTTGCCTCTTTCACTACCTAATATGATATCTTCTCGAGATAAAAATGGGAAAAATGAATTCAATTAAGTTTAGCCAGTCTTAGGAACTGATTCTATATAACTTTTCTGGAATACGTAGAGTTCTAAAATGATCCCTTTTATAAGTCTATAGTATAAGTGATGGTGTCTTTTAACTATCCTATACTTGTGTTTTAATTACCTACAAACATATAAAGCTCATTTCATCTTTTAAGCATAACATAAGATATGCTATACAGAAAGTATCTACAGTCATTTCAGTCTAGGAATTTGTCACTTGATAGAATGGTCTGTGGACCACAGTATTTCAAAGTGTATCTGAGGGATGGGCAAAATATGCTAATGTTACCTCAAACACAGCCTTTGGTTATTCTCATAATTCATTATCTAAATGACTAGCCCAGAACATGGTATTTTCATGTCTGAAAAAGTTAGTGGTTGTACTTATATAAACTCTTTTTGAAACGAAATACATTTTAAACTCACAACTACTCATGGTGAATTTTTTTAAAAGTCTAATTTACTAAAATCACCTGTTTTAGAAATTAATGGTTTTATTTCTGGATTTGTTTGCATAGGTTCACACTGATCCAGTTATATACTTTTCCTATTTACCTTTTATAGTTTTAATATAGTTTAAACATTTGAAAATGCTCTAAAATATTTGTTAAGGGATAACAAGCAACTGGAAAAATATTTGCTTAAAAATGTGGCAAAAGGTTTGAGTCAAATCTGTAAGACAAGTATTAAAAGCTGAAGAGACAAAATTATGCAGGGCGGGGGGAGCTCAAGCTTACTGGTAATAAAGAAATAGAGATTTAGAAATATACAATTTTATGTTGCCAATTACATTAGAAAATATTTTAAAGACATGCCCCCAATTTCTCTGAATAACATGGGACAAAGTGTAACCTTATAAATTTATCTAAATCCTCACACTTAAACCATTTTTATAACTTCCAGAACATTCACCTCATATGTATAAAATCAGGAGGAGGAGGCAGATTATAAACTTTGCTTATTGTTACCATTTTCCATGGAAGGTTTAAGGGAGAGACAAATGCCACTCCTGAGATGATGTCATGCAACATTAGATGGATATTTAGGTGGATAGTTAAATTTCAGGATAGTCAGAGGAAGTTTGGCTTCCTTCAAAGAGCTGCTCACATTATACATAAAAAGTCATAAAGGAAAAGAAGAATGGGAAGAAGTCTCAAGACTACTGTCTGTCTGTCTGTCTCTCTCAGCCTGATTCAAGCCCCTCATTTCAGAGATGAGGAAACCGAGGCTCAGGGAGCTGCAGAGATCTGTTTGATTTTGCTCAGCTAATTAATAGCAGGGTAAGGCTATTACCCTTCTGAGTAATCTGCCCATAGTAGGTACTCAATAAATATTTGTTCAGTCAAAACCCATCCTCAGCCTACTCTTTGCCTAGTCTATGAAGAGATGACTGATTCTAACACCTACTTCACAAGGGTGTTACAAGCAATAATTCAGACATTTCAAGTTAATTAGAAAATGAAAGTATCGGCAATGATTATTCTAAAAAAGCTCAACAGTACTTAACTTATTACTGTTATTATTATTTCTGAGATAGGGTCTCACTCTGTCACCCAAGCTGGAATGCAGTGGCACGATTATGGCTCACTGCAGCCTTAACCTCCCTGGACTCAGGTGATCCTCTCGCCTCAGCCTCCCAAGTTGCTGGGACTACAGATACATGTCACCAGGCCTGGCTAATTTTTTTATTTTTTTGTGGAGACGGTTTCTCTATGTTGCCCAAGCTGGTCTTCAACCTCTGCACTCAAGCAGTCTGCCTGCCTCAGCCTCCCAAAGTGTTGGGATTACAGGTGTGAGCCAATGCGCCAGGCCTGCTTAACTTACTTTCTGGATGTGTAATAAAATTTTTATTAAAGCAGAGTGAAACCTGAAATCCAATCAACCCACATTGTAGTTAGTTTTCATTCATGAATGTTAAAAACAATTATAATAGTTACAAGTCATTATTTACTGTATTTCATATTATTAGAAGAGCCAAGGATGTGTTCACACAAACATAGGAAATTATCTTTCCCTTTCCCTTCTTCCCTTTAAAATTAAAAATTTTTGGAAAAGATATGTAAGGCAAGGATGTTAAAACAATGCACTGATTGATTAATTTGGCTCTAAAAATAACAGAACCTAAGTGATGAATAAAAGAGGCCACTGTGCAAATCATCTCGTTGAACTTATTCACTGGTTTCTAAATCTGGTTGCTTATCATAATCACCTGAAAAGCTTGTTGAAAAATACAAATACACAGGCCCCACCTCAAACCTACTCAATCACAATCTATAGGTCTTATAAAAACATATTTTCCAAACATCTTTTGGGATATTTTGATGCAGTCAGATCTGGGAACCACTGTTTTTGTCAATGACATATTTAGTAAGGGTTTTGCCTTACAAGAACTTTTGAGAAGTTCAGCCACTGTGTGGAATCATAACCAAATGTCTACCTACAGGCTGGTATTTATTTTACTATTAATAAGGAGGGAAAGCAGGAAATCCAAAAGAAAATGTCAGCTTAGTGTGGTGTAATGAAAAAGTATGCGCTATATGCTACTCCAGACTTTTTGTCACAAGCTAGCTGCGATGATTTGAATGTATGTGTCCCTCCAAAATTTAAATGTTGGAACTTAACCTCCAAGGTGATGGTATTTTGAGGTGGGGTCTCTGCGGAAATGATGAAATCAGGAAGATTCTGCTCTCATGAATAGATTAGTGCCCTTATAAATGGGCTGGAGGGAACTAGCTAGGCCCTTTCTGCCCTTCTGCCTTCCTCCAAGTGAGGATACCACCTTCATCACTTTTTGTCCTTCCTCCTTCTGCCTTTTCTGCCATGTGAGGGCACCATGAGAAAGTGCTACCTACGGAACAGGTTCTCACCAAACACTGAATTGAATCTGTTGGCATCATAATCTTGGACTTCCCAGCCTCTAGAACTGTGAGAAATAAATTTCTATTCTTCATAAATTACCCAGTTTCAGGCACTTTGTTACAGTATCACAAATGCACTAAGACACTAGCTATGGAGGCTTGAACAAATCATTCCCCATCACTGGACCCCAAATCCCTCCTCCATTGAGTGAGTAGAGTTTATTTTTAACAACCATGAGATTCCACAATCTCATGGTTGTTTGAATCCCATGATTGTTGAGATTCAACCATTTACCACTTACAGTGAACAGAGAAGAACCTGCTAATTGAAACTGGGAGTTTCTTCCATGTAAAGCTTACCTGCAAACCATGAGATTCAAATAAACAAATCCGTGTGCACATGTAGGAACTCATTCTGCAGCCTTTCCCCCACTTCTAAAGTCATCAGAGTAACTCCCAAAGCAACGGCTGCTAATGGGTTAGCTGTTTAATTTTTTAAATTACATTCAGAGAAAAGTCTATATTTTTGTGTATGTATTGGACCTCTTTAAAAGCTAGCAGAGGATTTAGGGCTACCCAGAGGCAACCCTCCAACAGCCAAATAACTCTGATGTTAAAAGGCTTACCTCTTCAGGTAAGACTTTAATTGAACAAAGGATTCCAAAACAAAACAAAACAAATATACCATGACAGGAAGAGAAAGGGAGAAAGAAAGAAAAAAAAAAAAACCACTGTCCTAAAATAAATTTTATACTAGGAAGCTTTCAGATAAGGGAACATCAGAACTGTGTCCCAGATAAGCAGTAGTGAATATTTTCATGTACAAAAGTTGCTACAGGTTAAAATATACTTTTTAGAAAGTCCATGTCAGAGAATCTTAGAAAAAGATTATGGCCTTGAAAGAGGATTGGGATTCGGTTTCTACAGCATTTTTCACAGCTAATATTTTCTATGATTTTTATCCATCCATCTCTCAGGGAAATCCTACCTCTTAACTACTGTAAAATAAACACGAACATGTAAAATTAATATATGCACACGGGCAAGGGCTAGGTCAAGAGGGCTGTAGCAAAATACAAAAGGTTGGTTTGTTGGAATTTTGAGAATATTTGTGAAGTACTGTGTTTTTCCTCATGTTATTCTACTACTGTCAGTGCAAAAACAAAATACAAAGCTAACTTTTTCATCTATTTTTCAGTTATAAATTCTTACCTTATTTCCTTATGTAGCTTAGCAAGTCGATCAGCTTTCCGGGCAAGAATGAAGCTGGAGAGAGAGGTTACATTGAATGATCAGGTTACAGCTGTTTATTTTAAGAGCTGCCCTTTCTTTCTGAAGTATTCTTAACCTGTAGCTATTCAGCATGAAATGAACTCTCTCAGACCCTCCTCCTCTAGTAGGGCAAATGCCATATTGTCTTTGGTCTGCCTGTGTGTCCAAAACCCCTGCTAGGCTGTGATCCCCTACACGACAGGTGACCTCCTATTCAATATTTTACTTCTAAAGTTTAACATGGTTTTTGGCATATAGTAGGAAATCAAATGTTGAATGAATGAATGTTGTGCTAAATGATTATTCTGGTAATGACTGTTGCCTTCTGCCAAATACTTTATCAAAGCTGGAAAAACAAATATAAACATGTGTCTGTAGTGGAGGCCACGGTGGGCCCCCCAGGCTCCCTTTGGGACCAGGCACTCGTTACTCTTACCTCACAGCTGAAACCTTCCCCAGTAATTGGACGGGGCAGCAGAGAATGCCTCGCTCAAGGTCCCACCCCTCCCTAGAGTTGTTCTGACCTAGATGCGGTTGAAGACAACTCTGAAGGGCCACCCAGCTCCAGAACTTCCAAGGGAATGGCAGAGGCCTTTGTTGGGACAACATTGGAGCTCAAGTTCCGCATAATCCTTCTGCCATAGGTAGTCATCCCCAGAGCACTTCCCAATAAAGTTCCAGCACCCAGATCTCCAGCTCTGAGTCAGCTTCCCTGGAAACTGACCTAATATAGTCCCCAAATAAAGTAACTCAATAAAACTCAGTTATAACCTGCCTGCTCCCCTTTAATCAAATATATTCTATTTATTATACTGATATTACTAACTGCATGTATATTTAAAAGAATTGAATTGTGACATGAAGTCCTTAGTTATACTATTATTAGAAAGCTTTCAAAAATCCAAATGAGCTAAAGGACAATGAAATTATTTTTCCATTAAAAAATTTTTAAATTTGTATTTCTTTTATTCAAGACCAAAAGGACAGGTAGATCAGTGCAAAAAACAGATATTTCCTCCTCTCCCTACCCACAAATTAAAGTGTTCCTCAAATTGGATTGGCAGTTCCTTTAGGGCTGTTATTTGAGATCACTTTGAGAAGCAAAGATGTATGTTAATGTAGAGAATAGTATTTCAGAGAAAGCTGTGGACTATTTAGGAAATCTGAACTATTGAACTTTATGGGATATAGTCATAATTTTGCATGATTTAACACCTCAAGTTATAGCTTGTTATTAATTATTTTAGTTAGATTCTGGGTTTATGCAAGAATCAGTAAGTTTAGATGTATATAGTTTTTTTTAATCATCAATATCTGATAAAAGATTAAATGATTTATCTGAAAACATTTTTAGTCAACTTGTCTTGTATACTTTTTACAGTTCCCTTCCCAAAGGGCAGTTAGTGTTGGTTATTTCTGTCAAATCTCAAGTCATGAATGAAATAATCTCTTTGATCTAATCCCAACTATGGATAAATAAGCTTTAACTTACTTTGGTGTTTTATTGAGGAAATTAAACATGCTGGCTTTGTGTTGGAAACATTTCACAGTTCTAAAGTACAAGGTCCTTTCTAGTTTCCAAAAGTTTATTACAAACACAGTGCTGGGCAATTACCACCCCTATCTTCAAGGTTTTCGTGGCTGTGGCCATCAGCAAAGAGCAGGGTGGAGGCAAGTGTCAAGATGAAAGAGATTAGAATATCACTTTCTAAGAATTGCCTAAATAACTCCATTAACACCTGGAAGGTTATTTGAGCCCTAACCTAGTTAATAATAAAGCTGAAGAAAGCCCAAAAGCATTGTACACATAAAAACTTGCACCCACAACCAATGCTCAATAAATGGTAGCTTTAATTTTTAAGACTACATCGCCAAGTTAAGAAACAGATTATTTTGGTATTCCCCAGTTTCCAAGGAAACTCTCATCTTCTGTACTTGGTCCTCTATAACCAATTATTATTATTTTATATTTGTTTTAGCCCCACTGTCCACAGAACACAACCGTTTAACATTTTCCTTTTATACTATTTATCTTAAGTAAAATCATTAAAATATTGAGTTCCACTTCCAAAAAAAAAAAAAAAAAAAGAAAGCCCAAAAACAGCAGAAGACATCACTATATCTAACTCCCAGGGCAAGAAAAATATCAATTGCTCTTCCATTCATAGTTGGATTTGTCTTAACCGACATTCTCCTGAAACCTGTACCTGAACCTCCTGCTTTTCTCTGGCATATAGAAGATGATGTCAAACTACCCAAACAACCTATATCCTCTTCTGCCCAATAGGGTTAGAGATGAAGAGGATGTGTTATTCCAACAGTCATTATGTTGTAAGCACCTGCCTTTCTCAGGGAGGCTGGTGTTCTTATATGTTACAATGAGAGAAGTGGTTATAAAATGTCTCATTAGTAACCAGCAGCACAACCTGCTTTCTAACTTCCCTGGGATGTGGGTCTGCTCCTTTTGCCTTTGTAATTTTCCTTCAATGACATGATGTGCATGAGTTCACCTTTCCCTCTGAGCAAGAGCTATGCATTTCCTAGGGGTAAAGGGGAGACCACTGGTCTCTAAAAGTCACTTGATTGCTACTGAAGCTATGTTCTTTTGTTACAGTGTGGTAGAATAAATCGCCTTTTATTTGTATAGTTTTTGAGGAGGCCAAAAGGCAGGCAAGAGGGAGGCTGTGGAACTCCTTAGCAATTCATTTGTGGGGACACCACTTCCTTCTCTGGACTCCCCAGCCCCCAACGAGTAGGACAGCTATGTGCCGGAATGAGAAGAGAGGGGAAAAGCTCTCATTTTCCCTACACAGAACCAGGCCCTGGGTCATCCGCACACTTTAGAGGTTAAGTGAAGCACCACTGGTGAAGGATAACTAGAGTGACCCACCAGAAAAACTGCCATGCCATCCAATCAAGGCCTGGCTCAATTCTGAACTGGGCCTCCTAATTGGTCAGCTGTCTTATATCTCAGGGTAACAACTAACATTTGCTATGTAGCAGATATCTGGAATGGAGAAAAGGATAAAACCGAGAAACCCCACATTTAGAATGTTTTTATAGAATAAAGCGGTTAGTTCTCATTTCAGAATGGCTGTGGACATTCTGCCTGTAGGCAGGGGTGGCTACCATACTGCCTGTCTAGCTGCTTTTTTTCACTCCATCCTCAACACGTAAGCTTTGTATGAGAGAAAGACATACATGGGTACAAGTTCAAAATGGTGTCAATTTTAGTAAAGTTTCCCAGTATTCTTGTGCTACATACGAAACATTACTGCAATATTTTAACACATGGAAACATTATATATTTTGATAGCATTATTCATCATTGCTTGAACTTAATTCCAAAGTAATATACTTTGACAGCATCCACACCAATACATCAACACAATTTGGAAAATGCAGAACACCCTGCTCTAACCTACCCCATGATGGCAGGCAGTGACCCATCTGGCTTGGTGTCATCCAAGGTTATTGAAATTGGAGCATCTTCATCTTCAATGATCATGCAGCCACAGTAATCTTAACCAGGAGAAAAATCAATGGGAGATCGAGATCAAGCTCATCAGAGACACCCATACACACATAAATATATATAAACTATTTTTTAAGAGGAAGTAAAAACTTAAACTCTTGGTCTTGGCCCCAACCCTACATGTCTTGTTAAATACACACACTGAATATATAAGGATGTCTATTCACCCACAGACAGAAAATGACCCATCTCCATCACCTTTACATAAAGGGCTTATGACCAGCCAATGCATGACAAAAATGGTAAGATAACCCTGGCTCCTAGCATACATGAGGAAAGAGAAGGGCTGCATTGGAGGGAATGACCCAATCCAGGGAAGAGGTGGGAGGAGGGAATCCGATGAGTATAACCAGAATGCTTATCAACAGTAGCCACCATATCTGGGCAGCTTTCTAAGTCCAAGATCCTGCCTCATTTAATTCTCACAACACCGTAGTGGTAGGTATTACTGTCACCACTTTACAGCTACAGACTGATGCTAGCAAGCAAGCGAAGTCCCGGAATGTGTAACTTCAACGCAGTGCTCTTTCCATGGTGCCTGTTGACCTCACTCTGCTCATAAAAAGTAAGAAGCAGGACAGATGCCAGGAGTCAGGGCAATGGTGGCCTTATGACTGATGTGATCTCCTTCTTCCCTCCCATTGCCAACAAGTGCTCTTGGGGTCATTATGTGTGGCCAAGGATATGAGGAAATTGACAGACCAAGATTTCTAATCCTTTTTCTACCAGTTTGAAAATACTTTGTTTCTGTTCAATACCTTCTGTTCAATAATCCTAAAAGACTGTGATTTCTTCATATAATACAGTTTAAACATGAATAATAGCAGCCTACCCTTCTTCTTCCAGAAGGCCTCCTTGTAATACATCATGCACTTAATGACAGCTCCCATTGGAAGCCGCTGAATTAACTGGTTTCTCTCTGCTGGAAGCTCTGGTCTGAAGTGAATCTTGGCAGTCAAGGTCGGAGGGATCGCATTAATTACGTATTTGCACTAAAACACACACAAGCAAAATATTACCTCAAATGTGAGCTGCAGTCTTTGTGGCAGGCGTGAAAAATCATCTTTATCACTTCTAAACAACATTGAGCAGTAAAAACATACAAAATGAGAAAATGAGGCAACTGTGAGGCAACAAAACAGATCAAGGTAGGTCAACCAAGGCTGGTAATTTGGAAGACTGAGGCGGAAACATGTCAGCATTAATTATGCTACTGCTTGAATTATATCTGGTTAGAAACTGCAAAAGACACAAGGCCTATTTACTATATGCTCCTTTTGACTAAACTGAGTTACCTCATAATGTTCATGGTTCAGCGTCTCTATGATGATGTTGTCACTTGACTGGTCAACGTGAGTGACAGGATGGTTCAGCTTCACTTGGTCTCCGAGGAGGTCCATTATCCGTTCGCTCACTTGACCAGATCCACCTACAAACTTCCGTTCCTACAGGAGGAGGTAGGTAAGAAAGGAAACATTATGAAAGCCCAAGGAAGGAAAATCCTACTGGCTACTGATTAGAAAACCTCCAGAAAGTCACAGGCCACACCTCTAACGTCTGCACACTTAACTGTCAGAAGACTTCATTAGGACAGAGGCAGAGTTGACCAAGACAATTCAATGATCATTCCCTGCACAGCTTCTGGCAAAGAAAAGCCATTACAAGTTTATAAAAATCACAGAACCCGAAGAAATGTTCCACTATGCCAATGCTGCCCTGACCAAGGGGAATATCAGCAAGTCTGTGGGCTTCAAATGTCAAAGAGTGCAGGGTGTGGAGGGAGCCCTGAGAAGGGGCAGGCACAGGGCTTATTCCAGAGGATGAAGTTTCTAATTTCCTTTGATTCCTGTGTTCTGGGCTGAGGTTGTCCAGGCAGGTAAGGATGCAGATAGAGCCATATTATAGACAAAGTTACAGGGTGCTTTTAGGGATAGTCACGTCCTACTAGTCCTACTAGTCACCACCAAATGATGTTCTAAGAATGGGAAGAAGGGCCGGGTGCTGTGGCTGTACTAAAATTACAAAAATTAGCCAGGCGTGGTGGCACGTGCCTGTAATCCCAGCTATTCGGGAGGCTGAGGCAGGAGAACCACTTGAACCCAGGAGGCGGAGGTTGCAGTGAGCCGAGATTGCACCACTGCACTCCAGCGTGGGCAACAGAGCTAGACTCCGTCTCAAAAAAAAAAAAAAAAAAAAAAGATTCGGAATATCAGATCTTGAGTAACTTTTTGCAAAACTATCTGGAAGCTTCAAGGCAGAGGCAGAGGGTGAAGGCTAAGCATCTGCTTGCTCCTTTAGATATTGTTAAATAGTTCTCTTGAGCGGCCCTTATAAGACCAGAAGTGCTCTACCCTCTGCCTTCTGCTACGATCACCATGGAAATGTTTCCAGCTTAATCTAAGAAGGTAAGTCCTTAACACAATGCTTTTGGTAAGAACCAGAAGGATATTTTTAGCCTATTATAGAAGATTCTTTTTTTTTTTTTTTTTTTGAGACGGAGTTTCACTCTTATTGCCCAAGCTGGCATGCAATGGCGCAATCTTGGCTCACTGTAACTTCCGCCTCCTGGGTTCAAGTGATTCTCTTGCCTTGGCCTCCCGAGTAGCTGGGATTACAGGTGCGTGCCATGACACCTGGCTAATTTTTGTATTTTTAGCAGAAATGGGGTTTCATCATGTTAGCCAGGCTGGTCTCAAACTCCTGTCCTCAGGTGATCCACCCTCCTTGGCCTCCAAAAGTGCTGGGATTACAGGTGTGAGCCACCGCGCCCAGCCAGAAGATTCCTAACAGATTCCTCAATCATACTCCTCCAGAAAACTGCATAAGCAGCCACGCAGTGATTTTTGCACTTTTGTAACTGGCTACTGTTTTAATAACAACACCAAAGTTCTTTATAAAAAATATTCCTGGCTAGGCATGGTGGCTCATGCCTGTGATCTTAGCACTTTGAGAGGCTGAGGCGGAAGGACTGCTTGAGCCCAGGAGTTGGAGACCAGGCTAGGCAACAAAGCAAGACTCTGTCTCAAAAATTAAATTAAAAAAAGGAAAAAAAATTCCCAGAGTGGTTCAGACCTAAATTCATGATTTGTCTTTCCTCAAGAAACCCAGACCATTTAACTTATAATCTGGTCTGTTTTCTAAGAGGTACTTTGAGTTTTAGTGTGGTGGAAAGACCACGAACTGTTTCTGTCTTGTTCACTGTCCACCCCTCCAGGTCTAGTATTTGTTGAATTAAATTACAGGATAAGCCTAAGTTCTTTATAAAAATATTGTGACCATGGTTTGAGATTAATCATCTGAACCATATTTTCCAAAAGGTCATGTAGAATTTGGCTAGAAGTATCCTGGCTCCTCTGAATGAAGGAAACAAATATCAAATGTAAATCAAAATACCTCAGAAAGTAAAATACTGGCTAAAAGGAGTAATCTGTCATCTCTGCCTGTAGGTAAAGACATTTAAAAAATGCAACTGTCCTGCATTTGTCAAGGCTAAGGGTCAAATGGGCAATGAGTCTTGGTGTCACAAGAACTTGGGGATTTCCGGTGATCTCCTCAGGAGAAGAATAATTCACTTGGCAGAGAAAGACTCTATACCTTGTACTGTGCACTCAGAATTCAGGAACTCAGAGAACCTAAGTTAGAAGTAAACTGCTACTAATTAAACCTCATACCATCCAAGCACAACATTTATAGAACAGAGATACCCATTCTCTTTGGATAACAGAAAGGGTTGAAGCAGAGAATCTCAGAGTCTGGGGAATTAGGATTCTGGCTTCGCCATGTGTCCAGCCAATGAACGAAATGAATTCACTTATTAATAAAGGAAATGATATGGAAACTGGGCAAATTCAAGTGGGTAGCAAAAACTAAGAATCCAAAAGGCAGAATTTACTATTGCAAGAGTGGCCATAATCACTTGCGTGAATTAGAAGGAAGAACAGTCACTTCCCTTCTGTAGCAGTTAACATAAAAGAATCACTCTGATAAACAGATGGGACAGAAACCTTGTGTCTAGAACAGAGATGATTTTAAGTACAATAATTGTACAATTTCTAGAATTTTTTGGAAATTATTTTAGGAATTTAGCTTCTCCTACATAAACAGCCTAATTTTACCTGCTACCAAAAGGAAGGAACTTAATTCTCAAAACCTAATTAATTCAAAATGAAACATTCTTTATCTGTGAACTCCTTTTCAGGAGTGACAAAAGGAAATGAGAAATTTTTTTTTCAGAAAATCTTTTGAGATCATTTCATGCTGCTAATTATTCATGTTTCAAAATCCTGAAGCAACTATTAAAGACACTGCCCTGGGAGAAAGCAAAATCACAGATGAAGCTCTTGTTTCAGAACAGACACATACACACCATACCTGGCCACCATTGGTGACAGAGAATATCCGAGTGGTGCCCCCGCACTGCTTCACATACCACAAGAACCACAGGGCAGACACTTCGTGAGGCTCAGAGGTCACATTGATATTCACAAAAAGATAAGCAAACCGCCTAGCAGTCCTGTTCATAGAACAAAAGTGGAAGTCAGGTGTCAATATGTACAGGAGTCAGAGAATGTCATGTTTTTACAACACGATTTAGTGTGTTCAGAAAGTTTTTCTGTTGCAATTGAAAAAAACTCTCAAGGATTCAATTTCTGAAGGAATGCATTCTTTAACTCTTGGAGAAACTAACATTTTCTCCTGCTTAAGAAATTATGAGTTGAAAAGGAGCCAAGGGTCCAGCAAGACAGCCAAACAGAAACAGCTCCGGTCTGCAGCTCCCAGTGAGATCCGCGCAGAAGGTGGGTGATTTCTGTGTTTCCAACTGAGGTACCTGGTTCATCTCATTGGGACTGGTTGGACAGTGGGTGCAGCTCATGGAGGGCAAGCCGAAGCAGGGCAGGGCATCGCCTCACCTGGGAAGTGCAAGCGGTTGGGGGATTTCCTTTTCCTAGCCAAGGGAAGCTGTGAGAGACTGTCCCAGGAAGAACGGTACACTCTTGCGCAGATACTGCGCTTTTCCCACAGTCTTCACAACTGGCAGATCAGGAGATTCCCTCCGGTGCCTGGCTCAGTGGGTCCCACACCCATGGAGCCCAGCAAGCTAATATCCATTGGCTTGAAATCCTCGCTGCTAGCACAGCAGCCTGATATCGACCTGGAATGCTCGAGCTTGGTGTGGAGAGGTGCATCTGCCATTGCTGAGGCTTGAGTAGGCAGTTTTATGCTCACAGTGTAAACAAAGCCACCAGGAAGTTCGAACTGGGCGGACCCCACCACAGCTCAGCAAGGCCTACTGCCTCTCTAGATTCCACCTCTGTGGGCAGGGCATCTCTGAACAAAAGGCAGCAGCCCCAGTCAGGGACTTATAGATAAAACCCCCATCTCCTTGGGCCAGAGCACCTGGGGGAAGGGGCAGCTGGGGGTGCAGCTTCAGCAGACTTAAATGTCCCTGCCTGACAGCTCTGAAGAGAGCAGTGGTTCTCCCAGCACAGTGTTTGAGCTCTGATAACGGACAGACTGCCTCAAGTGGGCCCCGACCCCCGTGTAGCCTGACTGAGAGACACCTCCCAGTAGGGGCCAACAGACACCTCATACAGGAGAGCTCTGGCTGGCATCTGGTGGGTGCCCCCCTGGGACAAAGCTTCCAGAGGAAGGATCAGGCAGCAATAGTTGCTGTTCTGTAGCCTCTGCTGGTGATACCCCAGCAAACAGCATCTGGAGTGGACCTCCAGCAAACTCCAACAGACTTGCAGCTGAGGGGCCTGTTAGAAGGAAAACTAACAAGCAGAAAGGAATAGCATCAACATCAACAAAAAGGACATCCACACAGAAACCCCATCCATAGGTCACCAACATCAAAGACCAAAGGTAGATAAAACCACAAAGGTGGGGAGAAACCAGTGCAGAAAGGCTGAAAAATTCCAAAAACCAGAACGCCTCTTCTCTTCCAAAGGATCACAACTCCTCGCCAGCACGGGAACAAAACTGAACAGAGAATGAGTTTGATGAATTGACAGAAGTAGGCTTCAGAAGGTGGGTAATAACAAACTACTCCGAGCTAAAGGAGCAGGTTCTAACCCAATGCAAGGAAGCTAAGAACCTTGAAAAAAGGTTAGACGAATTGCTAACTAGAATAACCAGTGTAGAGAAGAACATAAATGACCTGATGGAGCTGAAAAATGCACCACAAGAACTTCGTGAAGCAGACACAAGTTTCAACAGCCGAATCGATCAAGTGGAGGAAAGGATATCAGTAATTGAAGATCAACTTAATGAAATAAAGCGAGAAGACAAGATTAGAGAAAAAAGAGTGAAAAGAAACAAACAAAGCCTCCAAGAAATACGGGACTATGTGAAAAGACCAAATCTATGTTTGATTGGTATACCTGAAATTGACAGGGAGAATGGAACCAACTTGGAAAACACTCTTCAGAATATTATCCAGGAGAATTTCCCTAACCTAGCAAGGCAGGCCAACATTCAAATTCAGGAAATACAGAAAACATCACAAAGATATTCCTCGAAAAGAGCAACCCCAAGACACATAATTGTCAGATTCACCAAGGTTGAAATGAAGGAAAAAAATGTTAAGGGCAGCCAGACAGAAAGGTCGAGTTACCCACAAAGGAAGACCCATCAGACTAACAGCAGATCTCTCAGCAGAAACCCTACAAGCCAGAAGAGAGTGGGGGCCAATATTCAACATTCTTAAAGAAAAGAATTTTCAACCCAGAATTTCATATCCAGCCAAACTAAGTTTCATAAATGAAGGAGAAATAAAATCCTTTACAGACAAGCAAATGCTGAGAGATTTTGTTACCACCAGGCCTGCCTTGCAAGAGCTCCTGAAGGAAGCACTAAACATGGAAAGGACAACCAGTACCAGCCACTGCAAAAACATGCCAAATTGTAAAGACCATTGATGCTATGAAGAAACTGCATCAACTAGCGGGAAAAATAACCAGCTAGCATCAAAATGATAGGATCAAATTCACACATAACAATATCAACCTTAAATGTAAATGGGCTAAATGCCCCAATTAAAAGACACAGACTGGCAAACTGGCTAAAGAGTCAAGACCCATCGGTGTGCTGTATTTGGAAGACCCATCTCACATGCAAAGACACACATAGGCTCAAAATAAAGGGATGGAGGAATATTTACCAACCAGATGGAAAGCAAAAAAAAAAAGCAGGGGTTGTAATCTTAGTCTCTGATAAAACAGACTTTAAACGAACAAAGGTCAAAAGAGACAAAGAAGGGCATTACATAACTGTAAAGGGATCAATGCAACGAGAAGAGCTAACTATCCTAAATACATATGCACCCAATACAGGAACATCCAGGTTCGTAAAGCAAGTTCTTAGAGACCTACAAAGAGACTTAGACTCCCACACAATAACGGTGGGAGACTTTAATACCCCACTGTCAGCATTAGATCAACAAGACAAAAATTAACAAGGATATTCAGGACTTGAATTCAGCTCTGGACCAAGTGGACCTAACAGACATCTACAGAACTCTCCACCCCAAATCAAGAGAGTATACATTCTTCTCAGTACCACATCACACTTACTCTAAAATGACCACATAATTGGAAGTAAAACACTCCTCAGCAAATGTAAAAGTACAGAAATCACAACGAACTGTCTGTCAGACCACAGTGCAATCAAATTAGAACTCAGGATGAAGAAACTCACTCAAAACCGCACAACTACTTGGAAACTGAACAACCTGCTCTTGAATGACTACTGAGTAATTAACAAAATGAAGACAGAAATAAAGATGTTCTTTGAAACGAATGAGAACAAAGACACAACGTACCAGAATCTCTGGGACACATTTAAAGCAGTGTGTAGAAGAAAATTTATAGCACTAAATGCCCAAAAGAGAAAGCAGGGAAGATCTAAAACTGACACCCTAATATCACAATTAAAAGAACTAGAGAAGCAAGAGCAAACAAATTCAAAAGCTAGCAGAAGACAAGAAATAACTAAGATCAGAGCAGAACTGAAGGAGACAGAGACACAAAAAACCCTTCAAAAATATCAGTGAATCCAGGAGCTGGTTTTTTGAAAAGATCAACAAAATAGACCACTAGCAAGACTAATAAAGAAAAGAGAGAAGAATCAAATATACACAATAAAAAAAGAAAAAGGGGATATCACCACCAATCCCATAGAAATACAAACTACCAACAGAGAATACTATAAACACCTCTATGCAAATAAACTAGAAAATCTAGAAGAAATGGATAAATTCCTGGACACATACACCCTCCCAAGACTAAACCAGGAAGAAGTTGAATCTCTGAATAGACCAATAACAGGTTCTGAAATTGAGGCAGTAATTAATAGCCTACCAACAAAAAAAATCTAGGACCAGATGGATTCACAGCTGAATTCTACCAGAGGTACAAGGAGGAGCTGGTACCATTCCTTCTGAAACTATTCCAATCAATAGAAAAAGAGGGGATCCTCCCTAACTCATTTTATGAGGCCAGCATCATCCTGATACCAAAACCTGGCAGAGACACAACAAAAAAAGAGAATTTCAGGCCAATATCCCTGATGAACATTGATGCGAAAATCCTCAATAAAATACTAGCAAACCAAATCCAGCAGCACATCAAAAAGCGTATCCACCAAGATCAAGTCAGCTTCCTTCCTGGGATGCAAGGCTGGTTCAACATATACAAATCAATAAACGTAATCCGTCACATAAACAGAACCAATGACAAAAACCACAAGATTATCTCAATAGATGCAGAAAAGGCCTTGGACAAAATTCAACAGCCCTTCATGCTAAAAACTCTCCATAAACTAGGTATTGATGGAACGTATCTCAAAATAATAAGAGCTATTTATGACAAACCCACAGCCAATATCATACTGAATGAGCAAAAACTGGAAGCATTCCCTTTGAAAACTGGCACAAGGATGCCCTCTCTCACCACTCCTATTCAACATAGTATTGGAAGTTCTGACCAGGCCAATCACACAAGAGAAAGAAATAAAGGTATTCAATTAGGAAGAGAGGAAGTCAAACTGTCTCTGTTTGCAGATGACATGATTATATATTTAGAAAGCCCCATCGTCTCAGCCCAAAATCTCCTTAAGTTGATAAGCAACTTCAGCAAAGTCTCAGGATACAAAATCAATGTGCAAAAATCACAAGCATTCCTATACACCAATAACAGACAGAGAGCCAAATCATGAGTGAACTCCTATTCACAATTGCTACAAAGAGAATAACATACCTACGAATCCAATTTATAAGGGATGTGAAGGACCTCTTTAAGGAGAACTACAAACCACTTCTCAACGCAATAAAAGAGGGCACAAACAAATGGAAGAACATTCCATGCTCATGGATAGGAAGAATCAATATCACGAAAATGGCCATACTGCCCAAAGTAATTTATAGATTCAGTGCTATCCCCATCAAGCTACCACTGACTTTCTTCACAGAATTGGAAAAAACTACTTTAAACTTCATATGGAACCAAAAAAAGAGCCCGCATAGCCAAGACAATCCTAAGCAAAAAGGACAAAGCTGGAGGCATCACGTTACCTGACTTCAAACTATACTACAAGGTTACAGTAACCAAAACAGCATGGTACTGGTACCAAAACAGATATATATAGACCAATGGAACAGAACAGAGGCCTCAGAAATAACACCACACATCTACAACCATTTGATCTTTGACAAACTGACAAAAACAAGCAACAGGGAAAGGATTCCCTATTTAATAAATAGTGCTGGGAAAACTGGCTAGCCATATGCAGAAAGCTGAAATTGGATCCCTTCCTTACACTTTATACGAAAATTAACTCGAGATGGATTAAAGATTTAAACGTATAACTTAAAACCATAAAAACCCTAGAAGAAAACCTAGGCAATACCATTCAGGACATAGGGATGGACAAAGACTTCATAACTAAAACACCAAAAGCAATAGCAACAAAAGCCAAAACAGACAAATGGGATCTAATTAAACTAAAGAGCTTTGGCACAGCAAAATAAATTATTATCAGAATTAACAGGCAGCCTACAGAATGGGAGAAAATTTTTGTAATCTACCCATCTGACAAAGGGCTAATATCCAGAATCTACAACGAACCTAAACAAATTTACAAGAAAGAAACAACCCTATCAAAAAATGGGCAAAGGATATGAACAGACACTTCTCAAAAGAAGACATTTATGCAGCCAAAAAACTTATGAAAAAATGTTCATCATCACTGGTCATTAGAGAAATGCAAATCAAAACCACAATAGATACCATCTCATGACAGTTAGAATGGCAACCATTAAAAAGTCAGGAAACAACAGATGCTGGAGAGGATGTGGAGAAATAGGAACGCTTTTACAATGTTGGTGGGAGTGTCAATTAGTTCAACCATTATGGAAGACAGTATGGTGATTCCTCAAGGATCTGGAACTAGAAATACCATTTGACACAGTAATCCCATTACTGGGTATATACCCAAAGAATTATAAATCATTCTACTATAAAGACACATGCACACATATGTTTATTGCAGCACTGTTAACAATAGCAAAGTCTTGGAACCAACCCAAATGCCCATCAATAATAGACTGGATGAAGAAAATGTGGCACATATACACCATGGAATACTATGCAGCCATAAAAAAAGGATGAGTTCATGTCCTTTGCAGGGACGTGGATGAAACTGGAAACCATCATTCTCAGCAAAGTAACACAATAAGAGAAAACCAAACACCGCATGTTCTCACTCATAAGTGAGAGTTGAACAACGAGAACACATGGACACAGGGAGGGGAACATCACACACCAGGGCCTGTCAGGGGATGGGGGGCTCAGGGAGGGATAGCATTAGGAGAAATGCCTAATGTAAATGACGAGTTGATGGGTGTAGCAAACCAACATGGCACATGGATACCTATGTAACAAACCTGCATGTTGTACACATGTACCCCAGCACTTAAAGTATAATTAAAAAAAAAAAAAGAAATTATGAGTTAGCTCCAAGTATGCTAATCCAGGTTCTCTCTAAGCATCAATAAGCTTCTTTCAATACCCATCTTCTCCTCTCCATCTTCATTGCCACAGCCCTGGTCCAGGCTACCAATATGTCCAGGCTATAGCAGTGGTGGCTCCTACTTGGTCATCTTGCATCTCCTCTTGTATCCTCCACACTATAGCCAATGAGGGCTTTTAAAAGTGCCAAACTCAAAAAACCCTCTGCTTAAAACCTTTCAACGATCTTCAGTGGAGAAAGGACAAATATTCAATGTGGCCCATAGATCCTGCACTATCAGCCTCTAGACCAGTCCTGCAAACTCCCCTTATACCACTTGCTCTTGTCATCACTATGGTCCAGCTACACTGTCCACTCAGTTGCTCAAACATGCCAATATCCTTCTCACCTCAAGGCCTTCACAAAAGCTTGTCCCTGTCCTCTATGCCTAGAAGATTCCATCACTGTACATCATCTACCCGTCCCTGTCTCCCCATTCCCCTGAGAACTTTGAGTCATTCTTGAAAGATACCATTCTTCCCACAT
Source organism: Homo sapiens (assembly GCF_000001405.40). NCBI lineage: Eukaryota > Metazoa > Chordata > Mammalia > Primates > Hominidae > Homo > Homo sapiens. The sequence continues at coordinate 43,721,132 of NC_000023.11, read as the reverse complement.
CATCCAACCTTTCCTATCTCCCCACATACCTGTGGGTCATTTCTGGAAGGTAGCATCCTGCCACATACCATTGACTCTTCCTGTCTATCCCCTACTCCTCTGGTTCATTTCTGGATGGCACCATTGCCCCCAAAACATACACCCTTCCCTGCCTCCCCTCAGCAAGTGTGTCTCATTCCTAGAAGACAGTATCTCTGCAAACACATTTTCTATCTTCACATGTCCCCACTGACTCTGAAAGTCATTCCTAGTAGATACCATCTGCCTACACCATCCAATCTTCCTATTGCCACCCTAATACTATGGGTGATTTGGGGATATCATTACCTCCCCCCTCCCCCACCCCACAACCAAATTCCACCTTCACCATCTCTTCCAGAGCCTGTGTCACATTCCCGGAAGATATAATTCCCCCAACACTATCTAATCTCCCCTATCTCCCCCGTGCACCTGTGGGCCATTAGAGGCAGATATCATCCTCTCTACACCATCTACTCTTGCTGTCTCCCCTCTAAACCTATGGCTAATTCCTTGAATATACCATGTACCAACACTATCCAATCATAATGTCTCCCCTCAAGCCCTCGTGGCTCATTCCTGGAAGATGTATCTTGCTACAGCATTCCTGTTTCCTGTTTCCCCCATTCCCAGCTATGTCATTCCCGAATACCACCCCCCACAACGTCCATCCTTCCTGTCTCTCCCTACCACTTCCCATGTGGCTCATTCCTGGAAGATACCATCTCTCTAAACCCCTGTCTCCCTGTATCCCTGTGGGTTGTTTCTGGAAGATACCATCCTTCCACACCATCTGCCCTTCTTGTCTCCCCAGCCACCGCACCTGTGGCCCTCTCCAAAGCCAATCCACCCTGTCTCCCCCTTCTCCTGTAGGTCATTCCTAGAAGACACCATCCCCTAACACCACCCACCTTTCCTGCCTCCCCCAGTCACCACCTGTGTGGTTCATTCCTGGAAGATACCATATTGCCACACCATCCAACCTTTCTATTTCCCCCCTACTCCTGAGTCATATCTGGATGATACCACCCACTCCCTAAGACATCTACCCTTCCCTGTCTCCCCGCAGTGCCTGTGTCACGTTCCTGAAAGATACTATACCCCTACACAGAACTATCTACTCTTCCCTGTCAGTCATTTTGTTAGATAACATCCCCGGTCCTGTGTCCCCCTCGAAGCACCACCAGTGTGGTTCATTCCTGGAAGATACCATCCTGCCACACAATCCAACCTTCCTGTTTCCCCACTACCCCTCCGGGTCATTTCAGGATGATACCGCCTCCTCCCCAAAACGTCTACCCTATAGTGCCTGTGTCATATTCCTGAAAGATACTATCCCCTCTTACATTATTTACCCTGCCTTGACTCCCTCTGGGATCTCTGAGCCATCCTGGAAGATCCCATTCCCCTACGTCATCCATCATTCCCCCGCTTCCCCAATTCCGTAGTTCATTCCTGGAAGATACCATCTCCAATGCAACATTCATCCTTCTTCTCTATCCCCTGCCCTGTGGGTCATGCCTGGAAAATATCATTCTGTCATACCCTACCTGTCTCCCATCTACCCCTATGGTCCATTCCTGGAAGACACAATTCCCCCAAAACACCCACCTGCCAGGGTTTATTCCTGGAAGATACCATCCTGCTACACCATCCACCCTTCCGGTATCCCCCGGACCTCTAACCACCCTTGTGGCAGATTGCTGGAAGACACCATCTCTCTAAACCCAATCCACTGTTACCTACTGCCCCTGCGGGTCACACCAGGAAAATACCATCCACATCCACCTTCCATCCTGTCTCCACCCCCACTACTGCCAGTGTGCCTCATTCCTGGAAGATACCATCTTGCCACACCATGCAACCTTCCTATTTCCCTCTACCCCTCTGGGTCATTTCGAGATGATATAACCACATCTAGCCTTCCCTGTTTCCCCACAGTGACTATACCACATTCCTGAAAGATACTGTCACACCTCCCCCAACACTTCCACCTTGCCTTGTCTCCCCCTTTCCCCTTTGGGTCATCCAGGAAGATGCCATCTCCACATACCTCTTCCTGTGTCCCCCCAGGCACCACCAGGGTGGCTCATTCCTAGAAGACACCATCTCTCAAAACACAATCCACCCTGTGTCCCTCTGCCCCTTTGGGTCATCCCTGGAAGATACCATCGTGGTCATCTTCCACACTTCCTGTCTACTCCCTCTCCTCTGGGTCGTGGATGGAAGTTATCTCCCCCACCACTCCCAACCCTTTGGGTCACTACAGGAAAAACCATGCCTGCCAACAAGCCAATGTTCTCTGCATCCCCTAGCTCCTGTGGACCATTCCTGGGCGGTACCATCCCACCTCACCATCTACTCTTCATGTTTCCCTACTGCCCCTGTGACTCATTCCTGGAAAATATATCCTGCCACACCATTCATGCTTTCTCTCTCTGCCCTGTCCCTCTGGGTCATTCCACAACGATACCATGCCAGCCAACATCCCCCTGATGGTCTCCCCCACCACCCATAGTGTGACTCATTCCTGGAAGATACCATCCTGCCACGCCATGCAACCGTTGTATCTCCCCACTACCCCTCTGATCATTTCGGGGTGATACCACACCGTCCCTAAAACATCTAGGCTTCCCTGTTTCCCCGCAGAGCCTTTGTCACATTCCTGATATAACCCCCCCAACACTAATCCTCTGGCTCATTCCAGGATGATATCATCCCCCCACACTTCAACCCTTCCTGTTTTCCCCCACTACTACCCAGGTGTCTCATTACTGGAAGACACCATCTCTCTAAACCCAATGTACCCTGTCTCCCCCACTACTACCCAGGTGTCTCATTCCTGGAAGACACCATCTCTCTAAACCCAATGTACCCTGTCTCCCCCTGCCTCTGTGAATCATTCTTGGAAGATACCATCCACCCATACCTTCTGCCACCCCCTGCCTCTGTGAATCATTCTTGGAAGATACCATCCACCCATACCTTCTGCCACCCCCACCACTGTCATTTGGCTCATTTCTGGAAGATACCATCCTGCCACACCATCTAACCATTCTATTTTCCTGTTATCCTCTTGGTTATCTTGGGATGATACCACCTTCTTCCTAAAACATCTACCCTTCCCTGCCTCCTTGCAGTGCTTGGTTCACACTCCTGAAAGATACTATACCCCTTATATTATACAGTCTGCCTTGTCTCCCCCTTGGCTCTGTGGGTCATCCTGGAAGATACCATCTCCCTACCTCATCCATCATTCCCCCCCTCCCCAAATTCTATAGCTCATTACTGGAACATACCATCTCTTCTACTGTATCCATCCTTCCTATCTACCTTCTGCCCTGTGGGTCATTCCTGTAAAATAACATTCCGCCAAACCATCTACCCTACCAGTCTTCCCTCGACCCCAGTGGGTCATTCATGGAAGATACCATGACCCCCACAACCCCACCAGTGTGGCTCAATCCTGGAGGATACCATCCTGCTGCACCATTATCATTTCCTGTCTCCCCCATCCCTCTGGGTCATTGCTGGAAGATATCTCCATCCACAATGTCTACCCTTCAATTTTCCCCCATGACCCTGTGGGTCATTCCTGGAAGATTTCATTCCACCAAACCATCTACCCTGACTGTCTTCTCCCACACCTGTGGCTCATTCCCAGAAAATATACCCTGCCACACCAGTCAGGCTTCCTGTCTCTCCCCTATTCCTCTGGGTAATTCTTGAATGATATCATCTTGAATGATAACATCCACCTTTCTTGTCTCTTTCCGCCACCACCAGTGTGACTCATTTCTGGAAGATACCATCCTGACATGCCATGCAACTGTCCTATTTCCCTACTATTCCTCTGGGTCATTTTGGTATCACTCCCTCACAAAACATCTACCCTTCCCTGTTTCCCCCCAGAGACTTAGTCACATTCCTGAAAGATATAACCCCTTCAACACTATCCACCTTGTCCTGTTTACCCTTACCCCTGAGGGTTATCCTGGAAGATACCATTTCCCCCCACCATCACTCATCTTTCTTACTCTCCCAACCTTGTGGGTCATACCTGGAAAATACCATCCTGCCTCACCTTAACCACTTTGTGTCTCGCCCCATCCTTCTGTGTCATTGTTGGAATGTATTCCCCACAACATCCACCCTTCTTATCTTCCCCCAACCCTTTGAGTCACTCCAGGAAGATACCATGTCCCCAGTCAGGCCAACATTCCCTGTGTCCCCTTAGCCCATGTGGGTCATTCCTTGAAAATATATCCTGCCACACCATTCATGATTCCTGACTCCTCACTACCCCCTCTGGCTCATTCCTGTATGATATCACTTCCACAATATCCACCATTCCCATCTCCCCCCACCACTACCCTTTTGGCACATTCCTAGGAGATACCATTTGCCTAAACTTATTTCCCTGACTTCTGTGGGTCATTCGTGGAAGATACCATCCACATACACTCTTACTGTCTCCCACCCCCACCACTGTCACCGTGGCTCATTCCTGGAAGATACTATCCTGTCATTCAACTATCCTATCTCCCCTCTACCACTCTGGGTCATTTGGGGATGATACCACTCCCTCACCAAAACATCTACCCTTTCCTGCCTCCCTGCATTGCCTGTGTGATATTCCTGGAAGATACTATTTCCCCTACATTATCCACTCTGCCTTGTCTTTCTTTTGGCTCTGTGGGCCATCCTGGCAGATCCCATCCACCTAGCTCATCCATCATTCCCCTCCTTCCTCAATTTTGTAGTTCATTCCTGGAAGATACCATCTCCCCCATACCATCCATCCTTTATATCTACCCCCTGCCCTGTGGCTCATTCCTGGAAAATACCATTCTACAAAACCATCCACCTACCTGTCTCACCCCAACCTCGGTGGCTCATTCCTGGAAGATACGATCTTCCTACACCATCCACCTTTCCTGTTTACTTAACCCCACACATTCTGAAGACCATTCTTAGAAAATATCATCCTGCCTCACTATCTTTTCTTCCTATCTCCCCCTACCCCTTTGGGTGATTACTGGAAGATATCCCCCTTCACAACCTTTACCCTTCAGGTCACCCCCTTGCCCCTGTGGGTCATTCCTGGAAGATACCATCTCTCTATACCACCCATCTTCCCCCGCCACCAACCGTGTGGCTCATTCCTGGAAGATACCATCCTGCTACACCTTTCTAAACCCTCTGGGTCATTTCGGGATGAGACCACCTCCTCCACAAAACATCTACCCTTCTCTGTGTCCCCACAGTGCCTGTGTCACATCCCTGAGAAGTAACATGCCCTCCCCCTACAAACACAGTATCCACCCTGTCCTGTCTCCCCCCTTGGCCTTGTGGGTCATCCTGGAAGATACTATCCCCACCCTTTCCATGTCCCCGAAAACACCACCAGGGTAACTCATTCCTGGAAGATTCCATCTCTCTAAACACAATGTACCATGTTTTCTTCTGCCCCTTTGGTTCATTCCTGGAAGATACCACTCCATCAAATCATCTATCCTACTTGTCTCTCCCAACTCTTGAGGGTCATTCCTGGAAATACCATCCTGGTCACCTTCCACACTTCCTGTCTCCTCCCATCTCTTTTGGTCATTGCTGGAAGTTATCCGCGGCCCAATATCCACCCTTGCTGTCTCACCCCTGACCCTTTGGGTTACTCCAGGAAGAACCATGCCTGCAAACAAGCCCATCTTCCCTGCATCCCCTAGCTCCTGTAGACCATTCCTGGAAGGTATATCCTGCCACACCAGTCATGTTTCCTCTCTCTGCGCTACCCCTCTGGGTCATTCCTGTACAATCCTATGAGTCATTCTTGGAAGAAACCATGACCCCTCACCATCCACCCTTCCTTTCTCCCCCCTACCACTGCCAGTGTAGCTCATTCCTGGAAGATACCATCCTGCCACACCACCAAACCTTCCTATGTACCCTCTTCCCTGTGGACCATTCCTGGAAAATTCCATTTTGCCAAATGATCTACACCATCTGTGTCCCCTCTACCCTTGTGGGTCATAACTGGAAGAGACCATCTCCCTCACCCCATCCACCTTTGTATCTACCCCTTGCCCTGTGGGTCATTTCTGGAATACATCATCTTGCCTCACCATCTATGTTTCCTGTCTCCCCACCATCCCTCTGGGTCATTGCTGGAAAATTCCCCTTCCCCTAAGACATCCACCCTTCTGGTTTGGGTAATTCCTAGAAGATACCATCTCCATCCACACAAACCAACCTTCCCTTTCTCTCCCCAGAGAGAGAGAAATAGCTGGAAAATTTCATTCTCCCCACCCCACCCCCGCCCCATTTCCCCACCACACACACACACTACCTAATGTTGCCTGTTTCCCCTTGACTCTGTGGGCTATTCCTAGAAGATACCATACCCCCACAGGGATCCATTCTTGTTCCCCACTCCCTAACACTGTGGGGGCATTCCTGGAAGATGCAACCAGGCCACACCATTCACTCTTCCTATCTTATCCCTGCCTTTGTGGCTCATTTCTGGAAGACATATCCTGGTAATACCATCTACACCTCCTGTCTCCCCACTACACCTCTGGGTTGTTGGTGGATGATATCCCCGCAACATCCATCTTTCCTGCCTTCCCTTTGCCCCTTTGGGTCATTCATAAAAGATACCATCCCACCACACCATCAACCTTTTCTGTCTCCCCCACTATCCTGGTGGTTCATCCATGGCAAACACCATCCACTATACTTTTCTCCCCTCTGAACCTGTGGATCATACCTGGAACATACTATCTTCCTGCCCCATCAGTCCTTCCTATCTCCCCCTAATCCCTGTGGCTCATTCCTAGAAGACAAAATCCCCCAATGCCATCCACCCTTCCAGTCCCCATCTCGCCTTGTTTCTGTGGGTCTTTCCTAAAACACCACCCATCTTTCTCCATTATCCCTTTCTCCCTTCTTGCCCTTGTGGGTAATTTTTGGAAGATATCATTCCCTCCTCCCACCACCACTGTCCAACCTTCCCTCTCTCCCTTTGACACTGTGTGTCATTCTTAGATCATACCATCTGCCCCACTACTATCAACCCTATGGGTTACTCCTGGAAGGTACGATTTCTACCACACCATCCACCCTTCCTGTCTTTCTCCTGCCCCATGACTTATTCCTGGCAGATACTATCCCCCCAACTTCATCCATTCTTCCTTTCTCTCTCCTGTCCCTGTGTATCATTCCTGGAAGATACCATCGCCCTACACTGTTCACCTTTTCTGACTCCCCCCTGCCCCGATGGCTCATTCTTAGTTGATGCACTAACTCCTTAGTTTCAGGTTAAAGATTGCTTCATCAAAGAATGCTTCCTGTACCCTCAGACCATGTAAGGTTCTCCCTGTTACAGGAACTCTCCTAGCATTATGTAATTGTGCTCAAGGTCAGTCTTGCCTGCTAGAAAAACATAAACTCCATGAGGGTAGGGGCTATTCCTAAGAAGTTCACCCCCATTCCTCAGTGCCTGGTATGGTGCCTTCACATAGTAAGCCCCACATAAACTAATAAGACATGGTCTAATTGAACATTTTTATTACTACAGACTAGCTTTCCTCTCATTTCCTAGTATTCCACATCTATATGGGATTACCATTTTATTTTATTTTAAATTCCGGAGTACATGTGCAGGTTTATTAGATAGGTAAACATGTGCCATAGTGGTTTGCTGCACCCATCAACCCATCACCTAGGTATTAAGACCCACATGCATTAGTTATCTATCGTGATGCTCTCCCTCCTCCCACCACCTGACAGGCTCCAGTGTGTGTTGTTCCCCTCCCTGCATCCATGTCTTCTTAATGTTCAATTCCCACTTATGAGTGAGAACATGCGATGTTTGGTTTTCTGTTCCTGTGTTAGTTTGCTGAGAATGATGGCTTCCAGCTTCATCCATGTCCCTGAAAAGGACATGATTTCATTCTTTTTTATGGCTGCATAGTATTCCATGGTGTAAATGTACCACATTTTTAAAAAATATCTTTTCAAACTGCTTTTGTAGGCAACCTTTCAATAATATGAAAACACAATTATTGATTTTATTGCAGATCACACAATGCTTTCATTAAAAGAAGTTCTACTTCATTCACCCACTTTTCTTAATTTTTAGATTCATTTTCTGTTCTAACCTACTTTGAGGTGCCCTCAACATTGCTATTGACTGAAAGATTACTAGGTTTCCTCTTTTTTTCTGTAAGTTGTTAAGAAAAGCACTGCAGTTCAAGGCAAGATATAAAAGACGAGAAGGGAAGATAAAAAGTAAATTTTGAATGGTCAAGTCTACTTACTTTGTCCAGCAGATTTTGTCAATGAGCTCTTTCATGGTCATTTTGTCCCATTTGTCAGCATGTTGAGCCTCCCAGGGTGCATCAGTTGGAATCTGTAGAGAAAGGAAGTCCCCTCTCAGGTTTGATGGTAACTGCCACCTCTTCTCGGGAAGGCCCTCATGAAAACCTCTGAAAATGGGTCTCTTGGTCTCTGTGTTGAAATGTGTGATTGGCATAGAATTCTATATAGAGACAGGGAGTGGGGTAGAGTTCTTTGGATTCTGTGTCCTAATGCCATTGCCAAAACAATAATAGTAGTGATAATATTATATATGTCTATGTACAAATTTATATGTAATTATTATAATGATGACAATTATCATCATCATTGTTATTGAAAGCTAATAACCATTTTATGTCCCAAATTGATATTACAGAGCCTAAGACTAAGTAAAGAAGCTTTGGGGCAGCAAGTCCTTCTCTCCTTTACTATCTAAAATGGCATTACAGACAGACAGACAACTGTAAGTAGAGATACTTGGCAAAAATATGTCATATAAATGCTCAGTAGCATAGAGTTGAAGGCACACAGGCATTTGTATAAGAGAGTGGGTTGGTATGCTGGTTCCCTTGCTATGAGGTCTTGAGTAAATTACATAATCTCTGGGCACTCATTTTTCCATTTGTGAAGTGGAAATACGACCAACTTTGCAGTTTGGGTACATGGGAAATGATATGCATTGGTGTCCAGAGCAATGTTCCCTGCACTATGGAAGGATATTAAACAGTTGCCATTGTTATTTCAGTAATGGGTCATGTGCAAACTGAACACACATTTTACCTCCTTCCCCATGTTATCTATTGTCCTCCACAGATTATTGTAATCCAAATATGCAATGGGATTCCATACTGGTGGAAAGGCGCCCCGAAATGGATATGTTTTCCCCTAGAACATAAAAGCAAACAGAATCAATCAAAAAGAGTAATATCTTAAATTTGAATGGTGTTCTAAAACAACAAAAAAGCAACCAACCTAAGACTTGCAAAGTAACCAGACCCTCTACTGTGTCAGAAACATTACCTTTGATGGCAACTGAATACATTATACCTATACAGGCCCCAATTTAATAAAATGTGCAGAATCTCCCTGGTGCTGTGTTGGCTGGTTTTAATTTACAGTAAATAATAGCTTTAAATTTATTTCTATTTATTTGGAAATTATGCATAAATAAAGGTAGCATATCCTAGTATCTAATACTGGTGCTACAATATTCTCAACTCCTGAATTCCCATCTAATCTCTTGAGAAAGCTGTTCCCACTTAGACGAGAGCAGGATGATGACGTGGAGGACTGTCTTTAGACCACATATAGGACAAGAATAGCAAAGTGGAATGTCTTATACTGTGTTTTAAAGTCTACAAAGGCTTAATAAAGACTGGCTAGACTACAGACTATGCCTGATGTAAAGAATCAGATTATTAGCAGTGTGGAATATCAGGCACTTGCCACTGTGGGCCTGCCGAGCATCCATTCCCCTTTCCTGGTAGTATCCTGGTTTCTTTCTGGGAAATTGTCTCTCTTCTTTTCTGTATAGCTGTGTAGGCAGGATGGTCCCAGCTACCAGCTCCCATTACAGAAAATGATAGATTTTTTTTTTTTATCTCTACACCCCTACCCCCAGCTCCTGGTATAGCCTGGCTGTGAGCCTGTTATCTGAGCTTGGCCAGTCATACACTCTCAGAGGACTCTGACCATGGAGTGGGTCACCCACATAGAGAAGAAAGTAGACTGTGGGTTTTCTTTCCCCATGGCCAAGTGCTGAGCAGATGCTTCCTGCTACAAAGACTATGGCTATGGTTCCTGCCCCTAACTTGCCAGAGCTCTCATGCTCTTTGCTCATCCTCAAGTGTGGTCCTCCAGCCTCACATCAGTTCTGTAGGTCCTCTCATTTCCTTTCAGTACATTCCCTCTTGTTAGCCTGAGTTGGTTTCTATTGCTTGGTACCAAGACCTCTAATATGAAGATGGCTCATTCATTATTAGAAACCATTAACTTCATTTCATTGTGTAACAGCCAAAGTGCTAAGAGAAGCAATGGTGAGTAGAGGTGAGTCCCTAGGAAATAGACCAGAAATAGGTAGTTTATAAGGCCTTATTTGCTAATTTATTTTACTTTAAAAATCAATGCCTTGTAAATGTTCATAAGGCCAAAATCTTTTCTACCAGTATAATTTGCATGATAATTTGATTTTTTTAATTAAAACATTTACTTGTAGAAAGTCTACTGCATGCACTGCAGAATACTGAAAGCTGTATTGGATTTTTTAAAGGGCTAAAACAAAACTTCTGACCATCAGGGCAAGGACACAAGACATCACAAACACGTGTAAGCACACCTCCTAACTGAGTAAGAATATATGGCAGCCATTAAGTGACAGAGAAGTAATTTTCCCTTCCACATAGCAAATTCAAATAACCTTGGCAGAATATGTGATCTCGTTTCTTATCTGAAAATGTTATGTTGTAACGCTGCAATACAACTTTTTGAGACTCCAAATCCTTTATCATCATCACCACCATCATCACTAACATTTATTGAGATCCTTCTCTATGCCTGACACTGGCTAAAGCCCTTCATATGCATTATCTCGTGCAATGCTCACTCCAACCCTGTGAAGGCAAGCGCTATTGATATTTCCATTTTATAAATAAGGAAACTAAAGCCCAGCGGCAGTAGCTAGTACATCATAGAATGGAAATTTCCTGCTCCCAAAGCCTTTGCTCATAAAACATGCTTTCCTGCCTCCTATACAGTTGATGGAATGTGGAGATAGGTTTGTTCTAGAGGCATTTTTAAACTTCCAACTTTTTCTTTCCCAAAAGAAAGAGAACTTTGAAATGTGAAACTTAGAAATCTTCCACATGTACCTTTTCTGTTTCTAAGGAGTAAAAATAGAGACTTAAGAAGCTTCAGGGGTGGAAGACGACCACTGAGGGAACATAAACAGCTTTGGAAAATGCTAATACATACTCTGAGAGAAATGGGCAAAGACATTTTACATAGAAAACAAAAATAGCTATGGAGAAGAGAGGGGCTGAGGTTAAGTAATAGCTCAGGGGCAGCCTCAGAGCAGCTGGTCCTTGTTATAATTCCTCCTTTAACTGAAATCTGGAAAAATCTACATTTTCCTCCATAAAATGTACGTATAGTCAAGGAATAGTCTAATGCAAAACTGATCTTTGCTTTGGAAAAAAATTTTATTAAAAAACATAAATATTGCCCGGGAGGCTGAGGCAGGAGAATTGCTTGAACCCAGGAGGCGGAGGTTGCAGTGAGCCGAGATTGCACCACTGCACTCCAGCCTGGGCAACAGAGCGAGACTCTGTCTTAAATAAATAAATAAATAAATATTCTCAATAGTCTGGGAACATAAAGAAAAGAATTATAAATATAACTCAACAAAATGTGTCCCACATTCCTAACGAAGTTCTTCACAGAAAGATGCCAACTTGAGTATGATTTCACACAAGGTCCAAAGACCCCTTGATCTGAGCCTTGATAAACAGTGGTGGCAGGAGAAGTAAAGAGTTCAAGGAAAGAGGAAAATCTGGCCTGGCAATCATTTTAGAAATGGGAGCCACGGAATATTTTAAAAGAAGAGGCGGTGGCTCACACCTGTAATCCCAGCACTTTGAGAGGCTGAGACAGGCAGATCACCTGAGGTCAGGAGTTTGAGACGAGCCTGACCAACATGGCAAAACCCTGTCTCTACTTAAAAAAATACGAAAATTAGCAGGGCGTGGTGATGGGTGCCTGTAATCCCAACTACTTGGGAGGCTGGGGCAGGAGAATCACTTGAACCCAGGAGGCAGAGGTTGCAGTGAGCCGAGATCACGTCACTGCACTCCAGCCTGAGCGACAGAGCACGACTCTGTCTCAAACACACAAACAAACAAAAAAACCCGTCTCTACTAAAAATACAAAAAATCAGCCGGGCATGGTGGCAGGCACCTGTAATCTCAGCTACTCGAGAGGCTGAGGCAGGAGAATTGCTTGAACCCTGGAGGCGGAGGCTGCAGTGAGCCGATATCGTGCCACTACACTCCAGCCTGGGCGACAGTGCGAGACTGTCTCAAAAGAAAAAAAAAAAAAAACAACAAGAAGACCATAAAGGCCCATAACATAAACTTCTTTGCTGTTGATAAAGGATTTCATCAATTAGTTTCACCCCTATCAGTTTCTGGCTTCTCTGTTCTCGTTTCACAGAAAACCCAAACCTGCTAAAAAGAAATGCACATATGTGGGGAACACTTTTGCATGTGTGAATCCCTAAAGTAGTGCAGTAGGGGGGCCTGGAAGATGTCTTTTGGCTGAGTGAGAACTGCCTGACAGTGTGGACCCTCTCAGTCTCCAAAATGTGGTTCTATAGTATTCTCACCAAGGTGTCAGCAGTTTCTCAATACTAAGCCACTTCTCAGTAAGGAATGCCTTCATGACCTAAGAGGGTGAAGCAGGGGCTCTGGGAATACTTCCAAATGATTACTGCTCTTTAAAATTAAAGGAGAAAAATCTAGTGTAATGGTCAAGTTCATTTTGTACCTACACTCTGAAAGCTTACTAGTTTTCCAAAGTGGCCTTTAATCTCTAAAGGGCAGTGTCTTTGATACAGCAGAAATTGTTTATGTCAAGCAGAACGCAATGTCCCTGGAACCGTGCCCCAAAACACTTAAGTGACTTTGAGAAACTACATCTTCAATCTACTAATGTTCACAATAACAGGAGACTATTGCCAGGAGATGGCAGTTTATGGCTCCCACATAATTCTTTATTGTTGGTCCTATAAGATAAGCTAAGTTTATAGTAAGCAAAATAGCATTTCCTGATTGGCACGTTGGAGAGTTTGATCTCTCTGTACTTTTATATTTGAGTTAAGCAAAAGGAAGTGAGTGTTATTAGAGTATCATAAGTCACTGGGGAAGCTGCCAAATAGCCTTCTTTAATCATCTGGAAAATAAAAGAGTTATCTTCCAGATTAATTTAGAAACATGCCTGTACAGCTTATATGAATACCTTGAGACCCTTCTAGTCCCATTGTTTTGTGACAAAGCCTGTAAGATGAATCTTTTGATGATTTCTTTTCTATAGTTTATAACAATGCTTTAAATTTTAAAATCATCTAAGAAGAGACCCATTAAATAGGATGGTAGTTTTGTGTTGTATTAATAGTTTACAAAAGCATTATCTTCCTCTTTCCAAATGCAGGTATCCAAGCTCTCTTCAAACATACATAGCTTCACTCTATCTAGAAAAAGCCTTCATACCCTACATGGAGACGTCTGTCCTTTTCATTTGTCATCCTCTTTGCATTCTTTTAACAGTCCCACTCAAATGATGCCCCCATTGCCTTCATATCCTTCTGTTTTCTAAAATCTGACTTGTATCCTCAAAAGTCCGTGGATGCCCTTTTCTCTATGGTCACCAATGAGCTCCTTTTAGCCAGATATGAAGGGATGTATCCATCCCATTAGCACTTGGCTGCATCTGACACCACCCCATCAGATAGTGCTAGTTGTCCCAAGCCTCAGCCTAGTTCCCCAAGACCCCTCCTTCTATGATCCACTGAATCCCCCAGAGTCTGATCCTTAGCCTTTTCCTTTCCTTCTGCCCACCCCTTTCCCATTTCCCTGGGGAACTCATCCACCCTCAAATTTGTTATTATATTGGCACAGTCTTATGGTTTACATTTTTCATGCCTCTGCTCCATGTTTATGAATACCAAATTATCTATAACCTCTCACACCATTTCAAGGGCTGGCAGCACATTCCTATGTGTTTGCTTATGACCTGACACTTCATATTCTCAGCCTCTGTCTCAAGACTTGTACAGCTACCAATGCAATGGGCGCCTGAATTGTGTAGTCCTATCTCTGGAAAAATAGAACCATTAAACTCAGATATAAATGATGCCATACCATCAATAATGAAGGGTTTTATTTGTTTTTTTTGACAGGATCTTTCTCTGTCACCCAGGCTGGAGTGTAGTGTTGTGATCACAGCTCACTGCAGTCTCAAACTCTCAGGTTTAAGTGATTCTCCAGCCTCAGCCTCCCAAGTAAGCTGGGACTATAGGTGTGTGCCACTATGCATGGCTAATTTTTGTATTTTTATTTATTTATTTATTTATTTATTTATGTTGTAGAGATGGGGCCTCACTTTATTGCTCAGGCTGGTCTTGAACTCCTGGGCTCAAGTGATCCTCCTGTCTTGGCCTCCCAAACTGCTGGGATTACAGGCATGACCCACTGTGCCTGGCCCCAACAGTGAAGGGTTTTAAAAGAAATTTATGTCATCTTCTCCAAGGGATTCTAGTTATATACAGAAATTACAAACAAAACAGTTAAGATAGAAACAATAATGAGTTCTTCTGGCGGCTTTTGTGTAATTAAAGATAATTGACAGAGTTTTTTAAAAAAATAGTTTTCCTCTTTCACAGATGCCATTAACTCAGGAGAAACAGGAAGTGTGAAAAAAGATGAAAATATCACATTGTGAGGACAAATAGCTATTTAACAGCTTTATTAACATATCATTCACATATCCTATAATTCATCCATTTATAGTGTACAATTCAATGGTCTTTGGTATATTCACAGAGCATGCAACCATCATCACATCTCATTTTAGAACATTTTCTTTACCCTGAGAAGAAGCCCTTAATTATTAGTAGTCACTCTTCTTTCTCTGACACTGCATTTTGAAGAACTGCCAAACTATTTTCCAAAGTGGCTGCACCATTTTACATTTCTACCAGCAATGGGTGAGGTTTCCAATGTCGCCCCATCCTGCACAACACTTATTAATGTCTGCCTTTTTTATTACAGCCATCCTGTTGGGTGTGAAGGGATATCTCATTGTGGTTTTGACTTGCATTTCCCTAATAACTAATAACATTGATCATCTTTTCAGATGCTTATTGATCATGTGCATATCTTTTTTTTGGCAAAGTATCTATTCAAGTCCTTTGTCCATTTTTGAATTGGGTTGTTTGTCTTTTTATTATTGAGTTGTTAGAGTTCTTTATATGTTCGGAATACAAGTCCTTTATCAGATATATGATTTGCAAATATTTTCTCCCATTCTATGGATTGTCTTTTCAGTTTCTTGATGGTATACAAATGACAACACTTCAAAAACTTTTTTTGATGAAGACCAATTTATCTATTTTTTCTTCTGTTGCTTGTGCTTTCAGTATCATCAAATAAATCACTGCCTAACTCACAGAGATTTATTATTTTTTCTTCCAGGAGTTTTATATTTTTAGCTCTTATAGTTAGGTCTAAAATGAGTTAATGTTTGTGTATAGTGTGAGAAGAAGTCCAGCTTCATTCTTTTGCATGTGGATATCCAGTCGTTCCAACAACATTTGTTGAAATAACTTATTTTACTTTTTGCACTGAGTTGTCTTGCTACCCTTGACAAAAATCAATTGGGCATAAATGTAAGGGTTTATTTCTGAAATCACAGTTCTACTCCATTTACCTATATGTTTATCCTTATAGAAGTACACATTGTTTTTATACAAGTACACATTGTTTTAGCACACTAGCTTCATAGTAATTTTTGAAATCAGGAAGTGTGGGTCCTTCAAATTTGTTCTTCTCTTTTAAAACTGCTTTGGCTATTATGGGTCTCTCACATTTACATATACATTTTAGGATCAATCTCCCAATTTCTGCAAAAACTGTCAGCTAGGATCTTGAAAGGGATTGTGTTAAAAACGTAGTTCAATTTGGGAAGTATTGTCACCCTAACAATATTAAGTCCATGAACACAGGATGCCTCCATTTATTTACATCTTTAATTTATTTCAATGTTATTTTGTAGCTTTAGGTATATAAGTCTTGCACTTCTTTGGTTAAATTTATTGCTAAGTATTTTATTGTTTTTTGATGCTATTTTAAGTGAAGTTGTTTTCTTAATTTCATTTCAGATTGTTCATTGCTACTGTATTAGAAATAAAATTTATTTTTGAATATTGATCTTGTATCCTGCAACCTCGATGAACTTGTTTAACAGTTCTATGAATTGTTTTAGTCAGTATCAGGATTTTCTATATACAAGATCACATCATCTGCAAATACAATTTTTCTTTTTTTTTTTATTTCTTGCCTAAGTGCCCTGGCTAAAATCCCTAGTACAATGTTAAATACAAGTGGCCAGAGTAAATATCTTTGTCTTGCTCCTGATTTTAGAAGGAAAGCTTTCAATCTTTTACCATTGAGTATTATGGTAGCTGTGGGTTTTTTGTAGATGGCCTTTATTAGGTTGAGGAAGTTCTCCTCTATTCTTAGTTTTTCTAGTGGTTTTATCATAAAAGGATGTTGAATTTTGTCAAATGTTTCTGCTCCGTCTATTGAGATGATCACGTGCTATTGGTCCTTCATCCTATTAATATGGTGGTGCATTACATTATTGGATTTTTGTATATTAAACTAACCTTTCATTCCTGGAATAAATCCTACTTAGTCATGGTGTATAAACCTTTTAATATATTGCTAGATTCAGTTTGCTAGTATTTTCTTGAAGATTTTTGCATCTCTATATAGGGATATTGGTTTGTAGTTTTCTTGTGATGTCTTTGGTTTTGTTATTCGGGATAATACTGGCCTCATAGGATGAATTGAGAAATCTTTCCTCCTCTTGTATTTTTTTGGAAGAGTTTATAAAGAATTGGTATTAATTCTTCTTTAAACTTTTGGTAAAATTTACCAGTAAAGCCATTTGTGTCTGGGTTTGTTTCTGTGGGAGATTTTAAATTACTAATTCAATCTCTTTCCTTATTATAGGTCTATTCAATTTTCTATTTATTCCCGAGTAGTTTTGGTAATTTGTGAACCTAAATCTCTAAAAACACTTCCTGTGATAGCATCTCTTACTCTGATCTTTATAGGTGTTATATGAAAATAGTTTCCATGGTCATAAGTCTGGGAAATCCTGGTTTGTGTTCAATAGTCTTTTTTTATTGCCAGGCTTCCTAGGACTCCTAATTTGTTAATGGGCATCTTGACTATCAAAGACAGGGATAGGATATGGAGCACTTCCAAAGTTTATCTGACCACCAAATGCCCTGTTTTTGCAAAGTATTTTTAAGATTAATGTTGCTTAGAAAACACTTGAGAAATATTCCCCTAGGCATTCTTCACATTCTGGCTTGCACTGGCAGAAGTATGACATAACACAGGAAAATATGCGATGAAATAGAAGCTGTGACAACCAGAATGTTTATTTTCCAAATGTTACACATGGGAATACAATGTCATTTGTATCCCTTCTGGACAAAAGGGCACATCATTCCACAACAACGAGGAGAAAGGAAGGAAATTGCTTGTATATCTAGCTAAAATTGCAAGTGCATCATGGGCTTCATGCTGAGTTTCTGCCCTTAGCCCGTCCTCCTCGTAACAAGACAGTGCAGTGAGAAAGTACATAAGAGCAGGTAGAGAGGGGCAAAGGGCAAAGCAGAACTTCTTGTCAGCTAAGCTGTTAAGTGAGTGCATCCACCTTGTGTATCACAGTGTCTGGGAGGATGTGGCCCTGCCCCCTACTACTAGATGAAGTTACTTCAGTGATGGCTTTATAACCATGATGGCAGAGATAGGGTGATGGCATGGAATGAAAGGGTGGATGAACTAAGAGCCATTATACTCTTAGCACCATCTTCCCAGCATTTAAACATCAGAATAGTATTTTTTTTTTAATCTACAGATTAGGAAAAGTCACAGATACTCAGGACTACTCGACTGGTGGATGCTCAAATAATTATGTCAATTAGTGACTGCACCCATGTCTGTGTCCCAGGGTCCACTTTTGTCACCCACTGCTGGTCCGCAAGTGTGAGCCACAGTGATTTCCTCCCATTGTCTCTGAAGCCTGATTTTTTTTTTCAGAGACATTTATCTGCTAGATATGGCTATGGAAACTAGGCTACTGTGTACTTTGGCAAATATACAAAATTAAATCTCAGCCCAAGGTTCAGTGTGTATCATTTGAGTCTTACAAATTACAGGAGAGCTATGGGAATGAAAGGTAATAGAATAGTTTACTAATCATTCTTTTTGTTTGAAAAACCTGACATGAGAAATTTTCTGAATGAAAACGATTCAGTTTCACAGCCTTCAGGATCAAAGCATTCACTACACTGAACTATAATTAACTCTCAAGTTTTCTGTGATTCCATCAAGAATTTTCTTCTTCTGGTTACATAAAACCCAAACACAAAGCAAAAACTAAAATGAAGTGTTATGAAAATAGTACTGGACTGTCAAATATCAGGTATTGACATTATTATCATTATTTGTCTCTTTTCAGTTTGAAGCTCTGTGTTTGCAAAGGTTAGTAATTAACTAGGCTTTTATGCCTGTCCCTCTTTCTCTCTCACTTCTGTAGGACCTTGAACCACTCTCATTATTATAACTTTCTCTTATCTCTAAAGTAGGAATAACTGTCACTTACTAAAACTCTGTGGCCCAGCAGGTTTTCAAAAGGTATCTGTTCATTGAATTTGACATAGAAATGAAAAAGGTTTGAGTCTGCACGTGATACAGAGGGTTACATGGCAGCATCGATCCTATTAGGCAGCAGGATGAGGCAATGACAGAAAAGGTTTTCTAGCTGGCTCAACATGTGATCATGAGACAACTGAATTTCCCTTCTTCAGGAAGTGCCCAGAATGGACTAGATATGGGATTCATTGGACGTTAGAGGCTGTTTAAGATTTCAACTGTTAGAAGGCTACTTTGCAAAAGTTTGAAAATTAAAGATCAATGATTGAGTCTTTTGATTGGAGTAATGTGCATGCCACTGAGGTGAGGACAGGGGTTGCTGAGAAGAAATAGGAAGGAAGTAGAAAGCAAGGAAGAAGGAGGAGATTTTAACCTCTGAGAGGCAACTACATTTTAACCTGAAAGGTCAGAACCTCCAGGAGTTCAGTTATTATGGAGACTAGAGCAATTTCTCTTGAGGAAGCTGCTCATATAATGTTTAATTCCATTCACAAAGTTCTTTTGGCCATTAACCCAAATACTGAGGCACTACATGATTATGTGTGATCACAAAGTCCCTCAGCCTGAGTGTGAGAGAAATCCTTTGTGTCTGACTTAACCCCCTTTCTGTGCTGCCAGTGGGAGGGTGATGCTAGGTTACTTCTCAATGAATGGTTAGAAACAATTCCTGTAGTGAATTAGTCCCTATTAGAAATGAATGGAAGGAAGATGAGAGGGGTTCTGTTGGATGGATGGTGGCGACAGTGGCACAACAATGTGGATGTACTTAATGCTACTGAATTAACTGTACACCTAAAATTGGTGAAGATGATAAATTTTATGTTAGTGTACTTTACCATTTTTTAAGAAAAAAATCTAATAATTAACTTATTTTGCTATATATTGGGTTGTCACTGAGTAGGAACTTTATATTTTTGAAACCAAATCTGAGATGTAATCCTGAGAGTTTATAGGAAGAAGGAGCCTCTGAGAGGAGATGGCTAATGCTGACCTAGCTCTCTAAACAGTGCAAAGCTTTAAGAGGAATTCTGCCATTAAGCTCTCTGGGAACTCACAAGCAGCAAATGAAGTCTTTCCAAAGTGAGGGGGAAAAAAGAATGAAAGTTACTAAAAACTATTTTTTACCAGCTATCTTCATATATCCTTATACTGGATACTGGATAGATCAAACTGAAAATATGTAAACATTTTTAGCCTCTCTGCTTTTAAAACCTACTCAGAATTGTGATTGAGAGAAGAAAGCAATCCCTTCTGTATTACCTCATTTCTATCATCAAAACAGAATTTCTTATCATGAGCACAGGCCTGTAACTACTTGCCTATCCTTACCTAACTGGTGTTTTTGTTTTGTTTTGTTTTTCTATCTTCTACCCTGACTTATCCAAATTTGTAATACTTATCAAGAACCACTTTAAATCCTTTCCTTTTTTGTTATTTTTAAAATCAGGCAGGATATAATGGTATAACATAAAATACTGGCCAATACTTGGGCCATACTTTGAATAATAAGTTTACATGGATCATTTAACAAAAATAATATATAGCCAGCAATTTCAAACCATGCCTTAGACCTCCAGATTTAGTATTTTAACAAAATAATAGAATACATCTGTGGTCTTCAGCCTGCTGAGCCTAACTGGGACACACTGGGGGCTGTTTAGCTGCCAGGTGCTCACTGAAGGCCAGAGGACCTCTCAGACTACAGCTCAGGGTGCAAGAGAAGAGAAGCCACCGTGCCACATACAGCTCCCATGTACAACCACTGTGAACTATGAACTGTGAACTGTGAAATATAAACTGTGTCACATACAGCTCCCATGAACGACCACCCCCATATCCACAGGAGTCCCTGTTTCCAAAGGGGCATCTTACAACTTCAGAGCCTGTTGGGATAAAGTGATTTTGTCATATCTTGGAGCAGTTTACTAGAAGGGTTCACAAGTTAACTTTGGAATAAAAAACAAGGTGATGTAACCCACAGAACACTGGGCTTAGAGCTGGAAAGCCACACTTTGGCTCCTACGCTCTCTGAGTTGGGAAAAATAATGCTTTTTACTCTGAGGACCATTGGGAAGCTCAAGTGAGGTAAAACATGTATAGGTACATTACAGGTGGAAGGCAATATTAATAGCATGGCATCAGGAGGGATGAATTTAGGTGTTTAAAAGAAAGGAGGCAAATATACAACAAGCAACATCCCTACAAAGACTTCACACTTTCCGCTTCTTGAGTTTCCTTCTGAGAGAGGTTGAAAGTGAAAATGTATCTTTCTTTGAAGATAAAAGAAATATCTTCTGTGAGTTAGTATGGACAAGGTACTAAAAGAAACTTAAAATGAAATGTCGCATATCCAAAAGAAATTCTATTATAAGCCATGGGTCAAATTCTATTAGAAGTGAGGGGTTATATCTGGTAAGCATTAAGACAAACTCTGCTTTCTACATGGCCTGCTGGCTAAAACCAAGTTTCCCTCTTAGCAACAACAAAATTTACTTAGTATTCCAGAACATACACATTGTGAAAAGCCTTTGATTTCAGTCGTTGGCATAGAAACCTGGAGTAAAGGGCTGTGGGAAGAATAGAACCAATACAAAAAGAAAAAAAAAAATTCTTGCTGAGCTGTTACTGTCAGCAAAGCCTATGTTGTTTTAAATAAATCTTTATCACACCACTCTCTAAAAACAAATGGGTGGTATATATTTATAGTCTCTACTTTTATTTAGAGAGGACGTGAAAAGCAGGAAGAACGTGAGAATGCATGTAATTGTCAATTTCTCCTTTGAAGTAGCCTCTGCAAAATGCCTTGCTCCATTTCTGGCTGGGTTCTCCCTCTCCATACCCCTCACCCTACCTGCATTATGATGTGCAGGAAACTCATGGAAAGCAAAAAAAAAAAAAAATGGAATCCAACATTTTCATTTTTTCTGCAAGACACAGCATTGCAAAATTTAACAAAAGATCTCCACAACTCAATGAAACACACTCATAATGATGGAGCATCTTATTTACTAATGCAAGTAATGAATCAATCCACTTGGCATTCAGGTCCAGCTGCTTCCTTTATGCCATGCAGAAGAGAAGAACTGATAAAGAGAATGTTTTATTTTATTTATTTTTAAAATTATATTTTAAATTTTTGTGTAGCAATGGGGGCCTCACTATGTTGCCCGGGCTAGTTTCAAACTCCTGGGCTCAAGCAATCCTCCTGCCTCAGCCTCTCAAAGTGCTGGGATTACAGGCATGAGCCACCATGTGCAACCGATAAAGAGAATGTTTTAAACATATCTAGCTACTGCTTCTTGGCTTTTTGGCTAAGATCAAGTGTAAAAATATCTAGCTGATGCCATTTAAGAATCTACCTTTAAGGTTCACAATGATATGATTAATTTATGTTAATTTCACAGATCAGATATAATCTCCCCAATAAAAGCATGTCAAATTCACAAAATTCATAAAAGCTGCTCACTGTAGAAACCAGTCAGGAACCTATTATATAAGAATCAGGATCTTCTAAACCAGAATTAGAAGAGGGATTCTATTCACAAGATCCATGAAGGATACAGGCAAAAATGTTAGCTAATATTTATTTACTGTTCTTGTTTACTTGTCTTCTCTCTTTAGATTAGAAGGACCATGAGGGCAGAAATTTTGATCATTTGTTCACCACTCTATCTGCAGCTTGGAACAATATCTGGTACAGAGTAGATTTTGCTCTGTAAATACTTATATATTTATCAAATACATAAATATAAATATTAAGCAATGAGTGAATTTAGCATATCGATGTGAATCCTCTATGAACGTAGTAGATAGGCATAGTCTCAGAAAAGGAAGGGATCAGGTAGAGGAAACACCACTAAGGTGTATCCTCAGTATCCATCTGAGAGGCTCAGGCTTGGAACTATACACTGTCTTGCTAAAACTTGCACTGTAAACACAATCTAACAAAGGTAACGAGTAGTTCCTTGGTGAATAGTAAAAACCATCCTAGAGTAAGCTGGGACTAGATGTGCCACAGACTGTTGACAGTGTTTAAACAATTTAAACATTCTTTAAGGTTTCGCATTGGGAAAATTTAAGAGCTGAAGCAATCTGGGCCACAAAGATTATTGATTGGTTTATCTAGAAAATGGCAATCTTCCTTTTCACTTCAGTGTTATTTACAAAAACGAATATTGACTGTATTAGATTATGAAAGCTGAAGTTGTCAAAAAGCAATGCAGAAAATGTCACAAATACAATTTGTATTATTAACCCAATACACTATCACATTGGGGAAACACCCACTTTTCCCCTAGAAGTGGAGAAAAACAGTGAGAGTTAAGATATTTTAAAATAAGTAGAGTTACTTTTAGTATACAATTTATTAATCATCTTATCTGGAATATTGAACTAAATATCTTCCTGCTTTTCCCTAATATAGTTTCCTGATAATCATAAAAACATCTACTACAATGAGTACTTCTCATTCCAGAAATGATATGATGTATTGGAAAACACTAGCAAAAAGGCACTCATTCAGATCAAATAAACTAAACTTTAACCAACCCACTACTTTTTTGCCTTAACATTGTTGTCTACCTTGGTTGAAAATATGTATTCTCTGAAAGGTTAAAGTATGTGAGAGGATGGTTTAATGATATATATTTCTATTTTTCATCTTTTCATTCGATGAGATTAAGTATTCAATGAAAAGAATGATGCTTACCATCTTAAATGTGTAGCTATTTGAAAATAAGTACTAAAATTCAAAATAGAGCTTCAATCTTTATTTTCTGACAGTTAAATGGCTGTTTTCCAGTTACTGCATCCATCAAACAATAACCAAGGCACAGTGCTTGTATCATAGCAGGTAGTTAACACTGCTCTTTCAGGCTTCCGGGTCAAAAGATTGAGCAAAATGGTCACCAGCACTGCATATGGGGACACAATGATGGACACAGGATGACCATCAGAAGAGAGCTGCCAGAAAGAGCCAGGACAAGCACAAACTGTAAGGCAGCTTCCTGGAGTCCACAGTCCCTGACAGTAGAATCTGGACTAGCAAGAGACAGCATAAAGTCAAAAGACCTTAATCTGAATTCCCTTACTCTCTTAGGCAGGTTACTGGGCCTCTGAACTTCAGACTCTTTCTGTGAAATGGCGCAATAACCCCTAACTTAGGATCCATGTGAGGGTTAAGTAAGATAATGGAGGTGAAGGCCCTGGCACAGGGCCTGGAACATAATGGGAGCTCAGTAGGGGAGGTAGTCATTATTATTACTATGGGAGCGGTACTGACCTTGAGGGATCAACCACAGCGGCTGTGATTTAAAGGTGCCATTTGTTGTCCAAAGTGTAGGCACGGTATGTGTTTTAGCACACACCTGCCACGTGCTGCATATGCAATAATTATGGTCTAATATTACCATTGTGTTGATGTGCATGGCCATGCAATGGCAAAGATCCAGAGGTTAACAATGCCTTGCATTCTTGTTTGTTTGGTTGTTTTTTATTCTTTTTCTTTTTTTTTTTTTTTTGAGACGGAGTCTCGCTCTGTCACCCAGGCTGGAGTGCAGTGGCGCAATCGTGGCTCGCTGCAAACTCCGCCTCCCAGGTTCACGCCATTGTCCTGCCTCAGCCTTCTGAGTAACTGGTAGCTGGGACTACAGGCACCTGCCAGCACGCCCGGCTAATTTTTTGTATTTTTAGTGGAGATGAAGTTTCACCGTGTTAGCCAGGATGGTCTCGATCTCCTGACCTCATGATCTGCCCGCCTCGGCCTCCCAAAGTGCTGGGATTACAGGCATGAGCCACCGCGCCTAGCCTCTTTTTTTGTTTTTATTTTATTTTCTGCCTTACATTCCTGAAAGCAGCCTCGGGCTACCAAGTCCAATGCCATGGCAAGATGCCTTTGTCCAGTAGGTTATGCAATAGCACAGCCATATTTGTATTTTTGTGAAATAAAAATATGGTAGAGTTGAGCAGTTCTCCCCTCCAGAAAGCTGAAGTTGTTTTTTCTTTAGGAACAGGACTTTCAGGGTAGTGTGGACCTAACCTTACAGCGGGACTCAGCAGCAGCAACAAAATCAAAAAAGGGACCCTGGATGCTACTCTTAACATTTCCTTACTTAGGCACCTAATGTAACGTGCATCATCTCCTTAAGTCTTTCCATTAGTTCATCCTCTATTAAAGCTTGCAGCAGGACCACCTTCTTAAAGTACAGAACAATTACATCTGGATTTCTAGAAAGCAGGGTTCCCAGTAAAGCCCAGAAAATTTCAGAGACATCAGAAAGTCTAACACTTAAGATATGTAATTTGTAAGGTCCTGTTAGGAAGTTTGGATAGCATGTCACGATCTGTTGATCACTTTCAGGCAAAGTCAAAATTCTCAAACAGAACTTTATCATTTTAACTCCACCTTGCCTCCATCAAGAACAATGAGGAGCTAAATTACTTACAAAAGCTGCCTATGGGTGCCACTTTCAAACTATCACCTTAGCATCATGTTTTACTTTTATTATTTTTTATTTTTATTTTTGAGATAGGATATTGCTCTGTTGCCCAAGCTGAAGTGCAGTGGCATGATCATGGCTCACTGTAACCTCGACCTCCTGGGCTCAAGCCATCCTCTTGCCTCAGCCTCCCAAATAGCTGGGACTACAGGATGTGCACCACCATGCCCAGCTAATTTTTTAATTTTTCATAGAGAAGAGGTCTCACTATGTTGCCCAGGCTGGTCTAGAACTCCTGGTCTTAGATGATCCTCCCGCCTTGGCCTCCCAAAGGGCTGGGATTACAGATGTGAGCCACCACACCCAGCCCAATATCAAGTTTTAGACTGGGCGTGGCTGGGAGACTAGCAGGTACCTAGCTTGAGGACATACTTGTAAATTTCCAGTTTTTTCCAGTTTTTCCCAGTTTTTAAAATGTACATAAAAGGAACATGAAACTGGAAGAAGAGTAAGAAAGTAGGAAAAAAAGTGGTCTTTCAATGACTGAATCTCCTCATCATATGACCCAGACTTCAGTGATATTGACAGTGAGATACCTTACTGTAGATGTGTGTGAGGACAAACAAACATTGGAGGTCCAGCACATCTCCATTCAGAGTCCTCAGTTTCATTTTCTAGGCCATATATCGGGATAATGAAGAGCATGCACTCAGGGGTTAGGTAGACTTTTAGGAGTTTTATAGCCTTGTCAAGTCACTTTAACCTCTTTGAACTTCTGGTTTCTCAAACGTAAAATGGGGATGATAATGCCTGCCTAGCAGGGTGGATGTAAGGATTTAATGAGTTCATGCATAAAAAGCTTTTAGTTGTTGTTTATTGTTAGCCTCCAGGTAAACTAAAAACCTCTCAGCCTCTGAATCTTATCAGCATGAATCTGCACAGATTCCAAGATAATCATCACACTCATTTGCTTCCCAGTTGGAGTGGAGAGTGAATTTACATGACTGTTTAATTAGTAGTTGAGCGCAAAGGGTTTGGTCTCTCTCCCTATATTAAATGTGAGAATACAGGTAAAAATGCTTAATAAATGTTAGCAGCTATTATTCTCACTGTTGTTATTACTTACTAGTCCATGGAAACACTGTGCAGTGCAGAAAAGAGAAAATGAGGAAGCAAAGGGGTTTTTCCTTTTTGATCACAGCCTGTTGTAGCCAGAGTTCCTAAATACTTTGTGAAATTTTTTATACTTTCTTCATTCCTCCCTTGACCTCTGAACCCACAGTTTTTCTAAAGACTACTGATTTTCAAGTCCAACAGAGCTTAAAGGTAAAAAGAAAAGAATAAAAAGACTACTGATTTGCTTTTTCACATCTGTCACCACCAGACTATCCCAAGCATCTCAAACCATGTGGCTATCAGAGTTTACAAAGGTTTCTGGTCTCTCCTGATTGGTTATCAGTGTACATATGTCACAAGTATCCTCAACTCCCAGGACACACCCAAAGCCCTGTAGCCTCCGGACCCACAGTTATTGCCCGAGGTGGAGTAGGGGAAGGGATGTATTTGTTGAGAAATGATGTGGTTATTGGTGTGGGAATCCTGACATTAGAATGAGTAAATGACCCCTTCCTCAGTGACACTAGCTCTAGGAAGTAGGCTGCAATGTCAGATGGGAACTTTGATTTCTCAAGGCATGTTTCCAGACTCCAGCCACTCCATGTTTGGCTTCAGTGAGAAAGAAAAACACTGGCAACAGCTGTGGAAATCAGTGGCTAGAGTTTAAACAATCTCTTGTTTAAACAGTAGGAAACTGCACAAACAAGCTAGACTTCCCAAGAGTGAAGGCCAGGTACAGAGGAAATGAAGCATTCCAAATAATGCCAGGTAAGAATGAGGATGAATAACCAGTTCAAAGGCTAAAGAAGTGGCCTCAAACTCTTGTGTTCCTTGGAGCTCTAGGGTTGCTCCCTAGGTTGCTCAGGGATTGCCTGTAGCTGGGGGAGGGGAGTGTGCGTGTGTGTGTGTGTGTGTGTGTGTACATGTCTGTTGCAGGCACCTGCCACCCCCACCCCTGTGGCCTTCAAATGCATTAGGAGGGAACCCAGAGCCTCCCATTCTGGGAGTGAGGATAGCTTGTGAGGGCCACTGAGGGTGACAGGGAGGAAGGTCAAGCTGAGTCATAATATCCTGCAGTGATTCCAGGAGACTTTAGAGATTTTTTTCAAAAGAAAAAGAAAAAAGAAAACAAGAAAAGAAAGGCAAATACTACTTCAAAGTCAAGAGCCTACTTTTACAATTGCTTTGAAAGAAAAATAACTAAAAACAAACCAAATGTTTTCTCAAATAAAATGCTTCCCTATCAGTCACTTGGGTGAAAAGTCAGCCTTACCTTGACATATTGAACGAGACGCTCACTGACATTCACTTTGTAAGTCTCTATGCCCAGCTCCTTAGACAAGCGTAAGATTCTGTTTTGGGTTGGTCCCACATAAGCTCCACCAACATCTACGTAATCAACATGCTCATTCTGCAAAAAGAGAAAAATTGGTCAGAGGACTTTAGTTAAAACTTGGAAAAAAGGTGTCTTGTAAAAAAATAACCCCATTTATTTTTTTAAAAGTTAATTGTGCCTTACATCTCCCCTATAAAGAGCAACTGAAAATGGCAATCTTTCCTCATCCACTCAAGAACTGGGGCACAATCCTGTCTAACACTCATCACTAAGCACCATCATTTGGTAAAGTTATTGGTAAGGCCAATTCAGCAATACAATGCATAAAAGATAAAGAACACTGTAGTATGTTCTGCCAGTTTAGATCCTTTATGAAACATTTAAATTATTATGTGAGCTTCTGTCTGGTGTTATTGCTGGAGGAGCCACCCAAAGCCTAATTCCCTAATTTCCACCAGGTGAAATCTTAAATCAGTCCACATTGATGGCTCTAGATGCTATTTTAAAACACTTCCAGGAAAGAATGCGTCATAGGAAAAGAATACAAGAAGGTATAAAAAGATTCACATATCACTAAATTATTTACAAATATGCAAACCCTCTATCATAAACTAAAATTGTTTACTTCCTCCCTCATAAATACAGTTCTCCATGCTTTTCAGCTGTTTTTATTAATTGGAAAGTTCCAATGATTTAATCAATAATTGAATATTGGTGAGCTGCAACCCTTCCGTGGTTTTTTTTTTTTTAATAAATAAAGGGTCTGTGTCTATTTTGTTGTGTATACCAATTCTCAAGCATGTTGTCATGCATTTTTTCCTTGTTTGCCTGATTATTTTTTGTTGAATGCCACTCATTGCACTTGAAAACATGTAGAAATCATTTGAATCCTAGGAAGATGATATCTTTCTCAGAGAGGATTTATGTTTGCTTCTGCCCACAGCCTGGGACTCTCACAGTACCAGATAACTTTATACCATTTTCAGTACCTGAGAGGATTTGAAGCTGGGCCGAAATGCACATTTGGCCTAGTTTTCTTGCCATTTACCCTTGGTCCTTAGATGCAGCCCAACCCACAGCACAAGGAGTTGACAAACACTCCCCCAGAAATCAGTACACACTTCATGGGGCTCTGGACTTGACCTGTCACCCTAGCTTTGCACTAGGTCCAAAGCACTGCTCAGCCTTCGGGAGCTTCTTCAGTGGTCAGCAACTCCCCCTGCCACCCAGGGAAAAGTAGGTTAATCCTTTCCAGATGTTGGCCCAGTGATTCTTCACTATCTTGTTAGCTCGCTGGCTCTTTAATGCTTTAAAGATGTGTGCGTGCGTGTGTGTGTGTGTGTGTGTGTGTGTGTGTGTGTGTGTCTATACAGTGCAACTTGTCTAGTCTCTTTGTATTTTGTTATAATTTACCTAATCTGCTATTTCCAGAAAATTGTCTAGTATTATTCAACATTTCCTTCCTGGAGCTACCCAACGTGATATTATCTTTCTGTTGGAGGATATGCTTTGCTAACATTTTGTTTAGAATTTTTATATCTATGTTTATAAGCAATATTGAGACTGGCCTATGATTCTCCTTTCTTCTACTGCCTTGTCTGTTTTTTGCATTACAGTACTGCTAATCTCCTTAGTGATCATACTTTTTTCTATTCTCTAGAAAGGTTTGTATGTAAATAAAGTGATCCATTCTTTGAACATTACATAGAACATGCCTGTAGAACTAGCTAGGCTTGGTGATTTTTTTAGGGAAAATCTTAAACTAGACATTTAATTTATTTTTAGGTTAAAGCACTACCCATCTTTTCTATTTCCAGACTAAATCACTGTTAACTTTGATGAATTATATTTTTCTCACAATATGTACATTTCATATATGTTTCAAAACTGTTGGTTTAATGTTCATGGCATCTTCTTTTCATTTAATTATTCTTTATTGCATCAGTAATTATATCTTCATTTTCATCTTTTTTATTTTTATTTTTTTTTTTTGAGACAGGGTCTTACTCTATCAGTCAGGCTGGAGTACAATGGCATGATCATGGCTCACTGCAGCCTCGACTTTCCTGGGCTCTATGAATTCTTCCACCTCAGCTTCCTGAGTAGCTGGGATCACAGGCATGTGCCACCACACTCAGCTAATTTTTGTATTTTTTGTAGGGTTAGGGTTGCTCAGGCTGATCTCAAGCTCCTAAGCTCAAGCGATACACCTGCCTTAGCCTCCCAAAGTGTTGGGATTACAGGCGTGAGCCCCACATCTGGCTCTGATCTCGTATTTATTTGGGGTGTTTCTTTTTCTGGAAAAATCTTATCAGACACTTCTTGTGTATCTTTAATAGGTCTCTTCAAAGAATCAACTTTTATTTTATTGATCCTCTTTGTTGGGTGTCTATTTTCTACATCATTGATTTATTCCCTTTTTACCCCTTCTTTGGATTTATTTTGCTCTTAATTTTCTAACTCTTTGCATGATTAGCTTATTCATATATAGCCTTTTTCTTTTCTAATGGAAGAATTTAGACTATACATCTTCTAAGTATTGCTTTAGCTGCATCCACGACTTTATATTTTCCATTATTTTGCAGCTCTAAGTATTGTCACAAAGAAAAGGAAAAAAAAAGCTTATCTTTATTTATGTTTTCCATCTGAATTTAAGCTATCCATATGATATGAAAAAACTTGGGCAGAAAATTTAAAGTGTCAAGGACGGTGGTAGAAGTAGACTTAAGTCCTTTTCCCCTATGCCTCAAATAATTTACACACAGATAAAGTTCCATGGAAAATTAGCAACCCACAGCCAAAAGTTACAAAACATACATGCAAACAAGGCACCAAAAGAAAATAAGCAGAAAAAATAATCCAGAAAGATTTCATAATAGTTGAATTATACACAGAATCTAAAAGTACTATGCAATATATTTTAAATAAAATAAGTCATTAAAACTAGGAGCAGGGGAAAAGAAACTGAAAATATTATCAAGTAGATTAAAAAATAACTGCTAGCAATAAAAATGTACTAATTAAAATTTTTAAAACTCCGTGAATGGATTAAACCATATATTTGACATAGTTAAAGAGTGAGTAAACTGCTAGATCTGAATAAATTATCTAGAATGCAGTTCAAAGATAAAGAATTGGAAAATATGTTGAGGAGGTAGTTAAGACATGGAAGATGGTGTCAAAATATTAAGTAGTATTAAAAAATAGTGGCTGAGGATTTACCAGCATTGTTGGAAGATAAGAAACCCAACAGGTCCAAAGAATGATAAATAAAAAAGAAATTCTCACCCAGACACAGAGAAACTGCAGTATACCAAAGAAAAGAGCTCCTAAAAGCAATTCTTTTTCAGAAAACAAAAGAGGCAAATCATACATACTCTGAAAAAAATCAACAATTAGACTTACGAGTGACTCTTCAACAATAAAAATACAAGCCAGAAGATAGGGGAATAATATCTTTGCTGTTCTGAGAGAAAAAAAAAGAGGAAGAGAAATTCTAAGTAGAATTTGTTACCTGTTAGAACTATGTTTTTGTCAAGCTGACAAGTGTACAGAGTTTAGGACCCAGATTGGAGGAAAGGGTGTGTTTCAAGTAGAATGAAAATGGTTACAAATAAAAGGTCTGAGATTCAAGAATGGACAGTGAACAAAGATACTGGCAAAACTTTAAAGAAAATTAAGCAACATCAACAATAGAATAAAATAAAATTAATAATGTCTGAGAAACATACAAACTTGAAATACTTTTATAGTTTACAGATTGGAAGAAGGGTGCTCACAACTGAAGCATGAAAGCTTTTGTATTTTTTAGTAGAAAGATAGTATGTTGATAAACTTTAGACTACATTAAGTATGAGTGTTAATATAGTTAGGAAAATTGTCTGAAAAACATTGGTCTGACTATATAACTTCTGAACAAGTAGAAGAAAAAACTTAAAAAGAAAACAAAAAGAAGAAAACCATTAACCCAAAAGAAGGAAAGAAAGAAACCAAGAGGAAAACTGTTAAAGTGGGACAAATGGAAAGCCATAATATAATAAAGTTAAAACATTTAAAAAAGAAATCATAACAAATATAGATGGACCAAGTTTGTCAATTAACTCCACTAAAAATGCAAAAATTAGTTGGGTGTGGTGGCAGCGCCTGTGATCCCAGCTACTGGGGAGGCTGAGGCAGGAGAACAGCTTGAACCCAGGAGGTGGAGGTTGCAGCGAGCTGAGATTGCGCCACTGCACTCCAGCCTGGGCAACACAGTGAGACTCTGTCTCAAAATAAATAAATAAATAAATAAAAATCCTGTACCCCCTGAATCTAAAATTTAAAAAAAGGAAAAAAAGTCAGAATAAAGAAAACTCTAACTGAAAGATAAAGAGATATACAAATACTAATGTAAGCTGTTATAACTATATTAATATCAAAGAAAACCTTAAACAAAATAAATCTCAGTGAAATAAGTGTCACTACATAATGCTAAAAGATCCAGAAGGCTAACCAAGTTTAAACTTGCATAAACTGAGTAATATAGCTTCAAAATGTAAGCAACATTTGACAGGAACCAAAGATAAGTGCCCAGTAGAACAGAGAATTTTTAACATACTTTTAAAAGTGATTAATAGATTAAGCAAACAAAAAAGAAGGAGCACAGTTAAGCTTATTCTAGTGGACATATATAAAACACTGCATATAGCTTTTAGAGACTACATGTTCTTTTCAAGCAGAAATTAGAAGATCTTTGGATATTAACCATGTGCTTGCTAGGTTATAAAGCGAGCCTCAAGGATTGTTACCATGAAACAATATTCTCTGACCACAATGCAGTGATGACGAAAAATAACTGAAAAACATTCCAGGTGTAGAAATTAAAACACACCAGCCTGGCCAATGTGGTGAAAACCTATCTCTACTGAAAATACAAAAATGAGCCGGGCATGGTGGCGTGAGCCTGTAATCCCAGCTACTCAGGAGGCTGAGGCGGGAGAATTGCTGGAACCCAGGAGACAGTGGCTGCAGTGAGGTGAGATCGTCCCACTGCACTCCAGCCTGGGCAACAGAGTGAGACTCCGTCTCGAAAAAAAAAGCAAAAACTCCTAGCAACATGGATCTAAAGACTGTAATACAGAAGTCTGCTGGTATATTCAAGAAATAGCAAGGAGGCCAAAGTGGCCGGAACAATGTGAGCAAGGAAAAAAATTGAAGATGAGGTTACAGAGGTTATTGGCAGAGCAGGTCACGTAAAGCCTCACAGGACATTGTAAGGACATAGGCCTTGGCTGTCAGTGAGAAGGGGAGCCGTTGGAAGGTCTTGAGCAGGGAAATGCTAAAATCTGAGTTACATTTGAAAGGCTCACTCTCACTGATGCACTAAGAAAGAACAGAATGTAGGCGGCAGGAGTAAAAGCAGGAAAATCAGGAGCCTACTCTAGTAATCTGGCCTAGAGATATAATGGTGGCTCCCACCAGGGGATAGCAGTGGAAGTGGTGGGAAGCGTTGAATTCTGGATATGTTTTGAAGGCAGGGCCAACGGAATTTCCTGACAAAACAAATGAGGGTCTGGTAGTGTTGAGCATGACTCTGAGTTTTTTCGAAGTTGCCATCTTCTAACATGGGCAGCTGGAACAGCGGCCTTAAGGAAGATCAGAAGTCTAGTGTTGGATGTGTTACGTTTGAGATGTCTATGCAACATCCAGGAGATCTACAAATTTCTAACTTCCATGTCAGATGAGCACAGCATATTGTATTCAGCATTTTACTTATTTCAATGAGGAGTTAGGGTTTCCATTCTGCCATAATACCAGAAATGAAGTGCTTCTGTGACTTCTTTAATGTGCCCTCATATAATGTTTATTCTCTCTTTTAGTAACCATCAGTGCTGTCCTTCAAACCTTTTCTAATCTACAACAACTATTTTAAGATATAATGAACAAAACTGGAATTAGTACTCCAATAAATTTCTGGGCTTTAACAAAGACAGCAAGGGGACTCCTGGGAGTTTCCAAACATGATGTCTTTAGAATGCTGACACTATCTTTAAAGCAAATAATCCTAAATGAAGCAGTAAAAAGAGTGAGGCATTTTGCAGAATGTTCCTTTACAAAGTAAGAACGTTCTAAATGAAGTGCCTCAAATTCAGCATGAAGACACTAGAAGCGGTAACACTGTATTCTACTGTGTTGCACCTCAGTCTTTGGGGTCTTGATTTAGATCTCACTACTCAGCCTTTGAAGAGGCCACAAACATGCAACAATATTGGAAACATACACCAACCCTGTGGCAGCCCTGCAGGCATTTCAACTTTATTAATTTGACTCTGAAGAATCATGGATGAATCACATTAGGAAAAACGGGCAAGTTCTGAACTAATGGAAGACGCATCTGAACAGCTTGCCAGGTAATACCAAATTTGACATTCTGGTACTCAGAGATCCATAGTAGCTTTTATGGCATCTCCTCCCAAAATTATCCTAATTGATTATGTTATTAGAAGCAATTTAAAAAATATTTGCTTCAGTTTCTTATTAAATACAATTTTCATGCCTGTTTCCTTTTTTAAAATTTTTAATTTTTTGAGTCAGGGTTTCACTCCTGTCACCCAGACTGGAGTGCAATGGTGCAATCTCGGCTCACCGCAACCCCTGCCTTTCAGGCTCAAGTGATTCTCCTACCTCAGCCTCCCAAGTAGCTGTGACTACAGGTGTACACCACTGCACCTGGCTACTTTTTGTATTTTTAGTAGAGATGGGGTTTCACCATGTTTCCCAGGCTGTTCTCAAACTCCCAAGCTCAAGTGATCCACCTGCCTTGGCCTCCCAAAGTGCTGGGATTACAGGCGTGAGCCACCATGCCCGGCCTCCATGCCTGTTTCTTAAAGCCCTCTTTCTCTCCTTCTCATCATTTGGAGTATAAATGCTAAGTCCTAATTTCCAAGCATTTCAGAGATTCCTTTCTCACATTCCTAAGGGGGGTGTAATGTCATGCTGAATAGACAATAACAGTTCCTGTGTGGTGCTGACATATATAAATGACACAGCATGGCAAAGTAATTGGGGCCAATAACACAGATGGGGACAAGTATGTTGGAATTCTCATTTCCCTTATACAAAGAAACTTGTTCTTAACTGAAAATCCGCAACATGACTAATGCTCCTGTTTAATAACCAAAAGGTTTTAGAGATAAGAAAAATAGAGCTAAGGGACAACTTAATAACTATCTCCAAAGTGGAGGAATATTTTTCAGAAAATGACAGAAGAATCATATCTAATAAAGGCATACAGGCAGAAGATGCAGCTCTTCATTTGCACTATAACACGCTGCCTTCAATTAGAATTTGAAGATGGAAGGGAGTTTCTTCGAGGACATTTAGATAGTATCTTATTACTCAGATGAGAAAACTGAGATGTAAAGTGCTAATAGGACTTATCCAAGACATCATGTCAAGTCAGTACAGAGGCTAGAATCCCAGTCTCCTCACTCCCAGACCAATAGCTTCCCAGTGGACTACATCTAAGGGAGCACTCAGAAAATTTAATCCGGATTGGCATTAGTTTAAGGCAAGCAAGCAAACAAATGCCACAGAGTAGCACTTCTATAGTGTCCCCTGGAGATGTTGTCAAAATGCAGATCCAGATTCAGCAGTTCTGAGATAGGGCCTGATATTCTGCATTTCTATCAAAATCCCAGTTGATTCTGGGGCTACTGACCCACAGATGACACTTTGCATAGCAAGGCTGTACAGCACCCTTAGAGCTGAGCAAAGCAGAAATAGGCCTAGATACATCCCTGTATCTAAAAAGGTAGGAAGCAAATGACAGAAGGGTAGCATGGTACAATGTGGCTGAAATCGCTGCTATGAAATCCTAATTCAAATGTTGTCTGTAGGTTATTCTAGTATCCATTGATATTTCCTCTCCCATGCCTGCTTCCATTATGTAGCCTAGTATTGTGAAATACTTACTTTCCCAGGATCCCTGACAGCTGAGGGTAGCCATGTGACTCAACTCTAGCCAATGAGACTAAAGCAAATGTCTGCTGGGGTCTTTTGGCGAAGGAAAAGCTTAGTTGCAGACAAGGCTAGTGCCACCCTTTCACTCTCCTTTCAGCCTTGAATGAGAACTTGATGCTTAGAATCTCAGCATCCATCTTGTTACCACAAGACAATAAACCTACATGCAAAGAATATCAGAGCAGGGCTGGGTGCGGTGGCTCATGCCTGTTATCCCAGCACTTTGGGAGGCTTCAAGGCCAGTGGATCACCTGAGGTCAGGAGTTCGCAACAAGCCTGGCCAACATGGTGGAACCCTGTCTCTACTAAAAATACAAAATTGGCTGGCGTGGTGGGGGGGGTGCCTGTAATCCTAGCTACTCTGGAGACTGAGACAGGAGAATCACTTGAACCTGGGAGACAGAGGTTGCAGTGAGCCAAGATCGCACCATTGCACTCTAGCCTGGGCGACAAGAGCAAAACACCGTCTCAAAAAAAAAAAAAAAAAAAAGAAAAGAAAAGAAAAGAAAAGAAAGAATATCAGAGCAGAAAGAAGAGCAAAAAGCAAGAGCACCAGCCTGGACTATCTGCCACCAGACTTCTGTGAAATAATCAAATGTTTGCATTGCTTACGCCATTCTGTTATTAGTCTAACTGAAGCATCTTCTAGTTAGATAGATGCTTCCTTTCTTTCCAGTCACTTCAACAGTCTAGTTTTGTCTTTACTCTCAATCCCTAGTCTTTAACACTCTATTTGTGTACTCTAGCAAAGGGGCTCATTAATTAATGAACTTCTGTCAAATGCGAGGGTTTTTGTTTTGTTTTGTTTTGTTTTGTTTTGTTTTGTTTGCCTTCATATTGTGTCAGTTGACTGTTGAGCACCCCTTCCTCTTTCGTCCACTGACTTACCCATTGCTGGTCTAGTCTGGTCCTCCTCTTCTGCCTCTACTACTTCTCTCTGACTCTTCTCCCTTTCTCCCCCACTTTTATGTGCAAAAACTTCCATCTTTGCCCCTATTTCCTTCCCACTCTTCATTATCTCCCTGCCTACTTTCATCAGTACCCACAGAGTCAACCACCTGCAACCATTCCCTTAATAGTAGTAAATAATAGCATGCATTTTTTCCAGAATGGTGATGTAAGCCGAAGTATAAAAAAAGCAGCGATGTAGCAAGAACTGGGCTTCCTTCTTACATGTAGCCAGACGCGACCTGAGGAGTATCTCTGGCAGAAGCATACTTCTTAGGGAACAAGGGCCAAGGGAAAAGTTATGCAAAAATATGCTACATTTGTTCCTGCTTACTGCAGCCACCACATTTCTTTTTTTGTCTGTTTTTGGTTTTTTGGGTTTTTGCCACCACATTTCTATTAAGTTGTGTGTCATTGGATAAATAGGGAATCTAAGTGTGTGTGTGTGTGTGTGTGTGTCTGTGTGTATTGCGGGTGTATAGTCACTTCCAGTACAGCCAAACTATCACCCCATCTGAGACACTACACACTTCATTTACGTCTCTAGTATGGAAATTATGACACTGTATTGAAGTTATTTGCTCATGTTTTTTGAATTCACTCCACTGAAATTCAGAAGCTGTCAGTCTTCAGTGCGTACATGTTAAAGAGAATGGACGCTTATTTGATGGGAGTACTTTAGGGCTATGGAGGACAAACGGCTTAACTGCATGAACTCTTAAGACCTCCTCTAGCCCTGTGATTTCCAGTGGTGCCACTTGTAGTTTGAGTGAGATATTACATTACATGTAAGTATTAAAATCACTTACCCTTATAGTATATGTTCTTCCTCCAACCCTGTCCCGAGCTTCTAAAACCAAAACACTAACGCCATATTCAGTCAAGAGTTTGGCAGCAGATAGTCCTAAAGGAAAAACAAAAAAGAGCAACGTAACATTCAAATGCTTAAAATCCAAGATTTAACCAGGTCTACACATCAAATAAATGCAGGGTATCATATACAATCCAATGATTTTGCTGTCTTTCTAATAAATTCTGACCACACTGTGATTAAGTGAGCCACCAATTTTTATTATCTGTCATAAGGGATTCAAAAATAACTAATTTAGTCATCTTGCATTTCAGTTGGTCAACAGAAACAAAATGTAATGGTCTTAAAATATATATATCTTGTTTTCTGGTGATAATCATATATTTAGAGAATTTTTGAGCCTCTAAATCAATCCCTATCATTTCCCTCATACAGAAATCCTGATAGTATTAACAGAAGAGACTATTTTCTTTAAAACTTCCTCTAGCTACACCAGGTCTCAGTATAGCTATGCTTTGCTTTTCTCAACTTAAAAATCCTGTATAATCATGTCCTATGATTTATATTTTGATTACATGCTTGCTAGATCTTGTTTCCTTCACTAGTTTCTAAGTTACCATAAGGTAGAAACCATGCTTCATACTTTTTTCACTAGCTCAAACAAAGCTGAGAACAGGTTTCCACCTGTAATTAAAAGCCTTCAGGATAGATAAAATATTTTTTAAACCCAACATAGTAATACCAGAAAAATTAAGGAAGTATTGCAGATTAACATTATATCAAGGGTGCATGCTACAAGCATGATTTATCACTGATGTTGACCTTGATCTGATCACCTGGCTGAGGTGGTGTTTGTCAAGTTTTTCCACTATAGTTATTCTTTTTCCCATCTTAACATACTGTAAAAGGCTATGCATAGCCTACACTTAAGGAGTGGGAAGTATGTTCCAGCTTTTTGAGGGTAGAGTATCCATATAAATTATTTGGAATTCTGCACTGGAGATGTGTCTCTTCTCCTCACTTACTGACTTTTTCAATCATTTACTTATTAATATATCAATATGGACTCGCAGATATTTGTTTTATACTTTGGATTATAATCCAACACTATGTCATTTATTTCGTTGCTCAAATTCTTCCAGCTATGGTTATTAGGAGTTCTGTTAGTTGGCTCCTATGCCCCTTTGACATGCCCCTATCATTTTGTGTGTGTGTTTAAACACTTCCTTCCTTTCTAGTACTACACAATGCTCCCGACTCATCTTATCTTTCTCTGCCACAGCCTTAGAATCAGGCATTTCTTCATTGAGCTTTGGTCCCTTTTACTGGAGAACAGTATTAGAAACCAAGATCTGGGTTCTAGGTGTGCTCATTGCTACTGGGGTGTCATTGCTTCTAAGACCTCTCAGCTCACAAAGAAATATAGGCCAGGCACGGTGGCTCACGCCTGTAATCCCAGCACTTTGGGAGGCCAAGGCAGGTGGATCACGAGGTCAAGAGATCGAGACCATCCTGGCTAAAATGGTGAAACCCCATCTCTACTAAAAATACAAAAAATTAGCTGGGCATGGTGGTGGGCACCTGTAGTCCCAGCTACTCGGGAGGCTGAGGCAGGAGAATTGCTTGAACCCGGGAGGCGGAGCTTGCAGTGAGCCGAGATCGTGCCACTGCACTCCAGCCTGGGCAACAGAGCAAGACTCCGTCTCAAAGAAAAAAAAAAAAAAATATATATATATATATAGTGCTATTGTGCATACATTTATTTTTAAATCCACATTCATTTTTGTACTTCAAATTCTGTCTTAGTTCCTAGTTAACTTTATACTTCTCATTATACTTCTCATAGACTTCTCATTATTACAGAGATAAACATAATACAGGGAGAAAATGCTAGTTATATTAGGGTAGAGGGAAATAAGAATGGCACCAGAGACAAGATTAGTAAAGTGATACAAATTATACCTAAATATGTATACAAGTGGTTGAGGAGGAGAACTATTCTAACTGATTTTAAAATACACGGATTTGATAGTTCATTTCTAATGGTATATATCCTAAAGATAAAAAAGAACTTCACATTTTTTTTCAATAACAATTTAGCTAGTCCTAGTATTAGCATTGTTATCCCAAGGCTGTTACATTTGTAGTATGTGATAAAACAAGTGAGTAATCAGGCTTGAGTTGCTGAGAAGCAGGTTTTTTAGCATGGAGATAAAGAAATTCAGATGTAAAAAATGATGAGATGAAGTAGTAACCCTGTAGTCCTAGATATAAATTGGAATTATAAGTATGATCTCTGGATATACTCTAACTTTAAAAAAAAATATTTCTTAGTTTTGTACAATGAAAAGGTCTAGAAAAAATAACCTACCCAGTAGCAATGAACA
Source organism: Homo sapiens (assembly GCF_000001405.40). NCBI lineage: Eukaryota > Metazoa > Chordata > Mammalia > Primates > Hominidae > Homo > Homo sapiens. Next base: position 43,681,218 of record NC_000023.11, on the reverse strand, counting down.
CTCCCAACACTTACAGTGTTGTTTCTAAAAAATCAATTCTCACTACAATGAACTATGGCTTGTGACCTAGTGAGACCTGAGGCAGGAAATGTACAAGATGAGCCTGAACACTAAATCATACCAGAAAGCAAGAAGGCTGTCAGAGACTACTAGGATTCTGTCAAAAAGACTTAGGAGCCTACCTATATAAACTCCTACTGGCCAAAGATGAAATAATTTGAGTGTCAAATAAAGATAACAACTACAATGGCTTAAATCCATGAGTTCATAATAATACTAAACAAACACAAAAACTCTCATTTTCCACCTTTGGAAAATGCTAAGGAATCAACTTACCATTTTGAAAAATGGTAAGCAAAAGAAAAAATCTAGTATTCATCCTATGTTTCCTATTTGCGCTGAACCTCAAAACAACCAAATAGCTAATGAGGGGAAGTTTCTCTGTATAAAAGTATGCTAGTTAGTAAGTGAAGACAGAAATAATTCAAATGTCAGCATTTTGCAACCCCTAATGAATTAATGGATCTAGCATAATGATAATCAAGCTGCTAACACACACAGAAAAACAGATGAGACAAATGTTATCTGACTCTTGATGGAAGCACACACCATCACCTATGAAGTAGTTTTCCAAGAATGAAGAAAGGAGAGGGAATGGGAGGGGATGGAGGGGAGGAGAGGGGAGAAGGAAGGAAGGAACAAATTAAATTCTAATGTGATCAGCCCTCTGTATCTGATACTTAGGGGACAGAGGAACATGTTAAATAATACTACTGGGATGAAATGAACAAAATCCAAATTGTAAGAAATTATACAGGACTACCCTATTTTTTGTTTTTTTATTCCCTACTCATGCTCTCCTTCCCCTTTATCCTTCACGGGCTTTTCCCACAATAAATCTTTTAAACAGCTAGTTCTATCTTGATGCCTGCTCTCACAGAACCCAGTATTTTACTCATATACAGAATGTCATAGAATACACATAGCCAAATCAAGGATGAGTTTGGGTCTACAAGATCTAAAATATCTTAAAAGATATTAAGTCTAAACCATAATATCCAGCACTGCTATCTGCTAATGTTTGTGTGCAATTTTGAGCCCTTCAAGTACACTACTCTTACATTGCTGATGCCCATAAAAGATTTAAGTATGTAATGAATTTGTGGAATCAGCTCACAAAGAAAAGCCATCCCCTGACAGTTAAATAAACTCAAACCAATGTCTGCCAGTCTTGGCGCAATATGTTTTCTGGAACACAGCCAAAGTTTGTGCTGACTAATGTAAAAATGGGATGAAAGTGAGATGAAAAATATGTTTATGCATAAATCTTTCTCCTTATGTCTGATTATTTCTTTAGGGTTAAGTTCTAGAAGGGAGATTACTAAGTCGAAAGTGATGAGCATTTTTAGGCTCAAAGTAATACTCCATATTTAAAAACAGAGAAACTCAGATGCAAAAGTTTTATCTCTTCTCATTCCCTTTCATCAACCTAACTAAAAACCAGTTAGGTAGATAAATATACCCAAGGGTCTACTGGAATTGCTCTGGCAGCTCCTCTTGTAAGGAGGGGAAACTGGCTCTCCCCACACTGCCTAAGGGGATGGAGCGGTGGGGAACTTTGAACAACAGTGGTGGGGCCTGTAGCAGTTGTGTGCATAAAGGGACCTCTCAGTAGCATCCTATAGATTCATTTCATATGCCTTTCCTTGTTGCCTCTCACAACCATCCCTTGGAGTAGATTTCATTATCTCCATATTCCAAGTGCCTGATATGACCACAACAAAGTCTTCTGAAAAGCGAAGGATTTTCCTTCTCACACCCTCACTTAGAGTCTTAATAAAATCGAATCTAGTATGTAACTCTAAACAAGTTTTATGAATGGATTTCAGTGCCAATAATAAATAAACACTACTCAGGAAACTAAAAGGGGAGGGGGGAGCAGGGCTTCTGAGCCAATACAATGACCACACCAGTGACAAAGGTCATTTTGCAGTTTGGCATTTAAGGATATAACTAAATAAAATTTAAAAGCTGGTGAAAGTAGTTGTTTCTACATTGCAGAAAAACGATTGCCCTATCACAGCAAGGAGAGTTTAAATTCTTAGTTTAAGAAATAAGAAATATGTTTAAAATATTTAAAAAGGATTTCAGATAAATGGTTTCTAAAAGGTCTTAGAATTTGAAGGGTTAAGGTTTAAGTTATTTAGGAAAATCTACTATATTAAGCATATTTCTTCTAAGATGCTGAATAAATGGGTGCTAATGTTTCAGTTTGCATGTTTACTGGGAAGAAGACCCTGTTAAGGAATTTCCACGATAACTTAAAGGTTAAAATATATACAACATGAAAATAAAAGTATGATGCTGTTAGGAAAATATTTTTGAATGCTTAGTAAGTCAAAGTACAGGCAAACACTTGGAGCTCAGAAATCTTTTGTAATGTAATAACTGTGGCTATCTGCTGATTTGAATGGCAAAACCTAAAAATTATTCCTACTTTAAGATGTAAGTCTTGGATTATAACCAACTCTTTTTTGTACTTGTGTGTCACTCACTATGCATTCTACCCTTCCCTCATCACTACAAAATTCAATGATCAGTTATAGAAAAAAAATGATATCTTAATTGTCAACCCTACAGATTAGTTTAAGGGCTTTTGACCTAATCTTTCGAAATATTTATTGAGCATTTTTTTGTAAATGGGATAAAATTGTTAGAAAAGATTCTTAAGTCTGAAGGCAAGTCACCAAATAAAATGTGGCTACTATAAAGATAGCTTTTGTAATCAAATATTTTTTCACATTTTATTATGCAAAGAGAAAAATCTCATCTTAAATCTTTTATTTCATCTTGTTCCAAAGTAATATAAATTACTAAACAAAAATGAAGAGCATTATGCATTACAGCTCTCCCTTTCTTTTATTTTCCATCATTTAATGGCCACATAGAATCTAGTGATAAGAAGCCTGTTTCTCACCACTCCCCACCCGCATGATAAGGGAAGGGTTTGATACAGGTATGCCAGTAAATGATTAACAACCAGCCCAGCAGTGGGAAGCGGGGACTGTTTCACAGCATTTAGATTTCCATGGTGTATCTGTACCCTCATCATGGGTTTCAAACTACTAGTGTGATTTCAGGCTACTAACATTATTGTCTATTAAATCAGCAAGTGTTTATGATCATCATTGGGATGTAGGAGATGTGGAGCCATCTTGGTAAAAGACCACTGGGCCAAACTGTCAAGTATCCTAGTGTCAAAAATTTGTGATTCTCTCACCCATGTTTTTGAGAGAAGAGGTCTAAGTGAACACTAGCAAAATCTATCATCCCCTATACTCAGAGTTCTTCCTCTCCTAAACCATGGCAAACAGAGCTCATTAGGAAGAAAAGAGCCCAAGACTCCTGAGTATCCTGTGGTTTTCTATGAGAGTAGAGAGGTCAGAGAAACTACATTCACAAAGAGTTTGTTAAGGCCTTATTGTGTGAACAAGGAGATATGATAGATTTCAAAATGCAAAAACTTGAAAACAGGAAAATAGCAGATCATAGCACAAGCAGATCTTTAATTAGTTTGCATTAAGTATTCTAAATCGGGATGATGAGTTTAAAACAATACAATTCCTCTCCTAATTTCTCTCTCCTCAGTAATTTGCAATTTACAGAAACCAAAATAAAATAGGTTGATGGATTTATCAGAGAGGTTAAAAAAAAAAAGCTAGTCTGCTAAAAGCACACTTTGTTTAAGGGAGTTCAAGGCAATGTGGGTCCTGGTTATTAGATCAAGAGAGCCTGGGTGAGATGTTGTATGCAGCCAGCAGTGGTGTTACCATGGCAACCTCAAAACAAGCTTCAGGTTCTTAAAGCAACTGCCCATAGAAACTGTGTTACCACCAATTCTGCAATGCTTCCAACAACCCAAAATGGTTGCTGTCCCCAGAGAACTGGTATAGGAGATGATTTTATCCACATAGCATACCTTGGGAGTTAATTTGTGCAATGAAGCTTTTGAGGAAATAATCCCTTTGCTTCCCAGGGCATAAATCTCAGGCATACTGTCACTTTGGAACCTAGCTTCCACACTTAGCCCTGCCTTCTCCACCTCTCCCAGGGCCATTTGCTTTACCTTATTTCTTCAAGAATATTCACATTATTCTATCACAGAAAAGTAAGAAATTCCTCAATTAGACTCATGCCACCCTTTTCAGCTCCTATGTGATTTCTGATTTTCTTTCTACAACACATGATCAGATGTCTCCATTTCCTAACTTGAATAAACCTGGAAATGTAGTGTACTCCTCATAAAAAATGCCCAGTGACCCCACCATCAATGCAGACAATCAATATAGTCATCTGTCACACTCTGTCCCTGCTACCCTGAATTTATTTTTCTTCTTAGTACACATTACTACCTGGCACTACACACACACACACACACACACACACACATTTTTTGTATGTTATTTAATTAAGCCTACACGAAAATAGGGTCTTTGCTCATTTTTGCTTATTGCTGTATCTCCAGAGCCTAGCATAGTACCTGGCATGCAGTGGACACTCAGGAAATATTTGTTGAAATAATTTATTAATGAATGAATAGAGTTTATAAAACTTCAGAGACTGGAGGGCAGCCAAGATGGCCGAATAGGAACAGCTCTGGTCTACAGCTCCCAGCATGAGCGATGCAGAAGACGGGTGATTTCTGCATTTCCATCTGATGTACTGGGTTCATCTCACTAGGGAGTGCCAGACAGTGGGCGCAGGACAGTGGGTGCGGTGCACCGTGCGCGAGCCAAAGTAGGGTGAAGCATTGCCTTACTCGGGAAGTGCAAGGGGTCAGGGAGTTCCCTTTCCTAGTCAAAGAAAGGGGTGACAGACGGCACCTGGAAAATCGGGTCACTCCCACCCTAATACTGCGCTTTTCTGACGGGCTTAAAAAACGGCACACCAGGAGATTAAATCCCGCACCTGGCTCAGAGGGTCCTACGCCCATGGCGTCTTGCTGATTGCTAGCACAGCAGTCTGAGATCAAACTGCAAGGTGGCAGTGAGGTTGGGGGAGGGGCACCCGCCATTGCCCAGGCTTGCTTAGGTAAACAAAGCAGCCGGGAAGCTTGAACTGGGTGGAGCCCACCACAGCTCAAGGAGGCCTGCCTGCCTCTGTAGGCTCCAACTCTGGGGGCAGGGCACAGACAAACAAAAAGACAGCAGTAACCTCTGCAGACTTAAATGTCCCTGTCTGACAGTTTTGAAGAGAGTAGGGGTTCTCCCAGCACACAGCTGGAGATCTGAGAATGGGCAGACTGCCTCCTAAAGTGGGTCCCTGACCCCTGACCCCCGAGCAGCCTAACTGGGAGGCACCCCCCAGTAGAGGCAGACTGACACCTCACAAGGCCGGGTACTCCTCTGAGACAAAACTTCCAGAGGAACGATCAGACAGCAGCATTCGTGGTTCACGAAAATCCGCTGTTCTGCAGCCACTGCTGCTGATACCCAGGCAAACAGGGTCTGGAGTGGACCTCTAGCAAACTCCAACAGACCTGCAGCTGAGGGTCCTGTCTGTTAGAAGGGAAACTAACAAACAGAAAGGACATCCACACCAAAAACCCATATGTACATCACCATCATCAAAGACCAAAAGTAGATAAAACCACAAAGATGGGGAAATAACAGAACAGAAAAACTGGAAACTCTAAAAAGCAGAGTGCCTCTCCTCCTCCAAAGGAACGCAGTTCCTCACCAGCAACGGAACAAAGCTGGACAGAGAATGACTTTGACGAGTTGAGCGAAGAAGGCTTCGGACGATCAAACTACTCCGAGCTACAGGAGGAAATTCAAACCAAAGGCAAAGAAGTTAAAAACTTTGAAAAAAATTTAGACAAATGTATAACTAGAATAACCAATACAGAGAAGTGCTTAAAGGAGCTGATGGAGCTGAAAGCCAAGGCTCGAGAACTACGTGAAGAATGCAGAAGCCTCAGGAGCCGATGCGATCAGCTGGAAGAAAGGGTATCAGTGATGGAAGATGAAATGAATGAAATGAAGCGAGAAGGGAAGTTTAGAGAAAAAAGCATAAAAAGAAACGAACAAAGCCTCCAAGAAATATGGGACTATGTGAAGAGACCAAATCTGATTGGTGTACCTGAAAGTGACGGGGAGAATGGAACCAAGTTGGAAAACACTCTGCAGGATATTATCCAGGAGAACTTCCCCAATCTAGCAAGGCAGGCCAACATTCAGATTCAGGAAATACAGAGAACACCACAAAGATACTCCTCAAGAAGAGCAACTCCAAGACACATAATTGTCAGATTCACCAAAGTTGAAATGAAGGAAAAAATGTTAAGGGCAGCCAGAGAGAAAGGTCGGGTTACCCACAAAGGGAAGCCCATCAGACTAACAGCGGATCTCTCGGCAGAAACTCTACAAGCCAGAAGAGAGTGGGGGCCAATATTCAACATTCTTAAAGAAAAGAATTTTCAACCCAGAATTTCATATCCAGCCAAACTAAGCTTCATAAGTGAAGGAGAAATAAAATACTTTACAAACAATCAAATGCTGAGAGATTTTGTCACCACCAGGCCTGCCCTAAAAGAGCTCCTGAAGGAAGCACTAAACATGGAAAGGAACAACCGGTACCAGCTGCTGCAAAATCATGCCAAAATGTAAAGACCATTGAGACTAGGAAGAAACTGCATCAACTAACGAGCAAAATAACCAGCTAACATCATAATGACAGGATCAAATTCACACATAACAATATTAACTTTAAATGTAAATGGACTAAATGCTCCAATTCAAAGACACAGACTGGCAAATTGGATAAAGAGTCAAGACCCATCAGTGTGCTGTATTCAGTAAACCCATCTCACGTGCAGAGACACACATAGGCTCAAAATAAAAGGATGGAGGAAGATCTACCAAGCAAATAGAAAACAAAAAAAGGCAGGGGTTGCAATCCTAGTCTCTGATAAAACAGACTTTAAACCAACAAAGATCAAAAGAGACAAAGAAGGCCATTACATAATGGTAAAGGGATCAATTCAACAAGAAGAGCTATCTATCCTAAATATATATGCACCCAATACAGGAGCACCCAGATTCATAAAGCAAGTCCTGAGTGACCTACAAAGAGACTTAGACTCCCACACAATAATAATGGGAGACTTTAACACCCCACTGTCAACATTAGACAGATCAACAAGACAGAAAGTTAACAAGGATATCCAGGAATTGAACTCAGCTCTGCACCAAGTGGACCTAATAGACATCTACAGAACTCTCCACCCCAAATCAACAGAATATACATTCTTTTCAGCACCACACCACACCTATTCCAAAATTGACCACATAGTTGGAAGTAAAGCTCTCCTCAGCAAATGTAAAAGAATAGAAATTATAACAAACTGTCTCTGAGACCACAGTGCATTCAAACTAGAACTCAGGATTAAGAAATTCACTCAAAACCACTCAAGTACATGGAAACTGAACAACCTGCTCCTGAATGACTACTGGGTACATAACAAAATGAAGGCAGAAATAAAGATGTTCTTTGAAACCAACAAGAACAAAGACACAACATACCAGAATCTCTGGGACACATTCAAAGCAGTGTGTAGAGGGAAATTTATAGCACTAAATGCCCACAAGAGAAAGCAGGAAAGATCCAAAATTGACACCCTAACATCACAATTAAAAGAACTAGAAAAGCAAGAGCAAACACATTCAAAAGCTAGCAGAAGGCAAGAAATAACTAAAATCAGAGCAGAACGGAAGGAAATAGAGACAACAAAAAAAAAAACCCTTCAAAAAATTAACGAATCCAGGAGCTGGTTTTTTGAAAGGATCAACAAAATTGACAGACCGCTAGCAAGGCTAATAAAGAAAAAAAGAGAGAAGAATCAAATAGATGCAATAAAAGATGATAAAGGGGATATCACCACTGATCCCACAGAAATACAAACTACCATCAGAGAATACTACAAACACCTCTATGCAAATAAATTAGAAAATCTAGAAGAAATGGATAAATTCCTTGACACATACACCCTCCCAAGACTAAACCAGGAAGAAGTTGAATCTCTGAATAGACCAATAACAGGATCTGAAATTGTGGCAATAATCAATAGCTTACCAACCAAAAAGAGTCCAGGACCAGATGGATTCACAGCCAAATTCTACCAGAGGTACAAGGAGGAACTGGTACCATTCCTTCTGAAACTATTCCAATCAATAGAAAAAGAGAGAATCCTCCCTAACTCATTTTATGAGGCCCGTATCATCCTGATATCAAAGCCGGGCAGAGACACAACCAAAAAAGAGAATTTTAGACCAATATCCTTGATGAACATTGATGCAAAAATCCTCAATACTGGCAAACCGAATCCAGCAGCACATCAAAAAGCTTATCCACCATGATCAAGTGGGCTTCATCCCTGGGATGCAAGGCTGGTTCAATATACTCAAATCAATAAATGTAATCCAGCATATAAACAGAACCAAAGACAAAAACCACATGATTATCTCAATAGATGCAGAAAAGGCCTTTGACAAAATTCAAGAACACTTCATGCTAAAAACTCTCAATAAATTAGGTATTGATGGGACGTATCTCGAAATAATAAGAGCTATCTATGACAAATCCACAGCCAATATCATACTGAATGGGCAAAAACTGGAAGCATTCCCTTTGAAAACTGGCACAAGACAGGGATGCCCTCTCTCACCACTCCTATTCAACATAGTGTTGGAATTTCTGGCCAGGGCAATTAGTCAGGAGAAGGAAATAAAGGGTATTCAATTAGGAAAAGAGGAAGTCAAATTGTCCCTGTTTGCAGACGACATGATTGTATATCTAGAAAACCCCATTGTCTCAGCCCAAAATCTCCTTAAGCTGATAAGCAACTTCAGCAAAGTCTCAGGATACAAAATCAATGTACAAAAATCACAAGCATTCTTATATACCAATAACAGACAAACAGAGAGCCAAATCACGAGTGAACTCCCATTCACAATTGCTTCAAAGAGAATAAAATACCTATGAATCCAACTTACAAGGGATGTGAAGGACCTCTTCAAGGAGTACTACAAACCACTGCTCAATGAAATAAAAGAGGATACAAAGAAATGGAAGAACATCCCATGCTCATGGGTAGGAAGAATCAATATTGTGAAACCGGCCATACTGCCCAAGGTAATTTATAGATTCAATGGCATCCCCATCAAGCTACCAATGACTTTCTTCACATAATTGGAAAAAACTACTTTAAACTTCATATGGAACCAAAAAAGAGCCTGCATCGCCAAGTCAATCCTAAGCCAAAAGAACAAAGCTGGAGGCATCACACTACCTGACTTCAAACTATACTACAAGGCTACAGTAACCAAAACAGCATGGTACTGGTACCAAAACAGAGATATAGATCAATGGAACAGAACAGAGCCCTCAGAAATAATGCCGCATATCTACAACTATCTGATCTTTGACAAACCTGACAAAAACAAGCAATGGGGAAAGGATTCCCTATTTAATAAATGGTGCTGGGAAAACTGGCTAGCCATATGTAGAAAGCTGAAACTGGATCCCTTCCTTACACCTTATACAAAAATTAATTCAAGATGGATTAAAGACTTAAACGTTAGACCTAAAACCATAAAAACCCTAGAAGAAAACCTAGGCATTACCATTCAGGACATAGGCATGGACAAGGACTTCATGTCTAAAACACCAAAAGCAGTGGCAACAAAAGCCAAAATTGACAAATGGGATCTAATTAAACTAAAGAGCTTCTGCACAGCAAAAGAAACTACCGTCAGAGTGAACAGGCAACCTACAGAATGGGAGAAAATTTTTGCAACCTACTCATCTGACAAAGGGCTAATGTCCAGAATCTACAATGAACTCAAACAAATTTACAAGAAAAAAACAAACAACCCCATCAAAAAGTGGGTGAAGGACATGAACAGACACTTCTCAAAAGAAGACATTTATGCAGCCAAAAAACACATGAAAAAATGCTCACCATCACTGGCCATCAGAGAAATGCAAATCAAAACCACAATGAGATACCATCTCACACCAGTTAGAATGGCAATCATTAAAAAGTCAGGAAACAACAGGTGCTGGAGAGGATGTGGAGAAATAGGAACACTTTTACACTGTTGGTGGGACTGTAAACTAGTTCAACCCTTGTGGAAGTCAGTGTGGCAATTCCTCAGGGATCTAGAACTAGAAATACCATTTGACCCAGCCATCCCATTACTGGGTATATACCCAAAGGACTATAAATCATGCTGCTATAAAGACACATGCACACATATGTTTATTGTGGCACTATTCACAATAGCAAAGACTTGGAACCAACCTAAATGTCCAACAATGATAGACTGGATTAAGAAAATGTGGCACATATACACCATGGAATACTATGCAGCCATAAAAAATGATGAGTTCTTTGTAGGGACATGGATGAAATTGGAAATCATCATTCTCAGTAAACTATCGCAAGGACAAAAAACCAAACACCGCATGTTCTCACTCATAGGTGTGAATTGAACAATGAGAACACATGGACACAGGAAGGGGAACAACACACTCTGGGGACTGTTGTGGGGTGGGGGGAGGGGGGAGGGATAGCATTAGGAGATATACCTAATGCTAAATGACGAGTTAATGGGTGCAGCACACCAGCATGGCACATGTATACATATGTAACTAACCTGCACATTGTGCACATGTACCCTAAAACTTAAAGTATAATAATAATAAAATAAAAATTAAATACATAAAACTTCAGAGACTGCAATTGAAAAACACTCACAAATTCAATGGTATGTATGCCTACTGAAGGCATTCACAGTTTAAAAACAAACAAAACAAAACAAAAATCCCATAATGAATTGGCCAAACAAAACATTCCTGGGGCAGGCTCTGGATTTATTCTCCTAGTATTATGTGGAAGAGCTCCTGCTATAGAGCTAGTGCAATTTGAAATCACATTTTATTATTTACTGTGTGATAATCTTAAGAAAGTTTCTTCAGCCTATTGCCACAGCTATAAAACAGAGATAATAATTGTTCTGCCTTGGTGGGTAATGTGAAGATTAAACAAGGTAACATGTATAATTACTCAGCCAAGTGACTGATGCCTGGTAAATATACCATTAGTATGAGCTATCATCATCACCATTATCCTTAAGGTCACTGATGACCTCCTTTTTTCTAAGCCTCATGGTTTTGTCTCAATCCTTAAACTCCTTTATGCTATGGTTGGTATTGTTGATCATGTATTTCTCTAAATCTGTGTTTCCCAGAGGGCGATCTGTGGAAAAGTACTTCTTTGAGGATGTACACAGAATTTGTCAACATTGTTCAGTAAGATAAACACATTCTCAAGTTCATTGTGTTCCAGATTACAATAAAGGTAAAAAAAAGGTGCTATGGAGGTCCTTAAGCCAGCTTGCCTGGAGTGATTTAGGAGAGCTTCCAGAGCTTTTGGAGTGATTGGCTTGAACACTATGCTTAATGGTGAAACAACAGTAGCATTAAAATCAGAAACAAGGTAGAAATTCCACCATTACCAATTTTATTTAACATTATTGGGCAAGTACTAATCAATGCCATTAGATAAGGGTGAAACGAGGCATAAAAATTAGAGAAGAGAGAAAATTATCATAGTGGATGGATAGTGGAAACTTAGCCTGGAAAATTGATGAGAAGGAATGAATAAATGAATGAAAGAAAAACAAAAAGAAAATTCAAGGAATAAGGTGTCTAGTTTAAAAATTATTATTATTTTTTTCGAGATGGAGTCTTGCTCTTTTGCCCAGGCTGGAGTGCAGTGGTACGGTCTCAGCTCACTGCAATCTCTGCCCCCTGGGTTTAAGTAATTCTCTTGCCTCAGCCTCCCAAGTAGCTGGGATTACAGGTGCACACCACCACGCCAGGGTATTTTTTTTTTTTTTTGTATTTTTAGTAGAGACGGGGTTTTACCATGTTGGCCAGGTTGGTCTCGAACTCCTGATCTCATGATCCGCCCGCCTCAGTCTCCCAAAGTGCTGGGATTACAGCTGTGAGAACCATGCCCAGCCAAAATTAATATTAAAAGATAAATATCTACCCTATGTACAATGAATTGGAATATGATGGAAAAAAATAAGCTCACTTCTTAGAGCAACATCAACTCAACAAGAGCTCTGAAAAATAAACCTGAAAAATATCCTCAAAATCACCAAAAGACACAATAGAAGATTTGAACAGAAAAATAGTTTTTATTTTTTGATAAAAGGAAATAGTATTATAAAGACCTTAATTCCTCCAAATAAATCTACAAATGTAATGAAATCTCAATTAAAATATTAGTAACTTTTTCTTTATATTAGAAAGCCTGATTCTAAAGTTCACATGGAAAAATAGCATGGCCAGCTTGCCAGGAAATTCCTGAAAAAGCATTATAACTAGCTCAACTTTTCATTAAAATGTATGACAAAGCTACAGTAGAAAGAGTTGTGCTGGTACAAGATTAGAGAGACAGAGAAATAAGAGCATATGGTCTAGAAATAGCCTAAATTATACAAATCAGTAGGTAAATCCTGGTTTAGTCAATAAATTGTGTTGAGACATCTGATTTGGGGAAATCTAAAAAGTAAAGCAGAATCTCTCTCTAACTCTTTACTCAGAATAAACTCAGAAGATTTAAATGCATAACATAAAAACCTTAAAAAACTAGAATAAAGTAAGGCAGATTTTTCTAAAGTAATATTCTTGGAATAAAGAATGCTTTCTGTGCAAGACACAAAACCCAGAAGCCATAAAAAGAAAATATTTGCAACATTCAACAAAGAGTTCATTTCTTCAAAATATAAAAAGTTCTCACAAGTCAATAAGGAAAAATGACCAGACATGCTTTTAAAATAGGTTAAAAAAATGTGAACATAAACTTTTACAGAAGAAATGTAAATGCCTTTCAATGAAAAATTGTTCAATCTCACTCATAACTGGAGAAATATAAAAATAAGGTACCATTTTGGCTTATTGGGTTGAAGAATGAAAATAGTTAAAACATAGTATTGACATGGATGCAGAAAAACAGATTCTGTCTTACACTGTTGGTGGCAAAGTAAAGTGATTCAACCTTGTTGTCATTAGCTATCAAAACTGTAAATGGACCTCCCTTTGATCCAGCAATTACAATCCTAGCAAGCTCTCTTACATATAAACTTACCTATGTGCTCCAAGAGCTACATACAAGGATGTGGTAGAGGCATTCTTTGAAATACTATACAACTATTAAAAAGTATGAAAGTTCTTTGAAATAAATAAGGTAAAATAAGCAAAGTTGAGATTCCCTGTATATAGTATAGGCCCATTGTAGAATAGCAAAAAATGTATATACTTCATACTTGCACAGTAAATATCTGAAAGGATACACAATAAACTATCATAGCAGTTATTTTTGGGTTATAGTGCTTGGGGCTGAAGTGGAATGAAGAGTCATCTTTCAATATACACTCACTTGAATGTACTGCATATATATGTTTCCTGTAGAACATCACTGTGTTTGCAAAGAGAAAACTAGTACACACAAACATTAAGAATTTTTTGCTACCCCAAATTATTTTTCCCCTTAAAATGTTTCAAATACAGCCTACAGATATATGAAATGTGGGCTGTCTTCATGAGAAGCATCTAAGGCATGGATAACAATGGAATCTTTCTGCAAGTACATATACTTACCCCTTCACAAGTATCATAAACCTAGCTAAAGTCATTCCTTCATCTATTCACCCATCAAATAATATTGCACTCTTACTGAGTCCCGGGCATCATCCTAGGTGCTGTGATACAGGTGAATATAACTAAGTCCTCATGAAGCTTACACTTTTATGGGAAAGAGAGACAAATAAAGGAATAAATATTACGATTAAGTGATTAGGAACTATTAAGGAAATATTAAGTGCTATGAAGATAAATAAAGCAGAGTAAGGGGAGAGTGAGCCATGGAAGTGGGGAGTGCTTTTACACAGGATCATCAGTGAATGCATCTGAGAGGTGACATTAAAGCAGAGATCTTTTTTTATATATATACTTTAAGTTCTAGGGTACATGTGCACAATGTGCAGGTTTGTTACATATGTATACATGCACCAGGTTGGTGTGCTGCACCCATTGACTCGTCATTTACATTAGGTATATCTCCTAATGCTATCCCCCCCGCCCCCCACCCCATGACAGACCCTGGTATGTGATGTTCCCCTTCCTGTGTCCAAGTGTTCTCATTGATCAATTCCCACCTATGAGTGAGAACAAAAGCAGAGATCTTAATGAAGTAAGGAAGTGAGCCATGCAAGTATATGGGGAAGATAGGAAAAAGGCCGATGTGCTCAAAGACCAGTAAGGCTAGCACAGCCAAAAGGAAATTAGTGAGGAGAATATGAGACTAGAAAAGTAAGAAGAGACTAAGTGACAGAGTGTCTTGTAGACCACATCAAAACTCTAGGTTTTGGTCTAAGTATGATGGGGGCTACTGGAGGCTTATGAGTAGGGGAGTGATTCACCTTATTTTAACTTTTTTAAAGATCATCCTGGTTTCTGTGAGGAAAGCAGACTGTAGTGGGGCAAAAGAGGAAGGAAGTACAGAGACTAGTAAAGAGGCAGATCTCTGGCCAAGAGATCATGGTGGCTTGGACAAAGGCAAAAGACCACAACGGCTTGGGTGGGGATAACTGTGGTTGCAGTTGTTGTGGGAAGCCGTGAGATACAGAACATATTTTGAGGCTACAGCCAATAGGATTTGCTGCTGGAATGGATGTGGTGTATGACAAAAAGAGAGGAACCAAGAATGGATTCAAGGTTTTTAACCTGAGCAACTGGTTAAATAGAGGTACCATTTATTAAGTTGGAAACAGCCAGGGGAAGAAGAGTTATGGGGAAATATCAAGTGTCTTGTTTTAGATGCATTAATCTTGAGATGCATAAATGAGCTATATGTGTGTTATGAAAAAACAGAAATGTGTTACAAATCTTTGCATCCCTAGGATGGAGCCTGCACGTTGCAGTGCCCAAATGCTTGTTGCAATGAATAGAAGAACCACATACTAAGAAAACAAAATCATGCTTATGTGGATGAGGGCAACAGGGAAGTTTCTAATGCTACCTAGAATATATTTATCTCAAGCAACTAAGAAACATTGACAAGGATACGGTGGCATGTCATTTTAACCTTTACGCCTAAGTAAGTCAGCAGATTCTAAATACTGCTAGCACATTCTCTGATCTTTGAACCAGCATTGTGCTTTTTGGCAGAAGACAACAGAGAATATCAATATACACACAAACTTGCCCTTGATATATAAAACCATTCCTATCTATCTATCTATCTATCTATCTATCTATCTATCTATCTATCTAATCTATACCTATGCCTATCTGTATTTTGTACTTCCTTTCAGATACATAATTCTCTGCTTTAGGAAAGGCCAAATCTTCTAATCCCCTTGATAGGCTAAAAAAGATAGGGCTGTCTCAAGTAATAAACAGATGAAAGCTAACAATTAACTTCAATTTGCCCTGAATTCAACAGACTGGTTGTCTAGACAGTCCTAATTTATTTGATTATTGTTCCGCATTCATCTTCACTTTAGATAAAAGGATCTCACCCAAGTTAGGGAATGCAATTACCCCTTAATTCATTATTCGCCCCAATCTTTCATTGAAACTTAAAATGCACCAGGGACACTCCATATTGCTGTCCTTGGACTCTGCACACTAGGATGGGCTGTAGTTCCCTAAATGTTTTACGGAACATGAGTCCTCAAGAAAGATGCTCTGGGGAGAAGTATCAATGTTCATGGAAGTTGAGACACCATATACTGTTTCTCCTTCTGGGAAATGCCTGGTGCACACTGGCATATGGTCCTGAGAAGTCCTGCAGCAAAAAGACCCATTTAACTCAGCATTTATCCACCCTCTGCTTTTTAAAAAAATGTATACCTGAAAACACACTTTAGGAAAGCTTGTTTAATCTCTCATAAGATTGATTGTTCAAATAGCATAATAAACTCCCAAAGGCAAGGTCCTAGGTGAACAATGCCCAGAGCACAAGCTGAGCATGTTGGAGCAAGGTTTTAGTGTAGCTATGGTGTATACCTGCCTAGTTCTTTCTCTTTATTCCCGAAAGTGACATCTTTCTTCAACTTTGATATGCATCATCACCTAGGAATTGCACAGAGTACACTGCATGATACATTGTTAATTCTCTATTATTCAGTGAAGTGGTCTCTGGCCAAAAGAATTCTTACATAACTGCACATTTGGACTCTTGGACTGAACACTCCAAGGGCAATAAAAAGTATAGTCAAATATCAACTCATATTGCCTCATTTTTGAGGCAATCAGATTTCATCAGATTTTCGAAGAGGCATTTTATTTTTGAGGCAATATGCCCAAAGCAGAGAAGCGAGAGCAAACCCCACAAATTTTACTCAAGGCATACAGTGATGCACAATTGACAAATATTTACTGAATGAATGAACAGATACATACAAGCAAGAAAATGGTCTTCAACTTAGGCCACAGCTCCAAGCTAACTCATTTAATCTGGAAACGGTCACCTTAAAGGTCATCTTCATTACATTTCAGAATTTATCCAAAATCTATGACACTTCTGTCGAGTATGACTTCCTCCATGAAATCCTTTCCTTGTCACTTCCTCCAGGTGGAATTAACTCCTCCCTCCTCTGTGCTGACATTGGACCTCTGAACCAACTTTGAAGAGCATTTCAGGCTCATCTCTGTAACCCCTGTGACACAGAGGTTACACAGATTCTATGCCTCACACAAGTCACTGAATAGACGATGGGCTAATGATACTTTAAATAAACAATCTTTGAAAACTACTAAAAGAAATCTCAACCACCACAGCCTTCCATTTCCTTCACCAATGTTTTCTCCCAAATTCTTTCTTTTCAAAACATGTCAATTTCACTTCTCTAGTTATCATAGAGCTAATATAGCAAATGTAGGTGCCTTCGTGTCCAGCCTGAATGTTTTGACTCTTCATCATGGTCTATTTAAAAATTCATTACTAGTAACTGTCTAATGATATAATGAATCCTCTGAAATATTTTTCACCACTTTCGTGAAGTCTCAGTATCAGCTAAAAATAATTACACTATTAGGACAGTGACGCAGAAGAGGTTTCCAGAACATTGGCCTGGTGCAGAGGAGAAAAACATCTATGCGTAAAAATACGCATTTTTTGGTGAAACGTCCAATAGCTTTCATCAGATTTTCCAAGAGACATTTGGTCCAAAAGGTCAAGAATCACTGATCTAAACTATCCCAACAATCTCTACATATCCTAAATGCACCAGGAATGGCCTTTCCAACAAGGAAATAGATTTGTCATATGAAAGTCATTTTATTTAATAGGGTGTCCCATATTTTTAAATTTAAATGTTCAGAAAGCAATAACATTCCTTGTGATATCTTATAATATATAAATTACTGTTAAGCAGTAGTCACTATGCTTTAGAGCATCAACGTTCAAAGTAAAGCAATAATAAGGTTTACTGCAGATCTATGGATGAGCTGACAAAGCAGGTCCAGTGAGGTGAGGTACAGAAAGAGCACTGTCCTGGAAGTCAGTATTTTACGCATCCAAGGACAAGTTAAACAGCTAAGAATTTTGTGGCATTTGGTAATTCCCTGGACCCCTCTGAGCCTCTGTTTCAGTCCCTTTGGGCTCTTACAGGCCACCATTCTATAACCCTTGGACATGGTTAATATATAATTACTTCAACTCTTAAATCTTATCATCTGTTTTTTATGTTCTTAACACTCTTAGTCAATCAATTAAATATTGTTATTGAGTGTGCTTTGTTTACTTTTGCCTAGCAACAACTAGAAAAGGGTTTTAAACAAAGTCTCAGAGAAGCCATGGGGAAAGTGTGAATGAGCACCTGTGGAGAGACCCAGGCCCTGATTCAAGTTTGTGAAGAATGTCAGTATGACAGATAATGCAAACTCTTCCCAGAATAAAGCATAGAAGAAAAAAACGTTGAGGAGGGTCCAAGAAAGAAAGCTAAAGAGACGGATCTTCATGAAATTGACTAATTACTAAAAATCCATACCAGAAGATATATCACATATAACTTAATCCAACTTCTTGGATGACAAAACCATAGTTCAAAGACTTTAAATTTCCCTAATACACAATGACAGATGGCAACATAACAAGAAATAGATTGTTTGAAGGAAAATACAAATTGCTGGTAAAAATATAAAATATTTGTCATGATAAAGGAGGAGAAACAGTCCCAACAATCAATTTGTCTCAAATGCTCACAACATTTAGAAAATGTTTTGATTCAATTTTTGAAGTTCTAATTACAATGAAAAAAAAAACCCTATCATTATGAAATCTATACATCTCCTACATACAAGTATATTCCTTAACAACTATTTATCGGGTGTCTACACTTTCTAAATCACAGGGCTGGGCACCCTATATGTAATATAAAACTAGAATACAACCTTAGTCTTTCTGAGTACACTTGAATGCAAATACTGCAAGATTTTTCATAGGTTAAAATATTTCTATGCCATAACTGCACAAAGATTGTGACCCAATATTCACCAATAATGGTGTTCCATGTTTCTTTTTCTCCATTATTGGTCTCTGTAATGTATGCAATTATGCTATACCTAGATCTATTGTTAAATACATTTTTCACAATAGCTGAGGATTATGTAACAATTCAAATCAATTAGTATTGACTAAATGCTAAAATTTCCCATTTAATGCCAGATAAATCCAAAAGCTCCTTCAACCATGAAGATTTCAAAAAAAAAAAATCAGAACACAAATAAATGTAATTCTTGTATTCTTTGTTTAGTATTTAAAAAGTTTATGAAGTAAAAACACCCTAGTTTATTTTTTAGAAAAATAAAATATAAATTAGGGGCAGAGAAGTGTCCTAAACAGCAAAAAATTAATGCTCAGCCCACATTGAACCTCAGAGTATTTAAATAACTAAGACACCAAAAATAAGTGGCATTTCTTAAATGGAAGCTTTTCTTAATCACTGCAAAACCACACAGTACATGCTGCCAAGTTCTGGGTTAAAATGCCTAAAATGGTCCTAGCAGAATAATTTTTACAGGTGATATATTTCAGCAAAAAGGGAAATTGTGGTATGTTGTGGACTCAATCATCGGAATGCTGAACATTAGTTATTTCTCTTGCAAAATGGCTTTTCTGTCTCTCAGAAGATAAGAAAAATTCATTCCTGCTGGTTTTATACAGCACTGAATTCTGGGCAGCTAGTGTTCTCAATTCTTTCAGCAGAGCTCAGCTGATGGACAAAAATAGAGAGGAGTTCTATTGCTTAAACACTATTTGGACATGAAGAGGTCTTTCTACGTGACACTTGGAATTTAATTGCAAAATAAAAAAAAATGAAGAAACACTTTATTCACCCAGGACAATCCAGTGTTATGACTAAGGCATTTTCACTGTGCGCTCGCTAACCATTCACAGCTCACACAGGAACAAAAATCATGGGTAGATGTGGCACACTGGGCTCATCTCAATAGCTACCAGGATCACATACCTAGAGGCATAGGAAACAACTATTTTCATTCCCTGGAACTCTCACCATTGGGAAATTAAGCACTGCTCATATCTGGCTTATACCCTCATGACTGTATCTGTGTTCCTCTAGTCTCTCCTGTATGGTATGTCTTTTTTTCCATCCTCTTATCTCTACCTGTTAAAATTCTACTTATCTCTCAAGATCCCTGCACTTTGTTCATATTCAAAACATTAATATTTATCTCACCACATTGATATTTATCTCACTATATTCATATCAATTATTATCTCACTGTATTCATGTCAATTATTCACCCACTTGATTACTTCTTCCAGAAGATAGAAGTACCTTATGTACAGGGATGCTACTTACTCATCATTATATATCTCTTTCTTTCCCCATGATCCCCAGTCACTGCTTAGTATATAGGTAGAGGTTCTTGAAATGCTTAAACAAGACAAGGAGCCAGAGCTACCTCTACTTGTAATGAGTTGCTTTGAGAGACCGAGCATTTCCTATCCTTAAATGCGTTCAAAGCTACAGCCATCTGGCTCTAATCACTAGCGAGGTGCTGTTAAGAAGATTAAAATCTTAGGTGATTGGACTAGATTGCCTTTTAAAACCCCTTTGACCCAAAGACTCAAATTCCAAACAGACTCATGAAGGAAGTATACATTGTCCCCTGGAGGTGGGCTTTTTTCTTGTTTCCTTTTTTTCTCTACTAAAGAGAACCATTTCAGAAATTCTCAGTTGAGGGCAGATTTAAAAATCTTCCACCGCTAGTTTTCTGTCATTTATTGTATCTGTGGCAGCTCATGAGTAAGAACTAACAACTGAATTCAGTGACTGAGCCATTATCCTTAAAATCAAATCATGAAATAAGAGATAGAAAATAAGTGTAAATTGTTTGTTAAGTACAGATTACAAGCTCTACAAGAGGAGAGAAAAATCAATGGGAGCCAGAGTGATCAAGGAAAGGATCTTCAGCCAAGCATTGAAGGATAGATAGAATATAAATGTAAGAGAAAAGCACTTCCATGTTAAGAAAGATAAAAACAGAAAAGGCATGAAGGGACTAAATAAACGTAGTGTAGCCTGAGGACACGAGGCGGTGAGACTAAAGCTCAGATCCATGTTGGAAAATAGTAGGAAATGCTACTTGTCATGATGGGGGGCGGGATAGGGAGGTGTTTGGGAGGCTGCTAATAGGAGACCATTGAAGGCCCTGAGCAGAGGGGCAAGGTGATGAAAGAAGTGTTTAAGAAAAATCAAGTTTGGGAGAACACTGAATGCAGGATGGACATAAAGGGAGAGCCATTATTGTAAAGGGTGGCCACTGGGAAGGGGGTCATAACCAGGTAGCTTCAGGGGTCAAGAGCTTTTGCAACAACATTGATGGAACTGGAGACCATTATCTTAAGTGAAACAACTCAGAAATAGAAAGTCCAATACCATATGTTCTCACTTATAAGTGGGAGCTAAATAATGTACACACACAGACATAGAGGTATGGAATAATAGACATTGGTGACTGGAAGGGTGTGGGGCAGGAGGAAGGAGGATGATGAGAAATTACCTAATGGGTACAACGTACATTATTCACGTTATGAATACACTAAAAGCCCAGACTTCACCACTATGCAATCTATCCATGTAACAAAATTGCAGTCGTATCCCTTACATTTATACAAAATACTTTTAAAAAAGAGTCTGTCCTGGTGATGGGGGGAGGGAGGTCATCATAGAGAAAGGAGAAGAGAGATAGCCCCAAAGAAGAGTGAGAAGGATCTGCTAAAAGGGTGCAGAAGATAAAAGAAAAGATTATGTCAAAAATTATAGAAGGGATGGTGGTGCTAAGAACAGAGTCAAGGAACTGAGGAAAAGAAGCTGGATTGGCTAGCACAGTAGCTATGGTACATGTTGAACCTGAAGTGTTCAATCGTGAAATACCCAGGAGCAGATAAGCTATGGGACAGGAGTTCAGGGAAGGAAGAGGATTCAAATCAGAGACTTGAGAGTTTTCTATAGATAAGGGACAGCTGAAGTCCTAGAATGAGAAAGAGAGGGAGAGAGTACCAAGAGCCCCAAAGTGATGAACAGTGAAACCTTTCAAAACCAGATGTTTGCAAGAATATGAGCACAATGAAAGGGATGGAAAAGCAGCAATCAGTATGGGATAAAAATTCAGGATCCAATAGCATCGCTGAAAACATGAAAGGAGTTTCAAAAAGGAATGGGTGATAGATGATGAATGATGGTTAAGGACCAGAGCATTTTAAAGATACCACTAGACCAACAAATCAGCAGGGTTATTTCCCCTCTCAACTATTAACATACTATATATAATTATTTAATTGGTGGTTAGGCAGATAAAAAGAGTTTGTGGTTGTAAGACATAGTCTATTTTATGTTTTATAATGACAAAAAAGGAGATACATCCAGATGCTGCTATTCTCTGTGTAGAGAGTTATTTAAAAAATGTTGCTAATATGGATCAATTTTGAGTAATGTCACTTAGAATATGTACTCTTCTGGGTGCTATATAATAGAAATAACACTGCTGATGCTATGGATTGGTGATGTATTATGAATGTGTGGGTAACCTATCAAAGTGTACAAGTCCTAATAAAAGTTATAAAGAACATCCAAAGGCATATAAAACTGCCACAGGGACTATTAAGTAATTCATGGGATACTGCCAAGCACACACAAAAATGGTATGTTTCTGAATTCACAAGAATGCTTGGGAAGTGATGCTTCTCACCCGCTCATGAAACACTCAGTTTATGTCCAGGATCTAACACGAGCCACACTTGCAACTACTTTCATTTTAGCTGTGAACCATCTGGGAAGGTACCACAGATAGAAAGCAATGTTTCTGGTCAGTTTGAGTATTAAAATCACTCAGATCTGACTGATGGAGATGGCATTAGAGGAAGTCAAGTGCTTTTTCCAGTGTCACTGAAGCTGGCCTCTGGAATAGAGGTGTGAACTACTGTGCAAGAAATGCCCTCTACTTCCCCCAAATGGAAATAAATTAATAATTAAGAGTGACTATGGACAGATTCAGGTTTTGTGGGACCTACAACTTATATATAACTTGGGTATCCTCTCTAAGAAATAAGAAAGCAAAATTGCAAATACAGGACTGAGTATGAAACTGGTTATTTATTTAGAATGAGAACCAGAAGCAACCTACAGTTATAAGGCCATAAAGCATAAAGTTTATCAGCTACATGGTAATTTCACCTCTGCTAATGACCAAGTATGGAGCATAAAGTATAGAAAGGGAGGAAGAGCAGGTAATCAGGCAGAGGAAAAATAAAAAAACCGCGCTCCTTAAGGAATTCTGGAGACTGAACAAGAAAAAGACTAAGAATAAAATCCCAGAAAGAACTCTGAATTGCAGAATACAGATGGTATGGAGATGGGAGAGGACCCAGAACCCCTAGTCAATGTATATAACACATTGTCATCATATTTATTTTCCAGTGATCTACAACCATATTGCTTTTAGGAGGCTTGCCTAGTGGGACCAGATTTTGGGAAACAGCAGTCCACTTCATTGCAGGTACTCAACAAGTGTTTTTTGAATGAATAAATAAATACATAAATAAATAAAGAGAAACAAGCTGAAATACTCCTTTTTCTTACTCTCCACCAGGAGCTGCTTTCCTCTGATGCTCCAACATACATGTATGTTTTTGCTGGTACTGGCTGGAACTGGCAAAGCAACAGTTCATGCCAATCTCTTCTCTTGGCCTGTTCAGGATAAACAATGTTGGGTTCAGATAAAGCTATCTCTACCCAACATTAATTTGTAGCATGTTCAGAGTCTCCTCGAAAGATTTATATATAAAAATGGCTACTGTGGGGCCACTCTACTTACTCCCTCCCATCAGCTTTCTCTTTCTGAATCAGATCCTGCAGGGATAACTCAGAAATTATTAACACCTAGTAGGGGGAGGATAGGTCAGTGTGGTATTCTAGCCAGGGATGAAAGGCAACAAAATTCCTAATTTTCAAACATTTTACCAATGATGGCAACATAGGCGACAATATATCAATCATGATGAGGCTTCCAGGAAGATATTGGAAAGCCTCATGCACCACTCACTTGGTTAGCCACAAATCCAAGCCAGGACCAGGGGCACCCTGGCCCACCAACTGGCTCATCAGAAGACAAGATTCAGGTGGTGGGAGCTCTTAGTGAAAGGAGGAAGGAGGATACAACAGGGCACTCAGCCCCTGCTTCATAAAGGGATTCTCTTTGGACAATAAATGTCCTACACCTTCCTGCAAGTTCATATATATATATACACACACACAGTTCATATATATATATATATAAACACAGTTCATATATATATATATAAACACAGTTCATATATATATATAAACACAGTTCATATATATATATAAACACAGTTCATATATATATATAAACACAGTTCATATATATATATAAACACAGTTCATATATATATATAAACACAGTTCATACACACACACACACACACACACACACACACACACACAGGAATAGTTTAAGAGCTCACCCCCTCTTCTCCTCTTTTTTTTTTTAACCTTTTCTTAAAGGAGTCTACCTCCTTCCTCTTCACCTACTAAATTTTCTACGGAAAATAGAGAAGAGCAGGACTGGAATAACACTACTGCTCCCTCAATACTACAGAAATCTGTATCCTGATGTTCTGTTTAGGGCAAAGGATATGAAATCAGTGAGGCAAAGCAGCCACCTCAGGAATTAGTACTGCAGGTCTTAAATGGGAGAAAATCGTTCAGCCACTTACAAGCTAGGTGATTCGACCTCAAGAGAGTTATTGAAACTCCCCAGACCTCAGTTTCTTGGTTTTGCAAAACGGGGATGAATTTAGTTCCCACCTCACAGGACTGTTGAGGACTGAGAAAATCCACGTAAAGTGCTAAATACAACTGCACAGCAAGAGCTAATTAAATATTAGTATTTAATAGTAGTAGTAGTAAAATTATTGTGTCTGCCTCCCCCAGTCACACCACCAGCAAAACTGGCACAACCCCCACTCCTACCTCGCAGGATATGGGGCCAAGCCATGGCTACACTACACTCTCGCATGCATGAGAGACCCCCAAACACCACAAGAGCTACTGTAGGTTCCCCTACCCCTCACTGGCCAGGGTCCCCCAGGCCACCGCTACGGTCCACACTGACCTGAAATGCCACCTCCGATCACGACTACGTCGAACATGTGGCCCGCGATACTCGCCTTCTCTTGATTCTCCATGCTTTGGCTGACACGCTCCTGGGTCGTAGGCACAGGAGTGGGGACGGCAAAGGGTGGGAAGGACCCTTCTATCAACTCCCCCGGGGAGCCCGGGGGCGGAGCCGATCCTTCTTTTGATACCCGGGGGGAGCCGGGCACTGTGGGCGGGGCGAACCCTTTTGCTGATACTCCGGGAGCGCCCAGGGGCGGAGCTGATGTTTCAGCTGATACCCGGGGGGAGCTGGGCACTGAGAGCGGGGCGGACCCTTGTACTGACACTCGGCGAGAGTTATTAGGTTTAGAATGTCCTTGTGTCGGCAGCTGGAAAGGATTACTGGGTGCAGGAGGTTCTTGTATTGAACCCCGCGGAGTGTCAGGCACTGAGGTGGGGGTAGACGCCTGCCTTGACACTGGGGGGATGTTATGGGGTGCAGGAGGTGCTTGTGGCGACACTGGGGAAATGTTATTGGGTAGAGGTGGTCCTGGTACCAAACCCCAGGGGAAGCTGGACACTGAGGATGCGGCAGACCCTTGTACTGACACTCGGGGGTGTTACTGGGTGTAGGAGGTGCTTGTATTGACACTTGCGAAAGGTCATTGGGTATAGGAGGTCCCCGTACAAATATCCAAGTGTAGTCGGACACTGAGGTCAGGTTGGAATCCGGGGGCAGGGTCGGTCCTTTTACCAAACCCCGTGGGGTGCTGAACCCTGAGGAGAAGGCAGACCCTTGCAATGACTCTACGGGGGAGTTTACGGGCGGGGTAGGTCCTGTTACTAATACCCAGGGAATGCCGGTGTCCTGATTGGAGGCTGTGACGGCCCCATCGGAGGAGTTCGAGCTGGTGGTAGACTTGGGGATCCGACTGCTCGGGTTGTAAGCGCTGAAACCCCGGAGGCCACTCTTGGAGTCGGAGTCAGTACTCTCGCTAAGACCGGTAGTGCTGATTGGGGAGTGTATGCTGGAGCTCCAGGAGGCGGCCTCGGCAGTTGAGGACGTGCTCCACTGGGAACTGGCTAGCGGATCCGAGACGGACCGCCACTCAGAACGGACGCTCCATTCGGACAGGCTGTAGGAGGTGTCGTCCAAGCTGGAGTCCGGGTTCGGGACCTGGGCAGTTGTGCCCCCGGCTTCGGGCGGGCCCTCCGCCTTGCGCTCGGTGCCGGTGCCGGTACTGGTGCGGGTACTGGTGCCGGTGCCGGTACTGGTGCGGGTACTGGTGCCGGTGCCGGTACTGGTGCGGGTACTGGTGCCGGTGCCGGTGCCGCCGGGGAAGGAGGCTGAGGCGTTTGTGCTCATGTTTCTGGAGCACGCTGGGCGCTGGGGGCGGTGTTCTGCTTCCCGCAGCCCTTCTCCACGGTCAGGCTGTTCTCGGTACCCACTCTTAGAGACCAGCCCCGGGCTCCCGGCCCAGTCAGGGGCGGGGAGAAGTGACTCTAGGCCGGCCTGGCTCCGCCTTCCCGGCCTGCCTGCAGGCTCGCGCTGGAAACCCTGCCACTGGGCGTGGCCGGACGATGCCACTGCAGGCGGGGGGCGCGGTTGCCTGGCGAGAGTGGGGGAGTAGACGTGGGTGTAGCCGCGTGGGCTCTCAACCTAGTGCTTTCATTCTTTAGTTTTAACTGAAAGCTATCTGGGCAAGAGTGGACTTAAGGAAGCAGATATATGAAGGCGGCTGAGCCAGGCAGGATCGCAGGGTCGCAGGGTGCTGCCCCACTTGGTCTGGCCCCTTTGTGACGTCATGTAGGGCCCGTCGAGGTCTGCGCAGCCTCCAGCCCTCACTAGGTTGAGGGCGGGGCGGGGAGGGGCGGGGAGGGGCGGGGAGGGGCGGGGAGGGGCGGGGAGGAGCGGGGAGGGGCGGGGAGGAGCGGGGAGGGGCGGGGAGGAGCGGGGAGGGGCGGGGCGAGGCGAGACGGGACGGGGCGGGGCGAGAACCGTCACTTGGGGGAGACCAGGCAATTGTTGGTTCTCTGTGGGGTTTTTCAAGCTGAGGCGCTTAACCCAAATCGAAGCAAGTAGGCAAGAAAAATAACTCACCTATCATGTATTAAGTGGGACTGCATTTTAAAAGGTCAAAGGGATGGCTAAGGTGCAGAAACAAATGAAATAAGAAAACATGTGTTTCCCCATCCTACTGAAAAGAGTGCTATTTAGTGCACATATTTTACTGTGCAGCCAGCCTTCTGTTTGCTAGTTTTATCCCTTTCTTAATTTTCCACTTTTTGTTATCCTGAATTTGTCATCAAAAGCTGAATTTGTCATTACTGGAACTCTCAAAGATAGGTGAAATCTGGCCGGGCGCGGTGGCTCACGCCTGTAATCCCGGCACTTTGGGAGGCCGAGGCGGGCGGACCAACTGAGGTTGGGAGTTCACGACCAGCCTGACCAACATGGAGAAACCGCGTCTCTACTAAAAATACAAAATTAGCCGGGTGTGGTGGTTCATGCCTGTAATCCCAGCTACTCGGGAGGCTGAGGCAGGAAAATTGTTTGAACCCAGGAGGTGGAGGTTATGATGAGCCAAGATCGCGCCATTGCACTCCAGCCTGGGCAACAAGAGCGAAACTCCGTCTCAAAAAAAAAAAAAAAAATAGGTGAAATCGTGACGTAAATTTAGAGAAAGTGATGAGAACTCGAGGAAGCTAATGATGTCTGCTCCCACCTATAAACATTCCTCCTGTTGCCCCTCGCCCCATTCTGTATCAAACATCTTGTTGAATAAACTGTAAAGAAATATGGATTTAGTCTTTTCTTCATCCTGTTTCAATAACTTTTACTTCCTAGAAAAGGACTTGAGACTTATGACTAAATTGAAATCATTTTTATCTTGGTAGACTTTGAGCATAGAGAGAAGAAAAACTAGATATGAAGAAATCAGCTCTTTCTAATGTGATTCTGTCCACCTTTCTCCTTATTCTCATTGTTTTCATTTATTTTCGTTCAAATACTTGATTTCACAGTATGTGCTAGGCACAGGGCATGGTACTGGGATACACAGGCAACACAAGACAGAGACCATCATCATCGAACACACAGTCTAGTGGATGAGTTAATAGAGGACATAGACAACTGTCTATCTGATGTGTAAATACAAACTCTGACAAATGTTATATTAGAAAGATCCACATGGATAAGAAAGTGTTAGGGTGTCCTGAGTCCTGACCCCTCTGGAGATTAACTTTGGGACAGAGAGTGTAAAAATGTTTTAGAAAGAAGAAACAATGTGTGCAAAGGCCCTGTGGTAGAAAAAAAGCATAGTTCATTAAGGCAACTAAAAGTTACTCTGTGGAGCTCTGGGCAAGGGGGAGACAACGCTGCTGAGGCCGACTGGGCCAAGGTAGCATCCTTGGCCTCGATCCTAAGAGCAACAAAAGCCACTGCAAGACTTTAGGCAAGTCGCAATATACCTAGATTGCAACTTGGAGAGGTCTATCTGCCTGCCATGTGCATAATCGGGCAAGAGTAGATAGGTACCGGTAGACCAAAGTTAGGAATTCTTTAAAGAATGAGGTGAAAGTGTCTTAGACTGAGGTAGGTGGTGGCAGTGGAGCTGGAGACATGTGGCTATCTTAGAGACATTTACATATAAGGTTGACAGGACTTGGTTGTAGCTAGAATTTGGAAGACCATGAGCATGTTTTTGGACATGATGAGTTTCAAGTACCTTTGAGACATCCAGATGAATGTTATAGAGTAGGCAACGGAACATAAAGCCTGAGACTCAAAGCAAGAGTTTGGATGGAGATGAAAATGTGGAAGTTTCATTAAATAAAGGATGGAAATCGATGAGTAGAAATATGAGTATTTTCTCTCTTCATTTTATTTGTGTTGTATGAAAACAATAAAAGTTCATTTTAAATAAACAAATAAAAGAATGACTGTGAAACATTCCATAAGTATTATTTCCTCCCTTGTGTGACCTTAGGCAAATTACTAGACTTCTCTCTGCGTGTTGTCCCAGCCGTAGAATCGTAGAATCCTATAAGTTGTTGAATCAGTCAGGGTTCTAGCAGGAAACAGCAAACTCAAATTAAGTAATTTCAAGAGCGTATCATCAATGAACTATTTTCAAAGATGTGGGCAAGATGGAGAGAAGCCGTAAGGAATCGTGCAGTACCCTGGGTTGGTAACAGCAAGAAGGTATCACTCTGAACAGGTAGGGGGAGAAAGCAGTCACCAGAAATTTAGTGACAATGCTGTTAGGAAAGGGCTGCCTGACACAAGGTGTGGCCTTTAGTTCAGGGAGACAGCCAGCCCACAGGAAACCCGCAGGTAGGAAGCTGGGAGAATAAATACGTAATCTCCCTCCCTCCAGTCTCCTGCTGGTCCTCTGCATAGACCTAACCCAACCAGAAGCTAGAAAACAAGGGAGACTCTTGGTGATGCAGTCCATACAGGTGTGAGACAAAATAGCAAGTGCCAAGAAGCCATGTTTGCTCATTTCTGCTTGCCAGCATAATTTCACAAAGCCTCTGACTCTGTGAAGATATGCAGCTCACCAGAAGGATGCTTTGAAGACACAACAGGGTAGAGCACACGGCCCCCCATGTTTCTTGTCTGAGTCACTATATTCCTTAGAAGATAAATGACCCTAGTCCTTGCCTTTCCCTACACATAAGGTAACGTCTGATGGGGTTGGTGATTATGCTTCCGTAATCTGTTGCCAGATGTACTCTTACACCCAAATCTAGATGTGATTCTGCTTCATTGTAACTTCCAAGCAGGTTTGATGCAATTTTGCAGGTACTGAACTCCCACGCTTGTCTATAAGCAATGGGCTGAAATACTGTGCCCGAGCCGTCTGATGGAACTGCTCCCGAGCTATAAGCCTTGGTCTATAGTCTCCAGTAAGACTTCTGTATAAAATTAACTGTAATTCTTTAAAAGCTTCATTTTTTTCCCTTAGTTGACACAGGTCAGCCTTCAGGGGCCAGAACAGAGTAGAGAAGTGTGGTAGTAGCACCCGGAGAAGCAAAATGAAGATATCTAGCACAGCTGAAGCGAGGGTTAAGTGAGCAAATGCATTAAAACATTTAGGGTAGTACCAGACATGTAAGAATTACTCAATACATATTCACATTTTAATTTTTAAAAAACTACATTATATATTCATGCCATATATATATATATATATATATATTCACTCTCTATGTTCAATTGCCTACTCTAGTCTACTTAATCATTACCCTCTAACATTAAGCGTTTAGTACTTTCCAATTTTTAATATAATACATAACATGGAGACGAACATTTTGTGCATAAAATATTGTATGTAGTTTTTACAATTTCCTTGAGATAGAATCCTAAAACAGGATTATGAGGTAAGAAAGTAGGAGCATTTTTAAGCTCTTTGATTGAAGTTACCAAATTACTTCCCCAAAAGATTATACAAATTTATACTTCATTAGTAATGCCTAAGAATGGCTATCTTCTTACTATACCCACTCCGACAATAAACAAGTTCACTTTTAACCTTTCTTAACTTGAAAGGTGAAAAATCAGCATGGCGTTGCTATTTAAATTAGCATTTATTTGCTTACTGGTGAAATACATCTTTCAAAAATGTATTATAGCCATTTCCATCTCTTCTGTTGTGAATGATCACTTCATGCCTTTCTGCAGTTGATTTCTGAAAGTGCTTTATAAAAGATAGTAACCCCTTGCTTGCTATTTTCACTGAAGAGAGTTTACTCCAATTTGTATTTTAGTGCTGTTTATGACATTTTAGATATGCATAATATTTAAATTTATGTGGTTATATCAGAGTGAACAGGCAACCTACAGAATGGGAGAAAATTTTTGCAACCTACTCATCTGACAAAGGGCTAATATCCAGAATCTACAATGAACTCAAACAAATTTACAAGAAAAAAACAAACAATCCCATCAAAAAGTAGGCAAAGGATATGAACAGACACTTCTCAAAAGAAGACATCATGCAGCCAAAAGACACATGAAAAAATGCTCACCATCACCGGCCATCAGAGAAATGCAAATCAAAACCACAATGAGGTACCATCTCACACCAGTTAGAATGGCAATCATTAAAAAGTCAGGAAACAACAGGTGCTGGAGAGGATGTGGAGAAATAGGAACACTTTTACACTGTTGGTGGGACTGTAAACTAGTTCAACCATTGTGGAAGTCAGTGTGGCAATTCCTCAGGGATCTAGAACTAGAAATACCATTTGACCCAGCCATCCCATTACTGGGTATATACCCAAAGGACTATAAAACATGCTGCTATAAAGACACATGCACACGTATGTTTATTGCGGCACTATTCACAATAGCAAAGACTTGGAACCAACCCAAATGTCCAACAATGATAGACTGGATTAAGAAAATGTGGCACATATGCACCGTGGAATACTATGCAGCCTTAAAAAATGATGAGTTCATGTCCTTTGTAGGGGCATGGATGAAGCTGGAAACCATCATTCTCAGCAAACTATCGCAAGGGCAAAAAACCAAACACCGCATGTTCTCACTCATAGGTGGGAACTGAACAATGAGAACACATGGACACAGGAAGGGGAACATCACACACCAGGGACAGTTGTGGGGTGGGGGGAGGGGGGAGGGATAGCATTAGGAGATATACCTAATGTAAATGACGAGTTAATGGGTGCAGCACACCAACATGGCACATGTATACATATGTAACAAACCTGCATGTTGTGCATATGTACCCTAGAACTTAAAGTATAATAAAATAAATAAATAAATAAATAAATAAATTTATGTGGTTATATCTATTATTTAGTGATTTCTTCCATTGTTTTTCAACTTGGAAGGGCTTTGTCTTTCAAAGATTTGAAGGAAAAAATCTGTTTTCTTTTATAATAGTTTTTTGATGGTTTGATATTTTAAATTCTTTTTTTCTTTTTTTGAGACGGAGTCTTGCTCTGTTGCCCAGGCTGGAGTGCAGTGGCGTAATCTCGGCTCACTGCAACTTCTGCCTCCTGGGTTCAAGAGATTCTTCTGCCTCAGCCTCCCAAGTAGCTGGGACTACAGGCCTGCGCCACCACATGCAGATAATTTTTGTATTTTTAGTAGAGAAGGGGTTTTACCATGTTGGCCAGGCTGGTCTCAAACTCCTCACCTCAAGTGATCTGCCCACCTCAGCCTCCCAAAGTGCTAGGATTACAGGCGTGAGCCACCATGCCCAACCTGATATTTTAAAATTTAATTATTTAAGCCTAATCTACTGGTATGTATTTTGCTATGTGCTATAAGGTGAGGACCTAAATGGATTCTCTGCTCCCCCACACAAATAGCTAACCAATCATAAGAGAACTGTCTGTCGAAAAATCCTTCCATTCTCCACTGATTTGTTTTACCTCATGTAACATAAACAGTGATATGCTTTTGAACCGTCTCTTGTGTTATATTGACCTGCTTATTTTTGCCACATTACCATCAATGTCACATTGATTTACTTATTGTTGCCTTATTAGATTTTATCAGATAGAAAGATTAGTCCCTTCCCAATAGTTTTTTTAACAAATTCTTAGCAATATTCTTACATAGTCCTTTTATTAATATATTCTTATATATTTAAATAAATTTCAAAATCATTTCATCAATGAAATGACTGGTTAACTTAATTGTGATGATATTTCCTAGACATCAATTTGAAAAATTTCTATTTGGCAGCCCTCACATCTTTTAAAATAAGTCTTCGTTTACAGAATACTCTTGAGAAATTGTTTCATTTATCCCTGAAATTAAACAAATTTGTGAGGATAATAAGAGTCTGTGTGTGTGTCTGTGTGTGTCTATTTGCGTGTGTGTAGTATCATAAATCCTTTCAATCTGTGGGTTTTTAATTTGGGGTTTTTGTTCATTCCTGGGCAAGGAGTTTTTCTCTACTATAACTTGGATTATTTTATCTGTTTTAAATATTTGGTTTCTTCCTCAGAAACACCTATAGTTATCTTGTTGGATCACCTTTCTATGTCCTTTATCATTGTTGTCATCTTTGTCCTTTTCCTCTGAATTTTGAGAGCTAATCAAATTTATCCTTCACATTACTGATTTAATTTTCTGAAGTTCTAATTCTATTTGTACTGCTTCTAATGCAGATTTTAACTGTCATTTCATTTTAGGTTTTGTTTTGTTTTTTACTTTAAGTTCTTATTTCAGCCAACTCACTTTTCATTTATGCCATGTATATCTCAATGCATTTTCTCCTTATGATTTCCTCACTATTTCACAGTGTGAACCACTGCCCTGGGCCAAAAATGCTATTCTTGGTCTATAGACACATATGGCATTCTCATACATTGCTGGCTCAAGTACAAATGGTACAACCTCTGATAGTGAGGAATTTGGTAATATCTAACAAAATACCTATGCATTTACCCCTTGACCCAGCAATCCTCCTAGGAATTTACCTTAATAATACACTTCCACAAACAGTGAAAAAATATGCCCAAGGTTATCTATTGTGGAATTATTTTGAATAGCAAAATATTCAAAACAATTTACATGCCCATCTATAGAGGACCATTTGCATAAACACTGATAAGTCTACACAATGAAACACTATTCAGTCATTACAAAAAAGAAAAGAAAGAAGATCTCTGTGAACTGGTATGGAATATGGAGTGATTTTCTGGATATATTTTCAAGTAGTAAAATGAAGGCCGGGTGCGGTGGCTCACACCTGTAATCCCAGCACTTTGGGAGGCAGAGGAGGGTGGATCACCTGAGGTCGAGAGTTCAAGAGCAGCCTGACCAACATGGAGAAACCCTGTTTCTACTAAAAATACAAAATTAGCCGGACATGGTGGTGAATGCCTGTAATCCCAGCTACTAGGGAGGCTGAGGCAGGAGAATCGCTTGAACCCAGGAGGCGGAGGTTGCAGTGAGCTGAGATCGCACCATTGCACTCCAGCCTGGGCAACAAGAGTGAAACGCCATCTCAAAAAAAAAAAAAAGTAGTAAAATGAAGGTATGAGAGAATATATATATAGCATACCTTTGAATATGTCTATATGTATGTATGTCTATTTGTATCTTTGTGTAAGGATATATTACTTATATTTTCAAAAATATATAGGAAGGATAAATCATATATGGAGAAATGAATGAAAATGGGATGGAAGGAGTAGGAATGGAAGTGAAGTTTCTCTGAGTATTCTTTTTTAAATAGTGCAACTCCCATTAGGGATTCTTCATGGGTCCAACTAAACCTTCAGACTCACAAAACTACCATGGACTGTATTTGGCATCAGTACACTCAAAGGGATACAACAAACCACAGCTTGCCAGCAGGACAGCATGGAGCGTTTACCTTCCATGGGTGTTCTTACAGCAGATCAAAGAGCAGTCAGACTAGCTATCCTGCGGCTATTCTCATTAGTTTCCCAAGTGGTAGTTTACGTACAAGGGAACAAGTTTCACTTCAGACAACAGTGGAACTTAGCCTGATTTAGCAGCCTTATGCCCCATAGGAGCCAATAACTT
The DNA here is from genome assembly GCF_000001405.40 of Homo sapiens. Classification (NCBI taxonomy): domain Eukaryota; kingdom Metazoa; phylum Chordata; class Mammalia; order Primates; family Hominidae; genus Homo; species Homo sapiens. The sequence goes on along the minus strand of NC_000023.11, from coordinate 43,646,892 downwards.
TTGTAATAATTACACAGGCATAGTTTCTAGGATCCCTCACATGGGACATAGCCAATTATAACAGTTACCACACTAAAGGAAGCCCAAAATTATGGTATTTGCATTGAGCATTTAGAGTTTATTTATGAAGTCTACCAGTCCAGATGCTATTTACCAGTCAGAGGCACTTTTTTGCTATAAGTAATGTTGCCTGAAGTTGGAACAATTTGAGCATCAAAAAATGATGACAATAATAAAACATTAATAGAAAATCCATCAGCCCATTGTGTTATACCAAAATAAATAAGTTAATAAAACATAAGGAGAAAGATGTTAAAAAGGAAAGTTTTTCTTTACAGAAAAATATCAGGTAGTAAATGTAGAAGGCATTATTAAAAACGACCACTTTGAACTCTTGTAGTAATCAATTCAAGCATCTCAGCAGATGCTAAAAACCAGGAGTGAAAGATTATTAGGAAATTGTTCATTCACAAGGTCTCCAAGTATCACCCTACAGATTATTTTATTAATTATAAAGGGAAAAACAATCCTTTACAGGTAAGAGATCTGGCAGTTACCACCTAAGCCAAATGATCAAACTTAAGATAATCAATCATCAATAATCTAATATAATATGTCCTTTGATGTCATGTAATAAGTTCACAACTGGCCAGGCGTGGTGGCTCATGCCTGTAATCCCAGCACTTTGGGAGGCCGAGGCGGGCAGATCACCTGAGGTCAGGAGTTCAAGACCAGCCTGACCAACATGGAGAAACCCCGTCTCTACTAAAAATACAAAATTAGCTGGGTGTAGTGGTGCATGCCTATAATCCCAGCTACTCAGGAGGCTGAGGCAGGAGAATCACTGGAACCCGGGAGGCAGAGGTTGCGGTGAGCTGAGATCGCGCCATCGCACTCCAGCCTGGGCAACAAAAGTGAAACTCCGTCTCAAAAAAAAAAAAAAAGTTCACAACCTTACTTATGCAGTATTCTTACCAAAAAATGCTTAACTTGAATCCAATCATGAGAGAACAATCCAACAAATTCAGATACAGGCTGTTTTACAAGACAACTGGCCTGGATCCTTCAATAAAAGTTAATGTGAAAAAAACTAAAAAGTATTGGGACTGTGCAAGATTAAGAGAATAAAGAGGCATGATCAAAGACTATTTGTAAAACTTGGCTGGATTCTGGTTTGGAAAATTAGAAAGCCATTGTGACAATGGAGGAAATTTAAATATGGACTGCATATTAGATGATATTATTGATTAGTGTTAATTTTACTACATGTGATAATAGTACTATAGTTATGGGGAGAATTTTTTTTTTTTTTTGAGATGGAGTCTCGCACTGTCGCCCAGGCTGGAGTGCAGTGGTGCGATCTTGGTTTACTGCAACCTCCGACTCCCGGGTTCAAGCGACTCTTCTGCCTCAGCCTCCCATGTAGCTGGGATTACAGGTGCCCGCCACCATACCCAGCTAATTTTTTTGTATTTTTAGTAGAGACAGGATTTCACCATGTTGGCCGGGCTGGTCTCAAACTCCTGACCTCATGATTCGCCCACCTCAGCCTCCCAAAGTGCTGGGATTACATGTGTGAGCCACCACATCAGGCCAAGAATGTTCTTATTCCTAGAAGATGCAGGCTGAAGTTCTTTGAGGTGAAATGTCATGAGTGCTTCAACTTATTTTTAAATAATTTATTAAAAAACACAAGGCTGGGCACGGTGGTTCACGCTTGTAATCTCAGCACTTTGGGGGGCCAAAGCAGGTGGATCACCTGAGGTTGGGAGTTCAAGACCAGCCTGACCAACATGGAGAAACCCTATCTCTACTAAAAACACAAAAAATAAGCTGGGCATGGTGGCTCACGCCTGTAATCCCAGCTACTCAGGAGGTTGAGGTAGGAGAATTGCTTGAACCCAGGAGGCGGAGGTTGCGGTGAGCTGCGGTCACGCCATTGCACTCCCGCCTGGGCAACAAGAGCAGAGCTCTGACTCAAAAAAAAAAAAAAAAGAAAATAGACAAATAATGAAAATGTGGTAATATCTATGACAATTGGTGAGTCCAGGTCAAGACTATGTTGGTGTTGGTCAAAATATTCTTTTAACTGTTCTCTAGGCTTGACATTTGCTCAATATTAGGCACTGGGGAGAAACGGTTCAGAGGAAAAGTTATTTTGAGCCAAAAATCCTTTACCAAGGTAAGTTGTTATTCAATTGTGAAGGCAAAAGAAATTCATCTTCATACAAACAAAAAATAAACTTTATCTCTCTTTCTGAAAGGAAACTTCAGAAGAGGGCTATCCAGATGCAGATCTGGAAAGTCTCTGCCAGCCAAGTGGGAGTTCCCAGTGAAAGATACTTCTCAGAGAAGCCCGGAGTTACTCAACTGGAATAAATGTCTAGCTCCATACCACTGCCTTGCTTAGTCATTCACTGCGGGTTTTCCTATGAAGACTGTTTTGTTTAGTCATTGGCTTGTGTTTCCCCAAGAATATTGTGAAGTTAACACTAAAGCTGAGGCAGATCCTGAAGAAAATCACAGCAAGGGGCTGTCAGCTAGCCACACTTCTCACATCTGTGCAGGAGCCTTCTTGAAGGATATGAGTGATGCATGTCCATGCCTGTTATAGCACCCAGGGCTGGCTTCGTGGGCATATAGGGCCCCTTTCTTAGAAGGGTCTTGCCCTAGGTTTAATGCCCTGCTGTTTCTGTCTTGAAATGCTTAATGATTTTACCTTTGAACTTGCTTTTTTTAAATGAAGCCCAAAGAGACTTCACTGGGCAATGGAGGATGCATATGAGCTGAGGAGATCCACGTAATATGCATGTCCTCTGTTCCTTGTCATCCCATTGTTGCTCTATTTGCATAGTGTTAGGATTTTTTTTTTAAAAGAGATAAGGGGCTCACTATGTTTCTCAGGCTGGCCTCAAATTCCTGTGCTCAAGCAATCCCCCTGCCTCAGCCTGCTGAGTAGCTGGGAGTATAGGTGTGTGCCACCACACCCTGCCAGCATGCCTTTTTTTGAGTAAGGAGTTCTGAACTTTCATTTTGCACTGGCCCATGCAAATTATGTAGCAGGCCCTGACAGCAGCCCTTTTTGTCCAGTCTCCAGTCCTGAATAAATGTCTAGCCTCTGGTCCTCCTGTGGGCATTATATCTTCTATTGCATGTAGTACAGATATGTTAAAATTACCTTTTATTTGTCTGTTGCCACATTATGAGGCACCAATTTTCTTAGTATACTTCTACTCTTAAAAAGCATAACTACCAAGAATCTGAGCATTATTTCTGTTCTTTCATCTGTCTTTCTCCCCGCAATCTTCTACTTCATTGTAAATGAAAGATCACTGTGATTATCTCTGTGGAAGAGACAGTTATCCCCCAGTATCTGTTTTCTCTTTCTTCCTTAGAAATGGAACCACAGTTTTGCTGCTCAGAATAAAGACCATAATTTCCTAGCCTCCCTTCCAGTTAAGTGTGACTAAGTTCTGGTCAACAGATATAATTGGAAATGTCATGTGAAACTCCCACAAAGTTTTCTTAAAGGGAAAGATTGTTCTCTCTTCTTTCCTTCCTCTTTTCATTGCCACCTGAGACAAAGAGATAGAAGAAAGCTGGCAGAATAATTAGAAGGAGTATGTACATTGCTAGACATTTTTATATGACAGATATGCTTCTTTTGGTTGAAGTCACTATTATTTGGGGTTTTCTGTCAAAAGCAGCTGAACTTAATCCTTCTGATACAGTTCTTTAAATGAATGTAGAACAGTAAATGTGTGTCTACTGTTGCCCTGCCCAAGGAGGATACTCCCAATTGGCCCTGTTCAGTTCTACCTTACCAGGGGCTGAGGTTCTCCTTTCATGCCTCCCATCTCCACCTTTTGGTCAGAGGTGGGTGTGAGTGGAGAAGACTTACAAATATCCAATATTATTGAAAGGTGGCCTGTCTACATGCTGTGAGTTGGCATGGGTGGAGGAAGGGGAATCTGCATTCAACAACAGCCCCTACTGAATCCCTTTTATTTGGCTCTTTGGTTTTCATGACAGAAAGTTCATTCCGCCCATCCTTGTGTCCTTCCTCTTCCATTTGAATTTCCATTTGACACATAAATTTAAAAGTTTCTTTTATGTTTTCTGTGTAACTTTATTTCAACTTCAATGTAGACTGGAAGAGTGAAATTGAACCATCGTATATCAGTGAGAGAGAAGAGGGAGCAGGGGAGAACATTGAAAACAAGCAGAATAATACTTTGAAGTATAACCCATTCCATTATGGGAAGGGGCTTCACTGATTATCATGGTGATAACTAGTGATGGTATCACTGAGATATGATATATGTGGACCTAATTAAATCCTCAGAGGACCCTCCCCGATTCAAGAAGTATAAATGTATGTTGTTTAGTTCCTTAATAAGTGACAGGTGACTTAAGCTCAGAGCAAGGTATTGGATGTATTGTGGTGGGGTGGAAGGTACAGCATCCCAGCTACTCAACAGTTGAAGATGAAGCTTCTATGCTCATACCACAAGAACTGCTGCTCCTTTAAAGAAGTTCTTATGTGCAGGGACAGAGGATAAGGGTAATTTAGGGCTTTCAAGCACCTAAACCTCAGTTCTTTCCCAGACTTCTGGTCAGCAGTGATATTGAATCAAGCCCTTTGGATAATTTTTTTAACGCTGGCTCTGGCTGTCTGCATCAATAGCCCCTACAGGGGCCATGTCTGACATTTATAAACGTGTTTACTCTTCCTTCCATCTAAATAGACAAGAGTCAGAGAATCCTCTGAATCATGCAGCTCTGGGCAATTTTAAGTCCAGGCTCTTTAAATCATTCTTTTAACTTTCAATATTTCAAGACACAATTTGAACAAGAATGATTTTTAAAAAACCAGGCAGTGCCCTTCTTTCAGCAGATAAGCAATTAAGTTCAAATCAGACTCACTTAAGAGATGCAGCTCTAGGCATTCCCACTGACTGGGACCAGGAAGGCAAAGTAAAATGGTAAGGTAAACAAACAATTATCTACACAATTTGATCAATATGGAATGCTAGGCAGACAAGACCTTCCTTAAAAGCATCATCTTAAGAGGGACTTGAATTTTAAACCAGATTACTGCCTTCAATTTCCTCACCCTATTTTTGTAAAAACACTGTTCAAAAGTGTGGAGGGAAGGTACTGGTTATTCTCTGTTTCTCTCTCCTCCACATTGATTTTCCACCTTTCTCTGTCCTGCTCTGACCCCCATGGAATGCATCACCTGGGTGCCCCTGCCTTTTAGCTTCTGGTTGGGTTGGGGCATTGGAGTGGGGATTGACAAGAGACTAAAGGGCAGGAGAGAACAGTCATGGTATTTATTTCATCACTGTCACCATCTTTCCTCACCCCATCTTCCACAGCTGAGACATGGCCATGATTGCCCCTTTCTAACTATAGCTTCTGTCCTGTCATTGTCCACAGCTCCAGCTCTCAGCTGGGATACCCTAACACCTTTTCCTCCCCATATCCTGTCAGGTCAAGTAGTGGCTTCCCATCATGACTAGTCCCTGGATGCTTCAATATCCCTTGTCAGTTTTCTTAACCCAGCTCATACTTTTGTGAATATTCCCATCTTTAAAACTCTATACAAAAATCTCAGCTGAGTTTGTCATGTGTTTCTTATTGGGATCCTGATTGATGGTCGACCATGTCAACATGACCTACTACAGCAGCTGATAAGCAAGGCTCTGGATCTGTGTCCACTTTCTATGTTGTGCTTTGAATGAGTTCCTTAAAAATTTCAAAAATGGGCTGGGCGTGGTGGCTCACGCCTGTAATCTCAGCACTTTGGGAGGCCGAGGCGGGTGGATCACCTGAGGTCAGGAGTTCGAGACCAGCCTGGCCAACATGGTGAAACCCCATCTCTACTAAAAATACAAAAAAAAAAAAAATTAGCCAGGTGAGGTGTCACATGCTTGTAATCCCTGCTACTAGGGAGGCTGAGGCAGGAGAATTGCTTGAACCCGGGAGGCGGAGGTAGCAGTGAGCCGAGATCACGCCACTGCACTCCACCCTGGGTGACAGAACGGGACTATGTCTCAAAAAAAAAAAAAATTTAAAAATGAAGTTGTAATTACAGTGTATATGCATGGTGAATATACCATTGTAAATTTGCTGAGCTCAAAAAGAATGTTTAAAAAGATAAAGTGGGACGTGACATCTGTTATCGGTCAGTTGTTATCAGTTACCAAAGTCCTTTGCATGGGGATGAAAGTTCTTTAGCACCACTTAGATTGATAAATATGAGCATGAGTTAGCGTCTCATTATTTTCAATTGTTTTCATGTTTGTTTGGAATAAAAATTTGGAGCTAACAACTCTTACTACAAGTGTAGAGCACTCATGTTTGTGGAAATCCCTCCAGTTTACATCTGTGATACATTAAAATAAAACTTTTAAAGGTTTTCCCTAGAGGGAAATAAAAACTGAAACCATAATTACTGAAAAAAAAAAAAAGTAAAAAGAAAAAAGAACATGCCCTAAGGTCATCAGGGACAGGACAAAAGAGAGATTTAAGGATAAAAAGACACAAACAGATACTATGCAAGTGGCAGAGATGCCAGGCCCTGCATATGCTCCTGACCAGTTCTCTATGACTTGAAGAGGTGAGGGATATGTGAAGATTGGCAATTGTCTCTGAGCATGTAGTTTGCTATTTAATGGGAGTTTTCTCAGGACACACTAGCAGATCCAGTGTTGGAGGTATACAATAAAACCACAGATTTTTAGACCAGAAGTTCTCAACTTGAAGTCAACTAATAGAATTCAGGAGGATCTGTGATCTTGAAAAGGAAAAAAAAATTACATACTCATTTTTGCTAACTTCTAACTGAAATTAATATTTTTTTACTATGAATGTAGGTAACAAACCACTGTAGTATTAGCCGTACCTGTCAACAACAAAAATCACAGGCATTGCTGACATTAAGGCACCAAAATATCTACAGATGTAATCATTTATCATGACCTATGTGGCCAATATGCTCCCAAGTACCCTTAAGCTCCTGCTTTAAGGTCCATAAATATCCCTGAGGAAAAAATCCACCACGACGCTGTCAGTCCCGTCTTGCTGAGGCACCCCGCTGCACTCTTCTACAGTGTTCTTTCTTTCTAATAAAACTTTCCTAGGTGGGTATGGTGGCTCACGTCTGTAATCCCAGCACTTTGGGAGGTCAAGGCGGTCGGATCACCTGAGGTCAGGAGTTCGAGACCAGCCAGACTAACATGATGAAACCCCATCTCTACTAAAAATACAAAACTTAGCCAGGCACAGTGGCAGGGCCCTGTAATCCCAGCTGCTTGGGAGGCTGAGACAGGAGAATTGCTGGAACCCGGGAGGCGGAGGTTGCAGTGAGCCGAGATTGTACCATTGCACTCCAGCCTGGGCGACAGAGTGACACTCCATCTCAAAACAAACAAACAAACAAAACTTTCCTTTTTCAAACCTATGCTGTCGTTGGTAAATTCTTCTTACCAACCCATGAGCTGACCACTTTTTGATGCTGGGGCTCTGATACCTTGCTCGGCATCTTGGTCGCCCATAGTGAGACTTTACTGGGATTTCTCCTTTCTTTTTTTCCTCCCTGCTTCCCTTGATGATCTGGTTCTTTACTCTCGGGAACTGAAGATCCTTGGCGGAGGCCACTCTTCGGTGAGATCCTGAAGCCCTAGGGAAGGGACACCTGTCTGTCATTGCCTTTAGGGGTGAGGGACTGGCCAGGGATTTTTTCTGTTTTCTGACTGCCAGCTAATCAGCTTAAGTATTCTTTGGTAATTGAGGGTTTCTGGCTGAGGGCACTCCCTGGTGTTACGGGAAGGCCAAGACAAAAGAGTGAATTCCCTATTGCCCGTCAGGATGGCAAGTCCACTTTCACTTAACACTCTGTAAACCGTGACTTGGAAACGAGCAGCAGCAATCTCAACTCTGCGCAGACACACTCTACTGGTTGTGGACCCAATTTTGGATTCACCTTCATCACAAGCACCTCATCCCAAGTTATGGGTGAGTTCTCCTTCACGTTAGGTTTGAGCTGACCACTCAAACAAGGGCACTCTTGGACTGGTCATCCAGGCAAGGGCAGGCCCTATATCCATGGTGGAACATCACTGAATAGAGCAAGCCAATGGAAAAAGGGAGGTCCAAATCCCTCAGGGTTGCCCCAGGGATCTTGTAGTCCTTTACCAAAATCCAATATGGGTTCAATTCATTCTTCAATTCCACTCGACTCGCCCTTGGGTTGCATACTTAAAAACTAGTCCCATTTTGACCCACACACTCTCAAAAAGAAGTGTATGATTTTCTTTTGTAATACAGCTTGGGTTCAATATAAGCTTCCCGATAATTTAAATTGGCCTCTTAATTAAACCAACCCTGGACGGGAACATTATTTTACAACTAGATTCATTTTGCCAGAACCTTGGAAAGGATTCAGAGGTCCCAAATGTTCAGGTCTTTTTGGCTTTATCCCAAAACCCAAAATAACATAAAAATTGTCGCATATGTTTCCAAGGAACTTCCTCCCTCCCTGATTCTATGTCTTAGATGATCCTTCCTTTTGCCTATCACACTCTCCTCAGCCTGCTCCCACTTCACCTACACCCCCTCCATCTGCTAATCAACACCCCTTCCATATCTAGACACTTTATCACTCTCACATACTCACACAGGAGTCACATATACCACTAGTATAGTTTTGTCTCTCCACGAGGTGGCAAATGAAGATTTGGGAACAATTCGAGTTTATGTTCCTTTTCCAGTGTTTGATTTTTTGCAAATTCAATCCAAGTTAGGTTCATTTAGCCAGGATCCCTCTAAGTTCATTCAAGAATTGGGGGCTTTAACTATTGTCTTTCATTTAACCTGGCAAGACATATTTGTGGTATTAACTACTTGCTGCTTCCATGAAGAAAAATCACACATATGGTCTTTAGTTCCAGCTTGGGCAGATGACGCTCATGCTTATAATCCTAATGATGATAGAGCTGGTGCAGAAGCTGTCCCCAACACACAACCCAATTTGCAATACCAGGCTGCTGATGCCAGCCCAAACAGAGGCAGGGGCAGATGAGACTATATGATAAATTGTTTCTTGGAAGGAATGAGAAAGGCTGTAATAAAATCTGTTAATTTTTCTAAATTACAAGAAATCACTCAGGAGCCATCTGACAATCCTGCCCTTTTCCAAGCTAGACTGGTGGAGGCCATGCATAAATATACAAATTTAGACTCCAAAAGCCCTGAGGGCCAATCCATTTTGTCAGGCTTCCCTACACATCAGACGAAAACTCCAAAAGTTAGAGCAAGACCCACAAACTCCCTTTCCTACTTTATTAAATACAGACTTTAGGTTTTTAATAACCAGGAGGAAACACCAAAAATAAAAAAGGCTCAATTAGAGGAGAAAAAAATGCTGTTGCCAAGCTAAATACACGGCAACAGCATTGGCACATTCTTTTTTGTTAGCTAATAACCCCAAGGCTCGTCCCTATAATACTAAAAGAATGGGGGCCTGGCATTGCTGTAGAAATCCAGGACACTGGAGTAAAGAATGTCCCAAACCTCTGGGTTACAAGCTGTCCCCTAGACCCTGTCCTCATTGCAAACAAGAGGGTCATTGGAAGAGTGAGTGCCCCTCTCTCCCTCATGAGAAGGGGGACATCTCTTCCTTCTGTGCTGTCACAGCCACAACCTTGCCAACCTACCCAACAAAGGGATCCTACAGTACAAGGACTAGGGCAAGGGCAAGGGCAAGAACAAGCACCTCTCAGTCTTATTTTAACCCCTGGTACAAAGAGCTTCTCTAGTGCTTGAAAAGATCTCGTTTTAAATGTGACAACTCCGGAAACTAAACAGTAGCTTTGCCAGAATATGGATTCCTTCCTTTGGATTAATAGCAAAACCTTTATGTGAGCCCTCAAGGGAATTGAGGAACTACCTCTATCCTGGACTAATGATATGAAGCATGCTCTAAACACTTTAAGACAAGCTTAAATCTCAGCCCCGACCTTGGCCCTAACAGATTTGACTAAGCCTTTCTTTTTGTATGTACATGAACAAAGGGGAATAGGTTTAAGATTCTTAGCCCAAAATCTGGGGCTCTCTAAGGACCCTATGGCATATTTTTCAAAAACATTAGACCTAGTATCCTAGGGATGGCCCCCCAGCACCCACTTAAAAGCCTCAGCAGTGGAGGACCTCTTAGTCCAAAAAGCTTGAAACTATATTACCTGCCCATCCTGGGCTCTTATGGCTTTGTGGCACTGCTAAGAATTATTTAAACCCTTTTCAAGCTTTGGCACTATACCACCTTGATAATTCTCTCTTCATTATGGTGATTGCACTCTGGGAACAATAGCTCCCATCCAAATTACTGTCTTGAGCATAACTTCCAATCTATAATTCCATTCAAGAAGAAAAAGGGCCCTAGGATTTATTGTGACTGGAGTTGTAGGAAGCATTGCAATTCTTGCCCCTTGGGGAGGTTTTACTTACCATAAAATCACACTACGAGAACTTACTGCCTCCCTTGAAATAGCCTTAGCCAAAGCTAGTGCAAGTCTATCGGTGCTAGAAAAGTCTTTAAACTCACTAGCAGAAATGGTTTTTGAATAGATGAGTTCTAGATTACCTCCAAGCCGAGCAAGGAGAAGTCTGTGCTGTCATCAACAAAATCTGTTGCATCTATATTAATGTGTCTGGAGAAGTGAAAATTAAGGTCCAAGAAATTTTCAAACAAGCCAAATGGCTACACACACTTTCCCAAGGTAACCAAGACTGGCCCAAAACCTTTACTGATTGGTTTCCATAAATCACTTGGCTTCCCCCGTTCTTTGCACCTTTCATCCATATCATTCTTGTTTTAATATTTGGTCCCTGCCTCTTAAACGCTCTTATTAAGTTTATATCTTCCTGATTACAATGATTCCATCTACAGATGACTATGCAATCCCAATACTGGCCTGCAACAGCAACTTCCATTTACAAGGGGATTCTTGATGGAATCCAGTCTTCCCTGTGAACAAGTTTTCATGACTTTCATTCCCTTCATGACAGAGAGCAAGAAAGGGGAAAACACAATGTATCCCCTCAATGCTCCCTTTCAGCAGGAGGTAACCAGACTCGACACCGCTCTTCACTGTGCCATTTTCCCTTTCTTCTTGAGACCCTAAGAGGCAGCAGCTAGACATGAGTATGGGGGAATATGAAGGGTCAAAGATTTGACCAAGATATTTTTCAGGCAGAAAATGAGGAGAGCAAGATCACCTGGTGACCAGCAAGCAGACCATCTAGAGACAAAACTCCTTATCTGAGGAATTCAGAAGTAATTAGACTTCCCTATTATCTAAAGCAGGCATCTGGTTCCAGGTCTCTTTCCCCCAAATTTTTAAGTAACTAGAATTTCTATACATCCCTGGAATGCATGCAAACTGAAACTCCTTGTGCAACCATTGCTGACATTAAGGCACCAAAATGTCTACAAATGTAATCATTTATCATGACCTTTGTGACTAATATACTCCAAATTACCCTTAAGCTCCTGCTTTAAGGTCCATAAATACCCCTGAGGAAAAAAATCCACCATGGCACACTCAGTCCTGTCTTTCTGAGGTGCCCCGTTGCACTCGTCTACAGCATTATTTCTTTCTAATAAAACTTTCCTTTTTCAAACTTATACTGTCATTGGTAAATTCTTCCTACCAACCCATGAGTCGATCACTTTCTGATGCCAGGGCTCTGACACCCCACCTAGCAGTGAGGGGTAATAAATGATTTTCAGGGGAAACGAATGAACCCAAATAACAATGACCTGTGACAGAGTTCCTCCGAGCTCTGGGTGAGGTAGCAGGAAGATGAGGGGCAGAACTTCATTGTGAACAATGGTTGTTTTATTATGCAGATAAAGTTTCCCAGGTAATCTCTTGGAGCTGTCCTCAGAAGAATAGATGAAAAGTCTGTCTGGGCATAGTGACAACTTTTTGTGTTTTTTCGTCCCTGCTGGTTAATTTTTCTTGGTTATTTATTCCTAGGGAGGGAGTCTTAAGACAATTGCATTTTATTTGGAAAGAAGATTTCTTAGTCAGATGAGGAAATTCCAGAAAGATTCTCTCCCTGTGCTAGTCGGGGAAAAACCAGAGAAGGTTAGAAAGTCCTTGGTTTTGAGGTAGCTTCGAAGGCCTTCCGATTTCCTTTAATTCAAAAGTGTTCAGCATGCCCAAGCACTATACTTTGTGGTATTGTTCTCTCCACCCCAACACCACCCCAAAATGTGACTGTAGGAGACCAGAATATGCCACCCCAAAATATAGCTTTTTGGCATAAAGATTATTTTGAGAAATGGCAGACACAGGGGAAACTCTGAAAACAGAGTAGAGGTTATCCTTTTGTAAGGGAAATTTACATCTATAAAGGAAATAATTCATTTATAAGGGTGTCTCCCTCTTTGTATCAGGAGGAGAGGAATGATTCTAAATCAATAAAGACTCTTGTCAATGGAGAAGGAATCAACTTAAATCTGTGTAACAAACCTTATCCTTCTTTACCATGCTTTTCCTTTTCCTAGCTATCTCCCCATAACTGGTCTTCTTCTCTTTCTTTGCTTTAGAGAATGATGATTTTTTAAGCCTGAATTCAAAGCCAACTTTTTGAGATTTACTCATTCTCCCTGAATATATCCCTTGTATACATGAAGCATACATGTTATTAGACTTTGTTTTTCTCCTATTAATTTACCTTTGATACAAGGATCCATCTCAACTAAGAACTACGAAGGATAAAGAGAAAATTGTTTTTCCTCCCCTACATCAGCTCCCCAACTGGACTGCACACTTCCCTAAGACAGGGGCCATCTGTGCCTCATACCAGGAAATGTACTTATATAGGTTAGTACATGTTCACCAGCATCACTGAAGTTATTTCTGAATGACGGTCCACGTAAGCCATTAGTAATGATACCTGACTAATATACATGTCACTGTTGAAATGTCAACACTTCAATTTTTAAAACACTGTTATTTGGTAAATCTGAATAAGATCTGTAGTCAAATTAATTGTATTGTGCCAATGTCAGTTTCCTGGTTTTGACCCTCTACACATTTCTTCACCTGCCCCACCCTCCACCCTCAATATACACACATTCTATGCACTAGTAATAGCAGCACATAATGTCACACCTTTATTTGTGCTGCATCCTGGGCTTCATTCTCTCTATATATAAATTTTTACCTGGATGTTCCCTATTCATTCTTTTAGACTAAATTAACAATTATCTCCTAATGAAGCTGTATCCATCAGTAAATGTTGTGGGTTCCCACTTATTCCAAGTGTCTGCCATTCTAGGCAATCCAATTTCCTTTCCTAACTCCAAATAATCATATACAGGGTCTTTCTTCCCTCCTTTCATCTCTTCTTGTATTCTCTGTTTTTCTCCTCATCTTCTTGCCTGTTTTGTGTTTGTGTTACTTCCAACACTTGCCAGTGTCCACATCAGAACTTTTAGATGGAACCCATCTTTCCGTTTGCATGAATGAAATTAAAAACAAGACCCAAAGTCCATTTTCATTATGTCATCTCAAAGCCATTTGCCAAGAGGATCCAGAGAAGATTTAGGGTGAAACAGCAGTTCCAAAGCAGCCTCAGAGGGGAGATATATTCAATAGGATTATTTCCTTGCTTTGAGGAAAGGCAGATCCAGTAACCCTAACTCATTTAGGGTATCTGTTTCTTGGCACATTAAATCAGGAATGGCAGATCCTCAGGCCTCTAACCTTTATGTTCTCCCCCTCCCTCCAACCCCTTCCTTGGTGTGTCCCTAAGTGAAATGTAAAATTTTTCAATTGGGTTTGTGTTTTAAATACTAATGGATGCTTGGAAAAATGGTCCATGGGTAGAGTTTTATTTAAAAAAGAGATTTGCAGGATAATATGTGTTTTCACATGCATTCCTAACACCTTTTCTGGCCTATGCAATAAGCTGCAATTTGTCAGGAGAATACCTTCTGTGGATTCTAAGGGCTTTTAAATTTTTTATATCCCTTTCTCTTGGGTGGAGAAACTTTGGATTATATTTGGACCAGGATTTTATATGCTCAGTATCTTACTTTGCTCTCCCTTAATCTCTGAGTGTTGTCATTGGTATTTATTTTTTTATTTTTTGAGATGGAGTTTTGCTCTTGTTGCCCAGGCTGGAGTGCAATGGCATGGTCTTGGCTCACTGCAACCTCTGCCTCCTGGGTTCAAGCGATTGTCGTGCCTCAGCCTCCTGAGTAGCTGGGATTAAAGGCGTGCACCACCATGCCTGGCTAATTTTTGTATTTTTGTAGAGACAGAGTTTCACCATGTTGGTCAGGCTGGTCTCGAACTCCTGACCTCAGGTGATCTACCCACCTCGGCCTCCCAAAGTGCTGGGATTACAGACATGAGCCACCGTGCCTGGCCATTGGTATTTTAATCTACACAATTATTGATATAATAATCTAGACTATTTCTATCTATTCTGGGGGTATTTTTACTGTTGGGGCTCAGAAAACAATGCCTAAAATGAAGGCGTTAGAAAGAGGGCAAAAGTTTCTCTCTGACCTTCTGCCCGCATGTCTCAGTCCCATTCTCCTCAAGGCCAGCCATAGAAATTATAATCCCTCTTCCCCAAGCTGGGTCATAGAAACCAGAACCCCTTCCCCACAAAACTTGTCATAAAACCTAAAATTATTATTCTAATGCTCCCTCTGCCTTTCTGTGTAAAAATTGGCCATAAAGAAATTATCTGACCTTCCTTGTTTGTCAGTCATAAGACCCTCATTCCAGAGATGGCCCTGCCCCACACTCAGAAGGAAGGAATGTTGCTCAGAGAGGCCAAGAAAAATCTAGACAAGGAATGTTGCTCAGAGAGGCCAAGAAGATAGACCTTGCTGTGTCTTCCCACACGGTTTATTAACATGAAATAATGCCCTTCTTTTCCAATTATATTTCTACATGGCTGTCCATACTTTGTTGAACCTAGGCATAACAATGGACCATTTCCCCTGTATCTTTGTGTCTTCATTCTGAAGGCTCCTGTGTATGCACATTAACTAAATTTGTATGCCTTTTCTCCTATTAGTCTGCCTCATATCACTTTCAAGCCTCCAGAGAGCCAAGGACCTTGGCCCCTACATCTCATAGCTGGTGAGTTAGTGAATAGAAAGTCACTCAGTGATTGTCCCTTCCACAAGGTTTTTCCAGTTCTAGTCCTACTCCTTATGTAACCCCCAAGCCATTCTTTAAAAAAAACAGGATGTTTAAATTTTATATCCCTTTTCAAAGAAACTTAGTTATCACATTTTTTACAACCTTTGTTCCACTGAATGTTATTCTTTTTTCTTTTTTCTTTTTTTTTTTGAGATGCCCAGGCTGGAGTGCAATGGCAAGATCTTGGCTCACTGCAACCTCTGCCTCCCAGGTTCAAGTGATTCTCCTGCCT
This sequence comes from Homo sapiens, assembly GCF_000001405.40. Classification (NCBI taxonomy): domain Eukaryota; kingdom Metazoa; phylum Chordata; class Mammalia; order Primates; family Hominidae; genus Homo; species Homo sapiens. Next base: position 43,631,418 of record NC_000023.11, on the reverse strand, counting down.
CAGCCTCCCTAGTAGCTGGGATTACAGGTGCCCGCCACCACACCCAGCTAATTTTTGTATTTTTGGTAGAGATGGGGTTTCACCATGTTGGTCAGCCTGGTCTCGAACTCCTGACCTCGTGATCCGCCCAGCTCAGCTTCCCAAAGTGCTGGGATTACAGGCGTGAGCCACCCTGCCTGGCCTATTATTTTTTTAAGAGCTTTAATAAAGTCTAATTTACATATAATGAACTGCACATATTTAAAGAGTATAATTTGACACATTTTGGCATTTGTATACATGGCTGAAACCATCACCATATTTAAGAAAATGAACATATTTACCAGCCCCACAAATTTCTTCGAGCTCCTTTGTCATCTCTCTTTCCTGCCTTTCCCTTACACCTATCTCCTAGGCAGCCACTGATCTGCTTGCTGTCACTCTAGTTTGCATTTTCTAGAATTTTATATACACGAGGTCAAACACAACATATTCTTTTTTATCTGTTTTCTTTCACTGAGCATAATTATTTTGAAATGCATCCACATTGTGTGTATCAACAGTTCATTCTGTTTTTATTGCTGATATTGGGTATTTGTGGATATTGGACAATTGCGGATATGCCACAATGTGTTTATCCATTCACCTCCTGATGGATATTTCAATGACTCCGGGTTTTGGTTATTACAAATAGAGCTGCTTGGCCTGGTGCAGTGGCTCACGCCTGTAATCCTAGCACTTTGGGAGGCCGAGGTGGGTGGATCACCTGAGGCCAGGAGTTCAAGACCAGCCTGGCCAATATGGTGAAACTCTGTCTCTACAAAAATACAAAAATTAGCCGGGCATGATGGCGAGTGCTTGTAATCGCAGCTACTTGGGAAGCTGAGGCGGGAGAATAGCTTGAACCTGGGAGGTGGAGATTGCAGTGAGCTGAGATCGTGCCATTGCACACCGGCCTGGGCGACAGAGAAAGACTCTGTCTCAAAAAAAAAAAAAAAAAAGAGCTGCCATGAACATTCGTATACAAGTCTTGTATGGACTTACGCTTTCATTTCTCTTAAATAAATACCTAGAAGTAGAATGGCTAGATCATAATGTAAAAACATGTTTAACTTTAACTTTTTAAGAGATGGCCACACTGTTTTTTAAAGCGATTGCAGTATTTTACATTCCCACCAGCAATCTATGAGAATTCCAGTTCTTCCACATCCTTGCATATTCTGTTATTAAGAGTGTCACTTTGGTGAAACGGATTTGTTATAATTGAACCTAAAGAGGAAAGTTTTTCTCTCCCTCTTTTTTGTTGTTTCTATTTTTTTATTTTTGGTAAAGCAGTGCATATGAATTATCTGTATTTGGGACAAATAATATGGTTCTAACAAACATTAACTGACCTTAAAATCCAGTCTTCTATTAACCCGTTATGGAAAATTACAACCCAATGAGAAGGAATAAGGCAGTAACATTCAAGTATGAAAAATAAGAAAACCATTAACTTTATATGTGCAGTAGCTAAGATATTTTAACACATTAGGAATAATTTTTGCAAAGTTATATGACATGAGGAAAGATGATATATTTCTCACCATATTTTTGGGTTTGAAATTTTTTTAAAGCCCGAAACATTCAAAGCATTTGAAAATTGACACATTTCTTGCTGATATGTATGTGACTTTCCAAGTATTGCTCTGGTAAAGGAATAGACTTGTATGTGTCAAACTCATCCAGGGCAATGAGGTCTAGGAAGTCACAGACCAAGCAATCTAATGAGCATTTCTTCCCTTAAGGACTATTGTTCTAGAAATGCAGAGAAATGCAATATAGTAGAAGTATTTCTGTGTTTCCAGTACCTCACTGTGGATTTTACTCTGGAACATGTGTACAAAATACAAAGCCATTACCTTCACTTCTGGCTGGACACTGCTCAAATAACGTGGGGACTGACCAGTTAATGATGAAGTTCAGCTTGAAGTACAGCTCTTCCTACCAGAGCTAACAACAGCAGGTTGCCATATCCCTGCCAGAATGCCCTTGAGCTTTACTGTTGATGGCTTTATGGGTGAAATGACCTTGAGGCAAAATCTCTTTGGTGGTTAAGTAAAATCTTATTGCATTTACTACAGCAAATACAGTTAAGGCAATGATCCAGGAGTGTTTAAAAGCCCTAAAATTATTGTAAACCACTGCACAGTAGGACAGTGTTTTAACCTGCTACTGTGCTGTGTTCCAGTCAAAGTTTCAGTGAACCATTCTGTCCAATTCCTAGAGAAAACTAATGTGAATGAATCATATCCAACATAAGAATCATCTTAAAAGTAAGTAAAACTGACACAGAAAACACCTTTTTAGCATCTTAAATTGTTGAGATAAAAAAACATAGTTTAAATGCAGGATATAACAGTTTTAAAGTGGTATCAATGGAAGAGAAACTTTCTACTCAACAGCAGAGAGGAAATAGAAAAAGTATGTGTCTTCTTTCACTTAACACTAAATTATAAGCATTCTTCAAATTTTCATAAACTCATTGTAATCACTTTTTATGATTGCATAACAGCCCATGAAATATATATATAGTGACTCTTTTAAACAAATTTCACATGTATTTGTTTTCATGTTTTTTTCAACTTGAGTTAATGTTGTGATAAAAAAAAATACGTAGAGAAAAGCTTTTCCCACATTTGGAATTATTTCTTTAGGATAGATTTCCAGAAATAGAATTGCTTTAACAAGTAATATTATTCTCTTAGTTTTAATATCAAATGTTAAAGTGATTCCCAAAAAGACTGTGCCAATTTGCTCACCATTGGCAGTAAGTAACAGTTATGTTTCATTAAAATCTCACCAGGGTTAGACATTTTATAATTTTTTAATGTGTCCTAATTTAATAGGGAAAATATTGTTTAGTTTTGATTACTTTTTTTATTACTAGAGATTGTTATTATTTGCTGCTTTTGAGTTGCATACTCACACCATTAAACATTTATGTCTTTTGAAGTATTCATGTTTTTATTTATTGATGTGTATGAGCTTCTTAGACATTAAAAATATCAACCCTTGGTCTATTGATGCAAAATTTTCCACGAATGAAAACTCAGCACATCTGCTTAGATCTCTAGTTCTGAAATAACTGCAGGCTGAAACACCCTTAAAACTAAGTCAAAATGAAATCTTTTTTAAAAAAATCACAGTTTCATACTGACCTCTTTTCAAAGTTTCCTAGTTTGCCACTTCTAAAACAATGTTCTAAGGAAGGTATTTTCTGCTGCATTCATATTTTAGCTATTTATACTCATGGCCTTTCTGATTTCTAAACTTACGATACCTTTTATGTTTTAATAAGGGATTGTTTGAAGTCAGGTTCTCTGTTTCTGGGGAAGTTGACTCTGAGCCAGAGCTTTGTGTATAGGAAGTGTGTTAAGGATCTTCCTATACACAAAGATTGATACCCGGAAGTGTTGAAGTGAACATTGAAAGTGGGAAAGTGAAGGAAGCAGGACTGGGTGGAGGTGAGCTGTGATACAGTCACAGAAAAGATCTCAGCTGATCTCCCAAGGATGGCCCCTTAGTCTCACTTTGAGACACAGGGACCAGGCTTTCAACTCCTGTCATAAATGGTCATTGGATGATGTCTACCTCTATGCAGGCAGCAGGACCTTGAGGCAAGTGGCTCTTTTTGGCTTACAGAAACTCCTGGACAGGGACTCAGCTGATGGTTACCAGCCACCAACATTCCTGGCAGCTGGGCTAATGAGTGACTGTCTCAGCCCTGAAGGTGGAATCTGGGATGACCAACCATAGCATCCACTACAGGGTTGAAAACACTGGCATTACTTGGAATTTTAGGGGGCAATGACTCTTTCTCTGCCACACGGTGCCTCCCACTCTCTACCAATGGTCTCTCATAGGCCTGGGAGGATAAGTGTGGCTTTGTTCAACTAATCTGGTCTCAGGTCTTATGTCAATTATGGATCTTACCTAGAAGTTTACTTCAGAGCTTTGGATCAAGTTCAGGCTCTTCCCAGGCCATAGAATTGCCCTTTCTGAGGCTCATGGGGCTCTGTAGCTATGTGGGCTTTATCTGATCTGCATGCACTTACCATGTTTGCTTAAGAAGAGGCCTGCACTAAGCCCTCCAGATATGACAGCCTGGAAAACCTAGCCTTCTCAGAACCACTGTATACCAGAGTGGGCCTCATTTCTTCCTTTTCCTGTAACACTCCACTTCCTCACTCAATTGGGACCTGATAGTCCTTGATTGAGTCAAAGTCAATCAGCTGTAGAACTTGAATGCTGAAGTGGTTACCCATGCTTTAGGGTAAAATTTTTAGACCTCAACAGAATATAGTCATTTTTCAGAGTCATTTCTGCATATGTTTGTTGCTCTTTACAACCAGAGAATAGATGCACAATGGCCCCTAGAAATAAAAGATGGCTCTACTAAACCAAGGTATAACCATGGTAAGAGTTCATGAATATCTGTTGAAAAATCATGGTTTCACTGCTCAAAAGAATGCCAAGTACCACTCAAAGGAAGTGAGGAGGAGGCATGGGAGATGTTCAAAACTTGAAGACTCAAGAAGAGTCTTGAAGGTGGGGGCCACTCACAGATCATCTTCTTAGCAGACCCTTCTCCTTGAGATGGCTCAATGCCATTGGATCTGCCTCTCCTTTTCCATATTACCATGTATTGAAAGAAGCATACTGTCCTGCTCCTGAAGTCAGAGTAAATGGAATCTTGGTCTTGGAGCAACCACTTTCTTTATGTGCAACTGAAGAAATCGAGTTACCTCCCTCAGGTACTTCTGCAAAATCAGGGGCAATAATGCCAGCATGGTGTTTGTGGTTGTTCTAAAGATATTAATGTGTTAATACCTTACTTCTTGAGTGTCATTGAAACATAAGGTGTTCCATCTAAGTCAGCATGTTATAGACACAACATCGTGGCATAATGTTAACTATTTTTCATGGAAATCTTTTTAAAACTACATTATACACTTGACGTTTTTGAAAATAGTCACACTAAACTTAATCTTTTTGATGAATTAGACCATCATTATGAACATCAGTTATAGTACTTTGATGTAATATGGTCCATATAACTATGTTTTTCCCCAACTTTAATCTTTTATTGAAGAACATTATACATCCAGAAAAGTGCACATAAGTTTATAGTCACAAACTGAACATACCTGGGTAACCAGTAAACAAATAAAGAAACAAAATACTACCAGCACTTTAGAAGCCTGACTCACATTCCCTTTTAGTCATTACCTGCAGCCCCCTGCAAAACAAAACATCATTCTAAATTCTGACAGCATAGATTAGTTTTGCCTTAAACCTTATCTCACTGTAACTATTATCATTTAACAATGGTAATTAATCATCCCTTCTTATGTATTCTCATAGCTTTTATCTTATGTGTAATTAAATACACTTTCATTCTGCCTTGTTTATTGTTCAATTGGTTTTGATTAGTTCATTTATTCAAGCTACCTTTTTGAATACCTGCTATATGTCAGGTACTTTTTCAGGAAGTAGAGATAAGACAGATGTAGTTTCTGCCCTCATAGAATTTACATTCCAGAGGGGAAGACAGACAATAAAAGTAAACTGTGAAAGGAAAATAAATCTTGGGGTCCCCAAATCACTAAGTTAAAGGGAAAAGTCCAGGTGGGAACTTCTTAGGGCCAACCTGCCTCCCATTCTATTCAAAGTCACCCCTCTGCTCACTGAGATAAATGCATATCTGATTGGCTTATTTGGACTGGTGAATCAGAAACTCAAAAGAATGCAACCATTTGTCCTTATCTACCTATAACTTGGAAACCCCCTCCTCGCTTCAAGTTGTCCCACCTTTGCCTCAAGTTGTCCCACCTTTCGAGACTAAACCAATGTACATCTTACACATCATACTGATTGATGTCTCATGTCTCCCTAAAATGTGTAAAACCAAACTGTGCCCCTGCCACCTTGGGCACATGTCATCAGGAACACCTGAGGCTGTGTCACGGGCACGTGCCCTCAACCTTGGCAAAATAAACTTTCTAAATTAACTGAGACCTGTCTCAGATATTTGGGGTTCACATTTTGGTAACCATGGGGGGATTCTGAGTGGGGGTGCCCCGACCTTTGACAAATCTCCTATCAGTGTTTGGGACCAGCATGAGCTAACTTTATGGCTCAAACCAATAGGACAATTTGCTGAGGTCTGAGGTCCCCCTCCAGAGAATCCCAGATCTCCCAAAATTTGGTTGAGATCTAGTTTATTTTGCTTTACAACTCCCCTTTTCTTGGAGTTTTACTTGCTTCCAACAAGGAAGGCAAAATTTCCTGCTTCCATAATGATAGAAGGCAGGTAACTCCTTTATGGAGTTTGAGCTCGCTCCCAGCAGGGAAGACGAGTTTGAGGTTTTGTTCCTGCTTCTAGGATGGTAGAAAGCAGTCTTCAGCCTGAGACCTGTCCCTAGGTAAGTAGCTGAATTGGGGTTTTGTCTTGGCTAAAGTTTAATAACCAGCTAGTCTTAATTTCTCCTTACCATTAGAGCGCTCAGTGATAATATTGTTGGTTTTTTTGTTGTTATTGTTCGTTCTGGTCTTTCTCCCATCAGGTTTGACCGACTCTACCCGACTTGGTCAAATCCGAGTGAGAATTCCAAATTATGAATAACAAATCCTCTTTAATTTGGCTAAAGTTCCTCGCAGCTGCAAAAAAAAGGAAAAACAAAACAAAACAAAACACAAAAAACCACGTGTTTGATTCCTGTGTTTGCTTGTCTTAAAAAAAAATCCTTCGTTTACTTTTCTTCCACTCTATACCTCCTTCCCCCTTGCCATCTGCAGTACCAAAAAACCTAGAGAAGGCTTCTAATGACTTGAACCCCTTTAAAGAATTCAGAACAAAGGCGCTACTCACCCCTTTTGGGGTGTTCTGTTTTCCTTGTGGAGTTTCAAGAGTCATGGGCAGATTCTTCTTAGGTCTAAAGCTCTGTTTTCTTGTATTGCATGACCTGACCTCTTTATCTTTGGAGGTACCAGAGATTTACCTTGTACTGTGAGAGGATTTGACCTTGGTGAGTATAATAGCGGACAAGAGCTGCAAAGTAGTGGTGGCTGAGCCCAGTTTACAGGAAGAGGTCTTGGCTGTTGTTTTCCTTTTTTTCTTCTCCTAGGAAGTTGTTGTTTAAAGATACTAATTTTAGTTCAGAGATGCATTCTAAAGGGTCTTCTCTGTTGCTTTTTCTCCCAAAGTTAATCTCGATTCGGATTGTCTGTGCACATTTGTGTGAGGAGCTGAGCTGTTATTTTAATAGATAAATGAGAGACTGAGTTTTCTTAGCTCTGAAGAGAAAAGGCATTGTTCTCCTCCCAGCCAAAAGGCACCCCTGGGTGACCAGGGGCCTCCTAGGGGTGTCTGGGGGGTTAATCTCCCACAATGTGCAGCAGTCCTACAGGGAAATCCCCAACAAAAATTAGTTTAAAAAAAAAGGCGGCCGGGCGCGGTGGCTCATGCCTGTAATCCCAGAGCTTTGGGAGGCCGAGGCCGGCAGATCACGAGGTCAGGAGATTGAGACCATCCTGGCTAACATGGTGAAACCCCGTCTCTACTAAAAATACAAAAAATTAGCCGGATGTGGTGGTGGGCACCTGTAGTCCCAGTTACTTGGGAGGCTGAGGCAGGAGAATGACGTGAACCCGGGAGGCGGAGCTTGCAGTGAGCAGAGATCGCACCACTACACCCCAGCCTGGGTGACAGCGAGACTCCGTCTCAAAAAAAAAAAAAAAAAAAAAAGGCTCTTCCAGGAAACACATATAAGGGCTGATCACCCGGCATTTTGAGTCATTTCAGAGGTCATAGACCACTGGGGAGAGAAACTGAGAAATGTAAGGGGGTGGAAACTGTCACGCACATCCGTGTGAAGAGAGCACCAAACAGGCTTTGTGTGAGCAACAAGGCTGTTTATTTCACCTGGGTGCAGGCGGGCTGAGTCTGAAAAGAGAGTCAGTGAAAGGAGATAGGGATGGGGCCGTTTTATAGGATTTGGGTGGGTAGTGGAAAATTACAGTCAAAGGGGGTTGTTTTCTTGGGGGCAGGGGCGGGGGTCACAAGGTGCTCAGTGGGGGAGCTTCTGAGCCAGGAGAAGGAATTTCACAAGGTTAATCGCTCAGATTAAGGTGGGGCAGAAACAAATCACAATGGTGGAATGTCATCAGTTAAGGCAGGAACCGGCCATTTTCACTTCTTTTGTGATTCTTCATCTGCTTCAGGATGTATACGTGCAGGTCACAGGGGATATGATGGCTTAGCTTGGGCTCAGAGGCCTGACAGAAAGGACTCAGTGGTGATACACTGTGGAGTCCTGCCCACAAGCAGCACACACAGATCCACCACACTAAAACCCTAGGCCATAGCTCAGTTCCTCCTCTTAAGAAAAAAAAAGTGAGAAACAAATAATCTGAGAATGAGGAGAAAACAAGGAGAATGACACCCTTGTGAACACTCCATAGGTTTGATGGCACCTCGACTTGCCAGAGTTTATGTAAAATGGAAGTAATATGGTCTTTGTGCACATTTATATGAAGGAAAAAGAACCCTAAGGTCGACCTTTATACTATAGAGTTCCTAAGTCCTCTTTTTCCTCTATTTTCTTTTCTGCCTGCTTTAAATCTGCTATTATGTTTCTATTCAGATAAAAGCCACTGTTTGAATCCAACAAGTTCTTTTCGCAAGCAGGTGAATTTGTATTTATCTCATGGCTAAAGTTCTGAAGTAAAAGCTACAGAATCTTTGTGTGTGTATATATTTAAAAGGCCTTTATAATTTCTATAAGTTTATGTTTAATTGGCAATTAAATCTGTTTTAATTTCCCTCTAGCACACCAGACTTTTTCTCTCCATGCCTTATGATGTAAATTTTGCTATTTGATTTTCACCTGAGTTGTTTCCTTTAATATGCAAATTTAAAGCTATTTAGCTGACAACTACATAGGGTAGTAAAACAGGTTATCAAGAATTTGAAGGTCCAAGATAGGGAAAAAAAGGTTTTTATGAATCTATAAAATGTGCTTCTATTGGCATGCCTAATACGTCTATGTATTTATGTGGTGTGTACACAAAGTTTCACTACTGAAAATGTATGAAAGAGTTCTAATTAATTGGTTTAATAAAAGCACTTGATCCAATACTTTATCAGGAAAAAAGAAAACACTAGTCAAATGCTTTTTGAAGTTTATGTAACTTAAGTAAAATCTTCAATAAATAACCTAGCTTTAAAATTATTGGTAAAGTAATATTAGAAATGTCTTAAGACTGTCCAGCATACATTTTTGTTTGCATTTATTAATCAAGCAATTTCATACTTAACCCCTGCCACATACTATAGGGTGTCAAAATTTGGCATAGGAGTTACAAAACTACAAACCTAGCCCAAGACAGAATAATATTTGCTTATGTAATTTTTAATAAGTAAGACATAGATACTGGTTTCATGAAACTAGCTACATCTTGAATTTATTAAGATTACCATAACTTCTAATCTTGTGGCTTTAGACTGTCCAGTCCACAGGCAGTAAGATTTGTTTTGGGTAAGGACTGTTACCATCTTTGTTTCAAAGCTAAACTATAAACTAAATTCCTCCCAAAGTTAGTTTGGCCTATGCCCAGGAATGAACAAGACAGCTTGGAGGTTTGAAGCAAGATAGAGTCAGTTAGGTCAGCTCTTTTTCACTGTCTCAGTTATAATTTTGCAATGGCAGTTCCATAATTTTAAATGATAACTATTGCAGTTTTTATAAATAATATAGGTAAACGATTAAAATTAAATTACTAGGCAAATGTAATGGAATAAATACTTGTAGACAAACTCATTATAATTTAGAATCTAAAATTATATTAAATTAAATAATAGATATTTCATTATTTGGGCATTTTCCAATAAAAATATATTGTAGGAAAACATTCTAAAAAAAATGTGTCCTTTTTATTTTATTTATTTATTTATTTATTTATTTATTTATTTATTTATTTTTTATTCTTCTGAGACAGAGTCTCACTCAGTCGCCCAGGCTGGAGTGCAGTGGCGCGATCTCGGCTCACTGCAAGCTCCGCCTCCCGGGTTCACGCCATTCTCCTGTCTCAGCCTCCCCAGTAGCTGGGACTACAGGCGCCCGTCACCACGCCCGGCTAATTTTTTGTATTTTTAGTAGAGACGGGGTTTCACCGTGTTAGCCAGGATGGTCTCCATCTCCCGACCTCGTGATCCGCCCGCCTCGGCCTCCGAAAGTGCTGGGATTACAGGCGTGAGCCACCACGCCCGGCCGTGTGTTCTTTTTAAAAAGGTGAACAATTTTGTCTAATTCAAAGCTTATTTAAAGATTACGTATAAAACAAAGTAAAAGAAACCAGGAAATAAGAGAGCAATAAGGAAATTTATAAAAATAAAGAGGTTTTTTTTTTCCTTTGGTAAGAAAGCTTAAAGAGAAGTAATTTTATATGAGAAAGAATCTTGTATGGTAAATTTAGGCCTAGAATAAAATGACTGGTTGTTTAAGAAAGAGAGATGTTCAGGACAAACCAGGAAAAAAAAAAAAACTTTTATATGATCAAGTTGTCTATAATTAAAGGAAAATTATAAGGGTGTTTCTAGAGATTGGGCTTGACATTAAAAAAACCCTTATACACTAAATAACTGGTTAGAACAATAAAATTTCCTTAAGGGATTTATTTACCCTTAATAATCTGTAATATATTTTAATTTTTTTAACCCAAAGTTCAACTTTTATTGCATCTCGCCATTTTCGGTTTTCTCTCCCCTTTTAAAGGGCGTGAAATAGTAATGCTCTCCTTCAACTCATTTTCTTCAACTCATGTAAGTTTTTTCCTCCAGTTCTGTTTGTTGTGGCTTGATGCTAACAATGTGTTCTTAAAGGTCTAAAGAAAAAGTTTCCTTCCAACATAATATTCTGTGCAGTGCGGAAGGTCTTTTCTTTTGCCTTTTGGTAACTGGCTTAATAGATTTTATGGTTTATCAAAACAATTTCTATGCCATTATTGTTACATTTTGGCTTGCTTAGGGAAAAAACTAAGATAAAAAACTTCTTTTTAATTAAAGTTATTACATCCATGTACCTTTCTGTATGTGCTTTTAAAGTTCCTGTGACATTGAGTTACAGAGCTTTGACCCCTGAGTCTAAAAAGGACACCAAGTCCTGCTAAATCTTAAACACTGACAGTAATTAAAGCCTCATCTTCAGGCCCAGTAGAAGATGCCAATCAAAATAAACTGCATTCCTGAGACACAGGGCCAGAAATTAAAGCTATTCAACTCCTCAAGGCCAGGGACTATTGCAGAAGAGGTGGGCGTGTGAGATTGTAAAGGCTGATTTTGAGAGATAAAATAAGTTCAGTTTCTCTGTTAATTAATCATTAATGTCAAAGACACGCTGATGCAAGACCAGCATATGGGCCCCTGTGTCAGATTAACAAGGTTTTCTTGAAGCATTAACCAACTCCTTAATAAAGATTATAAAGGTTATAAAAGGCTTATGGAAGTTATATCTTATGATCAAGATTAAAATTTTATATACCGCTTATAAAATTTTGAAAAACAAATTTAATTGGCTTCAAGCTGTTTTTATCAAGACTTATTGTTTGGAAAATTAAGTGTCCTCTCTCAGATAATGAAGGTTTTCACCTTTTTTTTTTTTTTTTTTTTGAAATCCTTGAGTTATCACTTTGGTCAAATGAATGACTTATTTTACAATGAACTGTGATATCAAGTGTTTTAATTAAACCTTTGATATTTGACAAACTTCCCAAAATCAAATTATAAATTATGTTTTTTTCTGATCTAATTAATCTTTTACGATATTAGATTCCCTAAAGTCCAAAAATAGCATGATTTGGCTTTTTTGGTATAAAAATTATATAGGAAACATTGTCAAATATGAAATGGTGTTTGGTTTTCTTTGAGCCGTCTTTGTATAAATATGTTATTGGTATGTGTTCTAAAATCATGGTAAACTCCTATAATTCTGACATGACTTAGTTTACATTATCTGTAATAATTATAATTGTTTCAAAACTATAGTACACCTGTTGTTAGATTCTAGTCTTGCCTAATGTTTTTCAGTTTTTATTATTTTCTACAGTTTGGACAGAATTCTAATTTTTCTTGGCTACAAGTCTTCAAAATAATGTTTTCATTTTTTTCCTTCTTTTTTCCCCTATTTTTTCTAATTTGGAGTCACTGAAAACTAAGCTGTGCTTTTGTAAAGCCCTGCGAACTGAAGCCTGACAACTCAAACTTCAGAAGAAAATAACAGCAACAACAGCTATCAAAAAGGAAAGAAAGAAAGAAAGGAAGAAAGAAAGAAAAGAAAGAAAGAGAGACAGAAAGGAAGGAAGGAAGGGAGGGAGGGAGGAAGGAAAAGAAAAAGAGAAAGAAAGAAAAGGAAAGAAAGAGAAAGAAAGAAAGAAGAAAAGGAAGGAAGGAAGGAAATAGAGAGGGAGAGAAGGAAGGAAGGAAAAGGCCTCAGAAACAAGCCTCAGAACCAAGGTCTCTCTCTGCCCCTGCTCTGATCCCTTCTTTCCTGAAGCACAGACAGGGGCTTTCTCTGAAGTCCCTTTATGCCATTAAGGGAAGTTCTTCCAGAAGAAATGCAATTGTCTTAAAACTTTCTCCTTTAGAATTCTCATCAAATAATCAGAAAAGATTAATGACCAGAGCAGGTAAAAAGACTAAAAGTCATCACCACACCCAGATAGAGTTTTCATCTACTTTTCTGAGGGCAGCTCCCAGAGATTGCCTGGGAGACTTCATCTGCATAATAAGGCCACCTTTGTTCACAGTGAAATTCTATCTCTCACTTCCCACAAATTGCCACCACCTCCCCCAGAGCTCAGAGGAACTTCGTCCTAGCCAAGTTGTTTGCTCTTTGGGCCCATGCATTTCCCCTGAAAAGCATTTACTACCCATCAGGATTACCTACATCCCCCATGTTTCTTCTCCACTATAAAGAGGGTATTTAAGTCTCAAATCTCTGGCCCTTCTTTGGGTCTCATATTTGCCGAACTCCTGTGTCCATGTGCCCGTAAATAAATTTGTATGTTTCTTATCCTGATAGTGTCTATTGTCAGCTCATTTCAGTGAGCCTTCAGAGAGGGTGAAAGGGAAGCTTTCCCTCTGCTTCTACACAGGACATGGCTAGGATCTGGAATTTTATTTCTGAGCAGTTGGAAATCATTGGGAGGTTTTAAGTAGGGGAGAATAATGATCTGATCTATGTTATAGATGCTGTATAGAGAATGGACCGAAAGGGACCAAGGTAGATATGGAGAGAAGACCAGTTAGACGGTGATTGCATTAGTTCCAGGTGGAAAACACTAGTGGCTTGGATCAAGGTTGAGACAGAAAAGATGGAAATGGAAGTCAAATTCCAGATCTGTTTTGGAAGGAGAATTGACAGGCTCCCCAGTGAATTGAGTATGGTATGTATATATTTATTTGTGTGGTGTGTTTTCTGGAGCGAGGGGATGGTGGGGCATAGGGGAGGGAAAGGAAGGAATCAATGTTGATTCCTGGGTTTCTTTTGGAAGCAAATAGATGAATTGGGGAGCCACCATTTCCTGAGAGCAGGAAGCCTGTTTTTTCTTACTTGTTCATAAGATTAAGACAATGGGTTCTTTGTTTTTTTGTTTTCTTTTGTTTTTTTTTGAAACGGAGTCTTGCTGTTGCCCAGGCTGGAGTTCAGTGGCGTGATCTTGGCTCTCTGCAACCTCCGCCTCCCGGGTTCAAGCAATTCTCCTGCCTCAGCCTCCCAAGTAGCTGGGACTACAGGCGCATGCCACCACTCTGGCTAATTTTTTGTATTTTTAGTAGAGACAGGGTTTCACAGTGTTAGCCAGGATGGTCTCGATCTCCTGACCTCATGATCTGCCTGCCTCGGCCTCCCAAAGTGCTGGGATTACAGGCGTGAGCCACCGTGCCCGGCCAAGACAATGAGTTTTTTACTGAAGTATTCTTATGTCAGAGACATGTGATTCCAGAGCAACTCCATCTGGAATAGGGGCTGGGTAAAATAAGGCTGAGACCTGCTGGGCTGCATTCCCAGATGTTTAGGCATTCTAAGTCACAGGATGAGATAAGAGGTCGGCACAAGCTACAGGTCATAAAGACCTTGCTAATAAAACAGGTTTAGAGTAAAGAAGCCATCCAAAACCCACCAAAACCACGATGGGGAAGAGAGTGGCCTCTGTTTGTCCTCACTACTACACTCTCACCCGCGCCATGACAGTTTACAAATGCCCCGGCAATGTCAGGAAGTTACCCTATACGGTCTAAAAAGGGGAAGCATGAATAATCCACCCCTTGTTTAGCATATAATCAAGAAATAACCATAAAAATGGGCAACCAGCAGCCCAAAGGGCTGCTCTGCCTATGGAGTAGCCATTTCTTTTATACCTTTACTGTCTTAATTAACTTGCTTTTACTCTACCCTATGGACTCACCTCAAATTCTTTCTTGCGGGAGATCCAAGAACCCTCTCCTGGGGTCTGGATTGAAACACGTTTCTGGTAACACTTATAAAACCTATTATAGTACTAGCTGAATGTTGTTAAATAAATGAATTGAGTATCTTTTGTGATCAACTGTTACTTTTTTTTTTTTTTTGAGACGGAGTCTCACTCTGTTGCCCAGGCTGGAGTGTAGTGGCACTATCTCGGCTCACTGCAAGCTCTCCCTCCCGGGTTCACGCCATTCTCTTGCCTCAGCCTCCCGAGTAGCTGGGACTACAGGTGCCCACCACCACGCCCAGCTAATTTTTTGTATTTTTAGTAGAGACGGGGTTTCACCATGTTAGCCACGATGGTGTCGATCTCCTGACCTCGTGATCCGCCCGCCTCGGCCTCCCAAAGTGCTGGGATTACAGGCGTGAGCCACCGCGCCTGGCCAACTGTTATTTTTTATTACTGTCAATGTATTTGCCCCAAGTAAGTCCACACTTTCAGATTTCTTATCTTGAATCTTACGAGGTTTGAGAACCCGTGTAACAAAATCCTCTCAACTCCCTGCAATTACATCTACAAACCATGGTCAACATCTGCACCAGTCTTTTCCTCATTCCTTGCAGTAAAACCTGTGCTCTGGATCCTATCTCCTGTAGTATTGTTATAATTTATGGCTATTTTCATTTCCTTCTCCCAACCTCTGCCCCTTCCCCCGACTCCTGCTCTCTCCTGCTTTTATTTTTATCCGCTTCTTTTCTACACTCTCTATCCCATCGAAATGTGAATATGCTCAAGTTAATATCATTAAAAGGACAAAACAAAGAACAGAGTCTCTTTGGGTTTCATCCGGCTTCACCTATTGCTTATGCAATTCATTTTTTTTCTTGCCCTCTCGTTCAGCCTCTACCTCTTTCAATCCCCATTCACAAACTTCTTGGGTAAGTTGTCTGTACTGGATGTTTCTCCTAATTCAGCTCCCACTCTTTAGCAATCTGTATTCTGTTTTCTAACACTCTGCTCCAACTGGCTTTGCCAGGTTTATCAAGGAGCTGCTTGTTGGAATCTAATTAACATTTCTCCGTTGTCATTTTACTTGGCTTTCCCGAGCACTCAATGTTCTCTCTCTCCCTGAAGCTCTCCTCTCCCTTCACTGCTGGCATGCCATACCCTTGGATTTCTTCCCGCTGTTTTGCCAGCTTTTATTTTCTTCTGCCTGTTTCTGGATGTTTTGTCTGTCGGGATTCTTCTCTAGGTGTCCTTTCTTCTCACTCCATGCCCTCTGACTAGGTGAACTCATTTATTCCTCCGGCTTCCTTTACTATCCACAGGGTGAAGAGTCCCAAGTCTGACCTTTCTTGTGAGCTCAAGACAAAGATACATCTCAATGCCACCAAAATATCGCTTGTGCCTAGGTGCCATAAGCCTATTCAACAGATCTAGAATAAAATCCATCTTTCCTGTGCCACGCCATAATATGAATCATAGTTGAGCTGAAGGCAATTAAGCAGCAGATGCAGGAAAGCTCCCTGCTCTCCCTCTATTTGCTTAAAATCAGGACATAAATTTACAGAGACAAAAGATATCCTGTCCTTTCTCTATCAGAGAAAACAAGACAGTGTAAGCCCTTATTGGCCTGTAGATGCTACTAGAGGAATCTATAAGCTTTACTAACTAGCCTTTACCTGCCATTTATTTGCCTTCCCTCAAGTTTCCACCTCTAGAGATTCAAAGCCTTTTTCCTTTGTCTTGTCACTTCTCCAAAAGTTGACCATTCTTTGTTGAAGATGATATATAAGCTGGAATTCAAAGCTACCTCTTTGAGAACTACTTATTCTCCAAGTGTATGCTTCATGTATGAAATATACATGTTAATAAATTTGTTTTTCTCTTGTTAATTTATCTTTTGGTACAGGGGTCCATTCCAGCTAAGAACCTATGAATGTTGAAAAAATCATTTTTATTTTTCTTACACCTGACATAACTGCTCTTCCTCCTCTATTATCTTAATGAGAGGCATTATCTTTTGCCTGGCTAAAATATCACTTCGTGAGGGAAGACTTATCTGATTGCCTGTACTAGTTTAGGTCTCCCTGCCATGTGCTTCTTTAATTCCTCCCCAGTAATGGCACTTACGATATTTTATTACATTTGTTGGGTATTACAGGTGTAAGCCATCACACCCGGCCATTGGTTTAATTATCTATATCCCCCATACAATGTAAGATTCATTAGGGCAGGAACTGTTTCTATTTTTCTTGCAGTTATAATCCCAACAACTAGATAGGAAGCTGACATATAGTAGGTGCTCAATTTATTATTTGTTTAATGAATGAATAACATATGTTAGAATTGTAAATAAATTCAGGGGATAGCTTGGGGCACTCCAATATGAATAAATTACATGATAAGCTTTATTTTAGGTGACTGAAGAGAAGGTGGGGAAAAGGCATTACCTCTTCCTGCATATTGTTAGACATTTCTTCAGCACTCTTCCTTTTATACCCATTCAGGAAAAACAAAAGTTCCAGACCTGAAGTCAAATGATTGATTTCCTGATTTAAACCATCATTCCACACCACAATAGTTAAGCATTAAATAGATAGCTTAAATGTCAGGGAAAACACAATACGCTGTTCTTTTAATACACAATTCTGGTAATTGCTCTAGTTGGTTCTTCCGTTCTCAAAATCTAGTATCATCATCAAAAGAAAATTTGAGGCAAGATGGCAGAATAGAAGGCTCCACCAATACTTCTTGCTGCGAGGACACCAATTTAATAACTATCTACACACAAAAAAGCACCTTCATCAGAACCAAAAATCAGATGACCACTCACAGTACTTGGTTTTAACTTCATATCATTAAAACAGGCACCGGAGAGATAAGAAAAACAGTCTTGAATTGCTGATGCCACCCCTCCCCCATCCTCCAGCAGTGGCAGTCTGGTGCAGAGAGCGTTTCTGTATGCTGGGGAGCAGGAGATGGCAGCAACTGTGAGACAATCTAGTCAGTGCTTCCCTGTTTAACAGAAAACAAAACCAGACCAAACTCAGCTGACACCCACCCACAGAGGGAGCATTTAAACTAGTCCTAGCCGGAGGAGAATGGCCAATCCCAGTGGTCCCTACCTGAGTTCCCACAAGCCTCACCACCATGGGCTAAAGTGTTCCAGGGCCCTAAATAGACAAGCAAACCTTAGGTGAGTCCTACTGCTGAACTGGGCTCAGAGACAGTGGACTGGGGGTTCCATGACCTACTGAGACACCAGCTGGGGTGGCTAAAGGAGTGCTGGCATCACCCTATCCCTAACCCCAGAATGTACAGCTTGTGGCTCCAAAAGCAACCCTTTCCCTCTATTTGAGGACAGGAGAGGAGAGGAGAGGAGAGGGGGGAATAGGAGAGGAAAGCAGGGGAGAGGGAAGAGTGGGGAAGGCTATCATCTTGGATATCAGCTCAGCCATAGGAGGACAGGGCACCAGTCAGAGTTGTGAGGCCCCCATTCCAGGCCCTCGCTCCCTTGACAGTTCTAGACACACCCTGGGCAAGGGAACCTGATGCTTTGAAAGGAAAGACCCAGTCCTGAAAGAATTCATCACCTGCTAACTGAAGAGCCCTTGGGCCCTGAATAACCAGCAGCGATATCCAGGTACTATGTCAAGGGCCTTGGATGAGACTCTGAGACTTGCTGGCTTCAGGTGAGACTCAGCACATTCCCAGCTGGTGGTACCTATTGGACAAGATTCCTTCCACTTCAAAAAAGCAGAGGGAAAAGTAAAAGGGACTTTCTCTTGCATCTCAGGTATCAGCTTGGTCACGGCAGGGTAGAGCACCAAGTGGGCTCTTGGGGTTCCCAATTTCAGGATTTAGCTCTTAGAAAGCATTTCTGGACCTCCCTCAGGTCAGAGAAGCACCCATCACCCTGAAGGGTGAGTCCCAGGCCAGGCAGGATTCACCACAAGCTGACTTGAAGAGTCCTTGGGCCTTAAAGGAACATCAGTGCTAGCTTGGTATTACTCTATATGGGCTTCTGGTGATGGTGGCCATGGGGTGAGGCTCCTCTGCCTTTGAAAAGGGGAGGGAAGAGTGGGAAGGGACTGCATCTTGTGGTTTGAGTGTGAGCTCAGTCACAGTATAATAGAACACTAAGTAGACTTCTAAGGTTTTTGACTGTAGTCCCTAGCTCCCAGATGGCACCTCTGGACATGCCTGGGGCCTGGGAGAACTTGCCACCCTAAAGGGAAGAACACAGGCCTAACTGGCTTGCCACCTGCTGAATGTACAACCCCAGGGCTTTGAGCAAACATAGGCAGTAGCCAGAGAGTGGTTACAGCAGAACTTTGGTAAGACCCAGTGCTGTGCTGGCTTCAGGTCTGACCCAGTGTAGTCCTGGGGGTGATGGCCACAGGGATGCTTGTGTCACAACACTCCCACTTCCAGGTGGCTCCAAACAGAAAGAGATTTTGTTTGTTTGGAAGAGCATAAGGGAAGAGAACAAAAGTCTCTGCCTGGTAATCTGGAGAATTCTTCTGGATCTTGTCCAAGACCATCAAGGTGTACCTCCATGAGTCTGCAAGAACCACAGTGTTACTGGGCTTGGGGTGCCCCCTAAAGCAGATACAGCTTAGATCACAATAGTCAAGTCCTTTAGAATATCTAGAAAGCCTTCCCAAGAAGGGTGGGTACAAACAAGCTCAGACAGTAATGACTACAATAAATACCTAACTCTTCAATGCCCAGACCCCAAAGAGCATCGACTAGCATTTACACCATTCAGGAAACCATGACCTCACCAAATGAACTGGATAAGCCACCAGAAGCCTATCCTAGAAGAACAGAGATATGTGACCTTTCAGACAGAGAATTCAAAATAGCTGTGTTGATAACTCTCAAAGAAATTCAAGATAACACAGAGAGGCCGGGTGCAGTGGCTCACACCTGTAATCCCAGCACTTTGGGAGGCCGAGGCAGGTGGATCACGAGGTCAGGGGTTCGAGTCCAGCCTGACCAACAAGGTGAAACTCCGTCTCTACTAAAAATACAAAAATTAGCTGGGCGTGGTGGCAGGCGCCTGTAATCCCAGCTACTCAGGAGGCTGAGGCAGGAGAATTGCTTGAACCTGGGAGGCAGAGGTTGCAGTGAGCCAAGACTGCGCCACTGCACTCCAACCTGGGCGACAGAGTGAGACTCCGTCTCGAAATAAAAAAAAAAAAAGATAAAACAGAGAAAGAATTCAGAATTTTACCAGATAAATTTAACAAAGAAATTGAAATATTTTTTAAAAATCAAGCAGAAATTCTGGAGCTGAAAAATGCAATTGGCATGCTGAAGAACACACCAGAGTTCTTTAATAGCAGAATTGATCAAGCAGAAGAAATATTTAGTGTGCTTTAAGACATGCTATTTGAAAATACACAGTCAGAAGAGGCAAAAGACAAAAGAATAAAAAAGAATGAAGCATGCCTATAGGATCTAAAAAATACCATAAAAAGGGCAAATCTAAGAGTTATTGGCTTTAAAGTGGAGGTAGAGAAAAAAATAAGGGTAGAAAATTTATTCTAAGGGATAATAATAGAGAACTTCCCAAACCTAGAGAAAGATAGCAATATCGAAATACAATAATGTTATAGAATACCAAGCAGATTTAACCCAAAGAAGACTACTTCAATGCATTTAATAATCAAACTCTCAAAGATCAAGGATTTAAAAAGGATCCTAAAAGCATCATGAGAAAAGAAACAAATAAGCTACAATGCAGCTCCACTATGTCTGGTAGCAGATTTTTCTGTGGAAACCTTATAGACCAGGAGAGAGTGGTATGACATACTTAAAGTCCTGAATGAAAAAACTTTTACCCTAGAATCGTATATCTGATGAAAATATGTTTCAAACATAAAGGAGAAATAAAGTCTTTCACAGACAAACAAAAGCTGAGGGATTCCATCGACAACAGACCTGTCCTACAAGAAATACTAAAGGGAGGCTGTGCGCGGTGGCTCATGCCTGTAATCCCGACACTTTGGGAGGCCGAGGCGGGCGGATCACGAGGTCAGGAGATCGAGACCATCGTGGCTAACATGGTGAAACCCTGTCTCTACTAAAAATACAAAAAATTAGCCAGGCGTGGTGGCGGGCGCCTGTAGTCCCAGCTACTTGGGAGGCTGAGGTAGGAGAATGGCCTGAACCCAGGAGGCGAAGCTTGCAGTGAGCCGAGATCACGCCACTGCACTCCAGCCTGGGTGACAGAGCAAGACTCTGTCTCAAAAAAAAAAAAAAATGCTAAAGGGAGTACTTTAATCAGAAAGAAAAGGATGTTAATGACCAAGAAGAAATCATCTGAAGGTACAAAACTCACTGGCAATAGTAAGTACACAGAAAAGCACAGAATATCATAACACTATAACTGTGGTGTGTAAACCACTCTTATTTTAAGTAGAAAGACTAAAAGATGATCCAATCAAAAATAATAAGTAAAACTTTTCAAGACATAGAGAACAATAAGATATTAGTAGAAAGAACAAAAAGTTAAAATGAGGGGGAACAAAGTTAAGGCATAGAGCCTTTATTAGTTTTCGTTTTGTGTGTTTGATTATGCAAACAGTCCTAAGTTGTTATCAGCTTAAGATAATGCATTATAAGATAGTATTTGCAAGTCTCGTGGTAACCTCAAACCAAAAAACATAAAATAGATACACAAAAAAATTAAAAGCAAAAAAACTAAATCATATCATCAGAGAAAATCACCTCCACTAAAAGGAAGACAGGAAGGAAAGAAACAAGGAAGGAAGGAAGAGAAGACCACACACACACACACATACACAAACATGCACACACACACACACACAAACCCAGAAAACAGATAACAAAATGGCAGGAGTAAGTCCTTACTTATCAATAACAACATTTACTGTAAATGCACTAAACTCTCCAAACAAAAGATACAGAGTGACTAAATGGATAAAATAAACAAAATCCAATAATATGTTGCCCACAAGAAACACACTTCACCAATAAATACACACATAGACTGAAAATAAAGGGATAGAAAAAGATATTCCATGCCAATGGAAACAAAAACAAGGGCAGAAGTAGCTATACGCTATACATATATCAGACAAAATAGATTTCAAGACAAAAACTATAAAAGAGACAAATAAATTCACTAATGGTAAAGGGGCCAATTCAGCAAGAGGATATAACAATTTTAAATAGATATGCACCCAACATCAGAGCACCCAGATATATAAACAAATATTAGAGCTAAAGAGAGACATAGGCCCCAATACAATAAGAGCTAGATACTCCAGTATCCTACTTTTAGCAATGCACAGATTTTCTAAGCAGAAAATCAGCAGATAAACATTGGACTTAATAAATATTTACAGAATATTTCCTCCAATGGCTGCAGAATATACATTCTTTTCCTGAGAACATGGATCATTCTCAAAGACAGATCATGTGTTAGGTCACAAAACAAGTCTTAAAACACTCAAAAAAGTTGAAATAATATTAAGTATCTTCTCTGGCCACAATAGAGTAAAACTAGAAAGTAATAACAAGAGGGATTTTGGAAACTGTACAAACGGAAATTAAACAATATGCTCCTGAATGACCAGTAGGTCATTGAAGAAATTAAGAAGGAAATTGAAAAACTTTTTGAAACAAATGATAATGGAAACACAACATACACAAACCAATGGGATACAGCAAAAGCAGTATTAAAAGGGAAGTTTATAGCTATAAGTGTCTATATCAAAAAAGAAGAAAAACTTCAAATAAACAACCTAACGCTGCATCTTAAAGCACTAGAAGAGTAAGAGCAAACCAAACTCAAAACTAGTAGAAGAAATAATAATGATCAGAGCAGAAATAAATGAATTTGAAATGAAGAAAACAATGCAAAAGATCAATGCAACAAAACGTTTTTTTGAAAAGTTAAACAAAATTGACAAACCTTTAGCTAGACTAAGGAAAAGAGAGAATAAATAAATAAAATCAGAGATGAAAAAGGATACATTACAACTTTTATCACAAAAATTCAAAGGATCATTAGTGATTTCTATGAGAAATGATATGCCAATAAATTGGAAAATCTAGAAGAAATGGACAAATTTCCTAGACACATACAACCTACCAAAATTTAACCATGAAGAAATCCAAAACCATGAAGAAATCCAATAACAAGTAACAAGATTGAAGCCATAATAAAAAGTCACCCAGTAAAGAAAAGCCAGGGACCTGAGGGCTTTACTGCTGAATTCTACCAAACATTTAAAGAAGAACTAATACCAATCCTACTCAAACTATCCTGAAAAATAGAGGGGGAGGCAATACTTCTAAACTCATCCTACAAGGCAAGTACTATCCTGATACCAAAGCCAGACAAGCATGCATCAAAAAAAGAAAACTATAATCCAATATCCATAATGAACGTTGTTGGAAAAATTCTCAACAAAATACTGGCAAACTTAATTTAACAGCATATTAAAAAGATCATTCATCATGACCAAGTGGGATTTATCCCTGGGATGCAAGGATGGTTCAACATACAGAAATCAATCAGTGTGATGCATCACATCAACAGAATGAATGACAAAGACCATATGATCATTTCAATTGATGATGAAAAAGCATTTGATAAAATTCAACAACCTTCATGATAAAAACCCTAAAAAACTGGGTATAATAGGAACATAATTCAACATCATAAAAGCCATATGCTACAGACCCACTGCTAGTATAATACTGAATGGGGAAAAACTGAAAGCCTTTCCTCTAAGGTAGGGAACATGACGAGGATGCTCACTTTCACCACTGTTATTCAACATGGTACTGGAAGTCCTAGCTGGAGCAATCAGACAAGAGAATGAAATAAAGGGCATACAAATTGAAAAGGAAGAGGTCAAATTATCCTTGTTTGTAGATGATATTATCTTATATTTGGAAAAATCTCAAAACTCCACCAAAAAAAACTATTAGAACTTAAAAATTCAGTAAAGTTGCAGGGTACAAAATCAACATACAAAAATCAGTAGCATTTCTATATGCCAACAATAAACAATGTGAAAAAAATTTAAAAAGTAATTCCATTTACAATAACCACACATAAAGTTAAATACCTAGGAATTCACCTAACCAAATTGCTCATCTGACAAGGTATTAATAGTCAGAATATATAAGGAGCTCAAAAAACTCTATAGGAAAAAAATCTAATAATCTGATTAAAAAATGGGTGAAAGCCAGGCACAGTGGCTCATGACTGTAATCTCAGCATTTTGGGAGGCTGAGGTAGGTGGATCACTTGAGTTAAGAAGTTCAAGACCATTCTGGACAACATGGTGAAACCTCATCTCTACTAAATATACAAAAATTAGCTGGTTGTGGTGGTGGACGCCTGTAATCCCAGCTACTCAGGAAGCTGAGGCATGAGAATCTCTTGAGCCTGGGAGGCGGAGGTTGCAGTGAGCCAAGATCGTGCCACTGCACTCCAGCCTGGGCAACAGAGAGATACTGTCCCAAAAAAAAAAAAAAAAAAAAAAAAAAGAAAGAAAGAAAAAGAAAAAAGGTGAAAGATTTGAATAGACATTTCTCAAAAGAAGACATACATATGTCAAACAGGCACACGAAAAGCCGCTCAACATCATTGATCATCAGATAAATGCAAATCAAAACTACAATGAGATATCATCTCACCCCAGTTAAAATGGCTTTTATACAAAAGACAGGTGATAACAAATGCTGGTAAGGATGTGGAAAAAGGGAACCCTCTCACACCATTGGTGAGAATGTAAATTAGTATAACTATTATGGAGAATTGTTTAGAGGTTCCTCAAACAACTAAAAATAGAGCTACTGTATGATCCAGCAATCTCACTGCTGGGTATATAACTAAAAGAAAGGAAATCAGTATATCAAAGAGATATCTGCACTCCCATGTTTGTTGCAGCTCTGTTCACAATAGCCAAACTTTGGAAGCAACCAAAGTGTCTAACAACAAATGAATGGATAAAGAAAATGTGGTACATATACACAATGAAGTACTATTCAGCCGTAAAAAAAGAATGAGATCCTGTGACTTGCAACTACATGGATGGAACTGGGGGTCGTTATGCTAAGTGAAATAAACCACATACAGAAAGACAAACTTTGCATGTTTTCACTTATTTGTGGCATCTAAAAATCAAAACAATTGAACTCATGGAGATAGAGAGTAGAAGGATGAGAACCAGAGGTTGGGAAATACAGTGGTGGATGGTGGGGAGGGAGGTGGGATGGTTAATGGGTACAAAAAAATAGGTAGAAAGAATAATAAGTTCTAGCATTTGATAGCACAACAGGGTGACTATAGAAACTAATAATTTAGTTGTACATTTAAAAAGAACTGTAAGAGTATAATTGGATTGTTTGTAACAACAAGGATGAATGCTTGCAGGGATGCATACCCCATTTTACATGATGTGATTATTATGCATTGCATTCCTGTATCAAAACATCTCGTGTCTTACAAATATAAACACCTACTATGTACTTACAAAAATTAAAATAAAAAATTATAAATAAAAATAAAATTAAAATAAAAAAGTAAATTTGACAGTTCTGTGTTTAGAGAGTTTTAAGTTATTGAAATCAATTTTTATTATATTTTCCTATAATTATTTACATGCATTTTTACTTGCTAATTTGGCCTATCCCTTAGCAAGTCATAGATTTGAAACAACAAGATAGATACTAAAAAATCAATAGTAAGTGAGCATTGCATAATCTTGGTAAAATACTGACCCAAAAATATCACATACAGAAAGACACTTTCTAATCTAAAACTACTAATTCTGTTGGAGCTCAACAATGTAGATTTCATTTCATCTTCTTCATTTTCCACATCCTCTATATTTTAAAATCCTTAAACATGCATAAAAGACTCATTACAATATGAAATCTCCATTTGAAAGTTAGAAAAGCAACTCTATATGACACATTTTTTACCCAGAAATCCTTGAACCATTATCTAAATACCACAGTTGTCATTGCTTTTATGGAATGTTTCCTAAATACAGAACAATTATTTTTTATTTAAAAATTTTTAAATGATATATAATAGTTATGTTTATTTTTCAAAATTTTTATTGGTATTTAATAGTTCTGATATTTCTTTAAAAACATACAATAAAAGAAGAATAATCCAAGAATTAAGCCTAATTCTGAAACTGGAGGGCCTTGGCCCTTCTCAGTGGTTTGTAAGTTATAGTAAGGCAGTACTACATACACTTATACACAGTCCTAATAATGACACACTTCACATAGGGTTAGGTATCTTGGTATATCAGGATGTGAGTTAGTCACTTCTGAAAACTTTCTAGGAAAGCCTAATTACAGACAAACACTTCTTTGTTTCGATTTCAGGATTCCCAGCCTTGCCAAATTCTCATGTTAGTCCAGGACCCATGGAAACTCACCTTCCTCTTCTGAGAATGTCTTATTCACTGCCACGTTTACTCTATGATACTTTTAGGCAGGGAGAGAGAGTAGAACGACGTTTACATACTTTATTATACTCCAAAACACTAATGCTTTCCACCTAACCTGCACACGATTCCATTGGGATACAAGTCTGTAATAACAGTGATAATATTTCACTTAGAACTTCTGAATAGAAATAACTAATTTTAGATTATCGATCATCCACTATCAGCATATTAATTATCTATTGCTGCATAACAAATTACCCTAAAACTTAGCAGCTTAAAACAGCAAACATTTATTATTTTCTAGTTTATGTGGATCAGGAATCTGAATGCAGCTTACCTGGGTGCCTCTGGCTCAGAGTCTCTCATGAGCCTCAATCAAGGTGTCAGCTGTGGCCACAGTCATCTCAAGGCTCTACTGGAGGAAGAGCCAATTCCAAATTCACACATGTGGTTGCTGTCAGGACTCAGTTCCTTGTGAGCTGTTAGATTGAGGGCCTCAGTTCCTTGCTGGCTGTTGACTGGAGGCCATTCTCAGTTCCTGTCATATGGGCCTCTCCATATGACAGCTTATAACATGGCAGCTGGCTTCATAAGAGCAAACAAGCAAGAAGAGCCTGAGAGAGAGTATAAGGTGGAAGACATATTTTTTTTGCTCTTATTTCTGAGATTTCTTCATCTCTGTTTTCCAAATCTTCTGTTGGTTTTTGAAATTTTTGCTATCATGTTTTTCACTTCTAATAACTTTTTTTGATTGTTATTTTCTAAGTGGTTTTTCCATTGTAGTACCCTAGTCTTGTTTCACAGATGCAATATTTTCTCTTAACTCCCTGGGGATGTTAATAATTAAAATATTTGTATCCATTATGGTTCAACTAGAGAGACAGAGCCACAAGGATGTGTGTGTGTGTGTGTGTGTGTGTGTGTGTGTGTGTGTGTGTATGTCTGTGTTTCTTTGTATCTGATGTTAGAATGTTAAGTCCACAGAGCAGTGTGTCATGAGAAAAGATAACTGTAAAGTGGGGAAGGGAAAATGCAGTCTGGGATCTCATAAGGAGAGACTGAAATCCATGTCAGTTCTGACCTTAATGGTGTGAGTGTTCTGCTTCATCATGGAGGTAAACACACATATAGGAATTGGAAAAGCTGAAGGAGGATCCAGGGAAGGTAGAGAAGTTGCTGGTTCAGCCACTACTTCACATCAACACATGAGTCAGCAGATTAGCAACAACTTGTGTGAGCTACAAAATGGCTACTGTTTCCTGTCTAAGCTCCAAATCTTCCCAGAATCTCCCTTGCGGCTGATGGCAACAGGAAACATACAATAAAGAGAATTCTGGGAAATGTAGTTCAGTGTAGCTAAGTCGACACATTATAAAGCCACCACAATTACCAAACTACTTTTTTTTTTTTTTTGAGATGGAGTCTCACTCTGTCACCCAGGCTGGAGTGCCGTGGCACAGTCTCTGCTCACTGCAAGCTCTACCTCCTGGGTTCATGCCATTCTCCTGCCTCAGCCTCCCGAGTAGCTGGGACTACAGGCGCCAGCCACCAAGCCCAGGTAATTTTTTTTTGTATTTTTAGTAGAAACGGGGTTTCACAGTGTTCACCAGGATGGTCTCGATCTCCTGACCTCGTGGTCCACCTGCCTCGGCCTCCCAAAGTGCTGGAATTACAGGCGTGAGCCACCATGCCTGGCACCAAACTACTTTTTAGATTGCTATAGATTGCTCATACCATACATTTAAAAATGCATTTCATAGAGATTGATTCATTCAACATGTATTGAATCTGAGAACTAAAAATAAGATCCTATACCTCCCAACCACTGAATGGACTGGCCAAGGGGACCCCAGAGAAATTTTAAAAATTGAGTTCCCAGTCATGATGTGACAAGAGGTTGGACACAGTTTGTTATATTCCCTCCCTTTTGTGGTTTAGACACAACAATTAACCAACAATAGTGTTAAATAGAGATCATAAGATTGATAGAACGGGGTCTTTGTGACAATAAGATACCAAATTATAAACATGCCAGGCAAGGGTTAAGTCACGCACCACCACACTTAAAGAATAAACTATGTTCTATCTGCCACAACATTTTTCTTTTTCACTAGTAGCTAAACAAGCACTGGCCTTGAGATACACAATTTTTTTTTTTTTTTGAGACTGAGTCTCACTCTATCGCCCAGGCTGGAGTGCAGTGGTGCAATCTCAGCTCACTGCAACCTCCACCTCCCGGGTTCAAGCGATTCTCTTGCCTCAGCCCCGCCAAGTAGCTGGGATTACAGGTTCACACCACCACACCTGGCTAGGTTTTGTATTTTTGGTAGAGACAGGGTTTCATCATGTTGGCCAGGTTGGTCTTGAACTTCTGACCTCAGGCGATCTGCCTGCCTTAGCCTCCCAAAGTGTTTCAATTACAGGCGTGAGTCACCGCACATGGCCTGAGATAAACAATTTTTAAACATTTGTGGCTCATCCACCGCCAGGCACTGACTAACTAACCTCTTATACCAAAAGCCATGAAGGAGAATGATTTCAGTAACTTTCTTCTGATGAGAGACCACCAATCATAGACTGGTTCTCGTTTGTTTACAGAGGCTGCACACCTGATTGCCTCCATGTCCCTGCTTTAGCTTTTGATGTATAGGGCCTAATAGTAATTCATTTAAATGTTAAGTCTCTACCCTAACATGAACTTGGGTTGTATGTCACATACATGTTTGTTGAATACCCATGTGTCAGGATCCCCTTTGTGAATATTCATAGCTCCTGCTATAACCTGTTAAATATATATACTTGGCCAACCTGTTCAACGTAAGTTCCTCTTCCACCCTCCCCTCCCTCAAAGTGCCTATTTCTGGTCTCTACTGAAGGCCATACTTCCCAGCCTGTGGAATGGCCGCCCTGCAGACTATAAACCTTTATACAAAACAAAGTCTCTTTTCTAAATTTATAAATTTGTGATTTTTAAGTTGACAAGTCTCAATAGATAAGAGGTTTTAAGAAATTCACAGTTCCATCAATAGAGAGCAAGAGTGCAGATGGAGTCCCAGAGGTCTACATTCTCTAGTTACAATCATCTACTCCCCAGTCTCCATGTCATCACTGGCAGGAATGAAAAGGGAGACCAGATCTCTGTGTGTTTCTGGCAAGACTTCCATCTCTCCACTCATTACAGCTTTACTACCACTGTTTGCCTTGAGGGAATCAAGAATAATCTCACCATGATCTTTGGGAGTATACATTAATTCAGCCATTGTGGAAAGCAGTATGGTGATTCCTCAAAATGCTAAAAGCAGAACTATCATTTAACCTACCAATCCCGTTACTGGGTATATACTCAGAGGAATATAAATCATTTTACCATAAAGACACAGGCATGTGAATGTTCATTGCAGCACAATTCACAATAGCAAAGGCATGGAATCAATCTAAATGCCCATCAATGACAGATTGGATAAAGAAAATGTGGTACATATACACCATGGAGTACTATGCAGCCATAAAAAGAAATGAGATCATGTCCTTTAAACGGAGCTGGAGGCTGTTATCCTCAGCAAACTAATGCAGGAAGAGAAAACCAAATGCTGCATATTCTCACTTATAAGTGGGAACTAAGTGATGAGAATTTATGAACACAAAGAAGGAAACAGCAGACACTGGTCTATTTGAGGGTGGAGAGTGGGAGGAGGGAGAGGAACAGAAAAGATAACTATTATGTACTGGGCTTAATACCTGGGTGATGAAATAATTCATACAACAAACCCCCTTGACATGAGTTTACCTGTGTAATAAAGCTTCACATGTACCCCTAACCTAAAATAAACACTTTTAAAAAGTCTCACCATGATCTTTGTCCCTGTTTATGGCAGTACCCATAAGAAACCCATCATTTCTTTTCTATTCTCCCAGAAACTAATCCCCAAGTAATTCTCTGAGCAGTGACAACCCCTATCTCAAGTTCCATCCTTCTTCCTTGCTCTGTTTTTTCTCTATAGCACTTACAACTTTCTGACACAATGTTTGCTTTACTAAATTCTTTGTTTGTTTGATTTTATCCATTAAAATGTAATCTTTAAGTGGGCAGGGAATTTTTCTGTTATGATCACTGTTATAGCTCCAGAGGAAACTGCCCCACACATAATACATATTCAATAAACATTTGTAGACTAAAGGTAAGTTATCTACTCATTTCAATGATGCAATTTATGGTACCTGTTTGCTAATAAGTCATGGTTTTATTGAACTGAGCAAAAGATGGAATGAATAAAAGATATTCAGATGCTGTATTTATCCATGGGTTTAGATGTCATGAATGTTCTGGAAACAGTCTGCTTTTTCATGTTTTTTTAAAAGAATCCACAGAAACAACCCCAGGGAACTACTTTATCTTACTTTTTTTATTGTTTTGAGACGGAGTTTTGCCCTTGTTGCCCAGGCTGGAGTGCAAAGGCGGGGTCTTGGCTCACTGACGCCTCTGCCTCCCGGGTTCAAGCGATTCTCCTGCCTCAGCCTCCCGAGTAGCTGGGATGACAGGTGCATATCACCACACCCGGCTAATTTTTGTATTTTTAGTAGGGACAGGGTTTCTCCATGTTGGCCAGGATGGTCTCGAACTCCTGACCTCAGGTGATCCACTTGCCTCAACCTCTCAAAGTACTGGGATTACAGGCGTGAGCCACTGCACCTGGCCTTATCTTACTTTCTGTAAGAAATAATTTCTGGAGACTATAGAAGGATGTTTATGTTACTCCTTGGTGTTTTGACAGAGCACATCAGTCCTCTACTGATTCTGGTTTTCTTAAAATTGTGAAGACTATTTCTAAAATATTTGAACCTGAAAATATTATAATGGTTTTTCAGCTGTACTCATCATTTCTTTACCCTAACTGCTTGAAGGTTTATTAATAAGCTAAGGCAATAAACTCTGGGTACCAATTCATCTCAGAAGTGTAGTTTAATATCCTCTTCTCAAAAGCAGTTGTTCTGTGTTGCCTGTATGTGTTTCCAAGTCCAGGATTATTTAGCCCAGATAAAAGTAAGAACCAACTGAGAAAGGGTTTGTAAGGTTCACCAGGCTTTTCTGCAAAACCAGACAGCCAGCTGTTCCTTATTGTGCTAGAAACAATGCTATATGCTCACCAAATCCCATTTCATTTTCCACTGTCTGGATAAATAGGAAAGTTACAGTCTCCAAATTCACTTGCTTTGAAATTTCAGCCATGTAACTGGATTCTAGGTAATGGGTTGTGTGTGGTGGAAGTGGGTGAAGGCCATGTTTTCCGAATGGTATATATTCAAGATGGTGGAGCTTCCAAGACTTGGGTGACTGATTGTGTAGCACAGTCCCCCATTGACTGTGCTGATCATATGTGAGTCAGAAATAATTTGTTGTCATGTTAAACCACTGAGATTTTAGGTTTTATTTGTTACTGTTTCCTGACTAATCCAGCCACCATTGGTAGGAACCTGTGACTGAACTGAAAAACTCAAAACTTAGGTCGATTAAAAATATATTCTGGTTCCTAGGTAAACATTTCAGAAAAAGCTACTTCACTCCACAATGTGGGAAGTTTGTTACAAAATCAGGAGTTTTCTGGAGTCCCTTCCTTCTTTCTTAGGAGCCATCATTTGCTAATCTATGAACATAGTCAAAAGGCTTGGTCTTTTCTGCATATGTTCTCTCCAGAAAAATTATCTTATGTCTTGG
This sequence comes from Homo sapiens, assembly GCF_000001405.40. Classification (NCBI taxonomy): domain Eukaryota; kingdom Metazoa; phylum Chordata; class Mammalia; order Primates; family Hominidae; genus Homo; species Homo sapiens. The sequence continues at coordinate 43,599,759 of NC_000023.11, read as the reverse complement.
TTCTTTCTTCTGCCTCGGGCTTAACTGTGGGAAGCTTTCCAGGACTGGAAATCACCTCTGTGCTCTCAGAGATCTGGTCCAGTTAGTCAGCAGATGTACTCTCCTTTCTCCTTAGGCAAGGAATGGGGGATAGAATACAACAGACCTATTTGCTCTGGATACTCTGCCTCTACACCCTGTTCCTACAGGGATAAAGCATTTTTAGAAAAGAGGTATAGAGAGGGAGATACAAATTAAAGTTCTAGCTGCATTAGACTTTGCTTTCCATCTCCCAAGGGATGCTCCCAAAGACATAGGTCTTCCCTTGGAGAAGGCCAATCTCTCCCAGCTTCCCTTAACTCCTAATTGGCCTTTTCACCCTCAGGTTGGGCCTCTTCTTCCCAAGAACGATTTCTTTCAAATCTCTCAGTCTGAATACTCTTTCTTCTCTGTCAGGAAAACCACACGCTACCCCAGAAGGAAAGATCTATCTGGTTCTGTGTTAGGCACAGAGATATACCCGCTAGATTCTCCTTCAAGGAAGGATTTATTACCCAGCTGTGAGAAGTATAGTCAGCAGGCAGTTTCCGGCTGTCAGTCCTTCAGAATCTGCCTCATCTGCAGAGAGCAGCCCTGTTGGAGGTTGAGTCCTTCCAGGGTAGCAAGCATTCAATGACTGAGTGAGGCAGAGGTATAAAGGCCCTGTTATTTTGGCCTAATGGGAGACAACTCTAATGGGCAATGTTCTCTTCAGAGATCTCCACTGAATTGAACTAGGATGTATTGAACCTACACCGTAGCTCACCTGCTCCCTCTGCTCTCACTTCCTAACACGTTGACCCCTAATAAACATCTTGCACCCCAAATTCTATCACAGCATCTGCTTCCAGAGAACTCAACCTGCAAGAGGCTCTCTGGATCCTGTTTGGTTCCTGAAGTCATTACTAGAGGTCTCCTGTATTTTCTGGGTAGACTTTGTTTGTCACTGGTTGTTCAGAGGCAGAGGTGGGGGTAAGGGGTTTGTGGAGATTTCCTATTGTCCAAGCAAACTGACAGCCATGTAGCTCCATTATCCAGTGACATAATCACCTCTTTTAAATGCTAATCCATTCCTTTTAGAGATTATATAACCCAACTGCATATTAGGAAAAACATATTTCCTCAATAAGAGAAGAGCTGTCTCTGCTTTTGGAAACATTGTGAAATGTCTTTTGTTGTATTATTTGAGGATAATAATATAATTCATATTTCTGCCATAATTCAATAATTCAACTCTGCTATAGAAAAGAAAATTAAATGGAATAGAAGAAAGTCATAAGAAGTGTTAACAATAAATAGTAAGCTAGAAGCTTATAAAATACAGACAAAATTTATAGAATGTGTTAAGTGTAAGTAATAAATAAGCATGTAGTTTGTGATACAGGCAGAATATATAAAAGTGTTTAAATGTAAATAGTAAATTAGTAACCTATAAGATATGTTAAAAGATAGAATAAATGAAATATGCAATAGAATAGAGTGTTATTATGGCTAGAAAGTGATGGACAGGCCAAGACCAAGTCATGATTATGCTACCTTTGGACTGACAGTTGTGTAGCCCCTAAATTGGTCATCCATTGGTGACATCCAGTAGAGTACAATACTGGACTCATATGTGCTCTTCCCAAAAAAACAAATAAATCTCATAGCTCTTCAGCAGAAGTATCAATAAGCTACATCTGTGTTCAGGTGTGCTGGTCCCTGTACATCTCCAACAGAGCAAGTGTGTGCCATTAGTCCCAGGAATCTTCCATTTGTGGCCTGAGATCCCATAACACATAATTTTATAACTACATTATCAATGTAGCATGATGTAGTATGGTGGGGATTTGGGGGTGGGAGAGAGAGAGAGAGAAAGAGAGAACAGAAGAACGTTCTAAGGATTCAGGTGTGCAGTCCTTCCACCCTGCTTGTACCCTATCTTAAGTGTATTAAGGTACCCCATCTCTTTCCTCTTGTTTCTCACTCTGTGTTTTAAACTTATTTAAAGACTGTGTATGATTTAAACATTTATAATTTCGTTAATAAGCCTTTCTGTTTCATAACCTCTAGGATAGCTTGCCTGATAGTAATCTGTATGACCACCATTGTATAAAAATGGTTTCCCACCTGATATAGTGTTTTCTTACTGAGCAATTCATCATTCTTAGCTGTGATTTAGAAATCACAAAAGAGTACCACTAGTATTTAATAGAAACTTTTTCTGTCTCACAGGGAACTATATTAGTTTTTTTTTTTTTTTTTACTTCAGTGGTTATCGTGGTTTTAAAATAAGTTCACAAATTATTTGATGTTTCTCCTTTGAAGAGTTGAAGCTTAATTTCATTCTTTTTGAGTGTGGGCTGGACTTAGAGACTCACTTCTCATCAATGGCATATGGCAGAAACAATGGTTTATAACTTCTAAGTTACATTGTGGCTTACTTCTTGCTTCTCTTTGTCTTGGATCATTTCCTCTGGCGGGAAAACAACTGTCACATGAGAACACTCAAACAACACTATGGTATGATCCATCTGGTGAAGAACTGATGACTCTGGCCAATAGCCACCTGAGTGAGCTTGGAATGGGATCTTTCAACCTCAGGCAAGCCTTCAGGAGACTACAGCCCTGGCCGACATCTTGATTATAATGTCTTGGCAGATCGTGAATCAGAACCATTCTAAGCCATTCTCAAATATTTGATCCACAGAAATTGTTAAATAAACATTTGCTATTTTAGGCTAAGTTTTGGGGTAAGTTGTTAATTCAGTCATAAGAAACTAATACAATGAGTCACCCTGATAGATAGGCAAGTGTGAGGGGTTCTTTGATATGAATATTCATGGAAAAGGGTCTTTCATTTCCTTTCAAAAAGTCTAATTTTATCTTAGGGCACAGGGAGATCAAGGAAACCAGTAATTTGTAGAGAATAAAGAATCAACATTTCTAGGTTTTGTGAAAAGAATTGTAGGAAACCTTGCATTTAAAATTGTTTAATTTTCTTTTCTTTTTTTTTTTTTTTGAGACAGAGTCTCGCTCTGTTGCCCAGGCTTGAGTGCAGTGGCGCCATCTTGGCTCACTGCAACTTCCGACTCCCTGGTTCAAGCGATTCTCCTGCCTCAGTCTCCTGAGTAGCTGGGACTACAGGGGCGCACCACCACACCCGGCTGATTTTTGTATTTTTAGTAGAGACGGGGTTTCACCATGTTGGCCAGGCTGGTCTCGAACTCCTGACCTCAGGTGATCTGCCCGCTTTGGCCTCCCAAAGGGTTGGTATTATAGGCGTGAGCCACCACGTCCGGCCATAAAATTGTTTAATTTTCATAAGGCTGTGCCACATTCATGATATTAAAAAAAGCTTGAAATAATTTGCTTGGCCCTTTCTATGTTTGAATGATGAATGATATCTCCAAGGGAGTCAATACCTCATCAGAAGCAAAAACCTGATATGGATTTAATGCCTTATTGTTGCTCCTCAAATTTATATTTAACCTAAAATTGTATTTAACTTACCAAAATTCACACCCATCCCCCTTAAAAAAATATGTTTACTTAATTTATATTAGGCTTAGGTCAAGCTTCAGGAAACCTCAATAATGTAATACTTGCAGCAGAACTGTGTTTTGCAATGCTGCAGCAGAGTGACTACATAACACAATACAATAAATACCCTTCTTGTTGCCTGCCTGTCTGACTTATGGTCATGACAAATTTATATTTATTCCTGGTAGACTTCATATAATGTCCACCATGTTAGGAGGAAGAAATATTTCAGCTTTCAGCAATTATTTCACAGTCTTCCTTTCCATCAAGTATTTGCTGAAAAATTTGAGGGATGACTGTATCACTTGATTTTCTGTGCCAATGCACGCACACAAAAAGCATAGACAGGCTTTAGAACCAGACATAATTGGTTTAAATTCTGGTTCTACTGCTCACTCGCAGCAGGATTAAACACAGTACCTAATATTCTTGAGTTTTTGTATCTTCATTTATAAAATGAACATATGACTTCAGTCTTACGGTGGTCTCTAAAGACTCAGGGAAATAATGTATGCTATGAATGTCACATTGTAGAGATACCTTTTCCCTTTCTGCCTTTCTTCATCACTGTAAACCACCACTCGTGCCTCCCATCCTTATGTACTCCGTAACATTCTATGGTCCCTCCTATAGTGCTTCTCCACTAATATTTACCGAATTCATTATTTTGTTGAGGGTATCAAAAACACTTCGGAGTTTTATAAACTATGGCAGAAATATCTGTTACTGATTAGCCAAATCACTCTCTCCCGCTGTGTGTGCGTGTGTGTAATTATATTACCTGATATATCCTTATAAACACAAAACAAGTTGATTCAAATATAGAATCATGGGAGTAGAGATAATTCTTTCCTTTCAAAATTGCTGCTTGCCTTTCCTCTTTACCAGTCATTCAATTTATCTTTTAGAAACACAATTTGTTAGGATATTCATGAGTTCTTTATCATTGTTATCTGAATACTATTTTTGTGTTAACCAGAAAGAGTGGTTTGAATAAACTTGTAGGTAAATCTGGTTTATTATCTATTCTTTTTTTTTCCTTTTTTTTTTGAGATGGAGTCTCACTCTGTCGCCCAGACTGGAGTGCAATGGCACGATCTCGGCTCACTGCAACCTCCACCTCCTGGGTTCAAGTGATTCTTCTGCCTCAGCCTCCTGAGTAGCTGGGATTACAGGCACCCACCACTACGTCCAGCTAATTTTTGTATTTTTAGTAAAGATAAGGTTTCACCATGTTGGCCAGGCTGGTCTTGAACTCCTGACCTCAGATGATCCACCCGCCGCGGCCTCCCAAAGTGCTGGGATTACAGGTATGAGCCACTGTGCCCGGCCCATTCTTTAAACAAATTGTTGTGTCTGTGCATCTCACGTTTTTCTCTTTAAACCAGTGGGTCTCAAACTACATCAGAACTCTTCACAGCTTGTTATAAGAGCAGATGCCTGGGCCCTATGTCTTCCCAGTTGGATTCAGTAGGGCTGGAGTAGAAGCCTAAGCATCTATATCTTAAGCAAAGAAAACAAGTCTACAATGGCTTCTAATACACATAAAAGTTTAAAAACCAAAGACACCAACCTTTACTTTTAAAAATTGAGATTATTATCTTTTGTAAAAAGAAAATCCTATTTTTAAAACCTTACTTTGTAATGACAGCCCTTACAATCAAGTCCTGTCATTTAAGTCATACTTAGTAGTTATTTTAGTCTCCTTCCTTTCCCTCACTTCATACATCTAATCCATGGAAGTGTTTAGTAGTTTCTTTCTCCAAGACATATCCTGAATCTGCCCACTTTCACCATTCTCCATTGGCATCTTCCTCATCCAGGTACGGAGCAGTGCAACAGCTTCAAACTGGCCTTCCAGCTCCCCTCTTGATCTGCTTTAGTACATCATGTCAAATAGCAGCAAAAGTAATCTTCTTAAAGTCTTAGACAGATCATGTCACTTCCTAGCTTACAGCTTTTCCATGGCTTCCCTCTATACCTGGAAAAAAACCCAACCTACTTCCCATGACCTATGAGGCCCTGAATCACTTGGCCCCTGCTCATCTCTCCAGCCCAATCTTGGACCATTTTCCCCTCGCTCAGTGGGCTTCAACCCCACCAGTTTTCACTAGCAGCTTTCCCACCCCAGGGATTTACATATATTGCTTCTTCCAATCTTTATGGGTTTGGTTGTTTCCTTCGTTAGGTCTCAGCTCAAATCATTTTCCCAGAGAAGCCTCCTCTGACAACTCATTCCAGGTAGAGATCCCCTTCCTTCCACCATATTCCCTGTCTCAGCCCCTTATTTGTCTGCTGCATAGCATCTATGACAATTTACATTTACTTTATCAATGTCTATGTTTGATCGATTTTTATTTCCCTCCTCTATGAGCAGGTAAGCTCCATGAAGGAAGGAAGCTCATTTCTCATTATATTCCCAATGCTCCTTGAATCTTATAGGGAATGCTACAAAATATTAGCTTGTTCTACTTCCCATCCACAGCCCCCATTCAACATATCTTTTTATTATCTTTCTTTCACCTATATCTGATGGACAAAAAAATGATATGAAGTTTTTGATAGACTGAGAAAAAGCAAGTGATTGATTTGGTTTAAGATGTTTACTTTTTCAATAAAAGGCTTTCACTGAGTCACACGGATGGCTTAGTAATGGAGCTTGCAAATAAATAAAGCTTAGCCTAGAGGCTTTAATGCTCCTTTAAACATCAAGAAAGGCTGAAGAATTTATTGAGGAAGGGGAGTAGAAAATGTTAGCTTTAATACATCTCAAACTAGAGGCAGGAACCTTCCAATAGAGAGTAAATAATCTATCATCTGTAAGGAAACAACTAGCAAAAGGCCATCTAGCACAAAATACTCCCACCAAGTAAAATACCCACCAAAGTCTTTTACAGGGATCTTCTTGTTACGACATCATAATGAATCCTTAGCAGGAATGCCTCAATACAAAGGTGTCAAGGATGTTGCTCAGCACCACTAGGTTTGCCTAAGCAGGCACTCTAGCCATCAAAGCAGAGTGCCACAGTGTGTGTCGATGGAGAACTCCCTGCCTACAAATTAAACTTCAACATTTGTCCCACATGCCAATGAAGTAGAAGATGAGCTTTCTTGGAAGGATCATTTGCAAGAGGAAAGTGCTAACAAGCTTTCCAGTAGTGAAAGTTTTCCCTGACAGTTATAGTCCTCCTGAGGCCCTTTAGATGGACTCCAGAATCCAGTGGCCCTAGGGGTGGAAGTGAGACAGGCAGGTAGTAACAAGTCTTGCAGAGTCCCACGTTCTTTCCCATCGTGAACAAAGCTCTGTTTTTAGAGATGTTTCTCCTCTTCATCAAAGAAGTCTGTACTGGATGCTGCCTGGAAAATTCCCTTATATTGCTGAATTGACTGTAGAGGCTGAATAGCTGACAGAGCAAGAATACATCCAGCTCTTGGAGGCTAGCCATCACCTTGTGGAGCACAATGCTGAGAATACAGTAGACTTTTTTGGTTAATAAGCTTTTATTTTGAAATAATTTTAGATTTAGAGAAGGGTTACAAACAAAATACAGAGAGTTCCTGTGTACCCTTTACCTGGCTACCCTTAATGTGAACATCTTACATACCGTGGTGCATTTCTCAAAACTAAGAAATAAACTTTGGTATAAACATTGTGATATAAACCACAAACTTTATTAGAATTTAATTAGTTTGTCCTACATTAGGCTTTTAATGGCTCTGATTTTCCAATAGGAATACCTCTGAGCCAAAAGTTAAAAAGGGCCATGCGCAGTGGTTCACGCCTGTAATCCTAGCACTTTGGGAGGCTGAGGTGGGTGGATCACCTGAGGTCAGGAGTTCAAGACTAGCCTGGCCAACATGGTGAAACCCCATCCCTACTAAAAATACAAAAATTAGCCAGGAGTGGTGGCGGGTGCCTGTAATCCCAGCTACTTGGGAGGCTGAGGCAGGAGAATCACTTGAACATGGAGGGCGGAGGTTGCAGTGAGTCGAGATCGTGCCACCTCACTCCAGCCTGAGCAAAAGAATGAAACTCCATCTCAAAAAAACAACAGCAACAACAACAACACCACCACCACCACACACACACACACACACACACACACACACACACAGACACACAGAACAAAAATTAAAAGGGAGCACCTGTTTGATAAGGTCAAAAGTGAGTCAGTATTCAACCAGCCAGTCAGAAGGTCAGTTTATATAAAGAGGGTAGCCAAACACCATTTATGTTTTCTGAATGTCATAAAGGTAGGTGCTCCTTCATTCTCAATTGCTTTGATCTTTTCATTAGGCACAATAGTTCTTCCTCTAGTTAGCCTTTTTCTAGTTTGCTGTTTTCATTTCTTGACAACTCTTGACAGTCCGGTTGAGTAACAAGTGGTTTGTTAACTGTGAGAGCAAAGAGCTGATTTTACTTTGTCCTTGGTCAAGATGAAACACGTGAATTTTGCAGTATAGTCAATGCATGGAAATTGTAGCAAATAACTGGAAGAAAGTACTAGTAGAATAATTTAGCAGAAAGAACACTTAAATGCTTTTTGCTTTATCTTACTCCAAACTATTTTATTCTTTTTTTTTTTTTTTTTTTTTTTTTTGAGACGGAGTCTCGCTCTGTGGCCCAGGCGGGAGTGCAGTGGCGCAATCTCGGCTCACTGCAAGCTCCGCCTCCCGGGTTCACGCCATTCTCCTGCCTCAGCCTCCCGAGTAGCTGGGACTACAGGCGCCCACCATCACGCCCGGCTATTTTTTTTGTATTTTTAGTAGAGACGGGGTTTCACCGTGTTAGCCAGGATGGTCTCGATCTCCTGACCTCGTGATCCGCCCGCCTCGGCCTCCCAAAGTGCTGGGATTACAAGCGTGAGCCACCGCGCCCGGCCACTATTTTATTCTTAAATGAGATTAAGTTTCTACATCTAACTCTGATATTTGCCGTTCAGTTCTAAACTACACAGTTCTCCCAGCCGGGCGTGGTGGCTCATGCCTGTAATCCCAGCACTTTGGGAGGCCGAGATGTGCAGATCAACTGAGGTCAGGAGTTGGAGACCAGCCTGGCCAACATGGTGAAACCCTGTCTCTACTAAAAATTCAAAAATTAGCTGGGCCTGGTGGCGGGGACCTGTAGTCCCAGCTACTCAGGAGGCTGAGGCAGGAGAATCGCTGGAACCTGGGAGGCAGAGGTTGCAATGAGCCGAGATTGCGCCACTGCACTCCAGCCTGGGTGACAGAATGAGACTCCATCTCAAAAAATAAATAAATAAGTAAATAAACTAGACAGCTCTGCTTGACTAACACAACCACTTGGGCCAGATGAGAAACAAGACATTACAATTTTCTTTGAGGTACTTTGTTTTTTAGAGACTATCACTGTATGAGGCAACCATAGCACAAGGCTTTACATTCTTGTTGGCTTCTGTTTTTTGTTCCCTCATATGCCAATTCTCTTCTGAGTACAATTAATTTAAAGTGTTGGAGCTGTGAGCTTAATCAAGAGGATTTTTCAGAAAACACCCTAAAAACTTCTAAAAGTGATTTCCTACTATGTACTCAGAGAGCTAAGAGGGAAATTTTAGGGGTCCACCACTGGATTATTTCTGTCATAGTAGGACTTATCTTGAAATTGGTGTTCCCTGGCTTTCTTCTTGGATTTAACACTTGCCTCAAATAGACCAGAATCTTGGCTCATCAGCAATAATATTTTACATGGTACAGTGCTTCATATCTCACAGTTTTCCCATTTTTGTTCTCACTTCGTTGTTAAGCATCTGTGGTCTGATTATCACTCATCAGTGAGTGATCTGTGCTCTATGGCTTAAATAACTGAAGCTTTAGATGTGCAATTTCTCAAGGATACAGAGTTAGTAAGTGGCCAAGTTGAAATGAGACTGCTTATTTTTTTCTAGCCAAGCAAGTTTTTGGTATTAACTCAAAACCAGCCTAAGTTACATCAGCACTGCCCTTCATGTTCCGGGGAGTCTTTGTGTGCTAACTCCTCTCTAGAAATGGTCTCACATTTTAATCATATTTCAATGTCAGGGACTTTTAAATGTTGTTTGTCTTTGGCTCTGAAATCATTTGGCCAAAATTAATCTAACAGTGTGGAGCTTTCTTTGTTTAATGAAACCGAGAAAGAGGCAATAATAAAGGGCTTCTCATTGTCAGCAAAGGGTTAACTATTTTAACTCCAGTTGTTTTCACTGGAAAGGTTTTTCTGTTGTAATATAACTAGAACATCTAGTTCTGTTCTATTCTGACTACCCCTCCCTTTTCTAGACTCTTGCTCAATCAGTTACCTTTATAACTTTTCCCTAGTGTAACTTTTGTTTACATATGAGTTTGCCTTTCCAATACGGTTAGGACTCAAGTAAGCTTTTTATCCTGGGTTTCCTCATTTGCAAAGCACTAACGACCTCAGGTTTTCCTGCTTGCAGTACTGTTAGAACTTAGACCTAATGAGAGTTGGCAAATACTTCATTTTTTTAAAAACATTTGGCAAACAAATGAGGAGCACTGGAAAGGCCCTGCTTGAATGTGATATAGTAAAAATTAGCTTACATTCAGAAGGTAAAAATCTGCCTTGCTATTCATCAAGTTGGTACAATCACCGATACAAATAAAGCCAGCTGTACATTATCAGGAAGGAATATGTTTTCAGGTCACTGCAGCTGTATATGTCATAAGCACCTCCTTCTTTAACTATTGTGTTTTTACTGAGAAATGTGTTCTCCAAAATCATAGACTATCAGAAACTTAAGTGTTTAAAATTAGAAGAGTAACATTAAATCACCCACTCTTTTTTTTTTTTTTAACAATAATAACAGTAATTTATTTTGAACATGATATTATATATTTGACCCCTTACTTTTTTCTTTGGATATGTGTGTGTTGGGGGAATGACATCAAAGACCTTTTAGTTTTTTTTTTTTTTTTTTTAATGTTTTTTTTTTGTTATTATACTCTAAGTTTTAGGGTACATGTGCACATTGTGCAGGTTAGTTACATATGTATACATGTGCCATGCTGGTGCGCTGCACCCACTAACGTGTCATCTAGCATTAGGTATATCTCCCAATGCTATCCCTCCCCCCTCCCCCGACCCCACCACAGTCCCCAGAGTGTGATATTCCCCTTCCTGTGTCCATGTGATCTCATTGTTCAATTCCCACCTATGAGTGAGAATATGCGGTGTACTCAAACAAATTTACAAGAAAAAAACAAACAACCCCATCAAAAAGTGGGCGAAGGACATGAACAGACACTTCTCAAAAGAAGACATTTATGCAGCCAAAAAACACATGAAGAAATGCTCATCATCACTGGCCATCAGAGAAATGCAAATCAAAACCACTATGAGATATCATCTCACACCAGTTAGAATGGCAATCATTAAAAAGTCAGGAAACAACAGGTGCTGGAGAGGATGTGGAGAAATAGGAACACTTTTACACTGTTGGTGGGACTGTAAACTAGTTCAACCATTGTGGAAGTCAGTGTGGCGATTCCTCAGGGATCTAGAACTAGAAATACCATTTGACCCAGCCATCCCATTACTGGGTATATACCCAAAGGACTATAAATCATGCTGCTATAAAGACACATGCACACGTATGTTTATTGCGGCACTATTCACAATAGCAAAGACTTGGAACCAACCCAAATGCCCAACAATGATAGACTGGATTAAGAAAATGTGGCACATATACACCATGGAATACTATGCAGCCATAAAAAATGATGAGTTCATGTCCTTTGTAGGGACATGGATGAAATTGGAAACCATCATTCTCAGTAAACTATCGCAAGAACAAAAAACCAATCACCCACTCTTGCCTAGAGTTTCTGAGTTGCTGTGACAGAGAGAATCAGCCTGGCATTTTAACCCAGGTGCAGAAAAGTGGTTACAGAATACAGTGTTCCACATCTATCTTAACTTTGTAATCTTCAAGGACACAGGAGCTTGTGACTACTTTGCAGACTGGTTTTGATGCTGACTCCCTTACACATTGGTCTGCTTTTCCTTGAGCCCATTACTTACCTATACTGTCTTCTCTCAAACCCTCAAATAACCACCTTGTCCTTTGGGGAGAGTTGCTCTCTAACACTCCTCTGTTGTCCAGTCTTCCTTATTGCAATGGGTCAATAAACCTGACCTTGTTGAACTATAGGTTTGTCCTTGGTGGTTTTAGCCTGTTGAGCTAAGATTGGTGGTCAATAGGTTAGTTGGTTTTCCAGAAAAAAAAAAATTCATTCAGAAAGCACCAGTTTAAGAATCTTTCTCAGGGAAAGAGACCTGAGTCTGTTGGATGTTGCTGTTTCAGGTTGCTTTCTAAGTTGCCTGTCCTCCTGCACAACTGGTTTAATCTCCCAGCTATGAATGAGGAAGAAGTTCTGGCCAGGCGTGGTGGCTCACACCTGTAATCCCAGCACTTTGGGAGGCAGAGGCAGGTGGATCACTTGAGGTCAGGAGTTCGTAGACTAGCCTGGCCAACATGGTGAAACCCCATCTCTACTAAAAATAAAAAAATTAGCTGGGCATGGTGGCACACGCCTGTAGTCCCAGCTACTCAGGAGGCTGAGGCAGGAGAATTGCTTGTGCCCAAGAGGCAGAGGTTGCAGTGAGCCAAGATCACGTCACTGCACTCCAGCCTGGGTGACAGAGCGAGTCTCTGTCTCAAAAAAAAAAAAAAAGTTCTAATACATCTTGACGTAGGTTTATTTGGGAAATGGCATTCTCCAACAAACTTCTCAGTATTGGCTATAACCTGGTAAGGATCTTAAGTAACGAAATGAGTTAAACTTTGGAAGGACAGCTTCACTCACGATATAAAGCCTTTCCTTGGCCACACACTGCTAGGGCTCCATGCCTGTGACTGCTAAAAAGCTAAAGATTACTGTTGGCAATTCCTTTGGTTTTCTCTCTGTTCTGTGTTATTTCTCATCTTATGTCTGCAAACAAACTAAAAAACGTAACTACTTTTCCTATTCATTCTTTAAGTCATTCTAAAAAACCTTGATTCAGACTTTCAATTTTTTCCCACAAGTGACTTCCTCTACCTCTTAAACACCTACATGCTATTTTACACAAGCCTCTTGGAGCAGAGTCTCAGGAAGATAACGCCCAGGTAAACTGCTCTAACTGCATCTGTAACCTTGGATTTTGTCCTTGCTGTGGGTGGGCATTCATTTATTGCCCAAGCCATATTGTTTTCCTCAGTTTTAGTAACAGGTGAACGTCCTTCCTGAGGGCTGGCAAGGCTGGGGTTATCACAGAGGTATAATTTACTGAAGATCTGTGACCTCCAGATTTGAAGGATCAAGAGCAATTAAGGGATGGGCAACACTCTGATCTCAGTCATGTGGCAGAGATTGAATCTCCATTAGCCAAGCCCTGGAATAGCCCCTGCTGCAAGTTACTGTCAACAAACTCAATCTGTTTGGCTTCCCAAAGTGAGTCTCCTTTTGCTATAGCTGCCGGGATCCAGGCTAGTTGTGCTGTTATATAAAGTGTAGAGGCAACTCCCTTGTCCCTGTGTTTGAAGTATTTGTAGAGATAGAGCACTTGGAGTCCTGAATATGAGGAACAGGACACTGTGGGACACATAGACAGGTCTGGTGGCAAAACTGCGAAAATAATGGGTGGATCTTGTAGTAATGCTGATGAGGTTAATAGCTGGAAGGATCCTAATGCCAAAGTCTCAGTAAAGTAAAACAAAATTTTGCTTATCCATGGGTAGCTACACAGGAGTGGTCATGTGGGATATTGCCCTCCCCTCAGCAGGGGCTATCCATCAACAAGTGGCTTATGGTTGCTGCTGGCCTGTTGGACCAAGGTTTGATTCACAAATATGCTCATTCTCTTGAATTACCCATCATGTTGGCTTGGAGACAGGTTTACTCATCCACACTTCTCAGAAGGATGAAATGAGAGCATGAGGATGGGAGATACAATGTAGGGCCTTGCTGGTCAATGTCTACTGGGCCAGGTGCTTCCTAGCAGCAGGGGCAAAAGCTTTCTGAGCCTTGGGTGCCATGGTATAGCAACCCCTGCAGCATGGCATGCCCCCGCTATAAGTGCTAGCATGAACATAGCTGGTTGCAGTTCCCCATCTCCTGTTCAGTGGAGGTAGGTGCAAATGTGTGTGGAGAGGGGAAGGTAGCTGAACTTTAGCCATTCTCAAATCTACTTATTTAGAAGCAGCCATTCTAAAATCTACTTATTTAGAGGTTGAGCAGCCATTGGGCTGGGTCCCAATCTCCCTCACTCCATGTGCAGTAGGTCCTCAAATAATGTCATTTCATTCAACATTATTTTGTTTTAATGTTGATGACAATCACTGATTCTCAGCCAGGGCCACTGTCTGTGTGGAGCCTGCACATTCTTCCCATGTGCGCATGGGTTTTCTCCAGGGACTTCAGTTTCCTTCCACATCCCAAAGCTGTGCATGTGAAGTGAATTGGTGTGTCTACATGGTTTCAGTGTGAGTGGGTGTGTATATGAGTGTGCCCTGTGATGGGATGGCATCCTGTCTACAGTGAGTTCCTCCCTGGTGCCTTCAGCTGCCAGGACAGGCTCTGGTCAACTGATTCCAAACTGGAATAAGCAGGTAAATAATTACCTTGTTTTTGTTAATCTTTCTATGTATGGCTCACATTTATTTCAGTGTTTAATGTTAGAAGTGTTTTGGTCTTTATTTAGAAGTTTGATGTTTTTTGTGACCAGAGGCATGCTGTGGGAACTTAATTCTTGTTTATGTCAATTAGCCTATGGTCAAATTGGTCTTGTTATATGCTGTTTTGCACAAAGTCACAGTTTCTAAGAGTTTATGATGTTAAGAGAAGACTTACTATACTTCTTCCTGGACTTAATAATTGAGCCAGTGCCATTGCCCAGTCATACATATGCATAGAGCACGTCTTGTGATGAAAAATCCCATGGCTTCTCTGTGGGTTACCAGACTTCATGACTAGAGCTATGGGTCTGCTCCACGTTCCCCTTCCTTAGTAAGCTGGGACCTGAAGAATGTTGCTATTCTGTTCCCTATGGACTTCGAGTTCTGCATTTCAATATTTAGTTATAACTGAACAGAACAGCTGGACAAGTGGGTGGGATTGACATGAAATGGTCTAGGATGAAAGCAACATGGGCACTGGAGCATCAGAACAGTTACTGTTTGAGATTATAGGGCCAGTATTTCTGACCTGGTGGTTTCTCTGCAGTGCTAGTCTTTTCAGAGTCAGCTCAGTTGCAGAGCTGCCCTGTCTTCACTGAAGTCCTAGAATCTGTGGGGTTGGCTTCATCTAATCCACTGCTATGAAGAACAGTTAGGCAGTTCCTTAAAATATTAAATATAGAATTATCACATGACCCAGCAACTCTATTATTAGATATATACCAAGAGAATTTAAAATGTGTCTAACAAAACTCTGTAAATAAATGTTCATAGCAGCATTATTCCTAATAGCCAAAAAAGGTAGAAACAACCCAAATGTCCAACTGAATGGGTAAACAAAATCTGACATATCTATACAATGGAATATTACTTGGTGATAAAAGGGACGAACCTTGAAAACATCATGCTAAGTGAAGGAAGCACAAAAGGCCATGTGTTGGATTATTCCATTTCTATGAAATGTTTAGAATAAATCTATAGAAATAAAATAGATTAGTGGTTTTCAGGGGCTGGGAGAAAGGAATGACTACTGATGGGTATGGGAGTTCTTTTAGGGGTGATGGAATGTTTGGAAATCAGATAGGGATGATGGTTGCCCAACCTTGTAAATATACTAAGAAACCACTGAATTGTACAGCAGAAATGGGTTATTCTTTTCATATGTGAATTGTGTCTCAGAGCCATTATTTTTTAAAATCAATAGGTCATCTTTGGCTAGGCCAAGATCTTTGACAGAGTTTTATACTTACAAAAAGATTATGAATCCATGATTGAATTTTGCCTTTAAGGAAAAATGACTTTCTGAAAAAGTTCTGCGGTGTTTCCAGGTGTTGACAACTATCCTTCCTCAAAGAAATGAACTTGCATCTTCATCGTGGTAAGACACTCCCCCCAGCATTGCAGTTATGTAGCTTTCTGTGCCTTCCTAGGAAAATGGTTTACAAGTGTGACTGGTTTTCCTTCAAAAGTTATATTTTAAATGTGGGGTGTTTTCACAGAATAATACGTAAATGCCCCTCATAAAATACCTTGTATGTGCCTTGTATATAGCTTTATTTCCTAACAGTGTGCAAAAAGAGTATAAGAAGAAAAAAAATCACTTGTTATTCATGTTTACCCTGTGCATGACCTACCTACATCATTGTTTAATCTATTAGTAATAACTGTTAAACGTATTATTTGAAGTTACTGCAACTGTTAGATGTGTTTGAACTTGCCTGGTCCACCCTTGTAGTCTATGTACTCTCTGTTATGAAAGTCATGCTGCCTTATGGAGAGTTAAGAGCTCTCATTTGAGAGTTAAGAGCTCTCATTTGAGTGCTAGTTTTGCAACAACTTAATGAGAATGACTTGCCACCTTTAGTGAATAGATTAAAAAAAAAACTGTAGCTGGGCGCAGTGGCTCACACCTGTAATCCCAGCACTTTGGGAGGCTGAGGTGGGTGGATCACCTGAGGGCAGGAGTTGGAGACTAGCCTGGCCAACATGGTGAAACCCCGTCTCTACTAAAAATACAAAAATTAGCTGGGCATGGTGGTGTACACCTGTAGTCCCAGCTACTCGGGAAGCTGAGGCAGGAGAATCACTTGAACCTGGGAGACGGAGGTTGCAGTGAGCTGAGATGGCGCCACTGCACTCCAGCCTGGGTGACAGAACGAGACTCCATCTCAAAAAAAAAAAAAAATGTAGATAGGGAGTACTCGAAAGCAACGTGACTGCCTCGATTACCCATGAAATAACTTTCTCCTTTGTTGTTTAGTAGCTGAATATCTTACTGACGCAGAGTTGAGCGACTACGTTTTACTGTCTGTAGACACAAAGAAAGCAGTCATATAAGATCTGGTGGCCAGTCTATTTACTACCATAGTTTTGAAATAATGATAAGCACAAGTTGTAATTTGAAATCTGCAACAAGGTAATGTGAAATGAAAATAGCTGATTTCTATTGTGACAAATTCACAATTCACAGGTTCTGCTAATGGTGCTGTGGTTTGAATATATTAGCTAAAGGAAGTATTAAATTTAAGTTGGAGGTTACTAAAAATAAAGATAAATGCTTTCTAAATCAAGCTGAAACACCTCGTGGATATTACAGACCCCCAACTTAAGAACCCCTAATGTAATAGATCGCTTATTTTGGCCTGTAGCTCATGGGTCAAGGTGATCTCTACTGTGGTAGCATGTTTCGTAAGGCTAGTTAATCAAACAAGTTATTCTATCCTAGGATCTAATTATAAGTTTTTGAAAGGTCTATGACTTTGGGCAAGATCTCTGACTCTATTACTTCAAAAAACATTTTTTAAGTAATCATAGACTCCTGGGAAGTTGCAAAAATAGAACAGAGAGTCCCATGTACTTTTCATCCATTTCTCCTAATAGTAGCATTGGCATAACTCTAGTACAATGTCAAAACCAGGAAATTGGCATTGGTATTTTGTTTTTTATTTTTATATTGGAATATTGGGATGTCTTGATCTAAGGAAATTAATCACCTAAGTTGAATATCCACTGTTAGCCTCAAGTACTGTTAGTTGCTTCTTACTCTGAAGGAATACTTGGGATTTTATAGCATGGGCCAATCTTCTATCACCTGAGAAGGAACAGGATCCCAAAGTTTGGAGTGTTGTAAGCTGAGGTACCTCATTTCTCAGGAGTCATGCTATGTTCATTTGTCTTGGGCTTGCTCAACCTATTAGGCAATATTTTGTCCTCACCAAAAGGCTTTCTTCTGTTCCCTGCAAGTAGTTTCGTGCTTCAGACAGAGCTCCACAGGGCCTTGGGAAAACCTGCATCACATCCCGAGATATAATATGGAAACGTACTGTTCTAAATGTCTAGTTTTTTTGATGTAAATTCTGGATCCTATGACAGCCTGAGCTGTCATATCCTTGCTCATTTTCATGCTCATATTACTGAGCATGAATAGCCCAGTGAGACTTTTTTTTAACACCTAAGGGTGTACTAGATAATACCCGGCAGTGTATTGAGCAATTTGGTCATGTTTAGAGAATGCATAGACCTCAAGTGCCAGAATACCCTCTACTTCATGCAGTACCGTCACACATTTGTTTTGTATTGCCACAGGTCTTGGTAAATACTTCATATTCCAACATTAAAATACAATATAATAGAGTCTGTTACTAGATGTAATAACTCTTAAGAGGCAGATAACTGTGTTAGTCATCTTTCTCCCTAGCACATGAAAATGACTTGAGGTCTATGGAGCAAGGAACTACATATTAGCAGAAAGCTAGGGTTTGACATTTTTTGTCCCCTAATATATTCCTACTCAACTTCTTAAAGTATGTTCTGTGGCAGTTAGTTTGACCACATTTTCCAGATACTCACCTTCTAGAACCCAGTCTGTGGCCAAGACTATGTCACACCCTCTTAGTGTGGGATATGGCTTTTAACCCAGCTGTAGAAATTCAAGTATGAGGCTTGAAAGGTGTCATATTGGTGGCACTGTAGTCACAGTGTTTGAAAATGGCTGTGTAATTGTGCTATGATTCTTAAATAGAGCACCTGAGCCCACCTAGGACTAGCCCACCAAATGATCCCTAGAAGATGCGGTTAGCCTTTGTTTGGAAGAGTCTCTCCACTGAGTACTCATCCTTCCTCTCCCACTGCTGTATTGGTGTCCAATTTGTGAACCAGCAGCTACCTTGCAAGTTGCCACATGTTGCTTTCAGGTGTTTGATAGTATGCTTTGAACCAGGGCCTTCCATGTGTGTTTCTGTAACTTCTTTGACATGCCTGGAGGCCAAACCCTTCTTGCTGCTACGTTTATTCTCTTTGATATTATCAGTTGTGTTGGCAGAGAGGGGACTACTGACACTGGCCCCTTGTCTCACTTTTGTGAAATCATAGAATACTGAGGCAAGGCTGTGATTGGAATGCAATGTCTGCAATATTCCTGGCTTCCTAGTATCAGGATCACCATTCTCGTGAAGAATGATGACTCTATTGGCTTTGTCCCATATATAAAATTTTATATCACTGTTCTTTCCATAAACTTTGTTTTTAAACATATGACATGATAAAGGACATTATTCAGAGAATAAATGTCCTACCCAAACACGTTATTTTTCTCTTAATTTGTATAACTTTGATTTAAAGGAAATAAAAATTATTACTATTTTTAGCACTCTTCCATCCTAAGTGAAGTTATATGTGAATGTAAGAATTCAGTAACAAGAGCGAGGCATGACGGCACATGCCTGTAGTTCTAGCTACTAGGAAAGCTAAGGCAGGAGAATTGCTTGAGGACAGGAGTTCACAGCAGAAAACATTGTAACCTTTTAAAAAAATTTCAAATAGATCTAGGTCTCAAGGCAGTGATGATCTAACTCATAATAGGGTCGGTAACCTAATTTGCCTACTGATGTTTTAAATGAATCTGATACAAAAAAATCCTTTATAAATAGTGATCAAAAGCAAGACTTCGCTGGGCATGGTGGCTCATGCCTGTAATCCCAGCACTTTGGGAGGCTGAGGCAGGCAGATCACTTGAGTTCAGGAGTTCGAGACCAGCCTGGGCAACATGGTGAAACCCCCGCTTCTACTAAAAATACAAAACTTAGCTGGGCATGATGGCACACGCCTGTAGTCTCAGCTACTCAGGAAAGTGAGGCAGGAGAATCGCTTGAATCTGGGAGGCGGAGGCTGCAGTGAGCTGAGATCATGCCACTGCACTCCAGCCTGGGCGACAGAGCGAGACTCTGTCTCAAAAAAAAAAAAAAAAAAAGCAAGGCTTAGCATATATCCAAGTAGAAAATGTCTAGGCTATAGGTTATCTCTAAAATCTTGGAAGAAATAAAATATAAATCAAGAGTTAGAAAGAGGACTCTACAGACCCAATTTGAAAAACTTGTTAGCAGATTTAGGCAAGTCCATGCATCTCTTAATTTCTGACTCTTAATTTGTTTCCCAAAACTTGGTGGCAGAGAATTTTGGAAATGCAGGAGCTATTACTTTAAATAAGAAAAATGTGTTCCCATTCCATTTCCAGATCCTAATCCATTCCTCTAAATTCTACTAAAAAACAACAAAAACAAACTCTTAAACACCTATAGCAATTCACAAGAGGTTTTTGTATAATAGCATATTAAACTGTGATTCCTAGTTACTTAACAATGAATTCATTAGCTGGGTATGTTTGTTTTCAGGGTTCAACAAATATGAGCTATCTTCCTTCTACATAGCAGCAAACACATAAGCAGTAGAATATTAGACATCATACATGCCAATAAAAAGGCAATACAAAAAGTGTCACTGGTAGAAGAGTTGCCTGAGTAAAGTTTGGTGAGAGGAGTAAGATGTGCAGGACCCGGGCATTATTTCCCAACAGACTTCTTGCCCTTTTCTTGCTCTGCCCTTCCTCATAAAGCTGCGTTCCCTTGGCCTCTACAAAGGTGATTTCTGGCTGGATTTGACCAATAGGAGACAAGGGTCAGAGATCAGATTGGAGGGTGGGGAGAAGTTAGGATCTCTCTCCATCGCCTTCTTAGCCTTAGGTACAGCTTTGGCAATGGTTCCATTCCTTCCTGAAACCCAACTTCTGCTATGTTTCCAGCCTCTTTCAACTCCCCCTGGGCTCTGAGAATTGCTTCTTTCCTTTGACCTTCTAGGTTAAGAATTGTAGTCAGTTCCGGTTTTTCCTCATTTCTACGTTGCCTCACCACTTTTTTTCCTTTCATTTACTCTGTTATTTGTGAACAATTTATTGTGTTAAATTTCACCTGTTGCAAATCCTTGAAGTGGCTTCTGTTTTCCTGTTTGACTGATAGATACACTTGCTGCTTGGTGGGTGAAGATGAGAAAGTGTGAGTCTATGAAGGAGGGAGTGAGATAGTAAATGCCTGCAGTTCAACCACCTCAGAATGAAAGGAATTCATGAACAGTCTCTTGTTTTGATGACATTCAGGCATTGCAAGTAAATGGTTGTAAACAATCATTGAAACCATAGATAAAGCAACTGAAATTGGACAACTGTTTGTATTTCCTTTGCTTGCAGTAACATTGCTCCTGATAACAGGATTGCATTTGTAATTGCATTTTGGAGGATGTTGATTGTTTATCATGGTTACATAGATGTGATTTCTGTTAAAAGTAAATCTTTAAATTTGGCATCAACTATCTGTGCCTCTTTTTTTAATTAATGAAATCACATTAAACAAAGCTTTTCTTCAAATGTTGTTCTACTTATTCAGATGGTGCTGTGGGTTGAATTATGTCCCCCAGAAAAGTATGTTGAAATCCTAACTCCTGGCACCCATGAATTGAATATAGTTGGAAATAGGGTCTTTGAAAATGTAATCAAGTTAAAATGAGACCTCACTGGATTAGGGTGAGTCCTAATCCAATGACTGTTCTTATGAGAGAAGGAAAACACACACACAAAGGAGAATGCCAAGTGATAACAAGAGAGATCAGAGTGATGGGTCTACAAACCAAGTATCAGCAAGGATTGCAGCTAACATCAGAAGACAACAAAACACATGGAACAGATTCTCCCCTAGAACCTTCAGAGACAGCATGATCCTGCTGACATCTCTATTTCAGACTTCTAGCCTCCAGAGCTGTGAGAGAATAAATTTCTGTTGAAAGCCACCCAGTTTGTGGTGCTTTTTTTTTTTTCAGCAGCCTTAGGAAACGAACGGTTTCACTTAACATGGGAAGCATAATGACCATAAATGCAGAACATGCATTTTTCTGGTTTTGTATCAGGTAATAACTGGCCTCATAAAATGGAGGAGATTGTGAAATACTGGTGTTAATTCTTCTTTAAATTATTGGTTGAATTCCCCAGCAAACCATTTGGTCCTGGAGATTTCTTCTTTATAAGCTCTTAAATTATAAATTTGATTTCTTTAATCGTCACACAGCTACTCATATTATCTATTTCCTCTTGATGGAGTTTTAGTAGCTTTTGAGAAATCGATCCATTTCTTCTAAGTTGACAAATTCATGAACAAAAAGTTATTTGTAGTATTTGCTTGTTATCTTTTTGATAGCTGCAAAATTAATATTGATGTCTCTTATTTTATTCCTGATACTTGTGATTGTATCTTTTCTCTATTTATCAGTCTTGTTAGAAGTTTATCAATTCTATTGACTTTTTTCGAAGAGCCAGATTTTTGTTTCACTTGTTTTTTTCTCTATTGTTTTCTAGTTTTTAATTTCATTGATTTCTGCTGATGTTTTATTCCTTCTGCTTGCTTTGGGTTTACTTTATCTTTTTCCAGTTTCTTGAGGTAACAAGTTGGACTGTTTTAAGACCTTTTCTCATGTCTAATATAAACCTATAGTGCTATAAATCTCCCTTAGCATTGCTTGAGCTGCATCACCTACAATTTAATATATTGCATTTTCATTTTCATTAACTTCTGTGTATTTTTATTTGCCTTAACTTCATATTTTATCCATGGTTTATTTAGAAGTATGTTTATTTTCTACATATTTAGAGACATCCATGTTTTATTTAAGTTTCATTCCATTATGGTTGGAGAGCAACACTCTGTATGACTTTCATTCTTTTAAATTTGTTTTATGGCCATACATATGGTCTATCTTGGTGAATGCCCCTTGAGCATTTGGGGGAAAAAATATTCTACTAGTGGGTGGTGCAGCGGTGTGTTTCATATATGTCAGTTAGATCCTATTGGTTGAATTGCTCGCCTCTTCTATATCTTTGCCAATTTCTGTCTAGTAGTTTTATCAGTCACTGAGAGGGAGTGTTATAGTCCCTAGCTATAGTTGGGAGTTTGTCTATTTTTCACTTCATCTCTATCAGTTATTGCTTTATGTATTTTTAGGCTCTGTTTGGTACATACAATTTAAAATTGTTATGGCTTCTGGATGGACTGATCCTTTTATCATTATGTTGCCTTTGCAGCAGCAGATGTTGCTGGAACAAACGGCCAGTCATGAAATCTACATGGATTCCAACTTCATGCAGGTGCAACCTGACAGCAGCTCTATACCTAAGCCACAGAGTGCTTATCTCTTGCTCCCGGGGCATGCTTGATGCTGAGGCCTAGAAGGATCAGAATAGCACAGGAGAGATGATTTGGTATGGGCTGAAATTTTAAGCAATGAGAGGCAGCTGGCAGACAAATTCTTCCTCTTCCTTCCACAAGCACACTGCTCTGAGAAGTAGCTCTTTATACAGCCTCTGGGAAGACAGTTGCTCTTGATACCAAACAGGGCAATCTCATAGAACCAGTTGCTCAAATTTAGTAATATGCCTTCCTCATCTTTCCCTCCTTACCTTTCTTTCTGTTGGATGATACTTTCCTTAAAAATTAGTGGCACATAAGCCTTTGCCTTTAAGTTTTTTGTTTGTTTTTAATGGGTCTCTATTAACCTGAGTTTCCCAGAAAGAAGATAAATTAACTTTAGGAAATCATCTTTCATTTTTTTCTTTCCCACCCACATCCTCCCAACTCTTTTAGGAAAAGAGGAAGTCAAATTGTCCCTGTTTGCAGACGACATGATTGTATATCTAGAAAACCCCATCATCTCAGCCCAAAATCTCCTCAAGCTGATAAGCAACTTCAGCAAAGTCTCAGGACACAAAATCAATGTGCAAAAATCACAAGAATTCTTATACAACAATAACAGACAAACAGAGAGCCAAATCATGAGTGAACTCCCATTCACAATTGCTTCAAAGAGAATAAAATACCTAGGAATCCAACTTACAAGGGATGTGAGGGACCTCTTCAAGGAGAACTACAAACCACTGCTCAACAAAATAAAAGAGGATACAAACAAATGGAAGAACATTCCATGCTCATGGGTAGAAAGAATCAATATCGTGAAAATGGCCATACTGCCCAAGGTAATTTATAGATTCAATGCCATCCCCATCAAGCTACCAATGACTTTCTTCACAGAACTGGAAAAAACTACTTTAAAGTTCATATGGAACCAAAAAAGAGCCCGCATTGCCAAGTCAATCCTAAGCCAAAAGAACAAAGCTGGAGGCATCACGCTACCTGACTTCAAACTATACTACAAGGCTACAGTAACCAAAACAGCATGGTACTGGTACCAAAACAGAGATATAGACCAATGGAACAGAACAGAGCCCTCAGAAATAACGCCACATATCTACAACTATCTGATCTTTGACAAACCTGACAAAAACAAGCAATGGGGAAAGGATTCCCTATTTAATAAATGGTGCTGGGAAAACTGGCTAGCCATATGTAGAAAGCTGAAACTGGATCCCTTCTTTACCCCTTATACAAAAATTAATTCAAGATGGATTAAAGACTTAAATGTTAGACCTAAAACCATAAAAACCCTAGAAGAAAACCTAGGCAATATCATTCAGGACATAGGCATGGGCAAGGATTTCATGTCTAAAACACCAAAAGCAATGGCAACAAAAGCCAAAATTGACAAATGGGATCTAATTAAACTAAAGAGCTTCTGCACAGCAAAAGAAACTACCGTCAGAGTGAACAGGCAACCTACAGAATGGGAGAAAATTTTTGCAACCTACTCATCTGACAAAGGGCTAATATCCAGAATCTACAATGAACTCAAACAAATTTACAAGAAAAAAACAAACAACCCCATCAAAAAGTGGGCAAAGGATATGAACAAACACTTCTCAAAAGAAGACATTTATGCAGCCAACAGACACATGAATAAATGCTCTTCATCACTGGCCATCAGAGAAATGCAAATCAAAACCACAATGAGATACCATCTCACACCAGTTAGAATGGCAATCATTAAAAAGTCAGGAAACAACAGGTGCTGGAGAGGATGTGGAGAAATAGGAACACTTTTACACTGTTGGTGGGACTGTAAACTAGTTCAACCCTTGTGGAAGTCAGTGTGGCAATTCCTCAGGGATCTAGAACTAGAAATACCATTCGACCCAGCCATCCCATTACTGGGTATATACCCAAAGGATTATAAATCATGCTGCTATAAAGACACATGCACACATATGTTTATAGTGGCACTATTCACAATAGCAAAGACTTGGAACCAACCTAAATGTCCAACAACGATAGACTGGATTAAGAAAATGTGGCACATATACACCATGGAATACTATGCAGCCATAAAAAATGATGAGTTCATGTCCTTTGTAGGGACATGGATGAAACTGGAAACCATCATTCTCAGCAAACTATTGCAAGGACAAAAAACCAAACACCACATGTTCTCACTCATAGGTGGGAATTGAACAATGAGAACACATGGACACAGGAAGGGGAACATCACACTCTGGGGACTGTTGTGGGGTTGGGGGAGGGGGGAGGGATAGCATTAGGAGATATACCTAATGCTAAATGATGAGTTAATGGGTGCAGCACACCAACATGGCACATGTACACATATGTAACAAACCTGCACGTTGTGCACATGTACCCTAAAACTTAAAGTATAATAATAAAATTAAAAAAAAAAAAGACTTTTCTTCAGAAACATTCTGTTTTGGAAGTGACCTCTTATCAGGCCTGTTTAGCTTAAATAGACAAGGTACTTTCCTCTTCTTCAAATCTAGTGTGACATGCAGAAGTTCAAATAGTGACTGAATTTTGTTTGGAAACCAGAAACCTTGATGAACCCAGATCCTTAGGCATCCCCAACATGATATCCATTTAGGGACCAATTGCCCCCATTATAATAGGGTACAGTTCCTGCAACATCCTGTAATATCACTGAATGCTGAAGACCTTGCAGTCAGGAGTACAGTAATCTTTTTCCTTCCTGGCCCTTCTTTGGATAGGAAAAATTTCGTGAGAATACAATCCCATCAGATGTTATATGATTCAGTGTTGTAAAGACATACAGAATTTTGATGGCAGTTAAGTGTGCTAAGTGGAAAGAAGTGTATATGGGTTCCCTGCCCCAAAGTGACCCTTGCCTGAACAACTTGCTTCCTCAAGGTCTCTAAAAAATACATATATAAACCAAAGAAAAATTCTTAATTCAAAAGCTTGGCTGGATTATATAGACATTCGTTTTCTCTGGTACTTGCTTTGCTGTAGAAGCTGGGTAAAATGTGAGGATATATGAGAGGAAGAGACCTGTGAACCCTGTATTATTTCAGCCTTCCAAAAGATCATCAAGAATTCCTGTTCTGGAGATATTTTGGTCTGAAGATGTAGGTGTAAAGTTAGCATTTCCCTGTCCTCTTGGAAATCATCCAGACATACCCCAGGAGGCAGAAAAAGAAATGTGTTCCATCTTAGTGGACTTCTGCTTTCACTAAAAACCCAAACCACAAAATGAGTGGAATGAGTGCCCAAAGTGATAATCAAACTGGAATACATATGGGAGGAAATGGAAAGAGAATTTGTGTGGCTGTAGATTTCAGTAAGGGCTGATAAAACTCATTTCTTTAAGGTGATAAACACACCCTAAACATAAATTCCTTGATGGCAGTAGTAGAAATGGGAAACACAGCCTGGCTGCCAAAGGTTTCCTGGTTCTTAGAGGGAAAAGTTGGTGAAGCTGAACAGAAATGCACACAGACAAGCCACATTTTGTCCATGTGGCTGTTGGGAGAAGAGGTACTCATAGAGGTGTTCCTTATGCTAAGTCTATATCCATTGGATAAAATTTTCCTTGTTTGGAACAGGGCCTACCCCATCCACCATAAATCTGTAAATGATTTTGACTGGCAGAAAAAAGCTTTTCTGAACTAAAGATGAGTAATTAAAAAGGAAACAGCGGCCAGGCGCAGCGGCTGACTCCTGTAATCCCAGCACTTTGGGAGGCCGAGGTGGGCAGATCACTTGAGGTCAGGAGTTCAAGACCAGCCTGGCCAACATAGCGAAACCCCATCTCTACTAAAAACATAAAAATTAGCTGGGCGTGGTGGCATGCGCCTGTAATCTCAGCTACTCAGGAGGCTGAGGCAGGAGAATTGCTTGAACCTGGGAGGCAGAGGTTGCAGTGAGCTGAGATTGCGCCGCTGCACTCCAGCCTGGGTGACAGAGTGAAACTCCCTCTCAAAAAAAAAAAAAAAAAAAAAAAAAAAAAAGGAAACAGCACATGACCTGTTTAGAGATGAAAAAAAAAATACAGGAAATTCATAGGAATACCTTGTGGCAGACTAATACAAGAAAAATATTGTCACGGAGAAAATAAAAACTAAAATATGTTATCCTAAAAAGAAAATTTAAAGCAATTATCTCTCTAAAACAATAGCAAAAGTAGATGTATAAGAGCTCATGGAAAATATACTGACCCAGGAAAACCCATATTTTCTTTTCTTATTTTTTTGAGATGGAGTCCTGCTCTCTCGCCCAGGATGGAGTGTAGTGGCATGATCTCAGCTCACTGCAACCTCTGCCTCCGGGGTTCAAGTGATTCTCCTGCCTCAGCCTCCCAAGTAGCTAGGATTACAGGCTCGCACCACCACACCTGGCTAATTTTTTGTATTTTTTTTTTTTTTTGAGATGGACTCTTGCTCTGTCGCCCAGGCTGGAGTGCAGCGGCGTGATCTCGGTTCACTGCAAGCTCCGCCTCCCGGGTTCACACCATTCTCCTGCCTCAGCCTCCCGAGTAGCTGGGACTACAGGCGCCTGCCACCACGCCTGGCTAATTTTTTGTATTTTTAGTAGAGACGGTGTTTCACCATGTTGCAAAGGCTGGTCTCAAACTCCTGACCTCAAGTGATCCACCTGCCTCGGAGCTCCCAAAGTGCTGGGATTACAAGCATGAGCCACTGTGCCCAGCCAATACTTTCTGAGCTCTACCAGCTCACACTTTAAATGGAAGAAAAATACACAAATTAAGAGGAAATGTAGAAGAAGGTAGGCATTGCTGAAATTATAGCAAGGAATAGGAAAGAAAAATAAGAAAGAAATGAAATTGTGCATGTTTTGGAGCTCCCCTATTTCTTTTCTCACTCATCCTTTTAAATTCTTTTTATCCCTTTACTTCTGGGCCACCATTCAGTACTTTTAATGGTTTCAAATTAAGCATTAATTTATAGCTTCAAGTTTTTTCTCTTTCTCTTGTGAATGACAGTCTTTTGCCTGGCTGCCCAAAGATTCATTTTTGTTTTGGACATAAGATGTTCATGATTAAAACATAATGACTTAATCTTCCTAGGTCATGGTATGGCCTTCTAGTTTAAAAGCTTTCTGGATAAAAAGATTGCCTTCATTCCTCAATATTCACTACTTCTTGAAGAGTAGTTGCTGCATATAAAATTCTTCTTGAAGAGTAGTTGCTGCATGTAAAATTCTTGGGTCATGTTTTATTTTCTTGAGTACTTTGCTTGCCCTTATTTGAACAAAAGAAATACCTATAAATATATTTTAATGAGCATTCTAGATCTCAGGGAATGAGCCCTTTCCTTAGAAATATTAAACATTAAATTCAATCAGATAAAATTACTGAAAAAACTATGCTAAAAGAACTTACGAAATCAAATATGCTTGAAAGATTGTTTCAAATAAATTTGGACATTCACATTCTATTTTGTAACCAATAAACATAGAATGAAAAGGAGAGGGATGCTGGGAAGTAATGGTCATTTCTACATTATCAGCTTTTATACATATGCTGATTTCCTCATCTTTTATAGCTGAGAGGTCACATTGTTTGCTACGATAGCATTTATATTTAATTTTATACCGTTAAAGCTAAGAAGGACAAGGTAATCAATAACAATCAGGTTGTTTGAGAAAAGAGAGGTGAAGAGGGAGGAACAGTAAATATACTAATTTGAGAAGTAAAATGTCAAGCTGTTTGTATTCCAAAATACAAACTTAAGTTAAAACAATTTTGCTAGGTTAAAGCTCACAAAACCCAAGGAAAAGGGTAGATTTATGCTTATACATATTGGATTAGAACTGTTTGTCTTTGGGGGTTAATACTTTTAAAGAATTCCTGCTTCTCATTTTAATTTGGTTCTGTAAAGAAACAGGCAGAAAGAAGATGGGAGAGGAGACAACAGTGGAAAAATATCAACACATCTTTGAAAGCTAAGAAAGAAATGTTATCAGCTCCTCTGTCTCCTTTCTAATAGCAAGTGTTGGCAGAGGTGATGCCATGAAAAGTATTCTGATTTGGTCTGCTGACAAGAAAATGCTTGACAAGATACTGTACCTCAGAAGATGAGTCGTAGTGGCGAAAATAAAGGAGTCGTTTAAAAAGTCTGTATAATGAACTCATTAATCTCCCAGCCCCCTTTCCCTCTCCTATAAATCCTGGAGACCACTTAACCCAGAATGGCACTGGAATCTGGAGGCTTGTTCTGAGGAAACATTGTACCAGAGAAGCTCTAAATTTCAGGGCATTAAACACAATAGGAGTTGATCCTTCAACTGTCACATTGAGAGGAATGATGAAATGAAGATATTCCTAATTGAGTGGGGAGACTCACAATCCTTTCTCAAGCTCACCCTAAAAATGCTGGCCATGGGGCTTTTTTCTCTTCCCTTCCATCCCACACTGGAGACAGGGCTTGCTCAACATCTCCAAAAGCAAAATTCCTAGAGAAAACCTATTGGTATGACAGTTGGTGGGACTCTAACAAGCTTGCATTACCTTACCAGATCAACATCCAGTGAGCTGTGGAAGAAAAACTGAGGGCTGTAGGAGAGGTGGTTCCAAGAAAACAAAACACTAGATTTTTTTGAAATCATTTTTGAAAAATTTTATTTAATTGATAATTGTATATGTTTACAGGGCACAGCATGATGTTTTGATATAAGTATACATCATGGAATGATTAAATCAAACTAATTTTTGGATGTAAAGTAAACTGCATTAGGCCATACATTGCTTTCTAAAAAAGATAACTTTAACTCTGAAATTTATTGGTCGTTGGAGGGTTATGCCTATCTTTACCCCCAGAACCTCTGTTACTCTGTGGAGACCTGTAATAAGTTGAAGGTGTACTTATTGCAGCATACTTCTAAATTGTTAAGTATTTTCTGCCAGCTTTTCAAAAAACATGGCTTTTTCACTATAAATCATGAAAAACATTTTTGGTAATCATTTGCTGGAATACAACATTATGATTATTATAGATCTTTCGTTTGATAGGTTACTCATTTGCTTGTTGAGAGTAACATGAAAGACCCTTCTTGGGCCAGGACTATGCCTTATTCATCTCTGTATCTCCTGCCCTGGGAGCATAATTCTTTACACATAGTGGATACTTAATGGCTTTCCTTTTAATACAATTGAATTGCATTAAAATAATGAAAAGTCTCTTGAGTTTAACACTGAAGGGTGTTTTTGGTCTTTAAAATCTTAACAAGATATGCATAAATTACATTTAAACATCATTTTTAATTGGCACATATTTTGGGGGGTACATGTGATATTTTGATACCTGTCTGCAATGTATAATGATCCATCAGGGTAATTGGGATATCCATCACCTCAAATATTTATCTTTTCTTTGTGTTGGGACCATTATAATTCTTCTCTTCTAGCTATTTTGTAATATACAGTACATTATCATTAACTATAATTTTCCTACTGTATCATCAAATACTAAAACTTATACCTTCTATCTAACTGTATTTTTAAACCCTTTAACCAATTTCTCTTCATCCACTACCATCCTTCTTCCCTTCCCATCTTCTGGTAATCACCATTTTACTTTCTACCTCCATGAGATCTATTTTAGCTTCAAAATATGAGAACATGCCGTATTTGTCTTTCAGTGTCTGGCTTATTTCACTTAACATAATGACCTCCAGTTCCATCCAGTTCATTCTCTTTTATGACGAAGTAATATTCCATTGTGTATATATACCACATTCTTTATCCATTCATCTGTTGATCAATATTTCGTTGATTACATACCTTGGGTATTGTGAATAGTGCTACAGTAGACATGGAAGTATAGGTATCAGTTTGATATACTTAAATCAAGCTAACATGTCCATCACCTCACATCTATCACTTTTACATAATAGATCTCAACCTGATTCTTCTTGCCTAACTGGAATTTTTGTACCCTTTAACCAACATCTTCCCATCTCTCTTTCACTTCTCCCAGCCTCTGGTAACCATCACTGTACTCTATACTTCCAGGAGTTCAACTTCCGTAGGCTACACATGGAAGTGAGATCACGTAGTATTTTTCTTTCTTTGCCTGGCTTGTTTCACTTAGCATAACGTTCTCCAGATTCATCCATGTTGTCATAAATGACAGAATTTCCTTCCTTGTAAGGGCTGAATAGTATTCCATTGTGCACGTGTACCACATTTTTAAAATCCATCCATCTGTTGATAGACACTTAGGTTGATTCCATATCTTGGCTATTGTGAATAATGCTGCATTGAACATGAGAGTGAAGATATCTCTTCAACACAGTGACTTCCGTTTTTGGATATGGACTCAGAAGTGGGATTGTTGGATCATAAGTAATTCTAGTCTTAGTTTTTTTAGAGAAAACCCTATACTATTTTTCATAATAGCTGTACTAACTTACATTCTTAGTGTACAAGGGTTCCCTTTTCTCCACCTCCTCATTAACGCTTGCTCTTTTGTCTTTTTGGCAATAACCATCCTAACGGGTATGAGATGATAGCTCATTATGGTTTTAATTTGCATTTTCCTAAGTATTGGTAATTTGCATTTTCCTAGTTGGGTTGAACACTTTTTCACATACTTGTTGTCCATTAGTATATCTTCTTTGGAGAAATGTCTATTCAAGTCCTTTGCCCATTTTTAAATTGGGTTATTTATTTTCTTGCTATTGAATCTGTTTCTTTATATATTTTGGATATTAACTCCTTATAAGAGGTGCAGTTTGCAAATATTTTCTCCCAATCCATAGATTATCTCTTCACTCGGTTTCCTTTGCTGTGCAAAAGCTTTTTAAGTTTGATATAGTCTCATTTGTCTATTTTTGCTTTTGTTGCCTGTGCATCTGGGGTCATATCAAATAAATCAAAATAAAAAAATAAAAATAATTGCCCAGTCATGGATTTTTTCCCCATGATAAAATATTAGATTTTGATTATGTAGAAAGTAGCATTCATAAGAGTTTCAGAGTTCTATTATAGAACGTGAAGAATTAATAATAGATAGGAAAGTGAGGTAATGAAAAATAAGACAAAAAAGGCATTTGTGGGTGAGTTTCCCAAGCTGGCAAGTCCTATAGCTGACGCAGCTAGTTTTTCATCCCTTCTATGATATGGTTGCTGCACCCAACCCCACGGTTGACACCCATGTTGGGGCCTCTGGACAGCACT
The DNA here is from genome assembly GCF_000001405.40 of Homo sapiens. Taxonomy (NCBI): domain Eukaryota; kingdom Metazoa; phylum Chordata; class Mammalia; order Primates; family Hominidae; genus Homo; species Homo sapiens. Next base: position 43,567,837 of record NC_000023.11, on the reverse strand, counting down.
GTCCCCCTGTTGGACAACTGGATGCTCTGAGCAACGCTGCAGCAGCTTCTATCCTTACCACCTCTACCACTTTTCTCAGAGGTGTAGCACCTTCTTGATGCCCAGCCTTTCCCCTGGGCACTGCCCCTTCTGCACCTAGTGCCCTCCTTGTTTTACAGCCTTCCCGGATTCCCAATTTTCATCCAGAGGCTTGTAATACTTCTGCTGAGGAAAAGGAAATTTCAGGACACTGTCCCCAGTACTATGATATTGAAATCGCTTATTTTTTGTGGAAAACAAGACATAGATTGCAATGATTTTAATATCTCCAGTAGAAAATAGGAAAAAAGGGTATTCTACTCCCTTGCAATACATGTGACCATGGCTTTAGTACTCAAGTATGACAGATACATATCCAAACATGCAAAATATCCTGAGGTTTACTGTCCTTTTAGTGTACATGAAAAGATTGTCCTGTTCCATAGGAAATTATGCAGCTTCTGCTTGAAGATCAAATTAGAAGACTGCAAAATGAAGGGAAGAAGGAAGAGAAAACCATGCAACTCCAGCCAATCTTGAAAGAAAGTGAAAGGGGAAAAAGGGAAGAGTATTGATGCCACAGTATGGGATAAAAGGGAATGTCCAGACGTTTGCAAATGGCAGAGATGAAGAGTTTGGAAAAAAGATTACAAATTAAAAATGATTTTGCTGGAAGTAAAGCAAAAAGTGAATCAGGCAATTGCTAGTGTGATTCAAAAATTGAAGATTCATTTGAGGTAGATGCACAAAAATGCACAAAAAGGCTTCAGATTTTCTTAGTGTTTTGGAACTTGGATTCAGAAGCTGTTAAGGAAAAATCCAGAAAATACTGGTATACTCAAGGAAGTGCCATTGACCCAATACTCAGTAATGAGCAGACATCTCCACTTGGGCACTTAGGACTATTGCTCAGAACATGTACTTAAGTCTTGATGGAAAGGTGAATGTAAGAAATCTCTCAGAAAGAAGAAATGTTGAAAATGAATGCCAAGCAAGAAAAAGACCTGCCTTTCCTTCCTTCCTTCTCTTCCTCTTTCCTGTTGACAAATAGTACATCATCAATATCTCCTGAAAACATGTCTACTTCTGGACATTTAGTATAAGAGAAATGGGGCTTTGAAGTGTGTATAATACATCATCAAATAATATTTTTGGGGACTTGGAAATTCTGGAAAGAATTGAGAACCTATAGGCATCTGTTTCAATACACAAAGCTGAAGCAATATAATAGTAGTGTTTTTTAGTTCAAAAAGGTTTTTCTCCACTAATGACTGATAACTAAAATTGTAAGTCTTGTAAGACATGTTGAATTTCCAAATTATTTCCTTTGAACCTATACAAATATATAACTGATGATAAAAAACAAGAAAAGCCAGGCAAATTCCAGGAATGAGGTAGAAGAATATCAACAAGGACTCATAATCATATGTACCACTTGGCTTAGTAGTGACTCATAGTAATCATAAAGGTAAATATTAAATACTGGTTTAACCAGAAACCTATATAACATTAAAAGAGAGAGAAACTGGTATTATATAAGAGTGCTAATATTCATCTTCTATAATAAGTAAACTTATGAAATGTTAAGGTGGAGCATGGAAGAAAAACCTGTTTATTTTCACTATAAGTCTTGCAGCTATGTTCAATTTTAATTATTTAATACTTCACAAAAGTTTTAGAATTCAAATAGTACTGCATGATACTGTTATATATCATAATCCCAGTCTTTAAAAAGAGAAAATAATGTGCCTAAGGAAAAGAGCAGAAGAAATCTAACACAAATTCTCTTTGAGTTGCGGGATTTGGGATAATTTTACCTTACCTCTAGTGCTTACTTTTTGTGTGTTTTCCAAGTCTATCAAATATTTACTCCTATATTTTAAAACAAGATCAGTTAGTCAACCTTCTCCCAAGTTGGGGCAGGGCTGGGTACAGCATTCTCTCCAGTTTAGAGCCACCTTGTTTCTTTTCTTATGGTATCAGCCTGGACTCTGATAGTTTCTGTGTTTTCTTGAGTTGGTTCATGTTCTGTTAGATTCCAACTCTTTCTAGATGTGTCTATGCTATCTCTAAAGCTTTAATTGCCTGCTGAATTGGTTTTGAATGGACAGAACTAAGATTCTCCGCTCACTTATGTCTGATTCCTAAAGTCAAGACATGACAGGTGTTGGTTTTTCTTAGTCCTTTATTTTCTTTCAATTCTTTTTTCATTGGTTTCCACCCTGCCCCACTATGTTTTGGTTTAAGAAGCTATCTTCCCTAGGCTCATGTTCTTTAATTACTTATGGATTAATTATACCATCCCACAGAGGTTGTGTATACACTGTGGGCCTCTTAAAATAGCTTTTAGAGGAGACAGACATAAGCCCATTTGTCTATTAGACAGCCCAGGTTGCCCCACCCCTATAGATAGTTCCCTTTGCACACCCACCCCCCAGCCACCCACTCATCCACTGTAAGTAGCTCCCCTCCCCTGTACCATAGGTAGCTTAGGAAATGCTGTTTCCCTAGCTGGTTCTGGCATGGGTGTGCAAACTTCCCTGCCTGCCTGATGTTTGAGAATGGCATGTTCCTCCTATCAGAAAGATATTTTTCTGACTCTGTGAGCTCAAGGAATTTTAATTGATGTTTACAAGACTGGTTGGATATTCCCTCTCTCCTCTCTACTTCTTCATAAAAATGTGGAGTTTCAGGTAAGTGGATCCCTCTCCTGGAGCACGTTCCACAGTGCGTCAAATCATATCCATCCCAATAGAACATTTCACTGGAGGTAGGTTCAAAACATCCAGTCTCCTAAGTTCCCAACATCCCACAGGCAGTAAGCAAGCCTGTAGCTTGGAAAGGTGACTTCACACATAATGGAAGTTGGATCTGGTATTAGTGGAACCAGGGACATAAGTTGGATCCTGGGTAGACCGTTGCTGCTAGTGCAAACTCATTAGCAAGAAAAATAAATGTAATGGGATAATGGTTGTGGGGTTCTATTCCTGTCAGTGACAGTACTGATGGAAAATAATAGAGGTATGTTTACATTTAGATGTTGAACCAGGAGGAGGGGAATTCATTACAAATGCTACTTGCTAACTGTAACTTTTCACAATCAGTTTGTTTAAACCGGCAGAGACCCTGATTGAGAGCAATATCTAGTGCTGGTCAAAGAGGGTGAGGCCAAGCACATAATAGCCAGGCCTCTGTGTATATAGTTTTAAACCTATAAAAATTACTTCAGGGCTTGGCGCGGTGGCTCACGCCTGTAATCCCAGCACTTTGGGAGGCTGAGGCTGGCGGATCACGAGGTCAGGTGTTCGAGACCAGCCTGGCCAACGTGGTGAAACCCCATCTCTACTAAAAATACAAAAATTAGCCAGGCATGGTCGTGGGTGCCTGTAATCCCAGCTACTCAGGAGGCTGAGGCAGGAGAATTGCTTGAACCTGGGAGGCAAAGGTTGCAGTGAGCCGAGATTGCGCCACTGCACTCCAGCCTGGGTGACAGAGCAAGACTCAGTCTTGGAAAAATAAAAAAGAGAAAAAACTTCACGAAGACAAGACACATGAGGAATTGCTGACATACCTTATCTCCCCTTCTCACTTCTGATGGACAAGAGACTAGTCCTTAACAAGTTACTCTTATCTGTAAGGTCCCCCAAAATAAATGTGCGCACAGAAGACAACTATCAAGAGAACAGTTATTACTCAGAGCTCTCCACTGGGCCACGTGAAGCCTGTTGCCTAATTCTTCAAAAAGCTATCCTGATTTTTGTAAAGAAGTCAGTTGGGCATTTGTAACTTCCTGCTCTTTAGGACTTTGCTACTAAACTGGGGACCATGAATTGACAGAATAGGCATAACTCAGGAGGTTCCTAGAAATGTAGATGCTCAGGCCCTACTCAGGACTTGCTGAATCAGAATCTGCTTTGTAACAGGGTCCCCAAGTGATTCATATGCATGTTAGAGTTTGAAAAGAAGTACCCTAGGTCAGTGATTCTCAAGCAGATGCCCACTCAGGGTTTCTTGTTAGCCTTATGAAACAGAATGAGTCTGGAGATGCTAAAACTTCTCCTCAAGAGGACAGTGCCCAAAACTATGCCTTACCTTTGCAGGAACAAGATATGGAGAAGCTGGCCCTATTTTCTTTCATCAATCCCTTTAGAGATAGGGTCTCTTTTTTTCCCTCAGAAGAAGTCTGATGGCCAGTCAGGAGGAGACTTAATAGTCCTATCACCAGAGTCATTATCTAGTGTCAGTATCACTAGAGTTAAAATTATGAGCAACAGAAAACTGGTTCTCCATATCCTGGATGAGGGGCAGGGTTAGGGATGGGTGGTATAAGCTTGACTAATATGTATTTCCTGCTGTCAAGGATCTCTATTCCTTTCAGGAAAGGAAAGATGTTTTCATTCCACCCGAAAATAGTTACTTTCCTACTTTAATGTAAATAGCAAAAGGCTGAGGGATAGATGTCTGTGTTAGTCAGGGTTCTTCAGAGAAACAGAACCAGTAGGATGTGTGTGTATGTAGAGCCACTTAAGGAATAGACTCATGTGATTATGGAGGCTGGCAAGTCCAAAATCTACAGTTCAGGTCTGAATTCCTTCAGACTGGAAACCCAGGGAAGAGCTGATGTTGCAGTTCAAGTCAGAAGACCATCGGCTGGCCAGATTCCTCTTTGCTTGGGGGGAGTTGGTCTTTTCTTCAATTCAGGCCTTCAGCTGATTGGATGAGGCACACTCACATTATGGAGGGAAAGTCCACCAATTTAAATGTTAATCTCATCCAAAAACACCTTCAGAGAAACATCCAGAATAATGTCTGACTGAATATCCCGGCATTGTTTGCCCAGCCAAGTTGACATGTAAAATTAACCATCACAATCTTTCTTTGCCCACTGCCTTTCTTCGCTCACTGCCTTTCTTCATGCTCCTCTTGAGCAATGCTGGCTGCCAGAGCTGTATCTCAAGCCTTTCTTTAGAGCCTCTGTATTGCAGACTTGTCTATCCCACTGGTATTTCAAATTCACTATGGCCAAGATGTCTGATTTTTTTTCTCATCACCTGCCTACCCATAACCCCCCCCCCTTTTTTTTTTTTTTTTGGTATTCAGGACCACAGTCAATGGTATTCTTATCCAATTCATCATGTAAGGCAGTAACCTGAGAGGATCTTCAATGCTTTCATCACCTTCCCTTCCCCCATGTCCTCCTCCCCAGTGCCCTCATTACCAAAGGAAGATGTTTTAAGTACAGCAACACTTGCCTAAGAAATACCAAAACTAAATGTTGTGCGTCATTGCAACTGTCTGTAAACAGATGAAGTATTTTTGTTTTCAAAAAACTAAAACCACACTGTTTGAGTGCCCCTGGTAAGCCAAACACTGACTGGACCTAACTGATGATGCTTTCCTCACCAATGAATAATAGGAATTGAGTAAACCAACCTTGTCAGACCTATGGATTCATTCTATGTTAGCCAGAGTGCTAGTTTTTAATCCTCAATTAGTATAACCACTATGAAACCTGCTGCCTGGTATTTAAAAACTATTTTTTTCTCTCAGTGAAGAAATCAGTGCATTTCTTCAAAGGCATGCTTTCCTTTGCCTAGGAAGTTAATCGACTAAATGTCTTAGTCCATTTTGTGTTACTAGAACAGAATACCTGAGACTGGACAATTTATAAACAAAATAAATTTGGCTCATGGTTCTGGAGGCTGGGAAGTCCAAGATTCAGGGTCCGCCTGTGGTGAAATCCTTCATGTTGCATCATCCCATGGTGGAAGGCATCACATGGTGAGAGAAGGTGAGAGTGCACAAGGTACAGCGAGAAAAAGAGGGCCAAACTCTTGGGCTAACTAGTCCACCCCTGTGATAATGGCATTAATCTATTCATGAGGAAAAAGTCCTCATGACCTAATCACCTCTTAAAGGTCTTACCTCTTTTTTTTGAGATGGAGTTTCACTCTTGTTGCCCATGCTGGAGTGCAATGGTGCAATCTTGGCTCACCGCAACCTCTGCCTCTCGGGTTCAAGAGATTCTCCTGCCTCAGCCTCCTGAGTAGCTGGGATTACAGGCATGCACCACTATGCCTGGCTAATTTTGTATTTTTTTAGTAGAAACGGGATTTCTCCATGTTGGTCAGCCTGGTCCTGAACTCCCGACCTCAGGTGATCCGCCTGCCTCAGCCTCCCAAAGTCCTAGGATTACAGGTGTGATCCACCGCACCCAGCCAAAGGTCTTACCTCTTAAAGGTCCTATCTTTTAATACTGTTGCAATGACAGTTAAATTTCAACATGAGTTTTAGAGGAAACATTCAAACCATAGCACCCAATTTTGTAATTTTTAAACCTCTGGTGGTTTTATTTTATTCCTTGACATCCCTAATATTTGAATATCCAGGTCTATTGATGTTTTACCTTCTAAATATTTATCATATGCATTCCAAGTACCGTGAATCTGGTTCAACATGGACACATAGAGGGGAACTACACACACTGGGGCCTATTGGAGGATGGAAGGTGGGAGGAGGAAGAGTATCAGGAAAAATAACTAATGGATACTAGGCTTAATACCTGGCTGATGAAATAATGTGTACAACAAACCCCATGACACATATTTACCTATGTAACAAACCTGCACATTGTGCATATGTACCCCTGAACTTAAAACTTAAAAAAAAAAAATCTGGTTCAAATTGCCATGTCTTTAGGTTGTGGTAAATTTTTCCTAACTGGTTTCCATGTTGCTAACTTTATGCCTTAACTACTGTCTTAAATCTCTATGTTGGGTAGAAATTATATTCAAGATTCTAAACCACTTAACTAATCGGTGCCCTTTAAGAACTGCCTTTATTCCTCAGACATAAGTTTAAGATGCTAGGTGCCAGATCAAGAGAACCTCGTGTCTCATATTAACTCCTTGTCACCTTTAACTGAACTGCCACGTCTAGTCTTATAACTTATTTTCTGGTGGTACTGAATTACTCATAGTCCTCTGTGAAAACATGCCACAGCCTTCATGTAAACCACTCCTTGCTATTCCTTGTTTTATATGAGCTTAGTTGTAGAGGATGAATATAATTTAGCCAGGTGTTGTGTCAGGCAGGATCCCAACAGGAAACAGATGGCATACACGAATTAGGATCATTTAAGGAGGGTTTATTTACAAAGGGTTTAATTAAAGCATAGGTGGGGTGAAGAGGACTACAAGAGAGTGCAGGAACCCAAGACTAGAAGCAGCTACTACTACCACTAGGCTAGAAGAGATGAGGGGAAGGAAAGGTTGCTGGAAACTAGAATGAGAGAGAATCCTGTAGAGCAGGCCCATTGAGAGGAACAGATCTTCCGCAACAGGGCCAGGCCAAGGCAACATCACAGGAGGGAGTCCTGGGAATAAAAGCCTGAGCACATTTACCTATTTCCTTGTCATCTTGCCAACATTTTCACAGGTGCCTTTATCTTCTGGCTTCCAATCTATACAGATCAGCATCTCTGGACAGGGAGAGGTAAGGAAAAGGGTAGAAAAAGTAGATCTGGAGGGGAAAGGAAAATACCCAACGTGGGCTCATTCCAAAAACCTTGGGCCTTGATCTTTTGTTTTTCCTCATGTAAGCGCATATATTTAATCTCTCTTACTAGACTATGTCTCAAGGAAAGAGATTGCTTTACCCAGCTTTGGGTCCACAGAGCCCCAAACATAGGAAGTTTCATTGAGTTTAACTGGCCAGGTTCACCTATATCTTTTCCTATCCTTCCCTTGCCTTTGGAAGCACCCTTTCTTGAATTATTGCCTCTTGATTACCTTGTGCTTGGTGTGTCTCTCTTGGCCCCAGGCATGGTGTTACTACACTAGGCTTCATCTTGAATTGAGGTGGGGACCCTGGCAATCAAAGCCAACTTCTGCCAGATGCCCAGGAGAGTGAAGAGAAGAAAGCAGAAGGTCTTTTCCACGAGGTGGTCTTTTGCTGCCACCTTCTGGCATCCTTTCACTACACCCCAGATTCTCAGGAAATTGAATCAAGTCACACCTCCCCAGGGGAGGTGGGCCCAGGGGGAGTGAAAGAAGCAGACCTTACTCAAAGACAAGAAGGCTCAGCTGGCCCTGGTCTCCTGTTGGTTAGAGGGCAGCAAAAGCTAGCATTTCAAGAAGCAATAAAATACAATTTTTCTAGTCTTTAGATGCCGAAACCTAAACTTTGGTTTCATCCTCTTACTACAGCTCTAATTCAAAAAAAAAAAAAAAAAAAAAGAAATGCCAGCGACAGCCACCTCTTTGCCTCTCCACCAACTTCTGTACAACTGCCAGCACAGATATGGAGATATCCTACTTCTCTGCCATGCTTGGAGTGGTTGCCCAAAGGGCAGGAACTGACTTATAGGTTTTTAATTTTTTTATGTGTGGTTATATATATATATATAAACATAAAGCCATTGTAACTATTTTTAAGTGTGTAATTCAGTAGCATTAAGTACATTCACATTGTTGTGCAACCATTGCCACCATCCATCTCTAGAACTTCCTTATCATCCTAAACAGAAAATCTCTACCCATTAAACAATAACTCCTCATTCTTCCTACCCCCAGCTCCAGTAAACTCTATTCTACTTTCTGTCTTTATGAATTTGCCTATTCTAGGTACTATATAGAAGTGGGATTATACAATATTTGTCCTTTTATGACTGGCTTATTTCACTTAGTATAATGTCCTCAAGATTCATCAATGTTGTAGCATGTATCAGAATTTCATTCCTTTTTATAGCTGAGTAATATTCCATTGTATGTATATAAATGTGCAGAAAATATTGAAGGATACAATAAATAGCAAAAAATAAATGGTATAAAAATGTTAGAGAGATTAAGAAATTTTAATAACTGAAATTGCAGTTATAGTTAAACTTCCTTTATTCCCCTTCCCAATCCTATTCTCCCTCCTCCCTCCCTAAAGGTAATCACTACCCTGAAGTTGATGGGTTTCTTCCCATTTTATATTTTTATATTATATGTTTAGTTTTCCAAAACAATATATAGTATTCTCTTGTGTTTTTATATTCAATAAATAGCATACTCTATGTGACATTCTGAAGTTTCCATGTCTCACTGTTGTTTTCAAGATTTATCCATGTTGATGCATGTGGTTCTAGTGCATTTCATTTTACTGTTTTATCCTTTTAAGTATGTGCATGTGACATATTAGCCATCATCCTATTGCTGAACATTTAGGATGTTTCCAGGTTTTTTTTTTTTTTGCTGTTACAAATAATGCTGCCATGTATTATTTGTATCCTTACCACATTTCTTTGAGCACAGGCTTTTCCTGGGGTCTGGAATACATACCCTGAACTAGAATTGCTGAGCTACAGGCCATGCACATCATCACTTTTACCAGATTCTGCTAAATGTCTATTGGTACAGCAAAATAGCACTTCAAATTTGGACAGCAGTGTTTGAAAGTCCCAATTTTTCCATACTCATCTCCAATTAGTATTATCAGTCTTTTTACTATTTCTCAGTCTGTTGGATAAAAATGGTATAATGGTATCTAATTGCTTCAGTTTTCATTTCTTTGGTTTTTAGGGGAGATAAGCATCTTTAGTATGTTTATTAGTCATTTGGAGTTTCTTATCTATAAAAATTCTAAGACTCATTTATATTTTAGAGTTTGAAGGAGTTCTAAAACCTATCCGCCCAATGAAAACTTATTATGGGTGTTTACCTATTTCCTTTATGAAGGCTTATTTATGGGTGTTTACCTATTTCCTTTTAGTGAGAGAACTTCAATTTCATGTTTCAGGGCTTGCTGCCACCAGATGTCAGCACTGTACCATAATCTCAGAGCCCAGCTTTGCCGGAAACGTGTTTTCCGTGATTCAAGATGGTGGGTCTTAATCATGTTTGGTAATACAATTGGATTTCTGCACATTTGTGCAAATAACTTGTAAAAATTCAAATATACTTAAGTAAATTATATTCTTTAGAACAAAGTTTTAAAGCAAGTTGAGCCCTGAGTCTAAATATCTGCATACATATTAGATTTCTGATTTCTACTGTGTCAATCTTAAAATTAGATGGTAACAAAATGTTAAAGCCAACATCTTTCGAATGATTATGTGCAGAGAACTGAGCTAAGCGCTTTTGACATATAGCCACGTGATTCTTACTGCAGTTATGTAAGGCAGGCGTCCTCACCTCATCTATCAAAAAGGGATAACTGAGACATAGAGAGGTTAAGTCAGTTGCTCACTAGCACACAGCTAGTTAAATGTCACATCTAAGGTCTTTCAACACAGGCAGGTTGCTTTCAAAGTCTGTATTCCCTGCTATTATGCTACTCTGGCTCTCAACATATGGAATTCTGCAATCAGCCTGTGTCCAAATCCCCTAGGGAGTTTGTGCTTAGGGATAAGAATAAACTTGAGCTAACAAGGGGGAATCCTTTCTAAAACTGTCTCCTGGTGGTGGAGGCGCATCTGCTTATTTCTGAGGTCAGCTGTATCTTCTAGTAAGAAGGCTTTTTTTCTTTTTTTAATCTTCCTTCTTTCAAAATCAGTTTCTAAAATAATAACCCAATTTTTTTTTTCACTCTGCCTCTTGGCAAACTTTCTCTGAATTTTACAGCATCCAACAAAAAATACCTGTGTGCTAATGCTGTATGTGTCAGGGTATTTTCCAGCGTATTTGCCACCTTCCCGTTAGTACCTATGCTCACAATATACCTTCACTTGGAAAGAAGACATTGCCTTGTCTCTCTGCTTCTTATCTTTTGTGCTCACAACAGATTAGCACCAGGCGGATAACAGATATAAGAGGGTGTGGTCTAAATACTAGAGAGAAGTAGAGACACCTGACCCCTGCCTTCAAGCTTCGGAGTGCTCACTCCTCACTTTTCACCCCCATTGTCCAGTCACTGTGTTTCACTAAACATGGGGCAATATGATCTCTGCATGGGTAGCAAGAGTCTGTCTGTGAGCTTCTTGCCTCTGCTCAGTGGAGCTAGGGGTCACCAGGTTTCCCCTTCGATGAAAGATCAAGAAGTCTCTTGGGAAATAACTCCTCCAAACAAAGTGGATTGTCTCAACTGTCCTTCCTAATAACAATGCCCATGTTAATCGGGGTTGGGATGATTTTGAGTATTAACATGTCCTACTGCTCAGCCAGTTCTCCAATCTAATCCCCACTGACTGACGCTGAAGTCCTGGGGTGAGAAAACTACAGGAAAAAACTGGCAGAATAGCTGCATTGAAATGCTTTTACTCAGGATCTAAAACAGTGCAGCTTTGTTTTGGAGTAGCATTTAAAATGCCAAGATGAGGAAAGAGGAATTGTCTCTGCTTCTGAGGAAAACATAGCCCAGATATGGTAGAACAAAGGCTCTAAATAACCCAGTGAGTTGCCCTGTTATGTTATCTCACCCGTGGCAGTGCCAAGGCTCTCACCTATGATGACAGAGTTGTTATAAACTGAAGGACATTGCCTCTTGAGGGCATGGGTGGCCTGACATCTCAGCTACAGGGAAACACAGCAGAAAAAAGAAATGGCTAATGCCATGGAGTGGCAAAAAGAAATATTTCTGTGGGCTCAGGCAAGGTGTCCCTTGGAGACTCCTAGAAATAGTGCCTCTGTCCTTTCCTCTCCCTCCACCCCAACCCGAAGATCTTACTTTAGCAGGCATGGGAAAAAGATTCAGAGAAATATTACTGATGATTGTGATTTGTACAAGTCCATATTCAAATGAAATCCCCAGGAATCAAGACAGATCATACAAAAACAAATTAGAGTAATTTTCCCTTAGGAGTTCTTGTTGGGGTGTTCAAAACATAGCTTTACAAATCAACATTTTCTGATCACATTAGATTCAGGGAAAAAAAATAATGCCCCCCCAAGTACAATGCCCCAAGCTGCTCTTGTCCTTCTTCTTCTTCTTCTTTTTTTTTTTTTTTTTGAGACAAGGTCTCACTCTGTCACTCAAGCTGCAGTGCAGTGTCACAATCATGGCTCACTGCAGCCCTGATCTCCCAGGCTCAGGTGATCCTCCCACCTCAGCCTCCTGAACAGCTATGACTACAGGCACATGCCACCACACCCGGATAATTTTTGGTATTTAATATTTTTTGTAGAGACAGGATTTTGCCATGTTGTCCAGACTGGTCTCGAACTCCTGGGCTCAAACAATCCACCTGCCTTGGCCTCCCAAAGTGCTAGGATTACAGGCATGAGCCACTCCACCCAGCCCTCTTGTCTTCTTAGATTCATATTAGCAGAGAGTTTAGCCCCTCTCTCTCTAGGTTTTCTTCTTTGTAACAAGCACAAGAATAGTGGTTTAGCCAATCCTACAATCCTAAGGGTCCACCTTGCTGCACCCTGAGGAGGAGAAAAGCAAAGAAATTGCTTGGAACTCCAAAGGGTTCTACTTGTCTTGCCCTTGTGGGGGCCAAGGCCCTCACTGAAAAATCATGGACATGAGGCAGATTGATTAATAGGAGAAAAGGCATACAAATTTATTTAACATGTATACATGGGATCCTTCAGAAGGAAGATCCAACCCCCCAACAGAGTACAGAAGTTTATCTATTATCTCGAGGCAATAGAAAGAATGCAGGCTCAGAGCATGGCCCAAAACAGATATGTTGGTAAATCAGGTTTTCGTGGCAAGACAGGTCATGGGAGTGAGAAAGGAAGAGGTTTGGCTAGCAAAAGTAGTCTTGTTATATAGATGAAGCCTCATAGGTAGTAGCCCTCAGAGGGAATAAATTGTAAGTGTTTCTTTTCAGACTTTTAAAGTTATCAGACTTTTAGTAGACTTCTTCCAGATCCAGGAAAAGCCTAGAAAGGGAAGGCCTGGCTGCTTTAGTAGAGATTCTCTACAGATACAAATTTCTTCCATCTCAATCTTCTGGCTCTATGACAGCGATTTCAAAATTTGTCAAAGAAATATATTTTGGGGTAAAATATTTTGATTTCCTTTACCATGCAATTCAATTCTGTTTCTATTAAGTGACCTGTGATAGCTGAGGTGCTCTCTTTGATATGGTGCTAGAATCTCCTTTTACCCATATTACAGATTATCTCACATTTGCCTTGGTCTCCAAGTTACAGTTCTTCACTTACAAGGCTTTGTTAGTTAGTATCTCCACTCACAGGTACTTCTTTGGGGTTAAATCCCATGACCAGGAGAAGATTTTGTGTAGAATCTTCAGTTGGTCTTTTCGTAAACCCAGGACCATATTCTCTTTTGGCAATGTAAATACTGGTGCAGAAGCCAGCATCCTGATCAAGTCTCTTTCTATTCTCAGGAAAATTTTTTCATCAACGTATGGCTTTCTTTTCTAACATTAGGCCTCAGACAGAAATACTTCCAAACACCAAAATTGGTTTTAATAACTTTGACTCTCAAGAAATAGTTTGTGGCCTCATCTTCTTCTCTCATAGTAGGTTCCTGGAAAAATTTCTCACCACCTTCTCAGAAAGCTTAGAGAGTTTTACAGTTTGTAGAAATGGACAGAGGTGGGGATGCTGGGTGATTCTGCCCAATAGTTGAAAGAGCTGGAGCTCCAATGCTTCCTCCCGAAATGGTGAATTTCTACTTGCCTTGCTTCCAAACAACCAAAAGGGAGCATTGGATTTATTCCTTACAAAACAGGGAGACTTAATGTCTCTACTGCTATAAATAGAAAGGGTTCTTAGAGAAATGATGACTTATAAGTTATCAGGGAAAAAAACCAATACAAACCTTTGGGCTTATTGAGTACCCCACAAATTGTTATTTATAGAACATAAAGGAGGCTTTGGGAGTTAACCAATTTGTTCACTGTTGTAATTGTTGGTGTTGCTTGTTTTAGGCTCTCTGCTTTCCAAGCATGTGGTAGGATTGAACTTTCTTCTCCTCTGTGGTTGGGTGGGAATCATATGACCTAGTTTGGCCAATGAATTGTGAGCTCTTGTTAGTGTGAAACCTAATGGAGCTCTCCCTCTACCACACCTACTGGCAATGCTCTAAATGGTGGCTCCTCTCTTAGCTTGGGTCCTGAACTTGGGACAAAATAGAATAGAACCACAGTTAATCCACAAATAACATGTAACATAACCAAGAAATAAGCCTTCGCTTTTTGTATCATAGTCCCAAGAGACTAGATTATCCTAGTGGCTGTGGAGGCGTGCTTCTTGGATTTCCTTTCAATGAAGAACTTGCTGATCAGCTGCAAGGCAAGAAGGACAGCTAGCTGACAGCCTCCAGCTGCTTCACCTTTGGGATCCACTGCAGTGTTTGAGCGAAGACCATGTTTTTCTCAGGCAGCCCCCGACACAATGACTGAGACTGAGCATGGTGAGGATATACTAGGGCCTAGCCTCTCTGCCCAGTGTGGGCCTCTGCTATTGGACACCCTTTGTTTCTGTGCTGTCTATTGCGTTAACCACATTTGCATTGCATTCTGAGGTTCTGCCTGCCAGATTCTGTCCTCTTCCTTCTTTCCTTTCACGAGTCTGATTTTTTTTTCCTGCAACAAAAGCCACACTCAATCACGAGTCTGATTGGCATCATGATCTTTCTATGACTTTCTATGTCTACTCCTGCTTTCTCTCCAGTCATTTTTCACAGGCATTACTCCCCAATACACATCTTATACTGCTAACTTGTCCTTGATGTCTGCTTACCAGAGGACCTGAACTGATACCATTATACTATGGTAAAAGTCATCTACTTTGTGTACCTGGTAAATAGAGCATGTAGACTGCAGCATAGACAAGAAGGAGAAGAAACTATCAGAAATGAGTAGAGATGAAATAACATCCTTCTGGGAGTAATGGACGGTTACATTTAAACCATCAGTGATTGAAACTAGCAGAACAGTTGAGGGAGACTGTAAAACTTCGGTTGAATAGTTGCCTTGTCCGTGAATGTGTTGCCCCTTTTGTTTGAAGGGTGCTGCTCCAACTTTTCTTTCCAAGGTCAAACCCAACCTCTGACCCTTTTGTTATCAATGCATGCTCTGTCTATGGACTGTGATGTGCATTTGTCTACTACTTTCCACTAACTCTAAGAAGGAGAATCACGTTCATAATTAAAACAGAACATTAACTCATGAGGGAAAGGAGAAAAGCTCCTACCCTACAAGTTTTCTATTTAGAAAAACATACTGCAGATATATAGCATTTCCTAATAATGAGAAGAATCATTCATCTCCTCCACTCTCGAATGGTTATTATTTAGCTGGGAATGAAAACACAAAATAGGTCAAAAGGACATAATCTGCAGCTCCTGCACACAGCAATAAAAATAATATGCTTTGGGTTTTTATAATCATCTTAGGTAGCTACTGACTCATTAAGTATGATATGCCCTACAGGTTGTCCTTACTGACACTGAGCCAGAAGTTATAGCCCCATGCTTAAGTGTTTCACAATTACCTTCCTCAGGATGTTAATTATCAACTTGGATTTCTCTCCTGGATGACTCAGTAGGCTATAATAGCCCTGATGGTAAATACCTATGGCAGGGCTGCAAAGCAATCATCCACATAAAGAGGGACTGGGTCACTAAGATAGTAGAAATGGTCGCATAAATACTATTGCCTGACAGGTCTCAGGGAGGCACTCCCTCCAGCTAAGAGAAGCCGTTTGGCATATTCAGCACAATCTGCTTTACTGAACTAGAATTACAAAGGTCTACCACAGCTGCCTTATCTATAGGAAAATATGTCTTGCAAAAGAACTATTTTCCCTTGAATTCTGCTTCTCTTGCTCGTTCACTCACAGTTTAGTGTGCCAGTTGGGTCCTCCAGGAAACAGAAACTGAGATGGAATCAAAAATGCAAGCAGTTTATTGAGGGGTAAATGTCCGTGTGGAAAACAGAGAGGAGGCAGGATTGGGCAGGCACAGCTTCCAGACTATGATACTGATCCGACTCCTGAAGAAAGAAGGAAAAAAGCAGGACTAGGCAAAAGAGCTTCAGACTGCCATGCAAATATGACAAAATTTTGGCCAACCCAGTGGGGAGCCCCAGAGCAAAGACAGTTCATTAGAGAAGTCCCATGGTGCACAGGAAATGGCAGGGCTCCTGCCGAGCTCAGTCATCAGCTGGGGCTTCCCAGGAAGCATAGCCTTGGCTCAAAAGCTGGAAACTGTCAGCTAACTGCATTTTTTTACAGGGGAATGACAAGTACTTTCTTGGAGGGGGATACGAGTGGTACACCTCCCTGGCTGCTGCATGTCATGTCTTCTTTTTGTGAGTGCAAAGTGGATTCATTTTAGGGTTACCCTTGTGGAATACATAAATGCAAAAAATAACAACAGGTGTTAAATACGATCTTGCAGTCTTAAGGGTCAGGGTTTGAGATAAATGACACCAGGGAGAAGCTGAAGGCCTGGGCCTTTCTCCTTTTCCAGCCTAGTGTTTTGTGACCATCTGTAGTTCTATCACTACCAGTTAGACAACCTTTGGCAAATCTTTCCTAACTTCTCTGAGCCTTGATTTCCTGATGTATGATACAGGAATATCATTGAAAGATAATCGTGAGGGTTAAATGACAGGTTTTAAAAATTCTCTGTGCAAAGCATCTGCCATAAGTTTTTAGTGCATCTTCTTTTTAGGTGAAAGTTGACCTTTAAATTAAGCTCAATTAGCCTGATTAAGACCAGTTTGGGAGCTGGAGGTTCAAGAAGAGGAATGTCTGATTATTTGGGGATTATTAAAGTAAGATGTATTAATTAGTATTCACGTCTTGGGTTTCTTTCATTTGCAGCCCAAAATAAGATGAAGCAAAAGAGGGATTTATTGGCTTATGTAAACTGTCTGTAAGAGAGCCAGATATATTACTGGCTTCAGGAACCAGGAGTTGAAATGCTAGCTGACCCTTACTCTTCTCCTTCCTTCTCTGCTTCTCTCTTTGTTTCAGCTTTGTTCTCTCAGGCTATCTTTCTCCTTAAGGCAAAAATCAAGGCCCATATTTCTCTATTGGTGAAACTGGGAAAGTTACCACATTCATATTCATATATGTGAATCCTGGAGCAGCCAGTGAAATATATTTTCTTAATTCCAATTCAGAAAATCTTGTTATAGGCAATCCTCACGCAAACCAGATAGAATGGAGGAGGGTGGAGAAGTTTATCAAAAGAATGTTTTACCCAGAGCACTTTCTTCAAGATCATCACCCCAATCTAGAGATCTCTGCTATACTGTGTCATCAGCCCTCTTTCTTTTTCCATTTAATCTTTAGCAATGAGCTGTAGATTTCATGGTGGTGAGGGGACACATTTGTACTAGAAGATATTATGTGATCGATAATAGTCTTGTCTCTTTTTTTGAGACATAGTCTTGCTCTGTCGCCCAGGCTGGAGTGTAGTAGCACAATCTTGGCTCACTTCAACCTCTGCCTCCTGGTGCCTCAGCCTCCCTAGTAGCTGGGACTACAGACATGCGCCACCACGCCTGACTAATTTTTGTATTTTTAGTAGAGACAGGGTTTCACCATGTTGGCCAGGCTGATCTCGAACTCCTGACCTCAAGCGATCCACCCACTTCAGCCTCCCAAAGTGCTCAGATTACAGGTGTGAGCCACCATGCCCAGCCATCTTGTCTTATTAAGAAAAAAATTTTTCTTAATTTCTTACTGTATATTTTTTTCTCCCATAATTTTATTTCATTTTAATAGAAAGGCTGGAACTTAATTATCTGATGATATCTTAGGTAAGGTTACCCCAAAAGCCGACCCTGAGGCAAGGATTTGAGTAGCAGTACTTTGTTCAGGAGATTATATCAGTAGTTATGGATAAGGGACTGGAAAGGTAAGATGAACATGAAATGAGAGCAGATTACTTATCTGCGAGCACCTGGGCCTCACTTCTGTTGGAGGACTCTGGAAGATAGTTTTCTACATTCAGGGGGAAGAAGGTGAAAATGTTTGTCCGCCAAACTCTCTGAGTGATTGACTGAAATCTACTTCTGAGAATGCTGACTCTCTGATACTTCTAGCCTGCCCCAGCATGATGAATGAGAGGGTAGCAGCAGCCAGAGAAACCCCTCAGGCACAGAGTTACAAGTACCTTCAGTTGGTAGCTGTTGGATTGGCAGGTACTAGAATAGTAAATAATTGTCTATTGTTGCATAATAAATTACTTCCACATTTTGTGGGATAATAATGTTTCTAAGCCATTGTTTCTGTGTATCAGGAAATCAGCTTAACTGGGTGGTTCTGGATCAAGGTTTCCCATAAAGTTACATTCAAGATGTCAGCCAGGCTGCAGTCATCTGAAGGCTTGACGGGGGCTGGAGGATCCACTTCCAAGATGCATGGCTGTTGGCAGAAGGGCTCAGTTCTTTGCTGGCTGTTAGGAAGAGGCCCCATGTTCTTACCATGTGGGCCCCTCATTAGGGCTACTTGAGTATTCTCAAGATATAGCAACTGATTTCTTCAGAGTGAGCAACACAAGACAGAGCACAAGGAGAAAACCACAATGCCTTTTATAACCTAGTATTGACAGTCACACACCGTTACCTAGTCCTGCCATATTCTATTTTGGTAAGAAGGAAATCACTAATTCCAATGCACACACTCAAGGGGAACTTTATCATCACCTTTTGAAAGGAGGTATGTCAAAGAATTTGTGGACTTATTTGAGAACCACTACAGTGGATATGGGAAGATATAGGCTGGGCACCAATGGCATCTGCTAATGGTGGGTCTATATATCCTATGTTTTACCTGTCACCATCCTAGGTTCTTACATTTTCTCACAAAAGGCATAAAGGATGAGTGAATCTGTCTTCTTTCTTTCTTTCTTTCTTTCTTTCTTTCTTTCTTTCTTTCTTCTTCTTCTTCTTCTTCTTCTTCTTCTTCTTCTTCTTCTTCTTCTTCTTCTTCTTCTTCTTCTTCTTTCTTCTTCTTCTTCTTTCTTCTTCTTCTTCTTCTTTCTTCTTCTTCTTTCTTCTTCTTCTTCTTCTTTCTTCTTCTTCTTCCTCTTCTTCTTCTTCTTCTTTCTTCTTCTTCCCCTTCCCCTTCCCCTTCCCCTTCTCCTTCTCCTTCTTCTTCTTCTTCCTCTTCTTCTTCTTCTTCAGATGGAGTTTCACTCTTGTCTCCCAGGCTGGAGTGTGGTGGTGTGATCTTGGCTCACTGCAACTTCCGCCTCCCAGGTTCAAATGATTCTCCTGCCTCAGCTTCCTGAGCAGCTTCTGAGTAGCTGGGATTACAGGCACATACTACCACACCTGGCTAATTTTTGTATTTTTCGTAGAGATGGGGTTTCACCATATTGGCCAGGCTAGTCTAGAACTCATGACCTCAGTGATCCTCCTGCCTCCAAAGTGCTGGGATTACAGACATGAGCTACCATACCCCACCTCAACTGCTTCTTAAAATTTACTTTATCCCTTCCCAAACACATACACATTCTCTCCCTGACTCCTCCTCTTTACCCCCTGTCCCAACCGAAAGGTTATTTTTTTACCACTAGACAAATGGATCTCAAACAAATTACTTCTTCACATCAGAGTCTCTGTATTGCACTACCCTGGAGGCACCATCACATTTTAATCTAACAACTATGATGCTGAGCAGCTTGGTGGCATGCCAACCTCTATATTCCTTTGACTAAGAGCTCTGAGTTGTATATGTGGTCTGCCTAAGGATTAGTCCTTTAATTGAAAGAATGTTGGCAACTTTGGTCTCAGATTTTTTCTTTGCATATATAATTCCTTGTTGTCCCTAATATCACAAGTTTTCTACTTTAATACTATGTTTATTCCCTCTACCTTGTAGATCTCTATACCCCTTCTTTCTTCCTCTTAAATGTTGTATATTGTTTGGCATTTTCTGGAAATGAGTAATATAGGAGACAGAGTAAAACATGCTATATGACTATCTTTGACTCTGCCTTGCAGGGAACCCAAACTGAGACAAGGATTTGAATGTAGATGGTTTATTTGGGATATGATTTCATGAAGCAAGAGTGAAGAAATGGGGAAATGAGGCAGGGAGAGTGAAAACCTAATATATGGGTACTTAATTGAGGTAATTGCTATGATGAACAGGGTCTTGATTCCACCAGGGCTTCTGAAGAAGTATAAAGAATCTCATGGGTGGTCAGAGCTTTCATCTATTTATACATCACTCCCTACCCCCTTATTGTTTGAAAATCACCCCTGCAGACACTACCTTCCCACACTTTTGGGGTATGCTTATGTACAGGCAAACTACTAATATGAAAAAGCTTCAAAAAGTTCATGAGAAAATTTGTATTATGAAAAAATTATGGATGAATTTCAAAATATATAATTCATGTATTGAACCATATAAAATACATGTATTGTTAGTACTATAAGCTAGTACTAACTTTTGACAGGATCTAGTTTGAGACACTAAGAAGGATAAGATACCAGTTTGAAAAGAGCCCCTATTAGAGCAACATGAATTATGCTAAAATTGAAGCAAGAATAAACATCAAATTCATGGCAAAGCTTGGGTAGAAGAACGATGAAATCATTGTTGCTTTATGAAAAGTTTACAAGGACGATGTCCAAAGAAGTCAGCAGTTTAGAAATGGGTAACTCATTTTAAGAACAGACAGGATGGTGTTGAAGATGAAGCCCATGGTGGCAGACCATCCTCATCAATTTGCCAGGAAAAAAATCCATCCTGTTTGTGCTCTAATTGAAGAGGACTGATGATTAACAGCAGAAACAATAGCCAACACCGTAGACATCTCAACTGGTTCAGCTTACACTACTGTGATTGGAAAATTAAGGTTGAGCAAACTTTTCACTCGATGAGCACCAAAACCATTGTGCCTAGATCAAATGCAGACAAGACCAGAGCTTCCAATGGAAATTTTAAGTAAGTGGGATCAAGATCCTGAAATATTTCTTTGAAGAATTGTAACAGGAGATGAAACATGGCTTTACCACTATGATCCTGAAGACAAAACACAATCAAAGGAATGACTACCAAGAAGTGGAAGTGGTCCAGTCAAAGCAAAAGCAAACTGGTCAAGAGCAAAGGTCATGACAACAGTTTTTTTGAATGTTCAAGGAATTTTGCTTGTTGATATTCTGGGGGGCCAAATAACAATAGCATCTGCTTATTATGAGGGTGTTTTGAAAAGCTAGCCAAAGCTTTAGCAGAAAAATGCCCAGGAAAACTTCAACAGAGAGTTCTTCTCTACCATGACAATGCTCCTGTTCATTCCTTGCACCAAAACAAGTGCAATTTTGCAAGAGTTTCAACGAGAAATTATTAGGCATCTACCTTACAGTCCTGATTTGGCCCCTTCTGACTTCCTTTTGTTTCCTAATCTTAAAACATCTTTTGCATAGTGCAGTGGCTCATGCCTGCACTCTGGGAGGCCAAGATGGGTGGATCGCTTGAGCCCAGGTGTTCAAGACCAGCCTGAACAACATGATGAAACCCCATCTCTACAAAAAATACAAAAATTAGTCAAGCGTGGTGGCATGTGTCTGTAGGCCCAGCTACTCAAGAGGCTGAGGCTGGAGGATCGCTTGAGCCTAGGAGGTGGAGGTTGCAGTGAGCCAAGATTGTGCCACTGCGCTCCAGCCTGGGCGATAGAGCAAGACTTTGTCTCAAAAAAAATCTTTAAAGGACACCCATTTTTCTTCAGTTAATGCTGTGCAATGACTGCATTGACATAGTTAAATTCCCAGGATCCTCATTTCTCTAGGGATGAACTAAATGGCTGTTATTATCACTTAGAAAAGTGTCTTGGACTTGATGGAGCTTATGTGAAAAAATAAAGTTTATATTTTTAATTTTTATCTTTTAATTCCATTTTTCCATGAACTTTTTGAAGTTCCCTCGAATATTGGATAAGGCCCTAGGGCAAAAAGCAAAAAGAGGTGTGGCTTGAGGTGGGATAAAGGCAAAAGTGGGGCCTTTGCACAGAACTATTTATAATATCTTTGGCTGAAATCAGAGGTGAACATAGGGGATAAGGCTAGGGTACCAGAGGCATCTGCTATAATGGCCAAATAGTGGAGACTGAGACACTCCTTGGTCTAGATCAAATACCCTGATGGCAAATAACTGCTGGGGGTGGAAGTTGCTGAGACAGATTGGGCTGTGAGTTTACCTGGCAGCCAAAAGTCTTGATTCAGAAAGAAAATCATGAGTTTATCGATATAGCGGCATAAGTAGACTGTCAGAGTAACTAGAAGGCAGATGTTAGCAAGACACAAGTCAGCAAAGATACATGTACATAGATACAAGCAGCTCTTGGCTAGGAGAGTTGGTATTTAAAGATGGCTCCCTGTGAGGCCAGGTACCAGTCAAATCTGTAGTGGGTCTGCTAGCAGAGTTTGGTACCTGGGGGAGGGAAGCAGAGCCAGGGCAGACACTTGGGGCATTTCGTAAAAATAACATGGTCTAATAAGGGGGATGTCTGAAAACAAGAATATTGAAGTGGCACTATAATCAGTTCTGGAGGAATCTAGTAAAATAGAAGGAAAAGAGTATGATGGTTGAAGGAAATAAAAATATTTTACCGCAAAATATACTACTTTGACATATTTTGAGATGGCTGTTTAGAGAGTCTGCAAACAGAGGTAACCCTGCAAAGCTGTCTTTTGTGGAGGAGATTTGCATCTGTAGATAAAATCTGCATTGATACTTCCAGGTTTTCTCTGAGGGCCTTCCCTTGTCTGTATCTAGGAAAGATTAATTGAGAGTTTGACACCCTTACAGGTCTGAAAGAAACATTTACAATCTATATTCTCTCTTAGGACTGCTACCTTGGAGGTTTCATCTACATAACAAGACCACCTTTGCTAACCAGACCTCTTCTCTCTCTCCTATAATCTATCTTGCCACCCTAAACTGTTTCGCCAGGATTAAAGCCCATATTCTTTCTGTAACCTCAAGATGGCATATAAGCTTCTGAACCCCATTGGAGAGTTGGGGTAATCACTCTGGTATTCTCCTGTACATGTTAGTAAATTTGTATGCCATTTCTCTTATTAATCTAATCTACCTTTTGTCAGTTGATTTTCAATGAAACTTCAAAGGGCAAAGGAAAAGTTTTCCCTTGACCCCTACATGGTGGTAGTAGAGGGTTAAAATAAGATGAAGTCCTCTCCAGAAGGCAGGGCTAGATGAGCTGTGACCACATTTCTGGGTATCATCCTCAAGAAGCATGACTCTGCATAAGAGTAACCTACAGCTAGAATTGTGAGGACTGGATAATTCTATATCTTGGATATTTTCTAACTGTCTATCTCTCCCCTTCTGCCATTCTCTAGTTTAGGTCTCCATATACTATTGTGACTGCTACAGTAGGTAGTTAGTCAGACATGAGCAGGGCAGGGAACACCCCCCCTCCCCCCACCACCCCGCACCAGGAATGTCAAGCAACCATCAGGAGATAGTCAGGCAGTTGTTAAACTCTCTCTAAAAAAATGCTTCGTTGCAGCCGGCACCAGGGAAAGGCAGTCTCCCAATGGATAGAAACACCTGAAGCTGGTGATTAGCAGCTTCCCAATAAGATCTCAGGATTTGGGCAAGTGGGATCAAGCATGTGCGCTAAGAGGCAAAATGGCAGAGTTTAACTGACATATAATCTTCCCCTAGGAACACTCAACTGCTAAGGGGAAATTGCCTCAAGTGAGTATGTGCACAATTTCAGTAAACACATGCAGCCCCTCCCGAGCGCTGGCAAGCCACTGTGCAGGCAGACAGCCCATCCCAAAGGAAGAATTGGGGGAGAAGGGATGCAACCCCCTGGAAGCCTGCCAACATATAAAACCCCAAGTCAAATGTCAAATGGGCACTTGAATTTCTCAAGTCATCTGCTTGGCCCTCTTCCAAGTGTACTTCTTCTTGTTCCTGCTCTAAAACTTAAATAAACTTTCACTCTGCTCTAAAACTTTCCTCGGCCTCTCACTCTGCCTCGTACCACTTGGTTGAATTCTTTCTTGTGAGGAGGCAAGAACTGAGGTTGCTGCCGACCCATACAGATTCTCTGCTGCTAACATGACCATCTTCTAACCAGTCCCTATCCCAAGTCTTGACTCAATCCTTTCTTCACAAAGCTGCCAGTGTAATCATTCTAGTAAGTACAACTATCATATTATTCTCTTGCTAAAGGTAACTCCCAATCATTATTTGATAATCAGATTAGCCATTGTAAGAAAGTTTAAATGTTTTTCTGAAGGTTTGATAATCTGAGTCTATGAAACAAACTGATAATAGATTAACAAGAAAAAATACACACATGTATTACATGTGCATGGGAGTCACACATTATATAAAAACTCAAAGGTAAACTGGTTGATGCTTTCATCTTCATACCATCTTGAGGTTACAGAAAGAACAGGGGCTTGGATCCTGGCAAAACTGTTATGGTGACAAGACAGATTACGGGAGTGGGGAGAACAGGAGGCCTGGCTAGCGAAGGGGATCTTGTTATGTAGTTGAAACTTCATAGGTAGCAGCCCTCAGAGACAACACATGGTAAATGTTTTTTTTGTTTTTGTTTTTGCTTGTTTGTTTTTCAGACTTTCAAAGGTGTCGGATTATCAGTTAAACCTTCCTAGATCTGGATGAGGTGGCCTAGCTGCATCAATGCAGATTTTCTCTCCTGATGCAAATCCCTTCACAAAAGACAGCTTTGCAGGGATACTTTTGTTTTCTGATTGTCTGAATATCCATGTCAAAATACGTCAAAGAAGTATATTTTAGTGTAACATATTTTCATTTCCTTGACCATCCTCTACTCCAGGAAGCCCTCATAACCTTTGGACTAAATTAGCCTCCCTTCTCTTTATATGGGACCTGGCTCATACCTGTACTGTATTATCCAAAATATACTGTAATTGCATGGTTGAACCTGGGAACCATATCTTATTTGACTTTCTGTCTCTAGTACTCATTTTAGTCTCTGAAATAAAGAAGGCTTCACATTTTACAATAAGACAAAGAACTTACTTGTTTCCCAAAAATGTTGCAAGGCAACCTTTCTTCCTTTTTTGGATAGAGTTTTTTCCCTTATATTTTATGATAAAGAAAGGGGTTTCCCTGGCAGAGTGACTCATGCCTTGCTGGAAACATTCACAGAAGCTGACCCCTGGTCCTGTTGGTAGGGCCTACGGAGGCAAGTGTCTAGGTGATGGTACCTAGAGGACATAGCATGGTACTGACTGCCCCCAAACACCTCCTCTCCATCTCTAACACATGACTCTTACTTTTTTTTTTTCTAGACAGAGTTTTCACTGTTGTCTCCCAAGCTGGAGTGCAGTGGTACGATCTTGGCTCACTGCAACCTCCGCTTCCTGGGTTCAAGTGATTCTCCAGCCTCCGCCTCCCGAGTAGCTGGGAATACAGGCGCCTGCCACCACGCCTGGCTAACTTTTTGAATTTTTAGTAGAGACGGGGTTTCACCATGTTGGCCAGGCTGGTCTTGAACTCCTGACCTCATGATCTGCCCACCTCGGTCTCCCAAAGTGCTGGGATTACAGGCGTGAGCCACCGCGCCCGGCCGACTCTTACTTTTAAAATACCATCTGCAGATAATTTAAGACAATACTCTTAGGAGTTTGTTTTAAGATATTCATAAAATTTCTGTTCTCTTGAGTATAACAGGTTAAGCAGCCAATATTTGTTACCACATCAAGCTACTATCCCTCACTTTGCAGAGAACAAGGGCAAGGATAGATGACAATGCCTTTATATGAGGGAGAGGGGTAGGGAAAGGATAGTGTCTGGCGGTTCTCAAAGTACAATCCCTGGACCATCAGCATTTAGAATGAATTAGAAATGCAAATTCTCAGGCTTCACCCCAGACCTGCTGCTTCAGAAACTCTGCCTCTGGGGTTCAGCACTCTGTGTTTTAGCAAGTTCTCCAGATGATTCTGATGCATGCTAAAGCTTGAGAACTTCTGATAAAGACACACATACACACAAAAGCTAAGCCAGATTTTTCACCCAATCACTTTTCAGCTTCACAATTCAGGACAGTGTTCCTGGTGTCCAGCATTGATTAATCAATTGGGAACATCTGCCTTGGCCGTGAGATGGGGAAGGGGATGGAGGTTGCACATGTCACTTGCAAGGGCATACACAGTTAAGCACTAAGGATCTCAGATAGAACAAAAGGCCTTCAGTAAATAGATACTTGAGATGTTAGCCTACCATTTTTCTCTTAACCAGGGCTGCTCAAATTTCATCTGTGTATTAATCCCCTGGGATTTTATTAATATGCCGATTCTGATTCAGTCTGCCTGGAGTAGGACCAACATTCTGCATTTCTAACCAGCTCCCAGATGCTTCTCCTGCTGCTGGTCTTCAAACTATGATTTCAGTATTGAAACTGCCTTTGCAAAAGCTATAACTATGAGAAAATTATGACAGTGAAAGATATCCAATCTAATCAACCCCCATCTTGCCTTTAACCTCTAAACTGCCCTTAATCCTTCCTGGGCCTGGGCCAAGCTAACCTTGGGAGACATTTAGTTTATAGTATAAATGATAATAGCCCTTTCCCAAAACTAAACCTCTTTCGTAAAACTAATGAAAGGCCACCAGGTTAGGAGGATGAGAGGACCCTGGCTTCTGCTGAGGTGTAGACATAAGTAATTACCAGCCCTTATTCCAGAGATATTCCACAAGATATGCAACTTTCCCAATTACTTCTGTGGATAACATCACTATTGTAGATTGGCCTTTGGAGATGTCTTTTCAGGTTTTTGCATTTCTGACAATGATGGCTCCACCCAGACCTGCCCCCTACGCACCCCCAAAAAAGAAGGACCACTTTCCACACACCCCTTCCCTTGCTCGCCAAACTATCCTTGAAAAACCCTAGCCTCTGAATTTTCAGGGAGATTGATTTGAGTAATAACTCTCTCCCACATGATGTGGCTGGCTTTGTGTTGATTAAACTCTTTCTTTATTGCAATGGCATGGTCTCAGTGAATTGGTTTTGTCTGTGCAGTGGGCAGGAAGAACCCATAAGGTAGTTACAGTACCAAGCCTCTAAACGTTATCGACCTTACTTTTCTGAGTCCCTGCCAAAATATTATTTTTAGCAAAAATAGACCAAATGTTATACCATTTTACACAGAAAAATACTGAAAGGAGTGCCACCTGGTAAAACCCTCTACAGGGCAACTAACTGCAGAGTTGTGAATGTACTTTTTCTGCAGTGCTTACTGACTGCTCCTGGGCCCCTTGGCTCTGTCAGATCCGCATTGCAGTACTGCCAAAAAGAAATCCTTGGAACCTTCTCATTTTTATTTCTGTTTATTCTAGCCATTGCTTTCAAACTTCGGTTCAATGCAAGGTGGGAGCCAAAATGGTAAACAGCATTTAATGACCGATGTTTTTCCCTTCTCTCTTCTCCCTTTTAAATAAAACCTACCTGCTGTCAATTACTGAGTACTTCTAGGCAGGATTAGAAATGTCACTAAAATCAGGTCAGCACCACTCTGGAACTTTATCTCCTTTTTCCTTTGTGTCTTTTGTTTCCCTAGGTTGCTTAAGTTATTCTATTAGGTCTTTTCCAAAAAAAAAAACCAAAAAACAAAAAACAAAACTCAGTCACCATGGAGTACAGCCAGCTGTGGTAGTAGCAATCAAAAACCTCTTTGCATTAAGAAACAACAAACAAAACCTCTCTGCTATTGTTTTTCTTCCCATAATATTCCAACTCACATGGTATATGATAGAACGTATTTCTTTCTTTTCTTTTTTTCTTCCCTTCTACCTTTCCTCTGTGTGTTCCCCCTCCCCCGTCACTTTCTTTTTCCCTTCTTCTCTACCTCTCTGTTCTCTTTTTCTCTTCCTCTCACCCTCACTGATTTTTCCCTCCCCTCTTCCCTTCTCTCTTTGTTTCTCTCTCCTGTCCTTCCTCGTTATTATCCTGGAACGTGTGATTATAAAAATCTTTCTTTCTGCTGATGAAGTCAATGCATGTATCCAAAGTCTGTCATTGCAGAGTCACCTGAAACCAAGTTCAATGAAGCCTGAGAGAGTTCAGTCTCCTCATCTAGTAACTACCCTTCAAATGAATGCCCCAATTGTTTGTTTTAAATTAGTGAATTGTTATTAACCAACAACCTGAAATCCACTACTTGTAGCTAGAACATAGAGTTTCCATTAATGTGGAACAAGTGCAAGATGCTTAAGGTAGCAGCATGTTTATCGCTTTTCATTTGAAGGCACTAGGTAATGAGGTGGGATGTACAGCATCTGCCATTTCTGTTTACAGCTCACATCTCATGATGTGAGACCAAGTGGCTCCATCCAAGTGAGGGGTGCAGACATTAGCCTCATGCTCACAACCTAGAATGTCTTCCTGACATGATGAAAGTGTTGATTGTAGCTTTCTTGACAAACAAATCCTGAGCCTCTGGGAGCTGTATGAATGTGTGCATAATATCAGTAACAGCTCAACCAAGTACTTCCACCAGGTCCGAGGCTCAGAAGCCCTTTGGTGATATTTATCAATACAATAGGGGAGCAGAAAACAAGAGAGCTGTCAGAAATGCTCAGTGCCTTGCCTTCCTGCAGGCTTGCTGGGAGGAAGCCTCCCTGAGGTTTTCCATTTTCTCCTTATCCTCCTAGCTGCACTTTCTCCTGCAGAGCTTGTTAGAAGCACTGGCCAACACTTCTTCAATTGCGTGAGGCTTCAGACCTGTCTTCTATTAACCAGCGGAAATAATGTTTTCTATTCTGCTGCACAACCACAGGCCAACTAGAAGCAACACACAGGCAAGGAAGTTGACCAGTGTACAGGCCTTAGATCCTTTTTATCTATTTTCTTTGTCAATTATATTTCTAAGTACTTTGAAAACCCACACACCTTGCCTTGTTTTACAAATGATGGCCTGGCCTCATGTGCACATTTAATATACGTAAATTTTCCTGTATGTGTGCAGCAAAGAGGGATGAAGGAATGTTATGTATCTTGGAAATGATTCCAAATACTTCCATAGTTTGCTATGTGAGTAACATGTTTTGCTGTGCAAGAACTTGGAATATACTCCTTCTTCCCCTCGAGCATGTGATGTCTTATCAGACCTCATATGAGAGACAGAGAGCGTTTGCTGTGACCAGGCTGCTCTCTGTCAGCCACTTCTCTGATACCTGAGGTTTGCTCTGTTAATCTTTGAGCTTTGAAGCCTTGCCCACCAATACTGGTACTGTCCTCTAGCACTGAGGGGCCTTACATGTCCTCATGGATCTCTGTTACGTTGAATGCCATCGCTCCCAAAAAACTGCTTGTAACCAAAAGGTATAACTCAAACTTTCATTTGATGTTACTTTCCACAGAGGCCTGCTTCCATCCTGATTGAACAACTAGACTTTAATAATTTTGGATCTCATTCACTATATGCTTAATGTCCCTCATCTATTGAGTGTGTTCCCTGTGAGATTTGTTCATGTTATTCTCCCCCTTTATAAGCATTGTGAACCTAAGGAAAAAAAAATTCTCTTTTTATGGCAATAAACTGTGTGATTAATGAAATCACATTTTGATAATCTCCTTATTGTGATCATACATAACAAGGAAGGATTTAAACACTTCAAGAAATTTTGCCCATCCTTCACTCAAGAGGCATGTGCCCCAGATTGAGACTTCCTGAGGGGACAGCAGATTCTAGGCTTCTGTCTCATGTTCCTTGCAATGTTTCTTGCTTCACTGAGTCTGATTCTAGTATTTAAAGACTCAGCATGTATTTTGAATACAGTGTAGCCCCTGTGTGCAACTGGGCTTTATGGAAAAATTCTGTTTCTCTAAACTGAAGTTGTAGTGGAGTAGTTAAGAAAGAGCATAGGGACTGAAATCAGACTGACAGGTCCCAAATTCTGGCACTAGCTACTTGCTGTTTTAGCCTCAATTTCTCCAACTCAATTTCCCATCTGTAAAGTGTGGCGAATGTTGTAGGGGAGGAAAAACTTTGCCCTCTTAGGTTCAAGCACTGGGCCTGCAAATTAAATTGACAAAAGAAGAAAATGTTTACTATGCATGCATGCAGGAACTTTATTAAAAAAAGTAAAAATCCAAAGAAGTGGTTAGACTTCAGACCTTATGTACCATTATAACAAAGGTCAATAAATTATGGAGAAGTGACTAGACAAAGCAAAAGTAGTTTGGATTTTTAGGGGCAGTAAATAGTGGGAAGGTAAATATATGGGAAAAAAATTAAAGAAGATAGGGTTAATTAGTAAGCTTTGTTATGCAGACTCAAATCAGGGCCATCTCCAGTGTCTGTGGTGATTAAGAGTCATTCTCCTCTTCCCAGTGCTGGAGAGAGGAGGGGGGGACACCTTCACAAAGGGAAACTTACGCCCTGCTTTTAGGCAGAAGCAGGGAGGATAAAGAATTCCTATTCTCGCTGGGCGAGGTGGCTCACGCCTGTAATCCCAGCACTTTGGGAGGCCGAGGCCCAGGCCGGTGGATCATGAGGTCAGGAGATCGAGACCATCCTGGCTAACATGGTGAAACCCCGTCTCTACTAAAAATACAAAAAATTAGCTGGGCGTGGTGGCGGGCGCCTGTAGTCCCAGATACTCGGGAGGCTGAGGCAGGAGAATGGCGTGAACCCGGGAGGTGGAGCTTGCAGTGAGCCGAGATCACGCCACTGCACTCCAGCCTGGGTGACAGAGCGAGACTCCGGCCCCCCCAACACCCCCAAAAAAAGAATTCCTTTTCTCTTCTTGCTGCTTCTTAATTGCCTTTAGCTCAAAATAATCCTTATGCCAAAGTGGCATATTTTGGGCTGGCACAATCCGATCCCCTTCATTGTGAAGTCTAAAGAGTAAGAATTCCAGAGGGTTGTTATAAGGATTAACAGTAGTAAACATTTTATAAGTACTCTTTTTCCCTTTCAGTGAGGTAGAGGAACAGGCTCTAAATCACATAGCTGGGGAAGTATGTACATGCTCTTTAGGGATCTCTGGGGAAATGGAGTGCCTTCCTCAACAACTTCCCTACAGAAGCCTAGGTGGAAAATCAAGTAGTCATGGGGAGCAAGGCCTCACCTCACCAAAGATCTTTTATTTACCATAGGGGCTTAGAGTATGTTGGTGGTGAGACAGCTTGGCTGGTGGTTAGGTGGGATTGGGCTGAGCAGATGAGGAATGATGATTCACTAAGTAATCTCTAACGGCCACTTCTCTTACCCCCACTGCAGCTATTTGATCATAATATTCCTATGTTCTAAAGACTTTCATCCATAACTGGCTCAAGCTAAGGATTAGGTTCAGCCACAGGTGAAGTTGTTTTTCTTAATAGCACCTTGTCTTGCTCTCTAATCAATATTTTGGGCCAGGCACGGTGGCTCACACCTGTAATCCCAACACTTTGGGAGGCTGAGGCAGGCGGATCACAAGGTCAGGAGTTTGAGACCACCCTGGCCAATATGGTGAAACCCTGTCTGTACTAAAAATACAAAAGTTAGCCGGGTGTGGTGGTGGGCCCCTGTAGTCCCAGCTACTCGGAAGGCTGAGGCAGGAAAATTGCTTGAACCCTGGAGGCGGAGGTTGCAGTGAGCTGAGATCATGCCACTGCACTCCAGCCTGGGCGACAGAGCAAGACTCCGTCTCAAAAAAAAAAAAAAAAAAATTATCCACTCATTACTCCAACTCCAAGAGGTGCGTTGTATGCTATTTATTAGTATTTCCATGGTAACCCCAAGCCTCTCAGATACTCCTGTCATTTAAACTGAATCAATCCGGAGTCTCTTCTCTAGGGACTCAGCTCTGAATCTAGCTAATATGGTAAACTAAGGCCTGCTGATGTATTAAAGAGGGTTGTTAGTGAGTTAGTTTCATCCAGGGCCAGCTTGAGGTGGTATAGTTAACCATCTACTAAATTATTTGATGGCATAATTTTTCCATTCTTCTTCACCTGACCATTCCCACTGGGCTGTTGAAAATGGCCAGCATTTAATTCTGAAAATGTCCAGCATGAATCATTTATTTGGGTTAATAAGCTGTTGTGTGTGGCCTGAAAGTTAAGTTCTTAAGCAGGGATGTGCTAGAACAAAAAGGAGATCTTAACAAGAGCCCCTTTTTCAAGCAAAAGCTACCCAGTTTCCATGGACACTTGATTTAGGGTGGGAAGACAACATAGAGAGTGTTTCTTTTGTACTTAATAAAGTAACTCCCCCCTACTCCCGCCACCCCCCCCACCCTAAGCTCATTTCTCTCAAAGCTACCTATGCATATCAGATCAGGAACATTCACAAAGTACCTTACCTCAGGGCGTATTCTCATGTGAAATATTTGGAATAACTAAGAGTGTAACTGGGCTACTGGACTGTTAAAATTGAAGTTTCTTTTCCACTCCTGTATATTGGAGGATCTTTCTTATATATTTTTGGTGTACCCAGCCTCAAACTTGCTCTTGCTCCTGGACCTGCTGTCCACCTAGATATGTCTTAAAAGCAAGGATGTACATTCATCATTCTGAATGTTTATTCTATACAACAAGAAAATTCTTAGTTGACTTCCAGAAACTTAAGTTTAGCTCCAAATGCCTCAGGGCTAGGCAAATTGTCCTCTTACAATTTGTCCTGAGATAATCTCAGTGGAGGCTTTGTCATGTGGAAATAAATGAAGACCACTCTAATGAAAACAAACAAAAGCTATTTATTCAGAGCTTGCTATAGCAAGAGAGTCAGCCACCATCACTTGGGTTTTGGGATAGACTCCAAGGTGGGCAGAGGAGTGGGAAAGCTTTATGTTGGATAAAAGGGTAGGTCTCATGTATGCCCTGATTAGATGCTATTGACCTGGGGAAGTTGTGAGGGGCTAACGAGAAGCATGGCATCTTATGTAATTGGTTAGGGGTGCATATTTGTTTTTCTCTGGTCCTAAGTTGGAAGAGGGGACAAATGTTAGGGAATCTATCAGTTATTAATCAAGTTCTGTCTACTTTGGGCTGATTGTGCAGGGATTTCTATTTAGTTTCCTGGGTTGTTATTAGAGATAGCAGTCTGACTTTCTACAAGTCTGACTTGTAGATAGCAGGCTGGCTTCCTGGGCTGGTTACTGTAGATAATTGATTGGTTTCCTGGGCCTGTTACTCTAGATTGTGGGTTAGAGTTCTATTTTATATATGATATGGCCATTTTTCTATTTCTGTTCAGTCTCTCAGTTGAGAGACACAGCACATCATATCTCTTTGAATAAAGTTACCTGATAACTTTCCACGTGGCTTTTTCATACACTCTGCATTTACTTTGGGAAATAGTTCCTTTTATAAACCCTGTAGTGGATGCTATACTAAGTTGTCAGGATTCCCCTTCAGGATGGGAGGATTTATTCCACCAACTGCCGTCAGCTGTCAGTCCTGTCCTCTCTGGGAATTGCCCTCTGCTGAGGGAGCTGATAGGATGCCCAAGTAATCCCCTGTCCCATGGGCAGCCAATATCTAGTGACTGGTCAAAGCAGGAGGCATAAAGGCCCAGCCTCCTCAGCCCAACTTGGGACAACTCTGAAGGACTGCTCCAGCTTCGTAGCTCCTGTTAGAGTCCACCAAGACCTTGGCTGAGATGGCATTACCAACCCAACTTCTCCCTCTGCCCAAGTCGGCTTCCTTTTCTTTCCCAAGTTTTGATCCTCAGAGCATTGCACAATAAACTTTCTGTTTGCTAATCTCCATCTCAGAGTCGTCTGCTTCCTGGGGGATATTACCTATAACAATTCCTCTTTAAATTATCCTAATTTGAGTGTACCATCTGTTTCCTGCTGGGACCCTGGCTGGCACAGGATATTATGTTTATTATTTATCCCATTAAATGCAGGCTCATGATTCACAACAGGACTTTTTTCTTTGTTTTTCACATAGACCAGGGGATTTGGGGTTGTTCCGACTGTGGGAATAGGGTGTGTTGAACATACTTTTTACTTATGTATTTTATCACCTTTTTTGGTCTGTCACATTTTCATACCCCCCCCCCAACACACACACACACACAAACACACACGCACACATACACACTCCTTTTATAATGCCCAATGTATTTATTGAGGATTCAGAGCTTGGTGGAATTGAGGTACTACACAGAGAAGGGACAGAAGCAGCATTATCTTGTTTTGGACTTGCACAAACACTGTCAAAGGCAGCTGAGGTGCCCTGATAGGGTACAAAATTGACAAAACAGCTTATTTGTTGCCATGCTGCAAGTCATTTATACTGTGGCTTATATAACTATTCTGGAAGAACATACACCACGAATCTGTGTAGTTCAGTTTAGGGCAATTTTCACAAACATCAGTCTCTCCTGGTTCTTGAGCCAAGTTTAGCACCTCTAAGACAACATCATTGTAGGAAAGACAGCAGGATCAGCACCCAGCTATCTGTGAAAAATATGTCCATATCCAAATTCTTTTAGCTCTGGAAAGATATTTTTCTACAGAGTTTGGCCTGTCTGAAAGGCAGAATTATAGCACAGTGCTTTAAAGCATGGGTCCAGGAAGCACAGACTGCCTGAGTTCAAATCCTCCCTTTGCTGTTTACCTACTGAGTGGCTTTGGGAAAGTATTTAGCCTCTCTGTGCCTCAGTTTCCTCATTTGTCAAATGAAGAAAATGATGATAATATCCATCTGATAAAGTAGTTGTGCAAATTGAATGAGTTAATCTGTATAAAGCCCTTAGTATAGTGCCTGGCATACAGGAAGCATCATATTACTATTATAATGTGAACTTCATTGCTTGCCATGTAGAATTTTTAAGTTTAGTTTGTAGTCAGATCCGTCAGTATTTCCTTTTTATTTTTTCTTTAAGGTAAGAAATTGTAGAGGAAGAAAAATAGACAATCTGATCCTAACACTATTGGCCTTTATTTATATTTTCCTCTAGCCTGTTTCTCTAAATAATTAAAAATATGTTATAGCAAATAATAAAATAAACTTTAAAGACAAGAAACATATACTTTGGGCTGGGTGTGATGGCTCATGTCTGTAATCCCAGCACTTTGGGAGGCCAAGGTGGGTGGATCAGTTGAGGTCAGGAGTTCAAGACCAGCCTGGTCAACATGGTGAAACCCCATCTCTATTAAAAATATAAAAATTAGCTGGGCATGGTGGTGTGTGCCTGTAGTCCCAGCTACTCAAGAGGCTGGGGCAGGAGAATCGCTTGAACCCGGGAGGCGGAGGTTGCAGTGAGTCGAGATCGCGCCACTGCACTCCAGCCTGGGCAACGAGTAAGACTCCATTTTGAAAACACAATACAAAAAAAAAAAAAAGGGAAAGAAACATATACTCTGTTTCCTCCCAGTCCATCAGACAAAGTTTTGATATTCTTAATATATAACGATAACTGTAAATTAATAAGAAAGACAAATAACCCAATAGACATGGGCAAAGTGTATGTACAGGCAATTAACAGAAGAAATATCAATACCCAATAAACATATGAGAAGGTAAGTAACTTCACTAGTAATGCAGAAAATGCAAATGAAAACAAAAATAAGATCCCTTGCTACCTACTATTTTGGCAAAACTGAAAGGAAGTGATTGAACAAGATTTCTGCATTCTCCACTCCTCTCACCCTTTGCCCCAGACTTCCTCTTGTGTTCCAGAAGCTATACATCTTATATTCATGCTGGTACATGGTATTAAAGTGAAGCATTTTTTGTTTTAAACTGAAAATTTTCTATCAACATCTAAAATTACATTATTTTTTAACCTCCCCCTTTAATCTGCTTTTCATCTTTGCTCCCCCCATATCTTTTTGCTGAATTTATTAGTAAACTGGAAAATCAAGCAGAGCAATTCACTAATTTCTTCAACTATGTCCATTCTGCTATTCAATTCATGTATTGTTATTGTCATAAATCATGTTTTCAATTTCTAATAACTGATTTCATCTTTTTCATAGCAATCAGTTTTGTGCTTCTGAGTGAGTTTTTCTCTTTAACCTCATGGACTGTGGCTGCTGTTTGGGACTTTGGGTATTATGATACCCCTTTCATATTTCACATAAATTCTCCCTTTTATTTAAACCATTTGGGTGGGTTTCTACTACTTGCAATCAAAACAATCCCTAACTAGGACAGGAATCTTATGGAGAATCAGAAGTGGGAGAGATCACATCTAGTTAGTTGAATGGGCAAAGACTTTATGTGGTGGTTTATAACATTTACTTTTCTGGATGGATATGACTCAAACTACCAAAAATGAGGAGCGTGTTCCAGGTTGAAGGAAGAGCAGTAACAAAAGCAGGCCAGTAAAGAGTTCTCAAGAGCAGGAAGCATTACAATTTGGCTGGATCTATCATGGGGTAGGTAGAGTAGTGGTGGTGGAGGTGGAGGTTAATGGAAAAAGGCTAGGAAGGTATTTTAGGGACATTATGTTGAGGGCTTTCAATGCTAGCGAGAAGACTTTGCAACTAGCTTGACATTGAGGAGCTACTGAGAGGTTTTGAATAAAAGCATGGCATAATTAAAGTTATTGTTCAGAAAGATTAATCTGACTCCAGTGTGCAGAATGGGTTGGAGTAGGACTGAGAGCAGGACAAGTGGGCAGACTATGGAATTAGTTCGAACAAGGTGTAGTGAGTGTCTGAACACATGGAAATATTTCACAGTCTATATAGAATTTGAATATTTAGTTTAGAAAATAGCACATACAAAGGAATAGTTGTATTTTCATATTCTAATAATCAAGCAATATGTGATACCAGATTGTAGCAATAAAATGCAAAATGGCCAAAAATGTAACTCCTGTTGTACTAAAAATGAGTTCACTTATTACCCCCTTTAAACATTCATTTAACAGTTTCTCATGATATTTCAACAACTAACGTCGATAGCATGTGTGAAATTAGAATTGCATCATTTGGCAAGTTCCTCAAAGACTTAATCTTTAGAAATGTTTCTTAAAATGAGTTTCTAATTTCTCTTCTACAGTACTCAGTTAAACAGTATTTCTGTTTCACTTTTAGCAAGTTTCAGAATAATTGTATTAATTTTGCTCTTGAATAGTTTCTGGGAAAATCTGCACTCTGAAGCTTTTCTTAACTTTAGAAACCCAAGGGAATTGAGGCATAGAGAACATAAGTGTAACCCTCCCCTCTCCAAATAGAGCAGGTAAGCTCAAGAATGTTAAAGTGAGCATAGGATAAAAGAGTTTAATTTTCTTGATAAGAGCACAACTACCTGAGTTTTCTTTTTCTACATATCAGTACTGCAAGGACTGGAGGTAAGGATGGGGAAAATGCATAGATTTTCAGAGCACAGTGGTTGTCATGTTATGCCACTCAGATAAATCTCCTCATCCTTCCAGGGCTTAGGCACTAGTTTACCTCAGTCCCTAGGAGTGCTATAAGTCCTCTCTGAGAATTGACTTTGGCTGAAAACAAAAACTGCCTTGCTCAAGGTCACAACCTTTTCTGAGGAGCAGTTCGTTTCCAGTGAGTAGTTTATTTGGGGGGTATAAATGCCCAGCCCATCAATCCAGCTTGGGGAAACTCTGAAAGACCATCTCAGCTTCAGAACTTCCTGCTGGAATTGGCTGAGGTCTTTTGTATACATTTTCTATTGTTGGATGTAATAAATTACCATAAATTTGTGGCTTCAAATAACACAAGGTTGTAATCTTATGGTTTTTGGAGATCAGAAGTCTACAGTGGATCTCACTGGACTAAAATCAAAGTGTCAACAGGGCTCCTTCCTTCTGAAGGCTCTTAGGGAGAATCCATTCCCTTTCCCTTTCTAGCTTCTAGAGGTCATCTGTAGTCCTTGGCTTGTAAACTCTTCTATCTTGAAAACTAGCAGCATATCAGGCATCTTATCTTCTCTCAAACCTCTGCTTCTACGTTTATATCTTCTCACTCTGACTCTGACCATCCTGCCTCCTTCTTTTCCTTATAAGGACCCTTGTGATTATATTGGGCCCATTTGGCTAATATAGAATAATCTCCCATGTCAAGATCCTTAACTTAATCACATCTGCAAAGTTCCTTTTTGCCATCTAAGGTAATATATTCACAAATTCCAGGGATTAGGATGTGAACATCTTTGTGGGGCTGGGTTGGGAGGGAAGTGGTCATCATTCTGCCTACCATGCCTTTGTTGGTGGCTGTATCACAACCCAACTTCTCCTTCTGCCCAGTCCAGATTCCCTCACTTTCCCCACAGATGTTGATCCTAAGAGCACACCCTAGTAAACTTCCCGCACACAAAATCCATTTCAAAGTCTGCTTCTCAGTGAATCCAACTTGTTACACAGAGCAATCCAGGAGGTTAGGAGAAGAGGCTGGTCATGGACTATACATTTGTAGTAGAGTTAAATTGTAATTATTCCTGAGAGCCTTGGCAGACCAGAGGCTGACTCAGAATTCCTTTGGACAGCACCCTGTCTTTACTTCCTGAAATAACATTCGTTAGCTCTCCAGAGACTTAGATCTTATTTTAAAGCAAGGGACTTAGTTTCTTCTTGGCTCTTTCATGTAGGAGATTGTCCCACATAATGCTGAATGAAAATACCAGGGGTTTCAAGGAGGAAACTAGGCAGGAGGGGTATCACAGGTTGGGTTTTCTGGGAAGCAGATTTGAAGATGAAGAATAGTCTGCAGAAAGTTTCTGAGAGAGTACCTTTTGGTGTCAATATCTATGAAGGAAAGGGAGGAATCAGGAGTAGGCAGAGGGAGAGGCTGGGCTGCAATGCAGTCTTAGGAAATGACTCAGCCAATCCCATGGAGGAGCTCTGGAGCTCGGATGGTCCTTCAGAGGTGTACCAAGTTGGGGCAAGGGGACTGGGTCTTTATACTCCTGTATTAACCAATCGTTGGAAATGAGCTGCCCTCAGAAAGGGAGGAAAAACTGCCAAACTGTTTTTGCAAAGTGGTTGTATGATTTTGCATTCCCATGAGCAACATATGGGAGTTCCAGTTACTCCACAAACTCATCAGCAGCTGGTATTGTCAACTATTATTATTTTTAAAAATTCTTTTAGCCATTCTAGAGTGTGTGTATCTCCTTGTGGTTTTCATTTGCATTTCCCTAATGATGAATGATGTTAAATGTCTTTTTCCATGCTTACAGGTCATCTGCCTCTCTTCTTTGGTGAAATGCCTATTCAAGTCTGTCCAGTTTTTAAACATTTGGTGGTTTGTCTTACTGCTGAATTTTGAGAGTTCTTTATATTCTAGGTGTAAGTTCCTTATCAGTTATGTTTTGCAAATATTTTCTTCTGGGCTGTCAGTTGTCTCTTCAAGAGATGTTCTTAAGAACGAGTGATAGTAATCTCAACTCAGTGCCTAGATTTTGAAGGTAGGACAAGAAAGGAAGGACCACGGTGGGGAAAACTGGAGTGGTCTAACTGTGCCTCCAAGGAGTGTATCCAGGAAGATCAGCCAGTTTTATAAGACACAGTTTTCTGCTTCTATTGCTACAGCACATGGCACTGATATAGAATTACCAAAAATAAATACAGCAAATTATAACAAGCTTGATTGTGAAACTTTGAATTCCCTCCTACTAGGGAGATTCCTGCCAGTGAAAATAGCACTCACGTAATGCTAATTATACAAAGCAGTTTTTTACTCTGTATGTAGTTAGGTAAATGGTAAGATGGTACTCAATAAATAAAATCAACTTTAAACAGAGAAGCTGCTGCTCTGAACACGCCTGGGTGTAGACAGCAGGTCGTCTTAGTTTTGGAAAGAGCCTGCAAGCTGCTCTGCATAGGTATACACATTTGAGTTGGTGCTCATTATTCTGAGAAAAGTCCCACACAACCTTTTGTCTTCTGACAAAGTACACATCTCTCATTACCCCCTGCATGCTGAGCTCAAAGTCATGTGAGAAGTTCTAGCTCCAAGGAGGCAGACACCCACTCTTCTCAAAGCTAATTAATTTGTGTTCCCTAGAAAGCAGAACCTGAGACAAGGCTTTTGGTGCAGAGGGTTATTGGGGGGAAGGGATCTCAGGAAGCAAGTGTGACGTTATGGGGAAAGTGAGACAGGGAAGGAGAATAAACTGATTAAAGATGTAGTGAATGATGTCACTGCTATTGCGTAGCTCTCCTATACTGACTGCCCAATTTCCCGGCTTCTATGGGTTTTGCTCTTAATGGATCAAACGTGCAGCCTTCATTATAGAAGCATTCTTGAACTACTAGAATTGCCTTATCTGGAGCCAGTGAGAATCAGGAGTGCCTGGGGGTTTATAGTCCTTTGGATCCCCATGCTCCAGAGTGGCCCATAGCCAATGGCTAGTACAAAAGTGTGAAAGCACAGCTGCCTTGCCTCCAGGTGGGACACACTCTATGGTGTGATTTACATTGCAGAATTTCCCAAGGCTGGGATTCACCTGAAATCTCTCTTTGTTTCTTTCTTCCCTAGCCCTGCTCTGTTTCCCCTACACCCTTACTGCTCTCTCCTGGGAACACATCCTTAATAAATTGCTCACACAAAAATCCACATTTCAGGGTCTGTTTCTGGGGACAGGACCAAGAACTAAGGATACATTATGGAGATTGCCTCTGTGGGAAATGGGAT
The DNA here is from genome assembly GCF_000001405.40 of Homo sapiens. Lineage (NCBI taxonomy): Eukaryota > Metazoa > Chordata > Mammalia > Primates > Hominidae > Homo > Homo sapiens. The sequence goes on along the minus strand of NC_000023.11, from coordinate 43,527,380 downwards.
CGTTATTCTTCCAGGACATTCTGTAAAGCATACAGAAACCCGAGCTCCCCCAACCCCACATTGTCTGAGGGCTGGGAGGCTGGAACATTTATCTCCTGCTTGCAGCCTCCTATTGGTTGAAGGTTAGACTTTGGGGGCTGTTAACTTCTCTGTATTCTTGGCTGGGATATTGTTGTCCCTGTGAATAAGGCTCTCAAGGCATCAGAAAAGGATTCAAGGCACCAGAAAAGTCCCCCAGGCAGAAAGTGGAAAGTTGACTGTGGAAAGCCGAAGATGGGACTTCTGAGCTTGAGTGTAACTGTCCATGGTAGATGTGGGTGAATTCAGAGGTGGGCCAAGGAATGTGATATAAGGCATCAGAAGTGTGTGTTAGGGTGACCTAGCAAGTATAACCTAAAGAACTATAACCCTGTGATCCCCCTGGACAAGGCATGACTGAAGTCTGTGCTTTAGCTAGTTGAGTGAGCAATGGACAGAGTTCCACAGTTATACGATGTAGCAGGGATAGTGCAACAGCAACTGGAAACTAGGGTCAGCTTGTCAAACTAGGCTGTGTGACCCCTAAAGATATATCAAGATATCCCAAGGGATTTGTTTTAGTCAGCTTGTGTTGCCCTAACAGCATACCACAAACTGGGTGGTTTAAACAAGAGACATTTATTTTCTCACAGTTCTGAAGGCTGGAAGTCCAAGATCAAGATGCCAGCAGAATTGGGTTTTGGTGTGAAATTAAAATAGAATCCTAAGCCCCTACTCTTGGCCAAGGGGATCCCAGAAAAACTGAAAACTAAGTTCCCTGGCCATGAAAAGACAGAGGTTTGCTCACACCTCAGTACAACCCCTTCCTCGCTAACCTTTCCCAGATTATTTCCTGAGTTAAACAGAAACCAACCCTGAAAAAAACAAAAAACAGAAGATTTGTTCCATCACTGACTTCATCCAATCGCCTGATGCTGCAACCAGACTCCCTTCCCTTTTTGTGGTTTTGACACAGCAAATGACCAGTTATACCTTGTGTTTCTTCCTTATGTTCTTCTTTCCATGGACTGGTTTTAGCTGGTTTATAAAGGTTGTACACAAGACACCTCTGTGTTCTTTGTTTCACCTTTTGACATATAGGGCCAAATTGTAATACATTTAAATGTTAAGTCTCCATCCCAAAGTGAACATGGGATGCGTGTAACATATATATTTGCTTATTATGCATGTATGAGTTCCCCCTTCATGAATATTCATATCTATACATATTCATATTGTCTAGATACGTATACTTGGCTAATCTGTTCAGCATAAATTCCTGTCTCACTCTTCCTCCCTTAAAGTGTCTGCTTTTGGTCTTAGCTGAGGCTCCACTTCCCAGCTTGCAGACTGTAACCCTTTTTATGAAATAAAGCTCTTCTTTCCAAATTTATAGAGTTTGTGATTTTTTTTTTTTTTTTTTTTGAGATGGAGTTTCGTTCTTGTTGCCCAGGCTGGAGTGCAATGGCGCCATCTCGACTCACTGCAACCTCTGCCTCCCAGGTTCAAGCGATTCTCCTGTTTCAGCCTCCCAAGTAGCTGGGATTGCAGGCATGTGCCACCACGCCCTTCTAATTTTGTATTTTTAGTAGAGACAGGGCTTCACCATGTTGGTCAGGCTGGTCTTAAACTCCTGACCTCAGGTGATCCACCTGCCTTGGCCTCCCAAAGTGCTGGGGATTACAGGCTTGAGCCACCTTGCCTGGCCGTCTTTGTGATTTTTAAGTTGACACTCATGAGGCCTCTCTTCCTGGCTTGCAGATAGCTGCCTTCTCACTGTGTTTTTACTTGGCCTTTTCTCTGTGCATGCACACTCCTGGTGTCTTTTCCTCTTCCTCTTCTTATAAGGACAACAGTTATGTTGGATTAGGGCCCCACCCTTATGACCTTGCTTAACCTTAATTACTTCCCTAAAGGCCCTATCTCCAGATATGGTTACATTGGGGGTTAGGGCTTCAACATATGAATTTGCGGGGGGAACACCGTTTAGTCTATAACAAGTACATGGGCATGGGAATTTTGTGAGAATCAATTTCTAGACTCTAAATTCCCATATGTACTATTTGCTAAAAATGAGAACATACATGCAATCAAGTGTCATGAAGATTCTCCTTTCTACTTCTCCTTTCATAATTGTCCTTTTCCCACTTTACAAAACACAGGCTTGCCTTTCACCCATCCCAGATTTTACTAAGGTGTATTGATTGCCGTGGGATGTAAAAACATCCTGCAAACCAACATATAGGCAATTAGACATTAGACAATTAGACACAGCTTCTTTTAACCAAGGTATCATAAGCCTGCTATTAGGTTTCATGTTTTGCTCTGGTATACACATTCTCTTAAGGATAAATTAAGAAATTGGAGTGAACATGGGGTACTTTAGCTCATGTTGGAGTAGTCTGAATTTAGTTACATATTTAGACTGGAGAAGTAGAGGTGATGACAAATTTTTTTTGACAATGTTCAGGGGATGGGAGAGGCAAGGGCTTTTAAGAATGCATACATTATTCTTAAGAAAGAGTCTGAAAGAAAAGGAAAGAGAGTGTTGGAAAAATGACAATGCCATGCCTTATTTCACCCAGGTGACAATAACAAGGCTTCATAATATGAATATTAAATAAAAGTTAAAGTATTATGAGAAACATCAATCTTTTACAAAGCTCATTTTTCTGCATTTTCAACATTCTCAGTAATTAGATAGAGAATGAAAAATTTCATTCATCTACATCTTAGTGTCTGTTTTAAGCTCCAAGGATTTGGTGAAAACAACATTTATTTACACAATAAGATAAAAGCAGTGTATAAAACCACAACAATGTTTCAATTTTTCCAGCCCCTTCTGTGTATACAATATTACAAAAGGTGCCTCTAAGTGGAAGAGTAACACGGATAATGAATTGCCATGTTGTACGTTTAAGTAGTCTTTTAAAGTATACTTCCCACCAGAAAAATGAGAAAGTGAATGATTGATTTGACTAGGTAAATCCTTTTGCAAGTCATATACTTTTCAATTCTTCGTTTTCAAGTAATTTGAAAGAAGACCTAATAAGATTATTAGCGGGTACGTCATTAAAGATGCTTTCTGGAGCTGGGTGTGGTGGCAAGTGTCCATAGTCTCAGCTACTCAGGAGGCTGAGGTGGGAGGATCACTTCAGTCGAGGAGTTTGGGGCTCCAGTGCCCTGTGATCCTACCACTGCACTCCAGCCCAGGTGACATAGGGATACTGTGTCTCTTAAGAAAAAAGATGCTTTCTGATTAAATAACTACTATTTGATTTTTGCCATATGAATTGGAATGGAGTAACTTTGCTATAATGAAACTATTTCTATTCATTTACTTGTCTAGGTGAGCAATATTTTTCAATTCTTACATCTATAAACATAATACAAATTTACTGCAACCTTTTAAAAATACCAAGTATATTATTTAGTTCTCTCATGAAAGGCCCACTCTGTGCACAGGTCTGACTTACTCTGTAGAGACTGAAGGCAAGAGTGGGAAACAGTTCCTGTCCCTGTACTCTACCTTTTTTTTTTTTTTTCGCTTGTTTGTTTTTCTTTTCCTTACTGTAAGACAGGAAGGCACAGCCCAGGTTGTTTTTCTACTAAGTATGGGCCATAGGGAGCCTGTGGACCTGTTCACTAATTACATGAAGAAGTGGCAGGGAGTCATTTTATGACACTCTTTCTTTAGACAAAACAGCACTAGCTCCACTGCTTTGAAATAACTCTTGGCAAAATGCTTTTAATACAAGGCCACAGTGTTTGCTATATAATTAGGGAGCTCTAAGGCACCAATAAGAATGTAGTAATGTATATATTTCCTTAATGGTTTTGAGACTCTAACACTTTCAGCATCTTTGATTGTAAATTTTCTAGGAGAGCAGTCTTTAAACAACATACCACTCATAATAACCAGCCCTACATTAATAGATCTTATTTATTTAAACTAGGAGTTGGTAGAATTTTCCACGACCAACTAAACTTTACTTGATCCTTTTTGTTATACTTTATATAAATGAGAGCTCAGCAATATAATTATGTATTCATTGTACTCATTAATATCTTAACACTATTAAAGCGAGAAAAACAGTGGGAAGTGCCTTGTTGTTACAGTAAGTTTTAATTTTTAAAAGAACTTGCACTCATTGCAAAGAAAATGTGAAAGCTAAGTTGATGGTAAACTAAGCTAGTTGATTTTAAGTGATTCTGAGAGAATGAAGAAGAAAGAAAAGAAATCATGCCATATTTGACTCCAGAAAATAAACAGCTTCATCATACATCAGTGCCCAAAATATATACAAGTGAACATTAGAATTGCAAATGAATTGGGGGAGGAAAGAACTGTCTGCTTTTACATAATTTTCTTTTGCACTGGGCTAGGGGATTTTTTTCCTAGTGTAAAAAATGGAATCTAATGAATCTGATTCTACTTGAAAAAGTGGAATCTAATAAACTTGATTAATTAGAAAAAGGAATGGCATTCATGGCAGAACAACATCTTATCACAGATAAATTCTTAACTTGTAAAGCATGATGCCTTGTATGTGCATATATTCAGGTTCCAAAGTCTTGAAATTTACATTCTGATGAGCCACGGTCTGCCTGATTAAATGACCAGGTCTTGGGATACTGAACTCTTATCATTTGATTTTAAATTCCCCTGAGAGAATAAACAATGATCAATAACTACCTACTTCATACTGCCTCCTAAACACTGATCTCATTTTTTAAACAGAAACTAAATGCGGATTTCTAACACGATTATTATTACTGTGTTTTGGAATTTTTCTGCCAACCTCATTTTGAATGTAAGCACGATGTAGCTCTTTCTTTGTCTATTTAGGGACTAAAATGAAAGTTAGATGAAGGCAAATCTGGGGGGAGAACCCACCTCTTCTAAACGTGTGACTTCAGGCAAGTCACTCTAGAATTCGGGGCTTGGATTTGGAGCTTTATTACCATTTACAAAAGATTTAATATTTTTATTCACTTTCAATGTATTTTTATTCACTTTTCAATGTACATTGGATTCAATGTACTTACACCTCAATGTAAGACCTAGAAGAGATCACTTGACTTCTTTTTTTTTCACAGATAGCACAGATAAAAGGGCTTGTGAAAATGAGGTATGGATGCCCACAATTAAACCCTCTTTACTTGGATGAATAAAGCATCTCAGGGTCAATGTAGGTGACTTGGCATCTGTCCCTGTGCTCTGGTAACTCAACTTTAGCTGCAGTATAGCTGGGGGAACCCACCCTCTGTAGAATACAGGGCCATCTTTAGTGTATTTTCAATTTGAGGAACTCTAGATAAAAATGGAGGAATAAAAAGAATGTTACCTAATGACAAACTAAAGGAGAAATCCCATGAAATAATGAAAAGACAACATGTGCTCTGCATGTAAATGTGAGGATGCACTGGGCAGTGAGGAGAGAAGTGAGATCCACACTTGACATTCAGAATGAGAACCACCAGATTGCGAATAAGGACCCGGGGAGAAACACTGGGAAATTTCTCTCGGAAGAGATATGGCTCTTCTCTTGCTTGAAAACCCTGTATTATCTTCATTTGAGGGAGTTAGCCTGCAGGGGAATGCCAAGTCTCATCAAAACATTCTCACTACCTTCCAATACTTCCTGACCTATAACTGGAGTCCAGTCACAGCACACCCAATGAGGGCCAAGTGCTAAGACTGAGTGAAAAGGAGAACACTTAAACATTGGCAAAATGTCAAGGTTTTAGCTAAATTGTATCAGCAACAATATGAGAAATATGTATGAAAATGAATTATGAAGGTTCTAGACCAAGGGATGTGAAATATATCATTGGCTAAGTATACCTGTTGTTAATGAATTCTGCTTCATCCAGAAACTTAACAATTTGGACAATTTAGAGAAACTGGACTGCATATATTATCTGAAACAGCTGGGAGTGGTTGACTAAAATCTGAACTCAAGAGTGGGCTATACAGACAGTCCCTGACTTACGATGGTTTAACATGATTTTTTTTTGACCTCTGGATTGTGTGAAAGCAATTCTCATTCAGTACGCTCTTCGACTTACAATAAGGTTATGTCCAGATAAACCCATTGTAAGTTGAAATATCATCACTTGAAAATACACTTTTGACTTACGATAGTTTTCAATTTATGATGGGTTTATCAGGAAGAACATTCGTATTCAGAAAGATGCCTGAATTCAGTAAGCTAAGATGCCAGAAGTAGCCAAAAGTAGCCTGAAGAAATCCAAAAGCTCAGAGAGTGTAAAGAGTGTAAGGGGCAAGGGAAAAACTTCTCCTTGGCCCTGTGAAGGTTCACTGAAAATCAACTGACAAAAGGCAAATTAAATAGAAGAAAAGGCATACAAGACTTTACTTTAATATGTATAACATGAGGGAATCCCAGGAGAATGATTACCCAGTAACCCAGTGGGATACAGAAATGCATGTACCTTTTTCATAGGGGAAGGGGGAAGATAGGGCATGTAGACAACGCTTTTGAGGAGTAGTAAATGATTATTAGGGAGAATAATGGACAAAAGTTAACTTGTAAATGATTCTCTTTGGAATTTGAGTCTGAGAGGCAGGCATTATTTTGTGAAAAAGTGTCCAGATGTGGTGGCATTCCTGTCTTCTTTTCTGAGATGGATAATGAGATTTCAAGGAAGGGAGGAAGGCAACTGTTTCTTTTGAAAAGAAACTTTCCTGGTCAGATCAGGGACATTCCAGAGAAAGTCTCTCCCTCTACTTTGAGCAGGTGGAAAAAGACAAGGCTAGAGGGATCTTGATTCTGAGGCAGCTTCTAAGATTTCTCAGCATATCAAAGCATCAGTCTTTGAAGGTATGGTTTTCTGAGTTCCAACAAGAGATAAGAATGTTGGAGTGAGTTTATTGTGTGCCCCACCCCACCCACCTCTCTCACTATTTCCTCTGGCAAGATGCAGATGACATACTCCCTTCTCAAGGCACTGAGAAATCCATGGGCATGGGAGCTTCAGAAGCTCTTTCATAGCTTTTTTCTTCAGGTTAGCAATCATGGTGGAAGATGCTGCTATTGAACTGAGCTTCCTCATTTAATTAGGAATGATGGGATCCCTGAATGATAGAGGCCAAGGGAAAGCACTTAACCACTAGAGAAAAGGTGGGTATGATATGCTTTGCATTTGTGTCCCCGCCCAAATCTCATGTCAAATTGTAATTCCTAATGTTTGAGGTGAGGCCTGGTGGGAGGTGACTGGATCAAGGGGGCAGATTTCTCCCTTGCTGTTCTCATGATAGTGAGTGAGTTCCCACAAGATCCGATTGCTTAAAAGTGTGTAGCACTTCCCCCTTTGCTCTCTTCCTCTTGCTCTGGCCATGTAAGACATTGCCTGCTTCCCCTTCGTCTTCCACAATGATTGTAAGTTTCCTGAGGCCTCCCCAGCCATGCTTCCTGTACATCCTGCAGAACTGTGAGCCAATTAAACCTCTTTTCTTTATAAATTACCCATCTCAGGTATTTCTTTATACTGTGAGAACAGACTAATACGGGGTGCAATTACCAAAATGGCCAGAGTCAGAGTGGCAATCAGTTTTGTCCTGTAGGGATCTTTGGGGATGGTTTATTGATCTCAATGTCCCTAAGACTGAAATAAGTTATCAGCCTGTTGTCATGGTTCACCTTCCTCAGGACCAAACTCTGATACAAAATTTGCATTACGAAATTTTCTTGGGAAATGCTCTTGGGATCAGTACCCATGGGAAAGTGAAGGAAGCAGCACTAGGCAAAAAAAAAAGCTGAGATGGATCTGCAGAGTGTTCCGATTTGGAGCAAAGGTGCCTGGCTTTTATGCCTCTGTACTGACCTGCCATTTGATATAGGCTGCCCCCAGCAAGAGGCATAATCTTGGGCAAGCAAGTTCTGTCCTCAGGCCCAGGCAAGCTCCAAAGAAGGACCTGGCTGAGATGTTGCTGCCAACACCCTCATCAGTTGTGGTAATGAATGCTCCAGTCTTAGAAGAAGGGTTGGGCTTGTGAAAAGTACCAAAGTACCCACACACCTACTGAAGTTTTATGGGATCTATATAACCAGGGGGAAAAATCTAGGTCTAGTGGAGAGAGACCTGACTTGAATTATTACAGTGAAAATCATGGTCTCTCACTCTGTTCACAGACCTGAGCCAGGTCACAGAATCAGAACATCTTGAATAAGGGGATATTGGGTCCCCTAGAAGAAGGATCCCTATGATATTGCCATAAGCATATATTGTAAATTTGTCTCTAAGTTTTCCTCAGGCAATTTAGAGCCATTTATCAGGGACCATGGACTGGAGAATGGGAAGTAGTTACATCAAAGATTACCAGATAGTGGCTCAGAGTTGAACCTAGTCTTGGAGTTCTCAGATGCCGCTGTGGCTCACCAAACAGAATGGTGGCTAGAGGTTAGGTGACTCATAGAATTTCAGGCTGAGAATATGATTATTTCCCCAGATTTGGAATTATGACTGGGATAGACATACACAGAATATGACAGAATCCCCACATTGTTTCCCAGGCTCAGACTGAGGGACATTACAGTAGGAGTAGCCAATGAAAACCCCTGGAACTTCCATTTCCTACCAGGATAATAAATCATAAGCAGTATTACTTCCCTAAGGTAACCACAAAAGGTGGTGTCACCATGAAAAATTGAGAAATATGGTTCCTATCACATCACCACTTAACTTGCCTATTTATCTTCTGCAGAAAGCATCTGAGTCTTAGAGAATGGCTGTGGATAATCACACAGTTAATTGAGTGCTGACTCTCATTTCAGCAGCTGCTCCATATGGGATCTCTTCTCAAGATGAAATCAACATAGCTCTTGGAACCTACCTGGTCCGTAGAGGCTTCTTCTTGACCTCTGGGCAATACCACCTTCTCCCTATTCACTCCTCAGTCATAAAACACTTTTATAGCTTATTTCTCTGGAATTCCTCTGCTTGAAATATCTAGAGTGGTGTTGTAGATTAAATTCCCTGGGAAGCAGACTAAAACAGAAATTAGCATACAGGATATTTCTTCTATGCAGGGAAGGGAGGACAGCACGATCAGGCAGAGGGAGAAGTTGGGCACAAATCACAAGATCCACTGCAAGTGGGAAGTGGAGGGAGAAAGGGTGTTAGGGACAGTGAGGTGGCACAGATGACAAGTTGATGCTCCATCCTAGGGTCAGTTATTCTGGGGTGGCCAGAAGAAACCTGACTAGAACTCCACACTAGCCAATTCCATGGCATAAGAAGTATTCCTCCCTCAAATGATTAGTTCTGTATATTTCTCAGCTGCGCAAGCTCATATTATACACAACCAGAGAATATACAGAGCAATATTTGTGCATACACATCACATGTAACAAATTTACTATAAGCTATATGATTGCATTAAGTGTTCTCTATGTTTCCCAAATTATTTTTGGAAGAAAAATTTCCAAAGCAGCTCCTTTATGGCTGCAATGAACATCTTTGCAATTACACTTATTAAGTCTGTCCCACATCCTCTCTCCCCAACCCTGGATCTTCAGCTTTGCAAGAGAAGAAATGAGAGCTAATGAGACAGAGACAGAGAGAGAGAGAGAGAGAGAGAGAGAGAGAGAGAGAGAGAGAGAGACAGGGAAATGGAGTTTAGAAACACAGCTAAAGGAATGCCTTCAAGATTTCTGAAAGCATGCTACACCATTCGCATCCCTTCTTAAAAATCCATGGAGATGATCTAATTAGTTGCAGTGCTGATTTTTTCCCTGTATTTGTAAGAAGATGAACAGTGGAAAACACTAACTGGAGGCTTTGTTGCTGAATATCAAGAGAATCCCCAGAAAAGAGAATGTTATAGATGATAGGAAGTAAGGACATGAGAAATTTATCTGGAATGTTGGGACAGATTTCAATGACACGATGAGGGAAATGTATTAACAAATGACTGGGAGAAAGAAAAACTCAGAATGACAAATGATATAATATCTGCTAGTGCATGAGCTGACAGGAATGGAGGAGGAAGAATTGCAAGACACTGCCTCAGAACAGGACTGGCAGATGAAGCTGGCTGCCCTTGTGGCATCATGCCGTGCTCCCTAGGAAAGCTGCCTCCATCGTCTTTCCTTGCTGCACCCCTAATTATCTCTGAAATTTCTGTTAGATATTACTTCATTGTGTGATCTTTTCTTTATAATTGCTTTTGAAGCTTATAGCACCTAGCACAAAGCTGGGTTTGTGACTATATTCTGTAAACACTTTCTGATAATTTTGAAAATGTAAATTCTCTTAGGAGTAGAAACGTGGCATTTCATGTTTAGTAGGAAATAAGTACATATGAAATATGTTTTCCTTAGCTATTTGAGAGCTCTGGACCTGCACCTGAGATGTGGGACATTAGGAAAAAGGGTGCTAAAAAAAGAGGGAATGCCCACCAATGGTCCCCAAAAATCTGCGCTTCCTATTTTCTGATGCAGCTTCAGGCCATGGAAAAATTGTGTGATGAAGTCAGTGTTGTGGGTTCAAATCCCACTCTGAACTTATTTTTTTTATAGTTAAAGATTATAATACTGACCATACATCATTAGCTAAAAGATGTTTTATGTAGAGCAGTTGCTTTCATTTTTGTGCTCCTTCCAATATTTGTTCCTATACATAGTTTAAATAATTATAATGGTAGCAAAGATATTTTATGTTTTGATTTTTTACATAAAATAATTTTTCCATGTTGTTACACAGTCTTAATTATAGTTTTTCATGGGCTTCTGTGCAATTACTCAATTGTATTCCCATAGGACAGTTGTGCTAGTTTGTAATTTTCATACTACAGATAAGTCTCAAATTTGAGAAGAGAAACTACTTGGTCAAAGAAGCATGAATATTTAGACAGCTTTTGAGATATTGCTGGATTGTTTTCCAAAATGTGGCAATTTATAATCCGCCAAACATTTCCACCTCACTTGCTAGTATTATTATTTTAAATGATTCTATTATTTTAATGAAAGTATTTGGTGTAAAATAAAACTGTAAAAATGTCTTACTATGTATTTCTTTGAGGGTTGGCAAGATTTAATGGGTCCCCATATGTTTAAAATGATATTAAAACGAAAAATTATATATATATATGACAAGTTTACAGAGAAGTTACAAGAATACAAAGATCTCTGTGTATCTGTACCTGTAACCTAATGCATCAGTTGCACACATCTTGCCACATTGTTTTATCATGAACCAGTTTTTCATGAACCAGCTGAGAGTATGCTGAATATACCATGTCCCTTTACCACATTAATAGTATTGCATTACGTTAAATTTTCCTGAATTTTATAGTTACACCATTATTATATAAGAAAATATCCTTGTTCTTAGGAAATATGCATTTGTTTTACTTAATCTACAGTTCATATTCCATTTTTACAAGTTGCCTCAATAGTATCTTTGAAAACAATTTTTTTTTCCTGTCCAGAAACCAATCCAAAACCATGCATGTACTTAGTTGTCATGCTTCTTCAGTTTCCTTTAATACAGAACATTTTCTCAGCACTTTTTGGTCTTTCATTACCCTGACATTTTCAGAGTATGGGCCAATTATTTTGTAGAATGTCCAGCAGTGTGCTGGTAAATGTTTAACAGATGTCTTAAAAAAAAAAAAAAGTCCTGCTGTGTAGCATTTGCTGATTTCCCTGGTGTAAATATTCCTATCATGGCTGATGTCAGGCTACCAAAGTGATGTTGCTGAAAGTGCCATTGTGCCATTGGAAAGAATTGTGCACAGTTGGCTCTCCTGAGCTGATATGTACGAGCCAGCTCCAGCACATCACTGAATCTACCTCAATTTGGGTTTGTCTGCTTGCTTTTTCATGAATATAACAGGAGCACCAACAAAGTAATGCAATGTCCTTCTTAGTGCGTCATACCAAGGAGGCACATAATATAGATACGTCCTACCTGTACATATCTTTGAGTATGCACATATATATGTGTGTGTGTGTATGTGTGTGTGTGTGTGTGTGTGTGTGTGTGTGTTTATTTCTGCCTCAGCATGTGGAATGGATGGAAATAAGGATGTGGGAGATGTTCTGACATTCTGGTTGAAGTAGAGAAAGTCAAATCCTCAAAGTCCCATCATTCCCCATATTGTGCCCCTGAAAGGGCTCTGAGTTGCACAATTTGACAAAAATCACTATCCTACAGACTGGGAGTTGTTTTGTGCAGGACTCAAAAGTGAAGTATATAAGCCCAAAGCACCTACCGATAGGTAAGAAAAATCTACACATAGAAGCACAAACCCTGTTAGAGAAAATGTGACTCATCCATAAGTATATTCACTCAGAACAGAATCAGGAAGAGGTCACAGAAGCCACAGCACTAGACTACAGTTCCAAGTTAGGAGTGTCAGTTTGCATTGAATTAAGTTGTATCTGGTGATGACACTTAGGGAAGAGAGGAGTGTCTTAGATTGTGGCACCCCAAAAGCCAACCTGGAGAAAGGATTTGGGTGGTTCATTTGGGAGCTGATCACAGGAAACACCAATAAGGAGAGGATGGAGTGGAAGAAAACTAATACAGTGTGTGGCGGTGAGCAGTTGACTTCCCTAAGCAATCAGAACCTGATCCCACTGGGAACCACTGGGAAACCGTGCAGGGCATGTGCCAGAGTTGTTTTACCTGATGTGCGAGGAAGCTGGGTATTTATCACCAGCTCCCATCCATCATTGGCTGAGGGCTGCTCACAAGGGCATCAGACCCCTTGGAAATTTCTGCCTGTAGCACTCACAGGTGAAACCTTGTCCTGTAGTCAGAAAAAGCCTCTTTTCAGTAGAAAGACATTAGCATGTACAGGAATGATGAAAGTGGCAGAGATATTGGCAGGTTGCAAACAGCATCGGCTATAAGGGACAAAAATGTTTGCCTACCTTTGGAAATGGAAAAGTAAGATGTACTATATAACTGAACTCTAATCTGAGTGGCTATAATGTCTAGGTCAGTTAAGACAAGAAGAATGAGAAAAGTGGCTCATCAGGCAAGGGTACGCCTTTGTGGCTTCCAGATTCCCTTTACACCAGCTTCTCCTGCAGGTCTTGGCTGTTCCTTTTAGACAAACACAGACTTTTACTGCATGTATATGTGTCAAGGATGAGTTTACTCTGCAACCCTTAGTTACAGAAAATATCACATTCTTTTATTTCTTCAAATTGAATTTCATATATTCATAACCCTGCCCACTTCTTAGTTGGCAGGATATTTAATTTCATGCATTACTATAACTCCCTAAACCTCAGTACATAAAACATACAGGGTCCAGGTCTATGTGGGGCTAGAGAGCCATTGTAGAGATTAGGTCCTCAGTCCATGGTGGTATACCATTATTCCTTTATTCTGTCACTGATTGGTAATTCATTCAATACTGCCTGGGCTCAGAGAGGCCCCTTGCGGTGACCATCACCTAAAGAGACCCTCATCACTTCTCTCATGGCTGAATAGCATAGTCCTGAGGCTATGCAGAATCCCTTGTGATTGCCCATTAGGGTGCAGTTTCAGATGGGGCTGAGTCTTTACCATATGTACTTCTTCTCCAGTTCCCATACTTACCTGCAAGTACATGCTTCCACTCCTCTCTCTCAGGGACTACAAATCATAATCCTTAGCAATGAGCTTCAAAAGCCCTTTACTCTCTTATAAAACCCCTTTATTAACCTGTCTCAGAGCCTGAGACAAGAATGTAAGAACAGGTAGTTTAGTCCCAAAGAAGGGAATAGGGAAAGAGAGAGAGGGAATGGAAAAAGCCAATGAAATGTGCATGAATGATCTGGTTTTTCTAAGAGAAACTGAAGCTCTGTCTCCTTGGGGACCTTATTATTGTTTCACCAGGACTGGAACATTTATCTGTTTATTTTTGTCCTTCACTGGTTAAAGTTTTCCCTTGGGAGGCATTCACACCCCCCCATATTTCCAGGTTGCACCTGTGTGGAGCTGATCAGGCGTTCTGAGCTTGCGAGAAAGCTCTGAGGCAGCAAAGCAGTTCCCAAATGAATGTGAGATACTGGCAATGTACAGTGAATTATCTGCCTATGCTAAAATTGGGTGGGGTGAGGTTTGGTCGCATGATACAGTGTAAGTGTCTGTTAAATAACTGTTTTGGACATGAATTGTGTGCACTTCCTCAGATTCTCTTGCCTACTTCTCTCTTTCTGAAGGTGCCATCTGCTGCCCAGGCTTCTCCACCATTACCATCTTTGCTGAGATCCCTATGCTGGCTGGAGTTAAGTTGCATCCTGGGACTTTGATGGCCTATATAACCCATACTCTGGGCTAATCCATGACAACATCCACTCCATTTTCAGACTTGGATGAAACACCACACTCAGGGGGCATCTGGCTTCCTGAAAGACTGACAAGGGGCTGGATGACACAATCTAGAAGTAAAGGGGCGTTAGTTCTCTGTGAGGTAAACCTTGGCCAATGGAAAACAGGAGGCATGAGGGAGCTGATCATATAAATTCCTCCTCCTTTCTCCCTTCCATGGACTGCTGTGACATGTGGTTTCTTCTTGCACCTTCCAGAGGAATCCTGGTACAAAGAGACATAGATGCCAAGTTACCTATGCTCTAGTTTCTTGGCTTATCATCAAGCTGTGGCCAATGCAGTAACAAATTATGTCACTTATTTTTGCTTGCCTCATTGCCCTTTTTCTTTCTCACTTTCACTCTCATGGGTTTGTACCAAATAAAACAGCAGTGCTCTAATCCTTACCTTGGGTTCTGCTTATTAGAGCACCCAGACTAAGAAATTATGCTTCTTTTTTTTTTTTTTTTCCGAGACAGAGTCTTGCTCTGTCACCCAGGCTGGAGTGCAGTGGCACATCTCAGCTCACTGCAACCTCCGCCTCCTGGGTTCAAGCAATTCTCCTGCCTCAGCCTCCTGAATAGCTGGGATTACAGGCACACGCCACCACGCCGGCTAATGTTTGTATTTTTAGTAGAGACGGGGTTTCACGGTGTTGGTCAGGCTGGTCTCGAACTCCTGACCTCATGATCCACCTGCCTTGGCCTCCCAAAGTGCTGGGATTACAGACGTGAGCCACTGTGCCCAGCCTGAAACTATGCTTCTTATACCTACCCCACCTGCACCCTTGCTAGTACTGGTGTTGTATGAGACAAACCAGACATCTTGAATCACATTCTGGAGAAAAGGTATAAAAGAAGGTGCTGACCAATATTCTTGTTTTACTTGTTGATGCTAGAGATAAGTGACTATGAAAAAAATTTATAAGAACCTTTTCTCCCTTTATTTGTAATATCCTTAAATTAAGTAGTAGATATCTTGTCTTAAGAAGAAAAATTCTGGACTAATTTCTACTCCCAGATTGTATCTGCCTGCTGCAGAAGACTTAGACAATCTTCTAATCACACGGGTGCTCTTAAATGCAGAGAGAGACAAATCATACAGTGATCGCCTCTATCATGGTAAATTATAAGCTAAATGGAAGACAAGGGTTTATTTTCAAAGGGCAGGGGGTTCTAATTATTCTAGAAGGTTGCACAGTGTTAATGGGAAGAATTAATGACTTATTAAAATCATGCCTGTCCAGTGTGCTGACCTAAATGCACCAGTGGGACATACTTCCATCTATAGTTACTTAACTCAAATATATTTTTAATTAAATAGATTTGCATATCAAAGATCAGCTTCTTCTAATTTAATTCTCTCGTATATCTTCGAGAGTGGTATACTTAGACTTGATTTAGCTCTGTGACAATAAATATGTCACATAACCTACTAGCATCTAATCTATCTAAGGAAAGGATGTTGCACTTATTGATCCTTGATTCTGTGTGGAAAAGGGCTTTAAAATTCTAAATTATACTGTTCCCAAAGGTAGAGACCAACCTAGGCCATCACAGAAGAACTGCAGAACTGTCACTCCATGCTCTCTGAACCTTGTCTTCCTCAAGTTGAAAATCTTGATCTAAGTAGGTTTAGACCAAAGGTCAGCACTTCCTCAGCTCTTATCTATGGAATCTATTCTTCCCCAAGATTCACAACACTCTAGTTACATTTTACCTTTCACAGGTACCCAGAGTTCCTCCTATTATTCCATCACTTTAATGAGAAAACAATGAATGGGCAAAAATAATGACTAGATAAAACATACTATTTTTGAGGTAGCAGTTTTTAGATGCTGCAATGTTAGCTGAAATACAGTAATGAAATATTTTAAAAAATAATATTACAGGCCGGGTACAAGGGCTCATGCCCGTAATCTCAGTACTTTGGGAGGCCAAGGCGGGTGGATCGCAAAGTCAGGAGATCAAGACCAGCCTGGCCAACATGGTGAAACCCCGTCTCTACTAAATAAATACAAAAAATTAGCCGGGCGTGGTGGCACGCACCTGTGGTCCCAGCTATTCGGGAGGCTGAGGCAGGAGAATTACTTGAACCCAGGATGCAGAGGTTGTGGTGAACGGAGGTTGTGCCACTGCACTCCAGCCTGGTGACAGGGCAAGACTCGGTCTCAAAAAAATATATAATAATAATATTACAGGTTACTCTTACAATAATAAGTACACATTTAGACTTAACTGACGGATAGAATTTCAACATATAAATCTTATATGTGGATTGTCATTTCAGGTTATAGAATATTTACATATATTTGAAAATGAATACTGAGGTGTTAATAATAAATCTGGAAAAACGACATGGCCTTTTAATATTATGGATCTTACTGAGGAAGGCCAGTAATGATGGTGATGTGGGTGTTTGGCCATTCAGCTTTTCAAAAGTTGATATATAAGAGGAATATTTGATTTTGGCTAAATACTGAGGCTGAAGCCAACTTTCAAGTATCCTTAGCATTCTATTCCTGCTTTAGCCTTTTAGTAAGTTTTCTTTTTGAAATCACTTTTAAAATGTACTTTTGATGAGAAAGCTGCCAAGGCCATTGCCAGATCTGAAGCACCTCTAGTACCCACTCACAGTTGTGAATGTGCCAGGCTTTGTTCCCCATCGGGAGAATGTGCACATTTCCCCATGACTGCTCTTTGCTTTTAACTTTGGATGTGCTCATTGATTTCTTTTAATTTTTTTAGAGACAGGGTCTCTCTCTGTCATCCAGGCTGGAGTGCAGTTGCATGATCATAGCTCACTACAGCCTTGAGCTCCTGGGCCTAAGCTATCCTCCTGCCTCAGCCTCCCAAAGCACTGGGATTACAGGCATGAGCTGCCACACCCAGGCTCATTTTTAATGGTGCCAAAAAACTAAAGAAACAAAAAAATAGAAAGAAAGAAGTTATTAGATAAATTTGACCACTACTCTAGGTCACATTTTGGAGAAATGAGTAGCTTGAGGTACAAGAAGACATGGAAATCCTGTCTGCCTAGCATATTGAAATAGTTCTGCAAAGTATCTTGAGGCTATAAAAGAAAACAAAAAGGAGAAAACCAAGATAAAGAACTACAAATTTGTATAAGCTCTTTGAAGGCTGAGGCCATGGTTTCTGTTTCTTTGTTATGATTTTGTACTGCAAAAACTAAACTAGATTCCAGCAGCTTTTTCCCACCTAGTAAAAGAACTATCCTGGTCAAAAGAAAACTCTAGGAAAAGGAAACCCCATGTTTTTAATGATTTTCCCTCTTCCACATCCTCTGTCTGTGATAGTTTAGTGAGCAATCACTAATTATTCCAACAAATATTTATCAAGTGTTTTCTATGTGGCACTTCCCATTGCCATAAAAATATGAACAAGAAAAACTTCATCTTTGCCTCAGGGTCTAGCTAAAGTTTAAGCCCTAGTTAACTTAGCCTTGTGGATGACTTAGAATGGCCTCAGCCACATGCAGAGGGTACATCCGATCCTCTGATATATTTTGTAGGAAATACTATTGCTTACATGCTTCCATGTTCTCTTATATTCTTTCAAAGAATCAGAATTCCTTGAAGTATTAAAATTAAGGTTCTATTTATTAAAGTGCATATAAATAAGATAATTAAACAACCAGACTATTTTCAATATATATAAAACCAAGCCTGGGGCAGGGAAGTATTTCCCAGGATCTCCCTTACTGTACCTCCAACACCATATACTCATTCCAAACACAGGAATAAAAATAATGTTACAGATGGCTCCATTCAAAGAACATGCTGGGTTATTTTTATATCTTTCCCATGTTTATAAGCGTGTAGTCACTGATGTGTTTTTGCTGTAGCCATTGTATACATCTGCAGAACAATTTCTTCGACAAAATGCAATCCTTCTTCTCACATGAATATTTGCCTCTTTCATCACTTAAATCATCTCAAATAATCCATTTTCAATGAGCTGTAATTTTT
Organism: Homo sapiens; assembly: GCF_000001405.40. Taxonomy (NCBI): domain Eukaryota; kingdom Metazoa; phylum Chordata; class Mammalia; order Primates; family Hominidae; genus Homo; species Homo sapiens. Next base: position 43,509,037 of record NC_000023.11, on the reverse strand, counting down.
AGAGGCCAAGATACACATTAGAGGGCTTATTTTGTACAAAGAACTAATTTGAATTTTCCCTATATTAGACAGGGCCCCAACAGGAAACAGATGATGCTCTTGAATTAGGATACTTCAAGGAAGGATTAATAAAGGCACTATTTATAAAGATGTGGGTGGGACATAGAGGAACCATAAAAAATATTTCAGGAACCACAAAACTTAGTGCTGGTAACTACAAAGATGTTACTTCTTCCTAGCCTGAAGGGAGATGAGAAAGCACTAACTGGGACCCAGAAGGCAAGAGTCTTCTAGAGAAGTTTGCCTTCAGTTGAGAAACCCACCCAGCTCAAGACAAACTGTCAGGGAGGGAGATGTGGAGATAAATACTTTGACCTCACTTTATTTTTGCCCTGATCTTCCGCTAAGGGTCTTTATGAGCCAAACCTAAGTGGAAACTATAGGACAAAGAAGACATTGATATAATTTATATAGACCAGGCTCTCAAGGCAGAAAGCAGGATGGAAAAAGATGGAGCACAGGTCTAGAAGGGCAAATGGAAGAGATCCTGCTACAATATCCCTATTAATTAGAAACCCCTTTAGCTTTGGGGCAAGGAGATTACAAAATAATTATTTTGCTTGAGTCATGTTTCCAACTTTGTACATTTATATATGCCTCTACTGAGCCCCTGTTTTGTACTAAGCTCTATTTGGTGAAAGTAAAATAAACAAAAATCCCTCCCTGCAAGCAATATTCTATGGGTGGCCATTTCTCTCAGTCAAGAGTCATTTTGTTGCAAGAGAAAGTCACTCGAGTTAGGAGGTTTAAAAAATATTGCTTGTAAGAAATTCTCCTGATTGTTGTAAATCTGTCATGCAACTACTCCCTAGGCTATTACACACCTCTCTTCTTTCTTTCTCTCCCCCATCTCTCTCAATCTCTCTCTCCATACCTCCTCCCAACTCCCCAAAAAGTGATTTTGCTTCTCTACATATCCCTCCAAATCTGTTCCTTTCTCGTATAGGCAGGCTTCATTTTGAGGTTCTTATTGTCTCCTTCCCTATATTTTCAGTTTGCATGTGCTTTGGTATCTATTCTGTTTCTGGTAATTTATATGAAAGTGCTTTGAAAACTTTGAAGCGGTGGTCATCCTCATCCAGCCTATATTGCCCCCACTCCAAAAATGTTGTTCACATGACAGATGCTCTCCTATTGCCATATCCACTCACCCATTTGTTCATTTTTGAAAATTCATTTGAATATTTATTGAGTACTTTTTCACACCAGAGGTCGATGGGAAATTACCAAGGAATGATGGACATTTCATTTACTGAAGCTGGCGTTGGTGCTGGGGTAGGCTGGCATATCATGAACTATAGGCTGTGGGGAGAAATCACTAGCAGGTAAAAGAAACCAAAGCCAGAGTTCAAAGTGATATCCTTTCAAGTGAGATCTCAGATCTAAGCACAGTGCCCAAGAAACGGGAGCACAGACTGACCAGTCTGCAGAGTGGTTGAAACATAGTAGAGGGCCCATTAGACTGAAGCAAGAATCTGGGTCCACCAAGAGCAGAAACTATGTCAGAGATTGTTCAACATTTCTGCACTGAGCAAACTCTTACATGTGGTAAGAGTTGTGGGGGATAGAGCTGGTTCCCACTCTCAAGTGATTTTACTCTTTTACAAAGGTACAATAGGCAGTTGTTGATGGTTTAAATGGCCCCCTTTTAGTGCTTTTGACTCTATCTCCTTCTGTCTGCATTTTCCTTAATATTGACGTATACTGAATACTTCTATTCCATTTTGAAATAACAAGTTAATGTGCTGCCCTTTGCAAGCAAGGTTTTCATTTTGTTCCTGTTTATTTCACAATAATATATAACTCTGTGTGTGTGTGTGTGTGTGTGTGTACATATCTATGTTTTGATGGGAGTTGAAAAAGTTCAGGGGTATTGTGTCCATTAATTGATCTACACTGTCTTCTGCAGAGGTTTTGTGATGGAAGTGAAGTCATAGTTTACGCCTTCACCATTTTTCTAGCCCCTGGTTTTGAAGAACAACCATGGCCTAGACTGTGCGACTCGAGTTGACATTTGGAAAGAGAATTCCCTATATCCAAGGTGTTGTTCTGCATCTAGTATATTGTCTCGGACTTTGAAATAGTGTTTGGACAAAAGCACACCTCCTTGGATTCACTCTCCCTGGGGTGCAGGTACCATGTTATTTATTTTACTCTAGACCAGCTTTCTCAAAGTTGGAGTGCAAATAGAACTCCCTGAAAATCTTGTTGGAAGTGCAGAAGTGTAAATCATACCCCTGGGGACTGTGATCCAATAGATCACAGGTGCATTCGTTTTCTAGGGCTGCTGTAACAAATTACCACAAAACTAGACAGCTTAAACAACAGAAATTTATTGTCTCATGATTCTGGAGGCTGGAGTCTAAGATCAAGGGGTTGGCAGAGTCACCCTCCTTCTGAAAGGGCTAGAAAAAGATCTTTTCCAGATGTCCTTCCTAACTTGTGATAGCTCCTGGGCTTGTGGCAGCATAACTTCTGTCTTCACATGGTAATCTCTCTGTATGCATGTGTGTTCAAATTTCTTTTCTAAGGACACAAGTCATATTGGATGAGAAGCCCACCCTACTCCAATTTAAGTAAGGTAAGAATTATTTAACTAATTACATCTGCAATGACCCTATTTCCAAATAGCACTACATTCTGAGGTACCAGGGGCTAAGACTTCAATGTATGCAATTTTTAAAACACACAATTCAACCCATAACAATGGATAACAACTAGAAACTGGCATTTTTACATGATGTATCAAAACCCCCTTAAGCTTCTCTTTATAATTTTGGCCCAATCTTGGATTCCAGTAGCCTTGATATGAAACAATTCGAAGTAGAGTGGTCTGTTTCACACAGGTGCACCTGGATAGCACTGGATAGCACTGTTACACCTGGATAGCACCTGTTACAATTCGAAGTAGATTGGGCTGTTTCACACAGGTGCACCTGGATAGCACTTCTCTCCCAGCCAACACCTCATGTTTCTTGCTTCTTGCTCCAGGCTTCTCTTACACAATAGCATGGAATCCTGCTGCCTCCCACTCAGCTGTGACACATGAGTAACTCAGAATATGGAGGAGTTAACACTCCTTGGGTGGCCCTTGGCCAATGGGGGATGAGATGCAATAGATAGATGATTCTCTCTCTCATCCCCAGGTGAACCGGTCTGAGATCTATTTCATTAGGATTTTTAGAGATTTCTTCAAATTCAAACACCAGTTACTAGTAGCAGTGGCCAACTTAATAATGCATTTTTTTGTTGTCTTGTCCAGCTTCCCTTTTATTCCTTCAGTTTTTTACCCTTGCCCCCTGAGTTCACTTCCCAAATAAATGATGTGTATCAAAACCTTTGCCTCAAACTCTGTTTATGGAGATCCAAGCTTCCCAGGTAATCCTGATGTAAGTGATCCATGGACCAATCTTTGAGAAATTCTCCAAATCTCAGTGGAAAACAAGATGGGTTAAAATTACTCTTAATGTGTGTGTTAAATAGAACACTCCCCACACCATTAATCCAAGAAATATGCAAGAGAGATTCTGAAGCCAGGAGTTATATGAGAAGTCCAAAATCAAAGTAAATCTCAGAATGAGGAGCAGGCCAGGTGCAATGGCTCATGCTTTTTATTTCAGTACTTTGGGAGACCGAGGCAGGTGGATCACTTGATCCCAGGAGTTCAAGACTAGCCTGGCCAACATGGTGAAATCCCATCTCTACAAGAAATACAAAAAATTAGCCCGGCTTGTTGGCACACGCTTGTAGTCCCAGCTACTTGGGAGGCTGAGATTGGGGGGATTACTCGAGCCCAGGAGTTTGAGGCTGCAGTGAGCTATGATTGCACCACTGCACTCTGGCCTGGGCAACAGAGCTAGACCCTGTCTCTGAAAAAAAAAAAAAAAAGCTAAAAAAAAAAAAAGAAACATGAGGAGCAAACCACCCTCTGTGACAGAAGCCAGCAAGTACCCAGATACTATGGCTAGTACTGTCTGTCCTCGGAAGATATCTGGGTGATGGGTCAATGTGACTCAATTATCAAAGCCTCATTATCTCTGTGTACTTAGAAAATTTATTTTGAGGCCTTCTAAAGCTGTGGGTCAGACACTGTCACCCTTTCATGAAGCAGGGTCCTATGAGGCCCCATAGGTGACGAAGAGGTGGGAAGGCCAGCGAGTTAATAGAATATGATAATCTCCCTGCTGTGTCTCATGGAAACAGGACTCATGTTACAGAAAAGCCTATGCCAGTCTGAAAGCTTCATTTAAATAAGCCCCCAATTTATAATAGCCTTAAATGTGGCAGAACTGATGTTCTAACCTGAATTTTATGTTTCTGCTACTAGGCTGACAGAGGGCTAGTTATCTCTGGGACTGACTCAGCAGTTTAAAAAGCCAAACAATTACTAACCAGAATGGCCAGCTCAGCAGAAAGGATGACAACTGTGGGCTCTGAATAGCAGGATTTAAAATTCATGCCTGAGCTTGTCAGTCCTATGTGCCTAGACACAGTTGGGGGAAAAATCCCTGGGGGAGAAGAGAAATAATAAACAGAGGAAGATAAATTCAAAAATTATATATACATAAATATTTGTGTGTGTGTGTGTGTGTGTGTGTGTGTGTGTGTTAAAATGATAGCATTATCTTAACCAAGGATAAGATATTTAGTGTCCAGAAAACTGCTTTCTTCATGGATGACCCATCATGGAGGAAGAGTGAACAAAGAATATAACAAGGGCAGACCAGCCAGGCTGGGCCTAAGCAAAGACCCTAAACCTGCTGGTAACGGAACAAGCCATTGAATGGATATCTTAATACCCATGTTGCACTTGAAGGGGTTTGGACTCGGGTAGATTTGGGTTTATACCACAACTCTACCACTTACCAGCTGAGTGCCAGCCAGATACTTAACTTCTCTGATAATACTACCTTGCAGAGTTGTGAGGATTAAATGAAAGAATGGGTTAAAGGTATTCAGCTTAATTCTTAGTACATAGTAGCCATTCAATAAATGGTGTATATTATAGTATTGTTATAAGAAAACAATTTTAGTGAACTATAATTTAGTATACACAGGATGCATCTTGGACTTTATACAAGCAATCTTAGTTTATGAAGTACTTAAAGAACCTAGTTGCACTACAGCCCCTGGGCATGGACTACAAGAACAGAATTAGAGGAAATATTGTGTATATATGAGATAATTAAATGTATGCATTTATGTGTATCATATAGTGTTATATATTTATGTCTGCATTTATATTTTTATTTTAAATATTCTTCTTTTAAATCTCTGTTCTTTCTTGTCCTTGTTTTTTCATGGTTGCAGTATCTTCTCAGCTCTGTGAGGTGCTGATAGGTTATTTGGGAAGAGGAAAGGTTAAACAAAATAACTGTTTCCTCTAATTGCTTTTTTTGCTCATCTGATGATCCTTGGCTGTCTGTTTACATTTACAAGAGGGACACTAAAAAGCTGACTGGAAGCTTTTAGAGTTGAATTGATCAACTGTGAATATTTCCATAGGGTTATCTGGCTGGGCCCTTTCTTTGGGGAAACTTTGATTAAGGCTTTCCTCTTTGGGGGAGATCATATTCCTTAGAGTAGGCTCTTCTTGTAGCCTCAAGGCTTGCCTTAAGGATGAAGGCATGGTGACTGGAATTCTGAGAGCAACATGGAAAAGAGGTCTGGGGAGACCTCACTGTCCATATTATCTGTTTCAATCGTGAACACAAGGCACAAAGACCCTACTTTTGATCTTTCCAGAAAATAAATCTCCAATAATGTTCTAGGGTGAGTGGAAGAAATTTCAAAGGGTAAAAGAGTAGATCTAGCAACCTAATTGTTTCTTAAATAGATTTTGAACTCAATTTCCTTCTTTTGGATCTTTCCTTTCCCCTTCTCTCCCCTACTTCTAGAGATACATAAATGCTGCCATTGGGGATTCTGTTGTGTAAGTTGAAGTACATTGTGTTGTTTCCTTGTTGATCTCTTCAAATTCAGTGTTCTCATGTTTCCTAAAATCTTTTATGCCTGCTTGTCCATCAGCTTTCCAGTTTCCAAAATTGTGTTAGTGTTGCATCCTTTCCTGTTTCCCTACATTTTGTGGTTTTATGGCTTTAAAAACATAAAAATAATTAGAATTTATTGATGTAAGTTTGTTCAATCTGCTCTTTACCTATACATATGTACTTTTATTGTGATCCTGAATTACTTTCTTATTTTATTATAATCCCGACTTAGAGATATTTAATGTAGAAGTTTTATCTTTTGTCCTTTGCATAGACAGTATACAGCAAAGCAAAGTTCCCAAAATGAAGACAAAAGTGGAAAAGAAATGGATTTTGTGCCTTGGGCTGTGGACTTGAAACTGGCCTTCAGTCCTGTCACATTCATGGTCTCATATTTGGTTAGGAAATTTATGAGTGTTTCTTCTCACAATTCCCCTTGTGACTAGTTTAATGAAATATGCACTGTCTTCATCTGGTATCTTCCCTCAAGAATATATCATATGAGACACTGAGGTCCATGTCACAGAATTGCTCTCTAAATTCTTGGTACCTCTAGAACAATGTTGAATAGACAAGTACAATGACCAGGAAAAGGCATTGATGTGTGTGTGTGTGTGTGTGTGTGTGTGTGTGTGTGTGTGTGTAGACTTTTTTTGGACACTGATATGGGCTGTGCTTTCAATTCTCATTCTAGTTACTGACATGAGTTTCAGTGGTCATGAATAAAGCAAGCTCACGTTGCCTGATGATGAACTTGGTTATGCAAGCTGATTCTTATTCTGGCAAACCTTTTCCAGCTTTCCCAGAAAGTTCAGCAAATACAGATTGTAGTTCCTTCCAAAACCTGTGATCCAGACATTCCCTCTTTGGGATGTGCTGCCCTTGTTTTCCCTTCCCATAGTACATCAAAAACTCAGAGGAAGGTAGGGCAAAAAAAAAAAAAAAAAAACCCACAACAACAACAACAAAAAAGAAAACCTCCTTTTGATCTCTTCCAGGGGGGCTGCCATATCTTTCTGTTGTCACTGCCAGCCTGTCATATTGCCTCCTGTTTCTTCACTTACATCCAGAAAAGAAAAAAAAAATTGCAGATGTTTCTGAAGCACCAAACTTCTAAAGCTTATTTATCAATTCTCCTAGTGTCTGATCCAGGAAACTCCACCACATAAATCTTGGGTCCAAGAAGCTGTCATTGAAACCCTCTGGGCATCAGTTTCTCTATCTATGACATAAGGAGATGAAAATCTATGATCCCTTCCAAACTTTAATAATTGTTCTCTATCTTTTGTTCACCCAGACTGTACTAGGGAGGATCTGTATTTATATGAATTCAATTTTAGCAACCAAATGGAGAAGCAAGACATCAAAGAAGCCCACTGATTAGATGTTGTTAATAGAGAGGATGGTAGATCTGCTAATCAAGGAGAGAGAGAAAGAGCTGTTCTTTCTTCTTTCACAGGACATTGGCTATTGCCTTGGGGAAAATAACTTAAGCCATTTTAGATAAAAATGGGGATGAGCAATCCTGCGACCAGACACACAGATTATTGTGAGAGATATGATATGGTGTAGGTAATGGAGAGAAGGAGAGAGAACTGGGGAGGGGAGCTACTCTGGCTAACAGAATAGCCAAAGGAAGTAAGAGAATTGAGGTCAGGATGCACAAGCCTTACCCTTCTAGGAATGAGCATGGATCAGGAGTAAAACTGAAAGAGGCTTTATCCTCTTTCCCCAGAGGAACCTTTAGAAGGGTTGAAGGGAAGCAGAGGTATGGGCACTGGGAACAGCCAGCCTGTGGGAGTTGTTCGTCAGGGAATGAGACAGACCAGAAGTGAAACTGGAGAGGGGTGGAGTAGTAAGAACTCAGGGCCAGGAAGCCAAGCTTCCAATTCTGGTTCCACAACTAACTAGCTGGGTGATTTGGCCAGGTCTAGCCTTCAGGTTTCTCATCTGAAAGACTAGCAAATTGGATTACTTCTCTCTAAGATCTGAGAGTTTTAACATTTTTATGATTCTATGAAATGGAAAAGGAAAGGTTCCTCTACATTTGTGAAAATACAGTTATTATTTTAATAATAATAATAATGCCAGTTACTGGCTACTATTAATTGATTGTTATAGGCTAGGCATTGAATTTAGCATTTTATATACATTACAACTTGTGAGTGAGGTAGTTATTTGCAAAAAGCACAGATAAATATTTTAACAAAATTACACATTTAATAAGAGGCAAAGCCACAATTCAAACTCAGTCTAATAAACAATGAATTTTGAATAATAGAACTAGAGATTACCCTAAATTTAAACAAAGCATTGAAGCCAATATTTCCTTTGAACATAACGAGGAAACAGAAGACTAGAATTCTTATCCCAGTTCTCATTATAGGTATAAGCTTGAGAAAGTCACGTCCCTTCCTCAGTTTTCTGGATCTCTAATTCTAACTGTAGCTTTTTTCCCCAATGCCCTAGGCTGCCTTCCTAAGAAAAATTACATCAAGCTGGTCTGCAGCTGTGTCTTTCAAGAAATAACAGCTTAGGGCACAGGGAAGTAACCTGAAACCCTTGGAGAAGGGCAGTCTTTCAGACAGGCTGGGTTCAGTATTTCTGAAAGGTCCTTTGCTATGTATGTGACTTTCAGGACCTGATTGAATTGACTTGTTTTTTAATGAAACACTGTTTTCCAGAACCTTATACTCTGGCTCTAACTCCATTCAAATTAGTGTATGTAGCACTCATGTGCAGTGTGTAAGATTTGCCTTGTCAGAAAGTTTATACAAAGTGTCAGCATTGCTAGGGAGCCAACATAGTGCCCTGCTTATATTTTTCCAGTGTGCAAGTTTCCTGTCCCCTGTGAGAACTTACTGAGAAAGGCTGGTGGCTTTGCTGTGTTATTTAATCTTGGACTGCCCTGGACCATTTCTGGAGGGAATAGCAAAGCAGTATGAGAGACAAAAACAGTAACCCAGGAAGTAAAGAGGGGGAAAGAAGTATAGTAAAACTGTAAGAGCTTTCTTTTCACCTTGGACTGTATCTCAACAAATGCCATCTTTTCAAACAGTCTTCTTCTCACCACTTTTATTTTATGATAAAAATTTAAATGATACTTTAATATTTGATGTAAAATAAATCCAAAAACCATAATACAAAATTATATATTACAGCTGCTATCATGCAACAATGATCTTTCATAATGAAAAATCACTGGAAGGTGATATTTGAAAATAAAAATCGTTTTGAATTATGGTTGCTTGTATTTGTTCTCAATATGCTTACTAATTGTTTTATGGCCTTTTAATTAATCAAGCACAGAGCTTTTAAATGAGTCTCCAATAGAAAAATGGGCAAAGGAGGCTGGACACGGTGGCTTGTGCCTGTAATCCCAGCACTTTGGGAGGCTGAGGTGGGCAGATCACCTCAGGTCGGAAGTTTGAGACCAGCCTGGCCAATATGGTGAAATCCCATCTCTACTAAAAATACAAAAATTAGCCTGGTGTGTGGCATGTGCCTGTAATCCCAGGTACTTGGGAAGCTGAGGCAGGAGAATCACTTGAACCCAGGAGGTGGAGGTTGCAGTGAGCTGACATAGTGCCACTGTACTCCAGCCTGGGTGCGACAGAGTGAGACTCCATCTCAAAAAAAAGAAAGAAAGAAAAATGGGCAAAGGATATAAGAAATTCACAAAAGAAGCAAAAACATGATCAATAAACATCAAAATTGCACAGTTATATTTATGTTAAGCTGCACACTGTGATGGTTAATGTTATGTGTCAACTTCACTGGGCTATGGAGAGCTCAACTTCACTGGGCTATGGAGAGCTCAGACATTTGGCCAAAGATTATTTGGGTGTGTCCGTGAGGGTATTTCTGGATGAGATTAACATTAAATCGGTAGACTGTTTAAAGGAGATGGCCTTCCCTAATGTGAGAGTGCCTCATCCAGTCAATACCTGAATAGAACAAAAGACTAAGAGGAACTTCACCTGCCTGACTGCCTGAACTGCGATATCTGGTCTTTTCTTATTTTAGGAGTTAAGCTGAAAAATTGGGTCTTAATAGTCACAAGCCTGCTGCCTTTCACAATGGAACTTATACCATTAGCTCTCCTGGTTCTCAGGCCTTTCGACTAGAAAAGAAAATACACTATTGGCTCTCTGGGGTCTCCAGCTTGCCAACACCTGTCTCTCTCTCTCTCTCTCTGTTTCTCCATGGAAACAGAATCTATCTATCTATCTATCATCTATCTATCTATCTATCTATCTATCTATCTATCTATCTATCTATCATCTATCTATCTAAAATAGACATGTAATTAATTCTGTTTCTCTGGAGAACCCTGATTAATACAATATCTTAACAATAATAAAATATCTTATGCCTATTGTATAACTAATGTATATTGTATTAATACCTCCCCAAAATTCATATGTTGAGGTTCTAACCCCCAGTACATTGGAATGTAACCTTATTTGTAATTAGGATAATTGCAGATATAATTCGTTAAGATGAGGTAATACTGGATTATGGTGGGACCCTAATCCAATATGACTGATGCCCTTATAAAAAGGGGGAAATTTGGAGATAGACACACACAGGAAAAACACCATGTGAAGATAAATGCAGACTTGAGGGTGATGTTTAAACAAGCCAAAGAATGCCAAAGGTTGCTAACAACCACCAGGAGGTAGGGAGGGGCATGGAATAGATTCTCCCTCATTCTCCTCGGAAGGAACCAATCCTGCCAACACCTTGATCTCAGACTTCTAGCCTCTAGAACTGTGAGATAGCAAATTTCCATTGCTTAATCCATTCAGTTTGTGATACTTTGTTATGGTCACCCTAGCAAGCTAATATACATTTCATGTTAGAAAAAGTTAAAAGACAGATACAATCCAGCTGTGGAGAAATAGGTACTAATAAAGTTGGAGAAAATGTGATAAGTACTTCTCTAAAAGCACTTTAGGAATAGGAGCAAAATAAAATTTTATGCATCTACAGAAGTACTTAGGAATTTATTTAACAGGATTATACTCATAGAGCTGCTAGTAAGCATAAAAATTTCAAACAATCAAAATTTGTGTCAATAATGAAATGGGTAAAAAGTTATGGTACATAAATAATATAAAATTAATATATCTAGTTCAAAGAATGAGGCAGGTCTAATTGAGTTGGTACAAATGCTGTCCTTGATATGTTGGTTAACGAATAAAGCAATTCACAAAAAAGCATATAGTTATAATCTCATCATTGTAAAAATCAAAGTGAAATTTATAAGTGTGTATATATGATGAATAAATAAAAGTTGGTATATTAGTCTGTTCTCATGCTGCTAATAGAGACATATCTGAGACTGGGTAATTTATGAGGGAAAGTGGTTTAATTGACTCACAGTTCCATATGTCTGGAGAGGCCTCACAATCACGGTGGAAGGGAAAGGAGGAGCAAAGTCACATCTTACATGGTGGCAGGCCAGGCAAGAGAGCTTGTGCAGGGGAACTCCCATTTATAAAACCATCAGATCTTGTGAGACTTATTACTACCATGAAAACAGTATGGGGAAAACTGTCCCCATGATTCAATTATCTCCACCTGGCCCCACCCTTGACAGGTGGTAATTATTACAATTCAAGATGAGATTTGGGTGGGGACACAGCCAAACCATATCAGTTGGCAAAATGTGCATACATAGTAAAACTATTAAAGTAGTTACCTTTGCGGACAAGGGTTAGGAGCATAAAAGTTAATCCCTTTTTGTTGTATGTTCTTTCCTTGCTTGTTTTACAATGAGCAGGAATTCTTTATAGTATTATCAAAAAATGGAAACAGAAAGCATTGTTTCAGAAAAAGGATCTTCCCATTTGAATTCATGGCCAAAGATTCCTCTAATAACATACTATCATAGAAATTCCTGCTGCCTGCCTCATCAGATTCTGGGCCCATAGCACTCTTAATGCTGTTGCACTTACTTCAGGACTCTCATATTCTAAGGTTGCTCTAACCACAACGACAGCACTGACCACTATTGTAGACAGAGGGTAGTGAGGGCATAGCTGTAGGCCCCTCAACACATTAATTCGAAGAGATACCACTACCCACATATTAATAATTCTATATTAATTCTAAGGCTGTCTTAGCATGCCTTCTTTCTTCATTCACCTCAAATTTTTATTCTTGTTACAGCTTGGCTTAGAGGTGAGTTCATCAAATACAGTTCTCAGCAACACTAAGATGGCCTTTTCCAAATTCTGCATCTATGATAACACCAGCATTTTACCAAACATATCTTGTTATTTTAAAAATAGTTTATTGAAGGTATGATTGACATACAACAGATAAATAGCACACATTTTAAGTGTAGAATTTGATAAATTTTGACATATGTATACACCCATGAAACCATCACCACAATCAAGATAAAGAACATATCCACCCTCACCAAAAGTGTTCTCTTGCCCCTTTGTAATGCCTCATTCATGCCTCATTCCCACTCTTTTCCAGTCCTCCAGTCTCTAGACCACTACCAACGTGCTTTCTGTCACTATAGACTAGTTATTAGGCTGGTGCAGAAATAATCAAGGTTTTTGCCATTAAAATTAAAAGTAAACTTTTAATGGCAAGTAATGGTGATTACTTCTGCACCAACCTAATAAAATTTTCTGGATACATAAATAAATGGAATCATACAATATGTACTCTTTATTCGTCTGCTTTCTTTCACTCAGCATGATGATTTTGAGATTATGACCATTTTAGTTGGTTCCTTTGTATTACTAGACAGTATTTCATGGTATGATATAACACAATTTATTAATCTATTCATCTATTGATGAGCATTTGGGTTGTTTTATTTTTGTCTATTACAAATAAAGCTGCTGCTACAAACATCCAAGTCATTGTGAGCTCCTTTGTTTTCATTTCTCTTATGTAAATATCTAGGAGTAGGGTGGCTAGGTTAGACTTTGGGCATATGTTGAACTTTTTAAAAAACTTCCAAAATATTTTTCAAAGTGGACGTCCCATTTTACATTTCCATGAAGAATATATGAGAGTTTCACTTGCTTCACATCCTTGCTAGTGCTTGATACTGTCAGGATTTCTAATTTTAGCCATTCTAACATGTGTGTAATCTCACTGGGGCTTTAATTTGAATTTCTCTAATGATTAATGATGTTGAACATCTTTTTGTATGCTTATTTGCCATCCATATGTCTTCTTTGATTGGCCTGTTTACTTATTATTGTGACTTGTGAGTTCTTTAAATATTCTGGACACATCTTTTATCAAATATGTGATTGGCAAATATTTTCTCCTTGTGCGTGACTTGCTTTTTCATTCTTTCAATGGTGTATTTTGAGGAAAATTTCTTAATTTTGGTGAATCCCTGTTTATTCAGTTTTTCTTCTATAAATTGTGCTTGGCTGTTATACTTAAGAAATCTTTATGTAACTCAATTCACAAATATTTTCTCATATATTTTCTTCTAGAAGTTTTATAAACTTAGCTTTGTGTAACTTTGTATCCTGCCAATTTGCTGATTTCACTTGTTCTAGTATCCTTTTATTTGGTAATGTAGGATTTTATACATAAATAATCATATCATCTGATAATAAAGGTAGTTTTAATTATTATTTTTCAATTTTTGTGACTTTTATTTCCTTTTTAAAATTTTTATTTCACTGGCTGGACCCTACAATGTACTGTCGAATAGAAGTAAGGAAAGTGGATATTCTTGCCTTCATTTTTTAATCTTAGGGGAAAATAATTCAGTTATTCACCATAAGTATGATAGTGACTATACATTTTTTAAAGATGTCCTTTATCAGTATGAGACAGTTTCCCTTTATTCCTAGTTTACTGAGAGTTTTAATCAGAAATAGATGTTGAAACTTTTCAAATGTTTTTCTATATATATTGACATTTTTTCTTTTTAAATCTCTGAAACCAAAATATTAAACCAATCTATTCTGATAATAATTCTCATCTGATCCTTTTTATATATTGTTGAATTAAATTTGTAAAATGTTAAGAAGTTTTGTATCTATGTTCATGAGGGATATTGCTCTGTAATATTATCTTTATAAAATGTCTTTGGTTTTGGTATCACAATATTTCTCAACTAATTGAAAGAGTTAGAAAGTATTCCTTTTTTTTAAAATTTTCTGTAGGAGTTTTGTAGAATTAGTATTATTTGGCCTTTAAATGATTGAAGGCTGGATATGGTAGCTCACACCTATAATCCCATCACTTTGGGAGGCCAAGGTGGGAGGTTTGCTTGAGCCCAGGAGTTTGAGACCAGCCTGGGAAACACAGGGAGATCTCATCTCTAAAAATAATTTTTAAAATTAGCTGAATGTAGTGGTGCATGCCTGTAACCCCAGCTACTCAGGAAGCTGAGGTGGGAGGATTCCTTGAGCCCAGGAGTTCAAGGCTGCAGGGAGCTATCATCATGCCACTGCATTCCAGCCTGGGTGACAGAGCAAGACCCTGTCTCAAAAAAAAAAAAAGTTTGGTAGAAATCATTAGTAGAGCAGCTATCTGAGCCTAGAGTTTTTGTTTTTGTTTTGATTTTGTGGGAAAGTTTTTAAACTACAAGTTAAATTTTTTAGTAGATATAGGAATATTCTGGTTATCTCTTACTTTTTGAGTGATCATTGATAATTCTGTCTTCCAAGTTATTTGTTCATTTCATAAAAGCTGTCAAATTTATTGGTATAAAGTTGTTCATAATATTCCCTTATTAAATGTGGTGGTTTTAAAATAGATTCACAAATAATTTGGTATTCCTCCCTTAAAGAGACAGACACTAAATTCTGCCCCCCACCCCCCCATGTTTGAGTAGTGCTAAATGACTGGCTTCTATCAAATAAAATACGGCAGAATTAAAATTGTATGATGTCCAAGATTAGGATATAAAAGACACTGATGGCATCCTCCTTAATCTGTGTCTTGGATTGCCTCCTCAATAGAAGCCAGCTGTTACGTGTAATGACACTCAAGTATAACCCTATGGAGAAACCTTCAGGCAAGAAATGGTGGCCTTTTGCCAAAAGTTAGCAAGGAACTTCGGCCTCCTGCCAACAGTCATGTGAATTAGCCATCTTGGGAGTCTTCTGGCCCTAGTCACATCTCCAGTTGACTCTAGTCCTGACTACCATATTGGCTACAATCTCACAAGTGACCTTGAGACAGAAACATCAAATAAAATGCTCTGAAATTCCTGAGCCACATAAATTTTAAGATAATATATGTTTGTTTCTTTAAGCACTTAGACTGGGGACAATCTGTTAAACATCAATGGAAAACTAATACACATTTTTGTACTGAGAATGGAGTACTGGAATAGCAAAAAGCAAAAAAGTGGGAGTGGTTTTGGAATTGAGCAGTGGGCACAACATGGAAGAGCACTGAGGAGTGAGTTAGTGAAAGATTGAAGATTTTTGAAGAAATTTAATTCCCGACTCACAGAAACTGTGAGATAATAAATATTTGCTGGTTTAAGCTACCATGTTTTCTGGTAATTACTATGCAGTAATAGATAACTAAGGCATTTTATTTTTATTTTATTTACTTATTTTAACTCTTATTTCATGTTCAAGAGTACATGGGCAGTTTTGTTATATAAGTAAATTGCATGTCAGAGGATTTGGTGTCAGATTACTCCATCACCCAGATAGGTAGTTTTTCAGTCCTCACCTGTGTGTCCATGTGTTCTCATGATTTAGCTTCCACTTGTAAGTGAGAACATGTGGTGTTTGGTTTCTGTTCCCATGTTAATTTGCTAAGGATATTGGCCTCCAGCTCCAACCACGTTCCTACAAAGGACATGATCTCATTCTTTTTATGGCTGCATAATATTCCATGATGTATATGTACCATGTTTTCTTTATCCTGTCTACCATTGATGGCATTTAGGTTGATTCCATGTCTTTGCTATTGTGAATAGTGCTGCAATGGACATACACGTGCATGTGTCTTTATGGTAGAATGATTTATATTCCTTTGGGTATATACTCAGTAATGCAATTGCTGGGTGAAATAGTATTTCTGTTTTTAGTTCTTTGAGGAATTGCCACATTGCTTTCCACAACAGTTGAACTAATTTACACTACCACCAACAGTGTATAAGCTTTCCTTTTTCTCTGCAACCTCACCAACACCTGCTATTTTTTTACTTTTTAATAGTAGCCATTCTAACTGGCATGAGATGATATCTCATTGTGGTTTTGATTTGCATTTCTGTAATGATCAGTGATGTTGAGCTTTTGTTCATATGCTTCTTGGCCACATGTCTGCCTTCTTTTGAAAAGAGTTCATGTCTTTTGCCCACGTTTTAATGGGGTTATTTTTATCTTGTAAATTTGTTTAAGTGCCTTATAGATGCTGGATATTAGACCTTTGTCAGATGTACAGTTCGCAAATATTTTCTCCCATTCTGCAGGTTGTCTCTTTACTCTGTCGATAGCTCCTTTTGCTGTGCAGGAGCTATCAACAGATCCCATTTGTCAATTTTTACTTTCGTTGCAATTGCTTTTGGCATCTTTGTCATAAAATCTTTGTTCATTCCTATGTCCAGAATCATATTTCCTATGTTTTCTTCTAAGTTTTTATAGTTTTGGGTTTTACATTTAAGTCTTTAATCCATCTTAATTTTTGTATATGGTGTAAGGAAGGGGTCCAGTTTCAATCTTCTGCATATGGCTAGCCAGTTATCCTAGCACCATTTATTGAATAAGGAATCCTTTCTCCATTGCTTTTCTTGTCAGCTTTGTTGAAGATCAGATGGTTGCAGGTGTGCAGATTTATTTCTGGGTTCTCTATTCTGTTCCATTGGTCTATGTGTCTGTTTTTTGTACCAGTACCATGCTGTTTTGGCTAGTGTAGCCTTGTAGTATAGTTTGAAGTCAGGTAGCATGATGCCTCCAGTTTTGTTCTTTGTGCTTAGGATTGCCTTGGCTATTTGGGCTCTTTTTTGGTTACATGTGAATTTATAAATAGTTTTTTTTTCTAGTTCTGTAAACAATGTCATTGATAGTTTGATAGAAATAGTATTGAATCCATAAATTGGCTGGGCGTGGTGGCTCACGCCTGTAATCCCAGCACTTTGGGAGGCCAAGGCGGGTGGATCACGAGGTCAGGAGATCGAGACCACCCTGGCTAACATGGTGAAACTCCGTCTCTACTAAAAATACCGAAAATTAGCTCAGCGTGGTGGCAGGTGCCTATAGTCCCAGCTACTCGGGAGGCTGAGGCAGGAGAATGGCATGAACCTGGGAGGCAGAGCTTGCAGTGAGCCAAGATCATGCCACTGCACTCCAGCCTGGGTGACAGAGTGAGACGCTGTCTCAAAAAAAAAAAAAAAAAAAAAAAGAAATAGTATTGAATCCATAAATTGCTTTGGGCAGTATGGCCATTTAAATGATATTGATTCTTTCTATCCAGGAGCATGGCATGTTTGTCCATTTATTTGTGTCATCTCTGATTTCTTTCAGCCATGTTTTGTAGTTCTCATTGTAGAGATCTTTCACCTTCCTGGTTAGCTGTATTCCTAGGTATTTTCTTCTTTTTGTGGCAGTTATACATGGGATTACATTCCTAATTTGGCTATCAGTTTGACTACTGTTGGTGTATAGGAATGCTAGTGATTTTCATATGTTGATTTTGTATCCTGAAACTTGGCACCAGAGTTGTTTATCAGCTTAAGAAGCTTTTGGGCAGAGACTGTAGGGTTTTCTAGATATAGAATCATGTCATCTGCAAACAGAAATTGTTTGACTTCCTCTCTTTCTATTTAGATGCCTTTTATTTCTTTCTCTTGCCTGATTAGTCTGGCAAGGACTTCCAATACTACGTTGAATAGGAGTGATGAGATAGGGCATCCTTGACTTGTACCAGTTTTCAAGGGGAATGCTTCCAGTTTTTGCCCATTCAGTATGATGACGGCAGTGGGTTTTTCATAGATAGCTCTTATTATTTTGAGGTATGTTTATTCAATGCCTAGTTTGTTTAGGTTTTTTTTTTTTTTTTTTTTTTTTTTTTTTTTTTTTTTTTTTAGGCAGAATTTCACTCGTTGCCCAGGCTGGAGTGCAATGGTGTGATCTCAGCTCACTGCTAAACTCCACCTCCCAGGTTCAAGCAATTCTCCTGCCTCAGCCTCCCAAGTCACTGGGATTACAGGCTTCTGCCACCATGCCCAGCTAATTTTTGTATTTTTAGTAGAGATGGGATTTCATCATGTTGGCCAGGCTGGTCTCCAACTCCTGACCTCAGGTGATCCACCTGCCTCAGCCTCCCAAAGTGCTGGGATTACAGGCATGAGCCACCGCGCCTGGATTGTTGAGGGTTTTTAACATGAAGGGATGTTGAATTTTATCAAAAGCCTTTTCTGCATATATTGAGATGATTGTATGGTTTATGTTTTTAGTTCTGTTTATGTGAGGAATCACAGTTACTGATTTGCAACCAATTTATTGAACCAACTTTGCACCCCAGGGATAAAGCCTACTTGATTATAGTGGATTCACTTTTTTATGTGCTGATGGATTTGGTTTGCAAGTATTTTGTTGAGGATTTTTCCATCAATGTTCATCAAGGATATTGGCCTGAAGTTTTCTTTTTTTGTGTTCATTGCTAACAGATTTTGTTATCAGGATTATACTGGCCTTATAGAATGAGTTGGCAAGGAGTCCCATTCTTCACTTTTTTGGAATAGTTTCATTAGGCTTGGTATCAGCTCTTCTTTATACATCTGGTAGAATTCAGCTGTGAGTCTGTCTGGTCCTGGGGTTTTTCTGATTGGTAGGCTTTTTATTACTGATTCAACTTCAGAACTCCTCATTGGTTTCTTCAGGGATTCAGTCTCTTCCTGGTTCAATTTTGAGAAGTGATATGTTTCCAAGAATTTATCCATTTCTTCTAGGTTTTGTTACTTGTGTCCATAGAGGTGTTCATAGTAGTATCTGAGAGTCTTTTGTATTTCTGTGGGAATCAGTGGTAACTGTTTTGTCATTTCTGATTGTGTTTATTTGGATCTTCTCTCTTTTTTTCATTAGTCTAGCTAGTTGTCTATCTATCTTATTGATTCTTTCAACAAACCAAATCCTAGATTCATTGATCTTTTATATAGTTTTTTGTATCTCAATTTTCTGCAGTTCAGCTCTGATGTTGGTTATTTCTTGTCTTTTGCTAGCTTTGGGGTTAGTTTGCTCTTGTTTTTCTAGTTCCTCTAGTTGTGATGTTAGGTTGTTAATTTGAGATCTTTCTAAGTTTTTGATGTGGACTTCTAGTGCTATAAAGTTTCCTCTTAACATTGCTTTAACTGTGTCCCAGAAATTCTGGTATATTATATTTTTGCTCTTATTAATTTCAAAGAATTTTTTGATTCTTGCCTTAATTTCATTATTTATCCAAAAGTCATTCAGAATCAAGTTGTTTAATTTCCATGTAATTGTATGGTTTTGAGTGAATTTTCTTAGTATTAATTTCTATTTTTATTGTAATGTGGTTCAAGAGAATGATTGGTGTGATCTGTTTTTTTGAATTTGCTAAGGATTATTTCATGTTCTATTGTGTGGTCAGAGTGTGTGTCATGTGCAGATAAGAAGAATGTATATTCTGTTTTTTTGGGGTGGAGAGTTCTGTAGACGTCTATTAGGTCGATTTGTTCAAGTGTCAAGTTCAGGTCCTGAATATCTTTATTAGTTTTCTGTCTCGATTATCTGTCTAATACTGTCAGTGGGCTGTTGAAGTCTCCCACTATTTTGTGTGGTTATCTAAGTCTCTTCTTAGTCTCTAAAGACTTGATTTATGAATCTGGGTGCTCCTGTGTTGGGTGCATATATATTTAGGATAGTTAGGTCTTCTTGTTGAATTGAGCCTTTTACCATTGTGTAATGCCTTTCTTTGTCTTTTTTGATTTTTTTTTTTGTTTAAAATCTGTTTAGTCTGAAATTAGAATAGCAACTGATGCTTTTTTCTCTTTTCCATTTGTCTGATAGATTTTTCTCCATCTCTTTACTTTGAGTCTATGGGTGTCATTGCATGTAAGATGGGTCTCTTGAAGACAGCATATAGTTGTGTCTTACACAACTTTTTTATCCAACTTGCCACTCTGTGTCTTTCAATTGGAGCATTTAGCCCATGTACATTCAAGGTTAGTATTGCTGTGTGTGGATTTGATCCTGTCACTGTGCTGTTAATTGGCTATTATACAGATTTTTTGTGTGGTTGCTTTATAGTGTCACTGGTCTATGTACTTAAGAGTGTTTTTGTAGTGGCTGGTAACAGTCTTTTCTTCCAATATTTAGCACTCTCTTCAGTACCTCTTATAAGGAAAGTCTGGTGGTAATGATTTCCCTTAGCACTTGCTTGTCTGAAAAGGATCTTATTTATTCTTCACTTATGAAGCTTAGTTTGGCTGGATATGAAATTCTGGGTTGCTAAATCTTTTCTTTAGGAATGCTGAATATAGGCCCCAGTCTCTTCTGGCTTGTAGGTTTTCTGCTGAAAGGTCCACTCTTTGCCTGATGGGATTTACTTTGTAGGCAACCTGCCCCTTCTCTCTAGCTGCCTTTAGCTTTTTTTTTTTTTTTCCCATTACAACCTTGGAGAATCTGATGACTATGACTGTGTGTCTTGGGGATGATCTTCTCATGTAGTGTTTTTCAGGGGTTCTTTGCATTTCCTGAATTTGAATGTTGGCCTCTCTAGCAAGGTTGGGGAAATTTTCATGGATGATATCCTGAAGTATGTTTTCCAAGTTGCTTGCTTTCTTGCCCACTCTTCAGGGACACCAGTGGATCATAGATGTGCTCTTTTTACAGAATCCCATATTTCTTGGAGGTTTTGTTCATTCTTTTTTGCTTTTTCCTTATTTTTATCTGACTGAATTATTTCAGGGAACTGGTCTTTGACCTCTGAGATTCTTTCCTCAGCTTAGTTGATCCTGCTGTTAATACTTGTGATTATATTCTGAAATTTCTGAGGTGAGTTTTTCAGCGCTATCAGATTAGTTTGCTCCTTTCTTAACGTGGCCATTTCATCTTTCATCTCCTGTATCATTTTATTATATTCCTTAGAATCCTCGGATTGGATTTCAACTGTCTCCTGAATCTCAATAATCTTAATTCCTATCCATATTGCAAATTCTTTTTCTGTCATTTCAGCCATTTCAACCTGATTAAGAACCATTGTTGGGGAACCAGTGTGGTCATTTGGAAGTAAGAAGGCATTCTGGCTTTTTGAGTTGCCAGAGTTCTTGCTCAGGTTTTCTCATCTGTGTGGGCTGATGTTCCTTCAATCTTTGATCTTACTGTCCTTTAGATTTTTTTTTTTTTTTTTTTTTTGCACTCCTGGGCTGTGTGCTCTAACTTTGGGGGTGGCTAGTCTCAATTCCCCAGCTTTGTTCTCTCTCCCCTCATGGTTACGAATCTGCTGTGCTGGAGGGGCCGAGGTGTTCCTGGACCACTGACAAAACACTGATGGGTGGTGCCAGCCAAATCACTTTGTCAGGCAGTGGCAGTGGGATTAATGCTTGTTTGCAGCTGCAGCAGCATGGCAGCATACATGCTTATCAGCTGTGGCAGGGCATTGGCAGTTGTGGGGCTACCAGCCTCAGTGCAGGTGTTCACAGCAGTGGCAGTGCCAGCGTTGGCTGAGGGGCAGGGCCACTCGAGTCTATTCACACGTTTGCACTGGCAGTGGTGTCAGTGCAGGGTCAAAGCACTGGTATGTGCAAGGCTGGCAGCACCTTATGCACATATTCATGCTAGCAGCAGTGTCAATGCGGGACCTCTGGCCTCTGTGCATGCATTCACACCAGCAGCAATGACAGCACAAGATTGGAGTGTGGGGCCACTGGCCTCTGTGTGTGCATTTGCTCTGGCAATGGTGGCATGGTTGAGTCGGGGATGGGGTGTGCTCATGCTGGCAACAGTGGCATGGTGGGGTGCATGCACACATGCATGCCATCAGGGAAGAGGAGGAAAGGCCCACGTGTGGACACATGCACCATCAAAGCAATGGAGAGGGTGGCTGTGGTGAATTGCATGTTGGCAAAGTGGCACAGGGGAGGTTGTGGTGAGGGAAGGGTGCTAGTGGGCTGGTGTGCATCAGTGGGGGCCACTCTGCTGGAGCTTTCCAATAGTCAGGCATGGTTTGTCAAAGCAGGAGCTATGATGAAAATTCCCAGGAGGCACCCCAGTTAGACATCCGAGGCTGTACTGCAAGCAGATGTGGCCGGGCTGGGCCCCTGGGATAGGCCAGCAGACAGTGGGATGCTCAGGTTGGATTGACTTGTCTTATGGGCAAGATTACCTTTGTTCTGTTCAGGGCCAACAGTCCTCATAATTACATCTTTTAGAGGAGCACGGGGAGCCTTGGCGGATGGGCATCCGTGGCTGTGCTCTACTGCAGACTTTCCTGTATCAAACCCTCTGGGCTCCACACAGGCTGGAGTCCTGCCCTTATCACCTCTCTAAGCAGCTCTTCCTGTCTGCTCAAGTGTCCATGCGGGCTGTGGAGTCTCCTCTGCCTGGATTCCAGAGGTCTGTGGCAAGAGTGGGTGGCTCCTTGCCAGCTCAACTCACCCCTTCCCCAGGAGTAACTGGGGGTCAGAAATGAGTCCCTGTGTGCTACAGCCTCACGCAGGGTTCTAGCTTCCTCCTGCTTCAGCCCAGCATCTGTGTCCTCCCTCCATCCATTCTCAGTGCCTTACCTCTGAAGATATGCTCAGAGTATGCTATTCTTCACAGTGTCCTGGTCCCTCAGTGGCAGGAGTTACTCCTGGCTTCATCTAGTCAGCCATCTTGCCTCAAACCTCCATTAGTTAGTTGTATTCTCCTTCTAATATCTGCAGAATTTGTAGTTATATAACCTCTCTCTTCCTGATGTTGGTATTTTTGGATTTCTTTTTTCTGATTAGTCTGGCTAGAGGTTTGTCACCTTCACTGGTTTTTGATCCTCTCAAAAGGCCTTTGGTTTCACAAATTTTCTCTGTTATTTTGATTTTGTATTTTATTGATTTCTACTCTATTTCCTTTATTCTGCTTATTTTTAAGTTTAATTTATATTTTCTTATTTCTTAAGGTATATGTTAAAGTCATAGATTTGAGACATTTCTTCTTTCCTAATATAGACATTTGAATGCAGCCCACAATTTTGATATGGGATGTTTTTATTTTTCATTCGATTGAAAACACCTTCTAATTTTCTTTGTTATTTCTTCTTGGATCCATGTTATTTAATTTCCAAATATATTATTTTCTGATATCTCTTATTGATTTTAAATTTAATTTAATTACAGTTAGAGAAGTTGCTTGATATAATTTGAGTCTGTTGAAACTTATTGAAACTTATTTTATAATTGGAAATATGATCTATCTTGGTAAATATGAATTAGATCAAATTGGTTGTGATATTCATTTTTTATGTCCTTGCTGACTTTTTTTGGTCTATTCTATCAGTTGTGGAAACAGGAGTGTTGAAAGGCTCCACTTATCATTGTTGAATTTTCTATTTGTCATTTCAGTCCTATCAGATTTTGCTTCATGCATTTTGAAGCTTTATTATAAGATAAATAAATGTTATAACTGTTACGTCTTCTTGATAAACTGATGCCATTATCATTGTGAAATGCCCCTCTTTATCCTAGGTAATATCTTTACTTTCAAATCTACTTAATCTAATATTAATATAACCACTGCAACATTCTTTTCATCAGCGTTAGCATGCTCTTTTTCTATTCTTTTACTTTAACCTATTTGTCTCTATATTTAAAATGAGTTTCTTGTAGGCATCATATAGATGGTTGCTCCTTGCTTCTCAATCCAATTTGACAATCCAATTTGGCTTTTAATTGAAGTGTTTAGACGATTATACATTTAACATGATTGTTTATGTAGTTGCATTTAAATCTTGTGCCCTTTTTTTTTCTATTTTTTCCATCTGTAATTTGTTTTATTTTTCCTTTCCCCCTGCAGCCTTTATGATTGAGGAGATTAAAAATATTTTTCTAATTATTTCCTTTGTTGGATTATTGCTATAAATTTATTTTGGTTTCTTTAGGGTTTATAACATAAATCTTTAACTTAAGGTCTACTTTCAAATAATATGATACTATTTTACATATAAGTATCTTATGACAGCATATTTTCATCTCTCTACCCTAACCTTTGTGTCACTGATTTATATGTCTTACTGATACATAATTTATAAACCCATAATACATTATTATTTTCACTTTAAATAGTCAATTATCTTCTAATAGCTTCAAAAATAACAAAGAGGTCTTTTATATTTACCATCTCTGGTACTTTTCATTCCTCATATAAATCTGTTTCTTTTCTTCTGCTTGAAAGTCTTTCTTGTAGTCCAGGTCTATTGATAATTAATTCTTTCAGCCTTTGCATGTATGAGAAAATCACTCCTTTCAAGAGGTATTTTCACTAGGTATAGCCTTCTACATGACAATTATGTTTTTCTTTCAGTACTTTAAATATGTTCCTCTATTGTCTTTTGCCTTGGATTATCTCTAATGAAAAATCTGCTACCTGTTTAACTTTGTTACTCTATATAATGTCTTTTTTCCCCCTCTGGCTAGTTTTCAGATTTTCTTTTTAGCCTTGGTTTAATAATTTGAATATAATGTATCTTGATTTTTTTAAATATTTCTGGTGGTTAGGAAACATCCAGCTTTTTAGATTTGTGAGTTTGTGGTTTTCATCAAATTAGAAAAATTTTAACCATTATTTCCTCAAGTATTTTTCTATTCTTTTGTGGCCTCCAATTGCATGTATATTAGGCTCCTTGATTGTCCTAGAGGTTACTAATACTCTGTTCATTTTTCAGTATTTTTTCTCTGCATATTTTATTCTTGATGAGTTCTATTGTTAGGGTTTTGAGTTTAATATTTTCTCCTCTAGTGTCTATTTGGCTGGTAACCCTATCCAGTGCATTTTTAAAGAAATCTTTGACACTGTAGTTTTATCTGTAAACTTTTGATTTGAGTTTTTATTTTCTTTAACTTTAAAAAATTTTTGTAGAGATAGGGGTCTTGCTGTATTGCCCAGGCTGGTCTTGAAACCCTAGGCTCAAGTGATCTTTGTGCCTCAGCTTCCAGAGTTGCTGGGATTACAGAGGTGAGCTACTGTGCCCAGCTGATTTGAGTCTTTTGTATAGCTTCCATGTCTCTAACATGCTCAATTTTTTTCTGCCTTCTTGAACACATCAAATATAATAAAAATATCTGTTTTAGTGTCTTTGTGTACTAATTCTGACACCTATGTTGTTTTTAGTTTGTTTATATTGATTTACTTTCTCTTCATTATCAGTTTCATTTTCCTGCTCCTTTGCATATCTTGTAATTCTTGATTGGATGCCAGACATAGTGAATTTTACTTTGTTTTATGCTGGATTATTTTTTGTTTCTATAAATATTTTTGAGCTTTGTTCTTGAATGTGGTTAGATTACTTGAAAACAGTTTAATCCTTTCAAGCCTTACTTTAAAGCTTTGTTAGGTGGAACCAGATCAACTTTTAGTCTATAACTAATTTTTTCACCCCTACTACTGAGGCTATACCCTTCCGAGTACTCATTCAATCCATTGTCTTGTGAATTACAAGGTGTTTTCACTCTGGTTAATGGAAATACCTATATGTTCTCTAGGGATTTGGGATGGTTCTGTCTTCAGTCTCAGGTGGTTTCCTCCTTACACTACTGTGCTGATCAGTACTCAGTTGAAGATTTGAGGAAGATCTTCTGCAAATCTCTGGGAGCTCTGTCTTTGTGCATCTATCTCCTCTCTGTTATTCCTGCAAACTTAGCCATCCTTGGGCTCTGAATTCCATCTTTTTAACTCAGGGAGACTGTTAGGCTCCTCCTGTGTTTTCTCTGCCTGTGATGTGGCCTGAGAACTCTGTCTTGACAGTAAACTGAGGCAATCATAGGACTTATCTCATTTATTTCCCCTTTCATAGGAATCATTGTCTTATGCTCACTGATATCCCATGTCAGAACAACATCGTAGCATGTATTTTGTCTGATATTTTAGTTGTTTCAGGTGGAAGTGTCAATACACTCCTATTACTCCATCTTGACCAGAAGCAGATGTCTCTTCTCAACTACATCTAATTACCTATGTTCCACAGTAGTTCTTAAACTGATCAACCTGTTTCTAATATTTATTTATACCAATTCTACATGTCTTCTAAATTATCTTGTCTAAAACACTTCCCTAAGAAATGAAGCCACTGCTTTTCTTAAAAATGTTGAATGATCAGATTATATCCAAACTTCTTTTTTTGATGTTTAAGGCCTTCTAGTAAAATGAAAAGCATCTCATCCTTTTATTTTTCCTTCCATTGGACCAAGGGAGGAGAAAGAGAAGGAAATCACATTGACACCTTTTCTCTTTCCATTTGAGGGATCTGCCTCCTGGAACAGTAGCCCTTTTGTGTATAATCTAGGTCAGACAGTGGAGAAGTACACAGCTGAC
The DNA here is from genome assembly GCF_000001405.40 of Homo sapiens. Taxonomy (NCBI): domain Eukaryota; kingdom Metazoa; phylum Chordata; class Mammalia; order Primates; family Hominidae; genus Homo; species Homo sapiens. The sequence continues at coordinate 43,482,501 of NC_000023.11, read as the reverse complement.
AGTCAAAACTCATGATAACAGGTATATATTTGATAAAGATATAGTCTGTATAAATCACAGTACCTAGAACAAAACGATTTACATAATAGTTCTATAAAAATATTTCTTGGCTTAGCAAGACATAAATTTAAGACCTTAAAAATATATAAAAACATGGATCATATCTTTTTCCCCTTAAGCAATGAATTAAACCAATCATGTATTTCTCCTTATAAGCAATCAATTAGGCCTTATTATCACTGACATTTTCTGTTGCAAATCAAGCTATGGCTATCTCAAATTGGGAAAGCTGTTGTTGACTTAACATTGTTCCTCAGTCTCAAAAACTGAGATTTAACATAAAATATTTGGGCAGAAAGATTGGAAGGAAAAACAAAACTGCTCCTAGGGAAATATTACTTGCTGTGTCCAATCTTGATAAAAAAAATAAAAAGAAGGTGGTTTTCCTAGCATTTCAGTTGTCACTTTTGTTTGTCAATAAATGTGTTTGAATTTTCTCAGGTTATGAAACAACCAGTGGCAATAGCAGGGGTGGCAGAGGCGTAAGCTGCTTGATTATCTTAGCACTGACCTGTAAGCAGCCCCCTCTGGGGTGAAATGCAATTGAGTCTTTCTATTAAGTTCAGTCCTGAGTGCCTCTGCAGTAGTCTCGGTTATCAGGCTCAGAACACATTGAGTTAAGTAAGAAGGCGTGGGGTGGATAATAGCTTTGTGACGCAGATGGCTATCAGCAAGATACTAAGCTGAAAATTACTTCTCTGGGGCTGCCGAGGATGGGAAATCAGGGTGAAAGTTGAGGCTGAGCTGCAAGATTTGGTTTTCTATCCTCTGCAATGGCCTTGCTCTGTGGGTTAAAGGCCACTGCTGTACTCATGAATATACACTATTTCTGGCTGCCATAATTGACTAGCTACACTTTGCAGCTGGCTTAACAAGCCTAAGAGCTACTATTCAAGGCCGGAGGAGCAGTACAGAATAGCATTTCCATAGATGCTTTGAATTATCTTTGGCCATGTGGAAACTGAGTGAACTCAACAGCAGAAAAACACTCTTCACATTATATGGACTAAATTTTGAACTACTATCATACCAGCATTGTCTCCATGTTAGTTATATAACTTTATATTTGACAAGAAAAAAAAAACCTCAACATTTCATCTTTCTTTAGTTTGCCTTTATCTTCATTTATATATATATATGCAGATGGTTTTATCTTTGTGATGGAAATGGATTCAACATCTGACATGGTATGGCGTCAGGCTAAGACCTGAACTCTGGAGTGAACTGCTTGGTGTTGAATCCTAGCTTTATCTCTCACTAACTGTGTAACCCTGGATAAATTACTTTACCTCTCTTGCCTTAGTATCTTCATCTGTAAAATAGGCATAATAAAATGACCACCCTCATATGGTTGTTATAGTACTAAAGAGGTTAATAAATATAAAGCACTTACATAGAGTTTACCATAATCTAGACCTTGTTCTAACTTTTAGTCATAGTATTAGCTGAAATGACACAAGAACTGCAGTGGACAAGTATACAATGTAAAGCTTAGAATTTAAGCTGAGGTCATTTTTTCACCCTTGCTCTCAAGCTATTTCTGAAAGGCTTTCCTTTGTATTTGGTTACACACAAATGTAATTTTTCTCTTAGGTCTGTAATTGTGTTGTCTTACTTAGCTGACTAGAAGCTCTTGAAGTGGAGATTTTATTTCCCCCTTCACTTCCTCTATAAATAAGGAGCAGCTAGCACAAACAATGTGTATTTGTAAGTATTACTTTTAGCAAGTCTATTTTTCACCAAATAAAGGCTTCATGTGCAGCCTCTATACCTTGTTGCTGTGAGTGCAGAGCAGGATCTATTAGCTCCTTAAAAATATGATATTATGTGACATACTCTAAAGAATACCAGTTACCATTTATTGAGTGGCTACAATCTGTAGGGCTCTGTATAAAAACTTTACATAGCTTGTCTTCTGGAACTTGCAAATTCTCTGTAAAGTGGATGGTATTATCTTCACTTTAGATATGGGGAAATAGAAGCTCGGAAGGATGAAGGTACTTAACAAGGTCACACCTCTCTGTCACTCAGGCCCGCTTGATTTTAAAGCTTATGGGTTTGTTTACCATATCACACTGCAGTTCTTCCTGTTTTTGTCTCACGCCTGTCTTCACTTTATATTCTATTTATTGATTTTTTTCCTCCTTCTTGTCTTGTGTTGTTTTGATGATAGTTTTCAACAGGCACAAAGATCAGAGTTAAATGATGCTACTTCATTTTAGTTCAGGAGACTCAGCCCCAAGATCTTCCCTGTGGTAACTGAATAAAATCGTTGTCAACCTTTGATTAAACATTTCTACAAATCACATCATGGTCACTAACAAAGCTTTTTTATTCCCACTGAAACACTCTGTTAACGGGGAGTTAACTAACTGAAACCCCCACTGTGCTCAGAGGACAGTCACAATGATGGGACTTTTAACAACAGACAAAAAAAACCCATAGGCTTCTCTATCTGGATTATCACAAAGGGGAAAGATCTGGAAATGACTGTTCATCAAAGCTATGATTGAAGGAGCGACTGCTTCTCAGTTGTGTCATTTCTCCTTGCATTTTTCAGAGTAGCAACATAGTATAGCGGTTCAGAACCACTGACGGTTGCTCGAGCCACATTGCTGTGTTCAAATCACAGCTGTGTTACTTACTAGCTGTGTGATGTTGGACACACTACTTGATTCATTTAACCTTCACAACAGCCCTATGATGTAGGTACTATCATTATCCCCACTTCACAGATGAGGAGACTGAGGCACAGAGAGTTTATATAACCTGCCCAATGTAATATCCATGGCATCTCCTTGAGTCTTGAAATTTGGGGTGTCAGAATCAATATTTTTTTCTAATATTTTGTTATGAAAATATTTTAGTATACAGAAAAATTAAAAGAATTTTCCAGTAGATACCTGTATATCCACCACATAGATTTTACCAATGAGTTTTTATTATAATTGTTTTATTGTATATCTATACACCCTTCTATACATTCATCAATCTATCTTTTTTTGTTTTCGAATGCACTTTAAAGTAAGTTATCAACATCAGTTTTCTCCTAAATACTTCAGCATTTATATGACTAACTACAGGTCAATATTTGTTTATAGTTTTTCTTTTGATTTATGTACAATGAAATGAACAAATCTGAAATGTGCATTGCGAAATATGCGCTGGGAATAGTGCAACTCAACCCCCATCAAGATATAGAACATTACTGTCACATTACCATCATCCAGATCTCTTGTGCTCTTTTCCACTCATCCTCCACTCCTATTCCAAAAGTAGCCTCTGTTCTGATATTTTTCATTATAAATTAGTTTAGCCTGCTTTAGAAGTTTGTATAAATGGAATCCTGCACTATTTTCTCATTTGTGTAAGCCTTCATTCACTGTGCTGTTGAAAAATATCTTATTTGAAGACAGAAGAGCTTTCATAAGGAAGCCAAAAGACTAACTTATTTGACTCTAAAGACCCAGTCAAATGAATGGTTCAAGAAGAAGTGCATAGAAATAGAAAGATATGGCCGGGTGTGGTGGCTCACACCTGTAATCCCAGCACTTTGGGAGGCCGAGGCGGGCAGGTCACGAGGTCAGGAGATCAAGACCATCCTGGCTAACATGGTGAATCCCCGTCTCTACAAAATAAATAAATAAATAAATAAAAATTAACCGGGCGTGGTGGCACGTGCCTATAATCCCAGCTACTCAGGAGGCTAAGGCAGGAGAATCGCTTGAACCCGGGAGGCAGAGGTTGCAGTGAGCCGAGATCGCGCATTACACTCCAGCCTGGTGATAGAGTGAGACTCTGTCTCAAAAAAAAAAAAAAAAAAAAAAAAAAAAAAGAAAGAAGTAGAAAGATATAATTTCTCTTGTCTATAGCTTTCAGAGTAATATTAGCGTGTGTATTTCTGTGGGTAAAATCATCTTGAAATACACATATATATGTGTGTGTTTATATATATAAAATATATATATGTGTGTTTATATATATATATATAAAATATATATATATTCTATTTAAAAAGAGCAGGTGAGGAAGAAAGCTGATATATATGGACCACCTAATGAGCCCCAGACACCTGACATGCACTATTTCATTTCAACTTCATACCCCAAGAGAAATATTTTCTCTTTTTTACACTTGAGTCATGCACTCACAATTACACTTTGCTGTTTCCCAAAGTGTAACTGTGCTACTTTGTATTAGGGAGAAACCAGGGCTCCCTAGCTAAGCTGCCATTCCTAGTTGGCCTTCCTTACCTTCTCCTCGTTGTTTTCCAGTTACCTCATTTTCTAGAGTTTTGCCCCAGACTAGGTGACAACTAGTTAATTACTTAAATTGTCATGGCTCCATGTCCTGTAAAGGTTGGTATCCTACCATTTGCTTCTTATGCTAGATATATTTACTTTGTAGAAAGACTGTGAGAGACAATATCTTTATCTGAAGGAGAAACACAATGGTGAGAATTACGGGTGCTTCTTTAGATAGGTGGAAATACATTGCAATAGGCAGGCATTGTACATTTCTAATATGTATACTTACTAACCTTACAACACTTTCTAGATTGTTGCTCATGGTTTCTAGATGTCTGCTTGTTCCCATATCCATCATTAGGAATCCAGGTATTGGAGACTTGGTTCAGGACTGTAAACAAGAGTTCCAGTAACTTCAGACCTACTCAAGTCACTTAATTAAGGCCTATGCATTACCCACATGAACAATATATCCAGGACTTGGTCTTTTTATTCCTTGACTTCCTTAGTTTCTGTAAATTCTTTTTTTTTCATTAAAACATGTAATTGTTTTGATTAGGACTTTGGTACATAAGACGCCGTCATTAAAATGAAAACTTCAACCAAGGATGTAGGGGAGAAACATGAAATCCATCCTCTATCTCTGCCATATCAATCATTTTTCCCTTTCCATCCATATCTGCCAGTCTTTTTCCTTATCTGTCATCAGGGTAATTTCTCTTCTCTTGACACATTTTCTTCCTTCCATCCCTCCCCAAACTCAACTCACATTCTCACAAGCAGGAAGCATCTGTTCCCAAGCTGGTGATGTGGATTTAGGGGAGAGAAGGAGAGGAGAGTGGAGTGCACATTTGATGGAGGATTCCGAGAAGTGTTATGAGCCATCCTCCACAGTGCAGTGGCACCACCTGGGCCCACACCACCAATCTCTGCTAAGTTTTTCATAAGTGCCTGCCCCACCTGGGATTCTCAAGCCATTTTATGTGTGTAAGAGCCACCTGGGGATATTGTTAAACTGAAGAGTGAGATTCAGTAAGAATCTGGGGAGGAGCCTGCAATTTGTATTTATTTTTATTTTTTGATACATTATATATGTACATATTTATGGGGCACATGTGAAATTTCGTTACGTGTATAGAATGTACAGTGATCAAGTCAGAGTCTTTAGGGTATATCTGTCACCTGTGTATTTATCATTTCTATGTGTTGGGTACGTTTCAAGTCCTCTCTTCCAGATTTGTATTTTTAAGAAGCTTTTTAAACAAGTTTTTTGGTCTATGGACCACACTTTGAGTAGTAAGGTGCTACATCATTTTCTTTCCCAAAAGAAAGAAAAAAATATTAGTAAGTATGTGGTGAGCATTTGGAGAATTTCAGAACTATAAAGAAGAGCATGACCAGAGTCTTTCAAGAATACCTTGCTGATGAGAACCATGACCCACCATTATTCCGAATGAACCCCAGGCTCACAAGCGGTGGGCTCTACAGTTGTTCCACTTTGGGATAGCTGGTATGCCTGAGTGAGTTGTTGCTGGACATGACTCATGCTCACTGAGCTGCAGCTTTCCCCACTAACCCAGTCTGTAGGTAAGCTCCTGCCATCCCATTCCTGACTTTACTTTTATTTCCTTCTCAGAATTAAGTCATTAGAATATTAGCGCCTTGACTGGAGCCCTGACAACCTTCCTATCCTTTCTAGCCCTTCTTTTAAGGGCACATAACCATGATCTTATGCCCTTAGACCCTGGATTCCTCCCCAAAAGTAGCTCTAAAATGCTCAGTTCTCCACATGCCTGACTACAGCGATTTTCATTGACCTGTGATATTTGCCGAATCAAATTATTTCACTGGATGTTGCAGAATGATAATTTTCTAATGCTCTCATTTTATTAGTTGGCTATCATTTATAAAGAAGAGTTTCCCTTTTTAGCTGGGAATGAACTAAGGTCCTGCAAAAACAGCAGTTTAAAAAATAAGTTATTTCATCATTATGGGTTCATGTATTTAAATTTTTAAAGTGTTTCATAATCAAGAGTTCCTATTTTTTTTCTTTTTTTTTTTGAGACGGAGTTTCGCTCTTGTTGCCCAGGCTGGAGTGCAATGGCGCGATCTCAGCTCACCACAACCTCCGCCTCCTGGGTTCAAGCGATTCTTCTGCCTCAGCCTCCCAAGTAGCTGGGATTACAGGCATGTGTCACCACGCCTGGCTAATTTTGTATTTTTAGTAGAGATGGTGTTTCTCCATGTTGGTCAGGCTGCTCTCGAACTCCTGACCTCAGGTGATCTGCCCACCTCGGCCTCCCAAAGTGCTGGGATTACAGGCGTGAGCTACTGCACCCGGCCCAAGAGTTCCTAATTTTTTGATACTCAGATTGTCCCCAGTTTGGCCAGTGCAAACACTTTCACACTGGCTCTCGTATCATTTTGACATGTCCCCATTATTCTTTGAGCCCTTGCTCGCTTGCTACCACAAAATCTTTCAGGCTCCTCTTTTATTTTCCCTTTTCCTGGATGTGAATTCAGCCATTTTCTCCATGTAGGTTCATTCTAGTGGGAAATTGTTCTTACACATCAAGATCTGGGTGCTAGCTATCTTTAATACCACCGAGAATGCCATTGTTTCTAGTACAATTCAGAGACAGACCTAGCATGTATAAATATGAACTAAATTGTTTAAAATATATTTTGAACTCAAATTTAACATCACAGTTTTTAAAAACATTTTTTGATTTTATATTTCTTTTCTCTTAACACTTGAAATTTTACTCCTTAAAAAGTTAACTCTTTGCTTTCTTATGTATTCTATAATATACATACAATAGCAAATGGAAAATACCAATATTCCCATTTTTAATGACTAAGTTAAGATTTCTTTGCAGTTCTTTTTGTGTTAACAAATACAAATATGTCTATACATGCTTTGTAAATATCTAAGGATATACAGACATCTGTGCAAAAAATCCCTTGAAATAGCTCTTTTCTTTGTGTGATTATTATAAATTTTATATAAATTGGGTTTATTTGTTCCCATCTGTGCTTAGTTTTAAGTTTTGCTCACTTTTTTTTTGATGAAAATTTATTTTGTGTATGTAAGACATTTACATGATTCAAAAGTCAAAACTTTATTTTAAAAACTATATTCAGAGAAGATCCACGTCCAGCCCTTTTATTCCTTTACCCTACCTCCATAAGCAGCCATTTTTTAAAAATCTCTGGTTTATTTTTTCTAGTTTTTTTTTGAACAAATTATAAATGAATACTTATTTCCTTTCCTTTTTTATGAAAAAGTATAGATTGAACCATGAGTTAGTTATTTTGGTACATTAAAAATGGTCAATTTCCCCCACCATGCCTGGTCTAATCCGTGCTTGTGAAACAGATGAATGCATGCATGCATGAGTGAAACTAATGGAGCACAAATGAGGGTTATTCCCCCACTTGCATGTAAGCTCCAAGAAGGATGAGGTTTTTGACTGTTTGATTCTTTGCTTAGCCTCTGCACCAAGAACAGTGTATGGCATGTAACTGGTACTCAATAAGCAGTTAATGAGAGAGTGAACTATGACTTTTTCTGTGTGGCTGCAAAACTGTGACGTTTTCTTGGTGATGGTGGATGCTAATTCCAGGGAGACTGTCTGAGGCACCCATTCCTGCCCTCTGACTCACCACCAGGAGGCTCAGTCCTGTGCATGCCTCAAGCTCGCCCATCAGGTCTGACAGCATGATTGACACTTTCTCTCTCCACTGGACAAGTAGTTTTCAAAATAGTGGTGTGTGGACCACCTGGGAAACAATTGCATCAGAGTCACCCAAGGTGCATGTTAATATGACAGGTTCCTGGGTCCCACAGCACACTAGCTAAATCAGAATTTCTGGAGTGGCTCCAGGAATCTGCATTTTCGCCAACTTTCTACTTGTTTCCTATGGACACTAGGAAGATTCAACAGTGGCATGGGCTGCTCTAGAAGGGTAGTGAATACCCATCACTATAGAAGGTCTAGAAGAAGTTGGGCAGCCTAGGACTGATAACACTGGGCACGTGTTTCACTCTCCCACTGCACCTCCTAAATAGTAAAAGAGTAGCATCGTCCCTGGCCCAACAGGCACTCAGTAAAACTTGCTGAAAAGAATGGATAGATTCTGAGATTTGTTCATACAAAATTATGTAAACACATGTAGGTGTTTATTCATTATCTGTGTGCTCAATGATTTATACGAACCAATAATTGGCCTGTTTTTTTTTTTTTTTGGACTTGAAATTCTCTTTATGTTCTCAAATAACACAGCTGATTTTAAGTCATTAAATTTCTCGTCTAACACTTTCATAAAAGTCACATTTTTCTGAGTATTACAAAATTCCCATAGAGAGGAATTCCTTAAAGTTAGTTTGTGTGAAGTTGACCTGGAAAAGGGAAAATGGGTCTTGAAATTGAGGAACCACAGTTATAACTACCTTAACTAATTTACAAAACACTCCATGAAAGAGGATGTAAAAAAAATGTAAACGTGGAGCACACAACATAAACGATTTCTTTCATTTGACAAAAGATACCTCTTGTTCCTCTCTATAGTCGGCATGTTTTATCTTTAGCATTTACAAAAGCACCGGCATTTTCAAGAATATTATTCAGATCACCTTGATGCTTTCCCTCCTGGGATCTTCCTTCCCAATCAATAGAAGTGCCAGCAGCAGAAAGAACTGAGAAATCCTTGTCGAGCTGGGAATGCCTTTTCAGAACAAACTGGGAGGATTTCCTGACTTGTTTATCTTTGGGATTTTTAGCAGGTGACCATGAATTCCTCCAAAGATGTACTTTTTGATCTTTTGATATAGTACACAGGCAATCATTTTTACCCCTCAGGGTTTCACAAATTTCAATATCTGCATTTTCTATTGATTTAGATGTGTAAAGGAGATGATAAAAATGCTGTAACCCAGATAATGATCACCTTACTCTTCAAAAATATTGCCCAAGGTACTGCTGATTATCATTACCTCTCTGTATCTGGTCTCTTTCACTTCATGGTAGGAAACTATGTATGGTGGGTTGAATGGCTGCCCCTCTCCTGACCCCCTGCACTCCCTCCATCCCCCGCCCCCCTACCCGCAACAAAATAGGTGTCCATTTGGAACCTGAGAATGTGTTCACCTTGAATGTGTGAATGTGAGGCAGGAGAATAGGGTCTGGAGGCTGGGAACATAAGGCGGATTCATGCTGACTTCCTAGAACTAAATCAAATGGAAACACTTCAGCTATGACAAGAAATATCCTCTCTATTTACGTAGGGCGTACACTGAGTAAATTACTTTGTAACTTTACTTCATCCTCTTCATTTACATAGGGCGTACACCAAGTAACCAGTGGAAACCTCTAGAGGGTATTTAAAACCCAGAAAATTTTGTAAGTGGGGGGTTTGAGCCCCTATGCTTGGGCCTGCTCCCACCCTGTGGACCGTATTTTCATTTTCAATATATCTCTGCTTTTGTTGCGTCATTCTTTCCTTGCTTTGTGCGTTTTGTCCAATTCTTTCTTTGTTCAAGATGCCAAGAACCTGTATACCCTCCACTGGTAACAAATATGACTTTATTTTTAGTAAGGAACTTTGCAGTGTAATTAAGGATCTTGAGATGAGATCATCCTGGAATATCTGGGTGGGCCCTAAATCCAATGACAAGTGTCCTCATAGGAAGAGAAGATACACACAGAGGAGAAGGTGTTGTGAAGATGGAAGTCAAGACTGATGATACCAGTTGGAGAGCACCAAGGACTACCCGCAGCCACCGGAAGCTAGGAGAGAGGCATAGGACTGTTTCTCCTTCAGACCCTCCAGAAAGACCAAACCTGCCCACACCTTGATTTCAGACTTTTGGCCTCCCACATTGTGAGAGAATAAAATTTTGTTTTTGAAACAAACAAACAAAAAAAGGTCAATTATTAGTAATTTTATATGGGTCAAACTAATGTATATTAACTTGGGTGAGACTTGACATTTGTATAATGTTAAATCATTCTATGCAAGAACATAACATACTTTTCCATTTGTTCAAATCTACTTTTCTGTCTTTTACAAGTGTTTTGTAAATTGCTTAAGGTTTTTCCATGACATTTTATTTTCTTTTTGCTTTTTTAAAAATATGTATACGGGGTTTTGCTCTGTTGCCCAGGCTGGAGTGCAGTGGCATAAACATGATCCGCTGCAGCCTTGGCCTCCTGGGCTCAAGAAATCCCCCTACATCAGCATCACGAGTAGCTGGGACCACAGGCATGCACCACCATGCTCGGCCATTAAAAATATTTAAAATTTTAAAATTTTTTTGTAGGCATGGGGTCTTGCTCTGTTGCCTAGACTGGTCTCAAACTCCTGGGCTCAAACAATCCTCCCACCTCAGCCTGCGAAAGTGCTGAGATTACAGATGTGAGCCACTGCACCTGGCCTGCTATTGTTAATGTAGCTTTCTCATTCATTATATCTTCTATTATTTGTATATGTGTGTCTGAATTTGATTTTTATATGTTTATTTCATATCTTTGCTACCTAACTGAATTTTTATCATTCGACTTTTAAAAATAATTCTCTTGGTGTTTTAAATCGATACTATAATATCATCTTCAAACAGAGATTGCTTTATTTCTTCCTTTCCATTTTATGTGTCTCATTATTTTCTTGTGTCTCACTGCACTGGAAAATAGTTCTAATGCCATGCTGAATAGTAAAGAAGAGTGTGGGCCTTATTTTTTATTTCAGCAGGAATGGTCCAGTGTTTCCCCATTAAGGAAGATATTGTCTTTGAAGCTGATGTATTACACTGAGGAAGCATCCATCAAGCCTATGTAATTCAATGTTTTTAGGAATATGTGTTGAACTTTTAAACTACAATTTTAGTATCTTCTGAGATGATCATATAAATATTCTTAGATTTACTGATATACTGAATACCTATTTTGTTATTCCTGAAATAAACCAATTTAGTCATGGCATCCAATTTTTTAAATATGTTGTTAGACTGAATTTGCTTATATTTCATTTAGAATTTCTCTATCAAAATTCATAACTTGGATTGATGTACAGTTATTTTGTTATTCTTAAATCATTATCAGGTTTAGGTATCAATATTTTATGGATTAAATAAAAAATACTTGAAAACTTTTTCTATTCTCTGAAACCTTTTAAGAACCATTGGAATTTTATAGTCTTTGAAAGATTGGTTGAAATCCCGATTGAAAATATCTGGACCTTTTGCTTTACTGGGGAGTAACCCTTTAATAACTTGCTGTATTTCTTCTGTGGAAGTTGGCTTATTTAAACTTTTTCTCTCTCTTAGGGTGAGACGGTAAATTATATTTTTCTAGAAAATTTTCTAGAAAATTATCTAATTCAATTTACAAATTTCCTTTTCATAGAGTTTTGCAACTCAATCCATTATGATTTTGTTGAAGTTAAATAAAATATAGAGCCAAATCTCTAAATTTAAGAAATTTTATTTGGTAAGGAAGAATTGCAGTTTGGGGCATATACACAGACTGATCTTTGGTATGTCCGAAGAACAAAGAGAAGGTTGGAAGTTTTATTAGAAATAGAAATGTTACATATTGTTTTGAAAGAAAGCTCATTGGCACTTGAGAAGCTTTTGGCATCCGGCAAGCTCTGATTGGTGAGTGGTGGTAGATAAAACTTGTCTTAGAGTCACTACAGGTGGTTTCAGTAAAACTGGTCTTTGGGTTACAGCAGGCCATTTCAGCAGCCAAGCTTGCAGAGAATTACATTCTTGGAGCAATGTAATATGCCTTGAATGCTTTTTCCCCCTGGCCCCTCAACTCTGATTTAGTTGAGTATGACAAGAATGACCCAATTGTATAATTAACTTTTATAATTCAAAAAATGATTCCTCTGTTTCAGTGGTTACATCTACCTTGTCTTTCTGTTGCATTTGTGCTTTTTCCTGTTTTCTTTTCACTAGTTCAGATTTTAGTTTTCCATTTCTTAAAGGAACTAGCTTGTTATTTATATATTAGTTGTACTGTTTTTCCTAACTCATAAATTTTACTTTAGTATTTTCTTATTTCTGTTTTGTGGATTGTTTCTTGTTTTTTGAATTGAATGTTTAATTTACTTTTATGCATTCACCTTTATCAATTTTAGTGTTTAAGGGTCTGAATATTTCTATCATCAATGTCATATTTTTAAAATAAATTTTGCATTTTCATTTTATCTCCTCCATTTAACAGAAAATTTAAAAATACCCTGCAAATTTCCCAGCTTGTTTTGCAACCTTCTTGACCATGTGACTCATTCTATCTAATGAACTGTGTGGTATGTTTCACTTTCGGGTGAAGGCAGTGTAGTAGATAGTATGACTTCTTCATGTTCTCTCTCTCCTCTGAGTAGCTAAAGGTGAAAGACTGCATCATGATTAAAGGAGCCTAGATTCCTGATTTACTGCTTTGAACAAGGGTCAACAAACTTTTTCTATAAAGGGACAGAGGCCAGATAGTAAATATTTTTGGTTTGTTGGCCATGGTGTCTCTATTGTAACAACTCACCTCTACCATTGTCGCCATAGACAATACATAAATGAATGGGTGTGGCTGTGTTCTAATAAAGTTTTATTTATAAAAAAACAGGGGCTGGCCAGATTTGGCCTGTGAGTTTGCTAACCCCTCATTTAGAGGAGAAAGCTACCCAGGATCAATGTTCAAACTGCATCAGATCATATCAAACATGAGAAAAAACACTTCTATTGTATTGCCACTGAATTTTGTTTTGAATTTTTTTTTTCCTACAACAGATGCTATTATTTTCCCTAGTGGTCAGGAATACTCTGAAAACCAGATTTAGTGATTTATTCAAGAGCTATAGCTAATCCTTGACAAACTTGAGATTTTAACAAGGTCTATAGAATTCTAGAACTCGTGTTATTCGTGATATCATGTTGTATTTCTATCTTTACTTTTTCTATTGAAAAAATTTTAGCCAAGAAAGGTTACATATGTCCAAAGTCATGCAGCCAGTTAGAACTTTAGCAGATTATATTATTGTTCAATAATATTTACTCCCTTCTTCTCATCCACAGGAAAAATACATTTCCCTGATACATTGACTTTGGGCTTGTCCATGCTTTGGCCTTTAAGTGGGACAAGTTATTCTCTATGTCCCTTGTGTTTCAGCTTGACCACGTACCTTGCTTTAGCCAACGATATAATAGTAGACGTGATGCAAGCAGAGATGTGAAATGTGCTTCTACAATTGAGCTCATCTTCCAGTTTCTCTGTCATTGTCCTGGCTAGCTGCTATCCCTTCAGCCTGGACTCTACAGTATCAGAGTTATGCCCTGGCAAAAAGGGATCAAGCCAGGCTGAAGCCACTGATTGAAGCAGAACCCCCCAAACAACCCACAGATATGTAAGAGAGAATAAATTATTGTGGTTTTAATTCACTGAGTTTTAAAATGGTTTATTACATATAATAATTTTTGAAAATAGAAAAATCATAAAGGCAGAGACTCCCCAAAACAAGTTTTCTGAATCCTTGCCTAGTTATGTTTTCTATGGAGTCATTTTTGATAGACACTTTTGATAGTGACAGGAGGCAGCTAAATGCCTAGGCAGATAGGGGCAGATACCCAGTGAAGCCCCACCTCCAAGCCAAAGACAATTTAAAGCCTGAAAGCCAAGCTACAACTTAAATCCCCTGATTGGGGTTGAAAACTTGTCCTTCTGTTTGGTGCGTTTTCCTCTGATTAATCCCCACCCTTTGCCTATTTTACATATACCTACTCTTTTCGAATTGGTTTTCTACACTGTCGTGCCTACCACTGAGTGTTTTCAATTTAACCTTTTCTGCATACTCACAAACCAATCAGCACACACTCCCATCCTGTGCCTATGAAGACCCCAGACTCAGTCGGTAGAGGGGGAGATGACCTGATTTTGGGGAAGAGACAACTTGACTTTGTGGAAGACAACCTGCCCTTCTCTCTTCAGCTCCCCTCTCTGCTGAGAGCCATTTTCATTGCTCAATAAAATTCCCCACCTTTACCATCCTTCAACTGTCCATGTGACTTCATTCTTCTTGGGGGACCCACCGAGTGCAGATACCCAGAAAAGGCTGTCACACTGACCCTTTGCCCTCACCGGTAGAGGGCAGCCGCCCCATATGACAAGACAAGGGGCCAACTGAGCTGCCAACACAACACCATCCATGAACAGCAGATTTAAAGGAGCACTGTAACACCCACTCTGGGTCTTTGGGGTCACAGGCACCATCACTTGGGTGCTGCTGCATTCCCCTTGGGGTGACATGCCTGGTCTGGCCGTGGGCCCTGCACAGAGTTTGCTCCTGTGTCCACGTTCAGAGTGGCTGGCCAGGTCCCGCACTCTCTTGCTCACACCTGGTCTGTGGCGTAGGCCCTGCATGGGGCTTGTTCCTGTGTTGGCACCCTGAGGGGCTAGCAGGATCCTGCACTCACTGGCTCATGTGCTCCCTCCTGCAAGGGGTTGAACGCAGCAAGCCAAGTAGACAGGGCACCCCTACTGTGAGTCTGGCTAAGGGGCTGAGAAAAATCCTGCATCACTTTCACATATCCTTGAATTTAAAATATTTCAGTTATAAGTTCCTTACCCTTACATATACTACACCTTTCTCCACTGTGATAATGTGTTATGTTGATTTGATTTTCTATACATTTTTACAGCTAGCCACAGTTCACTTTTCTATTATCTAGAAATAAATAAGCAGGGTTGAAAACAAACTAAAACCCACATCCTCTCCCATTTAAAACTCAGGTGGCATTTAAAGACCATTGTTTAATCAAAAAAGCAACCAGTTGAAACCAATGATTAAAATGTCAATCTACCCACTAACTACATTCTTAAATGAGAAGAAAATAGCATTTACCTCCCTTCTCTGTCTTTCCCCTCTCTTCCATATACCCCAAAAAGGCAAAGCTGTAAATCTATAACATGATCCCCAGAATTGATAGCAAAGCAAACAGCTTTTGGTTAGTCTCATTTCTCCAAGGAATAGATTTTCCATAACCAGTATTTTTTCACAGGCAAAACACAGAATGGTTGGAAAATCTTCAGGAAGTCTGGACGTTTTTGTGAGACAAACATTGACTGTGCTGAAGCCCATAGCTAGGCTGATCTGTCTTTTCCACTTAAAGAGGATTATTATATAAGCAGCAATATTAGACTCCTAGGCATAAAAATTGCATTTTAATACAGTATGGAGTTCTCTGACCTTCCTGTAAAAGGGACTGAAATATAAACAAATGGTAATTTGTTCTTAAACTCCACCATGCAATTCAATTTTTGCTTATGCTATCAATTTTTTTCTTATTTCCAATGGTTCATTTAAAATAATATGCTTGGCTTATTTTAAAAAGAGTCATTATGTATTTTTTCTGCTCTGAACCTCTCTTAGGTCACCTTGCCAGTAATTGAGACCACAAGACAATTTGCCTCTTAATTGTTTCTTTGTTTCTGCTGTGGTTGTACTTCACTTATTTTCTTGTTTTTAATTATCAGGTTGAGAGGTAACAGATATTCTTTTGGTTTGTAGTAAAGAAGTTAGGTGTAACAATATGATCTCTTAATACTTTCATTTGCTGAGTATTGATTTCTTTCTTGCGAGTATCCTCATTCCTCTCTCTCTGGCCCTTCTTTTATGCATAGTCCCTCATTCTTCCTGAGGTGTCAAAATTTGCCTCTATACCCAAAACTGAGTTCTTTTGTCTCAAGTTTTTATATGTTTTGTTTCTTCTCTGATGGGCGAGTATGTGAAAGGAGAATTGGATGCTCTAAGCTGCTGATTCTTTGTTCTCATGACAACCTTGATGGCATTAGAAAGAAGACATGCCAATGCCACAAGGAATTCAGTGCAAATGAATGTTACAAATAGCTCTTAATTGTAGTTTAAATCTGTTCTATGCTAGAAACAACCCCAAGCTTCAGCAGGGGAGGTGGTGAATAAAAGTTCATTCCCAAAGGCTACCTACACTACACAATTCACAACTTTGTGTTTCCATAAATACACAATATTCCATTCATAAGTGTCTTCTTTTTTGTTAAAAAAATTCACCGAACACCACACGCACCTGTAACTTAGTGATCAATCCATCTACAGGTAGCTCTCTTATTTGGCATGCAATTGAGATGATCTAAAGTAGTACAATTCCTTCTCTTATTTGCCACAACAAGAAGTGCATCGCTAGGACTTATGTCTGGCAAACAAACAACAAAACCGTGTCTGCTTCTACGAGTCTATAGAGCTAAAGGCAGTTGGGCCCCAAGACATTTCCAAATCTCCCATGGAGCTGAAGTGAAACCCAGTCATGACTTTCCCCACTTGGTCATTTTTATATTGTACCATTTTCATTTTTATTTTTGTCACAGCTTGAGAGTTCAATGCTATGACTTCTTTAATGAAAAAAGTCATTTCCACCTTCGAGGTATTTATCTGTTTTAATTATCTGTTTTAATCTTTTATTGAAAAAATTGTATTTAATCTTGGCCTAATTATAGCAACTCCTTTGACATTTACCACCCTTTCTATAATCGTTCCCCCTCCAAAATAACTACATAGTCATTTATCTCCAAAGGGCTATAGTAACAGCTGGTACTCACAGGTTTCCACTGTAGGAATGGGCTCCTCTTAGCATACAAGAGGAACTGCCTGATAATCTGATGTTCTCTTTTATTTCTCTGGGCCACGATTCCCCATCATCAGCTCTCCATGCTGCTGGTCTAAATGGTCCTTTGTCTGAACTCAGGCTAACTCAAGACACTCCTAGATCCAGCCTCTATCGAGTTCCTGGCTCTTTTGCTTCTGTCTGGGACCATTGTGTGAGGTTCAAGATGTAAATGGACAGAAGCCCAACTGCATCATCCTTTGTACACTTCCCTCATTCTAATCTGTGCTGACAGATCAATGGGTAAAATAAATTTAAACATGTTCTGCCTTCTGAGTGTCACACATCACAAATCAAGTGATGTGAATTAAGTTTACAGCATCTTTGCAGTGTTGTCTCTGAAACACTAACCACTTTGCATGGAAGAATTTTATTTTTGGCCCAAGGCATCCCTTGGCTGCCTGGAATAAGCAGGGATAGAAAACCGACAATGCACAGGGTGATGTATTTGGTAGAGTCACAGTTGGATACAATAAAATACTGATGAAGGAATTAACCCTTAGTTTCAGCAACGGATGTTGAACATCTGCTAAGCCCAAGTCACAGTATTAGGCAAAGAGTATGGCACCCAAGGCATGCTCTCTAAAGGTATAAGACCAGATAGGAAGCTGGGTATGGCGGTTCACGCCTGTAACCCTAGCACTTTGGGAGGCCAAAATGGGAGGATTGCTTGAGGCCAGGAGTTCAAGACTAGCCTGGGCAAAATAGCAAGACTCCATCTCTAGAAAAAATAAGTTAGGTGGGCATTGTGGGATTCACCTATAGTCCTAGTTACTTCAAGGCTGAGACAGGAGGATCACTTGAGTCCAGGAAGTTGAAGCTGCAGCGAGCCATGATTACACCACTGCACTCCAACCTAGGCTACAAAGGAAGACCTTATCAAAAAAAAAAAAAAAAAAAAAAAAACAAAAACCAGAGGAGGCAATAGGCCTGGGTGCAAAATTCCCCTGAGGCCAGGTGTGTTTGCTTATGCCTATAATCCCAGCATTTTGGGAGGCTGAGGCGGGTGGATCACTTGAGGTCAGGAGTTCGGGACCAGCCTGGCCAACATGGTGAAACTGAAAATATAAAAATTAGCTGGGCCTGGTGGTAGGTGCCTGTAATCCCAGTTACTCAGGATACTGAGGCAGGAGACTCACTTGAACCCAGGAGGTGGAGGTTGTAGTGAGCCAAGATCATGCCACTGCACTCCAGCCTGGGTGACAGAGCAAGACTCCATCTCAAAAAGAATCCCCCTGAAATTTGTCAGAGAACCAAGAATCATCCAAATTAAATACAACTCATTTTATCTGTAGTTGGGAAAAATGATCACGTATAAACGAGGCAGAGGAATAAATAATACAGTTATCATTTCCTTTTACATTAGGACCACAAATGTATACAAGGTTTTGACCTCGTATAGCATGATGGTATTTACAACTTGCTGGTTAAAAAATAACCGAACAAAAAAGGTAAGGAAAGCATGATGGTATTTACAACTTGCTGGATAAAAAATAACTGAACAAAAAAGGTAGTGATGTTATGTCTATTGTAATGGTTGGCTAAGATAATTGACGAGTATGCCTATCCAAAGGCAGGTGAATGGACAAGTTGTTGTTTCCGAGTATCTTATAACTCACTGATCCAACAGTTGACTATTTTCTCATCTGGTTAGATTTATTGGATCATATAAGCAATTAACCATGTGAACATGATTTAGGGTTGTAGTAGAAACTTTTGGTTCCCCTAGCCAGAATCCTATGGTTTATCCTTGATTTCAAGTGCAGCTATGTTGGACAGTTTCTGTGTGTATTTTCAACATCTTGTCTCAATGCCTACTATATTGCCTGCTAGTTTTTTGTTTTTGTTGTTGTTGTTGCTTGGCTTCAGAGCTTTCTCCAAAGTTGTAGAGGCTTATTCAGTCCTTATGGAGGGAAGCCATAGAGCAGGGAGATGTTAACATCCTCAGGTTCAGTCAGCACCAAGGGACAATTCTAAGGCACTCAGAGGGTCCCCACTTGCCCACTGCAGTTACCGACACAATAACATAAACCTTTATTAGATTTTTCTCCTTCCTTCCTTCACTCTCTCTGTTTTTTCATACCTGCCCTGGCATTAACTGCCAAATAAACCAGTGCATTCAAATATGTGTAATACATTCTGCATACATAGAGAAACGTTTGGAAAGATACACACCAAACTACATCTTAAAGTGGTTACCTATGGGGATTGGAATTGATGTATATGTGGGATAGGGATTGTAGCAGATACTATTGTTGTCCTGATCATACCTCCTTGGCATTCATTATTTCTGTAAATGCCTATAGTTTCATACTGCAAGCACATGCATCTCTCTCCAAGAGGGCTTTCTCTGGATACAGGAGTGTGCTTGGTCTGCCTACAGAGTCAGCCAGAAGGTCTGAGGAGTTGTCACACTCAGAGTAGCCCTCAGCCAATGAGGTATGAATGATGGTAGATAAATATTTCAGCTCCCCACCCTCAGATGGGACGACTCTGAGACATGTTCTATACCAGAGACTGGCAAACTTTTTCTGTAGGGACTGAGAGTAAATAATGCAAACTTTGAGATAACACTGTGTGTCATAATTAGTCAACTCATAGAAAACATGTGAACAAAAACAGGGCATAGTTCTATTCCATTAACACTTTACTTACAAAAATAAGCAGTGAGTCTGATTTGGCTCATGGCTGTAGTTTTCAACCTCTGTTTTGTACTATTTACTAGAAGTTCATAGGGGAATTGAGCCCCAACTGAGCCCTGAGAATTTACTCATCGGCACATCGTTTACTGACTTTCCTTCTTCCCTCTCCTGTATAATTTCCCCCACTCCCTCACTGTGCTCTTTGGCCTTCCAAATAAACTGCTTGTCCCCAAATCCTAATATCAGGGTGTACTTTTGGGGGAATCCAATCTAAGAGAGCAATTTTACCTTTTACTTCTGTATAGTTCTAACTTTAATTTTACAAGGACATATTCTTTTAAAACCTTTTAAAAGAAAAAACTAATAAAGAGCATATGGGAGATGAATCCTGGTTCCT
Source organism: Homo sapiens (assembly GCF_000001405.40). NCBI lineage: Eukaryota > Metazoa > Chordata > Mammalia > Primates > Hominidae > Homo > Homo sapiens. The sequence continues at coordinate 43,462,464 of NC_000023.11, read as the reverse complement.
GGAGCCTGAACCAGCTACTCGTAGAATAGTCTTAACAGAAGGAAGGACAACTCTGGCACTTTGGAGAATTAAGCCCGTGAGTCTCTGAGGGAACTCTGCCTTTGACAATAGTCTGTGTTAACAAGTTCACCTTGTTAACACTTGCCAAAAGTGTTTCTGAAGACCTAATGGTGAATCAAATATAGTGAACTATTTACTTTAATATTCTCTGTTTGCGTACCTTATAAGTTTACAGCAGTCATTTCAAGTTCAAATGGACTAAATTAGGACTCTACTACTTTACCTTCACTCTGCCCATCAGCTTCTTTCTGATCTACTAGAAGGACCTAAGACAGCAAGGGAGTCCTGTATCAGAAGAAATAATTAACAATACTAACGACCACCAAATCTACTTACTTTTTCTTGAGTTTGGGCAGAAGGTTGTTTTTTTTTTGTTTTTTTTTTTTTTGTTTTTTTTTTTTTGAGACAGAGTTTCGCTCTTATTGCCCAGGCTGGAGTGCAATTGTGCGATCTCGGCTCACTGCAACCTCCGCCTCCCAGGTTCAAGCAATTCTCTTGCCTCAGCCTCCTGAGTAGCTGGGATTACACTGGGATTACAGGCACCCACCACCGTGCCCAGCTAATTTTGTATTTTTAGTAGAGACAGGGTTTCTCCATGTTGGTCAGGCTGGTCTCGAACTCCCGACCTCAGGTGATCCGCCCGTCTCGGCCTCCCAAAGTGCTGGGATTATGGGCGTGAACCACTGCACCCGGCCAGAAGCTTTCTTTAACCTGCTTGAACAATCAAATTGCCATCTAGAGAATAATAATAATAAAATCAGAATAGTGGTTATCTTTGTGGTAAAAGGAGGGGTAGAATTTGGGGTGGGCAGGACATGGAAGATTTTGGGGATGCTGGCAGTGTTCTATTTCTTTATTTGGATGGTGGTTACATGAGTGTTCATTTTGTGACAAATTCTTCAGTTGTATGCCTTTTTCTTGTGTAAGTTTCTGTATGCGTGTTATATTTCACAAACTAAAGGATTAAAATAGTCATGGTGATCATTTTGCCTGTAGGGGAGTCAGAGATTACCTCCAACTACTTTAGGTTTTTATATGGGCTCTTGCTAGCTCTAGAAACCAAACTGATGACAGGTTGATTAACAAGAGAAAAGCATACAAATTGTGTTAGTTGTACATGTACATGGGGCTCTTCATGAGAGAGTGAAGCCAGTGAAGTCCAAAGAAGTGGTCAAAGCACAACATGCTTTTATGCTTTTTAGACAAAAAATGATAAATTTGAGAAGAAATGACTGGATAAAGAAAATCTGGCTAGGGGCAGTACGTTTTCTAGGGGAGTCACTGGGAGATATATGGGGGATATAAAACTAGTGGAACATAAGAGTTACTTCATTAAGTATGTTTATTTAGGTCAATTTCCCCCTGTTCCCAGTCTCTGGTGATAAGGGCTATTTTCTCACCCTGGTACAGTGAGAGTACCCCTCCAAGAAGAACCTTTATGGCTTGCTGTATGCAGGAAGAGACAGGTCAGCTAGCCCTTCCTGAAACTACAATTTCTCCAATGTTTTCAACTTAAAATAATCAACATATAAGTCCTGCGTAGTTTGGGATATTCCTTCATTTTACATTACTTTACTCCTTCATTTTCCCAGTTTGAAACATCACTAGAAGTTTTGAACATTAAAAGTTGAGTTGGTGGCAAAAGGATAACTAGCATGAGATTGTTTTCTCTTGGCATATGTTTATTCTCTGGACTTTATCCACCAGACATGCATTGGCAGGAACAAAAATATGTTCAGGTTCTTTCAAATAATGTTGACATTCAAATATGTTGACATAACCAACAATCAGATTGGTTAGTTATCATAGACAGGATTTGGAAGACTGGTACAAAGAGGTACCAGGTCTGTACCTGACTTGTTGAAAAAAATAAGAGTTAATAAGATCAAGACACAGTTTGAAAAATGGTGCACAGTAGAGGATCAGAGGGAGAACAGAATAGAGTGAGACAGTCTCCAGTCAGCTTTTTAATAGTCTATCAACAGACAGGGAAAAGATTTGGTCAATGAAAAAAAGAGGTCTTTTTGTATTGTTTTGTTTTTCGTTTACCTAAACAAGAGTAGTGGGAAAATAACAAAAAAGTGGAGAAAATAGGTGGAAGTAGACTTACTTTTTAAAAAAATTGTGGGTACCTATTAGGTATATATATTTATGGGGTAATCAGATATTTTGATATAGGCATGCATTACGTAATAATCACATCATGGAAAATGGGGTATGTATCCCCTCAGGCATTTATTCTTTGTGTTACAAACAATCCAATTATACTCTTTTTTTTTTTTTTTTTTTTGAGACAGAGTTTCGCTCTGGAGTGCAATGGTGTGAACTCGGCTCACTACAACCTCTGCCTCCTGGGTTCGAGCGATACTCCTACCTCAGCCTCTCAAGTACCTGGGGGTTACAGGCATGCACCACCATGCCCAGCTAATTTTGTATTTTTAGTAGAGATGGGGTTTCACTATGTTGGTCAGGCTGTTCTCGAACTCCTGACCTCAGGTGATCCACCCACCTCAGCCTCCCTAAGTGCTGGGATTACAGGTGTGAGCCACAGCGCCCGGCCCAAGTATACTTTCTTAGTTATTTTTAAATGTACAATTAAATTATTATTGACTATAGTCACCCTGTTGGGCTGACTGAGGAGTGTTGGTTTCTTCCAGAAATTTGGTAAGATTTACAAGTAATGCATGGGAAAATAATTTGGACAAAAATGTTGTAAATCCCAGGACAAAACCAAGTATTCTTTAGTTCCTCAACTATCCCCCATATGCACATATGTCCCATCTGATGAGACATAAGTACAAGCCAAAAGGTTAAAAGAAAAGGGGCCACAGGAAGTCCATTTGGCCTAATATACCCAATCCATCTGATAACTGCTTGGCACCCTTTTGTATCCATTTATCTTTTTCGTATTTTGGGGCATTTACCTGAAAATCAATAATATCAGTCAGGAATAAAGGCGAATTCATAAATTGGGTGGAAAAATGAAAAGGGGTCAGTTTTTGACTGTGTACTTAGCAGCCTTTTCTGCCCTATCATTCCCTAAAGATATAGTATCAGTCTCCTTAGTGTGGGCTGGACAATGAACAATAGCAATTTTAGTATGAGGGTGAACAGCCTGTGATAAGGCAGCAATTATATGTCCATTAGCAACAGGAGTACCAGCAGAGGTTCAGAATCCACGGGATTTCCAGATTGTGCCAACAGCATGACAGACTCCAAGAGCATATTGGAGTCAGTGTAAATAGTGGCAGTTTTTCCTTTTGCCAATGTGCAAACTCTAATAACAGCTATAAGTTCAGCAGCCTGGGCTGACTTTATAGTCAGCAAAGAGTATTCCTCAAGCGTTTCATGTGGGGAAACTATGGCATAGCCAGTTATTATGTTTCCCTTAAAATTAAATTTGCAAGAGCCATTACAAAATAGCAGCAAGGCTAGGTTGTCTAAAGGAGAGTCTGAGAGATCCCCTCATGGCTTTGAACCCATTTCTATAGCTGCTAGGCAATCAAGTGGAATGGAATGAGGCTCTTCATCATCAGGGAGGGGTAGGAGTGTAGCAGGATTTAATGTCACAAAGGCATAAGATGATGGAGAGATTGGTTCACAGGGCTTGCTCCTAGGTGCTCTGTCCATGTGTAGAGAGGTGCTGCATCTTAAGAACTTGGAAGAGAGCAGACACAGCATGAGAAACATCGAGGTGGATGGGGGAGCCTAATGTATGGGTGCTGACTTTAGTAATTAGGGCGGCAGCCGCTGCTACTGCATGCAGGCATGGGGGCGTGCCTGCTGCCACAGGATCCCATTGGCATGAGAAATATGCTACAGGTTGTATTTGAGAGGCAAAGGGTTACCTTAGAATACTTGCAGCAACCCCACTATTTTCATGACAATAGAGGTGAAAAGGCTTATCAAAATTAGGTAAGCCAAGAGCAGGGGGTAGGACAATGCTAATTTCAAGGCTTTGAAAGAAGTTAATTTTTCTGAAGGCCACAGAGTGGCCTCTGGAGTGGCATCTAGAAAGAGGGCATAGAGTGGTTTGGCAATAGCCTCAAAATTAGGAATCCATTGCTGACAATAGCCAGCTGCCCCTAGAAACTTACACAGCTGCTTTTTTGTCTTGGGGAAAGGGATGAACAAAATTGACTGGATGCATTTTGGGGTGAACTTCTGAGTGCCCTGAGATCTTTCATGTCCTAAGAAAGTAACCGTTGTTTGCACAAACTGAAGTTTAGACCTGGAGGCTTTATGGCATGGTTCAGTGAGTACTTTTAGTAGACTGAGAGAGTCTGTAGGGGTATCTTCTTTAGTTTGGTTACAAAGCACAAGGTGGAGCGTTGGGTAGAGGCTACAATCCAAGTGGTTTTAAGGATTGGAGAGAATATTGAAGGGTACTCACAATATCCCTAAAGCATGAGAGTCCATGTTAATTGTCTTCCTCTAAATGCAAAGAGAAACTGTGAGTCAGGGTGCAATGGAATCAAAAAGAAAGCTGAGCAGAGGTCAACTACTGTAAACCAGGCTGTATCACCAGGAATTGAGGTAGGGATAGCAGCCAAATTGGGGATTACAAGGTGGTGGGGAATTACAAAGGTGCTTATGGCTCTTATATCTTGCACCAATCAATAGATTTGATTTCCATCTGAATCAAATTTTCCTTCATTCTTTACTGGTAAGATTGGGGTGTTACAGGGTGAAGTGGTAAAAATAAGCATGTCTTATTGCAAAAGGGAGTCTATGATATGTTTGATTCCTTGCTCTGCATCTCATGAGAGGGGACACTGAGCTACTGATGGGAAATATTTGTTCCTTTTCTCTGCAATGCATACAGGTTCTGTACTCAGTAGCAGTCCAATCTCATTTGCATGTGAAGCCTAGGGACTAGCTGGGACATCTTTTAAGATTGCATCTTCTTTAGAGGAATTTAAATCAAGAAGAGTTTCCCTGAGAGAGCAGGAAGCTTGAAGTTTGTTCTGAATGTAGGGAAATAAAAATGCCTTTTTTATTATATTGTATCATAGCACTAAACTTACATAATAAATTTCTACCTAAAAGATTTGCAGGTGAGGAGTCAGAAACTAGAAAGGCACGGTGGGTGTTAAGAGGGCCTAAGGATGTTTGAATGTCCTGAGATATGGGCAGTAAAATAGGTTGCCCAGAGACCCCAGTAGCTTGAATAGAATCAGAGGTAACAAGCAGAGATAATTCCACTGAGCAAATAGTAGAGGAAGTCCTATCAGTGTCAATTAAATCCAGTTCCTGATCCTCTACTTTAAGTTGAATGGTGGGCTTTGGAGTGCAAGGGAGAATCGGCTGACCCCACCAATCAATGGGGTATCGTGCCACAGGAGGGGAAAAATGAGCCTTCTGAGGGTGCTGGGTTTTAGGGAGAGTTCCTTCCTTCCTTCCTTCCTTCCTTCCTTCCTTCCTTCCTTCCTTCCTTCCTTCCTTCCTTCCTTCCTTCCTCTCTCTCTCCTTCCTTCCTTCTTTCCTTCCCTCCTTCCTTCCTTCCCTCCTTCCCTCCTTCCCTCCTTCCTTCCTTCCCTCTCTCTCTCTTTCTTTCTTTTTATAGGACAGCAGTTTTTCCAATGCCCCAGCTTTTTGCAGGATCTGCAAATTTCTGAAGGCAAACTAGAAAAGCCTTGTAGCTGACCAAAGGTATGAGAGGACTTTGAATCATTCTTAGAGGCTTGCCTTTGTTTTTGTAAGAATTCAAGCTCCAAGACAAGAACTGTTGATTTTATTTTTTCCCCTTATTTTCTTGCAAGCTATTTTCAAAGAATTGAGTAGCTGCTTCTATTATAATGCTTAGAGACTGACCAACCGAAACAACTATACTATTTTTGAATTGACTTTTTATATCAGGAAGAAGATTCCCAACCAGAGCAGAAATTCGAAGATTTCTATGCTCTGGAGCTACTGGATCTAATGCCGTATGCCTTTGAAAACCTTGCATAAATTTCTCGACAAATGCCTTGGGGTGCTCACTCTCTTCCTGGATACACAATTTGACCTAGACCAATTCATCTTAGGAGGGAAAGCCTCTAATATTGTCCCTATCAGGCCCTGAATATCAGCATCTTAGCTGAGCTATCTCCTCATTGGCAGGAGGGCCAGGGAGGGGCTCCGGCCATCTGTTCCCTCTGTGGAGGGGGTTTTCCCCAGAGGGCTGTCTGGCCTGTCTGGCCAGTTATTAACTGCAGTATGATCATGAGAGGGAAGTACACCTCTTAGCAGCCAGTCAAGGTTCCTATGAATGGGATTACGGATGGCCACTGATTTCTCCTATTCTTCTCTAAACTTGGTAGGATCTTCTGAAAGTGGAGACAAAATGGCTTTATAATTTAAAAGATCTGTTGCTGTCCAGGAAACAAAAATTCTTTGAGTAGGGGGTCTAAGATACATTCACAGAGAACATTGCGTAGGAAGATTTGGAGCTGATGGAGTCTGATTCCAAGGCCCTGGGAAATAGGAGAGGTTGTAAGGGACAGAAAAAAAGTGAGCCTTGCCGCATGTTCTTGGAATCTGTGCCAGTTTTACTTCTTGGTTGTTAAGTTTTACACAAATGACTGTATGCCTTGGATTTTGAGATCAAGAGGGCTTTTTGTAAATCACCCTGGGAAAAGAAGGTTAAAGAAGGCAGCTGTATATCTAAGGGGCTTTCTGGGGAGGTTGAAGGAGTCAAATAATTTTGTTGAGGAGACAGAATAGGAGGGAGAGGCTGAGGAGATAGGGCTGGATGTTGAGGAGGGGGGTTCAAATCAGGGACCCTGAGATCCAATAGATCCTCTGGTGGGTCAGGGACAGGGAGCTGGGGATAAAGCAGGGTGTAAGTGGGTGGAGAAGGAGGATTTATAGTGGGATCGAGTTTCAATTTGTGTTCTAGGTCTGTTTTTTGCTCTTTAATTTTGTTAAGGGAATTTCTAAGGCTAGCCATAATTTTCTGGGTTCTTCATTCTACCTGATCTTCCCATAAAGGTTGATGTTTTAGAATGAAAGCTCTCTCAAAATTTTTTCAAATATAGTAGTCTTTCTATTTCAAAGGATCTGTCTTTTGGTCATTGACAATTGGGATCTTCATTAGTGTATATATTCCAATGTTCACTTAAGCCTTTTGATGGAGAGACTAGAAGGTAACTTTCCAGGCTTAGAATAAATCTTTACAGGGATGCAAGGGACATTTCTGGAGTGGGCACAGAAGATGCAGCCCCTATGATCTAAAAATTCACTCTCAGAAATAGACTAAGAAAGCAAAGACCTTTGTTGCCACAGGAAATTAAGGAGAGTGTGCAGACGATGTCTCTGGTCTCTCATGGAATGTGAGTCGCCTTTATTTATAAATCCACTAATCTCTGACATCAGGCAGGCAATACTGGGATGGGAGTTTCCCAGCACTGATCCAGACAACAAAAGACTTCATGAGTTGGCCTCTTATAAAACTCCCTGAGAGCTTGGTACATTTGGACAAAGAAAGTGCTGCTTAATATCTTATGTGTCTCAAATCCCCAGTCTTTTCAGACTGGCTGCCTAACACAAACCCAATTCTTTGTGCCCCTCTGATGGCAGTGATTAGAGAGGGTGTCTTCTTTGGTTGCAAAGCCAAGCCCTCAGGACACATAAAACAAGACAAGAGGGGAACCTCATTCATTTTATTTGTTGTTTGTTTCAGGGACCCAGAGCAAAGTTTGTTTAGACAGACACTGGCCTGATGAGAACTGTAAACTCACTGATCTGTGAAGGCCGATTCGAACAGCAGGATTATAAGGACCTATGCCTGTGTTCTCTACCTATGCCTACGGTTCCTCTCCTTATGGCAAACAACACAAAAAGACAGTGAGAAAATAAGATAAAGACTATATCTAACAGCAAAAGGATCAAATAGAAATCTAGAGTACTCACAAAAACACCAAAAGTCACTTTATACCCAAAGAACTAGTTCACGAGTGTTTCCTCCTGTCGATCCCAGTTTGGAGAGGGAAAAAGACGCAGAGAGTCTTACCATTCTTGCCTTGACCAGCTACCACCACAGCGATCCAGGAATCTGACAGTAAGAAATCGTACCTTTGACAGTCTTTTGTCAGAGGTACAGGATCTCAGCTGTAGCAGTTCTGGAGTAAGCAATGTTCCAGCCAGTGAAGAATTGCCCCACACTGGGCAATGACTTCCGTATGGGAGTCAGAGATTACCTCCAACTCCTCTTAGGCTCTTATGCAGGCTTTTTGGTTGGATCTAGAAACCACACTGACACTAGGCAGATTAACAAGAGAAAAGCATACAAACTGTGTTAGTTTTACACATATATGAGGATCTTCACAACAGAGTGAAGCCCAAAGAAGTGGTCAAAGCAAGACGCTTTTATACTTTTTAGACAAAGAATGAAAAATGTGAGAAGAAGTGACAGGATAAAGAAAATCTGGCTAGGGGCAGTAAATTTTCTAAGGGAGTCTCTAGGAGGTGGATATATAGGGGTTTATGAAACTAGTGGAACAAGGGTTACTTCATTAAGCATAGAGAAATATACTTTGTTGAATATATTTATTCATCTTAATTTCCCCCAATTTCCAGTCTGGTGATAAAGGCTGTTTTCTCACCCTAGTATGGTGAGGGTACCCCTCCCAGAGGAATCTTTATGGCTTGTCACATGCAGGAAGAGACAGGTCAACTAGCCCTTTCTGAAACTACAATTTCTCCAATGTTTTCAACTCAAAATAATCAATATACTTATCTGGCATATTTTGGGATGGCATATTGTCCTTCACTCTCATGCTCATTCTTATACTTAGTACTTAGAAAGAAGGGAATCCATGCTTCACAGCAGTTTACCTCTTAAGAAAAATTCCTGATTTCTCTGCAATGTTTCTTTTTGGCAGTCATGGTGCTGTGCCATTCAGATTTCCCTTCAAAAATGCACTTGCCATTCAACTGCAGCACCTTCAAGAGCTACCTCAGAGTAGACTTTGCATTCATCCTGTGCAACTCTTAGCCAAAGGCTGAGCATGGTTGGGCTTACTAGGACATGGCCATTTCTGTCCAGTGTGAGGCTCCTCTAATGGGCAGTTTTTGATCTGGAGACCCTCTTTGGGTTGACCATGACTGTCTGATCTGACTTGCCATTGGAGATGCTCCCTGCCAAATTCTACTTTCTGCTCTTTTATCTTTCAGGGAGCTATTCCTCTAATAAACCTATTGATAGCAACAGGAGGCAGGGAAATTCTGGGCAGAAGAGGATGGGTCCCCAGTAAGGGGACTCTTGCCAGTACCCAAAAGCACTCGCCCCAGCTCCTGCACCTGCTTACCTGTGTGCCCCCTCCCATGAGGGGTGGAGCACAGTGGGTCAAGTGAGTGGAGTTTGCCCCTGCCAGCACCCACATACTCCAGTTCCTGCTTGTGAAGGGGTCAGGGAAATATCCTGCTTCACTATTGTATTCCAATTTAGTCTCAGCATCTCCCTCCTGGAGGACCCAACTACATACTTTCAGACTGAGAGCAGCATGGTCAGCAGTGATTTGGTTTGCAGGCCTTTTTGGTATAAGACACACTGATCAGCTTGTGAGTGTCAGTAAAAAGGACTAATTAGAAGAAATGCCTTTGTTAGAAAATGTTGGCCAGGCACAGTGGCTCATGCCTGTAACCCCAGCACTTTGGGAGGCTGAGGTGGGAGGATCACTTGAGCCCAGGGGTTTGAGACCAGCCTAGGCAACATAGCAAGACCCCATCTACACACACACACACACACACACACATACACACACACATACACACACACACACATACACACACACACACACGACGATGAGCTGGGCTTGGTGGTATGCACCTGTGGTTCCAGCTTCTCAGGAGGTTAAGTTGTGTTAGAAATGCAAAATGCTTGTTCCCCAGTGCTGCAAAGAAATAGCACTTGAACATAATTTTCTCAGCAAGGCAATTTTTACTTTCTGCAGAAAGGGTGTTTCTCACAGATGGAACAATGGCAAGAGCACACCTGGACAGGGGAGGGGAAGGAGTTCTTATTCCTGACACAGGCAGCCCCTACCACTGTGTCATTCCCCTATTGGCTAGGGTTGGCCCGCACAGTCTAAACTAATTCCGATCAGCTATTTTAAAGAGAGCAGGGATATGAGCCAGAGTGGTGGGGTGAGTAGTTTGGTGGGAAGGATGGTTAGGAACAGGTAACTAAAGGTGGCTTAAGTCAGAGCAGGTGACTAGGAGTGACTCAGGTCAAAGCAGGTGACCAGGATGAGTCAGGATGGAGGAGGTGACCAGGGAACAGATATGAACTACTGATTAGGAGTGGTGGGAAAGTTGTTTCCTGAAACTAAAAGCAAGGGAGTGAAGAGAACCAGGAAGTTAAACTTTAAAATGGAGAATCAAAGAATAAAAGAGCTGAACATACTGATGGTTTTAAGTGCTAAAAGGGACTTCTTCCTTTACCAAACTTTCATCAGGCTTCTCTGAGCCCTATTCTCAACTAAGCCACATCTGGTCTAGCCCAGTTCAGCAAGAATCAAGCCAAGCCAGTTTAGCAAGAATTCACCCCAGATCCTTGATACCTAACCAAGTTCTTCTTGGTAATTTTTTATCCATTGACTCTCTTACCCTGCCTATTGGCTATAAATGTCCAGCTGCCCATGTTGTATTCAGAGTCAAATTCAATCTGCTGTATTGCAATCGTCTTGAATAAAGTCCTCCTTGCCTGTTTAACTTGTCTGGTACAATTTCTCTTTAACAGTTCCAGGCACTCTGTTGGGTGTAATAGTATAAGATTATGTGAGATCTAGCCCCTGCCATTCAAGAGCATGCAGTCCATTGGACTGTGCATTAACTCAAGGGCAGTTTATTCATAATGTTTACTATCTTGACCTCCATCCTGTTATGGAAATCCCACAATTCCCTTGAAGAAGCAGGCTGGGTCTAGACTTCAGAGGCTTTGCCTTCTTTGCCAATTCGATTGAAAGGAAGATTCATGGAGTCTTCTTGTGCTTCTTTGGTGGGAAAACCAGTCACTCCTAGTCACCTGTTCTGACTTAAGCCACCTTTAGTTACCTGTTCCTAACCATCCTTCCCACCAAACTACTCACCCCACCACTCTGGCTCATATCCCTGCTCTCTTTAAAATAGCTGATCGGAATTAGCTTAGACTGTGAGGGCCAACCCTAGCCAATAGGGGAATGACACAGTGGTAGGGGCTGCCTGTGTCAGGAATAAGAACTCCTTCCCCTCCCCTGTCCAGGTGTGCTCTTGCCATTGTTCCATCTGTGAGTGCTAAACCCTTTTAGGCTTTCCAGGGCTTGGGTTGTATAACACCTGTCAAGATATCATCTTACTACAGCAACATAATTTTCCCTTAACCCAGGTGTGAAACACTTAAAACATATTTTTAGTATTACCTAGAGAAAATTTATTCTTATCTATCCATAATCAGAAAAATATTTTGAAAGGGATTATTTATATTAAATATTTAGCAGGTATCTAAATTTGGACTACATAAGTATTCCTCCTAAAGGATTTCCAGGGAATTTGAAAATAGAGGCTTGCTCATGTCAGAAAAACAATATTGGTACAGACTTTTGGGATATAAAGGGCTCTCTGCAAGGCTCCAGGTTTTGTTCTTGCATTCATTTGAAGCAGATTCTATCTGGAGAGAGTTTCCTTAAATTAGGACCCAACTCTATTGTGGAAAGTGCTAAGGATAAATGTCTCCATCCAAATACATAGAGACAAAGGATCCTTTAGGCTCATCATGCTGTGTTGTCATCAGAGGGACTGCGGTTCTATAATATGCTTTGTTCTGTCTGAATAGGTTCAACTTGTTGGAATGAGAATTACCTGATGTTTACAGAACTAGAATACCAGGGGAAATGCCTCCTTAGCGAGATGATTACCACTTAATGGGCCTCATTGTCTGATAAATAAGAACCTGATTAGGAGGAAGGCTGGAACTCACACATAGGGACTTTTGCGAGATGTTTCTACTGTAGCAACTCAGCGCCTTCAGTTTCTTTTTCCTTTCATCCATCCAGGAAATAATGGCCATGATTCTCTTTCTAAAGCACAGATGTTTTCTGCTTGGCAACTCCAATTGCTCTCGGTTATCCACTGGCTTCAGAATAAACTCCAACTCTTTCAGTATTCTCATGAGGGTGGCTTTCAGACTGGGGAATTTGTATTCCCAGGGCTATATGAAGTAGACTGGGGAATTTTTACTCCCAGGGATACATTACATCTTGCCAAGTGGGACACAGGCATGGTTGGTTTTTAAGCAGTCACTTATAAATCCTAAACTTCCATATTTACTTTTTCTTTTAGTAGAAAAAGTCACTTGGGGTCAAGGCCTCAAGCTGAGTTCTCTTACATCCCCCCCTTTTATTTCACAATCTCCTTTATCTTATTTACAAAAGAAAGGCACATTTCTTACTCAATAAAAATCCTGTCATAGAGTTTTCCCCTGAGTTATACCTCCTGGGTAACAAACACAGAGACAATTACAAATGTTGGTGTCAAAGGCTCTCCTTAAATCAAAAGTAACCTCTATCCTTCTTAAGGAGATATGCATTTCCAATAAATAATTGTTTTTTGGGTTTGATAATTATCAAATTTTGTAATATATTCCATTTTGATCAAACGTGTACTAAGAATAAGATTTCTTTTTGATTGAAATATAATTAACACTTGAGCCTTAAGGTCACAGGTAATTTTAAAAATTAAAGTTTCAATTTAATATACACATTCTTATTGCAGGCTGGCATGTTAGGGTAATCAATGGAATTTTACAGCACAAAAATGTATTTCAATAGGATAAAATTATAGAGGGGAAGTAATTTGGATATATAAGTTCAAGGAAAAAAAGGAATAATTTAATATTTCTGACAGGAGAATAGCTTTTTCATGTATTTTTTAAATTGAAGATTATGGTTCAAATTGCATTCGTATTTATAATCCTTTGAATATATTTAAAAGAGTGATGTGACAGTTTTAATTTAAAATAACAATATTTACAATATACTGGAAATGATATTCTTTGCAAATATTTAAACTTGTGATGAAAAAGTTTAGACATCAACTTAAAAGTGCCTGAGGAGATACATATTTTTTAAAATAAATTTTTTACTTTGAAATACATTCAGATTTATAGAAGCATCCCAAAGATAGTACAGAGTATTTCTTTTTGCCTTCACATTTCTCAAACTAAAAATGTAACATCAACAGAAATAACTAACTTGCAGCAACCAGCCCAGGAAACCAACACATTATCTACAGTAACCAGCCAGGAAGCCAACCTACTATCTATGAGTCAGACTTGTAGACAGTCAAGCTGCTGTCGCTAATAACCCAGGAAGCCAAACAATAACTCCTGTAGCAATCAGCTCCAAATGGCCAGGACTTGATTAATAACTGACAGCTTCCCTAATTTTTATCCCTGCTTTCAACTTAGGATCAACCTGAATCTGCTCCTCAAACGAATCACACAGGATGCCCAGCTTCATTTAGCCCATTTCCTGCTTCCCCATGTCAACAGCTTCCAATTAGGGCACATCTGAAGCTCTCTCTCTTTTCTAACACAAAGTTCTCCCACTCTTCTTACTGGCTTTTGAGTCTCTGCCAAAACACAAGTGATGATGGCTAACTCCCTTGCTATAGCAAGCTCTGAGTAAATAGCCTGTGTACTTGTTCTCATTTGAGAGCTCTTTATTTCTACAATGTATATTTTATATTTGAGTTGTAATCCAAGCATATATATCTTTTTTTTCAGCTTATTTTCTTATTCAAATTTTTCCAGATTTAGCCATTGGGAGTTATTTCGTTTTCCTTTCACATACTCCCATCCTTTCGTTTGAGCACTTCCTTAATTTCTGGCACTACAAAATGCTCCAGGCTCATTTTGTATATTTCCTTCCCCAGTTCTAGAATCAGTCATTTCTTCAAGGAGCCCTAGTTCCCCTTACTAAAGAATGGTATTTAGAAACTAAAGTCTGAACACCAAGTGTATTTTCTTGCTACTGGAAGTATAGCTACTTCTAGGCCCTCTCAGAAGAAAGAGCTAGGACACACACACACACACCCCCACACCCACACACACTAACCAGAGTATACATACATATCTGTAATTATTCTGTCTCTGTATGTATATTAACATAAACATGAATTCATACTTACTGTCTCCAACTTTAATTCAGAGTTCATTCTAGTCTTCCCCCTTATTTTATTTGTAACTTCTTTCTTTGACAGTGAGAAACATGACTCCACTATGTTTCATTTATGTACTTATAGGTTCAATCATAGTATGTACTTAAAGTATTCAAACTTCTTAACCCATGTCCCTTTGAGAAACAAATTTGACAATTAGAGTACATTTTATGTACAGTTTGTTTCGTCTTTTAGCTTACATTTTTTGGTCAAAACACAGTTTTCCAAAGTTATTTAGGTTAGCTCCTTTTCCAGCCACACCATTCACTGAGGTTATATAATACATTTATTGTAAGGTTACATTAATTTGTCACAGTTTGAATCCCATCAGAGATCCCTTGAAATTCTTGTTGATTTTTTTATTTGCATACGTTAATGCTTAATCTTTGTGATGAACAGTTCTTAGGGTTTTAAAACATGCACCTAGTAATGTATCTACCATCCTAGTACCTACCATACAGAACGTTTTATCACAATAAAAATTATCCTGTGCATCTCCTTTCTAATCAACCACTCCCCCTTTCATAAACCCTGATAACTTGGGGAAGCTGATCTGTGTTTCATTTGCATAGTTTTGCCTTTTCCAGAATGCCATATACATGTAATCATATAATGTATAACCTTTTGTTTCTGGTTTCTTTCACTTAGCAAAATTTATTTATGATTTATCCATGTTGTTGTGTGAATCAATAATTTATTCCATTTTATCACTGAATAGTATTCCATTATATGGATATACCATGGTTTGTTTATCCATTTACCCACTGAAGTACATTTAGTTGCTTGCAGTTTTTGCAGATTATGAACAGCTGCTAAAACATTTGCATATTATAGCTATCTATCTATCTATCTATCTATCTATCTATCGATTGATTTATTACAAGGAATTGGCATAAGTAATTGTAGACCTTAGTAAGGAAGGGAAGATCACCAACAGGTTGAAACTCCACAGGCACAAGCTGAAGCTGTTGTCCACAAGTAGAATTTCTTCTTCCTCCTCTTTCTCCTCCTTCTTCTTCTCTCTCTTACTCTCTCCTCTCTCATCTTTCTCTCTCTTTTTTTCTTTCTTTCCTCAGACTAGCTTCTAAGGCCTTTCAACTTTAATTCAGGCCCAGCCAGGTTGCATAGGATAATGTCTTATACTTAAAATGAACTGATCAGAGACTTTATATCTGCAAAGTCCTTTCACAGCAACAACTAGATTGATCGAATGACAGAAGACTGTAGCCTAGGCAACCTGACACACTAATACATGGCATCAGGCCAGAGAGAATGAGAGCCAAGCAAAAGGGGAAACCCCTTGTAAAATCATCAGAACTTGTGAGGCTTACTACCATGAGAACAGTATGGGGGAACCTGCCTCCATGATTCAGTTATCTCTCACCAGCTCCCTCCCACAACACGTGGGAATTATGGGAGCTACAAACTCAAGATGAGATTTGGGTGGGGATGCAGCCAAACCATATCAGTATTTTAATTATAATTCCAATTTTTATTTTCTGTTATTTAAAGATATAACTGGCTATTGTACATGAAATTTGTATCCTGCATTCATGCTAGATTTACTTAGTTATAGAAAGATTTCTTTTGTCTTCAGGTTTGTTTTACATTGACAATTATATTGTTTCAAATAAAGATAGTTTAATGTCTTCCTCTTCAATCTGCTTGCTTTTTATTTCCCTTTTCTGCCTTTTTGCATTGGCTAGGCCTTCCAGTACTTTGTTGAATAGGAGCAGTGAAAGACAACATATTTGCCCTGTTTCTCATTTTAAGGCAATTGCATTTTGTGTCTCACTATAAAGTATGAAAAGAGCTATAGGTATAATTTTTTTCTCTAGACATCATTTATTAGATTAAGGAAGTTCCCTTGTTTTCCCAGTTTGTTGAGAGTATTATTATGAATTGATGTTGTATTTTATCAAATGCTTTTTCTTCATCTATTGATATATGGATTTTTTTATTTAGCCTGTTAATATGGTGAATTATCTTTATTGATTTTCAAACGTTGAACCAGGCTTTCATTTGTTGGACAAACCCTACTTGGTCACAATATATTATCATTTGTTTTATATATTGCTGGGTTTGATTTGTTAATATTTTGATAAGTATTTTTATATCTAAGTTTAGAGAGATAGTGATGTATAATTTTCCTTTCTCATAATGTCTTTGTCTGGCTTGAGTATTAGAGTAATGCTGACCTAATATTAGTTGTCATCTTAATTTAATAAAATATAGATGCTAACTTAAAAGTGCCCAAGGAAGCATATGTTATTTTTAAAAATTATTTCAGCAGGTATGTGAAGAAAAAAATTTTGAAGTCTATTGTCATATAAGATTATCCACAATCTAACTCTGACTATCTTACCAACCCCAGCTCTAGCATATACTGCCAGTGTCAGCTTGTAGACCAAAGAGCCCTTTGGATACCTTTACGATTTCTGGGCACTCCCTCTTCCAGCTTTGGTGTGTTTTTGCCTTCAAAAACCTGCACCTTTACTTTCAGAGAACTAACTGGCTAGTAGAGCTTCTTGTCTTGCAGCAACAGAGAAGAAGAAGTAGCTGGGAGCTTGAATCTTCCTGGGTGAACCTCAGGTAATGGGCTGATGTTGTGTGCAGAAGTATGAAAGCCTGGGTACTTACCTTCAGGTCAGACAGTTCTAAGGAATGACTTACTTATGTTTCAGAATTCTCCTGAGGACAAGACTGAAACTACCCTGTGTGGGACTTTGCCTGAAATCAGACCTTTGCACGCCTTCTTTATTTTTTCTGCCCTGATTCTCCCTTTGCCTAATGGTGTCTCCTAGAAGCACTTACTTAATAAATTACTTGTGCATAAATCTATATTATAGGGTTTGCTTATGGGGAATTCAGCCTAGGATAACCATCAATCTGATCTACCGTTTTGTTCCCACATTCCCAATTATACAGATATCCTACACTTTTCTTCATTTCCTCATCACTCCATGTTAATATGCCAGAGTAATTTTGCATATTGTGCCATTTCAACTTTGAATTCTCTCTCTCTTTTTTTTTCTCTGCAAGGTAGTAACAAAACTCAAGGCTATTTCAAACATCAACTCTTTTGAAAAACCTGGCCAGACATTGTTTTGCTGCTGTTTGGTCCCTCCTCTTGGCCCACACAGCACTGTATTTTTGTTTGTTTGTTTGTTCACACAACTATTAATATCTTTTGCTAGACTGGAAACTTCTCAATTGCAGGAGACAGACTTTTTTGCATTTCTGTTTCCTTACCTCCATATTGGTAACAAGTGCCTACTAAGTATTTGTGAAATGAGTAAATAAATAAACTAAATTTAATATTATTCCAATAGAATAGATTCCATTCACATATGTACAACCCTAGAAAGTCCTTTACATTTTATTTTAATTACAAGCCATTTGGTGAATATGCAACATGAAATCATTATCAAGTTATATATGAGGAAACAGACTCCAGTAAGTGACATAATTAATCCAACATCAGGAGAGGCTGGCCAAGATGACCAATTAGAAGCAGCTAGTGTGCACCACTCTCATGGAGAGAAATAGAAGGGGCGAGTAAATTCAGTACCTTCAACTGAAACATCCAGGTACATGCATTGGGATTCGTCAAGAAAACAACTCAACCCACAGTGAATGGAGAAAAGCAAGGCAGGACAACCACCCACTTGGGAGCAACACAGAGCCAGGGGAACCTCCCTCACCCAGGGAAGCAGAGAATGAGTAAGTGACCCTGGGTACCCATGCTTCTTTCATGGATCTTTGTAACCCTCAGGTCAGGAGATCCCTTCGTGAACCCACTCCACCAGGGTGTGCCGTGTGTGCCGTGTGACATGCAGAACTATGTGGAGTCTTGGTAGAGAAGCTTCTCAGGCACACATGGACCCCCAGGAGCTTTAGATGCCCTGGCTTCCTGGCAAAAGTGGCTGCAACTTCAGCAGAGTGGGAGGTTAGACTCCCATATGTAACCCTAGGAAAGTGGCTGAATCCAGGGGGCTGAGCAGCGATGGTCTGCATACTCTGCTTCCACGGGATCTTATCCTTGCAGGATAAAACCCACTGGTTTGGAACTCCAGCCAGCTACCAGTGGCAGCATTACACCTCCGAGACAGAGCTCCCAGGGGAAGGGGCAGGCCACCATCTTTGCTGTTTCACAGCCTTAGCCATTGCTGCCTTCAGTGCAGCCACCCTATGAAAAAGCGACCAGACTGCTCTTTGACACAGGTCCCTGACCCCACCTCTCCTTACTGGGTGGGACCTGCTAACTGGAGTCACCAGCCACCTTTGCTCATATTTTCCAGCTGGCAGGGTTCTGAGCCTTCCTGGGACAGAGTTCCCAGGGGGAGGGATGGGCCACCATCTTTGTTGTTTCACAGCCTTAGCCATTGTTGCCTTTGGGCTCTACAGAGTAGGAAGTGACTAGGGACTGGGGCAGTCCCCTGGCACAGCACAGCAGCTCTATGGAGAAGCAGCCAGACTGCCTTTTCTTTTCTTTTCTTCTTTTCTGTTTTTGTTTTTGTTTTTTTTTTTTTGAGACAGAATTTCACTCTTGTTGCCCAGGCTGGAGTGCAATGGCATGATCTCGGCTCACCACAACCTCTGCCTCCTGGGTTCAAGTGATTGTCCTGCCTCAGCCTCCTGAGTAGCTGGGATTACAGGCATGCGTCACCACGCCTGGCTAATTTTGTATTTTTAGTAGAGATGGTGTTTCTCCATGTTGGTCAGGCTGCTCTCGAGCTCCTGACCTCAGGTGATCTGCCCACCTTGGCCTCCCAAAGTGCTGGGATTACAGGCGTGAGCTACTGCACCCAGCCCAAGAGTTCCTAATTTTTTGATACTCAGATTGTCCCCAGTTTGGCCAGTGCAAACACTTTCACACTGGCTCTTGTATCATTTTGACATGTCCCCATTATTCTTTGAGCCCTTGTTCGCTTGCTACCACAAAATCTTTCAGGCTCCTCTTTTATTTTCCCTTTTCCTGGATGTGAATTCAGCCATTTTCTCCATGTAGGTTCATTCTAGTGGGAAATTGTTCTTACACATCAAGATTTGGGGGCTAGCCACCACACCTGGCTAATTTTGTATTTGTAGTAGAGACGGGGTTTCTCCATGTTGGTCAGGCTGGTCTTGAACTCCTGATCTCAGGTGATCCGCCCATTTCGGCCTCCCAAAGTGCTGGGATTACAGGCTTGAGCCACCACACCTGGCCCAGACTGCCTTTTCCTGTGGCTCCTGGATCC
This sequence comes from Homo sapiens, assembly GCF_000001405.40. NCBI lineage: Eukaryota > Metazoa > Chordata > Mammalia > Primates > Hominidae > Homo > Homo sapiens. The sequence goes on along the minus strand of NC_000023.11, from coordinate 43,442,986 downwards.
CATTTCTCTTTACTGGGCGGAATCTCCTGACTGAAGTCTATAACAACCCCTGCTGATGTCTTCTGGCTGGCAGCTGTTTCAAATCTCCCTGGGACAGAGCTATCAGAGAAAGGGGTGGACTACTATCTTTGCTGTTTCATAGCCTTAGCTGTTGTTATCTTTGGAATTTGGAGAGTCTGAAGTGACTGGGAGCTGGAGTGGACCCCCAACACAGCACGACTGCTCTACAAAAAAGGAGCCAGATTGCTACTTTACATGGGTCCTTGATCCCATTTCTCCTCACTGGGCAGGATCTCCCGGCCAGGATGTCTAGCCATCTCCTGCTGGTGTGTTTAGGCTGGTAACAAGTCTATATCTCCCTGGGATGGAGCTCCCAGAGAGGGGTGGGCTGCCATCTTTGCTGTTTCACAGCCTTCACTGTTGATACCTTCAGGTGCTGGGAAACCCAAAATGACTAGGTGCTGCAGTGGAACCCCAGCATACTGCAGCAGCCTTATGGAAAATTGGCCAGACTTTTACATCCTGGTCCTCACTTCTCCTCACTGGGCAGGGCTGCCTGACCTGGGACCCCAGCACACCCACTCTGCCCCTGCCTGACCACTTTAACCAGAGGCAGCTCAGCAGTTAAAGGAATACCCACACACGGAGAAGAAAAAGAACCAATGCAAGAACTCCAGCAACTCCAATGGGAAGAGTGTCTTATGTCCCCCAAACGGTTGCACTAGTTCTTCAATAAGGATTCTTAACTGGGGTGAGTTGGCTGAAATGACAGAAATAGAATTCAGAATGTACATAGGAATGAAGACCATTGAGATTCAGAAGAATGGTAAAATCTAACCCAAGGAAACTAAGAATCACAATGAAATGATACAGGACCTGACAGATAAAATAGCCAGTATAAAAAATAACCTAACTGATCTGATAGAGCCAAAAAACTTACTACAAGAATTTCACAATGCAATCTCAAGTATTAACAGCAGAATAGACCATGGTAATGAAAGAATCTAGGAATTTGAAGACTGATTCTCTGAAACAGGAAAGACAAAAATAAAGAAAAAAGAATAAAAGGGAGTAAACAAATCATCCAAGAAATATGGGATTATATAAAGAGGCCAAATCAACAAAATAACTGGCATTTCTGAAATGGATGGGGAGAAAGCAAACAACTTGAAAAATATGTACCAGAATATCATCCATGAAAACTTCCTCATCCTCACTAGAGATGCCAACAGTCAAATTCAGATAATACAGAGAACCCCTAGAAGATTCTACATAAGAATATCATCCCCAAGAAACGTAATTATCAGATTTTCCAAGGTCGAAATGAAAGAAAGGATGTTACCAGCCAATACCAAAACACACTTAAGTACATAGACCAGTGACACAATAAAGCAATCACACAAACAAATTTGTATAATAACCAGCTAACAACATAATGAAAGAATCAAATCCACACATATCAATACTAACCTTGAATGTAAACGAGCTAAATGACCAATTTAAAAGGCACAGAGTAAGAAGCTAGATAAGAAGCTTGATGGTATGCTGTCTTCAAGAGGCCCATCTCACACACAATGACACCTACAGGCTCAAAATAAAGGGATGGATGAAAATCCACTAAGCAAATGGAAATCAGTAAAAAGCAGGGTTGCAATCCTAATTTCAGACAAAATAGACTTTAAACCAACAAAGATCAAAAAACACAAAGAAGGGCATTATATAATGGTAAAGGGTTTAATTCAACAAGAAGACCTAACTATCTTAAATATATATGCACCCAACACAGGAGCACTCAGATTCTTAAAGTCAGTTATTAGAGACCTACCAAGAGACTCAGACATTCACACAATAATAGTAGGAGACTTCAACACCCCATTGACAGTATTAGAGAGATCATTGAGGCAGAAAATTAACAAAGATATTCAGAACCTGAACTCAAAATTGGACCAAATGGATCTGATAGACTTCTATAGAACTCTCCACCCCAAAACAACAGAATGTACATTCTTCTCTTCACCACATGGCACATACTCTAAAATCGACCACATAATCAGACATAAAACAATCCTCAGCAAATGCAAAACAACTGAAATCATACCAATGACACTGCTGGATGACAGCACTATTAAAATAGAAATCAATACTAAGAAAATCACTCAAAACCATGCAATTACATGTAAATTGAGCAACTGGCTCCTGAATGACTTTTGGATAAATAAGGCAGAAATCAAGAAGTTCTTTGAAACTAATGAGAATAAAGATATAACATACCAGAATCTCTGGGGCATAGCTGAGGCAGTATTAAGTGGAAAACTTATAGCACTAAATGTCCACATCAAAAAGTTAGAAAGATCTCAGTTTAACAACCTAAAATCACAACTAAAAGTATTAGAGAAGCACAAGCAAACCAACCCCAAATCTAGCAGAAGACAAGAAATAACCAAAATCAGAGCTGGACTGAAGGAGATTGAGACACACAAAAAAATTCAGAAGATCAATGAATCCAGGAATTGGTCTTTTTAGAAAAATTCATAGTAGACCACTAGCTAGACTAATAATAAGAAACTATCGCAAGAACAAAAAACCAAACACCGCATATTCTCACTCATAGGTGGGAATTGAACAATGAGAACACATGGACACAGGAAGGGGAACATCACACTCTGGGGACTGTTGTGGGGTCAGGGGAGTGGGGAGGGATAGCTTTAGGAGATATACCTAATGCTAAATGACGAGTTAATGGGTGCAGCACACCAGCATGGCACATGTATACATATGTAACTAACCTGCACATTGTGCACATGTACCCTAAAACTTAAAGTATAATAATAAAATTAAAAAAAGAAAAAAAATATATAGTTATATCAAAGACAGTTCAGAGAATACCAGAATAACTTATATCAATAGGGCCACCTGAAAAGTACAACTATAAAACTGTAGAAAATGTAAGAAGTAATGTTTTCAGGAACTGAAAGTATCAAGCCTTAAGATAATGCCAGTCTTCCTCGCTGCTCCCAGTTTGTCCTTTAGCTATTCAGTGTACCAGCCCTAGCTCATGATTTTGGGGGGGAGGTATGAATATGGACATCCTGCAAAATACTATAGAAAAATTAATTTTGAAAGCCTTGGATGTACAACGTGCACAGTGGTGGTAAAATTATTTGCTAATTTTAAAAAAAAAGAAATAAAATGATTCATTATCTTCAAAAAAAGAAAACAGAGAAGATCCAAATAAACACAATTAGTACTGACAAAGGGGATGTTGTCACTGACCTCAGATAAATACAAACAACCATCAGAGACTACTACAAAACATCTATATACACAAACAAAACCTAGAAGAGGTGGATAAATTGTTGGACACATACACCCTCCAAGACCTCTTTTCTTTATAAATTACACAGCCTCTATTTCTTTATAGCAATGCAAAAATGGTCTAATACACATATCCTTTCCAACATCAAAAAGGCCCCTTTCTAGGGTACATGGCCTTCAATCTCAGGACCCTAAAAATAGGAGGTAGTGTCTCAGAGCAGATAGGAAAATAAATCATTTTGCACTAGAACCTCTCTCTCATGAATGAAGGGATGTCATCTCAATTCCATGACATCTTCTTCCTCTGTTCCTTTCCCTGATGTCACCAGTGAAAAATACCAGCCAGCAGCCAAGCCAAGAATTTCCCTATTACCTGAGGTCCACCAAATGGTTGATTTATGCTTCTCCTCCTTGCTTAGCAAGTAATTAGAAATGATCTAGAACCTGCTGAAACTGGACAATGACATGGGCATGGCTATATAAGGGATAAAGAGAGAGACTATTTTGAAGGGCACCCATTAATTTCACAGGCATTATAAAACTAAATGCCAAAAAACTCTTGGCAATGCCTGATTGGGACATACGGGTGTTTTATTTCCTCTCTGGCAACAGAACTCTTATTTTCTTCTCTAGCTAGCTTTTGAAAGTCAGATTCCTGACTTTGCTCGAATATGTGACAATGACAGAAAGCAGCATTGGGGAGACATATATACTGGCTGAGTGGTATCTTCTTTGCCTACCTGAATGTTACAAGAAATCTTTGCTCTTTTTTATCCTCTTTAAAAATCTATTAAAGCTTCTAGTGTTCTAATGAGAGTATGTGGAATTGTGACATTGGATGCCAGCAAATCTATAAAAGGAAAAGACATTCTATATGGTGTAGACAGAAGAGATTGTAGAAAGAGAATCTAATTTTTCAGCACACAGGCAAAAACTGAGGGGAAGCCAGTGAGTTTCACTAGAGATCCCTCAGGCCCATATACATAATCTCAGTAAATATTTAGAACAATCTGCTTTTGAGAGGTAGGATTTATTAATTGCATTGCATAGTTGAGGGAAACTGAGGTCCAGGCACATTGAACTACTTGCCCAAGGTTTTACAACTGCGTTAGTTCAAATGGAAAAAAGGGCTGTTGCCATTGAGTCAAGAGCTAATAATGGCTTCACAGGATCTTCTATTCTTCTCATAATTGTCAGACCTTGGTCAATGATGCCCTGGCTAAAATGGCTACATGGAATGATGTGGCTGAGGAGCAGGCACAGTGGCAAAACTGTGGCAGGAACCCCTGGTTTGTCATCTAAGTATATACTTTGGTGACACTGGCTCTGGAAGAAATCTGAAAAAAAAAAAAAAAAAAAAAAAAAAAAATGATTAAAAAGGTTCCAGGATCACAGGAAGTTAATCTGAATTATGGTCCAGGAGTACGAGTGGATAGTAACTTGGATCCCCAGATGTTTTCAAAGATTAAAGGGAAAATGTATCTGACGCAATTCAAGATACATAAAAGCACGGCCAGAGTGAATTGGGCATTGAGGGACTCTGAATGAACAATGCAATATTTGAGACAATTGGTACTTAGGGAAATACTAGGTTTCTTTTTTTTTTATTTTTATTTTTTATATACTTTAAGTTCTGGGGTACATGTGCAGAACATGCAGTTTTTGTTACATACGTATACACGTGTCATGGTGGTTTGCTGCACTCATCAACCTGTCACCTACATTAGGTATTTCTCCTAATGCTGTCCCTCCCCTAGCCCCCCACCCACCGACAGGCCCTGGTGTGTGATGTTCCCCTCCCTGTGTCCACGTGTTCTCATTGTTCAACTCCCACTTATGAGTGAGACAATGCAGTGTTTGGTTTTCTGTTCTTGTGTTAGTTTGCTGAGAATGATGGTTTCCAGCTTCATTCATGTTCCTGCAAAGGACATGAACTCATCCTTTCTTATGGCTGCATAGTTTTCCATGGTTTATATGTGCCATGTTTTCTTTTTCTTTTCTTTTCTTTTTTTTTTTTTTTTGAGATGGAGTCTAGCTGTGTCTCCCAGGCTGGAGTGCAGTGGCACGATCTCGGCTCACTGCAAGCTCTGCCTCCCAGGTTTACGCCATTCTCCTGCCTCAGCCTCCCAAGTAGCTAGGACTACAGGCGCCCGCCACCACGCCCAGCTAATTTTTTGTATTTTTAGTTGAGACAGGGTTTCACCGTGTTAGCCAGGATGGTGTCAATCTCCTGACCTTGTGATCCGCCCACCTCGGCCTCCCAAAGTTCTGGGATTACAGGCATGAGCCACAGCACCCGGCCGCCACATTTTCTTCGTCTAGTCTATCATTGGTGGACATTTGGGTTGGTTCCAAGTCTTTGCTATTGTGAATAGTGCAGCAATAAACATATGTATGCATGGGTCTTTATAGTAGAATGATTTATAATCCTTTGGGTATATACCCAGTAAAGGGATTGCTGGGTCAAATGGTAGGGAAATACTAGGTTTCTTAATCAAAGTTACTTCACTGAGCATCCATAAGTAGCAAACATCTGACATCTCTTCCCCCTTATGGCCACCGTCTACATATGTACAGTTTGTCCACTGCACAAAAATGGCCCCTAAGGAGGGATAGGTGGGAATTGAATTTTCTGCCTCTGGAATGGAGAAAAGGTGTCCTTTTCTACTATACTCACATAAAGGGGCAAGTTTTTCTAATTTTCCCTAAGGCTGAATTCCCATTTCATTTTGGTACGGCATCGCTTTATTTTTTCTTTGGAAATTTCTCTCCCCACCCCTGCCATTGGAGATGGGGCTGGTGGGATTTTTGTTTCTACTGGCTCAACTCCTCCCACCCTAGGGGTACACCCATGGGCTAAGCTGGATGAATTTGGCTCTCCTGTGATCTGCAACTTGAGAACAATGACACAAGGATGGGAGGTGTCCAGAGCTGAGTCACGAAGTTGATGCTAAGCAAGAACTGAGCATGAGTTCTTGTTGCTGAGCCTCTCAGAGCTCCCTGGCATCTGTGCTTCCCAAAGACTGAAATTGCATATATTCCTCTGAACATCTTCATCAAAAGATGCATGGTTTTAGAAGGAAACTGTGGCTCAAAGATTCATTTCCTGGTGTTTAACCAATACAAACGAGATAAGAATCAGAGCCCTTTGAAGTTTTATCCATCAAAGCCAATATTCATTCAACCGTTTATTCAACAAATTCAACTGAGTTTTTTTTCAATTATCAGTGGTCACTTTTTTACCTTTTAAAGTTTGTAAATCATTATGCATTTTAAAAGCAATGTGTGCCTTTAAGGAAATGTTTTTTATTTTCTCAGATATGTTATCAAATGCATAATATATCTTATAATCAATAGTGTCTGAGAGACCCAATCAGAGGGATCTAGTAGTTGGTGCTCTTTATACCGAAATGAAAGGTCTTCCTTGGGAAGTTCCATCAAAATACGTACCCAAAGAGATCTGGTTTGATGAAGATCAGGCCTCAGCATCAATCTATCTATCCCTGATTATTGGTACTTTCATATTTTCACAATTTCCTCTGTCTTCAGCAAGAATCTGTTTGCACTCTTCTGCCCATCATTGCGTTAGTCCATATATATAGTTAAACTGACTCATGCTATTTTGTTCTCAATATATAAAGATGAATTACTAGGCGACTGAATAGCCCAGCTTTCTCCAGGCTTCATTTTATATTCTACTTAAGAGGTGGGTTGAAATGCTCAGGTTACAAGCCCTGAATCACCTATCCTCAGTTCTCAGTCAGAGTTTGCAAAGGATGTGTCAGTCAGATTTCTAACTCTGGGATAGATACCATATCTAGCAGATAGTAAGCTTTGAGCAATAAGTCATGTGTTTGCTTTATAAAGTTTGACTCTCACTTTAACAATTTCTAAAATCAAGATGGTTCATGGAGAATGTCTAAAAATCATCAACTACCTTCTAAATAAACTCTTACATAAAAATGAGTTTGTTTTACCTTGTGCTTATAAAAATTGTTATTTCTATATGTGAATGAGGTTTTTTAAATAGGAGATCAATTCATGGCATAGTTACATTATGTGCACCATACAGTCACTGTATTAGAGGAGTCAAAATTTAGAAATAAGGGCAGATGTGGGAATAGAACCTAAGCTTCCTAAGAAATTGAAGTTTTCTGGAGCTTCTTTGAAGACTGGGATAGTATTTGCCCTGTCTGATCCTCAGTGTCATTTGGGGCATTTAGAGATAACATATGGGAAGATGCATTGGAAACTTAAGTGTTCTTCAAGTGCAAGTTACTATAGCTGGTTGTTCAGGCTGAAAGGAATTCCATCTCAGAATAAGAACAATTTCAAGAGGGCAGACACCACAAATTAGGCATTCTCACAACCATCACTGAACCTGACAGCAAACAGAATACAGAAGTAGTGCCTGCCATGAAAATATTGAACCAAATCAATTATTAACTGGCAGGTGTGTATGAAATTTTTAATTTTGAATTACTGATGGGTAGATCTCAAGGATGTCAAGGCAGAAGGCCACCTTACTTCACCAGGATGTGAAGATGAGTGGTTGGAGAAGAAAAAGGCATGCCCAGGGGCTAAGAACTCAGTAAGACCCAAAGGAAATCAGGTGGAGGTGCTAAATTATATTATAATGTATATTTAACCATTGAGCAGACACTGTACTATAGGTTGAGGTTACAAATGTGAATGAGATAAAATATTTGCCTGGAAAGGAAATACTCACAATTTAGTGATTTGGTATCAGAGAAGTCAACACCAAACTGTAATATATAATTTTTCTTCTGTTATACTATATGTTTAAATCTGTGCCTTAAAAATAGGTTTGAGGCATATCACTCAAGACTTGCGTCAAGTATTAATCAGAGCACCAACAAACACGTATGTGAGACTAATAAAATACTGGTGTGGGGAAATCTGCACAGATATTCGCACTCCAGCATCACAATTAGCCAAACGTTTGCACTCTAAAACACAGAGCTTTATGTTTCCCCCTTTAAGACGGGTCCTAGAGAGCTGTTTCATCAAAATTAAAAATTTCATCCAAGATGGAGCTTCCTTCATAATTTTCTATGAACATAAAGGAAAATGTCTTTGCAGCTTCTTTACCTGCCTTTGCAAGTACCCCAGTTAATTTCTAATAGTGGACATTAGAGCAATTCCTGAACTCACTAAAGTGCTTGCACTTAAGAAATTTACTTGTACAGGATTTTCAAGGTTTTTATCTTCTCTTTCTTTTAAAAAACCCACTTTCTTGAGGTATGATTGACATATAAAATGCTGCACATTTTTAATGTATACACCTCAATGAGTTTGAGGATAAGTATATACCTGTGAAACTATCATCATCATCAAGGCCATAAGCATATCCATCACCTCCCAAAGTTTCCTTACTCTCTTTATTATTATATTTTTTCTTCTTTTTTTGGTAAGAACACTTAGCATAAGATCTACCCTCTTAGCAAATTTTAAGCACACGATACAGTATTGTTAGCGATAGGCACTACGCTGTGTAGATCTCTAAACTTACTCATTCTGCATAACTGAAACTTCGCACCTTTTGAACATCACCTCCCCATTTCCCCCTTCCTTAAGTGCCTGGCAACTGCCATTCTACTTTCTGCTTTTATGGGTTTGACTATTTAAGAGTCCACATATAAGTGAGATCATGCAGTATTTTTCTTCCTGTGTCTGGCTTATTTCATTTAGCATAATGTTCTCCAGGACTGTCCATGTTGTCACAAATGTCAGGATTCTCTCTTTTTTAAGGTGGAATAATATTCCATTGTATGTATATACAATAATTACTTCATCAATTTGTCTCTTGGTGGGCATTTAGGTTGTTTACATATCTTGGCTTTTGTAAATAATACTGCAGTGAACATGGGAGTGCAGATATCTCCATGAGATCCTGATTTCAATACTTTTGGCTATATATTTAGAAGTAGGATTGCTGGATTGTATGGTAGGTCTATTTTTAATTTTTTGAGGGCCTTCCATACTGTTTTCCATGATGTTTGTACTAATTTACATTCCCTCTAACAGGGTATAAGGGTTCCCTTTTCTCCACATTTTTCCCAACACTTGTTATCTTTTGTTTTTTAATAGCCATCCTAACAAGTGTGAAGTGATATCTTATTATGGTTTTGATTTGCATTTCCCTGATGATTAGTGATATTGAGCATTTTTTCATATACCCGTTGGCCATTTGTATGACTTCTTCGGTGAAATATCTATTCAGGTCTGCTGTGGTTTGAATGTGTCCTCCAAAAAACGTGTGTTGAAAACTTAATCCCCAATGTAACAGTGTTGGGAGTGGAGCCTAATGAGAGGTAATTAGGCCAGGAGTGCAGAGTGAAGGGATTGCAGGAGTGGGTTCCTTAAAAAGGATAAATTTGGCCCCCTCTTGCTCTCTCTCTCTTACCCTCTCTGCTCCTCCACCATGGGATGATACAGCAAGAAGGGCCTCACCACATGCTGGCCTCAATCTTGGACTTCCTAGCAAAGTTCTGTTCATTATAAAGTAGTCTGTGGTATTATTATAGCAGCACAAAATGAACTAAGACAGAGTTCTTTGCCCATTTCAAAATCAGATTATTTGTTTTCTTACTATTGAGTTCTTTGCGTTTCTTATATATTTTGGATATTAACCTCTTTCCAGATGTATGGTTTGTAAATATATACTCTCGATCTATAGATTTTCTCTTTATTTTGTTGATTGTTTACTCTGCTGTGCTGAAGTTTTTTTAATTTGATGTAATTCCATGTGTCTATTTTTGCTTTTGTTGCTTGTGCTTTTGGAATCATATTCAAAAAACTATTGTCAAGACTAATGTCAAGGAGCTTTTCCCCTGTGTTTCCTTCTAGGAGTTTGTGGTTTCAGGTATTATGTTTAAGTCATTAGTCCATTCTGAGTTCATTTTGTGTATAGTGTAAGATAAAGATCCAATTTCATTATTCTGCCTGAGGAGATCCAGTTTTTTCGACACTATTTGTTGAAGAAACTGTCCTTTCTACTTTGTGTACTCTTGGCACCCTTGTTGAAAATTAATTGACCATATATGTATGGGCTTATTTCTGGGCTCTCTATTATGTTCCATTGTTTTATGTGTCTGTATACATATGGGTTGGTATACACACATACATTTCCTTATTCTGTCAGTGAGAGCATCTAGAAAAACAACACCCCAATATCAACAAGCACACTTAGAACAAAGATCTTGGTTTCTAATACCATTCTCCAACCAAAAGAACCAGTATTCCTTGGAAAAATGGCTGTTTCTAGGACTGGGGCAGGAAATACACAAGATGAGCCTGGAGCATCTTATAGTGACAGAAAATAAGGAAGTGTTAACAAACACACTCACACACAACGATGGGAGTATATCAATGTGATACAGGAGCAACTGAAAGAATTCTTAATGGCAAAAGCTGGACCAGTTTGAGCAATGAAGGAAATAAAATACTGTTAAATTATAGACCAAAGCATAAAACAAGTATCCCTGGGTCCATTATGATATAAACGATTAAATATACAAAGAAATGGGGAAGAACAAATAAATCTCTCACACAGAAGATACTCTGTATGTAAATACTCTGCCCTTAGTGAAGTAGATATAACTCCCTACTTTTAGGTGTGGGATGTGCATAGTGACTTCCTTCCAAAGATTACCATATGAGAGGGGAAACAGGGTAACTTTACAGTGGAAAAATATGACAAACACTACTTCAGCCAGAAGATCAAGATTAGCATCATCAGCGATAATTCACTTTGACAGCATGTGCCCTTGATATGATATGATGAGACTGGCACTTTATCTTTGCAGCATTCTTCTGAAAAACCTACAATCCCAGTATAATGATAAAAAAATCAGAAAAATACTAAGATGTCTTGGGGTACATTCTACAAAATATCTGTTTAGCCCTCCATACAACTGTCAAGGTCATTGAAAACAAAGACTGAGAAACTTTCACAGTAAGAGGAGTCTAAGGAAATATCTTGACTAGATGTGATATGGTGTATTGAATAGGAACAAAAAAAGGACATTGGGCAAAATTTGAGGAAATTTTGGAATGGAAAAATTGAGGAAACCTGAATAATGTGCCAACTTTAGTTAATAATAATGTATCAATATTGGTAAATTAATTGTGGTAAATGTACCATAATGATATAAAATTTTAATAGGATGGGAAACTATGTGTAGGTACATGATAACTATTTGTACTATTGTTGCATATTTTTCTAAGTCTAAAACTATTTTAAAGTAAAATATTTTTAAAAGTAATGTATTATATACTCCTTCTAGGAAGATGGAATAGATGTACTTTTCCCTATTTCTATGGCTAAGTACAGCTAAAAACCTTGGACATTATGGATAAAACAAACACAAGAAGACTCTGAAACATGGAAAGACAAAGACCAAACAGACTTTCGGGTCTCAGGAACAACATGGCAATTAGTTCCCTGGGTTTTGTTTTTTCCCTTGTAGACCCCAGAATGAGTATTGGAGAAGCTAGCAACCCAGAAACACCAACTGGCATAGAAAAGAAGAAGTCCTAAGTAAAGCCTTTTTTCCCTCTAGCTAAACGGACAGAAAAAAGAAGCCTGGCAAGACAGACAACTTTTACGTAATAACTGCTTTACTCTAGTCAAATCTATTGATCTCAGCAATACATAAAAAGAATTATACACCATAACCAAGAAAGGCTCATTCCAGGAATGCAAGGCTGGCTCAATATTTGAAAATCAATGTAATCCACCATATTAACAAGCTAAAAAAAATCACATGATCCTACTCATTGATGCAGATAAAGCATTTGACAAAATCCAACACTCACTCGTGATAAGAACTCTCACAAAGTAGGAATAGAGGGGGACTTCCTGAGCTTGACAACAAAATCTACCAAAAAAAATGCACAACTAAAATGACACTTAAGAGTAAAAGGCTAAATCTCAAAGCACTATACATTATATGATACCATTTATGTAACATTCTTGAAATAACATAATTATAGAGATATAGAAAAGAGGAGAAGTTTCCAGGGGTTAAGCATGGGAGGAGGAAGTGGAGGGGGAAGAGTGATTACATATGGGTAGAAAGAGGGAGATCATTGTAGCAATGGATTACTTCTGTATCTTAATTGAAGTGGTTATATCAATCTACACATATGACAAAATGGCATAGAGCTATATATTCACATTGTACCAATGTCAATTTCCTAGTTTTAATATTGTACTATAGTTAAGTAGGATAACACCAATGGAGAAAACTGAAGGAAGGATGTACCTCTCTGTACTATCTTTTCAACTTTGTTGTGGAGGTTGCAGTGAGCTGAGATCGCACCACTGCACTCCAGCCTGGGCAACAGAGCGAGACTCTGTCTCAGGGAAAAAACAAAACAAAAAAACAAACAAACAAAAAAAGTTTTTCTTAAAAAGTGAACTAATAAGAAAAAGAATAAAGGACTAAATTATTTCTTCTAAGATGAGAAACAAGGCAAAGATGTCCAGTCACACTGCTGTTATTCAGTGTAGTACTGGAAGTTCTGGCAGGAGCAATAGGAGAGACAATAAAATAAAAGGCATACAGATTGTAAAGGAGGAAATAAAACTATCCCTATTTGCAGATCACATGATCGTTTACATAGAAAATGCCAAAAATCTACAAAAGTACTCCTAGAACTAGAAAATATATTTAACAATTTTTCAGGATACAAGATCAACATGTAACAATTAATTATATTTGTACATCTAAAAGTGAACATGTGAAAACCAAAATTATAAACACAATACCATCTATAATCAATCTAAACAAAGTGAAATACTCAGGTATAAACTTAACAAAATATGTCAATCATCTATATACTGAAAATTACAAAAGGCTGATGACAGAAATCAAAGATGGCTTAAACGGAAAGGTATAACATGGTCATAGTTTGGAAGATTCAACATAGCAGAGATGGTACTTTTCCTCAAATTGATCTATAGGTTTTAATGCAATTCCTATCAAAAGCCCAGCAAGTTTTTGTAGACATATTTAAGCTTGTTCCAAGACTTATATGGAGAGCCACAGGCTCAAGTATAGCCAACATCATCTTGAAGAACTATGAGAAAGTGCTCTACCTAACATTTAGGCCGGATTTATAGCTAGAGTATTTATGTGTGAACACTCTAGCTATATATTAGTATGATATTGGTGTAGAGATAGATACAAAGAACAATTGGTATTAGTGTTGTACAGGTGGAGGAATAGATACATAGATCATTGGAACAGAATAGAGAGCCCAGAACTGCTCTATACAAGTATGGCCAACTGATTTTTGACAAGGGTACAAAGGCAATTCAATGGAGGAAAGATGATCTTTTAGAAGTTGGGTAGCATGATGCCTCCAGCTTTGTTCTTTTTGCTTAGCATTGGAGTCATCACACTATCTGACTTTAAACTATATCACAAGGCTAAGTAACCAAAACTGCATGGTACTGGTACAAAAACAGTCGCATAGACAAATGGAACAGAATAGAAAACTCAGAAATAAGACTGCACATCTACAACCAACTGATCTTCAACAAACCTCACAAAAACAAGCAACAGGGGAAAGGATTTCTTATTTAATAAATATTGCTGGGAGAGTGGGCCAGCCATATGCAGAAAATTGAAACTGGACCCCTTCCTTACACCTTAAACAAAAATTAACTCAAGATGGATTAAAGACTTAAATGTAAAACCCAAAACTATAAAAACCCTAGAAGAAAATCTAGGCAGTTTCATTCAGGACATAGGCATGGGCAAAGATTTCATGATGAAATCACCAAAAGCAAATGCAACAAAAGCAAAAATTGACAAATGGGGCCTAATTAAAGAGCTTCTGTACAGCAAAAGAAACTATCATCAGAATGAACAGGCAACCTAGAGAGTGGGAGAAAATTTTTACAATCTATCCATCTTGTAATTTTGTTTAAGTTCCTTGTAGATCCTGGATATTACAAGAAAAAAACAAACGACCTCATTAAAAAGCGGGCAAAGGACACATATAGGCACTTCTCAAAGATAAGATATTCATGTGGCCAACAAACATTTATTTCAGATAAATGAAAATTTATGTCCACACAAAAACCTGTACATGAATGTTCATAGCACTTTTATTTGTTATTACCAAAAACTGGAAACAATAAAAATGGGTGAATGGTTAAACATACTATATTATATCATACTATGGAATAGTACTCAGGAATAAGAAGAAATGAAATATTGATAATGCAATAACTTAGATGGCTCCCAGGGGCATTATGCTGAGTGAAAAAAAGTTATCTCAAAAGATCACATACTGTATGATTCCATTTAAAGAACATTCTAAAAATGACAAAATTATAGAGATAGAGAACTAATAGTTGCCAGGATTTAGAGACAGTGGAGGAAAGGGGGCTGGGTGTGAATGTGGTACTAGGAAAGTCTTTATGGTAATGAAGCAGTTCTCTATCTTCATTGTGATTGTGTTGTATGAATCTACACATGTAATAAGATGACATACAACTATTAGTACGTTTATTTACTACTCCTTTATTTTATTACCCATGGTAAGTTGGTATAGTAGGCAGTAGAGTATGCCTGGAAACCATTGCTATACTAGGCGCATCAACAATTAACTTGGTCAGATTGCAAACTACATCAATATTGCCTTCTCTTGATAAACTAAGTATATTTCAACTCAGTTTCCCGTTGGTAAGGCACTAAAATGCCTGCAATCTGGAGCCCAGCCTGTCTGCACTTAAGAAAAGGCCAGTTACAAGTTGTTCTGGAGGGAGTCACAGCAGGGACCTCTGTTACATTTCACCTCCCCAGGAGGAGAGAGAGAGCTTTGTCCATCAGGAAGCTTTCTCATTTAGTGCTTTTTCTCCTCCTGAGAACTGCATGTAAAAAGTTGGACTGGATAATCATTTAGTTCAATTAAATCAAAGGCTTTTAAATTTAGTACTCATCAGAATCACCCAGGGTGCTTGTTTGAAAGGGATCATCTGGACCACCCCAGGGATTCTAATACAGGGGGTCCATAGATTTCATTTTGAGAAACATAGAGCTAACCTTTCTGTCTTTTGAACAGGCACGACAGTGGGAACTATTTGATTCTTTTTCTAACAGTTGCTTTCTACCTAAATTGCTGGGGGGAACAAACTAATAAAAAGTGGCCCCAACTTATCTTTCTACAATGAGTGCTTCACAAATGCACAGAGATAATGTAGTAGCCTGTTCACTTGCTGCTTTCACCTATTATTTCTGCAGTCACCTCTCACTGAGTGCTCCATAGTCCTGAGACAAGACAGAAATTAACCCCAGGGGAGGCAAATCTATATAGTGTCTGGGAGAGACGAACTGCTCTAGTCTTTCCTCAGCTATCTACTCTCATGCACCTGAATCACACATGCCAATTAGAAACAGATGCAGATAGCATATACCCTTAGTAGTCAAGCCTTCTGTTCTAAAAAGCACGTTGATCTTTGGTTTCCTAGTGCTTGAACTAGAATAAATGCTAACTTTGGATCATTTCTCCTAAATGCACATGTGGCATCCCACAAACTGTGTATGGTTTATAGATACAATATAGGGATTCATAGAGCATTTCCACATATAGAAGTATTCTACTCCAACTGCACAAGGTAATCAATAAAGAAGCTAATTTTCTGGCTCAGAAAGAAAATTCCCCCACCCTCTAATACTGCAGATGACTGTGTGTGTGCCGTCACAGGGTCCCCATATGGAGAAGTCTTGTTTTCACGGGGGTTTAAAGCCCTGGACTTTAGTTTGCCATGCAGTGATGCAACTCACGGTGTTTCAGAACAGACAGGGCGGAGAGAAGCTGGAATCACTACTTGTGCATTCTATGTGGACTCCAAAGCCCTCACTCTCTCATTCTAGCTCCTATCCTCCTGCCTGGAGGACAGCCAAACAAATATTAAGCTAGATATTATTGAGTGCCTCTTGCATTCCAGGCCTATACTAGGAATGTTATCTAATTTAACCTTCTTAACAACTCTGTAATACAGAGAGTATTTTTATTAGCTGGGTTCCCTAGAAAACAGAGCATTGAGCAAGGATTAAGGGGCTAATGCTTCATTTGGAAGAGGTGTTCTCAGGGCAGTGAGAGTGAGGGAAATGTCCAACAGACAGGAAAGGCTAGGAAACAAGCAAAGAGAGTTATTATTTCACTGGCCACTGTTTCATCACAAGCCTTGAAGAGACACAGCTGACTGACTGCTCAGCATGTCCACCCAGTCATATATGGGGGGTATCTTTTCACAAGCTGTATGGAGAAACCATGTTTTAGAAGATTGCTTCAGAGGGAGAAAAGGAGAGGAAATATATTTGCCTGACTTAGTCTTCTGTCTCCCATTGGTTAACATTTGCCCTGAGGGTCAGCAGGATTTAACTCCTTCATTCCTCCAGGTTGTTTCATCAAGCCCTTGTAGTAGGTGCTCTGGATGCCAGATTCTGCTCCTTCTGGTGTGGCACTTCACTGGAGTATGGAAGTGGCTGAAGGAGCCAAACTACAAAAATGTGATTTATCAGCTTCATAAAGTTGGTCAGTATATCAACTGAGTCTTTCAGGAAGCAGATGTTGAAATGGAATTAGGAGTGCATGAGGTTTATTGGAGGTGCAATTCCTAATGAATGAAGCGAAAAGAAGGATCAGGCAGAGAAAGCTTTCAGACCATAATGTAGAACTGACACCTGCGAAAGGCAAGTGGGAGGAATAAGATAAGGGGGAGGGAGAGCCATGAACTGGTGCAGATCTGACAAAGTCTCAGCCAATCCTCAAAATAGCCAGGGCCTTGCCTACCATGCTCAGACATTGGCTAAGGGCCTCCAAGGAAGAGCATGGTCTCAGCTCGAAAGCTGGAGTGCTAACACTTGGACAATGTCACCTAACTGCGTTCCTTGAGGCCCATCAGCAAGTTCTTTCTCAAAGGGAGATCAGAGCAGTGTACCTCCATGGCTGCCACAGTTGGCTACAAAGGCAGCTGAAGTGAAGCCAGTAGATGAGATCAAGAGACAAGTGAAGAGAAGAAAATTTGAGGAAGTCCAAAAGATATGTCTGATAAAAGATTGTCCCCATTTAAGATATGCAAAAGATACTCAATACATTATATAAATTATTTAAAGACAGTGCTGGTAAGTCTAGTTTCCAGGATTTGAGCTCAGTTTTATCTGAAGTGGAGGCATTTGATTCTCCTGATTCAGCTCTGGTATCATACAAATTTGTGGCAGGCAAGATACTAATGAAGTTTCTGCTAAGGGAATCCTGTAATTTGATTAGGTGTGTCTCCTGGCTATTGTTGTTTCTCATTTTGTAGCATTCAAACCTGGTTCCCTGGTCTTTCTGGAGATTCTGAAAACTCCTTAAACATCTATATCTTTTTTTCTATTTAAAACAGCTAGAACCTGATTGATGGCTACAATAAAGGGCCCTTGCCAGGACAGTACTCTTTTTTTTAAGTGTTTGTTTGCTTGTTTTTATTTGTTTGTTTTAGAGATGAGGTCTCCTGCCTCAGCCTCCTGAGTAGTTGGGGACTAGAGGTGCCC
The DNA here is from genome assembly GCF_000001405.40 of Homo sapiens. Lineage (NCBI taxonomy): Eukaryota > Metazoa > Chordata > Mammalia > Primates > Hominidae > Homo > Homo sapiens. The sequence continues at coordinate 43,425,092 of NC_000023.11, read as the reverse complement.
ACCGCCATGTCTGACTTACTTTTTATTAAATATTTTCTGGATGAAGTTCCAGAAGTTCATGGAGTATAGTTTGTTAAATTAAGATGGTGACATAGTTGGCAGAAAAATGAACCCAAGGCCAACCCATTATATCTTATTCCTTTTAATTTCTGGTTTCCTACTATTATGAAGAACCACAGATTTCCAGGTATCCCAGGTATCCGATATGGTTCTTTTCAGATATCATGGAATGGTTAAGGGTAAGCTGAGGAGTATGAAAGAGGCAACTGAGTCACCAGAGTGTCATGGTCCCAGTGTTGTGTTGCAGCCTATCTATTTTGGCTCATGAGTGCTGATTTGTAAATTTTCTGGAATTTTGCAAATGTTCATAGCCTGAAATTGATTAGGGCAGAGTATTTGCACCATGAATATTGGGAAAACCTACACATAAGCCTTTGCCCCCACCCCCATCCCCTAGCTTGCTAAAGAGCCAATTTCTCAGTGTTAGCTAAAATTTACCTCCATAGCTCTTGAAATGCATTTCTTCCCTTGGTACTCTGTGGGATCTTAGAAATCCACTGTTCTATGGGATCAGATTTGATGTTTGTGGTACGATATGAGAGGCATAGAGATCTGCCTCCTGCCCTGTAATTCCCCATCTCCACTGTTGCTATGTGACAAACCACCCCAAACTAAGTGATGTTAAGCAACAAAATTTGTTATGCTCACAGAATCTGTGGGTCAGGGGTTCATATGGGACGGAGTAGGGATGGTTTGTCTGTGCCACACCATACACAGAGCCCCCAATGGAAATATTTGAATGACTAGGGATGAACTGAATGGCTAGGGATGGAATAATTTGGAAGCTTCTTCACTCACATACCTGACATCTGGGCTGGGATGACTCAAAGCCTAGCTCATCTGAAGCTATCAACTGGAACACTACACATGGCCTCTCCATGGGCTTGAGCTTCTTACACCATGGCAGTTGGATCCAAGAGGAAACATCCTAAGAGGGATGTCTAGAGACTGAGTGTTTAAAGAACCTGTTGTAAGTTGCATGACCTTTTATGACTCAGGCTTAGAAGAAACATTGCATCACTCTGTAAGTGTTCACATGTCCACCCAGATTCAAGGGAAAGGACTCAACCTCTTGATTGAAAATGTCACAAGAATTTAGAGCAGTGTTTTCAACCATGCCCTTCTCAACACATAATTGTCAAAAATTTTGAAATACTACTACTACTTAGGATTCATTCTTCTAAATCAAACATTGTTACCAATCAAAACACAACTTCTCCTGGAAATCAATCTTGTATCAGTATATCATAGATGCTCCCAGATTTTTTTTTTGTTTGTTTGTTTTTTGTTTTTTGTTTTTTTTTTTTTTTGAGACGGAGTCTCGCTCTGTCGCCCAGGCTGGAGTGCAGTGGTGCGATCTCAGCTCACTGCAAGCTCCGCCTCCCTGGTTCACACCATTCTCCTGCCTCAGCCTCCCGAGTACCTGGGACTACAGGCGCCTGCCACCACACCCGGCTAATTTTTTTTTGTATTTTTTTTTAGTAGAGACAGGGTTTTACCATGTTAGCCAGGATGGTCTCGATCTCCTGACCTCGTGATCCACCCACCTCGGACTCCCAAAGTGCTGGGATTACAGGCGTGAGCCACCACGCCTGGCCTCAGATGTTTTTTAATGTGATAGCCAGACTAGAGCAGATCACCATGGGCTGGAGGAATCAGAGAACATGCAAGACCTGGGTGCTTAGGACAGGAAAGTGTGAGGGGAGATATGTGGGGACAGAAGAGTTACCTCTCAAATTTGCATGTAGCTAGTCCTCCTTGTTGCTTTCATAGGGAAAAGTGCAGAGTGCAGAAAAGTTACTCATCTCTCAGAAGCCCTCAGGGAAAGGAGAGACTCCCCACTTCCATAACCACTAGTCTCTTGTTTGTCTGTCTCTAAGTCTCTGAGCTAAGTTCTGGGATGCACTGGCAACAAGAAATGACACACTCCCTACTCTCCAGGTACTTGCCATCTAGTGGGAAAAGTCCAGACAAATAAATGGATGTGTTTGTTGTGATAAACATAAGGATAAAAGTAAGATACTGTGGGACCACAGAGGAGAGGCAGCCAACCCAAACTGAGAAATAAGGAGTGGCTTTGAGGATGAGGTGGGGTGGCCCTGTAGTAGGTAAGGATTTCCCGAGTAAATGGCTGTATGGAAGGGCACCCGGGCAGAGGACTTGTGCTGCCCAGCCATAGGAAAATGTTTGGGTTTCTCATATTTCAAAATGGCTGGAGCCTGCAGTACAACAAGGGATGGTATGAGAGGAGGCTGATTAAAAATTGAAGTAGGGCTGACATTCTTCTTAGGCTGCGCTGTTTAAACTCTATTCTGTAGGTTGTAGGGAGTCATTTGAGCATTGTGTGGTTGAATATGATATGTAAGGATTTGCATTTGCAAAGATTACTCTGGCTAAAGTTTGGAAACTGGTTTGGAGTGGGAAAGGTATGAAGGTAGAGGCACTAGTTAAGATATGGCTTACTATAACAGAAGTTACGCATACTTATATTACTATAGTAACATAGGTAATGGTGGGGAGTACATAGACAGGAATATAGATTCAGGATATATCATGGAGGTACATTTGTCTTGTCTTAGTGACTGATTAGATTTGGAAACTTAAGTAAAACTGGTAATCTGTGATGGCTGGGGGCAGGGGTAATGTCACCTTTCACACAAATAAGCAATGCAGAGGATGGAGGGAGAAGGGTGGAAGAGATAGGCACAGTGATAAATGAATGCAGCTTTAGACCTATTACACTGGAGTAACCTGTAAGGCAACCAGATGAAATATATAGAGAGAGGTCTGGAGGAACAGATTTAAAAGTCATTAGCATACAACCACATGGTGAATGAATCCACAGAAATTAATGGGTTTGCCTAGGATGGGTATAGAGTGAAAAGAGAAGACTGTCAAGAACAGGACCCCAGGGAGCAGTGATTTTATGGAATGGACAAAGGAAGAATGGCTGCAAAGGAGACTAAGAGACTGAACAGGGACAACTGAAGGAAAGGAGAAAAATTAAAAAAAGAATAGCCCCAGGAAATTTCCTGTTGGGAAAATTAAGGATTTCAGAGTAATGGAAGAAATGGTTCACTTCCACTTGGAAACAAAAAGAGGATCTGTGAAAAACACTCTGTAAGGGAGATGCTACCCTTGGGGAATTAGTAACTGAAGGATAAACCTGTGCATTTATATAACTCTCTGATTGTTGAATATACTCTATTTTCAGCTGCAGCACATTTTATAAAGCTGACAGATTAGGTTCATGATACAGTTCAATTTCCTTTTAATTTCATGATTTTTACTTGTTTTTCTGTCTTAAACCATGCACAGTGTAACCATAACAATGACAACAATAATAAATAAAATGATCCATAATCCTTTAATTTCCAAATAAACTGTTTTTTGTTTTTAATATTATTTGTCTGTAAGAAATTTTATAGCTATAATATTAACATTTTTATACTGCTAAATTTGCTTGTTTACAAATGTGGTAAGTGTATTTCAACATAGATACATAGGTATTAAGAACTGTGATTTTAAATATCTGCATAATATTCTGTTATATGGTAATGCTATAATTTACTGTCCATTTCTCTATTTTTTAATATTTAAACTGTTTCTAAATTTGCTAAATTGAATGCATTTATGCATAATGAGTCTCTCTAGACACTCCTAGAGTTAAGGAATTTCATTACAAATTTGAATAATTCTGAAATTTCAGGATAATATTATAATACAGTGATTCAGAACTGAGCTCAAGGTTTAGTTCAATTATGTCTTTGGTTTTCGTTATTGCCATGGTTGAAATCATCCTTCACAAGGGCTATAATATAAAATAGACACTTTGGGAGATGTTTATTGTTAATAATTGTATATGTGAATTCATATTTCAAATAATCTCATTGTTAATCTTACAAGTTCGTTAGCTTCTGGGCAAGTCTGAGTAAATCCTCATTGTTTGTTTTTTTAAAATCTCATTTACTGTCCAAAGAAGAGTTTGTACTAGGAGTAGAAGTTTTGGCCCTGCCTTTTTATTTTTGTTTGCTTGAGCTTACATTATTAGTGTTACCTTAAAATCGTGTTTGATGAATCTATCTGTCTGTCTCTGCCTGTTTATCTGTCTATCCATTCATCCACCCATCCATCCATCCATCCATCTGGCAGAAATAATTTCTAGACCCTTAACCACTTTATGACGGTTTGTTTAGCTAAAACCAGATTATATGAGCCATTAATTTTCTTAACTGTGTAGATGTAAACAGCAATCTATTGTAACATGCTACATTATGCAGTCTGATGAGAGAGGCACTGAACCATGAGCGACCCATGACTCTAGATTTGTGGATCAAATAAGGATGCCTTATAGTAAATAATGGTAGAGCTTTCTGCTTTTTAATTCATACATCAATATAACTTGAAATTCTAATATTTCTTCCTGATATGGTTTGGCTCTGTCCCCATCCGATTCTCATCATGAATTGTAGTTCCCATAATCCCTACATGTCGTGGGAGGGACCCAGTGGGAGGTAATTGAATTGTAGGGGCAATTACCCTCATGCTGTTCTTGTGATAGTGAGTGAGTTCTGATGAGATCTGAGGGCTTTATAAGGGGTCCCCCATTTGCTTGGCCCTTCTCTTTCCTGCAGCCATGTGAAGAAGGACATGTTTGCTTCCCTTTCCCCCATGATTATAAGTTTCCTGAGGCCTCCCCAGCCCTGTGGAACTGTGAGTCAATTAAGCCTCTTTCCTTTATAAATTACCCAGTCTTGAGTATTTCTTCACAACATCATGAAAATGGACTAATACACTTCCCTCCTCCAAGTGTATTCTCTCCAAGTGTATCACCCTTGAGTATAAGCATCCCACTTTAGAGACCACTGCTCCAAAAGTCTTCCTGGTCTTGACACTCTGATTAGCTTCTGCTGTTGTCTGCTGTCCAGCAATTCTCTGGAACAGTGGGTTAGAGAGAGTTCTTTCTACAGAGTAAGTAGAACCCTTCAGTAATGAGAAAGCATTACTAAGTATAGTTTTTTTCTGAAATTTTAAAACAATAGCAACCTAATCATCACCATGTATAAATGTATATTACTGATAATGCATCATATATTGTTGCTAGTTAGGAATCACTGGTACACGACTGAACTATTTGTATAATTGAGAACCAATATTTTCAAGTCCATGCAGCACTATAAAACTTAGTTGGTGTAGTTACTAGACATCACCCAAGAATGAGGCCCTTTTTCTTTGCTTTCTAGTTTTTGTCTTGCTCTTAGTCATTGATTCATCCATTCATTCAACAAGATTGTAAAGAGCACCTTCAATAATAATAAATAAAAGCTAATATGTATTGATTTGGTGCTTTGTGCCAGTCCATTTTCTAAGCACTTCAAATGCATTAACTCCTTTAACTCTCACAGTAATCCTAGGGGAGATTTTTAGTGATTCCATATACAATCCCTATTTGCCACAGACATTTTCAAATTCCCTTAAGTTTGCTGGCTCACAAGGCCCCAGTAACAGTGAAGCTAATATATCAACCTGCATATGCTGCAAAGCCCTTTCTTGCTCTAGAAAACACACTTGAAACTGGCAGCCTTGTGGGTATGTTGGCAAATGGGGCTAAACAGCATGCCCAAATGTAGTTGTTGGTGAGGCACATGGTCATACAGCTAGAAAGTAGCTTCAATAAACTAAGGACCATGCTAAGTAAGCCACAGCAATAGACAGAGAAAGACACAACCTGCTCTAAAGGCGCTCCCAGATATGTGGACTAGACAAAGAGATTATTGCTTAGCAGTGAGCTGTCTATTATAGATGTTAATATAGAGTCTCTGGAAAATACATTGGAAATCAGCCTTTTTAGATTCTGGAGGCAACAACTACCACATTTGGGCATGCACAGTCTTGAAATAGCTCCTCTAAGATATTTATTAATTACAGAGAGAAAAATAGTAGCCTCACGGAGGAAAAATGCTACAGACACACAACCAAGTGATCAAGGTGACCATCACTAGTTATAAGATATATTGACCTCATGTGTGCCCTGATAAGATACACAAAAAAGAGAACAACAACTCTATGGTACTCCATACTGCCAAATGCATAACCTCAATAAAATCATGAGAAATATCACACAAACCCATGTTGAGGGACATTCTACAAAATGTACTCTTCAGTAGTGACTTTTCTACTTTCCAGTATTCTTCAAAAATGTCGTCATAAATAACAAAGAAAGACAGGAACTCTCTCAGATTGGAGGAAATGAAAGAATCTTGAAAGGTTAATCCAATATGGGATTCTGGATTGGATCCTGGAACAGGAAAAGGACTTTAGTGGAAAAGTTGGTAAAATTCAAATAAAATCTATAAGTTAATAGAGTTGTGTCACTGTTAATTTCCTAGTTTTAATCATTGTACTATGGTTATATAAGATGTTAACATTAGGGAGAGCTGAGTGAAGGGTGTATGGGAGCTCTCTGGGCTATTTTTACAACTTCTTTGTAAGTCAAATATTACTTTAAAATAAAATTCTAAAAAATTTACGGAAATAAACAGTACCAGAGAATAGACTAGGTTCCAGTCCTATCTCCTAATAACTAGCTATGTGACTATGGACAATTCCATGTTTTCTGGGAACAGCGAAATCAATGAATTGGATTGCCAAGGTGCTTTTCAGAGCTAATATTCCATGACTTGATAATTCATTCATACACTTAAGTATCTATTCTTTCATCAAATATAGCATTGTGCTTAGCATGAAACAGGTACTCTCTAAACATGAAATACAGAAATGAATAAGGCATTATTGTCACCTTAAGTTCACAGTTACAAGGAAAATACAGGTAAGGAAGCTTTTAAAATATAGCAATATAAGAGCTGCAGTAGAGACATATTCAAAATTCTGGTGGCCCGGAAAAGATGGGTTCATCTCCATGTAAAGATTGAAGGAAGGTTTTGAAGATTAGGTGATACTTAAGCTAGGACCTCGAAGATGGGTTGTGGTTGTTTTTCTGTAAGACTGGTTTATTTCTACTCTCTCCCCATTTTCACCCCAACAGCCCCAGTATAATCCTGGTTTGCTTTACAAAAAAGAAGAGTCAAAGGCAAGGAACAGCATTTATAAATTTGGAACATTCAAGAAGTGAAATACAGCTGGAGCAAGAAATGACTGACATGGGGTGAGTGTTGAAGGATGATGTGCTGGAGACATGGCAGGGATCACACATAGATTCCCCCAAATGCTAAATTGAGATGTGTGGGCAGCATTCTGAGAACCTAGTAATTTACTAAAATTTTTTGAATGTTTTTATTGAAGTATAGCATATGTAGAGAAAAGGGCACAAATTATAAGTATGCAGATCAATGAATTTTGACAACATGAGAACATTTATATAACCAGTATCCAGATCCAAGAACTAGAGCATTACCAGCATTTCAAAAGCAGCCCCGCACCTTGTGCCCTGTCCTTTCAATACTTCATTTCCCCAATAGTAACTGCAAACCTAACTCCTAACACCTATTTTTCGCCTGCTTTTGAAATTTATACCAATGAAATAATATATTGTATTCTTTTGTGTGACTTATTTAACTTAATATTATGGATATGAGAGTCATCCTTATTGTTGCATATAGTTGTGTATAATTCATTCATTCCTGTTGCTGTATAATATTTATTGTGTAAATTTAATAGAATTTGTTTATCCATTTTACCATTGATGGGAATTCTATAGTTTCCAGGTTTGGGCTATAATGAATAGTGCTGTTATGAACATTCTTATACATGTTTTGGTGAACATGTATACAAATTCCTGTTGGCTCTATGCCTAGCAGTGGACTTTCTGGGTCATTAGCATGCATATATTAAACTTTAATAAATACTGCAAAAGAGTTTTCCAAAGAAATTCTCACAAATTATACCCCTGCTGGCAGCATATGAGAGTTTCAATTGCTCTACATCCTTGCCAATTCTTGATATTACCTATTGGAAGTTTGAATTTGCACTTGCTTGATGACATTGAGCACATATGAATGGTTTTCAAAAAGTTCATGGAAAATGTGTATTATGAAAAAACTATGCATGAATTTCAAAAGATTTTTGCACCAAAATAATCTCATACTAACTTGTTAAAACATGTCTGAACAGGATCTAGTTTGAGGCACTAAGAAAGATAAGACATTACTTTGAAAAGAACCCCTATCAGAGCAACATGAATTCTGCTAAAACTGAAGCAAGAACCAACATCAAATTTGTGATGAAGTTTGATTGGAAGAGTGATGAAATCATTGATGCTTTACAAAAAGTTTATGGGGGCAATGCTGCAAAAAAATCAGCAGTTTACCATGGATAACTCATTTTAATAAGGAACGAGATGATGTTGAAGATGAAGTCTGCAGTGGCAGCTCATCCACATCAATTTGCTAGTAAAAAATTTATCTTGTTCGTGCCCTAATTGAAGAGGATTGAGGGACCGAGGATTAATAGCACAAATGAAAGCCAATACCATAGATATCTCCATTGGTCCAGCTTACACAATTCTGACTAAAAAATTAAAGTTGAGGAAATTTTCCACTTGACAGGTGCCAAAACTGTTGTGCCCATATTAGCTGTAAATAAGAGCAGAGTTTCAATGGGTTTTTGTTTTTTTTTTTGAGACAGGGTCTCACTCTGTCACTCTGGTTGGAGTGCAGTGGTGAGATTACAGCTTACCACAGTCTCAGCCTCCTGGGCTCAGGTGATCCTTGCACCTCAGCCTCCTGAGTAGCTGGGACTACAGGTACATGCTGCTGTGCTCAACTAATTTTTTTTGTGTCTTTTTTTTTTTTTTTTTTTTTTTTTTTTGTAGAGCTTCCCCAGGCTGGTCCCAAACTCCTGGCTTCAAGCAATCCTCCTACCTTGGCCTCCCAAGGTGCTGGGATTACAGGCATGAGCCACCACACCCAGCCTCAATGGAAATTTTAAACAAGTGGGATCAAGATCCTGAAGCATTTCTTTGAACAACTGTAACAGGAAATGAAACATGGCTTTACCAGTATGATCCTGAAGACAAAGCACAATCAAAGCAGTGGCAACTAAGAGGTGGAAGTGGTCCTATTAAAGCAAAAGCAGACCAGTCAAAAGCAAAGGTCATGACAATAGTTTGGGGGATGCTCAAAGTATTATGCTTGTTGACTTTCTGGAGGGCCAAAGAATTATGATATCTACTTATGAGGATGTTTTGAGACAGCTGGCCAAAGCTGTAGCAGAAAAATGCCCAGGAAAGTTTCACCAAAGACTCCTTTTGCACCATGGCAATGCTGCTCAGTCCTCTCATCAAACAAGGGCAATTTTTATGAGAGTTTTGATGGGAAATCAGTATTGTAAGGTGTATGCCTAATACACCTTACAATACTGATTTGGCTCCTTCTGACTTCTTATTGTTATCTAATCTTAAAATATCTTTAAAGGGCACCCACTTTTCTTCAGTTAATAATCTACAAAAGACTATTGACGTGATTAAATTCCCAGGACCCTCAGTTCTTTATGGATAGAATAAGGGACTGGTATTATCATTTACAAAAGTGTCTTGAACTTGATGGAAGTTATGTTGAGAAATAAAATGTATGTATTTTTATTTTATTTTTATTTTTATCTTTTAATTCCATTTTCACAAACTTTTAAAAGTCCCCTTGTATTCATATATTCACACACTGGCCATTTGGATATCCTTTCTTTTCAAACTTCCTCTTCAAGTGTTTTGCCTATTTTTCCATCAGGTTGTCTGTCTTTAAAAGGTTTTCAGACAAGGAGTGGTTTGATTATCCTAGTCAACTAAAGCTGCCATAACAAAACACCACGAACTGGGTGGCTTAAACAACAAGAATTTATTTCTCACAGTTCTGGGGACTCCGAAGTACATGATCAAAATGACAGTTGATTTGGTCCCCTGATAAGTACTCTCTGGATTGCAGACAGCCATCTTCTCAGTGTCCTCACTGAGACAGAAAGAGGTCTGGTCTCTTTTCCTGCTCTTATAAGGGCACTAATCCCATCATGGGGCCCTCAGCCTCATAACATCATTTGAACATAATTATCTCCCAAAGGTCCCACCTCTAAATACCATGACATTGGAGGTTAGGGCTTTAACATATGAATTTTGAAGGGACACAAACGTTGAGTCCATAACAGATATGGCTTGTATTACAGGAGAGCCTCTTTTTTTGTTATTTTCTTGGTTATGGTTTTTCTTGTAAGGGATTCCAGATTTCATAAAGCATCTTGGGCATTATTGGCTGACATTGGCTGCATTCCTATTATTTTCTTTTCTTTGTTTGATACAATGTCTCACTCTATTGCACAGGCTGGAATGCAGTGGCATGAACAACCGCAGCCTCAACCTCCTGGGTTTAAGTGATTCTCCCACCTCAGCCTCCTGAGTAGCTGGGACTATAAGCTTGTGCCACCAAGCCCGGATAATTTTTTAATTTTTTTGTAGAGACTGGGGTCTCACTTTGCTACCAAGGCTGGTCTTGAACTCCTGGGCTCAAGCGATCCTCCCGCCTTGGCTTCCCAAAGTGCTGGGATTACAGGCATGAGCTGCTGCACCTGGCCATTCCTATTATTTTCAAACATTTATATAAAATGTGGAGTTACATATCTACTATATTAATTTTTGTAATACTTAAGAATTAAAGAGTGGGAGACAAATTCTTGAGTACTTTGCACTCTTAAATATATTATTTAATATTCATAAAACTATACAAAATAATTATTAGTTTCCCCATTTTATAGTTAGAAATTTAGGCATAGAGAGAATAAGTAAACTTGAACAAGGCCACTGATAGAAAATTCTAGATCCAAGCCCTAAGCCATTGGATGAATTCATTTTGTGAACTTCAGTTCAGTCCAAGGATTAAAACTTATCTTGAGGCAGAAACCACTTTGGCTCATCATATGCAGATAATACTTTCAAGAATGGGTTTATTCTTTAGTCTATACCACTGGTTTCTTAAAATGTTTGGTTTATGGAGCCTTTAGAGGCTTTGGTGTGTGTGATGTTAATGACTTTCACAGACAGAGACTAGTTTTCCATCTGGCTTAGTGGTGAGGTTTTTATTTGATGGAATGCCAGAACAAAAAGCAATAAACCAGATTTCTGGTTTTAGCTCAACATATAAAGATTCTCTAAGTCATTACTCCCATCCTTACAATGATAAAAAAGCCCAGCAAACTGAAAATTAATGAATTGTCTCGAACCAATCAGAGAATTAAGGCCGCAAGCCCACCTGCCACACAGAGAGACAAGTGAACCTAGAGAGTTACTGCCAATATCACTGTCTTAGTCAGTTCAGACTACTATAGCAAAGTACCATAGACTGGGTGGCCTATAAACAACAGAAATTTGTTTCTCAAGGTTCTCTTATAAGGGATACATATGTACATATACTTATTCCAGAGACACTGGAAGTCTGAGATCAGGGTGCTAGCATGGTCGGGTTCTGGTGAGAGCCCTCTTCTGGGTTGCAGATTGTTGTCTTCCTGTACCCCCACATGGTGGAAAGAGGGTGAGAGAGCTCTCTGGGATCCCTTTTATAAGCACACTAATTCCATTCATAAGGGCTCCACCCTCATGATCTTATCATCTCACAAACACCCCACCTCCTAATCCCATCACATTGTGGATTATTATTTCAACATATAAATTTGGGAGGGACACAGATATTTAGCATATTGCACCAACTATATCAATAATCATTTAAAATATGAATGGTCTAAATATATCAATTAAAATAAAGAGGTTGGGATACAAAAGACCCAACTGTTTATTGTTTCCAAAAAATCTGCTATAACATCATGAATAAAACAGGTTACAAGTAAAGGGATGAAGAAAAATATGTTATATTAACATTAATAAAATGAAAGCTGGAGTAGCTATATTAATCTCAGGCAAAGCAGTTTCAGAACAAGGAAAATTATCATGGATAAAGAGAAGCATTATTTCATGATAAAGGGGCAAATTCCCAAGAAGACATAACAATCTTTATTGTGTATGCACCTAACAGCTAAGTGCCAAAATAGGTGAGGCAAAAACTGATAGTACTAAAAGGAAAAATGAAAAAGTTCACTATTATAGTTGGAAATTTCAACACTTCAATTTCAGTAATTGATACACTAAGAAAGTAAAAAATCAGCAAGGATAGATCAATAAGGATAGTGCTGAATAGAACTATCAATCAATTTGATCGATTTGGCATTTATAGAACATTCAATCCAAGTGCAGTGATTGAAGTGAACATTCATTCTCAAGCTTACATGGACTATTTGCCTAGATAAAGCATATTCTGGACCACATAACACACTTTATCAAATTTAAAATGGTATAATACAATGTATATCTCCAAGCACAATGGAATTAAACTAAAAATCAATAACAGGAGAGCTGGTAACCTCAAAATATTTGGAAATAAAACCACACACTTCTAAATAACACATAAATCAAAGAAGAAGTCTCATGATAAATTAAAAATATTTTAATTAAATGAAAACTTAAAAATACTTATCAAAATATATGAAATGTGGTGAAGGTAGTGCTTAGTGGGACATATATACCATTAAATGCATATATTAGAAAGAAACTGTAAACTCAGCAACACAACATTTCATACTAGAAAATTAGAGATAGAAGAGAAATGTATGCCTCAAGCAATCTTGCAGAAGAAAAAAATAACAAAAATTAGAGCAGAAACCAATGAAACTAAAATCAAGAAAACAATAGAAAAATATCAACAAACCTAAAAGATGTTTCTTAGAAAAATCAATAGAATTTATAAACTTCTATACAGGCTGACCAATAATAAAAGAAAAAAAAACAGTAATTACCAATATCAGTAATACATTTAGGTCATCACTACTGAGCCTGTGGATACTAAAAGGAAAATAAAAGGAGTACTATGAATAACTCTGAACAACTCTGCACCCGCAAGCTTGATAATTCACATGAAATAAACCAATTCTTAGACAAAAACTACTAAAGCTCACACAAGAAGAAACAAATAACTTGAATAGCCCTAATGAAGACATTGAATCAATAATGAATAATCTCCACCCAAAAGAAAAAGCCATGCCTAGATAGTTTCACTGGTAAATTCCTCTAAACATTTAAGAAGAAATGATACCAATTCTCCATAATGTCCTCCAGAAAATAAAAACAAAGTTTACACTTCCAAAATCATTCTATGAAACCAATATTACCCTAATAAAAAAACCTAATTCCAAAGGACATTATGAGAAAAAAAAACTAAAGACCAATATCTTCTATGAATATAGATTAAACATTGTCAGTAAAATATTAGCAAAAAAAAACCCCAAAAATGTATAAAAAGAATTATACACCATGACCAAGTAGGATTTACTTCAAGTATGGAAGACTTGTTAAACATTTGAAATTAAATGAATGCATTTTACCATTTCAATGAGCTAAAGAAGAAAATTCACATGATTCTGTCAATTGATGCAAATAAATTATTTTACAAAATCCAAATATCACTTAGCAAACTAGGAATAGAGGCAATTTTTTTTCAACTTGGTTAAAAGAATACCTATAAAAACCTACAGCTAACATCAAATGTAATAATAAGAAGGTAGACACTTTTCATGCAAGATTCAGAACAAAGTGGGAATGTGATCTTTCACCACTCCTATTTTACATCACACTGGAAATCCTGACTTGTGTGGTAAGACAAAAAATGAAAGACAGAATAAGAAATAGAGGAGGAGGGGGAGAGGGAAGAAAGAAAGGAAGGAAGGAAGAAAAAGAAAAAAGGTATATAGATTTAGAAGGAAGCAATAACACTGTTTTTGTTCACAGATGACTGGATTGTGCAGATTATTCCAAAGAATTAACATTCTGCAATTAACAAGAGGGTATAGCATGGTCCTGAAATACAAGCTTAATATCCAAAAGTCAATTACTTTCTTATATATCAGCAAAGAACAACTGGAATTTGAAATTAAAATAACAACAATTAAAATAGCACCAAAAATTGAAATGGGTACAAATTTAACAAGTAGATACAGGATCTATATGTGGAAAATTATAAAACTCTGATAAAAGAAAAGATCTAAATAAATGGAAAGATATTTTAATTTTTATTGATTGGAAAACTCAATATTATTAAAATATAAATTCTTCCCAACTTGATCCACAGATGCAATGCAATATCAATAAATTCCTAGCAAATTATTTTGAAATATCTATAAACTGATTGTAAAGTTTATATAAAAAGCAAAAGATCTAGAATATCCAACATGATAATGAAGAAAAAGAACAAGTTGCAACACTCTCGCTACCTGATTTCAAGTCTTAATATAAAACTACAACAATCAAGAAAGCATAGTGTAAGTGAAAGAATAGACACACTGATCAATGGAACAGAATTGATAGCCCATATACAGACCAATATTAATATAGTCAGTTGATTTTTGACAAAGAAGCAAAGGCAATTTAATGAAGAAAGAATATTGTTTTAAACAAATGGTGCCAGAACAATTGGATGTCCCCACCATGGGGGGAGAAACCTACTCATAGACCTTACACCTTTCAGAAAAATGAACTCAATATGGATTATAGACCTAAATGAAAATGGCAAAACTATAAAACTCCTAGAAGAAAACATAGGAAGAAATATAAGTGACCTTAGGATGATGATGAATTTTTAGATACAATACCAAAAGCATGATCTATGAAAAAAAAGAAATTGATGTTGGATTTTGTTAAAATGAAAAAAATTTGCTCTGTGAAAGACTATGTTAGAGAATGAAAAGGCAAGCCATGGTCTGGGAGAAAATATTTTCAAAAAAAAATCTGATAAACGACTTGTACCCAAAATTTATAAATAACACCTAAAACATCCACCTAATTTAAAAAAAATAGATCTGAACAGACATCTCATCAAAGAAGACATGCAAATGGCAAATAAATATACAAGAAGATGTTCAACATTATTTGTCATCAGGAAATTACAAATTAAAACAACAGTGAGATACCACTACACACCTACTGAAATGGTAAAATCTAAAAAACTGACAATTCCAATTCTGACTAGGATGTGGGACACAGGAACTCTCATTCACTGCTGACAGGAATGCAAAATGGTACAGCCACTTTGAAAATAGTTTGACAGTTTCTTTCAAAGCTAAACATATTTTACCATACAATGGAACAATCATGCTCCTAAAAATTTCCCCAATTAATTTGAAAACCTATGTCTATGCAAAAACTTGTATGGGCCATGTGCGGTTGCTTATGTCTGTAATCCCAGCACTCTGGGAGGCCAAGGCAGGCAGATCGTTTGAAGCCAGGAGACCATCTTGGGCAACATGGCAAAATCCAATCTCTACAAAAAATACAAAAAAAATTAGCTGGGGATGGTCGCACATGCCTGTAGTCTCAGCTACTTTGGAGGCTGAGGCAGGAGGATCACCTGACCCCAGGAGGTTGAGGCTGTGGTGAGCTGTGACTGCACCATGGCACTCCAGCCTTGTCAATAGAGTTAGACGCTGTGACAAAACAAAAACAAAAAACTTGCACAATATTATTTATGTCGGTTTTATTCATAATTATCAAAAACTCAAAGCAACTAAGAAATTCTTCAATAGCAGAATGGATAAACAAACTGGGGGACATCTATACAATGGAATATTATTTAGGGATAGAAAGAAATGAAACTGGGCAGGGTGGTTGGTGCATGCTGTAGTCCAAGGTACTTGGGAGGCTAAGGCAAGAGAATTGTTTGAGGCCAGGAGCTGGAAGATGCAGTGAGCTATGATCATGGCACTGCACTCCAGCCTGGGTGACAGATTGAGACCCCATCTCAAAAAACAAAGCAAAACAAAAATTTTAAAAAAGAAATGAGCTATGAAGTCATAAAAAGACATGGATGAATTTTAAACACATATTGTTAGGTGAAACAAGCCAGTATGAAAAGGCAAATTACTGTAGTATTCTAATTATATGACATCCTAGGAAGAACAAACCTGTAGTGACAATAAAAACATCAGTGGTATCCAGGGTTTGTGGGAAGGAATGTAAGGTTCAAAAGACAATGCACAAGGTTTTCGTGTTTGTGTTTTAGGATGGTGAAAATATTCTCTACAATACTGTAATTGTAATAACATGGCACTGTGCAGTATGTCTAAACACAATGTATACAAACTAACTGTATACTTAATGTATACGAACTAAACAATCATTTAGGAATTAGGAGCATCTCGGGATGGAATGAGGAATGTGACAAAATCATCTAAGTGTATTACAAATATAGGCTGGACTGAGCTGGTTGCCTCCTGTTATTGTGGGGGTGACTCACTTCATCCCAACTTCTTGATACTTTCACTTCTGGAAGTCATATTTCTCTAAGATCTTCCAGAAAAAAGTCTTAAAGCTGCCTTAGCCTTTTTTTTTTACAGTCCAGCTCTTAATTTTTTCCCTCCTATTCCCCAATAATAACATGATCATGAATCCAACCTATGCCCAAAGCCTGCCTTGTTCTGAAGCATCCAACTGTAAAGAATCTTCACCTACGCCGGTGACTTGTGGGCCTGAAGAAAACTATCCATCCCTGCAAATGTCTTCTGCTGAGATGCCTCACTCAGAGACTGTCTCTCCTCTTCCTTCCGCCATGGATCTGCTTATCCAGGACAGCCCTGATTCTTCTACCAGTCCTAAAGGCAAAAAACCCACTTCTGCAGAGAAGAGCACCACAAAAAAGGAAGACAAGGTCCTGGTCAAGAAACAGAAGACCAGAACTGTGTTCCGTTCCACCCAGCTGTGTGTACTCAATGATAGATTTCACGGACAGAAATACCTCAGCCTCCAGCAGATGCAAGAACTTTCCAACATCCTGAACCTTAGCTACAAACAGGTTAAGACCTGGTTCCAGAACCAGAGAATGAAATCTAAGAGGTGACAGAAAAACAACTGGCCAAAGAATAGTAGTGGTGTGACTCAGAAGGCCTCAGCACCTACCTACCCCAGCCTCCACTCTTCCTACCACAAGGGATGCCTGGTGAACATGACTGGAAACCTTCCAATGTGGAGCAACCAGACCTGGAGCAATTCAACCTGGAGCAACCACACCCGGAACATCCATTCCTGGAGCAACCACTCCTGGTGCACCCAGTCCTGGAACAATCAGGCCTGGAACAGTCCCTTCTATAACTGTGGAGATGAATCTCTGCAGTCCTGCATGCAGTTCCAGCCAAATTCTCCTGCCAGTGACTTGGAGGTTGCCTTGGAAACTGCTGGGGAAAGCCATAATGTAATACAGCAGACCACTACGTATTTTAGTACTCCACAAGCCATAGATTTATTCCTAAACTACTCCACGAACATGCAACCTGAAGATACCTGAAGATGAGTGAAATTGATATTACTCAATTTCAGTGTGGACGCTGGCTGAATCCTACCTCTCCTTGCCTCCCCTCCCTCATAGGATTTTTCTTGGTTGGAAACCATGTGTTCTGGTTTCCATTATGCCTATCCAGTCAATTTGATGGAGGGTGGGGTATGACTGGAGCCTAATCAGAGAGGTTTCTTTCTTTATTCCTATTGAATCTTCCTGGAGAAAAGACATTTTAATAACCTTGGCTGCTAAGGACAACATGATAGAAGCTGTCTCTGGCTATAGATAAGTAGATATAATACTAGTTTGGATATCTTTAGGGTTTACAATCTAACCTCAATAATAAGAAATAAAAGTACAAATTGGTGTGATGAAGGTATATTCCTGTTTTTTGGGTTTGGGAGGCTTTACCTATTTTTTTAAAAACTCTATTGAGGTGAAGGGTTAAGCTGTAACATACTACATTTATTTCCTCAGCCCTTTTTGGCTCTGTTTTACTATAGCCCCCATTCTGTTGGTTATGCTAATATTTGTAGAAAGAGGTCTTATATTTGCTGCATCATAATGACATTAGTACTACTTTGGCTGGTATAAGTACAAATGAATAAAACAACCATTTTTCCTTAAAAAAATGAATGTATTACAAATATTAAAAATGACATGAATGAAGTCAGTGGGGGAATAGGTTGTTGACCAAAGTAACTTTGGAAATAAACGGTCTATAAAACTAAAGGCAAACAAAACTGTATATAAGCCTGTATTCTTGTTGATAAATTGTAAATGTGAATTAACAATTCTAGTACTGCTATATATGTATACTGGAATTGAACAATTAAGTAAATGAATGACAGAAAGTGGGAGCCAGGTATCTCACTGCTGGAGTGAGAGTTCATAGATAAGCATCAGGCAAAGGCTAGAGTGATTCATGTGGTAATAGATTAGAGTCAGAGACAACAGTATGAACTCATATTTAGGTTTATATAGATACATATGGTTACATACAGAAATATTCATAGATATGTGTATATGCATGGGTTAGTATACACACATATCTCTTCTCCCTCTATCAGCCGAGAGAACCTAGGAGCAACAACACCCCAGTAGCAACAAGCTCACCTGGTGCCTCGATCTTGTTTTCTAATATTATTCTCCAATAAAAGGACCCGGGGCTTCTTGGGGGAAATTCCAGATTCTAGGACTGAGGCAGGAAATATACAAGATGAGCCTGAAGCATATTGTAGTGCTAGAAATCAAGGAAGTGCTAAGCAACAACAACAACAAAATCAAACCACAGTGTATGTTATAGGGCACAGGAGCCAACTGAAAGAGCTCCCAATGGCCACAATGGGAGCAATTCAAGCAATGAAATACAGTAGTATTGGATTATAACCCAAAGTACAAGATCAATATCTGTGAGTCCATACTGTTATAAACAAATCATTGAATAAATATATAAGTGTGGGAGAATAGACAAATCTGTGCAGAAGAATTCCAAATAAATTATGTAGATACTCTGCCCTCAAGGAGGTGGAGCATGATTTCCCACTTCTTAAGCGTGGACTGTGCACATTGATTGACTTCCTTCCAAAGTTGCAGTATGGAAAAGGGGAAATAAAAGGGTAAATGTACAGTGGAGAAATATAACAATACCTCAGCCAAGTGATCCAGGTCAATATCAAGAGTGATAGGTCATGCTGATAATATTATATACACTTGGTATGACATGATGAGATTGACACTTTATGGGTGAGGTCTTCTTCTCGAAATCCTACAGTCCCAGTCTAATCATGAAAAACATCAGACAAATCCCAATTAAGATACACTCTACAAAATATTTGACCAGTTCTCCTCTAAACTGTGAAGAGTATCAAAAACACAGAAAGTCTGAAAAAACATAGTAGCCAACAGAAGCCTAAGGAGATGTGATGATTAAATATAATGTGGTGTCCCAAATGGTAAAGTAAAACGGAAAAAAACCACATCAGGTAATAACTAAGGAAATCTGAATCAAGTAAGAACTTCAGTTAATAATAATGTATCAATATTTATTCATTAATTGTGACAAATGTACCATAGTAATGGAAGATGTTAATAATAGAAGAAATTGTGTGCAGAGTTTATGAGAACTCTGTATACAATCTTTATGTTTTTTTTTTTTAATCTAAAACTGTTCTAAAAATGCAGTTTATTTAAAAACAAAAAGCAATGAGTCAGGGTTTTGGATGGAGCTCCACTAAATCCAAGAAACATAACCAGAAGTGTTGCAAAAGCATTGAATAAATTCCACCTACCCACAGAGCATCAACGTTTGTATTTGTTTTTGGCAAAGAAATTTTGTAAATGTGTCAGCATACTAAAAAAAAAAATGAAGTTTCACAAAGGCTTACAAAATAAGATATTTTCTTGAGTGATATCATTAGAAGCTTCCTGGACAGAACACAGGCAGTTTTAGTCCAGTTGCATAATTTTGGGATGTAGCATACCTGCCAATTATCCCATAACTTACTTCTTAATATAGCAAGAAACATCAGTAATTATAGAGTCAATGATAGTATTTGATAGAGACGCTATTTCTGAATTCTGCTTCTACTCAACGTTACCTATCAATGTAACCAGTCCCAGAGCACAGGGCTTCAAAATCTTCCTAAATTGAGTGTGGCATCTTTCTCCTGAAAAGACATGTCTATTAACCAACTCAACATCTTCTCCTCGATGTATTGAATATCTTTCATTTGCCCTTCCCAATATATTCTATACCCCTCTTTACTCCGCTCTGTGCCATGGAAGGCTGAACTCTGGGTTACATTAAAGGGCTTGTTTTCTGACTTCCTGTTGGGTTTAGACAATGGGGAACACTAATAGAAGAACAAACAGGAAGGAGGAGATGAGGTTGGAGTATTTATTCCTGATTCCATCCCAGCAGCATTGCTGAGTACTGTCTGCATTCCTCAGAAGGGTTTCAGCCCCTTCCTCAGCCCTTTGCACAGTACCACATGGCCCTAGTCTGTTTCCTTATCCTGTCAGGCCTAGGGTTGTAAAACGTTCAACATATTTTAGCCTGGGGCTATTGCACTATCTCTTGTGCTTTTCCTGTCTTTGTATATTTATAAATAGTTCCATTATTATGCCTCTCCTCAAATTAACCTAATTTGACTGTACCATCTGTTTCCCTTTGGAACCCTAATTGATATACCTCAAACTTAAAATGTCCCCATCTACATCCCCAACCCCAGATCTGCTTCTCCAGCAGTAGTCTTCCCCCATAGTAATTAAACGATAACTCCATTCTTTCAAATAGCTTGGCTTGATTCCTATCTTTCAAACCTTACATAAAATTAACATCCTATATATCTATCTTAAAAAAGTTTCCAGGGTCTGACCACTTCTTAATGTTTCCACCACTATTTAACACTACCCTGGTTCAAGCCATTAGGTTATGTAGATTGTTATAGGTTCCTCCTAACTGGTTTTCCTGCTTCCATCTTTGCCCTTTACAGTCTAGTATTACACTTGCAGAAGCCAGAATGACCCTCTTAAAACACAAGTCAGATCATACCACTTCCTTGTTCAAACCCTCTAAAGGCTTCTTATTTCCCTTAGGGTAAAATCAAAGTCTTGGCCACGTCCCTGCATACCACCAGATCTCAGCTCATGCCATTCTACCCTTTACTCCTTCTGCACGAGCCACAATTACCTCCTTGCTATTCCTCGAACAGACCAAGCTTGCTCCTGCCACAGGTGACTTTTAAGTTACTGTTCCTTCTGTTGCATCACTTTTCTTCCAAATATCTAAAAGACTTGCTCCCTCACTTCCTTCATGTCTCTGCTCAAATGCGTCTTATAGGCAAGCCTTTCCTTAATCATGCTATATAAAAGAGCTGCGCCCCCATTTCTCATCTCAATCCATCTCTTTTAGTTCATTTTATTTTTCTTCACAGCATTTATCACCAGACATGTATTTGCTTATGGTTTTTCTTCACTAACCTGAGTATAAGGTGGTATTCTTGACTATTTTGTCTACTACTGACTCCCAGGGCCTAGAATAGTTACTGGCCCATAACAGGCATTCCACAAACATTCATCAAATGAATAAATGTATATGGTAACTGATATTGTAGTGTACTTTAAGATAAAGCTTTTGCATTGTGGTAAATCTAATTTTCAGTAAAGGTCTATAGTTTTAGACTAAACCTTCTAATGAAAAAGATCCACAGACTGCAGGGTATTTCAGAAAGGAGAGAACCAATGTGCGTTAGAAGTTTCTTTGGCTTTCTGTAACCATCATGAAGAACGTGTGAACCAGATCTCTTTGTCCCATCATATTTAATAATGAAAGTCACAACATATAATAAAGGTTGTCATATTTTCCTTTAGAAAATTGTAAACTTTAGCTATACCCATTGTATGCAAATATAGATGCAATAATTGTAATAGCAAGGTATGTTTTCCTCCATTCCTCTCAAGTATTCTACTTGACTTGTTATGAAGACAGTAGAAATTATACGTTGCCTGACTGGGTAAGGTAGCATTCTTGCACACTTCCTCTTTGGAGAGTTAGAATGTTTCCACATAATAATAATGTTTCAACCTAATTTGACATACAATAAATGTTGCCAAGAAAAATCTTTGCACCTAATTCATGAACTCTCCATCTTCCCCTACCTTCTGCCCCCAACCCAATCCATTCATGTACCCTAGTCTGTGTATCTGCTCTGGATTTTCTAAATGCTACCTTAGAGTCAGATTGCAAGATTATCAGAGCTAGAGACTTGGATTGCTTTATTTAGTGCCTAATAACCATTCAGTAAAGGAATTGATTTTACTAAATGAAACCTGGGCACTAGGCCATTGACTGAGCCTAAGTAAGTTGGAAGAAACCAAATGAAACTCATGGTCCCGTCTTATCATAAACTTCCTCCACAGCTTCCCATAGTATCCTCTCTTTCAGGACTCACCGAAGAAACTGCTCTTGGATTTATACATCCCAAACAATCCAGTCACCTAGAAAAAACTTGGCTTTTTTAATCTTCTGGACCCGTTTTAGTCACCAGAAAGCAAGCAACTATATTGTTGCAACTATATAAGACCCTATGCCCTGCAATCCTAATATTATCTGTGGTTTTCTCCCTTTGTACCAACCCCCTCAAGTGTTCATTTGTATCCTTTTGTACAGCATGTCTTTTTGAAACAACCTTAAATCCTTTGTGGGACAATCTAGAGTATAAATAAATAATTGTGGTATGTGTGGGTTTTTTTGGTGTTCATTTTGTCTGTTTCCCACTGTGCTACATCATTAGTTGTGTATGAATCTATACAGAGCTGGAGGAAGATATCAGCACATGTCCTTGGTTGTATTTTTTAAAACTGACAGTTTACAGAATGTTTTCAAAAATGTGTAAGCTGAAAGCCCTTCCCTTCCATGGATCACTGATGATTATGTGTCTTCAGAATATTCCAGAGTTGTTGACATTGTCACATAATTCGCTTTTATAGCCACATAATTCATCTTTATTTTTTGTTGTTGTTTTCTCCTTGTAACAAAGTTCAATGTTAATGACAGAAGGTAGTAAAATATTAATAATTGGTGAATCTAGGTGAAATCTATATAGATATTCATTGCATTATGCTTTTTACTCTTTTGTAGGTTTGAAAATTTTTATTCTAAGAAGTAAAACATAAATAAATAAAAATGTAATGCTAGCAAAGAATCCTCTCATCCCACTCCAATTTAAAATATGCTAGGCTGAATAGAATTTAAAAAATCATCAATGTTGTATGTATCTTGAAGCAATTCTTCTATTATGCTAATAAGCTGGACATCTGTGCTTCTCTCCTTAGAGATAAGAGATGATTTGTGCTAAACAAAATCAAAAGTGTCTTGAACATTATTCCAAGTTAAATACTGTTATTTTGTGTCATTGAGTTATGTGAGTGGGTCAGAACTTTGTTAAATCTATTATGTCTGGTATTTACTTTGCAGGTATTCTCTAGTAAATATTCTCTGGAATTGGCTCCCTCATTTTTTTAGAGCTATGGTTCTTCGGGATTCAGATATTTGAGAATTAATATTGTAGATATCACTTAAGTCCCTCCTCGATCATTTTTTGCCAAGACCAGCTCAGTCGGGGGGACCCTAACCCAGCAGCACTAGAGGAATTAAAGACACACACATAGAAATATAGAGGTGTGAAGTGGGAAATCAGGGATCTCGCAGCCTTCAGAGCTGAGAGCCCCGAACAGAGATTTACCCACATATTTATTAACAGCAAACCAGTCATTAGCATTGTTTCTATAGCTATTAAATTAACTAAAAGTGTCCCTTATGGGAAACGAAGGGATGGGCCAAATTAAAGAAATAGGTTGGGCTAGTTAACTGCAGCAGGAACATATCTTTAAGGCATAAATCGCTCATGCTATTGTTTGTGGCTTAAGAATGCCTTTAAGTGGTTTTGTGCCCTGGGTGGGCCAGGTATTCCTTGTCCTCATTCCCGTAAACCCACAACCTTCCAGCGTGGGCGTTAGGGCCATTATGAGCATGTGGCAGTGCTGCAGAGATTCTGTTTATGGCCAGTCTTGGGGCCAGTTTATGGCCAGATTTTGGGGGGCTTGCTCCCAACAATTTTTAACTTTATAAGTTTGCTAGTTTCTTATACCGGTCCTCATCCATATGGAAAACTTCATGCCATCTGGCTCTGATTCTGAGTTGATCCATATACTATGAAACATGATAAATACGTCACTGTCTCTGATAACATAAGCTTATTCTCCTTCACCTGCCTTACCAAAGCTGTCAAATATAACTTGAGCCTTTAAACTCAAGGGAGTTTTGCAGATCCACAAATGCTATAAAGGAGTTTTTTTTTCCAAGAGGAGGGAATAGGGTCCTGTGGCTTATTGTTCAAGATATATTCAACTCAATATTTATTGAGCTCTTACAAGGTGCTCTAACCACGTCCTGGACGGCATAAAGAAATTAGTAGTGTTTTGAAGGTGAGCTAAAACCTTTACAGCTTCTGGTAAATGCTGCCTGGCGTGGGACTCACTGTTCAGGCCAGTGGGTTCTCCTCTGGCCCAGGGCAGACCCAGAAATGGCATCCAAGGGTCAAGCCCTAGAATTGGGAACCCCAAGAGCTCGCTTGGTGCTCTACTCCCCTGTGGCAGTGTTGGTACCTAAGGTGCAAGACAAAGTTCCTTTTACTTTTCCCTCTGCTTTTCTCAAGCAGAAGGAATTTTGCCCTGTAGCCACCACAGCTGGTAATGTGCTGAGTCTCACCTGAAGCTAGTAATTCTCAGAGGCTCACCGAGGCCCATGATGTAGTACCTGGGTATTGCTGCTCTTTATTCAGGGCTCAAGGGCTCTTCAGTTAGCAGGTGATGAATACTGCCAGGACTGGATCATTCCTTCAAGGCAGTGGGTTCTCTTCTGGCTCAGGGTGTGTCTAGAAATATCCTCTGAAAGCTAGGGCCAGGAACAGGGGCCTCACAACTGACTTAGAGCACTTTGGCCCTCAGTGGCAAAAGATTCCCCTCTGACTAGGGTTGGATTAAATGCTTCCTCTGTGATCAGGTGTCAGTCGAGTTTGGTCTGGTTTTCCTTTGTGCTCTAACAGGATAGCACTCAATTCAATGCCTCACAATTGCTGTGCTCTCCCTCCCCAGCACCCAGAGACACATGGTCTGCAGCACACGGCCGCTGCTGGGTATGAGGGAGGGGTGTCACTGGGGATTCAGGATTGGTTTTGCTATCTCTTCAGTGCCTCCTTCAGCGACATGAAGTTAAAACCAGGTACTGTAAGTGCTCACCTGATTTTTGGTTCCTATGGAGGTGTTTTTTTCTGTGTAGATAGTTGTTAACTTGGTGTCCTTGGTGGGGGTGGTGTAGGGGAGGGAGATGATTGGTGGAGCTTTCTATTCTGCCATCTTGCTCTGTCTCTCTTTCTACACTAGCTTTGAGGTAAGTTTTAAAATCTGTCTTCCAACTTTGCTCCTTTCAAGATTGTTTTTGTTACCTGTGGTCTCTTGCATTTCCATATGCATTCTAAGATCAGCTTATCAATTACTGCAAAAAAGGCCATTGGGATTTTGATAGGAAATGCATTAAATAAGTAGATCAATTTTGGGAATATTGTCATTTAAACAATACTATGTTTTTAATTTTTTTAATTTTTAAAATTTTTCTAGAGTTTATCTTTAAGAGCTGCATTTCTAATAAAATTCTACATTTTCATTCTTAAAATGTATAACAGTATTTCATCTTTTTTGTGATTTTAAACAATTGTGTACTAGTATTTTTTGAAATATTTTTATTCTTAGAACCTTATAATCAGAGACAATATAAAAAATAAAAGTAATATTAAGTCTTCTAATCCATGAACATAGGGTTTTTCCATTTTTTAGGTCTTTTAAATTTCTTTCAATTATGTTTTGTAGTTTTCAGGGTATAAGACTCATACTTCTTTTGTTAAATTTATTACTATTTTACTTTTTTTAATACTATTTAAATGGAATTTTTGTTTCATTTTTTGATTGTTCATTGCTGGTATATATAAATACAATTGATTTTTATATATGGATATTGTATCCTGCAACCTAGCTGAACTTATTTACTGGCTCTAATATGTTTTTGTAGATTCCTTAAGGTATTCCACATACAAGGTCATGTCATATGTGAATAGAAATAGTTAACTTTCTTTTCCAATCTGGATACATTTTATTTATTTTGCTTGGATAATTGTTCTTGCTAGAATGTCACAATTTTGAATAGAAATGGTGAGCCTGGCCTGGTGGCTCACGCCTGTAATCCCAGCACTTTGGGAGGCCGAGGTGGGTGGATCACCTGAGGTCAGGAGTTCGAAACCAGCCTGACCAACATGGAGAAACCCCTGTCTCTACTAAAATTACGAAATTTGCTGGGCATGGTGGTGCATGCCTGTAATCCCAGCTACTCTGGAGGCTGAGGCAGGAGAATCGCTTGAACCTGGGAGGCAGAGAGATTGTGGTGAGCCGAGATCATGTCATTGCACTCCAGCCTGGGCAACAAGAGCAAAACCATCTCAAAAAAAAAAAAAAAAAAGAAAAAAAGAAAAAAAAAAGAAAAAGAAATGGTGAGAAGGGACATTCTTGTCTTGTTTTTGATCTTAAGAGGAAAGCTTCCATCCCTTCACCATTAAGTATGATGTTAGCTGTGGGGGTTTTTTTGTAGATACCCTGTACCTATGTATGTCAATTAAGTTAAGCTTTTAAGCTGTATTGGCCAAAACTACAGTATCATTTCTTATTTGAATTTGCTGGCTCCATCCACTGAGAGAGGTGTGCTGAAACCTCCAATTATTGTTTTTGGATTGTCTATAGTTCCTTGTTGGTCTCTCAGTGTTTGTTTCAATATTTTGAGGCTATGTTATTAGATATATTCCTATTTGGGATTGTTATATGTTATTGAATTGACCATTCCATATTTGCACTGTTCCTATTCCTGTTTATCTCTAGTAATATTTTCAGTATAAATTCTGTCATCCGTTTTCTTTAAAACTTTTGATCCACTTATATTTTAGGCATGTCTTTTATAAGCAGCAAAGACTTTTTCTGTCTGTATGCGCTTTTTAATTTAGTTTGACAACCCTAGTATTTCACTTTGAGCATTTGGTTTAATTTTGTTTAACTTAACTAGTGATATATTTACATTTTTACGTATTATTTACTACTTTTCCTCTTCCCCTTTTTATTCCTTGATCTTGACCTTTCCACCTTTTTTATTTTTTACTTAATCAAGTATTTTTAAATATTTCATTTCAACAATTAATTTTGTATTATTTTATTACTCTTTTAATTTTTACCCTAGAGATTACAAACTCATCATTGACTTATCTAAGTATAACCTAAGTTAGATTTTTTACCACTTTCTGAGCAATCCAAGAATCTTACAATTTAAAAAATTCCACATATCCCCATTTTTCCTTTGGCCTATTGTGGTTATGCATTTTAATTATCCATATATTTTAAACCCCATAGACAGTCTATTGTTTTGAACAATTCATGCACATATTTATCCTATCTGGTGGCTCTTTATACCTTCTTGCATTAACATGATTACAACTCAGATAACTTTTCCTTCTTTCTGCTTCTTTCTTCCCATAGTATTTCTTTAAAGAATTCAATCAAGTTCTTTTTGTTTTCCTGAAAATATCTTTATATTCTCTATTTTTGAAGGGTATTTTCACTGAGTATAAAATTCAAAGTTGGCAGTTTTATATTAGCATTTCAAATATATCATTTTACTATTTTCTGGGTTCCATTGTATCTCTTGAGAATCTGGCTGACAGTTCATTTGGAGGAAAATGTAATTTTTTCTCTGTATGCTTAAAATTTTTTTCTTTTTGTCTTTTGTTGTCTTCATTTTAATGATTTTATGCCTATGTGTGATTTTCTTTGTAATTACAGTTTGGGTTCATAGAACTTTATGATAATGAAGTTTGAGAAACTTACTAACTTGCATCTCTTCAAATATTTCTTCTACCTAATTCTCTCTTTCCAGTCATCTAGAAACACAAATTATACATATGATAGGCCATTTCCCACATTCCGTCTATCTCTTATATGCGTTTCTCATTTCTAACATTGTCTCTCTGTATTTCAATGTGCATGTTGTCCACCAACCACCTTGCAGTTTACTACTCCATTCTTCTGTTGTGCTAATTTGCTGTTGATTACATTTAGATAGCTTTTAATTTCATGTTATACTTTCCATTGTGGAATTTTTATCTGATTCTCTTAAAATAAATTTCAGCTCTCTGGGGAGAAATTTCTGTTTTTCATCTATTTTCTTGAATGATTTAATCATATTTATAAAGTTTTAATGTCCATGTATTGTAACTTCAATTTCTGAGTCATTTCTGGTGCTAATTGTCTTTATTTTTCTTGCTTTTTGGTCATTTGGTTCTGTTTCTTGCCCTGACTTTTAATGTTTGGTTGAATATGGAGCATTGTGTATGAAAATTTGTAGAGGCTCAGGATAATATTATTTCCCTCCAGAGAAAAATTAATTTTCTTCTGATAAAAGATGAAGCTAGGAAGATTGCCTTGTTCTAGTTGAAACTCCTCTATTTCCACTTTACTGTTATTATTAAGGTATAGTCATTCTGGAACATTAACTAAAATCTGGCACATTTACCTAGAACACCTTTTCTATGGTGGTCTTGACTTCTGGATTTCATCCTTGATATGATTTGGCTGTGTCCCCACCCAAATCTCATCCTGAATTTGTCTGAGAGGCCTGGTAGAGGCACTTGAATCATGAGGGCAGGTCTTTCTTGTGCTTTTCTCGAGAATAGCACATAGGGAATAAGTCTCGTGAGATTCGATCATTTTAAAAAGGGCAGTTCCCCTGCACAAACTCTCTTCTCTTGTCTGCCACCATGTGAGATGAGACTTTTGCCTTCTGCCATGATTGTGAGGCCTTCCCAACCACATGGAACTGTAAGTCCATTAAACTTCTTTCTTTTGTAAATTGCCCAGTTTCAGGTATGTCTTTATCAGCAGCATGAAAACAGGCTAATACAGTAACTTGGTAACAGTAGAGTGGGGTGCTGCTGAAAAGATATCCAAAAATGTGGAAGTGACTTTGGAACTGAGTAACAGGCAGAGGCTGGAACAGTTTGGAAGGCTCAGGAGAAGCCAGGAAAATGTGGGAAAGTTTGGAACTCCCTAGAGACTTGTTGAATGGCTTTGACCAAAATGCTCATAATGGTTTGGACAATGAAATCTAGGCTGAGGTGGTCTCAGATGGAGATGAGGAACTTATTGGGAACTGGAGCAAAGGTAACTCTCTTGTTATGTTTTAGCAAAGAGGCTGGCAGCATTTTGCCCTTGCCCTAGTGATTTGTGGAACTTTGAACTTGAGAGAGATGATTTAGGGTATCTGGCAGAAGAAGTTTCTAAGCAGCAAGGCATTCAAGAGGTGACTTGGGTGCTGTTAAGGCATTTAGTTTTAAAAAGGAAACAGAACCTAAAAGTTTGGAAAATTTGCAGCCCAACAATGTGATAGAAATGAAAATCCTATTTTCTGAGGAGAAATTCAAGCTGGCTGCAGAAATTTGCATAAGTAATGAGGAGCTGAATGTTAATCACCCAAGACAATGGGAAAAATATCTCCAGGACATGTCAGAAATCTTCGCAGCAGCCCCTCCCATCACTGGCCCAGAGGTTTAGGAGGAAAAAATGGTTTTGTGGGCTGGGCCCAGGGTCCCTATGCTGTGTGCAGTCTAAGGACTTCGTACCTTCATCCCAGCTGCTCCAGCCTTGACTAAAAGGGGCCAAGGTACAGCTCAGGCTGTTGCTTCAGAGGGTGGAAGCCCCAAGCATCGGCAGCTTCCATGTGGTGTTGAGCCTGCGGGGACACAGAAGTCAAGAATTGAGATTTGGGAACCTCTGCCTAGATTTCAGAGAATGTATGGAAATGCCTGGATGCCCAGAAAGAAGTTTGCTGCAAGGGCGGGGCCCTCATGGAGAACCTCTGTTAGGGCAGTGCAGAAGGGACATGTGGGGTCAGAGCCCCCACACAGTCCCTACTGGGGCACTGCCTAGTGGATCTGTAAGAAGAGAGCCACCGTCCTCCAGACCCCAGAATGGTAGATCCACTGACAGCTTGCACCTTGCACCTGGAAAAGCCATGGACACTCAACGCCAGCCCATGAAAGCAGCCAGGAGGAGGGCTACACCCTGCAAAGCCACAGGGGTGGAGCTGCCCCAGGCCATGGGAGCTCACCTCTTGCATCAGCATGACCTGGGTATGAGACATGGAGTAAAAAGAGATCATTTTGGAGTTTTAAGATTTGGCTGTCCTGCTGAATTTTGGACTTGCATGGGGCCTGTAGCCCCTTTGTTTAGGCCAATTTCTCCCATTTGGAATGGCTGTATTTACTCAATGCCTATTCTCCCATTATATCTAGGAAGTAACTAACTTGCTTTTGATTTTACAGGCTCATAGGCAGAAGGGACTTGCCTTGTCTCAGATGAGACTTCAGACTATGGACTTTTGAGTTAATGCTAAAATGAGTCAAGACTTTGGGGGACTGTTGGGAAGGCAAGATTGTGTTTTAAATGTGAGGACATGAGATTTGGGAGGGGGCAGGGGCAGAATGATATGGTTTGGCTGTGTCCTCACCCAAATCTCATCTTGAATTCCCACATGTTGTGGGAGGGACCTGGTGGGAGGTAGTTGAATCATGGGGGCAGGTCTTTGCTGTGCTGTTATCATGATAGTGAATAAGTCTCATGAGATCTGATGGTTTTAAAAAGGGGAGTTTCCCTGCATAAGCGCTCTTCTCTTGTCTGCCACTGTGTGAGACATGGCTTTCACCTTCTGCCATGATTGTGAGGCCTTCCCAGACACATGGAACTGTAAGACCATTAAACCTCTTTATTTTGTAAATTGTCCAGTCTTGGGTATGTCTTTATCAGCTGCATAAAAATGGACTAATACACTCCTCTTAGCAGTTGCTTTGTTTTTGAATCCTGACAACCATGCTTCATTTGTTTTTGCAAAACATCAAAGGAGGATGATGTGTGATGGCAGCCACATCACAATATATTTCCCTTCTCTCTGGCATAATGATCCTTCAACTTCTCGTTCTTGAATTCCTTCAAACGATTGTTTTTGTATTGAAATACTTTTTGTACTTGTTCTCATTTGGAGATTTTGTTGACATCAGCTAATCCTTCATAGCTAGAAAGAGAAACTCCCTTCATGAGTTCTGTTCTAATTATTTTGTACCTTAGCTGCTGGAAGAATATTTAGGAGACATTATCTAATAGTAACCTTTCACTCTGATTTTAGGATTCAGGAGCAAGTAGTATAAAATTTTTGAAAGCTTGGAATACCAAGGGAATGAGAACTTTAGAAAGGCAATACAAATAAGGAAAGTAAAGTAGTACAAGAGAATAAGAAATTGTCATTATAATAGGAAGGTAATTGAAGACTTACAGTTTCACAGAGAAAGATACAAGAAGAATGTAGCCAACTTAATCAAATTCTGCAGAGTTTAAGGAGAAGCAAGAGCCAGAAAGAACCACATGACCTCATCTCTAGGAAGATAATTATGAAAATTGAGTGAGTAGATTTAGAAAGGGGATAAGAATAATACTTAGATTATGAGGTAAAAAAAAAAAAAGTCATTAAGAAAGTAGAAGAGACTCCTCCTTAAGGAATTTAGCAATGAAAGAAAAGAGAAAAAGGTCAGAAACTTAGTGAGCTAGCAAACCCCAGGGAATGTTTTTAGAGAAGTTTCGAATATACATGAGATTGGTGGTAGAAAAATTTTAGGGATCAGTGAAAGTGAGAACAAGGGTATCTATGACAAGGGTATCTAAGACATGGCATTAAGAACACATATAAATGGGAAAGCCTACGAAAGGAAGCTGTGGAGTGTGGTATCTTTTGAGAGAGAGGGAAAGGAAAAAATGGCCTGATTCTTTTTTCCAATTTAAGGAGAATTTGAGGTTATATGCTGAAGGTGGGGATGAGAGTCAAGGCTTGAAAAGAATGGGGTTCAAATGAAGTGACTATGAGGGATGTTGGAATTATAGGGTTAAAAAGACCATAAGACTAAGTTGTTAAGTGTCCATTTGGGTAATCCTCTTAGGTGATTTTAGCAATAAACTACTCAGTGACAAAGATCTGGAAGTGCTGAAACAACAGCAATACAGATGGGAGAAAGATGGTATGAAACAAGATGTGTTTCAAAAGAGAAAGAGTTTTCAAGCAAGGGTGGAAGAAAATAGCATCAAACAGTTTTTTTATCTATATCTCTTTGCTGTGAAAGATGGAGTAGCTTATCAAGAAGATATTTCCTTGAGGGCTGTGATTTTTAGTTAAATGGTATTGTAGAAAAATAAAAGGATGCATTGGAATTTGATCCAAGAAGGCAAAGGAAGAGGAAATGGTAGGGAATTCTGCAAAAAGTGAGTGGATCTGAGGATAAAGAGATGAAATAGGGATGAAAGTAGAGGGAAAAGTAGTATTGGTGGATGAAAGATGAGGAAATGAGAGGCTGGGTCATAGGCCAGAGGAGCACGTTAAGGACAAGCTGGTATTACGGAGGCTGAAGTTTTGTAACTGGGATTTTTCAATGTGTCCACATGGTCATATTTACCTTCCAGTAAAAACATTAGATACTTTCTACATATTATTTGAATCAAGGTGTTGAGTTCTTGGAGCTTTATTATGTCTTATAAGGTGGTGGGTTAGAGGAGTAGAACCTTTAATTTAGGAGAGATAACACTGAAAACCTTTCATTTCAACTTACTTCCTTGTATCCTTGTAATATTCTTTACATAATATTGTAGAAGCTGAGATAAAACTTTCTCCCTACCCACTGAAGGTTTGTTGAAATGACTGACAGTAGACAGATTAATGGGAGAAAAAGGCATACAAATATATTAAGGTGCATATGGAAATGGGAGTCCTGCAAACATGAAACTCAAAGATGGGCCATATGGTTGAGGCTTAAATATCTTCTTCATAGGGAGAGAAAAGTTGGGGGGCACTGTTGGTAATTTTGGAGGGATAGTAAATGATTTTTAGGGAAAATGGATGAACCCAAAGAGCAGTGGCCTGGGAGGAAGTTCTCAAGCCCTCAGGGAGGTAGCAAGAAGGCGAGGGATGGAACTTCACTGGGAACGAAAAGGTTGTCTTATGCAGATAGTCTCCCAGGCAGTCTTTCAGAGCGGCCCTCAGAAGAACAGAAGAAAAGTCTGTCTGGGCATGGTGATGATTTTTAGTCTGTTCTATTCTCCAGTAGTTATTTGATAAGATTCCTAGAGTCCTAGAGAGGGGGTCTTATGACAATTGAATATCTTTTGGAAAAGTTTTCTTTGTCAGAAAAGGAGGTTCCACAGACAGTTTCTTCCTGTGCTTGGGAAAAGAAAGGATCAGAGAGACAGGGAGGTGAGAGAAAGACAGAGGGAGACCTTAGTTACGAGGTTTATTTCTGAGGCTTTCCTATTTTAGTTCAAAGTGTTTAGCATGCCAAAGGGCTGAGCTTTTGGAGTATCATTTTCTGAGCCCCAATAACATAATTCAGCAACATTCTCTAATTAGATTTTTTAATGTATTCTTGTAGTTGGTTTTGATTTCCATCAGCTCACAATTTCTGGATTTAAGTTATTCAAGAATTTTAATTGCTCTAGAGGCTATCACTAGCTTAGAGTTGGCTCTTTTCAATGTTCAAGAGATTATGAATTATATAGGAGAGAATGTTTTTAAAGTCACGCCTTAGTGATATTTCCTGTTTTGAATCCAGTCTTCTCTTAGGACTTTAGTTTCATTCATCTTACACCAGGCTGATTTGTAGCTCCTGTATGCATTTTTTTAGGGAACAATTTCCAAAGAATTTGTTTTATTTCTACAATTCTCATCTGTTGTATTCTCCTTCAAATAGATGCAACACCTATATCTTCTTTGCTAAACATATGGTTCAGTGCCTAGCATTCACTGGCTCAATCTTAGACCCAATTTATTAGTGTAGTCCCCAGTTCCCTGTCTTGTTTCTCAGCCGTTTTGATTCCTTTCCGTAGAGTGCAGAAAGAAATGCTCTATTTCAGAAAAAGTCCCACTCATGCTGGGACTTTTCCGATTTAGACTAAATCCATAGTACACACATTTGGAAACCTATGGCTGCTTGGGAGGCCATCTGGCAACTTAAGAAAGTCCTTCTTACTGCTGTGAAGTCCCTGACTGTTGTGAAAACACAAGTCCATTGCTTTCAAGGTCCTGGGAGGGGGACAGCTAATTTTTCCTTCTTCTTTTGCAAAACAGAAGGAACTGTAAATAACAATCCTCTAGATAATGCGAATAGGTAAACATTGCCAGGATTTGTTATCTCAAGTACTAAAAATCCTTCTTTCTTGTGTTGTTGCTCTACTACTTACAGAAGTTCAGGATTTCTGCTGCTGATAGGTAACCTAACAGAGGGGAAATTACATGGAAGAGAAAAATAGTATGTTTACCCCCAAGAAATGTAGAGTAAATCTGTGGACTTCTATTGAATTTGGAATCTGTTTGTTCCAGATAATTCTCCTGTTATGACAAAAGATTCAGAACATGACTCCTTTTTATTACTTGCTATAGGACAACTACTTTTTAATTCTTATAAAATTTAAAAGATTTTTAGTGAGTTGGCAGTTCTTGGGTATATTAAACACCTAATGTAAATCTTGAGTTTTCCTCTTTATTTTAAGTGTGATGAGTACTGTATCTAATAGTTTTTTTATTGGAAAATAATGTTCTGATATTGACAAATGTGAAACAAATACGGATAGTGTCACTTGACATGAGTATTATAATGTCACTGAATATTTGGTTACTATATGTGAAAGTTATATATTCTAATCAACCATATATCTTGAGTATTTTCACCACCTTGCATTCTCTTCCCTACAGGGAGCTTTGTTAATGAACAAGCTCTCAGGATCAGCCTTTTTTGTGTGTGTGTAAGAACTTGCTGTGTTCAAGGATTCTGCTGGATGCACAGGGTCATTTATAGAATCAAGATGTGCTGCCTCCGCTCCCTCAATGAATGCTCCATCTATTGGAGTCCAATATATATAATAGATGTGTGAATAAGTACTGAAAAGCAGTGGTAATTTGTTTTGATTTTAGGAAAACTAGAAAAATCATAGTGAAGGTGACATATGAATAAGATTTCAACAGAGAGAAAAGAGACCCTTGATTTGGGAGTGGATACAGAATTTTAAGCAAGAATAAAGCATGAACTAGGGCATAGGAGCTGTCTAAATTGCCTAAATTGTTATCTGGTATCTCATGGACATTTTAGGCTACATCACATTAAACTGGATGTTAATACAAGAACCATAAAAGAGCATAGCAGCTGTGTTTTATATCAGTGGGTCTGGGGGAGAGAAGATCTTAGTTCAAATGTTAGTTCTCAGCCAAATATCCCATGAGATATCTGTCAAATGTTTATCATGGAAGTACTCACACATATGTGTGCATGTGGACACATGCATACATACATACTAACTGGACCTTTTCCCTTTCACATGCCCATTCTGTCCTCCACCAAGGTAACCATGCCTTTGTAATCAGGGAAGCTAATAAAGTAGTTTCCTATTTTATATTTAGATGTAATACCACAACTAATCCCTTAAACATCATGCATTTTGAATATCACATGCATTATCAGCTTACAGAGATGTTAACCATGCTTCCAATAATAGTAGCCAATTCCAGATTATGGCAGAGATTTTGCAATAGTTGACTTTACTGTCTCTTTCCACCTTGATGATGGGAATTCAGAGAAACAGTTTTACCTCCTCCTCAAGATGAGAAGGAATCTGTGATGGTCACCCCCAGAATGGCCACCAGTGATATCTACATCTTGGTATGAAAGGAACATAAATCTTGGGACCCCAAAAATCACTAAGCCAAAGGGAAAAGTCAAGCTGGGAACTGCTTGGGGCAAACCTGCCTCCCACTCTATTCCTGAAAAAGATAGCTACTAAGATAAAAAAAAGCTAAATACGTCCCTCACAAGGGATTTCCTTCTGGACAAAGGACAGACAGAAGTCGAAGTCACCCCTCTGCTCACTGAGATAAATGTATATCTGATTGCCTCCTTTGGAAAGGCTAATCAAAAAGTCAACAGAATGCAACCATTTGTCTTTTATCTACCTATGACCTTGAAGCCCCCTCCCTGCTTTGAGTCATCCAACCTTTTAGGACTGAACCAATGTACATCTTACATATATTGATTAAAGTCTCATGTTTCTCTAAAATGTATAAAACCAAGCTGTTCCGCAACCACCTTGGGCACATGTCATCAGGACCTCCTGAGGCTGTGTCATAGGTGCACATCCTTAACTTTGGCAAAATAAACTTCCTAAATTGACTGAGATCTCAGATATTTGGGGTTCATACTGGTATTCACAACCTTGTATAGTTCCCTCCAAAACTGTATAACATTTATTCAGTATAACAAATAGAATACAGCAGAAGTGTTGGTACGTCACTTCAGAGATGAGGTTTTAAAAGACTATGGCTTCCTTCTTGGGCTTTTTCTCTCCCTCTTTTGGAACACTTGCTCTTAAGGAAGCCAGTGGTCATGTGAGGACAAGCAGTGTATGGAGATGCCCATTGTATTAGTCCATTCTCACATTGCTATAAAGAAATACCTGAGACTGAGTAATTGATAAAGAAAAGAGGTTTAATTGGCTCATAGTTCTGTAGGCTGTACAGGAAGCATAGTGGCATCTGCTTCTGGGGAGGCCTTTGGAAGCTTCCAATCATGGTGGAAGGCGAAGGGGGAGCTTGCAAATCACAAAGCGAGAGTGTTACAAGTAGTTAGATAAGCATGAGCCGGTCAGGAGAGGGCTCTTCCCCCACCCACTGGGAATATCAGTTGATGGTCTGGCAGTTATCACATTGCCTCTCTGAAAATGATAAATTGGCAGCTGGTGCCAGGAAGAGGCCATTTTCTGATGGTCCACACCTGTTGCACTAAAGGGTTAATTGAATGCAGGTGCCAGGAAGATGCAACTTCCCAGGCATGTGCATTAAGAGACAAAATGGCAGAGTATGACCTTCTGAGGGCACTCCACTGGAAAAGGGAAGAAAGCCTCAGATGGGCATGTGTACAACTTTCTAAACACACTGTGCATGCCCACTTCCCAAGAGTATGGAGGGCACCGAGCATGCGGGCAGCCCACACTAAGGAACAATCATGGGAAAGGGGCCAGCGTATAAAGTCCTAGGATCAAGGTTAAACACTGCACTTGTTCTTCAAGTTGCCCACTTGGGTCTCTTCCAAGCATACTTTCCTTTCCTTTTTAAGTAAACTTCCACTCCTGCTCTGAAATTTGCCTTGGTCTCTTTTTCTACCTTATGCCTCTTAGTAAAATTCTTTCTTCTAGGGAGGCAAGAATTGAAGTTGCTGCAGACCTGTACAGATTTGCCACTGGTAACTTGGATACCTTCCACTGTTAACAAGAGCAGGAGCAAGAGAAAGTGGAAGGAGGTATCACACACCTTTAAACCCCCAAGTGTCAGGATAACTCACTATCACTTGGACAGTACCAAGAGGATAGTGCTAAACCACTCATGAGAAACTGCCCCCGTGATCCAATCACATCCCTACAGTCTCCACCTCCAGCATTGGGGATTATAATTCAACATGAGATCTGGGTAGGGACATAGATCCAAACCCTATCACCCATGTAGCAAGGCACCGAGGTCTCTAGCCAATGGTCAGTGAGGAACTAAGTCTTGCCAAAAACCATATAAGTGAGCTTAGAATTAAATTCTCCAGCCTTAAGATGACTGCAACCCCATTAGAGACCCTGAGCCACAACTACTCAGTCAAACTGTTTCTGGATTCCTGACCCACAATAAATGTTGATTGTTCTGAACTGCTAAATTTTGGAGTAATTTGTTATGTAGCAATAGATGACTAATATAAGACCTTTCTGGGTAGGAGTTTTCCCTGGCGTTGAAACCACAGATCAAACTGAAACAAGGTTTCTCTTTGAAATTGCTGTGGATATGAATGACAGATCCTGTGTCACTTCAACAATGAGGCATGGCCTCTGAGCACCACTTTGGGCCTGTGCTTCAGATGATGTAACTACACAACAGAAGTAGAAGAGAGAACCTTTACATATATGACCTATCATGGCTGGGACATTTGTTCATGGTACATGTAGCCTCTCTGTTCTGATAGTTGATCCTTTTATTTAAAAGCAATCAATCTCTTATTTACCCTTAGGGTGATAGATGATGTTACCCTAAAATATGCTACTTTGTATAATGATAATCTCAAGCTGAAGGCAATGGAGATGAAGTAGATACAAGAAATGCTCTCTGCCCTCCCAATTTGTCTAACAGCAGTACATAAATTTACAAAGATGTCCCTCCTCCCTCCTATCAGGAAGGAAAAAAGTTAATCACCATGGACAACTTTAGACTGATACCAGCCTGGGGAAGGCGCCAGAGGAAGCTATATAACAAACTTTACTAACTAGTATTTATCTATTATTAGTTTCTCATATATTTGCCTTCCTACAATTTGCCACCCCTAAAGACTCAGGTTTCTTTTCCTTTGTCTTGTCACTTCTCTGAAAATGTATTCTTGCTTGATGCTATATAAACATAAGTTCTAACCAAACCTTTGAGTTTCTCATTTCTGGGTACTCCCATGTGTTACATTTGCGATGTACATGTTAATAAACTTGTATTTGTTTTTCTCTTCTTAATCTGTTTTTCATCAGTCCAATTTAAAGGGCCCCAGTGAGAGAATCTAGGAGGGTAATAGGAAAAATAATTTTTCCCATCCTATAATCCAGTAGGTGGTTCAGATTCTAACTTTTGCTTTCAGCAAAGCTATATAAAGCAAAAGGCCATTCTCATGGTTGAAAGTGAAGAAACAAATTATATATTAGTCTAAGATTGATCCCTTACTAGCTGCAAAGCAGTTGTGAGAGGAAGATTGGGCTTATGAATGGAGACCTGTGAGGCATAAATGGACCAAGAAAGTTATTCACTCATTTTGAGCCTCAGTATCTTTTTTTTTAATTAGGTAAATAATACCTGACAGAGATTTTTTGGTGATTAAATGTGCTTGTGAAAGCCTTTGCACCTATTAAATATCAATTAAAACTATGCTCTAAAGGTGTAGTGCACTGTCCTTAGGTGATATGTCCATTAGTGGAAGAGGATGCCTTAATCCATTGAACAAATAATCTGAGCACCTACTAGGTACAAGACACAGTTCCAGGGTGGGGATTATAATAATTAGAGGGGAAGAAGAAAACTTCTTCCTCGACTCATCTTTGGTTCTCCAGATGGGCCCCTGAAAATAAGACTGACCAAAAGCAGATTAACAAGAAAAAAAAAAACAGAAATTTATTAGCATGTGTATGACACGTACATATGGGAGTACCCAGAGGAGTAACTCAAGAGGTGGTTATAACTTGGGTTTCTAGATCATCTTAGGCTAAGAAAAAAGGAAAGGGAGGTTTTCTTTTGGATGGATGGGGGATGCAAGTTATGGAAAGGCGACGAAGAACAGTATAGTTAACAAGGGTTGTTTAATAAGGTTGTTGTGTAGATTTAAGCCTTAAATTGATGTTTTCAACATGGACAACAGTTGTTAAGAGTCTTTTTTTTTTTTTTTTTTTTTTGGTATGGGAGAGGGAAACATGTCTACAAACAAAAATTTGCTTTATAAATGTAAATTTTCTTTATAAGAGAAAAACTTGTGCCATGTTTTCAGAGCTTGGTCTGTATCTGCAGGTTCTCAATGGCCTTTAGCTCAAAATAATCTATATGCCAAAGAAGTATATTTTGGGGTGGCATATGCTGGTACCCTTCATAATAAACAAAATAAATCTAGTCTTTACTCTCAAGGAATTTACAGTCTAGTGGGAGAAGCAGTAATTAATCAAATAATTTCACAAATGAAAATTTCAACTTTGGCAAGTGAGGATGTAGAAGTACTACAAGAGCACGTATAAAAGGAGATTTGACCTAGTGAGGGAAATAGAAGAATGCTTCTCCAGGAAGTGACATTTGAACTGAGATCTAAAGGAGTAGTGTTAAAGAGGTGTGGGAAATGCCTCTCTGGTTGAGGGAATAGCAAGTCCAAAGACACACTGGCAGTGGACCAGTCAGATGATTAGGAGGAAACAAAAAGCCAGGGAGGCTGGAGAGCAAAAAGGGAGGGCAGCATGACAAAGGGGGTGAACCTTTTTCCTATTTCATATGTCTGATAAGGTTTATAACTGACCCCATGGAATGTCTACACAGCGAGTACCCAATAGTGAGGGTAATTTTGTGTTGCAGTTTGTTTAGGCTGCTATAACAAACTATGATAGACTGGGTGGCTTATAAACAACATAAATTTCTTTCTCACAGTTCTGGATGCTAAGTCCAAGATCATGGCACTGGCAGATTCAGTGTCTGGTTATCGCCTGTTTCCTGGTTTGTAGAGGATCATCTTGCTGTGTCCTCACATGGCACAAGGGGCAAGGGAGCTTTCTGGCTCTCTTTCATAAGGGCACTAATCTCATTCATGAGGGCTCCACCCTCAGTACTTAATCACCTCCCAAAGGTCCCACCTCCTAATACTATCACCTTAGGGGTTAGAATTTTGACATGAATTTTGAGAGGACACAGACATTCAATCTATAGCATCTTATTTAATTGCTTCTTACTATATAACAAAAGTACAGCTAAGAAAAACAACGTTTGTGGGGAATCCCTTGAAGACTGTAAAAATTATATGTTCTCTCCATGGTTTTGGAATCTCTTTTTGATCTTGCTACATAAGCAAGATCTGAGGATTGATCTGCTGGGTGTTGGATCCTCAAATAGCACTTCTCTTCTGATCTTTAGTGTGGATTCATTAGTACTGAAGAGCTCTATAACCTCAAGTTCAACCAGAAGTGAATGACTTGGGACCTCCCCTTTTTCAGTTCAGCCTTGTACATACACACAATATTCTAGGCCCAAGAAATATTGTAAAACTTTTCAAAGTCTTCTCTGGTTGTCTAGTTTCCCAGATCTACCTTTAACATTTTTGGCCAGGCTCTTGTTTGCTCCAACTGAAATCAGTCTTAGAGAACTCTCATGTTAATGATTTCAGCTAATTACTATTGCTTTCATTAACACCCTGGAGATAAGGTTTGTTTTACATATCTGAGCTCTGAGTCAAATCAAGCAGCAAGGATATCCTGGAATTGCTGGAATTGGAGGTTTTTGTTTTTTTTTTTTTGAGACAGAGTCTCACTCTGTTGCTCAGGCTGGAGTGCAATGGCGCAATCTTGGCTCACTGCAACCTCCACCTCCCAGGTTCAAACAATTCTCATGCCTCGGCCTCTTGAGTAGCTGGGATTACAGGCACGTGCCACCATGCCTGGCTAATTTTTGTATTTTTAGTGGAGACGGGGTTTCACCACGTTGCCCAGGCTTGTCTTCAACTCCTGACCTCAGGTGATCCACCCGCCTCAGCCTCCCAAAGTATTGGGATTACAGGCGTGAGCCACTGCACAGGGCCAGAATTGAAGTTTTTGTAGGGAGCTATGGGTCAGGTCAAAATATTGACTATAATCTGGGGAGGGGCTTTTAACAGAGCTCCAAAAAGACATCATTTCTTTCTGTTGGCTACAAAGCTGTCAGCTTTTCATGGCTACCATGCCACTGAGCTGGGAAGGTGAGAGGATAAGAGAAAACTCAAATTAAAATGTCATAGACCCCACTGTTTTTACCAACATTAAATAGTTTTTCTTGAATAAACTCTTTGCAGTTTATTCTGTTCCTTTGGTTTATTTTCAGGGTTCAAAAATGATTGTTTTTGATTGCTTTGTCAGTATTTTCTTTGTTTTTATCGGGAGGAAATTCACCAAGGTCCTCACTCTGCCATTCTGGAAATCAACTTCATTTCTCATACATTTTAAAAAAAATTTATTTCTGTAGGTTTTTGGGGAACAGGTGATATTTGGTTATATGAGTAAGTTCTTTAGTGGTGATTTGTGAGATTTTGGTGCACCCATCACCTGAGCAGTAGGCACTGAATGCAATTTATAGTCCTTTATCGCCCACCCCACTCCCACCCTTTCTCCTGAGTCCCCAAAGTCCACTGTATCATTCTAATGCTTTTGTATCCTCATAGCTTAGCTCCCACTTATAAGTGAGAATATATGATGTTTCGTTTTCCATTCCTGAGTTACTTCACTTAGAATAATAGTCTCCAGTTCCTTCCAGGTTTCTGTGAATGCCATTAATTCATTCCTTTTTATGGCTGAGTAGTATTCCATCATATATATATATATATACACATATATATGCACACACACACACACACACACACACACACACACACAATTTCTTTATCCACTCATTGATTGATGGGCATTTGGGCTGGTTCCATATATTTGCAATTGCAAATTGTGCTACTATGAACATGCGTGTGCAAGTATCTTTTTCATATAATGACTTATTTTCCTCTGGATAGGTACCCAGTAGTGGGACTGCTGGATCAAATGGTAGTTCTAATTTTAGTTCTTTAAGGAATCACCACACTGTTTTTCATAGTGCTACTTGTTGCCTGAATACCTTTTTTTTTTCAATTTACTTATTATATTTTTGTTTTATAGGTCCTGTGAGAATCATGCTTTAAAGAGGTTCTGTTTCGATGTGTTTTCAGGATTTGTTTCAAGATTTAGAGCCCCTTTTAGCAGGTCTTGTAGTTCTGGCTTGGTAGTGGTGAATTCTCCCAGTATTTGTCTGAAAAAGACTATATCTTTCTTTCATTTATGAAGCTTAGTTTCACTGGATACAAAATTCTTGGCTGATAATTGTTTTGTTTAAGGAGGCTGAAGAT
The DNA here is from genome assembly GCF_000001405.40 of Homo sapiens. Lineage (NCBI taxonomy): Eukaryota > Metazoa > Chordata > Mammalia > Primates > Hominidae > Homo > Homo sapiens. The sequence goes on along the minus strand of NC_000023.11, from coordinate 43,382,278 downwards.
AGGGCCCCAAATCTCTTCTAGCTTATAGGGTTTCTGCTGAGAAATCTGCTGTTAATCTGATAGGTTTCCCTTTACAGGTTACCTGATGTTTTTGCCTTACATCTCTTAAGATTCTTTCCTTCATCTTGACTTTAGATCACCTGATGACTATGTGCCTAGGTGATGATAATTTTGTGATGAATTTCCCAGGCGTTCTTTGAGCTTTTTGTATTTGGATGTCTAGATCTCTAGCAAGGCCGGGGAAAGTTTTCCTCAGTTATTCCTGCAAATATATTTTCAAAACTTTTAGATTTCTTTCTCAGGAATGCCTATTATTCTTAGGTTTGGTCATTTAACCTCATACCAAACGTCTTGGAGACTTTGTTCATTTTTTTAAATTATTTTTCTTTGTCTTTGTTGGATTGGGTTATTTTGAAAACCTTGTCTTCGAGCTCTGAAGTTTTCTTCTTTTTTTTTTAATTTTATTGCTGACTTTCCAGTACATTTTGCACTTCTCTAAGTGTGTCCTTTATTTCCTGAAGTTGTGATTATTATTTATGCTATCTATTTCACTGAAGATTTCTCCCCTCATATCTTGTATCATTTTTTTCATTTCCTTAAGTTGGATTTCACCATTCTCTGGTGCCTCCTTGATTAGCTTAACAATTGACCTTCTGAATTCTTTTTCTGGCAATTCATAGATTTCTCCTTGGTTTGGATCCATTGCAGGTGAGCTAGTGTGATTTTTCTGGGGGTGTTGAAGAATGCTGTTTTGTCATATTACTAGAATTGTTTTTTTGGTTCCTTCTCATCTTCAGGTCTCTCAGCCATGGATACCAGCACCTGCTCTGGTGGAGGTGGCAGGAGAGTGAAATGGACTCTGTAAGGGTCCTTAGTTGTAGTTGTTTAATGCACTAGTTTTGTGCTGGTTGGCCTCCTTTTAGGAGGTGGCACTTTCAAGAAAGCAACAGCTGTGGTAGTATAGGTGAGGATCAGGTGGTAGGTGGGCCCTAGAACTGCTAAGAGAATATGTCCTTTGTCTTGAGTGGCCAGGGAGGGTAGGGAAGGACCATCAGGTGGGGGCAAGGCTGGGCATGTCTGAGCTCAGGCTCTCCTTGGGTGGGTCTTGCTGCGATGCCATGCGGGATTGAGGTGTGGTTCAGGTCAATGGAGTTACCCCAGGAAGATTGTGACTGCCTCTGCTGTGCCATGCAGGTTGTCAGGGAAGTGGGGGAAAGATGGTAGTTATAGGCCTTGCCCAGATCCCACGCAACCCAAAAGGCCAGTCTCACTCCCACTGTGCGCCCTCAATAGCACCGAGTTTGTTTCCAGGCAGAGGGCGAGCAGGGCTGAGCACTTGCCCCAGGCTACCAACCTCCTGGCTGAGAAAGAAAAGGCAGTGGGCGAGCAGGGCTGAGCACTTGCCCCAGGCTACCAGCCTCCTGGCTGAGAAAGCAAACAGGGCTTTTGCACTTCCCTGCCTGTCAAGTCTGCACACCAGATTTACGCCCTCCTGAGTTCTAGCCAGGAAATTTTGTGTTCAGTTGGAATTGTTATAAAGTTCAGCTGGAGGTTTTCTTCTCCCTGTGGTCTTTTCCCAGTTCCTCTTGTGGCTCTCCCCAAGGACCCCTGTGAGACAAATCAGAAATGGCTTCCTTGGGGACCCAGAGAGCCCACAGGGCTTTTCCTGCTGCTTCCTCTACCCCTGTATTTCACTCAGCTCTCTAAATTGACTCAGCTCCAGTTAAAGTTGAATCCTTCTCCTGTGATCTAGACCTTCAGATTCTCCAGTGAGGGTGTGTGTTCCGGGGCGGATGGTCCCCCTTCCCCACTTTCACAGTTTGGGCACTCACAGTATTTGGGCTGTCTCCTGTGTCCTGCAGGAACAATCTGCTTCCTTCAAAGGGTCTGTGGATTCTTTTGGCTTTCCTGGTATATTGCTGCAGTAGTTGTTGGAGCAAAAGTTCATGATGCGAGTCTCCACATGCTGCTCTCTCCGTCCAAGTGGGAGCTGCAATTTAGTCCTGCCTCCTATCCACATTTTTTCCTTACTTTCTCGATTTCTCATACATTTTTAAAAAGTGTAAAATGTTCTACTGTTCCAGAGTGCAGATTATGAATGTAAATATAAATTATAAAAAGTTTATGCCTTGTTGCCTAGCTTATTCTTTTTTGAGCAATTGATTATATGGAAATAATCAGAATTCAACAAAAATGAATTATTATTTACATTTTTGTTTATAAGAGAAATATATATATACATACATACATATATATCCTGTCATATAAGTTTAGAAAAATAAATTATAACAATTTCCAATGACTGCATATTTCACATATAAATGCATATACAGAATGAGGAAATATGCAAAGCATATAAATAAATGACCAATGTATGAGTCCAATTTAGTAATACTATATATTGCAATTTATATTATAAAATATATATATGAATATTACAAACAAAATATAGTTTTGTAACACATCAACATAATTTTGTAATACATAAGCATATACACACACAGCATATATATAGGTATAGTATATACTGTGGTATTAAAAGTGGTTATCTCTCCATGGTGGATAGTTTTTTATTCTCGAGCTTTTATAGATTTTAGAAATTTTTTATTATGAACACATTCCCTTTGCAACCTGATAAAAATAATAAAGGTTTTAAGAACACATGGACACATAGAGGGAAACAACACAAACTGGAGACTATCAGAAGGTAGAGGGTGGGAGGAGGGAGAGGATCAGGAAAAATAACTAACAGGTCCCAGGATTAATACCTGGGTGATGAAATAATTGGTAAAACAAACTCCATGACACAAGTTTACCTGTGTAATAAACCTACACATGTACCCTGGAACTTAAAAGTTAAAAAAGACTAATTTAATAAGCAATTTGTAAGTTGTAGTTTCATCTTTGAGGATGATGTAGCTTATTACATAAGTGTTCTACTTTTGAAGAACTTTAAGAGTATTATTCATGATAAACTGGCCTTTTAAATCTGTTTGACACTGGTAATTATATAAAGGACCAAGTTTCCCTTCTTTCTTCTACTGCTAGAAAGCTTAGAGGCAAATTTCTTGTCCATCATTAAAAACATCCTTTTTTTCTTTCTTTTATGTTTCTTTTCCTCTCCTCTCCTCTCTCCTCCCCTCCCCTCTCCTCCCTCTCATTCTTTCTGACAGGGTCTCTCTCTGTGTTGCCCAGGGTGAAGTGCAGTGGTATAATCATACCTCACTGCAACCTAGAACTCCTGGACTCAAGCGATTCTCCTGCCCAAGCCTCCTGGGTGGCTGGGACTGTAGGTAAAGACCACCACACTCAGCTATTTTTTGTAAAGACAGGCTCTTGCTGTGTTGCCTAGGCTGGTCTTGAACTCCTGGCCTCAAGTAATCCTCTCTCCTCAGCCTTGCAAAGAGTTGGGATTACAGGCATGAGCCACAGTGCCTGGCCTCTATTGTCAATGTATTGTGTTTTCTAGTATTTAACATATCCTTCTAATCCATGTTCTTTTTTTTTTTTTTTTTTTTTTGAGATGGAGTCTCGCTCTGTCACCAGGCTGGAGTGCAGTGGCACCATCTCGGCTCACTGCAATCTCCGACTCCCTGGTTCAAGTTATTCTCCTGCCTCAGCTTCCCCAGTAGCTGGGATTACAGGCATGCACCACCATGCCCAACTAACTTATTTTTTTATTTTTTTTATTTTTAGTAGAGATGGGGTTCACCATGTTGGCCAGGATGATCTCGATCTCCTGACCTCGTGATCCACCCACCTCGGCCTCCCAAAGTGCTGGGATTACAGGCATGAGCCACTGTGCCCAGCCAATGTTCAATCTTTTTTAGAACAGTAGAACAATTGGGGCACACACACACACCCACCCACATTTTAAAGGCGAGTATAGAATAACTCAGTTTTTGAGATTTTAAAATATTTCTCTATAACGGCATCCATTCTTACACAGTATATTAGTTCTACAATTTGTTGGCAGTTTTAGCACACAAAGCTAGTTATCTTATTATGTTTCATATAGGTGCATGTTTTCCTTTTGTCCTATCTTGCACAGCCCTTATTTTAATCACTGTTTTACACAATTTTGCTGTGGTTGGTATCTGGTCCACAAGGGCAACATAGTTTCCTGGAAAAGGCACTGGAATTGACATCAAAATTTTAAAGTTTGTATCTAGACTCTGACAATTACTGGCAATATGGCCTAAGGTAAGCTATTTAAACAATCTGAACCACTTCATTTGTGGAATATAATAGAATACCCTTGTTCATAACTAGCCAATATAGTTTTTAGAATCAATTTTAATCAGAAGTATGGAAAATTTGTGTCACACTCATGTATGATTGTAAAGTGTTGGAGAAAGATATCCAGGTTAACAAAGCCTGAATTTACCAAGCTGATCACCTTGGCTCAAGGCTGTATCTGCCCAAAGAGGGTGACTTTTTCTCATTTGTACAAAATCTTCTTAAGGGTTAGTTGCATCTCTAAAATACTATCTTCATAAATTGCAATGCTATTATCCAAATGCATTTCTCTATATCGACAATTTTGTAGGCTAAGATCCTGAAAATGCTGGTGAGATTAAACACTTGTTTTCCTTCCTGGGAAGTCACCAATTGATGAACAAATAGCAGACATTCACAAGAGCCCTGTTTTTGTTGGAACTATTAATACATGGTTATTTAAGATAACAATAATCATTAGTATTTGGGGTTTTGCACAAGGTAATGCTGTAGCATTTGCATCAAAAGTAGTATATCTGGGAATGCTTTGCTCTCATTTTGTGTCTCCCTTGCTACTATGTCTAACACATTCTGTAAGATCTGCATGAAGAATCTACACTTCACCCTGTGAGGTTCAACTTATTATTAGCCTGGTGTTGTGAATGCTGAGATATGCCATCCAAATTTCCTCTTTAGGTCTAAGGCACTTATTTCCCAGGATTGTTGGTTCCTGCCAGTTTAGAGCTGAGTCCATCTCCAGGAATTGCCCTTGGCTGAATGGCTGCCCCTCTGAAAGTCACATTCTTTTCCCAGGTGCACCCAGCATTGAATGCCTGCCTAGATGATGCAGGATACAAGGCCAACCTCCTTGACACAACTTGGGACATGTCTGAAGGGCGACCCCAGCTTTAAAGCCTTCCACAAAACTGATGGGTCTTGGTTGCAACTATATCATAGTTCAGTTTCTCCCATACTCTGTTGGATGTGCTGTTCATAAGAGCACTCCCCTAAAACCTCCTGCACACAAATCTTTGTCTTTGAGTGCATTTCCCAAGAACTCTATCTGACTACTTGCAAAACTTTTAGAAATCCCTGAGATGGGCCAGGTGCTGTGGCTCACGCCTGTAATCCCAGCACTTTGGGAGGCTAAGGCAGGCAGATCACGAGGTCAAGAGATCGAGACCATCCTGGCCAACATGGTGAAACCCCGTCTCTACTAAAAATACAAAAATTAGCTGGGCGTGGTGGCACACAACTGTAGTCCCAGCTACTCGAGAGGCTGAGTCAGGAGAATCGCTTGAATCCAGGAGGCGGAGGTTGCAGTGAGCCATGATTGTGCCACTACACTCAAGCCTGGCAACAGAGTGAGACTCCATCTAAAAAAAAAGAAAGAAAGAAAGAAAGAAAGAAATCCCTGAGATGAATCTTCAGGTGTGAGAGTTAGTTGCCTCTTAGTCAATAGCCATTCTCTTCTTCTTCCTTCCAAACTGAACTCCCATTTGTTTAGACTGTCAACAGAGGACTGGATTAAAAAATATATTTTCCAGACTCCATGACAGTCAGGGGTGCCATGTGACACAGCTCTGATCAATGTGATATAAGCAGAAGTCACTGTCTTTCAAAAGGGCTAAGTGAGCGGATACATCTCCTTCTACCCTTTAGCCTCGCTCTTCTTCTTCCCTGAAAAGTATTTTTAATGCTAGAAAGGGACATGAGGAAAAACCCAACAGATTTTGAAACCTCAGCTCTAACATCCTTCAGCTCCTGAACCAATGTCAGCTACCACTTAAATTAGGGCTTCCATATTGAGAGACATAAACTGTATCTTGTTTATATCATTGTTACTGGATTTAAAAAAGTATTCAGTCAAGCTCAATTCCTATCTAATAAAGGGGAGGAAAGTACCTTTAGGCTTTGGATTCAGATGACATGTAAACCAAAGTTTAGTTTCCTAATCAGAGTTAGATGATCTGGTCTTGAGTTGTGGTTTATTGACCTTCAGTGAGTCCCTTACACACATTCAGCCTCAGCTCCCTTATTTGTAAAATGGGGAGAACATAACCTATGACGCTATTCTTAATGAGGATTAAATGAGAGACTAACTGTAAAAGTGTCTATACAATGCCTGTCATAAGTACTCTGTCACTATTCTTTTTTTTTTTTTCACTTATCCAACAGTCCCTTGCAGCTACCAAGTTTATCATTACACATTAGATATCAGATGCCCTATGGACATACTAGGACTGGGCAATTCTGATAGGGTCCTCTCTCAGCCTATCAACAACCACCTAGGATTGGTATCAGCTCTTACTGACCTGTCACTTCATGAAGCCATGATACACAGTGTGATGCAACAAAATAGAAGTAGAATGAGAAAGCATTGCTGGTTGGTTCACTGGGAATGGGACTCTGAGACAAAGTTGAGCATGCAAAGGTATTCATTCAGGAGTATCCTCAGATTCAAACCCCGTGGAAGGTGGGGGAAGGAGGCAAGATTGGGCAGAGGGAGAAGTCAAGCTGTGATACAGGCTCAGCGAGAGCCTGTATTGATCCTGTGGAAAGTGCTAAAGCAAGGAAGGTGCTGCAGAAATTTTCCCAAATTGGGCTGAAGTGGCCACGACTTTATACTCCCACATGGATCAGACATTGGGTGTAGGCTACCCAGAGAAAGGGCATGTCATTGCACAGCTGCTGTCTGCAGCTGAGGCAGACCCTGAAAAGGCTGACAGCTGGAGGCTGTCTGTCTAGAGTAGTCTCAACAGCTAAGGCAGCTCCTCCTTCCTTGAAGAGGGATCTTCCTTGAAGAGGATCATCCTGGCGTCCATTACAGATGGGAAGTAGAAACAAAGTAAGAGGAAACTACAGTGCTGAAACTTGAGCAAAAACTAGCAAAATATTTTCTGACTTACTACAGACTAATGCAGTCCTAGTTCCTGGCAAGAGGAATTTTTAATACTGTCCTTTGAAAAAAAAAAAACCCTAGAAATTAAACTTGCTTTACACAATTCCTTTTCTCATCTTCAAAAACTCACAGTTTTGGCCTTGTTTCCTTGAAATGGAAGAACTGCATTGTGCTAATGGCATCAGAGGTAAAAGATTTGGGATACTATATTTAAAAAGTCTCACTCTTTTGAATGAACTGTACTGTCAGCTCAGCCAAAATTAGTTTTTGCTTTTATTAGTCTAAAATTAGTCCACAAATAACCAATACATATGGTGCTTAATCATTGAAAAAACAATTTACATATATTATCTCATAATCCATACAACTGTGTTGGAAGATTGGACTTGTACCTTTATTTCTTTCATTTCCTGTGGCTCTATAGAAATCTTTACCAAATTCTTCAGCTACTTAGAGCAAAAATAAAAGTAAGCAAGCAAAACACAAAAGGAGGGGGATTTATGTTTCAAAATTTATATAGATGATTTCATAATTTTTTAAAATGGCATTTCTGACATTTTCAAAGCTTTCCTTTTCTGAGACATTGCTGAGGCTTATTAGGATGTAAAAGGACGATTAGAGAAGTAATTATCTCCACCTTACCCTCTACCTTACTGTCCCTAAACACCATTTATGACTTATGCTCTTATTTAATCCTTACAACTACATTAGAGTATGTGTGTGTGTATGTGTGTATATGTATATATGTATATAATTTTTTTTCCAGAGGAGAAAATTGAATTTCAGGCACAGGTAACTTTTCTAAGGTCATTAAATGATAGAATATATAGACTTCAACTTAAGTGTTTGTATTCTAAGTCCAACCTTTTCTGCTCTTTTCTCTTACTCAGAATCTGTTTTCAGACATCCATTAGGTACATCACTACATAATCAATGCCCTCTACAGTAGGTAATCCAGCAAATATGTTCCAGAATTCTAAGGTATAAAATGTTTATCCTCTTGAAACCAAACAACACACACCTACTTGATCCTTACCATAGATGTTGGTTTGTGAATGTAGAGGCGAAAATGAGACAAGTGTTTGTAAATTAAACTTCCATTGTTGAGAACAGGCTTTGAGTTGCTGCTAAAAATATTGTTTGTTAAGAGCTCTTTTCTTTCTCTGATTCTCTATCACTGTCTCTCCCTCTCTGCCTCTATTTCTTCCTATATCTCGGTCTCTCTCTGTCTTTGACTCTCCAACCTGTCTCTTTGTCTATATTTATTTCCTTTTCCCTCTCTCTGTCTCTTTCCCTTTTATCTCTGTGTGTATATGTCTCTTTCTCTCTGTCTCTGCCTTGGTTTCTATCTCTTGTGTGCCTGTCTTTCTATTTTTTTCATGGTAACATACTAAGGCTCACTGGGAATTATTTTGCTTCTTGAGAGACTTTCAGGTTTTCTAAATTATTTTGTTAAACGTTTTCTCATAATAACAATAAGCAGAAGACAATTCATCAAACAGAAGAGGTGAATGTTTAATGATAAATCCCTATATACTTAGTTTTGTAAAGCCCATTATGTTTTCAAAGGCTTTAACGATCATTAGTTAATTCCTGCTGCATTTCTGTCAGATGGGCTTCTGCCTTAATCCTCCCAAAAGAAGACTTAAGTATGACTGAGGTCTCCTAACCTCCAGTCTGCACTGGTATGGGACTGCCAACTTTACTTACTCCTGTGCTTTAGAGCGGAGGTCAGCAAACTGTAGCCCACGGACCACATCTCACCTGCTGCTTGTTTTTGTATGAGTTAAGAGTGAAGAATGGTGTTTACATTTTTAAAGAATTAGAGAAAAAGAAAACTAATATGCAGCAGAGACCACATGTGACCTAGAAAGCTGCTGACTCTTGCTTTATAGAATGCTGTATGGGAGTAGCCACACCCATGATTTCTCTGGGACATTGGAAGGATATTATAACAACTTTTCCCACGTTTTCTGAGGTCAGGTTACCAAGAAGCAGAGTCTGAGGGAGGGATGATGTTGCAAGTGAGTTAGTGGGGAAGTGTTACCAGGTGAAACCTCTAATGGAGTAAGGAAATCAGGAAAGGGCAGGAGAAGAAGCCAGGCAAAGATGTGGGTTCGGCTGAAATCTAGACTCAGCTGAATCTCACAGGGAGCTGTGCAGCATTAAGAATACCGTGGAGATGTCTCACCCTGAGGCAAGGAGACTGGACTTTAATACCCCAATATCAGTCGGTCATTAGTAACAAGGCAACTCCCAGAAAAGGAGTTAATGTAACTTCCTAGTCCTCTCTGTACAAGGCAGTCTCTGTTGACCTAGTATAATTCTTCAAAGATGGGTGAACTATGACCTGTTAGCAGGTAGCATTCATAGCAGCTGGAGAATGGACACAATAGCCTGGTGAAGGGGATCTGGGTAGAGAATTGACAGCAGCTACTGTACAGATGATAAAGGGAATGTGGAGGCTCCTCTAACCTTTTAGCCCCTGTTAGCAGGTTGGAGTCTGTCCTGCACCACATAGAGGTCTTGACTCTGAGTGGCTATCTGGATGGGCACCAATATTCTGTTTACAGATACACAGCTATGACAAAGAGGGGAGTGTCAGCCTTATGAACATGAGAGAAGCCCAATCTTCCTTCTAGATTAGAGGATGAAGAGTGATGGAATGTCTCAGTTGGATAGGCTTTTAGGGTCATTATATCCAATAACCTTGCTTTAAGCAGGAAGAGTGATTTCATAGGGTCCCCCAACTGGCAAGCAATTGAATTAGAAACTACATCCCTGTTTTCTAACTTAGATTATAAGGTGGTTTTCACCATTCCATGAGGCATCACTGGACTGAATACCTAACATCACAGCATAGCTGGTGTTTCTATGTTTAAGAAAAAGTGGGAAAAATTATTAGTTAATTTTCTCTGCTATCTGATTCATTAACCACTATTCCTATGACATGTGAAGTTATTCCCTAAGTTGTGACTGGTATTTTTTAAACTTTTTTTATTTTAAAGCAGTTTTAAATTTACAGAATTATTTTGAAGATAGTACAGAGAGTTCCTGTATGTATACTCCACATTGTTTCTCCTATTAACAGCTGGCATTAGTATGGTATTAAATATATATAACTATAAATATTTCTATTGTAAAAATCTGGGTCTATACTAAGCTAAATTAGATTCATACTGATGTCTCTAACTCTATGGAAGCCATTACCATGTGGATCATTCTAGGCTCTTTCCTTTGCTTACCTGTAACCTCCCACTCCAACAGTGAGATTTGGCTCCCATTATCCACTATCCATTTAGTATTTGATTCCCGTATACATATATATTTAGAATTGTTAACCCATACCCCCATTGGAAACAACATTATCAGCTATAGCACAGTTGTTAAATACAGGTCTTTTTGCTCTTTTGTGTTATAAACGCCACTCATTTCCAAGGTAACTTAGGTTAACACCTCTTCACCCACCCTCTTCAGTGAAGTTGTTTAAAACATTTGTAATGCATTTAGATTCTTTTGTCACATTCTGTTTTCCATCCTGCAATCTCCTGACCTCTTCAATAATTAAAAAAAGATGTATCTATTATGGTTTACTCTGTGCTATAAAGTTATACAAGTTTTGACAAATGCTCATTGTTTTATTTTCACCATTACAGTATCAAATACTCTGGAAAGGACAAAACTATAGAGACAGTAAAAACATCTGTTTTCCAGGGACTCAGGAGGAGGCATATGAGGGTTAAATAGGAGAAACATAGTGTTCTTCTAAAACGAGTGAGTTGTTTATTCTGTTTCTGTTTTCTGGAGGAGATTGTGAAAAATTGGTATCATTTCTTTCTTAAATGTTTGGTACATTTGACCAGTGAAATCATCTGGGCCTGGTGCTTTTACAAAAACCTATTAATTATTAATTCAACTTATTTAATGGAAATAGAACTATTCAAGTTAACTATTTCTCCTTTTATGAATTTTGGTGGTTTGTATCTTTCAAAAATTAGTGTATTTCATCTAGTTATCAAACTTACATGCATAGAATTGTTCTTAGTATTCCTTTATTATCCTTTTAATAATGGCCATGTGATCAGTAGTGATGAACCCTCTTTCCTTTCTGATATTAGTAATTTGGGTCTTCTCTCTTCCTTCTCTCTCTCCCTCCCTCCCTCCTCTCCCTCTCCCCTTCTCTCCCTCCCTCCCTCCCCACTCTCTGTTAACTAGAGGTTTATCAATTTTATTTATCTTTTCTAAGACCCAGCTTTTGGTTTCACTGATTTTCTCTATTATTTTCCTGGTTTAAATTTCACAGATTTCTACTCTAATTTTTATTAGTTTTTCTACTGCTTGCTTTAGGCTTAAATTGCTGTTTTTTATCTCTTGTTACCAAAGGTTTAACCTTAGCTTACTGATTTTAAATTTTTTTCTAACATATGCATTTAATGCTATAAAGTTCTCTGTAAGCTCTGCTTTCATCACATCTCACATATTTTGGTAAGTTATATTTTCATTTTTATTTAATTCAAAATGTTTTTATATTAAGATCTTGAGACTTCTTTGACCCATCTGTTATTACAAATGTGTTGCTTAATCTCCAAATATTTTGGGATTTTCCAGGTGTCTTTCTCTTATTGATTTCTATTTTAAATTCTACTGTGGTCTGAGAATATACTTTGTACAATTTGTATTCTTTTAAATTTGTTAAGGTATATCTTACGGTCCAGAATGTGGTATGTCTTGGTGAATGTTCCATGAAAACTTGAGAAGAATGTATATTCTGCTGGTGTTGGATGAAGCATTCTATTAATGTCAATTAGATCAAGTTAACTGATAGTGGTGTTCAAGTCAACCATATATTAATTGATTTTCTGTTTGATTGACCTATCACTTACTGACAGGGCTGTTAAAGTCTCCAACTATAATACTAAATTGTCTATTTCTCCTTTCACTTTAATCAGTTTGGGTCTCATGTATTTTGGTATTCATACATGAGTCTCATGTATTTTAGGTTCATACGTGTTTAGGATTGTTGTGTCTTTTTAAAGAATTGACCCATTTTGTATTATGTAGCATGGCTCTGTATTCCTGTTTTCTTGTTCTGAACTTTACTTTATCTGAAATTAATACTGCTACTCCAGCTTTTGTTTGGTTAGTCATCAGCATAGTATATTTTCTCCATCTCTTTGCTTTTAAACTGAGACTTAATATTTTTCTTTTTTTTTTCTTTTTTTTCTCAAGGCAGAGTCTCGCTCTGTCACCCAAGCTGGAGTCAGTGGCGCAATCTAGGTTCACTGCAACCTCCACCTCCCAGGTTCAAGTGATTCTCCTGCCTCAGCCTCCCAAGTAGCTGGGATTATAGGCACCCACCACCATGCCTGGCTAATTTTTGTATAGAAAGAGACAGGGTTTCACCATGTTGGCCAGGCTGGTCTTGAACTCCTGATCTCAGGTGATCTGTCTGCCTCAGCATCCCAAAGTGCTGGGATTATAGACATCAGTAACCATACCTGGCCTTGAGTCTTAATGTTTAAAGTATATTTCTCATAGACAATATATAGTTAGGCCTTGTTTTTATATACACTCCAAAAATATATCTTGTAAATGGTGTATTTTGACTTCCACATTTAATGTAGTTACTCATATACTTTGCTTAATATCTCATATTTATAATTGTTTTATAGTCATTGCCTGAGAATTCATTTTTTTTTTGCTTTTTCTCATTTTATTTCAGCATTTTATATGCTTCCATTTCCTCTCTTAAAATATCAATCATACTTTGAAAAATTAGTGACTACCCTATAGTTGCAATGTATATTTGTAACTAATTCAAGTCCACCCTCATATAACACTGTATTGCCTCACATATAGTGTGGCTACCTTATAACAGTATTCCCAGTTCCTCTCTCCTATCCCTTATGACATGCTGTCTTTCATTTTATATATCTATATGTTATAATCACCATATGTGTTATTATAATTACTTTAAGCAAACAGTGGTATTTTAATTCAATTAATCAATAAGTAAAGTAAAAGATTTTATTTTGCCTTTATTTGTTTCTCCTCCTATGCACTTCCTTTCTTCATGTAAATCCAAGTTTATGACCTTTATGCTTTTCCTTCTGCCTGAAGACAGTCTTTTAACTTTTCTTGCAGGACTGGTTTGCTGGTGATGAATTCTCTCAATTTCTGTTTTTCAGAGAAAGTCTTTATTTCTTCTTTACTTTTAAAGTAGAGATAGAGATAGAAGTAAAGTGGAGACAGAATTCTAGTTTGATTTTTTTCTTTTAATATTTTAAATATTTCATTTCACTCTTTTATTTTGCATGGTGGCTGACAAGACATCCATTGTTACTTGTATTCTTATTCTTCTGTAGATAAGTTTTTCTCCCTTTGTATTCCTTCAAGATTTTCTTTGTCATTGGTTTTCTGTAATTTGAATATGATACTTTTAGGTGTAAATTTTTCTTACATTTATTCTATTTGGTGTTTTCTGAGCTTCGTAGATCTGTGATTTGATGTCTGCAATTAATTTTGGAAGTTCTTGGCCATTATTACTTCAAACTTTTTATTGGCTCTGTTCTCTTTTTTCTCCTACTAGCACTAAGTATTATAATTACGCATATGTTACACCTCTTGATATCATTCTACAGTTTTTGGATGTTTCATTTTTTTCCAATTCTTTGTTTTCTTTTGCATTTTAATTTGGAAACTTTCTTTTGACCTATTTTCGAGATCACTGGATCACTGGTTCTTTCCTCAGCTATGTTGAGTCTACTGATGAGCCCAACAAAGGCACTCTTCATTTCTGTTGGAGTATTTTTTTATTTCTAGTATTTCCTTTTGATTCTTTCTTAGTTTCCATCTCTCTGCTTACACTACCCATCTGTTCTTGCATGTTGCCTACTTTTTCTGTTAGAGCCTTTATTGCATTAATCATTGGTTTTTAATTTTCCTGTCTGATAATGCAAACATCTGTGTCATATCTCAGTCTGTTCTTGATACTTGTTTTATCTCTTTAGACTGTTTTTCTCTTGTCTTTTGTCATACCTTATAAGTTTTAATTGAAAGCAGTACATGCTGTTTCAGCTAATAGCAACTGAGGATTTGTGTTAATCTGGCCATGAATTGGGCTTTGTTTAATATTTGCTCTTGCTCTAAGTGTGAACACTGTGTTCCAAATTCCTCTAATGTCATTTTTGTTTCCCCTCTTAACCTTGGGCTTCCCTAAGTATTCCCTCTCAGAGACTGTGTCTTACAGCTCTTAGCTATTATCCACTCTTATTATACTGTTGGTATGGTAGTAAGTTGTAGGGGAGGGGAATATTCAATAATATTCTGATTAAATATCAGTCTTTTAGTGGGAATTTGTCTCTGACTTGTGGTCTTCACCTGTATTTCTTCTTCTATTGCTTCCCACTGCCTTAAGTGAGACAGGAGGTCTAGAAAGGACTACAGTCAAAGGAGTGACTTTTTCCCAAAGTTTGGCGACATGGCTCTAGTAAAGTCTTTCCTCATGTAGAGTAGACCTTTCTCATGGAGAAAACTCTGGACAGAAATCATAGTAGTCACTCTTCTCTTACCCCTGCCAAAGCCACAAGGGAATCTTTTAGATCTTCATTATGATGAGCTGGTGGCATTTTTGGAAATAAAACTCATGAAAGTGTGGGAGTACCTCAAAACTGCAGCCCACATCATTTTTTATTTTCACCCTAGTCCAGACTCAGCCTTCAGTAACTAATCAAATTATCATTAAGTGTTACTACCAGTTTACGGTTCCTGCAGCTTTTGCTTCAGGTAGAAGATTTCAGCTATACTCCTCTGGGTTCACCTGTGTCTCCAGATTTCAGGGTGGCTGTTTGCCCTTCTAAGAAAAGTTATTCATTTTCAGTTGGTCTAGCCTTTTTTTTTTTTGAGACGGAGTCTCACTCTGTCACCCAGGCTGGAGTGCAGTGGTGTGATCTTGGCTCACTGCAACCTCCGCCTCCTGAGTTCAAGCGATTCTCCTGCCTCAGCCTCCCGAGTAGCTGGGATTACAGGCACGTGCCACCACACCCAGCTAATTTTTTATATTTTTAGTAGAGACAGGGTTTCACCATATTGGCCAGGCTGGTCTTGCACTCCTGACCTCATGATCCACTGGCCTCAGCCTCCCAAAGTGCTGGGATTACAGGCATGAGCCACCGCGCCCGGCCCTTGTCTAGCTTTTTCTTATTGTAAGGACTGGGGTGATATTGTCTAAGCTTTTTATATGTCAAGGCAAAAACTAGAAGCTCTACTAATCTTTTAAAAATCAACCTCTTCTTGCTTTCTCCTTTCTCCCAGCTAGTATGGAAATCCTTTCCTCTTTTTCTTACAACCTTTTTCACAGGGCTTTCTTAGCAGAGCTGTTTGCCTCTGGAAACAGTCTTCTGTATATTATGGCCATCTGCCTCTTGGAATGCACAGTGTTAAGGGATGGTCAAGTACAACCTTACTCTGTACCTAGAAATCCTGCTACTTCTCAAAACTGGTTCCTACAATGAAATCTTCTTCATCATGCCTTTGTGAAATATTCATATGTACTTTCTCACAGAGGTTTCACTATGTTTTCTTACATTTTTCTCTTTTTGTGGAGGTGGGAGGATCCTTTAGGATATCAGACAAGTTGTATGAATCCTGAGAACCTAATTTAAATATTTTTCATGGGGAACTGAAGCCCATAAAAAGTAAGGATTAGGTAGTGGGGTAACTGAGCATCTGTCTTAAATGTTTCTAACAGTCAGGATATCATGGCCTGCACCGGTCACAGCAAGTGACAAATAATTGTGTCAATTTTTTACATAACCAGAAGTCTGGTGGGAGCCAGTCCAGGGTTGAGCAGGCCAGGATTGTGCAACATTTCAAGGACACAGTTAAAAAAAATACCTTTCTGGGCCAGGTGCGGTGGCTAACGCCTATAATCCCAGCACTTTGGGAGGTTGAGGCAGGCGGATCACCTGAGGTCAGGAGTTCGAGACCAGCCTGGCCAACATGGTGAAACCCCGTCTCTACTAAAAATACAAAAAAATTAGCCGGGTGTGGTGGCTCGTGTCTGTAGTCTCAGCTACTTGGGAGGCTGAGGCAGGAGAATCGCTTGAACCCAGGAGGCGAAGGTTGCAGTGAACCAAGATTGTGCCACTGCACTCCAGCCTGGAGGATAGAGTGAGACTCCATCTCAAAAAAAATTTAAAAAAAAGATAAAATACCTTTCTACTTTGTCGTACCCAATGTGTTAGATTTTTGCATCCTGGTCTCAAGATGGCTGCCCCATGTACATCTATCCCTTTGATCAGGAAAGAAAAAGAAATACCCATAAACTAGTTGTTTATATCAACTTATATCACATGGCCACCCTTAGCAGAAGAGAGACTGAGAAAATGAGTGTACAACTTTTGTAATCTCTCTAGGAACTGCACTAGGGAGAAGAGGTTGAAAATGAATGTGGGATAATGCATGGTGGCAGCCTCTATTGATGGGCTCACCCAAATTTCAGAAACCATGTACTCTCTTATTTGATCCTCACCACAACTCTCTGACAAAGAAAGAGATAAGCAGTCTGATGCGGATTGAGGGACAGGTGTTCTGACTTTGCTATTATTATTTTTTTCTTCCCATTTTTAAGGCTCATATCACAATTCTCCTTGAAATTGGGCCACTTCACTATATTCCTAAACAAACTTTTATTTTCCTCATCATTAATTTAGTAGGTATGTGTGTCCATTTAGATCCTCTGATAAACAGATGGTTAGACAGAGTTAGGAGTGCAAGTGGTTCATTGGGAGATAATGCCTATGACATATAATAAGATATTAAGCAGTATTGGAGAGGAAGAGCCTCAGACTATGAAACAAATCTTTCAAAGTTTTGGCAAACTCATGAGGAGTTTTTGAGAAAAGATTGTCATTAGAGTATTGCATTAGGCAAAAAAGGACCATTTCCTAGTATCTTCACCAGGATCGGTCATGCACTGGGAGATGCCTGGGAAGGGTGCGAATTTGATGCAAATGCTGCAATGGATCCCAAAGGTACTACAGATAGGAGCTATGAGATAACTGTTCGTATCACAGATTAATGGCAAGGTCTTTCTTAAAGGAACATCTGGCTGGTGCACCTCTATTGCTGCCACTGAATGATTTTCAGTCATGTTAGTGATCAAATTGTCCACAAGCTCTTCTTGAGTCTCTACAATGTATAAACTGATCTGCTGGGCTCTTTGATGTTTGAAAGAAGTGTGAGACACTTACTAACATGTTGGCTATCTTCTATTTTTCCCCACTTCTCTACCTTGCTCTATGCTCCTGGAGCCTGACCTATATGGAATGTAGCACAGGGCTTCAGTGCGTTTTGACTCTCAGTTGGATATGACTACTGAGGAGCCTTGGCAATAGGTTGAAAAGAGTGAGAAGAATAAAAAAGAAATTTTCCCCTGAACGTCTCCTTTTGAGGTCACCTTAGGTCAGCTATGTCCCTTTCCCAAAGGTCACTCTTCCTCTCAAGACTTTTCTGCATAATTTTCTCTCCTTCTAAGTTCCAATAACCTCTTTCTCTTTATCTCCTCATCCCTTCAGATGTAGGAGTAGAAACAGCTACAACTGCCTTTAACAGTGCAGGCAGGTTTCTGTTCTACCCCTGGTAGTTTCCCTATACCCTGCCCAAACCTTTGTTATCAGATCCTTTGTAAATCAGTACTCCTGAAATTATCTTAATTGGAGTGTGCCATCTGTTTTCAGTTGGGACCCTGACTCATGCACTTGCTTTTTAATTTTTAAATGCATATGCCATTTCTACATAATTAGCTTTACAGAAGCAACTTGAAGCAGAACCTGCAACTTACACTGGATTCTTAATAAACAAACATCTTTTATACAACATAGTTTTTTCTGTGAATACTTGTTTATTTCTCCATTTATTCATTCAATTAAACAATGATGTATTTAGGGCCTACTATGTGCCATGTGCTATGTTAGATACTGTACACAGGGATACTGGTCAGTCCTCAAAGAGAAGCCTAGAACATAGGCAGAGGGCATAAAGTATAGTGAAGCAACAAGAGGGCAGAGATTGAAATATACCCAGTGAACTATGAATGCCTAGAGGAGAATTTGATTATTTTTAACCTAGGAAGCCAGGAAAGGCTTTGCTAAAAAAGTGACACTTGAAATGAGTTTTGAGAGAGGTATTCACTGGGTTGACAGGGTAAAAATGTGTGATCACAGGCTCACTTTTCACATGACTAAAGAAAGGCATGAAGGGTAGACAAAGCTTTCAGAGGCTAAGTCCAAACTACATGCCATACTAAAGAGTTTGGATGTTACTCTATAGTAACATCCAAGTTATCAAAGGGCTATTTAGAGGAATGTGAAGGGCCACATGTACATTTCAGAGAGATGGTCTGACAGTATCCTGGAGGGTCACTGGAAAAAAGTGAGACTCACAGTAAGGTCAATTTAAGCAGCTATTATAATAGATCAGGTGAGAAGGGAAAACACCTTGAATTAAAGTAGTAGGCAATGATGATGATGATAATAAGAGATAGACAGATGGGGACTGATTTGAAGATGTTGTCAATTGAGTCATCAGGACAATAGGAAGGTACTAGTTCAAGAGGAAACTGTAATTCCTGAATGGCATTTGAATGCTGGGAACAGCATAAGCTGATTTTCAATTGTCTATAATAGTCTGGAAATAAATACTCTTCCCTAATGGAGACTGAACAACAATGTGTTAGTGTGTATTATTGCTTTAAAATGGGAAGAATGAGTTATCTCTGCTTCAAATCTCCCATGTATTTGGGTAGTGAAACAATTTTTTTTTAAACAATATCCAATGGGGAAAGAAACTTCATGGAAATAATATGTAAATAGGCTATTGCTTTGTGACTTTGCCTATTTCTACTTTCTATCACACATGATTGCAAATTTTTCTCTAGCAAGGAATAGGTTTTTCTTTTTTATTATTGGTAGCTTGGATTTTTTATTTTTTCCTCTTCATTAAAACAAAGAGTTATGTGGCCTGGGGAAAAGAAATGCAAAGCAATGGCACTTCCTGTGAAAAAAGACTGCATTTAAAAGCCTCACATTTTAAATAACATTGTGTGGTAAGTTTTGATATCTACTTGAAGATATTTTTTTTCTGCTGATAACTTATTCATGCAGTTCCTCATGATGTTAATGATAATCATAGTGTACTTTTCGAAAATAGAATAAAATTTGCCCTAGAAATATATTGAATTCAGTCCTTCAGAAATCCTATCATGAAAAATAGTCATTGTGCCCCTTGTTTCCTGGTTTTTGTTCTTTTTGTCATCAAAATAAACATTCACAAGGAGCAAGTATTTTAACGAAAGAAATAAAGGTGAATCCCCAAATAGACAAAAAAGCAATTTACAAAAAAAAATATATATATATATATACATGTACATTAATATGAAAATTTTCAACTTAAGAGATAACATAAATGCAAATTAAACCAATAATAAAATTATGTTTCATCCATAAATTTTCCAATTATAACATATTAATACCCAGCTTTAACTAAAGTGGAATGAATTAAGTTGCCTCATATATGGCTGATATAAATCAGTATAAGTTGTCACCAATTTACTGGAGGGCAAAATGGAAATCTGTATTAAGACACTTAAAAATATTTTCTGATTTTAAGCTATCAATTTCTCTTCTAAAAATGTATCCTAGGAAAATTAAGACAAATTTCCACTAGGATTTAGCCAAAGTGTAATATTTGCAGTGTTATTTACAATAGCAAAACATTTATAGTATGTGGAGGGGCAGGGGAGAAGACTAAATATTCGACAACAGAAATTTGGATAAATCTATTTATCTAAAATATATGATGATGTGACTGTGTGTGTATATATACATATATGTATATATATGGAATCAGGCCTGGTCCCCACAGGAAATAGAAACACAAACACAGTATACTTGAAATAGGATAATTCAAGAAGGGTTTATTTATATGCAGGAACATAGGGCTAGTAGCAGCCAAAATATCATGACTACAGGCTTGAAAGCATGAGAGAGGACAGAGAATGTTGGTTTTCCTTAAGAGGAGCAGTAAGTAACTTTTATTTGAGAGAAATAGCCAGCCCAAGGCAAACTTTCAGGGAAAGAACCAAGGAAGTAAATACCCTGTCTCACACCCCTCCCTTCTTTGCAGTCTACTGCTAGGGCCAAAATCAACTTAATGTTGTGGACAGAAGTTGAGGTAGTAGTGAATGAGAAAGGGTTAGAGAATAGTAAAAAATGAATCTGGAAGGGAGTCAAGCAGAAGTCATCTCATACAGCCCATTCTTTTTGATTTGCAATATCCATTCTTGCATTTCATTAGGATGAAACCTTCATTTTCCCAACAGAGGAGTGCATGAAGTCCCATCAACTACTGTATCATTGCAGGATGATAAAATCTCATCATACTGTCACATAAAATATAAAACATTAATCAACGCCAGAGTTCATATAATACAATATGGGAAAAGGGATTAATTTCACAAAATGTAGATGTGTTAGACCCCATTTCTATAGCTGGTCATAAGGGCTAAGTTGATTAGTATAGTTATCTTCTACCATATATTACCTGTGCCTTTATCCTTTGATGGCATGCCAGCTGGATGGTAATCTTTACCGGGGGATGGTGCAAACTTTAAAGAAGTTGAGTCTTTGATGTCTGGTTTACATTGCAATGATGCAGATTTTCATAGATCAGGACTATTGAGTACAAGAGAGAAATACGATGTGCTCTAGGAAATGCCCTAGCTCTCAAAATAGGCCTTTTTGCCCTTGTTGTGTAGCAATAACCCAGTTTCCCCCGATAATCAGAATAAATCACCTTCTCAGTATAGTGACCCCCTTCTATGTTTGTTGTTTCAATGGCATGATAAGCCCAAAATGGCCAGGTACCTCACTCAGCTTTCACTAATGGAGTCATAACTGTGTTCATTGTTGAAAGGATTTCTCTATTGGTCACTAGGGCATCTAAATTCAGTGAATGAAGCAAAAATACTTTCAGTGAGTATAACAGAGGGGCCATTCCTGTTTATGTACTCCTTAATTTCTGGACTTACACAATTATGGTGAAGAAAGCACCATATATTGAGAGTTGCAAGGCATTCTTCCCAGCTGGCACTGTAACTGAACCTTCAGCAGTCTACTACACTCCACATAAAGCCAGATGCTTCTTGGTGAAAGCACTTAATAAGGCCAGTGAACTCTGTGAGCATTGGAAGATATTATTGTACTTCCTTTACAGTACGTAGGAGATATATATATATATATATATATATATATATATATATATATATAATGGCAATGCTGTGTGGATACCACAGCAATAGATAAAGCATTCTTTAGGTACAAAATGGTGGTGCTGGCCATGTGGTGGGCTTGGAGGCCAAATTTATAATCCTAACATGTGTTTCAATGGCATGATAAGCCCAAAATGGCCAGGTACCTCACTCAGCTTTCACTAATGGGGTCATAACTGTGTTCTTTGTTGAAAGGATTTCTCTATTGGTCACTAGGGCATCTAAATTCAGTGAATAATTTGTGAATAACTGTGAGAATAAGACATTTTCATTCCCATGAGGACAGTAATCCAAAGTAATCAATCTGCCACCAAGTATATAGCTTCTATCTTTGACAATATGACACTTTGTAAATGGGTGTTTTAAAAAATAGACTTTTAATATTAGAATAATTTTAGACTTACAGAAAAGTTGTGAAGATAATACAAAGAGTAGCCATTATAACCCACACCACTTTCTCTTATTATTAACATCACAAATTACTATGGTATATTTTGTCAAAATTAATGAACCAATATTGACACAGTATTATTAAAGTTCATACTTAATTCAGACTTCCTCGGTTTTTAGCTATTGTCCATTTTCTGTTCCAAGATTCCATTCAGGGCCACATTACATGAATTGTCATGTTTCTTTAGGGTTCTCTTTGTGACAGCTTCTCAGACTTTCTCTGATCACCCTAACAGTTTTGAGGAGTGCTGGTCTGGTATTTTTTTAAGTATTCCTAAATTGGAATTTGTCTGATATTTTTCACATGACTAGACTAGGGTTGTGGGGTTTTGAGAGGAAGGCCAAAGGGTAAAGTGCTATTTTTATCACATCATAGCCAAGAGTACATACTATCAACATACATATATAGTATGTATATATGCTATCAACATCACTGTTGAGGTTGAACTGGATCACCTGGCTGAGGTAGTGTTTGCCAGTTTTCTCCACTGTAAAACTACTTATTTGTTTTCCTCCTTTTCATACCATAGTACTGGGAAGAAAGTTACTATGCAGCCCACACTTACTCAATGGGGAGTTATGCTCTGTTTTCTTGAGAGCAGAGTATCTGCATAAATTATTTGGAATTCTTCTTCATGGGAGATTTATCTATTCACTCATATTTATTCATTTATTTATGTCAGTATTTACTCATTAATATTTATTATATATTTTGAGTCATAATCTAATACTATTTTATATATTTTGTTGCTTAAATTATTCCAGATTTTGCTACTGGGAGTTCTTTCAGTTGACTCCTATGTCCCTTTGACATAATCCATCAATGTGAAGGGTATGTTTGGTTTTTTTAAAGTTATTTCATTACTTTCTAGCACATAAAATGATCCAGCTCATTTTATATAATTTCCTGCCTCAGTCCTAGAATCATCAATTACTTCAAGGATCTCTGGTTCCTTTTACTGGAGAATGTTTATAGAAAGCCAAATCTGGGTACCCTGTGTGCTCATTGCTATTGAGGGTAGTTTTGCTTCAGGACCCTAATATTGACAGAGCAAGGAAATTTATGTTTATATACTAACCTGTGAGTATATACAAATCTTAAATATTTTTATAAGTAGCAATTTATATTTATATTAAGCTAAATGTGAGTTCATATTGGTGTCTCTAACTCTAATCCATTACCATATGGATCATTCTGGACTCCTTCCCTTGCATATGTGTAACCTACCACTTCAAAAGTGAGAAACATGGCTCCCACCATTTACCATATACACATAAGTCCAGTATACATATTGCTATGGTTTGAATGTATATGTTCCCCCCAAATCCATATGTTGCAACCTAAGACCCAAGGTGCTAGTATTAAAAGGTGGAGCCTTTAGGAGGTGATTAGGCCATGAGGACTCCACCCTCATGGATGGAATCAGCACCCTTATAAAAGGGCTTGAGGCTGTGAGTTTGGTCCCTTTTGCCCTTCTACCTTCTGCCACATAAGCATGCAGTAAGGTCTTCACCAGAAACCATATCTGTGAACAGCTTTATCTTGAACTTCCCAGCCCCCAAAACTGTGAGAAAATAAACCTCTGTTCTGTATAAATTACTATACCCATTCTCAGGTATTTTGTTACAGCAGCACAAATGGACTAAGATAGAAAATGGTACTGAGAAGAGGAAATGTTGCTAGAATACCTAAAAGTGTTGCTAGAACAAATACTTAAAAATATGCAAGTGGCTTTGGAACTGGGTAATGGGTAGAGGCTGGAAGAATTTTGAAGTTCATGCTAAAAAAAAAAGCCTAGATTACCATGAATGGAACATTAACCGCAATTCTGGTGAAGACTCAGAAGTAGAGAACTGTACAGACAGCCTAAATCTTAGAGCTATCTAAGTGGTCATGAACAGCATGTTGGTGGGAACATGGATGGTAAAGGCTAAGCTGATGAGGTTTTAGATGAAAATGAGGAACAAGATATTGGAAACTGAAATACCATCCTTGTTACAAAGCGGCAATGATCTTGGCTGAATTTTCTTTATACCCTAATGCTTTGTGAAAGGCAGAACTTGTGAACAATGAACTAGACTATTTGGTGGAAGAAACATCTAAGCAAAGAGTCCAGAGTGTTGCATGGCTTCTCTTGATTGCTTATAGTAAAATGCAAGAATAAAGAAATGATTTAAAGATAGAATTTATAATTGAAAGGAAACTAGGTAAATATTTAGAAAATTTCCAACCTGGCCAAATTATGAAGAATAAAAAAGCACGTTTAGAAGAGAATATCAAGGATGTGACTAATTGACCATTTGATATGGAGATTAGTATGGATTGAAGGAAGCCAGATGCTATTCATCAGGACAGTGGAAGAATGACCCCAAAGGCATTTCTGAGATTTTTGTGGCTTCCCCACTTACAGAATGCCAGAGCCTCTAGAGCAGAACAGTTCCAAAAGAGGGGTTCAGGGCCCCCATGGAAACTTGAGAGACTTGTTGCCCTGGGCTGCCTCAAGTCTCTGCTTCTCACATTCTGATGCAGCACTCTTTGGTCACCTCAGCTGTGGCTCAAGTGGGCCCAGGTGCAGCTCAGACCATCACTCCAAAAGGTGCAGACTATAAACCTTGATGGCATCCAAACAGTGCTAATTCTGCAAGTGCACAGAGTACATGGGCTGTGGAGGTATGGCTACCTCCACCTAGATTTCAAAGGATGCTTCTGGGAACCTTGAAGCCCAGGCAGTGGATTGCTATAGGGGCAGGGCTGCCACAGAGAGCTGCCATTAGAACAATGCTTTGTGGAGCTAAGAGGTCAGAACCACAGCTTAGAGTCCCAACTAGGGCAATGCTTACTTAGCAGATCCATAGAGGTGGGGCTGCCCGTGAGACTGCAGACATCTAGAGCCATCAGTGTGCTGAAGTTTCAGCCTAGGAGAGCTACAGTTACCTGCTCCAAACTATGAGAACTGTGGCATGGGCTGTATCCAGCAAAGCCCCCCATGGAAGCTTGGAGACTGAACCCCCACTCCAGTGTTTCCAGAATGTGGGCAAGGAGTCAAGATTATTCTTAAGCTGCAAAATGTAATGTTATTTGCTCTGTTGGGTTTAGATCTTACTTAGAATCTGTTATTCCTGTGTTCTTGCCTATTTCTCCCTTTTGGATTGGAAATGTCTTCCCTATGCCTGTCTGATTATTGTATTTTGCAAACACATAGCTTGTTTGATTTCACAGGTTCACAGCTGGAGATTAGTTTGCCTCAGAATGAATCATATCTTGAATCTCACCGATATCTAATTTAGATGAGACTTACACTTTAAAGTTGGTGCTGGAATGAATTAAGATTCTTGGGGCTATTGTGATGGAATGAATGTATTTTGAATGTATGTTAGGAGGATGTGAATTTTGGGGGGCCAGGGATGAAATGTTATGGTTTGAATGTATGTGTCCCCTCAAAATGCACATGTTGAAACCTAAGACTCATGTGATAGTATTACGAGGTGGGGCTTTTAGGAGGTAATTGAGCCATGAGGACTCCACCTTCATGGATGGGATTAACACCCTTATAAAAGGTCTTGAGGTCATGAATTCAGCCTCTTTTGCCATTCTGCCTTTCTGCCATGTAAGGATGCAATAAGAAGGCCTTCACCAGACACCAAACTTGTCAGCACCTTAATCTTTGATTTTCCAGCCTCCAGAACTGTCAGAAAATAAATCTCTGTTCTTTATAAATTTTTCAGTCTCAGGTATTTTGTTATAGCAGCACAAATAAATTAAGACAGAAATATGGCAGTATAGAAACTATTAGCTCATATCCCCATGTGTAACAACTTTATTAACTAGAGCACAGTGCTTGTGTATTTTTTTTCCTTTTGTCTTACAGAATCCACTCATTCCCAAAGTGTCTTAGGTTAGCACTTTTTCATCCCACTCAGTTCAGTGAGGTTCTTTTATATATTTGCGATATAGTTAGATTCTGTATTTTATTCTGGGATTCCCTGGCCTCCTACATAATTTTATTAAATAATTTGTGTATGCTACTCTTTGTGCTTTAAAGTTCTAAGTTTCTTGACAAATGCATAATGTCATACAGCCACTATTACAGTATCATACAAAATAGTTTCACTGCCCTGAAAATCCTCTATGCTCCACCTATTCATATCTCCCTCTGCCCTACCCCATGAAACCACTAATATTTTTACTGCCTCCATAGTTTTTATTTTTCCAGGGTGTCATATAATTTAAATTATGCAGTATTCTGATGGTTAATTTTATGTGTCAACTGGGCTGAGCTAATGGATGTCCAAATAGCTGGTAAAATATTTCTAGATGTGTCTATGTCTAGTAGAGCTTAACATTTCAATTGGTAGACTGAGCAAAGAAGATTGCCATCACCAATGTGGGTAGGCATCATCTAATCTATTAAGAACCCAAATAGAACAAAAGGCAAAGGAAGAGCGAATTTGTTGTCTCTTCTTGAACTGGAACATCCATTGCCTATTTTCTCCCTCCCTGGGAAATTGGAACTCCTGATTCTCAGTTCTTCAAAGTCCAAGACTTAAACCAGTGCTACTCCCCACAACCCCAACTCAGACTGTGAGTTACATCATTGGCTCCCTAAATTCTCAGCCCTTCTAACTGAAACTGAATTACCTCACTGGGTTTTCTGGTTCTCCAGCTTGCAGATGTCAGTTCATGGGAATTCTTGGCCTCCTTAACCACATGAACTAATTTGCTAATTCCCATAATAATATCTCTCTCTCTCTCTCCCTCTCCCTCTCTCTCTCTCCCTCTCCCTCTCTCTCTCTCTCTTCCTCCCTCCCACCCCGCCAGTTGGTTCTGTTTCTCTGAAGAATACTGGCTAATACAAATTTTGGTACTGACAGTGATTTTAGAGGAAGATAATTTTAAAGATGAGTTTTCTGAATTGATTCTGGGGTTTCTGGAATTGACTCTCTAATCTGACTAGATTTAAAGATGCTCATGAGTCTTTTTCCAGTAGTAAAAAGATCACTGATAGTTCATGGCATGACTTGTTTATAAAGATACACAAAATATCTGCATTAGATACTCCTAGTTAACCACTTATATAAAGCAAGGTGTTAAATGACTCTGTGTATGATAGTCTTGAACATATTTGGAAAAATAAGGAATATAATGGCATTGGTTGGTTGCTCCTAATGTTGTTAGACAAAGTGGTGAAATA
Source organism: Homo sapiens (assembly GCF_000001405.40). Taxonomy (NCBI): domain Eukaryota; kingdom Metazoa; phylum Chordata; class Mammalia; order Primates; family Hominidae; genus Homo; species Homo sapiens. The sequence goes on along the minus strand of NC_000023.11, from coordinate 43,355,187 downwards.
AAAGAATGAGCTCAGGGATTAAAATTCCCACCTCAAGCACTACATAAATTACTTAAGAGCTTTTAGGTATGCCCCAAGGGAGAACCTGATCTCCTGTAGCTGCAGGGCTGAAATTGCTGGAAATAAAATGCAGGACTTCATCCTGAGATTGGCTGAATTACAATGCAAATTTAACTCCCAGCCTCGCAGGATATCTACTGTTAAAGTGAGGGCATTGAATGGTAAAGAATGGGATCCTGTAAGTTGGAATGAAGATGTCTGAGAAGACCCTGATAAAGCTGGGGACTTTGAGCCCCTATATTCTGATAAGGCTTCTTTGCCAGTAGAAGAGCTTTCTCCACATCCAGTGGAAGCAGCCTCCCAATCCCCAGTGGAATTGTCCTCCCAGTTCACAGTAGTGTCACCCTTTTCATTTCTGTCTGAGTAGATTAAGCCTGCATTGCCTTAGGAAATTTTAATGGCCTCCACTGAGGCAGTTCCCATGCAAGACAATTCAGATTCTCCTCATGACTTACCTCCACCACCCCTCTTTGTGTTTAGACCTATAACTAGATTCAAGTTACAGAAGACTTTTAAAGTCAAAGTGTGACCCATGAGGAGATGCACTATATTCCAAAATAACTTCTTGATTTCTCTAATTTATACAAGTAGAAATCCAGGGAATATGTGTGGGAAAGGATATTCAGGATATGGGATAATGCTGGAAGGAACATAATGTTAGATCAGGCTGAATTTATTGATATGGGCTCCATAATCAGGAATTCTGCATTTAATGTTACAGATTGGGGAGTTAGAAAGGACTTTAATTATTTGGTTAGTTGGCTAAAATATGAACCAAAAGATGGCCCACCACAAGTGAATTAGAAATGCCCAATCTTGGCCAGGTGTGGTGGCTCACATCTGTAATCTCAGCACTTTGGGAGGCCAAGGCAGGCGGATCACCTGAGGTCGGGAGTTCGAGACCAGCCTGACCAACATGGAGAAACCCTGTCTCTATTAAAAATACACACAAAAAATTAGCAGGGCATCGTGGTGTATGCCTATAATCCCAGCTACTCGGCAGATTGAGGCAGGAGACATAGCTTGAACCCAGGAGGTGGAGGTTGTGATGAGCTGAGGTCACGCCATTGCGCTCCAGCCTGGGCAACAAGAGCGAAACTCTGTCTCAAAAACACACACACACACACACACACACACACACACACACACACACAAAAGCCCAATCTTTCTTGGTTTAATGCAGAGAAAGGAATACAAAGGCTGGGGATACTGGACTGTTAAAGTGGATTTTTTATTTGAGACTTATATCAGAAGAGTCCAGGCAGCATACTTTTCACTAATACATTGATGACTAAATTTGTAAGAGGAGCTCCAGCAATCTTGAAGAGCTCCATGATCACTCTTCTGTGTAGGCCAGAACTTACAGTGGGAACCATAGTCACTCAATTAGAAAACCTAAATGAAATAGGAGTAATTGGATCCCAGACTGGCAAAGCCAAGAGGCAGAACTCAATCACCAAAGGCAAGTTGAGGTTAGTCACTATAATGAACAGCAATATTAAGTTAGTTGAATATACAAGTCTAAAATTCAGTGAATAAATTGAGGTTGAAGACAGGCTTTTAGAAGTTGTAAGTATATATATGATATTTGTATTAGTCAGTGTTCTCCAGATAAACAGAACTAATAGGATACACACACACACACACACACACACACACACACACACACACACACATATGTTTTGTTATAAGGAATTGTCTCACATACAATTATGAAGGTTGAGAATTCCCATGATCTGCCATCTGCAAGCTGGAGACCCAGGAAAGTTAGTGGTATAATTCAGACCAAGTATAAAGGCCTGAGAACCAGGGGAGCCAATGATGTAAATCCCAGTCTGAAGGTAGGAAAAGATGAGATGAGATGTACCAGCTGAAGCAGTAAGGCAAAAGGGCAGGGGCAATTTGTTTCTTTCTCCACCTTTACTCTATTCTGACCTTCAGTGGACTGGGTGATGCCTACACACATTAGGGAGAACCATCTACTTAGTTCACCAACTCAAATGTTAATCTTATTTAGAAACATTCTCATAGACATATCTAGAAATAATGTTTAACCTGATGTCTGGGCATCCGCAATCTGCTCAAGTTGATGTATAAAAGTAGAAGTATCACAATATCTAAAGCAATGGGACAAATCAGATTACCTAAGGAATGAGAGCAGATGGAGGAAAATAATGACAAGAAAATAGAGCTCTGGTACACTTCAATGTTTGGAGGTTTGATAAATGAGGAAGAGCCAAAGGATAGAAAAGGAGGAAGCAGTGAGGTTAAAAGAAAATTTAAGAATAGTGTTCTGAAGGCTAAATGAACAAAGGTGTTTCAAGGAGGAAGGAGTCATCAATATTGTAAATGCCACTGATGAGTTAAACAGATGAGGACTAATAATTGACTATTAGATTTGGCAACATGGAGATCATTTGTGACTTTGCCAAGAGTGGTTTCAGTGGATGAATATGTACTATATATTTAATCAGAAAAGAAAGCAATACTTTAGTGTCACCTTATGGAACCTATTTTAGTGTAGTGTGCTGACAAAAGCACAGGGTTAATAATTAAATAACTTGCTTCCAATCGGGCTATGGCAGCAATGGGACAAATAGAAGGAAAATCATTTCATCTTCTATGGTCTCGGTTTCTGTATTTATAAAATTAGGAGGTACATATGGTTTTAACATGATGGAGCAAAGTAATTTCCACACTCTTCTTTTGAAAACCATCTCTGAACACAAGGATGAAACAAAAGAGAAACACAAATTTCACCTTCAATAAAACTAGAAGAACTTTTTAACCTCAAACCACAATACAGATGGAAAAAGGATGGAGAAATGGTAAATAATTTAGCAAACTAGTGACATATAGCCAGTTCACCTTGAATTGCTCTGAACAGGCTAGAAAATGGAGGCACTAGACAGCACCGCCAGTAGGAGTCAGGCAGGGGAATATCAGCAAGAATGGTGAGATTTTTTATGTCATCACTCCTGTCCTTCCCCACTCCCACAAAGCACAGGTGATATATTTTCTGGGTTACTTGAACCAAGGAGATTCTGGAATTGGCTATCCCAGAATCTGGAATTTGCTAACACATAAGGGAGAACAGGAGTGAAATGCCAGAGCATAAAAGGGCACTGAGTGAGAGTCTGTATAGTAAAGGTAAAACTCCAATCCCCTACTTTTACTCAACACCACAACAAAGGCAGGCAGCCTCAGATACCACAGGCAGGTGATTGGAAGATTATTTGCTGATAAGACTAAACTTCTCTAGAAAGAAGATCCATAAATACTGACATTTTGGGGTTTTCAGTGAAAAATCTGTCTGGCCATTTGATTATTTAATTGTGAAGTCCATTCATGAACAAGGCCCACTTATGGTCAAAGAGCTTCCAATCAACTCATTGTTACTTCAGTTTTAAATACGAATGGCCCGCCAATGATTATCAGATGGTTGGGGATAGCCATCAACATGAAAAAGAGACAAAAACAGAGAGGAAATGCAGAGAGCAGAGGAATTAAATTTTTATCGTCAGAGATTAAGAATGAGTTATCAGAAATTATAAATATGATTAAAAATAGGAAATTTAATTTAAAAACTGGAACTTTCAGTCATGGAAATTTCCTAGCAATTGGAACCAAAAGGCAAAAAGATTTACAATTAGGAGGCTCCCCCCACACCACCCAGCCAAGATGAGTGACTAGGGGCATCAGATGCCAGTTTTCCTCAGAAAGAAGATCAAAGTTAATGGTGAATGGACATGTTCTGAATGGAAAACTGAGGGAAGAGAGTCTGTCAAAGTGACCATGGAAAGAAGCTAGAATCCAGAAAAGGAAAGCAGCAAGAGTCTGCCAGAGGTGGACCCTCAAGGAACTCTGAGTCCCATGGAAAGAGTAGGTGCATGTTCTTATCTGCTGCCCTCGTCCCTGTGACAATCTGCTGACTGTCAAATAGTTGGGGAGCCCCTCTGCCCTCGTGACCCAGGGCAATACTAGTGGTAGCAACTTCCCATGGACAGAGAACTAGGTGACCACCTCATGCAGGTGTGCCCACACTCCTCTCAGACCCGAACTGAGATGGTGGGCAGCATACTGGTTGTGCATCTGTCATGGGTCACTGTTTTGCCCGATGAATTCTCTGCTCTTAAGTCACCACACCACCAGATTCCCTGCAAATGTACCCCACAATGCACTCTGACTTTGGCAAGTACAGGGGACTAGCAGATCCCCAGGGAGCTGCAGGGCCTCTGGAGATCTAACCCTCTATTCAGGTTGCCCCTAAGGTAGAAGGAGGGTAGCCTGCTAAAGGCCCCCTTGGGCCAAAGAAATGTGGGTATGTATTTGAAATGCTTGTCCCCTGGTGCCGTAAAGAAATAGCACTTGAACATAAATTTAATTCCCTCAGCAAGGCCATTTTTATACTTTCTGCAGAAAGGGTACACTCGACAGCAGTTTTGCCATGAGGGTACACCGAACAAAGGAGACAGGGTCATTTATAACCTGACGCGTCCACCCTACTGCTGTGTCTGGTTTCCATTGGCTGGAACAGGACCTCACATTCTGTATTTGTCCTGATTGGCTACCAACTTAGAACTTTTTAAAAGAAGCAAAGGCAGAGGAGAACGAAGGAAGGAAGAAGTAACTTGTGGAATGCTAAGAAAGGTAAAAACGCCTTCAAATAAGGAAGAGGAACAGGCTATGACCTAATGGTTGCTTGAACCAGTATAAGCATGCCAGGGCAAATATTTAGGCTAAATTGTGGGAGCTAAGAACATAAAGTACATTGATTTCTTTATTACGGCTAGCAGATATTGAATGTTAGCACAGGTCTTTGAATACGTTTTGCTTCTAAGAGAAGTTACTATTTATTTTTAATTAAATGGGGAGGAAAGTCTTTGAAGAGGAACCTCTACTTTACTTTTTACAGTGTGGCAACAATTGCTGAAGGGGACAACACCGACAGCCAGGAACAGACGTGAAGAGGGGGTCATTTCCCACCCCCGTCCACTGTTGCAGATGCAGAAATGGTTCTTCCTACTGGGACCTGGCAGGTATGCACTCAGAGAAAGCATTTGTTGTGCTTTTTGTGGCAGCTCCACCTCTGCTGAAAGTGAGCCTGACCACTTAAGCTTGAATGAAGGGTGGGGCCCAACTCCCCACCCCCACCCCACACACAGAGCAGTAGTGTCTCAGCAATGGAAGACAGACAAGATGCAGAGTTACCTTCCCTAGATCCAGGGAAGAGGCTCTGCCCTGAGCCCATTTTGGTGGTAGCAGTCAGAGAGGTATATCCATGGTCCATAGATGCATTGTAGCTGGGAACCAAAGGACAAAGTGTATATGAACTGAAGGTCATGGGTCCTGTGCCAGGCATGATAGGGAATAAGATTGCATTCCTGGTGGCTCAGGATGAGAAGCTGGTTCACCCCCATTTTCCCTGAAACCTCAGTATACTTTAGTCTTCTTGCCACCTCCCCATCAGGGTGAGTGCTTCCACTCCTCGCCAGCCTACCTAAAGTGGGGCAAGCTCTTACTCTTAAGTGCCACCTACTGGACTGCAGTCTGAACTGCACCACCAAATAGAAAACCTGCTGCCAGAAAGGCTTAGTGTTAGTCCATAAGATAAGCTTCCTGAGACCTATGGACCCTCATCCCACAGGAGATAGTATGTTGGCTCATACATCCAGTACATCACTGTAACAAGCAGCATCTGAGAAAGCCATCACACAGAAGCTACCCACAACCAAGGAACCCATACAGAGCCTTGGCCCCTTGCAAGCACCCAGAAACAAAGCCAAATGATCACACATAACATATGTCACAGTAATACCCTCAAGGAAAAAAAGAATAAAAAATAAAAAAAGTCTCCTTCAAACAATAGCAATTTCAAATATAAGATGCAACAGCTCCCTCAGATGAGAAGGAATCAGTGAAACACCTCTGGCAGTACAAAAAGCCAGAGTGTCTTGACACCTCCAAAAAATCACACTAGGTCTCTAGCAAAGGATTCTAAAAAATGGAAAAGTCTGAAATAACAGACAAAGAATTCAAAATACGGATTGCAAGGAAACTCAACGAGATCCAAGAGTATGTTGAAATACAATGCAAAGAAACCAGACAAATTATTAAGGGTGTGAAAGATGAGACAGCTAGATTTAGAAAAAAACAAATAGAAATTCTGGAATTCAAACATTCTCTAAGGGAATTTCAAAACATAAGTTGGAAGCTTTAATAATAGACTAGACTGAGCAGAAGAAAGAATGTCAGAGCTTGAAGACTGGTTGTTTGAATTAACACAGTCAGACAAAAATAAATAAAAAATAATTTTAAAAAATGAACAAAGTATTTAAGAAATGTGGAATTATGTAAAGCAACCAAACCTATGACTGATTGGCATTCCTGAGAGAGAAAAAGTAAAAGTAAGCAACTTGGAAAACATGTTTGAGGGAAATTTCAGGAAAAATTCAGGAAAATTTCCCTGATCTTGTTAGAGAAGTTGATATCTAGATACAAAAAATTCAGAGAAAACCTGTGAGATACTATACAAGACAACCATTCCCATGACATTTAGTTAACACAGCATCCAAGATCAAGGCAAAAGGAAAAATGTTAAAGGCTACTAGAGAAAAGGGCAAAACTATCTATAAATAAAATCCTATCAGACTAACATCAGACTTCTCTGGAGAAACCACACAAGCTAGAAGACATTGGGGGCCGATTTTTAGCCTTCTTAAAGAAAAAAAAAATACCAGCCAAGAATTTCATATCCTGACAAACTAAGCTTCATATGTGAAGAAGAAATGAAGTGTTTCCCAGACAAGAAAACACTAAGGGAATTTATCACCACCAGAATAGCCCTACAATAAATGCTCAAAGGAGTTTTAAACGTGGAAATGAAAGAATGGTACTTGCTACCATAAAAACACACATAAATACAAAGTTTACAGAACTCATATAGCAATTACATAATTGAGACTACAAAGCAACTACCTAAAAACAGTATGACAGGAGCAAAACCTCATATATCAATATTAACCTTGAACATAAATGGCCTAAACGCATCATTTTAAAGATATAGACTGGCAAATTGTATCAAAAACAGGATCCAACCTTCTGCTGCCTTCAAGACCCATCTCACATGTAATGACTCCCACAGGCTCAAAGTAAAGAGATGGAGAAAGATCTATCATGCAAATGGAAAACAAAAAAGAGCAGGGGTCACTATTGTATCAGAAAAAACAGACTTTAAACCACAAGAGTTAAAAAAAAAAAAAAGACAAAAAAGGTCATTATATAAAGATAAAGGGTGCAACAAGAAGATTTAACTATACAAAATACATGTACACCCAACATGAAGCATCTAGATTTATATAACAAATACTACTACACCTAATAAAAGAGATAGTCATACAATAATATTGGGGGAATTCAACACTCCACTGACAGCACTAGACAAATCAAGGCAAAAAACTAACGAAGAAAATTGGGACTTAAGTTGGACTCTTGACCAAATGGACCTAATATACATCTAGAGAATACCTAACAATCACAGAGTATACATTTTTCTCACCTGTGCATGAAATATTCTTGAAAATTGGCCACATGCTTGCTCATAAAGCAAGTCTCAATAAATTTGAAAAATCAAAATCATATCAAGCATCTTCTTGGACCACAGTGGAATAAAATTAGAAATCAATACCAAGAGGAACTCTCAAAACCACATAAGTACATGGAAACTAAACAATTAGTTCCTGAATAAAATGGGTAAAAAATAAAGTTAAGCTGGGAATTTAAAAAATGGAAATAAATGAAAATAGAGACACAACCTACCAAAACCTCTGGAATATAGCAAAAGTAATGTTAAAAGGAAAGGTTACAGTGCTAAATGCCTACATCAAAAATACAGAAAGATCTCAAATTAACTTAATGTCACACTAAAGTAGAAATACAGGAGCAAACAATCTCAAAGCTAACACAAGTAAAGAAGTAATAAAAATCAGAGCAGAACTAAGTGAAATTCAGAACAAAATCACATACAAAGGACCAATAAAAGGAGAAGTGAGTTCTTTCAAAGGATAAACAAGATCGATAGACCACTAGCTAGATTAATCAAGGAAAAAAAGAGAAAAGATTCAAATAAGCAAAATCAGAAATGACAAAGTTGACATTACAACTGATACCAGAGAATTACAAAATGATCCTCAGAGACTACTATAAATATCTCTGTGCACACACTCTAGAAAACCTAGAGGAAATGGATAAATTCCTGGAAAGCATTTGATAAAAATCTAACATCCCTTTATGATAAAAACCCTCAATAAACTATGCATCAAAGGAACATATCTCAAAATAATAAGAGCCATATATGACAAACCCACAGCCAACATTCATGCCAAATGGATAAAAGTTAACAACATTCTTCCTAAGAACTGGAACAAGATGAGGACGTCCACTCTTACCACTCCTATTCAACATAATACTAGAAGTTCTAGCAAGAGCAATCAGGCAAGAGAAAAAAATAAAAGGCATCTAAATTACAAAAGAAGAAGTCAAATTATCTGTGTTCACTGACAATATAATCCTATGCCTACAAAACCCTAAAGATTCATCTGAATGACTCCTGGACCTGATAAATGACTTCAGTAAAATTTCAGGATACAAAATGAAGATACAAAAATCAGTAGCATTTTTATACACCAATAACATTCAAGCTGATAATCGAATAAAGAACTAAATCTGATTTACAATAATCACACACAAAATAACCCCTAGGAATACATTTAACAAAGGAGTTGAAAGATCCCTACCAGGAGGACTACAAAACAGTGATGAAAGAAACAATAGATGATACAAACAAATGGAAAAACATTCAATGCCCACAGATTGAAAGAATTAATATTGATAAAATGACCATACTTCCTAAAGCAATCTACAGATTCAACACAATTCCTATCAAATTACCAACATTATTTTTCACAGAACTAGAAGTAAAAATTCTAAAATTCATATGGAACAAAAAAGAACCTGAATAGCCAAAGCAGTCCTAAGCAAAAGGAACCAAGCCAAAGCCATCATGTTACCCCACTTCAAGCTATAATACAAGGATATAGTAACCAAAACAGCATGCTGCTAATACAAAAATAAACACATAGATCAATGGCATAGAATAGAGAAACTAGAAATAAATCCACACACTTATAACCAACTAATGCTTGACGAAGTCAAGAAAAATAAACAGTGGGGAAAGAACATCTTATTCAATAAATGGTGTTGGGAAAGCTGGCTAACTATATGCAGAAGAATGAAACTGGACCCCGACACAAAAACTAACTTAAGATGGATTAAAGAATTAAATGTAAGACCTTAAGTGATAAAAATATAAGGAAAAAAACTAAGAAAAACAATTCTGGATATTGGCCTGAAGAATTTATGACTAAGACCTTGAAAGCAAATGCAACAAAATAAAACTTGACAATTGGGACTTAATTAAATTAAAGAGCTTCTGCACAGCCAAAGAAACTATCGCCAGAGTAAACAGACAACCTTCAGAATGGGAGAAAATATTTGCAATCTATGCATCTGACAAAGGACTAACACCCAGATCTGTAAGTAACTTAAACAAATCAACAAGAGAAAACAAGTAGCCCCATTAAAAAGTAGGCCAAGGACACAGACACTTCTCAAAAGAAGTCAGACAAGCAGCCAACAAATAATGAAAACATGTTCAGCATCACTAATCATTAGAGAAATGAAAATTAAAACCACAATGAGATATCATCTCACACCAGTCAGAATGGCTATTATTAGTAAGTCACAAAATAAGACATGTGAGTGAAGATGTGGACAGAAAGGAATGCTTATACAATGTTGGTGGGAATATAAATTAGTTCAACCTCTATGAACAACAGTAGGGATATTTCTCAAAGAATTAAAAACAGACTGGGTGCGGTGGCTCACGCCTATAATTGCAGCACTTTGGGAGGCTGAGGCAGGTGGATCACTTGAGGTCAGGAGTTTGAGACAAGCCTAGCCAACATAATGAATTCTTGTCTCTACTAAAAATTAAAAAAATTAGCTCGGCATGGTGGCAGGTGCCTGTAGTCCCAGCTACTCGGGAGGCTGAGGCAGGAGAATCACTTGAACCCAGGAGTCAAGATCACACCACTGCACTCCAGCCTGGGCAACAGAGTGAAACTCTGTCTCAGAAAAAAAAAAAAAAGAATTAAAAATAGAACTACCATTTGACTCAGCAATTCCACAACTGAGCAGCTACCAAAAGGAAAAGAAATAGTCATATCTAAATGAAACCTGCACTTGTATGTTCATCACAGCACTATTCACTATAGCAAAATCATGGGATCAAACAAAGTGTCCATCAATGGTGTATTGGATAAAGTAAATGTTGTATATACGTACCACAGAATACTATGCAGCCATAACAATAATAAAATCATGTTCTTTGCAGCAACATGGATGCAGCTGGAGGCCATTATTCTAAGTGAAGTAACTCAGAAACAGAAAATCAAATAGTGCACATTCTCACTTATAAATGGGAGGTAAAGAAAGGGTACATATGCACATAAAGATGGAAAACAACAGACATTAGGGACTCCAAAAGTCGGGAGAGAGGGAAAGGGCAAGGGTTATAAAATTACTTATTGGGTGCTATGTTTACTATTTGGGTAATGGGTTTACTGGAAGCCCAAACCCCAGAATTATGCAATATAACCATGTAACAAACCTGCACATGTACCCACTGAATCTGTTTTTTTTAAGACTTAAGAGAAAAACAACAACAAGAAGTACAATAGGCAAATAAGAGTTTCACAAAGTGATAATTTCTTTGCCAGAGTAATTTTCTGTGTGATATAAAATATAATTCAAGAACATTTCCTAAAATGGGCAGACTTTAGTCATCAACTGCAAGAGCTCCACAAGAGTTTAGCATCATGGATTTTTAAAAAGTCAGTTTCAGTGCATTTTCTTTGGAACCCCAGAATACCAGAGATAAAAAGAGGTTCCTGAAATACACTAGAGAAAAAAATTAGATCACTAACAAACAAAATAAGGATAACATTTAACTTCTTAGCAATGTTAGAAGTTGGAAAACAATAGAAGCATATCTGAACCAGATATAAGGGAGGAAAAATAGTTTTTTTCTCTACCCTTCATAGTTCTTAGTTGGGATGGACCCCTGTAATCAAGACAGATTAACAAGAGAAAAATAAAGTAATAACATGTATAACTCATGTATACATAGGAAATACCCAAGAGAATGTGAAATCTCAAAGAAGTGCCTTTGACTTCAAGCTTAAATATTACCAGTGGACCCAGCTGGGCGTGGGGGCTCACGCCTGTAATCCCAGCACTTTGGGAGGCCGAGGTGGGCAGATCATGAGGAGAGGAGATCGAGACCTTCCTGGCTAACATGGTGAAGCCCTGTCTCTACTAAAAAATACAAAAAATTAGCCGGGCATGGTGGCGGGCGCCTGTAGTCCCAGCTACTTGGGAGGCTGAGGCAGGAGAATGGCGTGAACCCGGGAGGCGGAGCTTGCAGCAAGCCGAGATGGTGCCACTGCACAACAGCCTGGGCGACAGAGTGAGACTCCGTCTCGAAAATAATAATAATAATTATTATTATTATTATCAGTGGAAACAAAGAAAGAGGGTGAGAGAGGCCAGTAATGGGAAGATGTCCAGGAAAGACACAATAAACAAGGGTAAGATTTATTTTGTAGATTTAACTCCAGCCTTTTCAATTGATAAGAATCTCTAGTGATTTATCCTTCCCTCTCCTCCTGGTATAGAGAGGGAGACACCCTTAGAAATGGAGATTTCTTTTATAGATGTAAAATTTCTCTTACAAAAGGCTAATGTTTATTCTATTTTTACAGTTTCTTCTGTGTCTCCAGTTTATCAAAATAATCAGCTCAAAATAATCCTTCTGCCTAAGAGAGATATTTTGGGATGGCATATCTTGGGCTCCTACATAGACAAATCAAAGATAAACAGTAGAGACATAATTTTCAGAAATATGGAGGTAAACAGAAGAAATGGCTAAAAACCCTCTGGAAAATAGAGTAGAAAGGAGAGTAGGGACTGCTGTTTGCTTGTTTTGTTATAAGCCCAGCACAGGTATTTAACTTTTCAAACTATCAAAGGTATAAATGAAAATTGTTTTTTCAAAATAAGGTGTGAAGCCTAGATTGAATAATATTTGAGATTACTGGCAGTTTACTCTATAAAGTGTTTGAGTGTATTAGCTGTGTTGCAATTGGCACAGTATAGCATTTTCTCGTGCATAGAAGCATGGAAATTATTTTGTAGAGGCCAAGTGGAGTGGGGGAATTCCCCTTCATCCTCTGAAGGTTCACTGAAAAATCAACTCACAAAAGAAGATTAATTGGATAAAAAGCATAAACATTTATTAATCTTCACACTGGGGAGAACCATAGAGTGATTACCCCGTATCCCAATGTGGCCCAGACACTTATATAACCTTATTTCAGGGTGGGTGAATATAAGTAACTCTACTGGGGGCCAATGAATGATTTCCAGGGAGAATGAATGGATTGAGGAACAGAGATTAACTTGTAAATGGTTCTCTTTAGAAATTGAATGAGCCTGAGAGACATATGTTATCTTGTTAAGGAATCTGTTCAGGTGTAATGTAAATTCTTGGTCTCCTTTTCTGCAGTAGATAGTGAGAGAACAGGGAGGGAAAGGGAAAACAATTGTTCTCCTTAGTGGGTCCATGAGGTCTTTATGTAGATAGGGAAAAAGTCTCTTTCAGTGTCTGTTGATTGCTAAGGGCCTTTAATTCAAAATACTAATTATACCAGGGGACAATTTTTTGGGGTGAAGTTTCCCCGCACTCCTTCAAATGTTAATATAAGGTGTGATTCTTCTCCAAAACAGCACAATGATTGTTAAGTGTCAGGCATTTAAAATAATTGATAACTGATTATCACAATAATCCTGCATGTTAGTTAAGATTTAGAAACTGAGATTCAGCAAGATCAAGCTACTTGTCCATGCTAACAATTACTTAATGGCAGAGAGGAGTTTTTAAATAGCTTAATTTGACTGCAAGATACAGAGTACTGTCTATAACATAGACAGCTACTTGACCGTAAGGTATTATACAAATATAATATATAGGAGCTGTTTAGGCTTTGTATGTAAGATGATGAAAACGTACCTCTAGTGCACACAGTTTCAGGTACCACAACTTTCCAGGTGACACTAAAAACAGCCAAGTGAAGAAAAAGAGAAAATAGTATACAAACACACAAAATTAAAACACAGACACATAAACACATTGGGGAAGAATTTAAATGATGACAAAGCCTAAACAAAGAATAATTACTATTATAAAGTACGGATAGCACATGTAGAAAGAGATTTCAAATGACAAATGATCTCTTTACTCATTTTCTTTTTCTTTTTTCTTTCTTTTTTTTTTTGAGATGGAGTCTTACTCTGTTGCCCAGGCTGGAGTGCAGTGGCACGATCTCGGCTCACTGCAACCTCCACCTCCCGGGTTCAAGTGATTCTCCTGCCTCAGCCTCCCAAATAGCTGGGACTACAGGTGCCCGCCACCACGCCTGGCTAATTTTTGTATTTTCAGTAGAGATGGGGTTTCACCATACTGGTCAGGCTGATCTTGAACTCCTGACCTCAAGTGATCCACCTGCCTCGGCCTCCCAAAGTGCTAGGATTACAGGCATGAGCCACCACGCCTGGCCTTCTTTATTCAGTAAAACTGATTAGGAGAAATTAAGAATAAGGTCAGAATTTATTATAATTTTATAACTTTTGTTAAAAACTTTAGACAAATTAAATTGAACAGAGTTTAACTGAGCAAAGACTGATTGATGAATTGTGCAGCCCCCAAACCAGAAAAGGTTCAGAGAAGCTCTGCACTGTCACATGGTTGGAGAGGATAAAGGCAGATAAAGGAAAGTGATGAACAGAAAATGGAAGTGAGGAACAGAAAGATCTAGATTGGTTGCATCTTGGTGTTTACCTTATTTAAACATGTTTTGAAGAGCTGTCCACTTTTGATTGGCTGAAACTCAGTGACTGGCACATGAGTAGGTTAGTCTGTTTACACATCCAATTATGTTACAGTTCATTATGAATAGAGAAACTTTTAGGTCAAACTTAAAATATGTAAGGAGCTTTAGCTTTAGTCTAAACTTAACAATTCCCCCCACCCCCTTGGGGGAACCTCTCAATTTTGAGAGGTTGACCAAAACTAGGTATTGATGTCACTCTGTCACCATCATAAATGTACTTATTTGTTCTCAAATACTACTGGGAAATAGAACAGTGTACTTATCTTTGTGCAACAAGAAGTGTCAGCAACTATACAGATTATTTTCTGTTCAGCCAATAAGAAATCTAGAGCAAGTCTATTATCTAGTACAACTTTAGCAAAAGAATTTGAAGAAGTCTATTGTACAACCACAGCCTTTGCAGGAGAATCTGCTATAGAACCTATTATGAAAGATAAATTTCTAATCATCTCATTTACTCCAAATCATGGAACAAAAGATCCAATACATGATGCCTATCCAGAAGGGTGAAGGCCTCCTGGCAATGTTCTCTTTAACATTATGATGTAGGTTAAGAGGAGTGGACCAATGTCCTGTTTCTGACTGATCATGGAGCAACAAAGGTACCAATAAATTAAAAATTCTCAACAACATTGAAATTTCATCTTCCACCTATCAAGGCATAAGTTTGCCTTGTATAAGGTCGGCTGTAAAATCCTTCACAAATAAAAGTGTACCTCATGCGTGCACACAAGACTTCCTTTCCAGTTCCATTGCTCATAAAGGCATAAGCAAGGAAATTATTACCGGTCTCTCATGATAGCAGAGGTATCTTTGTCTATGATCTTGGGAAAGCTGTCCACATCAGGGCTGCCATCTGCTTCCAGGGAGAAACTTCCATGATTAACTTGACCTTAAGATCTCCAAAGTGTGTACAATTCAGAGAGTCTGGAGGGGAACTTCTGAGTTGTGAGATTATGGATCCAAGAATTGAGGTCCCAAAGTTTTGGTGTAGTGTGGGTGGCAAGGGAAGTCTTTCTCTGATGCCATTTCCAGAGGACTTGATATGGTTTGGCTGTGTCCCCATCCAAATGTCATCTCGAATTGTAGTTCCCATAATCCCCACATGTCTTAGGAGGGACCCAGTAAGAGGTAATTTAATCATGGGGGCAGTTACCCTCATGCTGTTCTTGTGAGAGTGAGTTCTCATGCATGAGATCTGATTTTTTTTTTTTTTTTTTTTTTTTTGAGACAGAATCTGGCTCTGTTACCCAGGCTGGAGTGCAGTGGCATGATCTCGGCTCACTGCAACCTCCACTTCCTGGGGTCAAGCAATTCTCCTGCCTCAGCCTCCTGAGTAGCTGGGATTACAGAAGCCCGCCACCACACCCAGCTACTTTTTGTATTTTTAGTAGAGATGGGGTTTCACTGTGTTGGCCAGGCTGGTCTCGATCTCCTGACCTCGTGATCTGCCCACCTCGGCCTCCCAAAGTGCTAGGATTACAACAAGCATGAGCCACCGCGTCCATCCTATCTGATGGTTTTATATGGGGCTTTTGCTCGGCACTTCTTGCTGTCACCATGTGAAGAAGGATGTGTTTGCTTCCCCTTCCACCCTGACTACAAGTTTCTTGAGGCTTCCTCAGCCCTGCAGAACTGTGAGTCAATTAAACCTCTTTCCTTGATAAATTACCCAGTCTTGACTATGTCTTTATTATCAGCGTGAGAACAGACTAACACAGGACCCAATCTCCAGGTTTTAGATTGTGGAGGGTTTAATTGTCCTCGGTTAGTGGATAGTGAAAAGCTTCCTTTACTTGGCAAAAATAAACTTCAGCATAATGCATTAACATCTTGCAGCATTTAGTCATATCAGAGTTTAGGAGTGGAAGATATATGAGTTTCTATTATTAGGAGCATAGGCCTTCCAGTGATTATTTCATAAGGAGTCAACTTATATTTTCCACTGGCAGTGGATTTGATTGTCATCAATCTGCAATACCTTTGGTTAAGGTAATTCAGTCATTTAGTTAGCTTTGTCTAATGCTGTTGTATCTGGAATATCTTATTTAACTGCTTTACAATGTGTCCAGTGAAACAAGTATCTTTATCACTAGAGATTTCTCTAGGAATGCCCCATGAGGAAAACACATTTTCCAATAGCCTTTTAGCTACTATTATAGCATCAGCCTTCTTGCGTGGGAAAGCTTATATTTCTATGAATTTGTTATTAATATATGTTCCAAAATTGTATGAAATTCCTAAAATTCTGATATATCTTGCTATGTTATCAGTCATAATCATGGTTATTATGTTAAGTTGTAGGCCACAAAAATAAACAAATTTCATTGTCACTTGTGTCTCTAAGATAATTTTAAGTAATTTTTACAGTTAATTGCTTAATTCTGATGCATTTTCTGAAAGTTCTTTATAAGCAAGGAAAATCCTAGAGTATTATGTCTTAAAGGAGGTTCATAGAGAGGATAAAAAAAGAAAACATGCATTTAAAATGACACTAGAGTGAAATCCCTCTATAAGTGTTCAAATGGCCCATCAGGTAGCAGAAACATACCTGAAGTTTTTATTGTCTTCCCAGGATTATGGGTTTGACAAAACAAACACTTGTCATATACCATTTTTTCAATTTAGAACAGCCATTAAATACACACACACACACACAAAAACACATGTGCACACACGTATTTCATATTTGGCTTATTTTATCTCTTCCATGATGAGTCATGGAGGGCTGAACTTATAATAATGAAAGCTTTAAGGACTCAGGACAAACCAGGCAGATGTACAGGCTTTCCATGAGTCCATGATTAACAATATACATATCTTCTTAAATGCCAATTTTGTTTCTCCAATTTGGTTGCATAACACTGTTTATTAATGGGTTATCATAGGTAATTTGACTTGGACCATGGAGTTCATTCAAATTACATATCTTAATAATTTCAGCACTGGTTGATTTAGCATAAGAATCTGGCAGAGTATTTCATTGGTATTCAATTAATTGTTATACTGCTCGAGTTAGCAGTTTTATACAGAAGTCAGTCTCTTCATTACAGTTCTGGGAATTATTACACAGTTCAAATAATATGATCCTAAAGTTATGAGAAACCTATATTCAAGACTGCTTGTCTTTTTTTATCCTCTCTATGAACCTTCTTGAAGACATAATACTCTAGGAATTTTCTTACTTGTAGGGAGCTTTCAGAAAATGCATCAGAATTAAGCAATTAACTGTGGAAATTACTTAACATTATCTTAAAGGCACAAGTGCCAATGAAATTTGGTTATTTTTGTGGCCTACAACTTAACATAATAACCATGATTATAACTGACAACATACTAAGACATATCAGAATTTTAGAAATTTCATACAATTTTGGAACATATATTAATAACAAATTCATGAAAATATAACTCAAAAAGGGTTAAATATCATTTTGTATTTGATAATGCTTCCCATATAACTTGGCATGTCAAATAAGCCTGTTTACTATCTCTCCTTTGGATGCTGAAGGGGCCCTCTGTAACACCTCAAATTTAGTTTAAGGTCAAAAGACTTAATTTTAAAATTTAAGTTCAATTTTGGGAAGCCTGTCAAGTAACTCAAAGGTTTAAAACACTTAATAAAAATAAAATCACAGGTCACTGTAAAATAATAGTCATTAATTTATCCAGAGTGCTAATTAAAAGGCTGTAAAAAGCAAAAATGTTTATTTTGTGATAGAGAGGAAACTCAGTTTTCTAAACAATCAAAAGACCTAATAAAGACAGCATGAGACAGAATTTATCTCTCCTTTTCCCTCCTTTTTTGCAGTTTACTCAAAAGGTGAACAAAAATATTTTACTGCCTCTTATTAATACTACACAAAGTTCTTGCTTGAAAGACAAAAGCAAATATTACTTTCGTATTAGTGTATTATAAATACTAATCTTAAAGCTATTTTAATAAAACCTTATAAATAAATCTAATGTCAGTCAGCTTTTGATCACATAAGATCTTCACAAACCTTTATAATCTTACAAAATTTTTTCTATTTTCTTTTTTCTCAACTTTCTATCTCATTTGGTTTTATCTGTATTTTTTAAATTTAAAACAAGTTTAAGTAACTTTTTTGTGTGTGTGAGAGACAGAGTATCGCTCTGTCACCCAGGCTGGAGTGCAGTGGCATGATCTCAGCTCACTGAAACCTCTGCCTCCTGCGTTCAAGTGATTCTTCTGCCTCAGCCTCCCGAGTAGCTGGGATTAGCTGGTCTTGAACTCCTGACCTCAAGTGATCCTTCTGTCTTGGCCTCCCAAAGTTCTGGGATTACAGGCATTGAGCCACTGTGCCTGGCCTAAAGTAACTTTTTAACTATACTTTTTACATCAAGCACACATGTTTATGCCTTTACAACCCTCCTTGCCAAAAATATATCTTGTTTTTCTTTTTACACTCTGTATACAGAATTGTTTCTCTTATATCTAGTAGTTTTAATTACATATATTAACTACAAATGTAACTCTTAGTAATTCTACTTTTTTTTCTTTTTTTTTTTTTTGAGAACGAGTCTCACTCTGTCACCCAGGCTGGAGTGCAGTGGCGCAATCTCGGCTCACTGCAACCTCCGCCTCCTGGGTTCAAGCATTTCTCTGCCTCAGCCTCCCGAGTAGCTGGGATTACAGGTGCCTGCCACCACGCCCGGTTAATTTTTGTATTTTTAGTAGAGATGGGGTTTCACCAAGTAATTCCATTTTTTAGTGAAAACCTAGAGACCAAGTAATTTTGAACTGTTTTATATCAGTATTTGTAGATTTAAAAAACCCTTTAAAAATGTTTAGAAAGCCATTTTCCTTATTTGTTTTGTTTGATATCTAAATATATTTAGTTTTTTAATACCATATAAAAATGAGATACCAAAGTATGTAAACTTAAAATTATGGTTAATAATTGTTTTAGTACTTTAACTTACCTAGAAATGACTCAGACAACTTTGTGACTATTACTTAATTTAATATTATATAACATAACTTTAAAAATTTAAATTAGTGAAAAATAATTGAAAATATGACACAAGTACCCTTCTTAATGTGTCCCACAGTTATCCTGGGTCCCAAGTACCTATATGGCACCCAAGGATGGCTATAAAGGACAGGGCCTATCTGCATCCTAAATTTACATACCAGGTGTAGAGCTCAGGACAGAGCACAGAGCTGTGAAAAAGATGCCTGGAGGATCTGATTGTTCTCAGCATGGCCAGGAGGCAAAGTTAGGCCAGAGAGGATGAGGATTGGGCTTTACTATGCCTTATAGCTGGTGGTCTAGGCACTGAGGATATGTCCCCAGGTCTCACCACATCAACCTGTCCAGACCCCAGAATCCAGTCTCAAAACCAAAAACATAAACTCACAGACAAATCAAGCATCAAAAATATTACAGAAGCAGCAGTTTTATGACCTTAGAACATGTAGTAGAGATGGCACAAACCTGTCTGACCAGTAAACACAGGCAAAAATATCTGAATTATATTTCACTGAAAATTTTAGAGCCATTTCTATTTTATTTTGATAATTTTAAAACCAGTTTTATTTGCCAAATATTATCACATACACACAATACATAAAGACATATAGACATACAAATAGACAGAAGCAGATCTTATAGCTTTCACAGAGAATTTTCATTTGCCAGTTTCCAAATAGTTTTTCTTTTTCTCATTCAAATGATCAATTTTCCAATTACCTGTTTCATTGACCTAAGCAATTGTTAGCTAAGCAACACTAAATTTGCATTTTTAAAGGGATGACTCTTACATGAAACAAAGTAGAAAATTTATAACTCAAAAGCATAGCTCTGAGTCTCCAGGCCTAAATATTGTACCATCATTTGCTCAAACCAAAGAAAAAAAAAAAAAGAAAAAAAAAGAAACAAAAAGGTTTTAGGTAAAGATCCAGTTAAGATAAAGATGGCCTGAGGAAAGTACCTTAAACAAAGTAAGTCTTTTTATGTAAATTTAAAGCAAAGGTAAGAGTTTCTAGTCATTTAGTCCTCCCTCTCTTTCCCAGGGTACAGAGGCAGGCAGGCCCCCTTCAAATGGTGATCTTTTAATAGATACCAATTTCTTTTATGAAAATATTTCAAAATATCCAGCTAAAAGCCAGAAAGGTATATCTTGGAAACCAATTTAGTTCAATAGGCAATCTTTTAGCTACTATTTCTTAGCTAAATTTACTGAGTTCAGGGTAGAGCCAATTAAAGAATAGGGCAAAGAACCCATTCTCTATACATTAACTAAGCATGGATAACTCTGAAAAAGAAGTAAGCCTGCTTTACCTGAGGGCCTGCCTTTTATAAACAGTTTATCCAGGATAGCTTTATTTTAGACTTTAGGATTAGCTAGTAACTAAGCCAGAAACTTAGCATATTATTTTTCTTATCAATTAGTCACTTACAATTTTTACTTGCCTTTTATAAAGTGTCTTCTCATAGAGGGAATAAAAATATTGAAATCTTTTTTTTTTTTTGAGACAAAATCTCACTCTTATCCCCCAGGTTGGAGTGCAATGGCACAATCTCAGCTCACTGCAACCTCCCCCTCCTGAGTTCAAGCGATTCTCTTGCCTCAGCCTCCTGAGTAGCTGGGATTACAGGCACCCACCACCACACCCGGCTAATTTTTGTATTTTTAGTAGAGACAGGGTTTCACCATGTTGGCCAGGCTGGTCTCGATCTCCTGACCTCAGGTAATCTGCCCGCCTCAATCTCCTAAAGTGCTGGGATTACAGGCAAGAGCCACTGCACCTAGCCCAAGATGGAGTTTCATTCTTGTTGCCCAAGCTGGAGTGCAATGGCACGATCTTGGCTCACCACAGCCTCCGCCTCCCGGGTTCAAGAGATTCTCCTGCCTCAGCCTCTCTAGTAGCAGGGATTACAGGCGAGTGCCACCACGCCTGGCTAATTTTGTATTTTTAGTAGAGACAGGGTTTCTCCATGTTGGTCAGGCTGGTCTTGAACTCCCGACCTCAGGTGATCTGCCCACCTCGGCCTCCCAAAGTGCTGGGATTGGAGGTGTGAGCCACCACACCCGGCCTTTAAAATACTGAAATCTTTTTAGAAGCTTTTGCACATCAACAGGCATCCCTGGTTAATCCTATCAACAGGCATCCCTGGGTTACCCTATTTCAGGAGCCCTCATTTTAAAAATACACTTCTAAAAGTCCAGTGTTTTTCATTTGTAACATCCACTGTACTTTTAAATTATTTTTAATCAGATTTCACCATTTCTGTGTTTGCTGTTTCTGGGACCTAATACATATACATGTATAGGTAGGTGTTGCCACAAGGTGGAGTAGTCAGTTCTTCAGAAACTATGGATTCTGTTTTTATATTGAATCTTGGCTTTGGCTCTCAGATCCACTTGATCAATGTAGCCAATGATGTTTCCCTACCTAAGCATGCATGAAAAAGAAACAAAGGGAACAGAACACAAAAATCTCTGCGAATTTCCTAAAGTCACAGTTCTTACCTGCTGTAGTATTGCCATTTACTGCCAGTTCCTATCTGACTCAGACATCTGAAGCCTCTAACTGGATCCAAGCCAGTTAATTATCAGATCTAATATAATAATCCAGGACTGATCCTGGATCCAGTCCAGTTTATACAATGACTTCTGAACCCAATTTGGTTAAAAAAAAATTGCTCAAACAAATTTAGATAGCTGAAAACACAAATCCATAGAGCTTCAGAATCTGAGCAAGAACTTACTCATGATCCCCAATTGATGTGAGAGAGCAATGAACACAATGGTCCCAGTAGGTACATTGCTTGGTCACTTAATGCTCCTGGGGAATGCGGGAAGCTCCACTTTGGGTCTCACTTCTGATGCCATGTGTTAAAAGAAAAACCTTCTAGGTGCAGTGGTTGACAATTGAAATCCCAGCACTTTGGGAGGCCAAGGTGGGAGGATCACGTGAGGCCAGGAGTTTAAGACCAGACTGGGCAAGAATCTGGGTGCTACAAAAAATAAAAAAAAATTAGTCAGGTATGGTGGCACACACCTGTAGTCCCAACTATTCAGGAGGCTGAAGCAGGAGCATCACTTGAACCCAAGAGTTTGAGGCAGCAGTGAGCCATAATCCTGGCACTGCACTTCTGCCTAGGTGACCGAGTGAGACCCTGTCTACAAAACAAAACAACAACAAAAAACTTTAGACAAATTAAATTTAACAGAGTTTAATTGAGCAAAGAACAATTCAGGAATTAACGAGGCCCTTGAACCAGAATAGATTCAGAGAGACTCTAGGACAGCCACATCATCGAAGAGGATTTATGGACAGAAAAAGAAAAGTGATGTGGGCCGGGGGCATGGTGGCTCACTCCTGTAATCCCAGCACTTTGGGAAGCTGAGGTTGGTGCGTCACCTGAGGTCAGGAGTTCCAGACCAGCCTGGCCAACATGGTGAAACCCCATCTCTACTAAAAATATAAAAATTAGCCAGGTGTGGTAGCAGGTGCTTGTAGTCCCAGCTACTTGGGAGGCTGAGGCAGAAGAATCACTTGAACCTGGGAGATGGAGGTTGTAGTAAGCCGAGATCGCACCATTGTACTCCAGCCTGGGTGACAAGAATGAAACTCCATCCCAAAAAAAAAAAAAAAAAGAAAAGAAAGAAAAGAAAGTGAGGCACAGAAACAGCTTATTGGTTATAGTTGGCATTTGCCTTAATTCAACATGGCTTGAACAGTTGGCCACCTTTTAGCTGAAACTCAGTGATTGGTAGAAGAGCAAGTTATAGTCTATTTAAACATTTAATTAGGTTATAGTTCACCATGTACAGAGAAATCTTCAGGTCACGTTTAAAATATTTAAGAAGGCAGGTTAAATTCAGTGACTTTCTTAAGATCTCATGGTAAATTGGAAGCTGGGATTAAGGTTTCTGAGACAGAATGCCTGGGAACCCTAAGTTCTGCATAATGCATGTCAGGTTTCCTACTTATTTTCCTTTCTATATTTTCCTCCTTAACACTTCCAATTCATTCTATCTCTGGCTTGCAATTTAATTCCTTCTTGCCCACACCACTGAATCTCCACTGCTGAGCCACAAAAATAACTCTTTCTCTGCACAGCTGAATTCTCTTCTTTCCAAAAACAGTTGTGGATAGAAGCATCCATTTCTTCACAGTAAAACTCCAAACCTGGGCTGGGCTTGTCATGCTTGTAATCCCAGCACTTTGGGAGGCTGAGGTGGCAGGACTGCTTGAGGACAGGCCAAGAGATTGAGACCATCTTGGGCAACATAGTGAGACCCCGTCTTTACAAAAAATTTTAAAAATTAGCTGGGTGTGGGGTACATACCTGTAGTCCCAGCTACTCCAGAGGCTTTGGAGGGAGGATCACTTGAGACCAGGAGCTGGAGGCTGCAGTGAACTATGATCATGCCTCTGCACTCCAGCCTGGATGACAGAGCAAGACTACATTTCTAAAAGCACAAACCCAAACCCTATCCACCAGTCTGTTTTCTTGCCTCAAGGCTCTAATAACATAATCACAGAAGAGTTAAACTTTCAACATTTTCACAAGTCTGAGGCACTGTTTCATATTTTTTTGTTACCTTATTATGCTAAGAATATTTAAAACCCATAGAAAATTACATGGATAATTATTACTAAAGTCAACAGTGGTTTTCTTCTCACGTTTCTTAAACTTAACCATCTTAATCTAATTATGATAATTCTACCTAAGTAAAGATTTATTAGAGTTATATTTTCCTTCTTTTTTCATTCATACCCTCTGGAGCTATAATGAATAGGGAAACATTTGTAGGTTAGAAACTGATACCTAACCAGGCTCTTTCTGCTCACACACAGTAAGCCAATCACTGTAACAATGGGTTTTGCAAAAGAGAAAGGGGTTATTCATGAGGCAGCCAAGCGAGGAGGTAGGAGACCAGTTCTCAAATATGGTTTCCCCAAAATAGTACAGGTGGTCTAAAGTGTGGGAAAAGGTGATTGGCAAGTAAGAAAGGTGAGGTAATTAGGGTTTCTGTGCAAGTGTAATCAAGCTACATGGCTATTCACTGGACACATGTTCAGATAATGGCATTAGCATGATCTGAAAAAGGAGTTTTTGGTCATGTGATGTCAAAAGGTTACCTCTTGAGCATTTGCACAAGCCTGGTTGAAGGGTTGGTGATCTCAACTAGTTTGAACTGGACAGGAGCTGTCCCTAAGTTTCTAAAAAACAACTTTAAGCAACCATTACTGTAATGATCCACAGTCAGAAATGTTATCAACAAGGAAGTTAGTCCAATATTAGATATGTATTGTTTGGCTATGTGATTTGCTAGTGGGAGTTCTAAGATCAACTAGAAGTAAGTGATTAAAAGCAGCCAAGGCTGCTTAAGTTTGGCAGGCTTAATCAGGTTAGCCCTCAGTTTCAAAACGAGGAGGGTGAAAAAAAATCAAATAATCTTGTCAATCTACTGATTAGTCAGTGAGTTCTTGCATAATTTGGAATTTGGAATCCCTTCATTAAATTGCATCTCAGAATCCTGAAGGTTTCATGACTCATCAGCATCTCTGATATCCAGAAAATCTTAGATACATTCTGAATTTAGGAGAGAGAGAGAGAGAAAAAAAAAACACCACCAAACACCCTGCCCCTTGCCCCACAACACCCATATCTTCTTGACAGCCAAGTAGAAAATAACATAGAGAAAGTCCTCAGATAATCATTCCATTTCTGGAATGATTCCAAATCTTAGCACTTCATCTTTGTTTTTGCTTGTTGTCACATCCTATGAGGATTGTCTAAATGTTGTACAGCTATTAGATTACCTGAAAGATTGAGTTGAAAACATTAGGGCAACATATAGTCCCTTCTTTAAAGGGCACTGGATGTTGGTTATAACCAGAAAATATGGAGCCTGGATCTATCCTCTGAGATTAGAATTTTATAAAATGCCCTATTTATTAAACTATTTTAAAAGGCATTAATTTAGGTGAACTTAACCTAGACTTTAAGAACAATAAGAAGAATAAAATAAAACTTCTTGAAAAAAATTTTAAAATAAGATGCTGTGCTTAGATGTATAAAAGTTTATAATTTCCCATAGAATAAATGATTAAAAATAAAAATACTCCTTTTAGTTTAATCATTGATGCCAGGAAACTATTTGGGGAATGATAGGGTTAGAAAGGTTAAAAGTTAAATATTACCTGAAGCACAGCCCACAAATAAGTTTTCTTATCATATAACCATCTCTTTTCTCCTAATCTCCTGTTTTATTTTTTTCTCTAAAGCTCTTATTTGTTTGCTGACCATCACTTTGGGTGGTTTAAATAAAATCGAATTAGATGTAATAAACTGCAGATAATTTTCTGCTTGTTTATTTTATTTTGGGTTTTTAAAAACTATTTATTTCATAAATAATCACATTGTATTCATTACTTACGCCAAACACCATAGGAGATAAAAACTGAATATGGCACAGATTATGTCCTGAAGAGACTCATATTCACCCACTGATCATCTTTAAAAAAACTATTTGCAACAGTATTATTTCTTGCCAATAATGATACCAACATCAAATACATCATCTTTAGTCTGTAGTTTTTTCCTCCCTGACTGCATTAAAAAATCTGTGCCAGCATCAAAACCTTCTTCCCCACAAATGATTGGTCATTGAAAACATACAAATAAAGGAAATTGAATTATTTCTTTCTATGTTTGTTCTTTTATTGGATCCATTTGGATATTTAAATAAACTTTAACAGTTGAATCATAAAATGATGAATCTTTCTAATTCTTCTCTTTTGACTTCATTGATTCTACAAACTTCTGAGCACCTATTGCATGAGAGGTGCTGTCATATGTCGCTTTATGATCTAAAGAGAAGACTCTCACATTTTCTGAAGCAGCAGAAAAGAATTATATACACATACAGAAAATTTCCATCTGGCATTTTGTGACAATTTTTTGATCCACTGGTTAAAGAACAAAATCAAATATCATGCTTTGTTTAAAAAAAAAAAGTTGAAGGGGTGAGGAGGGTATTTAAAGTATATATATAAGTAAGACACATATTTTTTTTAAAATATAAAATGGTGGAACTATAAATTGGTACAACTACTTTGGAATATTGTTTGGCTATGCCTAGTAAATCTAAACATATGTATACCCTATAAATTATAAATTAAACTCCTAGTTTTATGCCCATCAGAAATGCACACACATGTTAACCAAAAGACATATTCTGGGTTTCTCATATTGTGGGAATCAGGAGACCGGAGAGACCAATAGGGTGGAACAGAAGGATTTTATTTAGGGGCACCTGCTCAGCGGATTCACATCCAAAAGGCTGAACCCTAGAAAAAGACAGGGCTTGACTTTTATACATGCATCTGTGGCACGAAATGCAGTGACGCAAAAGCACGTAGAACAAAGACAGTTTATCAAACAGTGACAGGCTCATAACTCAGGCTTTCATGTGACTCCTGCTATGTGGGCCAGGTGGCTGTTATCTAGGCTTGCTCAGATGCCTGCACAATCTTATCTCGTGTCCTTCGCTACAGCGCCCAGATGGCTGCAATCATATCTTACTCAAGCATGTCGCATGACCTCTGCAGTGCTACAGAGATTTACAGATACTAGTTACAGAAAACAGGAATCTATAAACTCATAAAAACTTGCAGAGCAGGGTACAATGGTGTAGCTCAGGGTACAATGGCACAGAGCAGGGAGGGATTCGATGGGGAAGCTGCTCATACCAAAGGAAAGGAAGAAAATTTTTTTCCCTTTTTAACTTCTGCTTCACTCAAAGCAGCAGTATTAAAAATAGTCAAGGTAAAACTCAGGAAGATGGTGGATAGGACACAGGGCTAATGTGCATCTCCCACTTGAACGGACAGAACAGCGTGTGGAGACTCACACTGTGAACTTTTGCACCAAGAATCGTCACAGGAATGTATGAGGGAAACAGAAAGAATTTACAGATCCTTTGAAAGAAGTGTCATGTTGCTGCAAACTCTACGAGACAGGCAAAAACTGTTAGTTACCAAAGTGTACGAGGGGGAAAACCTGCCTCTGAAAACACTTCCCCATTGGGGAGTCTCAAAATCCGTATCACTGGAGAAGGATTTAACTTTGCCTACAGCTGGAACAGACTTATGGAGCCATGTGCAATATTAAAGTAGAGGCAGCAGCAGAAAGAGCTTTGTAGATACTCCCAGTCTTCAGCTTCAGCCCAGGGAAGCCGTCCATGACTATATCTCACAGGAGCCCTTGGGGAAGGGAGCCAGCAGAATTAGGGAGGGGTCACAAGGTGAAAGAAGCTTCCAGCTGAATTTTGTGATAATTTTGACTGTGCACAAACTTCCTTGAACAGAATCCTGAGTGGGGGTGTGGCGAGTGGGATCTGCTGCAGATATAAGCACAGAGCCACTGACATTGTGAGCAGACAGGGAAGGGCATGGCCTGAAAGCCATGCTTGTTTTCTCAGCAGGGAAGCTAATGGCCAGGTAAAGGTCTGAGTTCCACACACAGGTTGCCTGGATCTAAACTATTAGCAGGGCACTGTGGGAGCGAGACCAGTCTCACCAACTGTGTGGGAGGTGGGTGAGGCCTTTCACTACCAGCTATTCCCCACTTCCCTGGTGAAGTATACTGCACAGCAGAGGCAGCCATAATCCCCTCTGGAACATAACCCCAATGACCTGAGAACCACCCCCTCATCCCCTACAGTGGCCGTGGCAAGCCCCACCCAAGAAGAATCTGAGCTGAGACCCGCCTAACCCTGCCCCACCTGATGGTATTTCTCTACCTGCCCTGCTAGCTGAACACAAAGGACATAAACACTTGGGAGCTTTATGGCCCCACCCATCACCTGAGAAACCAGAATACTTCCCCTGGCTAACTTGGGGCAGTCTCAAATTCCATTGCTAATACCGCAGCTGGTGCTCTCTTGAAAGTGTCACCTCCTGGTTGGAGGCCAACTAACTCAGGCCATTACAGCAACTCATGATAGAATAACACTGTTCCCAGGAAGAAGAAAACAACAGCTAACACCATTGGCTGCAATATCCTGGCTAACCACAGGTCCCAAATCTGTCCACATGACAACTTTGCTGCTAGCCAGGATTCAATGCTGCCAACCAGTATTTGAGAAAGCTAGCACACTAAGCCTATCTACAACCAAGGATTCTCACAAAGTCTATATCACTTTCCTGCCACCTCCACCAGAGCAGGTGCTGTTATATATGACTGGGAGACCAGAAGACTGATCACATAACTGGGCCCTTTGCAGGCATTCCCTACCATCAGCCCAGAGTGTGGTAGCCCTGCTGGGTGGCTAGACCCAAAAGAGCAATAACAATCACTGCCGTCTGGCTCTTAGGATGCCCCATCCCTAGGGGAAAGGGGAGAGCACCACATTAAGGAATCACCCCTTGGGACAAAGGAATTGGAACAGCAGGCTTTTAGTTATAGATCTTTTTGCTGGTGAGCAGTTTCTCACAGCAGAGACACAATTGCAGTGCTGGGTGCAGTAGGGAATGTCTGCACCTATACCCCAACAGGCAGGCAGCCTCTGTGATCATGAAGGGCCTTGGAGAAGGTGTCCTTGTTCCACTTGGCTCTCCACTGAAGAAACAGCTGGAGCTTCCCCTACATGAATGCAGTGTGGAAGCACCTATAGACAACCTTTCTGGAAAAATCCAGGGTGAGCGCAGCCCCACAGGAGCAGCATCCCCCAGAAGGAGGACTTCTCAAGAGGCAGAGTCACAATGCCTCCCTAGTTGGAACATCAGCATTCCTATAGATGCCCATCTGATCTGAATAGCTGATACACTAGGACAGGAGTGAGGTGAATAGCTTCTCTACCTACCTGGCAGGGGAGCTGAGGTAGCTCCCATTCTTCACCCTGATAAAACCTCAGCACATGTAATTGAGAGCTCCCCCAGGCACCCACATCAAGGTCAGGACCTTGGCCCACCATTGGGTATTACATCTACCTACCTGCCTTAGCCACAACTGGTGCCTACTGAGGAATACGTCCCCTATTGACCTGAAGCATGAATCATCAATTCAGTAAATAAAACACCAGTAAATAAATAAATAAACAAACAAACAAATACATAAAGTATATATGACAAGAGAACAAGATCAGTTTCAAGAGATCCCTGCCATTCCAACATCATAGGAGGCAGTAAACTCACCCACACACCAAGAATATAACTACTAAAACCAGCACTGGGGAAAGCCAGTGCACAAAGACTCTCTGTAACTAAGGATTTCATACAGAGTTTTCACCCCTACAAGCACCAAGAATCAAATGAGGCTAAAATAAACATTAAAGTCTAATCCCTAAGAGGGAAAACAAAATTCAATTTACAAAAAAGACACAGTCCAATCAAAAATAAATTCAAGAACAATTTTAAAAAATAGTCTACCCAAATGAGAAGGAACCAGAAAAGTAATTCTGGTAAATGACAAAACAGGGTTCTAAAACACCCCCAAAAGATCACACCAGCTCCCCAGCAATGGATCCAAACCAAGAAGAAATCTCTGAATTGCCAGATAAAAAATTCATAAGATCAATCATTAAGATACTCAAGGAGACACCAGAGAAGGGTGAAAACCAACTTAAAGAAATTTTAAAAAATACAGGATATAGATAAAAATTTTTCCAGAGCAATAGATATCATAAAGAAAAAACACAACTTCTGGAAATGAAAGACACACTTAGAAAAATACAAAATGCAGTGGAAAGTTTCAACAGTAGGCTAGAAAAGTAGAAGAAAGAACCTCAGAGCTCAAAGTTGAGGCTTTCAAATTAACCCAATCAGATAAAGACAAAGAAAAAAAGAATTTTAAAAAATGAACAAAGCCTCCAAGAAATTTGGGATTATGTTAAACAGCCAAGCCTAAGAATAATTGGTATTCCTAAGAAATCTAAAACTCTGAGAAACATATTAAGGGAATAATTGAAGAAAACTTCCCTGACCTTGCTAGAGATCTAGACATCCAAATACAAGAAGCTCAAAGAACTCCTGGGAAATTTATCACAAAAAGATTATCACCTTGGCATATAGTCATCAGGTTATCTAAAGTCAAGATGAAGGAAAGAATCTTAAGAGCTGTGAGACAAAAGCATAAGGTAACCTATAAGGGAAAACCTATCAGATTAATAGCCGATTTCTCAGGAGAAACATTACAAGCCACAAGGGATTGGGTCCTATCTTTAGCCTCCTTAAAGAAAATAATTAGCCAGGAATTTTGCATCTGGCAAAACTAAGATTCATAAATGAAGGAGAGATAAAGTATTTTTCAGACAAAGAAGTGCTGAGAGAATTTGCCATGACCTAACCAGCACTGCAAGAAATGCTAAAATGAGTTCTGAATGTTGAAACAAAACCTCAAAATGCACCAATATAGAACCCCCTTAAAGCATAAATCTCAAAGGGCCTGTAAAAAAATAACACAATAAAAAAACCAAGGTATTAAGGCAACAACTAGCATGATGAATAGAGCGGTACCTTACATCTCAATTCTAATGTTGAATGTAAATAGCCTGAATAGACCACTTAAAAGATACAGAATGGCAGAATGGATAAAAATCTATTAACCAAGTATCTGCTGTCTTCAAGAGACTCACCTGCCACATAAGGACTCACATAAACTTAAGGTAAAGGGGTGAAAAAAAGCATTCCATGCAAATGGAAACCAAACACAAGCATGAGTAGTTGTTATTATTTCAGACGAAATAGACTTTAAAGCAGTAACAGTAAAAAAGACAGAGAAACATTATATATTGATAAAAGGATTAGCTCAACAGGAAAGTATCACAATCCTAAATATATATGCACCTAACACTTGAGCTCCCAAATTCATAAAAAAATTACTACTAGACCTAAGAAATGAGATAGATGAAAACACAATAATAGTAGGGAACTTCAGTACTTCACTGACAGCACTAGATAGGACAAGACAGAAGGCCAACAAAGAAACAACAGACCTAAACTATATCCTAGAACAAATGGATTTAACAGAGATTTACAGAACATTCTACCCAACAACTACAGAATATACATTCTTTATATTAGCACATGGAACATTCTCCAAGATAGACCATATGATAGGCCACAAAATAAGTCCCAATAAATTTAAGAAAATTGAAAACATATCAAGTATCCTCTCAGAACACAGTGGAATAAAACTGGAAATTAACTCCAAAAGACACCCTCAGAACTATACAAATACATGGAAATTAAATAATCTGCTTTTGAATGATGTTTGGGTTAACAACGAAATCAAGATAGAAATTTAAAAATGTTGAAATGAATGATAATAGTGACAGAACTTATCAAAACCCCTGGGATACAGCAAAATGGTGCTAAAAGGAAAGTTCATAGCATTAAATGCATACATAAAAAATTCTGAAAGAGCACAAATAGACAATCTAAGGTCACACCTCAAGGAACTAGAGAAACAAGAACAAACCAACCCCAAACCCAGCAGAAGAAAATAAATAACCAAGATCAGAACAAAACTACATGAAATTGAAACAAAAAAAATTACAAAAGATAAATGAAACAAAAAGCTGGTACTTTGAATAGATAAAATTGATAAGACTATTAGTGAGATTAACTAAGAAAAGAATAGAGAAGATCCAAATGAGTTCAATTAGAAATGAAATGGGAGATATTACACAGACACCACAGAAATACAAAATATCATCTAAGGGTACCATGAACACCTTTACACACACAAACTAGAAAATCTAAAAAAGATGGGCAAGTTTCCAGAAATACATAACCCTCCTAGATTAAATAAGGAAGAAATAGAAACTCTGAACAGACCAATAACAAGTAGCAAGATTGAAACAGTAATAAGAAAATCACCAAGAAAAAAGTCCAGGACCAGATGGATTCACAGCTGAATTCTATCAGACATTTAAAGAAGAGTTGGTACCAATCCTACTGAAACTATCCCAAAAGATAAAGAGGGAACCCCCCTAAATCAGTCTATGAAGCCAGTATCACCCTAATACCAAAACCAGGAAAATGCATAACAAGAAAAGAAAACTTCAGCCCAATATCCCTGATTAACATAGATGCAAAAATTCTTAACAAAATACTTGCTAGCCAAATCCAACAGCATATCAAAAAGATAATCCACCATGATCAAGTGGGTTTTACACCAGGAATGCAGGGATGGTTTAAAATACGCAAGTCAAAAAATGTGATACTTCACATAAACAGAATTAAAAACAAAAATCATATGATCATCTCATTAGACGTAGAAAAAGCATTTGACAAAAATTCAACCTCTCTTTATGATTAAAACCCTCAGCAAAATTGGCCTAGAAGAGACATACATTAAGGTAATAAAAGCTATCTATGACAAACCCACAGCCAATATTATGCTAAATGGCGAAAAGTTGAAATCATTCTCCTTGAGAACTGGAACAAGACAAGAATGCCCACTTTCACCACTTCTATTTAACATAGTACTGGAAGTCCTAGCCAGAGCAATCAGATGAGAAAAAGGAATAAAGGACATCCAAATCAGTAAAGAGAAAGTCAAACTGTCACTGTTCACCAGTGATATGATTGTATACCTAGAAAACTCTAAAGACTCATCCAAAAAGCTCCTAGATCTGATATATGAATTCAGTAGTTCCAGCACACAAAATCAATGTACACAAATCAGTAGCACTGCTGCACACCAACAGTGACCAAGGTGAGAATCAAATAGAGAACCCAATCCCTTTTATAATAGCTGGAAAACAACAACAACAACAACAACAACAACAAAACTTAGGAATATACCTAACCAAGAAAGTGAAAGATCTCTACAAGGAAAGCTACAAAACAGTGCTGACATAAATTATGGATGACACAAACAAATGGAAACACATGCCATTGTCCTGGATGGGTAGAATTAGTATTGTGAAAATGATCATACCACCAAAAGCAATCTGCAAATTCAATGCAATTCCCATGAAAATACCACCATCATTCTTCACAGAACTAGGAAAAACAATCCTAAAATTCATATGGAACCAAGAAAGATCCCACATAGCCAAAGCAGGACTAAGCAAAAAGAACAAATTTGGAGGCATTGCATTACCTGACTTCAAACTATACCAAACATCCATAGTCACCAAAGCAGCATGGTACTGGTATAAAAATAGGCATACAGACCGATGAAACAAAAGAGAGAATGCAGAAATAAAGCCAAATACTTACAGCCAACTGATCCTTGACAAAGGAAATAAAAACATAAAGTGGGGAAAGGACACCCTATTCAACACATGGTGCTGGAATAATTGACAAGCCACATGTAGGAGAATGAAACTGGATCCTCATCTCTTACCTTATACAAAAATCAACTCAAGATGGATCAAAGACTTAAATCTAAGACCTGAAACCATAAAAATTCTAGAAGATAACATCAGAAAAACCCTTTTAGATATTGGCTTAGTCAAAGACTTCATGTCCAAAAACCCAAAAGCAAATGCAACAAAAACAAAGATAAATAGATGGGACTTAATTTAACTAAAAACCTTCTGCACAGCAACAAAACAAAAAACAAAAAAACCCCAAAAAACCAGCAGAGTAAGCAGACAACCCACAGAGTGGGAGAAAATATTCACAAACTATGCATCCAACAAAGGACTAATATCTGGAATCTACAAGGAACTCAAACAAATCAGCAAAACAAACAAACAAAAAACAAATAATGCCATCAAAAAGTGGGCTAAGGACATGAATAGACAATTCTCAGCAGAAGATATACAGATGGCCAACAAACATATAAAAAAATGCTCAACATCACTAATTATCAGGGAAATGCAAATCAAAACCACAATGTGGTACCACCTAACTACTGCAAGAACAACCATAATTAAAAAAAAAAAATAGATGTTGACGTGGATGTGATGAAAAGGGAACACTCTTACATTAATAGTGGGAATGTAAACCAGTACAACCACTGTGGAAAACAGTATGGAGAGTCCTTAAAGAACTAAAAGTAGATCCACCATTTGGTCCAGCAATCCTGCTACTGGGTATCTATCCAGAGGAAAAGAAGTCATTATATGAAAAATACATTTGCACAAGCATGTTTATAGAAGCACAATTTGCAATTGCAAAAAATGGAACCAGCCCAAATGCCCATCAATCAACAAGTAGATAAAGAAAATGTGTGTGTGTGTGTGTGTGTATATATATATATATATATACACACACACATATATATGTTGTATATATATTGTGTGTATATATATATACCATGGAATATTACTCAGTCATAAAAAGGAACAAAATAATGGCATTAGTAGTAGCCTGCATGGAGTTTGAGACCATTATTATAAGTGTAGTAACTCAGGAATAGAAAACCAAAAATTGTATGTTCTCACTTATAAGTGGGAGCTAAGCTATGAGGATACAAAGGCATAAGAATGATACAATGGACTTTGGGGATTCCAGGGGAAGGGTGGGAGGGGCGTGAGGGATAAAAGATTACACATTCGATACATATACACTGCTTGGGTGATGGGTGCTCCAAAATCTCAGAAATCACCACTAAAGAACTTATCCTGTTACCCAAAACTATTGAAATAAAATTTTAAAAAGAAATATGTTTTGTATTATACTCAGGGTCACACAGTTTGTAATGTTGAGTTACTAATAACTTGTCAAAATAAAGATTCCTTTAAAATTAAATTCTTCAAAAAAAACAGCCAAAAATGGTAACTACTCATATGCTCATCAGAACTAAAGTGAATAAAGAAATTGTGGTATATTCACACAATTGAATTGAATTCTTTGCAGTAATGAGAAGGAACAATTTATAACACCATGCAACAGTGTAGGTGAATCTCACAAATATAATGTTAAATAAAAGAAACCAGGCACAAAATGTATACTGTTTTATTACATTTGTATAAAATACCAAGACAAGAAATATTAATTTGTATTATTAGAAGTTAGTATAGTGGTTTTCCTATAGCAGGGGAGTGGCATGAAGAGATCATGAAGGGAGCTGCCATTGTGCTAAGTTGTTTCTTAAACTTGGTGCTAAGTACGTGGGCAGATTAAGTCTGGGAAATTCATTGAACGTCATACTTATAACTTGTGTGCTTTTCTATATGTAAATTGTACTTTAATAAAGGTTTTAAAAAGACACTAAAATAACCCTGAAAACCAGTAGACTATATTGAGTCTTACATATTCATTTTCATTATTATTGCTATTATTATTGTTTTTGTTTATTGTTGTTTATTTTTATTCTAGTATATGATGGGGATGGTATTTTATATCACATTCATTTTAGGGTTATGAAGCCAATTAGATATTGTGATTTAATTTGCACTGTGGGTGCTTCTTTTCTTTCATCAATATTTATTTATTGTTCTAGAATGCCAAGGTTTTGTATAAGCAATCTTATTATCAATCAATGACATACGAAACTGTCAAAATGAGCAGAATTAGTTGTGAGTCTATAACTTTGACAAATGCCATTGCAGTCTGACTCCCTGCTAATCACAGTTACGATATTGAATCGAGAAATAGTCCTTGAAAAATTAATTAAATACTGTTATAGAGACTAAAATGAATTTAAAGGGCAGAGAGAAAAAATTAACAGAAGAGAATGACAAACAGCACCTTATTGAATTGAAGCAATATCTTGTCGTGTAAACAGAGATAATTAAATCCACAGAAGATACTAAATTGGAAGGTGTTGCCTTGACCAGCAAAAACAGAGAAATCTTTCTTTTGGTCTTGGAAAGGTTACAGTCAGGGCAGGAAAAAAAATTAAATTCAACCAGGGGAAAATGCAAACTGCTATGCCCAGGCAAAGTAAACTGAAACACAAATATTCTGTGGGAGAGAGAAGCTGGAAAGTCCAGTATCCTGAGAGACACTGAGCAAAAGCATAAAAAATTAGATAGCAGGACCTGATAGGACTGGAGAGAAAGGCCAGTGATCTCTCTCAACTCTGAGGGGCCATTTCTTCTTGTTTTCCTCTGAGCCACCATGGAGTTCCTTTCAACATCAATAGAAATTTGGTAAAGCCAAGTAAAAAAAAAAGTAGAAAATCTCTTGTAGAAATCACATGAAAATGGAGTAATGTAGGGAAAAGACATTTGTATCTCTGATCCTCTGCACTATTATTTAGGAAGACCAAAGTTCTCCTTTAAAGAATTATATGCATAGACACACATTTGTGTGTGTGTGTGTGTGTGTGTGTGTGTGTGTGCTGGGTTCCCTATTGTACCATACTTAGAGCACAATTGATGAATTCACATCAAAGGAGCCCAGAAGTTTGGTTTTGTCCAGCCCCACCTTGACTTCTAGCCCATCAAATACAAAAGCCGTCTCTGGCACTCTGAATCTAGCCCTCTTTTTATACTTTTAGTTGCTACATTTACGGCAACTGTGGATAATATATGCTGTTTCTGAATGTATGTTGTATATTCTAAAAATAATTCATAGGATACATTACATGCTGTATTTTGTGTTACAACATTTCATTTGCTGATGGAAACTCCAGCACTAGCAAGATAATAAAAGAAAGGCACGCAAATTTTGGAGAAAAGCACCCAGAATTACTATGATTCCAACAAATTTTCGTATTGGCTGAGCCCAATTCTTCAGTATTCTTATCAATTATTTCATCTCTTGGTACTTCTTGAATAAATTCATTTTCTGCTAAAGATGAAATAGTTATTTGTAATGAAAAACCTGGCTGGTGCAGTATGTATTTAAATTTGAGTATTATCAGTTCCTTGGAAACAGGATGTGTTTGTACTATGCTAAAAAAATGTTCTCAGAAAGGTCTCTTCAGATATGTTATCATAACTGAAAGGGAACAAAATAATTTTGGTTTCACACAATTTGAAAGATGTCTTAATTTGGATTCCTTTAAGCAGATCTTGAGACAAGAACTTGGGTACAGGTAGTTTATTTGGGAGTTGATCCCTGGAAGAACAAAATAAGAATGCATTAATGGGGGTAGCACATTTATCAACAATTGGAACTTTAACCCCACTGGGAATCCCTCTGAGAAACTATGTGAAATATGTTTCAGAACTGATGTCCCCAGAAGATGGGGAGGCTGACATATTTATCCACCATTTCTCATCCCTCATCGGTAAAGGTTTGCTTTGTTTTATTCTTGCCTAAAGAAATAAGAATTCTAGTGAGGCAAAAAGATAGTAATTTATTAAGGAAAAATCATGTTGTCATATGTTGGTATTTGCTATGAGCATTGTGGGTTGCTAATCAAAATGGCTACTCTAGGTAGGGGCTGGAAGTAACAGCCCAAGCTCAGACCTGGTGGCAAGTATGACATTCAAGGGTAAGGGCAATTGCTGTTTTCAGTACATGATTGACAGTGGTGGATATAAGGTATTGGAGCCTGAGAGGAAGGCTACGGTGAGAGTGAGTGGTCTAACAAGCAGAGCAATTAATATGTCAAGGAGTCTTGGTCCTTATAAGGTCAGGCAGAGAGGCAAGTTGGCCATTCTGAATCAGAAGCCACAGCTTCTGTGTTAAGATTGTAATCCCACTGTCTAGAAAAGGAGAACTGCAAGTGTAAGGCAGGTTCTCAAGCTCAAGAGAGTATTAGGTGCCTAAAAAGATTGCTTGAACAAACCCACTGAAGAAGCCTCATTCTCTAAACTGGGAGACAGGGCAGAGAATTACAGCTCGTGAACCAAAGAAACACTCTGGGAATCTGTGGTCGCTGAATTTTGCCTGATGGTGAACTCCATTTGATGTGAGAGTAGAGTACCTCAACTAATTCCAAACTCAGCTAGTATTGATAGAACCCTGCAGGTGGGTGTCACTTGGTAGGGCACAGGGGCGGGGGAGAAGGAGGATGCCCAAACAGAGAAGTCTATCAGAGCCTGACATTTGTCGGTGAAACAAATTCTTGATATCTTTGAAGAACTGAATTTATTCAGCCATCATATTTCTCCAACTGAATCATAGGCACATATATTTCTAGAATTGCAATATAAATAATCAATGCAAGTGAACAAAATGCTCATATATTTGTCAATTTATACTTAAATGATGTATTAAGCTTTAAAAATATTTATTATTCTCCTTTTATGAATACAGTTTTTCATGGAATACAAAAATAATAAGACATAGTTCCTGTGTTATAGAAGCTTGCAACATAAAGTGTACATGATTAACAAATTGTAAGTGTCTCTAGCATTCGGCATACTGCTCCACACATAACAAATACTTGACACATATTTACTAAATTAAGAGCTTGTAAGTTAATCCAATGTCTTCCTAATATAATTAAAACACTATACTTTCAATTTTAGCAATGGAGAGACAATCTTCACTTGAAAAAAAAAAAGATGGACTCTGTAGCACCAACATTTACCTCCAATATTCACCTTCCTAATGGGATCTCAGTAATTTCTGCTGTCAATGTTCTGACCCAAGGAGTGTTGCTCTCCCAAAAATGAACTCATGGCTCCTTCTAAAATACTGCAAATCACACTTGAGAGTAAGATGAAATACTGAATAGCTAGCATTTAAAACAACGCCTGACACATAGTAAGTACTATCTAAACACTTTATGCATATTAACTCATGTAATCCTCACACAAACATGAGGAGAGTAGGTCCTAAAATTATCAGGAAACAAGACACAGAATAGTGAAGTAACTTGCTCAAGTTTACTCAGGAAGTGCCAAGCCAGGATCGCAGCCCAGGCAGTGTGACTCCAAAGTCTGTCCTTGTAAGACTACTCTATCCTGCTCCAAGATTTTGTTCAGATCCATAGATAGCAAAAGGAAGAAATCCCTGGGAGAAATATAGCATGAACACATTGCTTATACAGTAAGGCTTATTTATCTTAATCTTTGCTTCTTCTACTTAAGTTATTTCATGTGTCAAGTGCCATCCTTCTCCTTTTGCTCTGGAGTGTCCTCAAAGGCTCTAAAGAGTCTGAAAAAGCAACAGGAGTTACTTCTACTCTCTTCCTAAGGCTGCCCTTCCTCATGTGACTGATACCAGCGATATTCATCTTTTATAGGAGATCCTACCTGATATGCATCCATCTTACTATATTGAAAACAATTGGTAAAACCGTAAAGAACTATTGAAAACAAAATGTTGTGATCTACACGTAGTACACATAATGACATAGCTAAAATATGTCACTCTAACGCCCTCTTTTAGGTGAAAATGGCAAACATACCAGCAGCAATGTTTTACGAAGCCTGTAATCACTGATCCAGTTCAACAGGTACACAGAAGCATGTTGAAGAAAGGTAAATATGTAGATTAATTTAATGATGACACAGAAATGATTGAACCTATTTTTGCCATCCAAGAAAAAATGAGTCATTTTTATATTTAAATTGGCTTGGTTCATGCTGTACTACTGACAGAAATTATTTCAAAGTATAAAGAGATGAGCAATTGGGCATTTCTTCTCTTGTGTATTCGCAACCTAAAAACCAGTTTGAATATAATTCTTTACCAGTATTGAATTTAGATTCTGCTTTTCCTGCTTGTATGCAACACACTATATTGATCTGGATATTTTGAGTAACACATTTATAGAGGAAACAATTCAAAAATATCACTTCGTATTTCCTTTGGAATACATGTACAGTTTGCCATATGTTTGGGTTTGTTGCATAATAACTGAAGTAAATATTAAAAGGCTGGTAAGAATATTTTAGTGACTTCATAGATTTTATCTAAAGATGCATATTAACTCAAAGAGAATAACTGTTTTATCTGATATTTCTGAAGATTAGGAGTCACATCTATTCACTTTTAATATCTAATTACCAATTAGAACATATGAAAAGTAGTAAACCAAGAGGGATTATTGTTTGTTTCTTTGTTTTCTTTTAGAGCGGATATCTAGTCTTATTCTGTGCTGACTTATTTTTAAAACAGTAGAAGATGTTTTTCTCAATGCAAATATAAAATATTCTTGTACCAGATTTATGGAACTAGCAACATGTTCATTTGCATTTTTCAAC
Organism: Homo sapiens; assembly: GCF_000001405.40. Lineage (NCBI taxonomy): Eukaryota > Metazoa > Chordata > Mammalia > Primates > Hominidae > Homo > Homo sapiens. The sequence goes on along the minus strand of NC_000023.11, from coordinate 43,315,057 downwards.
TCAGACATGACAAACATCCAAGCAATTTAGAACTGTTACTCATAAATTGTGTCCACTCTGGTGGACTAGTTCCTAAATTTTTGGAGCTGCTTTCCACTGGAGAATGAAAATGAATTTTTAAAATCTCATTCCATTATACTGAACACAGTATAAATGTTTATGAATATTCACTATAAAATTAGAGGTTATTGGAGCCTTACGATTTGAATTAGTATGGAAATGTAGTTTTTCGAAGTCTCTGGGTACTAAAAAAGCTACTGTTTTAGTGTCTATGCAATAATGCTGGGAAAAATTCTCCACCAGATGGCAAGAAATTCAAAAGGTCTAAAAATGCCGTCACAGGCAGTGTGTGTGAAGAAACTGGGGAGGTTTCCCAGGGAGTGCTGAGGTCATTTCTTCAAGTGTATGAAGGGCTAGTATTGAAAAGAGAGTACACTTTCTCTGTGCACTCTCAGAAGTTAGAACCAGTGTGTACTATGTCTGGTATAAGTTTGTCTTACCATTTCTCTACTAAGAACTTCTTTTAAATGTGGTTTGTTATTGTAACACTTTTTACAAGAAGCTATATTTGAACAGTTACAAACTGTACATACTCTATGATGCTTGTCCTATGAATGGATTTCTAAATTTCTGTGTGGAATACAAATTATTTGCAGTTTTCTGTAAATAAAGATTAACTTCCATCCTTTTCTTTTTCACTTTTATTTACTTTTTTAAAAAAGAACCAGAGAACCAAGACCAAGGAGGTAAAGATATCCTTTTATCTACTAAGGAGCTCTTCAGAGGTGGTACATTCTCCATGTCAAGTGTTTAGGTAGAAATAGGAGGACTATCTGTCTGTTTTAGGGATGAAGTTGACATGATCTCTTTAATAAGTGGAAGGTAGGATTAGATTATTTCCAGAGTGTTTTTCCTACACTGTAGTTTGTTCTGTTTAAGTTCTAACCTCATCACCATCCTCACATTGAAGGCGATAAATGCTAGCTGAAATAGTCTTTGTGATGCAATGTGTTAATGCCCACTTCGCTGTTTAAACAATGATCTGTTAATATCTGGAAATTATCTTCAGGAAATAGTTTCTACAGACCATTTTAATACAGCCAGTTATTAGTTTCTTGTACTTCAGACTTTTGCATAACAAAAGATGGTTGCAAAATTAATGATAGAAATAATGAGGCTGAGCATGGTGGCAAATGCCTGTAGTCCCAGCTACTTGGGAGGCTGAAGCAAGAGGATCCCTTGAACCCAAGAGTTCGAGACGGCAGTGAGCTATGATTGTGCCACTTCACTCTAACCTGGGTGACAGAATGAGGCCCTATCTCAGATAAATAAATAAATAATATAATGGTGTTTTTATCTACTCTTTCTCTCTCCATTTTTCTCTTTCTATACTTACATATATACAGATTTTTGATTATGAAAGCAAGAATAAAAATAGGTTTTGAATGATGATACAAGAGGTATTTTTTTCCCCTGTAATTGAAACAAAATATAAAGTAAAAATGCATCTATGTTAAAATGTCTAACTCTGGAAATAATGCTTTGACTTTTGTGTATCTTTTTGTTTTATAAGAAATTTACCATTAACTCTGGCAGTTTTCATGTACCTTGTGGAAATGTGAGGAAATTTAGTTGAGAGAACCCCTTAACTGAGTTAAATTACAAGAGTCAGTTCCTAGCTCCCTTGGTGGTATTTAGAAAAGCTCCTTGATGCTTTATAGCACCTTTTTGACAAAAGAATCCCTTTCATCATTTAAAAATATTGCGCAATATAACAGAGAGAAAATTGCATAAAACCTAAATATATGGCTTAACAACTTGCTGTAAAACAAACACTGTTTAAATACTCCAAAGGTCAAGAAATAGAAAATCACCAGAAACTTCCTGTGTACTCCTTTCAGATAATAATCCACTGTTTCCTCAACCACAAACATATGCACAAGTCAACTACCATCCTGTTTTTTTCAGTATTTTAAAATTCCTTCTCTTCATACTTTTACCACCTCTACATTGTTTTCCTTTTTATAAAAATAGATTTATCTTTTAGTTTTACCTGTTTTTGAATTTTATATTAGTAGATTTGTACTTATGTATTTTTTTCTTTCTTGATTTTTATGCTCAACATTAAAACTTGTCAAATTCACCTATATAATGATGTTTAGCCAGTGGTGTACTGGAGCTGGTGCATACCAGTTTGTGAGAGCTGATTCTATGTATTTTTTCTCAGCTTATGTTTAGTAACATTATATTGGTAGCTTGAATTTGGCCACAGTAGGGGCATTTACACCATGAAAATGGTCACATATAACAAATCAGTGTTTTCTTTCCAAAAGCCAGTCGTTAAACATTAGTCAGAACACCAGTGTATTTAACTGCAGTTAAACCATTTCAATTGGTGTACCTAATTTCATTATATAAATATATCAGAGTTTATCAATTCTTTTGTTGAGGGACAACAGGGTCATTTCCAGTTATCTGTAATTATAAACAGTTCACCTAATAACTCTCTTGTGTATGTGCCCTGATGGTCATAAGCACTTCAATATGTAGGGTATACTTCATGAAGTGAAATTGTTGGGTCACACTTCAGGCTCACCTCTCTCATCTCTCTTCCCCTTGATCTTGGCTCACTAACTCGCTTCTACTGTGTTAGTACTTTTAAGCATCTCAGATGATGTTGCTCGCTTGCTTATTTGTTTGTTTACTTGCTTATATTTTGTCCAGTTGTTTTGTTTGGATTTGTTTTGTTTTTAATGTTTTTCAGTGAGAAGGTTGGTATAATGTATCAAAACTTATATTATCAAAAGCTTGCTTATCATTGTTGCCTCATAGCCCAATAGCACCTGAGAGCTATTCCTGCTTTCATTGCCTCTTCAATTGCAACATTAGACAAATAGCTGAAGTGCTGAGACAGGGCTTTTTCACAGACAACTTTTAATGGATATATAAAATCATCCACCCTGTGAGAAAAAAAATGATGTCAGGAAAGACTAAATATCCTACAGTTTGGAATAGAGCAGGATCTATATACACTATACATTCCTTAGCTCATAGCACAATATTCTGTTCACGGGAAACATCAGTTATGAAAGTGGGTTCTGATTTATTCTATTATACTGTGGCCATAAGAATGTTCTGGGGCAAGGCTTCAGTGAGTGTAAATGGTTCTTTTCTTCTATCTTTGTTCAAGTTTCATTTGTGCTTGAGGGAGTTGTGGAGGTTAGGAAATAAGAAAAAGCAAAGGCAGGATGAAAAGTGCCCCACTCCCGCCCGCCATTGCCCAGGCTTGCTTAGGTAAACAAAGCAGCCTGGAAGCTCGAACTGGGTGGAGCCCACCACAGCTCAAGGAGGCCTGCCTGCCTCTGTAGGCTCCACCTCTGGGGGCAGGGCACAGACAAACAAAAAGACAGCAGTAACCTCTGCAGACTTAAGTGTCCCTGTCTGACAGCTTTGAAGAGAGCAGTGGTTCTCCCAGCACGCAGCTGGAGATCTGAGAACGGGCAGACTGCCTCCTCAAGTGGGTCCCTGACCCCTGACCCCCGAGCAGCCTAACTGGGAGGCACCCCCCAGCAGGGGCACACTGACACCTCACACGGCAGGGTATTCCAACAGACCTGCAGCTGAGGGTCCTGTCTGTTAGAAGGAAAACTAACAACCAGAAAGGACATCTACACCGAAAACCCATCTGTACATCACCATCATCAAAGACCAAAAGTAGATAAAACCACAAAGATGGGGAAAAAACAGAACAGAAAAACTGGAAACTCTAAAACGCAGAGCGCCTCTCCTCCTCCAAAGGAACGCAGTTCCTCACCAGCAACAGAACAAAGCTGGATGGAGAATGATTTTGACGAGCTGAGAGAAGAAGGCTTCAGATGATCAAATTACTCTGAGCTACGGGAGGACATTCAAACCAAAGGCAAAGAAGTTGAAAACTTTGAAAAAAATTTAGAAGAATGTATAACTAGAATAACCAATACAGAGAAGTGCTTAAAGGAGCTGATGGAGCTGAAAACCAAGGCTCGAGAACTACGTGAAGAATGCAGAAGCCTCAGGAGCCGATGCAATCAACTGGAAGAAAGGGTATCAGCAATGGAAGATGAAATGAATGAAATGAAGCGAGAAGGGAAGTTTAGAGAAAAAAGAATAAAAAGAAATGAGCAAAGCCTCCAAGAAATATGGGACTATGTGAAAAGACCAAATCTACGTCTGATTGGTGTACCTGAAAGTGATGTGGAGAATGGAACCAAGTTGGAAAACACTCTGCAGGATATTATCCAGGAGAACTTCCCCAATCTAGCAAGGCAGGCCAACGTTCAGATTCAGGAAATACAGAGAACGCCACAAAGATACTCCTCGAGAAGAGCAACTCCAAGACACATAATTGTCAGATTCACCAAAGTTGAAATGAAGGAAAAAATGTTAAGGGCAGCCAGAGAGAAAGGTCGGGTTACCCTCAAAGGAAAGCCCATCAGACTAACAGCGGATCTCTCGGCAGAAACCCTACAAGCCAGAAGAGAGTGGGGGCCAATATTCAACATTCTTAAAGAAAAGAATTTTCAACCCAGAATTTCATATCCAGCCAAACTAAGCTTCATAAGTGAAGGAGAAATAAAATACTTTATAGACAAGCAAATGCTGAGAGATTTTGTCTCCACCAGGCCTGCCCTAAAAGAGCTCCTGAAGGAAGCACTAAACATGGAAAGGAACAACCGGTACCAGCCGCTGCAAAATCATGCCAAAATGTAAAGACCATCGAGACTAGGAAGAAACTGCATCAACTAATGAGCAAAATCACCAGCTAACATCATAATGACAGGATCAAATTCACACATAACAATATTAACTTTAAATATAAATGGACTAAATTCTGCAATTAAAAGACACAGACTGGCAAGTTGGATAAAGAGTCAAGACCCATCAGTGTGCTGTATTCAGGAAACCCATCTCACGTGCAGAGACACACATAGGCTCAAAATAAAAGGATGGAGGAAGATCTACCAAGCAAATGGAAAAAAAAAAAAGGCAGGGGTTGCAATCCTAGTCTCTGATAAAACAGACTTTAAACCAACAAAGATCAAAAGAGACAAAGAAGGCCATTACATAATGGTAAAGGGATCAATTCAACAAGAGGAGCTAACTATCCTAAATATTTATGCACCCAATACAGGAGCACCCAGATTCATAAAGCAAGTCCTCAGTGACCTACAAAGAGACTTAGACTCCCACACATTAATAATGGGAGACTTTAACACCCCACTGTCAACATTAGACAGATCAACGAGACAGAAAGTCAACAAGGATACCCAGGAATTGAACTCAGCTCTGCACCAAGCAGACCTAATAGACATCTACAGAAATCTCCACCCCAAATCAACAGAATATACATTTTTTTCAGCACCACACCACACCTATTCCAAAATTGACCACATAGTTGGAAGTAAAGCTCTCCTCAGCAAATGTAAAAGAACAGAAATTATAACAAACTATCTCTCAGACCACAGTGCAATCAAACTAGAACTCAGGATTAAGAATCTCACTCAAAGCCGCTCAACTACATGGAAACTGAACAACCTGCTCCTGAATGACTGCTGGGTACATAACGAAATGAAGGCAGAAATAAAGATGTTCTTTGAAACCAATGAGAACAAAGACACCACATACCAGAATCTCTGGGACACATTCAAAGCAGTGTGTAGAGGGAAATTTATAGCACTAAATGCCTACAAGAGAAAGCAGGAAGGATCCAAAATTGACACCCTAACATCACAATTAAAAGAACTAGAAAAGCAAGAGCAAACACATTCAAAAGCTAGCAGAAGGCAAGAAATAACTAAAATCAGAGCAGAACTGAAGGAAATAGAGACACAAAAAACCCTTCAAAAAATCAATGAATCCAGGAGCTGGTTTTTTGAAAGGATCAATAAAATTGATAGACCGCTAGCAAGACTAATAAAGAAAAAAAGAGAGAAGAATCAAATAGACACGATAAAAAATGATAAAGGGGATATCACCACCGATCCCACAGAAATACAAACTACCATCAGAGAATACTACAAACACCTCTACGCAAATAAACTAGAAAATCTAGAAGAAATGGATACATTCCTCGACACATACACTCTCCCAAGACTAAACCAGGAAGAAGTTGAATCTCTGAATAGACCAATAACAGGCTCTGAAATTGTGGCAATAATCAATAGTTTACCAACCAAAAAGAGTCCAGGACCAGATGGATTCACAGCCGAATTCTACCAGAGGTACAAGGAGGAACTGGTACCATTCCTTCTGAAACTATTCCAATCAATAGAAAAAGAGGGAATCCTCCCTAACTCATTTTATGAGGCCAGCATCATTCTGATACCAAAGCCGGGCAGAGACACAACCAAAAAAGAGAATTTTAGACCAATATCCTTGATGAACATTGATGCAAAAATCCTCAATAAAATACTGGCAAACCGAATCCAGCAGCACATCAAAAAGCTTATCCACCATGATCAAGTGGGCTTCATCCCTGGGATGCAAGGCTGGTTCAATATACGCAAATCAATAAATGTAATCCAGCATATAAACAGAGCCAAAGACAAAAACCACATGATTATCTCAATAGATGCAGAAAAAGCCTTTGACAAAATTCAACAACCCTTCATGCTAAAAACTCTCAATAAATAAGGTATTGATGGGACGTATTTCAAAATAATAAGAGCTATCTATGACAAACCCACAGCCAATATCATACTGAATGGGCAAAAACTGGAAGCATTCCCTTTGAAAACTGGCACAAGACAGGGATGCCCTCTCTCACCGCTCCTATTCAACATAGTGTTGGAAGTTCTGGCCAGGGCAATCAGGCAGGAGAAGGAAATAAAGGGTATTCAATTAGGAAAAGAGGAAGTCAAATTGTCCCTGTTTGCAGACGACATGATTGTTTATCTAGAAAACCCCATCGTCTCAGCCCAAAATCTCCTTAAGCTGATAAGCAACTTCAGCAAAGTCTCAGGATACAAAATCAATGTACAAAAATCACAAGCATTCTTATACACCAATAACAGACAAACAGAGAGCCAAATCATGGGTGAACTCCCATTCACAATTGCTTCAAAGAGAATAAAATACCTAGGAATCCAACTTACAAGGGATGTGAAGGACCTCTTCAAGGAGAACTACAAACCACTGCTCAATGAAATAAAAGAGGACACAAACAAATGGAAGAACATTCCATGCTCATGGGTAGGAAGAATCAATATCATGAAAATGGCCATACTGCCCAAGGTAATTTACAGATTCAATGCCATCCCCATCAAGCTACCAATGACTTTCTTCACAGAATTGGAAAAAACTACTTTAAAGTTCATATGGAACCAAAAAAGAGCCCGCATCGCCAAGTCAATCCTAAGCCAAAAGAACAAAGCTGGAGGCATCACACTACCTGACTTCAAACTATACTACAAGGCTACAGTAACCAAAACAGCATGGTACTGGTACCAAAACAGAGATATAGATCAATGGAACAGAACAGAGCCCTCAGAAATAACACCGCATATCTACAACTATCTGATCTTTGACAAACCTGAGAAAAACAAGCAATGGGGAAAGGATTCCCTATTTAATAAATGGTGCTGGGAAAACTGGCTAGCCATATGTAGAAAGCTGAAACTGGATCCCTTCCTTACACCTTATACAAAAATCAATTCAAGATGGATTAAAGATTTAAATGTTAGACCTAAAACCATAAAAACCCTAGAAGAAAACCTAGGCATTACCATTCAGGACATAGGCATGGGCAAGGACTTCATGTCCAAAACACCAAAAGCAATGGCAACAAAAGCCAAAATTGACAAATGGGATCTAATTAAACTAAAGAGCTTCTGCACAGCAAAAGAAACTACCATCAGAGTGAACAGGCAACCTACAACATGGGAGAAAATTTTCGCAACCTACTCATCTGACAAAGGGCTAATATCCAGAATCTACAATGAACTCAAACAAATTTACAAGAAAAAAACAAACAACCCCATCAAAAAGTGGGCGAAGGACATGAACAGACACTTCTCAAAAGAAGACATTTATGCAGCCAGAAAACACAGGAAGAAATGCTCATCATCACTGTCCATCAGAGAAATGCAAATCAAAACCACTGTGAGATATCATCTCACACCAGTTAGAATGGCAATCATTAAAAAGTCAGGAAACAACAGGTGCTGGAGAGGATGTGGAGAAATAGGAACACTTTTACACTGTTGGTGGGACTGTAAACTAGTTCAACCATTGTGGAAGTCAGTGTGGCGATTCCTCAGGGATCTAGAACTAGAAATACCATTTGACCCAGCCATCCCATTACTGGGTATATACCCAAATGAGTATAAATCATGCTGCTATAAAGACACATGCACACGTATGTTTATTGCAGCACTATTCACAATAGCAAAGACTTGGAACCAACCCAAATGTCCAACAATGATAGACTGGATTAAGAAAATGTGGCACATATACACCATGGAATACTATGCAGCCATAAAAAATGATGAGTTCATATCCTTTGTAGGGACATGGATGAAATTGGAAACCATCATTCTCAGTAAACTATCGCAAGAACAAAAAACCAAACACCACATATTCTCACTCATAGGTGGGAACTGAACAATGAGATCACATGGACACAGGAAGGGGAATATCACACTCTGGGGACTGTGGTGGGGTCGGGGGAGGGGGGAGGGTTAGCATTGGGAGATATACCTAATGCTAGATGACACATTAGTGGGTGCAGCGCACCAGCATGGCACATGTATACATATGTAACTAACCTGCACAATGTGCACATGTACCCTAAAACTTAGAGTATAATAAAAAAAATTAAAAAAAAAAAAAAAAAAAAAGTATTAACAGGCTGAGCACAGTGCCTCACTCCTGTAATCCCAGGACTTTGGGAGACCAAGGCAGGAGGATCACTTTAACCCAGGAGTTCAGGATCAGCCTGGGCAACATACAGACCCCATCTCTATTAAAAAAAATTTTTTTTTAATTAGCCAGGCATGGTGGCACATGCCTGTAGTCCTAGCTACTTGGAAGGCTGAGGCAGGAGGATGCCTTGAGCCCAGGGGTTTGAGGCATATTTCTGTTTTACATATTTCTGTTATGAGTGAAACAGAATTATAACTGGGGATGTTGAGATGTTTTAATTTCAGGAGATTGTTGCCCTTGCAATACATACTAATACATTTATTAACAGTGAAAAATGGGATCATGCTTTTTCAAATGAAAATAAATCTAATTTAGCCAATTGCTCTGACATTGAGGACTGACTGCTCATTAGATCATGTGGTTGAACATTTTCAGAAATGAGCTAAATCTGTGACTTTAAGGTAGATTTTGATGAAAATATATTTAAATCATGTGATAAGATAAAATCATATTAAAAATAAATGTTGGCAATGATGGAAAGACATTAATAATATTTTGATCATTTCAACCATCTATTGGGTTAAACGAGCTTCCTTTAAGTACAAGAGTAACTCATGTGAGAATAACCCACATAATTATTAGTAAATAATAAAGCTTTTTGATGTCCTCAGAAATCAAGAAAGGGAATGTGTGTAGATAACAAATCTTTTGGCAAATTGAGTTTTCAGTTCTTTGCTTTCAATAAAATTGGAAAAAGACTTAATTGCCAGCCGATAGATTATTACAATAAATTTTGCTGATAGTTTGCTATATATTTTTGGTATATAACTTGGAAGGAGTCCAAAGAATTGAGTGACATTACTATAACAAAGTTCTTCCATTCCAAGATAATATTTATGTGAATAAGGTTTTAGCACATAAAATTGATTATTAGAAAGGTGGGGAGGATTGATGTTGAGCCATGTCTCATTCTAATAATAAGTAATACTACCAACAAATATTTAAACACCAATTGAAAAGAAAATCTCATCCATCTTATTAAGAAATGCATTTTAATACAATTTTCTTTCTTAAGTCTATTACCTATAAAATGTGTAATATATTTCTATAGCTTGATCAATTGTATTCATAAGAATATTAATAAAAACTCAATCCAGGAGAATTATTTAAATGTCTTAAAGACTCATGCTCATAGAAAATTTTTAATAGTAAGTACAGTTTATTTATAATTTTTTGTATAATTTGTTGGAATCATAGCCAACAAAAAGATAAGGGCAGAAATGTTAAAGAGGAGCCCCATGGCCCTTCCAGTGTTAACATCAAAAGTGTTAACAGGCTGGGCGTGGTGCCTCCCTCCTGTAATCCCAGCACTTTGGGAGGCCAAGGCAGGAGGATCACTTGAACCCAGGAGTTCGAGATCAGCCTGGGCAACATAGAGAAGTAAATTCAGGGGTGAGCAGTAAAATACATTAAAACATAAAAGTGTACATTCAAATAAAATTCCCTAGGGAATATGGAAAGGAAGCATGAAATTGAAGGAGAAGAATAAATAAGAAAAAATTTATGCTAAAGAATTCTTTAAGTAAATTTCTTTACCACAAACTTTACGGTAAACAAGAGTTTTATTTAAAAACGTCAGTGCCGGATATTATATAACTTACAGCTGTTTGAGAATTATATACTTTACAACTATGTAAACTTTTGATGAAAAAAATATGTTTAAAATGGGGTGGATGGAATACTATGCAGCCATAAAAAGGATGAGTTCACGTCCTTTGTAGGGACATGGATGAGGCTGGAAACCATCATTCTGAGCAAACTATCACAAGGACAGAAAACCAAATACTGCATATTCTCACTGATAGGTGGAAATTGAACAATGAGAACACTTGGACACAGGGTGGGGAACAACACATACTGGGGCCTGACATAGGGTTGGGGGAGGGGGGAGGGAGAGCATTAGGAGAAATAACTAATGTAAATGATGAGTTAATGGGTGCAGCACACCAACATGGCACATGTATACATATGTAACAAATGTGCACATTGTGCACATGTACCCTAGAACTTAAAGTATAATAATAATAAAAGAAAAGGAAAAAAAAAAAAAAAGAAAAGAAAAGTGCCCCACTCCATCAGTTTACCTAAAAGTACACTCCATTCTCTTCCTGATAACTAGAGTACTAAGGGCTGTCCAAAGAGTCTCCATTTGACCCCTTGTATCCTAGACCTCTTCTGATCCCCCATATACAAAATTTAATAATCCTAAGTACTGTTTTCTCAGAGTTCTGCTTTCTGCATGATGAAAAATATCTAATTCCTATTACTGAATTTCTCTTTGCAAGACATGAATATTTTAGCGATTTTTTAATTCTGTATTTTAACTTCGATGATTACCCTCTGTCCTGAGAGACTATTGAGGAATATTTAATGGCAAACAGTGTATATGGAGGATTATGCTTATCATTTTATATCATCTGCTAAAAATGCCATGACAGTGCTAAAAATGTAGAAAGCTGTAAGTGAATATCTTTGCCACTGTAATAGAAGAAACAAGATAATCTACAAAATTTTAACTTTTCTTGAGCCAATTGAAGGTCTCAAGGCAACAATGTAAAATGAATTCCAAAGAATGACAAGCCCCACCAAGGAAAGAGGTACACACAAACACACAAACTGTTTTACCCTGGCAGGGCACAGGAAGAAGAGATGTTCTACAAATATATATGTGAGAAGGAAGCTAAAATTTTAACAAGTTCCTGAAATCAAAATGTGAACTAGTGTGATAGTGTAAAATACCTCAGAACCCCACTCCTTCCCAAGGTCTTTTCCATGGGTCTCTGCCAGGTACTCATGAGAAAGACTAGGGGGCAGGAGACTTAAGAGTGCAGGTATGAAACACCACCCAATTCCTAGACCCTTCTTCCTATGAAGCAAAAGCCTTAAGCCCCTGGCAGAAAGACAGAAAATACTCTTTTATTCATGGTCCTGGGAAAGATGCATTGCTTCTGGGGAAGGGTAGAAAAAAAAACTGTCCATCACTGGGATAAAGGTAGAAACCCTTTCTGTGGCCCAGACAGATTCATTGCTTTGGAGAGAGGGGTAGAACAAAGGCCATTTGTCCATAAGAGAAAAGATTTTTAAAAATCATCCTCTCCCTAGTCACAAGCAAAAGTAAACTGCCATTGTGGGAGGTGCAGGAAACTTGTCATGAACAAACCATTAGCCTGAACCAAATGACAAGGAATAGCAATCTACCATGTGGATAAGGAACAAGAAACCCTCTCACTACAGTTCCTTCCCTAAAATACACTACTGTTCAAGGAAGACTAAATTTGAAAGCTTCTTCCACCCAAGGTCCTCTTCAGATACAAGAAAGAATTTTGTTGCCACAGGGGTAGGAAAAACAGGAATGCTCAGAAATTTCCACTCCATATTCTCAGGCATACATAGCCAAAGACTGAACCTGGAAGAAGAGAACTGAGAATTTCCCCATTTCCTGCTCCCAAGATGAGCCCTACACCAAGTAACAAGCAACTTTGCTCTGGAGGAGAGGCAAGGGCATGGACAGAGATCCATGTAATAAAAGATGTGCAGGGTCTGTTGAAAGCTGAGGGTGAAACAGGCAAGCATGGGCAAAATCCCTTAATGCCCAAGACCCCATATGAAGAAAAAAGTAACAGCAGCTTACCACTGGAGGAATTTTAAGTCTATGGTACACTGAAGATGACTAAATTAACAAATAAGATGTAAACCCAGCTAAACTAGTAAATAGATTGACTTAGACTACTACATACTAACAGCCTGACAGAAGAAAGATGTGATCATTTCTAGGTATAAGTATCACTTATGCCACTCTCTATACAATGTCTACGATTCAAACAAAAATTATAAGACACATACAAGTAAGTATGTGTCCATTCTCACATTGCTATAAAGAAATACCTGAGACTCGGTAATTTATAAATAAAAAGGTTTAATTGACTCATGGTTCTGCAGGTTTTACAGGAAGCATGATGGCATCTGCTTCTGCGGAAGCCTCAGGGAGCTTTTACTCATGGCAGAAGGCAAAGCAGGGGCAGGAATCTTACATGGCAGGAGCAGGAATCTTATAAGGCAGGAGCAAGACCAAGGTGGCAGGAGTGGCGGGGAGATGCCACACACTTTTAAACAACCATATCTCACTGGAACTCACTCACTATCAGGTCATAGTACCAAGGGGAAAATCCACCCCTATGATCCAATCACCTCCCACTAAGCCCCACTTACAGCATTGAGGATTACAGCTTGACATGAGATTTGGGCAGGGACACAGATCCAAACCATATCAGAAAGCAAAAGTGACTCAAGGTCAAAAAATAAAACAATAAACAGAAACAGAACCTGAGATAATCCCAATATTAGAACAATGAAATAAGATGTTTTAAATAACTGTAATTATTTAAAAATAAACAGTATATTAAAGTATTTAGTGCAAAAAGTAGAAAACACCCATGAATAGATGGAGATTTTGAGCAGAGAGATGGAAACTCTAAGAAAGAATTAAATGGAATATGCTGGGCACAGTGGCTCACACCTGTAATCCCAGCACTTTGGGAGGCTGAGGCGGGTGGATCACCTGAGGTTGGGAGTTCGAGACCAGCCTGGCCAACATGGTGAAACCCTGTCTCTACTAAAAATACAAAAATAGCCGGGCATGGTGGCAGGCGCCTGTAATCCCAGCTACCATGGAGGCTGAGGCATGAGAATCACTTGAACCTGGGAGGCAGAGGCTGCAGTGAGCAGAGATGGTGCCACTGCACTCCAGTCTGGGTGACAGAGCAAGACTCTGTCTCAAAAAAAAAAAAAAAAAAAAAAAAGAATTAAATGGAATTTCAAAAGTTAAAAAATTAGCAATAAAGAATTTGTTTAAAGCGTTCATTAGAAAACTGAACAGAACTGAGGACAAATTAGTAAACTTAAATATAGGCTAATAGGAATGATCTAAACAGAAATACAAATGGATAAAAAGAGTATAGAAACAGAACATCCAAGAGGTGTGGGAAAATAGTAGAGAGCTAACGCAAATATATTTGGAGTCCCAGAGAGAAAATAGATCAGAAGAAGTGTGTGAGAATATTGATTGAGAATTTTCCAAAATTAATGAAAGATAATATATTATAGATCCAAGAATCACAGAAAAACAAAAGTACAGGATAAATTTTAAAATAAAATGTATACAGTTGGACCTTTGTATCTGTGAACTCTGCATGTATAAATTTAACTAATCACAGATCAAAAATATTCAAACAATCCAATAAAAATAACAATAAAAATCAATACAGTACAACAACTAGTAGCATTTACATTGTGATTTAAAGTATATGGGAAGATATGTGTAGGTTATATGCAAATACTATGCCGTTTTATATAAGAGACTTGAGTATCCACCGCTTTTGGTATTCATAGGGGATCCAGGAACCAATCCCCCATGGATACCAAGGGACAACTGTATAAAAATACCACTAGACATAATCAAATTAATGAAAACAAAAAATAAGGAGAAAATCTTGAAGCCAACTAGAATAAAAGGAAACACTACATAAAGAACAAGTGAAAATTAAAGTAGATTTTGTGTCATGAATTATGCAAATGGAAAACAATGGTCCAACTTCTTTAAAGTATTGAAAAAAAATAAGCTATCAACTTAGACTTCTATACTCAGTAAAATTACCTTTCATAAATGAAGGTGACAGGCTTTTCAGAAGGTGACAAACAAGAAGGAAAAAATGTCTAATGCCAACAGACCTGGTCTACAATAAATGTAAGAGGAAATTCTACAGGAGAAAGGAATATGATAACATACAGAAATTTTAATCTACCTAAATAAATACTGATTGCTGGAAATTGTAAAAATGGGAGTAATATAAAAACACGCCCCCTTTTCTTATTTTTAAAGGAAATCAAGAAGGGTAACAATGTATTGTGGGATTTCTATGTTAGAAATAACATATACTATGTGTAGAAGTAAAGTGTATGACAGCAGTACCACAGAGGAAGAAAAGGAAGAAAATAGAGGTGTATTCTTATAAGGGTTGTATACATGAAATATATAATATGATTTGAAGGTATAATGTGATAAATTCAATTTGTGCACTGTAAACTCTAAAGCAACTAAATAAAGCATAACTAATAAATCAATAGTGTAGGTATAATAGAAACAAAAATATTCAATTAATACAAACATAGGCACAGAAAAAGGGAATAAAGAACTAAGAAATTATGGAAGTAGTGAAAAAACAGCTAGCAAGAGTAAAGATTATAATACAACCATATAGACAATTATGTAAAATCAATGCACCTCCAACATTCCATTTACAAGACAGAAGTTTTTAGGTTGATTTTAAAAAGTAAAATTCAACTCTATGCAATCTATCAGGATCCTACCTCAAATATAAAGTCATAGCAACATTAAAAATAAAAGGATAGAAAGAGATGGACTAGGCAAACACAAATCCAGAGAAAGCTGGATTCACTGGACAAAGTAGACAAAGTAGATTTAACAATAAGGTATATTACTAGTGGTAAATAAGGATATTATATGAAGGGATTAATCATTCAAGACATCATTACAATTCCCAATGTATATGCAGTTGACACCAGAGCATCAAATACTTAAAGCGAAAACTGAAAGAAATGACACAAGAGATAAACACACCATAATCTTAGTTGGCATTTTCAACACTTTTATCTCTCATTAATTGATAGAACGAATAGACAAAAAAAAAAAAATCACTGAGAGTATAGAGGACTTGAATAATACAATCACACAACTTGATCTAATTAATATACAACACTTTACCTAATAACAACAGAATACACATTCTTTTCGAGAGTACGTGGGGCATTCACTAAGTTAGACTATATTTTGGGCCACAAAATAAATCTCAGCAAATTTAAAATTATTTAAAGCATCAAAAAAGTTTCATTTCTAATATGGAATTAAATTAAAGATCAATAAGAGAAAAGTAATTAGAAAAATCCCCAAATATTTGGAAATTAAACAACCCATTTATCAAATAAGACTTTTCAAGAATAAATTAGTAATTTTTAATTCAAAGAATTTAAAACAGCAAATCAAAATTTGTTGTTCATGCCTAAAGCCATGTAAGTTTCCATTTTAAGAAACTAGAAAAGGAAGGGCAAATTAAGCCCAAAGCAAGCAGAAGGAAGAAAATGATGATAAGAGTGGAAATTAATGTAAGAGAAAACAGAAAAACAATAGAGAAATCAATGAGGGGATATCCTTATCACTGTAAACATAAAAATGAATCTGGCTTATTCTACTGTCCAACAGCAAGTGAGATAAAGTGCCTGATCAATGAAAAATTAGAAAAAGAATACAATCTAAAAAATTTTTCATTCGGGAAAAATTCTTTCTTTCGTTATGCAGTTCTATCAAAATTCTATTTCTATCGATTATTTTTCTTTAATTTTTTCTTGTTTAAGTTACCATAATGTTAATTTTTGTTTATTATTTTCTCTCCAATATTAAAATAATTGTCTCCATCATTAGACTATCATATTCATTTAATTTATAAGATACTATATAAGGAAATAATTTTACTTTTGTAGTTTTATATAGAATATTTATTTTATAACATGTACAGTAGTTGCGGTTATGTATTATTTTAACTGTTTTCTTTAATGTCTCTAACATTTCCATAGGTTTAAGCAGATGATGTGCCTTCTAAGTTTAAAGAATATATATACTTAAATAATTTACCAGAGAGTATTCTAGGGTACCATGAAATTTTTTCTAGAATCTAAATTTGCATTTAGGAGAGGTGTTTAATTCAGGTAAGAAAGAGAAAAAAAAGCAGATAACATTCTGTAAAAAAGGTTATCTTTGTTCATACTTACTTGAAACCCACAAGTATTAAATGAGCTTTGTTTACATTATATTGGCTTCTTTCAGGGGATCAGTGAGGGCTCAAAGAAAAAGAGTATTTTTTTCTATTGTGCATGATGGATTCCTGAATATAAAAATCCCAGCTATGCTATTATTGTCAGAAATAAATCTTGAGGCTTCTGGTGTTTCCACTGGGGCCACAGGGCCATCCTTCTAGGATAAAGGTTATTAAACAGTACCATCATGAATCAAATCAGTGTATGAGTAGTATGTGCAAAACATAGTCACCTTTAAACCTTCTGTTTAGAAAGATATGGGAGTGCAGAAGAGCAATATATCTGAACTTTCCAGAAAGTTAATAATAAAAAAGTCCCAATGTCCTTCATGAATATTAAGATGACCTTTTCTTTTGATCATAAATGTATTCTGGAAAAGCTAGTAGAAGGTTATCATTGTTGTTAGGGTTTGAGGAGTAAATAAAATCCTAATTCAAGTACATTTGAAGAATCTGATAAATCCAGGAAAAATTCAAAACATATGATAAAAAGATAATTTCTTTATTATCTTTTGTGTGACTCCAGGCCAAACAGGTTTACGCCATTATCCAAATACATGTCACTTACGTTTCTCCATGTCTGTACTCATGCTGTTCCCCTTCATGACCTTACCAGAAACATTCTCCATCCCTTCCTGCTCACGTATATATCACCCATATTCCTTGACTCTACTACACCATTAAATAATTGCTGACCACTTTTTACAGTGATTTTTGCCCTTCTCTGATATCTTGTAACACTAGTTTAGAATATTCATTCACCCTAAACCACATGTCTCTTATAATGTACATCCAAAAGTAAGTATTTATCTTTTTAATTAGATTATTGACTTTATTTTAGCAATTAAACATTATGTTGGGTTTTCCAAGGCAGTATTTTTCAAACTGTGAGTTGTACCCCATTAGTGTATTACAAAATCATCTTAGTGGCTCATAGCCAGCAAATTTTATCATAATGTCTCTACCATTGTGGTTATGATACAGAATTTGAGAAGACAGTAAAAATTCACCCCAAATCCTGCACTCAGAAATTTTCATAATTAACATTAAATAAACACCAGAAAGTCATCAAAACCTCAGTGTGTATGGGTAGATAGATAGCTAAATAAGTAGGTAGGTGAACAGAAATTACTCTTAAAAAGAAGATTATTCCACAAATTACTGTTTTTCATAAAACTATTTCATATAATTTTACTTAAAGTACCACTTGGTTTATAAATTGTGCTTAAACAATAGGGAACCTTGTCTCTTGTGATCATGTTGGACCCCATCTGACTTAATATCACAATCAAAACCCTGAAAAAATATTGTTTTGGTTTATTTTCCTGTGGGGAGTTGAATACTTAAAAAGGGTTTATAATGAAAAAATTCAAACATACACAAAAGTAGATAGAATATCATAATAAATCCCTATATTCCCTTCACCTAGATTAAATGGTTACCAAGATTTTGCCATATTTGCTTTATCTAATTGTTTGTTTGTTTTTGCCTTCACTAAAGCAGTTTAAAACAAATCCCAGATATAATATCATTTTTAACTCTACAAATTTCAGTATGCATTTGTGTGTGCGTGTGTGTGTGTGCGCACGCGTGTGTGTCACAGGGTCTTGCTCTGTCATCCAGGCTACAGTGCAGTAACCTGGAACTCCTGGGCTCAATCAATCCTCCTGCCTCAGTAACTGGGCATGTGCCACCACAACTGGCTTATTATTATTATTATGATACTTTAAGTTCTGGGGTACATGTGCAGAACATGCAGGTTTGTTACATAGGTATACACGTGCCATGGTGGTTTGCTGCACCCATCAACCCATGATCTACATTACGTATTTCTCCTAATGCTGTCCCTCTAGCCCCCCACACCCTGACAGGCTCCGGTTTGTGATGTTCCCCTCACTGTGTCCATGTGTTCTCATTGTTCAACTCCCACTTATGAGTGAGAATATGTGGTGTTTGGTTTTCTGTTCCTGCGTTAGTTTGCTGAGAATGATGGTTTCCAGCTTCATCCATATCCCTGCAAAGGACACGAACTCATCCTTTTTTATGGCTGCATAGTATTCCATGGTGTATATGTGCCACATTTTCTTTATCCAGTCTATCATTGATGGACATCTGGGTTGGTTCCAAGTCTTTGCCATTGTGAACAGTGCCGCAATAAACATACGTTTGCATGTGTCTTTATAGTAGAGTGATTTATAATCCTTTGGGTATATACCCAGAATGGGATTGCTGTATCAAATGGTATTTCTAGTTCTAGATCCTTGAGGAATCGCCACACTGTCTTCCACAATGGTTGAACTAATTGACACTCCCACCAACAGTGTAAAAGTGTTCCTATTTCTCCACATCCTCTCCAGCATCTGTTGTTTCCTGACTTTTTAATGATCACCATTCTAACTATCGTGAGATGGTGTCTCATTGTGGTTTTGATTTGCTAATTTTTAAAAAAACTTTTGTAGAAATGGGATCTTGTTATGTTGCCCAGGCTAATCTCAAACTCCTGCCCTCAATTGATCTTCCTGCCCCTGCCTCCCAGAATGCTGGAATTACAGGCCTGTGCCACTGCACCCAGTCTCAGCATGCATTTCTAAAAATTATGGATGTATTCTTCATCACAATTAGCATGATTACCAAAATTAGCAATAATTCTTTGGTGTCAACTAGTACACAGTCATATCCAAACGTCTTTAATGATCTCAAATTGTCCTTTTATGTTAGCGTATTTGAAGCAGGATGGAAGCAATGTCCACACATTGCCATGGGTTATTTTCCTTAGATTTCTTTTAATGTACGTTAGTCATTCCTTCCATTCTCCTTCTGTGCTTCTATTTTTTTTTTCCTGCCATTTTCTGGTTGCAGAAGTCAGGCCCATTTTCCTGTAGAATGGTCTACATTATAAGTTCAGCAGATTGCCGCTTGCTGTGTCACTTAACTTGTTCTTTTATATCACTTGTATGTTTGGTAAGTGGGACTTAGTACTAGAGGCTTGATTAGATTCAGCTCCAATATTGTTGGTAAAAAATCTTTTATAGGAGAGGCTATGTGCTTGATATTGCATAGCACCTCAGAAGGTTTACAGAGTAAGTTGTCTTTACTATCCATGATGCTACAATTAATCAGTGAATTCAGTTGCCAATAACCTGCTCCTGCCATTGTCAATCTTCTACCCAAACTTCATCTAATGGTTTCATCTACTGATAATAATGGAAGAATCAATTATTAGGGATTGAAAAGTGGTTATTTTCTAATTGGTTACTGTAAAAAAAAATGGTTCATAGAGGAAAGGCAAGGTAAATGCTTATTTATTTATTTGCCAATTTGGATAAAGACTTTATACCCTTGTTTCTTTCATCTTCATCCAATCATCCTATTTTTTCTCTTATTTACTTTTAAATACCATTAGACACATGATAATATATTCAGTATGTGTTATCATTTGTATTCATTATTCAATTTAATGTTCAAATTGTCCCATTGTGGCCAATGAAAATCACTTTTGTTGGCTCTGGTCTCTTCTTGTCTCTACCTTTTAGTCTTTGATAGCTTTTTCCTTTCTGGCACAACAAGATGTTTGTATGTTTTCTGACCCAAATCTGGTAATAGACTCCAGGGAACCCTGATTTCTTTTGGTGAGGAATGATATTTTGAGACCATAATCTGGGTGCTTAGTTGTGCTTACTATAGTGTGAACTATTATTGTTTCTAGGTCTTTTCAGTAGATGGAGCTAAGACCTATGTATATTAAAAGAAAAAGTAATAATTATTCTTAATAATTTCAATTCAAAGTTAACATTATCTTTTTATTTAAAATATTTGATTTTATACTTCAATCTTTTTCTCTTATAATATTCCCAACACGATTCCCATAATTACTTATTTGCATTATTTATAATATTAAAAATAGATTCAAAATAATACAGATACCATCACTAACAATTTGGTTAATGAATTAAAGATTTCTTTGCAGCTCTATTTTTCTTATGAATATATTCCACTAAAGATGTACAGTAAAGTGCCAGGTTCTAAAGTTACTTAAAATACTTGTTTTCCTTTTGGTTATGTCACCAAGTTGATATGTAATTAGGTTAATTTATTTTAAATTATTTAAAATATTTAGATATTGCTTCTTTCCTTTTACATTTAATTTTATGTTTGAACATGTAAAACAATTATAGGAGTCCAAAGTCAAAATTATGTAATAAGGCATATTCAGAAAAGTGTCTTTCTTTACTCATCCATCTACCATATGTTTTCTTCACACTAAAGACAAGCATTTTTATTAGTTTTGGTTTACCCTCACAATTTTCTTTTTGGTGGCAGGGGTAAAAATATACACATGATGTATATATATATATTTCCTTTTTCCTCATTTCTTACACACAATGTAGCATATTACATGTACTGGTCATAACTAATAAAAGATCCAGAAAATCATTCCAGATCAGTGTAAAATGATTGTCTGCATTTATTTTATGGCTGTATTAGTACTCCAGTTAGTAAATCAGCTCCCTAATGATAGAAACATGTATTATGTCTGCTGTTTTCCTATCACAAATAATGTTGTAAATAATAACTATGCATAAATGATTTCAGGTGTACGATAGTGTATATTTGGGACAGAAGTGATATTGCTGAGACATAAGCTGTACACAAACATAATTTTTTTAGATCTTGTCAAATTCACCTCCATAGGAGCTGTATCATTTTGCACCCCTACCAGTGATGTATGATTATGAACGTTTCCCTATGGCTTTACAAATGGAGTATTTTGTTAGAGTTTTAGAGTTTTGTCAACTAGCATGTAAGAAGTAGCATCTCTGTGTAGTTTTAATTAACAATTCTTATATCATAAGCAATACAGAGCATATATTCACGTTTAAAATTTATTTCTTATTTCCTTTGTGAGTTTAAGATCATATCTTTGTCCATTTATCTCTCATATTGTTGGTCTTTTATGCTTGCTTTTTGGGATCTCTTTGTATATTAGAGACATTAGTCTTATTTCTGTGATATAAATTGCAAATACATTTTCCCAAGTTTGTCTTTTGATTTTGCTTAAAGTGTTTTTGCCATGCAAAAAATTATAATGTAATAAAATTTATTGGTCTTTTATTTTATTGTTTCTAAATTTTGGATTATAATTAAGGAAGTTTTTTTCACCCCCAGGTTGTAAAGAAATCTATTTGTATTTGTATTTATGAAATTACTTACATAATTTGATATTTTATATTTAAATCTCTGATTTCTTTGAAATTTATTATTTTGCAAAAAGATCAAGACCTTTTAAGGGGGAAAAATCAGATTTCCTTTTTGACATGAAGGCCTTAAGCCAAATGAGAATAGAGTAACATATTTAAAATACTCAATGAAAGAAGATATGAGCCAAGGATTTTATATCTAGCCAAGCTGACTTTCAAGTATAAAGGCTACAGACATATTTTGAGCATACAAGAATTCAGGGGATATTTTTCCCATGAACACTTTTTCAGAAACCTACTGGAGCATGAATTTCAAAAATCCAAAATGACTGAAGAGACATTTGCATACAGACTAGTTTTAAGCATCAAATATATAATTTCCAGTAGAGTTGAGTCTAAATAATAGATGTAGAAGAAAACATTATAGTGCAAAATATTTATATGTTAGGAAGATGGACAAGAGGGAGAGTATATCGGAAGTAGAATAAGTTTGCTGATTGCTTTGTACATACTGTATTATTTTCCTATTGCTGCCGTAATAACTTCCACAAATTAAAACAACACAAATTAATTTTCTTATAGTTATGGAAGTCAGAAGTCCAAAATGGTTCTTCAGGGTTATATTCCTTCTGGAGGCCGTAGCGAGAGAATCTATTTCCTTGCCTTTTCCAGCTTCTGAAGTGTGCCTACCTTTCTTGGCTTGTGGCTTTCTGGGTGCATCACTCCAACCTCTGTTTCCATCATCACATTGCATTTGCTCTGACTTTCTTTCCTCCCACTTATAAGGACCCTTGTCATTACATTGAGTTCACCTGTATAATCCAGAATAATCGTCTCATCTCATGGCACTTAACTTTAATAACATATACACAGTTCTTTTTGCCATGTAAGGTAATAATTTGGGGAATTAGAACATGAACATCTTTGGGGAAGGTATTATTCTGCCAACCACAGGTAGTAATAGGGATTAAAAACATAATACTTCATATAAGACCATGATTAAGAGGAAAGTAAGGGAAAAGAAAATACAACTAACATGTTTCTATAGTGTTCATAGCAAGGAACCAGTAGAGAGCATCCAAAAATGGGGAAATGTGTATAGATCTTTGAACAACATGGATTTGAACTGTGCAGGTCCACTTATATCTGGGTGTTTTTCAACCCAAACTCAGATACAAAATACAGTATTCCCTAGATGTGAGCTCCACATATACAGAGGGATGACTTTTTATATATGTGGGTTTCATAGGGCCAACTGCTGGACTTGAGTATGTGGGGATTTTGGTATACACAAAGAGGGTGTGTCCCGGAACAAATACCCTGTGTATACCAAGGGATGACTATATATATGTATGTGTGTATATAAAATGATATTAGTATAAAAGTAACCATAAGTACAAAATTACAACCTTTTTTAAATATCAAACGATATAACAAAAAGAGAGCAAATTAAAACATACTTCCAAGTAAAATATTGTATATATGAGGAGTCTTCAAAACATTAATGGAAAATGTGTATTATGAAAAAACTACTCATGGATTTCACAATTTTTTGCATGCCAACTTGTTGCTACATGTCTGAGCAGGATCTGGTTTGAGGCACTAAAAGAATAAGACAACAGGGAGGCCGAGATGGGTGGATCATGAAGTCAGGAGATCGAGACCACCTGGCTAACACGGTGAAACCCCGTCTCTACTAAAAATACAAAAAAATTAGCAGGGCATGGTGGTGGGTGCCCGTAGTCCCAGCTACTCGGGAGGCTGAGGCAGGAGAACGGCGTGAACTTGGGAGGCGGAGCTTGCAGTGAGCTGAGATCGCGCCACTGCACTCCAGCCTGGGCGGCAGAGCGAGACTCTGTCTCAACAACAACAACAACAAAAAAACAAAAAAACAAGAAGAAAACGGGCTGGGCATGGTGGCTCACACCTGTAATCCCAGCACTTCGGGAAGCCGAGGTCATGAGGTCGGGAGATTGAGACCCTCCTGGCTAACACGGTGAACCCTCATCTCTACTAAAAATACAAAAAATTAGCTGGGTGTGGTGACGGGCACCTGTAGTCCCAGCTACTGGGGAGGCTGAGGCAGGAGAATTGCTTGAACTCGAAGCCGGAGGTTGCAGTGGGCCGAGATTGCACCACTGCGCTCCAGCCTGGGCGAGGGAGTGAGACTTCATCTCAAAAAAAAAAAAAAAAAAAAAGAATAAGTCACCAGTTTGAAAAGAGCATTTGCCAGTGCAACATGAATTGTGCTAAAATTGAAGCAAGAACAAAAAAATTTATGGTGAAGTTTGGTTGGAAGAATGGTGAAAACATTGATGCTTTATGAAAAGTTTGTGGGGACAATGCCCCAAAGAAATCAGTAGTTTAGAAATGGGTAGCTCATTCAAAAAAGGGATGATATGATATTGAAGATGAAGTCTGAAGCAACAGTCCATCCACACCAATTTGTGAGAAAAAAATTTATCTTGTTTGTATCCTAATTGAAGAAGACCAACAATTAACAGCACAAACAATAGCCAACATCATAGACATCTCAATTGGTTCAGCTTACACAATTCTGACTAAAAAGTTAAAGATGAGCAAACTTTCCACTGGTCGGGCACCACAATTGTTGCGTTCAGATCAGCTATAGACAAGAGGAGAGCTTTCAATGGAAATTTTAAACAAGTGGAATCAAAATACTGAAGTATTTCTTCAAAGAATTGTAACAGGAGATGAAACATGGCTTTACCAGTATGATTCTGAAGACAAAGCACAATCAAAGCAATGGCTTCCAAGAAGTGGCAGTGGTCTAGTCAAAGCAAAAGTGCAAGGGCAAAGGTCATGGCAACAGTTTTGTTTTTTTTTTTCCAATGCTCAAGGAAATTTGCTTATTGACTTTCTGGAGGGCCAAAGAATGATAACATCTGCTTGTTGTGAGAGTGATTTGAGAACGTTAGCCAAAGCTTTAGCAGAAAAATGCCCAAGAAAGCTTCAACAGAGAGTCCTTCTCTACAACAGTGTTCTCACTCATTTATCTCACCCAACAAGGGCAATTTTGTGAGAGTTTTCATGGAAAATCATTATGCATCCACCTTACAGTCTTGATTTGGCTCCTTCTAACTTCTTTTTGTTTCCTAATCTTAAAAAAACTCTGTAAAAGGAACCCATTTTCTTCAATTAATAATGTAAAACAAGACTGCATTGATATGGTTAAATTTCCAGGACCTTCAGTTCCTTAGGGATGGATTAAATGGCTGGTATGATTGCTTACAAAAGTGTCTTCAACATGATGGAGCTTACATTGAATAATAAAGTTTATATTTCTTATTTTCATCTTTGAATTCAATTTTCCATGAGGTTTTTGAAGTCTCCTTATATGTATACATGCATATGTACACATACATATAAAAAGATTATATGTATGTGTTTGCATATATATAAAAAAGTATTTGTGTAAATGTGAGGAAAAATAGATGACAGATACACACTAATAGACCTTTATATAACTCCGAATCTAAGAATAAGTCAATAAAAATTTAGAAAGATCCAGGAAGCAATTAATAATATATATCTCATAGCAAACTCTTAACCTATAGAATAGAGAATATACGTTCTTCAACTATATATGAATCATTAATAAAAATTGACTAGATCTTAATGCCACAACAAAAGCTTCAATAAAATCCAAGAATAGAAATAATACAAACAAGTATTTCCTGATCACAGTGCAATAAAACTAGAAATTAATAACAATTAAAAAAATGTTTTCTACCTGGAAATTACAAAAGACGACAACCCCACTAAACAACTTTTGAATCAAAGGAAGAATGCAGACCCAAAATTGCAGAATTCTTGAAAATAACAATGAAAACATATGATCAGTATATATGGTTACGGCTAAAGCACTTACCAGAGGAAAATTTATAGCTTTAAATACTTATACAAATAAAACGAATATATATTTTTCTTCATAACTGCCTCAGCCAGAAATCCAATTGCCTCAACCACAACTGCAGTAGATACAGTGCTAGAGCTGGAACTTATCCTTATTTAAAATTTTAATATTTTGTTCATCATAACATTTTTGCATTAATTTTGATTTTTAAAATGATTGCATCAAAATAGTTTTTATCTTGATTAATGTGTTTTTTCATACTTTCTTAAATTTTGCACCCAAGGTGGGCGCCTCACCTACCTTTATCCTGGTCCCAGCTCTGAATTAGACCTCAGAAATCATCACTTTTCTTGAAAACACAGTCGGGCATGGACAGCACCCACCACTCTAAGTTGAGTGAGTTCCCTTCAACTGCAGCTGAGAAGCTGGTGGAACTTCTGCATTTATCTGAGCTGGGGAGGGGAGCGGCGAAGTTTGATGGGAATAGCCATCCCATCGAGCATCAAGAGTGCTTACAGACTCCCATGGGTCTTACCACAAGTCTAGCAGGTTTTTAAGCATAAATGCCCCTCAGACTATTATAAGCCTTTGTCAATTTCCAGAGAACTGAAATGGTGGTTTTGTCAATTTTGTACAGCTCCATGGTTGTTATTTAGGGAGAAAATTTACCCATGTCCTCATGTGGCCATAACCAGAATTCTGGCCTCAGGCCAGCATTTTTTTGATGTCAAAAACTAGAGGATTTTCAAGAAGTAAAAGGAAGTAATAAGCCAGTAAAAACCAGTCAGATCTGCAGGCTATTTTCAATATTTTTAAAAGGCCTAACTGAAATAACATATTCATTTCAATAAAGATGTCCAGAATAACTTAAAAAGTTACCTTACCTTGCTTCTGTTGTAATCACATTATTTCAGGGTAGAATGACAAACACTCAATGCTGTTCAGAAGCTGTGTTTGGTAGTTATAGATGTTTGTGATTAACTAAAAACAGAAAAGCAAATGATGTCTTAATGAATGCAGTTTGTTTTCTAGACACTGTCTTTCAAAACGTGAAGTCTGTTGGGGAAAGAAGTAATAAATAAGTGGTGTTTAGTGGCTGAAAGGCTGAATCAGTACTTTAAAGAAAATTTACAGCAGCGATGTCTCTTAAGCAGAGGGAATCTGGAGAGCTGGAAACAAGGTAAACACACACTTCAAAGGCTTCCTGAGGAATGGCCCTGGGATTAGGAATTTGGATCTCTTTCGGTAAAATAAATTAATACACTGATTAAAAAACCTCAGTTGGGTGCAGTGGCTTACACCTGGAATCCCAGCACTTTGAGAGACCCAGGCAGGTGGATTGCTTGAGCCCAGAAGTTCGAGACCAGCCTGGCCAACATGGCGAATCCCCATCTCTACTAAAAATACAGAAGCTCTAAAGTAAAACAAAAGGGCTCACTTTTCAAATCCTCCTCAGATACCAGTAACACAACAGATTTGTGCATTTTGAAATATGTTCCAGTAATGCTGGGGATCCTTTTTCTTGCATCCCTTTCTGTTCTCTTGCATCTCGTTCTGTTTTCTGTTTGTTTGTTTGTTCCATTCAAATTCTCTCAGATCTGAAAAGAAGTATCCATCTACAATGTTGCCAATGGCATAAACCACAAACTTTCACAGCATTGAAAGGAGATGTGACTGCCTTTAGTTTTTTTTGTTTTCGTTTTTTGTTTTTTTGTTTTGAGACAGTTTTTTTGCTCTGTTGCTCAGGCTGGAGTGCAGTGGCATGATCTTGGCTCACTGCAACCTCCACCTCCTAGGTTCAAGCGATTCCCCTGCCTCAGCCTCCCGAGTAGCTGGAATTACAGGTGCATGCCACCACATCCAGCTAATTTTTTATATTTTTAGTAGAGATGGGGTTTCACCATGTTGGCCAGGCTGGTCTCAAACTCCTGACCTCAGGTGATCCTCCCACTGCGGCCTCCCAAAGGGCTGGGATTACAGACGTGAGCCACCCTGCCCGGCCTTGCCTTTAGTTTTGAAAACTCATGAGAAGAGATGTGGAGAAGCACTCCCATGGGGCCAAAATGGCATCAGTTATAAAAGTGGACACTTACCATAGTGAATTGTGTTGTACCAATACTGAATGCCAGATCAGGAGTGCCAGAGGCTCCCATGTGTCCTTTTTAACATTTTTTATGTGTGTATATTTGTGGCATTGGGGTCCTTGAAAGCATGAGCCTCAGGGCAGGTGCCCCTCTTATCCAGTTCTGAAAATGGTACTAGTGAATTTAGGTATTAAGTATGGAAAATTGCAAAGAGAGAGAGGAACCTCAAGAAAAGACGTTACAAAACAAAAATTTTTAATGGGTTTAAAGGTTTTTCGGTTGTAATTGGGAGACATGTGGACACCTGAAACCACCTCAGTTTAAAAATATCTAGGTTTCAGTTCAAGATGGCTGACTAGAAGCAGCCAGTGGGGCACCTCTCTCATGGAGAGGAATCAAAATAGTGAGTAAATACTAACACTTCAAGTAGATCATCTATGAGAGCATGCTGGAATTGATCAGAGAAGTGACAGGAATCACAGAAAGCAGAGGAGAGTGAAGCCAGGCAGCCTGCTGAGCTGGGACTGGCACAGAGCCAGGAGAGGTTTTCTAATGTAAGGAAGGGATGAGTGAGTGAGAGACCCCTGGGGTTTCATACTTCCACCATGGACCTTTATAATCCTAGCCATGAGGGAGCCCCCTGGACCCTCCCAGGCCTACATACTAACACAGGGACTGCCTGGAGACTGCAGAGGCACTGCTTGAGCTCACATGGAATCCTACAGGCTTTATCCCCGAGCTGCCCAACATCATCTGCCCCCACTCCACCAAGAAGGGAGGCTGGGCACTTTTGCACACCCCAAACACAGATACCACAGCCACAGTATGGAGGAGAGGGCAGACTTAGCACCACACAACTCCCCACATCCACTGCTCCATGCTGAAGAGGGCCCACTTGCTTTGGTGTCAAGTCCCCAGCACAGCAGCTCTACCCCCATGTGAGCACTATGGCTGCAGCCCGCCATTATTCTGAGAGCCCAGGCCCCAGAGGCCAGTGACGTACCCTTCAGTTCCCACAGCAGTTGCCACCACCAATGCCGCCACTACCACTTTTGACACCCCCAGGCCAGGGAAAGTGCATGGAGGCTGGGTGTATTAGTCCATTCTCACACTGATGTGAAGAAATACCCAAGCCTGGATAATTTATAAAAGAAAAAGGTTTAATTGACTCACAGTTCCACATGGCTGGGGAGGCCTCAGGAAACTTACAATCATCATGAAGGGGGAAGCAAACACATCCTTCTTCACATGGCAGCAGGAGAGAGAAGTGCCAAGTGAAGGGGGAAAGTTCCTAGATCTCATGAGAGCTCACTCACTATCACAAGAACAGCATGGAGGAACCACCCCCATGATCTAATCACCTCCCATGAGGTCCTTCCCCAATGCATGGGGATTATAGTGCGATTACAATTCAAGATGAGATTTGGGTGGGGACAAACAGCCAGACCATATCACTGGGCATCTTCACATGCCGCCAATAGCAAAATCCACTATGGGTTCTGGGAAGGAAAGTGTGACTGGGCCATGCCGCTAGTAGATCCCAGAGCTGCTAGTCTCCACTGCCCCAGGTGAGTGGGCCCTGCCTTCCCCAGTGAAAGGCCTGCAGCACAGGTGCTCTGCTCCTACCTGACCATTTCAGCAGTGGTCTGGAGCCCTTCTGAGAGCCTAGCCCCATAGGCCTGTGATCTTTTCTGGGGTTCCCACCACCTGAGCATTCTGCTGCTGCCTGAGCATTCTTCTTGCCCCTGCCTGAGAGTTCTGCTGGTGACCCAGGAACCATCCCATTCCTCTCTGTCACAGCCAGCATGTGAATTCTGTGGTTTCCAAGAACAAGTCTACAGGCCTATTCCTGTTTCAGTGCCCTTAGGACTCATACATGCCATTTAGTGGGCCATCTGGGGGCCTTGGGATCAGAGGTTTGCCTAGCCCAGTTCACCACCGTTGGCCTCTGACTACTCCCTCTATGTGACTCAAAGCAATCTACAGATTCAATGAAATTCTTATCACATCACCAACATCATTTTTCACAGAACAATAACAAAAAAAAATTAAAATTAATACAAACCCCAAAAAAGAGCCCAAATAGCCAAAGGAATCCTAAGCAAAAAGAATAAATCTGGAGGAATCAAATTACCTGACTTCAAATTATACTACAAGGCTAAAGTAACTAAAACAGTATTGTACTGGTACAAAAATAAACACATAGACCAATGGAACAGAATAGAGAACCCGAAAGTAAAGCCACATATCTACAACCACCTGATCTTTGACAAAGGTGACAAAAGTAAACACTGTGGAAAGGACGTCCTTTTCAATAAATAGTGCTGGGAAATTTTTCTAGCCATTTGTAGAAGAATGAAACTGGACCCCTATCTCTCACCATATACAAACATCAACTAAAGATGAATTAAAAATGTAAATTACAAAACATAACTTAAACAATTCTAGAAGAAAATCTAGGAAATACTCTTGTGGACATTGGCCTAGGCAAAAAATTTATGACAAAGACCCCAAAAGCAAATGCGACAAAAACAAAATATACAAATGGGACTTAATTAAACTAAAAAGCTTCTTACAGCAAAAGAAATAATCAGAAGAGCAAACAGACAACCTACAGAATAGGATAAAATATTTGAAAATTATGGTTCCAACAAAGGACTAATATCTAAAATCTATAAGAAACTCAATTCAACAAGAAGTAAGCAAACAACCTCATTAACAGTGGACAAAGTACATGAACAGTCATGTCCTCTTAAAGGAAAATATACAAGTGGCCAATAAACACATGAAAAAATGCTCAACATTACTAATCATCACAGAAATAAAAATTAAAACCATAATGAGATATCATCTTACACCAGTCAGGATGGCTATTATTGAAAATCAATTCTACATAACAATCAGCTTACAATACAATGGCAGGATCAAACCTGTGCATATCAATATTAACCTTGAAACAGGTTAAACACCTTTATTTAAAAGGCACAGAGTGGCAAGTTGAATAAAGAAGCAAGACCCAATTGTACACTGTCTTCCAGAGACCCATCTCACATGCAAGGATACCTGTAGGCTCAAAGTAAAGACATGCAGAAAGATCTATCAAACAAATGGAAAACAAAAAAAGAGCAGGAGTTGTTATTCTTATTCCAGAAAACAGTGGGCTTTAAACCAACAGTGATAAAAAGTCACAGAGCCGGGCATGGTGGCTCATGCTTGTAATTCCAGCACTTTGGGAGGCCGGGGTGGGTGTATTACTTGAGTCCAGGAGTTTGAGAACAGCCTGGGCAACATGGTGAGACCCCTGTTTCTACAAAAAATACAAAATTAGCCAGGCATGGTGACATACACCTGCAGTCCAAGATACTCAGGAGGCTGAGGTGCAATAATTGCTTAAGGAGGTTGAGGCTTCAGTGAGCTGTGATTGCACCATTTCACTCCAGTTTGAATGACATAGCAAGAACCTGTTTTAAAAAAGAGACAAAAAAGGGCCTCATATAATAATAAAAGGATCAATTCAACAAGAAGACTTAACTATCCTGAATATATGTACCCAAAACTGGAAGTGAGTTCTTAGAGACTTATGAAGATACTTAGATAACCACATAATAATAGTAGGAGACTTCAACACTCCACTTACAGTACTGGACAGATCACCAGGGCAGAATACTAACAAAGATATTCAGGACATAAATTTGGCACTTGACCAATGGACCTAACAGATATCCACAGAACACTCCACTCAACAAAAATAGAATATACATTCTTCTCATCTGCACGTGACACATACTCTAAAATTGACCACATGCTTGACCATAAAGCAATTATCAACAAATTCAAAAAAACAAAAATCATACCAATCACACTTTTGGAACACAGTGCAATTAAAATAGAAATCAATACCAAGAAGATCTCTCAAAATCATATAATTAAATGGGAATTAAACAATCTGCTCCTGAATGACTTCTGGGTAAATAATGAAATAAAGGCAGAAATTGAAAAGTTCTTAGAAATGAATAAAAACAAAGATACAACATACCAGACTCTCTGGAACACAGGTAAAGCAGTGTCAAGAGAGGAGTTTACAGCGCTAAATGACCACATCAGAAAGTTAGAAAGATCTCAAATTTTAAAAAACACTAATATCACACCTAAAGGAACTAGATAAATAAGAGCAAAGAAAACACAAAGCTAACAGGGAAAAAGAATACAAATCACAGCTGAACTTAATGAAATGGAGACGAGAAAAACCGTACAAAAGATAAACAAAACCAAAAGTTGGTTCTTTGAAGCAATAAATAAGATAGACCACTAGCTATACTAATAAAGAATAAAGGGCAAAGATCCAAATAAACAAAGTAGTAATGACGAAGGGGACATTACAACTGACTGCATAGAAATACAGTAAACCCTCTGAGACTATTATGAATACCTCTATGCACACCAACTAGAAAACCTACAAGAAATGGATAAATTCCTGGAAACATACAACCTCCCAAGATGGAACCAGGAAGAAATTGATACCCTGAACAGACCAATCACCACTTCTGAAATTCAATCAGTGGTTAAAGACCTACCAACCAAAGCCCTGGACGAGGCAGATTCACAGCTGAATTCTACCAGACATATAAAGAGGAGCTGGTACCAATCCTACTGAAACTATTCCAAAAAATTGAGGAAGAGGGATTCCTCTCAAACTCATTCTATGAGATCAGCATCATTCTGATACCAAAACCTGGCAGAGACACAACAACAAAAAAGAAAACTTCAGGCCCATATCCCTGATGAACATTGGTCTAAAAATCCTCAGCAAAATACTAGCAAATCAAATCCAGCAGCACATCAAAAAGTGAATACACCATGATCAAGTAGGCTTTATTCCTGGGATGCAAGGTTGGTTCAGCATTTGCAAATCAATACATGTAATTTGTCACATAAATGGAATTAAAAACAAAAGCACATGATCATCTTAGTAGACACAGAAAAGGCTTTTGATAAAATTCAACATCCCATCATGTTAAAAACTATCAACAAACTAGGCATTGGAGGTACAAACTTCAAAATAATAGGAGCCACATATGTCAAACCCACAGTCAACATCACACTGAATGGGCAAAAGCTAGAAGCATTCCCCTTTAGATCTGGAACAAGACAAATATGCAAACTCTCTTCATTCCTATTCAGCGTAGTATTGGAAATCATAGCCAAAGCAATCAGGCAAGAGGGAGAAATAAAAGGCATCCAACTATGAAGAGAGGAAGTCAAACTTTCTCTTTTTTTTAGATAACATGATACTATAAAAAAAGCATCACGATACTAGAAAACCTCATAGTCTCTGCCCAAAGTTTTCTAAATATGATAAACACCTGCAGCAAAGTGTCAGTGTGCAAAATCAACATATAATAATCAGTAGCATTTCTATATGCCAATAACATCCAAGCTGAGAGCCAAGTAAAAGTTGCAATCCCATTCATGGTAGCTACAAAACGAATAAAATACCTAGGAATACAGACAACCAGGGAAGTGAGAGATCTCTATAATGAGAATTACAAAAAACTGCTACAAGAAATCAGAGATGACAGAAACAAATGGAAAAACATTCCATGCTCATGGATAGGAAGAATCAATCTTGTTAAAATGGCTATATGATCCAAAGTAATTCACAGATTCAATGCTATACCTATCAAACAACCAACAACCTTTTTCACAGAATTGGAACAAAAGGATTCTCAAATCCATATGGAACTAAAAGAGAGCCTGAATAGTCAAAGCAATCTTAAGCAAAAAGAACAAAGCTGGAGGTATCACACTACTCAACTTCAAATCATACTACAAGTCTACAGTAACTAAAATAGCATGGTACTGGTATAAAAACAAACACATAGACCAATGGAACAGGTTCCAGAAATAAGGCTGCACACCTACAGCCATCTGATCTTTGACAAAGGTGACAAAAACAAGCAATGGGGAATAGGCTCTCTATTCAATAAATGGTGGTGAGATAACTGGCTAGCCATATGCAGAAGATTGAAGCTGGACCCCTACATTTCACTGTATACAAAAACCAACTCAAAATGGATTAAAGACTTAAACATAAAATGTAAAACTATAAAGACCCTAGAAGAAAATCTAGGAAATACCATTCTGTATATTGGCCCAGGTAAAAACTTAATGATGAAGACTCCAAAAGCAATTGAAAAACAAATAAACAAAAATTGAAAAGTGGGTTATAACTAAACAGCTTCTGCACAGCCAAAAAAAAAAAATTAAGAGTAAACAGACAACCTACAGAATGTGATAAAATATTTGCAAACTATGCATGCAACAAAGGTTTAATATCCTGAATCTATAAGGAACCCAAACAAATCAACAAGCAAAAAATAACCCCATTACAAAATGGGCAAAGGATATGAGCAGACACTTCTCAAAAGAAGACATACACACGACCAACAAGCATATGTAAAAATAGTCAACATCACTAATTATTGTGGGATTGGAAATCAAAACCACAATGAGATACCATCTCACACAAGTCAGAATATCTATTATTAAAATGTCAAAAAATAACAAATGCTGGCATGTTTGCAAAGTAAAGGAAACACATACACTACTGCTGGGAAAATAAATTAGTTCAGCCATTGTGGTAAGTCTGGAGATTTCTCAAAGAACTTAAAATAGAACTACCACTGGACCCAACAATTCCATTACTGGGTATATACCCAAAGGAATATAAATTATTCTACCATAAAGATACATGCACACATATATTCATTGTAGCACTATTCATAATAGCAGAGACATGGAATCAACCTAGATGTCCATCAATAGTAAACTGGATTCAGAAAATGTGGTACATATATACCATGAAATACTACGCAGCTATAAAAAATGAGTTCATGGCCTTTGCAGCAACATGGATGGAACTGGAGGCCATAATCCTACGTGAATTAATGGAGGAACAGAAAACCAACTGTCATATGTTCTCACTTATACATAGGAGCAATATGTTGACTATGCATGGACACAAAGAAGGGAACAATACACACTGGTGCCTATCTGAGGGTGAAGCGTGGGAGGAGGGTAAGGATTTAAAAACAACCTATTGGGTATTATGCTGATTACCTGGGTGACAAAATTATCTTTACACCAAATCCCCACAACATGCAACTTACCCAGGTAAAAAACTTGAAAACTTGCACATGTACTCCTTGAACCTGAAATAAAAGTTGGAAAGAAAAAAAAACAAGTCAAAAAAGAACAGCCCCCGCCCCCGGCCCGCCCGGCCCGAGGCTGCAGCGTGTCCGCCGCGCGGCCTCAGCAGCAGCAGCAGTGGCGGCGGCGGCGGCTGCAGCGGCTGGCGGCCGCGCGGGTGTTTATGTCGGGGTCTTGCGGCAGCATGGCGGACTACCTGATCAGCGGCAGCACCCGCTACGTGTCCGAGGCCGGCCTCACCGCGCAGCAGCTCTTCGCCAGCGCCGATGGCCTCACCTACAACGACTTCCTGATTCTCCCAGGATTCATAGGCTTCATAACTGATGAGGTGGACCTGACCTCAGCCCTGACCCGGAAGATCACGCTGAAGACTCCGCTGACCTCCTCCTCCATGGGCACTGTGACAGATGCCGACATGGCCATCGTGATGGCTCTGATGGGAGGGCTCTGATAGGAGGTATTAGTTTCATTCACCACAACTGCACCCCAGAGTTTCAGGCCAATAAGGTGCAGAAGGTCAAGAAGTTTGAACAGGGCTTCATCACGGACCCCGTGGTGCTGAGCCCCTCGCACACCGTGGGTGATGTACTGGAGGCCAAGATGCGGCATGGCTTCTCTGGCATCCCCATCACTGAGACGGGCACCATCGGCAGCAAGCTGGTGGGTATCATCGCCTCCCGAGACATCGACTTTCTTGCTGAGAAGGACACCATCCTCCTCAGTGAGATGATGACGCCAAGGACCGAGCTGGTGGTGGCTCCAGCAGGCGTGACATTGAAAGAGCAAATGAGATCCTGCAGCGTAGCAAGAAAGGGAAGCTGCCTATCGTCAATGATCACAATGAGCTGGTGGCCATCATCACCCGCACCGACCTGAAGAAGAACCGAGACTACCTCTGGCCTCCAAGGATTTCCACAAGCAGCTGCTGTGCGGGGCAGTTGTGGGCACCCGTGAAGATGACAAATTCTGCCTGGACCTGCTCACTCAGGCGGGCGTCGATGTCATAGTCTTGGACTCGTCCCAAGGGAACTCGGTGTATCAGATCGCCACGGTGCATTACATCAAACAGAAGTACCTCCACCTCCAGGTGATTGCGGGGAACGTGGTGACAGCAGCCCAGCGTGGGCATGGGCTGCGGCTCCATCTGCATCACCGGGGAAGTGATGGCCTGTGGTCAGACCCACGGCACTGCTGTGTACAAGGTGGCCGAGTATGTCTGGCGCTTTGGTGTGCCCGTCATAGCCGATGGCAGCATCCAGACCGTGGGGTACATGGTCAAGGCCCTGGCCCTTGGAGCCTCCACAGTGCTGGCCCTTGGAGCCTCCACAGTGATGACGGGCTCCTTGCTGGCCGCTACCACGGAGGCCTCTGGCGAGTACTTCTTCTCAGACAGGGTGTGGCTCAGGAAGTACCGGGGCATGGGCTCGCTGGATGCCATGGAGAAGAGCAGCAGCACCCAGAAATGATACTTCAGCGAGGGGGATAAGGTGAAGATCACACAGGGTATCTCGGGCTCCATCCAGGACAAAGGGTCCATTCAGAAGTTTGTGCCCTACCTCATAGCGGGCATCCAGCATGGCTACCAGGATATCGGGGTCCACAGCCTGTCTGTCTTTGGGTCCATGATGTACTCAGGAGAGCTCAAGTTTGAGAAGCGGACCATGTTGGCTCAGATCAAGCGTGGTGTCCATGGCCTGCACTCTTAGGAGAAGTGGCTGTACTGAGGACAGTGGTGGAGGCCGAGGTGGTTGAGGGGGCACACCCCAGTGTCCACCTTCGGGCACAGCCTCCCTCCATAACTGAGTGGTCCGCAGATTTGCACTACGGGTTCCCCAGCTCCTTTCCAGGGAGACAGGAGGGGAGGTCCTGAGGGGTCTGGGGTCCCTCACTGGGCATCCCCTGCAGAGTCATTACTGCTCCCTGGGCCAGGCTGCCCTGGGAGCCCCCTCCTTCCCCGCCCCTCCGCCGCCCGCCCCAGTCAGCCGGACTCTCAGGCCCTGAGCCTGCCTCAGGTCTTTCTTGCTGCAGCCTGCTCCAGCCCAGCCCCCACCCCAGGGGCAGACGTCCCATCCTGGCTTCTCCTGTAGGGCACCTCTTTGTCCCCAGCCCCCCAGGAAATTGTGCTGTCCTGGTCCTGCCTCTGGCCCTTCCCAAGCCCCTTCCCCCTCAGCCACGTGGCACTTCTGAACTCCTGACCTAGGCCAAGGGGAGGTCTCTGCCCCCTTCTCCGGCCCTGGGCTACCCTTGGGTCCTGCTCCTCAGGCCACTCCCCTGTCCCTGGCCTTGGGGAGGAGGCTGCCCTGGTCATGGCTGCCTGCCCGTCGTTCCTGACTCACCACTGTCCCCAGGTGTACCATTCCTACCCTCTCCTCAGCTGCAGTTGAAGACTTTAACTTTGCACACTTTGGGATCATAGTTGCGTCATTGTGTATTAATGGAAGAAATCAAGCAGGTCTCAATGCCTCCAAAAAAAAAAAAAAAGAACAGATGTCAGCATGGATGTGGAGAAAGGGGAATGCTTATACACTGTTGGTGGGAATATAAATTAGTTCAACTTGTACACAAAACAGTATGGAGTTTTCTCGGAGAACTGAAAATAGAACTACCATTCAACCCAGCAATCCCACTACTGGGTATACACTGAATGGAAAATAAATATTTTTTTCAAAAAGATATCTGCACTCATGTCTTTTTTTTTTTTTGTTTTTTGAGACAGAGTCTCACTCTGTCATCCGGGCTGGAGTGCAGTGGTGTGATCTTGGCTCACTGCAACCTCCTCCTCCCAGGTTCAAGCAATTCTCCTGCCTCAGCCTCCTGAGTAGCTGGGACTACAGGCATGTGCCACCATGCTCGGCTAAGTTTTTGTATTTTTAGTAGAGATGAAGTTTCACCATGTTGGCCAGGCTGGTCTCGAACTCCTGACCTCAATTGATCTGCCCACCTCAGCCTCCCAAAGTGCTGGGATTACAGGCAAGAGCCACCACGCCCAGCCTGCACTCATATCTTTATCACAGCACTATTCACAGTAGAAAAGTCATGTAATCAACCTAAGTTTCCATCAACAGTGAATTGGATAAAAAAAAATGTGGGTATATATACACCATGAAATATTAAGCAGTCATAGAAAAGAATGAAATTATGTTATTTGTAGCAACATGGGTGGAGCTGGAGACCATTATCCTAATTGACATAACTCAGAAACAAATTATCAAATATCACATGTTTTCACTTATAAATGGGAACTAAACAATGGGTACACATGGACATAAAGATGGAAATCATAGACACAGGGGACTCCAAAATTAGAAATGTTGGAAAAAGGGTGAGAGTTCAAAAATTACCCATTGGGTACAATGTTCACTACTTGGGTAATGAGTACACTAGAAACCCAATCTCGATTATTACACAATATACCTATGTAACAAACCTGCACATGTATCCACTGAATGTAAAATAATAGAAAATTTTAAAAAATTAAAATGTGTAGATAATTTTATATTGTTTATTAATGATTGCACATATCCTTTTGCAAATTGCTTTTTTCTCTCTAGTTATTATAAGTTTTTTTCAGGTTGATGCATATGGATTAGCCCAAGTTCACTGATTGTATTGATGTTTTATATTCCATGGTATAAATATACTATAAATTATTCATCAATTCCTTAGTTGATGAGCATTTATGTTGTTTTCAATTTTTCACTATAAAAATAAATCCTGACATAAATATTTTATATGTCTCCTTGTGCTAATGTGTTTCTCTAAGATATAGCCCCAAAATAATATTTAGGTTAAAGGCTATGCATATTGTCAGTCTTCTAGTTATTGCCAAATTGTATCAATTTGCATTCCGCCACCAGCATATGAGAGTCTTCATTTTTCTGCATCCTAGTCCAAACTAGGTAATGTCAAACTAATGATAGATATAAAACCATATCTTATTATTTAAATTAGTATTTCCCTGATTACTAGTGAGGGTGGTTATTTTTTCATATGTTAATTGACCTTTCAGAGTTCTCCTTCTATGAAATGCTTATTTAAATTCTTAACTTTAGATATTTTATGTTTTTATGACAATGGGACTTTAATTAATTGTTCACATCTTCTCCTAATCCTTAGGATACCTTTTTCTAATTTTTATTTTTTTAAAAATTGATAATATATTAATTTGGCTTAGGTTTATGTAAAAATGTATTCATGAGAAATCTCATTCCTATTCCAGCCCCATTAACCCCACTGCCTTGCAAGCCCTTCATTGATAATCATTTTTCAATTTGCCCTTTTGGTGTTTATTTATTCTTTATTAAAGAATAAAATGAAGAGACATGCACTCACCACTCAACTAAAGAAATACACCATTACCACAACTTAATAAGTTCCTTCTTTGTTCTTCCTAGGTTAATTGCATCTTCTTTCCCATCGCTAGAGATAACCGCTATTATTAGTTAGCTTTTCTTTCTAGCTTACCTTCATTTATGTATTTATTCTACCTTCAAATTTCATTGATGGTTTGTATGAGTATGGGATTCCAGGTTGGAAATATTTCTCCTTCAGTACTTTGAAAATATTAATCCATTTTATTCTAGCTTTAAGTCTTGCTAATGAAACACCTGAAACCTCGTTGACTCATGGTTCTTCAGTGTCAAATGACTTTCCCCTCATTTCTGGAATCCATACGTAGGCATATTTTCACCTATTGTGCTGGGCGCTTGGTGGGTTCTTTCAAAATGAAAACTTGTTTCCTTCTGTTCTGATCAATTTTGTTGAATTATTTCATTCATGATTTCCTCCCCTCCATTTTCTCTCTACTATCTTTCCATAATTCCTATTATTCTGCTTATAAAATAAATGCCTGGACTGTGCTCAGTTTTTTTCTTTTTCACTCCAACTTTCCATTTCCTTTTTATTATTCTAATTTTGGGGAGATTAGCTAAAGGAACTTGAATTCTAGACCCAACAATATCCCAATGATTATCTTGGTCACTCTCTAAATTTCAGTTTCATCAGGTTTAAAAGAAATCAGTTGGCTGTAAGTACATGAGTTTATATCTAGGTTATCATTTCTGTTCCATTGGTCTATGTGTCTGTTTTTAAGCCAGTACCATGCTGTTTTGGTTACTGTTGCTTTGTAGTATGTTTTAAAGTCAGGTAGTATGATACCTCCAACTTTTTTTGTTCATGATTGCCTTGGCTATTCAATGTCTTTTATGGTTGCATACAAATTTTAGGATTGTTTTTCTATTTCTGTGAAAAATGTCTTGCTAAGAGCACACATTGGAGAAAAGACAGTCCCTTCAATAAGTGGTGCTGGGAAAACTAAATATCTACATGCAGAAGAATAAAACTAGATCCTTATCTCTCATCACTGACAAAAATAAACTCAAAATAAATTAAAAACTTTAATGTAACACCCCAAACTATGAAATTACTAGAAAACATAGGAGAAATACTTTATTACATTGTTCTGGGCAAGGATGTTTTTTAATAACACCTCAAAATCATAGGCAATAAAAGCAAAAACAGACAAATAGGATTACATCAAACATAAAATATTCTGCCCAGCAAAGGCAACAGTCAACAGAGTGAAGAGACAACCTATATAATGGGAGAAAATATTTGTATACTATGCATCTAACAAGGGGTTAATATCCAGAATATGTAAGGAACTCGATTCAATAGCAAAAAAAAAAAAGGGGGGTTAATATCCAGAATATGTAAGGAACTCGACTCAATGGTCTGATTTAAAAATGGTCAAAAGATCTAAGTAAACATTTATCAAAAGAAGATATACAAATTGTCAACAGGTATATGAAAAAAACACTCAACATCACTAATCATCAGGGAAATGCAAATCAAAACCACAATGAGATATCACTTCACATCTGTTAGAATGGCTACTATTAAAAAAAAAAATGCCAGCAACGATGTGGAGAAAGGGGAAGTAATACACTGTTGATGGGAATGTAAATTAGTACAGCCATTATGGAAAACAATATGGAAGTTTCCCCCAAATTAAAAATAGATCTACCATATGATCCAACAATCCCACTATGTGTCTATCAATAAATGAA
This sequence comes from Homo sapiens, assembly GCF_000001405.40. NCBI lineage: Eukaryota > Metazoa > Chordata > Mammalia > Primates > Hominidae > Homo > Homo sapiens. The sequence goes on along the minus strand of NC_000023.11, from coordinate 43,273,774 downwards.
TGGATATAAAGGGCTGGTATATAGTCACAATGGAATACTATTAGGCCAAAAAAAAGAGGCAAAATCCTGTTATTTGCAACAACATGGGTGAATGTGGAGGACATTATATTAAGTGAAATAAACTAAGCATAGTAGGACAAATATCGCATGATCACACTCATAAGTGTAATCTAAAAATGTTGATCTCATAGAAGTAGAGAGTAAAATACTGCTTACCAGAGGCTGGGTAGAGTAGGCGGGAGAGAAGGAATGGGGAGAGGTTGGTTGATATGCACAGTAGTAGTCAGATAAGAGGAATAAGTTCTAGTGTTCCATTGCACAGGAGAATGATTATAGTCGACAATAATGTGTACTTCAAAATAGAAGAGAGGTTTTCAAATGTTATCATCACAAATGACAAATGTTTGAGGTGATGGATATACCCTGATTGAATCATTACACAGTGTATATATGTAGCAAAACATCACAGTGGGCCCTGTGTGGTGGCTCACACCTGTAATCGCAGTATTTTGAGAGCTGAAGCAGGAGGATTGCTTGAGGCCATGAGTTCAAGACCAGCCTGGGCAACATAGCAAAACCCCATCTCTACAAAAAAAAAAAAAAAAAAAAAAAAGTTGGCTGGGTGTGTTGGTGCACATTTGTAGTCCTAGCTACTTGGGAGGCTGAGGCAAGAGGAATGCTTGAGCACAGGAGTTTGAGGCAGCAGTGAACCATGATTGTGCCAAAGCACTCCAGCCTGGGTGACAAAGCAAGACATTGTCTCAAAACAAAGAAACAAATTACACTGTACCCCATAAATATGTACAATTATGTGTCAATTAAAAACAAAATAAAACTTATTTTTAAAAGGAATAAGTTGAATTATATAATGCTTAACTTGCCTTCCACCTCTCACTTATTATGAGGTTCACATTGAACCATCAGGCAGGCAGACAGGCATACTGTTACCTATGTGTACAGATGAAGGAATTACATCTCAGAGAGTTTAAGTAAAATAAGAATCAGAACACATCCTTCTGATTCCTGTTTTAGTCTGCCTTCCATTAGGTTATGTTATCTAGGACAATAATCATAATAATGTGGTCATGAACAGAGACTAGTTTGACTAAAATCATGAACAGAGACTAGTTTGACTAAAATAATAGTTTGTTTTTGGGCTAGCCTTCCTGTACTATACACATATGTAGATGATCTCTAAAGACTCTACCTATTCTAAATTTATCTTTCTATGATAATAATTCTTACTCAAGGAGATAGTAGTAACAGTAGGTATAATATACTGCTAATGAAGGATAATTAGTTTTCACACTACAAAATTAAATTAACACTTTTAACACTCAACTTTTTCCTTGAATAAAATACATTACAAGTTTTAATGTAATTGGAGCTCTTAAGTTTAGTTTTAAAGCTGTGGTTCTGAATCGAAACTATATCTTTGTCCTAATTATGTAATACAGATTTCTGTTCTCAGGCCTCTAGTTATGATTATTTTTATTTACTTAAATGCCTATCTTCACATCTTTCTCTTCCTTTCTTTTTCTCCATATTTAAATGGTGAAAAATACCATATACACAAGATGAAATATAAAATATATTTGAAGTTAAAATAATAAAAATTTGAAAACTTCTACATGCCCATAATTCACATGAAAATGTAAAAAATCATGATGGCCTTAGAAAATCTATCTATGGCCTTTCATGATTGCATCCCTCTGCCCTTACCACCAGACAAATCCATAATCCTGACTTTATTAGTGTACTCAGGCTGCCATAATAAAAATATCACAGATTGGGTGGCTTAAACAATGGAAATTCATTCTCTCACAGTTCTAGAAGCTAAAAATATGAGATAGATCCAGGTATGGCAGTAGGTTTCGTTTCTTGGGAAGCTTTTCTTTCTGGCTTACAGATAGCTGTCTTCTTGTTGTGTGTTCACATGTTCATGTCTGTGCATCTTCACATGATCTTTCCCCTGTGTATGTTGTGTCCTAATCTCTTCTTATAAGGATACCAGTCGTATTGGATTAGGAAGGGTCCACGCTAATGAGCACATTTTTACTTAAGTTACCTCTTTAAAGGCCCTATCTCCAAATACAGTCATATTGGAAGGTACTGGGGGCTAGGGCTTTGACATAAATTTTTCAGGACACAATTCAGCTCATAACACAGACTTTTGTGTTAATCATTTACATATATATATATCCACCTATGTGTATATACTTAAACATGACTCAGTTTTGCCAATTTTTGAACTTTATATCAATGGAACCAACACTTTATTACACTGGGACATGCCTCTGTCATGGTAATTATGTATATTTTGAACTTTTATAATAGGTTTATTTTCATTTATTTTGTATTTTTTAATTGATGAATAATAATTGTACATATTCATGGGATACATAGTGATGTTTTGATACATATAATGTTTACTTATCAGATCAGGATAACTAACATATCCATCATCTCAAACATTTATCATTTCTTTATGTTGGGAATGTTCAATATGCTCCTTCTAGCTATTTGAAACTATGTAATATATTATTGTGAACTGCAGTAATCCTACAGTGGTATATTGAAATATGTGGTTGATTTCCACTTCACTATAGCAGTTTATTACATGAAGTATACTACAATTTATTCATCCATTCTACTATTAATGACATTTCATTGTTTCTAGTTTTTTCATATTATGAACATTGCTATTATAGACATTCTTGTACATGCTTTCTAGTGTGTATTTGCAAGAATTTCTCTAAGGTGTTTAAATAGTAGTAGAGCGCTGGGTCATGAGATTTGTATATGGTCAATTTTACTCAAGGTGCTTTTTATTTCTGGGAACATTTTAATTATTTCCACTCAATGGCAGAGACTTTCGGTTGCTTCCCAATAGACATTCTCCTCTTCTTTCTTTAGCGATACCCTGATTTTTAGCTGCACACATGACCATGCAGAATAGACACTATTCTCAGCCCCCTTGCTGAAATGAGAGCATAAATGTTGGGTAGAAGTTTTGAGGAGACTGCTTAAAGAAAGCTGATGCTGCAAGGTTGCTTTTTGTCCTTCCTGCTACCTGAAATGCAAGTTAGATAGTAGAGATCCAACTGCCATCTTGACTTTTAAGGATGGAAGCCATGTACTAGTATGTTGGAGCAGACAAAGATATTCTGGTTCCTTAAGGACACTGTTGACGTTCCTACCAGTTTTGGACTTTCAAATTTCAGACTCCTTTAATGATGTGAGAGAATAAATCCTTGTGTGTTTAAGCCACTATTTTGAGTATGTGTACTTGCAGCCAAACACAATTCCTAACTGAATTCACTTTGAAATTTAATTTCATAATCTGTATCTGATATTTGAGCATACAAACAGTGTTTTGAATTTTCAGTTTATGTCTCAAGTTTGGTGATTTCTTGATATGTTTTAGAGAAACTTTTTTTTTTTTTGAGACAGAATTTCACTCTTGTTGCCTAGGCTGGAGAGCTATGGTGCGATCTTCGCTTACTGCAGCCTCCACCTCCCAGGTTCAAGCAATTCTCCTGCCTCAGCCTCCCGAGTAGCTGGAATTACAGGTTCCCACCACCACACCTGGCTAATTATTTGTATTTTTAGTAGAGATGGGGTTATCAGATCAGGATAATTGAGACGATTGATATGTTAATTATCCTGAGCCATGTTGGTCAGGCTGGTCTGGAACTCCTGGCCTCAGGTGATCTACCTGCCTCGGCCTCCCAAAGTGCTAGGATTACAGGCGTGAGCTACTGCGCCTGGCCTAGAGAAAAATTTTCATTTCAAAATGTCAGTTGTTCCCCCAATAAATAGGAGATTTTTGATAGGCACACTTGATAGTCCTGAAGAAACCATAGCAGTGATTCTCTATATAACAAGAAGCCTCTGCCTTTAACAAGTATGCCCATGCAAAGGAGAAATGAAAAGGATGAAATAATTATTATCTAAGTTGTGCTTAATCTTACTATACACATTTCCCATCTATCTATATGTTCTTCCCAGTCTCACCCCCGGCCTCCCCTCAGAATTAACCATTATCATTAATTTTTAAAATAATTTCATAGCTCTGAACATATGACTCAAGCAATACATTGTCAGATTTATTTGTTTTGGAGTCTATACAGTTGCACTTTATATTCTGGGATCTGCTTTTTTCCTCTCAAAATTAGGTTTCCAAGATTCATCTGAAATTTAATAAGTTGCTAAAAGCATGATTTAGGGTATAATTATCAGTCATAATAGGTAAACTCTCAAATCTCAATATTACAACTCAATAGAAGTTCATTTCTTTCCCATATAAGATCTAAAATGTACTGCATTAATAGTGGATGGCTCTCATCCAAGTGGTGAGTCAGAAACTTAGCATTCCTTCATCTTACTCTCTGCTGTCCTCAGCATATGGCTTCCTATGTTGCCATACTTATCTTCCTCTAAGCTGCAGAGAGAGGAACATCATGGAGGATCCATATAAAATATTGCTATGGGTCAGTACTAGAAGTGGCACATATCATTTCTTCTCTTGTTTCATTTGTGTAAGCTCAGTCACATGGTGTGACAGCCATGGAGGTGGGCTTCTCAGATCACCCTCCAAGAGAGAAGATGCTAGAAAGGGTCCAGTGAGCTGACTGCAGCTCCTTCAGGATCTCTCACAACATTCAGGCTGAGGCCAGGCTTTTCTCAGGCAGTTTCTAGGCGATGCTGAGAACAGTAAGTATACTAGGGCCTGGACATTTCTGCCAAATGTAGGATTCATCTGTGGGTAATCTTCGTGTTGGAACCCAACACTGGGAGTATGAAACTTTCTCAGAGCTTTATTGCAGTCTGACTTTTTCCTACCCACCCTTCCTTTGTTATCCTCTCCTTTCACAGAGGTTAGACAAGCATCCTGGTCTGAAGTCTCTCTCCACCTACTTTTGCTCCCTCTTCCCTTTGTTGCTCACAGAGTTCATCCTCAATAACATTCTTGTACTTCTAATTCCATCTTTGTGTTGGCTTTCCACAGGATCCAAATTGAGACATATGCTGACACATAAACACAAAGGAGGCTGGAAAACATAGTTTAGGTGAGTGCCCAGGAAGAAGAGGAACTAGCTTCAGTGAATAGCCACCCAGTATCTGCCATGATTTAGCTCATTGACTTTTACTGATTTATGACAGTTCTTTTGTGAATATACCACAGTCTATTGTATTTATTCTCCTGTCAGTGAATATTTGGGTTGTTCTGAGTTTTAGGATTTTTGTTTTTACCATTACAAGTATTGCTGCAATAAAGAATTTGGTATATATAAACTAGAAAACCCTAAAAATTCTGCAAAAAGACTCCTAGACCTGATGAAAGACTTCAGTAAAGTTTCAGGATACAAAAGAAACATACAAAAATCAGTAGCATTTCTATACAGCAATAATATTCAAGCTGAGAACAAAATCAAGAACAAAATCCCAAGTTGTAGAGCAAGATGGTGGAATAAAAGGCTCCACTGATCATTCCCCTGGAATACGCCAATTTAACAGCTATCTGCACAGAAAAGTACCTTCATAAGAACCAAAACTTAGATGAGCACTCAACAATACCTGGTTTTTAACTTTGTATCACTGAAAGAGGCACTAAAGAGGTAGAAAAAACAGTCTTGAATAGCCGACGCCACCCCTACCCTATCCCCCAGCAGCAGCTGCATGGTGCGGAAAGCATTTCTGTGTAATGGGAGAGGGAGAGCACAGCAATTGTGAGGCACTGAACTCAGTGCTGTCCTCAGTTATAGCCAAAAGGGAAATCGGACCAAGCTCAGGTGACACCTGCTCACAGAGGGAGCATTTAAATCAGCTCTAGCCAGAGGGGAATTGCTAATATCAGTGGTTGGAACTTGAGTTCCCACAAGCCTCACCAATGAGGGCCGAAGTGCTCTGGGGCTCTAAATAAACTTGAAAGGCAGGCTAGGCCATAATAACTGCAACTGTTAGGTGAGACTTAGCGCTGAACTAGGCCCAGAGGCAATGGACTGTGGGGGCTCGTGACATACTGAGACACCAGCTACGGTGGCTAAGAAAGTGCTGGCATCACCCCTTCCCTGTGTGCTCCAGGCTACACAGCTCATGGCTCCAAAAGAGATCCCTTCCTTCTGCTTGAGGAGAGGAAAGGGAAGAGTGGGGAGGATTTTGTCTTGCATCTTGGATACCAGCTCAGCCGCAGCAGGATAAGGCCCCACTCAGAGTCCTGAGGCCCCCATTCCAGGCCCTAGCTCTCAGATTACATTTCTAGACATACCATGGGCTAGAAGGGAACCTAATGCCTTCTGAAGGGATGGATCCAGTCCTGGCAGCATTCATCACAGGCTATATGAAGATCCCTTGGGCCCCCGAAAACCAGCAGCAATACCCAGGTACTACATCAAGGACCTTGGGTAAGACTCTGAGGCTTGTTGGCATCAGGTGAGAGAACATTTCCAACTGTGGTGGCTATGGGGTAAGACTTCTTCCACTTGAGAAAAGCAGAGGGAAAAGTAAAGGGGACTTTGTCTTACACCTTAGGTACTTCCCTGCTTGGCCACAGGGGAGTAAAGCACCAAGCAGGCTCTTGAAGTCCCCGATTCCAGGACTTGGCTCTTGGACAGCATTTCTTGAACTGCCCTGGGTGAGAGGGGAACCCACTTCACTGAACAGTGAGTCCCAGGCCAGCTAGCATTTACCATAAGCTGACTGAAGAGCCTTTGGGCCATAAGAGAACATCACCTGTAGTCTGGCAGTACTCCTTCTGGTCCTGTGGTGGTGCAGGCCATGGGATAAGGCTCCTCTGCCTTTGGGAAAGAGAGAGAAGAGTGGTAAGAACTGTCTTGTGATTTGAGTGGCAGTTCAGCCACAGTACAATAGCACACCAGGTAGACTTCTAAAGTTTTTGACTCTAGTCCCTGGCTTCACATGGCACCTCTGGACCCACCTGGGACATGGGTAATTTTGCCAACCTGAAGAGTGGCCTGACTGGCTTTGTCACTTGCAAATTGCAGAGCACCAGAGCCTTGAGTGAACATAGTCAGTAGCTAAGGAGTGGTTACAGCAGGCCTTGCATGAGACCCAGTACTGTGCTGCTTTCAGGTCTAACCCAGCACAGTCATATAGGTAGTGGCACAGGGGTGCTTGTGTCACTCCACCTCCAACTTCAGTGGCTCAGAACAGAGAGAGAGACTTCATTTGTTTGGAAGAAAGTAAAGGAAGAGAACAAGAGTCTCTGCTTGGTAATCCAGCTAATTCTCCTGCATCTTATCCAATACTATCAAGGTGGTACCACTATGAGTCTGCAAAAACCACAGGATTACTGAGCTTGGGGTGCCCCCTAAAGCAGATATAGCTTAGATCACAACACCCAAGTCCTCTCAAATATCTGGAAAGCCTTCCCAAGAAGGACAGGTACAAACAAGCTTACACAGTAAGTACTACAATAGATACATAACTCTTCAATGGCCAGACATCAAAGAACATCTACAAGTATCAAGACCATCTCAGAAAACATAACCTCACCAAATGAACTAAATAAGGAACCAGGGACTAATCATGGAGAAACAGAGATATGTGACCTTTCAGACAGAGAATTCAAAATAACTATGTTGAGGAAACTCAAAAAAACTCAAAATAATACAGAAGGAACTCAGAATTCTGTCAGATGAACTTAACAAGGAGATGAAAATAATTAAAAAGAATCAAGAAGAAATTCTGGAGATGGAAAATGCAACTGGCATACTAAAGAATGCATCAGAGTTTTTAAATAGCAAAATTGATCAAGTAGAATAAAGAATTAGTGAGCTTGAAGACAGGCTATTTGAAAATGCACAGTCAGAGGAGACAAAAGACAAAAAGAATAGAAAACAATGAAGCATGACTACAGGATCTAGAAAATAGCTTCCAGAGGCAAATTAAAAGGGCAAATCTAATAGTTATTGGCCTTAAAGAAGAGCTATAGTGAAAGACAGGGGTGAGCTGGGTGCAGTGACTCATGCCTGTAATCCCAGCACTTTGGGAAGCCGAGGCGGGTGGATCACCTGAAGTCAGGAGTTCGAGACCAGCCTGACCAACATGGAGAAACCCTGTCTCTACTAAAAATATAAAATTAGCTGAGCATGGTGGCGCATGCCTGCAATCCCAGCTATTTGGGAGGCTGAGGCAGGAGAATCACTTGAACCCAGGAGGCAGAGGTTGTGGTGAGCCAAGATCGCGCCATTGCACTCCAGTCTGGGCAACAAGAGTGAAACTCCAACTCAAGAAAAAAAAAAAAAAAAAGAAAGAAAGAGAAAGAAAAAGACAGGGGTAGAAAGTTTTTTTCAAGGAATAATAAGAGAACTTCACAAACCTAGAGAAATTTATCAATATCCAAGTATAAGGAAGTTGTAGAACACCAAGCAGATTTCACTCAAAGAAGACTACCTCGAGGCATTTAATAATCAAACTCCCAAAGGTCAAGAATAAAGGAAGGATCCTAAAAGCAGCAAGAGAAAAGAAACAAATAATATGCAATGGAGCTCCAAAACATCTGGCAGTAGACTTTTCTGTGTAAACCTTACAGGCCAGGAGACAGTGGCATGACACATTTCAAATGCTGAAGGAATAAAACTTTTACCCTAGAATTATATATCTGACAAAAATATCCTTCAAACATGGAGGAGAAATAAAGACTTTCCCAGATAAACAAAAGCTGAGGGGTTTCATCAACACCAGACCTGTCCTACAAGAAATGCTAAGAGAGTACATAAATCAGAAATAAAAGAAGGTTAATGAGAAATAAGTTATCACCTGAAGGTACAAAACTCTCTGGTAATACTAAGTACACAGAAAATCACAGAATATTACTACGCTGTGACTGTGGCATGTAAATTACTCTTATCCTACATAGGAAGACTGAACAATAAACCAATAAAAAATAATAACTACAACAACTTTCCAAGACATAAACAGTACAATAAGGTATAAATGGAAACAACAAATTTAAAAAGCAGGGAGATGAAGTTAAGCCATAGAATTTTTATTTGTTTTCTTTTTGCTTGTTTGTTTGTTCATGCAAACAGTGTTGTTATATAGTTGAAATAATGAATTATAACATAGCATTTGCAAGCCTCCTGGTAACCTCAAACCAAAAATCTTACAATAGGTACACAAAAAATAAAAAACAAGAAACTAAATCATATCACTGGAGAAAATCACCTTCACTAAAGTTAAACAGGAAGGAAAGAAAGAAGGAAGAGAAGACAACAGAACAACTAGAAAACAAATAAAAAAATGGCAGAAGTCCTTACTTATCAATAATAACATTGAATGTAAATAAACTAAACTCTCCCATCAAAACACATAGAGTAGCTGAATGGATGAATAAACAAGACCCATTAATCTGTTGCCTGCGAGAAACACACTTCGCTCACAAAGCCACGCATAGACTAAAGGGATGGGAAATAGATATGACATGCCAATGGAAACCAAAGTAGAGCAGGAGTCACTATTCATATATCAGATAAAATAGAAGTCAAGACAAAAACTACAATAAGAGACAAAGAAGGTTACTATATAATGATAAAGGGGTTAATTCATCAAGAGAGTATAATAATTTTAAATATATGTGCATCCAACACTGGAGCACACCAACCTATAAAGACAATATTATTAAAGTGAGACAGAGAGACGGGTCCCAATACAACAAGAGCTAGAGACCTTAACACCCCACTTTCAGTGGTGGACACATCTCCCAGACAGAAAATCAACAAATAAATATTAAAATTAATCTGCACTACAGACCAAAAGAATCTAATAGATATTTACAGAACATTTCATCCAATGACTACAGAATACACATTATTTTCCACAGCACATGGATCATTCTCAAGGTTAGACCATATGTTAGCTCACAAAACAAGTCTTAAAACATTCAAAATAATTGAAATAATATCAAGCATCCTCTCTGACTACAATAGAATAAAACTATAAATCAATAATAGAGGAATTTTGGAAGTATACAAATATATAGAATGTAAACAATATGCTCCTAAATGACAAATGGATCAATGAAAAAATTAGGAAGAAAATTGAAAAATTTCCTGAAACAAATAACAATGGAAACAAAACATACCAAGACCTATGGGATACAGCAAAAGCAGTAGTAAGAAGAAAGTTTATAGCTATAAATGTCTACATCACAAAAGAAGGACAACTTCAAAAAAATAAACTAATGATGCATCCTAAAGAACCAGAAAAGCAAAAGCAAACAAAACCCCAAATTAGCAAATGAAAAAAAAAAAAGATCAGAGCAGAAATGAATGAAATTGTAATGAAGAAAAAAATAAGAAAGATCAATAAAACAGAGTTAACTTTTTGGAAAGTTAAACAAAATTGACAAAACTTTAGCCAGACTAAGAAAAAAGAGAGAAGACACAAATAAATAAAACCAGAGATCAAAAAGGAGACATTATAATTGATACTAAAGAAATTCAAAGGATCATTAGTGGCTACTATGAACATCTATATGCCAATAATTTGGAAAATCTAGAAGAAATGGACAAATTTCTAGGCATATACAATCTTCCAAGATTGAACCAGGAAGAAATACAAAACTTGAACAGATCAATAACAAGTAACAAGAGTGAAGCTATAATAAAAGCTCTCCTAGTAAAGAAAAGCCAGGAACCTGATGGCATCACTGTTGAAGTTTAGCAAACATTTGAAGAATAACTAATACCAATTCTACTCAAACTATTCTGAAAAATAGAGGAGGAGGGAATACTTCCAAACTCATTCTACAAGGCCAGTATTGTCCTGATACCAAAACCAGACAAAGACACATAAAAAAAAGATAACTACAGAGCAGTATCTCTGATGAATACTGATGCAAAAATCTACAGCAAAATACTAGCAAACTTAATTCAACAATATACTAAAAAGATCATTCATTATGACCAAGTGGGATATATCTCTTGTATGCAAGAATGGCTCAACATACACAAGTTAATCAATGTGATACATCATATCAACAGAAAGAAGGATAGAATCCATATGATCATTTTAATTGATGCTGAAAAAGCATTTGATAAAATTCAATATCCCTTAACAACAAAACCCCTATAAAAACTGTGTATAGAAGGAACATATGTCAACATAATAAAAGCCACATATGACAAATCCAGAGCTAGTATCATACTGAATGGGGAAAAATTGAGTCTTTTTTCTAAGCTCTGAAATATGGGGAGGATACCTACTTTGACCACTATTATTCAACATAGTACAAGAAGTCCTAGCTAGAGCAATCAGACAAGCGAAAGAAAATAAAGGGAATCCAAAATGGAATGGAAGAAGTCAAATTATCCTGTTTGCAGATGATATAATCTTATATTTGGAAAAACCTAAAAACTTCACCAAACAATTATTAGAACAAATAAACAAATTCAGTATTTTGCAGGATACAAAATCACTAGCATTCCCATATGCCAACAGTGAACAATCTGAAATTTCAAAAGTAATCCCATTTACAGTAACCACAAATACAATTAAATACTTAAGAATTAACTTAACCAAAGAAGTGAAAAATATTTATAATGAAAACTACAAAACACTGATGAAATAAATTGAAGAGGACACCAAAAAATGAAAAGATATGCCATGTTCATGGATTGAAAGAATCAACATTGTTAAAATGTCCATACTATCAAAAGCAACCCACAGACTTAGTACAATAGCTATGAAAACACCAATGACATTCTTTACAGAAATAGATAAAACATCACTGATCATTACCGAAATGCAAATCAAAACCACAATGAGATGTCATCTCACACCAGTCAGAATGGCTATTATTAAAATATCAAAAAATAACAGATACTAGTAAGGTTGTGGAGAAAAAAGAACTCTTATACACTGTTGGTGGGAATGTATATTAGTTCAGGCATTGTGGAAGACAGGGGGCAATTCCTCAAAGACCCAAAACTAGAAATATCATTTGACCCAGCAATCCCATTACTGGGTGTATACCCCAAGGAATAAAAATCATTCTATTATAAAGACACATGCATGAGTATGTTCATTATAACACTATTCACAATAGCAAAGACATGGAATCAACTTAAATGCCCATCAGTGATATACTGGATAAAGAAAATGTGGTACATATCCACCATAGAATACTATGCAGCCACAAAAAGAATGAGATCATGTTATCTGCAGGGACATGGATGGAGCTGGAGGCCATTATCCTTAGCCAACTAACACAGGAACATAAACCAAGTACTTCCTGTTCTCACTTATAAGTGGGAGCTAAATGATGAGAAAACATGTACACATAGAGGAAAATAACACACACTGGGAACTTTGGGAGGGTGGAGGGTGGGAGGAGGGAGAGGATCAGATCAAATAACTAATGGATACTAGTCTTAATAGCTGGATGATAAATAATCTGTACAACAAATCCCCATGGCAGAAGTTTACTTGTGTAACAAACCTGCACTTGTACCCCCAAACTTAAAATAAAAGTTAAAAAAGGAAAAAAAAATCCTAAAATTTATACAAAACCACAAAAGACCCAGAATAGCCAAAGCTATCCTGGCGGGGGAGGGGCGGGGAGGAAACAAAACTGGAGGAATCACATTACCTAACTTCAAATACAGACACATAGACCAATGAAATAGCATAAAGAACCCAGAAACAAATCCACACACCAACAGGGAACTCATTTTCAACAAAACTGCCAAGAACATACACTGTTTAAAATAAAGTCTCTTCAATAAATGGTGCTGGGAAAACTGGATATACATATGCAAAAGAATGAAACTATACCCCTATCTTTCACCATAAATGAAAATCAAATCAAAATAGCTTAAAACTTAAATCTAAGACTTCAAAATATGAAACTATTAAGAGAAAATATTGAGGAAAATCTCTAGGACATTAGTCTGTGCAAAGATATCTTGAGCAATACCCCACAAGCACAGGCAAAACAAGCACAAATGGACAAATGGGATCGCATCAAGTTAAAAAGCTTCTGCACAGCAAAGGCAACATCAATAAAGTGAAGAGACAACCCACAAAATGGGAGAAAATATTTGCAAACTACCTATCTCACAAGGAATTAATAACCAGAATATATAAGGAACTCAAACAACTCTTGGAAAAATCTAATGATCCAATCAAAAAAACGGGCAAATGATTTGACTCGACATTTCTAAGACATACAAATGGCAAACAAGCATATGAAAAGGTGCTTGACATCACTGATCAGAGGAATGCAAATCAAAACTACAATGAGATATCATCTCACTCCAGTTAAAATGGCTTATATCCAAAAGACAGGAAATTACAAATGCTGGTGAGAATGTGGAGAAATGGGATCCCTTGCACCCTGTTAGTGGGAAGGTAAATTAGCACAACCACTATGGATAACAGTTTGGAGGGTCCTCAGAAAACTAAAAATAGACGTACCATATGATTCAGTAATCCCACTTCTGGGTATATACCCAATAGAAAGGAAATCAGAACATCAAAGAGATATCTGCACTCCCATGTTTGTTGCAGCACTGTTCACAATAGCCAAGATTTGGAGGTAACCTAAGTGTTCATCAACAGTTGAGTGGATAAAGAAAACATGCTAATTATACACAATGGAGTAATATTCAGCCATACAAAAGAATGAGATCCTGTCAGTTGCAACAACATGGAGGGAACTGGAGGTCAGTATAAGTGAAATAAGCCAGGCACAGAAAGATAAACTGTGCATGTTCTCACTTATTTGTGGGATCTAAAAATCAAAACAATTGAACTCATGGATACAGAGAGTAGAAGGATGGTTACCAGAGGCTGGGATGCGTAGTTGTGGAGTAGGGGGGTGAAGTGGGAATGGTTAATGCATACAAAAAAATTAGTTAGAAAGGATGAATGAGACCTAGTATTTGCTAGCACAAAAGGGTGACTATAGTCAATAATACCTTAATTGTACATTTCAAAATAACTAAAAAATATAATTGGATTGTTTGTAACATACAAGATAAATGCTGGGGGGATGGATACCACATTTTCCATAATGTGATGATTACACATTGCATGTCTGTATCAAAACATCTCATGTACCCCATAAATATACACACCTACAATTTACTCAAAAAGTTATAAATGATTTTTTATAACTCAAAAAGTTATAAATCCCATTTACAATAGGCACACACATACAAAAATAGAATACCTAGGAATGCCTTTAACCATGGAGGTGAAATAACTCTATAAGGAGAACTCCAAAATATTGTTGAAAAAAATCATAGATGACACAAAAAAATTGAAATTCTATGCCTGTGGATTAGAAGAATTTATATCATTAAAATGCCTATGCTGCCAAAAGCAATCTGTAGATTCAATGCAATTCTTATCAAATTACCAATGTCATTTGTCACAGAATTAGAAAAAAAAAACTCTCCTAATATTCATATGGACCAAAAAATGTGCCCGAGTAGCCAAAGCCAAAGCCAAAGCCAAAGCCAAAAAAAAAAAAAAAAAAAAAAAGCCAGAGGCATCAAATTATTCAATAAATAGTGCTGGGAAAACTGGCTAACCATATGCAGAAGAATGAAACTGGATCCTTACCAAGTTTCACCATATGCAAAAGTTAACTCAAGAGGATTAAAGACTGAAATATAAGACCTCAAAGTATAAAAATCCTGTAAGAAAAGCTAGGAAATACTCTTCTGGACATTGGCCTAGGCAAAGAACTTATGATGAAGATCCCAAAAGCAAATGCAACAAAAACAAAAATTGACAATTGGAACCTAATTAAATTAAATGAAAGAGCTTCTGTGCAGCAAAATAAACTATCAACAGAGTAAACAAACAACCTACAGATTGGGAGAAAATATTTGCAAACTATGCATGCAATGAAGGATGAATATCCAGAATCTATAAGGAATTTAGACAAATCAACAAGAAATGAAACAGAAAAACATTAAAAATTGAGCAAAGGATATGAACAGAGACTTACCAAAGGAAGACATACAAGTGGCCAACAAACATATGAAAAAAATGCTCAACATCACTAATTATTAGAGAAATACAAATCAAAACAACAATGAGATATGGTCTCACACTCATCAGAATGGCTAGCATTAAAAAGTCAAAAACCAACAGATGTTGGCGAGCTTGTGGAGAAAAGGGAACTTTCATACACTGCTAGTGGGAGTGTAAATTAGTCCAGCCACTGCATAAAGCAGTTTGGAGATTTCTCAATGAACTTGAAAGAGAACTACCATTTGACCTAGCAATGCCATTACTGGGTATCCACTGAAAGGAAAACAAATTGTTCTACCAAAAAGGAACGTGCACTCGCATATCCATCACAGTACTATTCACAATAGCAAAGACATGGAATCAACCTATGTGCCCATCAAAAGTGCAATGGCTAAAAACTGTGGTATATATACACCATGGAATACTATGCAGCCATGAAAAGAATGAAATGTCTTTTGCAGCTATCTGGGTGCAGTTGGAGGCTATTATTCTAACCAAATTAATGCAGAAACAGAAATTCAAATACCACATATTCTCACTTATAAGTAGTAGTTGAATGTTGGGTATACATGGAATAAAGATGGAAACAATAGACACTAAGGACTCCAAAAGCAGGGAGGGATGAGGGCACGGGTTTAAAAACTATCTGTTGGGTACTCTGTTTACTACTTGGGTGGCATGATCAGTTGTACCCCAAATCTCAACATTATGCAATATATCCATGTAACAAACCTGCACATGTACCCTCTGAATCTAAAAAAATGTGGCATATATTCTAGAACATATGTGTGAGAATTTCTCTTAGTTATACATACTTAGGTGTAAGATTGCTAAACTGTAAGATGTGCACGTGCTCAGGTTTGTCAGATTATACTCAGTTATTTTCAAAAGAAGTTGTACCAATTTATATTCATGCTAGCAATATATAAGAGCTCTCTTTGATCTACATCATCCACCTTCTGTTGTTTTATTACAGTTCTTAATTTTTGCCATTATGGTGAGATAGGAATAATATTGAATTTAAATACTAATTTTCCTCTGTCTTTCATAGGTTCTAGGATCTAGTACAGAAGGTTTATAAGCATAAAGTCCTAGTATATCCAGCCCCTCTCACTATTAGCTCATTCATACCATTCATCCCACTCGGGTCTATCTATGTTTATTTTCCTTCATTGTTACAATTCGTCATCTTTTGTTTCTATATATAGAGTTTTTCACTTTGTCTTCCTCTTTTAATACTCTCAAATTCTTTCCTTATTAAAAAGATTCCATTTGACAATTTCTTTTGATTAAGCTTAATATCAGAACCTTCTTACTTAAAGAAAATTAAGCCACACTAAATAAATAGGAAAAACAGGAGAAAGGGGATCCATGAATCTACATTATACACACAACCCAGTTGATGGTTCTCCGTTCCTCATCCCAACTCACTGAATACATATGTAGACGTGCACACACACACGTGTGTGTATATATAAGATGAATGTGTGAATATATACATATATACACATATACCATAACATATCTATGCATGATACATTTGCATTATGTGTATGTGTATGTGTGTGTGTGTATATATATATGTTCATGTGTGTGTATTCAAGGCACCTAACAGAAAACTATCCTGACTTGATGTTAGAGGTTGCCACCTCCCTCTATGGCTTGCTGAGATGTACTATTGGGCAGAAATGGCCATTCTTCTCCCCAATAAACTCAAATAAGAAGTCCTAAAGAAAGAGTCTTCTTTAGGAAGATTGTTGTGTTTGTGATCAGAGTCATTTCTTCTTCTTCTTTTCAAAGGCCCTAGATTTTGGAGCCACTGAAGAAATTAAAGACTATAACATTTTTGGGGTCTGTCACTGCATGTGGCAGAGTCACAAACTTTAGCAGAATGTGGGGGGAAGCAGCTGACCAATGCCTAGGGCAGCAGCATAAGGAGAGTCTTCATCAGTGTGGCTTATGAGAGCTACCACCTGCCCACAGAATCCGAAGCCAAGAAGTCACAGTGGCAATTAGAACTAAGCAAGGAAAGGAAATCAACCCCACCATGGACCATTATGTAATGGCACATTAGGCTTTCCTCACTCTTCTATGTACAAGCTATTGCAAAGAAGATGAAGTGGAAGGTGGTTATAAGAGTGGATCTGGTGCTTCACCTTCACTCTCAGACCCTTAGAATCCCCTTCATGCAAGCTGATAGTGACACAAATTTATCTTTTCCTCTGGAGAAGAAAAAAGCTTTGGACTGAATATGGCATTGACTTTGTAAAATGAACAGGGTTGAATAATGGAAACTTGAATGGATAACTGAAAGCGGCTGGAAAGGCATAAAATTAAGATATTATTAAACTCCTCACTAAGAAAGAAGAGATTTAGAGCACCGTTGGAAACAGTAATTGAAAAAACAAAAATGTTTTATATTTCTCTCTCAATGATTTGTGACCCTTCACTGAACACTACAAATGTTTCTGTGAGTTTAAAATACAGGTTCTACACTAACTTGCCAGAGTAAGAAACTTGATATATCAGTGAACCTCAGTTGCTTCAGTTATAAAACTCATGGGTTCATTCATACAAGCAATAATTATTGTGTACCTTCTATATGACAAGGACTCTGCTAGGAAATTGAGGTACATTATAGTGGTCATACAAGATTATTTCTCTAATAGACTGTAATTCTGTTATTACATTTATTTTTGACATATATGTAATTAAAAGACAAGCAATTCTGTGAAAGTGAGTGTCACAACTCATGACTGTGGGGAGGGCAGTTGAGGGTGAAAAATTGGAGTTTACCAACTGGTTCTAGCAGGGGAGTCAAAGCCCCATTTACTAAATTTAGCAGAGAAAAGGGATGAGGGCATTTTTTTACTGATGTGTGAGCATGACCCTTTGTGTGGCATGTGTGTGTTGAAGCAGGAGGGGAGGAGTGTGGGCACATAGGCACCATTAGTAAGCTGCCACCTGCTGAGCTCAGTCAAGAATATGATCAGATTGGAGGCCAATGAAAGAGAAGGGGCCAGGGAAGGTGCTAGGAAACCAAAGTTTAGTCAAGAAGCAGAAATAGTCTTCTTGCACCGTAATTGCACCATGCAGTTCTAGAAGATCCTGTTTACCAAGATTAAGAATGAAAGATGTCCTCTGTTGCCCCTTCTTTCAGGTTACCAGGGCTGCCCATTTCTTTTGCATATCCTTAAGATGGTAGATAAATGGGAGTAGCACTTCCGACTAATATGAAGTCAGGAAATACAGAAAGCTCACTTTGCCTGAGAAGCCAAGAATAAACAGATTTTGTTTCGTGTTTTAGAGCAAAATGGGATGTTTTAAACTCAGCCATTTGATGTTATTTTGTGTTTAAACAAGATGAGGGATGAATGTGGGTAAAGAAAATGTCTCTCCTGATCCCAGTGAAGTCTTATATGAAAACAGTGCTTCGCAGGCACCCAACTCACCTGGGAAATTGCTGTAAAATCTAGCAAAATATTGAGTCTGTTGCAGCTCAGACTCCGTTTTTCGAACTATGAAGAGAGACAGAAAGTCAATTCAGATACTTTCAAGACCATCCTATTTTTAAAATTTAGGTTTATATTGTAACACTGATTACCATTTCATAAGCAGCTTAACTCTCAGTTCTGATGAGGTAAAGTTACAAACTCCCGCACCTGGGCCTGGTGGTTCACTCAGGGACAAAATAGAATTACCCCACATAATTAAATAATGTAACACCTACAGATGTGTCTTAGCCACAGCTGCCATAACAAAATACTACAGATAGGTAGCTTAAACAATAAACACTTATTTTCTTTTTCTTTCTTCCTTTTTTTTTGAGATGGAGTCTCGCTCTGTTGCCCAGGCTGGAGTGCAGTGGCATGATCTTGGCTTACTGCAACCTCTGCCTCCCAGGTTCAAGTGATTCTCCTGCCTCGGCCGCCTGAGTAGCTGGGATTACAGGTGCCCGCCACCACGCCTGGCTAATTTTTTTTTTTGGTATTTTTAGTAGAAACAGGGTTTTCCCATGTTGGCCAGGCTGGTCTTGAACTCCTGACCTTAAGTGATCTGCCCGCCTTGGCCTCCCGAAGTGCTGGGATTATAGGCATGAGCCACCACACCCGGCCCATTTATTTTCTCACAGTTCTGGAAGCAGAAGGTCTGAGATCAGTGCCAGTATGATTGGGTTCTGGTAAGCGTTCTCCTCCTGGTTGGTAGATGGCTGCCATCTTGTGTGTTCACATGACTTCTGAGAGAGAGAAAGAGCAAGCTCTCTAGTGTCCCTTCTTATAAGGGCACTAATCCCATTATGAGGGCTCCACACTCATGATGTCATCTCACTTTAGTTACCTCCTAATGGCTTCACCTCCAAATACTACCACACTAGGGGTTAGGGCTTCATCATATAAATTTTGGGGGAACAAAAATCAGTCTATAACAGGGTGCTTCTTGCTTCTTGTCAGCTTTATCTACAGCTAAATTGACAGGGATTTGGGGCTTTTCAGCTGTTGCCCTGGTTTTATTAAAGGATGGATATTCCCAGAAATTCCAGAAACACCTAATGTATGCAGAAGCAACTTATGCTTAGGGTGTAGTGTCAGAAACCTCCTTCTTCCTCAGTCTCTTACATCTTAACTCAGTTATGAGTACCAACTTGTCACCAGCTTTGCTTTCAGGCCTACTACCATAATGAGTGAGAAAGAAAAAAGCAGGCTCTCACATTCAGAATTGATCTGACATTCGCAGCTAGACCTCAATATTATTTATAAGTTATTCTGATATTCAAGGCAAGGCTATTTTGTTCTTTCTTTGGAGACATACAATCTCACGGAACACCAACCACAGACAAGGTTACTCTGAGACAATGATAAAATGAAACAAAACAAGGCCATGTTCATAATTTTGTCTAAGCACAGACAAAATCAAGGTCACTGTGCCACCCATGAAACACCTAATCATAGAATTGCCCTCACTTTCTTGCAGTATCCAATATAGAGTGAATTCTTGCTTTCTTAGACCCTCCTCCAAATCATCCAACCAAAGCCCAAATTCTATAAGAAGTTATTCCTATATATCCTCTTACTGAGACAGGTATATTTTTGTGCTTGTAGAGAAAGCAGGACAGAAGCCTTGTCTTCAATTGACAGCAGTTTACATACTAAGAAGTTTTGTTCTTCCAACCTGCTAGATGCTCTGTCTCTACTGGCTGGATCATTGCTGGTGGGTTCAGGTGCTATGCCTTGGCTCCATCAATTTATGCTGCACCTGGACAGTCTTCTGCCAACTTTGCAGAGTTCCTTGTCTAATATCCATTCCCCAGGGCTGACACTTGAGAGGTCAGAAACCTAGTTTACTTCCCCAAAGTTCAGGCTATGTTAGCTGCCCCCTTGGGTTCTAAAATGTTTATGGTTATTTACTATCATTGCTAAGAGTTAAACTGTTTTGCTTAGAAAGAGAACATCCAGACTCCATCCTGTTTTCCCCAACTTGTGCTGAAGTCATCTCAAAAGAGACAAATATTTATTTAATCAGCCAAGCAAATTTGAATTGGGTACCTAGAATGGGCAAGGCACCATGTAAGGTTCATTTGGAGGCACAGCCAAAAATATAAAACAGTCTTTGTATCCAAAAATCTGTCTGTTGAGAAAGATGCACACAATCATATCAGGAGACAAAATAAAATGCTACAATATAGGAAAAAGGAAAGTGCAGATAATTTAAGTCTAACTTAAAGAGAATGGAACCAAATATTTACTTATTCCACTGGAATTTTCTCCTCCCAAATATATGAAAAATTACAGCTATCTTTGCTTATTTCTCTTACCATTGCAATACAATGAATATTATAAAAATTTAGAGTTAAATTGATTTTCATAATATGTAAGAAGCTTTAAAATATGGGTGCATGATATATCAAAATTTGCAAGTCTGTCTTAATATAATACATAGTGTAACCCAGTGATTCTGTGGGACATACTAACTTCTCAATATGTTTCTTAATGTCTTAAAGTAGAACTTTAAAAGAACTAAGAATAAAAAAAAACACAATAAAACCCAGAATTGGTACATAATACTTGGTTACTGATATAGTTTGGATGTTTGTCCTCTCCAAATCTCATTTTGAAATGCAATCCCTAATATTGGAGGTGGGGCCTGGTGGGAGGTGTTTGGGTCGTGGGGGTAGATCCTTCATGAATGGCTTGGTGCTGTCCACAAGACAGCAAGTGAGTTCTCTCGATATCTGGTTGCTTAAAAGTGTGTGACACCTCCCCACTCTCTCTCTTGCTCCCACTCTCAACATGTGAGATTCCAGCTTCCCCTTTGACTTTCACCATAATTGCAAGCTTTCTGAGGCCCTTACCAGAAGCAGATGCTGGCACCATGCTTCTTGTACTGTCTGCAGAACCATGAGCCAATTAAACCTCTTTTTAATGTATTACCTAGCCTCAGGTATTTTTTTATATCAACGCAAATGAACTCATACAGAAAATTGGGACCGAGGAGTGGGGCATTGCTATAAAGATACCTGAAAATATGTAAGTGACTTTGGAACTGGGTAATGGGAAGTGGTTGGAAGAGTTTGGAGGGCTCAGAAGACAGGAAGATGAGGGAAAGTTTATAACTTTTTAAAGACTGGTTAAATGATTGTGACCAAAATACTGATAGAATTATGGATAGTGAAAACCAGGCTGATGAGATCTCAAGTGAAAATGAGGAGTTTATTGAGAACTGGAACAAAGGTCACCTGTGTTACACTCTAGCAAAGAACTTGGTGGCACTGTGTTCATGTCCTAAGGATCTTTGGAAGTCTGAACTTAAGAGTGATGATTTAGGGTATCTGGCAGAAGAAATTTCTAAGCAGCAAAGCATTTCAGATGTGGCCTGGCTAAAAACATATGATCAGATGTAGGAGCAAAGGAATGACTTAAAGTTGGAATTTATTTTTAAAAGGAAAGCAAAGCACAAACGTTTGGAAAATTTGTAGCCTGGCTCTGTGGTAGACAAAGTATCCAAGCAGGCTGTGGAGCAACCACTTGCTAGAGAGATTAGCATGACAAAAAGGGAGCAAAGTACTAGTATCCAAGAGTATGGGAAAAAGGCCTTGAAGGCATTTCAGAGATCTCAGATGCAGCACCTCTCATCACAGACCCAGAGGCCTAGGAGGAAAGAATGGTTTCAAGGCTAGGACCAGGATGCCCTATCCAGCCTTGGGACACTGCTTCCCACATCCTGGCTGCTGTGGCCGTGGCTCACAGGGCCCCAGGTACAGCTTGGGCCACTATTCTGAAAGGTGCAAGCTGTAAGCCTTGGCTTCCACATGGTGTTAAGCCTGTGCATAGAATGCAAGCATGAATGAGGCTTGGTGGCCTCCACTTAGATTTCAGAGGATATATATGAGAAAGCCTAGGTGCCCAGGCAGAAGCCTGCCACAGGGGCAGAACCCTCAAAGAAAACCTCTGCTGGGGCAATGCCAAGGGGAAATGTGAGGCTGGAAGCCTCAAACAGAGTTCTCACTAGGGCACTGCCTAGTGGAGCTATGGGAAGGGGGCCACCAACCTCTAGAGCCCAGAAAGGTAGCTCCACCGGCAGCTTCTATGCTGCATCTAGAAAAGCTGAAGGCATTAAACTCCAACCTATGTGAGCAGCCAAGTGGGATGCACCCTGCAAAGCCACAGGAGACAGAGCTGCCCAAGGCCTTTGGGAGTCTACCCCTTGCACCAGTGTGCCTTAGATGTGGGACATGGAGTCAGAGAAGATTATTTTGGAGCTTCAAGATTTAATGGCTGCCCTGCTAGGTTTCAGACTTGTGTGGGGCCTATTGCTCCTTTCTTTTGGCTCATTTCTCCCTTTCAGTATGGTAATGTTTACCCAATGCCTGTACTACCATTGTATCTTGGGATTAAATAACTTGTTTTGGTTTTACAGGCTCATAGGCAGAAGGATATGAGTCTCGGATGAGACTTAAGACTTTGAACTTGATTTTGGAGCAAGTTAAGATTTGGGGGGAAGAGATTAATATATTTTGCAAAATGAGAAGGACTTGAGATTTGAGGGGCCAGGGGCAGAATGATATAGTTTGGATGTTTCTCCCCTATAAATCTCATATTGAAATGTAATCCCTGATGGTGGAGGTGGTGCCTAGTGAGAGGTGTTTGGGTCATGGGGGCAAATCTATCATGAATATCTTGTTGCTGTTCTCATGATAGTGAGTGAGTTCTCGTGAGATCTGGTTGTTTAAAAGTGTGTGGCACCTCCTACCTCTCTCTCTTGCTCCTGCTCTTGCCATGTGAGATGCCTGTTCCTCCTTTACCTTTTGCTGTGATTGTAAGCTTTCTGAAGCCCTCACCAGAAGCAGATGTCAGCATCATGCTTCTTGTACAGCCTGCAGAACCACAAGCCAATTAAAACTATTTTCTTCATAAATTACCTAGCCTCAAGTATTTCTTTGCAGCAACACAAATGGACTAATACAGTTACCAAACTTGATTTTGCCAAGCTAGTTTAGTATGACTTAGTGATAAAGAGTGAGGATTCTAAAGCCACACTGCCTGGATTTGAATTCAGATTCTACTCTTTACTTTCCAGTGTGACCTGAGAAGGGATTTAATTTATCTATACCTTATCTATAAAATAGGGATAATAACAGTACCTACTTCATAAGGATTAAATGAGTTAATTATATTAAGTACTTGGAACAGTTTTTGGCACCTAGAAAGCCCTGTATACATTTGACTATTGCTATGACTAAAGGTCTTAAATAATAGTATGTGTTATTACTGACATTTTCTTATGAGTAAAGTAAGGTGTGATACTGATGAAGTGAGAACTAACAATACACATAGAATTGCTACATTTCCCTTTTAAATTTAATTTAATTTAAATTTTTAGTTCTCTGGGTCCTAATGAATGCCTTATCATGAACAAGCATTTGGGTATTTAGTGGACACTGATTTAGTTTAAGCCTTTTATTATACTTTAAAGTGGAGAAATGATGTTGTCAAACTAGTTATGAATAAAACAAAAAATAGGAACCAAACTTCTTCTTAGTCTAGTGCTGTTGGTTTAACTCTCTATATTGTGCAGGGTAGCAGGGCCCTGGGCCTGGTCCACAAAATCATTATTCCCCACTAGGCCTCCAGGCCTGTGATGGGAGAGGCTGCTGCAAAGTTTTCTGAAATACCTTTGAGTATTTGCCCTTGGCTCCTTTTTACTTTTGCAAATTTCTGCAGTCGGCTTGAATTCCTTTCCTGAAAATGGGTTTTTCCTTTCTACCACATGGCCAGGTTGCAAATTTTCCAAACTTTTATGCTCTGCTTCCCTTTAAAATATAAGTTTTAGTTTCAGATCATCTCTTTGCTCACACATATAAGCATATGCTGCTAGAAGCAGCCAGATCAGTTCTTGAATGCTTTGCTTCTTAGAAATTTCTTCCACCAGATACCCTAAATCATCCCCCTTAAGTTCAAAGTTCCACAGATCTTTAGAGCAGGGGCACAATACCTCCAATCTCTTTGCTAATGCATAACAAAAGTCACCTTTTCTCCAGTTCCCAAAAAGTTTCTCATCTCCATCTGAGACCACCTCAGCCTGGACTTTATTGTCCATATCACTATCAGCATTTCAGTCATAACAATTTAACAAGTCTCTGGGAAGTACCACACTTTCCTTCATCTTCCTGTATTCTTCTGAGCCCTCCAAACTGTTCCAACCTCTGCCTGTTACCCAGTTCCAAAGTCACTTTCTCATTTTCAGATACCTTTATAGCAATTCCCCACTCCAGGTACCAATTTTCGGTATTAGTCCATTCTCACACTGCTATAAAGAAATACCTGAGACTGGGTAATTTATAAAGAAGAGGTTGAAGTAGCTCATGGTTCCACAAGCTCTACAGGAAGCATGGATGGAGAGGCCTCAGAAAACTTACAATCATGTCAGAAGGTGAAGGGGAAGCAGGCATATTCTACACGGCTGGAGCAGGAGGAAGAGGGAAAAGGGGGAGGTGCCACACACTTTTAAACAACCAGATATCATGAGAACTGACTCACTATCATGAAAACAGCAAGGAAATCTGCCCATAATCCAATTACCTCCCACCAGGCCACTCCTCCAACATTGGGGATTACAATTCAACATGAGATTTGGGTGGGCACACATATCAAAACCATGTCATCCAGCTACCAAACACTCCCAGTTCTCTTGGGTATATCACAGAATTGAATTTCCCTGACCCTTTGTAGTTAGGTGGATACATGTGAGTTGCTCTGGCCAATGAAATATGAGCAGAAGAAATGTGTGTCACTTCTGGGTCAAACCTTTAAGAACTAGTACACAGTTCACCACATTCTCTGTTTCTCCCTCAGCAATTGTGTGAGAACAGAGGTGGAGCCTCCCTCAGAACTGGATTACTGAGGATGGCATAGATGTGAACCTTCTGCTGACCTACAGCAAACATGCAATGGGAACAAGAACTTTTGTTGTTTTAAGCCATTGAGATTTTGGAGGGTGTCTGTCACTATAGCATAACCTAGCCTCTACTCTTTGATACATGCAGGTATGCTTTAACCCCTCCTCAATCCCCCCCTCCTCACATATACTTAGTACTGAGGGAAGTTGACTTTCATGTGAAATGGTATCTACTCCAAATGAAATAGCATTGTCTAAGTGGCACTTCCTTCCTTCATGCTTCTCTTCCTTGTGCATAACAAAGTGCCAGACATCTCTAATTCAAGTACGGAATTTGCTTACAAGTGACAATCATCTTGGAATGGTTTACAGTATATTAACTACTGACAAATATGTTGTTTGTATTGCTCCCTCAGTGCCTCAAAAGTCTAGTGAAGAGGAAAATGGAAAAAGAGCCTGTTAGTGAACTGCAGAATGGCCTCTTCTTCCAGTTAAAAACTGGGCTAGGAAAGGCCAGGTTCTGCATTATCTGCTGGAGTCAAATTAGAGATGGATGTTCCAGCTCTAATGGTAATGATGAGTTTGGAAGTCAGAGCCCTTCGATTCACTTGGTCCCTGCTTTAGCACACATACGATGCTGCTCACCCATATTTATAGGTAGAGGTTATACACAGATTGAGAGAGATTTCTGTTATGTGCTCTGAGCAGATCCTCAGTTCTCACACCCCTCTTACCATCACTATGTGGTTAGAACAAATAATTTTATTCCATTTATTCTATTTCTATTTATTTTGAGTTGGTCAAGGAAGTCAATATAGACCCTTATTGCTTCTGCAGCTTTTGTGTATGATTCTGCAGCTTTTGTATATGATACATTCTCCATCCTTTTTGCACATTAGAATTATCTCGGAAGTTTCAAAATTACAAATATCTAGGACTCACCCTCAGATATTCTGATTTAATTGGTTTGGTGTGGGTCATGGGCTTGGGAAATTTTTAAAAGATCCTTAGGGAATTCTAATATCTAGGTGGCTGGGTTTTCCCAGGAAACAGATTCTGAGATGGAGATGTGTATTCTGAAAGTTTATTGGGGAGTACTCTAGAGCTCAGCATCAGTAGGGGAATGAAGAATCAGGTTTGGCAGAGGGAGAAGTTGAATTGTAATGCAGTCACAACAAAGGCTGCAGGTGACCCCATAGGGAGATTCAGGCTGAGATGGCCCTTCGGAGTTGTCCTGAATTGGAGCAAGGGAGCTGCACCACAGTTCCTGTGCAATAACTAGTCCTTAGATGTGGCTGCTCCTCAGGAAAAGGGGCATGACACCGGGCAATAAACAGGATGGAGGAAGTCGCTGACATCATGAATTTGTTTTGTTGTTTTGTTTTTGAGATGGAGTCTTGCTCTGTCACCCAGGCTGGAGTGCAATGGCACGGTGTTGGCTCACTGCAACCTCCGCCTCCCGGGTTCAAGCGTTTCTTCTGCCTCAGCCTCCCGAGTAGCTGGGACTACAGGTGCACATCACCATTCCTGGCTAATTTTTGTATTTTTAGTAGAGACGGGGTTTCACCATATTGGCTAGGCTGGTCTCAAACTCCTGACCTTGTGATCCGCCCGCCTTGACCTCCCAAAGTGCTGGGATTACAGGCGTGAGTCACCGCGCCAGGCCGACATAATTACTTGATAGTTGGGGAAGTCAGAAAAAACATATAAACATAGAAGCAAGATAATTAGTGAGAAGGATTAATGCTATTAATGAAAATTTTAAAAATTTTAAATGTTAGTGGCTAGGAGAGGCAGCATAATGTCATGCTTAAGGGCATGGATTCTGGAGGCTGACTGCTTGAGGTCCAGACCTGGCACTACCATTACTTGCTAAGACCTGAGACAAATTAAAACCCTTGTGCCTCATTTTATAGTTTACTTATCTATAAAATACGAATACGGTAGCTACTTTACAAAGTTGTTGTAAGGACTAAATTAGTTAATTTGGATTGTTTCAACTGATTTGAGGAATGCTTGGCACATAGTTTCCAGAAAGTGTTAGCTGTTTTTCTCATTATTGTTGCAGGGCAAAGAAGTAGGTGGTTAGGGAAACACCTTATTAAGAAGCTGACATTTGTTCATCTTCTCATCATTCAAACTGGATTCAAACTGAATATTGAGAACAAGCTAGCTCTGAAGAACCAGAATGCCACCCCTACAGACAAATAGAAAAACAAATCAGGCCAGGTGAGGTGGCTCATGCCTGTAATCCCAGCACTTTGGGAGGCTGAAGCAGGCGGGTCACTTGAGGTCAGGAGTTCGAGACCAGCCTGGCTAACATGGTGAAACCCTGTCTCTACTAAAAATACAAAAATTAGCCAGGCATGCTGCTGGGTGCATATAGTCCCAGCTACTTGGGAGGCTGAGGCAGGAGAATCACTTGAACCTGGGAGACAAAGTTTGCAGTGAGCTGAGATCGCGTCACTGCAACGCAACCTGGGAGACAGAGCAAGACTCTGTCACAAAAAAAAAAAAAAAAAAAAAAAAAAAAAATTGTCAGCTAAATGTGAGAACTCCATTTACCCATGTAAAAATGCATAGATTTCAGCTTCCGAAATATTAAGAATATCAACAGTAGGTGTCTGGGTGTGGTGGCTCACGCCTGTAATCCCAGCACTTTGGGAGGTTGAGGAGGGAGGATTGCTTGATCCCAGGAGTTCAAGACCAGCCTGGGTAACAGGGTGAAACCCCGACGCTACAAAAAAATACAAAAAAAAAAAAAAAAAATTAGCCTGGCATGGTAGCACATGCCTGTAGTTCCAGCTACTCCAGAGGCTGAGGTGGGAGGATCGCTTGAACCTGGGAGGCTGAGGTTGCAGTGAGCCGAGATCGCGCCACTGTACTCCAGTCTGAGTGACAGACCAAGACCCTGTCAAAAAAAAAAAAAGAAAAGAAAAGGCTGTAGTGGAGAAAAAGCTTGGCTTATTACAGAAACAGAGGGAAGGCCAGTGTGTTTACAATGTAGTGAAGAGGGTAGGTTTGAAGGCTGAGAGATAAGTGTAGCATAATAAGAAATACATATGTGGCCTTTGTCCCTGGTTCCTGACACAGAGCTCCTAAAATTCTTGTAATTTTCTGAGTGATAGGGGTGTCTTATTATTCACTACAAGTCCCTTTCAACCATACCTGAGTTTTTGCTAATAATGTGACTCCTGGTGAGCCCTAGATAGCTTCAGGATGGAGACTGGTCACGAAAGGAACCAACCACCTGATTAGAGGATTGGAACTTTCAGTCCCACTCCCTACTTCTGGAGAGGCGAGAGGGCCTGAAGATTGGCCAGTGATTTAATCAATCATGCCTATGTGATGAGACCTCCACAAATTCCCTCAACAACAGGGTTTGGAGATCTTTGGAACTGGCAAACATATTCACGTGCCAGGATTAGTGCACCCAAAATCCACAGAGACAAAGCTGGGCTTAAGACATGTCTGGACCTTGCCTTATGTATACCTCTTCATCTGGCTGTTCATTTGTATTGTTTTTAATAAACCAGTGAGAGTAAAATGTCTTGCAGATTTCTGTTATTCTACCAAATTATCAAATATAAAAGGGGGAAGTGTGGGAACCTCCAATTTTATAGCCAAAGTGGGCGGAAGTATGGGTACCTTGGCCTCCAATACTTGCTACTGGCATCTAAAGTGAGGGTAATTCTGTGGGACTGAGGCCTTAGAACTTTGAGTCTGATACCATGAGTAGTTAGTGTTAGAATTTAATTCAATTATAGGATGCCCAGCTGGTGTCCAAAGAGTTGAGAACTGGTTGTTGGTGTGGAAAAACCCCACACATTTGATGTCAGAAGTGTGGTGAGCAAA
Source organism: Homo sapiens (assembly GCF_000001405.40). Classification (NCBI taxonomy): domain Eukaryota; kingdom Metazoa; phylum Chordata; class Mammalia; order Primates; family Hominidae; genus Homo; species Homo sapiens. Next base: position 43,244,515 of record NC_000023.11, on the reverse strand, counting down.
GAGCTCAGTAGGTACTGACCAAATTAGACTGGACAACAGTGAAGAGTTGTCATCCATTTGTTTGTCTACGCCACCACCACCTCCCTGACCCAGACAGTGACTACTTTAGGAAAGGGACTGTAGTGGATCCTATAATATACTGACCAGGTCCTCCTTCAGGACTGAAGGACCTATTTCCCCTCATGTTGGAAGTGCTGCAGGCACTCAACCCTCAGCTGTCAGCCCTCTTTCCGAGAATTGCCTTTGGCTGGAGAAAGATACCTCACCCAAGATCACATCCTTCTGGGGGAAGCCTGCATCCAATGACTGGTTGATTTGGGAATATAAGAGTCCAGCCTCATCACTTCAACTGGGGACAACTCTATACTGGAGACAATTTTATATGACAATTACAGCCTCAGAGCTCAGCATCAATTTGGCTGAGGTCTTTCTTGTTACTATGTCACAGCCTAACATTACCCTCTGCCCAATCCTGCTTTGTTCTCTTCTTTCACAGACACTCATCTCAAGATTACTCCCTAGTACAATTTCTACATGCTAATCTCCATGCCAGAGCTTTTTGGGGGGGAACACGACTTGAAATGAGTACCATGTCTTTTGTGTCTTCCTACACCCAGTCTCATCATACATCTCAGAACCTCAGTAAATATTTGTCAAATTAATAGATAAGTGACAGAAAAGGTGGTAGCCGATACTAGGATGGGTTGGATAGATGTGTTGGTGGTGGCATGAGTGATTGGAAGGGGGAGAAATCGTGGGAAATATTAAAAAGGATATGGAAACCACAAGGGGGGGAAACCTTCCAATCTTTTCCTTTCTAAGAAGTTGAGAACAGGATTCAAGATGGTATATGTGGCCGGGCGTGGTGGCTCATGCCTGTAATCCCAGCACTTTGGGAGGCCGAGGTGGGTGGATCACGAGGTAAAGAGATTGAGACCATCCTGGCCAACATAGTGAAACCCGTCTCTACTAAAAATACAAAAATTAGCTGGGCATGGTGGCGCATGCCTGTAGTCCCAACTACTCGGGAGGCTGAGGCAGGAGAATCGCTTGAACCCGGGAGGCAGAGGTTGCAGTGAGCAGAGATCGCGCCATTGCACTCCAGCCTGGTGACAGAGTGAGACTCTGTCTCAAAAAAAAAAAAAAGATGGTATATACTTATTGGTGCTACCAGAGCAGCAGATCTTTGAGGGATAAAAACAAACTTGCATCACCATCAAAACATCAACAATCTACTTTGTGAAGCTTATTCATCTACTCTCTACTAAACCAAGAAATTTCTCTGTTTAAATGTTCTATTTGTAATAAAGTTAATTTGGGTAGATTGTATTTTCCTAGAATATATAAGCTATTTCATCTAGGTTTTCAAGTTTCTATGCATAAAATGTTGAAAAGCAGTCTCATGGTCAAAAATTTTTCTCCATCTCATTTTTATTTCCTCCTTGTCAATTTTTATTTTCTATATTTGAGATTTCCCACTTTTTTTCTTAGCTAGGTTAGTTAGTGGTTTGTCTATTTTATTGAATTTTGCAGGACCAGAATTTTGGTTTATTTATTATTTCTAATTTTTTTCTGTTTTCTACCTCAATCGTATACCCTTTTATCTATATTAATTCCTTCAGTCTGCTTCCTTTTAAATTATGATGCTGTTCATCTTATAGATTCAAATTCATCCATATGCATTTTTTGTTTTTATTGCTTAGTATTTTAGCCTTAAATATATGTGTGTGTGTGTGTGTATGTGTGTGTGTGTCTCTCAAGCAAGCAAATTATATAATGAGGAAATATTAGGTATTCTCTCAAAGGTCAGAAATGAAACCTTAATGCCTACTATCTCCTCTGCTATTTTACATTCTATTGTAATTATTAGAAATGAAATCAGAAAAGAGAAAAACTAGAGGTATAAAATTGAATCAAAAAAAGAACACTATCACTATCTGTAGATGATATGATAGATAGTTTACCTGGAAAACCCATGAGGACAACAACAAAACTAACACAAATAGTAAAACAAGTTGATAATTTAGTAGGATATGAAATTAATAAATAAAAATCAATATCCTTCATATATAAAAGCAACTAGTGAAATGATGCAATGAAAGAGATAACCCAATTTGCAATAACAACAAAATGATAAAATATTTATAAGTACACAATTAAAAATTATAAAACCTGTATGAGAAAATATTAATACAACTACTAAGAGATGCAAGTTAGACACACAAATGCAAAGAAAGCCTTTTTTCTTGGATAGCATGATTCAATATCATAAAGAAATAAAATCTTCTCCATGTTTGTTTATGTGTGTGTGTATGTGTGTGTGTGCATAAAAATAAAATATTTACTTTTTAAAAGAGCTAGATAAATTGATTCTTAACATTTGTTTGGAAAAATAGCATGCAAAATCTCGGGAAGCCCTGGAAAAGAAGAGCAAAGAGCTGAACGAATCCTACCAGTTATTAAAACATATTATAACTCTTCTATAATTAAAACTGTTAGTGCTGGCACATGAAAAGGCAGGCAGAACAGAAGAATAGAACAGAGCAGTCCAGAAATATACCCAAGAACATATGGCAATTTAGGATATGATAAAGGTGGCATCTTGCATCACTAGGGAGAAGAGGGACTTAGATTGGGTTGAGATAAATGGATAGTCATTTGAAAAAAAATAAAACTGGGTTCATACTTTATACCATACACTAAAATGAATTCCAAATGGATTAGATATTTAAGTGTAAAAGTAAATAAATTAAATCACACTAGAAGAAAACTTGAGTGAATTACTTTATAACCCGTATATGAAGTTCTATGACTCGCAATTCAAAGGCAGCCATTAAAAAGACTGATAAATTTGAACTCATAAACATTCTTTGAAAACTTTTTTCACATGGGAAAAATACACCATGAGCAAAGTCAAAAGACAATATGGGAGAAGCACTATGCTAGATTCAGTACTCTGAATCCTCTCATATGACAGTGTTCCTATCGTGGCATTCCACTTTTTGCTAATCATTATTTTATATATATGAGACCTGATGAAGTGATGAGTTAAATGATATTAATTTCCCAATATATGTGTCCAAACTTTGACTATAGTTTTCAGCCACTTCCTCTCTACAGCTACAAACAAGAGATTCTTTAACATGGTCATAATAATTCTATCATTTTAAGTTTTTGCATTAAACCAAGAATTTAGAACTTTAAGATCACTCCTACAATCCTTGAATTCCTCATTGGCTTTATTCACATTTTTTTGGAAGTAGTTACTATATCCCTCAAAGCTGTGCCTTCACTAGGTACTTTATTTTTAGTGATCATAGGTGATAATTTAAGTTGTTGCTTGCTATGTACTATGAACTACTAAGTCCAATCTTTCAATACTAACCAGGTGTCCCAACAAGCAGATAGAATTAGATGTACAATAGATTTGGTCAGAAATGGGATGTGGGGGATTCCTGTGAAGGATAATGGGGGCAGAAACAGGAATAGGCAGGAAGAGCCTTTTTGTTGAATCATCATAGCCATTGATGAAGGATGCTTAACATCAACTGGCCAAGACATTTTGTCTGTTTGATTTTTCAGCCACACTTCTGTGGTAAATGCTTCCTGGTGACCCTTAAGGTGTGATACAAAAATCTTTACACTTATGCCCTCTTCTATTCATATATATGCTCTATTACTTCAAGGCACCATAATTCCCATAATTATCAGTGAGCCCACCTCTGTCACTGCCTTGCCTACTGTCTGCCCCGACTTGGAGAGGATAACTACCATTGAAGTCAGTGATGCTGGTTCCCATCTCACCAGCACATTCCTGATGGCCTGGGTGGAAGAGGGTGCCCTTTGGGTCCTCTAATGAACCATAAGCCTATGATGAATCTTCTGGTCTCATGTAACATATTAATTCCAGCGTGCTCACTTCCCTCAGTCTCTTCATTCCCTTCTCTACTGTCTGCCAGGGCAGTTTTCACTTGATCCTTGTTGACTATCTCTTCTTCCAGGCTTCTAAAAGCTAACTTGTCGTACATTTGCCCCATCCCTTAGGGTCTCTGCCAGGTCATTAAATTTCATGTCCTGAAAAAGTGTTCCCAAGTGAGTTAATTTTTGCTTACCTAGTCATATATTCCAGTTTCTTTCAAACGCCTTAAAATCCTATTCTATAGATACTCTCTGGCTCCTGCTAGTGCATGCTGGGTAATTCTTGATGCTCCTACTGTGTATAATCTCTTTATTCCCTTATCAGACCTAGCATTTTTCCATACAGGTTATACTGAGATTTAACCTTAGTAATAGGCCTAACAGCCAGGAGAGGAGGTGGGGCAGCTCCTGATGTGTGCCACCTATTGTCTTACAGGGCAAAAGCCTGCAGCATTTTCCCATGTGGGGGAAATGCTAGTCTTAAGAAGAAATGGTTATCTTGGCCAGGTGCGGTGGCTCACGCCCATAATCCCAGCACTTTGGGAGGCCGAGGCAGCCAGATCACGAGGTCAGGAGATCAAGACCATCCTGGCTAACACGGTGAAACCCATCTCTACTAAAAATACAAAAAATTAGCTGGGCATGGTGGCAGGCACTTGTAGTCCCAGCTGAGGCAGGAGAATGGCGTGAACTCGGGAGGCAGAGCTTGCAGTGAGCCGAGATCCCACCACTGCACTCCAGCCTGGGCGACACAGCGAGACTCCATCTCAAAAAAAAAAAAAAAAAAAAAAGAAATGGTTATCTCTAGAAGCTCTAAGGGTTCAGGGAGGTCTGAAGAGCTATAATCCTCAAATGCAAGCATCCTGATGCTTCCATTTCATGTTTCAGGGGCCCAGATTGTCCCTATCAGGGGCTAGAACTTCATATAACAGGCCTGCCTTGGCTCAGCATTTAAATGCCTCTGGAATTCTGCAGCTCAATCAGATCTTGTGTCCACTCCTGTTAACACCTATGTCTGCGCTTCCGCTGCAGGAGGTAAGGTTTATTTCAAGCAACTACAGAGGCACTCCGGCTCTCATAGTTAGTCTTTAACTGTTTGTTAACAGCCTGCAGACTTCCATTATCTCTCTGCAGGATGTCAATCGAACTTAATCCTATCAAGCCAACTCTCCTGTCCTTACAGGTATTGTTTTACCTGTCTCTTTCAAGTGCCTGAATCACCAAACCAGCAAGGGCATTCCCCTCCACTGTGAAATTTTCCCAGATCACTACAGGTGAAATCGCCAACAGTTGGGTTGACACATTGTATCTGGGACTATTCATGCTCTTACAGAGGCACTCAGTATGGTGTCCTGCTTTTCAGACAGGTACTTAGTGAGCCAGTGGCCATATCCCATTTTTATGAATTTTTCCTGACCACTGTCAGTTAGTTTAGTTAGGTCTTTTGAGAAGCAGATGCCAAGATGGGATCAGGGGTGAGAGATTTATAGGGGGAAATGCCTATGAAGGGTAAAGCAGAGGAAGCATTTTAGGAGGTGAGAGGCTTCAGTCTGTGATGCAAGTGTGGCAAAAGAGAAAGAAGGAAGAATTGGGTAAGAAGAGCCTCAGACCATAGGGCAGTTCTGAGAAAGTTTCCACTTGGCTGAAAGGAACTCCCCAAACCAAAGTTGCTCCTTAGAGGAATCCCAGTTTGAGGCAGGAGTGAGCTAGCCCTAGTACCTCTGCCATGCTCAGGCATTGGCTAGGAGGAACAGCAGCTGGAAGCTGTCAGTCACTATGTTCACTGCTCATGGAGCAGGTTCTCTTGAAAGAGAGCTGAGCAGCATGTTTCCATGGCTGCCATGCCAGATAACCAATCACAAAACTTCCCCATTTCCCAGGGGTTCTGTTGCCTGCATCAACTTCTGGTTCCAATTTCTGTATCCTTCCAGATTCTTAGCTGCATATAGCAGAAGCTGACTGGCTGATTAGGCAAAAAGAGAGTTTTTTAAAAAGGGTACTGGATAGCTCATAGAATTATTGAGAGTGTCTTAGGCTAAGTTTCCATGGTCAATGCCAGAAAGCAACCTACAGAATTCGATAATGGAGAAAAACACAGCTGTTTCCCCTGCTGCTACCAAATCCTAGATGCTGCAGATTGAACAGCTGCTATCTACTAGAAATGACTGAAGTAGCTGCTGCTGTTAGCCCCAAACTCACTTCTATACCAGGAACTCAACTTGCCTGCTACTATCTCCCTTGACATCCAGAGGACTCTGCTATTGATATCTGGGACCAGCAGTCTAGTCTTTCAGCCTTCAGGCTGTTTTTGGCTTGAAGGTGAGGTTTCACCAGGGACTTGCTCCTATCTGCCTAGGCATTTGGCTGTCTTTTGCCACTATCATTATAATCCTCTCCAGGAAAGTGGATTAAGTAGGGAAGCTGCTCTTCACCAATCAAACTTAAGCAGGGGTATATCTAAGTCACATGATTGTGCCCTAGCTGAAAGGAACCTGTGGAGGTGAGTTGCCTGAATTCTAAATTATGGAGATGAGACTCTAATTCTCTAGACATTTCAAAGATGCTCAAAAAGTTCTGGAAAACAGGTCAAATATCAACTTCAAATGTTCAACTTCATGCCTGCCTCATGCATAACTATAAAATCATTTGTATTAGTAAATACTTAAGGACAACCTAAATACCCATCATTAGAGAAATGGTTAATTAAATAACGAAAAGTATTTACTTTGGCATACTATGTAATAATAAAAAGATTGAGAAAGTTCTGTATGTGTTAGCAAGGAATAGTATCTAACATGTCTTTATGTAAACAAATTCAAGACAGAAATATATATATACCTATATGCACATATGTGTTTGAAAGTTAATAGCATGATTCTATTCATATTCATAAACATATATGTAAGTATATACATATTATTCTCTATTTATACATAGAAAAGGACTAAAAAATATATATCCATATGATACATTTGCTTACTTTTAGTTAGGTAAGACTATATTGAGTGTTGGGGCACAGTAAATGGAACATTCACATTTAATTCTCTACAACTCTCACTGTATAAATCTATTATCATAAGACTATATTTGTGTTTAGCTATTAAATTTATGGAGAAGATGAGGCTTTAGAATATAAATAAGTAGCCCATGTGATCTACAAATTTGGTTCTGAAGTCCTTAATGACCAAAAATGGTAATATCCTCCATTTCAGTTTGCTTTGTCCATGGGAAGGGGGAGATTCCAATTACCTGGGGCATAAACATTTTACCTGGTATTATTGTATTGTAGTATAATGAAAAATAAGTATTTGGTCATTGTCCTTGGTTCTTGGCACAGAGCCCCTGAAACCCTTGGAATTTCCTGAGTGATGGGTGTTTTTGTATGCTAATGAGATGATTGGTGGCTAAGGGCCCCTAAATAGCTTTAGGATGGGGGCACAATTAGAGGGTTGGAATTTTCAGCCCCCTCACCACATTCCCCTACCATGTTTGGGGAAGGGAGAGGGACAGGAGATTGAGTTCAAAAACCAATGGCCAATGATTTAATCAATCATGACTACATAATGAAACCTTTATAAAAATTTCTGAATGACAGTCAGAGAGCTTCTGGGTTAGTGAGTATGCTGGGAAGGTGGTGTGCTCAGAGAAGGTATGCGAGCTCTGTGCCCACTGACCCCATACTTTGCCCTATGCATACCTTCCATTTGGCTGTTCCTGAGTTGTATCCTTTATAATAAACTGTTACTAGCAAAGCACTTTCCCGAGTTCTGTGAGTTATTCTAATGAATTATTGAATCTAAAAAGGGGATTGTGTGAACCCCCAAATTTATGGCTTGTCAATAAATATGGGTGGAAACATTGAACTTGTGACTGACATCTGAAGTGAAGGCAGACTTGTGAAATGAGCCCTTAACTTGTGGGGTCTATGCTAACTTTAGATAGGTAGGGTCTGAATTGGATTGAAGTGTCAGACACTCAGTTTATGTCAAGAATCAGTGAATTTGTGTTGGTAAAGTTACCACATATTTAGTGTCAGGGGAAAAACACTTTTCAAATATGAATAACTTTTTCATATGAGTCTCTAAGTAGGCATATTGAGCAATGTACCTGACAATTTTCTTCAGAACACATCTACATTAAATGAAATAGTGAATTCATTAGAGCTGTTTCTTGGGGGTGTCACTTAATACAACTAAGCCATAATGCAAAAGTTCCAACCTAAAGAATCAATCATGCAAGGATCAAAGTTCCTCCAGTTAGTACCTTCGGTTAGTTCCTCCAGTTGGTACTTCTTGCTAAATAATATCATTGGCCATCAGTGAAAGAGGCAGTTGGAGGAAGGAGAGTTACAACTGTACCATCAACTCATATATAATGCTAACTATGAATCTTGACCCAAGTGGAACTCCATCAGTAAGGATAAAACACTAGTCAAATGGGAACTTTTGTAAACATTAATGCTTTGTAGTAAGACCAGGGCTCATTTTTCAAAAGCCAGCTTCTTCTTTTTTTGAGATGGATTTTCGCTCTTGTTGCCCAGGCTGGAGTGCAATGATGCGATCTCGGCTCACTGCAACCTCTGCCTCCCAGGTTCAAGCGATTGTCCTATCTCAGCCTCCTGAGTAGCTGGGATTACAGGCACCCACCACTATGCCTGGCTACTTTTTTGTATTTTTAGTAGAGACGGGGTTTCACCATGCTGACCAGGCTGGTCTTGAACTCCTGACCTCAGGTGATCTGCCCACCTCAGCCTCCCAAAGTGCTGGGGTTACAGTTGTGAGCCACCACGCCCGGCAAAGTCAGCTTCTTTATAGGTCAGGTTTAATGATTTGAAAGGCATATTTACATTACTCCCTCTCATTGTCAATAACTTCTACTAAGCCCCTTTTAGATACAGAACAAAGCACAGAGTAGACGCTGTTGATGCTCTGTTTCATATTTCTTTGGCCTACATAAATTCACCTGCAGATGCAAATAAAGACAATTACCAGAACCTGTTAGCTTCCCAGCCCAATCACCAGTCTGTCTTCTCGGGCTGAGGATTTTATCCAGCATGGAAACTTAGGCTACTATATACAGGCACAACATGGAAGTATGGGGAGTTCATGCTATTTGAGACAAATTCAGCCAATGAAGTATGGGATCTGTGAATAAGTGCTCCAGCGTCCCTCTCAACCCCACCCACCTCCACCACAGTCCTTGGGAAACCTCTTCCATGTGATATTTCAGAGGTGCCCTAGCAAAATTAAGCTCCAGTTGCCCACAGCGATAACCTGCTAATGAATACCCACTTCATTAGCTTTCCTTTTGTATTTTCTCACTCACTTCTCCATTCTGCTTCCTATGCTCACCTCCCAAATAAAAAATTTGCACCTGTGTCCTCACCTCAGAGTCTGCTTTCGAGAGGGTCCAAAGTAAGACAAAGAACATGTGTTTATTTTTGCAATCTCATTTGAAATAAATTAGAATAAGGTAAAGTACTACTTAGGAAGCAACTATGAGCCCTCTTAAGACAGAAAATTTTTTAAAAGATTTATTTAAAAGCTTAGGAATCAGTATCTGACATTGTAGATAAAACACAAAAATCATATTTCTAGTAGCCAGTGTTATAGCCTGACCGTGAAAGATCTGTTTTCCCTGTTAACATTCCACAAAACCAAATTAAAGATTGAACCCTTTGGAGACCCTTGTACCAAATGAATAAAGAGCTTGTCTTTGTCAGTTCCTTCAATCAATCTTCTTGAAGATGTGATAATCTTGCAAAAGCAAAAAGCAAAGTCAAGTGATTTATTTAAACTTGTCTACCAGGTGATCACTGCCTTAGTTGTCTTTTCAGAAATGGTAGCAGCCCAGAGGGTTTCCCATGCTCTAAGCCTGAAATTAGTTCTGGAGAATAAAGAGAAATTTGCTGTCCCAAGTTATGAGATCTTGAAAGACAGTGAGTAATATGTGGGTGCATGGCCACTCTCCTAAGCTTGAGAGACAGCTGAGAAAATCATATTCTTTTATTATAAAACCTGTGTTTGCTGAGGTAAGAGAGGTTCAGAGAAGAAAATCAAAGGAAAAGATAATGGCCAACATTTGGAAATGTTTTGTAGTAAATGTGATAAAATTATGAAATCTGTTTTCCCCCTGTCCTGCAAATCTCAAATATGCAGAGCCTGACACTTGATTCTAAATGAAAAATTTATCTCTAAGGGTCAGAAATACTTCAGTTCACATATGGCCACAAGGTTTTAAATGATGACTCATTTGTTTTTATCCCCTCACTTGCTTTTAATTTCAAAAATATCTTTCACATAGAAAGCTTTCCAATATGCTCCATTCAACACACAAGTTAGGTGTTGATGTTTGTGGACAGATATCTGTTTTGAAGTAAATGCCAAGTTTGATCAGGATCTATTGCACTTGCTTTCTCATAGCTGTTTATTTTTCTTTCTGGAAAGGTAAAATTGCATTCAGAAACCAAGCAAACCTTATTTCAAAGATCCTTATCATTTCTTGATGCCAGCCCTTCCTAAAATCAACTACTGTCCTGAAACTGTATTGGGATAATCAAAGCAATACTAAAGGCTTTATTCTATCAGAATCTTAAATATCTTAAAGACTGTAAATTTTGATAGTGTTATATTCAGATCTGATAATGGCTCATGGCATAATTGGAAATATAATTTCTTAATTTCTCTGTATCTCTTGTCACAGCCATAAAATCTATTTGCCTCTTCAGTTATATAAAGTCATCCTTATCAGCTATTGAAAGTATTTGTTAAGTATCAATTTATAAATGGAGCCACGCTTGGCAGAGAAAGGCAGATCATAACTTCCTTTGGAATATGGTTAATTTATTTCAATGCACCACTATGGTAGACTGAATACGTTTATGATACATAGATAATTGAATAATAAACATTTATCTGAATGAATAAGCATAACGTTCAGGTGTTTGCATTATGTGGAAGTAAGGAATTACTGAATTTATATAGAAATTAGTGAGTGGAAAGCCGACATATGTTTTATGTTTGGACATGGTAATGGGAAAACTTTTTTACTCAGGCAATTAATTCATGAAAGCTTTATTGAGTACATGGGGTTTTGAAAGCAACGATGACACTCGGCAGTGATGTGAAGAGGTAAAATAGCACTTTTAACTGAGGATGGCAGTGACCCCTCTATTTCCTTGGCTGAATAAAGTGTTCCTTAGGGTCCCATGGGTGGCAGGTACACACAGAACAGGGCTTCACAACTATGAGGGGGCAAACTATTTCAATGATACTCCCATTTCAAGGTTAAAATGGGTGGAAGACAGAGGGAAAGAGAATACCGTAATTCTGATGTTATTTTCAACAAATTTGTATGCTTTTGTTGATATTTCTAAACACTTGACTATTCACGCTGTGCAAATTTGTTTCAAAATGGTTAACATGAAACTACCTATACCAAGAAAATGGTTTCAAATTAGGAAATGAATAACCACACTGCTGTTCTAATGAAATTAGTCTAAATTGTAGCCAAAAACTTCTCACCATATTTATGCATTAAAACTCTAGGAAAACAAGGTATTTTAAGACTTATTTTGGCTACCTAAAAATATGACTTTAAGTCACTATTTGTAACAATACAATTTTTCTAATAGGAAAGGTTTTCTAATTACAAAGATTCTGTGACATTCGAGGGGCATAAAATTCCATTTAAATAAGGCAAACTGCTTATATAAGAGGGAAACTAAGAAGCATTCAATGGAAATATACAATTTTTAGATGAGAAGATAAATTCATGAAAAATGAAGCTTGCACTACATAAAAAAAAGTTATCATGTAATTTTGTCTCTATGTCATGTGTGAAGAAAGGAACCAGAATTTTGAAAAGGCAACTGCAATTTCCCTGTTCTCTAATGGCATCTCCAATTTTCCTGTTCTCTAATGACATGGGCAGGCACAATAGACGCTTCAGTTCAAGACAAAATATGTAGATAACTAGTTACTGAGTCTTCAAGTCCCTGAGTCACTACTCAGAGACATTGAAAGAATTGAGTACAAATTGCTAGGATGGGCTATAGGTTATCAAAGGTTTCATATGAATCTTTTCTACTCCCTCCTGACTTTTTGGCATGCATTTCTATGAGTTTCAACACATGTATAGGTTAATGTATCTATTAATACCACCACAATCAGGATACATAGCAGTTTTATCAGCCCTCGAAAATGACTTCATGCTCTTCCTTTATAATCACACCCTCTTCCCCCCTCTCAACTTTTGGCAACCACTGATTTGTTTTGTCTCCCCAGAACATGTTATAAACAGAATCACATACTATGTAACTTTTACAAAATTGCTTCATTCACTTAGCATAATGTCTTTGAGATTCATTGATGTTGTTCCATGTATCAATAATTTATCCCTTTTCATTGATGAGTATTATTCCATTGCATGGGTATATCACAGTTTGTTTGTCTACTCACACTTTAAAAAAGGTATATGGGTTGCTTCCAGTTTGGGACAATTATAATAGAGCTGTGATATATATTAATTTGCTGGTTTTTGTATGAACATAAGTTTGTATTTCTTTGGAGTAAATACCAAGGAATAAGATTGTTGGATAGTATGGTAAATGTAGGTTTAACTTTATAAGAAAACTGCCAAATGATTTCACAGAGTGGCTACACCATTTTGCATTCCCAGGTGAAGGTTCCAGATGTGTCACAATTTTGCAAACAGTTGATATTGTCAGTATTTTTTAGCTGTTGTAATATATGTGTAGTGGTATCTCCTCCTTCTTCTTTGCATTTCTCTAATAACTAAAGATGTTAAATGTTTTCTCACATACTTATTTGCCGTCTCTGTATTTTCTTTGGTGAAGTGTATGTTTCAGTGCTTTGCAAAATGTTTTTGAAATTTTTATTGTGATATAATTGTAAATTCACATGCAGTTGTAAAAAACAATATGGAGAGAGTCTTTGTATGCTTTACCCAGTTTCTAACAATGATAACAATTTGCAAAAGTATAGTATAGTATCACAACCAAGATATTGACATTGATACCTTATAAACATATACAATTGTTATTAAAAATAAAATTTTATAGCATAGTATAGTGCACAATGTAACCTTCTGAGACTGGCTTTTTACACTCAGCATGATTTCTCATAGATTCCTCAAATTGTTGCAAGTATCAATAGTTTGTTCTTTTTCATTGCTGAGTGTGTATATATCACAGTTTGTGTAACTATTCATTCCTTGAAGGGCATCTAGGTCGATTCCAATTTCTGACTATTACAGATTAAACTGTTACGACATTTATGTTCAGGTTTTTGTATGATCATGTTTTCATAACTTTGGAATAAATATCCAATAGTACAATTGCTGGGTCGTATGGTAGTTGCATGTTTAGCTGTATAAGAAACTGCCAAACTGTTTTCCACAGTGCCTATACCATTTTACATTCCCATCAGCAACGCAGGCGATTCAGTGTTTACATCATCTCAAGCATTTGGTGCTATATCTATTTTTTTGTTTATTTTAGTCATTCTGATAGATGTGTAGTGATATCTCATTTTAGTATTAATTTGCATTTCCTTAGCTAATAGTGTTGAACATCTTTTCATGTGCTTATTTTCCATCTGTGTATCCCTTTAGGTGAAATGTTTTTTCAAGACTTTTGCCCATTTTCTAATTGGATTGTTTGTGGTTTTGCCGTTGGGTTTTGGGACTTCTTTATATCCTACATAATCGCCCTTTGTCAAATATGTGGTTAGCAAATAATTTCTGCCAGTCTGTAGACTGTCTTTAATCCTCCTCATACGGGATTTCACAGAGTAAAAGTTTCTAGTTTTAATGAGGTACAATTTATCAATTTTTCCTTCTATGAATCATGCTTTTGGTGTCAAGGCTAATAAAACTTTGTCTAGTATTAGACCCCAAAGATTTTTTCTCTTGTTTTTTTTTTCTGTATATTTTACACTTAAGTCCATTATCCATTTTAGGTTAATAGTTGTATAAGGTGTGAGGTTTAGGGCAAGGTTCATTTTTTGCTTATGGAGGGCCAATTGCTCCCACACGATTTCTTGAAAAGGCTATCCTTCCTCTATTGAATTGTATTTGCACCTTTGTCAAAAATCAAGTGGTTGTACTTGTGTGGAAGCAATTTCTGTGTTCTCTATTCTATTCCATTGATCTATGCATCTGTGCCTTCACCATATCATATTGTCTTGATTATTGGACTATATAGTAAGTCTTAATATTGGGTAGAGTAAATCCTCCCACTTTATTATTCTTTATCAACGTTATCTTAGTTATTCCAGGGCCTGTGCTTTTCCCTATGAGTTTTAGAATAAGCTTCTATATGACTATAAAACACCTTGCTTAAATTTTGATGGGAAATTTGTTAACTCTCTATATAAATTAGGAGAGGATTGACAACTATACTGTGTTGAGTCTCCCAATTCATGAACATGGCAAGTCTCTTCATGTATTTAGGTTTTCTCTGATTACATTCATCATTTTGTAATTTTGCAAACAGACCCTATATGTGTTTTGTTAACTATATACTTAACTCTTTTATTTTATTTGGCAATTTTAGTAGCATGGTGTCTTAAATTTTGGTTTCTGCATGTTTTTTATCAATATATGGATATGCAATTGATTTTTGTTGTTTGATGTATTGTTCTAATATCATAATATCCTGTGACTTTGAAGAACTCACTTAGACCTAGGAGTTTTTATTAATAGATTTTCTTTCTTTCTTCTTTTCTGACCTGTATACCTTTTTATTTCTTTACTTTTCTTTATTGCATTGCCTAAAACTTCCATCACTATGCGGAATAATAGCAGTGACAGTAGACATCCTTACTTTGTTTCTGAGCATAGCTGGGAAACGTTCATTCTTTCACCATTAAGTATAATGTTAGGTGTAGGGTTTTTGTAGCTGTTCTTTACCAAGTTAAGGAAGTTGTCCTGTTTCTATTTTCCTGAGACTTTATAATAAATGAGTGTTAAAATGTATTAAATGCTTTTTATGTATCCATTGACAAAATCATTAATGTTTCTTCTTTACCTTGTTATTATGGTGGAATGAAATTATTTGTTTTTAAATATTTAACCAAGCTTCGATCCTTGGAATTAACCCCAGTGGTTATGGTGTATAATTCTTTACATCATAGAATTCAGTTTGCTAATATTTTGTTAAGGAATTTTATATCAAAGATTATGAGAGATATCGATCTGTACTTTTAGTTTTGGACACTATCTTTGTCTGCTTTTGGTGTCACAGTAATAATAGCTTCATAAAATTAATTGAGAAGTGTTACCTCTTCTATATTCTGCAAGGGATTGTATATAATTGCTTTAATTCTTTTTGAACATTTGGTAGAATTTTCCAGTGAAACCGTCTAGGCCTAGAGTTTCTATTTGGGGAGTTTTAAAAATTATGAATTCAATTTATTTAATAGTCATAAGGCAATTCAAATCAACTATTTAATATTGGGTGAGCTGAGGTACTTTATGTTTTTCTAAAAGTTGATCTATTTCATCTAAGTTGTCAAATGTATGAGTATGGAATTGTTTGAAGTATTTCCTTATTATCATTTTGGTGTCTGCAGGGTCTGTAATAATACACTCTTTCATTCCTGACATTAGTTATTTGTGTCTTCTCTTTTTTCTGTTGTCAGTCTTGCTAGAAGTTTGTCAATTTTATGGATCTTTTCAAAGAACCAGCTCTGTGTTTTATTGTTTAACTTCTCTCCTCAAAGCACAGATAAGCATCCTCCCTGTTCATTTTAAGAGCTAAAAGGCTTCATGTGCCATTTAGCATTGAATGGTCACTCATCGCAACAAAGTTGCCTTGGTTGTTATGTTTTGAAAACTCACATGTTTAACATAATCCATCTAGTTATGTCACAGTTGATTCCTGGCCAGAAGACTATGTTATGTCTACCTCCTTATATACACGTCTTGTTACTTTGGCCATGAGGAAATTATTCCTCCATGACAGAAAGCAGTGTCAACCACAGCCTATCCTGATGACAGCTCATGTCAAGTGGAGGAAGAGGAGTGCAAAGAAAAGAATGCTTTAGATGTTTTGATAAGCAGCCTGGTTTTCAATATGTGCCTGTTATGGGGTGAATTGTGTCCCCTCAAACGTCATAGCCCCCAGGTATAGTTCAGCACATTTCATTTTCCTGTGGATAACTCTGGTCTCTTGAGAAAAGTACATGGAGAAGCTGCTGGAAAGATTTCCCTATAGTTTTCTCTTTCGGAGTTGGATAAGACTGTGAATTGCATAGCTATTTACTCATCTGCTCTAAGATGCCCTGTAGCACTTTTCCAATGGCAACTGAGAGTCTCTTTGATTGTAGCTCCCAGATCTTTTTTCTTATCCTAACTTCTTCTAGCTACTCAATAAATTAATCAGTTAAAGTTCAAAGGATTTATTAAATTGAAAATCCTCAACCTGAAGAAAAGAAATAAACCCAAGCAACTTTTGTGAGACTTCTCATGTGTCCTTCAGCAAACTTAATGTTAAACAAGAGTACTTTTCACCTTAAGCAATGGGGACAGATGGAGAAAACCAATGTATTGAAGACTAATGAATCCACTACTAAACTTTTTCTATCTTGTAGCTCTAAAATCGCACTGTTTAGAATACACTATGGTAGCCACTAGACATATGGCTACTTGAACTTGAATTGGTTAAAATCAAAATTAAGAATTTAATTTCTCACTCACATTAGCCACATTTCAAGTGCTCAACAGACACATGTGGCTAGTGTCTACCATATTGGACAGCATAGACTTAAAGAACATTTCCATCATTGCAACATGTTCTACTGGTAAGTGTTGCTAGACAATGTCTACAAAAAAGACAATGTCTAAACAATATCCAGACTAATGTGTCTACCACTTTATGTCTTATGTTTACATATACATGTACACATACAGAAGGTGTATATATTAATGTATACCCTTAGGCAGTCTATATAACAGTACATTTTAATATAAAAAATAGTCCACTCCCAATCATAATACCTTATTTTAATATATTTCCTTCAACTTGCATATATTTTATGCTCTCATATATGATATGCCACTTTGTGTTCTGCTGATTTTACTTAACATTATATGAAACATTTTGTTTATGTTTCTACATAAACCTATCATTTTAATGCCTGCATAATATTCCATCACTTTACTATACCATAATTCATTCAACCAGTTCTCTAATATTAGACTTTTTCTTAGTGTTTCTTTCTTTCTTTATCCTGATTAAGGTTACAAGGCATTTTCTGTGTGTAAATGTTTCTGCTGTTCTCTTATATTTCATAATTATTTCCTTTATTCACACGTGCTTTACAATGAATATCCCATTTAGAGCCTTTATAGTACCCAGAACAGAAAGCTGTCTCTAAGTTAATCCAAGAACACTCAAAACAAATAGTTTATGGAAGACAGTGGATTTTGTAGTTATTTAGACTGTGCGCCTTTGGTGGATGATCTTGATTTAATTGTGCAATTTTCATTATACTGCAGCTTTCATTCCCTTATATCCTACAATGCTTTCAGCCTCAGAGACAGTTTCTAGAATAGAAGTCATATGAACCAACAGAAATAACTGTCAGTCCCTATTTGAATTTCATCTGTAAGCTCAGTCCTCCTTCCACCTTTGAGTTATATTCCTGACAGAAGTGGGGAGACTAGGATCTGTTGGCCAAATTTTGTCTATGCTGTGCCTATGTTATTCCCCAATTTCCCTCTACTTACACCCAGAACTAAGATCTAGGATTCCACAGGCATCTTTATGGCCTCTTACTCAGGCCTAAAGCAAAGATTGGAACACCTACTGCTTTGCCATTTTTTCCAATTTATAGTCTCCAAGACTAGTGCTTGCTTCACCTTTTAAGGTAAATTTTAGGAGGAGGGTCCAAGATCTCAGCCTTAAATATAGGGTTTAAGGGTGTGTTAGTTTGTTTTGCATTGCTATAAAGGAATACCTGAGGCTAGATAATTTATAAAAATAAAAGTTTTATTTGGTTCACAGTTCTGTAGGCTGTACAAGAAGCATGGTGCCAGCATTTGCTCAGCTTCTGTTGAGGGACTCACAAAGCTTACAATTGTGGCAAAAGGTGCAGCTGGAGCAAGCATGTCACATGGCAAGAGAGGGAGCAAGGGAGAGGGAGGAGTTGCCAGGCTCTTTTTACCAAGTAAATCTCACAGTAACTAATAAAGCACAAACTCACTCATTACTGTGTACCAAGCCATTCATCAGGGATCCATTCCCGTGACCCTAACACCTCCTACTAGGCTCCACCTCCAACATAGGGGATCGCATTTCAACATGAGATTTGGAAGGCACAAATATCCAAACTATATCAAAGGGTATAACAATCACCCGGAGTCAGACAATTGAAAGGACTTACTTCACATGTAAGGCTTTAATAAGGGCAAGTACAGCAGAAGAAAGAAAATACGGTCAGTCACTGAGGGGTTTCACATATCCAGGAGCAGCTCACAGAGTCCTTTCTCAATTGCAAAGGATGTGCTTTGCATTCAGATTATAAAAATCTAAGATATGTGCAAGATATCTTAATATCAAGGAAGCTAAGACACAAGTTTATTGAAGGTTTTATCCTCCACTGATCACAAATAAAATCAGAATGTGTAAATGATTAAAGCAGGTGCAAACCATCAACCTATCCATCCTTAAACAATGTAGACAAGCCAGCAGAGGATACCTCCAAAGGAATTTTGGACTTTGTATAGCACAGTATAAATCATTAACCAGCACATTCCATCCTTATCTTAGACAAGGGTCAGTACCAGACTTTCAGACATCTCTGGAGATAAGCATTTATCTATCTCAGTCCAGGTGCAAGTTAATACACTATCCTCACATACAGAGATAAGATATCTAGGGGTTATGAATTTTGAGGGGGCAATATCAATGTATTGAGGATACATCCTCCATATTGCAGTGTTGCAATGATGGAAATGTGCTTTAAATCTATGCTGTCCAATATGGTAGACACTAGCCACATGTGTCTGTTGAGCACTTGAAATGTGGCTAATGTGAGTGAGAAATTAAATTCTTAATTTTGATTTTAACCAATTCAAGTTCAAGTAGCCATATGTCTAGTGGCTACCATAGTGTATTCTAAACAGTGCAATTTTAGAGCTACAAGATAGATAAAATTTAGTAGTGGATTCATTAGTCTGCATTTTTTTCCCAATGCCATTAATATTTTTTCTGTGATCAGTTAGGGTCCTTAAATGTACTTTGTCATAACACTTCTCCCTTTGGAGCAAGAAATCATGTAAAAAGTTCACCCTGGTATACTGCAAAGGATAAAAGAACTCCATTTACTCGCTATTTCAGTGGAATTTTGGTTCATCAGTTTTGGTATATCAAAAATCTTTATTGTAATCACAGATATACTAGAGACCTATGGTTACCCAAAAAGTTGTCCCTTTCTGGTACAAAAACATAAGAGACCAGAAAGACAGCAGGTTATACATGGGCATCCTCACTTATCTTGGTCTGTAAGGTACGTGATCAAAGGGTTCTTGCACAGTCAGTAACCTGGTAAATATGAATGAGAAAGCAAACAACCTTAGTTCTCCCACTTGAAAAAATATGAGGACTCCATATAATTTTTCATTTATCTCTGGAATATTTTCCTCCTGTGTCTCTAGTAAGCAGTGTCCACCTGAGTTAGGTGGATCTCATCCTGACTTCTGCATTATCATACTGCTTTTTCTTCTATATTTTTGTGTATTCATGTTCCCAACCATACTTCCCTGCTCCTGTCCTCCACCTTCACCCTGGAATGCCATTTCTATTTCCAAAGGAAGTATTGAGCTAGATCTTGAAGGGTAACATAATTTAGATTACAGATGAGTAAGGGAAAAAAATGACTCAAACCCAGTGTGATGTAATTACCAGCCTCCTTCAGAGCAGTCATTGTTATGCCTGATAATTTGCCTGGGGGTTGTTCTGCTAAACCTATCTACAAATTTTAAAAAATTGGTGATATTATTTACTACCTACTCAGTTATGTATCTAGCAGCAGTCTAAATATCTTTAAACAAACATTCTTTTTCATTTTTTACTCTTTCTAACAATGATTTCTTTTTCCAATCAGTCTTTTTTCCTGTGTCTCCACTAAGAGTGAAATATTTCACTTGTCTGAGTTAGAGGCTTAGTCTCTTGCATCAAACTTAAAATAAAACTTTGAAATAATGAATTTGTTATATATATTTTCCTTAAGAATTTGGAGGCACTACCAAGATGGCTCAAGTCACTATCTTGGTACTCACTAGAGTGAAGTAAGAACAGCTCTGAGTCAAGTAACACCAAACCAAGAATGACACTGAAAACTTCAGATCTCCGTGGCTTTACTATTCTGCAGCTACTGCCACTGACTGTTTTAATGAGACATAGAAATTGGACTCAATTTTAGAGCTTTTGCTTTTCAAAATCTCATGGTGAAAACTTTTAGAGAAAGTTTGGAGCTAGAGTACTGGGTGTTCTCATGTTTTGGACAGTTACAATAAATGTCACCACCCCTGCTTCTCCCACGAATGCCTGGAAATGTCATTTGATGTCTGAAGGATGTCATAAGACTGGAGGAAAGGAGATTCGGGTGTGGTACCATAGGCTTTTGGTCAGCAATTATATTACTAAGGGATGACAAAAGCCCCTAGAAAAGATATAGTGGGCAAATAATCGATTATTTCTTTTGGTTGCAGGAAGTTATTTTGTGTTTCTTCCATAGGGATTTTGTGTCTTATTTTCATTTTTCTTTTAGCTAAAATTGTATAATTTGCCCAGCAATTTTTCACATGTTGGCCTATGTCTATAAACAGTCATTTATAATTCTTTGTGTTTGTGGTCAGAGAGATTCTAGATACACAACTGCCTGTTTGCTTAAAATATCTCTGGAAACTTAAAGGTAATTGATCACAGGAATTGGTCATTTGTGTGCACCATGAAAACATGAGTTCAAACAGACAGGTCCATTTTGAGATGAAGAAGCAATGGAAAATCTGTTCAACTAATATCACAAAAATATCCTATCTTCTTCTGTGACATTAAAGAGAAAGACAGTTCCCTGTGCTGGGCACAGTGACTGAGGGATTGGCTAGAATAGGCAGAGATAGAACCAACTCTGGAGATATAAATAATGTTATCAAAGGCAAACTATTTACTTACTTAATGTTGCAGGTTGGGTTCTCCTGGATGTAGACCTTGAGATAGGGCTTAGCATGCATAATATTTATGAAGGGATCAACACCTGTGGGAGGTAAGAGGTTTAAATAAGCATGAGCAGAGGGAGAAGGCCAACCTGCAGTGCCAGCCTAACAAAGATTTGGGGCAACCCTATGGTGGCACTCTACAGTTAAAATAGCTCTTCAGAGTTGTTCCTTTTTGGGTAGAGAGGTCTGGACATTGCCATCTCCATTTGGATCAGGGTAGTGGGGGAAATTTGTGGCTACCTTTGGCTGACACATCTTTGACATCTCTCCCAGAAGCTGAGGCAAATCTTTCCCTGAGGTAGGATCTAGGTAGAGCATAAAGGGATCTCCCTCCTTAGTTATACATTTTTGTGGAACTAAATTGACGAATCTGGATGGAAATGAACAATATTGCTAAATTTATCACATTTAATGGAGCTCATATTGTAACTGGTCTAGGAACTAAGTTCATATAATTTTAGAATAAATAGTCTCAAGAATGCATAGACAAAAAGGAAGAAACAAAAAAACTGTGCCTAAAAGGGAACAATTAAGTTTTAGGTATATGGGTGAACTTTAGGTTACTATGATAAGAAACAAAGAAATGAGCATTGATACATTGGTATAAGGCCAGTTTTAAGAAACTATTCTAAATGATGACTTTAAAGCAAAATTAAAATAGTTTTAATCTTTTCTGATAAATATGAGAGGATTATAAAGGTTCTTTTATTACTTTTAGTTATAGTAAGTCATGGGCAAATTAAACTGTTTTGATAGATTTGTTTTAAAAGATAGTTACATGTTTTCTTTCTTACTTTATCACAGTGTAGAATATAATATAAAGTACTTTATATATACAGTACTTGATTTTATTTTCTTACAAAAGTGTCTGGTTAACTGGAACTTTTCTATACTTGTCTTATGGGGTCAGATAAATAATCATTACTGATACAAAAATTTTAGGACATGTAAATTTAAACATGGATGTTCAACTAAATTGATTTACAATAACTAATATCCTTATGATTTTTTGCTATTGTTGTTCTTGTAAACTCCAAGCACAGTTTCAAATTATGTGAACCCAAGAATTACTTAACTTGTACCAGGTGAAATTTCAGGGTGTTATACTTTTCTGGGAAGTTTTTTTAATATCAACAGTGACTACACTGTTATTTAATTAACTTACAGCTAAATAAGGATCTTGAAATTATAATTTATTTATTTATTTATTTAGAGACGGAGTTCTCTCTCTGTCACCCAGGCTGGAGTGCAATGGCGCGATCTCGGCTCGCTGCAACCTCTGCCTCCCCAGTTCAAGTGATTCTCCTGCCTCAGCCTCCCAAGTAGCTGGGACTACAGGTGTGTGTTACCACGCCCGGCTGATTTTTATATTTTTAGTAGAGACGGGATTTCACCATGTTGGCCAAGCTGGTCTCGAACTCCTGACCTCAGGTGATCCACCTGCCTTGGCCTCCCAAAGTGCTGGGATTACAGGCGTGAGCCACTGCACCCGGCCAGCAATTATAATTTAAAGTCTTCTCTAAGTATTATATTGGTGTCATTAAAAAATAATCTTAGGTTATCTGGAAAATTGTTAAAGAAATCTAAGTGAATAAAGATGAAAACAGCAAAAGTAATTGGTCACCAAACAATAGTTTTCATTTATGTATTCTCATTTATATTTAAATATAGTTGACACTATAGAAAAAAATTCTTATGTGTTTAGAAAAGTTAAAAGCTACAGCTTACATTTTTAAATTAAGTTATAATCTGTTATTTTTTAGTGTGATTGTATATGAATTTTTTTTATTAACAAATTTTATATTTAAGTGAGAGAAGACACTGGTAGCTCAGAAGACAAAATAAAAGGGTCTTTAGAGTAATGTCTGTTCTAAATGTGAGACAATAAAAAGTTATCATTTGCTTTCAGCATATTCTACCCAGATGGCAAATGATTTTTGCCTCACCCACCCTGACTGTGCATTCTCAAAAGAGTCTGTTAATTTTTAGGTTTCTATCTACTTTTGGGAATTCCATGACTAGAGACAACTCTAAGCAAAGTGACATAAAGAACTAAATTCCTGAATGTTTATTATGAAACAATTCTGTTATGGTTGTTACATGGTGTTGCTACTCTCTGGAAGTTTCTTATCCTCACATTGTACTCCCATCTGAAAACTATTATGACATCACCTTCCTTCGAGTTCAGACCTCAAATTTAGAAAAATACAACCAAAAAGTAATCTAGAAATGATTTAAAGTATACAGAAGGATGTGCATAGGTTATGGTTGAATACCATGCCACTTCATAGTAGAGGCCCAAGCATCTGTAGATTTTATTATCCATGGTGGGTCATGGAACCAAGCTAGTGACATCTTGATTTTACATTAGTCTGAGAAGGTGAAGGACAGTGACCCTGAGAGAAGGGAGACAAATGAAGAGAGCACTATAATTATCTTCAGAGAATTTCTAGTCCATGACACAGAGAGGGGGATCACGAAGAGTCCACAGACGCACTGAATTTAAGAGGAGCTGAGAATCTTGGAGAACAAAGTGGCCTAGAGTTGGTAGGACAGAGTGCCAGAAAGGATAGGGCTGTAAGAGAACTCTAGGAAAAGAATTCCAGTGCAGAGTGTTCCCCACTGAGTATCAATTAGTACGTGTGTGAGAAAATTACCTGAGGATGGAGAAAGAATCAGATGAAAGGATTAGAGAAAAAAAATGCTCCCAAAGGGCCAGAAATAGTGCTTTACCTCAAGATTCATAGGATTTAAGCTGGGTGCAGTGGCTCATTCCTATAACCCCAGTGCTTTGGGGAGGTGGAGGTGGGAAGATTGCTTGAGGCCAGGAGTTCAAGACCAGATTGGGCAACATAGCAAGACCCTGTTGTTACTAATTAAGTAAAGAAATAAGTAAGTAAGCAAATAAATGAATAAATAAGTAACTAAGATTCATGGGGGGTTAAATACAGTACACAGAAGGGTCTAACCTCAATAATGGGCAGTAGTCCTAAACTGACCAGTGTTCCAGGCCCACCTAACAAATCTGAAAGCAGAATCTGAAATGACCAAAATGTTTCCAAGTAACTTAACTCTATGAAGAGAAAAATTTTCAAGAAGATTTATAGGAATACAAAGATATCCAGCACCCGGCAAGGTAAAATTAACAATTTATGACATCCAATAAAAAAAAGACAAGTCATACAAAGAGGGAAGAAAATAAGGTTGTATTCACATTTCAATAGGACCCAAAAGAACAATGTGCTTAGGAATAAATTTAACAAAAGAAGTGCAAAACTTGTATTCTGAAAACTACGAAATATTGTTAAAAGAAGTTAAAGAAGACCTAAATAGATGAAAAAACTCTATGTTCATGGATAAAAAGACTTAATATTATTAACATAGACATACTTCCCAAATCGATTACAGATCCACACAATTACTAGCAACATTTCACCAGGCTTCTTTGCAGAAATTGAAGAGCTGATTCTAAAATCAATGAGGAAATTCACAGGGCCCAGTATAGCTAAAATAAATAAATAAATAAAAACTTGACAAATAAAAACAAATTTGGAGAATTCACACTTTCTGATTTCAAAACTTACCACAAAACTCCAGTAATCAAGACAGCATGGTACTGGCAAAAAGATAGAAGTATAAATAAACTAAATAGAATTGAGGGTCCAGAAATAAACTCTCACATTTATGGTCAAAAGATGCCAAGACAATGCAATAGGGGAAAATAGTTCTTGAATAAATGGTGGTGGTATAATTGAATATTCACACATAAAAGAAGGAAGAAGAACACTCTCCTAAATCCACACAAGAAAATTAAATCTGATCTTAGACCTAAATTAAAATTATACAACTTTTAGAAGAAAATATAGGAGCAAATCTTCATGACCTTAGGCTAGGCAAAAATTTTTAGACATGAAAACAAAAGTACAAGCAACAAAAGAAAACATAGATAAAATGGACATCATCAAAATGTAAAACTTTAGTCCCTGAAAGAATACTATGAAGAAAATGAAAAGGCAACCACAAATGGGAGGAAATATTTTCAAATCTTATATTTGATAATGGATTTGTATTCAGGATACTTACCATTCAATGATAAAAAGATAACTCAATTGAAAAATGGACAAATTATATGAACAAATAGTTTTCTGAAAAGATACATAAATGGCCAACAAACACATGAAAAGATACTCAACATTATTAGCCATTAGGGAAATGCAAATCAAAACCACAATGAGATACTACTTTATACTTACTAGCATGGCTATAATAAAAAAGACAGATAACAAGAAGTCTTGGGTAGGATGCAAATATTGATCTCCACAAAAGATGAAGAATCATCAGAATGGTGACTACATGGGTAAATATGTAACACCTTTTCCTCATTATTTAAATCTCTTTAAAGGATAACTTACTCTTCAAAAATAATAAGAATGTAGCCTGAGATTTATAGCATAAATTAAAGCAAAATGTATGAAAACCTAAGTACCAAGGTCAGCAGGGGAGAAATAGATGTGTACTACTCTGAAAGGTGGAAAGAAGTCAGACAAGCTAGCAACTTCAGGATCAAAGGAGTGATTAGTGGTGAATCGTGTGTGTGTGTGTGTGTGTGTGTGTTTGACACATATTTTCCAAACCGGGCACTGGAGAAGCCAGCAACTCAGAAACATCAATAGGCAAACACCAAGGGAAAACAACAACAACAACAACAAGAAATCCTACTTTCTATAGTCTATCTAGCCTAAGAGCCAGGAGAGGAGCAACCTAGATGGATAGATAGAAAATATTTATTATTAGAAAATAGCTCCTCTACCAAAATACCACAGAAAAAAATGTGGCTTAACCTCCAACACTGCCAGAAATGGTTAAATGAGCAAGTGTAGACTTCCTCTCATGTGAGAGTCTTCTCTGTCCCTGCGTCTTCAGAGATAAGAATGTTCTTTTCCTTATCTCTGAAGATAAGAGAGGGCACCTTTGGAATGTTGGTCTTATAACCTGCTTCAGGGACAGCTCAGAAAATCCTTCCTAGATCTTATAATCTGCCTCAGGGGAGAAGGACAAGGGAAGGCTTGAGAGACCTTCCTGCTCCTGCTACTTTCTCAAATGCCAAGGTGCCACATTTTGGGGTAGTCCTGTGCCCCATAACGTTATTATATTGATGCAAATGAGGAAGAAAGGAGCAGACCTGATAACTTTGTAATATAGTGTTTTGACTGTAAGGATAAAGGCAAAAAGTACCGTGTACAAACACTGTGCTTTAGTTGGTAAACTTGTCTAGCATGGGATATGGATTAGCAATTCTGAAACTATGTAAGCACTACAGTGAACAAATAAGTGTACTGTAGAATAGGGATTGGCATACTATGGACTGTGGGCCAAATTTAGCTTATTTTTCTATGGCCCACAAAAAAACTTTTTTTTTCATTATTGAATGGCTAAAAAAATCAATAGAAAAATTATACTTTATAATACGTGAAAATTATTAAAAAATTCAAAGCTGAGGAGTTGTGATAGAGACATTATGGCCCCCAAAGCCTAAAATATTTACTTTTACAGGAAAAACTATCTCTTTACATGAAAAGTTTGCTGACCCTTATAGTAGATAATAAGAGCCAGAATTCTCAGTGTCATGGAAATAAGTTATAAATAAGCAAAAAGGGAGGACCAGAATATACCCTGTGTTGCTGGATTAGAGTTGGAGACATCAGTATAAATTCATATTTAATATACATATAGATAGATACAGAAAGGTAGATAAATATGTATACATGGGTTAGCATACATACATATATTTCCCAGCTCTATTGAGAGGGCTGTATTGTATTAATTCAGCCCAGCTCCCATTCCTGCTATCTGTATTAAATATAAAATTTGACTAAGCAAGAAATTCAATTAATAAATTTAGCACAAAAATATATTCAGATATTTTTCTAACAAAACCAGTTCCTTTATGATTGTTTCCTTCAAAAGCAGAATCTGAGAAAGAAAAATTGAACCAGACTTGGTCTAAGAAAAAATATTTTAACCTAATATATTTCAAAATCTTTTGAAAAATAATTCACATCTCTAATAAAATGCTTAGGCAATTTCTTTTTTCATTTACTTTTCTTCTTCTTCAACTTTTATTTTAGGTTCAGGGGGTACATATGCAGATTTGTTACATCGGTAAATTTTGTGTCACTGGGGTTTGGTATACAAATGATTTCATTACCCAGGTAGTGAGCATAGTACCTGATAGGTAGATTTTCAACCCTCACCCTCCTCCTAACCTCCACCCTCAAGTACACCCTGGTGTCTATTGTTCCCCTCTTTGTGTTCATGTGAACTCAATGTTTACCTTCCAATTATAAGTGAGAATGTGCAGTATTTGGTTTTCTGTTCCTGTGTTAGTTTGCTTAGAATAATGGCCTCCAGCTCCATCCATATTGCTGCAAAGGACAGGATTGCTTTTTTTAATGGTTGTGTAGTACTCCATGGTGTATATGTACCATATTTTCTTTATCCATTTCACTACTGATGGGCATCTAGGTTGATTCCATGTATTTTCTATTGTGAACAGTGCTGCAGTGAACATATGAGTGCATATGTCTTTTTGGTAAAACAATGTATATTCCTTTGGGTATATATCCAGTAATGGTATTGCTGGTTCAAATGATATTTCTTTTTGAAGTTCTTTGAGAATTCTCCAAACCGCTTTCTATAGTGGCTGAAATAATTTACATTCCTACCAGTATATAAGTGTATAAGTGTTCCTTTTTCTCCACAATCTCACCAATATCTGTTATTTTCTGACTTTTTAATAATAGCCATTCTGACTGGTGTGACATGGTATCTCATTGTAGTTTGATTTGAATTTCTCTAATGATTAGTGATGTGGAGAATTATTTTCATGTGTTTGTTGGCTGCATGTATGTCTTCTTTTGAGAAGTGTCTGTTCATGTACTTTGCCCATTTTTAATAGGGTTGTTTGGTTTTTTCTTACTGATTTAAGTTGCTTATAGATTATGGATATTAGACCTTCGTCATATGCGTAGCTTGCAAATTTTTTTCCCATTCTGTAGGTTGTCTGTTTAGTCTGTTGAAAGTTTCTTTTGTTGTGCAGAAGCTGTTTAGTTTAATTAGGTCCCAATTGTCTATTTTTGTTTTTGTTGCAATTGCTTTTGGCATCTTCATCATGAAATCTTTGCCAAGGCCTATGTCCAGAATGATATTTCCTAGGTTTTTTTCCTAGGGTTTCTATAGTTTTAGGTCTTACATTTAAGTCTTCAATCCATCTTCAGTTAATTTTTGTATGTGGTGAAAGAAAGGGGTCCAGTTTTAATATTCTGCATATGGCTAGCTAGTTATCCCAGCATCAGTTATTGAATAGGGAGTCCTTTCCCCATTGTTTGTTATTGTCAACTTTGTAAAAAATCAGATGGTTGTAGATGTGCAGCTTTATTTCTGGGATTTATAACCTGTTCAATTGGTCTATGTGTCTATTTTTGTACCAATTCCGTGCTATTATGGTTACTGTGGCCTTGTAGTACAGTTTGAAATTGGATAATGTGATTCCTCCAGCTTTGTTCTTTTTGCTTAGGATTGCCTTTGCTATTTGAGCTATTTTTGGTTACATGTGAATTTTGAATAGTTTTTTTTCTAATCTGTAAAAAATGACATTGGCAGTTTGATAGGAATAGCATTGAATCTATAACTTGCTTTGGGCAGCATGGCCATTTTAACAATGTTGATTCTTCCTATCCATGAGCATAGAAATTTTTCTCATTTGTTTGTGTCCTCTGATTTCTTTGAGTAGTGTTTTGTAATTTTTATTATAGAGATCATTGACTTCCCTGGTTAGCTGTATTCTTAGGTATTTTATTTTTTTGTGGCTATTGTGAATGGCACTGCATTCTCGATTTGGCTCTCAGATTGGACAATGTTGGTGTATAGAAATACTAATGATTTTTATGCAGATTTTGTATACTGAAACTTTACTGAAGTTGCTTATCAGTTCTAGGAGCCTTTGGGCAGAGATTATGGAGTCTTCTCTGTATAGAATCATATCATCTGCAAAAAGAGATAGTTTGACTTCATCTCTTCCTATCTGGATGCCTTTTATTTCTTTCTCTTGCCTTATTGCTCTGGCTATGACTTCCAGTACTATATTGAATAGAAGTGCTGAGACTGGATATTTTTTTCTTGTTCCAGTTCTAAGGAGGAATGTTTCTAGCTTTTGCCTATTCAGTATGATGTTGGCTGTGGGTTCATCATAGATGGCTCTTATTATTTTGAGGTATGTTCCTTCGATGCTGAGTTTGTTGAGGGTTTTTAGCATGAAATGATGTTGAATTTTATTGAAAACCTTTTCTGCATTTATTGAGATGATCATGTGGGTTTTGTTTTTAGTCCCCTATATGTGATTAATCACATTTATTAACTTGTCTATGTTGAAACAATCTTTCATCTCAGAGATAAAGCCTACTTGTTCATAGTGGAATAGCTTTTGGATGTGCTGCTGGATTAGATTTGCTAGTATTTTGTCCAGGAGTTTTGCATTTATATTCATCAGGGATAGTGATCTGAAGTTTTCTCTTTTCATTGTGTTTCTGCCAGGTTTTGGTATCAGGATGATTCTGGCCTCATAGAATGCGTTCAAGAGGAGTCCCTCCTCCTCAATTTTTTGGAATAGTTTCAGTAGGATTGGTACCAGCCCTTCTTTATGCCTCTGGTAGAATTTGGCTGTGAATCCATCTGTTCTGGGGCTTTTTCTGGTTGGTAGGTTTTTTTATTACTGATTCAATTTTGGAACTGGTTATTGATCTTTTCAGGGTTTCAATTTTTTTTTTTTCCTGGTTCAATCTTGGGAGACTGTATGTTACCAGGAATTTATTCATTTCTTGTAGGTTTTCTAGTTTGTGTTTTATGGAGGTGTTTGTAATAGCCTCTGAGGGCTTTTTTTTTTTTGTATTTCTGTAAGGTTGATGGTAATGTCCCCTTTGTCTTTTCTTATTGTGTTTATTTGGATCTCTCTTTTTTCCCTTATTCATGTACATGGCAGTCTATCAATCTTATTTATTGTTCCTAAGAACCAACTCTTAGTTTCATTGACCCTTTGTATGGGTTTTAATGTCTCAATTTCATTCACTTCATCTCCGACTTTGGCTATTTCTTTTCTTCTGCTATCTTTGGCTAGCTCTTGTTTTTCTAGTTCCTCTAGGTGTGACATGAGGTTTTTAATTTGATACGTTTCTAACTTCTTGATGTAGGTGGTTAGTGCTATAAACTTTCCTCTTAACTCTGCTTTAGCTATGGCCCAGAGATTCTGGTATGTTGTATCTTTGTTTTTATTAGTATCAAAGATTTTTTTAAAATTTCTGTGTTAATTTCATTGTTTACTGAAAAGTCATTCATAAACAGGTTGATTAATTTACATGTACTTGTATGGTTTTGAGAGATCTACTGGTATTGATTTCTATTTTTATTGCACTGTGGTCTGAGAGTGTGGTTGGCATGATTACAGTTTTTAAAAATTAGTTGAGAATTGCTTTATGGCCAAGTGTGCAGGCAATCTTAAAGTATGTGCTGTGTGCAGATGAGAATGTATACTCTATTGTTGTTGAGTGGTGTATTCTGTACATGTCTGTTAAGTCCATTTGGTCAGGCATTGAGTTTAGGTCCTGAATATTTTTGTTTGTTTTATTTCTTGTTGATCCAACACTGTCAATGGGGTGTTGAAGTCTCCCACTATTATTGTGTTGTTCACTAATAACAACACAATAATAGTAGGAAGGTTTTCTTAGGTCTCTAATAACTTATTTTATGAATATATGTGTTCCAGTATTGGTGCATATATATTTAGGATAGTTAAGACTTCTTGTTGAATTGAACCTTTTATCATTATGTAATGCCCTTCTTTGTCCTTTTTTATTGTTGTTGGTTTAATGTCTGTTTTATTTGATATAAGAATATCAACTCCTGCTCTTTTCTGTTTTCAATTTGCTTGATAGATCTTTCTACATCTGCTGAGCTTATGGATGTCATTGCATGTGAGATGGGTCTCTTGAAGACAGCATACAGTTGTGTCTTGTTTCTTTATCCAACTTGCCACTCCATGTCTTTTAAGTGGGGCATTCATCCCGTCTACATTCAGGGTTGATATTAATATATCAAGATTTGAACCTGTCATCATGTTGTTAGCTGGTTGTTATGTGGACTTGATTGTACAGTTGCTTTATAACGTCAGTGGGCTATCTACATAAGTGTGTTTTTGTGGCGGCAGGTGTTCGTCTTTTTTTTCTATGTGTAGCACTCCCTTAAGAACTTCTTGTAAGGCAGGCCTGGTGGTAAAGGACTCCCTTAGTATTTGCTTGTCTAAAAAGGATTTTATTTCTCCTTCACTTACGAAGCTTTGTTTGACTGGATAAGAAATTCTTGGTTAGAATTTTTTTTTAATTATGCTGCATGTAGGCCCCCAATCTCTTCTGGCTTCTAGTGTTTTTGTTGAAAGGTCCACCGTTAGCCTGATGGGGTTTCCTTTGTAAGTGACCTGCTACTTCTCTCTAGCTGCCTTTAGGATTTTTTCTTTCACATTGACTTTGGAGAATCTGATGACTATGTGTCTTGGGTATGGTCATCTTTTGTGTTATCTCACAAGGGTTCTCTGAATTTCTTGAATTTGTATGTTGACCTCTCTAGCAAGGTTGGAAAGTTTTCCATGGACAGTATCCTCAAATATGTTTTCTAAGCTGCTTGCTCTCTCTCTCCATCTTTTTCAGGAATGCCAATGAGTCATAGGTTTGATCTCTTTATAGAATGCCATATTTCTTGGAGGTTTTGTACATTTTTAAAAATTATTTTTTCTTTATTTTTGTTTGCCTGCATTGATTCAAAGGGGCAGCCTTCAAGCTCTGAAATTCTTGCCTCAGCTTGGTCTATTCTGTTATTAATGCTTCCATTTTCGTTCTGTAATGCCTGTAGTGAGTTTTTCACTTCAAGAAGTTCAGTTTGATTCTTTTTAAAAATCAAACTGGCTATGTTGTCTTTCAACTCTTGGACCATATTAGTGTGTTCCTTGGATCGGGTTTCAACTTTCTCCTGTATGTTGATAAGCTTCCTTGCAATCCAGATTCTGAATTCTATGTCTGCCATTTCAGCCATTTCAGTCTGGTTAAGAACCATTGCTAGGGAACAAGTGTGGTCATTTTTTTGTCACGAGAAGACACTCTGGCTTTTTGAGTTGCCAGAGTTCTTGAACTGGCTCTTCCTCATCTGTGTGGGCTGATGCTCATTTCATCTTTGAAGCTACTGTTTTTTGGATGAAAATTTTTGCTTTCATATTTTTTAATGTTCCTGAGGGTTTGACTATAGTATACTTTAGGTTTAGTTGTTTGGCTTCATTTCTAACTGCTTCCAGAGAGCCAAGTCTCAGCTCAGCACTCTGGCTATGTGCTCTATCCCTGAGGGGCTGGGAACAGGCCTGCAGCTTTATTCTCTTGCCCATTGAGTTAAGCACCTGATACATTGGAAGGGCCAAGGTGTTCCCAGTCTGCTGACAGTGATGCTCTGATGGGGGCTGCTGGCAAGAGTCCTCTGGAGGGATGGCAATAGACCCCTGCATGCATGCATGTCAGTGAGGCAGTGAGAGGTCCCCATGTGTATGCATGCCACCAGGGCAGTGGCAGGTCTCTGTGTGTGTGTGTGTGTGTGTGTGTGTGCATGCATGCACTGGCAGGATGTGGAAGGGGTCCCTGTGTGCATGTGCCCTGGAAGAGATGATAGTGGGTCCTGTGGGGCTCCTGCATGTGCATGCTTGTGGGGTGGTGGGGATCCCTACCCATGTGTGTGCTGGTGAGGGAGCAGGGAGATGCTGTGGATAAGTGTGTGCTGGTGGGGAAGTGCTGCTGGTGGTGCAAAAAAATGCTGGCAGGGTGAAATGTGCAGGTGAGTGAGTGCTTGTGGGAGTCAATCTGTAAAAGCACATGGATGGTTAGGCGGGGTTTGCTGGCAAAAGAGCTGTGGCAGTGGCTGCTGGCAAACTGAGGCTGCCCTGCAAGCAGGTGCTGCAAGGCAAGGACCCTGGGAGAGGCCAGCAGACAGTGGGTTACTCAGGTCAGACTGCCTCCATCCCATGGGCAAGACAACCCTCCTCTGTTTGGATGCAGCTGGTAACAGACTAGAGCCACCTAGAAGAATATGGTGAGCCTTGAGTGATGAGTGCCCATGGTTGTGCTGCATTGCAGCCAGCCATTCCTGCACCAAACCCTCTGGACTCCACACAGGCTGGAGTTCTGTCTCTGCCAACTCTTAAGGCAGTTCTCCCTGCTGGACCAGATGTCCAAGGGGGTCATGGGGTCTCCTGGACCCGGGATCTTGGAGGTTCATGGCAAGAGTGGGCCACTCTATGCCTATTTCACTTATCCCTTCTCTAGGCGCCACTTAGTGTCAGAAACATGTCCTGGTGCTTGGCAACCTTGTGCAGGGTCCCCAGCTTCCTTCACTTTCAGCCTGGGGCCTGCATCTTCCCTCTGTCCACACTCAATGCCTTATTTTTGAAGATCTGTTTGGAGTGTGTTTGTCTACCTGATGATCTTGTCTCTCTTGGTGGGTGCATCTAGTAAGCCATCTTGGCTCTCTCCCTGCTCCACAATTTTCTGATAAACCTAAATGAGATTCACAACTGCTAGGAAATTCTTCATCTTACGTTTCCATATCAGTCCATCAGTCAGGGGGGTAAAGCTCTTTAACCAGAGGTTCTCTATCACTTGTTTGCTTGCACTTTTATTTTATCCTACTGAACAGTGATTTCCTAGCCATGTCTTTTTTTCATACAAATATTTTTAAGAGAGAAATCTTTGAATTGGCTTGCATAGAATCTTAGAGGAAGCATGATGTAGGACTTTGGCACATGCTTGTAAATTAAATAATTTTTCAAGTAGTGGAGATGCATGAACGAGGCAGTCAAAGAAGAAAGACTATGTACAAAAGAAATACAAGACCTAATATATTAACATGTCAGTATATCTACCACTTCCCCGCTGCCCTCATGCCCTTGCTCCCAAGTGGAAAATTTTTCTCTTCTCTGAAATTTTCTACTTTCTTTTTTTTTTTTCATGGACAGGAATCATTACTCCACTGAATGCATGGACCCTGTGGAAAGAAAATTAATTTATTTACATATTCCCAAGGAAGCCCAAATGCCTGCTGTTCATTTGCTGAATGAATACATTTTGTAAAAATGGTATAGATAGTGAAGATACTATATGGCTGTATGGCTCATCACAGAACGAATATTGAAGCAGCATATTTTCTAAGATTATACTTCCCCTCCTTCATACATGCTTTTCATGTACATTATTCAAAGAGAGGTAGGACAAGGAGTCCTTCTTTCAGTAGCCCAATCTCCTTGCAGGAGTTTCCCAGCTAATCAGAATTTCAAGGAACACCTACAATGCCTCTGCTTTTTGCTCTTTTGAAGAGTTTTAACTGCTTACATTATTCCTCCACCACAGAGAAAACTCTTAGATTATATTAGACGAAAGCATAATTTTAGACAGATATTTGAAAACAATTTTACCTCCGCAAAAGAAAAAGAAAAACCTCAATGGTAGCCAGTAGAGGTAGCAGAAAAAGCATAATGCAACACTTCACCAATTTTATTAATCTATTCAATAAATATCTGTTGAGTACAGATGCTCTTCGACTCATGATCAGGTTAT
This sequence comes from Homo sapiens, assembly GCF_000001405.40. NCBI lineage: Eukaryota > Metazoa > Chordata > Mammalia > Primates > Hominidae > Homo > Homo sapiens. The sequence continues at coordinate 43,209,659 of NC_000023.11, read as the reverse complement.
GTGCAGATAAACCACATCCTAAGTCAAGGAGTATAAAGAATGTGTATGGCTTTCATATCGTAGTAAAGTTGTAAAGTTGAAAAATTGTAAGTTGAACCCATTGTAAGTTGGGAACTGTCCATAATACTCTGTAATGTCCATAATACTCTGTGTGGGGAATCAAGCAAGAAAATAGTTCTGCCCTCAAAATACTTATGGCCCATTTCCACAATCTAAAATTGAAAAGCACGTATGATACTAATATTAAATAGTCCAATTAAATAAACTTCATCAGCATGAAAATACCAAAAGAACTGTATTTTTCTGGGCCAAATGTTGTACAAATATATCACTATTGTAAGGGACAAAAAGTAATAACTTTTCCTTACTCATTGCTAAATTCATGACTATGTATTAGTCTGTTCTCACATTCCTATAAAGAACTACCTGAAACTGGGTAACTTATAAAGAAAAGAAGTTTAAATGACTCAAAGTTCTGCAGGCTGTACAGGTAGCATGGCTGGGAGCCCTCAGGTTACAATCATGGTGGAACGTGAAGGGGAAGCAAGCGTTGTCCTCACATGGCAGATCAGGGAGAGAGAGAGAACAAAGGGGGAAGTGCTTCACATTTTCAAACAACCAGATCTGATGAGAACTCACTCACTATTATGAAAACAGCAAAGAGAAAATCTGCCCCCATGATCCAATGACCTCCCACTAGGTCTCTCTCACAACACTGAGGATTACAATTCAACATGTGATTTGGGTGGTGACACAGAGCCAAACCATATCATTCCCTTCCTGGCCCCTCTCAAATCTCATGTCCTTCTCACATTTCAGAACACAGTCGTGCCTTCCCAACAGTCCCTCAAAGTCTTAACTCATCCCAGCAATAACTCAAAAGTCCAACACCAAAGTCTCATCTGAGACAAGGCAAGTCCCTTCCACCTATGAGCTTGTAAAATAAAAAACAAGTTAGTTACTTCCAAGATACAATGGGATACAGGTATTGCGTAAATTCTCCCGTTCCAAAAGGGAGAAATTGGCCAAAACAAAGGGGCTACAGGACCCATGCAAGTCCAAAACCCAACAGGGAAATCATTAAATCTTAAAGCTCTGAAATTATCTCCTTTGACTCTATGTCTCAAATCCAGGCCACACTGATAAAAGCGGTGGGCTCCTAAGGCTTTAGGCATCCATACCTCTGTGGTTTTGCAGGGTATAGCTCTCTCAGATGCTTTCATGGGCTAGCATTGAGTGCCTTCATCTTTTCCAGGTGCATGATGCAAGCTGTAGGTGGATTTACCATTCTGGGGTCAGGAGAACAGCGGCCCTCTCCTCACAGCTCCACTAGGCAGTGCCCCAGTGGGGACTTTGTGTGGGGGCTCCAACCCCACATTTCCCTTCCCCAGTGACCTAGTAGAGGTTGTCCATGAGGACTCTGCCCCTGCAGCAGACTTCTGCCTGGACATCCAGACTTTCAATATATGCTCTGAAATCTAGGCACAGGCTCCCAAGTTTCAACTCTTGCCCTTTGTGTACCCACAGGCCCAAGGCTACATGGAAGCCACCAAGTCTTGGGGCTTGCACCCTTGGAAGCAATGTCTTAAGCTGTACCTTGGCCCTTTTTAGCCATGGCTGGAGCTGGAGCTGCCATAATGCAGAATACCATGTTTGCCTGCACAGAGCAGAGGGGCCTGTGCATTTTTTTCTTCTAGGCCTCCAGGTCTGTGATAAGAGGAACCATTTTTTTCTTCTAGGAAACCATTTGTTTTCTTCTAGGCCTTCAGGCATGTGATGAGAGGATCTGCCATAAAAATCTCTGAAATGTCATAGAGGCATTTTCCCCATTGTCTTGGCTATCAACATTTGGTTCCTCTTTGCTTATGCAAATTTTTGCAGCAGGCTTGAATGCCTCCCCAGAAAATGTTTTTTTTTTTTTTCTACCACGTGGTCAGGCTGCAAATTTTCCAAATTTTCATGCTCTGCTTTGCTTTTTAATAAAAATTCCAATTTCAGACCATCTTTTCACAAATGCACATGAATGTATGCTATTAGAAGGAGTCAAGTCACATCTTGAATGCTTTGCTGCTTATAAATTTCTCCCACCAGATACCCTAAATCATCTCTCTCAAGTTCAAATCTCCACAGATCCCTAGAGCAGGGCACAATGCCAGAAGTTTATTTGCTAAAGCATAGCAAGAGTGACTTTTACTTCAGTTCCCAATAAGTTCCTCATGTCAATCTGAGACCTCAGCCTGGATTTTACTGTCTGTATCACTATCAGCATTTTGGTCACAACAATTTAACAAGTCTCTAGGAATACCAAACTCTCTTTCATCTTCCTGTCTTCTTCTGAGTCCTCCAAACTGTTCCAACCTCTGCTGGTTACCCAGTATCCAAGTCACTTCTACGTTTTCAGGTATCTTTATAGCAATGCCCTACCTCTCTGGTACCAATTTTCTGTATTAATCCATTCTCACATTGCTATAATGAACTACCTGAGACAGGGTAATTTATAAAGAAAAGGGTTTTATTTGACTCACAGTTCTGCAGGCTGTACAGGTAGCATGGCTGGAAGGCCTCAGTAAGCTTACAATCATGGCAGAAGGCAAATAAGAAGCAAGCACTGTCCTCATATGGTGGAGCAGGAGAGAGAGTGAAGGGGGAACTGCTACACACTTTCAAGCAACTAGATCTCATGAGAACTCACTCACTATGACGAGAACAGCAAAGGGAAATGTATTAGTCCATTCTCACACTGCTATGAAGAAATACCTGAAACTGGGTAATTTATAAAGGAAAGAGGTTCTATTGACTCATGGTTCTGCATGGCTGGGGAGACCTCAGTAAACTTATAATCATGGTAGAAGGGGAAGGAAACATGTCCTTCTTCACATGGTGACAGGAGAGAGAAATGCCAAGCAAAGCAGGGGAAAGCCCCTTAAAAAACCATCAGATCTCATGAGAGTTCACTCACTATCACAAGAACACCATAGGATAATGAATTTATTTAGTAAGAGTTTTACATGACACAAAGCCTTCGGAAATGAAAAACCAACCCCCCAAGGAGGTACAAAAGCTTATAAACCATCTTTTAAAAAATAATTTTTATTTTTATATTTTTAGATACAAAATTTCTCTGCTGACTGAACCACAGTTACTGCTTCTATTCACATTTCATTGGCCCAGGCAGGTAGAGGACTGCAGCTAATTTCAAGGACAATGGGACAATGCAATTCTATCAGATACCTCAAAGGAGGAGAACTGAACTATTTGTTTACAGCCTTAATAATACACTTTCCAAAGCATATTTCAGAAAAGCTAGAAAACTGAAAGTCTCCTAAAACCATTAAAGTAATATAAGTGACAAGAAATTTGAAGAATTCAGTTTCAGGTGTCTTCAATGGGAAGTTTTAACAAATAGTCAACAAATAATTTTTTTTTTCATCTGTTACAAATTCATCACAATATAACTGGCTAGCCATATGCAAAGGATTAAAACTGGACCCCATAATTATACCATATACAAAAATTAACTCAAGATGGATTAAAGACTTAAATGTAAAACCCAAAATTATAGAAACCCTAGAAGAAAATCTAGGCAATATAATTCAGGACATAGGCACAGGCAAAGATTTCATGATGAAAACACCAAAAGCAATTGCAACAAAAGCAAAAATTGACGAATGAGATCTAATTAAACTAAAGAGCTTCTGCACAGCAAAAGAAACTATCAACAGAGAAATCAAACAACCTATAGAATGGGAGAAAATTTTTGCAAACTATGCATCCAACAAAGGTATAGTAGCCAGCATCTATAAGGAACTGAAACAAATTCACAAGAAAAACAAACAGCTCCATTAATATGTGGGCAAAGGACATGAACAGACAAAAGAAGACATACATGCCCCCAACAATCATATGATAAAAATGCTCAACATCACTGATTAAAGAATGAAAATCAAAACCACAATAAGATACCATGTCACAGCAGTCAGAATGGCTATTATAAAAAGTTAATAAATGACAAATGTTGGCAAGGTTGTGGAGAAAAAAAAGAACACTTATACACTGTTGGTAGTAGTTTAAATTAACTCAACCATTGTGGAAGACAGTGTGGTGATTCCTCAAAGAACTAAAGACAGAAATATCATTTGACCCAGCAATTCCATTACTGGGTATATACCCAAAGGAATATAAATTATCTTACCAGAAAGACACATGCACACAGAATTTTGTTGCAACAGTATTCACTATAGCAAAAACATGGAATCAACCTAAATACCTATCGATGATAGACTGGATAAAGAAAATGTGGTACATATACACCATGGAATACTATGAAGCCATAAAAAGGAATGGAATCTTGTCCTTTGCAGAGGCATGGATGGAGCTGGAGGCCATTATCCTTAGCAAACTAATGCAGGAACAGAAAACCAAACACTACATGTTCTCACTTACAAGTGGGAGCTAAATGATAAGAACACATGGACATATAGAGGGGAACAACACACACTGGGGTCTATTGGAGGGTGGAGGGTGGGAGGAGGGAAAGGATCAGGAAAAATAACTGATGAGTACTAGGCTTAATACCTGGGTGATGAAGTAATCTGTACAGCAAACCCCCATGACATAAGTTTACCTATATGACAAATCTGCACATGTACCCCTCAACTTCAATGTTAAAAAAAAATTATGCCAATAAAACAAATGGGGGAATATACTCTGAATTACCTTATAAGGCTAGTATAACCTTGATTTCTAAGATAATTCAAAGGAAATACAAGAAATAATAATTAAAGGTAAATCTTATTCATTAATATAGATACAAATATCCTGGACAAAATATTACATTCGATCAAACAATATTTGAAAATACACTACATCAGCCTATAGTGTTTATATCCCAGGAATGAAAGTACAGTAAAACATGAGAAACCAATTTATATAATCCACCACATTAACATATTAAAAAGGATATATATGTATGTATACACACACATATATTGTATATATACTCACCTCGATAGATTTGGAAAAATCAATGCTATTTAACATCCGTTATCTTTTTTTAATCATCTTTACTGAACAAGAGCAAATGCATTTTTGAAACATTTTTACTGAATAAGAGCAAACCTAAATCATACTCAATGGTAAATTCAGGTTCCAACTTTATCCTTGGTATCAGAAGTAAGACAAGGATATCTCCTATCATTACATCCATCCTTTATTTTATCAGATGCCTTGGTCAGTGAAACAGAACAAGAAAAAGAAATAAAAGCCATTGGTCTAGGAAAGGAAGAATCATACTATCATTTTTCATGGATGACACAATGTACATTTAGAAAATCAAGAAAAGGATTAGAAACAGCTGCAGTATGCAGCACTTGCAGAAAGAAATTAAAAGGGGTGAGTGAATCCAGCATCTTCAACTGAAATAGCCAGGTTCTCACTTTGGGACTGACCAGGCAAACAACTCGACCCACAGAGAATGAAGAAAAGCAGGGAGCAGGGTGATGGCCCACCTGGGAGTGGCACAGAGCCAAAGGAACCCCCACCCAAGCCAAGGGAGGCAGTGACTGATAGTGCAACCCCACCTGAGAAACCACACTTTTCCTACAGATCTTTGCCACCTGCAGGTCAGGAGACCCCCTCAAGAGCTCATGCCACCAGGGCCTTGGGTCAGATACACAGAGCTGTGTGGAGTCTCAGCAGAGCAGCTGCTTAGGCATACACAAAGACACAGGAGTTTTACATACTCTGGCCCTGGGATCCCTGGCAAGGTGGGAAATCTGTCCATACATATCCCTAGAAAGGGGGCTGAATCCAGGGAGCCAAGCAGCATCTTTCTCTGGGCCCCATTTCCATGACATGTCATAAGTTAAGACCCACTGGCTTGGAATTCCAGCCAGCCAATGGGAACAAGCTGGAATCGCCTGAGATGGGCCTGAGTTCCCAGGGGGAGGGGCAGCTGCCATCTCTGTGGTTTGGTAGTCTCAGCTGTTCCAGCCTGCTAGCTTTGGAGAATACAAATGGTCCAGATGAGGAAGAGTCCCTTACAATGCAGTACAGCTGTTTTGCCAGATTGTGGCCAGACTGCTTCTTTAAATGGGACCTCAATCCATTCCTCCTCACTGGGCAAGACCTCCCTGTGGGGGCTTCAGCCACTCCAGCCAGGGTTCTATGGACAGAGTTCTTATCTCTGGGACAGAGCTCCCAGCACGAGGGGCCGCCACTACCTCTGCAATTTGGCTACCTCAGCCATTCCAGCCTGCTGGCATTGGAGAATACAAATGGTCTGGATGAGGAAGGGTCCCCCAAAACATGGTACACTTGCTCTACCAAAAAGCAGCCAGACTGCTTCTTCAAGTGGGTTTCTGATCTTGTTCTTCCTGACTGGATGAGACCTCTCAATTGGGGTGTCCAGCCACCTCCTACAGGTGCGTTCAGGGTGGTGACAGATCAGTACACCCCTGGGACAAGGTTTCCAGAGGAAGGAGCTGGCTACCACCTTTGCAGTTTCACAGCCTTCACTGGTGAAACCTCCAGGTATGGGAAAAACCAAGGCAACTAGGGTCTGGAGTGAACTCCTAGCAAACAACAGCAGCCCTACAGTAGAGTGACCTGACAGTTAAAAAACAAACAAACAAACAAACAGAAAACAACAATATCAACAAAAAAGACCCCACAGAAACCTCACTCAAAGGTCAACAACCTTAAAGAACGAAGGTAAATAAGTTCACAAAGATGAGAAAGAATCAATGCAAAAACACTGAAAAATAAAAAAGCCAGAGTGCTTCTTCTCCTCCAAATGACCACAACACCTCTCCAGCAAGGCTACAGAGCTGGGGTTGAGGCTAAAAAGACTGAATTGACAGAAGTAAGCTTCAGAAGGTGGGCAATAACAAACTTTGCTGAGCTAAAGGAGCATGTTGTAACCCAATGCAAAGAAGCCAAGAATCTTGATAAAACAATACAGGAGCTGATAGCCAGAATAGCCAGTTTAGAGAAAAACATAACCGACTTGATAGAGCTGAAAAACATGAGAACTTCACAATGCAATCACAAGTTTCAATAGCAGAATAGATCAAGTGGAGGAAAGAGTCTTGGAGTTTGAAGACTATCTTTCTGAAATAGGACAAGCAGACAAAAATAATTAAAAAAAATGAATGAAAAGGAATGAACAAAACCTCTGAGAAATATGGGATTATGTAAAGAGACCAAACCTACTACTCATTGGGGTACACTAAGGAGACTTGAAAAATGGAATCAAGTTGAAAAACACTTCAGGATATCAGCCAGGAGAACTTCCCCAACCTAGAAATACAGGCCAACATTCAAATTCAGGAAATACAGAGAACCCAAGTAAGAAACTCCATGAAAAGATCAATCCCAAGACAGATAATCTGCAGATTTTCCAAGGTCAAAATGAAAGGAAAAAAAAATGTTAAGGCAATTCAGAAAGAAAGGCCAGGTCACCTACAAAGGGAAACCCATCAGACTAATAGCAGACCTCTCAGTGGAAGCCCTACAAGAAGACAGGGGGCCAATATTCAACATTCTTAAAGAAAAGTATTTCCAATGCAGAATTTAATATCTGGCAAAACTAATCTTCATAAGCAAAGGAGAAATAAGATCCTTTTCAGACAAGCAAATGTTTAGGAAATTCATCACCATTAGGCCTGCCTTGCAAAAGCTCCTGAAGGAAGCACTAAATATGGAAAGGAAAAACCATTACCAGCCACTACAAAAACACACTGAAGCACACAGACCAGTGACACAGTGAAGCAGCCACATAAGCAAGTTGACAAAATAACCAGCTAGCATCAGGATGACAATTAAATTTACACATAACAATGCTAACCTTAAATGTAAATGTTCTAAATGCCCCAATTAAAAGACACAGAATGGCAAGCTGGATAAAGAGCCAAGACCCACTGGTATGCTGTCTTCAAGAGACCCATCTCACATGCAAAGACACACATAGGCTCAAAATAAAGAGATGAAGGAAAATTTACCAAGAAAATGGAAAACAGAAAAAAGCAGGGGTTGCAATCCTGGTTTTTGACAAAAGAGAATTTGAACCAACAAAGATCAAAAAAGACAAACAAGGGCATTACATAATGGTAAAGGGTTCAATTCAACAAGAAGAGCTAGCTATCCTAAATATGCACTCAATACAGGAGCATTCAGATTCATAAAGCAAGTTCTTAGAGACCTGCAAAGAGACTTTGACACCCACAAAATAATAGTGGAAAACTTCAACACCTCACTGACAATATCAGGCAGATCACTGAGAGAGAAAATTAACAAAGATATTCAGGACACAAACTTAGCTCTGGATCAAGTGGATCTGATAGATATCTACAGAACTCTCCACCCAAAAGCAACAGAATATACATTCTCATAGCCACATGGCACCTGCTGTGAAATTGATTGCATAATTGGAAGTAAAACACTCCTCGATGAATGCAAAAGAACTGAAATAACAGTCTTTCAGACAACACAATCAAATTAGAACTCAAGATTAAGAAATTCACACAAAACTACAAAACTGCATGGAAACTGAACAACCTGCTCCTGAATTACCACTGAGTAAATAAAGAAATTAAGACAGAAATCAAAAAGTTCTTTGAAACTAATGAGAACAAAGAGATGATGTACCAGAATATCTGGGACACAACTAAAGCAGTGTTAAGAGAAAAATTAATAGCGCTAAAATGCCCACATCAAAAAGCTAGAAAAGTCTCAAGTTAACAACCTCACATTTCAACTAAAACAGCTAGAGAACCAAGAGCAAACAAACCCCAAAGCTAGCAGAAGACAAGATCAGAACTGAACTGAGGTAGATAGAGACATAAAAAACTGTTCAAAAAATCAACAAATCCAGGAACTGTTTTTTTTTTTTGAAAAAAAAAATCAATAAAATAGACCATTAGCTAGACTAATAAAGAAGAAATGAGAGAAGAATCAAATAAATGCAATCAGAAATGATAAAGGAGATATCACCACTGACCCCACAGAAATACAAACAAGCATTAGAGAATACTAAAAACACCTCTGTGCACATAAACTAGAACATCTAGAAGACATGGATAAATTCCTGGACACATACAACCTCCCCAGACTGAACCAGGAAGAAATTAAATCCCTGAATAGACCAATAATGAGTTTTGAAATTAAGGCAGTAATAAATAGCCTACCAACCAAAAAAAAACAAAAACAAAAACAAACAAACAAACCAAAAAAGCCCAGGACCTGACATATTCACAGCTGAATTCTGTCAGAGGTACAAAGAAGATCTGATACCATACCTACTGACATGATTTCAAAAAAATGAAAAGAAGGGACTCCTCCATAACTCATTCTATGAGGCCAGCATCATCCTGATATCACAACATGTCACAGATATAACGAAAAAAGATTTTAGGCCAATATCCTCGATGAATATTGATGCAAAAATCCTCAATAAAATACTGGCAAACTTAATCCAGCAGCACATCAAAAAGCTTATACACCATGATCAGGTTGGCTTCACCCCCAGGATGCCAAGTTGGTTCAACATATGCAAATGAATAAATGTGATTCATCACATTAAACAGAACTAAAGCAATAATCACATTATCTCAATAGATGCAGAAAAGGCCTTCAATAAAATTCAACCTATCTTCATGTTAAAAACTTTCAATAAACTAGGTATCGAAGGAACAGACCTCAAAATAATAAGACCCATATATGACAAACCCATAGCCAATATCATATTGAATGGGAAAAAGCTGGTATCATTCCCCTTGAAAACCAGCACAGGACAAATATACCCACTCTCACCACTCCTATTCAACATAGTATTGGAAGTTCTTGTCAGGGCAATCAGGCAAAAGAAGGAAATAAAGGGTATTCAAATGGGGAGAGTGGAAGTCAAATCTTCGTTTGCAGATGACATGATTCTATATGTAGAAAACCCCATCATCTCAGCCCAAAAGCTTCTTAAGCTAATAAGTAACTTCAGCAAAGTCTCAAGATACAAAATCAATGTTCAAAAATCGCTAACATTCCTATACACAAACAACAGGCAAGCAGAGAGCCAAATCATGAATGAATTCTCATCCACAATGGCTACAAAAAGAATAAAATACCTAGGAATACAGCTAACAAGGAAATTGAAGAACTTCTTCAAGGAGAACTACAAACCACTGCTCACAGAAATCAGAGAGGATACAGTCAAATGGAGAAACAATCCATGGTCATGGATAGGAAAAATCAATATTGTGAAAATGGCCATACTGCCCAAAGTAATTTATAGATTCAATGTTATTCCCATTAAACTACCATCAACATTCTTCACAGAATTAGAAAAAAACTATTTAAAAATTCATATAGATCAAAAAATGAGCCCAAATAGCCAAGATAATCCTAAGCAATAAGAACAAAGCTGACGGCATCATGCTACCTGACTTCAAACTATACTGCAAGGTTACTATAACCCAAACAGCATGGTACTGGCACAAGAACAGATACATAGACCGATGGAATAGAATAGAGAACTCAGAAATAAAACCGCAAACTTACAACCATCTGATCTTTGCCCATGACAAAAACAAGCAATGGGGAAAGTACTCCCTATTTAATAAATGGTGCTGAGAGAGCTGGCTAGCCATATGCAGAAAATTGAAACTGGACCCCTTCCTTACACCATATACAAAAATTAATTCAAGATGGATTAAAGACTGAAATGTAAAACCCCAAACTATAAAAACCCTAGAAGAAAATCTAGGCAATATCATTCAGGACAGAAGAATGGGCAAACATTTCATAACCAACATGCCAAAAGCAATTGCAACAAAAGCAAAAATTGACAAATGGAATGTAATTAAACTAAAGAGCTTCTGCACAACGAAAGAAATTATCATCAGAGTGCAGAGACAACCTACAAAACGGGAGAAAATTTTTGCAATGTATCCATCTGACAAAGGTCTAATATCTAGAGTCTACAAGGAAATTAAATTTACAAGAAAAAAAAACAACCTCATTAAAAAGTGGGCAAAGGACACAAACAGACACTTCTCAAAAGAAGACATAAATGTGGCCAACGAACATTAAGAAAAGCTCAACATCACTGATCATTAAAGAAATGCAAATCAAAACCACAATGAGATACCATCTCACACTAGTCAGAATGGTGATTATTAAAAAGTCAAAAACAACAGATGCTAGAGAGGCTGTGGAGAAAAAGGAATGCTTTTACACTGTTGGTGGGAGTGTAAATTAGTTCAACTTTTTTTTTTTTTTTTTTGAGACAGAGTCTCGCTCTGTCACCCAAGCTGGAGCGCAGTGGCGATCTTGGCTCGCTGCAAAGTCCGCCTCCTGGGTTCACGCCATTCTCCTGCCTCAGCCTCCTGAGTAGCTGGGACTACAGGCGCCTGACACCATGCCCGGCTAATTTTTTGTATTTTTAGTAGAGACAGGGTTTCACCGTGTTAGCATGATTGTCTCAATCTCCTGACCTCGTGATCTGCCTGCCTTGGCCTCCCAAAGTGCTGGGATTACAGGCATGAGCCACCACACCTGGCCAATTAGTTCAACTATTGTGCAAAACTGTTGTGCAAAAATAGGGTGGCAATTCCTCAAAGACCTAGAGACAGAAATACCATTTGACCCAGCAATCCCATTACTGGGTATATACCCAAAGGAATATAAATCATTCTCTTATAAAGATATATGCACGTATATGTTCATTGCAGCACTGTTCACAATAACAAAGACATGGAATCAACCTGAATGCCCAGAATTGATAGATTGGATAAAGAAAATGTGGTACATACACACCATGGAATACTATGCACCCATAAAAAGAAATGAGAGCATGTCCTTTGCAGGGACATGTATGGAATTGGAAGCCATTATCCTCAGCAAACTAATGCAGGAACAGAAAACCAAACACCACATTTTCTTACTTATAAGTGGGAGCTGAATGACAAGATCACATGGACACATAATGAGGAACACCACCACTGGGGCCTGTCGAAGGTGGGAGTTATGGGGAGGGAGAGCATTAGGAAAAATAGTTTATGCATGCTAGGCTTAATACCTAGGTGATGGGATAATCTGTGCAGCAAACCACCATGGCATACGTTTACCTACGTAACAAACCCGCATATCCTGCACACGTACCCCAGAGCTTAAAGGTTGAAGGAAAAAACAAGAAAGAAAATCAAGAAGAATCTATAGCTAAATTATTAGAATTAAGAGTTCAGAAAGTTTGTAGAATACAAATGTATATAAAAAATTGCATTTCTATTTACCTGTGTAGGGAAGGGAAACTATCTTTTTCTTCTACCCTTCTGAGTTCTTGATTGTGGCGTCTGTAACAGAAGACAGAGAAAAGCATATAAAAGACAAAAGAGAAGCATACACATTTTAAAAATATAAGCTTTACATGCCGTGAGAGCTTTAATAAGGAAATGAAGACCCAAATAAGTGATTAAACCTGAGTGTTTTTAACACTGTATTTGATGAAGAGTGGAGAGTCACAAAGAAATATAAGACAAAGGGGGTATGAGCTAAGGGTAGTAAAGTGGAGGACACAGCAAAAATTTAGTTCATATTTCCCTCTGTGTCCTTTTGTCTTCACAAATAAGAATGATTCTTTCCTTAGAATATAGGGAGGTGAAGGGGGAAAATAACCCCATAGTCTTTTTTTTTTTTTTTTTTTTGAGACGGAGTCTTGCTCTGTCCACCAGGCTGGAGTGCAGTGGTGCGATCTCGGCTTGCTGCAGCCTTCACCTTCTGGGTTCAAGTGATTCCCCTGCTTCAGACTCCCAAGTAGCTGGGACTACAGGTGCATGCCACCACACCCAGTTAATTTTTTGTATTTTTTAAATAGAGATGGGGTTTCACCATGTTGGCCAGGATGGTCTCGATCTCCTGACCTCGTGATCTGCCGGCCTTGGCCTCCCAAAGTGCTGGGATTATAGGCGTGAGCCACCATGCCTGGTCCCCCATAGTTTCTTAGTTGGAATGGACCCCTATAACAAAAAACAGATTAACGGGAGAAAAACAAATGGAAGTATGTCTTTAAATTACAGCTTATATAGCATCTTCAATAAAGAACAGTCAATTTTTAGAGAAGTGACAAGACAAACGAAAAGGACTTTGACAGTAACTTGGGGGAGGGCAAATAAATGGCAGATAAAAGCGAATTAATAAAGCTTGTTAATGTAGATTTCTCTAGTACCATCTACAGGCCAATGAGGGTCTAAAGCTGTTCTGGCAGTTAACCCTTTTCTTCCTGGCAGAAGGCAAGGATACCTTTAGTCTTTGTAAGTGTTTATCCTGCTTTTAAGCAAATAGAGGGAGAGCAGAGAGCTTTCCTGCATCCGCTTCTTCTTAATCATCTTCAGCTCAACAATTCTTCATATTTTGGGGTGACATATTCTGTTCTTCCACAGAGGGTTCCTCTCACAGGAGGGTTTTGTGACCTGCTTCAGGAAACAGTCAGAAAGTCCATACCACATATGCCATTTCTCAAGTTTTTTCAGCTTAAAATATTCAGTAAGACAAAATGTCAAATTTTGGAGTAACATGTCCTGAACTACATGATGAGCAATATTTAGATAATAAATATTATTACAGTAATATAATGGAATATCACTCAAGAATAAAAAGAATAAACCCCTGAAACATGAAACAACATTGCCGAATCTCAAAAATGTTATCCTGAGTGAAAGAAGCTAAATCCAAGAGTGCCATATTAGTTATATATTGCTGCATAATATTACCCAGACATTCAGTGACTTAAAGCAACATTTATTATCTCAGTTTCTCTGGGTCAGGAGTCTAGGAGTGGCTTAGCTGGATGGTTCTAACTCAGTGTCTCTCATAAAGTTGCAATGAAGGTTCATCTAGAGATTTCAGTCATCCGAGACATGATAGGGGTGAAGGATCTGCTTCCATTTTTAATTACATATATGGCTATTGGCAGTAGGCTTCAGTTCCTTGCCACATGTGCCTCCCCATGGGGCTTCTCAGGGCATAGCTTCACCAAGAACAAGTGATCCAAGAGAGTGAGAGTGAAAGAGACTGAGATGGAAGCAACTGTGTTTTAATAACCTAATCTCAGGAGTGATATACAATCACTTCTGCTGTATGTGATTGGTCACACAGACCAACACTGGTACAATGTTGGAAGGGGCTACACAAAGATATGAATACCAGAAGCCAGGGATAATTTTGGATCATCTTGGATACTGGCTATCCCAAGGGCATAGTGTATGATTATATTTATATAAAATTCTTAAACAGGCAAAACTAATCTAAAGCTGGTGAAAGCTAACAGATTAGTGGTTGCACAGTGATGGTAGTTAAGGGTGAATGTTTGAAAAGGGGCATAAGAGAAGTTCTGAATTTCTATAGAATATTTATATAGAAATGGGATAGTGGTTACATGGGCGCATATACTTGTCAAAACTCATTGAATAAAACATTTAAAATGGATTCATCTTATTTACTTATTTATTTATTTTTTGAGACGAGGTCTTACTCTGTCGCTCAGGCTGGAGTGCAGTGGCACAATCTCAGCTCACTGCAACCTCCGCCTCCTGGGTTCGAGTGATTCTCTTGCCTCAGCCTCCTGAGTAGCTGGGATTACAGGCGCGTGCCACCACGCCAGGCTGATTTTTATATTTTTAGTAGACACAGGGTTTCACCATGTTGGCCAGGCTGGTGTTGAACTCCTGACCTCAGGTAATCCACCCACCTCAGCCTCCCAACGTGCTGGGATTACAGGCTTGAGCCACCACGCCCAGCTGATGCATCTTATTATATAAATTATATCTCAAAAGTTGATTTTTTAAAAAATAGAAAATGGAATTCAAATAAAGATACCACTTATAATAGCATACAAATCAAAGCACTTAGAGATATAGAAAAATAGAATTCAAATAAATATACTATTTACAGGCTAGGTGCAGTGGCTCACACCTGTAATCCCAGTACTTTGGGAGGCTGAGGTGAGATCAGGAGTTCAAGACTAGCCTGAACAACATGGTGAAACCTTGTCTCTACTAAAAATACAAAAATTAGCTTGGGCGTGGTGGTGCATGCCTGTAGTCTCAGCTACTTGGGAGGCTGAGGTGGGAGGATCACTTGAACTCAGGAGGTAGAGGCTGCAGTGAGCCAAGATTGCACCACTGGACTCTCAGCCTGGGCAACAGAGTGAGACCCTGTCTCAAAATAATATATACTATTTACAATTGCATACAAATCAAGGCACTCAGAAATATATTTGATAACCTAATTAGTAATCAAGGAAATAAACATTAAACATCACAATATTCAACAGATTAACACACACTGAAAGTCTGACAATTCAGACTGGTGATGACATGGAGCAACAGGAATACCCAGGTACTGCTGGAGGGAGGATAAATTGGTCTAGCCACTTTTGAAACAATTCGGCATTCTCTAGTAAAATTGAAATTGTATCCGACTACTGGTGATATACCTGAGAGAAATTCTTTCATGTGTGCACTTGAATACAGACTATTTAAGCAGTATTGTTCGTAAAGCCAATAACTGGAAACAATCTACGTGTACTCAGTAGTACACTAGACAAACAAATTGTGTTGCATCCAGAAAATACAAAAAGGAAAACCAGGGGAGAATGGCTATAGCCAACTGTCACAAGCATTGTTAAGCTAAAGAAGACAGTCACAAAAGACACTAACAATATGATTTTATTCATGTAAAAGTTCAAAAGCAAGGCAAGCCAAACTATGTCATGTAGTTTGAATCCATACTTAAGTTGAAAATCTGTAAAGAAAATGAAGAAAATAATCATCACAGATGGCTAGACCATGGTTGTCACTGGGAGAACGAGAGAAGAATGTGATGGCAAGGGGGACCATAGTAGGGTACTTTGGTGTAGGCATTGTTTGATTATTATTATTAACACAGGTGATAAAAATAACAGAACTCAGGTGTCCTACTAGTTTTAAACAAGTGTTTGATACTTAATTACTTTATAAACTTTGTGTATTTTTCTTATTACCCTTGACTCCATCTCCCTTTTGTTTTTTTTCCAAGCAGTTAAATGAGGCACAAGGTGGTAACTAGCAGTGCATACTCACACGGACCTGCTGCTCCTGTTGCCACTGACATGCCCACAAAGTCTGAACAGAGGTGGCTGTGCCCAGCCCTCATCTTCAAAATCACTGAGGCCTCCTCTAATAGCATCCTTGTGAGGTGCTGCCTCAGGGCCCTCAATCTTGGACTGTGATTTAGTGAGCATTTTCCGAACACAACATATTTTGTCTCCTAGGTTAAAGGGGGTGGCTTTAGATAAACAGATTATAAATTGTGACAGAAAGAGCACCTAGGATTGCTAGAAGAGATAAGCCAGCAATGCCATGCTATCTGGCATCACCAACAAAAATGCTGGAACTAACATGGTTGATGTCTTATCACACCAATGTCCTTACATATTAACTCTTTCTTTCTCCTGTAATAGTGCCTCCTCATAATGAGGCTTATGCATGAGTTCCTGGGAGCTGGACTTGAGGACTGAGTCAGGACTGAAATAACTGACTTTGTTTTTGGAAACAATCTACATGTACTCAATGGTACACTAGACAAACAAATTGTGTTGCATCCAGAAAGTATAGAAAGGAAAACGAAGGGAGAATGGCTATATCCAACTGTCACAAACAATGTTAAGCTAAAGAAGACGGTCACAAAAGATACCAACAATATGATTTTATTCTTGGATTGTGATAAGATTGTCCTTTTCCCTCAGATCCTGTCCACTGCCCTTGGCCATATTCTATCCATCTGACTCTTTTTCCCTCATGGAAAGTCCTTCCCAGGAGGCAAATCAAACTCTCACATAAGGAGATATTTCTCTGACTGCCTCCTCAGGATTCCAGACATTCCCAAGCATGTATAAATCCTAGAAAGAAAAGAGGAGCTGAGGACAAAACTTGGGTTCATCTTGCCAAGTTATAACAATTCTACTTGGACACTGTGATGGTGAGGTGCAGTGTTTATAGCCCATCTAGATTATTGTTTTTGACTGTAGCAGCCTATGGGGAAGGTTGCTGTAGAAGCAGACCTATATATTTTTTTCAGATTTCATCAGAAATGAATACATACATGAGGGTTGTGGCAGAGAGACTTGAGGAAATATGATATTATTAATGGAAATTTCTGAATGCATAGTGAAAGGCTTAATAAATAGACTTTAAATTTTTCCTGATGTTTAAAACATATTGTCTAAAATAATAATTTTGGCAAGTTCAATTTTGCAGTATTATCAAAGATAAAGTTTTGCCTTCAATTAAGCCAGGGTCACAAGTCAATCAGATTTCAAGTTAAAAAGGAAAAAATAGTCTATATTGGATCCACCCTGCCAGATTACTGAGGACCAAGGACATTGAAGTCCAGGCTGAGATGTGGTAACCCAGGAGTTTGGGCTAAGTGTGGGGGCTATGGTGCAGAAGACTAAAGCAGGCTGTCTAAGCTTGGGGAGACGGTAAACCAAAAAGCTGTACTTTCTATCCTAATGAAATCAATTGGAAGGTACCTGGCATAGGGATGTCACTAAGTATACTGCTGAGTCTCTTTTAGCATTTCAGAGCATCGTTTTTCCAGTTACTGTGTGTTTTTCCTTCAAATCGCACAGCTGTGTTTCTCTTTGAAGGCCCACTCTTGGGCTACTGGGTTTGCTCTGCCTCAACAGCAAAAAGTTTGAAGTGCCTGGGAGTTGACAAACTGCCCTTTTACCCCCACCCTAAATCCAGTGACCCTTATTCCAGGACTGGCTGGTGCAGGAGTTATAAAGCCCAGCTACTTTCCTTGAAACAGCTCTAACTCTGAGCTGTGATTTACGCAGGATTAGGCTGAGGTAAGGACCTGGCCTAAAACCACACAATTGCTTGCTTCTTCCTCTTTCCTCTCCTGTTTTTCTCACTCTTTTACAAGATTCTCCTGGCAGCACTTCCTTCATAAACAACTTGCACCTGAATCCTCATCTTGCGGTCTGTTTCTGGGTAACTGACAATGATCATCAAAAATTTGTATATACAAATATATGGATAGTGGAAAGCCACTACTTCCACTCACAAAGAAACTTCAAGTATGCAGGTTCCCTTCTTTGAAATTCTTGTCATAAAAGAGAAAATAAATGTTATTTAAAAAGAAAAGTTGGATGGATATTAAAATTAGCAAATTACATTTCATCTTATTGCATGTATGTTCAGGGTTGCTGAAAATCACATTTCATAACTGGATTAGTAGAGGAAGTAGAAGAAAAATAAGACTCAGTGCTCATCTATTAATAAATGCATATATACGAGGAACTGCTTGAAAACAATCAACTTCGAATCAGGTTCAAATTGGCTGCTGCTGAGAGTGGAAATGAAATTCACCCTCTGAGCCAGTGTACAAAATGTTCTACTTCTAGCTTGAATCATAAGAAAAAAGAAAAGGAAACTCTCTTTTCTTTTCCCTTTTAGAATTGGCTTAAAAGATAAAATACTGTTCTGCTAAGTAAATTCATAGATATACTGATCACATTTCTGTTTATTTTCAATCCCTGTGCAACAACATTTGACATAAATTGACTTCATGTTCCGCTGCACAGCAAGATTTGTTGTTCATTCTGAATTAACATTATTCTGTAGCATGCATTGTTGCCATTCAGAAGCCAAATCAGGAAGTCAAAATGGCAACACTAATCAACTTTGAAGCTTTTTCAAAATGCATGTTTTGGAAACCCTATACATTTATAACATCATCCGAATTTGAAAAAGTAATCAAACTTCTTCATCATTTCTTGTTGGATACATGCTAGTTTGGCATTAGGACTGTACAATTTTTCTCAGAAAATTCCATTCTGAGAAATCTTTTTGTAGTGGCCATTTGAAAGATCTCTTTGCAGCCCATGGAACAAAAAATTACCTGTTTTAATGGAAACTCTTTCCTCTTAATGACAACGTGGATGCTTATACAATGTTATTCCATCTCCTAGGTATACTTCAAGGACCAGGGTAATCCAGTCAGAATCTATACTCTGAGAATCTGGAATAGGAGCTAAGATAATCTTGTGTCAGTCTGTACTGAACTCTGAAAGAGAAAAGGTGTAAAATCTTGGGCACATGGCTGTTGTTAATTAATGCATTAGGTTCCTAGGGCTGCTGTAAGAAAAGTACCAAAAGCTTGGTGGCTTAAAACAATAGAAATTTATTCTCTCACAGTTCTGGAAGCCAGAAGTCTAAAGTCATGGCCCTGCTCTGAGTTTTCTCTCATCCTTCCTTGCTTCTCCTAGCTTCTGGTGTTTGCCAGCAGTCCTTGTCATTCCTTAACTCGTGGATGCAGTACTCTAGTTACAGGGCCATCTTCACCTTGTATATCTTCCCTCTGCGCATGTCTGCCTCCATATCCAAATTTCCCCTTTTTATAAAGATAGCAGTCATATTAGAATAGAGTCCACCCTAATTGCCTCGTCTTAACTAATTACATCTGCAAGGACGTTATTTCCAACATATCTTTATTGAGGGATACAATTCAAGCCATAACAGTTGGGTTCCCATGAAGCTGACCCTGAGATGAGGATACGACTGCAATCAAATCATTAAGTGCTCACAGGAAAAATCAGTAAGGCACTAATGGAAACAAGGCAGGATAAAGGAGGAAGCAAAAGTTCCATAGAAGGTTGGATTACTCAATTTTATCCTGCAACGGAACCCTGGAGTGTGAATTACATTTTGGAGTTTTTCTGATTAGAGACAAGCAAACAGGGCATGCCTATGCTTTCAGCAATTATCATTGACTAAGGACTGCCTTGGGGGTGGTGGGGGAATGTAAATCCCCAGGCACTTTCATCTCTGCTACATCCCAGCAAATGGGACTCCAAGACTCTCTTGGCAGTCCTCTAAACAGAATTGTAGGTGTGAACTACAATTCCTATGCCCTAAAAGAGAAAATAAATGTTATTTAAAAAGAAAAGTTAGGCTGGGCACAGTGGCTCACGCCTGTAATCTCAGCACTTTGAGAGGCTGAGGCGGGTGGATCACCTGAGGTCAGGAGTTCAAGACCAGCCTGGCCAACATGATGAAACCCCGTCTCTACTAAAAATACAAAAATTAGCTGGGCATGGTGGCACACACCTGTAGTCCCAGCTACTTGGGAGGCTGAGGCAGGAGAATTGCTTGAACCTGGGAGGCAGAGGTTGCAGTAAGCCGAGATTGCGCCATTGCACTCTAGCCTGGGCAATGGAGCAAGGCTATGTCTCAAAAAAAGAAAAAAAATTAGGTGGATATCAAAATAAACAAATTCCATTTCATCTCATTGCATGATATGATTTTGCTTTGTGTCCCCACCCAAATCTCACCTCTAATTGTAATCCCCATGTGTCAAGAGAGGGACATGGTGGGAGGTGATTGGATCATGGGGTCAGTTTCTCCCATGCTGTTCTCGTGATAATGAGGGAGTTCCTATGAGATCTGATGGTTTAAAAGTATTCAGCAGTCTCCTCCATCGCTCTGTCTGTCCTGCTGCCATGTAAGATGTGTCTTGCTTCCCATTCGCCTTCTGCCATGATTGTGTTTCCTGAGGTCTCTCCAACCATGCAGAACTGTGAGCCAATTAAACCTCTTTCCTTTATAAATTACCCAATCTCAGGTAGTTCTTTACAGCAGTGTGAAAACAGACTAATACATTGCATGTATGTACATGGTTGCTGAAAATCACATTTCATGAACAGATTAGCAGAGAAAGTAGAAGAAAAATGAGACTCAGTGCCTGTCTATTAATAAATGCATACATACTAGTATCTGCTTGAAAACAATCAATTTCAAATCAGGTTCAAATTAGCTACCACTGAGACTGGAAATTAAATTCACCCTTTGAGCCAGTGTACAAAATGTATACTGGGGAGGGGAGGGAAAGGGATGCAGGTGGGCTAGCCCCCAAATTTGGGGCTTAGCTTAGGAGGGTTCTTGGCTTTTCTCAAGAAAGAATTCAATAATGAACCAGCAGTGAAAGACAGCACCTTTTATTGAACCAGTACTGCTTTTTGTGGAACAGGACTAATGCATAGGCAGTGTGCCCAGAGTTGGCACTTGTGGGCTATTGGCTAGCTGTATTTATATCTACTTTTAATTACATGCAAATTAAGGGGTGGGCTATGCCAAAATCTCTAGAAAAGGAGCATTAACTTCCAGGTAGTTGCCATTGAAAGGGGTGGTAACATCTGGGTCATTGCCATGGCATTTGTAAACTGTCATGGTGGTGATGGGAGTGTCTTATGCTAATGAGCAATGAGGGCAATTAGAGGTTGCTTTCAGCACCATTTGTTGGTTCCAGCAAGTTTCTTTGTTTCATCCGGTCGGGACTAGGAAATAAGTCCTCTGATCTTCTACCTCAAAAACATACCAAAGCTAGGGGATCCACAAAAAAGACAAATTGGAATTGGAAGGTATTTGGGCAGAACACTGATATCTGCTACAAGTCACATGGCCACCTCTCAGCATGTGGACTGTGTAGCAGAAATAACAGGTCTGCAGAGAGAGAATAAGGAGGCCAACACAAGAAAGAAAACCCTATGACAGAGTCCTTTCTGGGTACCTGATGGCTTTCTTTCCCAACTATATTCTTTCTGAGGTTTTAATGTATTCTTTCCAATTATTTCCACAGTATCCCCCTATATTACCCCAATAAATTCCTGCCCCCTTCTACTTCTTCTTCCTAAGCTAATAACAGTTGTTTCTATGACTTGCAACCATACAACCCAACCACCAAATATGGCACTTTTCTTGGAATGGTTTGAATGCAGTCCTGCTTGGAAGGTCCTTTGGATTTAAACAAAGTAAAAAAGTTAAAAAGATAAATGGAAAAAGGTAACAAAAATCTTTTTGAATAAATATCCCCTCTTTCACACTACTTATAAGGTTAGTTACCTGAATGTTCCAAACTCAGCTCATCACCTCTCTCTGGAAGTTTTTTTTTTTCTTTCTGTGAATGACACCACCATCCATTTACTCAGTTACCCAAGCTCATAAGTTTGTGTTATTTCCACTCCCCACACCCTATCAGATTCCAAGACTTGTGGAATAATCTCTGTGTTCTCTCAATTTTCAGTGCTGTCTCCCTGTTTCAAAACCTCTTTACTTACCTTTTTGTGTTATTATTCAAGCAGGTTCCAAACAGCCTTTCTGCTTCCTGTCTCACCTAATTTACTCTGCACACCACTACTGTTCATCTTCACCCAGGCATATATCCATTCATTCCTCAACTATTTACTGAGCACCCATACTACAGGTAGAAGTGAAAAATATAAATATGGATATGATGTTGATAGAAATGGCATTTACTATTGTGCCTTGCATTGTTCTAAGTTCTTTACATGTTTTAGCTTATTACATTATCTTTAAATAATTATGAACAAGGTACAATTTTTGTCTATACTTTAGAAATTAAAAGAGAAAACGGGCGTAGAAAAAGTAAATAATTTATCTAAGCTTGCAGCTTCTCTCACAAGAGGTTCAGTGAGATAATTAAGCCCTATAGAAAACGACTGGAGTGACTATTTCCTCAATTCTTCCAAGAATGTATAACTAACACCATTCTAGTAACATAGGAAATAAATTAATGCATTGTATAGAACAATTGTTTTGGAGTGTTAGTGCTTAATTCCCTGGTGGAACCCTATTAAGAGCAGTCATGTCATGGGACTAGCAAATGATAGTTTTGGTCTCAGTCTGTTGACTCTGTGCCCATGCTCTCAGCCACTATGAATTGCTGAGACATGCAATAGTGGACAATGTTCATTGTCACAGCTGTATAGCACCCAATTCCTTCCTATTGTTGAGATTCTCTCATTTCGTATGGAGCCTTGTCTTGCATTTAGAAAGTTGAAATTGTCCTCCCTCTCTCTGCCCTATGGTAGCCAGGCATATACCACTAATTCAGATTCCATCATGGGGGTCTGCAATTTGAGACTGGAAAGAGTAACTCAGTGACACAGGGAATGTTAGGGAGTCCTCACAGTCACTGAGGCCATGTCAGCAACATTGTAACACAGTAGTGGTGTCCACTACATGAATAACAGCATGCCAGCCAGAGAATCTTACAAGGATATGATTTGTCCTCCTGTTCTTGGCCCTTTGATGCTCTCTTTGTTTCTGTTCAACTGTACTGCAGGGTGAAAAATACATACAGTCTCATCAGATCTGATAAGAATTTGGCCTAAAATATTCAAGATTATCAAGAAGACTATTTGAAACATGGATTTATGCCTAAAATTGTAAATGCTGGTTCACCTCAACCTAAGATTACATATTTTATGTTCATTTTTTATGTAAGGTCGGCCCTCTGTATCTGTGGGTAATGCACCCATGAATTCAAACAACCACAGATAGAATTTTTTTTTAATTGGGTCCGTAAAGACATTTTTTCTTGTCATTATTTTATAAGCAATATAATAAAACAACTGTTTTTATAGCACATTATATTAGGTATTATAAGCAATCTACAGATGATTTAAAGTATGTGGGGAGATGTGCATAGGTTACACATAAATACTAAGGCATTTTACATCAGGGACTTGAGCATCCATGAATTTTGGTATTTAAAGGAAGTCCTGGAGCCAATCTCCCATGGACAGTGAGGGAGGACTGTATATATACATATATACAGTTATGTACAACATAACATTTCAGGCAACAATAGTTTTGCATATATTGATGATGATCCCATAATATTATAATACCATATTTTTACTGTACCTTTTCTAGGTTTAGATACACAAGTGTTTACCATTTTGTAGCAATTTCCTACAGTATTCACTAAAGTAATGTACTGTATAGGTTCATAGCCTAGAAGCAACATGCTATACCATATAGCCTAGGTGTCTAGTAGGCTATCCCATCTAGGTTTGTGTAAGTGCACTCTCTGATGTTTGCACAACAACAAAATTGCCTAACAATGCATTTCTCAGAATATATCCTCCTCATTAAGTGATGCATGACTATATATACATTATATAGGATGAAAGGAAGCATTATTTGTAGTTTAGCATTATTACACATTAACTCTTTAAAGACAGAGCAGCTTGTTTCTAAACGTGTGCCTCTTAGAGTCGTGAGGATTACATTTATATCTATCTATATCTTTATATCTATATAGCTGTATATAGATACGTAAATGTTAGAGTGTGGTGAGTGACTATTTATAATTGTATAAATAAATCCATGTTTCATATATTTTATATATATATGTATAATAAATACACTAAAGAAACAGATGCACTGGGGAAGGGGACATATGCTTTTCTTTTTAACTGACATTGTAGAGGTCTCTAAGCTTTTTTGATCAAACATCCTAAATTTATCGTTTAAAATCTTTCATGGTATCTTCTAGGGTTTTAAAAATTTCATTTCGTTATATTTAAACATTTCACATCTTTGGAATTTATTTTGGCTAAAGGAGTGAAGGAGGGATCCCTCTACTGTTTTCTCTCCCCACCACCTTATTTTCTAAGGCCAAACCAACTCTATGAATTGTCAGTAACGCATCCTCAGCCTAATGTTATAAAAACTATCTTCAAAATATTCTGTAAGACATTTCTTATAGATCATTTATTTGCTAAAAAAAAAATTGTGTGGTTAAGGGAACATGAGGTTTCAGCTTGCTTGGATTTAAATCAAGAGTCTCAGAGATGGTTTACATGGATTTTGCAGTACAGTCTGACAAGACTGGCCTGATAGTCTTGCAGTAAAGCCCCATGTGCCACAGGCTTCTTGAGTGATGACTTGGCACTTGCTCTTCTTCTCCTGACAAAGATTAACAGCTACGAATTGGTTGCCGTCCCCCACCCCCAGCCTCTTTCTGCCATACTGACCACCTGTTTTTTCTGGGACTTTTTTTGTTCAAGGCTGCCTCCCTTGCCGCTCTGTGTTGGAGTGGCTTCAAGGAGGCACTCTCAGTCCAGCCCAGCCTTATATTAGAACTTTCTTTGTTAAGTGAGGGATTTTTCTGCCACTTCTTTTTGGAGAGCTCTGTGCTCTATTCAAGTTCCAGAGTTCAAACTTCAGTTTTAATAACCAGTAGTTTTGTGATCTTGGGCAAGTTACTTACCTTCTCTATGCCTCTGTTTCATTGCTTGTAAATGGGGAAAATAATATTACCTATCTCACAGGGTTGTCAGGATTAAATTAGTTACCACTTAGAATATTTCTTGGTATATGGTATATCATTGATACTTAACAATGCTCTTTAATATGTGGAGAATTTTAGGTCTATCTTGGAATCTATCCCTGTTTAGGTTTCAGTTCCACTGCATTTGGTTGGTATTTGTAGGGGGCAAGGCCCTTGGCCCACTGAAGGTTCCCTAAAAATCACTGGCATAAGGCATATTGATTAATAGAATAGGTATACATATTTATTTAACGTGTATACAAGGGAGCCTTCAGAATGAAGATCCAATCCCCCAGTGAAGTATAGAAGCTTATATAAGCTTATCTTTTAAAATGTATTCATTTATTTTTAGAGATGGGGTTTTGCTCTGTCACTCAGACTGTAATGCAGTGATGTGATCATAGCTCATTATAGCCTCCAACTTGTAGGTCAAGCTATCCTCCTGCTCAGCCTCCCAGGTAGCTGGGACTACAGGCACATGCCACCATGCCTGGCTATTTCTTTTATCTTTTTTGTAGAGACAGGGTCAGACTATGTTGCCCAGGCTGGTCTTGAACTGGCCTTAAGCAATCTCACCTCGACCTCCCAAAGTGCTTAGATTACAGGGGTGAGCCACCACATCAGGCCCTTATATACCATCTTAAAGTTACAGAAAGAATGGGAGCTTGGATCCTTGCAAAACAAGAGAAATTCTATTGAGGAGCAGTAAAGGATTACTAGAGAGAATGAATGGTTGGGGAACAGAGATTACCTGGTAAGTGGTTCTCTTTAGAATGTGAATGAGTCTAAGAGACAGACATTATCTTATAGAGTCTGTTCAGGTGTGGTTACATTCTTGGTCTTCTTTTCTGCAATAGGTAATGAGATAACAGGGAGGGGAAGAAAAATCTATTGTTTTCCTTGGTGAGTTCAGACTTTAGGCAGATAAAGGAACTTCAGAGAACAACTTTATCCTATACTTTTTATTTTTTGAGACGGAGTTTCACTCTTGTCGCCCAGGCTGGAGTGCAATGGCGCGATCTCGGCTCACCACAACCTCTGCCTCCCAGGTTCAAGTGATTCTCCTGCCTCAGCCTCCCAAGTAGCTGGGATTACAGGCATGCGCCAACACGCCCGACTAATTTTGTATTTTTAGTAGAGATGGGGTTACTTCATGTTGGTCAGGCTGTTCTTGAACTCCCGACCTCAAGTGATCCGCCCGCCTCGGACTCCCAAAATGCTGGGATTACAGGCGTGAGCCACCGTGCCCGGCATATCTTATGCTTTAAGAGAGACTATTATGGGAAGTGAGGAAAGTCAGAGGGACCTTAAAGCTTCTTCAGTTCACCATAACCAAATGTCATATTTTGAGGTATCAGTTTTTGAGCTCCAACATATTCTTTTTGGTTATAGTTTGTTGTGTGGCTCCTTCCTTATTTCATTAAAAATAAAACTTTCTTCCATTTATATTTTTTCTTTTGAAGGTCTATGGTGATTGATTTAATATGGGAAGAATATCTCTTCACCTCAGTTTTTCAATGTAACCTAAAGAGATCATTTTATTGTAGGGGAGGAAAAAAATATTTTTACCACTATGCTTCATAGTTCTTAGTTGGGATAGACCCCCGTAACAAAAGACAGATTAACAAGAGAAAAACAAAAAAGTTTATTAACATGTATGTCTTATGTATACATTGGGAGATACTGAGAGCAAAAAGTAAATCTCAAAAAAATGGCTTTGAATTCAGGCTTAAATACTATCTTCAGTTGAAACAAAGAAAGAAGGGTGTGGAGGGGAAGCAGTTATGGGAATGTGACTAGAAAAAGCATGGTAAACAAGGGTAACATTTTTTATGCAAATTTAAGCAGGTACCTTCTCCACTGATAAGAGTTTCTAGTGATTTAGAGTAAGCCTTTTCTTTCTGGTATGGAGTGGGAGACACCCTTACAAATGGAGTTTTTTTTTAATAGATGTGAATTTCTCTTACAAAAGGGTAACTTCTCTGTTTTTAGAGCTTCTCCTGTGTCTGTAGTTTCTTAGAATAATCAACTGAAAATAGTCCTTATGCCAAAGAGGCATATTTTGGGGTGGCATATTCTGGACTCCTACACTATACATATATAACACATTTATAGTTATAAGAAGAAAATATATCATTTCTCTCTTTCTCTCTCTCTCTGCTTGAATTATTTTCAATATTTGCTTGAATATTTCTTAAAAACACATTCATTTATCCGGAAACAATTCAGATACCTTGAGGTGTTTTTCTTTGTTGTTCCTCTATTGTATTGTTTTTATTTTAGAAATCTCTAAACACTCATTTTATAGAAATGCTATCCAATTTGAAGAGTTGGGGAAGAGTGTGATATAATCGTCTTTCATTTTCAATAATTAACTGCAAACTAATAGGTACAGTTTTATTTGGGTAAATTTTAAAACCTTTTTCTCCTGCAATTGTACAAATAGAAATCTATAGGCAAGAGCCATTAATCTTTATTTTCCTAATATTGTTTTGTGTAAATGCAGCAGTTGTCCTTTCAGATTATTTCCCTTTGAGCTTACATTGTGTTTCTCCATACAAGACAGGGCTAATTTCTCAAAATATGCCTTATAGAGTTGTCGTGAAGATCAAATCAGACCAAATCATGTAATGATTAAAAAACAATAACACTTAGAACCATGCTTGGTGCCTGGCATGCATTAAGCACTCAATTAATGTTTGCTATTATTGTTATCCTCTTTTGTCCTACAGGAGGAAGTTTCTCCCTTTAGAATGTCTTCCTAAACATTGAGTTGTGGTCATTTATATCACACACAGAGCTCCCTTCTGCCTTCTATCTCCTTCCCATTTTCAGACACCCACAAAGAAACCCCACAGGGATTCAACAGCATCCTTTTGTGGCCCTTTTACTAAATTTAAGTTTTGTGTTTTATCCCAGCTTCCTTGTCTTCCTTTATTCAGATTAGAAAACCCTTGGTGAAATCATTTGTAAACTGTACTTGAAATGCAGGGTTCAGATGCCCCTGTGATCCACACTTTTAGAGGTAAAAATGGTTCAGTGCAGCTGTTTGTTTGAACTTGTTGAATATCTATGGGTGGAACCTCCGTTTCTGATTATTTTATGTCTGAATAACACCTGGCTTAATGTTTTGAAGGCGTAGCATTGAGCCTTGGCAGACGTCCATTTGAGGTTTTGTTGTTGTTGTTATTGTTAGCTATGTGACCCAGGTGAGGTACCTAAAAGCTCAGTGCCTCAGCTTCCTTATCTGGATAGTGGGGATAACTAACAATAATGACTATCCTACTGGATGAAGGTGAAGATTAAAGGAGTTAAGTATATAAAGTTTTTAGCACATTCTAAAGATAAAATATATTATTATGTTGTATTATTTTATTATTGTTAAATAAAAATTATTCATGACACTTGTTAAAGAACAGTGAGGCAGACTATAGTCAGAACTGTTGCAATAGGTATAGGGACCACTGTAATGGGGTTTTGCATTTGGGGAGAGAGATTGGGCTCAACTTCAAATATAACAAGGAAAAAGGGAATTTACAACCCAGGATGAGGGGTGGAAAAAAGGCATTTCATGCAAATGAACTTTAAAAGCAAGCAGGAGTAGCTATTCTTATTTCAGACAAAACAAACTTTAAAGTAACAGCAGTTAAAAAAGACAATGAGGGATATTATATAATGGTAAAAGGCCTTGTCCAACAGGAAAATATAATCCTAAACATATATGCACGTAACACTGGAGCTCCCAAATTTATAAAACAATTACTAGTAGACCTAAGAAATGAGATAGACAGCAACAGATTAATAGTGGGGGATTTCAATACCCCACTGCCAGCACTAGACAGGTCATCAAGACAGAAAATCAATAAAGAAACAATGGGTTTAAACTATACCTTGAAACAAATGGACGTTAACAAATATATACAGAACATTTTATCCAATAACTGCAGAATACACATTCTATTCAACAGCACATGGAACTTTCTCCAAGATAGACCATACGATAGGCCACAAAATGAGCCTAATAGATTTAAGAAAATTGAAATTATACCAAGCACTCTCTCAGAGCACAGTGGAATAAAACTGGAAATCAACTCCAAAGGGAACCTTCAAAACCATGCAAATACATGGAAATTAAATAACCTGCTCCTGAATGATCATTGGGTCAAAAACAAAATCAAGATGCAAACTAAAAAATTCTTCGAACTGAACGACAATAGTGACACAACCTATCAAAACTTTTGGGATACAGCAAAGGCGGTGCTAAGAGGAAAGTTCATAGCTATAAATGCCTGCATCAAAAAGACTGAAAGGGCACAAACTGACATTCTAAGGTCACACCTCAAGGATCTAGAGAAACAAGAACAAACCAAACCCAAACCTAGCAGAATAAAGGAAATAACCAAATCAGAGCAGAACTAAATGAAATTGAAACAAACAAAAAAAACCCCCAAAGATTAATGAAGCAAAAGGCTCATTTTTTGAACAGATAAATAAAATTGATAGACAATTAGCAAGCTTAACCAAGAAAAGAAGAGAGAAAATCCAAATAACCTCAATAATAAACGAAATGGGAGCTATTACAACTGACACCACAGAAATCCAAAAGATCATCCAAGGCTACTATGAACACCTTTACACACATAAACTTGAAAACCTAGAAGAGATGGATACATTCCTGGAAAAATACAACCCTCCCAGCTTAAATCAGGAAGAATTAGATACCCTGAACACAACAATAACAAGCAGCAAGATTGGAATGGTAATTAAACAATTATCAACAAAAAAAGTCCAGGACCAGACAGATTCACAGCAGAATTCTACCAGACATTCAAAGAAGAATTGGTACCAATCTTTTTGACACTATTCCACAAGACAGAGTAAGAGGGAACCCTTACTAATTCATTCTATGAAGCCAGCATAACCCTAATACCAAAACCAGGAAAGGACATAACCAAAAAAGAAAAGTGCAGATTGATATCCCTGATGAACATAGACACTAAAATCCCTAACAAAATACTAGCTAACTGAATCCAACAACATATCAAAAAGATAATCCACCATCATTAACTGGGTTTCATACCAGAGATGCAGGGATGGTGATGGTTTAACATACACAAGTCAATAAATGTGATACACCTAGGCAGAAATTTACATTTTGACAACATCTGCATTTTACCAATAATCTTTTGGGCTGTTTTTATTTCTGAAAGATTAAAGTCACATGAACTAAAAAGTACCGTAGCTTTTATCTTCCCTTTCAAAAATATTTCATCCAAGCGCTCATCCTTCTTTAAGTCAATTAATTAGAGCTCTTTTTTATAGACATCACACACACAACACATGTATAACCACACAGACAGGCAGAAGAAGATCCAGTAGCTATAAAATTTTTCCTTTGCCAATCTCCTAATTGCATTATTGGCTTCTGGGTGGAGCCCTTTAAGAGCAAGGCTAGGAAAGCATGTAGTTTCTAGGGTCTAATAAACAAGTGTAGCTGGAAGACAAAAACAGATTTTGGGAGGGATCTATACACCTCTAATTCCTGGCACTCCATAAGGAAAACAGGTGTCTCTAAAAATTGAATCTGTGGTACCTTTTCTGTTTTTCCCAAGAGTCCCAGGCCATCAGAAATTATCTTAGAACCTCTCATGCATTCAGTAAGAGTGGCAAGGCAAAATGGAGTTCAGTCGACTGAGAAAAAAACCTTTTCCCAGCAAAACAAGATCCAAGAAGAGAAAACCATAAAGTCCTTTTAAATATACCCATAACTTGGATATCCACTTTTAATTAAGCTGAGTGCTCTTTAAGAAAATCCTTTTAAGTCCCTTATTACCCGACTTTAGCCATGCCAAGTGGCCAATATTTCTGGCTTTTGAACTTTACCAAAGGTAACCTCCCAACTACTCCAAGAAAGGAAAATACAAGGTGGTTCATGGAGGGGAAGAGAATTGACAAATGGCAAAGGTCACACAGATATCAAACCAGAAAGGACTCATTCCCTAAGCCAGGATTGAACCTGGGCCACCGCTGTAAATGGTGGAGGCTGAAACAAAGCATTGCCATGTGGTTACAGGTCACACTCCCAATAATTTAAAACAAGATGGAGGCCTTCAGCAAAGTTTGCTACTGACCAGTTTGCTGGGCTTGAACAGTGGACCTATGTAATCCTAGGCCTACATCCCATTCTAAGGTACCCCTCTTTCCGACAGAACCATAAAGAAAAATATGCAAAACACACCAGATTGAGTATAGCTTAAGACCAACCTCAAAAATCCTTTTTTTTTTTAAATATAATTAAAACTTTACAGAGAATATAAACAGTGATAGTTGGGATCCTGGCCTAGTCAAACGTCTTCTAAAAGGAAAATAAAAAAGCCTGTCACATAAAAGTTAATGCCTGGCCTAGTGGAGAAAAGAAAAAAACAGCTTAAAGTGCAGAGTTGGAAAGTGTATTAGTCTGTTTTCACACTGCTGATAAAGACATATCCAAGACTGGGAAGAAAAATAGGCTTAATGGATTCACAGTTCTATGTGGTTGGGGAGGCCTTACAATCATGGCAGAAAGTGAAAAGCACCTCTTACATGGTGGCGGCAAGAGAAAATGAGAATCAGGTGAAAGGAGTTTCCCCTTTTAAAACCATCAGATGTTGTGAGACTTATTTACTACCATGAGGCCAGTATGGGAGAAACTGCCCTCATGATTCAATTATCTCCCACAGGGTCCCACCCACAACACTTGGGTATTATGGGAACTACAATCCAAGATGAGATTTTGGTGGGGCACAGCCAAATCATATCAGAAAGATGCCTGGGGAAAGAACTGCTTGTTCTTATGTAAATGGTTTCTTCCAACAGGGAGAAAAACTTAATTGCTGTTTCTTCCCTGGGGCTCAGAGCTGGACCCCTCAGCTAGGGGAGGGGAGGCCAGGTGAGGGGAAGACATCATGGACGTGTGGTGGGGAACACTGGCCAGCCTGCCACGTGGGGGCCTTGGGCCATGTGCTCCAGCCCCACCTGGGAGGGGAGGGGAGCAGGGAGTCATGCCTGCAGCCATTGGGGTGGGGGTGAAACACCCCCAATATTGTAAAAGAAAGGATAGGTGCCAGTACAGTCTCAAAAAAAGAAGGAAAATGCCATAGAAATTCTGGATTGGACTGAGACTGACACTGCTGACCCCTGAGAGCAACGAGGTGGGGCACAGTTTACCCTCAGAAGAAGTCCAAGGACAAAAAGTCTCAGAAACAAAAGGGACAAACATTTTTTGGTCTGCATTTTACTCACCTTTCCTCATGTACCAGTATGGGTCACCAAAATGATCCAGGATCTTTCGCTCCTTAGTTCAGCTAAAATCAGGTTCTTGTCACAGGACCAGGAAAAATTAGGCATACGGACACATTGAAAGGTGAGGAGAGCGGAATTTATTAAAAGAAAGCTCTGAGCAAAAAGAAACCAAAAGGGGTCCTTCCAACACGCATCCACCTCACAGATTGAATGCCAGGCCACCACACACACAACCTGAAGAGGCCACGCTCCTCCCCACTGCATAAGGAACGAATCCCCAGTGGCTCCACCCCATGCTTCCAGTGAGCAGGCCGGCCCCCAGTCCATTGTGGGCATGTCCAGACAAGGGCCTGGGCAGGTTCTCTCATGTGCATAAAAGCATCTGATGTAAACACTTGTGGGGTGGTTGGGAGATTCTCCAGGGATCCTCCCTTAGCTGCCTCCTGCAACTATCACCAGGACTAAGAAGTTTCCCATAATTTCAGACAAGTTTCCTTTGAAGATTGAAAATACACTGCGTATTGTTTTGGTTCATAGGAGGCCGTGTCTTACAGTGGCTAAGTATATGAACTTTGGAGAAAAAAAATGACTTGGATTTTAATTCTGGTTATGTCACTTTCTAATTATGTGACTTTGGGCATTGCTATGGTTTGAATGTTTGTGTGCCCTCCAAAATTTATGTTGAAACATAATCCCCAATGTAACAGTGTTAAGATGTTTGGCCTTTGAAAGTTTCTTAGGCCATGAGAGCTTTGCCCTCATGAATGGATTAGTGCCTTGTAAAAGGACTGGAAGGAACAAGCTAGGTCCTTTTGCATTTTGCTCTCTGCCACATGTGGCTTCAGCAAGAAGGCACCATCTTGGACACAGAGAGAGCAACACTCACCTAACACTGAATCTGCTGGCATCTTGATCTTGGACTTCCCAGCCTCCAGAATTGTGAGAAATAAATTTTTATTATTTATAGATTACCCAGTCTGTGGTATTTTGTTATAGCAAGATTAATGGACTATGACAGGCATGTTAACTCTCAGATCCTCAGTTTTCTCAGGTAGAATCTTTGAACCTAGTACCTACCATATAAGAATGTTGTAAAGACTAAATTAGATGATGCTTGGAAAAGACCTCACATAGGTGCTCAGTGTATTAGCACTGGAGTCTCTTCCTTGTACTTTGAAATGTACCTGCTATGGTTTGAATGTTTGTTCCCTCCAAAACTCATATGGCAATTTAACTGCCACTGTTACAGTATTAAGAGATGAAACTTTAAAGAAGTGATTAGGGCATGTGAGCTCTGCCCTCGTAAGTAGGACTAATACCTTTCATACAAGGGCAAGTTTGGCCCTCTTCTTTCTCTTTTCCCTTCTTCCATGTGATGGTGCAGCAAGAAGACCCTTGCCAAATGGTGGCACATTGTTATTGGACTTCCCAGCCTCCAGAACTGGGAGCCAATACATTTCTATTTGCTATAAATTACTCAGTCTATTAGTCGGTGGTTTTCTACTATAGCAACACAAACAGACTAAGACAATCACTTGTACATATCATGATGCAATATGTGAGAAATGCATCCAACTATATCAATATGACACAGCAATTAGGACTAAGAGCTAAGATCATCTGTGTCAACATGACTTAGTTATTTGTTCCAAAAAAAACCTTTCCCAGGGATGATAAAACTGCAAACCAATAAATAGTTTCAGTCTTCGCTTCAGGAAATTCCTACAAGTCACTTTATCTGAGACAACAGCCTGCTCTCCTGAAAAACAATTTATATATTAAACGGTTTATTTACCAAGGCGTGCTTCAAGACCTTGTGTCTACCAATCTTAAACCATTATGTTACAAACTGCTCAGTCTTGATCAGGATACCACACTGAAATCCACACCTTAAACCAGACCCCAGATCCTTTAAATATCCTCTTTTGATCTTCTGATTTTTCTTTTTTTTTTTTTTTTTTTGAGACAGAGCCTCGCTTTATTGCCCAGGCTGAAGTGCAGTGGTGCACTCTCAGCTCACTGCAACCTCCACCTTCCAAACTCAAGAGATTCTCACGCCTCAGCCTCCCAAGTAGCTGGGATTATAGGTGTGTGCCACCATGCCAGGCTAATTTTTATATTTTTAGTAGACATGGGGTTTCACCCTCTTGGCCAGGCTGGTCTTGAACTCCTGGCCTCAAGTGATCCATCCACCTTGGCCTCCCAAAGTGCTGGGATTACAGGCATGAGCCACTGCAACTGGCCTGATCTGATTCTGATCTGGCCCCTGGATACTTTTCTGGCCTCATCTCCTATGATGCCTTACTTGCTAATTGGAGCCACACTGACATACTTGTTGCATTTCAAATGCTCCAGGAATACTCACACCACTGGATTTTATATTTGTTTGTCCCATGTATATCCACATGATTCACTCCCTTATTTCATTCACATCTTTGTAAAAATGTCTCATTAGCAGAGTGACTTTTCCTAAGCACTTCATGTAAAATTAACCCTCCAAGTACTGTTTATTCCTAATTTGTGTTTCTCTATAGCACTTATAACCTATTGTATAGCTTTATGTGTGTGTATATACATGTTTATCTATCTTCCTCTCACTAGAATGCAAGCATCATTAGAGAAGTGACTTTACTTTTGTTTGTCATTATATCCCTAATACCTAAACAGTGCCTGAAACATAGTGATTAATATTATTTGATGAATATTTGATATATATTTATTGTGAATAAATATTTGATGAATATTCATTATATGGTTTGGCTGTGTCTCCACCCAATCTCATCTTGAACTGTAGTTCCCATAATTCCCACGTGTCATGGGAGGGACCTGGTGGGAGGTAATTTAATCATGGGGGCAGTTATCCTCATGCTGGTCTTCTCATGATAGTGAGTGAGTTCTCACAAGATTTGGTGGTTTTACAAGGGGCTTTCCCCACTTTTGCTCAGCACTTCTCCTTGCTGCCACCATGTGAAGAAGGACGTGTTTGCTTCCCCTTCTGCCATGATTCTAAGTTTCCTGAGGCCTCCCCAGCCGTGCTGAACGGGAGTCAATTAAAACTCTTTCCTTTATAAATTACCAAGACTTGGGTATGTCTTTATTAGCAGTGTGAGAACAGACTAACACAATTCATCAAGTAAATATTTGACAAATAAAGAAATGAGGGACAAGTGAAAGTATAAAAAGACATGATAGAGTCTCAGTTGTTGACACTTGCTAGAAGCAGCCATTTCATCCAATCCAAACTTGGATGCCCTGTTGATGTTTCTGGCATGAATCAGACTGTTTAGAGCAGTGCTATCCAAAATTGATCATGTCATTTCTTGCTTAAACCCTTCAATAGTTTTCTATTGGTCAGGAGTTGGTAAACTATCACCTAAGGGCCAGATCCATTCTGATGCCTGTATCTTGTACACAGAGTTTTATTGGATCACAGCCATGCTCATTCATTTATGTATTGTCTATGATTATTTTCTTGCTATAACAGCACAATCGAGTAGTTGCAACAGAGACCATATGGACCACAAAGCCTAAAATATTTATAATCTTGTCTTTTACAAAAAAAAAAAAAATTCTGACCCCTGCTATTGGCTAAATTAAGTACAATGTTCTTCGGACCTGTCTCATACCTGGAAGAACAGCAGTATGCGACTTAGCTAAGAGTTTGGAATTATGTAGGTTCTGTAGCGGTCAAAGGAAAACTTTCCCATTGCTGTCTGAAGTTTTGCTGAAAATCACTGACAAAAGGCAGATTAATAGGAGAAAAGACTTACATATTTATTTGATCATAGTTTTTTACATGACATGGGAGCCATCAGAATAAAGACCCAAAGATACAGGGAAAACTGTCCATTTTTATGCTTAGGTTCAACAAAGTATGGATAGCTTTGTAGAAATATAATTGGACAAAAGGTATGATCTAATGCCAACAGACTGAGTGGGGAAACCCAGCACGTCCTTTCTGTCTGGATTCTTCTTGGCCTCTTTGAGCAACATTCTTTCCTTCTGGGTGTGGGACAGAACCCTCTCTTGATTAGGGCTCTTATGACCTACAATTAAACAAGGTAAATCAGATAATTTCTTTTTTTTATTTTTATTTTTATTATTATACTTTAAGTTCTAGGGTACATGTGCACATTGTGCAGGTTTGTTACATATGTATACATGTGCCATGTTGGTGTGCTGCATGCATTAACTTGTCATTTACATTAGGTATATCTCTTAATGCTAACCCTCCCCCCTCCCCCCACCCCACGACAGGCCCCAGTGTGTGATGTTCCCCATCCTGTGTCCAAGTGTTCTCATTGTTCAGTTCCCACCTATGAGTGAGAACATGTGGTATTTGTTTCTGTCCTTGTGATAGTTTTCTGAGAATGATGGTTTCCAGCTTCATATGTGTCCCTACAAAGGACATGAACTCATCCTTTTTTATGGCTGCATAGTATTCCATGGTGTATATGTGCCACATTTTCTTAATCCAGTCTATCATTGATGGACAGTTGAGTTGGTTCCAAGTCTTTGCTATTGTGAATAGTACCGCAATAAACCTACATGTGCATGTGTCTTGATAGCAGCATGATTTATAATCCTTTGGGTACATACCTAGTAATGGGATGGCTGGGTCAAATGGTATTTCTAGTTCTAGATCCTTGAGGAATCGCCACACTGTCTTCCACAATGGTTGAACTAGTTTACAGTCCCACCAACAGTGTAAATGTGTTCCTATTTCTCCACATCCTCTCCAGCACCTGTTGTTTCCTGACATTTTAATGATCACCATTCTAACTGGTGTGAGATGGTATCCCATTGTGGTTTTGATTTGCATTTCTCTGATGGCCAGTGATGATGAGCATTTTTTCATGTGTCTGTTGGCTGCATAAATGTCTTCTTTTGAGAAATGTCTGTTCATATCCTTCACCCACTTTTTGATGTGGTTGTTTGATTTTTTCTTGTAAATTTGTTTAAGTTCTTTGTAGATTCTGGATATTAGCCCTTTGTCAGATGGGCAGATTGCAAAAATTTTCTCCCATTCTGTAGGTTGCCTGTTCACTCTGATGGTAGTTTCTTTTGCTGTGCAGAAGCTCTTTAGTTTAATTAGATCCCATTTGTCAATTTTGGCTTTTGTTGCCATTGCTTTTGGTGTTTTAGACATGAAGTCCTTGCCCATGCCTATGTCCTGAATGGTATTGCCTAGATTTTCTTCTAGGGTTTTTATGGTTTTGGGTCTAACATTTAAGTCTTTAATCCATCTTGAATTAATTTTTGTATAAGGTGTAAGGAAGGGATCCAGTTTCAGCTTTCTACATATGGCTAGCCAGTTTTCCCAGCACCATTTATTAAATAGGGAATCCTTTCCCCATTTCTTGTTTTTGAAAAGATCAACAAAACTGATAGACTGCTAGCAAGACTAATAAAGAAGAAAAGAGAGAAGAATCAAATAGATGCAATAAAAAATGATAAAGGGGGTAGAATCAGATAATTTCTTTATAGACAGTTTTTACACACAAAGGAAGAGGTGGGTGGTGGTGGGGAATTAGAGTAATAATTTTAGGTTTTATGGCTGGTTCTGGGGAAAAGGGGTTCTGACTTCTATGGCCCAGCTTAGGGAAGAGGAATTCTAGTTTCTATGGCTACTTCAGGGGAAAATGAAGGCCAGAGCAAGAGGGTAAGAGAAGCAAGAAAGATGCTTCTGAGGACTTCATTTTGGGGTATCGTTTTCTGAGACCCTGAAGTTCAAATGTCAACTCAGACAGCTGTTAGCTGTGAGAACTTGTATGAGTTACTTGCCTTTCTGAGCCTCATTTTCTTCATCCGGAAAATGAGGATCCTAACGGTGCTTACCTCAGTTGTTAGAATTAAATGATTGTCTTTAAGGTTCTTACCAGTCTTCCATATAGTAGGCACACATGCAATTTAATCTATAAATTTTATTGCTGACTCTCTGGCTACTTCATGCCCTATGCTTCATTTATTATTCACACTCAACTGCTGAGAGTTCCTGTACATTGCAAGTTGCTTTTTGCTTCTCTAAGTTGCCTACTAATTTCCTTTGCTTGGAACACATAATTAAAACTTTACTTGGCTTTGCAGACCTCCATTAAGGCTCCTTCTCCTCTCAGAAAACTTCTCTGAAAGCCAAGGGTAGAGCCATTGGTCCACTGCGGTACCATAGTGGTCTTGCAGTCAGACCCCTCTCTCAGGACTGAACGGATCAAGCTGAAATGATGTAAGTTCTGTCTCCCACACTAATAGCTCTTAGTGATGGTGGTGGAAGGAGGAGAGGCGAGTTCTTACCCGTTTTTCTATTCCCAGTACCTGGCACAGTGCCTCTAATATAGCTAATGTTTTTTACTATCTTAGTTACTCTAAGGAGAATATATTCCGTTTTGTTCATTCCCTTTTGTTCGGATGCTGCTTATAGCTGTTTCTGATGGAAAAGAAAGTATTGATGCTGGCTTACATTTCCTGTAAAAAAGTGAGGAGGGAGCTGCTTCAGCTCAGAGTCTGCTCTGATAGGCTCAGTTGGCTCAGGGCAAACTGCAAGCACAGAGCAGTTAATTTCCTATACAGGTACCTGTCATAGCCATGGTGGAATGAAATGAGCCATGCATTATTTTCTGATGACATTTGGTGGCTTCAGTCACACCTGTCACTTATTAACTATGCAGTTTGTTACTTCTCTCAGCCTCAGTTTCCTTGAAAAGCTGAGGAAAATTCTCCTCTCACTGACTTAGTATGAGGTTACATGATATAAGTTTAGTAAAAGTTCTTGGTAAATTGGTCTACACAGATTAAGCACAATTATACTTAAGTCATTTAAGTGAGCCCATTGTCCTGGTTTATTGTATGCGAGCAAAAATGGGACTAGCATGGGCTTGTTTATAAATTAGTCCATTTGGTAAAGACAAGGCTGGTCCTATATGGTTGGCCCAGTCCATCAGATTAGTACAGGCCATAAGTACTTGTGTGCTAAATATGTTAACACAAAATAATATTTGACCCAATGATGTAATACTCTTAAAAATATTCCTTCACAGAAGACATAGCCTAATTATCTAGAAATTCCTTTGAGGTGTTTTATTTTAGAGGGTTAGTTATCTCTATGGCCCAAAAGCATGACGACAATTCTGTTTCTAATATTTTTCTCTGCCATATAACCAACTACAAACTTTGCAACTTACAACAATAGGTATTTATTATCTCACAGTTTCTGTGGGTCAGAAATCTATGTATGGCTTACCTGGGTCCTTTGCTTAGTGTCTCACAAAGCTGCAATCAAGGTGTCAACCAGGACTGAGTTCTCATCAGAGGCTCAACTGGGGAAGGATAAGCTCCCAAGTTCCCTTAGGTCATTGGCAGCATTCTTTCTCCTGAGGCTATAAGATTCATGACAGCTTGCCTCTTCAAAGCCAGAGAGAGAGAGAGATAGAAAATGAGATTGAACAACAGACAGAGAGAGAGAGAAAAAGAGAGAGGGAAAGAGGGAGGGAGATTCTAATAAGGACATAGGATCACCTACATTCCATTATCTTTGTTACATTAGATTGCTTAAAAGAAAGCCACAGGTCCTGCCCACACTCAAGGGGAGAAGATTACACAAAGGCATGAATACCAGGAGGTAGGAATCTTTGGAGCCACCTTAAAGTCTGTTTACCACACTGTGCAACTCCAAAAGTATCTTATTCCTTCATTTAACACTAGCATGTGTGTCTGTGTGTGTCTGTATGCATGTGTTTCCAGAGTGGTGGTATGCTCTATGAAAAAAGAGACTTTTGTTTCTTTTGTTCATAATCGTATCTTCAGCACCTAGAACAATGCCTGGGATTATAAAAGATGCTCAATATATACTTGTAGAAGGAATGAATTAATGAACAAATGAATTAATGAGCCCAATATGTGCATGACACTGACAATTGTTTTGGACCATGTCACTACATGATATATTTAATTTGAAGCATTTTGTATACAGAAATAGCATAAACCATTATCCTTTTAGTGATAATAAATTCTAAAAGCATTTGACAAGAGTTATGGGATTATTTTGAATTCAGTAAAGACATGTAGCTATTACATTTCTGAAGCCCAGTGATTTTTATGATGTAAAATTTATGACTAAGTCACCTTTCTAAAACTAATTATGAGAAAATAGAACTTTCAAAAGAGTTGGAGAATTCTAACACGATTTAAAAATCACTTGACCCTGCCTTTTCTTCATCAAATCTCTTCTCTTTTTTGCATGGGACAAATTTTCATCTTAGCCTTTGAAGAGTTATGCCCTGCAGTAACTTGTAATGACTACCATCTGTTAAGGAGAAATCTTTAACATTATAGAATTATAGAATTGTTATAGCTTTAGGGTTCCTTGATCCTGAATACTGAAAAATAGCACCTCATGACTTCAGCAGATGTTTTTCTTGTTTATAGTCAATTTCCTATGTCAAGAAGCCAGTCCTTGCTCTATCCTCACAGAAAGAAAACATTCCATATTCCATAGTGGAGTATGAAAGAAAAAAAGAAAAGGAGGCAGAATGTTTTTGATGCCAAACAGCACATGGAGAGCTTTGTAAGCCAGGATATCTTGGAACATCGGTGATGGGATGCCTTCTCGCAGCTGCTGGAGCCCCTCTGATGAGAAGTCTTTATGGAAAAAAAAAAAAAGGCAATCAACATTTTGCAAAGGATGACATTTTCTATTAAATTATCTCCACTTTTTATGTAACAGCTGCAACAGCTTTATGTGGCTTTTCCTAATGATACCTCATCTTACAAGCACATGAAGCATCAGAATAGTTTATCAATGGCTCCCTCTAAATTCACAATGTTTCAGAGTAATGACTCCCACTTCACCTGAAAGTTCCCAGTTCTACCCCAACAATCCCAGATGCCTGTATTTATTGGTGCCTATAACAATACAAAACATTAAAATTGGCCACTGAATATGAAGGGCAGACTATGTTAGTGGCTTCCCAATATCCCTCTAAAGCACAGAATGTCATTCTTCAAAAAAGCTCGGAGGTGGGATGGTCATTGAAGATTTAGAACAGTGCTTATACACCCACTCCATAAATACTCACTGAATGAATGATCAATTAACTTCTCTAGGTTTCGTGTTAGTTAAAAAGAAGGTAGTTTCATAGCTTTCATGTTTTAGCAAGTTGGTATTAAATGCAATGGTTGTAAATCCGTGTGTTTTCTAAATGCACTCAACTTGTGCCTATGTCCTTTCTCTATAGTAAATTGTTACTTTTTTGCACATGTGTTTAATACAGTAAATTATATACGTTATTGATAAAGAACATAATCTTTTGAAGAAATTTTCCAGATTAATCTAGATCAAGCATTTTGGGCCATGGGATTTGATGGCTCATGTATTAAAGTGCTAGTTTTGAATGTTAAAGGTGTGCTTCAAACCTCCTAACTTTTGTTAGGCTTTAATATTCAGAAGAAACTCTGTAATTATTTGGATACACATTAGATAGATTCTTAAATCAATTTCATAAACTTTAAAGTTCTGTTTTTTCTGACTCCGTGTGGGCCTAGGCTAATGTGTGTGTTTGTGTCTTAGTTTTTAACAAAAATTTTTTAAAAGTTAAAATTAAAAATAGAAAAAATACTTATAGAGTAAAGATATAAGACAATATTTCTGTACAGCTGTACAATGTGTTTGTGTTTTAAGCTAAATACTATCACAAAGAGTCAAAAATTTAAAAAAATTAAGTTTACAAAGTAAAAATGTTATAGTAAGCTAAGGTTAATTATAGAGGAAACTTTTTTTTATAAATTTAGTGCAGCCTAAGTATATAGTGTTTATAAAGTGTACAGTAGTGTACAGTAATGTCCTAGGCCTTCACATTCACTCACCACTCACTCATTGACTCACCCAGAGCAACTTCCAGTCCTGCAAACTCCATTCATGATAAATGCCCTATACAGGTGTACAATTTTTTATCTTTTATACTGACTTTTTAGTATACCTTTTCTGTGTTTAGCTCTGTTTAGATACACAAATACCATTGTGTTGCAGTTGCCTACCTTATTACAGTAACATGCTGTACAGGTTTGTAGTCTAGGAGCAATAGGCTATACCATATGGCCTATGTGTGTAGTAGGCTATTACCATGAAGGTTTGTGTAAATACTCCATGATGTTTACACAGTGATTAAATTGCCTAACAACACATTGCTCAGAAAGTACCCACATTGTTAAGCATGTATTCCTGTCATTAAGTGACACATGACTGTAATAAGTGATTTGTTTCCACAGAGCATTTTGGAACAAATGGGAAAAACAAACACACACACAAAAATAATGACCAACATGAAGGATTTCACAATTAAAAATATAACAAATTTTAAAAGACTTTTTCATTAGCATTATTATAGCCTAAAAGTTACTTTAGAAAAGCCTTCTCTATCCCTGTTGATACCAGGTACCTCTGTTATATTTTCCCAAATCATTTTATACTTTCCTTCTAAGGTACTTATTTATTATACATCTTGATTATATATTTACATGATTTATTGGTCAATTTAGAGGAAGTTACATAAGAACAGGGACAGTGTTTTGCTCACCAGTGATTGTCAGTACATACCACAGTTTTGGGCACAAAATGGAGTGTCAGTAAATATTTCTTGAATGAATGAAAGAAAAGAACATTGCTGGAAGTTCAGCTAGCTGATTTATTTTTAATATCTGCATAGAGTTTAGTTGCTTGGGTGTATTTACTGATCTCATCTTGTATAGATTTATTTTTGCCAATTTTTTTGCCATTTTAAATAACCCAATTTGCCTATAAAATGTGTATGTCAAACTGATAGCAAAAGAGTTTATAAAACATAATGAAGTAGCCCAAAGGCATGCTGGAAAACAGCAGAGAAAATGTCAGTCAGTCTTAAGATAACTGATGCATTAATCCCATGTATATGAGACTAGATATCTAAATTCTAGGACTTAACATTTTCTTTTTTAAAAAATGATTTGGTATCAAAGTCACAAAATTAAAATGTTCTTGATGTTTACATGCACTTAATTTGTGGATAATCTGGCTTAAAATATTTAAGACAAGCATATATTTATACAAGACATTATTTTTACTATATTTATTCGAAAGAAAAACTTTTCTCTGTCAGTTTATTAAAATCTTGCCTTTCTCAGGCTGCTGAGACACACTAATATGGCAAAGCTGCCCTGAGAAATAGCATCATTTTTGGGTTTTGGTAGAAATGAAAGCAGTGCTTCAAAGCAGCCTAATTCAGAGCCCAAATAGTAGTGGCCTCTACTTTAAAAATATTATATTACAAGCCTGTATCTCATTGACAATATTATCTATTACTATGTTGGAGAATAAATGATATGGGATAAAGCTGACCACAAAATATGTTAGTGTGCTCAAAATTAAATAGTAATTTAGAAACAAGTAGTGTTTGTTTCAGTTTTGGTGCAGACTAG
The DNA here is from genome assembly GCF_000001405.40 of Homo sapiens. Taxonomy (NCBI): domain Eukaryota; kingdom Metazoa; phylum Chordata; class Mammalia; order Primates; family Hominidae; genus Homo; species Homo sapiens. The sequence goes on along the minus strand of NC_000023.11, from coordinate 43,165,760 downwards.
GCTTCCCTTGAATGGCAAAGTACCATGATAGTGAAAACCGAGGTCAACTTAACACCAGTTACAAAGTTAAAATGGAAAGTAAATGTCTGATTCTTTTCAAAAGGTGAATCACAGAAACATAATAAAGTTTGTATATGCATGGAAAAAGAGACTCACATTATGAAACATAAGGAAGGATGGTACTGATGACAAAGCGGGTGGCCAGTGTGATCAAGCCTGTTGTGATCCCTGGAGGAGGCAGCACTGTTAAGAATTTCCAGCGACCCTGTCTGTATCCAGGACAGTACTAGTAGATAATGAGTAAAGACGTGGATGGACTTCAACGGAGGAAGCAAAGAAAAGAGGGGGGTTGCTTTTGTGCCAATATGTAAACCTGAGTATTTGGGATATTCTTTGATCATCTCTTTTTCTTTACCCCCTGACCCAGTCACTTATCATGTAAATCAATCGGTGTTGGTGGCTACATATTGCTTCACCTTTGCTACTTCACCTCAACCAGGAAATGATGCGGAAGACACTCTTTTGGCAGTGTTGCTAATAGAATTGGGATGGTAGTGATTTCAAGGTACCTTTCTCAGGGTCCCTTACATCCTCTGGAGATGACAAAAACTGTTCTATATGGGGGAGGGAGGGGGATTGAGGACTCATCAACAATCTGCACAACAGTTTTTTTTTGTTTTTTTTGTGTTTTTTTTTGCCAGGTATAAAATGAGAGGGCTGGATTTAATAATCTGTAAAATCTCTTTCAACTGACACACTGCATGACTGGTCTCTTATTCTACTACTCCATTTCCCAATGTATCAGTAAAACTAGAGTGCTTACCATGTGCTTAAAACATGCTGGGCTTTCCTGTATGTTTGCCTTTGCCCCAACTATTTCTTACACTAGAAAAGCCCTCTCCATACCACCACCTCTCACACTTACATTTTAAGGTCCGTCTCAAAATCCTTATAATATCTGTCATGGGGATATTTTCTTCCACTCCTCCTCTCTCTTAACTCTTAAGTGTTTTTTTCTTTCCAGTTTCTGTGACTCAACTGGTCTGTTTATTAAGGAAAAACAACCAACAATGAGTTAACATTTTTCCAAGTGAGATAATAACATGATATGTCCCCATGTCTCAGGGATTCTCCTTTCCTCCTACCTACACATTATGAACCCTTTTAATTGAATGAGACTAACCTTCATTTTTCTCTTTACAAAGGCCTTCTTCCTTTCTTGTTTTCGTGCCAAGTCTTGTCTAATCCAGGCCATTAATGAGTTTTTCACTTTTATTAGCTTTTGGCTTATCTCTGTAGAGAGAAAGGATCCATTTCTTCATTCTTATTATCTCTAAACTTTTTATTCACATAGCCTACCCATGTGCCAACCGGTAAAGTCAACAATTCTTCAGTCTTAATTTTAATTACATTAAATTAGTTTCATCAAAAGATCTATTGTGCATACCTGCCAGGCACTGTATCTTAGGGATGAACAAGATAAGGTCCTCTCCCGCTGGTAATTTATGTTCTTAAGGACAAGTTCAAACTAACCAACAACTCTCTTTTACAATGTGGTAAGTTTTTCAGTAAAGGGGAAGCAAATAATTTTGCCTGGCCAAGATGGGGTCTTATAATAAGGTAGGACCTCTGAGAGGGATGCACATGAATTTCACTAGTGGGGAATGAGGGAAAGGGCCTTCCTGGAAAAAGAAAGAAGGAAAAACTCAGAGCTTTGACAATATGCATTCTGTTCGATGAAAAACAAATAGTCTATTTCATCTACCCGTGTCATATTGTGTGTGTGAATGGATGGAGATGAGGTTAGAAAGATAGACTGAGAGGTAGTTATGAAGAGCCTTGATATTAAATCATGATCTAGTTCTGCCAAATTGATTTGCTGATTTTGTACAGATCCCAGAGTACATATTATAATGGAGAGTCTTTTGATCATCTGATACCAGTGACCTGAACCTGTTCTTCACTTTTTCTAGGGAGTGAATAACTCTGGGGCTCTACAAACACGCCAGGTATGTGTATTTGTGTAAGAAAAGTTCATTTTATTACATTTACATTTTTTAAAAACATTTTATTTTGAAAGCAAATTCATGGGAAATTTCAAAGAGTACAAAGGGTCCCATGTACCCCTCCACAGCTTCCCCCAATGGAGACATCATATAGATGTATAGCACAATATCAAACCAGAAAATGGACATTGGTACATTGCTGTTAACAAAAAAAATACAGACCTTTTACAATTTTCACCATTTTTAAAATCTGTATTTATTTATGTGTATGTGTGTATGCATATATATTCCTATATGATTTTTGTATATATTGGTATAACTAGCAACACAATCAAAACACAGAACTGTTCCATCACCACAAAAGAACTCCCTCACACTACCTTCTTGAATTTGCACCCATAGCCCACCCAACTCCTATCCTTGTCCCCTGACAACCACTACTCTGTTATTCATTTTGATAGTTTTGTCATTTCAAGGATGGTCTATAAATGGAATTATACATATGCAACCTTTGAGATATTCTTCACTGAGCATAATGCCTGTAAATTCCAATTGGGTTGCATATATCTTTAGTTCATTCCTCTTTATTGCTGTGTAGTATTCCAGTGTATGCATGTACCACAGTTTTTTTCAACCGTTCTCTCACTGAAGGACATTTGAGTTGTTTGTAGCATTTTACTACTATGAATAAAGCCACTGTGAATATTCATGTATAGGTTTTTGTGTGAACACACATTTTCATTTCTCTGAGATCATGTCCAACAGTGTGATTGCTATGTCACGTAAGCACATGTTTACTTTTGTAAGAAACTACCAAACTATTTTCTAGAGTGCCTGTACCATTTGACATTCCAACCAGCAATGTATGGGAGATCTAGTTTCTTCACATCCTTGTTAGCATTTAGTATTAGCATTAGTTTTTAATTTTAGCTTTCTAAAAGTTGTGTAGTGATATTTCATTGTGATTTTAATTTGCATTTACCTAACAGATAATGATTTTGAACACTTCCTGTGTTTATGTCCATCTGTGTCTTCTCTTTGTAGAATATTTTTCGTGTTTTTTCCCATTTTGCAATTGAAATCTATATTTATTTGTAAAAGAGCAAACTGTTGAGTTTTGAGCGTTATTTATATATTTTAGATATAAGACCTTTTTCAGATATAAGATTTACAAATATTTTCTTCCAGTCAATAGCTTGTCTTTTCATGTTCACAATAGGGTCTTTTGCAGTACTGTTTTTACAAAACAGTAAAAAAGTTTTTAATATTGATGAAGTCCAATTTATACATTTTTTAAAGTGGAATATATTTTTGGTGTCTTATCTAAGCACTAGCTTTTTGCCTAGTATTATGTCCCAAAGATATGTTTTCTTCTAAAAATTTTATAGTTTTATCTTTTACATTTAAATTCATAATCCATTTTGAATTAATTTTTGTGTACAGTGTGATACAGAATTAGATCAAGGTGGGTTTTTTTGTTGTTGTTGTTGTTGTTTTTTGCCTATGGATGTCCTATTGTTCCAGCACAATTTGTTGAAAAAACTATCCTTCCTTCATGGAATTGCTTTTATACTTTTGTCAAAAATCAATTGAGTATATTTATGTTGGTCTATTTCTGGGTTCTGTTTTCTGTTGCATTGATCTATGTGTCTACTCCTTCTCCAATAACACACTATCTTGATTGCTGTAGCTATATAGTAAGTCATAACCTCAGGTTTCTCTCACTTAAATCTTTGTCAAAATTGTAATAGCTATTCTAGTTCCTTTGCCTCTTTATATAAACTTTAGACTATACTTATCTATATTTGAAAAAAAAAAAAACTTTCCTGAAACTTTGATAGGAATTGCAATAAACCTACAGATCAAGTTGGGGAAAACTGACATCTTTACTATGGTGAATCTTTTAATCCATGAACATAATATGTCTCTCCATTCATTAAGATCTTCTTTGCCTTCTTTCCTCAGTATTTTGTACCTTCAGTGCACAGATCCTGTATGTGTTTTGTTAGATATCCTTTTTGTTTTTTCATTCAATTATAAATGATTGTGGTTTTAATTTTGGTTTCCATGAGTTTGTTGTTAGTATATAGGAATACAATTGATTTTTGTGTGTTCAGCCTATATCTAGTGACTTTCCCAAAGTCACTTATCAGTTCTAGGAGATTTTGTGTAGCCTTGATTTTATTTTGTAGATTTTTGTAGATTACTTGGTGTTTTGTACACAGACAATGGTGTCATTGGAAAATAGGATTTAATTCTTTCTATCCAATCTGCATGCCTTCATTTCCTCTTCTTGTCTGATTGCAATAGCTAGATCTTTCTATATGATATTGAATATGAGTGGTAGTGTTAACAACCTTGCCTTGTTTTCAATCTTTGGGGGAAATCAATCTTTCGCCTTTAAGTACAATATTAGCTATAGTTTGTTGTTGTTTATGTTTTGTAGATTTTCCTCACCAACCTGAAAAAGTTCCCCATTTTTCCTACTTTGCTGAAAGTTTCAAAAAAAAAATAAATGGATATTGAATTTTATCAAATATTTTTCTGCATTGATTGATATGACCAATGTTATTTTTCTTTTTTACTCAGTTGATATAGTATATTGCATTTATTAATTTTTCAAATAATAAATCAGCCTTGCATTTCTAGAATAAACTTCATCTGTTTGTGGCTTCTGTTCTTCTTATATAGTGCTGGGTTCAATTTGTTAAGGTATTTTTGAAGATTTTTGCCTCAAGTTTGTGAAAAGTTTTTGCTTCTATGTTCATGACAGATTTTTATCTATAGTTTTCTACATCTACTTTTAAAGCATCAAGAGACTCTCAGAGGTGGTTTCCACAGCCATATTCCCCAAAACTGCCTTCCATTTTAAGAATGTAGATTCTAAAAGGGCTTAATTTTTTCAACTTATTGGCCTCCATTTCAACCTTCCACACCACCACCAAGGTAGGAAGGATAGTGGAGAACTTAATTTCCACTTGGAAATCTCAGCTAGAAATTTACATTAACCTTCTCTATCTGGTTGTTTACTTTTCCTGATGATTTGAAATGTTCTAAGAAAAGGAATTACAGACTTGAAAAGCCAGTGTTTATATCTTCTTATCTATCACCAGCACTGCATTGATATTTGTGGTAACAGGTTAAATTGGCATTGTTACATCAAAAATTTAAATGGATTTGAAATATAATCAAGCAATGAAATATGATTACACAATGATAAAATTATTTACTGTATTCCTCAATTTATCCTATGTCTTCACTGATATTAATAACATCACATATATCACATAAGACAATATAGAATTCATCAATTTGTCCAGATAGATATTAACTCAGTCTGGTTTTTTTTGCATTATTGTAATTTCAGTATAAAAGTAAGTCCCTTATTTTACATTTATTTATACAGAATTCCAGAAGGCTTTGGATACGTGCTTATGCAGGGCTGAAAATTGTACCTTCTGAAAGTTTTCTTCTATATTTTCAGTTTTATGTTTATCTTATTTTATTTACATAATCTATATAACACCTTCTCCTGTTTTTAAAGGCTCCAATAATAGCCTCTCAAATTATTTTGTGACTGTGTTCAGCAGAATACAATCATAGAACGTCAAGGTTGTAAAATGGCCATTTGACTCAAGTGAAATCTCCGACTCAGTCTGGTTAAGTAACTTGCTCTAGGTTAAACACAGAATCAGCATAAGAATCTAACTGGATACCAGATTTCCTATCTCTCAGAACAGTATAAAACTTGTAGCCGACAGTTTGACCTTAACCAGTTGCAGACTATAAGCATATAGCAAAATCTGAATTTTTAGTACAAATGTACTGGATTTGGCCTAGTTTAATTTTAGGGAGTGTGAGACTCATTTGGAAGGCAGACAAGACTCGGATTTTGGGGGTCAGAAGTGAAGCTCCAGACTCTATTTCAAAAGACCTCTTATGATTCTGATATTGGTTACTTGATGAGTTACTTGTACAAAGTGACTAACTCTTGTTTTCCTGTTACTCCCATCCCTACTAATTGAGAGCAGCAAAACTCTTACCCCTTCTTGCTGCTTACCAACTTTTAATATGCATGGATCCCTATGGCCTCTGCTGCTGTTTATTTATCAACTAGGAGCCCCTCTTAAATTAGGAAGGAGAGGAAGGAGAGAAGATTCCCTTTTAGTTGCGCAGAGTAAAGTGGGTTCAGTTGCTGGCGTAGATTGTAAAAATTTCAACCTCAGTCTGAAGAAGCTAATTGAAGGGACAAAACTGAGTTCCTAGGAATGTCTCTGAGAAAACGTAGACATAAGAGGAAAGGTTCATTAGCAGACTGATACTAGAATTACAAAGTATCTTGAAAATAGGAAACTTGTGAAAATCACTTTGCTTCAAAGTTGTCAGTTTCAGAACTATTTCTTTATTCATCTTTGTATCCCTCGTTGTATTTTACACCCAGCAGACACTCCAGAATAGTTGTTGAAGAAATATTCAATAATGGATTCCTCTATTTAACTCTGAAAACGTCACTTTATATACTGCAGTAAAGTGAATGCGATTTTATTATTTTCCATCAACTTCATCATTTGTTATTTTAAAAATCTTTTGGGAGATTATATGTAGTATGTGGTGGCTTTGGAATTCACTTTTTAAACATACAACGTTTTACTTGTGTGGGCTTGTAAAACTTACTTCATTACTCCATGTGTTATTTTCCAAATCTTTACAATGAAGAGGACAATATTATTACCTCCCAGGGCTGTTGGAAGGATAAATGACACAATGCACATAAAGTACTTGGAGTGATACCTGGCACAGAGAGTGTATGTGCTAAATAAATGTGTACAGGTGAGGTAAATTATCTAAAGTCAGTAGTCAAGTCATTTACCAAACAGATGTTATGTGCCAAGTACTGTGCTCATTGAGAGTACAGTTTTTCAAATTTTCTCAGCTCCTAGCACCTTAGTGTCTCAATTGATTTTTCATGGCAACACTAGGCCAAGGAAATATGCAATAGTGCTTATTAAGTGCTTAGGTCCAGGTACCTTAATAGTCATAGTTCATACTGTATCATTCTATTTTCCTTGAGAATTTAAATTACCCCGGGACACCCCTTGTGACTTCTCTGCAGCACTTTTGGGCACTTAGGCATACAGTTTGGGAACCATGGCATTAGAAGGATGAGAATAAAATAAAACATGCTTTCTTTTCGAAAGGAGTTTTTACATCTAACACTATAGAACATACAAACACCTTACGAACATATTATAAATGCTTTACTAGAAGCATCATCAAAATCTATGGGGGACATAAAGGGAATGGGGTATGGAAGAAGTCATAAAAGAAGCATTATGTGACTAATTATTCAAGATTGAGTAGAAGATAACCTGACAGAGGAGAAAAGGAGAGGCAGAGAGAGAAAACAGTGTAAGTAAGACCCCTGACATATTGAAGCTTGTAGAAATCCAGAATATGCTTTGTTGGTAATGATTGTCAAAATAAAAAATTAGCATTGGGAATAAGGATAATGCAGATGATTGTGGCAGCCATGAAAGTGCACATACGGATCACCCTACAGAAGAGAACCTGCGTGAGGAGAGCCATTGCCTGACACTCCAGTTGCCACAACTTCAGGTCCCCTGCAGTATTCCACCCTTGCCATGCTGTTGCTACTTGATGACAGAGCGTGGCCTGGGGCTGGGGGCAAGTAGAGTTGGGTCATTCCAGCCTAATATGAAATCTCTTTTGATGGGCAGCCTGTGTTCTGGGTCTCCCCATCAACCTGGCTGAGACTTTCTCAGAGCTGCGCTGCTGACTGAGGCTCTCCCTACCCACCCTTCCTTCCTTTCTCTCTCCTTCCACAGGGGTCAGCCCTGCCTTCTGGTCTGAAGGCCCCCCCAACCACTCCTGCTCCCTCCCCCTTTATCCTGCTCAGAAATTCCCCCCAGGACATCTCTCACACTTCTAATTCTGTTTTGGCACTTGCTTTCTGGAGAAACTGAACTGATACAGTGCTACAACTGATGAGTTTTTGTTTGTTTTTAAGACAGTTTTAGTTGAAATAAATAAATTGAACCATGGTATCCCAGAACCAAAGTTGAGATGTTGGCAAGAAGGATCCCATTTTAGAAGTACTCTTAGTTTGAGTTGTGTTATGAAACAGATATTGACAGCCATGTAACTGTGTAATGAGAAATGGGTTTCAGAGACTTCCCTAGAACACATGGAGGGATATCGTCTCTTACTTAATTCAGGGGAAGTATTTTGATGAAAATAGCCTTAGATTTTTTCTATTAAGAGCATCTGGGTTACTTGGCTTCTATCTGGAGCTAGTCTCTCCTTGCTTGCTTGTCACAATGGACAGTGTTGTGATTGATGCAAAGAGGCAATCAGTCACTGCTAGAGGATGTCAACTTTATTTCATGGCAAAAGTCATAGAAATTTATGGAGATGGTTACATAAAGCAGGAAATAACACAGCATGCTCTCAGACAGAGGTACAACATCCTAGCACCACCATCCTGCCTGCCATTCTGGAGACTGGCTTTGTGCCAGCCTGCTCACCAGATGCAATTTACATGTGCATTGACTTCCAATGCACCCTTAGAACTGCCAGGAAATTCTATTTTTTTCCAAATCGATTTATTCTCCCGTTCTTTTAGATGATTATTCTTAGGCCCTTTTCTCTTTCCACAAACCACCAATATCTCCTGCCTTTTCTTGTTCGCAATAGATGGTTTTGCTTTTTATTTCACTGAGGAAATAGAAACATTCCAAAGTAAACATTGATATCTTTCCACCAAATTCATCTTCAGTTTCCTATATCTGTGTCTTTCTTCTACATCTTCCTTGTGTCACAAAAACTAGCTATTTATCATCTCGTATAAGGCCAAACCCTCTACTTGTGCATGTATTCTCATTCTTTACTACTTATTCAAAAACAGGGGTCCTGGATGTGTCCTCCTTTCTCTTGCATCATCAGTTTTTCCCTCTCCATCTCCACTGGATCAGTCTTCTCAGCATGCAGATATACCATGTTTCTCTCTCTTAGTTGCCCATACCATTTTTTATGGCCATTTATAACAAAACTCCCAGGTAGACTTTTCTTATTTACTCTCTTCACTTCTCTTATTTTCACTTGAGCTCACTCTGATCAGACTTTCATCCCCATCAGTCCACCAAAACTTTTTTGTCAAGGTCAACAATGACTTTTCTATTGCCAAATCCAATGATCATTTCTCAGTTTTCATCTTATTGGATTCGCCATCTGCATACAATGGAGGTGGTTACTCTCTCCTATGTAAAATACTTTTTTCACTTTGTTTTTGGGATGTTATTCTCCTCCTTCTCCGATGGTGTTAAATAAAATAATGCCTCTACAGGAACTCTCTATTCCTTTCATATGATGAAATGCATCATGACATATTACATATATATTTATCTGGTATTTGTCTGTCTCTTCAGATTCTAAAATGTAAACTTCCTGAGAGCAGCAATTCGTGCATAATATACTGCTGTGTTCCCAGCACTTAGAGCAGTACCTGCCATGTATTCAATGCCAAATAAATATTTGCTGAATAAATTGATGAAAATAACTCTAATATAATCATGAAGGTTTTCTTCAAGTCTGAGTCAAGTGGATGACACTTCTTTAGGGCCATCCCCTCAGCAGTCCCAGCTTTATTCCTGACTGAGGTTCATTTCTGTACTATATGAAAAAAAGCAAAAGTCATATTGGCATGCTTAGGATTCAGAGAGCCAGAAATTTTTTGCTTAAAATATACATAAAAGTCTCATTTTATAAAGGAATGAGTTTTGGAAGTCAGCCGTAGAGATGAAAATTCCCTATAGTCAAAAATATCCTTGAAAGACCCTTAAATCAACCATAAGGTATGGTACATCTGGTTCTGAATGTACAATTTTTTATATTAATTGATATACACACAAGACTTTGCAAGCCATTGAGCTATACTAAAAAAAGGAATAAAATGAAAGTCAGTGTCCATATGCCTGACATCTAAACCAATTTTTCTTTAAAAGAAATAGCAAATCACTCACTGCAAATAAGAGATGGGTAGAAATTTCTGATGTTTTTGTGCTTCCTGCAGGCTTTATTTCATTGTATTATAATATTAAGCCTCTATCAGCGTACTGCATAGTATTAGATTTGCTTATTGTTGTGAGGATTAAACAAGATACATTTGGATAAGTAATTAGCACAAGGTCTGACCCATAGTAGAAACTCAGAAAATGTTTGTTAGATTTTAATCAAAGTCTTATTGGATCAGAGCTGTAGGGAAACAAAGAGAAGAACCTAAAATCCTTGCTAATGAGTTCCTGCTGCAACCCCAATGAACAGATATTATTTGTTACCTCGGGTACAGGCTTCATGGAACCACCTTTTGGGTGGAATTGAAGAGGGAGGGGCTTTATATTGGAATGTAGTTAATTGCCTGAATTGAATTATTCCACTTGTCATGAATAAAAAGTAGCATTTGAAATAATTAAACCAACTTAACTAGAAAAATATTTTGATTTATTAAAATTATCTTTCTCAATGACATAAACCATTGAGCCAGAAATAATTAATTCATGCCCTACCTCCCCTCTACAAGCCCCACTCTGACAGCTTGAAATTAGAAAAGGAGAAATACGAGTTTGAACAGGGGTGCTGATGGCACTATGCAAGGCTAGGCTCTAGTCAAAGATGCAGTTAGTATTACGTTGTTCCCATTCAAAGAAGGTGATCTTCAGCTTGTTTTTTAATATTCCTCTGACATATTTGTAATTATTGGTTAGCCCTGGTTAACTACGGTCTGTGGAATTTCTTCACAACCATCTGTTCCTTGGATGTTATTGCTTTTCTGTGTTTTTCTCATTTCTGGAAACTGTCTTTAGGCAGAGGTTCAGTACAAAGTTCATAAGTGGAAAATTACTGCTTTCCCAATAACAGATAAGACAACTAAGATTGTTGTTGTTATTGTTTTTAGGAGATGAGGTCTTGCTATGTTGTCCAGGCTGAAGTGTAGTGGCTATTCACAGACATGATCATCAGTACACTGCGGCCTCGAACTCCTGAGTTCAAGTACTCCTCCTTCCTTAGCCTCCTTAGTATCTGGGACCACAGGCATGTACCACCCCATCTGGCCAGGTTTTGAACACTTACTATGCCTGAAGCTCAGGACGTTGCAATTGTTCTCTCATTTTATCTCTATGTAAACTTGTGGCCATGAATCTCAAAGGATGGTTCTCAGATCAGCAGCATCAGCATCACTTGGGAGTTTGTTAGAAATGCCCGTTCTCAGGCCCCATTTTAGAACTACTGAATCAGACACTCTGGGGTGGGGCTTGACCATCTGTATTTCAACAAGCTCTCTATGTGATTTTGACGTCGGCTATGTTGGCATAGGCAATACTATCATTGCCATTATATACGCAAGGGAAGGAGGCATGTTACACTGAACAAAAATATGGTAAAGCCATAGCTCTGGTAAGGTATAAATCCAGGTTGCAAGCTTGCACAGTCTGATTCCAGACAAAATAACTTTAGCAATGTTATTAAACTGGTTCCTTGATGTCCAGTCCTTAAAATATCCTACGCTTGGAGGATAGGATTTGTGACAATGTTATTTTGTTTTAGCCCCAAATGCTCAAATTAATATTCATCTATTTGGGTCAGTTCCTGGAAATAGACTCTAAGGTGGAGATTTACCTGCAGGAAGTTTACAAGGGAGTACCTGTGGCATCAACACTGTAGGGTGTGAGAGAAGTTACCAGAAGCACATTGTCCCAGGAGACAGGGAATTACCCTGGGCCAGGGTGACTACAAGAAATTCTAAATTTCTGGGAGAGGATCTTAGCAAAGAGCCTTCAGCTGACAATACTTCCAGCAGCTGGGGGAATGAGTGCTTCAGTCCTGAAGCAGGAAAGCCGGAAGATTCAGGTGGCACACCATAGTATCCACCACAACATTGCCTCCCCACAGTGAGCCTTTTTTTTTTTTAAGCATTTGGTATAGCTGCTTAATGTGATGGAAGCATTTCAATACGTCAGGGAGAATTCAAGTTGGCCTCAGCTAGCCTTTCTGCAGTGTTTTCAGAAAGAAACAACCAAAGCTTGGCAAGGTTGATACTTATAAGTGAGAGTTGATGCTACCGAAGTGAACTGAAATGGGGCTGAAGACTTTGGTGACAATGACAACAAGGGAAAATGAGCAGTAGGATTAAAATAAAAAAGAAAAACAAATATGGAATGAATGAAGAGCAGAGAGAAATCATGTGGGACTATAGAGTTCTGGAAAGCAGGAGGTCTCTCAAAGTCAAATGTTTCTCAGAGGCCCCCAAACAAGCTGTTGTTATAAGCAGGTGGGAAGTCATCTGGGACACTTGCAGGGTGGTGCCAGCAGGGTAGCAGCAATTGGATAAAGAATGGAAGTAAACAAATCAAAGACTGCCCTTTAACTTAAGGGAAAACCCACTATTTGCAAAGACTTGCTTTTTTGTTTTCTTACATGACAAAGACTTGTATTATTATGGCTAGAAACCTCTCATCAATAGGGCATAATAAGCCAGTGTAAAGAAAATGTCTTGGCAAATAATTTTGTCTCATCATTTAGTTCTGTCATTAAGCCAGTGTCCTAGGACTACCTCATCATAATGTGTAAAGAAGTGGGTTTGTCTTCTTTTCCTTCTCCTCCTTTTCCTGCACCTTCTTTTTTTTCTTCTTCTCCTTCCTCTCCTCCTCCTTCTTTCTTCTTTCTTCTTCTTTCTTTCTTTTTTCTTCTTTTCTTCTTTCTTCTTCTTTCTCCTCCTCCTCCTCTTTGTTCTTCTCCCTCTTGTTCTTCCTTCTTCTTCTCCCTCTTCTTCTTTCTTCTTCTCCTTTTTATCATTGCCATTTGAGGCTAAGGCCCCAAAACGATATAGGTTAACATGATATACCAACTTATTTCTTACATTTAGAACTCCTAAATCTGAATTCAGAGAGAATTTAGGTGACAGATTTATTTATATAAATTTAAGAAAATAAAAATTACGTATGTGAGGAATTTTAGTAATATCTAGTAAATTGAACACATGCATTTATTGCTATTTTTTCTTCAAAGCCACCAAGCTGTCAGTAAAAAGGAAATAGGAGTTATTTCACAAAAAGATGAAGACAATAGAGAGGAAATGACACTGAAGAAGTGCAAACCAGAAAGCAAATTAGGCAAGTGGAAACTGTCCTAACAGATCAGAGAAAACTGATATCTTAGACTGTAGTACAGGAAACACAGAAACAAATGGAGTCCATCAGCAGAAGCTCAAAAACGCTAAGGAATAGTATCAGATGGAAAGTAGGTTTAATAAAAGAGGAGACTTGATTGATTGGTTGCATAAGCAGCACTTAAATGAATTTCACATCCTCTCCCTGATCCGTGATGAAGACCAGATATTTTATTCTGTGAAGAACTTAAACCAGTAAGACTCTGCCCTCAGGGACACCAGACATTGTGGAAGATTGGTCACAAATGCAAAATTTGGGAGAGGGGAGAAAAATATGAACATCTGAACTTAGACCCTTCTTAACTCGCTTTCCAACTCAACTCTGAGAAATATGGCTCAGAGAAACCAAGGAAAAGAAAGGAAAGGAAAGGAAATGAAGAAGGAAGGAAGGAAGGAAAGAAGAAAGAAAGAAAGAAAGAAAGAAAGAAAGAAAGAAAGAAAGAAAGAAAGAAAGAAGGAAAGAAAGAAAGAAAGAAAGAAAGAAAAGAAAGAAAGAAAAGAGAGAAAAGAAAGAGAAAGATTAAGTCCAGGAACATTAAAAAAAAGTTTTATAGTTTTACAAGAAATGAAATACAAGCATGGGAACTACATAGCTCAATTATGTTAAATTTGTAATAATAACACAACATAGAATGTTTATCTTTCCAAAGAATACAGAGAATGAAAAAATACCAATTGGGAGGTATGTGTTTGAAAGTTGAGGTATGTGGGAGATCAGAATGTTCCCCCAAATCATGAAGGATTGTTGAATTTAAGGATAGATACAGGAAAGCTCTCTGCCCTCCCTTTGTTTTCCTAAAATTAATACGTAGATGTACAAAGACTAAAGGTATCCTTACCCTTTCTCTACCAGGGAGAACAAAGGTTAACCACTGAAGACAGCTTGAATGCTTGTTGGCTTGCAGATGGTACTAGAGAAATCTACATTAACACTCTTTAATAATTAGCCTTTATCTGCTATTATTATTATTATTTTTTGCCTTCCCAAAAGTTGCTGCCCCCAGAGACTCGAGGTCCTTTTCCATTATCTTGGCACTTCTCAAAAATTTACCGTTTTTTGTTGAAGATACTATATAAGCTGGAATTCAAAGCTACCTCTTTGAGAACCACTCAATCCCTGGTGTCTCCCATGTATATATGAAATATATATGTGAATATACTTCTGTTTGTTTTTCTCTTATTTATTTTTGAGACAGGGTCTTGCTCTGTTACCTAAGCTGGAGTGCAGTGATGCAACCTCAGCTCACTGCAACCTCTGCCTCCTGGGATCAACTGATCCTCCCACCTCAGGTTCCTGAGTAGCTGGGACTGCAGGTGCACAGCACCACACCTGGCTAATTTTTGTATTATTTGTAGAGATGGGGTTTCGCCATGTGGCCCAGGCTGGTATCGAACTCCTGGGCTCAAGCAATCTGCTTGCCTCAGCCTCCCAAAGTGCTGGGATTGCAGGTGTGAGCCCCCACACCCAGCTGTTTTTCTCTTGTTAATCTTTTTTTTTTTTTTTTACAGTGGTTCACTACAACTAAGAACTTATGAGTTTTGAAAATAATTATTATTCTTTCTCCTACAGGTGGAAAGGGAGTGTCTAAGACAGCTGAGTCTTTATTTTCTATAGTAAAAAGTCAAGAGATAATGTTGAAAACAGAAAAAAAAAATCAGGAATTAGCAATTGGGATACTGTATACCTGAATAGAAAGAGCCAAAGTATTTGAAAGTGGTTGCCTCCTAAGAGCAGTTAATAGCTTGTGAGGAATAGGAAAGGATTTGCTGTTTTCTTTATAAACTTTATAGAAATGTTTCTCTTTTAAAACTCTGTACATGTAAAAATGTTTAATGTACATGTATAATGTTTAAGATAATTTTATGTACACCCAAATGATTTTAAATGGCCACCTATGGCCTTTTCTGTGAACAGGTTGTGGAAAATATATGGCCTTTTAAGTAGTTTTTCTTTGTAATTAATGAAGTAATCTTTGCATGTACCAAGGGTATGATACATTACTTACCCACTGGAGTGTATTGTGCCTGCTATAAAAGTCTTTATGAAAATGAGGGCAGAAAATTAGGCCTTTAAATTACAAAGACTTCAGGTGATTATGGCTAGGAAAATAAGCCCACGTATGGAGATGGTAGCAGGGAGGGCCATTTTCTATTTATAATCAATTGGAAACTGACAGTATTGTCAGTATGAGGCAGGCGACTGCGTTTGATTTACATCAAAGGTATAATGGCAGAATTCCTTTTTGTCCCAAATAAATGACTCGGATAAAACAGATCAGTACTGTAGTAAACATATCAGTGAATTTCTCCTTGGTCATTATGTACTTGATTACTCTGAGTTTGACTCACATTTTACCTGAATTTCATTACTCATTCGCTGCTGATATTGAACCGAGCATTTTCAATATAGAATAAATACTTTTAATGAACTGTATTTCACAGTTTGTGTGACTTTACAGAGTCCAAGATTTTACAAATCTTAGAAAAAATATCTACTACTTAATATCGTTCTTTAGCACAAGCTATTATCTTCTTTTAATGAGTCTCTGTGAATTATTATTTAAATTAACTTTAGCATATTTAACATATTACCAAATTTTTGTTATTAATAATACTGTGTATGAGAAAAGTGCGTTTCCTCCGTAAATTCTAAATGTTTGTGAATTCGGTGACTCGAATGAAGAGTATATCTGTCATTGAGGGTATTACATTTCAAGATACCCAGTTATTCCCCAGTTTGCTGTTTCTTTTAGTATCACAAATATGAATTAAACTTTTATTGCCCTCAAGGGGGATGTGGTCTGTGATATGTTTAGTTGTGTCCCCACCCAAATCTCATCTTGAACTGTAGCTCCGATAATCCCCATGTGTCATGGGAGGGACCCAGTGGGAGGTAATTGAATCATAGAGGCAGTTACTTCCATGCTGCTGTTCTTGTGATAGTGAGTGAGTTCTCACAAGATCTGAAGGTTTTATAAGGGACTTTTCCCCCTTTTGCTCTGCACTTCTCCTTCCTGCCATCATGTGAAGAAAGACGTGTTTGCTTCCCCTTCTGCCATGATTGTTAGTTTCCTGACGGCTCTCCAGCCATGCAGAACTATGAGTCAATTAAACCTCTTTCCTTTATAAATTACCCAGTCTCGAGCAGTTCTTTATAGCAGCGTGAGAATGAACTAATACAGTCTGAATGAAAAGAATCAGTGTGTAAGATGTATCTATATTTAAATATGACAAAAATTGTTGTGTGCTTCAAGAGACGTGGATTTAAAATACTTTGGGAGTTCAGTCACTTCCAAAGTGATATTTAAGTCAGATACCAAAGAGTCTTTATTTCTTTATTTGCCATTGATTAATGTATAGATCTTAGAGACCAAAGCTGCCCCTCATACTCCAAAATGGGATTTCAACACTTGAAAGCTAGGGCTAGGCCAGAGAAATTGAGGCTTTGACCTGAAAAATGAGATATTTTCCATAGGATGTGGGTGAGGAGCTTATGGATAGGTCCATATGTATGGAAGAGAGGAGACCAATCAGGCAAGGGAGCATGATGTTGGGTGACAGGAGATACTGGAGCCAAGTGCTTGGGGCAGGGAGATAGCAATGGGAAGCACAGAAGACAGGCAGCTAATGGTGTCAGAAGATTTACCAAAGCAGATCTGGGACAAAAGGTGGGCTAAGATTCAAAACTGAAAAAGAGGCAGCAGGGGCCAGGAAGGAAGCCACCTCTTAATCACATGGCTGGAGTCCACGGGCAAGGCCACAGTTACTAGAATGACTGAGGAAAACATGAGTAAGCCTCAGCCTTGAGAGAGCAGTGGTCCACACTGCAGTGAAAAGACCTCAGGCTCTGGTGCAGATTGCCTTGAATTTCAATCCTAGCACCGTCACTTGGTTAACTAAATGTAAAACACATGGTGCATAACAGTGCCTCAATAAACTAAAGTTAGAGTCGTCATCATCATCAAGATTTTTTATAACAACAGAGACTCAGGCTCAGAATGAAAGCAAAACGTCAGAGAAGGACTCATAGTAAGTCTTATAGCAGATTTCTAAGAATTGAACTCAAATTTCTTAAATTTTTCCCCAATGTATTACCTATGTGGTCACATTTTCTTCAGCTGTAAAATGGAGCTTGCAGAGTCTACTGCATGGGCTGATTATGAAGATTATATTAATATATTGACATGTATATAAACACCTCAGTGCAATGTCTGGTAAATTGCGCTTAATGAAAAGCTGTTACTATTATTGTTATTAGCTCTGGTAGAACAATGAACAGTAAAATACCATTCAAACTAATAGGCCAGGCTTTCCTTCTCTTTACTTGAAAGTTAAAGTGTAAGGCTTTGTGGTGGAGGGATCCCCATCCCTTCTCTACATACATTCACACAGCATACATGCGGTTAAGCCTCAAAACTTGGGATAAGCTGAGCTTACAGGTAAGGCTCAAGATGATCTCTCTCCCTGGGAAAAGGAGGCTCGTAGGAACAGAAAAAGGGCAAGTGGGTCTTTTTCTCGTAGGAACAGAAAAAGGGCAAGACACGTGCACAGACAATGTCTTGAAAAGACCCTCAGTTGGCTCCTGGACTTTTTCAGGTTTCAAGTGAAAAGTCCACCAATTGGAAATCCATTTTTATCAATACTTTTGATTTAAAATGGAGAAGTACAGTAAATGGTTTGATGAGCTAGCAACCACTCAGTGTCTTTGCCTTCCTGGCAAACTGTCTCTAGCAAACCCTGCTCTGGGTTCTCATAGAGGAATGGCACTCTTACTCATGAAAGCTAATTTGCAAATCTACAAGTGTAATAAACTTGTTGGGTATTCTTGGGAGTGGAGCCAGGAGAATGCTATGGAAGTTGAAAACATGTGGAAAAATTCTTCCTTCCATCTATAAAAATGTCCTAAATAGCACAGATACCCAGAAGAAAAGATGGAGCTAAAAGCCCTATATGGGGAATGATAGATGCTCCATGAAAATTGTGACACTTAAAGTACAAATATATTCTAGGTTCTTTCAATTCAAAGGAAGCACATAATGATGTTGATTCAAGGGACTCACTGGGTTCATTTAATTCATTTCAAACATTTCTTTACCATTTTGTGTCAGGCATTGAGCTAGAAGGTAGGCACCAAGAAATAGCAGTGTTGTTCTCAAACAGGAGACAAACAATTGTACTAGAGGTGCTATCATATAGGTATGAAATAGATGTGATAGAACTCACAGGAGAAGCATTTAATCCAAATAGGAGTGTGGGGTGGTGAGGGAAGACCTCAATGAAGTGACACCTGGATTTTCAAAGGACAAGTAGCAAGTAGCCAGCTTAGAACTGAGCTGAGTAGGGACCTGTGAGCACATTTACATCAAGAGCAGTGTCAAGCAATCTACTGTGAGGTAGAGGCATGGCACAGTCCAAGAAGTGTTGGATCCATGTGTTTGGAGCATGGGAAGCAGTAAGTAATTACAAGGGTAGAGAGTAGGCCATGGTGAGTTTTAAATGTCAGACTGAAGAGTTTGAAAATTTTCCCAAAAATTGAAAGTAGGTATGGAAAGAATTTGCATGAAGATGTGGTATTATCAGGATTGTATTTTAAAAAAGACTACTCTGTCCTATAGTAGCTCATAGTTGATCAGCACTGAGGTGGTTTCTTAATTTCCTGAAATCTGTAAATATCTGTGATTATAGATGTGTTAAAAATTATAAATGTTTTGTCTTGATTTTTAAAAATCTGCATCGTGCCTTTTCCACATGTAGTACACACCAGCCACAGTTCTCATGGAGCACATCATTGTTTACAAAAATAGGGAATGTTTTAAATGTCCTTATTTCTGATGAAGGTCACATTTTATTAGAATTTAAGTCAATTATGAGTTATGAATTCAGATTTTTTCCTTTGAATGCAATTTTTGTTAGGAAGATGAAGAACCCATGAGGACACCAGTTCTTTTGCCTGAGGTTGGTTCTCCTAGAAAAAGACCCTGAGACAAGAATTCAAATACAGATAGTTTATTCAAGAGGGAAATCCAATAAAACACTTGTAGAGGAGTGAGATCAAGAAAAGAAGATAACCAATAAATGGTACATTGTTGTAATGGTCAATTTTACGCATCAAGTTAACTAGGCTATAGTCCACAATTATCAAACACTAATTTAGTTGGTGCCGTGAAGGTGTTTTGTAGATGTAGTTACTGTCTATGATTAGATGATTTTAAGTAAAGAAGATTATCGTAAATAATCTGTGTGGGCCTAACTCAGTCAGTTGAAGATCTTCAAACAGAAATATCCCTGAAGAAGAAGAAATTCCACCTGTGGACAGGAGCATCATCTCCTGCCTGAGAGTCCCAGCCTACCCTTGTTGATGGACTGCCCTGTGAATTTCAGCCTTGCCAAGCCCCACAATCAGGTAAACCAATTCGTTGCAATAATAAATCTATCTGTCTATCATCTATCTATCTATCTATCATCTATCTATCTATCTATCTATCTATCTATCTATCTATCTATCATCTATCTAGCTAGCTACTATCTTCTATCTATCTATTTGTCATCTATCTATCATCTATCTATCTATCATCCATCTATCTATCTATCTATCTATCTATCTATCTATCTATCTATCTATCTATCTATCTTTCTATGCATCCATCCATCCATCCATCCATCTTACTGGTTTTGTACCTCTGGTGGAATCTTGACTGATACAATTATTAAGCCAGTTTCCACGGTGGAACTTAATCATCTGGGGTGTGCTGAGAGTCAGAACATAGAGCTGCTTTCAGGGAATCTTAGTTCCCTGGCACTTCCACCCTGTTTCTCAGGCAAAAAGTTGAAGGTGCTGACAATAAGAAATTGGACTGCATATAGGGAAAGGGTAATTCTGAGGACATAGTGAAATTCCAGCAACATATCTGCTGTATTCATAAAGGAGTACAATTTCAAAAAAGAAAATTTGAAGTGGAAAATTATAAATAATAAAGGAAAATTCCTCCACTTCAAAATGTTAATATGCCCTCCCTGGTGCAGTGACTCACGCCTATAATTTCAGCACTTTGGGAGGCCAACGTGGGTGGATCATTTGAGTCCAGGAGTTTGAGACCAGCCTGGCCAACATGGCAAAAACCCATCTCTACTGAAAATACAAAAATTAGCCAGGTGTGGTGGTGCAAACCTGTAATACCAGCTTCTCGGAAGCTGAGGCATGAGAATTGCTTGAACCCGGGAGGCGGAGATTGCAGTGAGCTGAGACTGCGCCACTGCACACCAGCCTGGATGACAGAGTGAGACACTGTCTCATTAATAAGAATAAGAATAAGAATGTGCCCTCATCCATGCCCCTGGGCATTCCTGAGGTGCCCCATGACTCCCCCGTTTCCTGCCACCACATACACACTTAGTTGATCACTCCTCTAAATTGTCTTAGGGAATGGACACTAGCATCTGTATATATCACCAGTGTCAACAGTGAACAAGAGAGACTGGTTATGAGGATGTCCCATTCCTTCACACTCAAGGAATGTTACAGTCCCTCTAAGAATGAAGAATCCCTCAGACTGTTCATAGTCAATCACCACGTGCAATTTACATTCTATCTACTCAGGGGTGACCAATCAAAATGAAAAGTTGTGCCTTTTAGTATACTTTAAATTCGTCCTTGTATGGCTATCAGGAGTAGCAATTTAAAAGCATGGGCCCTGGAGCCAGAGTGCCTGTCTTCATATCCCAGGTGGGCCACTGACTGGTATTTTGCCCTTAGCCAAATTGCTTAACACCTCTTGGTCTCAGTTTATCCATCTGTAAAATGGTTGCTATGAAGGGTAAATGAATTAAAGTATTCAAGTGTTTAGAAGAGTGAGTGGTTTAGAGTATATTATATAAATGTGTTAATAGAATGATTATCATTATCATCATCATAACTATCATTACTGACTCATGGCCTTCTAATGAAAGGTGGAGCTGGCTTGAGGGGCTGTGTTGGAAACAAAATTAATGAGTAGGAATTGAAATCACCGTATTAGAGCAATTAAGAAGTCATGAACACTGCAATTCTCTAATTACAGGTTGTTAGCATGGAACATACACTACGCTTTCTTGATATTGCGAAGCATGAGTTGATGGTTAAAAACCAAGAAAGTGACTTCTCATTTATTACTAGATTTTTTTTTCTTTGACATAGTCAGCGTATATCAAGCTCTGTGCTGACGATGATGATAAGGAAGGAAACATTAAGCCCACACACAAAGCAGGCTCACAGGCTTGTCCCAGCTCTCAACTTTCTCACCTAAGTACGGTCTTCAAATTACTGGCAAGTACCAGAAATGACTCTATACTAAAGAGTATGAGTTCTGGAATCAGACTGCTTACGTTCAAATTCCAGTTCCCCTCCTTAGTATCTAAAACCTTGGGCAAATTGCCTAGCCCCCCTTTAGATGTTTCAACCAACTTGCCTGTTAAATAAAGAGGTAAGCAGTACCATCCTCATGAATTCCATAAAGCAGCAGTCAGTAAATGATGGCTCACAGGCTAAATTCAGCCTGCAACCTATTTTTGTAAAGAAAGTTTTATTGGAACATAGACATACCCAATTGTTTACACTTTAGCTTTTGGAGCTGAATAGTGTGACAGACACATAATGGCTTATAAAACTGAAAATAATTTGCTATCTGGCCCTTTACAGAAAAATTCTTCTAGCCCCTGACCTAATTGAATAAATAAGATAATGCGTATAAATGTGTAGCCCAGTTCCTGGCATATCAAAGTACTCAGTGAATATTAATTATTAGCTTACTGGTTTGCCAAAAATGCAAGACCCATTCACTAAGGCCTAAAACAATCAGCAAATATCCATAAACAATGTGCATCTAATTGAATTTCTGAAATGATATCTGATTTCATCTGTATCACTATACTTACTTTAGTACTTTAGTATCGCTGTACTAAATGGGTACTTCAGTACAGTATCACAGTACTTCATCATTTTCCTAGTATCTTATTCATTCATTCATTCACTGATTTGTTGTGTCTTAGTTGTTTTCTCATATCTGGTATATCTGCCAGGTTAGTGGGCCGGTAATCCATGGGCCTGTGCCTGACTGATGTTCATGTGGGTCTGATGACATTCAGCATCTGGGGAAACACGGGGATTTTGAGGCCAGTGTCAAGGTCTGTTGTGTGATCCTTGGATCTGTTTCTGAGGGCTGTTGAGAGAAACCTTGCTTTCACATGTGACCGTGAGGGAGCGGAGCATACTCACCCCTGCTTTGCTATCCCAGGGACAAAATAGAAAATAAAATGAAAAGAATGAAAGAGGGGCACTCCTCCTTGTCAATATGGTGTATGACTTGGCTGCAGCTCATTCTGAAGTACCATAGTCTTCGTGGCATTGGAAAATGGTGCACTGGCACCACCATCCATTCTGTTTGTCATGCACAGAAGCTAAAAGTGCAATGTGGTGGTTCAAGGAGAAAGGATCTCTCCAGCAGACACTAATACGACATCCTTGGGTGGAAAACCCTAAGAACTATTAAGAAATTCACTTGTAACAATCCAGGGATGCCCATAACTAGTTGAGTGAAATTTTGAGGAGGGTGGAGACTCTTGCCTTAAGCATATACATAGAAACTGGTGAAACTGGGGTTATAAATGTTATCAAGTTCATTTTCATATGCAGAAGTCGATGAGACCTAGAGCAAGTCCACTGCACACTCATGAGACAAATGTGTATTGAGGGTCCACTCTGCTTTACCCATAGAAGCCTTGGTTCAAAAGGGTTTCAAGGTCCCACTAAGCCTGATAAAGCCAAAAATAGTTGTGTACTCTTTGCCACTCTTAGTTCTGGAAAAACTGGAAAAAAATATTTAGCTCATCTTGCCCAACCGCCTCATTTCACAGATGGAAAAACTGACACTCAGAAGAAGTGACATGCCAAGGTCCCACAGTTAATTAGTGGGAGAGGCAGGACCAGTTGAATGCTTTATTCTGATTTGGGAGAGGAGCAGCACTGGATTTGGTCCAGGAATTGGTCAGGTGACGTCTTCTTTTGCCTTAAAGGAATAGTGACAAGTAGGCCTGCTCCTAACATTTGTAGGGTTCAGGTGAAGAGTACAAATAAAAGCCCACACGCTATTTACCCAAATATATAAATCTTATAAATCAAACTAGCAAACTGTTAATTAAAATATATTTTATACTCCTATCTTGACAAATGTAATTCATAAAAATCTGGAAATCCTGGTTCTAATTAGAATTGTCAGACCCCTTGACCCTATGGACTCTATCTTGTATAGCAGAGTATAGTTATGGGAGGACCAGTATGAAACTCTTTAAAAATAGAATTCCAGGTCAGGGATCTTCCTTGCCAGGTTCTTAACAGACCACTAGTCCCCAGTATGGTAGCAGACATTTATAATCAGGACAAGTGGGAACCACTCAAAGCCATTTCCTAAAGCACATGTCAATGAGATACAGCCCAGTGCTTCCTAAATCAACTCCAGCTACCCAGTCCCCCTCCCTTTCTGAATCCAGCTGAGCTAAAGTGGAAGCAGTAACTATTACAAAACATTTCAACTAATTGACACTCAGCCTGGTAGGCAGGAGGTAATCTTAGGGAACATCTACTTTGCAGGGAAGCAAAGAATTTTGAAACCATATTGGGATAAATAATATGGGGTCCTGTAGACAGAAACCAATTAAGTCAAACCTCAGGTTGATACTTCTTTAGCTGTCATCTCTACATAATAATCTCAGTTCCAAGGCTCTCAAGGCCACCTGAGCCTCTTTAGTCTCATTCAAATGTAGAAAAGAAAGAGAAAAACCTCCATTTTATTTGTACTAGAAGAAGGGAAAAGTAGATTCTCTCGGTTCAATTTTATGGGCCTTTGACTCTTCCACAAAATGCTTTAGGCAGTTTGGTAATTTTCCTTACTTAACATTTAGTGATATTCTATATGCTTTTAGCAATAGTAGTGAGCCAATTAATCTTGCAAACATACGTCTTGTCCTCATTTCTATCACTCCTTCTTTCTGACTTTAGAGTGTCCTCATTTTTTATTTCTATATCCAAAAAGCAGCAGTGTTCAATTTTTCTATTTTCTCAAAGTACTTTTTCTTAAAATGGGAGACAATTACATTTGCAGAAGAAAAAAAGTTATGGCTTAAGTACTTTATTTTTTCAACTGTACATCTTCAAGAGTGTTTCTATTGATCAACTAAAAAACTAGGACATTCGGCGTGAACCCAGGAGGCGGAGCTTGCAGTGAGCCGAGATCACACCACTGCACTCCAGCCTGGGTGACAGAGCAAGACTCTGTCTCAAAAAACAAACAAACAAACAAGCAAAGAAACAAACAAAAAAACCTATGACATTCAAGACCTTAGGTAGATCAAGCATCTCCTGAGATCGTTTATCATGAAATTATCCAAAACCACTTCACAAAGCCTAGAAGTAATTTGGAAAGAAAGGTTTCATTATCTAGGTGATATCAGTTAACAAGGAAAGAAAGATGCACAGAGTTATTTCAGAAATGTAAATAATGAAAATTGCATAGACCAGACTATTATGTTCTTATTCTATTTTGTAATTCATCAAAACCCACAAATATTTCTTGAGGAGTTTAGGTACTTGATACAGATCAATAGTAGCTTGATTTTCAAGGACAATGACTAATCAATACACAATTGGCAAACAGCTTGAGAAAAAAATCAATTTCTGGTGCTAATGTGATCATATTTCTTAGCTGTTAGTTCCAAGGTATGTACTTTTCCTTGACTCACCCACTTACCAATTATGAATCATGTTTAGAATGTCATTAGTATTTTTAAGGAATATCTACTGGAGTTGAGTAACGTGATCCTCATATAATTTACTTTAAAAAATCACCTAGCATTTCTATCTTCACGGAGACTTCAGTATAATCTTTTTTTTAATTTTAAAACTACCAAGAGGAAGGATTCTGTTAAGATGACAGCCTGAGAAAATGTTTTTCACTCCTTATTTTCCTCTAACCTCCTGCTGGAGGGAATCACCAGTACATGAAAGTGTGTGTGTGTATGTGTGTGTGTGTGTATGTGTATGTGTGTATGTGTGTGTGTGTGTGTGTGTGTGTGTCTTTAGGGTGGAAGGGGTTGGGAAGGTGGTATAGAGATTATCCTATTTCACTGTAGAACCCTGTAGGGGATCCCATATATCTGGAATCTTTAGGCTTCCCAGATGGCCTTACAGAAACCAGGCTAGGAGGATAATGTACCTTCTCTGCAGTATTATTTCAATTACCAGGAGAAAAGAGACCATTCTTCTTGATGCAGCAAGAAGTAAGGAGCTCTGACTTCAAGGCTCTCTGAGAGGGCAGCCAGGAGATTCTGGGGATTGCCTAAAACCATGGAGATGAACCATTTCTACCTGCTCACTCACCACTGTATCCCTGAGATACCCTACTGGTCCCATGGATTCTCACCACCCTTGAGGGGAACTATGAACTAATCCCCTTCCAATGGGCCAATAAAAGGTGAGCCACTCAAAGCTCATGCCTGGAGAAGACTGAAATAGTAGGGTACTCAGCAACAATCAATCCAGTTGTTTTACCAGTGGTTAATGAAACACTTTTTACCGTATTCTTCTGTAAAGCCACTACAGCCCTACAGTCTCCAACAATCTCACCTATGAAAGTTCTGAGATTACTAAACTTGCTGACATGAATGGACAGATAATTCACAGATGAGTTAAGGAAACCTAGTACTTCAAAGGAAAGGAGTCATAACAGAAAAAAAACTTTAAAAAACCATAATGAGAATTATTATGAAAAATAAAATAAAGAAATTATGAGAAAGCAAAAGGTTTTGGGAAAAAAATGCTTTTTAGGTTTAAAGATTCCAAAATTGTGAAGAAGTTGGAATCAGCACTACTGAAAACTGAATAAGTGATTTGAAAGTTCAAATGTAGAAACTATCTAAAAAAGAAAAATAAACATAAAGAAATAGAAATTATGAGTAAAAAAAGAAAATACAGAACAAGCCAAGAGATTTATGCCAAGAATAGAATTTCCAGAAGGAGAGAAGGTAAATAAAGAGAGGGAAAGCAATAATTCAAGAAATTTGAGAAAGAAAACTTATCTGAGCTTTAAAAGTAATCAAGTTTTCAGATAAAAAGTGTTCATTGGGTACCAAATAGGATTAATGAACAAAATATACACTCCTAGACATATCTGGTGAAATATCACGATAAAATATCACGGAAACTTCCAAAACAGAAATAACTAAGTATGTACAAAAAAAGGCAGATAATCACAGGGAAGCATTTCTTTTCTGCTATATAAAACTGGAAGTTATAGTATCTCATTTATAAAATGTTGAGAGAAACATGTAGCAGCTTGAGTCCATGTATTCATTTACTTATGAGGGTAATGTTGATACTGCTTCACACATGCAAGGGCCAGAAAGCATATTAACCATGCACCCTTTCTGAAGAAATGGAAAATTCCTCCAGCAAATTACAATTAAATCAGAAAATGTTTCCAAGATGGGGGAGATGAAATGTCTAAGAAGCAATAGTGAGCAATAACTTTAGGAACCTCTGTCCAATTATCTCCATCTCTTCTCAATTTTCATTGTTACCATACTAATCCAGGCTATCAGAATCTCTCACCAGATTTCTTTAATCACCTCCTGTTCTCTATGTTTTTACAATACTCTCCTTCATTTGGGCCAGACTCATCTTTTCTTTTGTTTCTTTTTTTAAATTTTATTTATTTTTTATTTTGAGACAGAGTCTTGCTCTTGTTGCCCAGGCTGGAGTGCAATGGTGCGATCTCAGCTCACCGCAACCTCTGCCTCCTGGGTTCAAGTGATTCTCCTGCCTCAGCCTCCCGAGTAGCTGGGATTACAGGCATGCACCACCTCGCCCCGCTAATTTTTGTATTTTTAGTAGAGATGGGGTTTCTCCATGTTGGTCAGGCTGGTCTCGAACTCCCAACCTCAGGTGATCTGCCTGCCTCGGCCTCCCAGAGTGCTGGGATTACAGGCGTGAGCCACAGCGCCCGGCCCAGACTCACCTTTTCAAAAGGCTGTTTTGATCGTACTACTTCCCCCACACTCCTGAAACCCTTCAGCATATTCTCATTGTTCCTAGGTTAAGAAGGTAAATCTTGAATGTGCTCTATTAAAATTTTGCATGGTCTGACTTCATCTTAACTAGTTAGCTTTATTGTGTACCACCACTGCCTTCATTTCACATCATGTGCCCTCACACCATGGGGATTAGCACTCTGAACTTGTTCCTATAACTTTCTTCCTTCCCTTCACTTGGTTGAACTTGCATTTATCCATTTGGAGGGAAGACCTTGGAAAAAAATTGCTCCCTGGAAGAAAAACTATCAAAACTCAATTTAGAAGGGACAGAATTAATTACCTATGATATAATGTTTTTGTTTTGCTTTATGCTTGAGGCAAAGGTATAAATTCCTGGACAGATAAGAAAATGGCAACATTGGATGTTGTCTGCAAACCAATGGCAGGGCTCAGACTGTGATGGGAGAGAAGCATGTCATTGAATTATCTCCTAGAGTCTTAAACATATGAATTCACTCTCTAGCTCTCCTAGCATCACCCCACAAACTGAATTATGGGAGAGTTGAACATGTGTAAAAGAGGTTTTCTATAGAAGCATTTATTTAAGATCTAGTGGAAGTTTCATGACTTGTGTGGAAACTCATACTACATTAAAAATGGAAGTCTAATGCTGTGCTAGTTTTCTATGGCTGTGGAACAAATTACCACAAACTCAGTTTCTTAAAACAGCACCTATTGATTTTTCCCACTGTTTCTGTGGGTGAGGAGTCCATGAATAGCTTAGCTAGGTCCTCTGCTTTACGGTCTCACAAGGCTACAATCAAGGTGTCATCTAGGGCTACAGTTTTATGAGGCTCAACTAAAGAAGGATCTACTTCTAACTTCTGATGATTGTTGGCAGTATTCAGTTCCTTGTAGGCTGTTGAAGTTGGGGGTGGGGGGCTCAGTTTCTTGCTGGCTTTTGGCCAGAGGTCACTGAGGGCTTACCATGTGGCTCGTGCATTCAGCCAGCTCACACCATGACAGGTGGCTTCTTCAAACCCAGCACAAGAGAGATTTTCTCAGCAAATTGGAGTTACAACCTTATATAACATAATCATGTACACATAGTCATATTCATCTCATTAGTTTTGCTGTGTTCTATTGGTTAGAAACAAATTACAAGTCCTGTTTACACTCAAGGGGATGAGATGTCACGAAGGCAAGAATATCTGGAGGCAGGAATCACGGGGATGACCCTAGGCTCTGTCTACCATGATTAGGTATATATCGTTTTGTTCTGTTCTAAGAAATTGATTATCTTGCATAATTCTGCATGACTTTGACTATTACACCAAATAAAATTTTACATGACGGTTCTTCAAAATGCTTTGACTTCTCTGTTAACAAGTTTACCCTACAATAATGAAAAGGGATTTAGTAACTCCCAAACACCATCAAGTTTACTAGGGAGGTATCACAATATAATTCCTATTAAAAGAATCAGTATGATAATGTATTAAGGAAAAAAGACTTTATAAATGCTTAAAAATAAGAACCCAAAGATAAAAAGCTTGTCAAGCTAGAAGAAGGAGTTTCCTTGAGCAACACCGACAAGGATCTAGAAAGTCGAAGTTGAAAATTCTGGCCTTATAGAGCATATAAGTGTTATTAGAAATTATGGTAAGAAGATCAAAATGGCCAGTGTGATAAGGCTGGCCTCATGCTTAGTAAGTAATCAGCTATTATAATTTGGTTTCCCACATATGTTTCCTATGGGGAATATAATGGGTTGACCAAGTAGGATGGGATCTCCTTGGCTATTGAACCATAAGAATGCAATAAATTTGCATTCTTGTTTATATATCAGATTTTGTGCCACTGCTTAGTGAGAACAAGTTTCCTTGAAATGAATCAATTATCAGGGCACTAACAATTTTTTTTTCACATATTTGTACCATTTAACCTCAATGCTTTGCCTTAGCTGGTGCTTCATTTTACAAATGAGGTAACTGAGACCTAAATAGGCAAAATAATCTCTGATGGCTAGGAAATGAAATAATCAAATTTCCAACCCAAATATCTCCGTGTACATAGATGTAGTGATTCAATGTAATTTCATTTGAAAGGCTTTCACTATTAAACAAAAATATTGAAAGCTGTCTCTGACTCCAATCCTAGGGATGGGGCCTCAAACATAGGAAGATAAAGTAAATGAGCTTGGTCACAAATGTGAGAGCTTTAAATAGAGCTGTGCTGAAAGCTGGACTCAAGACAAAGTTTCAAGTTACCGAATTCAGACTTTTCATAATCTCAATGTTTAGGCACGGAATTGGGCCCCAATGCCCGAAGGGGGCTTCAGCTGCAGGTGATTGATCAGTGATCCCCAGCTGCAGGGAATGTGGGTGAAGAGCAGTGAGGTAGGCAGGAAATCAGGCCATTGAAGATGCACTCCTAGCCTTTACTTTGAATTGGAGTCTGTGCTGGATGTTAGTGTTATATCAATGTTGATTTCTTGATTTGGAGGAATTTATACTGGTTATGTAGCAGAATGTCATTGTTATGGGGAAATACGTATTGAAATGTTTTCAGGTGATGGGACATTACATGGGAGGTGGCTGTCAAAGGGTTCAGAAAATACATAATAATGGGTGACAGACAGAGGAACAGAGAAAGGAGGGAGGAAGAAATGGAGCAAATAAAAGAAAATATTAACAATTAGAGTCCTGGGTAAAAGGAATACAGGAATTCTTTGTACTTTTCTGTAATTTTCAATTTATTTCAAGACAAAATTTTAAAAATAAGCCCGATAAGATAAGGCCCTACTACTGTGCTCATTATACAGATGAGAAAAAGAAGGCTTAGAGCAGTCAAGGAACTTGCCCCAAATCACTTAGTTAGTAGGGGTGGATTTCTGCCAGATGTACGGTAGGTGGGATAGTGAGGCAGAAACTGGCCTGTTAAGGTTGGTAGAATTTCCACAGTAGTCGTGTTGCTGTCTTGTTAAATTCTTGTCCTTCAGGCTGCACCATAATGAGCTTAACTCAGAGAAGGTGTCTACATAAATAGAAATCTTTCCATATGGCAGAGCTTTGTCATGCTTCTAGCCACTCTCAGCTGTCATCCAAACCCAGACTAAGCTGGAATACAGAATGAGGTGTTGTAAAAACTGATGCTGGGCTCTGTACATCTGAAGAAAGCAGGAGCCCAAAAGGAGATGTTGAAGAAGAGAAGGTTTGCCTGGCCACCTAAAGACTAATCTCTTATGACAATTAGCAAGACTACATGTATAAATGCACTTAAAGACATAGTTTGGCTTTGGACCTACCTAATGAGGTTTTTGATTATTTCATGGAAAAATGGTATGAGTAGCAGGAAGAAAAAGGAACATGTGGTGAAGGAATGCAGGAGGTAATAGATAAAAATTGAGCAATTTATCATTTAGAAGAGAAAAGATTAGCATTTGGGGGAGAAGGTTAGCATTATAATTCAAAAAATATCTTCCATATCTCCTTTGTAGCAAATACAAAGTAAGTAGCAATAAAATTAAAAATAATTCTTTCCAGCAGGACGCGGTAGCTAACGCCTGTAATCCCAGCTCTTTGGGAGGCTGAGGCGGGCAGATCACGAGGTCAGGAGATCAAGACCATCCTGGCGAACACAGTGAAACCCCGTCTCTACTAAAAATACAAAAAAATTAGCCAGGCGTGGTGGCGGGCGCCTGTAGTCTCAGCTACTGGTGAGGCTGAGTCAGGAGAATGGAATGAACCCGGTGGGCGGAGCTTGCAGTGAGCAGAGATTGCGCCACTGCACTCCAGCCTGGGCGACAGAGCAAGACTCCGTCTCAAAAAATAAAATAAAATAAAATAAATACTTCTTTGCTAAAAATAAGTCCTATAAAATAATGTAGTTTTCCATTTAATAAACATACTAACATCATCAACTTTAATTTTGTTCCATTTGGAACATTTGTTCAGTTAAAAGAGGGAAACAACATAAAAATTATATAAAAAATCACCAGCTCATTAGGTAAAAGACATATGCTGAACTTTCATGTTCTTAGATACTAATGTGCTGGTGGCTTTTAAGTGACCTAAGAGTCACATTAAACATAAATAAATCGTAATCATTTCTCCTGTTTTGTCAAGACTGAATTGCTCTTGTGGTCATGTGTTGGTGTCCTGCCCACCTTTGGGTTATTAAATACATTTTCAAAAGTGAATTAACATACTTAGTTATGTCTATGGGGAGTAGCAAGACAGAAACAAGCTAAATATCCAAAGAAGAAACTATTTTCCAATGGTTTTGTGGTTTGAGTGGCTATTTTACCTATTTTCTCTTAAATCTTACTGACTATCTAAACAATATAAAAGCTAGGCATTTCAATGTTGTGAATCAAATACTTGGACCTAGGGAAACCTTGGTCTCCTGGCATGATCAGGTTCAGTTGTAGAAGCATTCTTACCTATAATGGCTGTGCGCCATCATGATTAGAAATCTTTTATCTGCTAGTTTCAGAAGTGTCTGTTTCTGACATGATCACCACACCATATATACATCTCCTCTAATTGTACTTAACTTCTATTTCCTCTACTGTGAAATCTAAAAGGACCCAGTTACATACAGGCTGTTATGTCAGGACTCAGTATAGGTACTTGTTAAAAGGATCACCTTTTTATACTGCTTGAGTGTTTTTGAGTCACTCTCATAGTTTTTTTTCTCTTTTTTTGCAAGGGGAAGGGAAGGTTCTCATTTTCATTCTTTTTTATTATTTTCTTCTGTAATTATTCTTTATTTTTTAAAGAAGTGCTTACTTTTGCAACAGTAACACAACAATAGCATACACCCTTTCTTTCCCACGCACTAACGTGAAATAACACATCTGAGAGTTGGCAGCAATAATTTAGGTTGAGCTGAAAAAGTCTGACCTCACTAACTAGAATAATTTTTTTCCTTAAATAATTTTTTTCTTAATTTTGGTGTGATTAATTTTTAATTTTTGCCGAGAGCAGTATACATATGTTTACTATTAGCTGCATTTGGAAGATACATTCAAGATTTCGGAGATATTCTGCTGATTGACCGACGATAGCTGTTTTTATTCTGTGACTTGATGTTCATCCAATTGGCATGTATGGTAAAGTATTTCTTAGGAGTAAGAATGTTTTTGTCCAATTAGAGGAGAAAAAGTAGACCTAAATGCTAAAATATGTCTAGCTCTCTTGTTGCCCATTTCCTTGATTCTTGCAAACACCGTCTCTGAAGACTAGAAAGGATCAATGAATGGCTTCAGCTTCTGTGGAGAAAAATCTTAACCTGGTAGCCCAGGCAGTTTGGTTAACAGTGCCTCTTACCTTCAGGTATATCCTGGATATACAATTTGTTTCCTCCACTCCTTCGTATGCTTTTTCCTTTCTGTTTTCTTCTTGCTAGCGGCAAGTCAGTATTGAAAATTGCAATTCTCTAAAAATAAAAAGTCAAGCATATTAACTGAATTCTTCAAGAAGGAATTAATTAGTTCTAGTACCAATTTTCAGTAAACAAGAGACAGTGTCGCCTATTCAAGGAGAAGAAAAATGTAATAATAGAGGTTTTTTCTAATAAGCCTCTTACACAATAGCCTTTTTAAAAATGCCATCCGATATGGCAAAGATATTTGAGTTGGAGCAGATATCATAAACCCTGGGAAAGTACAAAAATGTCATATCCTGTTTGAGAGCCAGCTTTTTTTATCCATACAATGGTGATAGGAACTACCTCCCAGGGCTGGTATGAAATATTCTGTGTGAGTATATTACTTAATAATATCACAATTGAGTTTCCTAATTTTAAAAATGGGGATGACAGATTATATATATATATATATATATATATATATATATATATATATAGAGAGAGAGAGAGAGAGAGAGAGAGAGAGAGAGAGAGAGAATATATTGTGCTGGGCTAGAGTAGGTCTCCATTGAGATTGAATTCCATTCACTAGACTCATACCACATTATGCTAATGAAGAAAATGTTACTATTCTGTCAGTGAGTTAATTGACGGTTGAACTCTCTTCTGATTGGGACAGTGTGTATACTGTTAGAGAGGAGTCTATATGTCCAGTAAAAAGCATCTAAATTGTAAAAAAGCACTTAAATCTGGAACCTGCCAAGGGAAATTAGGGAGTAGGTAGCTGAATATGCAACTCAGAAGGAGAAGAAAGAAATGCACTCTAAATTTCATAGATCATTTTACGCCGCGAGATTGCTCTAAAAATTTTAAGAATGTACCTTCACTCTTAATGCTCTTACTACTACTTCATACCTAGTATGCCTCTTCTTCTCCATTTATTTGATATTTTGTGTGAGCAAGATTAGATATTGTATATTAAAAAGCCACTGTCTTGCATTGTTCCTTTGTCATATTCTAAGTAGGCCTCATTCCACTTAGTCTCAAAACTATCTAGGAAATTATGTTAACTCTATCATCTTTAAAAAATTCCTTAAAATTTCCTAGAACTTAGGTGGGTTATAATAACCATTCCTGCTACTATTACCTATTTAGGCTAAATGGGAAGGTAGAAGGTCAATATTAGGCCTTTTTCAGGCCTAAGATTGAATACAGAGTACTTTTCTGTAGGTTATGGGGAAAAATAGGTTTTCTTTTTCGGTAAGTTGAGCTGATTAGAACCATACATCTCAAATTTTCCAAAACAGTCATGATTTCAAACATTTGTTTCCATCATTCCTGTGAATGAAATTATACTTCAGAGGCCATGTGTCCCATTTCTGATATTTGAGTTTTATTTATTCAAAATATATTTTTGAGTACCTGCTATGTGCTAGATCATAGGGTACATATCCTTTGTAAATAAATAAGCTAGGATTATGGTTTTAATATGATTAATTAATAAGATAATGCATTCAACAAGTATGTATAGGTTGCTTACAGTGTTCCAGTGATGGGCACAACAGACCCATTTCTTGACCTAATCATGCCTTTATTCAAGCAGGGCAATATGCCCTATCCATCCAACTGATATTCTGTGTTATGAACAATGAGTGTCCAGGTTTGTCTTCTATGTTTAAGCAACTATTTCTCCTTTGTGCACTTAGACTTTACTGCTTTTTTCCTCTACCTCCAGAAGTAAGAGCTAAAGTCCTGCTTAATAGATTAATTAAAATATATAATTGAATCTACTTCTTTTGGCTGCTCTTCAGGATTTTAAAGTTTTTATAAAGTGCCAATTTATTTCTCTTTTTCACTCTCCAGATTTATACCATATAAACACTATAAAAAGATGCCTCTGCTAAAATAGAGTGAGAAAGAAAGATCATGGAAAGTCTGGAGGGAATAAAAATGATTTTATTATTTTGTCCGTCCTCATATTTTTCTCTTGTTGGATTTTTTAAAAGAGCTTATTAAATGCTCTTTCTGTACACATTCACCTTCTTCTTTCTCCTGCTTCTGCCCTTGAAAAAAATCTAGTATATTTTTCCATTATCCCACACCCA
Organism: Homo sapiens; assembly: GCF_000001405.40. Taxonomy (NCBI): domain Eukaryota; kingdom Metazoa; phylum Chordata; class Mammalia; order Primates; family Hominidae; genus Homo; species Homo sapiens. Next base: position 43,130,976 of record NC_000023.11, on the reverse strand, counting down.
CATATAATTATGTGCAGAAGGAATGACATCATATTGAGATTAATTCTTTCTTGATGGCATCACGACCCACTGACTCATTTTGTCTCCCACAATTAGCTATTCAAAGAAATTGTAATTACTTGCTTTTTGAATGAGTCTTTAGATAATTTTAAATTCTTTCTGTTTCTAGGTAATTAGTGGGAGTTTCACATATTTTTTACGCTTTTAAATTTGGGATGGAAGTGGTATTTCAGGTTGAATTCCCCAGAAGCAGACTATAAGATGAGAATGGATGTGCAAGTGATTGATAAAGGAAATGTTGATGGAAGAAACCAGTTAAGAATTACAGAAAAGTGAGCAGGGACTATGAAGAGGACAAGTCAAGGCACAATCTCAGATTTCAGGCAAAGTCCTTTGAGACCAGTTGATTGCAAAGGGGAACTCTATTCCTGCTGTCCTGACAGGAATAAGGGGTCTGGGCTTTCATACTTTTCCACAAACCTGTCACTGGCCAAGGCCCCCCATGGGGAAGTAGGTAGGGAAGTAAACTCCCAGGCAACAAGATGATTTGCAACAAAGTGATTTCAGATCCCAAGGAGTCCCTTGGGGGTCGAATATTGGAAGAAAAGTATATGAAGGCTGAAAGAGGGTTGCCCAGAATAAAAAAAAAAGATCTGAGGGGACCGAGGAAGAACACCAATGTCCACTACAGGAACCATTTAACATAAATAAATGGTTTTCAACTCAAGAAATAAAGCTTGCCTACCATCCTGTCTGGCATTGTATCTGTCAGTTAGTGGTTGTTCAAAAATATTTATTGTTTTTACTTTATAAGCACAAACAAGCTATCCACAGAGACAAATGAATATTGTGTGACTTCACCTTTTGTCATTTTGCCTTATTTTATACTCAACTAGGATGAACCACTAATCAGAGTAATGCAGATTAGTTCAATTGTTATCTTATTTCCAAGTTTGTCTCAGAAATTTGCAGCAAATGTCAAGACGTAGAGCAATCTTTATGTGAGTGGGTGATTCCAGAGTCATTCTTCAGGGGTGATTGTCTTTGGGCTAACTACAGTGGTTATTCCATTTCCCTCTGTGCCCAGTGGTATTATATAGATAAAAGTAGATTTATGGTAACATGAAGAACAACTCTGAAGGGAAATTAGGTCACCAAAAACCATCCTAATGGGCTCATATAAAAATCGAAAACATGCAGTCCTATGAATCATGCTTTGGTTTGTGGTAAGCCTGGTGGTAGGTATGATAACTAATTACTTGTAGATATCTTATTAAATTCGTATTAAATAATCTTATTAAATTCACCAGGTTAAATCACCTCTTCCACTAACTTCCAACCTACTTCCAAAGTTATTGCTCAGCAAACAGCAACAAGTAGGACTCCAAATTGTTGAATTAGAGCACATTTGCTGTGATTCACCATATCATAGGTACAACTCTTGAAAATCAACAAATGTTTATTATACCTCCCTAAAAAATGAACAATAAAGCTTCAAAGTTATCATCAGTTGATCAGATATCTAATTCGGTTGATGTTTGTTTAGAATATTTCCAGTTTAATTTATTGATGATTTTAGATCCTAAGACTTAGATAAATTCTGCAAAAAGCAGTCCAAGGACTACAGTAAATGAAAGTATATTTTCCTAACACTTCCCATTTTAGTCCAATATTTATAAGATAAGATAAAGTTCATAACCACATAGCAACTCAATTACTCCCAGTCTTTCTTTGGCATGGAGATCTTTAAAAACTTGCTTTGAATTGAATAAACTCAATTTTCTGATAGTTATTATAACTGATGCCTTTTGAGAAATCTCACTGTTGCCAAATTTTAGAGACTCGCATCTCAGGACAGCAGTCATGAAATAATTGAATTTTAATTGTTAGTCATACTGAGATTTGGAAGAAAATTTGGACCTTGGGGTAGGCGCTGGTAATTAAAATTCAAGAAAAGAACAACTACAGGCAAATCACCTGATAGCAAGCTGAGCTCTGTAGCTCTCCTACCTGACACAGCTCTTAAACACATCGTACAATGCAGAATAAATAATATAAAAGTATAGTGCATTCCTGGCATAAACTCCAGTTGGCTATGGTGTATAACTTTTTTATATAGTATGACTTTGGACTCTGCTAATATTTTATTCAGAGTTTTTGTATTAATATTCATGAGTGATATTGATCCAGTAATTTTTTATGGGAGCAGCGTTCTACTTGCTTCATAAAAAATTGGACACTTTCCTTCATTTTAAATGCATGTCTCATTAGGACTATCTGTTCTCTAAAAGTATGGTAAAATTGCTCTGTGAAACCACCTGAGCTAGGTACTTTTACGAGGAGTAGTTTCTTGATAACTTTTTCTATTTTTATAATGTAAATTGGTCTGTTTAAATTTCCTGTCTCTACCAGGTCAGTTTTTGTAAACTGTGTTTTCGTGAAAATTATCCACATAATCTAGGTTTCAAGTTTATTTGTAAAAGTGTGTACGAAGTAGATTCTTATAATTTTTCCTGTTGTAGCAATAATTATTTCCTTCTTGTTACTTCTTATTTGCTTGATTTTTCAAATTAGTGATTTGTTTTCTTTTTTGGATTTTTTAAAGATACTGGGTATTAATTAATTAACTATCTTTATGTTTTCTACCTCACTAATTTCTAATTTAATCTTTATCATTTCTTTACTTTTTTTTGGTTTACTTTGTTTTTCTTACACTTTTGAGTTAGAAATTTAATTACTTTGTTTTCATTCTTTTATTTTTATTGATGTAGGTTTTTAGTACTGTAAATTTCCTCTGATCATTGCTTTAAATGTATCCCATAGATTCTGGTATGTAGGGCTTTCATTACGATTATTTTTCAGAGATTCTGTAATTTGTGTGTATGTCTATGTTTTCACCAAGATTTGTTTAATAGAAGGCTTTTAAATTTCCAGGTGGAAGAATCTTTTTATTTTCTTTTGTTTATGTCTCGTAATTTAATTTCTAGTTTTATTGCACTGTGATTACATATATAGTTTTGTTTGTAATATTTGTACTTTATGAAACCCATTGATCATTTAGGAGAGTGCTGTAATATAGCATAAATTTTTGAAAAAGTTACGTGTTCTTGAGAAGAAATTATATTTTCTATTATCAGCATATGGTGTCTAGTATGCCTTATTGCTTTTGCTATTTAGATTATTAATTAATTAATTAATGGTCCACTTTACTTGTCTTGTACTGAGAATAGTGTGTTAAAATCTTCTATTAATTATGCATTTCTATTTATTTTCTTTGCACTTTTTATAGTTCCTTTTTTATATAGGTAATTGCTATTATTTGGTACTTATTCATATCTATTTTATCTTTAATTTGGATTGTGACTTTTAGCACTATGAAGCATCTTTCTCCATTTCACTTATTACTTTTGATCCTGAATTCTAATTTAATGACAGGATTGTAAGTTTCTGTTTTCTTATTTTTTCCATTTCAATAGTAAATATTTGCTCATATCTCTATTTTTAGATTATTAGAATCCTTACATTTTTTATATTTCTCTATATACAGAATAGAGTTGTGTTTGCTTTATGTGCCAATTTGAAAAACATTTTTTTAAACAGGTGAGTTTAGCCTTTTCATATTTATTAATATGACTGACATATTTCAATTTATCATATTGATTTGTGTTATAATTTCTCCTCTTGTTCTTTTTTGGTTGATCTTTACAGCTTTTTAATTACTTTTTGGCATTTAGGAAATTTGTACTTTTATTTTAGTGTTTACGTTTGTATTTATATCTTTCATAGCAACCCCATTTTATAAAAAATATTGTTTTTTTTTCTCTTTTTTCATAGGTCAGTCTGTCTAGCCAGAAGTGTATGTATCTCATTAATCTTTTCCAAAACAGATTTTGCTTTGATAACCATATCTGTTTAGTTTTCCTATTTTAGTAATTTCCACTTTTAAGGCTAATATTTCATTTCTTCTGCTCTTCACATTTATTCTATTGTTTCCATTTTCATGAGTTGGACAGAACTCATGTATTTCTAAACTTTACACTTCTCTAACCAATGACTTTAAGGCTATATGTGGGCAACTTTAATCTGTGCCAACCACTGGTTATTACACATATTTGTGTATTCCAAAGACAGAGGTCTTCATTATCATTATTGACAGTCATTTCTAACTATAATGACAGGTCAAACAACAGTTTCAACATGATAATAGGTGAAATCAGGTTACCATTAACTAATTTTAAAATTTAAAGCTTGAATTAACCAGGAATACAATTTCAGGATAATATATGGCTGACCAATGCTCTTAAAAAAAGACTTATTTCCAAATGAATTATCTTATTTACTTAACAGAGATTATTATAATCAAACTAATTATATTTCTATGTGACACAGGAGTCACTGTTGAAATAAATATTCTCTTGCCAAGTCTCTACTGGCAAATCAAATATTAAAAAGATGAAGAAATTATCTAATTCAAGCAAAAGCAAATCCACAACTCACTGTTATTGCCTGAAATGCTTGGCTGTATTTCTGCAATGCATTTTGTTTGCATATATTCCTCCCCAGTCGTTTTTACAATTGCCTCAAATCTCCACTTGACATGGCCAGTGGACATTTCAAACCTCAAATGCAAAATAACAACAGCAAAAAACTATGAAAGAGACAGGTGTCTAAAAATCCAAGACCTATCATTTTCACCTATGGGTCTCTGAATTTCCTCATAACCAACAAGGTAGAGGGGTTCCCTTCTAGATACAATTCTTTCATTCTGGCAGGGTAGAACCAAAATATTTTTATTCCTGATACATAAGGATTTTATGTATCAGGAATACACTGATGGTGAAAGTAAGAATTGTGATATTCTTATTCAACTTGAACACTGAAGTGTATATAATAGGCTACATGGCACCTACACAACATGGTGACAGGGTCCTCTCTATGAATATAACATTGTGGTTATTCTTGTGGAGTAATAAAAAGAAATGCAACATTACTAATAATTGTGTAAGAATTCCTGGGTCTTGAGTTGAGGTTTTATATAAAATCTTTTAGAAAATATTAGGAACCCAATTTAAAAATATTCTTGCTTATATTTGTTTTGTGAAAGTGTTTTATAGATTATTCTACACAACATCTCTGTAATTTAATTCAATACTGCTATCTTATTACTGCTGACCAAAAACTGAGGAATAGGCTGGGTATTTAATTAGCCCAACAGAATTCTGGACAGCTCTGAAATTAGAATTTCTTAGATTTATATTATATGTATTTCTTAGTTTGCTTGGGTTGCTATAAACAAATACCATGAACTGGATGGCTTGAACAACATACATTTATTTCTCATAGTACTAGAGGCTGGGAAGTCCAAGATCAAGGTACTAGTATATTCCGTGTCTGGTGAGAGCCCGTTTTCTAGGTTACAGATGGCTGTCTTCTCCCGGTGTCCTCACATGGCCTTTTCTCAATACATGAATACAGAGAGAGTTCTCTCTCTCTCTCTCTCCCTTTTGTTATTAAGGCACTAATTCTATCATGAGGATTTCACTTTCATGACTTAATCTAAACTTAATTACTGCACAAAGATGGTATTTACAATTAAATACCATCACATTAGAGGTTAGGACTTCAAGATATAAATTTTGAGGAGACACAAGTACTCAGTCCATAACAATATCTAATATTGATGCCGATTTGGAGGAAAACATTTTCCATACTTTTTGCATTTCCGTGAAGAGAGGGGAGGCCTTAGAATTGTGATTATGTTTCTGGGACAATTTGGCTAGGAAAGGAGCGCTATCCTTTTTTTGTGTGTGAAGATATAGAATGTAAATTATGCCATTACAGAGAATTATTACCTTCCATAAAGCTGAACAGAGCAGACAGATGCCAGTATCTCTACTCAGGAAGATTTATCCTCATTTGCAAACAAGCACTAAATCACGGCTAAATATAGACATATGATCTCGTCCAACTCAGGCAAATGGTCTATCTGAATAAACCATTTTATTCTATTAATTTGAATCTACAGAAGATGACTGAGTCTTGAAAAGTGCTTTTAAAGATATTAAAATTATGGAAGAAGTGATTAACAGCATGTTAAATCACATAATTTTGTTTGGATTTTCTTCTTGGTGTAGGACATGTAGAAAACTCAACTATATATTTACAACCAAAGTTTCATACCTGATAAGGTGAAACTTCTGCTTGTGATCAGGATGGAATTACAGAAACTATGTTTCCTCTACCACTGGAAACTTGCCAAAAGCCAGACAAAATAAATGAAACTATGTTTTTCAAGACATTGGACAACAGGCAATAAAGGAAAGTGAGCCTTAAGAAATGGGAAACAAATGGAGTGAGCCCAAAGATTCCAGTTTACTACTGTGATAGAGTTTCTAGGCCATTGGAAGGAGAGGGGAAACTGGAATAGAACCTAAAAGACTCTGAGTTTTATGAATGAGCTCAAGTGTCCAGAGACATGAAGGCAGATAAAGTTTATAAGACAAAATATCAGTGAGGAGAGAAATGGGCAGAGCAAGGACTCTAGGGAACAACAGAGGGGCCAACTTCAATTATTCAGCAGAGTACTAATGAGCCCATGTATGTGAGGAAACTACCCAAGACTTGTGAAGAACCCTCCAAAAGAATTAAGGAGAACAGTGCTTAGTGTTCATATAGGACCAAGCATAGTGCCTTGTTACCATCAGTTAGACTGTAAAACTTATAATTCATGGAACATTAAGTAAAGTACTTAAGAAGGTCTTGACTTAGTGCTGGGAAATAATTAGCCTTAGACTGATCACTGCTTTGGAATTGTATTATAAATCATAAAAACAAGACCCAAAAGATCACACTGTACCCAAGTAATATTCTTTTCAAGTGCACATAGAACATTTACCAAGATAAACCATTTTCCAGGCCATAAAACAAGTCTTAATAAATTTAAAAAGTTTAAAGTCATATAAAGTGTATTCTCTGACCACAAGGGAATTAAATTAGAAATCAATATCAGAGAGATCTCTGGAATAACCCCAAATATTTGGGAACAGGATATCATACTTCTAATAACCCATGGTCCAAAGAATATACCAACAGAGAAATTTTAAAATATACTGAATCAAATAAAAATGAAAACAAAACACATACATACAAATTTGTTGGGTGCCACTAAAGCAGTACTGAGAGGACATTTACAGTACTAAATGCTTATAGTAGAAAAACAGAAAATTGTTAAATCAGTTACTTCAATTTCTACCATAAAATAGTACAAAGAGAGCAAAAAAACTCAACATAAATAGAAGAAAAAAATTTAAAGATCAGAACAGATATCAATAATTAATAAAGAAAAGATAGAGAAAATCAATGAAATCAAAAGATTTTTTTGAGATTGATAAAATTAATAAACCTCTAGCCACCCTGTTCAGGAAAAAAATATCAAATACACAAATTATCAATATCATAAATAAGAGAAGTTCACTCTCTCACCATTACAGAATCTACAGATTTTAAAAGATGATAAGGGAATATTGTGAACAACTTTATGCCTATAATTTTAACAACTTAAATGAGATGGACAAATTTCTTGAAAGACACGAGTTACTGAAAGCTCATTTAAGAAGAAATATATAACCAGAATAATCCTATATCTATGAAATAAATTCAACATGCAACTCTTCCATAAATCTAAAATTATTTAGAAATAAAAAAATTTTTTAAAAAATGGGCAAAGTTTTAAACTGACACATCACTGAGGCAGAAATAGAGACCACTATGTTTGGCGTACAGTGCTATAGGTCAGCCCTATTCATTTATATGTCACAGAAAATATAGGGAAAGGAACAGAAACCAGTCAGAGAACACTCCTAAGAGTTGTGCTTATTAGATTACATCAACCAGTAACGAGACCTCTACTTAACACACAGGAGTTTTTCATATCTTGCTTGCCAAGGTTTTCCTCCAGCATTAGCAAGAAGCCTTAAAGATGGTGACATGTTACCTGTTTCCTATTTAGTTTTCTTTGACTTAGTGGTTTTCTTGGCTCTAAAGGAAGATCATATTAAAATATTCAGCTCAAATGAAGGAACTGAGGCCAATGTATCTCAGGAGAGCGGAAAGAGGAATGTGTTTAAGGGAAAATGGCAGAAATAACCTGCGTATCTTTATTTTTTTATCAATTTGTAGTTATTAATATTGGCAAATATTTAAAATATTTAAAAGTATGACATACCAAGTATAGCTAGCATGTGTATTAACAGAATCTCTTAAACATTAGTGGTAGGCCTATAAACTGTTAATGATCACTCTGGAAACCAGGTTGGGATTATCCTCTAAAACTGAACATTCACATTTTATACAAACTAGTAATTTCATTCAGTAAAAACTAACAAGCACTCTTTCACATTTATACCAGGAGAAATGTTCAAGATTGTTTATAACAACACTTCATGATAGCAACAAACAAACAAACAAACTGAGAAAATAGCCCCAATGCCCCAAAACAGGAAAGTGTGTAAATTTTGGTATGTTCACACGATGGAATATTATATAGAAGTCAGAATGAATGAACTACTTGCACAACACATAATAGGTATGCCTCTTAGCAACATAATATAGTGTGAAAAAGCAAACACCTTTAAGAGAGAATGTTGCAAACATCCAGTATAGAGGTTCTGATTTTTAGAATTGAGAAGAACATCATGAGTAGTTTTTAAAAGCATGGAAGGATTGTTGACATTTCAGATTGCATCTAAACAGCATAAAACCTTTTAAAATATTCTCTGAAGAAAATGTGATTGCACAAAGAGTTTTTGAAATATATACACTGTGCAGGGTTTTTTTTTTTTTTTTTTTTTTTGTAAGGTGACTTACGGCAGGTGAAAAACCTTTTGCAGAGTTTTTGAAGACTGTGGATTGGTGCAGCAGATATGCATGCTCAACTCTAGAATCTGCTCATGCCATGGCAAAGCAACAAGTGTCCTTTAGAGTGCAATCCTGATGTGCCACAGGAAAAAAACTTTAAGCAACTTTGTACTCACAGCTTCATCCTTGAACTTTTAAGGCTCAACCAAAAATGGCGCAAAAGTTGCTTTTGCCCTCTGGATAAGTGAAGCTCCTGAGGAGGGCAGCAGATGACAGACTTTGAGGTAGAGAATAATTCAGGCACCCAGGTTCTAGGTCTGGATACTGGCAGAGGAGACCAACTTTGATTGAAGAATCAGATGGCAGCCTCAAACCTTTTAACCTGCCATGAGAGAGCTGATCTTTGTGCCTGTAGGAGGTACAAGGTATATAAAAAATTGGAGGAGTAAGCTCTTAATTAAAAGAGCTGTAATCTTGGTGGTAGTGAGTCCTCTCAATTGAGAACATAGTCAGTGTGTGTGTGTGTGTATGTGTGTGTGTGTGTGTGTGTGTGTGTGTGTGTTGGGGTCCAAAGGGCCCAGTGTCACTAGGTCTGTATTGGCCGTGAAGATAATGACAAGCCCTAGTGAAATGCCTGATACTTAAAACTTAAAGCCCCATGAAGCCAGAAAGATGTGGCACCATCAATTGCAATATCTGAGTTGTAATGACCAAGAAGAAGTCATGAGCCTGTACTGATTCAGCCAGGGGAAATGAGGGGACCTGAGGAAAGAATGGCTTGAAGCCCCAGAAACTCTTCTGGGGGGTGCTCTGAGCTAGTGAGTATTCTCATAATTATCACCACTCTAATGCACATTACATCCACAGATTCACAAGTCCTCCTCAATTTCACACGCTGTAATCTGGAGAAGCTAGGGTTACTCAAACCTCGCATTGTCAAAATGTCTGAGGATTAACAATAGAGAGAGAATAAGACATGGGAAGTGTGTGTGGAGAACTGCAATATTCTATGTTCTTGGTGAGAGTAAACACAAATTTTCATACAAAAAATTCAAAAAATAGTTAAAAGCATAAGGGTCGTTAATACCATAAGCAATAATTGAACACCCAAAAACTTTCAGATACGATGCAAGATGGTAGAAATATCAGGTCAAGTAAAGAACATCCTTGTCATATGTAAATAACTATACTACTTGAGTATGACTAGAGCTGTGAAAGAGAAGAAAATGAAGTGTTTTGGATTAAAAAAGCAAGAAATTTAAATAGTTATAAAACAGCAGCACAGTGGCATATTGAAAAGAACAGTGGATTTGGGGCCAGCAGTTATTAGTTTGGGGTTTTAGTCCTGATTATGCCTTTAAAATTAGAAAACCATATTAAGGAAAGCAATTTACCCAAATTGCAAGGTTAGGATATTGCTAGACTAGAAAATAGCCCTATTACTCCTAGTCCATGCTTCTTCCACTCCACCTTATCTCTGGGCAGTATCCTAGAGTCTTAGGATGAAGACACTTTTACAGAAATACTTTACAAAAAAAGTAGAGATACTAACAGGTACGTGCTATTTGGTCTCCTGGGTTATAGGGCCTGTGTTCAGAGAAGATGATAGCATGTGCTTAAAACCTATAGGCTGCCTATTATTAAATATTAATGACCTTATTTCTTTAGCAGTCTTGTGGTTCTTAACACAGTAAGACTTCTCAGCTCAGGTGGTTTCGAGGAGCCATAGAATTACACGAATGCTTTATTATAAAATTCTAACTAAAATTACCTTTGTCATAAAAAAAATCATCTTCTTAATGAATACACCCTGAAACCCTAACAGCAGTACACCATGGTCATTTGGAATCAATCAGGCAGTTAGTGAAAAAGAACCTGTCTCCCTTCATATACCCCTCCCCCACACACTGTAGTGCAGTAATGGGCCTGCTTCTAGCCTGCGAAAATGTGTCTCTGGGGATATTGTACTAGGCAAGTGAAAGCAATAAACTTTTCTTGGGAATCTGTTCTACCTCTTTAGGGGAAGGAAAAAAAAGCATTAAGTCAATACCCAGACTTTTGAGTCAGATTCTTGATTATTTGGGGAATGTGTTAAATGTGGTATGGAATACAACTTTTCTAATATGCATTCCCTTCAGACTCCCTACTCCTCCCATTTAAAAGAGACTTCATTAATGGACAAAAAGCAAGGGGATGGGATTCATCTCACTTGTGCTGAAGTCTCCTACAATGGTGCTCAAGATCAACAATACCTACTAAGAATACCCTGGTATACCTGGAGGCCACTGGGACCCAAAGCCTTTCTTCATTCATTAAAAGATAACAAGCATCTGTTAGCATTTATTTTATGCTATGTATTTTGCTAAGTTCTTTTAGATTTTTACTTCATTTTTTAAGCCTCACAGAAGTAAATAATTTGTTCCTACATTTCTGCAGATGAGAAAATAAGGCTAGAGAGGCCAAGTGACTTGTCTATGGTTATACAGCCAGTAAAAGGGTAAAGCTGACTCGTACAAGCCTCTTGCTCATGGATTTGATAAAGACAATGGAATAACTTCTTAGTCAAAACAATGTCTCCTAGCCCTTTTTCATGTAGTTTGAGAATCTTAGGTCTAACCTATAAAAATCCTGATGGTGCCATTGAAATGAGAAATTAGGAACAGAAACATCACTTTCTCACCTTATGAGAGTTCAGGGTTTACATTCAACTGAAGAAATGTGTTTCAATTATTTTTCAAACACTGCATAGGCTAATAACATATTCATAAAATCAATCAGTCCATGAATTAATCAAATGCCCTGTGATGGTTAATACTGAGTGTCAACTTGATTGGATTGAAGGATGCAAAGTATTGATACTGGGTGTGTCTCTGAGGGTGTTGCCAAAGGAGATTAACATTTGAGTCAGTAGGCTGGGAAAGGCAGACCCACTCTTAATCTGGGTGAACACCATCTAATCAGCTGCCAGCATGTCTAGAATATAAAGCAGGCAGAAAAACATGAAAAGACTGGACTGACCTAGCCTCCAAGCCAGCATCTTTCTCCCATGCTGGATGCTTCCTGCTCTTGAACATTGGACTCCAAGTTCTTCAGTTTTGAGACTTGGACTGGCTTTCCTTGCTCCTCAGCTTGCAGATGACCTATTGGGGGAACTTGTAATCATGTGAGTTAATACTTAATAAACTCCCCATACACACACACACACACACACACACACACCGTATAAGTTCTGTCCCTCTAGAGAACCCTAATACATATCTACATGCTATTTCTCAGATATTCTTTTTCCCGCCTTCCTCTCCCTCAATCCTTAGTCAATCTCTCAAATTCTTGTGTGGATATATTTAAATGAGATTAAAATTTTCCTTAAAATCTTCAATAAATTTTCACTTCTTGGCATCCAAAGAATTATTTTCTAACTTCTCTACTCATCCTAAAAATGTATTTCTTTAATAAATATAAAAGCAATTAGACAACGTAAGTGCTGCTAGTAACATGCCAACCTGAAAAGACTCCTTTAAAATTTCCTTCAAAACAAATTAAACATTCAGATCTTGGTTTCTAACTACCATTCTTCAATAAAGATACCAGGGCTGGGTGTGGTGCCTCATGCCTGTAGTCCCAGCACTTTGGGAGGCCGAGGCAGGTGGATCACCTGAGGCCAGGAGTTCGAGACCAGCCTGGCCAACATGGCGAAACCCTGTCTCTGCTAAAAATACAGAAATTAGCTGGACGTGGTGGTGAATGCCTGTAATCCAAGCTACTTGGGGGGCTGAGGCAGAAGAATCACTTGAACCCAGGAGGCGGAGGTTGCAGTGAGCCGAAAGTGTGCCATTGCACTCCAGCCTGGGTGACAGAGTGAGACTTCATCTCAGAAAAAAAAAAAAGAAAGAAAGAAAGAAAGAAAGAAACCAGGAGTTCTTGAAGAAATGGCTGATTATAGGACTCGGGTAGAAACTATATGAGAGACATTTGGAGTATCTTGCAGTGCCAGAGACTAAGGAAGTGCTCAAACAAAAGTAGCCACAATGATGGGATATATCAAAGAGGAACAGGAATCAGCTGAAAGAGTTCTCAGTGGCCAGAGTTGGAACGATTTAAGCAACAAAATAAAATAGATTATAGCCCAGAGTATAAAATAAATATTCATGAGTCCATACCGATATAAAATATTAAATAAATGAATAAATACATAAACAAATGAAGGAGAATAGACGAATTTCCCATGTAGAAGAATTCCAAATAACTTATGTGGATACTTCACCCTCAAGGTGATGGAGCATAATTCCTCACTTCTTAAGTATGGGCTACACCTAGTGACTTGCTTCCTAAGGATGCAATATGGAAAGTGAGAAAAAAAAGAGTCATTTTACAGTGTAGAAACCTAACAAACACTACCTCAGCCAGGTGATCAAGGTCAACATCAATGGTGATAAGTCATGTTGACAGTATAGTACATACCCTTGATAAGATGTGATAATAAGAGCACTTCACCTCTATGGTTTTCCTCTAACAAAACCAAAACCTCAGTCTAATTATGAGGAAAACATCAGACAAATCCCAATTGAGGGACATTCTACAAAATACACGTCCAGTGCTCCTCAAAGCTATCAAGATCATCAAAAACAAGAAATGTATGAAAAACTGGCACAGCCAAGAGGCGCCTAAACAACATAATGACTATTATATAGTAGCCTGAATGGAATTCTGGAGCAGAAAAGGAAAATTAGGCAAAAACCAAGAAAATCTAAATGAAGTATGGACTTCAGTAAATAATATATTAATATCAGCTCATTAATTGTGACAAGTGTACCGTAGTAATTTCAAATGTTAATAATAAGGGAAACAGAGTATTGGGTATAAAGGAATTCTCGATACTATACTATTGCTGCAATTTTCTGTAAATCCAAAAGTATTTTAAGATAAAAAGTTTAACAAAATGAACTAAAGCCAATTCAAATCATACTGTATCAGTTCCCTGGGGAAAGAGGTGGACACTAAATATGGAAACTAAAATAATCCTTTGCCTACCTGTAAATCACATTTTATTGAAGCTCCCCAACTGAATCAAATTTGTTAAATTTTAAACCAATCTGCATTGCTTGCCATAACTCCAGTTGGCATATGGGTGGTAATGGAGCTGGCTAACGTGGCTTTCTACAGTCAGATCCAGGACACTTCTTTCCCCACTTGCCACCACCCCCTCCACCCCCTTAAGAACTCAGCAGCAGCATTAACTCAAAGAAATGTCACTTTAGAGGACCTCTTTATAAAATTGGTACCACAGCACTCACTAGATTTTCACTTCCAACAGCATTAATTTAGTTCTTTAAAAATGTTTTTTATGTTTCAGCTCCATTACTTTTTCTAGGTCTGCTCTACCCACTGTAAGTAAACTACCAAATCCAAAACCTCAGTTGCTTTTCTCTTAGATTTTTAATTTCAACATCCTATTGTCAGCAATGAACATGGTGGGGGGCTTGACCTTAATAAAAGGGAGATTGTCTAGAATAGCTTGAGGCAATATTGTATCCTAAATAGAGTTTGCCCTCTGCACTGCTTATATCCCTTTCTAGATTTCTCTGATTGGAGTCTACTCTCAGAAACCTAGCTCCATTGTGATTCCCCAACAAGGACACCCTACCTGTTCAGTCCTTCTAAAATAGAGCCTAGTGATATGGTTCTACATCTTTTACTTCTCTTTTTAAGGTTTTACTTTATGCAGTGCTTTAATTTTTGTCACCTGTTAAAAAGGAAGCAATTCATATACTTGTTTATATTAACGTCTGACCAGTAAAAACAAGTGCTGTTCTCCTTGAAGGTATTGCATATTAAAAGGATTTTCTGGAATGGTGCTCCATTGGTGAATGGTGTCACAAACAGTTGTGGGGATATTTTTTAGTACAGAGATCTTTCTTTTATTCTCCAAGATTAGGGATACCATGCATTCAAGCTTGCCCAGGACAATTCCATTTTATGCCTGTTACCACTGAGCAAATTATTCATAGAACCCCCTTTTACTCTCAAAATTACCCCAATGTGTGTGATAAATTATATGAACACACTGCCAAAATCACTTAGGGGAAAATCCTGCTTCACGAAGGTTTTATAGAGGTTTCCCAAAGGAAGTGCAGAAGTGGCAAGGAAGCCAGCTAATGGTAGTTACTGGCTAGTTTTGATCCCCACCATTAAGTACACTCTACTGACAACAGATTGAATTTTGTTGCTGATGGGATATACTTAATTTGTTTTTAACTCTAAGCTATTTTGATTTGTATGTAAAATTAACTCAGAATCCCAAATAGTCTTCACTTTCAGTTCTACGTTTTGAGAGAAGTTCTTTTGAATGATTAAAGTTCCTAGGAACAACAATAACCTAGTCAAAATACCACCTAGCCATACTCACGGGAATTTCCCTGTGAACATCTATCCTTTCTTTCAGATCTTTGTGAGAATGTAAGCAGAGACATCAGCTGTGAGATAATATATTTAAACTTCTTGCTATCCAACAGAACTAACTTCTCAGAAAATAAAAATGAAGATATAAAGTCATTTCAAGGGTAGGAGAGTAAGCTATAAACTGGACTCTGTGAGACAATATCTCTTTGCTTGTTCCAACTGGGTTGCCCTGGGACCCATGACACTATGTGTGGCTCCCTAGGAAAGACTGACTTGCTTTCAGAAATTTGGCTTTGTTCATCTGTTTGAGGGCTTTGGGAACAAAAGTTTAGGGCTGTGGTTTTCAGATATTTTATTGGCAGAGAAGCTTTACCATATGAAATAGAAGGAAGGTAAGCTCTTCTGCCTTCTTACCCCTCTTTCCCCGACAAACTCCAAGAGAGTCTTTGACAAACTCTGTTCTAGGGTGAAGTAATGACAGTTACTTTGGCAGCACTAGGTTTGCCTGGAGCATTTGGTGTGATCAGGGGTCATACTCACAGACTACCATGGATGGACAGAGAGAAGTGAGGTGGGAGAAGGAGGAGTGAATGTCAGAAGGGTCACTTGCTGAAGATCATCAGCGACATGTGGCTGAGTACCCTCTTTTCCTACATTCTGAGAGAGGAGAAATCTGAGGAATATCCAACATCTGGTAATTATTCACCTGTGTGCTGGCTAATGATTGTGGTAATGAGATGGAGCAGGGCCAATCTTCCTCCTGCTGTGCTTTTCTTCGTGAGAAATACCATCTACTTGTCATATTTCCATTTTTGTACAATGTGTAACTTAGGAGAGGAGAGAATAGATAAGGTGCATTTGAGATAATGGGGTAGAGAAGTAGAGAATACTTTGGGGAAATAAGTAGTGATGGGACAATCAGCCACTTGGGGAAAAAGTTTGCTGGGATGAGAGAAGACAGGAATGGGGTGAAGCAGGTTTTTGCTAGAAAAGTGGGAAAAGCCTAGAAAACATATAGTCACGTCCCTCCAATTATCTAGTGATGTGTATCAAACAATCTCAGAACTGAATGACTAAAAATAACAATGATTTCTGCTCAGAGCTCAGCTGAATTTGGAACATCCAGGATTTCCCTCGTTCGTCATCCAGTCTTCTAACATCTTTTCAGCATGGTTCTAGCTTCAAAAGGGAAGCATTCCGGGAGGAATTGTGATTTTCTTTACTTCTATGGAGCTCATATTTTTCTTCTTTGAAATCAGGGAGTTAACTAAATGATTTCTAAGCTTCTTTGTAGCTTATTTATAACAAATATTCCATTATTGTTCCTAGGAACCTTAGGTGGAATCTGAAACCACAGTAAAAAAATAGCATATTGATTGTTGCTACCTCATGGTCCAAACCAACCCACTCTCAACTCTTACTGTTCCCTTAAACAATCTGCTTCAGTCCAGCAGACCTATCTTCAAGTGTTCCACCAAACTTTCCTTCTACTTTCTCAGCTCAGCTATTTCATTCATGCCTATCACAAAATGTCAGTTTATTACCCATATTTGTTAACTTCAAGCCTAGTGTACTTTTAAATATAGCTCTCTCACTTGTAGGTATGCCATCACTCACTCCCATCCCCCTAAACTTTAACCACTGAAAACCTCCCTAATTTTTCAATGCCTAACTCAAAGTATAGTTCCTGCATAGTTTGCCCCTTCAGTACAATGGTAAGTGACATCTCCCTCCTTTGAACTACTTTTTCTAGAGCTGATTATTGGTTCTACTCACATGATACTCGTATGTATGGTTTATATTTCCAAACAGAGTACGACATAAGAGACCACTTTACAAAGTTTATCAAAATCCTAGTTGAAAGAATTGGTCTTTATGGTGGATTGTTATACAGATATTCAAGCCATGTATTTTGCTACATAGTCTATGACTTCTCTATGGTTCAAGTTAGACCATTAAAGCTGTATCTTTGTACTGAACTGTCTTGTCCTCACTATGAAGCTGCTTGCACTGAGTTGTTATGTCTTCATATTTCAGAGAATGATGTTATAAGAGCCTATTGATGTAACCAACATCTCATCAACAATTCAAGTGTCTCCTATCTCAGAAATATATTTTAGAGTACATCTTTCACATCCTCTGAGATACTATTGGCTTTATTTTTTACTTATGAAGAATGGAAACTAGAAAATCAATTCTGTTGTTTTTTTATCGTTTTTAATTGTTGCTGTTATTGTTAAGTTTCTGGCTTACTTTGGTCACCAGGATGCCTGGAGCCAAAGTTGTGATACGATGACAATTGTGGTCTTGTTCTTATTCATTGTAAATGGGCAGAATGTTTCCATTCCTTGAACTGACCATTTATTTTGATGGCTATTTTGTCCTTTTTTCTATTCGTTATTTTTGTTTGTTTGTTTTTTACTTTGTTATATTCTACCATTTTTCACACATATAGATTTTCTGTCATTTAAAATAGATACAGATTTTAAAACTTTTTTTATTAACTGACATCATAGAGATCATTCTGTAGCAGTGACTTTAAATAGGTCTAAGATACTCTTTAAGTTATTTCCAATTTTTCACTTAAATAAAAATGCTTCAATAAGCTTTACATGCATCTTTATACTCTAGTGTAAGGATTATATGGATATATTGCCATATAACTGGAAATGCAACATGTATATACATATATATATTTATACACACACACACACACACACACACACACACACATATCTTCAGAAAGACTGTATCAATGTGTACCTCTCCTGACATGTAAGATAGTAAACATGTCTCATTATCTTCAACAAAATTGGATATTTTAATTCTTCAACTTTTGTGCTTCTGTCAGAATTATATTTGGGTTTATAGTTATTTGCTTATTCAACTTAGGCAATACATAGTCTCTTTTGAGTCCTTTAACCTCAACTGTTATCTATACAAAATAAGAAATGTAAAATTCTTTTCTTTCCCATAGTCTTTCCTTCCATACTTCCTAGTTTTAAAAAATGTTATCTGGATTTTTATAGCGAAATGATTGCTATTAAATATATACATAACTCATATCCCATCTCTTTCAAAAACTATATTTTATATTTTTATTCTCTTTTATAAGCCTACTTTTGATAATTACTGTATGGCTAACTAGTTTCAATGGTTAAAATTATAGTATTATATCACTATTTTTTTCTTTAGCTATTTATTTTTATTCCTCAATTGGTGCTAGAATAAGTATTTTCCTATTATTTAATGAATATTGTCTTAGGGCAGGTTCCCTTGTAGCAGACTCTGAGACAGAGATATACATGCAGAAGGTTGATTAGGGATGGGATGGAATAACCCTTCAGGGTTGCCCCGAACTTTGAAGTAGGGCCAAAGGACCAGGTCTTTGTACCTCCACATGGACTAGTCATTGTATGTGGTCTGCCCTCAGAAAGGAGTGTAATCTTGGGCTTGGTTGGGCGGAGATTCCTAGAGTGGGGTCTAGCTGTGAGCTCTCAGTAGCCAGCACTCCCAGCAGGTAGAAGAATGAGTCCTATAATGGGAGATCCATAGCATCTACTACAAATAGCAAATTCACCTAAAGAAAAAATTTTTATCTTTCCAACTTTGTCCCCTCAAAATTACCTGGATACAGTTATTTGCTCTCTGGAATATAATGGTGCAGGAAAAATATGAGGCTGGTCATATTCTTATTCTTTTTTAGTTAACCTGTTTTGTCTACTTAGATGCAATTTTCCTTTTTCTCAAAATTTAAAACTTGCACTAGAATATGTCAGACATGAATTTCTATCCATTAATCATGTTTTATATTCAGCAATTGAAGACCATTTTCTTTTCTTGTACCACCAATTACTGTACCATTTCTTTTCTTTCTTCTTCAGGAATGTGAATTTTCTTTGAGAAAGCAAGTCTCTACACTCTTGTCTTCAAATCTATCTTCTTCTCTTTCTTTGATATTGTCTCTTGTCTATTTTTTTCTATCTTCAGTGAATGCTTCTTAATTTGTTCTCCTCATCACTGATTAATTTCCTGCAGTGTTAAATCTATTCTTTTTCGATTGGGTTCTGAATTTCAATTTTATTATTACATTTTTATATCTTTTGCTGTTTTTCTCTTTCTCAGCGACTTCCTTCCTCATCTGAGCCTGTATCTTATCAAATTCTTTGTCATATCAGCTAAGTTTCCTCTCATCTCAACCTCTTTCTTCTTACAATCTATATTTTCTTTATTTTCCTTAAGAACAACCAATGCTTTTTTCCTAGAGTTGTCTTTTGTAACATGTAGCACAGCTCTAAAAAAGTAGGATTATTTCCTCTACCTTCAAGTTAATGCTCACCTTCCCCTTATCTAATCACATCATTTTTTAAGGATCCATTTTATTTGGTTTATTTTCGCTTATTAGTAAATGAAAAGATATTAATCCAAGCCCAGTGTAGCTCCTCTTTCCCTTCCCACTGTCCAATTGAGTGCTAAGAGCACCCCATTCTGTGATATTTAGCTGAAATTACAGTGAATATACATAGCTTCTACTCAAGTATGTTAAGCCTGGAAATCATTAATTCATTGCACTTCTACTAACCAAGAAGTGTTTTTCTCCTGCTTCTTTGAATTTACGTTATGAAGCTTAACTTATTCCTGAATAAGTAGAGGCATTTTAGGATTTGTGTGTGTGTGTGTGTTTCTTTGTGTATTCATGTATGTATATGTATTTATTTATTTTACTAACAGTGCATAAAACCCTATAGTTTCTCGCATGCATAGCCCTGCTGCATCTCTGATAGCTTAAGATTTCTGTGATTTCTCTGATAGCTTAAGTTGCAGAAGGTAATTTACCACTGTTTTGATATTTGAGCACTGCTTATGTTGCATTTCTAGGAACTTAAAGTCTTCAATTTATTTTTTTAAGAGGCACTATACGGGGTGGAACAACAGCCCTAGCAAACTTGTATGCAAGTCCATAGTGGTGCTACCTTGTTTCTGGTGGGGTATGTCTTTGAGATATACTGGTGGATACCTAGTGGCAATTAGTGGATATTTTTCCAACTTTCTTCTTTTTATATTTTCAGTGTTTAGGTTCACAAGTTAGAGTGTGCCTTAGCCTCTAGTAACATGCTGCTCATTTGCCTATTTTCTTTAGTTCTAGTCTTCACCTTTGCCCTGTTCTGCTTCATATTGTAGGGAGTAGACCATTACAGGCCATTCTCCCCACATTTCCATGTTAGCTGGCTTCTACCTGGTTTCTGCCAAAGAGAGATACTCATAGCAGATAGGAATTTGAGGGAAATGAGAAGCCACGGTATTTCTTTCCCCCTTTCTGTTCCTCAGGCAGTGCTTTGGCAGCAGCTGTGGCTCCTTCATAGCTTCACTTCTTTCAGTATCCCATATTTTAGCAGACATTTCCATCCACTCCCACCTTGCAGATTCCTCCTTGATTCCAATGCTCACCCCTTCTTAGGAATGAAAGCAGCTTCTTCATACTGCCAACCTCTGAGTTGTCTCACTGTACTGTATTTTTCTTCTCTGTTCTTCCATCACCTATGCCACCAATTCCCTGTATTAAATTCCTCCTTTTGGAAAGCCTAGAGATGCTCCTGTTTTCTTGACTTAGACCCAACCTGTTTAATTTCTCAAACTGTTTTGTTTGATTATTTGTTCCTTCTAGAGTCCGGAAGTTATTAAGTTCCAGTGTTGTTGCAAATTTACATGCCTCTTCATGGTTTTTATGTATCAGTATTTAAATGGAGAAAGTACAGGAAGGCAAATGAGATTCCATTATCTAACAGCTGCCATAATACATGCGTCTCTGGCTACACAATTAACTATAATTGAATTATACCCTAACATCATTGTTCTTTGCCGGAATCCATCCCCAATTACAAGGAAAACTGTTGAGAAAGAAAAGTCTAAGAGTCATTATTTTAGTTAAAAGCTAGTTTCATAATATGTTTCTGTAAGACTGTGGACACTCTGCTATGAAAAATTCATATTAGAGCAAGAAATTTTTTTAGTAACACAATACCCATAGGAAGTGATAATGTAGTTAATCAGGGTTTGCCAGAAATTATTGCTATTTATGGCATAATCTGATTAATTTTGCATGTTAATTCTGAAGACATTTGGCATGGTGTCTGCAGAGTTCAGAAATTCCCAAGACCACCCTCACTTCTGGCACCAACTGCAAGTCTGGGGACCCCCAACACCACCCTCATGTCTAAAACCAATTGCAAGTTTGGGATACCCAGAAACACCCTCATGTTCAGCAACTTGTTGAAAGAACTCAAAGTACTCACTGAAAGCTATATACTCACAAATATAATTTATTAGAGTAAAGGAATACAGATTAAAATTAGCCACAGGAAGAGATATATGAGGCAAAGTTTAGGAAACTTTCAAGTGAGAAGATTCCAGTTTTTCTTTCCCAGTAGAGTTATGAGCAGTGCTAATTTTTTCTTGACAATAATGTGTGATGGTATATACAGAATATTGCCAACCACAGACACATACCTGAACCTTGGTATACAGAGTTTTTATTGGGGCTTAGTTACATAGACATGGTAAGCTGCTGACACATGGCTGATTTTTAGTCTCCAGTCCCTCTGGAGGTCAAGCTGATACTGAATGGTCCAAAACCCCCGCTATAAATCACATTGTTAGACGATCCAGTGTGACCCAAGGCCCTGAGGTAAACAAAGACATTCTTATCAGGCAGGACATTCCAAGGTCTTAGAGATCACTCCCAGGAGCTGAGGGCAAAGGCTAGACCTCTCTTTGGGTCTGGTTAATTGCTTACTACACACTGTACAAATATCCAGAATTACTCTGGAGTTCAAAAATTTTATGGAAATGATGGAACTTAAACTTACTGGGGTATAGGAATCAGGTAATGGGAAGGGAATCAGTAGACTGTACAATATGAGCTCATGGCTGGCCTGTGCCTGTAGTTGACACAAGCATCCAGCATTGCAAGGTTAAATTTCCAGTGTGGCTTTGTGCCTCATCAAATACAAATGGTGATAAGTGAATTCTGATTGGAATCTCTTGTTAAACATTTGTGTTTCCCCCCTCAGAACAGTAAAATAAATATTGGAAAAATGGAAATAGATTAGATAATTCAACTAGGGACTCTGTTTCACAAATCCCATATAAAATTATTGTAAAAATAAATTGTAGGCTAAGGGCTTGATGTGTACTTGAATTTTATCTTGATTATCAGAAAGTATCAGGAAGTCTTATTTCATTTGAAAGACAGTGAAAAACTGCAAAGCGATTTAATTTATAACTTATTAGTCTTAGGTTTTTAATCCTGTGATGAAAGTGCTGCTACTGGAAACATTGTCAGGAACATTATGAAAATAATGCACTGGCACTTTCCAAGGTTGAACAGAGTAGCTATTACTGCTTTTGTTAGATATTCCAGATTTATATCTATATCTACATTTATATCTATATCTATATATACTTATATCTCCTTACAATTTATTGATAGAGGTATACATACCCAACATATAATGAAAGTATGTTCCCAGAAGAGCAAAAAGAAGGCATGTAAATAATTTAATTGGAACTCACAACTCAAATGTATAGAACCTCTTGGTCTATACTTGGTTTCTTGGTGTTTTTTTATATTGGTATATTTTATAGAACCTCTTGGTCTATACTTGGTTTCTTGATGTTTTTTCACAAGATGAGTACAATAGAATGACAGAGTAAGGGACTCTGGCATGATATGATTTGAGAAGGGACAAAGGGAGCTGACTTTTAATTTTTCCTATTATTGATCTCTAGCGAAGCTGTCCTCCATTCTCCACTCTCCAGATACACATACATGAACACACACACGTACACACACACACACAAAGACACACACACTTCACTGCACCCGCAAGAAAGTCAAGGATATATACTGAGGTGAAGGGTGCAAAGGACTCTGTTTTTCCCTCCATAGTGGAAATATGATTGTGTGCAGGAAGATCCCACAGAGCATCTTCCTCCTCCACTCTCAGCAACCTGTGTGGTGGGCCAATTAGATAAGCTCTGCTCTGGGTCTTAACAATACACCATAGCCTGTCTCTTTTCTCATTTTTTCTTCTGTGAGGTAGATTGCCCTTTCTTCCACATTGGCATGGTAATGCACTTTCCTGAACAATTTTATATTTCTGTCTTAAAGGTCATGACTAGCTGTTAGTGTATTATTACTCTCCTCTTTATCCAGTTGGTTATTCCTGAGATTTGGGGAGAAACTCTGTGCCTCAACTCCACATGTATCAAGTTCTACTGGACTCTTATTCTACAAAAATAAATGAGAGAGATGTTAGTGATGGTGATGCCAGCTGCTATAACAGATAAATTTTTGAACTCTCAAAGGCTTAATAAAATTAAATTGTATTTAATTTTGTCAATTGTATCATAGTCTAATACAGTCAGCAGGGGACAAGTCTTCACGTGGCCACTCTGAGACATAGGTTTCTTCCACCTTTTAATGCTACCTTATAATTCCATCATATTCAATATGTGGCCTGCAAGATTTCTACAGAAGGGAAACAAAGTGAGATAGATATGGAGTTTTATGGCCTGGTGTAAAACTGGCCTGCATGACTTCTGCATGTATTTCACTGGTTACAGAACTCAGCCATATGGACTCTATCTAACCTCAAAGGGCTGGGAAATGTAGTCTAGCTGTGTACAGCGGGGAAAGAAAAAGGATTGGTAAACATAGACTAGTGGTTTGCTGTAATTGTCTTTTCTTGCTCCTATTCTTGAGGACAATATTATAACAGAGGGCCCACGTGGCCCAAAAGTTTACCCTAACACTGAATTTTTGTAGTTTCCACTACAGCATTTGGGCCCCCTGCTAGTGTGCTGCACATAAAAACTCAAGAGAAGTGAGAACTGGTAATGACCTTCTAATGGTATGTCTGTTTAAAATTTTTGCAATGTATTTCTATAGAACATTACTGAACATTTTAAAATAAATGTGTTACAATTATAGATAGCTTCAAGGGTCCGTTAAAACACAAAGGAAACAGAATCTCCTAAATGTCAGTTACCATGAGCCCCATTAGACACTAGTATGATAGGGCTAAACTTTGAGTTATACAACTTTTGTGTCCTTTTGGTTTCTAAGACTTCAGGGTGTAGGGTAGGAGGGTGGGCCTTGTGCCAACTCTAATGGATAGCCAGATATTACAGCTATGTTTGGGAAGTCTAACAGCCAGGGACCTTCACAATAATGGGAGAAAGGTGGGCATTGAAAGAAAGGTGCTCTCCAGGAAAAATGGCAACATGAGCCAGCCGATTGCTTTCACAGCTGAAGCTGGGGCTTGAAAGGAAATAGTTGATCTCATGCAAGGGTTAGAAGAACAATCTTTGTTATACAGTAAACTACCTTTGTATTTTTTAAATGAAACGATCATCGTACCACAGAGTCATATTTGCTTCCTTGATCTATGCTCTTTAATCCCTTAGAATCTTGTCGATCGGAGCAGCTGAAGTTAACTACACGATTTCCTGTCTTTATCAGTAAGAGAAGAGTGGTGGTTTTAAATCATGTCTGCAACTTCTTTGATACACCTCTCATTCAGAGGCAAAGTCAAATCTCCTTCTACTTGAATATGGTGTGGCCTGACTGACTTGCTTCTTATGAATAAAATGCAAAACAATGTGATGCTTCTGTGACTTCTAAAGCTAAATTGTAAAGGCTTTCACTGGGCTGTCAGCTTCTCTTGGGATTTTTGCTCTTAGAACCCAGTTGCCATGCTATGAGAAAGCTCCCACACAGACAGGCAAGATATGGGCATTTGGCTGACAACCCCAAAGTGAGGTCTCAGCTGGCAGCCAGCACCAATAGGCACAAATTTGAGTAAAGAAGCCTTCCAGATGACTCTAGCCCCAGCAACTATCTGACTGTAACTGCAAGAAATAACTCAAGCAAGAGCTGCCTAGCTGAATCCAGACAACCCCCAGAACTGTGAAAAACAGTAATAAATAGTTGTTGTTTTTTGTCTACAACTAAGTTTAGGGTGATTTGTACACATCTATAGACAAGCGTAACAAGAAGCAATAGTATGGAAAATCATCCTCATTTTCCTTAATTTTTTTTTCACGTATTAAAGGCACTATAAATTGTAATATTTGAATACTTGGAGCCTGGGGGACAGAGGGCAAGGTGATTCAGACTGGCTGGGCCTTGAAACCCAGCTCTGCAACCAGTGGCATTGCCAAGGAGTGAGTTGAGAGATTCTTTCCTGAAATATCCAAAAGTGACACCCCAGAGAAAATTAAAGAATATTGAACTGCAAGATGTATGTTTCCTAGGTTTTGTGTAAAATGTCAATGAGGAAAAGAATCTTTGGAAAACCTTTACATTTTGATTCTTCTTTCATAAGCAACCTAAGTAAAAACATGTACTAACAATGCAAATTCAGGTTCCAGAAAGAGGTTGTAACCATTCCAACTCCCATCCAAAAGTAGATGGCTGCCCTTAAGCCATTTATCCTCTCTGAATCTTTTGTCATCATCTGTCAAAAATTGATAACATATCTCCTTGCAGGATTCTTTTAAAAATCAATTGGGATAATGTATATAGCTCACTGAGCCCAAGGCTTGACAACACCAAGTAAATGTACAGCAAATGTTAACCAATTTGATTATCTGGGGTGTAAGTAAGATGCTCTATCAGTAGCATCTTACTCTGAAAAAACATCACTGTTAGTTCACAATCTATGTCTAATAGCCTCGAATTCAGTGACGATTCAGCAGTATTTGTGTGGTTGTTTATCTCAAAGGGACTCGAGACTGGTGGTAGAGACCTGGTTGCAGTTCAGCTAAGTGCTAGCTGGATGACTTTGAACAAGAACCTCAACCTCCTGCATTTCCCCATCTGGGAAATGGGAATGATAGTGGCTACTCCACAGGATGCCTGTGGGAGTCACATGAGATTACATGGGATGAAAGCCATTCTAAAGTCAGGAAGAGAGACAGTTGTGTCTTTTCATATAGTAATGTTATTTGCATTTTCACAATTTGTAACTTTTAAAGAAAGTGATGAGAAATAAAGTTATTAGACAAACAAAACAGTCAGCCAGGCGTGGTGCCTCATGCCTGTAATCCCAGCACTTTGGAAGGCTGAGGTGGGCAGATTACCTGAGGTCAGGAGTTCGAGTCCAGCCTGGCCAACATGGTGAAACCGTGTCTCTACTAAAAATACAAAAATTAGCTGGGCATGATGGCACGTGCCTGTAATCCCAGCTACTCGGGAGGCTAAGGCAAGAGAATCACTTGAACCCGGGAGGTAGAGGTTGCAGTGAGCCAAGATCGCGCCATTGCACTCCAGTCTGGGTGACAAAAAAGCGAGACTTCATCTCAAAAAAAAAAAAAAAAAGAAAAGAAAAACAAAACAGTCTCAGTAAACTTTTTTTCTTTAAGTTCAACTACTGCCTTTTATTTTGTCTTGAATGTTCACAAGTGCTGTGGAGGGGGACACTACACAGGCTCATATCGATGTCACAAAGCCATGTGCCATCAACAATAGAGCCTGAGCATGGTAGAGTCACCACATTGACATGGCAAAGCTCCAGAGCTGGCACTGTTTGTCCTCTGTTCCCAGTAGTCTAGCATTAAAGCTCTTAAAAGGAGCACTAGCTCTGGAGATCCAATATCATTTCATTGAACTAATTCAGGGTTCTTTCATTCTTTCCTAATTAAAAAAAAAAAAAACATTTTCTCTCCTCCTGTCCTCTTTTTAACAGAAGTGGGTGAATATATAACCACTTACTGAATATTTCTGAAAAGGACTTTAATTGCGATAGCTCTACAATCCAATTAAATCCATCATTGCATTTGTACACTCTCAATTTCCAATAGATTCTTCTTCAGATGGAACATTCCTTCCCATATTTATTCCCAGTAAACACCACCCCACCCAACTCCCCACCTCCTGTAGGAGAATTATCATGTAAAAGGACAATATTCAAGCTTTGTTTTTGTTTACATTATTCTTTATTTTCCTGAGTACTAACAACCATGTTAAATACTTGAAATTGTCAATATTGATTCAGACTCAGGAAAGTATATATGTTATACTTCAATATGTACTTTAAGAATATATTAATTTTTTAAAACCCAAACCTTCTAAGAATGTATTAATTTTTAAAAACCCAAACCTTCAGATTATACCTCAATTTGGCAAAGTAATACTACTCTGTCTCAATATTTAGAATAAATTTAACATACTTTTCTTTTTCACTGTCCACACCCAGTTTTGGCAGTAAAGAATTGAATTTCATATCAAGGCATAGTACCAAAATAAAGAAGGGGATTTGTAAATATTAATTATTCAAATGCAAATCCACATATTGCTATTTTCCTTACTGACTTTAACACTGTCAACATTCAGGCAAATTGGTTTCTCTCACAACATGTTTCAGTAACACATTAACTTATGTTGGACTATAGGAAAAATGGGAGCTTCAGTAACAATAAGAATGAACTACACTAATGAGGGGAAAGTAGGTGTTTGAGGAAAAGAGTGATTTCAGTAGCTCATAAATTTTCAACCAAAAAAATGATGTTCTCTTTTTAGACCATCAATACTTCTCCTCCAAAGCTGCAAAACTCGCAATAACATACAAATTTTTACTTACTTCCGATTAAACTATGATTCAAAAAGCAAAAATTATGGTTGAATACATGTTGATTTCTTTAAGTCATTTTGACCTTATGAATAAAAGTTCAGAATTTACTTCCTCTGTCGCCTTTGGCATTTTCTAAGGTAAATGTGGAGAAAATAATGATTGAGCAAAGATACTACTCTTTGGTTTTAAATCTCAGGCACAGTCCACTGAGGAGGACTTAAAACTAAAATTATCAAATAATAATAAAAAATGAAAAATTATTAAAATTCTTATTACTAAATACTAAGAAATATATGACTTTATCAAATATATGTAAGATTAAAAACAACAATGCAAGGAATACCATGTATCCTTCACCCCACTTAAGAAAAAGAATAATATGTATAATATCCTCTTTGAGAACTACCTTAATCTCAATCCCAGTTCCTCTCACCTCAGAGGTAACGCCTTCATTTTCTTAATGGTTTACCATATACGTTTATATCCCCAAAAATAAAATGATTAAATTTTACATGACTTTTGGACTTTATGCTTTGAAATTGATGTACAGATTCTTCTGCAACTTTTTTGGCAGGGCATTATTTCAGAAATTCATACACATGGCTACATGTAACTGTATTTCTTCCATTTATGTTACTAAGTACTATTCCATAGTATGAATGTGCCACAATGTTATTTTTCCATTCTACCATTGATATACTCCTGGAGGGAGTTTTGTGCTATTACAAACAATGCCCATTACCAACATGAACATTTTTGTAAATGTATTCTAATATGTATGTGCATAATTTCTCTAGGATATATACTTACAGTAATCAATTTCTGGCCCACAGAGTATGTACACTGTACTTTATCAAATACCTTTGAATTTGTTTCCAAGGTAGTTTTAAAAATTTATTACATTTCCCTCCTTCACTCCCAGTCAGTGTATGATATTGTCAGAATTTTAAATTTTGGCCAGCTGGCCAGTATATAATAGTTTCTATTTTATAGTAGTTTAAGTTTGCTTTGCTTCAGTCACTAATGCAATTGATTACCATTTCATATGATTGATGGTCACTAATATTTCTTCTGTAAAGTGCCTGTTTAAGATTTCTCTTCTGTGTCTCCCAAATCACGGGATGAAATTGTTCTCTGAAGTGTCCTCATCTGTCTAAAGTCCAGACCCAGCAAAGAAGAAAACTATGATCTCTGGTCCTTTCCCTGAGCTTTCACTAACTGAATTCATATTGCAGGAAGAAAGACTGAAGTCTGTCAGCACAGCTGGATAGACTTTTGTCATAAAACACTGTCTACTCTGCGGGCCCAACAGACTTTGTCCCATGCCATTTTACGTTCTTCAAGTCCATTGAATTTTCCTAAAAATCATTTACTACTCTCCCTAAAACCATCCACATTTCCCCATTTCTCTTTCCCCTAATAAAAAGAGTATATAAGCATCTGTGTTTTATTGAGGAAAGGATAATCTTTCTGTGATTCCCTTCTCCCATGGACATTAAAAATTTGTATGCCTTCGGAGGCCGAGGTGGGCGGATCACAAGATCAGGAGATCCAGACCAGCTTGGCTAACATGGTGAGACTCTATGTCTACTAAAAATACAAAAATTAGCCAGGCATGGTAGCGTGCGGCTGTAGTCCCAGCTACTCGGGAGGCTGAGGCAGGAGAATGGCTTGAACCCGGGAGGTAGAGGTTGCAGTGAGCTGAGATCACACCACTATACTCCAGCCTGGGCGACAGAGCGAGACTATGTCTTAAAAAAAAAAATTGTATGCCTTTTCTTCAATTTATCTGCCTTTAGTCACTCGATTTTTAGTAAACTTTCAGAGGGCAAAGGAGAAGTTTTTCCTTGACTACCTGCATGACTTAAATTCTCCCTGTATGTTCTGTGATAGCTGCATCCTATGTAATAGTAGATAAAATTCCATCATTGTAATTCAGTTATAAACATTTTCCAGTGTCTACTATTACTTCGTCTTTGTTTTATGTAAGTAGTGTATGTCTTCATATTAAAGCACTTGGATTTTTAAAGTAATCTTTATAACATTGATTTCTAATTTGTTTTGTAGTCAGACAAGATAGTCTCTTGGGCTTTTTGAAATTTATCTCAATAAATTTGCTTTATATGCTAGTATATGGTAAATTAAAATATATTCCAGATTTGTGTGAAATTGTATAGTAAAGAATGTAAGAATTGTATAGTAAAGAATGTAACCTTGACAAAAAGGTTGTGGTAAAAGTTTTAGTTACTGAGTTATAATATTTAAGTAATACAACTGCTTAGTTTTTCCATTTTTTTCTTGGATTAGCTTTAATATGATATTAATTTAGTTTTATATTTGAGTTTATATTTCTTCATCAACTATCTCTAACTCTTAAACCCATTCATTGAGTTTTTATTTCAATTATTATATTTCTGACACTGTGAAATGCTTTACTAATTTTTCAGATCAAACTGTTCATTTGCATAGTTTCTTATTCTTTATTCACATTTTAACTCCTCTTTTATATTTTTAGAAGTATTCAGGCTGGGCGCAGTGGCTCCCGCCTGTAATCCCAGAACTTTGGGAGGCCAAGACGGGTGGATCACCTGAGGTCAGGAGTTCGAGACCAGCCTGGCTAACATGGTGAAACTCCATCTCTACTAAAAACACACAAAAAATTAGCCGGGCATGGTGGTGAATGTCTGTAATCCCAGCTACTTGGGAAGCTGAGGCAGGAGAATGGCTTGAACCTGGGAGGCAGAGGTTGCAGTGAGCTGAGATTGCATCACTGCACTCCAGCCTGGGCAACAAGAGTGAAAACTCTATTTCAAAAAAAAAAATTATTGAACCTATTTAGAAAACTATTGTGTGTTTAACAATTCAATATCCACATCCCTCTCGGTTTGTTTCTTTGCTCTATTGTTTTTGCTGCTTTGTACTCATCATGTTTGATATTTTACTTCTTTTGACTGTGAGCTCATAATTTTGGGAACTTGATATAAGGGAATTCTTTGAGGTGAGGGTTGAAACTATGTACTCAAAGTTTATTTATTTCTGTCAAGTACCTATAGCATTTTTAGCTCTGGATCACTTTAACTAAATCTCCTTAGATTTTCTTAGATCAACTAGATTGTATGAATTCCAACTGCAATCCAACATGAGCAATAACCTATTGTTACACATATTCTCAAAGGAGATTCTCCTTCTACCCAACTCCATTCGTCACCAAATTTTAATATAAGCATTTTCTTTTACTCTCCTTGTGGTAAGAGTTGTTTAATTTACTATTATTTTGAAGGCATAGCATGTTGGGTTCCAGCATTATACACACATGCAGGTATATGGGAAATCTCCTATCAGACTCTCTGGTCTAGGTGGGCTCAAATATTTGTATCATATTTCCTATGCCTGTGAGGCCAGGGCATCTTAAGTTGAAGTTCACCTAGTTTAGCAAATGCTGTGTCAATTTCAAAGCTAGATTAATGGTTTCTTCACCTCTCTGAGTTTCTGCTTTAAATTAATTTTAGCTCTGAGCAATTGCTACTAATTTGCAGGCTCATTGATAACATTTAAAATAATTAAATATCTCATGTAACAAGTTTTTAAAAGTTATATTCTGTGAGGGAGGTTTTTTAGGGTATGTAGACTGCTAATACTGCTGCATAGGAAAGTGATTTTCACATATATTTATTCTCAACTCCCTCAATTATAACTATGTAAAGATCTTTTGTTTTATATATATATATATATATATATTTTTTTTTTTTTTTTTTAAACAGAGTCTCACTGTGTTGCCCAGGTTGGAGTGCAGTCGTGTGATCTTGGCTCGGCGCAACCTCCATCTCCCGGGTTCAAGCAATTCTCCTGCCTCATCCTCCCAAGTAGCTGGGACTACAGGCATGAGCCACCACCCCCGGCTAATTTCTGTATTTTTGGTAGAGATGGGGTTTCACTATGTTGGCCAGGCTGGTCACAGACTCCTGACCTAAGGTGATCTGCCCACCTCAGCCTCCCAAAGTGCTGGGATTACAGGCGTGAGCCACCATGCCTGGCCAGATTTTTTAATCTCTATTGTTTTCAGGCAACTGTGTAAAATAGTTAATTGATAAACATTCTTTTTCTTTTTTAATTTTACTTTAAGTTCTGGGATACATGTGCTGAACGTAACGTGCAGGTTTGTTACATAGGTATACACATGCCATGGTGGTTTGCTGCACCTATAAACCCATCATCTAGGTTTTAAGCCCCTCATGAGTTAGGTATTTGTACTAATGCTCTCCCTCCCCTTTCCCACCCCCTCACCCCGACAGGCCCTGGTGTGTGATGTTCCCCTCCCTGTATCCAAGAGTTCTCATGGTTCAACTCCCGCTTATGAGTGAGAACATGGGGTGTTTGGTTTTCTGTTCCTGTGTTAGTTTGCTGAGGATGATGGTTTCTAGCTTCATCCATGTCCCTGCGAAGGACACGACTCATTTTTTTTTGTGGCTGCATAAACGTTCTTATATATTTGCTTGTTTCAAACAACAAAACCATTAAAACAGATCCAAGCTTCTAATTTGATCTACATAAGTAGAAAAATAGGTTTTATAGAAATAATGTTCCCCTGATAGTCAAAATTTAATGATTATTAAGATTAAGAATATGTATGAGTGGAAGGATTATATACTGCGTTATATATTTTAATTTGTTTTTCCTCTTCCCTGTAACTAGATTATTTGACTCCACTCGTTGCCATATGACTTACCATACCTTCTATAGGAACAGTGTACATCCACAATTCATTCCTGGTTGAAGAGAAGAAAAATTAAACTTTTTTGAAGTTAATCAAAATTATTGAGAACCTAGCATATAGAAGAGATTCTGATAGGTGCTGTGGGAGATATAAGTATGAATGAGACCACTTCTCTGCCCTAGAGTGGCAAACAATGTCATGGGAGAGACAGATGCATTCATTAAAAACTAAAATGCAGGGTAAACAGTAATAAGTGCAACAGACTGCCCAGAAAGTATAGGGAAAGGAGGGATAAATTCCATCGGGAAAAATTGGCAGTGGTGTACTGCTAAATGTTTAACAACTCACTCTCTGGGGATCAAAGCCCTGACTTGTACCAGTTCATATTTCCATGGTATAAACACTTTTACCATGACTGATTTCTAACTACCAGTGTATGTTTACTGGCTCAAAAATTTCTGAAAATGTAACAATTGACTTGTGCAATACTGGTGCAAGGTGGTTCCAGAACACTACAGTATTGAGGACAGCTTCTTCTAGTAGGACTGAGGTGTATTGTGAAGAAAAGATAATATGCTGGTATATGTGTGGTATATGTGTAGGAAAGGGCATTCCAGACAGAAGGAAAAATTCTAGAAAATAAAGAAATGTGGGAAAATCCAAGATATATTTGAATAACACCTTGTATGCCGGCATAGGTGGCTCCAGCATACATGGTGGAAAGAAGGAAGAGAAGGAACCATAGTAAAAGATGGCTGGGAGCTGCTTTGACTGGTCCTCTCCTTACCAGTAGACACATTAGAATGACAAGAAACACAAGCAAACTTCAGGCTGTTAGTCTTTGATACAAATTTTTCAAATGTATAAATGGTAATAAAAGCAATAACCATGTACCCACCATTCAACTTAAGAAATTAATCATCAATACATTTGAAGAATAATATACATGTATGTACACACACACATATATATAATCTTTCCCTTTCATATAGACATATATAATTATAGATCTATATTAACAATAGCTTATGTATGAATACATATTATATATAATATTGCTTACTTATTTTTAAACTTTATGAAAAGGATTTTATGGGAAGACCATATGTTATATTTACACTTCTGCAATTTACTTTTCCTTTCCCATTAATATTTTGTTTTATTCTCTTATGTTGATATTTCTTGTTCTAATTTATCCATCCTACTGCTGTATAATATTTCATTGTATAAATAGAACATGTTTTGTCGATTCAGTTTCCTGTTAATGAGGATTTAGATTGTTTCTCATTTTTTCTTTTTTTTGTGATACTACAAACACTTCTGCTAAGGGCGTTTT
This sequence comes from Homo sapiens, assembly GCF_000001405.40. Taxonomy (NCBI): domain Eukaryota; kingdom Metazoa; phylum Chordata; class Mammalia; order Primates; family Hominidae; genus Homo; species Homo sapiens. Next base: position 43,097,036 of record NC_000023.11, on the reverse strand, counting down.
TGTACACTTCCTCTTTTACATATGAGCTAGAATGTCTCCAGGTCAAATAACTTAGGGTGCATGTGCTGCTTCATAATATATGTTCATTTTCAACTTTACTAGGTTTACTAGGTTATTTTCTAAAAGTGGTGTTATAATGACATGTCTACCTGTTTTTGTTGTTCTACATTAGTACCAATCTTTGATACTGTCAGAATTTTTTCCACTGACATTGGAGTGAAAGAGATGTGAATAACATCTCATTATGATGTTAATATGTGTAACTTATTACTTGTGAGGCTGAGCATGTATTCATTTTTTAGTAGTCATTGTTTTTACTCTTTTGTAAATTTAAGATTCATATAATTTCCCAATTTTTTCTATTCATGTGTTTGATAATAAAATTTAAAAATGAAATAGAGTGAAATATAAGTTTGATGCAAATTAAGATGACTTGAAATGCTGGATTGAAGTAGATACAATGAGATTTTTAAATAGAAACTTATCTTGACTCCTCATTTCTGTTTAAAGGGAGAATGGTGAGTTTAGCACACTGAGATTCATTAAGGTTCTACACAGGATTAGAATTATTAATAGGATCTTTGCAAGACACTTTTTGGATATTATTCCCTTAGTCAAAACATCACTTTTTATATGTAGCTTTAGATTTGGCAAGTTTATGTGTAAGCCCAACCCGAAAAAATACCTTCCTTAATTGGGTGTATTTGTATTGTTATACTCTTTTTGAATCAAGTCATGTAAAACAGTGTTGATAGATGTGCTTATACATGTTTAGTTGAGATGGGATATTTGAATATATATATATATATATATACGCAAATATATATACATATATAAACACACACGTATACACACACACTACTCAAGACAGCTATTCAGGATAGAACAGATATTTTACATATTGTTCTAATTTAAAGAGACACATCTAGTGACATTAAATTTGGGAACCCTCAAACAAAATGACCACATCCCAACTAATCACCAGATGAAACCGCCCCACAGCCATCAAGCCCTGCCTGTGTCTACAGAATGAAGTCAGTTTTTATGTGTTCCTGTATTAAATCAATAGACAGGATGGATTACATGACAGTCAAGAAAAACAAAGATCATGAAAAACAAAGATAAAAATAAACAGAAAACAGGAACCTGGAGATGAGAAAGCAATAGCAGAAAACAAATGAAAATATAATTCAAAAACTTCCAGAGAAAGATCTTAAAAGAAGATCGTATCCATTTATTAGGGCGGTTGTAACAAGGTACCACAAACTGGTTTCTTAAAGTAATAGAAATTAATTCTCATATTTCTAGAGTATAGAAATTCAAAGTCAAGGTGTCAGCAGGGCCACACTGTCCTCAAAGCCTCTAGGGAAGAAACCTTCCCTTTCTCTTTTAGCTTCTGGTGGCCCCAGGTATTCTTTGGTTTGTGGCAGAATAACTTCAATCTCTGCATCTGTATTCATATGACTGTCTTCCCTTGGTGTATGTCTGTGTCAAAATATCCCTGTTCTTATTAAAATACCAGTCATTTGATTAGGATGTGCCCTAATTCAGTATGACCTCATGTTGAATTTATATGCAAACACCCTATATTTCCAGAAAAGATCACATTCACATGTAGTAGGGGTAGAATTTGTACATATCTTTTTGGAGGACACAATTTATCCCACAACAAAGATCTTCTAGGAATTAAAACTATGAAAGTTTGAAATAAAGTTGAAAAAATTCATGAAATGCAGGAAAAAATATCTTTGGGAATGGAAAATAAAATTAATCTAGGAAATCCATTATATGAATAATAGAAGTTCAAAAAAGGGAAGAGAGGGTATCATCAAAGAAATAATTCAGGAAATGTGGACACAACCAAAGAATATGCAGCAAAATTAATTTTTAATAAAGGTTATGTGTCTGAGTAAGATGGAGTAAGCACATGTCACCTGTTTATTTCATTATAGAATGCATCATAAAACCGGGACAGAATTCATGGAGCAGCTATTTGAGAACTCTGAAAAATAAATATCAGTAGGCATAATGGAAAAGAACATCAGAATTCAGAGTTCCTGGCTGGGTACAGTGGCTCACGCCTGTAATTCCAGCACTTTGGGAGGCCAAGGAGGGTGGATCACTTGAGCTCAGGAGTTCAAGACCAGCCTGGGCAACATGGCAAAACCTCATCTCTACCAAAAATACAAAAAGTTAGAATTAGCCAGGCGTGATGGCATGTCCCTGTGGTCCCAGCTACTTGGGAGGCTGAGGAGGTGGGAGTATCTTGAGCCCGGGAGGCAGAGATTGTAGTGAGCAGAGATGGTGCCGCTGCACACCAGCCTGGGTGACAGAGTGATACCCTATCTCAGAAAAAAAAAAAAAGAATTCAGAGTTCCAGTGAACATGAACCAGCACTAAGTTAACCAATTTCCCTCCTAGTATCTCTCAGCCTAAACTTTAACAAAGCACAAACCCCACGAAGGAGCACCGTGGTATGGGGAGAGATACAGAGAGCTTCAGGAAAATGTGTCTCGTGTGGCTCATGGGACAAGGAAGGGGAATGCTAACATTCAAATTATAAATGAAATCCCTCTATTTTTTTCTCTCCCTTTTTCTCTGTTCTTTCATGCCCCACCCCCCAGGACAACTTCATGGTGGAGGCAGTGGCAAAAACAAAAACTCCTGGCAGTGGGAACCTGCAGGAACAAAATCCTTGAGGTTGTGTATACTTACTCTCCCATTTGGTGCATCTGTAGCTCCTGAGGACAGAGCCAAAGGCCATTGGTTTTGTTTTACTCTGTTGGTCCTCCACCACTTGGCTATGGAATAACCAGAGAAGTGGGTGACTTCTGACAATTGGACAAGAAAGAGTGCTCCAAGGAAGTGAAAAGTATCAAGTTGATAGTAGGAAGAATCTCAGGAAAGCAGCACTATAAAGTTGTTTATAAACTTCTGGCTCATCATCCTTCATCTGAGGATGAATGAATCTCATTATAATTAACATGCCAAAAACATTAAAATCTGAACCAACAGATAGACCTCTGCCCAGGTCTCAGATGGACCACTGGCTTGTATACATGAGGGATAGATCTGAATAGCACAGAAAAGGCTTTGAAAATTGGACTGATACTGGGACTAGAGCCCATAGGATATAAGTCAAAACTTGCAAATTGGATTAAGCAGGTCAAGTGCCTGCTAAAACAAAAATATCTACATTCCCCATCAAATATAAACAAGACCTAGAGATTCATGATGTAATATTCGAAATGTTCAGGATATAACCCAAAATTATGTGATGTATAAAGAATCATTAAAATCTCAGTCAAATAATAGATATTGGAGACTACGAACAGTAGAAGGATGGGAGGGTGGTGAGGATTGAAAAGTTACCTATTGGGTACAATGTTCACCTATTCAGATGAGTACACTAAAAGCTCAGACTTCACCGCTATGCAATATATGCATGTAAGAAATCTACACTTATACTCCCTAAAAATCTATGAAAACAAAAATAAAAAATAAAAAGTGCTATATAAATTTCTAAAAATGAATAATTAAAATCTCAACCCACATGGGAAAATACAATCAACAAATTTCAATACTGAGATGGTATAGGTTTTAGAATTATCTGAAAAAGACTTTTAAAAATCTATTTTAAAAGTGCTTGAATAAATAATCATGGACTCTCTTGAAACAAAAGTTAAAGTACAAAGTATCAGCAAAGAAAGAGAAAATATAAATCATGAAATGAAAATTTTAGAATGGAAAAATAACTTTAAAAACTCACCAGATGGATTCAATAGTAGAATGAAAATGACAGTGGAAAGATTCAATGAACTTGAAGGTAGATCTTATAGAAATTATCTAATCTGGACAGCAGAGAGATAAAAGATAGAAAAACAGTATCGAGTCATAGGGACTATGAAGCCACAATAAAAGGTCTAACAATGTCATTAGAATCTCAGAAGGAGACGAAACAGAATAAGTTGCTGAAAAAGACTCCTGAAATACAATAGTAACTGAAAACTTCCAAAGATTGAAGATGATTCAAGAAGCTGAGTGGCCAAGTTCTGTGGCTCGCACCTGTAATCCCAGCTACTTGGGGGGCTGAGGGTGGGAGGATTGCTTGAGGCCAGGCGTTCAACACCAGCCTAGGCAATATATAAATAGCAAGACCTTATCTCTAGAAAAAATTTTTAAAATTAGCAAGGCATCGTTGTGCATGCCAGTAGTCCCGGCTACTTGGGAAGCTGAGGTGAGAAGATCACTTTAGTCCAGGAGTTTGAGGATGCAGTGAGCTATGGTCATGCCACTGCACTCCAGCCTGGGGAACAGAGTGAGATTCCATAGCTTAAAAAAAGAAAAAGAAAAAAAAAAAAAGAAGCTGAGTGAACCTACAATAGAATAAATCCAAAGAAATCCATGCTCAGACATATTATAATGAAAAGGCTGAAAACTGAAAATGATGAAAACAATCTTCAAAGTAGCCAGAGAAAAAGGACACGTTACCTGTACGAGAAATTGCATTTTTCATCTGAAAACAGTGAAGCCAGAAGTGGCACAACATTTGTCAAGCACTGAAATAAAAGAGCTGCCAACTCAAAATTATATAGCCACTAAAAATACCCTATAGAAATGAAAGTGAAATTAAGACTTTCTTGGATGAAGGAAATTTAAGAGAATATATAGCTGCAGACCTACCGTAAAATAATTTCTAAAGGAAATTCTACAGATCAAATGAAAGGAAACTTGGAATATAAAAATGATGAAAGAACAACAAAAATGATAAATGTTGGGGTAAATAGTCTTCTCAGATAGAAGACTATCCTCTCTTGAGTTCTTTAAAACATATTTGACGGTTGAAAGCAAAAAGTGTAATATTGTCTAATGGAGTGAGTTTCCAATGTATATAGACGCAATATATGTAAGGCGACTGCAGTATGCAAGGGGTAAGGTAATGGGACCTACATGGAAGTAAGCTTTCTACATTCCTATTGAAGTTGTACAACTTTGATTCCAAGTAGACTGTAAAAAGTTAAGTACATATATTATAGTCTCTAGAGCAACTACTAAATAAATTATAGAAAAGATATAGTTAAAATCACAATAGATAAATTATAATGGAATGGTAAAAATTGGTCAAAGAACCCAAAAGAAGGTAGGGAAAGAGGAAATAGAGGGGCCAAAGACAGAACAAATAATACAGTGATAGACCTAAATGTAAACATATCAATAATTCAAGTAAATGTAAATAATATAAACACATTCATTAAAACAGAGATAATCAAAATGAATTTTTTAAAAATGACTCATATGCTGTCCATAAGAAACTTCAAATATAATTATATAGTAGATTAAAAGTAAAAGAATAGAACTGAACATGGTGGCTTGTGCCTGTAGTCCCAGCAAGGTGATCACCTAAAGCCAGGAGTTCGAGGCTGCATTTTGCTATAGTGCCTGTGAATAACCACTGAATTTCAACCTGGGCAACATAGTGAGTCTCTGTCTTGGAAAAAGAAAAAGAAGGTAAAGAAATGAAAAAAGACATACCATGCAAATACTAATCAAAAAAACTGGAGTGGCTACATTAATACCAGACAAAATAGTCTTTAGCACAAAGAAGGATAGCAGAAGTAAAGAGAAATATTACATATTGATCAAAGAGTCAACTTGTGAAAAATGTATTTGTAAGTGAATACATGGAATCCTAAGTGTGTATTCACTTAAAAGCAGAGCTTCAAAATACATGAAGCAAAAATTTACAGAACCAAAAAAAGCAAAAAAAGAAAAACAACCCACAATTATAGTTGGAGATTTTAACACTCATCTTTAGTAGTAGAAGTAGTAAACAAAAAATCAACAAAGGTATTGACCACTACCACCAACCAACTGGATCGAACTAGCATCTATGGAACACTTCACCCAACAGCATCATAATATGTATTTGTTTTATGTGCACATAAAAGAGTCACCAAGACAGTTCACACCCTGAGGCATAAAACAAACCATAAAGAATTTAAAATAATTCAAATCCTATGAAGTATGGTCTTTGTCCATAATATAATTAAATAAAAAATTAATAACAGGAAGCTAACAAGAATGTCTCCATACACCTGTACATTAAACAACATACTTCTAAATAATCTATGTGTCAAAGAGTTAGTCTCAGGGAAATTAGAAAATATTTTAAACTGGATGAAAATGCAAATGTAATATATGAAAATTCACAGAACACAGATAAAGCTCTGCTTAGAGGGAAATTTACATCATTAAATGCTTATATTACAAAAAGCCTAAAATGTCCTCAGTATGCCCCTTACTAAATATCACAAAACTGTGGGCACTGAGACTGTCTGTAAAACTTTCAAAGAGAAAATAAGAATAGATTATACACTTATATAAACGAACTGAGATCCGAATGGCATCAGATTTCTCAAGAATAAACTGAAAGTCATTGAGCAATTTGCTCTACATTCTGAGGGAGAATGATTTACAAGCTAGGACTTTTGGAGTTTCTGCCAAATTATCAATCAAAATTAAAGATAAAATTAATAAAAGTGAGAACTTCTAAGGTATCCGAAATGGTTCCGGTGAATCATTCTAAGAAAGCTCCTGGAAGCTGTAGCTAAACTAGCTGAGAGAAGAAACTAAGAATGAGAAAAAGCTGGGATCCAAATAACAGAGGAAGTAATAAGAGCAGAGAGACAAAGGTAATTTCCAAGATTACAAAGAAGGGGAGTATTAAAATGGCAGCAGGCCTGGCATGGTGACTCATGCCTGTAATCCCAGCACTTTGGAAGGTTGAGGTGGGAGGATCGCTTGAGGTCAGGATTTTGAGACCAGCCTGGGCAACATGGTGAAACCCCATCTCTACAAAAATACAAAACTTAGCCAGGCGTGGTGGTGCACGCCTGTGGTCTCTGCTACTTAGGAGGCTGAGGCAGGAGGATCCTTGAGCCTCGGGAGGTCAAGGCTGCAGTGAGCCAAGCTTGTGCCACTGCACTCCAGCCTGGGTGACAGAGCTAGACCCTGTCTCAAAAAAAATTTTTTTCATTGAAACAGAAGACTATAGTAATACAGCATACCTGAAAAGCACATAATCAAGATTTAATCAGGAAGACAGGTCTTCAAGTGAATATTTCTTCCCACTATTCCCTTAAATAAACTGATATATTTGACCAAACTGAGGAATTTCATAGTTTTATTGGTGAGTGTGGAATTATTGATAGGTAAATAGAAAACTAAGCAATTGAACAAATGTAATTACATTAATTTCCAGAAAAAAAAGGTATACAAGAAAAGAAATGTAATTATTGTATACAAGTGGCTTAACTCTGAATAATGCATATGTAATCATGATAATATAGACTCAGAGTATTTATTAAAAATATGCTATAAGTATATTAGAAGAATGGAAACAGGCACAGAAGGGGAAGTTAATTGTGGAGTAATGTCAGAATGCAAAGTGCTGAGTTTTTATCACAAGGAATTACTATATGATGTGCAAAAATGGAAAAAAAATAAATAGCAGCATAGTATGTTATTTAGAAATATGGAAATAAATACTAAAAAGTAGCTAGAAGAATTGAGTTGCTTCTTCTGGGGAGAGACAATCACAGAATATGGCAGAAGGTAGTGAGCCTGCTGTTTATAAGTTTTTAGTACTATTTCACTTTTTAATCTATGTATATTACTTATTTGATATTAATAAAAATAATGATCAGTACTGGAATATAATTACAGTTCCTTTTAGTGAACAGTAGCAGCAGTAGTAGTACTAGATAATCTTTGTACAATGCCTACAAGGTGTCAGGTCCTATGCCGAGAGCTTTTCATCCATTATCTTATGTAATCCTCACAGGTATCATTTGAAGTAGGTACTATTTTTCAGAAAAGGACTTAAGGCTTAGAGAGATTTTGTAAATTGTCCAAAGTTAGTATAGCTCGCTAGTGGCTTTGCTAAGGTAAGAATCTTGGCCTTCTGACTACAGGGCCCTGGGTGCTAACTATATTCACATTTTATAGTTTTACCAGTCTTACTCACCTTCCTGGAGTTTTCTAGATTTTCAATGAGACAAGTGTGGAAGATCTATAAAAAGATTTAAGAAGTATGGAAGAGCAAATTCTTTAGAAAGTTTCTGGCTGTATGTGAGGCTCAAACTTTCCTTATTTCCTGGACTCCCTGCCTCCATTGCCAAACTTCGGACTTTGCTCCCCATCCATCTCACCCCAACTGGGCCCCAGTGCCAAATATAGGCAGTGCCACCAAAACTGCCATGCTTGTGTGCATGAATATGATATAGAAAGATGGTTTATTTCTTCTGCTCTGTTACTTCTGCCCCCCAGCGCTTGTCCTAAAAGCAAAGAATTGGCCGGGTGCAATGGCTCATGCCTGTAATCCCAGCACTTTGGGAGGCCAAGGCAGGCAGATCATGAGGTTAGGAGTTCGAGACCAGCCTGGCCGGTACGGTGAAACCCCGTCTCTAATAAAAACACAAAAATCAGCCAGGCGTGGTGGCATGCACCTGTAGTCCCAGCTACTTGGGAGGCTGAGGCAGAGGAATCGCTTGAACCTGGGAGGTGGAGGTTGCAGTGAGCTGAGATTGCGCCACTGCACTCCAGCCTGGGCGACAGAGTGAGACTCTGTCTCAAAAAAAAAAAAAGCAAAGATTTGTAGGTAGATGTCAAAAGCCAAAAGCCACTTTTGTAGCTTATTCTTTTTGTCTTGAATTTCAATGACTGTGTTATTACACATATTTAAATAACATAAATGATGTAAAAACTCCCTCCTGGAACTCTTTAAAGTGACAATGTAGATTTGGATGGCAGATAGTAATTTTAGAAGGATTTTAGTAGGATAGAAAAAGAGGCTTATTCTTACATACTCTAGTCTTTTTTTAAAAAAGTAAATTTGACATTTGGGTACATTTAAACTTCTAAAAATACCTTCTGGTGAATCAAATTTTCTTTGCCCCATCACAGCTTTCCATTGTTGGCCAGTGCATTCTGGAAAGCATCCCAAATATTCAAGTCTGTTCTTCATCTCAATTCCCTGTCTGCTTATTCAAGATGAGAATCCAGGGACAAAAATAACTCAGGAAAATAGCAGAAGAAGAGTATTTATCAGCAGGAAGCTAAAGAAAGCACATTCATGGATCAATCTCTTTTAAGTCAGCAAAAATGGAGCTCTTCTCCCCAATGCCACAGACCAAGTGTAGAGGGCAATTTAATAATAAACATTTAAAGAGACATCAAAATGACTTTTCCGTACAAATAATAAGTCTCTATGTTAACAGTGTTGATCACCATTCTCAGATACAATACTAATGTTAAAATATAAATTTTGGTTGTTTCAAGAGACTGTCTCAAAAAGTTTACTAAAGGCCATCATTGTTTCTAGGAATTGATATTAGTATCATCAACACCATCAAAATACGGATTTTAGTAGTCTTTAGAGATCATTTACCGCAATGATTTCCAAAAGGCTTCTAAGGGCCTGGGGGAATGGGGAACATGAGAGAGAGGTTCCCAATGTCCTGCATTTCAGAGAACTCTACTTTCAAAGTTTTTTCTTTGTTATGCTCACCCCCAAAGATCACCAGGATCACTTCTAATCAGTAAGGTTAAGTTTCTTATTGCTGTGCCAAGGGAGACTAAACACCATGGAGAAATTGTGGGGCTTTTCTGAAAGACAGAATGATTGACGGGTGGGGAGGTTTACTATAGGATTGTGGCTTGTGTTCAGGTTTTTTTTTTTTTTTTTTTTTTTTTTTTGTGGGAAAGTTCAGGAAGCAAGAGTCTGTTTTGAATTAGCCAAGTCCAGAAATCTGAGGCAATTTGTTGATTGACTACCTTAATTTTTATCTAGGAGGTCAGAGGGGAAAAATGGGGTAGAGTATTCATTGAAGAATAAGCAGTTGTTACTCATGTTAACTGAGAAAGTGGTATTTGGGCATTTTGTGATTGTCCAAAGTTTCCACTTATATCTCTATTTGGGCATGATTATGGAGTGTGGAGTTGTCTTTCTATTGTTTTGTTCCATCGCAGTCATGAGGACTCCTTTTCTGATGTAGATATTCTGTAAAATCCTCACATCCAACAAAGGAACACCATGCCCTAGTTGGAAGCAACTACACGAGCTACTAGCTGTCAGCTGTCAAGATTGCCTTTTTGTTTTTTTCAAAAACAGCTTTATTGAGGTATAATTGACATGCAAACTGCACATATTTAACATGTACAGTTTGATAAATGCTGACATACACACACCCTTGAAACCATCACCACAATTAAGATAGTGAATACATCCACCACCTCCAAGTACTTTTTGGCATCCTTTTGTAATTCCTCTGCTGCCCCTTGTCTCTCCATGTAGCCTGAAGTGACCATTGATCTAATTTATATCACTATAAAATAGTTTTCATTTTCTAGAGTTTTATAAGTTGAATCATACAATATATAATGTCTTTTTTGGGGGCTTCTTTCACTAATCATAGTTATTTTGAGAGTCACTCATATTGTGTGTATCAGTAGCAAATCCCTTTTTATTGGTTAATAGTATTTCATTGCATGGACATACCACAAATTATTTATCTATTTATCCGTTTTTGGATATTTTTGTTGTCTCCAGTTTTTGGCTATTATAAATAAAGCAGCTATGAATATTCTTGAAGAGGCTTTGTATTGACATATGCTTCCATTTCTCTTGAGTAAGTACCTAGTGGCATGGCAGCAGGGCAGGGACGTGCTGGGAGGAGAAAGTTGTGGTCCCTGGCAAGGGCTCCACCCTTGGGCCCATACCCATGGACCCAGGTGAGGACAGACACTCCTGTTTTCATGCCTAAATGTTGCGTTTCCAAAGACCATGCTGGCCCGCCATGACCCCATCCTGTGCCTATAGAAACCCTGAGACCCTAGAGGGCAGAGACACAAGTGGCTGGATATGGAGAGGAACACACCGGTGGAAGAACATACAAGTGACTGGATGTTGAGAGGAACACACTGGCGGAGGAACACACTGGCAGAAAAGCACACAAGAGGCTGGATGTTGAGAGGAACACACCAACAGAAGAGCATACTGACAGACATCCGCAGACGCCAGCAGACCATCGACCTGCAGAATGATGTGGTGCTTGGCAGGCAGGGGCAGTAAGAGGACAGCCCGGCTGCCGAGCGGCTCAACTCCCAGGGAAAACTACCTTCCCACTGCATCCCCCTTCTGGCCTTCCCATCTACCTCGCTGAGAGCTACCACTCAGTAAAAAACCTTGCACTCATTCTCCAAGCCCGTGTGTGATCCGATGCCCATGTGTGATCCGATGCCCATGTGTGATCCGATTCTTCCAGTACACCAAGGCAAGAACCCCAGGACACAGAAAGTCCTCTGTCCTTCCAATAAGGTGGAGGGGCTAATTGAGCTGACTAACACAAGCTGCCTACAGACGGCAAAACTAAAAGAGCACACGGCAACACATGTCCACTGGGGCCTCAGGAGCTGTAAACATTTACCCCTAGACATTGCGGTGGGGTCAGAGCCCCACAGCCTGCCTGACTGCATGCTCCCCCTAGAGGTTTGAGCAGTGGGACACCGAAGAAGCGAGCCACACCCCCATCACAGGCCTTGCAAGGGGGACAAGGGAACTTTTCCCATTTCAGTAGGAGTAGAATGGTTGGATCATATGGTAGATGTATGCAGAAATTTTCATGAAACTGCTGGGCTGCTTTATCTTTCTCAATTTTTTAAGCTTTGTGTAAAGTGTCAAGTGTCTTAAAAGAAAAAGTTCCAGTACTTGAGGGAGATGATATTTGAAAACCACCCTTCCAGCTAAACCATTTTATTTATAGATGAAGTAACTAAGACTACAAATAAAATGTAAATGCTAATAAGTAGATACCAGAGTCAGCATGAAATCCCTGGTCTTTTAGTTTTGATTTCCTACTATGGCTCCAGGATTACTATCTTTTACTCTGTGGAAAAGAAGAAACCCAACAATCAAATCAGAATAATCGTGTTTATATTCCAGGTGGCTTTATAGTACCATCTCTATGTTATGCTTTATTTTATTTCAAAATGTCTCTCTTTCCATTATCTTTGTCATTTTGCTAGGTCAGATCTCCATCACCTTGTATCTAGATTTTTGTAGCATCATTCTTCCCTGGCTCTATGCTTTCCACATTCCACATCTCTCTGTATAATGATGATGGATTAATTTCCTGTCACTACTCCCCTATTCATTTTTCTATTGAATTTGATCTCCTCTTTCCAGTTTTGAACATTATCTTTCACCTGAAATCACTGATCATGCCACTCTTGGGCTTATTTACACTCTATGCTCATTGATCTCCCTAGTGTCCTAAAACAGGAGTCCTCAACCCCTAGCCATGGACTGGTACCAGTCCCTGGCTTGTTAGGAACCTGGCCACACAGCAGGAGGTTAGCAGCTGGGGAGTGAGCATTACTGCTTGAGCTCCACCTCCTGTCAGATCAGTGGTAGCATTAGATTCTCTTAAGAGTGCGAACCCTATGGTGAACTGCACATGTGAAGGATCTAGGTTGCACCCTCCTTATGAGAATCTAATGCCTGATGATCTTACGTGGAACAGTTTTATTCCAAAACCATCCCTGGCCCCCGTCCCTGGTCTGTGGAAAAATTGTCTTCCACAAAACCAGTCCCTGGTGCCAAAAAGGTTAGGGACTACTGTCCTAAAACATCTTAATACTCATTGTTATACCTTTGATTTCATTTATTTCTGAAAATGCTCCTAAAATATTTGTAGCCATAAAGCTAAATAGAAAATTGTCAAACAAGAATGAATTAAAAGTTAAATAAAGAACCAAAAAAAGTAAAAATATTAATATAATCAAGGATGTTTCCCTAAAACTAAATTGATTATGCTGATTTTGATGAAAATGTTTTATTATTTTTGTTTAGTTGATTGTTTTCATATTGAGAAGGATGGGCCATCATTTCTCTTTGCTATTTTTACTAATGAAACTTTTCACTTTAAAAACTGATCTAATTTTAAATTACCAATCCTTTACTTTCATGATATAATCAGTTGAACACTGCACTACACCATTCAATATTAAAAAATTAAAAATCTATTATTGCAAATTTACTACTTACTATTTTTCTCTTTCTTCCATATAAAAATAATTATATAATGAATTCATTGTCCTGAATACATTGACTGACTCTTTATCTCTTTTATTTGATAAGACTTATACTCGAAGAGCTATTTGATGACTCAGTTCTCCATTTAAACCACTGCAAAACGTCCTTCGTGCAGCATGCACTAACATATTCAGCCTTTACTTGTGAATAAGATCATAAACAACTTTGGATCCTGGTACTCTTTGGCAGTACTTGTTGATAAAGTAGTCAACCAGACAGACCAAGAATAAGTCTCTTTCTACATTTTTAGATTTCCATTAAATTGAAATTTCCAAGTTTTTAAAAAAGTTTTACTCTTTAATCCCCAAGAATGTGTCTAAAGAGCAATACATGTCTGGAAACCACAGAGTGTAACATGCTTACCAGGTATTACATTAAATAATATAGTTGAGAAACAGAGGTGTTTTGTCAAAATCACCTCACCATGTATTTCATAGAAGAAGAAAAATATATATATAACAAAGAAAATAGGCAAATAGGAAAAGGCCTCCTCTACTCCCAGGACTTTCTATCTAGTTATTTTACTGGGTGGTTAACAAATAAATTTAAACATATGATGAATTTATTTTTCCATTTATCAAACAGCCATTTGCATTCTTTTTAAGTGCCTGGAATGCAAAGGTATATGACTATGTGATTTCAAAGGTTCTGTTTGCTTTCTCTGCAGATAATAACATCCCTCATGCTCAGCAGTCCTTGATAATGTGATTCTGGGTTCAGAGCAACAAATGAGAGGCTGAAAAATCTTTGGAGATTATACTATTTATGTAATTACAGAGGAAGTCACCCATCTAATAATTAAAATGAGGCTATAAGGCAGAGTAGAGTGTCTAAGGGAGAAAACACAACAGGAAATAGAGAAACGAGGTATGTTCAAAGAAAACGAGAAACACCCCCAGAGAAAGAAAAAAATGGGAAAAAGAGATATCTTACCAACCTAAGAGCCAGGTGAATATTCTCTTTTGGAGCCAGTGAAAATATTCCACTTAGTTCGGGCAATATAAATTTTAGTATTTTTTAATTATGATATAACTAAATATAATGATATAATGAAATCATTTGAGAACACTCATTTCGGTTTTTATTGATAAATATTCAATAACAAAGTTCATAGCATTAAATTAAAATTCATTGAGACTAAATGAGTGGTGGTTCACGTTACTGATATGGGGACATATTTTATGATTTAGTACCTTCACGAGTTTTAAAACTGAATTCTGTGTTATTTAGATCTCACCAGTTTTTCCATTAGTGTCTTTTGTTATGGGATACAATCCAGGATTCTACATTTTGTTTCATTGTCATGTCGCCTTGGTCTCTTCTGGTCTATGATGGTTTTAAAGTCTTTAAGAAAAAGTTTTTTGACTTTGAGAGTTTAAAGGAATAGTAGTCAGCTATTTTGTAAACTCTCCCTTAATTTGGGTTTGTCTCATGTTCAGTCCATGATTAACTAGGATTACAAGTGTGGGAGGAAAAATCTTAGAAATATAAACTGCCCTTCTCATGATATCATATGGGGGAGTACATTTATTTATTTTCAATTACTTATTCAATATAGACTCATTTATTTTGTAGTTTGAGTTAATTTTCATATAAAGCATGAATTATATGTCAAGGTTTTGTTTTCTTTTACTTTGTTTTGTTTGCAATGCACCTCTCTATCAGTGGTCCCCAACCTTTTTTGGTACCAGGGACCGGTTTTGTGGAAGGCAACTTTTCCATGAACTGTGGCGGTAGGGGGATGGATGGTTTCAGGATGAAATGATTCCACCTCATATCATCAGGCATTAGATTCTAATAAAGAGCAGGCAACCTACATCCTTCACATGTACAGTTCACAATAGGGTTCTTGCTCCTATGAGAATCTAATGCCACCGCTGATGTGACAGGAGGCAGAGCTCAGGTGGTAATGCTCACTTGCCTGCCACTCACCTCCTGCTGTGTGGCCAGGTTCTTAACAGGCCATGGACTGGTACCAGTCCATGGCATGGGGGTTGGGGACCCCTGCTCTATATGGACCATTGTGGAGAAGATAATTGTTTCTCCATTGAATTGCTTTTACACTTTTGTCAAAAATCAACTTCAGTCTGGATAAGATCACATAGATCGATTTTTTTCTTCCTTGCCCCCATTAAATACAATTATAAGTCCTGGAAATAATGCAAGAAGTAACTAAGAAAGGTCTCTGAAAGTTGGTAAGAAGAAGGAAAACTAGTTTGCGACCCCAAGACTGGAGAAACAACACAGTGGCAGGGCATCTTACATTCCTATATCCAGTAGAAGAATTTGATCCAGACTCAGAATTTTCCAATTTCCAATCTAAGAAAATAAGGCAGCCCTGTATTGAATGGTGGTGGGGGGGGGTCCCTCTAACACTAAGTGAGCACAGAACCACTTGCAAGGGGGCTTGGTGAGAGGCCTGTTAACAATAAGCAGTCAGGGAAATATTATCTTTTCCCACCAGGACTAAGGTTCCTCTTTCCCACTGAGAGATACCAAGGAAGAATTGGCAAAAGAGATCTTGCCACAACAAATGGCCAGATTTTAAAAGTTTCTTTGTCCTGTTAGACCTGAGATTCCCCTCACTGGGCCAGAGACACTGAGTTGGCAAAAGCGGCATCGGCAAAAGGGACTCCATTGCAACAAACGCCCAGCCAGAAGAGACACTTTGTTTCTGTGGCCTAAGAATCTCATCCCCACTGAGAAACACATGGCAGCCCAGACTAAAGAAACTCCTTCTGCCTCTTCAGTCAGCACCAACAGTAACCATTACGAACTCCAGCAGCACCAGATAAAGTAAGTAGACCAAACTAACTCTGCAAAGGCTCCAAAAATTAAACTGTCATTGGAAGACAGCCCACAAAAGTAGGCCAGGACCTGCACACAAAATCTAAAAAGAGTGACTGTCTGGTGAAGTGATGAATTTAAATGGGATTCAGACTCTGCTAGTATACTACAAAAATGTTTAGGACACAGTTGAAAATTACCCATCATATCAAAAAGCAAGGAAATCACAACTTAATGAGGAAAAATTATGAACAAATGCCAACACTGAAATAAATCAGTCATGAAAATAGTTCAGCAATTAAAGTTTCTCTCAAAATAAATGAAAACTAGGAAATCCGAACAAATAAATAAAAGTTATAAAAAAGAACTAAATGGAAATTATAGGCCGGGAGTGGTGGCTCATGCCTGTAATCTTAGCACTTTGAGAGGCTGAGGCAGGTGGATTGTCTGAGCTCAGGAGTTCGAGACCTGCCTGGGCAACACGGTGAAACCCTGTCTCTACTAAAATACAAAAAATTGGCCGGGCTCGGTGGCTCACACTTGTAATCCCAGCACTTTGGGAGGCTGAGGCGGGCGGATCACCCGAGGTCAGGAGTTCGAGACCAGCCTGGCCAACATGGTGAAACCCTGTCTCTACTAAAAGTACAGAAATTAGCTGGGCATGGTGGCAGGTGCCTGTAATCCCAGCTACTCGGGAGGTTGAGGCAGGATAATCGCTTGAACCCAGGAGGTGGAGATTGCAGTGAACCAAGATCACACCATCGCACTACAGCCTGGGGGACAAGAGCGAGACTCAGTCTAAAAAAAAAAACGAAATTAGCAGGGCATGGTGGTGTGCACCTGTAGTCCTAGCTACTGGGGAGGCTGAGGCAGGAAAATTGCTTGAACCCAGGAGGCAGAGGTTGCAGTAAGCCAAGATCACACCACTAAACTCCAGCCTGGGCAACAGAGCAAGACTCCATCTCCAAAAAAAAAAATAATAATAAAAAAAATAAATAAATAAAAGAAATAAACAACTGGCTGAATGGGCCCAATAATAGAGAGGATAAAGAATAGAATAGAATGAGTGAACATAAGGATGCATCACTAGAATCTGAACAAAAGAGAGAAAATAGACTGAGAAAAATCTGAATAGCGGCTCAGAAACCTGGAGTACAATAACAAAATAGACAACATTTATATAATCAGATTCCCAGAAAGAGAAGAATAGTTGGGACTTAAAGAATATGTGAAGAAATTAGGCTGAAAACTTCCTCAATTTGGAAAAGATACAAACCTACAGATTCAAGAAGCTGAGTGAACCACGAAAAGATCAACCCAAAGAAGTCCAGGACAAGACACACAGCAATTAAAGTTCTGAAAATTCAAGTTCAATTGTAATTATGGGTTCATGTGTTTCTTCTTTTAGCTTATCAGTGTTTGCTTCATGTATTTTGAGACTTTACTTTTTGTTGCATACACATTTAGGATTGTTCTAGCTTCCTCATGGATTGATCCTTTTATCACTATGAAATATCTCTCTTTGTCTCTGGTAATTTTATTTGCTCTGAAGTATACTTTGTCATATATAAATATAGCCATTCTTATTCCATTTTTTATTAAGGCTAGAATATGTCTTTTTCCATCCCTTTACTTTTAACTTACCTGTATAGTATAATTTGAAGTGAGTTTCTTATATAAACAGCATACAGTTGTTTTTTTTAAATCCTTCTGCCAATCCCTATCTTTAGATTGATGTATTTATGCTATTTATACTTAATGTAATTATTGATATGATAGCATTTAAGTGTGCCATTTGGGTATTTGATTTCTGTTTGTTTCCTATGGTTTTGTTTCTCTTTTCTTGCTAAACTGTCTATTTTTTGAAATTCCATCTGGATTTATTTTTTAAATTTATTTATAATGTATCTCTGAATAGTTTTGGGAATGTTTTTTTCTGGGTATTTAAATATACCCATGTACCTCATCACAGTCCACAACTATCAACATTTTATGACTTTGAGTTAAATTTGGAAATTTTGCTTCTATTTAGGTCCTTTTCCCTTTCTCAATTTTAATTAATTAATTAATTTTTTAAATATTAGGGCACTAATCTGCCACTTTTCTCAGCTTTAAATGTTATCTTGAGTGTCAGATGGTGTTTTAATTATTTGATCCTATCATCAAATATGATATATAAAATTCATGAGAAATTGATAAAACTCTTGGAATACTGTCTTAGTCTGTAAAGGCTGCTATATCAAAATGGCATAAACTTGGTAGCTTATAAAGAACAAACTTTTTTTCTCATAGTTCTAGAAACTAGGAAGTCCAAGATTAAAATTCAGGCACATTTGATTTAGTGAGGGCCTAGTCCTCATAGATGGTGCCCTTTTGCTGCATCCTTGCGTAGATCTCTTGGACCTCTGTTATAAGGGTACTAATCCCATTCACGGAGGTAGAGCCCTCATGAACTTAATCACCTCCGAAATGTCCCAGCTCTCTTTTTAAAATGACTGATAATAAGTGCACATATTAATGTGGTACCTGTGATATTTTGATACATGTATACAATGTATAATGATCAAATCAGGGTAATTAGTATATTAACTCAAACATTTGTCATTTGTGTTGGAAACATTTCAAATCTTCTCTTCTTGCTATTTTGAAATATACAATAAATTGTTATTTTCTATTTTTACCCTACTGTGCTATCAAATATTAGAATGTATTCCTTCTATCTAACTGTAGTTTTGTACCCATTAATCAAAATCTCTTTATACCCCTATACCTCCTATACTTTCCAGACTCTGGTAACCATCATTCTACTCTCCACCTTCACGGGACCAACTTTCTTAGTTCCCACATATATGAGAACATGTGATATTTATCTTTCTGTGCCTGACTTATTTCACTTAATATAATGTCCTTCAATTTGTTGCTGCAAATAACAGTATTTAGTTCTTTTTTTTTATACTAGGTTCATAGTTTCTGGTCTGCCAATTAAGTCTTTAATCCATTTTGCTTTGATTTCTGTATATGGTGAGAGATAGGGGTCTAGTGTTATTCTTCTGTATGTGAATATACAGTTTCCCCAGCACCATTTGTTAAAAAGACCATCCTTAACTCAATGTTCTTGGTTCCTTTATTGAAAATGAGTTTTGCTGTAAATGTGTGGATTTATTTCTGGGTTCTTTATTCTGTTCCATTGGTCAATGTGTCTGTTTTTATGCCAGTACCATGTTGTTTTGGTTACAATAGCTTTGTAGTATGTTTTAAAGTTGGGTAATTGTGATGCCTCCAGCTTTGTTCTTTTTGCTTAGTGTTGCTTTGGCTATAGTTTTCATTGTATTGGTCTTTCACTTCTTTGGTTGTTTATTCCTAGGTATATTTTTTTATTGTTGCTATAATATATAGAATTATTTTCCTGATGTTTTTTTCAGATTGTTTGCTGTTGGCATATAAAAATGCTACTGATTTTTCTATGTTGGTTTGTATCCTGTAACTTTACTGAATTTGTTAGTTCTAATAGTTATTTGCTGGAGTCTTTAGGTTTTTCCAAATATAAGATCATATAATCTGCAAACCAGGATAATTTGACTTCTTCCTTTCCAATTTTCATACCGTTTGTTTCTTTCTCTTGTCTGATTGCTCTTGTTAGCACTTCCACTACTATGTTGAATAACAGTGATAAAAGTGGGCACCCTTGTCATGTTCCAGGTCGTAAAGACTTTCAATTTTTCCCCATTCAGTATGATACTAGCTGTGGGTCTGTCATATATGGCTTTTATTGAAGTACATTCCTTTTATACAGAGTGTTTTCAGGATTTGATGTTGAATTTTATCATATTATTCTTCAGTATCAATAAGTGATCATATGGCTTTTATCCTTCATTCTGTTGATATGATGAATCACCTTGATTTATTTGTCTATCTTCAACCATTATTGTATTCATGGGATAAATCCCACTTGGTCATAATGAATAATCACTTTAATGTGTTGTTGAATTCAGTTTGCTAGTATTTCATTGAAGATTTTTGCATCAATATTCCTCAGAAATATTGGCCTATAGTTTTTCTTTTTTGATATGTCTTTGTCTGGTCTTGGTTTCAGGATAATACTGGCCTTGCAGAATGAATTTGGAAGTATTCCCTCTTTCTCTGTTTTTTTTGGAATAGTTCGAGTCAGATTGGTATTAGTTCTTTAATGTTTGGTAGAATTCAACGTGAAGCCATCGGGTCCTGGGCTTTTCTTTATTGGGAAACTTTTTATTAAGGCTTTGGTTTTATTAGTTGTTATTGATCTGTTCAAGTTTTGAATTTCTTCATGGTTCAACCTTGGCAGGCTACATATATCTAGGTATTCATTCATTTCTTCTAGATTCTCCAATTTATTGACATATAGTTGCTCATAGTAGCCACTAATAATCCCTTGAATTTATGTGGCATTGGCTGTAATGTCTCCTTTTTCTTCTCTGATTTTGAGTCTTCTCTTTTTTCTTAGTCTGGCAAAAAGTCTGTCAGTTTTGATTATCTTTTCCAAAAGCCAACTTATCATTTCTTTGATGTTTTGTATTGTTTTCTTTAATTTCATTTATTTCTGTTCTGATATTTATTATTTCTTTTCTTCTACTAATTTTGGGTTCAATTAGGTATTTCTTTTCTAGTTATTTAAGATGCATCACTAGGTTGTTTTAATTTTCTTTTACTTTTTTGATGTAGTTGCTTGTTGCTATAAACTTCCTTTTTAGTATTGTTCTTGCTGTATCCCATAGGTTTTAGTACGTTGTGTTTCCATTATCATTTGTGTCAAGAGATTTTTTATTTGGTTTTCTATCCATATTTTCTTGTGACTCCCCGAGCTCCTTTTAGGGAATAATTCTGAATTTCCTGTCTGACATTTCATATATCTTCAATTTTTTTTGGATCCATTGTTGGAGCTTTGGTGGTGTCATATTTCCTTGAGTTTTAGCAATTCTTCCATCTTCACAATAATGTCTACTTAGTTAAGAAGACAACCACCTCTTCTAGTTTTTGCAGGTGTTTTTTGGTGGTGGCAGACCTTTACTACTTAGTTTTGGAACTTAAATACTGGCCTATTATTTCTTCCCATTCTGGGGAAGACTTAGAGTCAGAACTGGAAGTAGCTCACTGCCCTGACATTGTTTCACAGTGTGGAGAATACTTTAGTGCCCACTGGAAGTTAATCCTGACATTTTAGTTGTTAGGGGCCAGAGGAAGGCTCCACACAAGCACCTGGAATTTGTGTAAAATCTGGCAAGGGATTCAAGTTTCTCGAGTATTGTGTTCCCTGAAACACTGTGGCTCCAGCCAGTTGCTTAAATGTGGTCTTCCTGATTATCAGAGCTCAGAGTAGCCACCAATGTCTGCATGCTAATCACTACAATCAGATCCCTGCTTTTTTTGTCCCCAGTCATCCCAGTGGTTCAGCCCTCCTGGCACTTCAAATACTTTTCTGTGTGATAGAACCAAAGTGAGCTTCCCACAAAGACTCCCAGATTCATGGGGAGATTGAACACTCTCCTTCCATCCCCTCCTCTTACCCAAGAAACAATAGGTCTAGGGAAATTCTCTGTGAGTGGCATTATGCTGGCTTGGGGCAGGGGAAAGTGCAGTGTGACATGACCATTTCTTTTACTGATGATGGCTTCTCTCAATTCTGTGAGCTCAGGGAGTTGCTCTGCTTCTTTCCTGAGTTCTGCAAAATGTGAGGTGGTATTCTTGTCTTTGAATTGTCTCTTGTTGTATTTCTGTGGAGGGAGTGATGCTGGAGAATCTTCTGTTCATCATCTAGTTCACATCCCTTCCCACCTCTTACTATCATCACATTGGTGATTAGGTTTCAAGGTATGAATTGACAGGGGACACAAACATTCAAATCATAGAAAATACTGATGATAAAAAGAGAGAAAATGCAAATCACCAAAATCAAGGATGTAACAGGAGCTAACACCACATAGCTTTTAGCCATTAAAAGAAAACTCTATGCATAACTTTATACTTATACATTTTACAACAAATGGATTAATTTTTTGAAGATCACAAATCACCAAAACGACCAAGATGAAACAGATCAGCTGAGTAGCCTTATAACCATTAAAGAAATTAAGCTTATAATTAAAAAGCTCCAGAAAGAGAGCTCTCTAAGCAAAGATGGTTTTACTAGAGATTTTTACCAAACATATAAATAAGAATCAACACTAATTTTACACAATCTCTTCCTGAAAATAGAAAAGGCGGAACATGTCCTAACTCATTCCAAACTCATTTTATGAGAACAGTGTTACACTACTACCAAAACCAGACAATGATAATGCAAAAGAAGTAATCTGTAGACCAATATATCTCATAAACTTAGATGCGAAAAGCCTCAACAAAATATTAAAACAAATAAAATCCAACAATTCATAAAAAGAATCTATACTATGACCAAATGGGATTTATTGCAGGTATATAAAGCTGGTTCAATAATAAAAATCAGTCAGTGGAATCCACCATATCAACAGGCTAAATAAGAATAATCATGCCAATTGACACAGGAAATTATTTGAAAAAAAATCCACATTCATGACAAAAATTCTCAGCAAGTTAGAAATAGGGAGAAATTACCTTAACTTCATAAAAAGCATCTATAGGAAACCTATAGCTAACATCATACTTAATGGTGAAAGACTAATTGCTTTTCCCCTAAGATTAGAAACAAGGCAAACTTATCTATTCTCACCACTTTAACTCAGCATAGCACTGAAAGATCTAGCCACTGCAACATGCAAGAAAAGAAATAAAAGGAATGCAGACTGGAAAAGAAGACAAGCTATTGATATTTGCAGACAACATGATTGTCTGTGTAGAGATCCCCAGGAATCTACCAGAAGACTCCTAAAACTAATAAACAAATTAAGCAAGGTTGCAGGATATAAAATCAACATAAAAGTCAATTGTACTTCACATACTCACAATGACTGTGAGGAAACTAAAATTAAAAATACAATACACCATTTACAGTTGCTTAAAGAAAATAAAATTCTTAGGTATACACTTAACAAAACATATATAGGGTCTGTATGCTTTAAATTACAAAATGCTGATAAAGTAAATCAAATAAGACCTAAATAAATGGAGAGATATACCATGTTCTTTGATTAAAGGACTCAACATCAATCAACATCAATCAATTTACATGAGCAAAGATGTAAATTCTCCCTATATTGATCTATAAGCTTAACGCAAACCCTATAAAAATGTCAGCAAAGTCTATTGTAGACATAGACAAGCTTATACTAAAGTTATATGGAAGGTGCACACCCTAGAATAGATAAAACAATCTTGACAAAGAAGAATAAAGTGGGATGAATCACTCTACCATATACTAAAGCTTACTATATAGCTACATTAATCAAGATAATGTGATATTGGTGAAGGGAGAGAGAAATATATAAATGAAACAGAATAGATCACACAGAAATAGACCCATACAGATATGCTCAACTGATTTTTGGTGAAGATGCAAAGGCAATTCAATAGAGGAAGGAGAGCCTTTTCAAAAGCCTCGACATAAATCTCATATCTTATACAAAAATTAACTCAATATAGATCAATGGATTTAAATGTAAAATGTAAATCTATAAAACTTTTATAAAAAACACTGGATAAAATCTTAGGATTTAAGGCTAGGCAAAAAGTTCTTACACTTGACACCAAAAGCACAACCAATAAGAGAAAACATTGATAAACTGGACTTCATCAAAATTAAAAACTTTTGTTCTGTGAAAGTCCACATGAACAGGATGGAAAGACAAGCTACAGACTGGGAGAAAATATTTCCAAGCCACATATATGACAAACGACTAGTATTTAGAATATATAAAGAGCTCATAAAACTCAACAGTAAAAATTAAAAAAACTCCAATTAGAAAATGATCAAAAGACTTGAAGAGACATTTCACTGCAGACGGCATACAGGTGGCTAATGAACACATAAAGATATTCCACATCGGCATCCATCAACGCAAATTAAAACCAAATTATCCAAATGATCTAAAATGCAAAATAACATATCACTGTGCATTTATTATAATGGCTAAAATAAAAAATAGAGACAACACCGAATGTTGATACATGTGCAGAACGTGCAGACTTGTTACATAGGTATACACGTGCCATGGTGGTTTGCTGCACCCATCAACCCGTCATCTACATTAGCTATTTCTCCTAATGCTATCCCTCCTCTATTCCCCGACCCCCCAACAGGCCCTGGTGTGTGATGTTCCCCTCCCTGTGTCCATGTGTTCTCACTGTTCAACTCCCACTTAGGAGTGAGAACATGTGGTGTTTGCAATTAACCATATTTTTGTGTGTCTACTTCTGGGCTTTCTATTCTAGTCCATTAATCTTTGTGTCTATCCTTTTGCCAGTATTGCCTTGATTACTGTAGCTTTATAGTAAGTTTTGAAACCTTGGTGATTTTCTTACATTATTTCAATTGTTATTGTGTATTTGCTCTTTTAGCTAAACTTTAAAATAATTGTGTCAATTTACAAAGACAGGAATTTTGAATGAAATTGTGTTAAAACTTTAAATAAATTTGGTAAGGAATGCAATCTCTAAAGAATTTTCTCTTTCAGCTATATGGTATATTATGCCATTTTTCTCCAAATATTTTCTCCTTTTTGATAAATTTTCAGTCTTATGCACAGAGACTCTGCATTTTCTTGTTAGACTTGTGTCTTTTAGATTTTATAATATTTGATGCTATTATTGATTTAATCTTTTAACTTTAATAGCATTTTCTGGTAGGCATGCAAGTGATTTATTTCTGCGTATTTATCTTTATCCTGACATTTTATGGAACTCTTTAATTCTAAAAGGTTTTCAGTTGATTTTCTTGGGTTGTTAAGTATGTATTTGCAGATAATAGTTATTTCTTACCTTTCTGAAAGTTTTCCCTGTTATTTTGGTTATCTATCTTATTATGCTATTACATAGACAAAAACTTTCATAAAACTGAAGGATAAGGCCACTAGAAACTCCAGGAGATGGTGTAGAATGGACAGCTCAGAGGTATTCTACCTGAGGAACTGGTCCAACTCCTATTTGTCATAGAAGGACATATATCTAGCAGGTGGTAGGGGTGAGGATGACTCCAGGGCACTTGAAGTTTTTTCTAAAGGTGAACAAAGCAGTCTCTGAAGATGCGAGAAATTTCTCGGGCAAAGAAATTCAGGTGCTGGCAGTTAAAAATTCAGCACTAAGAGGCTTTGAAGGAATAATAGGTGGTACACCAACAGCATGTACTTGAGGCTTCTTTCCTCACTTCCCTACACTCTTTTCTTCTCTCACAAGTTCAAACTGCCCACCACTGCACACACACACACACTTATCCAGAAGTTGTGATTAGGTACCATAAAAAGAAGAGAAAAATATGATTCTCTGGAATTTGAAAGCATTTGACTCTTGTCTGAGTTTCCAAAACACAGAAATCACTGCCATTCTCACTGATCATGAATCAGTCCCAGGCAAAATGCCCTCCCATGAAGTAAAACATTTTATCTGAGTGAAACATACAAACAAAAAATAATGATTCCACAGGAAAAAGGTGGAATGATTCTCACAATGGTGAGAATGATTTGGAGCACAGCCATTCTCTACAGTGGCGATGTTGGGCCTCAGAGTGCTGGGCTGACCTGCTGGGCCTCCAGTTACCTGGATCTGGGAGTAGCAGCTTCAGGGACTGATTAATATCTTCTCTGAACCCTGGCTTCAGATACTGCTATATTTCTCATGCCCTTGAGAGACAATAGGATGAAAATGAGAATTGCTTAGATTTCTTCCCTTCCAACTCTTTTAGATTCTTACTCTATAATAATCATTAAAATCAAAAAAAGCTTCCTGTTCTTCAAATGGATAACGTTTCTATAGTAGGTTTTGTTGACCTCCTATCTCTCAAATTCTGATGTCCTTATCGATGTACTTCCTAATCATAACACTCATTTAAATAATCTCCTGTCTTTGTTATGATTCCTCTCATCTGCAATCTTTTATCAGTGTGTCCTTTAACTCAGAATCCACTTAATAAAATGTGTAATGCCATACTAACTTGGAAAGGTTTCACTGTAACATATGGTGATAAAGAAGGGGGCTCAAAGAAGGGAATATTAAAGAAGTAAAATGATTGCTATTACATCAGCCATCACTTAGAATTATATTCATCATCATCGCTATTGAAATTTTAAACTAGTGCTTATTGAACATAATGTGAATGGAATGATATTAGGCATACGAATACAGCCTAGGACTTAGAGCTACAGGAATTTGCTAATAAATATAAACCACAAAAAGTGACAATAAGATATGAAACCTCAAATAATAAAGTACCTCTTCAAATACTTGTGATTTTCTCAGGTGGTATGTTTTAATTTCTTGCTTTTAATTTTTTGTGTATTTATTGTAGGTTTTCTAATTTGAGATTACCATGAGGCTTGCCAATAATATCTCATTTTAACTGATGATGGCTTAACCCTGATTACAGAAACAAACAAGCAAAGAGAAAACTCTACACTTAACTTCATTCCCCTGTGTTTTAACTTTTTGTTGTTTCCATTTATATCTTACTATACTATGTCTTGAAAAGTTGCTGTAATTATTATTTTTGATAGGCTCATCTTTTAGTCTTTATACTCAAGATATGAGTAGTTTATATGCCACAATTACAGTGTTATAATATTTTGTGGTTTTTTTTGTGTGTGTGTGTTCATACCATTTCTAGTGAGTGAGTTTTGTACCTTTAGGTGACTTCTTATTGCCCATTAAAGTCATTTTCTTTCAGATTGAAGAACTCCCTTTAGCATTTCTTGTAGGACAGGCCTAGTGCTGATGATATCCCTCAGCTTTTGCTTGTCTGAGAAAGTCTTTATTTCTTCTTCATGTCTGAAGAATATTTTCACTGAATATACTATTCTAGGATAAAAGCTTTTCTCCTTCAGCACTTTAAATATGTCATGCTACTCTCTCCTGGCCTGCAAGATTTCCACTAAAAAGTTTGCTGCCAGACGTATTGGAGCTCCTGCATGTTTGAAGGATATTTTCACCAGATATACTATTCTAGGGTAAGAGTTTACTTTCCTTCAGCACTTTAAATATATCATGCCACTCTCTTCTGGCCTATAAGGTTGCCACTGAGAAGACAATTGCCAGATGTATTGGAGCTCTATTTTATGTTATTCATTTATTTTCTGTTGCTGCTCTTAGGATCCTTTACTGTTGACCTTTGGAAGTTCGATTATTAAATGCCTGGAGGTGATCTTCTTTGGGTTAAATCTACTTGGTGTTATATAACCTTCTTGTATTTGTATATTGATATCTTTCTCTAGGTTTGGGAAGTTCTCTTTTGTTATCCCTTTGAATAAACTTTCTACTCCTATCTCTTTCTTTACCTCCTCTTTAAGGCCAATAACTCTTAGATTTGCCCTTTTGAGTCTATTTTCTAGATCTTGTAGGCATGTTTCACTCTTTTCTATTCTTTTTTCTTGTGTCTCCTCTGACTGTGTATTTTTAAATAGCCTGTCTTCAAGCTCTCTAATTCTTTCTTCTGCTTGATCAATAATTTTGTTGAGAGATCCCGATGCCGTCTTCAGTAGGTAAGTTGAATTTTTCAGCTCCAGAATTTCGCTTGATTCTTTTTAATTATTTCAAATCTCTTCATTAAATTTATCTGACAGGATTCTGAATTTGTTTTGTCTGTGTTCTCTTGATTTTCATTGAGCTTCCTCAACACAGCTATTTTGAATTCTCTGTCTGAAAGGTTGCATATCTCTGTCACTCTGGCATTAGTCTCTGGTACCTTATTTAGTTTATTTAGTGAGGGCTTCCTGGTTGGTCTTAATGTTTGTGCATGTTTGTTGTCTGGGCATTGAAGAGTTAGGTATTTATTTTGGTCTTTTGAGTCTGGGCTTGTTTGTACTCATTCTTCTTTGGAAGACTTTCCAGGTATTAGAAGGTGCTTGGGTGTTGTGATCTAAGCCAAATTTGCATTAGGGTCACCCCAAGCCCAGTGATGCTGTGGTTCTTGCAGACTCATGGAGGTACCACCTTGGTGGTCTTGGATAAGATCTGGAATAATTCTCTGGATTACCAGGTAGATACTCTTGTTCTCTCACTTTTTCCCAAACAAATGGATTCTTTCTCTGTGGTGAGCCTCCTGGACCTAGGGTGGGGTGACCCAAGCACCCCCGTGGCCACCACCACTGGGACTGCTCTGGGTTAGACCCCAAACCAGCACAGTACTAGGTCTTGCCCAAGGCCCATGGTAACTACTGCCTGGCTACCACTGATGTTCTCTCCAGGCCCAAGGGCTGTACAGTCCATAGGTGGCAAAGCTAGCCAGGTTTGTGTTCTTTCCTTCAGGATGGTGAGCTTCCCTTGGGCCAAGGGGGAGACCAGAGATGCCATCTGGAAGCCAGGGCCTGGAGTTAAGGACCTTAGGACTACTTGGTGCTCTATTCCACTCCACTGTGGCTGAAGTGGCACATAAGCTTCAAGACAAGGTCCTTCCCAGTCTTTCCTCTCCTTTCCTCAAGCAGAAGGATTTTCCTCCCGTGGCTACCACCACCCCATGCCCATGGCAAGTACTGCCTGGCTACCATCAATGTTCATTCAAGTCCCAAGGGCTCTTCAGTCAGCCTGTGGTGAATGCCACCAGGTCTGGGTCTCTCCCTTCAGGGCATTGGGCTCCTCTCTAGCCCAGGAAAGGTCCAGAAATACTGTCCAGGAGCCAAGGCCTAGAATCGGGGACCCCAGGGGCCTGCTTGGTGCTCTACCCATCTGCACCCAAGATGGTACACAAGCTGCAAGACAAAGTCCCTTTTACTCTTCCCTCTTTTTTCCTCAAAAAAAAAAAGGCATGTCACCCTGTGGCCACCATAGCTGGGAATGTGCTGGGTCACACTTGATGCCAGCAAGGCTTTGGGTCTCACCCAAGGCCCACAGTGAATACTGCCTGGCTACCACTGATGTTTCCTCAGGGCCCAAGGGCTCTTTATTCAGCAAGCGATGAATTCTGCCAGGACTGGGTCCTTCCCTTCAAGGCAGCAGGTTCCCTTCTGGCCCATGGTGTATCTAGAAATGTTGTCAAGGAGCTAGGGATTGGAATGGGGACCTCGGGAATCTGCCTGGTGCCCTATCCTACTGTGGCTGAGCTGGTATCCAAGTTGCAAGAGAAAGTCCTCTTTACTCTTTACTCTTCTCTCCTCAAATGGAAAGAAAGAGTCTCTCCCAGAGCTGTCTGGGATTGGGGTAGGTGTAATGCAAGCACTCTCTTGGTGGTCCAGCTGGTATCTCAGCAGGTCATCTGTACCCTAAGTCCACTGGCTCTGAGTCCAGCACAGTACCAGGACTTGCTCAGGAATTGCAGGCCTTGTAGGTTGGACTGCCTTTCAAGTTTATTCAGAGGCCGAGAACACTGTAGTCCATGGTGGTGAGGCTTGCCAGAGCTCAGGTTCCAGTTACCAGGATGGATGATTCTCTTCTGGCTAGGGCTGGTCTAAATGTTTGCTTTGTGAGCTGTGGCTGAGTTTTGCCCCATGTTGCTTTCTGCTGTGGCAGAGCAGCATTGAGTTCCAATGCAAAGTCCCACAATCACTACACTTTCCTTCCCACAAGTGCACAGATTTGCTTTCCATGCCTCAAGGCTACTGCCAGGGGATGGTAGAGGAGCAATGTAGGCAATTCAATAATGTCTTTCCTACCTTCTTCAGTGCCTCTTTCCTTGATATAATATTAAAACCAGGTATTGTCATCACTTACCTGATATTTGGTTCTTACGAAGGTGTTTTTTTTTTGTGTGGTGATAGTTTTTTGTGGTGATAGTTCTTCAATTTGGTGTTCCTGCAGGGGAGACAATCACTGCAAGGTTCTGTTCAGCCATCTTGTTCCACCTCTTTCCTCTTCAAATACTTTTGAATAAGGTCAGATGTACTTTGCTTTCTAACTTAAAACACTTAAGAATAAAAACTAAGCCAAAAGCACACTATTTGTATAATAATGGATGGCTAAGATGTGAGACCTGGTGATGAAATGTTAATTACCAATTGCGGAGATTACTACTGCTGTTGTCCTCTGAAACTGGAACATTGAATGTGTTGCAGAGAAAACAAAGCCTGCAGTCTATTTACCTTTCTTTCTCTTTCAAACCCTTTATAGCTAACACAGCACATGATTCAAAGGTTTGATGTAAATACTGTTTACCTCAGGTAGAAGGTGAAGATTGAATTCAGACCTTTGTGTAAATTAAGCAAAATTGGATTATAAAATTGTCATTTTATTTTGACTTTCTTTTCTGAGCTTCTATCTTTACCTTATTTATAGTCACCCATCTATATAAAGTAAGCTGAATATAGATGGTATATTAATGCATATACCTGTACAGAAATGAGGTAACTCAAGAAAAGTCATCATTTTAAATTTAAATTAAATTGCTACTGGTGGAGTTTACCACTGGTATTAAAATTTAGGAGTGTATAGCAAACAAAGATTTGTTTTAAACCAATGGCTTCTTTGGAAAAAAAATTACTTTTAGAATTCAGCAAGTGTTACAGAAATCATATAAAGGAATGGGAATTGAATTATAAAATGATGAGAAGAATTTTTATATAGGTTTCTTTTCTTTTCATTTCTATGGTGGTTGTGGAACTTGTTATAAGTTAAGAGTCTGGTCAAGGATAAGAAATTGTGTAATTGAGTAGCACTGGAATGTTTTTTAAAAATCTAGCCCTAAATGACAGCTGGGGGAGAGAGGATGATAGGTAAGAATGAAGAGAAAACATTCATGTACTCGTTCCAAAGGAGTGAAACCAACATTTATGTAAGGCAAAAATAAAAGTAGAACACAATAGCCCATTCAAGAGTTCTTAGTCATGGAGTGAAGAGGCTTTTATAGGGGAAATAGATAAGCACAGTTGTTTGGAATGTTGTACAAACGTGCTCCTTATGAAGAGGGCCTTTATCTGAAATAGAGCAGAAGTGCCAAAAATGATCCTGAAAACCTACTTCTTTGAGAAAAGAAAGGCAAGGAAACTTCTACAAAGATTTTCATCTGAAACAGTTTAATTGCTTTATTGATGAAATAAATTTGTCCTCTAGAAAATTATTTTTCATCCCGAATCAAAAAGATATCTGTCACAATTTGTTATTTGATCTTACTTCCTAGGTGATATGAAATGACTTTAAAACATCAAGGACTATGTGGGCAACTGTAGCTCAAGGAAAATCAGGACAGGGGCATGACCAGAAAATAATTCAGGAAACAACAATTAACACGAGTTATTGTATGCCTGCCACCAGGCCCAAGAAGCTTTCTAAGATTTAGTGATGAGGTAGTGACTTTAGATCTAAATCCTTGCTGGCCATAGTGAAATATAGCTCTATTTCATGATTTTTTAGTATATCAACATTTATATACGTGTCTTTTGTTCTACAGTTAACAAACTGGACGTTTTTTTACCTTGTTAGACTTTCCAACCTAAGCAAAAGAACTATATAGCTTGCAAATTCAACTCTAGCAACTAATGGAGACTATTAAAATCTACTTCTATCACCTAAAATTTTTGCAATCTGGTTCTTACTCTCATTACAAGGACTTTTTTCATTTAAAAATCAATAGTGTTCCATTTCTTAATCATTTTGAGATCAATATTAAATAACCAAAGCAGTTCTTAAAAAGGCAATTTAGCAATAAATTTTCACCTAAACTAGAATTGGAGCAAATTGATTATATTCAAGTCTCAGTAGTCTTCCCCACTATGTTTTATGACATTAAACCATCGCTATTATATTTAACACTATATAGTGTGACAGGACAAGGTAACAAATGTCTCCTACAGCTTTTATAGAAGCCAAAAATGGACGGTTTTGTAGTAAATACACACTTGAGAAACTTATTGCTGTAAATTGCAGAAAGGCTAAATTATTTGGGAGAAGATTAACCCCGTCAATAATTCACTCTGCTACTATAGGCAGCAGTAAAGTTTCTATGGAACCAGTTAATAGCATTGACAGTCATTGTGCTGTTGAGAGTAACAAAGTAGAAATAACACAGCATGATATTCTTCCACTGTGAGACAAAGTGGTAAAAAAAACGATATAGGTATAAGGTATGTTAATCACTTCAAGAAGGCTAAGAATGTATCGATAATTCTATATCTTGTTGGTTTGCATAGTGTTTGGTCTGTAGATTTTCAGAAGCCCAGCTGAATGTATATATTCTATTTCATGGCATTTATCATAATTATAATTAAAAAGGGGGTTATCTAATTGGTGATGTATTGTCTGTCTCTTCTAATAGAATCTAAATTCCAAAAGAACATGAAACTATGATCCATGTACGCTGTCTTTACTAATATGTCCTTGGTACCTAGTACTCTGTCTAATATAGAGAAAACATTCTATACTATTTGTTGAACAAATACAAGAATTGAGTAGATGAGTCATTATTTAGTACAAATATACAATTTGAACAATTCATAAATAATCTGCAAAAAATACATTTAACACATTCAGCAAAATGATAGACTCATCACAGGTCTCATTCCTCAGTTGACAAAATGTTTGAGTCTCCAGAATTTCCTACCTCTACTTCATTTTACAGATGTGGAAATTTAAGTTTAGATAGGTTCAGTCATCCAGTAGGGGTACTACAGCCAAACAAATGAGATGACTGAAACTCACTAGAAGTGTCAAGCCAATAGTCATAGCTTGAAGATGGTAACAAAACTCTTATGACTATGTTAACTTCAGATAATGAGTAAGCAAATCACTTGAGAGACACAGGCAGAATTCCAAAGATGTGTTAACGATAGAGTAATGAGTAACCTATGAGATATGTTAAGGATGGAATAAATGCAATATATAATGGGGGAAATAACAACAGAGACAGAAAGGAATAGAAGGACCAAGTCATAATCATTACACATAGCTGACAGCTATGTCATTTCCTAACTTGATCATCCATTGGGAAGTATAGGTTCCATTCAGGCCCCACATGTGCTCTACCTAGAAATGCAGATAAAACCCATGACTATTCAGTAAGTTTACTGGCAAGCTACAGCTATGGCCAGGTGCACTTGTCCATGCATCTCTGCAATAGAGCAATTTTGTGCCATTAGCCTGGGGCCACTTCTGTCTCTGGTTCTTCTTGTTTGAACCTCAGTTCTGGTCTTATAAGCACACTATCAGTAGGAAAGGCTGATAAGCAGAGAGAGACAAG
Organism: Homo sapiens; assembly: GCF_000001405.40. Taxonomy (NCBI): domain Eukaryota; kingdom Metazoa; phylum Chordata; class Mammalia; order Primates; family Hominidae; genus Homo; species Homo sapiens. Next base: position 43,063,839 of record NC_000023.11, on the reverse strand, counting down.
ACCATTGCCGACCCCAGGATTCAAGCAGTGTGATTCTTCTACCCACTTGTGTGTGTGAACCTACCCCACCTCTTGCCCCTTGCTCCTCACCTTGCATTTTCAATTGGTTCAATAAATTGTGTGATTTGCATATTTTAATTTGGCCCATAAGCCTTTCTGTTTTATGGTCTCTGACAGAGCATGCATGCTACTTAGAGGTCACTGTTGCATCAAGGTAATATCCCACATAACAATATCCAAATCACTTCCATTCTATTAAAAACATGGACCACATTATATCAACGATGGAAAGTGGGCAACTCAGTCAAACTGCCATCAGGAAAACCTGTGACCAGAAAGCTATGATAATAACAAGATATGAAATCCTTGAACTCAAGTCTCAGAAGCCTCCTTGCAATATAACTGAATAAGAATTCCATGAGTTCAACCAGGATTTCTTTCCAAAATGCTTATTTTCAGATTGTAAAACCACCAATGACATGGTCAAGTGCTTCAGTAAACAGAATAATAATGCACATTTATGTTCACAGAACACTAACTTTAACAGATTTTAGGATATCACCATGTTTTCCCTTCCATTTTTGTGAAGTTGAAGATAAAATATTTAATGAAAGTGGAATTTTGAGTAAAAAAGTAATGCACACTGATGAAGAAAGGAAAGAATATGAATCCAGAGCTATTTGTAATGTTCTTTTGAGCTTACTCAACAATATGAAAGATTATAGGTTCATTGATAGAAAGAATGATAATGAAACTAATAGTCTCTGCATTTATCTAATCCCAGTATTTTCTTATTTGATTTTCTAATTAGGATTTAATAGCTTATAAAATTTTGGATTCTTTTAAAGAATTCTTTACAATGAAAATGTTCAAACTTATTGAAAATAGCATAATGAACACATCCAAACTCTAGAGTTAACAATTTTTAATATTTTGTCATATTTTTATCACCTATTTTTCACTAAATCATTTCAAAATAAATTATAGACTTCATGACATTTCATTTCAAAATGATTCACTTTACATCTCTAAAGAAGACATACTCCTACATAACCATAATATCATTATCAATATCACCCTTTTAAAAAGTAACTATTTCCCAATATCATCTAATACTTGGTCTATACTCACATTTTTCCGACTATTCCCAAAATGTCTTGTAAAGTTGTTTAAACAAGGATTACACATTCTATTTATTTGTAAGATCTCTAGATCCTTTTAATCTACCATAGCTGTCATAGCCTCTTTTTCCATGACACTGACTTGTTAAAAAATACCAGGCCAGTTATCCTTAAAACATCCCACCTTCTGGAAGTACTGATGGTTCCCAACTTACAATGGTTGGACTTCGATTTTTTGACTTTACAATGGTGTGAAAGCAATACACATTCAGTAGAAACTGTACTTCCAGTTTTGAATTTTGATCTTTTCCTGGGCTAGGGATATGCTATGATATGTGCAATACTCTCTTGCCATGCTGGGCAGCAGCAGTAAGACATTCTGTTTTTCACATTCAGTACAGTATTCAGTAAATTACCTGAGATATTCAACACTTTATTATAAAATAGGCTTTGTGTTAGATGAATTTACCCAACTGTAGGCTAATGTAAGTGTTCTCAGCATGTTTAAGGTAAGCTATGAATTTCAGTAGGTTAGGTGTATTAAATGCATTTTCAACTTGCTATATTTTCAGCTTACAGTGGGTTTATTGGCACATAACTCCATCATAAGTCTAGGAGCATCTGTATCTGTTTCCTCATGGTGATTTGATTAATTTGTTCTTTTATCTTCTGTATTTCCTAGAAATAAGATCTATAGGTCTGATTATTCTTAAGTTAAATATTTTGTTGTAAGAATTCCATAGATGTGCTACGTACTTTTTATTGTATCACATCAGGAGGCATAAAGGTCTGGTTTCCAAAGTAAATTGTTGATAGTTGAAACATTCGTTTTATTTGCTTTTGTCTCAGGCTGAAGAAAATGGTCATTGGTGACATAATCACTATTTTGATAATGATCAAATTGTTTTTATCATTAACTGAACTAACCATATAGTGGATATTAACCATATCATATAATCATATGTGTCATATATTGGCTTCGATTTTGGAAAAAATACACTTTTAACATGGTCTTATAAAAAGAAACCTTTATTAATTCCAATACAATGTAATTATTGGGGAAATAATTAGACACCAAGGTTTCATAGAAATAAGTTCCTTCTGCAACATGGTAAGCATACTCATTAAAAGGCATGGTTTTCCTTTCTAACTGGATCAGTCTTTTTATATTAACGTTATATAAAGGTTTTTTTTTTTTTTTTTGTAGTTAAGGACTTTAAAAAAATCTCGTCTAAATTGCCTTTTCTTGACTGCCGAAGTTACTTAATAGAGGTACTGGGAAGAGGTTTTTCATCTATTACTTTTGACATTTTATTGAAAAAAAAGTCTTTTATCAACAAATGTGTTTGCTATGCTAGCAAGACAGAACTCAGAAGAAATATTGTTCTTCCCTCTGCTCATAGTCCCCAGTTTATTCTGGCCCTCTAAATTAGTTTCTGATTTTTCTGGATTACATACAAACTCTCTGCCTCATTTCAGTTAGAGGTCAAAATTTTAAATACATATCATGAATTTGGAATGACAATGCATAGTGGAAAAAGGTTTGCCAACCCATTGCCCCCTCTTCCTCTAGAAATCACTTTCACACACACACACACACACACACACACACACACACACACCCTCCCTCCCATAGCTATTTGATCCTCTTACAGTGAACTAATTAGCTAGAAGTTGCTGAGCTAAAGTCAAAACAATGCAAAGCCAAAGACACAAGGAAATGAGACATTTGAAGCAGAAAATGCTGGTTTTCAGAAAAGAGAGAGCTGCAGAGTCACCAAGAGCCCATAAGAGCCCTGAGACAGAACTAATTCAGTTTTTCAGGGATAGAGAAAACAACCTCATTTTCCCAGTGTCAGAAAAGAGTCATTCTCTTACAGATTTTCAGTTCCTTGTACCAGTTCTCATGAGATCTGGCAGTTTTTTTTCCTATTTAATATTCTTGTATATAGTACTTACAATGTTTCATCACCCTAGGTTGATTTGACTAATGGCAAGTTACTTTCTGTCGCTTTCAACCATAGAGGCTTGCAATGTAATATGAACAGATATCACCTCTTGGTTTTCTAATCTAAAAAATGACAACAAATGAAGACCACCATCTTCCCCTTTGCATCACTTCCTTTATTAAACCTGAAACTTTTTAGCTGTGGATAAGTTGTATCTTCAGAATCTTTCTTCTTTTAATATCAGGAATTGTTGCGCTTCTCCATAGGATTTGGTTTAGTTTTCTTTTGTGGTTGCCATGAGTTGAGAAGCTGATGCTATGGTTTAGATATTTAACTCCTCCAAAGCTCATGTTGAAATTTGATCCCCTAGCGTGGCGGTGTTTGGAGGTGGAGCCTAGCGGAAGGTATCTCGGACGTGGAGATGCATCCCTCATACATGGCTTAGTGTCAGTCTCTAGGTAGTAAGTTCTTGGTTCTTGGGGAAATGGATTAGTTCCCACGAGAGTGGGTTGTTAAAAAGAGCCTGGAGCCTCCCCCATCTCTCTTGCTTCCTCTTTCCCCATGTGATCTCTGCACCTGCAGCTCCCCCTTCACTTTCTGCCAGGAGTGGAAACAGCCTGAGGCCCTCACCAGATGCAGATGTCACTGCTATGCTTTTTTGTACAGCCCACAGAACCGTAAGCCAAAGAATCTTTTCTTTATAAATTACCCAGCCTCAGCTATTCCTTTATAGCAGCACTAAACCAAATAACACAGAGATCAAGATTGACTTTTCATTTTTATGACTAGAAAACTTAAAATTAAACTTGAAACCCATATAGAACAACGGTTTAGGAGTTTGTAATGTGTAGTTTTTTACTAAGCTCATTTCTGGATTCATTTTCCAAAATTATCTTTGTTCTTTCTTTTCTTCCTCTCTCCGTCACCTATGCCCATATTATGCAATGTTGTCTTATTTTATAAACCTTTTAAATAAATGAATTCATATCCCACCCCATAGCTTAGCAAACAGCTGTATGCATCAAATATGGTCCATAAAAATCTGTTGAGTTTTCTTTCACTGAAAGCCACAAATAATCTTCTGAATGCAATAAGCAGGGACTACCTAACAGAAAACCTTTTGGGACCTTAAGTAAAATGTCCTGCCCAAAATATATGTGGTCATTAACCATATCTACATCTCTACCTGTCTATCTATCTGTCTGTCTATCTATCTATCTATCTATCTATCTATCTATCTATCTATCTATCTATCTATCATCTATCATATATCTACTCCCTATCATGTAGATAACATTTTCAAAGTATATGATAATATTCAGGGCTGGGTATGGTGGCTCATGCCTGTAATCCAAGCCGAGGCAGGTGGATCACCTGAGGTCAGGAGTTTGAGACCAGCCTGACCAACATGGTGAAACCCCGTCTCTATTAAAAATACAAAATTAGTTGAGTGTAGTGGTGCATATCTGTAGTACCAGCTACTTGGGAGGGTGAGGCAGGAGAATTGCTTGACCCGGGAGGCAGAGGTTGCAGTGAGCTGAGATCGTGCCAGTGCACTCCAGCCTGGGCAATAAGAGTGAAACTCCATCTCAAAAAAAAAAAAGTATATTATAATATTCAATGTATTAACTTAGATAAAAGTGGACATTTTAAAAAGCATTGTATGCAAATATAATGCTTTATGATATTTTCTGCTTCCATTTTATTAAACACTCTTATTCAAACCTTTTATATGCATCTTCAACATCACTCACTACCATTAGTGTTCCTATTAGTAGACATTTTAAAAAAATATTTTATATTATGAAAGTTTTTCAACATACTCAAAAGAGAAGTTTATAATCTTACATAAACCTATTGCCTGGCTTCAACAATTTTCAACACATGGCCAATTTCATCTACATCTCTACCTATTTACCTTCTTTGTTCCCCACTGGATTGTTTTGAAGTGGACATCATATTATTTCATCCTAAAATACTTCAGAATGTATCGTATTTGATAAGAATCTACATTTTGTAACAAAAGTATAATATATTAATTCCTAAAAAGGTTAATTGTAACATTTAATGTCATTAAAATTACTAGTTGATGTTAAAAAAAATCCATGATTTTTTAAAAATGCAATTGCTTTGTTCAAATCAAGATCCAAATAAAAGCCATAGGTTACATTTAGTCAATGTGTCTTTCGAGTACCTTTTAGTCCTTAGATTATTGACTCTTTTCTATTTTTACTTGCAATTTATTTATTTATTTTTAGTTTTGAGACTGAGTTTTGCTCGTCTCCCGGGCTGGAGTGCAATGGGCAATCTAGGCTCACTGCAACCTCCACCTCCCAGGTTCAAGTGATTCTCACTCCTCAGCCTCCCGAGTAGCTGGGATTACAGGCATGCGCCACTACGTCCAGCTAATTTTTGTAGTTTTAGTAGAGATGGGATTTCATCACGTCCGCCAGTCTGGCTCAAACTCCTGACCTCAGGTGATCCGCCCGCCTTGGCCTCCCAAAGTGCTGGGATTACAGGCGTGAGCCACTGTGCCTGGCCGCAATTTATTTATTGAAGAAACTATTTTCTAATTGAATGGACAATTATAATATTGGTATTTATATTCTGAAACCAAGAGTAGGATAAAAGAAATTAGTAATTATATTAACATTACTAGGAACCAAGATTTTCAGTGAAAGTAAAAGAAAATATAAATAAAAATCAAATACATTAAATAAAAACCCTATGAACCCAAATTTGAATTAAATATACTCATGATATATTTTTTCTTAAAAATATGAGGTCAGACCACATGAAACTGCTGATATTTCATCATTTTTGATTTATAGAAAAGGCAATTTCATATGGTTCAAAACGATGTGGTTCATATGGTTGTTTCCTAGCTCTGTACAAAAAGGCATGGAAATGAAGTCTAATATAATATCAACAAGTGTTTCTACCACTGAAATTGTGGTCTCTACATATCATTTCCCATTACAAAGAAAAAGGGTTATTTGTAAAAATTGCTAATTCTATATCTGGGGCATGAATTGTGCAAGATAAGCTTGGAATATGTTGTCATACCATAAAGCAAGGATATTGGCACAGGATATTGGCGCTGTGTATGCACCTATACTGAGATGCATACACAGATACCATAAAGTAGGGACATTGGCACAGGATATTGGAGTTGGGTCAGTAGGACTTAGGAGTCAATTTGATGTATTTGATGATTGTTGCACACAAATTAAGTCAAGAGCATTTCCTCTTTACATTTTCAAAACTATGGAAGGTTGGGGGATTTTACTTGAGCTAATTAGTCAATAATAGCTTCAGTTGGTGATTTTCTCTTTCTCATTCTCCAGTAGATTTACCTTCCTTTAGAGGATTAGTGAGTGACATTTTATTGATAAACTTTCTTTCAGAACATTTAACACTTAACTCCAGGGAAGGTCAATGGGTAATAGAAGGTCGTAATTTACATTTCTGGTCAACATAGGAACATGTCTATGTAAGTATGGGCAACATTTAACTATATAAAGAGATAAAGAGCCTTTGCTTTGGGAAAAACTAGAACAAAACTGGATGAGGATCTTTATTACTAATGACACTCAAATGCCCCCAAGGCACAGGGAAACTATTTGTGATTCTTGTGATTACTATAAGGGGAGTTTAATAGAACCTTCTGAGATACTATTAAGTCTTTCAGTGGAAACTGAATAATTGTTTGCCTCTAATAAAGCTGATTCCAAATAAAAATATAAATTAAAATATTAGAAATGTGTGTAGATGCTCCTACCACACTGGATTTCTAGGCTTTGTATATCTGAGACCTAAATGAAAAGAAAAAGAGTAGGAATAAATCCTGAATTTCTCCTAGGCCACTTCTGTGAGCAGATAATGCAGAGAAATGGATAAAGTTATCTGAAGTCTTTATCTAGTCTTGCCAGCTGGTCTTTTCTACATTGGATGTGGGACAAAGTCTCTGGACATGAGAATAAACAAGCAATGGAGGCCTTTTCAATGCATAATGCTTTCTACCAGGGAAAATGAAAAATGCCCAGCTGAGAGATGGGGATAGAATCAGACTAACCTGAGAGTAAACGTCTTTCTTTGGCAGGAGTATAAACTGACAATGCTTTTTCCCTTCCTCAATAAACCTTTGATCATTTTAGAATTTTCCCTATCTCTTACTTTCCACAAAATCGACTTCCTGTCAATCCTACCTGTTAAGTATTTCTCTTATATCATTTTCTCTATTGCTACTCTCACTCTTGAAAAAGTCCTTATCACTCATTTGGCCTCTCTATAGCCTTCTGATCCCATTTTTTTTTTCATTCCAATCCATCTCTACCTTATCTCTTTTTCTTCTTGAAAAACATATCTGATCACATGATTCCCTTGCTCCAATGCTAAATGAGTAAGCTTCAATTACTCAAATTTGGCATTAAAAGTCCTTTCCACGATTTTAATTCCTAACTTACCCTGCTTAGAGCCATCTTTTTGACTAGGCCTTGTCCTTGGGCCTGCCTGTACCAGTTTTAGAAAGAATCCTACTAGATAAGTTTAGAGTGACTCCCCACCCTGCGTATCTGATTATCCTCAGTATCTGCTCAAGTTTATCATCCTCTGACTTTGATATATAAATCCTTGACCCGCCATCAGCAAGAATCCTGTGAAGTTAGTTTAGCAAGGATTCCCCTACCCTTGATGTCTCTGTTAATAACTTTTCATCTATTGACTTCCTCATTCTTCTCATTGGCTATAATTCCCCAGATATCTTTGCTGTATAGGTTGAGTATCCCTGAAACAAAATGCTTGGAACCAGAAATGTTTCAAATTTCAGCTTTTTGCAGACTTTGGAATATTTGAATATATATAATGAAATATCTTGGGGATGGGACCCCGAGTCTAAGCATGAAATTAATTTATGTTTCATATATACCTTATATACATAGCCTGAGGTAATTTTATATAATATTTTAAATAATTTTATGCATAAAGAAAAGTTTTGAGTATGTTTTGACTGCAACCCATAACATGAGGTCAGTTGTGTAATTTTCTACTTGTGGCATTATGTTGGAACTCAGAAAGTTTTGGATTTTAAAGCATTTCTGATTTTGAATTTTTTGATTAGTATGCTCAATGGGTATTTGAAATTGAGCCCAATCTCTCCCCTATTGTAATAGTCTTGCCATCTATCACAATAGCCCTGAATAATTTCTTCCTTACTATTTTAACAAGTGTCAGAATAATTTTTTCTTTAACAAGACCAACTGTGCAATTTGAAAAGATTTTTATTAGCACCATCAACATGAATCCAAACAGCACCCACAGAAGGGGCACAACTCTCTCTCTCTGAGAAATGGAGTGACTATGGCCTATTGGTATCCTGTTAGAAAGAATACATGGCCAGAGCTAGCCCCAGAACTGAAGCATCTTCCATAGAGAATAGATCTCAATCCTAGCCACTTCAGAATTATTTGTGTAACCAATTAAAACTGGTTGTATGACTAATATGATATTTTTGTAAACCCGAAGCATCTGGCTAAGGCCAATAGAAAATCTGATCTCAGTCATGTGATCTGGAATTTGTAAAGTCCGGAAAATGTGATTAAAGAGCCATTTATCAATTTTTGTCTGAGGCCCAGCCTCTCTACATCCCCTCTCCTTTGGGAAGCTCAAGCTTTATTCTACTAGAGGACTAACAGTCCCAGCAAAGTCCTGGCCAAGGAGTTTCTTTCTGGGCCACCTAAAACATAGACATTAACTGTTTTCTTTCCAGGAGATGGAGCTTAGAAGAACCTAGGTTTTAAAACACAGTATTGACTCTTCTTGCCAGAGTGGGGCATGGAAATAAAAAGTATTCTCCTATCTTTCCTATCTCCTACTGCAGAAAGAATAAGGCAGACTTTGACATCTCCACAGATGACCCTGCCACACTGGTTTATAATAATTTTCAACTCTCCACACATGCTCTGAAATCTGCTTTATCCCCATCCCCTTCTGACCATAACAGTGAATCCTGACATCTTTAACTGAGTTACTCTTTGTAGTAGAAAATAAGGGGACCTCAAGTCCCATATCTCCTTGTCCAGGGCTCTAGTTACATCATCCTTTCTCTCTGGACAGGCACTCTGTCACAAGAATCTCCCTTGGGGGCCATTGTCAAGCACAGAAAGAATCCAGGAGTGTTAGGGGAGTTATATTTCCGGCCTTTACTGAGGTGCAGGCAGAAGTGCATGCTTTCGGTAAGTTTCAGTGCTTGGGAAATCCTTAGTGACTGGGGGTCAAACTTTATCATCCTAGGGGCAACTAGTGTCTAGACCCAATGAAGGCAAAAACCATTTCACTTATTCACCCTAACTGTTCTCCCCTAGGGCAAAATAGAAAGTTAAGTTAAAATACTTGACAATGGTTAGGTTTAAAAGTCCCCAGAAGTGTTTTAACGAAGGGTTTTCTGTGGGCTTGTTCAGAAAAATGATATTGCATGAAGAATCTTCATTTTGAATCTGTAAAACCAAAATAAGAGTAACAATTTCTGGGTAGTAAAGTTGAATGGCAACATCATACCTACATGCAGTCTATGACATCCGATGCTAATACCAATTTGATGACTCCCTGCTTCAAAACAACTCTGTTAGTTTTTGAAACTCAAAATGACTTTAACGATATTTTACAAATGATAAACTGAGGTTTAGAGAAGTTAAACTACTTTTATGATAATCCTTGTGTATCTAGGAAGTAAATTGTCTTCCCTTTCTACTTCAAAAATTACTTTTCCAGAAAAACTTGAAAAGAATGAAACATATTTGCCTTTATTGCTGCCCCCTGCTAGTAACAAGTCATCTTTACACTCTGCAAGATTTAGGCTTCACGTTACCAACTGAGAGACGAATATCAAAATCTATACCTGTATATGACATAGTCATATCCAGCCTCTATAAAGAGCTCCTGCAAGTTGATATTAAAAAGATAGCAATCCCATTAAAAATGGGCAAAAGACTCAAGCAGATATATTATAAAAGGACACAAGAATGGCCAATAAGCACCTAAAAAGGTGTTTAACATTGTCAATCTTCAGTGAAAATGAAAATTAAAGTCACGACAAGATACAACAAGATACTACTTCATCCCCACTAGAATGTCCAAAATAAAAAAGACAGACAATACAAGTGTTTTGTGAGGATGTGAAGCAACCAAAACTCTCATACATTGTTGGTGGAACTGCAAATGACTGAACTACTTTGGAGAACTATTTTCAGTTTCCCAAAGTTAAAGCTATGTCTACTACATGACCCAGCAATACTACTCCTGGGTATTTACCCAAAAGAAATTAGTATATATATACAAAAAATACATTTATACATGAATGCTCACCAGAAATAGCTAAAGCAATATTGAGAAAAAACAAAAACGAAACAAACATCACACTACCTGACTTTAAAATATACTGCAAAGCTATAGTAAACAAAACAACATGGTACTGGCATTAAATGGGCACATAAATGCATAGATCAATGGAACAGGATAAAAAGCCCAGAAATAAACTCAGACATTTATGGTCAATTGATTTTTTGACAAAGGTACCAAGAACAAACAACAGGGAAAGACAGTCTCTTAAATAAATGGTTTTTGGAAAACTGAATATTCTCACACAGATGAATAAACTTAGTCCCTTCTCTCACACCACATACAAAAATCTAATCAAAATGAATTTAAAACTTAAACATAAGACCTAAAACTATGAAACTAACAAGAAAGAACATAGGGGAAAAGCTCCATAGCATTGGTCTGGACAATATTTTTTTTAATATTGCCCCAAAACCACAGACAACAAAGTGAAAATAGACAAATGGGATTACATCAAATTAATAAGCTTCTGCATAGCCAATGAAAAAGTCAACAGAGTGAAGGGAACACCCACAGAATGAGAGAAAATATTTGCAAATCATACACCTTATTAGAGGTTAGTATCCAAAATACCTAATGAATTCAAACAAATCAAATTTCAAAAAAACCCCAGAAATAACCAGATTTAAAAATGTACAAAGGACCTGAATAGACATTACTCAAAAGAAGACATACAACTGTCCAACAGTTATATGAAAAAATGCTCAATATCACCAATCATCAGAGACATGCAAATTAAAATCACAATGAGATATCACCTCACACCTGCTAGAAAGGCTATTATCGAAAGATGAAAAATACATGTTGCCTAGGATGTGGAGTAAAGGGAACTCTTGCACACTGTTGGCGGGAACATAAATTAATACAACTATTATGGAAAACAATATGGAGGTTCCTATCCTAAAAAATTAAAAATAGAACCACTATATGATCCCAAAATTTCACTTCTGGGTATATATACCAAGGAAATGAAATCAGTATGTCAAAGAGATATATGCATTCCCATTTGTTTTCATATGGAATCAACCTAAGTGTCCACCAACAGATGAATGTGTAAAGAAAATTATATATATATATACACACACACACACACAATGGAATATTATTCAGTCTTAAAAATGAGAAAATTGTGTCATTTGTGACAACATCGATGAACCTGGAAAACATTATGTTAAGTGAAGTAAGCCAGGCACGGAAAGACAAATACCACATGATCTCACCTGTATGTGGAATCTAAAAAAGTTGAAGTCATTGAAGTAGAGAGTAGAATGATGGTTACCAGGGGCTGTGGGAGATGAAGGATTGAGGAGACATTGGTCAAAGGATACAAAATTTTATTTCGATAGGAGAAATAAGTTCAAGAGATACATTGTACAACATGGTGACTATAGTTAATAATAACGTATTACTGTATTTCAAAAACAATGTATTTTCTTTTGCTAAGAGAGTAGATTTTAAGTGTCCTTACCACAAAAAATGGTGAGTGTGTGAGGTAACGCAAGTATTATTTAGCTTGATTTAACCATTCCACAAGGTACACATATTTCAAAACATCATGTTGCACATGATAAATATATACAATTTCTATTTGTCAATTAAATAAATTGAGGAGAGGAAGATGGCAGATAGGAGACAGGGCTAATGTGTAGCTCCCACACGGACAGACAGAACAGTGTGGAGACTCACATCATGGTCTTTTGCACCAAGAACCGCTGCAGGAATGTACCAGGAAAACTGAAAGAATTCACAGATCCTTTGAAAGAACCAGAATGCAACTGCAAATTCCTTGAAACAGATGAAAAGCTGAGTTCCCAAAGTGTGAAATGGGGGAAAACCTACTGCCAAACACACATCCCTACCAGAGAATCTGAAAATCCAGATCACGGGAGAAAGATTTAATCTTACCTAGAGAAGAAATGGGTTAAGGATTTGTGGGAAATATAAGTAGAGGTAGCAGCAGGTTCAGCTTAAGCCCCCAAAAGCCATGCCTGACTATGTCTCACAGGAGCCCTTGGGAAAGTCAGTCAGCGAAATTCAGAAGGCTAATTCATGGCCGTGGGGCAAAGGAAGCTCCCAACTGAAATTGGTAGTGGTTTTGGCTGGGCAAAAATGTTCTTGAGTGGAGTCTGCGGGATGAATGGGAGCTACTATGGATACAAGGGTGTGAGGGAAGGAGCATAGGAGCTGCAGCTAACAGACTGGGCAGATTGGGAGGGATGAAGTCTAAAAGCCAAGCTTGCTTTCTCAGCAGGGTAGCTCAGGACCTGGAGCAAGGTCTACATAGGGGGGACCAGGGGAGCGAGAGCAGCCTCACCAACTGCATGGCAGTTGGGTGAGGCCTCTCTCTACCAGCTTTCCCCCACTTCCCTGGTGAACTATATGACACAGGAGATGCAGCCAAGATCCCCTCTAGAACATAACCTCAGTGGCCTAAGAACCACTCCCTGTCCCCTACAGTGGCCACAGTAAGTATAGCCCAAAGAAAGGGTCTGAGCCCAGACCTGTCTAACCCTGCCCACACCTGATGGTATTTCCCTACCCACCCTGGTAGCCAAACACAAAACACAGAAATTCTTGCAAGCTTTATGGCCCTGCCCATCACCTAAGAAACCAAAATAGTTACCCTGGCCATCTTAGGTCAAGCCTAGAGACTTCTACAACTATCATAGCTGGTGCTCTCTTGAAAATGCCATCTTCTGGCTGGAGGCCAACTAACTCAGAACATCATAGCAACTCAAGACAGAACAACCCTGATCCCAGGAAGGAGAAGACAACACTTAAATTCTACTGTCTGCAATATCCTGGCTAACCAGAGGTCCTGAATGTGTCCACATGACAACTTCACCAGTAGCATAATCAGCAATCAAGAAAGCCAGCACCCTAAACCTATCTACAGTCAAGGACTCTCAGAGTCTACTTCACTTCCCTGGCACCTCTACCAGAGCAGGTGGTGGTATCCATGGCTGGGAGACCTGAAGATGCATCACATCACAAGACTTTTTACAGACATCCTCCAGCACCAGCCCAGAGCCTGGTAACCCTGCTGGGTGGTTAGACCCAGAAGAGCAATAACTATCACCACACCCTAGCTCTGAGGAAGCCCCATCCATAGGGAAAGGGGGAGAGCACCACATCAAGGGATCACCCTGTTGGACAAGAGAATCTGAACAGCAGACATTGAATTTCAGACCCCTCCACTGAATTAGTCTACACAAGCGAGAAGGAACCATAAAAGTAATTCTGGTAATATGACAAAACAGGTTTCTATAGTACCCCCAAAAGATCACATTAGCTCCCCAAAGCAATGGATCCAAACCAAGAAGAAATCTCTGAATTGCCAGATAAAGAATTAACAAGGTTGATTATCAAGCTACTCAGGAAGATACCAGAGAAAGGTAAAAAGCAATGCAAAGAAATTGAAAAAACAACAGAGGATATGGATGAAAAATTCTCCAGAGAAATAGATATTATAAAGAAAAAAACAATCACAACCTCTGGAAATGAAAGACACACTTAGAGAAATACAAAATGCAGTGGAAAGTTTCAACAATAGACTAGAACAAGTAGAAGAAAGAATTTCAGAGCTCAAACTTGAGGCTTTCCAATTAACCCAATCAGACAAAGACAAAGAAAAAAGAATTTCAAAAAATGAAGAAAGCCTCCAAGTCGTTTGTGATTATGTTAAACAGCCAAACCTAAGAATAATTGATGTTCCTGAGGAAGAAGAGAAATTTAAAGTTTGGAAAAATTATTTGAGGGAATAATTGAGGAAAACTTCCCTGGCCTTGCTAGAGATCTAGACATCCAAATACAAGAAACTCAAAGAACACCTGGGAAATTAATCACAAAAAGATCATCACCTAGGCACATTGTGATCAGGTTATCTAAAGTCAAGACAAAGGAAAGAATCTCAAGAGCTGTGAGACAAAAGCATCAGATAACCTTTAAAGGAAAACCTATCAGATTAACAGCAGACTTCTCAGCAGAAACCTTACAAGACAGAAGGGATTAGGGTCCCATCTTCAGCCTCCTGGAACAAAATAATTGTCAGCCAAGGATTTCGTATCCAGTAAAACTAAGCTTCATAAATGAAGGAGAGATAAAGTATTTTTTAGACAAATGCTGAGAGAATTCACCACTACTAAGCCAGCACTACAAGAAATGCTAAAAGGAGTTCTAAATCTTGAAACAAAACCTCAAAATCTATCAAAATAGAACCTCCTTAAAGCATGAATCTCACAGGGCCTATAAAACAACAGCACAACAGAAAAAACCAAACCAACAATGTATTAAGGCAGCAACTAACATGATAAATAGAACAGTACCTCACATCTCAATACAAACATTGAAGTAAATGACCTAAATGCTCCACTTAAAAGATACAGAATGGAATAATGGATAAAAATCCATGAATCAAGTATCTTCTGTCTTCAAGAGACTCACCTAACACCTAAGGATTCACATAAACTTAAGGAAAAGGGGTAGAAAGGATATTCCATGCTAATGGGAGCTAATAGTGAGCAGCAGTAGCTATTCTTATATCAAACAAAATAGACTTTAAATCAGCAATGGTTAAAAAAAAGAAAAAGAGGGTCATTATATAATGATAAAATGAATGGTCCAACAGTAAAATATCACAGTCCTAAATATATACACACCTAATGCTGGAGCTCCCGAATTTATAAAACAATTGCTACTAGACCTAAGAAATGAGATAGATGGCAACATAATAATACTTGGGAACTTTAATACTCCACTGACAGCACTAGACAGGTCATCAAGACAGAAAGTCAACAAATTAAAAATGGACTTAAAGTATACCCTAGAACAAATGGACTTAACAGATATTTACAGAACATTCTACCCAACAACTGCAGAATATACATTCTTTACATCAACACATGGGACATTCTCCAAGATAGGCCATATAATAGGCCACAAAACAAGTCTCAATATATTTAAGAAAATTGAAATCATATCAAGTATACCCTCAGACCACAGTGGAATAAAACTGAAAATTAAGTCCAAAAGGAACCTTCAAAACTATACAAATACATGGAAATTAAATAATCTGTCCCTAAATGATCTTTGGGTCAACAATGAAATCAAGATGAAAATTAAAAAATTCTTTGAGCTGAACAATAGTAGTGACACAACTTATCAAAACCTATAGGGCAGAGGAAAAGTGGTGCTAGGAGGAAAGTTCATAGCATTAAATGCATATATCACAAAGTATAAAACAGTGCAAATACACAATCTAATGTCACACCTCAAGGAACCAGAGAAACAAGAACAAACCAAACCCAAACCCAGCAGAAGAAAAGAAATAACCAAAATCAGAGGGAAACTAAATGAAATCGAAACAAGAAAATCAATACAAACGATAAATGAAACCAAAAGCTGGTTCTTTGAAGAGATAAATAAAATTGATAGACCACTGGCAAGATTAACAAAGAACAGAGAAGATCCAAATTCACTCAGTTAGAAATGAAGCAGGAGATATTACAATTGATACCACAGCAATACAATAGATCATTCAAGGCTACTATGAACACCTTTATGCTCACAAACTAGAAAATCTAGGAGATGGATAAATTCTTGGAAATATACAATCCTCTCAGATTAAATCAGTAAGAAATAGAAACCCTGAACAGACCAAAAACAAGTCGCAAGATTGAAGCACTAATTTAAAAATTGCCAAAAAAGAAGTCCAGGACTAGATGGATTCACAGCTGAATTATATCAGACATTCAAAGTAGAATTGGTACCAATCTTACTGAAACTATTCCCAAAGATAAAGAGGAATCCTCCCTAAATCATTCTATGAAGCCTGTATCACCCTAATTCCAAAACCAGGAAAGGACATAACAAAAAAAGAAGACCAATTTTCCTGATGAACATAGATGCAAAAATCCTCAACAAAATACTAATTAACTGAATCCAATAGCATATCGAAAAGATAATCCACCAAGATCAAGTTGGTTTCATACAAGGGATGCAGAGATGGTTTAATATACACAAGTCAATGAATGTGATACATCACATAAACAGAATTAAAAACAAAATCATATGATCATCTCAATAGATGCTGAAAAAGCAGTTGACAAAATCCAGCATCACTTTATGATTAAAGCCCTAAGCAAAATTGGCGTAGAAGGGACATACCTCATGATAATAAAAGCCATCTATGACAGACTCACAGACAACATTGTATTGAACAGGAAAAGTGGAAAGCATTTTCCCTGAGAAGTGGAAAAAGATAAGGATGCCCACTTTCACCACTTCTATTCAACATAGTACTGGAAGTCCTTACCAGGGCTGTCAGACAAGAGAAAGAAATAAAGAGCATCCAAATCATAAAAGAGGAAGACAAACAGTTACTGTTTGGTGATGATATGATTATATACCTGGAAAACCCTAAAGAATAATCCGAAAAGCTTCTAGATCTGATAAATGAATTCAGTAAAGTTTCAGGGTACAAAATCAATGTACACAAATCAGCAGCACCGCTATACACCAATAGCAACCAAGCTGAGAATCAAATCAAGAATTCAACCCCTTTTACAATAGCTGCAAAAAATAAATAAAATACTTAGGAATATACCGAACCAAGGACGTAGAAGACCTCTACAAGGAAAACTACAAAACACTGCTGAAATAAATCACAGATGACACACACACACAAATGAAAACACGTTCCATGCTCGTGGATAGGTAGAATCAATATTGTGAAAATTACCATACTGCCAAAAAGCAATCTACAAATTCAATGCAATTTCCATTAAAATACCACCATCATTCTTCACAGAACTAGAAAAATCAATCCTAAAATTCATATGGAACCAAAAAAGAGCCTGCATAGCCAAAGCAAGACTAAGCAAAAACAACAAATCTGTAGGCATCACATTACTTGACTTCAAACTGTACTATAAGGCTATAGTTACCAAAACAGCATGGTACTGGTATAAATATAGGCACATAGACCAATGGAACAGAATAAAGAACCCAGAAATAAAGCCAAATACTTACAGCTAACTGATCTTTGACAAAGCAAACAAAAACATAAAGTGGGGAAAGGACATCCTATTCAACAAATGGTTCTGGGATAATTGGCAAGCCATATGTAGAAGAAAGAAACTGGATCCTCATCTCTCACCTTATACAAAAATCAACTCAAAATGGATCAAAGACTTAAATCTAAGGCCTAAAACCCTAAAAAATTCTAGAAGATAACATCAGTAAAACTCTTCTAGACATGGCTTAGGCACGGAGTTCATGACCAAGAACCCTTAAGCAAATGCAACAAAAACAAAAATAAACACATGGGACCTAATAAACTAAAAACTTCTGCACTCTGATTACAGCAGAGTAAACAGACAACCCACAGAGTGGGAGAAAATATTCACAAAGGACTAATATCCAGACTCAGGGAACTCAAAAAAATCTGCAAGAAAAAACAACTAATCCCATCAAAAAAGTGGGCAAAGGATATTAATAGACAATTCTCAAAAGAAGATATATAAATGACCAACAAATATATTTAAAAATGCTCAACATCACTAATCAGCAGGGAAATGCAAATCAATACCACAATGAGATACCACCTTACTCCTGCGAGTATGCCCATAATTTTAAAAACTCAAAAAATAATAGATGCTGGCATGGATGTGGTGAAAAGGGAACATTTTTACACTGCTGGTGGAAATGTATACTAGTACAAACACTATGGAAAACAGTATGAAGATTTCTTAAAAGAACTAAAAGTAGAATTTCTGTTTGATCCAGCAATCCCACTACTGGGTATCTACCCAGAGGAAAAGAAGTCATTATATGAAAAAGACACTTGTACATGCATGTTTATAGCAGCACAATTTGCAATTGCAAAAATATGGAACCAGCCTAAATGCCCATAGACAAAGTGACTGAAGAAAATGTGGTACATATACACCATGGAATTCTACTCAACCATATGAAGGAACGAAATAAGGGCAAATACAGCAACCTGGATAGAGTTGGAGACTATCACTCTGAGTGAAGTAACTCAGGAATGGAAAACCAAATATCATATATTCTCATTGATAAGTGGGAGCTAAGCTATGAGGACACAAAGGCATATGAATGATACAATGGACTTTGGGATTTGGGAGGAAGTGGGGGTAAAGGATAAAAGACTGCACATGGGATACAGTGTACACTGCTCAGGTGATGGGCTCACCAAAATCTTAGTAATTACCACTAAAGAATTTATCCTTGTAACCAAAAACTATCTGTTCCCCAAAAACTATTGAAATAAATAAAAATAAATTAATTAATTAACAAAAAAGAATGTTCATAACATCTTTATTCTTAATAGCCAGCAATTAAGAGCAACCCAAATATCATTCAACAGAAGAATGGATAAAAACACTGTGGTATATTCACATGATGGAATATTTCTCAGCAACAAAATGAATAAACTACTGATAAACACACAATATGGATGGATCATAAACATGTTGAGCAAAAGAATCCAGACACAAAAGAATACACACTATATTACCATTTATATTATGTTCTAGAACAATTAAGATAATTAAACACTTTGAACAATTAACCAAATGTTTAATTGAATTGTCTAATGTGTTTGATTAAATGACATTGAAATTGTTAAATTAATTAAACAATTAAAATAATTTCTATGGTGATAACAATTAGATCAGTGGTTATCTTTTGCAAGAACTTTCTCAGGTGATAGAAATATTCCATATCCAGTTTTGACTCTTAATTATACAGATGTATACAATTGTTAAAATTCGGCCAGGCATGGTGACTCATACCTGTAATCCCAGCACTTTGGGAGGGCGAGGCAGGCGGATCACCTGAGGTTGGGAGTTCGAGACCAGCCTGACCAACATGGAGAAACCCAGTCTCTACTAAAAATACAAAATTAGCCGGGTGTGGTGGCACATGCCTGTAGTTCCAGCTACTCGGGAGGCTGAGGCAGGAGAATTGCTTGAAACCTGGAGGTGTAGGTTGCAGTGAGCCAAGATTGCACCATTGCACTTCAGCCTGGGCAACAAGAGCAAGACTTTGTCTCAAAAACAAAAAAAATTCATTGAACGCCAAAGATCTGTGGTGTTTGTGTGTGTGTGTGTGTGTGTGTGTGTGTGTGTGTGCATAGTTTAAAAATGATTGAATATAGCAAAGACTTGGAATCAACCTAAATGCCCATCAATGGAGAAAAAAGTGGTACATACACACCATGGAATACTATGCAGCCATAAAAAATAAGGAGATCACTTCCTTTGCAGGGACACGAATGGAGCTGGAGGCCATTACCCTTAGCAAACTAACACAGGAACAGAAAACCAAATACCACATGTTCTCACTTATAAGTGGGAGCTAAATGATGAGAACACATGGATGCCTAGAGGGGAATCACAGACAGTGGGGCCTCCTTGAGGGTAGAGGGTGGGGGGAGGGAGAGGATTGGGAAAAATGACTAATTAGTACTAGGCTTAATACCTGGGTGACAAAATAATTTATACAACAAACCCCATGACACAAATTTACCTATATAACAAACCTGCACTTGTAGCCCTGAACTTCAAGGTTTTTCTCTTTTTTTAAGTATTTTGGTACAAAAAAAAAAGCAAAAAAATTAAAACTGAAATTTTAACCATGTGTATCTTTAAAAATAATCTCATTATATGTTAACATTGTATTTTAATTAAAACATATCTGTATCTTCCCAAATGAAAGATAATTTAATCAGAAGACTGGAAATCTCTCTAATGCCTGGCTTAATTAAAGACAGCTAAATTCTCTAAAAAAAAATGATTGAATAGAGCTATGTAAATCTTCAGAAGAACCTTTCAGCTATTTTAAAATACTAAATTCACCTTGATGAAGAAAACAGGGAAATCAGTTTATAGTTGAGTAATTTTCTGCTGCTAATCCCTATGATTAACCTATTGGCTCTCTACATTTTATCTCCATATATACTTCTGGAATTTCAATGATTTTTCAGTAAAGACATTAATTATCATATAGATCAACAAGTTTTTGTATATTTATTTAAATGTTCAATAAGCAAAGAGTATTTTAGAATACTTATTTTTACACTGCCACTCTATCACTTGTATTAATTAGAAATGTTTTTAGCTTCAGGTAATGGATAACTTGACTAAAATGTTTTTAAGTACAAATATAATTTTGTTTATTTAATAAAAATCCCTGAAGTCAGTGGTCTCAGTGGTGGCCCAGCATTTTAATGATGTCCTGAGGACCAAGCTCTTCATATCTGAGGAGAGCTTCCTATTACTATGATGGCTTTCATCCCTAAACTTGCCACTTCTCTTGGAGTTTTGCTACCTAAAGCAGATTTTCCTTAGCAAGGAAGGAGAAATAGCTTTTGAGTGGGCAGGCAAAAATAAATGTCTGAATTCTAATGCCCTATTTAAGAAAACCTAAGCCAGTCTTATCTACCATATGCAAAAGAAAATGTTGTAAACAGTGACCTAATTGTTGCTACTTTAGCTCTAATTATAATTAGAGTGAGCATGATTACAGACATGCTTCTAATCCATGAAGGCTCCTTCCTAAACTTTCAGTCTAAATCACAATTTATATATTTCCTGTTTGTCTGTCCTCCTGATCATGGTTTTTAAAAAAAATTCTTAGCTGCACTTATGCACTTTGTCTTCTAGATAGCTTGATAATTAGCTTGCCTCCTTTAGTTTTTTTATAATTTTTGTAGGCATTTTGATTGAAATGACATTGCATTTACAAAGTAATTATGGTGGAATTGAAAATTGCATATAGTTTTGTAAGTATTATGCAAAAGAGTTTCTCTGTACATTGATGAATCTATCTGTAAGCAAGATCCTTGAAGAGGCTGATGTTGTAGGGGAGAAACAGAGTGAAGAGTGGCTCACATCCCACCTAAAATGATGATTGGCAGATATCATGCAGCCATAACATTTAGAATAAATGAAAATACTTACAAAGAAGAATTACATTATAGTGCTTTGTAAAATTTAAGTTTCTTTGAGCCAGGGTCTTTCTCTGTCATCTTGGCTGGAGTGCAGTGGCGTGAAAAATAGCTCAATGTAACCTTAAATTCCTAGACTCAAGCATTTCTCCCACCTAAGCCCCCCAAAGCACTGGGATGACAGGCGTGAACCACCACACCTGGAAGATATTACAATACCAAGCAAAGGTATAAACAAAAGAGCTGGTGTAGTGACTCCTAATTGGAAGTTTCTAAAACAAAACAAGAGGAATGAGATTTAGCCCTGAAGGAACATTATTTGGCACTAAAGGAACATTATTATTCTACAAACACTGATATACTGCAATAAACTGTATTTGGATATCACAGAGAATCCCCATGATAACAAAAATGAGGTCTGGCATCATCCATAAGAGGCCTGTTCTCCTACATACAATAGATCAGCATTCTCCTATAATGAGTCACAAAGTAACTAGGCTTTCATCAACAGTTAAGATTTATCATGAGAATTAAATTTGATATTGTATAAAGTGCTTGATATGTTGCCAGTCATATAGCGTGGGCCTAGTAAAATGGTAACTATTACTATACATAGAGGAATATAATCATAGATAGTATTAGCTCCACTTTATAGATGTGGATAATGAGGCTAAGATCCCTTCAATAGCTTTTTCAAGGTCTTCCAGATGATATACACCTGTCTGACTCCTAAATTATGTTATGTTCTCACTATACTTTGCTACCTGCATTATCTATCCAGTATCTTATTCTAGGTAAGCCACTTCCCAAGCTTTTTTGTTAAGGATGATTATATCAAGGTGACAATTTCCCTCTGCCAAGACAGATATATGGTGTGATCAGTCTGCTCATTAAAAAATGGGGAAAAAACTTGAATTTGAAAGGTTCCCCAAAACATGGAATCTATGAACATGAAAGTCATAATAAATACCTTCAATACATTTGTTTGATTTCAAGATTATCACAGAATCAGTGGTTGTTAGACATTGAAGATCATCTAGTCCATGCCCTTTAAATGATAGAATGACAGCTGAGCAGGTGAGGAACTTGCAAAAGTTAGCACTAGAATCCAGGCCTCCTGAGTCCCAGGCCATTCCAGTTCTATGAACTAATATTATGGACACAAAATGTGAATTGCACCAATCTGTGTATGAAAACCATACTTTTTTATAGCAACATTAAGAATCATTACATACTTTACCAAATTTAAAAATTATTCAAAATATTTTTACATTTAAAATTTTTCTTTGTAATTTGTTTTACTATAGCTAAGTAAACACAGCAAACTTTTCCCTCACTCCTGCTCTATTCCTTAACATTGAAAAGTTTGATGGGTATTCTTCCATCTTTTTGTCAATTCATTTAAATATTTGAAATTTAGATATTTAGCTTGGGAGGTTAGCTATCTGAATAATTTTCTACTTGTTTTTTTGTCAGTCAATACAAACAAATCTACTTAACTTTTTATAGCTGCTGCATATATTCAATTGCATCAACATTTTATAACTTATTTTATTATTCCCTCATGATAATTTGTTTCCAATATTTCAAAATTATTTTTCAGAAAAGTGCTACAATTAATCTCTACATGCCTCTTTGTGCACTTGTGTGCTCTCAGTTTTTCTCAGGATAGATACCAGGTATAGCAGTATAATATCTAAACACGGTTACAATCATACCTATATCTGTAGGGGATTGGTTCCAGGATCTCCCACAGATAACAAAATTCACGGATGCTCAAGTCCCTATCCACATTCTCCCATATACTTTAAGCCATTTCTAGATTATTTATAATACCTAACACAATATAAATGCTATGTAAATAGTTTTACAATTTATTGCTTAGGGAATAATGACAAAAAAAGTCTGTACGTGTTCAGTACATAAGCAATATTTTTTTTTCCTGAATCCACATTTGGTTGAATCGATGCGTATGAAACCCATGGATATTAAAAGCTGACTGTACATGCTGCTGCTAAATGGCCCTATAAAATTATTTTGCCAATTTACACAACTTCCAGTAGTATATGAGAAAGTTTGACTTCCCAAATATGTGCTAACTCTTGACATCACTAATTCTTAGGTTTTACCTGATGGGCAAGTAATGATATTTCATGCTTCTACTCATTCAAATGTATGCAATTCGCAGTGTGTTAACACAATATTTGTATTTCTTTCCCTTTTACTTATTTTTTACTTTTGTATTGATTGTCCTTTTCATGTTAGTGTATAAGATATCTATATTTTCTTGATATTAATTCACTATGTGTTATATAGAACAAACATACCCTTCCAAGTATTTTTTCTGGAGGGCATGGAACTTTTTCTTAATTTTCATTTGATAAAATCAGTCATTCTTTTCCTTTCTAATGTCTATGTCTTTCTTACCCGAAGATTATAAGAATACACTTTTACTTTTATATCTGGCTTCTTTAAGTTTAGCTTTTTCTACCCGTCTCAAATGCAAGTGTGAAGGATTATGTGGTTTAGTTAATAAAGTTTTAGAATTATGTTACAAAGTGGTAAGCATTCAGAAAACAAAAACTCAATTGTATATATATAAAATATATACATATTATATATTAAATGTGATAAAGATATATATTTATTTATATATATATACCAAAAATATATATATTTTTTAAAAACTGAAAAACCTTCCCATCATCCCAGAGGGTTTATATACATTTATTGGAGAAATAAGTCTGTCTACATCTTGTTTATTTTCCCCATTTCCCAAGCTTTGTGTTAATTTCTATTTTTAGTATATTTTAGCTTTTAACTTATTATATTTTCTGCATTTTGTTGAGTTGTCAACTTCTTTTTGTTCACTGCTCCTTTTCAACATATTGTACCTTTGTATTTCAATTGAAACTTTAATCCATATAAAATTAATATTATATATGTTACTTAATATTTAAATGTGGAAAATACGGTTGATCACTTATGATATCTATCCACGACAAAATGTTGTCATGCTTTCACTTTTTTTCACTCCATGCCCCTCCCCCACAACGCATGTACACACATATGTGCAACCAGTTGACATTCTCTGGAGTTTTCAATCTAAACTAATATTAAATTCTGTGACACAATACATTAGGAAATATTTAAAGAGAAATAAAAGTTTTGCTACTTTGCTTAGCAAAATGAAAACTAAATCTTGGGAGAGGAAGATATTGACCTCAAGAAAAGGTAGAGAAAGAAGATGTCGCTTTAAAAGAGGGTTTTGTGGACTGCAAACTTTCTAACTCCTTAAATGTCCAAAATTTTCTTTATCCTCATACTTGTAAAGATAAGTGTACATGCATATTTATATATGTATGTGTGTATATAAGCATATATGCATGCATGCACATGTGTGTATATACACGTGTACACCACACACACACACGACAAAGAAATAATATCAAGAATATGTAAGAAAAATGTTATTTAATTTCAAAAGAGAGAGGGATAGAAACTGGTTACAGGTATAAAAAGAAGCCCCAAAGCACATGAAAACTCGTTAAACTATAGTCCTTACCAGAGAAATGCAGAATAAAATAACTCAGAAATTTATATTTTTTCCAAAGAGATGGGTATATTTTTAAGATGAAAATAATAATTCACATTGGCAAGGAAATGTTCACTCTATCACATTTTTGTGAGGGTAGAATTGATAAAAAGTGTTTGAGATTAATTTGATATAATAGATAAAAATTTTAAATATACATGTTGAGCCATTTCATTCTAGTAATCTATCAAAAATAATTCAAAGAGGTACATATAAGGATGTTTACTGTAATATATATGTAACAGTAAAAAATTAGAAATTACACAAGTATCCATCAATAAAACATAAAAAATAATTATGGTACATCTATGTGGGTAAATATTGGGCAGCAAAGAAAGCGAGTTATTTTTATATATAAGTATATAGATATATCTATACATATGAATAATTTCACATATATTTTTATATAAACCAATTTCTTATATCTAATATAAGCCAAACTAGTAAGGTAGGTTATGTCTGTAGATTGAGATTGATTTTTTTTTTGCTTTCTAATTTATATACACTCTGTTAAATTTTCATTTTTACCAGGCACATACATCATTTTATTTATTAAATTTATCTTCAGAGGAATGATGTCACCAAAAAATGGCAGAGTAAGGAGCTTCAAAAGTCTTACTCTCCAAAAAAAATCAAGAAAAACTGGCAAAAACAGTCAGAACCAACTTTTTCAGGACATTGGAAACTAAGCAAAAGCTGTAGTAACTCAGGTACTATTTATTCAAGTAAAACAGCTAAATCTCAGGAAGAACAGTGAGCTTTGTGGTATTTTAACTTACTCTATCCCATTCCCTCTTCCCCAGTGGTAGACTTGAAAATAATAGACTGCATTCCTAATATCTGTATAGGAGGAAGGACAATGGATCTCATTTACAAATTATCCTTAGTTGATCTGTCAAGTGGTTTACTGGGAGATCCACTCAAACATTTGTCTTTATTTTGCCTGAGTGGAACTCACACGTGCTAAAACCTGAACTCAGGAGACATTTGTTGAAAACATTTACAGATAAATGTTTTGGTCTTTGCTGCTGAGGCAATGGATAACAGTGGGGCAAACAATACACTAAGCAAAAAGCTTGTGAGGAAAGGCTGGAAAGTGAGATGTTTTGGGGGAATAAGGGCTTTGAAAAGTTCCAATATATTCCTGGGATTATGGAAAGCCCTCTGCATGCCAGGATTCTGCCCATGCTCAGGAAAGATCTGAGAAGGTCCTAAGCTCTTATCTCTGGTTGACTTTGAGTCCCTGTGCAAACAGGTAATGAAGGTTAAGGCAGAGTTGTAAACTTCCTGGCTAAGTGTTGAAGGCATGCTTTTTCCCCAGAACCAATATGCAAAGACTGGGATATTTTTTGGTTCCAGACTTTAGGGAAATCTCTGTCTGATCATTAGCTGACCACTAAGCTAATGGAACACAAACTTCAGTGAGCACACGTGATAAAAAATACACACTTTACAAAATTAATTCACATGAGAAAGAATACAAACTTTACAAAATTGGCTCACATGATAAACAATACAAACTTTACAATATTAGCTTAGAAAAGTCAGTTAACAAACAAACAGCTACAACAAGCACAATGATAATAAATCCCAGAAAGCGAGGAAATCTGATTTTCAGAGTTTCCACATTATAACATTCAAAATGTCCAATCTTCAGGAAAAAAAATGAAGCACACATAAAACTAAGAAAGTATGATGAGTTACCCAAATCAAGAAGAAAGAAAGTAAAGATTACAGTGACGGCAAATGTAGTACCGAATAGATAAATAATAGAGAAAATTAATTAAATGAAAAGTTGGTTCTTTGAAGAAATGAAAAATTGATCATCCTTGAGCTAGATGGACCAAAGGGGGAAAAAAGACTCAAATTACTAAAATTGAGAATGAAAGTGGGGATGTTATTATTCACTTTACAGAAATGAAAAGGATCATAAAAATACTTTGAATAATTATATGCCAGTGAATTAGATAACCTAGATGTATTGGACAAATTCCTAAAATGACACAAACTATTATAGGTGAAAAAAGATTTATTTTCTAATCCATTGCTAGGTTCATAACTGAGTGCCATACAAGAAAGGACAGATTAATAAGAGAAAAGCATAGCAAATTTATTTAATAAAAGTTTTAGGTGACATAGGAGGCTTCAGAAATGAAGATCCAAAGAAACAGGAAAACCTATGTCTTTTAATACTTAGGATTGATAAAGAGTGGATAGTCATGCAGAAGTACGGTTGGAGGGCAAACTAGTATGATCCCATGGTAATAAACTGAGGGAAACTTAGCAACACCTGTTAGCACAGATTCTTCTCTACATCCTGTGTCTTCAGAGATAAGTATATTCCTTTCCTTAAGGTATAGGATGGGTACCTCTGGAATGGCTTTATGACCTATTTCAAGAGACAGTCAGCTCGGTTTTATGGCCTGTTTCAGGAGAGAAGGGGCAAGGAGAAGGTGATAGCAACTCTGTTGCTTCAACTGTTTTGTCAAATGCCAAGGTGTCCTGTTTTGGGGTAGCATGTACTGAACTGTATCACTACCAAAACAGACTCAAGAATAAATAGAAAATCTGCTATAACAACTAAAAAGATTGAGTAAGTAATCAAATAATTTCCAATAAAGTAAAGCCCAAGGCCAGGTGACTTCATAGATAAATTCTATTAAATATTAAAAGAAGAATTAATATCAATCCTAAAATTATTCCAAAACATAAAAGAGGTGTGGGAACACTTTCTAACCCATTCTACATGGCCAGTATTACCCTGATACTAAAGTCAGAAAAATACACCAAAAGAATAGGAAGCTACAGACCAATATCCCTTACGAATATCAATGCAATCATCATCAACAACACTATCTAACCCAAGTCAGCAGCATACTAAAAGGAGTATACACCATGAGTGAGAATTATCTCAGAAATGTAAAATTGGTTTAAAAGTACATGATCATCTCAATAGATGCAGAGAAAGCATTTGACAAAATACAACACCTTTTCATGACAAAAACACTCAACAAACTAGGAATAGAAGGAAACTTCCTTAACCCGATGAAAAGCATTTATGCAAAACTCACAACATCAAACTTAATGGTGAAAAACTAAAAGTTTTCCCTGTAACAACAGAAACAAGACGAGGATGTCTACTCTCACCATTTCAATTCAATATGGTACTGGAAATATTATCTAGATACATTAGGCAAGAAAAGGAAATATAAGGCATCTGGACTGGAAAAGAAGAAGTAAAACTATATTAGTAGATGACATAATCTTATATATAGGAAACTTTAAATAATCCACCAAACCAACCAACCAACCAGTCATAACTCTGACAGAGCTAATAGTTTATTTCAGTCATGTTTCAGGATACAAGGTCAATATTTTGTATTAAATACAAAAATTAATTGTATTTCTATACACTAGCAATAAACAAATTGAAAGTGAAATTAAGAAAACAATTCAATTTACAATAGCATCAAAAATAATATACTACTTAAGAACAAATTAAGCCAAGAAAGGCAAGACTTGTATACTGAAAACTACAAATCATTGCAAAAGAAATGAAGAAGTCCTAAATAATGGAAAGATATCCCGTGGTTATTGACTGAAGGACTTAATATTGTTAAGATGGCAATAGTACACCAAATTACCAACAGATTCAATGCAATCCCTTTCAAAATTCTAACTGCCTTTTTTTTTTGCAGAAATGGACAAGCTAATTCTAAAATTCATATAAAAATGTAAGAGACCTGGATACCCAAAACAATATTGAGAAACAAGAACAAAATTGAAGGGATCACACTTAACCAATTTTAAACCTTTCTAGTAAGTTTTAAAATTGGGAAGCCATTACAGTAATTAAAGCAGTACGATACTGGCATAAGGATAGACATATGGCATAAAGGCAGACAATGGAATAGAATTGAGCTTCTAGAAATACACCTATACATCTTGGTCAATTAATTTTTGACAAAAATACTAAGATTATTAAGTGGGGGAAAGGATAGTTTTTTTCCACCAATGGTGCCAGGACAATTGGATATCCACATACAAAAGAGTGAATTTAGATTCCTATGTCACACAATATACAAAAATTAACTCAAAATGGATCAAATGCCCAAATATAATAGCGAAAACTACAAAACTTTTAAAAGGAAACATAACTGTAAATCTTCTGACCTTAGTTTAGGCAATGTATTAGGCTGCTCTTTCATAGCTATAAAGAAATACCTGCCATAACAAAGTATCCATAGACTGAGTGGCTAAAACAATGGAAATTTATTTTCTCACTGTTCTGGAGGATGGAAGTCTGATATCCAGGTGCCAGCAGGTTTGGTTTCTCCTGAGGCTTCTCTCCTTGGTTTGTAGGTGGCCACCTTCTTTCTGTATCCTCACATGACCTTTTCTCTGTGCACCAAACTCTAATGTCTCACTCGTCATATAAAAGCAGCAGTCAGATTGGAATAGGGCTCACCTGTATTACCACAATTGTCTTTTTAAACGTCTTATTTCCAAATATGGTCCCATTCTGAGGTACAGTGGGAGTTGGGACTTCAACATATAAATTTTGTGGGGACACAGTTTGGTCCATAACAGGTATATATATCCAAGAGAATTTAAAATATGTGTGCAGCCTGATCTTACCTCCACAATTAAAGTTGAAGGAATTCTGAAATTAAAAAATAAAACACATACTCATACAAAATCTTGTACAAGGAAGTTCATAGCAGCACTATATACAGAAGCCAGAAAGGAGAAACAACTCAAATATGTGTCAACTGATGAATAAGTAAACAAAATGTGGTATATGTCCACACAATGGAATATTATTTGGTCATAAAAAATGAAATACTGAAACATTCTCCAGCATAAATGAACCTTAGAAACATCATGCTAAGTTATAGAAACCAGACACAAAGGGCCACATATAGTATATCATTTATATTAAATATCCAGAAGAGACAAAATTGAGATAGAAGGCAAATCAGTAGTCATCAGGGGATAGGGGGAGTGAGGATTGGGAGGTACAGGGTTTCTCTTAGTGATGATGTAAATGTTTTGTAATTAGATACTGGTTATGTTTGTACAGCATTATGAATATGCCAAAAATCAGTGAATTGTACAATTTAAAATTGCTGAAATGGTGAATTTTATATTATGTGAATTTTAGCTCAAAAAACTAAAATAAACATAACTTACCACAATTGATGAAATACTACAACTATTCCAGTAAAAATGTAATAATCTCTTTATTCTATTTTCATGCTCCCCCATTAGCCTGGCAACCAATGTACACAGCCTGATGTGAGTCCATTCACACTTTTTTACTCTGCCCACTCAAATATAAGAATGTATGAGCATACATGTGCACACATGTATATTTTTATTATTTTATTTGCTTTAACACTAGTGGAATCATACCATATGCTTTATGTTACAGCTTATGGACATCCTTCAGGTCAATAAACATGACTCCATTTCATTCTTTTTTGAAAGCTGTATAAGATTCCAAATTGTGTACTAGTGAGGGTTCTCCAGAGATATAGAACCAATAGGATGCATATATAGAGAGATTAAGAGATTTATTTTAAGGAATTGTCTCATGTTATTGTGGAATCTGACAAGTCTCAAGATTTCCAGTCATCAAGCTGGAGACCCAGGAGAGCTAATAGTGTAGTTCCAGTTTGAGTGTGAAGGCCTGAGAATCAGGAGGGCTGATGGTGTAGTTCTAGTCTGAATGATGAGGGAAGGCTCAAGACCCAGGAAGAGTCAATGTTTAAGTCTAAAGGCATTTGCATTTAAAGCTTTAAGTCATGGTTGTTTTGGCATAGTGAAATTATGCTTAATTTTTATTTTAATTTGCATCTTCTAGGTTGCATTTACAGTGTCTTTTATCATGCTTTTTGCTTTTTGTTTTTGTGTCATAATGCTTTCAAATATTCCTGATTTTTTTCATTATGACTTCAAAATTCCTTTCTTCTTTAGGATGATAATTTTCACCCTCACTATAGAGATTATGCAAATATTCTTCCAGTTTTCATATTTGTATTTTTAAAATTTAAATTCTGAATTCATCTGGCATTAATTTTTATATATGGTATAAGATAAGGATCTAGCCTTTTTCCTCCAGATGGAAAGTCAGCTATGCAAACACTTCTACTAAAATAAGCCCTCCATTTTCCACTAAGTTAGAATAAAACCATTGATGAATATAAAGTCTTCACATTCACTTGGGTCCATTTCTGTACTTTTTATTCTATTTCACTAATCTGTTTATTTTTGGGTCAATACTATTTTGAGTATATAACTTTACAGATATTTGGCAAGGCAAGTTCCTCCTGCCACTATTTTTATTTTTGATGATGTGCTTGACCAATCTTTGGCTATTACTCATGCATATAACTAGTAAAACAATTTCTTTTTTTAAGATGGAGTTTTGCTCCTGTTGCCCAGACTGGAGTGCGGTGGCGTGATTTCAGCTCACTGCAACCTTCGCCTCCCGGGTTCAAGTGATTCTCCTGCCTCAGCCTCTCGAGTAGCTGAGACTGCAGGCGCCCACCATCACACTTGGCTAATTTTCTGTATTTTTAGTAGAGACGGGGTTTCACCATGTTGGCCAGGCTGGTCTTGAACTGCTGACCTCAGGTGATCCACCTGCCTCGGCTTCCCAAAGTACTGAGATTACAAGTGTGCGCCACCACGCCCGGCCTGTAAAACAATTTTTTTAAGCAACACACATAACAGAAATGTTAATTAGAACTTCAATAATGTTCTTCATTAATTAGAGGATTATTTACATTTCATATAAAATGAAAGCCAGGTGTGGTGGTATGTGCCTGTAGTCCCAGCTACTTGGAAGGCTGAGGTGAAAGGATCACTTGAGGCTGGGAGTCCGAGTTCAGCCTGGGAAATATAAAGAGACCCCATCTCTAAAAAATATACTTAAAAGAAAGATTACAAAAAAAGATACTCATATCACCCTTGTCACTCAGGAATTACAAAAGGTTCAGGGGCTCTGTGTCAGGAACTGGGGACAAAGGCCAAAAAATATATATTTTTTATTACATATCCTGGAAAATCAAGAGGTAAATTCAGATATATAATTGCAATGGTCAAGTAAGTATAATTCCTTTCACCTTGTTTTCATTCATTCATTCAACAAAAATCTATTAATTAGGACTGTCTGTAAGATTACATATAATAGAAAGCTTTCAGACACATAATAATTATTATTATTTTATTATACTTCAAGTTCTAGGGTACATGTGCACAACGTGCAGGTTAGTTACATATGTATACATGCGCCATGTTGGTGTGCTGCACCCATTAACTCGTCATTTACATTAGGTATATCTCCTAATGCTATCCCTCCCCCCACCCCAACCCCATGACAGGCCCCAGTGCGTGATGTTCCCCATCCTGTGTCCAAGTGTTCTCATTGTTCAATTCCCACCTATGAGTGAGAATATGCAGTGTTTGGTTTTCTGTCCTTGCGATAGTTTGCTCAGAATGATGGTTTCCAGCTTCTTCCATGTCCCTGCAAAGGACATGAACTCATCCCTTTTTATGCTGCATAGTATTCCATGGTGTATATGTGCCACATTTTCTTAATCCAGTCTATCATAGATGGACATTTGGGTTGGTTCCAAGTCTTTGCTATTGTGAATAGTGCCACAATAAACATACGTGTGCATGTGTCTTGATAGCAGCATGATTTATAATCCTTTTGGTGTATACCCAGTAATGAGATGGCTGGGTCAAATGGTATTTCTAGTTCTAGATCCTTGAGGAGTCGCCACACTGTCTTCCACAATGTTTGAACTAGTTTACAGTCCCACCAACAGTGTAAAAGTGTTCCTATTTCTCCACATCCTCTCCAGCACCTGTTGTTTCCTGACTTTTTAATGATGGCCATTCTAACTGGTGTGAGATGGTATCTCATTGTGGTTTTGATTTGCATTTCTCTGATGGCCAGTGGTGATGAGCATTTTTTCATGTGTCTGTTGGCTCCATAAATGTCTTCTTTTGAGAAGTGTCTGTTCATATCCTTCGCCCACTTTTTGATGGGGTTGTTTGATTTTTTTCTTGTAAATTTGTTTAAGTTCTTTGTAGATTCTGGATATTAGCCCTTTGTCAGATGGGTAGATTGTAAACATTTTCTCCCATTCTGTAGGTTGCCTGCTCACTCTGATGGTAGTTTCTTTTGCTGTGCAGAAGCTCTTAATCATTCAATACCATTTTCTCTGTGCCTCACAGAAAATTGAAGTTAGGAAAAAAATTAAAATATTAAATATATTGTGTAAACACAGTAATTTCTAAAACAAATCAGATTTACTGGTGTTCAAAACCTCCTCAGTTTCGTAAGTCTTCTCGTGAACTATTTTCTAAAATGTTTATAAGGAATTCTTAGGAGCCCTAAGTCTCCTTTATATTATTTACAAAGTATAAATGTTCAAATTTGTGTACAAAGATGTTCTCTTTAACATGGTTTGACTAGTGAGGAAGTTAAAACAATCTAAATGTCATTAAAAGTATGTTATTACATATACAGACTTTGTAATTTTTTCATAGACATTAAAAGAATAGCTATATATTATGATATGGAACAGTTCCAGTGTATACTAGTTAAGTAAAGAAAGCACATGGCAGAGAAAATATGCACAGTATATTCCTATGATGTAAAATTTTTGCAGACACATACGTATATAATACATACAATTTATATATGCATATGAAAAGGCCTGGAAATACATATAACAAATGTTAACAGTAGTTACCATTGGAAGTGGGAAATGGGGGAAATGGGATGTAAGGGAATTTCACTTTTATTTTTACATGTTTGCATTGCTTTAATTTTTTTCAATGCACTTGTTAAAGTAAAAAGCAACTTTAAAGTAAATAAAAAAGTGAATACAGTGTGTCTTCCCTTTAAAGGTTGTTTTACATTCTGTAAAATAATTTTTAAAGGTGTCTTCATACAGCTTCTATACCTTTCTTGTTAGATGTATTATTAGGCAATTTCCATATTAAATGGTTATTGCCAATGCAGATAAGAGGAATTGATTATTATATATTTATTTTATAAGTATATACAGAGTTTTACCAATTATTTAAAATTAATTTTAGCAGCCTTAAAGTCTCCTGGGATGTCTAGATATAGAGACTAGCCAACTCTATGTAGTTGTTGTTTTGGTAGTTTCTCTATTTTAATCAATGATTTTGTAACTTTTAAGTGTTTTACCATAGGTATTTTGGTAAAATATTTTTACCATACTACCATACAACTTTTAAAATCAGAAACAAAAACTATTTCATAGAAAAGCTAGTCTTAAAGTTGATTTTAACTAAAAATAATAATCATTTATTTTTTCAGAAAAAATTAATTGAACAAGAGTTGAACTTCAAAATCAACAGGAACCATTATGATTAATATGACTTACTGATTATGCTTATATCATTTAGAGGGAGTTTTTCAGATTTTCAGTAATTGTGTCTTTGGTCAAATAAAAAGAAAATAAAAGGGGAAAAAAGAGAAACAATGATCACACAAACTATTTGATGCAATCCAGATCGTATGAAGTAGATAGAACTGCCTCACCTATAGAAGAACATTCTAAGTTTCAGACTCTTCAGTCTGCTGCCTCATTATTAGCAGTGTCCATTTATTCATATGACAGTAGATATGGAGTTAGAAGTCCAAATTATTATTATCAAATAGAACAAATAGAAGTTCATTTGAGGAGTGCAAAAGAAATTTAGATGTATTCTATCTCTTAGTCTGGACAGTTGATATAAACAAGTCAATTTCCATACTCCCATCATTTAAAATCATAGGTTATGATTATCATCATCATCATCATCTATGTTTCTAGCAGTTAAGAGGAATTGCCACAACATAATTGTAGGGAGACCCCCTGAAACTACTGCTACGGAATAAAAGATGAAATGCTCCCGATTACTGTAAATACAAAATTGCATGCAGGATTGTGTAAAGACAATGCCAGGTTGGACTGCCAGAATGAGCCAACAGTGCGTGATGTGCTTTCCCCTGCGGAGAGCCTATGGATGGACGTGCAGTCAGGGACGTTTCACATCACCAAGATTTCTATCCCAGAAAAGCAGATGTTCATAGCTCTGGGAATGGAATGCGACCCTTGTGGAGAGCCTATAAACGGACGCATGGGAGGGTGCCTCTCCATATGGATAAGATAGGGCTATAAACGCCCTCATCTTGCCACGGCTTTTCTAGGCCTCTTTAGGGTTAAGGCATACTCCCTTCTGAGAATTTCTGGTCTAACCGGTTGTCTAGCTTCACGTCCTGTATCTATGGATTGTTTGTAACCAGCTTTTGCTGCAACTGTTACTGCTGATTAATATCTTGCTAATCATAGGTTATTGAAAGACTGGGTTTCTGTTTTAAGGCTCTGTTAGAAATTACTGATGCACACACTATATTGTAAATTCTTATCACTGTATACTGTACTTTTGCATACAGATGTTATGTTAAAGAATTACTTCATCCCCATGTGACCATCTCACCTCATAATCAAATGACTCTAAATCCCTCACTAACCTACCCCCACTCTCACTAAACTTAATAATAAATGCTGGTATATCCAGTGCATTGTTGGCACCATGGAACCAGAAGGTGGTGGCCCCCCTGGACCCAGCTTTCACTATCTTGTATGTGTCTATTATTTCTAAACCTGCCGATCTGCCTGGGAACAAATAGAGAGCCCCGTTGCATTGCGGGCTGCTGGCCAGATCCCGCAATACATAATTAAAGAAGGAAAGAAATATTCAGTTTTCTTAGATTGTTTGTTTTTTGAGACAGGGTCCCCCTCTGTCATCCAGGCTGAAGTGCAGTGGCTCAATCGTAGCTCACTGCAGCCTCCAACTCCCGGGCTTAAGTGACCTTCCCTCCACAGCTTCCAGAGTAGCTGGGACTAAAGGTTGGCACCACCATGCCTGGCTATTTTCTTTTAATTTATTTTATTTTATTTTTTCATAGAGATGAGGTCTTGCTATGTTGCTCAGGTTGGTCTTGAACTCCTACACTCAAGCTATCCTTCCACCTCAGCTCCCAAAGTTCTGGGATTACAGGTGTGAGCTATCACACCCAGCCAGTATTCAGTTTCCATTCAAGAATATTATGGAGAAAAACCCCTTTGTAGCTTTGTATTTAATGGATTTTCTTTTAATATGTAGAACTAAATAATTCTGGGTAAACCAATCATATAAGTCTGAAAAAGGCTATCCATTAAAGGAATAAGAACATCTCACTTACAAGCAAATGCTGACCACATTTTCATGAGTTGAAAAACATCCATAACAACAATTCTTAATATATATAATAACTCCTTCATGCTTTTCCTACCCTATATCAAGAAGATAGTCACAAACAATACTTTTTAAAATGCCTTCTACAACAATGAATTTGTACTTCAAAAGTTACATAACTCATTCTGGCCAACATGGTGAAACCCCGTCTCTACTAAAAATACAAAAATTAGCTGGGCATGGTGGCACGCACCTGTAGTACCAGCTACTCGGGAGGCTGAGGCAGGAGAATTGCTTGAACTTGGGAGGTGGAGGTTGTAGTGAGCCGAGATCATGCCACTGCACTCCATCCTGGCGACAGAGCAAGACTCCGTCTCAAAAACACAAAAAACAAAAACGAAAGTTACATAACTCAAAGAGTAGGTCTATTGCAGCCTTATTTTATTCTGTGTTATGCTTGATTGTGACAAGCCCCTCAAGAATGCATCCACATGCTAATAGCCAAAAATATTCATTATTGTATCTACCTGCAAGGAAAATAATATCATAACCATTGGCAACAATAGATAACAGGTACCACAGGCTAGCCAGGACCCAGATCCTGCTTGGGTCTTGGTCCTGCTTGTCCATGGAAATTGCTAGATACATGAGTCCTTATGAAATATACCATGATAGTTTCTAAGGATCATCAGGACAATAGTCTATACCTTAGGCAGACAAAGTATTAATGATGGGACAATTATCTTTCTCAGCTGTTACATAGTTTTTGCCAGCTGCACATTCTGGTCTCTGCTGCCGTAAGATACATGGCTTCTCTGAATTGAAACTGAAATTGTCTTTACTCCCCAAGCACCCTGAACTAATCTCAGTATACCGTTCCTAGTAATTCCAAACATCCTTGAGACCCTTCAAAAGAGCCACAATTAATTTTAAGAACACTAGATCTTAAAATTTTAATCTCTTATAACAATTAAAGATATGGTAATTGCCTAGTAAGTTAAGTGTAACTTAGCAGAAAAATCTCTAAGCAAGCCCACTATAACTTTACATACAAATAACTGAAAAATGAGTTAGAGATGTCCAAGAAGAGATCAAGGCAGGATTTTACAGGGTGGAACAATATTGGTGGAATCCTATAGATTGGACACTGTTACTCATATTTGCAGATATGGCAAATTAATTTTTCAGTCTGCTTTGTGCTAATTAAGGTGTCAGAGACAAACTACATCAACCAAACTTACAAGAGACAGATGTATAAATTGCATTCAAATAAATGTATTGCTAAAGAGTTTCTTATAAAGTGACTACACTATTTATTGTCCAAACTGACATAGTTAAGATTGAAAATGGGGAGCTATTAATAATTAAGCTGGAACAAGAGGTACAAACTATGACTGTCCAGGACAAACCAGGACATATGGTCGCTCTGCCCATGACTCAAATACTCATCTCCATGGTCCAGTGCATCTCCTACCTACTCTGTATCAAGGTCTCTGAGAATTCAAAATAGTAATTTAAAATTTGCATAGTCAGCATAAACTTAGAGACAAAGGAGATAGACAGTTCTGGCAATAGATACATCTATCTAGTAGGGTAGGCAGGCACAGTCCATCAGAATCTATTTGTTGATGTGCATCAGAATCTATTTGTTGACTGTAATATAAGGATGCCCCTCAGGCCCAGTGTGTCATCTTTTTTACTCCTCCTTTCCAGGTCCAGCTTTCCTCTATCTATTCAGATTGGATACAATTCAATTGATCAGATTTCAAAAACTTAGGTTACAAAAAACATTTCAGTCTTGTCTCCCTGAAGAGGTATCCTCATCACTTGAACTCAAGAATTTTCCAAATCTTCTCACCTACATCCACATCAACCATATCTTAGTTTATAGCTACAGATGTTTATTTTTGTCTATTAAGTGTTAAAAATAAAATAACCTTTTGAAAATGAAACAAGGGAGAAGAAAATCTGTAAGTTTTTATACTTCATCTTTATGTACTGATAACAAGCTTGCTCTGCACTGATTTATACAAGATACTATTAAAGCCATGTGTAATTTATAGCTAAAATAAAACATATTATTAAGGGAGATCAAAGAGTTTGTGTGATAATTCAGAATAGAGCAATTACCACTGAATTTATTTCAAGCTTGGTTAATGTTAAGTAAAGAAGATGTGTAACAACTGGTTAAACAACTAAACCTACAATTGGAGGAAGTAAAGCTTTGGCATCTGTGAGATGTAGATGAGAATGACAAGCTTAATCATAACTTAGTTTTCATACCAACAGCAAGCAACCTGCAAGCATGTGCTTATACAAGGTGTCTTCAATATGTTCATGAAAAATGCTTATTATAAAAAAAACTATGCACAGATTTCAAAAATTTTTTGCACCAAAATAGCTTATACCAATTTGTTATGACATGTCAGAACAGAATCTAGTTGGAGGCACTAAGAATAGACATCAGTTTGAAAAAATCTCCCATCAGAGCAGCATGAATTCTGATAAAATTGAAGCAAAAACAAACATCAAATGTATGGTGAAGCTTGGGTGGAAAAATAGTGAAATCACTGATGCTTTACAAAAAGTTTATGGGGATAATGCCCCAAAGAAATAAGTTTACAAATGGATAATTCATTTTAACAAAGGACGAGATAATGTGGGAGATGAAGCCTGCAGCAGCAAACCATCCACAACAATTTTCAAGGAAAAAATTAATCTTGTGCATGCTTGATATGGTTTGGCTGTGTCCTCACACAAGTCTCATCTTGAATTGTAATTCCCACAACTGAATCATGCAGGTGGGTCTTTTCTGTGCTGTTCTTGTGATGGTGAATAAGTTTCATGAGATGTAATGGTTTTCAAAATGGGAGTTTCCCTGCAAAAGCTCTCTCTTTTTGCCTGCTGCCATCCATGTAAGATGTGACTTACTCCTCCTTGCCTTCCGCCATGATTGTGAGGCCTCCCTAGCCACGTGGAACTGTAAGTCCAATAAACCTCTTTCTTTTGTAAATTGCCCAGTCTCAGGTATGTCTTTATCAGCAGCATGAAAACAGATTAATACAGTGAATTGGTACCAGTAGAGTGGGGTGCTGCTGGAAAGATATCCAAAAATGTGGAAGTGACTTTGGAACTGGGTAACAGGCAGAGGTTGAAACAGTTTGGAGGGCTCAGAAGAAGACAGGAAAATGTGGGAAAGTTTGGAACTCCCTAGAGACTTGTTGAATGGCTTTGACCAAAATGCTGATAATGATATGGGCAATGAAATCCAGGCTGAGGTGTTCTCAGGTGGAGATGAGGAACTTGTTGGGAACTGGAGCATAACTCTTGTTACGTTTTAGCAAAAAGACTGGTGGCATTTTGCCCCTGCCCTAGAGATTTGTGGAACTTTGGACTTGAGAGAAATGATTTAGGATATCTGGCAAAAGAAACTTCTAAGCAGCAAAGCATTCAAGAGGTGACTTGGGTGCTGTTAAAGGCATTCGGTTTTAAAAGGGAAACAAAGCATAAAAGTTTGGAAAATTTGCAGCTTGACAATGTGATAAAAAAGAAATCCCATTTTCCAAGGAGAAATTCAATCTGGCTGCAGAAATTTGCATGAGTAATGAGGAATCGAATGTTAATCATTAAGACAATGGGGAAAATGTCTCCAGGGCATGTCAGAGGCCTTTGTAGCAGCCCCTCCCATCAGAAGCCCAGAGGCCTAGGAGGAAAAATGGTTTCATGGGCCAGACCCAGGTTCCCCATGTTGTGTGCAGCTTAGGGACTTGGTGCCCTGAGTCCCAGCTGCTCCAGCCATGGCTGAAAGGGGCCAACATAGAGCTCAGGCTATGGCTTCAGAGGGTGCAAGCCCCAAGCCTTGGCAGCTTCCACATGCTGTTGAGCCTGTGAATGCACAGAAGTCAAGAACTGGGGTTTGGGAACCTCCACCTAGATTTCAGAGGAAGTATGGAAATGCCTGGATGTCAAGGCAGAAGTTTGCTGCAGGGGCAGGGCCCTCATGGAGAACCTCTGCTGGGGCAGTGCGGAAGGGAAATGTGGGATTGGAGCCCTCACAGAGTCCCTACTGGGACACTGCCTAGTGGAGCTATGAGAAGAGGGCCACCATCCTCCAGACCCCAGAATGGTAGATCCAACGACAGCTTGCACTGTGTGCCTGGAAAAGCCATAGACACTCAACACCAGCCATGAAAGCTGTCGGGAGGGAGGCTGTACCCTGCACATCCACAGGGGCGGAGCTGCCCAAGACCATAGGAACCCACCCCTTGCATGAGCGTGACCTGGAAGTGAGACATGGAGTCAAAGGAGATCATTTTGGAGCATTAAGATTTGACTGCCTTGCTGGATTTCAAACTTGCATGGGGCATGTAGCCCCCTTGTTTTGGCCAATTTCTCCCATTTGGAACAGCTGTATTTACCCAAATGCCTGTACCTCCACTGTATCTAGGAAGTAACCAACTTTCTTTTGATTTTACAGGCTCATAGGCAGAGGGACTTGCCTCATCTCAGATGAGACTTTGGAATGTGGACTTTTGAGTTAATGCTGAAATGAGTTAAGACTTTGGGGGACTGTTGGGAAGGCATGATTGGTTTTGAAATGTGAGGACATGAGTTTTGGGAGGGGCCGGGGCAGAATGATATGGTTTGGCTGTGTCCCCATCCAAATCTCATCTTGAATTCTAACTCCCACAATTTCCACATGTCATGAGAGAAACCCAGTGGGAGTTAATTGAATCACGTGGGTGAGTTTTTCTGTACTGTTCTCATGGTAGTGAATAAGTCTCATGAGATGTGATGGTTTTAAAAATGAGAGTTTCCCTGCTCAAGCTCTCGCTCTTTGCCTGCTGCCATCCATGAAAGACATGACTTGCTCCTCCTTGCCTTCCACCATGATTGTGAGGTCTCCCCAGCCACATGGAACTGTAAGTCCATTAAACCTCTTTCTTTTGTAAATTGCCCAGTTTTGGGTATGTCTTTATCAGCAGCGTGAAAATGGACTAATACAGTGCCTTAATTGAAGATGACTGATGATTAACTGCACAATAGCCAACATAATAAACATCTCAACTGGTTCAGCTTACACAATTCTAACTGGAAAATTAACATTAGTCAAACTTTCCACTCAATGGGTGCCAAAACTGTTGTGCCCAGATCAGCTGCAGACAAGAGCAGAGCTTTCAACAGAAAATTTAAATAAGTGGGATCAAGACCTTGGAACATTTCTTCAAAGAATTGTAACAGGAGATGAAACATGGCTTTACTAATATGATTCTGAAGACAAAGCACAATCAACGCAATGACTACCAAGAGGTACAAGTGGTCCAATCAAAGCAAAAGCAGAATGGTCAAGAGTAAAGGTCATGGAGACAGATTTTAGTGATGCTCAAAACATTTTGCTTGTTGACTTTTTGGAGGGCCAAAGAAATGGTAACATCTGCTCATTATGAGAGTGTTTTGAGAAGAGCTAGCCAAAGCTTTAGCAGAAAAACGCCCAGAAGGCTTCACTAGAGAGTTCTTCTCCACCATGACAATGCTCGTGCTCATTCCTCTCATCAAACAAAGGTAGTTTTGTGAGAGTTTCAATAAGAAATCATTAGGCACCTTACAGTCCTGATTTGACTCCTTCTGACTTCTTTTTGTTTCTTAATCTTAAAAAATCTTTAAAGGGACAGGTGCAGTGGCTCATGCCTATAATCCCAGCACTTTGAGAGGCCAAGGTGGGAGAATAGCTTAAGACCTGGAGTTCAAGATGAGCCTGGGCAACACAGTGAGACCCTATCTTTATGAAAACGAAATGTAAAAATAGCTGGTATGGTGGCATGCACCCATGGTCCCAGCTACTTGGATGGCTGAGGTGGGAGGATCGCTTGAGCCCATGAGGTCAAAGGTGCAGTGAGCCATGATCACACCACTGCACTCCAGCCTGGGTGACAGAGTGAGACCCTGTCTCTAAAAACAAACAAACAAACAAACAAAAACAACTTTAAAGGTCACCCTTTTTTTTTCAGTTAATCATTTAAAAAAAAACACAAAAACCAAAAAACTGCATTGACATGGTTAAATTCCCAGAATCCTCAGTTCTTTAGGAATGCACTAAATGGCTGGTATCATTGCTTGCAACTGTCTTGAACTTGATGGAGCTTATGTTGAAAAATAAGGTTTATATTTTTTATTTGTATCTTTTAATTCCATTTTTTCACAAACTTTTTGTTGTTCCCTCATAAGTACATCAACAAAGTAGCAAAGGCCAAATCAAATGCAATTTAGAAAATAGCACTTGTAAACCATTCTGGGAAAGCATCAAAACAGTGAAAGAACAAATTTTGCCTATGAAATATTGAGAATATGAAGAATGCAATGGAATTTGCTGATACAGTAGAACATTTTGAAAATGCATTCAGAGGAAAGAATATGGCGTGTTTCTTGGTCAGAGATACTAAAGTTTACATAGAAAGTAAAGTGACTCATTTCAGTAATCAGAGTTTGAACATACACTGACTATCTGTGCTTTATCCAAGTAAATCATCTTATGAAGCCAGTTTTGGAAAGCAATGCTTCTATTTCATTAGATTTTTACTCTAAAATGAATAAAAAATGAGTGTTGTGACCATAAAGACTAAAAGAGAAATAAAATTGGATTGTATAAGAGGAACAATAGAAATTCTAGGACAGGGCAGGAATAAATTTAAATTGTTAAATGATAGAATTAAACACAGACAATAAGAATTAAGAAATGAAATTGACAAAGAGGCTTTGGAAGAACCCAAAAACTTATACTTCCACTCTACCACCAACACTGAGAGACAGTAATACAAAAGCCTTCACCCATGCCTATTGTCTTAGTCCATTTGGGCTACTATAACAAAATGCCTTCGACTGGGTAATTTACAAGCAACAGGAATTTATTGCTCATAGTCTGCAGGCTAGGCACTAAGCTTAAGGCACCAGCAGATTCAGTGTCTGGTGAGGGCTCATTCTCTGCTTCAAAAATGGCACCTTTTTGCTGCATCTTCACATACAGGAAGGAGCAAACAGGTTCCCTCAAGACTCTTTTGTAAAGGCCCTAATCCTACTTATAAGGGCAGATAGAGCCTTCATGACCTAATCATCTCCCATAGGCCCCACATCTTAATACTATTACATTGAAGAGTAGGTTTCAACATATAAATTTGGTGGAAACACAAACATTCAGATCATAGCACCTGCCTTTCTTGATCTCCCTGTGACCCCTTTCTTTGTTCTATAACCTTTTCATTCAGGAGTAGATTTAGTGCCTTTCCTTCTTCCTTTCCACGAGTGAAACTCATGTCTCAGCCTTCACACAACAGGAGAGGCATTTTTTCAAATTCATGGAAGAAATACAATGGTCTGAGCCTGTTTTAGTCAAAATAGAATTGAGTTATGATGTGGTAATGAGCAACCCTCAAATTTTGAGGGATTAACACATGAAGTTTATTTCTTGAACACACTAAGTTTGTTGTAGATCAGGTGACCCAGCAGTGCAACTGTCTTCCATGAGATGACTCAGCAGTGCAGTCTGCTTCATTATTGCAGTTCTGCCATTTTAATGCACCACTCTAGTCTCACCACTGAAAGGAAATACTGAATTGAATTGAAGAATTTCACTGCCAGTCCAGAATAGAAGCCTGTTACTTCTTATGGTTCCTTAATCAGTAGTAGATTCATGGCCTCACTAGCTTCAAGGTGCTCAGTAGGGTTTTGGTGAGCACTGGAAATGTCTATGAAGACCTTTCCGTGCTTGGTCTTTCGTATGCTAAAGGAATTTATAAAAATTCTCTCTCTCCCAAAAACGTGATTATTTTAGGAATGTTATTATTTCCCTGTGGATGCAAATAAAAATTTGACCCTTGATGCTGAGAAACGGCAGAATTCGCCTAGTGGATGTACCTCCCCTTCCTCTGAAACACTGAAACCCAGTGCTCCAATAGGCAGGAAATCCCTAGAGCCTAGTTGTAGAATCTGCAAATACATAGAAATATTTCAAAAATATAATCCCATTTTACAATGATATTAAAATATAACATTAGACTTTGGTAATACCTGAGAAATAATGCTCATTTTATGTGCAGAAAAAAGGGCAAAATTGGCTGAATTTAGTTTAAAGAAAAAAACTCACGATCTTTGAAAGCATTTAACTTCCTCATTGCAGAGTAAAGGAAACCCTAATATACAGATAATATATAAGCAAACGAAATCCTCTTCCATCTCCTGTTGCAAAAATCCACTCAATGAGTAACTATGAATTAGAAATCTAAACAAACAGCTGGTATCTAAGTATAGCCTCCTGAATATGGAGCTTTTTGGTTGACTGTATCTAAATATGTGATAGATTTTAAGGAAGTCAATGTGGTTGTTTCCTTCTGTCAAATGCATTATTTAGATACAATCAGGCAGCAAAATTCTAAAAATAGGTTAGAAGGCTTAATACAAGGAGCAATGTTTAACCTATTTGATGAAGGC
This sequence comes from Homo sapiens, assembly GCF_000001405.40. Classification (NCBI taxonomy): domain Eukaryota; kingdom Metazoa; phylum Chordata; class Mammalia; order Primates; family Hominidae; genus Homo; species Homo sapiens. The sequence continues at coordinate 43,019,052 of NC_000023.11, read as the reverse complement.
TCAGGGAAGCACGTTGAATGCTGTTGAAGTGAAAAAGCAGTTTGTACACAATGAACCTTAGTAAGAAACAACATTCATAGATTTACCTGTGAAACCACACACTTCACCCTCCCAAGTATTTATCTTACCAAATTTAATTGAACTGAAGCAGATAAAACTGTTCAAGCATGGGAACCAGTAATTGTTTGTAATTCATAAAAAGGATTATTCACAGGCAACACTTCCAGAGAAACTACCTGTCTATAAAGAAACTACCTACAGTTATAACAAAATGTTCTACAAATATGCACTTTTTAATAGTCTACTTACCTACAGGAATAATGCAAGCATCACTGCCCTTGGGGGAAGTGGTGATAAGAATTCTTGCCCATGCCCATCAGTACAGTACACAATTTTAGAAGTTACACTCCAGCTCTAAACTCATACTTAAAAGACGAGATTTCGCTTCTAAGGCTTCATTTACATGACAAGCAATTAAGTCAGCTAGGGTCATCTATGCTCTAATAAAGTTAGAAGAAGATCTATTTCTAGGTCTTCCACGCTGACAAATTTCCCAAAGGTATCCATTGGAAGAAGTGTTGAAACTATCCTTTTTGATATTGTGATTTATAATAAGAAATAGATTTTATTTTTGGTCCCTGGTACAGAGCTCCTAAACAATCAACAGTAAACTTCTAAAAAACTAGGGGTGCCGGGTTTATCTTTTTTTTCTAATATTTGCTATTTTACCCCAGTTGCTGACACAGAGCTCCTAATCCCTTGGAATTTCCTGAGTGATAACAATATCTTTTGCCGTAATGAGGTGACTCTTGTTGAGTTCATGCATGGTTCCTGGGCCCCAGAAATACCAAGCCTTGATTAGAAACTTGGAACTTTCAGGCCCATCCCTTATCCTCTGGAAAGAAGTGAAGGGCTGGAAGTTGAGTTAATAGTCGATCATGCCTACATGATGAAGCCTCCATCAAAATCTCTGATCTATGACTTTCGGAGAACTTGTGGGTTGGAGAACACATCCGTGTGCCAGGAAGGTGACGTACCCCAATTCCGTGGGGAAAGAAGCTCCTGTGCTTGGGGCCCTTCTGAGCCTCACCCTATTACCTCTTTATCTAGCTGTTCATTTATAGTCTTTGTAATACCATTTATAACAAATGGGTAAATGTAAGTAAAGTGTTTCCTTGAGTTTTGTGAGTCACTCTAGTAAATTATCAAGCCTAAGAAGAGGGTCATGGGAAGCTCTCATTTGCAGTCAAGTCAGACAGAAATTTTGGGTAACCTGGGAACCTACTACTTGCAATTGGTATCTGAGAAGTATTGTGAGAATATACGATAGGAAAAAACAAATAGTTTTTATTTCCTTAAACATCCTTCCACGATGCATATCAACACAAGGCTAACATCCAAAATAATAAGTTAAACTGTGTATACATATTAATCCATTCATTAATTCATGTAGTAAATTTTAACTGGACATACACTAAGTACCAGGTATTATTTATGGACACATGCTGGACTCAAGACTAATGGCCCAGAAGACATTTATGCAGCCAACAAAGATAAGGAAAAAAAAACCTCAACATCACTGATCATCAGAGAAATGCAAATCGAAACCACAATGAGATACCATCTCACGCCAGTCAGAATGGTAATTATTAAAAAGTCAGGAAACCATAGATGCTGCCGATGCTGTGGAGAAATAGGAATGCTTTTACACTGTTGGTGGGAATGCAAATTAGTTCAACCATTGTGGAAGACAGTATGGCGATTCCTCAAGGATCTAGAACCAGAAATACCATTTGACCCAGCAATCCCATTACTGGGTATATACCCAAAGGAATATAAATCATTTACTATAAAGACACATGCACATGTATGTTTATTGCAGCTCTATTTACAATAGCAAAGACATGGAACCAACCCAAATGCCCATCAATGATAGACTGGATAAAGAAAATGTGGTACATATACACCATGGAATACTATGCAGCCATAAAAAATGATGAGTTCATGTCCTTTGCAGGGACATGGATGAAGCTGGAAGCCATCATCCTTAGCAAACTAACACAGGAACAGAAAACCAAACACAGCGTGTTCTCACTCATAAGTGGGAATTGAACATTGAGAACACATGGACACAGAGAGGGGAACTACACACACCAGGGCCTGTTGGGAGGTGGGGGGTGAGGGGAGGGAACTTAGAGGATGGGTCAATAGGTGCAGCAAACCACCATGGCACATGTATACCTATGTAACAAACCTGCACGTTCTGCACGTGCATCCTGGTTTTTTTTAAGAAGAAATAAAGAAAAAAAAAAAAAAGACTAATGACACGACCAGTACTGGCCACAATACAATAATGTGTGCCTTATAAAGTAAGCAAATGAGAGTAAATGAGTTATTGCTCAACACCAGTTAATTATTTAGTTGGAAGACTTCTCTGGAACAATTAGAATAGAAATGCTATAAAAATAAACAAAATTAATTTTGCCATTCAGAGAAAGGGACAGTGGGATATTTTGTATGTGGTTGACATGAAGCCATCTGGGAGCATTTATTCATACAGAGAAACTAATGATATTACTGAAACACTATGCCAAGAAATTTCTTCAAAATGTACAATGAGGCTTTAAGTAAATAAGCCATGAATACACCACATTTAAGAATAATAGAAAATGCCACAAATGTGAAATGCTTTGGGAGACACTGAATTCAGAAAGAGGCTTTAGGAGAATTCACAATGGCAGTGAACACTGATGCATTCACTACACATCTGCAGGGACTTCATTCTTCAAGACAGAAAAATATGCTTCCCATCAGTTGTGACTGTATTATTTCACCATTAACTCCAGAATGTATATGAGTGCAGGATCATTGCCCAGAACCAACACACAGTTGGCATCTTTCCAAACCTGCAAACAATTCTCAGGCCACTGAGGGGACCTTAACTCTGAGAGCCTGGAAATTACTTTTAATTAGTTTCCTTTTGTCATCAGTGGACAAGAGATGATAAAAGGTAACATTCATACATGTCAGGAACAACCCAACAGGGAGCAGACTTTCTTGGAGTCAGCACTCAGAAAGGCAATCCTTCTGAGGAGTTAAAAACTATAATTTGGTTGGAAGAAGGAGATGCATTTGTCTCAAGGTCAGCCTGAATGCTTTACAGATTCGTGTATTAATTTGGTTCACAAATACACAGCTTCATTTCACCCCATCATCATCCAGAAGTGACCTTCACCAAACTCTGGGTGTGGATTGAGTTTTTCAACACTACTTTTCTACAAGATTCATCTCTCAGTGGATGCTTATTTTCTGACTGGGGGATTTAAGTTTTCCACTCAGCAATATTACACAGAAATGGGTCTTGTGGCTGTACTGCAGCCTGATCTTTTAGTTTGGCTATAAACAAATATTCCCTAAAAATCAGGACAAAAAGACGGAAGTAATAAGTCAAAGATCTAGTTGTCCCAGGACTACTGAAAAAGAATCATCTCAAATATGTTCACCATATAGAACCTGTGAAATGACTACTGTTTTCCAATCTAATTCTTGTTCATATTCTGGCTATTTTCAATACCCCTATCCAATTAACCTTGCTTACTAGATTAAAAATTTATCTTATGAGCTGTTCAAACTTTTTCTTTTTTCTTCTCTCCAAATTTGGGAAACTTAAAGGGTAAACTGGGCTGGCAGGACCTTCATTAATCTGATGGCCACTGGAGTTTTAACAAATAATCATGCTTTGATGACCATCAGTGTGGGGGGCGGGTAGGGTCGGGGGGAAGGGCTTTAACTGGCTTCCCATTGCCATCACAAAGATCTGTCATTTACAAGCAGTTCTAAGCATGCTTAGAAAGTGAGGAGACATAACTGGTCTGTAGTTAATCAAAGGTTTTGTTTCAAAATCACATAATTCAGTTAATGTTGTGGGGTAAGGTGAGAAAAGGAAAAATACCACTCTCTCCTATTTCATCATTCTAAGACATAGCAAAATATGAACATGTCTGCTTCTCTGTTTGCCTCATCTTAAATAATTTCTACAAACTCTTTTCCTCACTGTTTTTCTTGACCACTTCTGAAATGTGGTGTTCAGCACATCTGGAAAAAGATATCTATTTTCCAATTTTATATTCCATTGTATAAACATATTTGTTTCATATTCTGTTCATTTTTATAAGATTTTGATGATATTCAGACTAACTTCCTAACATGTCTTTATGATTTCCAGTGACTGAGATGAATACTAGTATAGCCAATAAATTTCTGGGTAAGAGCTGCAACTTTAGCTAAAGTCAAAGGCTAAATTTTACACATCTTGGTTAATGTTAAGCTGACAGAGGTAGTACAGACCCTGCTCTTTCTAGTGAATAGAAAATTTCAAGCCTCTTCTGTGAATTTTTAAGTAATGTAATCTGCTTGAGGTTTATTTTTTCTTTATAATCATGTTGCCAGCTCAGTCTGGGATTTGGGACCTAAATAATGATCTTTGAGAAAATTATAAGGTGAACCTCCTGGGTAAAGACAGAAAAATGCCAAGGATTTGATTACTAATTGTACCAATAACACAAAGGTCAGATATGCCCAGAGATCTAATGAATGTCCAGACACGTTCTCATTTTTTTCCCCAAATCTAATAATATGGCTAGAGCACTGATTTCCTAATATGGGTGGTATGGTTGTTGCTGTGCATGCTCTGATTGCAACTGGACTCTGAGGAAGAAAGTGTGGGACAGGGGGTTGGAAACTAAATGTCAGACCCTTCATTTTCTGTGACTGGAGCCACTAACTTTGTGCCATCATTAGAATCTCACTTAGCCTAGTGTATTAGTCCGTTTTCACGCTGCTAATAAAGACATACCTGAGACTGGGTAATTTATAAAGACAAAGAGGTTTAATGGACTCGCAGTTCCACGTGGCTGGGGAGGCCTCAGAATCATGGCAGAAGGTGAAAGGCATCTCTTAAATGGCAGCAGGCAGAGAGAATGCGAACCAAGCGAAAGGGATTTCCTCTTATAAACATCAGATCTCGTGAGACTTACTCACTACCACGAGAACTGTATGGGGGAACCGCCCCCATGATTCAATTATCTCCCACCAGGTCCCTCCTACAACACATGATAATTATGGAAGCTACAATTCAAGATGAGATTTGGGTGGGGACACAGCCAAACCATATTACCTGGGCTTCTTTTCCCTCCTTTCCTCTGTCACTGTGTCTCAGAGCAACTTATTTTCCTCCTGGAGCATTTTTCACTGATACAATGGATATAATTTGGGAGACTTTGACGAAAGAGTCATTAAGTTCATTTGCTTCATTTGTTTTCCAAGTCAAAGAATCCCAAAACGAACTGCTGTGAAAAATAAGAGTATCTTAATTGGCTGCCTTGAAGCTATGCATTTCAGACATCACAGTCAAAAAGGCTGGGCTATTTCTTGAGGACGGACTGATTCAAAAATTTAACTATTATCTGAAGTTGGAGTTCTTCCACTTTATGTGAAGGTTTACCCTTTTATGTCCTCCAATTCCCTCCCTTTGAGTATTGTTCTTCCCTTTGCTTCTTAGTATCCTACTCTGTCCAGGAAAGGGAAGACTTCAAACCTTTTTTTGGTGAGTATTTTAAAGTAATATTATCTGCTTGTGATTTACTATTTCTTAGAAATTTTTAGCTTACTAAATAGTGATTCAAGAGGCGTCCACCTGAATAAGTAGTATTTTACCATTTGCCTAATTGACTCACAACATCTTTTTCATTGGGTTCAAACACAGGCTACACCATTTACTAGCTGTGTGACCTCCAGCAAGTTACTTAACTTAGTTTGCTTAGTTGTATAATAAGGATAAAAACAATAATACCTACCTCATAGTATTGTTGTAAGGATTAAAATTAGCTTAACTTAAAAGTACTTAAAATGGTGACTGGCATATAGTAAAAATTTCAATATGTGTAACTGTTATTACTATTACTAATAGGATTATTATACTTCGTAAATTTTCAAGTTAAAAATAGGCTTTCAGTGTACTAGCTTTTTTGCATTAACATAAACTATGAATATAGGCTACCTACTCACGAAAAATAAAATATGCGCTAACATTTTAATTTGTATTTCACATTTTTATAAAATTAAGAAAATGCAAGAGCAATTTTCCAAAGCCAGATCTTAAGAAATGGGGCTTGAGACACTGGTATTTACAAGAAAAGCATGATGACAGATTAGTCAGAAAAATTACATATAAAAAGGTTTAGTGTAATTATCAAACACTAAGGATTGCATAAGATAAAACAGAAAACTGTACAGGTTATTAATGTAGAGTTAGAGTGTGTGTGTGTGTGTGTGTTGGATAAGTGTTGGTTAAGCATAGATAGGACAATAACTATTGTCAAATATTTTTATACTTGAACTTTTTCCACAACAATAGTGTGAGATCTTTGGTTATTGATAAAGAATCTAAGGACTAAATAGGCTAAGTATGTAAACACATGTCTTCAGAATGGAGTATTCCTTATGTCAGACTGAAGTGTAGTGCTCTTTTGACTCTACAATAATTGTACCTGTATTAGACAAATGGAATAAACCAGAACAAGATGTACATAGTCCCTGGCTTCTCAATACTTCTAGTTTAACCAACACAAAATTTGAAACAGTAATTAGAAATGTTTAAAAAAATTAAAAGGAGAACTTCTAGGTAGCTGAAGACAATGGTGGTCACCAAGCTACCACTCTCCCACCGTATCTTCCTAAAACAATATCAAATAACAAGATGGCAAATGTAAATTTACACAAAAGAAGCCCTCTGCATAACTTGAAGACATTGAATGCGAAGACTTCCAAGTTACAATAGGTTAAAAAAATAAAAATTACCAAATTCCAGTACAATCTTCCATGCTACCACCTTAATCCCCACTCTCCAGCCACGAGGCAAAGAGAAAAACTGTAGGGAAGACAGAAAAGGAAGTTAAGGAAGGAGCCAACTGATCCAAAATTATCCTCAGAAAGATTAATTCTACCTTAAATCTGAATATTCTAAAAAAGCATCTGACTAGATCAGAACATGGATCACAGGGAAGGGATTTCAAAGTACCTATGGTTTAAAGGGGCAACCTTTGAAACACATAGCTTCTGAAAGAGAAAAAAAGTCAATAAAGAAGGTAAGAAACTCCACTTGGTAATTAGGTGGTGAAAGGAAAAAGAAACTAAAGGGAAAAATGTAGGATCCTACAGAACAAAAGAGAATCATAAAACCAGAGGACACACAGCCCTGCCACCCCACCTAAACAAACAAACAAATCTGTTTACAATGTATGAAATTGTTATGTAAAGAGAAAGGGCATCACTAAACTAGGAATCTTGTGAAACATCCCAATGCAGTAAAAATGAACAAAATGAAAATCAGCAAATTCATATAGAACTATTCTTAAGAATCAGAAGACAAACTTTCACACAAATGAGAAAATTTCACACATACAAAGAGAACTCTCTGAAAAAAAAGCAGAAGAAAACTGTAAGAATTAAATATATAATCAAATATGTGTTTGAGGATATGAAAAACCTCCTTGTAAGAAATTCAAACACTAAGAAAGAAAATGGAAAACAACAACAACAACAACAAACCAAGGATATATGAAAAGAGAATTGTCTTAAGAAAGAACTAAAGTGAAGACAAAATACCTTAGAAATAAAGAATTAGTAATAAGGTACCCAAGGTAGAATAGACTCAAGTGAAACTTAATAAGGAGCATAGAAAAAAGTCAAGAAAACAAGTAAGATAATGAAGACAAAGAAAGAAGCAAAATGGATGAGAGACAAACTAGTAAAAATGAATGACAGTAAAAGAATAATACTCATATCATTAGAGGCACCTACCACAGTCAGTTAAACCCATCTACAAAATGATTATAGCCCTATGGAATAATCTGAACTAGAGGAACCCTACTAGTTCATCCTTGGATTCCTGTCCCTAAGAAACTATGGGATAAAAGTCTACAGTTTTAAGCCCCCACATTTCAGGGTAATTTGCTACATAGCACTAGATAATGAGTACAGATTTTGTTACCTGGAAGTCTTGTACTGCCATACAAATAACTAAAACTGTGGGCATTACACTGGAACTGGGCAGTGAATTTTGAGGAAAGTGTCAGTAAATGTTTAAAGTGCCTTGAACACGCTGTAAAATTTGGGACTTTCAGGAAGATACTAGCAAGCGCTTAAGGGAAAGTGAGGAAAATGTTATTGGAATCTCAGAGGAAGGAAATTCTTAAAAAAATTCTTTTTTTTTTTTAAGAGACACGGTCTCACTCTGTCATCTAGGTCAGAATGCAGTGGCATGATTATATGACTATAGTTTACTGTAACCTCAAACTCTTGGGCTCAAGCCTCTCACTTCAGCCTCCTAAGTAGCTAGGACTATAGGCACATGCCACCACACCTGGCTTTTTATTTTATTTTATTTTATTTTTATTTTCTACTTAATTATTATTATTTTTTTTTTTTGTAGAGCTGGGGTCTAACTATGTTGCCCAAGCTGGGATTCTTATAATGTAGTGGCAGAATGTAACTGTTGTCTGTGGTTATGTGAGAAGTAGAAAATGTGCTTAATGAACTGGGTAGTCTAACTGTGGTTATTTCTAAGTAAAGTGTTGAATGTACCACCTAGTTGCTTCTTGATACTTATAGTAAAATGTGACAGGGGAGAGACAAATTGAGGGAAGGGTGTGGTGTTCTTTTAAAAAGAGCCAGGACTTACGGCTTTGAAAATCTTAGCCTCTCCAAATGGCAAATAATGCTAAAATTAAGAAATGACTTCTGGGTAAAGATCAAATCTATGGCACTTCCAGGAATCGTTGTCCAAAAATGAAAAGTGTGACTGTAAAATCTCTTGTTAAAATTTAAGAAATATCAAAGATTCTATTTAGATCTTCAAAGTTATATTCAGTCACACAAAAGGCACTTTAAAGAGATTAAGAGTATGCCTTACAGATCCTTTAAATCAAAAGCTTAAAGGTGCTGTTTCATAGCCCTATGGGCAGGAACACAAGGTAGAGAAGAACTTATCTCAAGGGGATTTGTAGGTGTAGTTTTTCTCTAATGAAGTAAACCTCAATGAAATTTACAGGAGACCCAAACAGTTATTGATAAAACCGTATCAGCAAAAATATTGCCAGCTGGGACTGAAAGGGACAAAGAGAAAGCAAAATGAAAAGAGGTTCTTGGATCCCCCAAAATTCTACTAGTAGGTAGCAAACTGAGGAAACCACTCAGCTGCAAATTCTGATTCAGAAGGCTAAACCAAAAAGCTAGGCATGTAAAGCCAAGTACCCAGACCCAGTCAAGGAATATCTAACATTTGCCTGGCTGGATTGAAGATTTCTGCAGACTGGTGATTCCTTTTTGCTTCCCATTTTCTCCCTTTTTAAATAGGAACATCTACAGTGTTAATCGCATGTCTGTCCCACAATTATATGTTGGGTGTGTTGGGAGGAAGATAACTTGGCTATTTAGTTTTACAGGTCCACAAGACAAGAGGAACTTCACCCAGGTAGCAGCACCCGGACCTGATTTAGATAATGAGATTCTAAACCTTGAGCTGGTACTTTAATGATTTATGAATTTTGAGGACCTTCAGAGGGGGTGAGTGTATTTTGCATGTGGAAAGGAAGTGAATCATTGAGAGCCAGAAGGAAAACTGTGGTAGGTAGCTTTTAATCCCCAAAGAGTGCTACCTCCTAGTATTCAAGCCTTTGTGTAATTCCCTTCCCTTGAGTGCAGACTGAAATTACCCACTACCTTCTAATGAATAGTATATTGCAAAAGTGATGAGATGTCACTTCAAAGATTAGGTTACAAAAAGATTGTGGCTTTTGTCTTACTCTCTCTCACTGCCTTGCTCACTTGTTCTGAGAGAAGCCAGATGCCATATTGTGAGCTGTCCTGTACAGAGGATCACATGGTAAGAAACTGACATCTCCAGCCAACAACTAACAAGAATATGAGGCTTGACAACGACTAGAAGAGCTTGGAGGTGAATCTTTAAAGTGCTGAACCTTGAGATAACTGTAGCCTGGCCAACAACTTGATTGGAGCTTTATGGAAGATCGTGAGCCAGAGATCCCAGTTAAGAGGCTCCCTGATTCTTGACCCAGAGAAACCATACCATAATAAATGTTTGTTGTTTCAAGCTGCTAAGTTGTGGAGTTGTTTGTTTGTCTGGCAGTAGATAATGATGTGGTAGGAAACACTATCCCAAAATATAGCATCTTGACATACTGAATATTTTAAGCTGAAGTAAACTGAAAAACAAAGAAACAAACAAACAAAAAAGCAGGAAGTTCTCTCTGACCTTCTCCTATCTCTTCTCTCATAAAGTGGGCCATAGAAACTGAAATTTCCCTTGTTCCTTCTTCCCTGAAGCAGGCCAGAAAACCTAGGAAGGTTACTACTCTCTGATCTTCTCCCTCCCTCCTACCTTGAAGACCCTCATGTGACAAGTAGACTACCCCATACCGAGAGGGAAGGAATGTCACACAGAGAGGCCAAGAAGAATCTGAAAAAAACAGGCCTTGCTAAGTTTCCTGCAGCTTCTTACCATTTACCCTTTTGTCTTCTAATTGTACCTCTGCATGACTGTCCACAAAAATACAGTTTTTGCTGAATTTTTGGGTCTTCATTTCTGAAGGCTCCTGTGTCATGTGCAACTTACACTAAGTGAATTTGTTACGCTTCTCTCTTTTTAATCTATATTTTGTTACAGGAGTCTCAGCCATAAACCTAGTGATGTGTAAGAAAAATATATTACTTTTCTCCCTAATAACTAATACATTCATGTATTTTTTAAAATATTTTTAATTTTCTCACAAAACACACCACAACAATATGCCATGGACACAATACATACCTATAATTAAGAAATTTAGAAGGGCCAAAATAAACAAATGAGAAAGGTATACTAAACGGAAACAAAGGAAGCATAGGCATAGAGATACGGATATCATCAAAGTTTAATTTAAGCCCCAAAGCATTAAATACGACAAAAAGGACATTTTTGTGTGTGTGGCTAAACATTGTACTGCAAAGTGGAGCGAGCCATAATGTGTGTGAATATTTATGCACTAAATGTAGACAGTATCCATATTTTTGAAAAAAAACTACAGAATATTCAAGGAAACATAAAAACACAGTAATCATAACAGATGTTACTATAACACTGTCAGTGCAAGACAGATCAAAAGGACAAAAAGAAAATAAGGAGAAAAAATACCTAAACAACTTGATTAATAAAGTAGATTTTATGAACATATATGAGCTGTACATCCTCACATGCCTTCTGCTCAAGCACCTATTAATCCATTCTCAAAATCCAATCCTACATTAGATCACAAAGAAAACATCAGTAATGTACATTATGTTGAAATAGTTCAAATAACATATCTGATCACAATATAATAAAACTGGAAATTATTGACAAAAACAAACGAGCAAACATATAAAACAAATTAGCTCTTTCACCTGGAAATGAAAAATCCTTCTATGAAACAACTCCTGGGTGAAGGGGAAACATAGAGTAAAATTGTCAGGCCTCTGAGCCCAAGCTAAGCCATCATATCCCCTGTGACCTGCACGTACACATCCAGATGGCCGGTTCCTGCCTTAACTGATGATATTCCACAACAAAAGAAGTGAAAATGGCCTGTTCCTGCCTTAATTGATGACATTGTCTTGTGAAATTCCTTCTCCTGGCTCATCCTGGCTCAAAAGCTCCCCTACTGAGCACCTTGTGACCCCCACTCCTGCCTGCCAGAGAACAACCCCCCTTTGACTGTAATTTTCCTTTACCTACCCAAATCTTATAAAACGGCCCCACCCCTATCTCCCTTCGCTGACTCTCTTTTCGGACTCAGCCCGCCTGCACCCAGGTGAAATAAACAGCCTTGTTGCTCACACAAAGCCTGTTTGGTGGTCTTTTCACACGGACGCGAGTGAAAAAAATTACAGAATTTATATGAATAAAGACAATGAAAACAGTATGTATCAGAATCTAAGAGATATATGTAAAGCAGTGATTGCAGGAAAACTCATAAGTTTTTAAAAAAGAGCTAGGAAAGAACAAAGTAAACCAAAAGAGAGCACGAGAAAGGAAACTATAAAGGTTAAAGCAGAGATTGAGAATAGAATAAAATAGACCTCATTAATAAATCAAAATCACTTTATTAAAAAAAAAAAGCAGAAACACCACTAGCTAACTTGTCCAAGAAATGAAGGGATAAAGTACAAGTATACCAATTAAGAAATGACAAGAACTGTTGAAGCAGAAGAGATTTTTCTCTATAGAAATGAATTTGAAAATTAAGATAAAATGGGTAATGTCGTATGGAAATACATATTACCAAATTTACCCTACTAGAATTATAAAGCTTAAACAGATCGATTTTCATATAAAAATATTGAGAATATCATTAAGAAATAGCCCTACAGAAAAACAGTGTCCAGATGTTTTCCCAAGAAGACTCTAACAAACACTTAAAGATAAGATAGTTCTAATGTTCTACATATTGTTTCAGAGCATTGAGAGTAAAGGAAAAACTTCCTTATTAATTTTGTGATGCAAAACCTGATAAAGACAGTACATGAATGCAAACTACAGACCAATATCACTTGAGTGTAAATTTTAAGAAATAACAAAATATTAGCAAACAAAATTCAACATTACAGTAAGAAAATAATATACCATATTCCAAGAATATGGGTCAATATTAAGGAATTCATTAGTAACATACACCAGATTGATATATTGCCAAAAAATAACTGTACATCTGGTTATTTCTACAGATGCTGGAAAAGCCATTGACAAAATTTTAAAGCTATAATACAAAATGAGGCTATAATATGTGTAAATATTTATGCACTAATTTACATATACACTGTAAACATATAAATAAATTACTAAATTACATATATAAATTAAATACACACACACACTCCTTAGTTCTAAAACCAATATTTTATGTAAAAAGAAAACACTAGAGGCATTTCCACTCATATCAGAACAAAGCAAACAAACACACAAAAAAATAGAGATCCTGAGAGACAGAACAATCTCCCACTGTACTTTGACCACTTTTGTCATTCAAAATTGCAAATTGGAGTGAAAGTTATCTCACCAGCACCCCTCCTACTTGGGGCCCAGGTAAATAGCAGTTTAGACAAATTCCACAGGACGTTCTGTGGTGGATGCCAACAGTGTGGCTCTTAATGTCATTGCTTGTTTCAGTGGGAGAGGAGCCATTTTAAGTCATTGTGAGATGAAGAAAAAAGAAGGAAGGTGAGAAAGGGTGAAAGGGAACTCATGGCGAGAACATCTGGCTATCAGGGGCAGAACAATCTGACCAAGATATGAGACAGTGATAAGCAATGGCATCAGGTCACTTTATTCGAGTGAAGGAACCTACTGTAGGTTCAGCTAACTTGGATTTCACACAAGGTCCACTCTCCTTTTGAAAGTCTCTTCTAGCAGTAAACAAGCCATCTGCAAGAATGAGCTGTTCTGATCCCTCGGCCACACAACGTTGTCTAAAACTAATTTCTGTGAAATTAAAAAGTTGCTGGGGTTTCTACAACTTACCCTCCTTGTCTACCTCCTTCTACCCCAAGGGTGAAATTGGAGCATTTGAAGGAGTAAAATAATTAAATTATGCATCCCAATATTCTATCATGGAAGAGAAAAGTACATTGTTTTACAAGCACAAGCCAGGTTATGGAGTGAAGGAGGTAAAAATGGGAATGAGCTCATCACTGTGCAAGATAAATCCTGAGCATTTGTCTCTCAGTAAGAGCTTAGATGCATCGCCCAACATCTTCCAGCTACTTGAACATGCAACTCCCAGGACTCACTCACTATCTCATCCTTCACCTACCCCCTCCTTTGTACACATGCCAATCCTATAATGTGTAATTCCTCATGTCTACTTATTCATGCTTTGGTGCCTTCTTTAGGATTCCTAAAGCCCATGTGCTGGTGTTAACTAGCAGTTTTCTGAATCTGCTTCTAAGGAGCCCATTTCTAATTCTGCATCATGGACTAAATGAGAGGCAAGAGGACACCCAGGCAGGGCCCTTCAACAAGAGTTCTGTGGATTTATCGGTTGTACATTTTGGATTTTGGGCTAACTTTCCCCTGAAAAAAACAATCCCACTCTCCCCTATGCTCCCTTATCTACCAAGTGAGAATTTAAAATATATATCTTGGAGAAAAATTTCTGGACTATAGAGAAAGTATTGATGGGGTTCAGGATATGCCGTCCCAAAATATGACTGAGGAAGATCAGGATATGCTACTCCGAATTATACCACTTTGGCATATTGATTACTTTGAGCTAAAAGAAGTTGAGAACCGGCCAAAGAGGGAAAAGCTTCCCACGTCCCCCTCAATTGCAAACTGTAAAACTCCCTGTTTGTAAAGGAAATTTTCGTTAATAAACGCATCTGTACCAAGAGGAGAACTACTCTGAAAGAACTTTTTTTAATCACCTGAAGACATATCTGCATACCAAGGCAACTTTTATTCATTATGTATTTCCTCCCTTCACCTTCTCATAATCTGCCCCCACCACTCCTCAGATACTCCAAGTCTCTTGTTCTGAGCTCCTGTACGTTTGGGAGCAGGTACAACTAGTCAGCATCACGTGCAACTAGAATCTCAAATACCAACTTACTCTGGGATATCTGCGATTCAGGTGTTGTTTCTGCATATCTTGAAAAAATTTTCAGTGTTATATTGTCTTTCTGAGCAATAATATTTATATGCTGTAATAAAAAATCCAGTAAAACTCCAAATATGACTTTCTGTTCACTACTAGATATATATATTTAGAGCATTTTAAGAGGTTTCTCTTCTAAAAATGAAAGTGACACTGTGATAACTGTAGGCCTTAGACCTTAGGAGACATTGCAACTTCTATGATTGCTCTCCCTGAATGCTGCAATGAGACTGTCACATAAGGAAGTTTATCTATCCTATTTAAGGATGAGAACCACAGAGCCCCAGCTGATGATTAGAATCAACTGCCAGACATGTGAGTGGGGATCTTGGGCCTTGCAGCCCAACTGATGCTCCAGCTGACAACGGTTGTATGAGTGAGCTCAGGTGAAACTAACAAAGGGATTTCCCTGTAAACTTACACACAACGGTGAGACATAATATTTTGTTGTTATTTAAAATTACTAATTTTAAATAATTTTTCAGGTGTCTCATTATGCAGCAATAGATAAGTGATAGAAGCAGAAATATTACTTGAGGCCGAGCATGGTGGTTTATGCCTGTAATCCCAGCACTTTTGGAGGCTGAGGCAGGAGGATTGCTTGAGCCCAGGAATTCAAGACCAGCTTGGGCAACATAGTGAGACGCAGTCTCTACAAATAATACAAAAAGTAGCTGGGACTGATGGTGTGCACCTGTGGTCCCAGCTACTTGGGAGGCAGAGGCAGGAAGATTGCTTGAGCCCAGGAGGCGGAGGCTGTAGTGAGCCATGATCATGCCACTGTACTCCAGCCGGGGCAACAGAGAGAGATCTTGTCTCTAAAAAAAAAAAAAAAAAAAAAGAAAGAAAAAAGAAAGAAAGAAATACTATTTGCCCAAGTCAGAGTATTATTATTTTCAGCATTTTCGTGACAAGCAGGTACAAGTTGTCCCTGTTCAGCTAAGTCACATGGCTTGGTAGGCAAAATCAGCTGCAATTCTGCAAACATAGTAACTGTGGTATAGTTTTTGTTCAGTGAAGACAAATTACCTATTTTATTATCTAAATTTTAAACCCTTTAATATGCTTTCCCAAAAGTTGTCTGAAAATTTTTTTAAAAATCACGAAAGAAAACTAGTGGAAAGCATGACCTAAAAAATGCAATGATTTTCTCAACCTGAAACCAGAAAAATAGAACATTCAAGTATTGAATGAGACATTTTAGTTCAAACTTTGAGGAAGTGACATTTCAGCATAGAACTGAAAGCAGTGAGGGAGTTTGCTGTGCAGTCATCTGGAAGAAGTGGACCAGGCAGAGGGAATAGGAAGCTCGTGCAAAGGCCCCAGTTCAGGAATGCAGTTGTCACGTTCTTAGTATGATTAACTTTTGATAACTATTTATAGTGAGAACAGTGTAGAATAACACAATTGAAAATAAGCTAAACTTTATGAAATTCTTTATTTTCAACATAAAGCGGGATACAAAGTTGACTAATAGAAAAGCAACTTCTGTCTCACTTTCAATAAAAAAAAACTAAAGGACATTGGCTTTAAGTATTTGCTAGCTCAAAATCTGGTTGTAATCTATGTCTCTACATCATTGCCTGGCTCTAATCTCCACCCTTATGACCAACCCAGGTGTCTGGGAGTCTAGTCCAAGTTTCTTGTTCTGAGCCCCTGTAAGTTTAGAAGCAGGCACAACTAGTAAACATCACATGCCACTGGAATCTGAAATGCCAACTTATTTTGGGTGTTCTGGGATTCAGGGGTTGTTTCTGCATTCCCTGAGAAAAATGCTCAGAGTGTTACATTGTCTTTCTAAAAAATAATATTTGTGTGCTAATAAAAAATCCTCCTGAAGTCTAAATATGACTTCTTGTTCACTACTAGATGTACATTTATGGCATTTTAAGAGGTTTCTCTTCTAATTTTTTTCTCTTCATAAAAAAGTATCAAATTTATTTTAATATGTAGTTTCATTTTAAAATTAGAGCTGTTGGACAATTGTTTGTAACTTAAAATTAATTATCAGAGGTGCATAAAACATTAACCAGTTATTAAATACTGACAGTGGATAAAATTACTGGACCAAGTATTTATAAATGCCAGGTTTAATAGTAAGAAGCTCCAGTTACACTACTTAGCTAAAAGAAACATGCTTTAGGCCAGGCGCGGTGGCTCACACCTATAATCCCAGCACTTTGGGAGGCTGAGGCAGGTGGATCACGAGGTCAAGAGATCGAGACCATCCTGGCCAACATGGTGAAACCCCGCCTCTACAAAAAATACAAAAATTAGCTGGGCATGTTGGCGCATGCCTGTAGTCCCAGCTACTCGGGAGGCTTAGACAGGGGAATCACTTGAACCTGGGAGGCGGAGGTTGCAGTGAGCTGAGATTGTGCCACTGCACTCCAGCCTGGTGACAGATCGATATTCTGTCTCAAAAAAAAAAAAAAAAAGAAAGCATGCTTTAGCTCTTCTAGTAATTGCACATTTTTATTTTTAAATAATTTATTCTTACCCAATTACTACCATGCCCAATGAAATTTTCCAAATTTTAAGACGTTCTTTACTACTTATGAAGTATGACTTAACTGTTAACTCTTTGAGAGTTCTTTGAGAGTTCTTGAAACATCATTTGAAGTCTTAAGTCTCACCTTGAACCTATTCGATCAAAAAATATTGAACATTACTACCACATAAATTAAAACAGAGAATGGGATAAAAAACCGAAAGTGGAATCTATATAAACAGCAAATTATGGGATAGTACATTCTATTTCACAGTGGTACTTAGCATACGAATAAACTGGTTCTTGGCTGAATGCGGTGGCTCACGCCTGTAATCCCAGCACTTTGGGAGGCCAAGGTGGGTGGATCACGAGTTCAGGAGATCGAGACCATCCTGGCTAACACGGTGAAACCCCGTCTCTACTAAAAATACAAAAAAAAAAAAATAGCCGGGCGTGGTGGCAGGCACCTGTGGTCCCAGCTACTCGGGAGGCTGAGGCAGGAAAATGGCGTGACCCTGGGACATGGAGCTTGCAGTAAGCCGAGATCACGCCACTGCACTCCAGCCTGGGTGACAGAGTGAGACTCTTGTCTCAAAAAAGAAAAAAAAAAAAAAAAGAATAAACTGGTTCCAAGTTACTACAGCGTTTGGCATATTTATTGCAAGCTTTAAATAATAATGTCACTTTTCTCAACAAGTTATCTCTAAAAAAATGGCAGTGCTTTTAGGTACAAAAACTGTTATATCTAGTAGGCAAAATTCTACACAGTCAAAATAAAAGAATTTTTTATAAAATTATGTTTTAAAAATGCAGAATGTCTTGATAATTACTAGTTGTCTGAAAGACTAAAATCAGAAAAATGCATCAATTAGATGTACTTATTGATTAATATTACTTTGCTTTGATAAAGCCAGAAATGATTCTATTCCAAGAAATAAGCAATAATAATAAGATATGTGATTAATGTACTGTATCTCTTTTAAGCCAAAGCACACTTTTCATCTCAGAGAAGACAATCCTGACTTTTAACATTCTTAATTTTCTTTACGCAGAACAGGGCCCCATTTTAAACCATTATTTGAATAGAGTTCATAATCAAAAGTCATTTTTCTCCAAAAGATATTTTCATTTCAGTACAAAGCTGCAAAATGGCAAATGACTAAGTCAGTTATAAATAATTTGTACCATAATAAGTGCTAATTTACAAGAATTGTCAATAGATACCAACAAACTTCTATACCCAAGCCTAGAAGTTGCTATAGTAATAGGTTAGAACTAACACAGTTCTTCCATATGGTCAGATTTTGTTTGCTAAATAAGACTGTTATGAACTCGAAAGAAGAAATCTTAATAGGTCTTTCCAAGGCTGCATAATTTTCCAAATTATTTTCCTTTGATTGTAGAGCCTGCACATTTTTTCAGTCCTTTTATGGTTGTTTAGCTTTTGCAATATTTTCTTGATGTTTTTGTTTCTTCTTTTGCTCCTTTCACTGGCCTCAATCATCTTGGCCAATTTCCAAAACAGTACAGCACCTGCCAGTAACAGTGGAGGAAAGGCCAAAATGTCTTTTGTAAGAAAACCATATGGGTCCTTTGCAGCCCCATTATACAACGTATTCAGCCCAAGCTTTTATATCAAACATCTTTATAGCAGTTTCACTTATTCTTGATTAATGACCTCTCATTTTGTCCTGGGATTATTAGTGAGCCAATCACAATTTTAGATTACCCTTGGTGGTTTGTATTCTTTAGTTCTACTGTACACTTCTGAGAGAAGGTTTAAATTTCTAAGGGGACCATGTTCACTCCTGCCCTTCAGCCCTGGCAAGTGTGGGTTCCTCACCCCACCATGAGCCAGGTAGGACTTACAGATCCCCAGAAATGTGGGGGTGACACACTACAACTTGTTCTGCCAGCACCAAAGCCGCCATCTCTGCTGTGCACTGGGACAAGAACCACTGCAGCAGTGGCCACTAGCCCTTCCTACAAACTGCCAGGGTCTCAGACTTCCATTTCCATTTTCAATTAACTAATGTTTTAAAATGCCTAGAAACCGAAATAATGGCTTTTAAAAAGAAGTTAATTACTTTAGATAATTTCATTTTATGAAAATATATGCTAGGTTAAAAATTTCAAAGATACAGAGAAGCAAAAATAAGCCAAATGCAATTCTGCTACTCAAATATGCAGTTTCTATTTTATATTATTCTATTCTTGAGCATATACCTGTAAATAAATATATGATAAAATGGGCTGAAATGCTATGCACTATTTGTAACCCATTGTCTTACCTTATTGATATATAATGAAATTCTATCCTTCTTAATAAAAATATGCCTGTATTATCATTTTTGATGGCTACACTTGTCTCCTATTTAACTAATACTATGTTGAATAAGTTTGATTTTGTAAATACAGAATGGTTATCATGAGGTTGTTTCCATGTTTATATCCATGACTATTTTCAGTTTCTGGAAGTGGTTTAAGTGGACAGTTATTATTCATATGCACTAGCAGCTCATTCCCTTGCAGAGTCATTTTGCTATACCACCAAAACTCTTTTTAATCCTTTAGAATTAAAAATCTTTTTCAAGTTTTAGAATGCTAAATTCTTTATAATTTAGAACTCTTACACTTTTTTTTTTAAGAGATGGGATCTTGCTCTGTTGCCCAAGCTGGAGTGCAGTGGCACGATCCTAACTCACTGCAACCTTGAACTTCTGGTCTCAACGGATCCTTCTGCCTCAGCCTCCCAAGCAGCTGGGACTATATTTATGCCACCACTCCTAGCTAATTGTTTTTTAAAAACATTTTGTAGAGATGAGGTCTCGCTATGTTGCCCAGGCTGGTCTCAAACTCCTAGCCTCAAGCAATTCTCCTGCTTTGGCCTCACAAAGTGCTGGGATTAGAGGCGTGAGCCACTGCACGTGGCCTAGAATTCTTTTTAATCATTGCCAATAAATAGGGAATAAATAGTGTCTAATTTAAAAATTTGGAATTTTGGTTACTAGTATTGATAAACAATTTCCCACAAATATTAACAATAATTTAATAATGTTGTCAGATATTCAGTACATATTAACATTGCCCCAAGTATCTCAATAATGTCTTCTATGGTTTTCTTTTTTCAAATGAGGGTCCAATCCAATTTATGCATTGCATTTAGCTATTATGCCTCTCCCCATCCTCATTTTTATGACATCGATTGTTGAAGATTTTAGGCCAGTTATTCTATAGAATATCATCCATGCTTGATTTGTCTGATTGTTTCTTCACGGAGTAATTTAAGTTATCCTTCTATTTTCTATGTATTATAACTTTTTTTCTATGTATTATTTTCTATGTATGTATAACATTAAAATCTCAATTTTCGTTTTTTCTTCTCTTTTTTGAGACGGAGTTTTGCTTTTGTCACCCCCAGGCTGGAGTGCAATGACATGATCTTGGCTCACTGCAACCTCCGCCTCCCGGGTTCAAACGATTCTCCTGCCTTAGCTTCCTGAGTAGCTGGGATTACAGGTGCACGCCACTACCTTCGGCTAATTTTTGTATTTTTAGTAGAGCCAGGGTTTCATCACATTGGCCAGGCTGGTCTCGAACTTCTGACTTCAGGTAATCCGCCCTTCTTGGCCTTCCAAAGTGTTGGGATTACAGGCATGAGCCACCATACCCAGCCTTTTTTCTTCTTTCTTAGACAAGGTTTTTTGTTTCACCTTTTGTCAACAACATTACACAACGTCAGTGATTAAATATTCCTCTCTTCCCTCAAAATATTTTATTGGTCTAAGTTCTAAGCAATTACTATGCTTATTGTTAGGCTCCAATCATTTATATATACACTTCAAATTAGCACATTTTTGTAACATTTCTTTAATAAATTTTGTATTCAAATTAATGAAAATTAATTTAGAGAACTCCCATTTATATGGTGGGTCCTCAACACATGCCGAATCAGCTCCACATTCCTCTCAAGAATAAGTCCATAATGGTTCAGAATCATTCAAGCTCACTTCAGCACAGTTTCCGTCTCTAATCCCTGTGTTATTACACATTATTGTGTGTATATAATAGATTTGAAATAAACAATGATAGCATGATGATTATAAAAATAAAGAGAGCTTGAGTTACTTTAATTCTGCTATTTCTGTCGATCTCTGCAAACACTTAGAATTTTCATTTGTGTTTAAACTTTAAAATGATGAAACAGGATGTGAATTGTAAGGAGAGATATTTTTGTTTGGTAAATCTGAAATTTAGTTTATAGATGAAATCATCTTATTGAATTTAAATAATATCATTAAAATTAAAATATATTCATCTTCTTAATTTTTAATTCTTTGTATTAAAACTAAAGACCAAATGAAGAAAATGGTCATTATTATTTATTATTGCATAGTTATTACTGCAATAATGTTATCACATAAAGGAAAGGGTTGTTAAAAAATGATCTACTCCTGGTGTGAAATGAGCTGTGTTGATTCAATAGATTATTTTAGAAAATACATCTGCCAAATTTGTGTTACCAAAACACCAGGGGGTTGGTCTAGGTCCCATGGCTCACTGCACAGTAAGTCAATCACTGAGACAATGAGTATTGCCAGGGAAGAAGGCTTTCTATTTGGGTGATGTAAAGCAGAGAGATGGGAGCCAAGCCTCAAATCTATTTCTTCAAACCAACTAAAATTGGGGGTTTACATAGCCGGTAAGGCATGTAACTACATGTGGGAAAACAGGAAATAGGGAGAGGTAAGGAAACAATCATGATGAATGAGGGGTCTGGCATCTCATTGTCTGGATGCAGTGATCCGGTGGGTTTCAGTTTCTTGTCTGAGGGTCAGTTTCCTGAGGAAGAAACTAAGATAAGACAATCGGGCCAGTTTTGTTTGTATCACAGTCTAACCACTCACATTAACACTTACTCTATCATTCAGCTATTCATTCATTCAATACTTATTTATTGGGTCCTACTTTCTGCCCAGTATTATTCTACATGCTGAAGATATAAGTTGGAATGGGAAAAATTCCATGGTCTCATAGAAATTACATTCTAGTACAGGAAACAGAAATCTAAATAATTAAGATTTATAATATAATGCTATATAGTAATAAATACTGTGAAGAAACAAAATAAAGCAGGGAAAAGGAGCAGTGGGTGATTTGTGTGTGAGGGAGTGCAATAGTTTAGATAGAGTGGTCAAGCAAGACCTCTGTGCAGGTGACATTTGGGCAGAATCCAGAAAAAAAGCGTAAGCAAAATGGCCATCTGTGGAAGAGAATAATAGGTAGGAGGAACATCAAGTGCAAAGACTCTGAGGTAGAATTTTGCTAATCACTTTACAGGAGTAGAAAAGAAACCAGTGATGTTAAAATAGCGTTAGTGAGAGCAGAAGGGTAAGATATGAGGTCAGATATTTGTATGGTCTTGTAAGTTAGAGTAAAGGTTTCAAATCTGACTTTTAGTGAATGAGAAGCCGTTGGAATGTTTTGAGTAGAATAGTAACTTTATCTGACTTACCTTTAATGGTTATCCCTCTGGTTTTGAGTAGAATAGTAACTTTATCTAACTTACCTTTACTGGAATCCCTCTGGCTTCTTTGTGTAGGCTAGACCAGAGGGGAGTGGGAAAGCAGAGAGACTTTTAGGAGTATATGTTATCTCTTTAGGGGAGAGATAAAGTGTCTTTGACCAGGCAAACTGGGGTGGAGAGGGTGAGACCTTGTTGTATTCTTAATACATTTTGAGAGTAGACCAAAGATGTTTCAAGATGCAGGAGAAAGTTAGCTTATGCAAATTAGCAGGATCACTAAAAGTAAAATTACAGAAGGAGGTTAAATAAAAGAGCAAATCTTTAATGTGACTAAAACTGAATTATTTGGAAGAAGGATCATGTAGCACATTATCACTCAAAACACAATTCCAGGAGCTAATGCAGTGAGAGCTTGCAAATTCAAATTGTTCCTTTTTTCAGCCTAAGCATTCTCTTGCTCTGTCTCTGCACCTCAAATTTGGTTCAGATCAGTATTACCTTTTTGTATCTGACATATATAACAAAATAGTAGTTTCCAATTCAATTGCTTAACATTTTTAAAGAAATATAAAATACATGAAATAAATGGCACAAATCACAGGTTTTCAGCTCACAAAATAATAATGAGTTACCATCCAAATAAGAATCAAAACATTACCAGCATTCCGCAAGTGATCCCTGTGTTCCCTCCCAAGTGCAAACCCCACTCTCCTCCCAGATGTAACCAATATCTTGTTTCTTAACCCCATGTTAATTTCCTGTGTGAATTTTATATAAATGGAAGCATGCAGTATGTGCTCTTTTATGTCTGGATATTTTGCCCAACATTATATTTATGGGGACAATTCATCATTATCATTGCACATAGCAATAGTTCATTAATTTTTATTGCTATATTTTACGTGAATATACTCAATTCATTTATCCACTTGACTAATGAATATCTGAGTGATTTTTTGTGTTTGGCTATTATGAATGATGTGTCTATGAACAGTCTTGCACATGACTTTTGATGCACATAGATATGTATTTCTTTGGGCATATATCTAAAAATTATTTTTCATAGGATATGCAGTAAATAGTAAAACTCCCAATTTTCAGAAGTGGTTGTACCAATTTACAGTAGTGCCCATGATATATGAGGGTTGTAGCTGTTCCAAATCCTTTAAATGCTTGATATTTTCATTCTTCTTAATTTTAGCCATTCTAGTATGTTGTGATATCTCATTGTGACTTTTTAATTTGCATTTTTATTTTTTATTTATTTTTGAGACAGGGTCTCACTCTGTTGCACAGGTTGGAGTGCATGATCATGGCTCCCTGCAGCCTCAATCTCCTGGGCCCAAGCCATCCTCCTGCCTCAGCCTCCAGAGAAGCTGGGACTACAGGCATGCACCACCACACCCAGCTAATTTTTTATTTTTTATTTTTCTGTGGAGACCCTCACTATGTTGTACAAGCTGGTCTCAAAC
This sequence comes from Homo sapiens, assembly GCF_000001405.40. Classification (NCBI taxonomy): domain Eukaryota; kingdom Metazoa; phylum Chordata; class Mammalia; order Primates; family Hominidae; genus Homo; species Homo sapiens. The sequence goes on along the minus strand of NC_000023.11, from coordinate 42,994,815 downwards.
TCCTGGGCTCAAGCAATCCTACCACCTCGGCCTCCCAAAGTGCTAGGATTACAGTCATAAGCCACCAGGCCTGGCCTAATTTGCATATTTAATAATGAATAAGGTTAATTACTTTTTCACATATCCCAAGGAATAAGAAAAATATTTGCATTTAAGGTTACAAATTCCCTTACATATACAGCTTTAAATGCATTCCATAAGCTATGACAGCTTGTGTTTTAATTGTTATTCAATTTGGAATATTTTATAATTAATATTATTATTTCTTCTCTGACCTATTGTCTATTTAAAGGTGTGTTTTTAAATTTTGAAACATGGGAATTTTCTGGTTATCTTTTTAAAAATAATGTCTAGCTTGCTTCCATTGTCATAAGAAATGTACTCTGAATAATTTTATTCCTTTGAAATATGTTAAATGGTAAATTTTCGTAAATGACTCATGTGTCCTTGTAAGAAAATAATCTACAATTTGAAGAGTCAATCTTTTATGCATGTCAAATTAGAACAAGCAGGAAACAAGCAGAAGATTTGAACAATATGATACACAATTTTCATTTGCTTTGACATTTATAGAAGAAGCAGAAAATATTTTCTGACCACAATAAAACAGAAGTGGAAGTTGACAACAAAAGTAAAATGAAAAAAATTCACCTCTAAATTAAAGTGAAATACAACTTTTTTTCCCAACAACCGATATAAGAGGGAAAACTATCAGCCCAAAAATAAATGCATACCATTATATAACTGCTATATATCAGATAAAAATTAAAGCATTGCTCAGAATAAAAATCTTAGCCCCAAATACTTATTATAATAATCAAGAAAAATAAATATAAATTAAACTCAGTAAGTTAGGAAAAGAACATATTAAATCTAAGGTAAGGAGAAAGGAAATTAAGTAAAAACAAATCTGCTAGATTGAAAAAATAAATCAAAGAGCCAATTATTTAGAAATGTCAATAAAAGGAATAACATCACTGTATTAGTCAGAATAAACTGAGCTTCAACTTTAATTGTAAACAATCCCTAAATGTTAGTGGCTTATCACATAAATTTTATTTCTCATGCACTCAAAGTCTACTGTGGGTTAAAAGACTCTCCAAGGCAGCTTTTTTTTTTTTTCCATATAGTAACTCAACGACTCAGTTTTCTTTGACTTGGGGTTCTGCTCTATCAACACATGCCCTCCATGCTCACTGCAAGTAAGGAAGAAACTCTGGAAGATTTCAGGACTTTTCACCCTCAGCCTGGATGTGACACATGCCCCTCTCCCTACTGCTACCTGATTGTTGCCTAGAACTAATCATATGAAAGGTATGGTCTTCCATATGCCCTGGAAAGAGAGCAGAACTAAATACCTGTGGGTTACAGTGAAATGGCTATAACAATCATTAATTAACTTAATCAAGGAAGAAAGGGAGAAAGTACAAATACTCTAAATAAAAAATACATATAATCAAGAAATAACCACAGATACCAAGGAAATTAAAAGAATTGTATGACATTAATTTGCTCATCTCCATACAAATACATTTGTGATTCTGCATAAAATGGTTGATTTTCTCAAAGAATATAAATTTTCAAATTTATTCCAGGTAAGTGTAGAGGAGGAAAAATATATTTTCCTTCTACCTTTCTGAGTTCTTGGCTGGGGCTCCTATAATAAAGACAGATTAACAAGAGAAAAGTATACCCATTTATTTAATATAGGTTTTACATGACATAAGAGCCTTCATAAGTAAATGAAGATCAAAAGAAGTGGTCAAACTTGAGTGTTTTTAATGCTAGGTTTGATAGAGTAGAAAGTCATAGAGAATTATAATAGGATGAAAGGATATGAGCTGGGGAAAACTTAGCAAGGCCTGTGTGTTTAGATTCTTCTCGTTCTCCCTGTGTCTTTGGAGATAAGGACACTTTTCCTGGTCATATCTTCATAACTCCTCCTCACCTTCCAATATCCTTCTTTCTTTGTTTCAACAGAAGGTGGTATTTAAGCCTGAACTCTAAGCCACTGTTTTGAAAAGTACTAATTCTTTGCATATTTCCTATGTATATGTTAATGGAAAAGCTAGACTCTTAAAGGGTTTATTCTGAGCCAATAGGAGTGAACACAGCTTGAGGAAACAGTCTCAAGGAATCCTGATAAAGTATACCCAACGTGGTCAGATTATAGTTTGGTTTTATACATTTCAGGGAGGCAGCAGGTATAGGCAAAGGCACAAAGCAATATATGGAAGATATACATTGATTTGGCCCAAAAAGGTGGGATAACTTGAAGCAGGACCTTACAGGTTATAGGTGGACTCAGAGATTCTTTAATTTGCATTTGGTTAAAAGAGTAAGGCTCTGTCTAACACTTTGAGTCAACAGAAAGGAATGTTTTAAGTTAAGGATGTTATGTGGCAAGATTGATGGCCTTCAGATGTGACTTAACCCTTGCCTTATATGGCCTTAGGTCTTGTTTATAATTTAGTATCTTATTGCCACAGAGTCTCTTTTGTCATTCTTATGATCTCTGTTTTAACATCAGTGCTGGTCAGTTGTGCCTAAACTCCAAAAGGGAGGGTGTATAATGAGGCGTGTCTGACCTCCCTTCCCATCACAGCTGGGAACTCAGTTTTTAAGGTTTCTTTGGGGTCCTTTTGGCCAAGAGAGGGTCTGTGCAGTTGGTGGAGGGCTTAGGACTTTTAGTTTACATATATATGAGGTATACATGTCAGTAAACTTCTGTTTGTTTTTCTCTTGTTAATCTGTCTTTTGTTACAGGGTTCCAGCTAAGAACCCAGAACAGATAAAGAGAAATTTATTTTTCCTCCTGTACAATGCCATGGAATAAGTGAACTACAATTGGTTTAATTATCAGTAGCTGATAGACATTTGACCTTTTTTTAATTTGAAATAAATTTTATCATATTGTATATATTGTTTCACAATTTTCTTTTTTAATAAGTATTACATTTTTATGGTTTACTAATATTTATACTTAGAACTTAAATCTATTGATTTTCTTGCTGTATGTATTTATTATCTGAATTTAAGAAAATCTATCAAGTCTCCTCTGAATGGGCATTTTATATTTATACAATTTTTCTTATAAACAATGTTAGAAAAAATTTCCATGCATTCTCCTTGTGCACATGTGCAAACCAATACATTTTTAATATTTATATGTATTCATATTTTCCTAAAAGTAAACTCAAGATTTCTGGAACAAGGTAGATTATGATTACTTACAGCAATAACCTCATTGGTTTCCCTTTGGCACAAATCTTCCTTATTCTAAGGTGATGCGATGAGAGCCAGGTGTCATCCTACTGATACCATGTCCTGTACTGTAGGTGAGGAACGCAAAAATATGAATCTGGGAACTTATATAGACATTATACCCCATCCCCAGAGGGGGACTGCAATCTCCCTAATATAAACAATTTCTCCTTGGACAAAAGAAGGGGAAGGTCTCCAGACTTTGAAATGTAAATAAATGTCTTCAAGAGGAAGATAAGACAAAAATCTCTGTCCTCAGGTTTATAACCCCTGAGATATTTTCATGGCACAAGGGAGATGTTTTGTCTTTTGAAAAGGAGCAGATGGCTTCAATCTAATACCCTAGGAATTTGAGGAGCCAATGGGTCTGAGGTTAGGGAGGCTTTCTCTAGCAAGTCAATTTTCTCTCCTCAGGAAGTCAAACAGTGCAAAAACATGAAAATATTCAATTCCTGACATAAGTGTTTACTAGAAAACAATTAGAAGTGAAATTACTGGGTTGTAGGATACGCGTCTTCAACTTTTCTAACCATTGCTAAATTACTTCCCAAATTAGTATTATCAATTTAAGCTCCCACTGATGGTGTACTAAAATTATCGTTTCCTTACATCTTCATCCACAAATATTGTGAAATATTATTTTTTGCTAACCAGATAACTCTGACATGATGTAGCACTGTTTTCTAAATTCTCATTTTCCTGACTTCCAGCAAGGTAGAGGATTTTTAAAAATGTATCGGCAATTTTAGTTTCCTCTTAACTGCTTGTTCACATTCTTTGCTCATTTAGATATTGAGTTATTTGTGTTATTTATTGATTTGTAGGCATAATTATACATTCTGGAAGCTAATACTTTGCTATTTGCATGCATTGCAAATATATTCTCCCAAGCTGTGCCTTATCTCTAATCTTTCCACTTATCTAATGGTATTCTGATTTATAAAAAAAAAAAAATGTTAATTTAGTAAAAATGTATCAGTGTTTTGCCTTATGAAGATGTTTTGTTTCTAGCTTAATAAATCTCAAACCCAAAGTCACATGCATATTTTCCCATAAGTAATTTTGAAATTTTAGTTTGTTTTTTCAAATTTTGGGTTTTATTCCGCTTGGAATTTATTTTTAATTATATTGTAAAGTTTTCAGCACACTTAGTTGTTATTTTTTATAAATAACTGTGAGGAAAGAATTTGAAATTATGGCCTTTAGATTATATGTAGTGTCCAAGTCCATTGAAGTAAAAGGATATTAAACTAGGGTTAGGAGGAGGTCTATGGAGAGACAGGTTTATAGCAAGATAGAGATAAAGGTGTTGATCTGGACTATAATTATTCCTCCTCACACTAGACAAGGGATTGGATTAGATCTTGCTGATTATAATTTTATGAAAGCAGACCAATCGTGTGTGTGTGTGTGTGTGTGTGTGTGTGTGTGTGAGAGAGAGAGAGAGAGAGAGAGAGAGAGAGAGAGACTATTTCCTAAACAGAAGCACTAGATTGCTAATGAAAGTCCTCTGGACTACTGATATAAGCACGCATATAACAGGACAGGAACCCAGTAAGAATTCAGCCATTTTCTGCTCTGAGGTGTCTGGCAGGTGTTCACACTTTGTAAATTTAGGGGAAGTGGAAAATAAAAAGGCCCTTCTGATTCATGCAGCATCTGTTCTGGTTCTGTCTGGCTATCTTACTTCCATTAGGTTCTATAATTATGTCTAAATTAACTGACATTTTAAAGAAGTTTGGGGGAGGGTAAATCTCAATTTTATTCACTAGAATTTTTAAATTTCCGGTTGTCCTAGCAAAACGTATAGATCAGTCTGTGTTTTCCCATTGATTTGTAATGACAACTCTGTCATATACCAAGCTTCCACATAGGCATGCGTTTGTTCATGGCCTCCTTATTCTGTTTGTTGAGTTTATTTGCCAATCTCTGTGACAATAATTCACCATTATTAGTTATTGTATCTTTAGAATAAATCTTAACATTTGCTAGTGTGAGTCTCTGCACTTGTTTTATTTCTTTTATTAACTTGATTATTTTTGGACACTAAAATCACCTTTAAAAATCCATGTGGATTTTAGGATTATCATGGTAAGTTTCAAGAAAAGTTTTGTTGAATGTTGTGATTGTAATGTTATTAAATTCAGAGGTCAGAATTGACATGCTATTGTATTGATTTGTTTTCTTCATGAACATAGTCTATTTGATCAGTATTTCTTTAATGTCCTTTCATTATGTTTTATAACTTTGCTTGCACATATTTTGTTAGACTTTTTTCTAGAGGTTTCTTGTTATTTTGAACATTATTGTTTTTAAGTTACATTTTCAAATCGTGTGGCAGCCATAGAAGTGATTCCCTCAGATTTCCATTCAGTGAAAACCTGTTGCAGCACCTTTGAGATTTACTGCAGTGTATAAGTCAAGGGCACATTCTCTCCAGGCAGCTCCAGTGGCAGACTAAGCACAACAGGAGTGCCAGGACCTAGCCGTTACCACCTAAGGTAGAATTCCTCTAGAAACAGCCTTTACACTGAGGTGCCTTGTTGCACTGGCCATGATTTTCTCAGAGATGCTCCTCAGACTGAACTTTTTTTCTACATAATATCCTTGCTCCACTCCTTTATCAGGTGTCAGACATGCATTGCAGCATGAAGGCTTTCCCTGTTGACTTGTTTCATTTCCTCTTATCTTTCAAAGGTGTTAGTTGCAATAAAATTCTTGCACTTCTAATTCTATCTTAGCATCTACTTATCAAAGGACCTCAACTGACACAACTTATTATCAGAAGTGGTACAAGAAAGCATGCATTAAGATAAAATTTAGAGATTGACTAACTTATTACTTGGCTAGAAAAGAGAACCCCATCTCAAGTGGTATGTGGAGTACTACAGATAATCCTGGGCATAAAATAGTGGCAAAATTGCTAAAACGTTAATTGGCAATGACTGCAAATAGCATTCTGATGAAATGAAACACTCTGATCAATGGGATGTCACAAATATTGGAAAGGTATGAGGTGAGCAAAATATACTAGGATAATGAGCTTGAATAATTATCATTAAGTTGCATGGGAAACCTACAGAAGAATAATGAGAAAATAAAGGCATTTTAAAAAATAGATTAACACTAAATATGAGGACCTTTTTGGTAGCTTACAGATACACCAGCTGAGAAAAAAATCTCAAGATCTGATAGTTAGGATTAAGGAGCTTCAAAGACAAGTCAATGCTCAAAGTAAGTCTATTACACGAAGGTCACAGAAAAAGTTAGAAAAGTCTAGAACCCTAACATGTGAGATGAAGACTTCTGGGTGTATATTCCCAAGGATTATGGCTAGACAGACTTCTCTGAAACATAAGGAGGCTGTATAGGTGGCCCAGGCACCTTATTAACCCATTTATGCCTGAGTTGGTAATTTTTGGAATTTTTGCAATCAGACCTTGGCAATGACCTTGAGCAGTAGGATATAAATAACTCCCACATGCTTAGCATCCAATAATGGAACACTAGGCATAAATAGGTTAAAAGACAACAATTCCCCTGTGTGAAAAGCACTACAGGGGCCTCTCTCATGTGGGGCAAAAGGTGCTCCCCTCAGAAGCTTCTCCCATCTCCTCCTTTGTGTACCAGATTGATAACTAAGGCTAAATTCTAATATACACTGGCTGGGGTCATGCTGCGTGTAACAAGGAAAGAAAATGACTGCACCCAATAGGAACTGCAAGAATTGGCTAGTATTTACTGGCAGGAACCAAGGGGGTGTACATGGAATTAGATTTTGAGGGTGCTTGATCAAGTGGGCCAGAATATAATATAGGATAAGCAAGAGTTCACTGACTTGGGCCCATTCTTTTAGGACAAAGAAAATAATACCCAGGCAAGAACTCTCAGGGGATGAAACAAAGTTTCTACTAGTATGACTCTTAAGAGTCCAAGTTATAGCCTATGTGGAACAAAGTAGAGATGCCTGAGATTTCCTAGCAAAGAATGGAAGAATAAAGTTAAAAAGTCAGAGAAATGGCCATGCTGGAATATGTATGTTATGTGAAGCCAGAAGACTTACCAGAGGTTTATATTCCCTGAAAAGGCCCAGAGGACACAATATTGACCAAAGCCATCAGGTGTGCACTGTTGGGAAGAGCACCAACACTACTAAGGAGTTCCGTGGTGGCTATCCTCTGTGGGCCAGGGCTGATGTTAGGAGGAGTACTCACATAGTTTGGCTCATTAACAGCAATGGGGATGATGGCCACAGCTCACCCAAGCAATGTAGGCCTAGTGAAGCTCTTCACTTGTTTCTTTCCCTCTTGCTGTCTCTCTCCTCTTATTGCTGCACTCAAGTTGCCTAGTTTCCCCATCTAGGTCAAATTTGGCAATTGGCAGTACTTGTATCATGGTGCTATTCTGAGTGTGGCTAATTCAGTTACAGGGATATCTGGCAACTCTATGTCCTATAATGTCCTGGGTCTTCTGTGTTTTATGAGCTGATGCCCTAGTTAGAAACTGGCAGAGGCAATTTTCAACCTCTTTTCAGAAGGGATAATCTCAGGGATGGGCCTTGATTCTGGCTGCCTACTTATATGAAGATTTTAAACCTGGTCATCTCTGTTTTCAGCCTTAATGTCCAGCCAGCTTGTGACTTCAGCCCTGTTCCCAATTCTGGTTTCTATTTCACATCTTATTATTATTTTTTGCAATGCTTATCTTGCCTATAAGCCCAGTTGTAGCTTCTTATGTTCTCTTTTTAATATATTTCCATCACTCTTATGTGCTTAAAGCAGAAGAGACATTAAAAGCATAGATTTAAAATATCATCCAGGCAAAAGTACATTCCATTTATACAGAAAAATTGTCCTGCCTTTACTCTCTTAAGGTTATCATCTTTATCCTTGATTTCTGTCATTTCACTAACATGTTTCCAGAAAAATTATTTTTATTAATCTTGTTTGGTACTTTGAATGCTTTTTGATAAGACCCATGTCTTTCTTCAGTCCTAGTAACTTCTAAGTATTTTTATTTCAAATAGTGCTTTGCCACCATTTCATCTATGCTTGTTCTAGGACTCTTATGAAAAATGTTTGTCCCTCACTTTCTTCCTTTCATCCTTCTTATTTTTTTCTTCCATGAAATAAATTCAGATTCACTGGACTTTTACTATGTTCAATGCACACTGAAAGGCTTAAAATACTACCCCAAAGTTATGGAGGTCTTGAAATTACTAAACCAAATGCTTTGGGACATTGGAATGGAAATAAAATGGGTGATGCTCAAGAAAATATCCCCTTTAGCTTCTACTTATAAGTTTTTTTTTTTTCTCAACACCAGTCCAGGTCAATAATGGAAGAAAATTTCAATACAGTTCCTTAGTCCCTCTTTCTAAATTATTCATGCCAATTGGCCCAACTTAAACACTCATGCAAGTAATTCCTGGAGGGCTCTTTCCATGAAGAATACATACTCATGTTGGGGCTCAGAAGACAATAATCCAAAATATGGTGCTTTGACATGCTGAACTAAAGAAGAGAAACCTCAAGTTTTCTCTCTGATCTCCCCCTGCCTCCATGTCTCTCTGACCTTCTTATTTTTCCAAGGCACCACTAGGTACTCTTGCTGGAATCTCCTTATCTGACTAGGAAAATTTCTTTCCAAAAGAAATGCAATTGTCTTTCCCCCTTCCTAGGAGTCTCATTAAATAATCATGAAAGATTAACCATTAAAGAGGAGAAGAGAATGGAAGTTGTCACCATGCCTAGACAGACTTTCAATCTATTCTTCTGAGGGAAATACTGAGAGATTACCTGGGAGGCTTTATCTACATAAGACAACCTTCATTCAAAGTAAAGTTCCACACCCCTCCCTGCACCTTCCCATTACCTCCTGCAGAGCTCAGAACTTTGTCCCAGGCCACTGTTCCTTGGGCTCATTCATTTTCCCAGAAAATAATTCACTTCTACTGCTCTATCTCCCATTCTTCTATGAAGAAGGGTATGTAAGCATCTGGACCTCATTGGGTTATTGGTTAAACATTCTTCTGTGATTCCCCCATGCTATACATGTTAAAATAAATTTTGTATGACTTTTTATGCTATTAATAGGTCTATTGTCAGTCCATATTCAGCAAAAATTCAGAGGACAGACAGGAAGCTTTCCCTTGGCCCATCCACCCACTATGGGCACGTAGAATGCCCAGAAGTGGGTGAAGATTTCATAAACCTGGAAGTCCTACTACTCTGGTGAAGGCAGTTTTGCATGTTCTATATTTATTACTGGTATTTCTAGGCAGTGTTTAAGTTTACATTTTATTGGTACTATAGGGAACCAGAATATGCCACCCCAAAACATGACAGTAGGAGACCAGAATGTGCTACTCCAAATTATGCTGCTTTGGCATAAACATTATTTTGAGTTTATTATTTTGAGAAATAACTGACACATAAGAAGCTCTGAAAATAGACAAGAAATTATTCTTTTGTAAGAGAAATGTATGTTTATAAAGGAAACTTCCATTTATAAGGATGTCTCCCCCTCTGTACCAGGAAAAGTAGGATAAATAAATCACAAGAGACTCTTATCAATGGAGAAGACACCGACTTAAATCTGCATGACAAACCTTACCCTTGTTTACTATGTGTTTCTGGTCACCTCCCCATATATGATCCCCCTAAGACACACATACACTCTTCTTTCTTTGTTTCAGCAGAAAATGGCATTTAAGCCTGAATTAAAAGCCATCTCTTTGGAGGCTTACACATATTTTCTGGATATCTCCCACATATACATAAGGTATACATGTTAATAAACTTTTGTTTGTCTTTCTCTTGTTAATCTGTCTTTTGTTACAGGGGTCTCAGCCAATAGTCCTACAATGTGTAGTAGGAAAAGATATTTTTCTTCCCCTACAATACCAATAAACAAAAATGGCTCCAGCTTATTGGCTTTAATGGAAGAACAAATGGCCAAAAATTAAATAGATAATCAGTTGCACCTTTAGATATGACAATCTACTTTGCTTACTTTTTGTCTTAACGGTCATAATCAGACAGAAAAAGAAACAGGATATTACCAATACCATAAGAATGATCCTGTATCATTACATCACAGCCTGCAGCTCTAAAAACTCTGTTTTCTCTCCAAAGATAATCACTAACTTGATCTATAATATATTAGAATTCCTCTTTTATGAGCTTTCTATATATGAAATCGTGCAGTTGTATAGGAACAAAAAGGTACAGTAACTTTTCTTCACCCATTTCAAGGTCCACAGCTGACTTCTCTGAAAAAAAGACAGCTTAGCAAGAGAAAAGCATAACAAATTTATTGAACAAAGTTTTACAAGATACAAGAGCCTTCACAAATGAAGATCTGAAGACCCAGGGAAAACTAAATGTTTTTATGCTTAGGTTTGATGAAGAATTGATAGCCATGTAGAAATGTGAGTAGACAAAAAAGAAATGATCTAATGGTAATAAACTGGGGGGAACTTATCAAGGCCTGTTTGTTCAGATTCTTCTTGATCTCTCTGTGTAGTATTCTTTCCCCCAACTCTGAAGCAGGACGTTTCTGGAATGAGGGTCTTATAGTCTACTTTCAGAAGAGGTAGTTCAGAGAGTGACCTCTCTAGGTTTTATAGCTTGCTTTAGGGAAGCTAGTTTCTATGAACCACCTTGGAGAAGAAAAATTCTAGTTTCTATGATCTTCTTTGGGGGATAAATGGTGGATGAAGAAAGAAGAGCAGGAGAAAGTAAGAGAACTTCTTGCTTCTGAGGCTCTTCTGATCTTTAGTTCAAATAATTCAGCATGAAAAAGTGGAATAATTTGGGGTATTATATCCTGAGCCACAATAGTAGGAGCATATGTTTGTGTCTCAGTCATTTTGTGCTGTTATAATAGAATACTTCAGACTGGGCAATTTATAATAAACAAAAATTTATTTTCTCACAGTCCTGGAGGCTGGGAAGTCCAAAGTCAAGTTGCTGGCATCTGGCAAGGGCCTTCTTGCTACATTATCACATGGCAGAAAGCAGAAGGGCAAAGAGGTAAAAGGGGATTGAACTTGCCCTTTTATGATGGCATTAATCCCACCTATGAAGGCAGAGCCCTCATGTCCTAATCACCTCTCAAAAGCCCCACCTCTTAATATGATTACAATGGCAATTACATTTCAACATGAATTTTGAAGGGAAAATCATGCAAAGCATTAGCAGTGTGTGTCTGCTTTTTTGCTTAATATTATGTTTCTGAGATTCATTTATGCTGTCAGATATAGCAGTCATTTATTAATTCTCTTTGTTATATACAGTATTTACTATGGTCTGAATGTTTGTGTCCCTCACAATTCAAATGTAAAAATCCTAACCCTCAAGGTGATGGGATTAGAATGTGTGGCCTTTGGGAGGTGATTATGTCTTAAGAGTGTAGTGCACATAAATAGAACTGTGTCCTTATAAAAGAGAAGGCAGAGAGCTAGTTAGCCCCTTCCACCATGTGAGTATGCAGTGAGAAGGCACTGTTTGTGAGAAATGACCCTCACGAGACACAGAATCTTCCAGTTCCTTGATTTTGGACTTTCTAGACTCCAGAACTGTGCTGGGTAATAAGACATACATATGTTCAAATATAATAAATGATGCTAAATAGTTTTACAATAATTTTACAAATATGTGCCCCACCAGAAATATATGAGAAATGAGATTACTACACATCCTTGCCAATAAAAGTGCTGGGTAATAGGACATGCATATGTTCAAATCTAGTAAATGATACTAAATAGTTTTACAATAATTTTACAAATATGTACCCCACCAGAAATATATGAGAAATGCAATTACTACATATCCTTGCCAATATTTGATATTGTCAATTTTTTGCATTTTAACCATCTTGATGGGTGTATAGTAGTATTTTGTTGTTGTGTATGTGTGTATACAATTCTATGAGTTTTAACACATGTGTAGATTCATATAAAACTACCACCAGAATAATGATACAGAACTGCTTCATCATCCCCAAAATACTCCCTCATACTGACCCTTTGTAGTCACAAACTCCCTTCACCCTTAATCACTGGAAATCACTGATCTATTCTCTGTTCCTACAATTTTGACTTTTTCAAATGCCATATAATTGAAATTATACTGTATACAATCTTTTGAGGCTTTTTTTCACATAGATGGTGACTTTGAGATTTATACATGTAATGGCATGTATCAATAGTTTGTTACATTTTATAGCTGAGTAGTATTCCATTATATGAATATACCAGTTTGTTTATCTACTAAGCTGTGGATGCATATTTGAGTTATTTCTCGTTTAGGGCAATTATGATTCAAACTGCTATAGAGATTCATGAACAGGATTTTACGTAACTATAAATGTTTATTTCTCTAAGGTAAAAACCTATAGTGAGACTACTGGGTCATATGAAAAATACATGTTTACTACTAGGCCGGGCATGGTGGCTCATGCCCATAATCCCAGCACAAGGTCAGGAGTTCAAGACCAGCCTAACCAATATGGTGAAACCCCCATCTCTACTACTAAAAATACAAAAATTAGGCAGGCATGGTGGTGCACGCCTGTAGTCCCAGCTACTCGGGAGGCTGAGGCAGGAGAATCCTTGAACCTGGGAGGCAGAGGTTGCAGTGAGCCGAGATCATGCCACTGCACTACAGCCTGAGCAACAGAGTGCAACTTTGTCTCAAAAAAAAAAAAAGAAACTATGAAACCATTTTCCAGGTGTCTGTATCATATTCCACTTCTACCAGCAATGTATAATATGAGAGCTCTAGTTGTTCTGCATCTTCATCAGCACCTGCTGTTGTCAGATACTAGTTTTATTTTAGCCATTTGAATAGTTGTATGATGGTATCTCATTGTGATTTTAAGTTGCAGTTCTCTAGTAGCAAGTGATATTCAGCATCACTTTATACGCTTATTTGCCATCTATATGTATCATTTTTGGTGAGGTATCTGTTCAGATCTTTTGGCCATTTTTAACTGGATTGTATGATTATTATTATTGAGTTATTTATATATTCTGGATACAAGTCCTTCATCAGATATGTGATTTGCAAATATTTTTTTTTCCAGTCTGTAGCTTGGTTTTGTTCCCCATAGTCTTAACAGGGTCTTTTGCAGAGTAAATGTTTTTAATTTTGATAAAGTACAACTTACCAATTTTTTTCTTTCATAGATTGTATTAGGGTTCTCTAGAGGGACAGAACTAATAGGATATATATATATAAAGGGGAGTTTATTAAGTATTAACTCACATGATCACAAGGTCCCACAATAGGCCGTCTGCAAACTGAGGAGCAAGGAGAGCCAGTCTGAGTTCCAGAACTGAAGGGCAGGAAGCATCCAGCATGGGAGAGAGATGTAGGCTGGGAGGCTAGGCCAGTCTAGTCTTTTCACATTTTTTTTTTTTTTTTCTGCCTGCTTTATATTCTAGCCATGCTGGCAGCTGATTAGATGGTGCCCACCCAGATTAAGGGTGTGTCTGCATTTTCCAGCCCACTGACTCAAGTGTTAATCTCCATTGGCAACACCCTCACAGACTCACCCAGGATCAATACTTTGCATCCTTCAATCCAATCAAGTTGACACTCAGCATTAACCATCACATAGATCATGCTTTTGGTCTTGTATCTTAAAACTCATTACCAAGCTCAAGGTCTCACCAATTTTTGCCTATATTTTCTTCTAAAAGTTTTAGAGGTTAAGTTTTACATTTAGGTCTATAATAAATTGTGAGTTGCAGAGTTGGAAATTTTTTATTGAATGCATACATTGTGAATTTTACCTTGTTGAGTCCTGGATATTTTTCTATTTCTGTAAATATTTTTAAGCTTTCTATACTGGAATATAATTACAGTACTTGAAAATACTTGATGCCTTATGCCTTGCTTTTATAATTTGTTAGGTCTGGAGCTGTGCCCTGTGCAGGGCTAATTATTCTCCTGTACTTTCTAACTTGTACTTTCTAACTTTTAACTTTCTAACTGGTCCATCCAATATCCCATGAATTACAATTATTTTTCATCTGGCTTGTGCAAAACAGCACTATTCCCAGCCTTTTGTGAGTACTGTGTAATACTTTAATCCTTCTAAATGTTTCTTCTTTTGGCTTTGGGTACTTTCCTATCACAAACTATTGGATCTCTGATCAACATGCTGCTGAGTACTTAAGGGCTCTCTATAGATCTCTGGATCTCTGGGGTTCCCTCTCTGTGAATCTCTCTCCTCTGGTATTCTGTCCTGTAAACTCTAGACATCTTGGTCTTTTTGGATTCTCAGCTCTCTCCCCGACTCAGGGAGTTTCTCATGACCCCCCTGGATTGCCCCTATATGTGCTTCAGCCAGGAAACTGTTCAGGCAGCAACCTGGTGCAATCACAGGGTTCACCTCATTTGTTTCCCTTTTCATAGGAATCTGCATCCTTCATTGTCTGATATCTAGTGTCTTAAAAACCATCATTTTATATATTTATTTCCCTTTTATTTAGTTGTTTCAGGTATGAAGGTAAATTCAGTCCCTGTTACTACATCTTGGCCAGAAGCAAAAGTCTTAATTTGCATTCTTTATTACTAGTGAGTTTGAATATCTTATATACCTACTGACCACAGTATTTATTATTATGTAAAATGGCAGTTTATGTGTTTTACTTCTTTTTCTACTGTAGTAATTTGTTACTTCTCATTATTTTAGATAAGTTTCATATATATCAAATCCATGTCTGTCATATACATTGTAAATATTTTATTCATTATTTGCTTTTAATTTTGATTTATTTCATTTTGTAATGCAAACGCTTTTTGTTTCTACTTAATCAGGTCTATTATTCTCTTGATAATTTTTAATTGATTCTTCCATTGAATAATGCACCAATATTACACACACATAGTGTCTTCTAAATACTTTATTATTTGTCTTAAAATAATAAGGAACTATAATAAAAGTAAGGAATCAGAATCCAGTTTTCTAAAAAGGCTACAGCCCAAAGCACTTTCATGACATTCTAAATTCAAGGGTTGGGATTTAGAACAGGCTGAAACAACCTAGATCCCCACACAGCTATTGTTTCCAAGAAGAGTAGCCCTGTCTTTCATACGCTAGACTACAGCAAGGGAACATGCTTAAAGATCTTCCTCTAAGAATTGGCTTGGCAGACTTAGACTGAAGACTCAACTAAGGGTCTCAATCTGGGATCACACTAACACCTGTGGAATATAGTAATGGTTGAGTGCATCACTTCGAGTAGGAATCAGTGCATAGTTAAAAAGCAAAGTGAAAAATCAGGTTCTACTACAGATTCTTTAACTGTTATTTTCTCAAGACAACTTTTCATGCTCAGTCCCACTGACTACATTCTTCTTTCTTGTCCTAGATTCCACACATTCCTTTAACCACAAGTTTCCTCTTCTCTTTAGAGGTGTTTCCACTCATACCTAATTCTCTCTACCTCCACCCCTCAGAGCCCCTACCAATTTTAGGCATTTTATTATTAAAACCTGCTAAGATACAGATAATAAAGTGTGTTCAGAAAAATAACTTGAGAGAATTTTCAAATGTACACAATTCTTATTGGTATGGTTCCTTGTCTATACCATGATTTTCTTGTGCGTCAGTTATCTTTTGCTAAAAATGCTGTGAATGCAGTATTCTACAGTTCAATGGCTTGAAACAATAAGAATTTCTCAACTCATGAAACCTCGGGTTGGTGGGGCAATTTTTCTGGTCTCAGTTGGGCTTACTCATGCATCTATAGTCAATTTCATATTGGTTAGGCAGCTCTGATCTTTTGGCTAGGCTCTGGAGTTTGGCTGATGATGAGCTTATTTAGAGTAGCCCCAGTTGGGTCAATTTAATTATGTAGAAGAGAAAAGACTTTCCCTCTACCCTCTGAGGGTTTGGTAAATGAGCCTAGGAAATAAACTGACAACAGGTAGATTAACAGGAGAAAAAAGTATACAAATTTGTTATGTGCATGGGGCATCACAGGAAAGAAAAGTAAATACCCATTAAACCAGTGATATTTAAGACCTTATATATCTACTTCATAGAGGAGAAGGTAAAGGGGATATAGATGAGAAAAGAAAAATCACTCAGAGCAGTCTGAGCTATACGAGGTTTACAGGCCCAGAGATATATGAACATGGGACTTCAGCTATGCCCCAGCCCGTGCTTGCATTCCTGAGGGCACTTTTTTATACTAATTTTTTCCTGATTAGCTGCCTTATCTATTATCTTTATGTTCCTGGAGTTTGTGATACAAAGAAGCAATATATAGCCAATCAATAGCTTATATTATTTTAATGTAAATTCTTGTTAAACAACTCAAGAACTGCCTCTTCTTTTGCTTAAAAATACACTTCTAGGCCGAGGTGGGTGGATCACCTGAGGTCAGGGATTCAAGACCAGCCTGAATAACATAGTGAAACCCCATCTCTACTAAAATACAAAAACTAGCTGGACATGGTGGTGGGCACCTGTAATCTCAGCTACTTTGGAGGCTGAGGCAGGAGAATCACTTGAACCTAGGAGGTGGAGGTTACAATGAGCTGAGATCATGCCATTGCACTCCAGCCTGGGCAACAAGAGCGAAACTCCATCTCAAAAACAAACAAACAAACAACAAAAAAAAACCCCAAATGCACTTGTAACTGCTGCTAATCAAGTGTATATTCAGGGCAAGTTGAACCTATGCTCCTGGGTTGCAATCCTGAAGCTTGGCCCAAGTAAACTCTCTACTTATATTAATTTTGCCTCAGTTTCTTCCTTTTAGGTCAACATGTCTAGTGTAGTCAGTATGATTCAGAGTGACTCCCTGCAACCACCTGGTGTTTCTCTCTGAAAGCGGTGCTTGTTACCAGCACAAATTCTCTGTCTTCAGAAGTCCTATGGAGTGTACTGAGGGAGTTCTCCTGAAATTGGACCACCTCCCACTCTGATTGAAGGTCTAAACTTCATTTGGGCTGTTTTTTAAACCCTTGTTTCTCATTAAGAGTGGAAGATTCAATCTCCGTCTTTGGACAGGAGATTCAGGTAAAGAGCTCTGCAGAGAACTGCATTTTTTTCTGCCTCTGTCTCAGGACCAGAGGTTTGGGTCAAGGTTTTTCTACCTCTGTCTCACAGCAGAGATTAAGGTAAAAAACTGGCACTTAGGCACTGGTGGTTTCATTTTACATATCATGCTTTTAAGATTGCAGCTGTTTTCTATCACTTAAAACTTTAGACAGCCTTTCATTTGTGACCAATTCCTGTTAGTTCTTAACTAAAGAGTGTGCCCCCTTTTGCTATTCCAGATGGGGATAATATGAGGATCTGGTCCCCCACACCTTGAGCACTCTGCTGCCACCTGTCAGTTAGAGACCGTCTGAGACACATCACACTTAGACCCTAAACGCATTCCCAGCCTTAATCACTTTGGAAAAGTTTCTAAATTACAGGAAATCAATCTTCTAAATCTGAGTGTTCTTTTTAGAAATACCAGCTGGATTTATGTAATAATGAGAGAGGAGAAAGGAAAAAACCTGGTCAGGCAGGCAGTTAGGGTGGGTCCTAGATTGAATCCTTTCAAACAAAAGAACAGCCTGCAGGCACAGATAAGGGAAGTTGCACAGGGGAGCTTGCTTAAGACATGCCCACAGCCACACAGATAAGAAAGGCTACACAGGTGACTTGCCCAGACATGCCTGCAATGGAAAATTCCATCCCCTGACACATGCACAGTAAGGGGAACAAAGCAATATGGAGTAACTTAGAATAAGGGTCCACATGTACATTAGGAAGACAGGGTAGAGCTACCACAAATTCGTGCCTGATGCAAATGAGATGCCAAGCCCTCATCACTTTCCTATAAAAGCCTTCGCATTCAATCACAAAAATGGCAACCCTTTTTACAGGACCCCTCTCTGTAGCAGAGAGCTGTTCTCTGTCTTTCTCCTATTAAATTTCTGCTCTAAACCTCTATGTCCTTGATCTCCTTGGCCATGAGACTAAGAACTGTGGGTGTCATCCCAGTCAATGAGATCACTTCATTGTGGGGGCTCTACCAGGATAGGATCATTGAAAGAGTGAGTAATAGAAAGGAACTTCAACTCTTTACCTTCACTTTTGAGACCTCCTGCCCTCAATGTTAAAATCAAGCAAAAACACAGAAAATCCGTTGGCCATCTAGATGTGGTTAGCATGGACTGCTTGTCTAAAGACTCAGATGACAGGATTGCCAGAGAGGACTTAGCTAATCCCCCAGATCCCTCAGGGTGTTGGGATTGTTGGCTCTGTTCTGGTTTTCTTTTGCAGAGAGCCTAGCTGTCATGTAGGGCTGGAAGAGATCCTAAAGCAACTGAAGGTTTCTGGCCGGGGCCTCACCCTGGTGTTACCCAAAGGCTTATGGACTAACCTCAGTGCCTGACCACCTGGTGGGTGTTGTCATCAGGATCTCTAAGCTTTACCTATAGTAGTTTCCTTCTTCTTACTATGGCCACTATATCTCCTATCACCTGTCTGTTTGCAATGCTGCAGGAATTTTTATAGCCCAGGGAGATGATTCTGTTAGGATCAGCAAGTGCCATAGTAACTGGGAATATAGCTCAAGCGATTGCTGTTTTTGTAATTTTCTAGAAATAGGAGGTTATTTAGCCCCCAGTGAATGTCCCTCTCTCCATTTTCCCATGCGAGAAGCCTGTAGTGCCCAGTTGAACTAGATAGCCCCTCTATGAGACAAACTAACTTTCTCCCACTAGGAGGCATATTGTGGGGACAGCCTGCCATGCCTCAGATCTCTCACTACCCTTTGTCTGGAGAGCACAAGGAAACACAGCTACTGCCTGCTATTTCAAGGTTCACAGCGTGACCTAGTGGAATGGGAATCCTCTCCATGGGTGATCTTGTCGGTCCTTTGCCAAAAACCTCTAGTTTTCCAATTCTTCTCCCTTTTGTGCCCCTGTACTAGATACCAGGCTTTATGCCCCTTCTGTGAATGGGAAAACTCTGTCTTCAACAGTGAGGAGAAAAATGTCTTTTGAACCAAATTTTAACCTCAATACTGTCTCCATCAGCAAGAAGACAGCCATTCAGTCCCTACGTTCTTTTTAAGACACCTAATGTGCATTCAATTAGAATAGTATTTAAATAGAAAGGGGATTTTATGTCTGGAAGTCAACTGGAACCACTGCTTAAGAATAAATATTTTAGCCCAGGCCATAATAGCAGAATATAGGGCTCAGCCCAGAATACTTCCTCCATTAAGGGTCCTGGACTAAATGCTACTGTTACATAGTCTCTTCTGAGATCCATCTATCAGGGAGCCACAAAGGTTACACAAGTCAAGGAAATTAAAGGGAAATCACCAGTGGAGAACTGGGGTCTCATAGGTGAGCGTGACTATTTCTGCTACCTAGCTCCTCCAGATGCATAGGTGAGCATTATCCCTGCATCCATGGGTGGCATCTATGATGTTGCTGGGACCCAGAGGAGTTGGGAGGGAAGAGGAGAAGAGGAACACCCTTTCTGTCTTTCTCTCTGGGTCACTCCAAAAGAAGAAAGGAAACTAAAGGACACCTTCTTCTCCCCTCTTTTTCCAAATGGTTAACAACCTGTCTTCAGCCTACACTCTCCTCGAGTGCAGCCTGGATCATTGGGACTCCTTTGACCCCCAGACTCTAAAAGAAAAAGCACCTCATATTCCTTTGCACTAGGGCATGGCCATCTTACCAACTGCAGAACAAAGGGGTGTGGGGGCGAGTCTTCTCAGGGAAGTGCTAATTTCAATACTATCTGACAATTAGGTCTTTTCTGCAGGTGAGAGGACAAATGATCTGAGGTCTCCTATGTGCAAAGCTTCTTAACCTTGTGAGACAATCCAGATCTTTGTCAGCATTGTAAAATTAACCCTGCTCTCTTAGCGATCCTATCAGGCAAGCCCATAGGACATAATTTCCCAAAGTCAAAGAAACAAAGCCCTGGGGAACCCTCAAATGCAATTTCCAGATGCCCTGGCTCTTCTTGCCCCCCTATCCACATCATAGCTCCTCCAGTTCTACCACCCAAACCCTCAGAGACTTTTCTATGGTATTTTTTCCATCCTTCTTTCATGGTTTGAAATGGATCCTATCTCTTCTTTTATAATGTCCCTCCAAATTGGGAAAAGTTAATTTCCCAAACCTTAAAATGCTTGGCTCAGTGTTGAGCTCAGGGAAAGGAAACCCAGAAGCCTGACATGCCAGCCAGAGGGTAAAAGGCTTTTTTTTTTTTTTTTACTAGTTGGGCTTTTGGCTTCTCTCTCACTGTGCAAACTGGTAAAAGGAATGGTAAGGGTCACTTTTTATATTCTCTGTAAAGTTTCAATTAATGAAAAAGGATTTGTGAGGTTGGTCTTAAGCTGTAGTCAATCTGGTGTGCTTTGCATGTCTTTCTGTATGATTCTGTCAGAAATCTGGTGTGCTTTGCATGTCTTTCTGTATGATTCTGTTTAGAACAGAATGTGAGTCTAAAACTCCATAAGCCTGCTGTTCAAGCCAGCCCAGTAAAATGGTCAGTAACAAACTTTACTGCAGGCCTCCATCTTGTTTTACATCATTGGAAGAGTGACCTGTAACCATGTGGCAATACTTTGTTTCAGTCTCTGCCATTTTACAGTGGTGGCCTGAGTTCATTCCTGGCTTAAGGAATAAGTACTTTCAGGTTAATATCTGTATAACCTTTGCCATTTGCTTATTCTCTTCCCCTCCATAAACAACTTCTAGCTCCCTTTCTTAAATCTTTCTTTCTCTGAGTTGCCTTTAAAGATTCTAGATTTTGTAAAAGTGTGGGTCTCCAGTGGGTTCACTTTGTCCATTGCCTAAACAGAGCTGATTTATTGGGACTAGGAAATTGCAATGAAGAGGGGGTGATTCACACGGGGGCTGGCTGTGCAGAAGACTGGAGTTTTGTTGTTGCTCAGGTCAATCTCCCCAAGCATTTGAGTATCAGCTTTTCTGAGGATGGCTTCATGGTTAGGGGGAGGCCAGTGAGCCAGAATGCTGATTGGTCAGGTCAGAGACAAAATTGTAGAGAGTCAAGGCTGTCTTCCTGTGCTGAGTCAATTCCTGGGTTGGGGCCACAAAATCAGATGAGCCAGTTTATCGGTCTGGGTGGTGCCAGCTAATCCATCAAGTGCAAAGTCTGCAGAATAGCTCAAGTGCTGATCTTAGGAGCAGTTTAGAGAGGGTCAGAATCTTGTAGCCTCCAGTTGCATGACTCCTAAACCATAGTTTCTAATCTTGTGACTGTTTTCTTGATCCTACAAAGGCTGTCTGTTTCCCAGGCAAGAAGGAGGTTTGTTCTGGGAAAGGTTTGTTATTGTCTTCGTTTTGGACTATTAACTATAAACTAAGTTCCTCCCAGAGTTGGTTCAGCCTATGGCCAGTAATGAACAAACACAGCTTGGAGGCTAGAAGCAAGATGGAGTTGGTTGGGTCAGATCTCTTTCACTGTCTCAGTTATAATTTTGTAATGGCAGTTTCAAAAGCTTCTTACAACCCCTTTGAAAATACCCCATACACAAGCCGTTAAGTCATAATCTTATTGACGTTTGTTGGTTTAGCCTGTGAGGTTACTTTTGGTAAAGTTCAAAAGCCAGAAATATTAAATGATTGGTGTAGCTAAAGTTGGGTAACAAGGGACTTAAAAGGATTATCTTAAAGAGCACTCAGCTTAATTCAAAGTAGATATCCAAGTTATAGGTATATTTAAAAGGCCTTTAGGTTTTTCTCTTCTCGGATCTTGTTTTTCTAGAAACGTTTTTTTTCTCGGTCAACTTAATTCTTTTTCTCCAGTTTTCCACACACAAGAGGCCCCAAAGTGACTTCTGATGGCCTGGGACTTCTTGTAAAAAACAGAAAGGGCACCACGGATTCCATTTTTGGAGAAACCTCGGTTTTCCTCATGGAACCCCAAGAATTAAAGGTGGATAGATCCCTCTCAAAACCTGTTTGTGTCCTAGAAACTACATGCTTTCCTAGCCCTGCTCTTAAAGGGCCCCACCCAGAGGACAATAATCCAATTAGGAGCTTGGCAAATGAAAAATCTTATGACAACCAAGTTTTCTTCTGTTTGTATGTGTAGTTATATATGTGTTGTGTGTGATGTCTATAAAAAGAGCTCTAACTGATTGGCTTACGGAAAATTAAGCACTTAAATCAAATTTTTTTAAAGAAAAGATAAAACTTTTAATGTCTTTTAATTCACATGACTTTAATCTTTAAGAAATAAAAATGTTTCAAAGATAATTGGTCAAATGCAAATGTCATCAAAATGTAAATAGGTGGTCTAAATCATGTAAGTCACATACTAGGTTTGCTAAATGTTTTAAGGTCATAAACTGCCTGCTTTACAACTTGATAAGGCCTGGAGACATAAAAAAATTAACCATACCCGTAACTATGCTGAAAAATGTCAGACTTTATCTGGACCTAGTACATAATTAAAACAACTTACCATGTTTTACATTAAAGTTAAAAATTACTAAGAGTTACCATTATAACATGTAAATGAGACTACTGAAAATAGATATACATGTAAGGTGTGTAGGAACAGTAAAATGTTTTTGTGGTAAAAGATTATAAAAAGGCATGGAAATGTAAATCTTGCCTAGGAATAAAGAATTGTTTTGAAACCAATGTAAGGGCAAAACTTGGCTTTTTCTTCCTTGTACAAAATCTTCATATAATAGTGAAGGATAATGAACAATTTTCATTTGCCTTGTGGATAAACTGCCAAGGAGAAGAATGAGAAAACAGGAAACAAACTGGAAAGCTAAGTCTTCCCTCTTAATGAACAAAGGTTTTTGCCACGTTTTCAAATTTTTAGTCATAATTTTGGCAAAATAAATAACTTATGATAATCTGGTATTGTATTTCATAATATCAAGTGTTTTAAGCCTTTAACACTTAGCAGGCTTCCAAAAATCAAACTTTAGCTTCACAATTGTCTTTCCTAACCCCTAGCTTGTGGATGCCACAGAGGGCCCCTGAAGCATCCAGAAGAGAGGTAAACAGGATTATTTAACATGTTTAGGTACATGAGATTGCCAGAATGATGTTTAATCTTCTTCAGTTTATATTTTAGCGAATAATATTAATAAATGTTCCAAAATTGTATGGGATGTATACAATTCTAATGTTTGAGTATATGCTATCAATCATAATTAAAGTTATTATGTTAAGCTATTGTAAACCACAGAAATAACCAAATTTCTTTTTCAATTGTGTTTTTAACTGTAACTACCCTGGACATTTCATCATTCACAGATAATTGTTGTCTTAATTATAAATCATCCTTTTCAAAGAATGATTTACAATTATTATAGGACTTGTACAGGTGCTCTAAAACGCAGGTTTCTGATAACTTTGGAAATTGTGACAGGTGAATAAAGGAAAACATACAGGAATTATGAAGCCTGAAATGTTCATGAATATCAAACCGGAGTTAACTGCATGGACTAAACTAATAGAAGTCTGAAGTAGTTCTTTTTCACTCTTTGTTTAAAACATTGCTAATCTTTGTTTTGTTCTTCAGAATCAAGAAAACTTTTCTTTTAAGCTATCTACAGCTTTTAACAATTGAGTAAGGTATACTCTTGTGAACAAAATTTGGAGCATATTTGTTTCTCTCTGCCTGGCTCCTCTGTAATTTGGAAGCTAGTTGTAAGTATTCTTAATTTATGGCAATATAGTTGTTTTCATCAGTGCAATAAAAATCAATTTTCTTTTGCAAAAGGACACAATTGGAGAAACTGGTTATTTTAGCAAGACTTTGACTGGAAGGGCGTGTTTTCCTTTAAAGAATCAAGCTTAACTTGCAGAGCCAATAAAAGCCCCTTGGGAAAACTGGCCTCATAACTTGCCTACACAGTCCCAGTGCAGGGTTCCTGATCTGTGATGTGTCAAGAATATCAATTTCTAACAGGCCCAGGAACCCCATGTTCTTGGGGCTTCACGAAGAGAGGAATTCACCCAACTCAGGTATTTGAGGTTCCAAACCCATGGCTGGGCTTCACTTTAAAAAGTCCTGTCTGAGAGTCCTTGTGGAACAGAGTTCTATCAAAGCCAGTTTTAAAAACCTATGTAAAAATAATTATTCTTTCTGTACTTTATGAAAATAATCAGGCCAAGTATAAGACTATAGTTTATTTTGCAAACAACTCAGTCCAATCATGATTTGTTTTTAACAAAAATGAGGACTGGAGAGAGAAAAAATACTTTTCAAAATTTATTACATGCTGGGTATTAAATTCTAATCTCAATAGTCGTTTTCAAGTTCTTGCCTATGTTTTAAACTAACCTGCTTATTTCTGTAAACCAATCAGCAATCTCTGGCTGCAGCTCAGAAAAAACAAAAAAGGATTGGTCATGTAGAAATCTGGATCAATACTCTAGTTTTGGGCAATAAGCCTGCAAATCCTGCCCTGCTCCAAATGGTGATGCAAATGAAACCATACATGGGCGTGCCTTCCTTCCAAGGACCCTTAGATTGCCCCTAGGAGGAATCCTAATGCTGTTCTCCTACACAGCATCCCTGTCCAACAGGAAGTAGCTAAAAGAATCATTGTCCCATTCCCCCTAAAAGCAGGGTCTCCACTCCTGAGGGGGGAAATGAGAGAGGAGAGAGGAAAAAATCTGGTCAGTCCTCGGTTGAATCCTTTCAAACAAAAGAACAGCCTGCAGGGATAGATAGAGGAACTTGCACAGGGGGGCTTACCTAAGACATGCCCACAGCCACACAGATAAGTAAGGCTACCTAGGTGTCTTGCCCAGACATGCTCACAATGGAAAATTCTGTCCCCTGACACACGCGCAGTAAGGGGAACAGAGCAATATGGAGTAATGCAAGCTAAGGGCCCACATGCGCATTAGGAAGATGGAGTAGAGCTACCAGAAATTCATACCTGATTAAAATGACACACCCAGCCTTCATCAGTTTCCTATAAAAGCCTTTGCATGCATTGGCCAGGTGAGGTGGCTCATGCCTATAATCCCAGCACTTTGGGAGGCTGAGGCGGGTGGATCACTTGAGGTCAGGAGTACAGGACCAGTCTGGCCAACATGGTGAAACCCCATCTCTACTAATAATACAAAAAAAAAAAATTAGCTGGGCATGGTGGTGCACACCTGTAATCCCAGTTACTTGGGAGGCTGAGGCAGGAGAATAGCTTGAACCCAGAGACAGAGGTTTCAATGACCAAAGATCATGCCACTACACTCCAGCCTGGGCAACAGAGTGAGACTCCATCTCAAATATATATATATATATATATATATATCTCATGTATATACATGTATATTCATGTACCTAAACATGTATATGTATATATGTGTATATATACATGTATATTCATGTACCTAAACATGTATATTCATGTACCTAAACATGTTTATTTAATATATAATATATATAACATATAATATTATATGACATTGTTTCTGTAATCCAATCAGCAATCTCTGGCTGCAGCTCAGAAAAAACAAAAAACTCATATATGAGTTCTGATGGGTGCAGTTCAAACAACTTTGTAGGACTGAGATTGGTTTCAAATAACCTCCCCCACAGACACTTAAATTAAATATTTAATCAGAAAAATAGAAACTAACTCAAATGCCTTTTAATTCACATGATGTGGGTACATCTATCTATCTATCTATATATAAAAGGCTTTGCATTCAACTGTAAAAATGGCAACCCTTTTTCTGGAATTCCTCCCTGAAGCAGAGAGCTGTTCTCTCTCTTTCTTCTATTAAATTTCTGCTCTAAACCTAACCCTTGGTGTCTCTGCATTCTTGATTTCCTTGGCCATGAGACCAAGAACCCTGGGTGTCATCCCAGACCATGAGGGTGCTTCAATAATATTTATTGGGCATCCTCTTGTAAATGTCTAGGAAAGTGGACCCACCCAACCCAGTACAGTCATGAGCAGCAGTAGCCAAAATAGGAATCCTTTGAAATATCTAAAATAATTCATTTGCATGCAAAAAAGGATAACCAGACAAACTTAATGGGAGACCTACCTTATGTTTTTCCTGGCTGAAATCTCCTAAGAAGAGATATTAAAAGATTCTTTTGTAGGGACAGAAGTCAGCTTAATTAAAAGCTCATATTTAAGCCATAATTTTTTTGGGGGAAAGGTCTTTCTGCTCTTTTTTTCTTCTTCTTTTGGATCCTGTTATTAAAAATTTTTTTCCAGTCAACTTAAACCCCTCTCTTTGCTTTCTATCTGGTTGGAATGATATTTCCTTAGAAAAATGTAAAACTCATTTAGCCTTTTAGAAAGCTTAAAATCTCCCCAAATTGACTCCTTTAAGACTTGCTGTTCTATTTCCTTCCTCTTCTGTTCCTCTTTCCTTTTCCCATTTTTGATACCACATTAAGAAATCTAGAGAAGATGTCTAATGACTCAGACCCCTTAAGGAACATAGAAAAAGGCACCATTCACCCATTTTGGGGAACTTCTGCCTTTCTGTGGAGTCTGAAGAGTCACAGACAGGCTCTTCTCAGGTCTAAAACTCTTCAATCCTTTGTATTGCATTACTTGATCTCTTTGGCTTTTGAGGGTACCAGAGATAACTTTGTATTGAGACAGAACTTGATTTTTACGTGTGTTACGGCTGATGAGTCACTGATGAGAGCCACAGTTTTGGAGGTCACTAATAGAAGTTGTTTATAATTAATGGTTATTACCACAGAGGGCTGCTTGGTTTGTTGTGCATTTAGATAAGAAAAGCACAGTTTAAACACTTAGGGAAATGTCTTTGTAGTGAGATCCAATGCAGAAGCTTGTATGGCCCAGTCTCATAGTGTTTCTCTGTTTTGGGAACACAGATTTAATGTAAAAGTGAGACTCTTGACTTTAAAATATCCAGATGCTCTGCCTTCCAGCTGTGTCTCTTCTCATATTTCAATATCAGGTCCTGAAAACTGCAAATCCTTTCTTTGCCCTATTCATTGAAGGGCTTCACCCTTAAATCATTAATGGAATTAAGAAAAAAGCTAAGTTTAAAAGATCATCTAAGTACTTTGGTCTCCAAAATATGATTTGCTGGCATTTCACTGGCTATTTTGAACATCTATAAAAGAAATGAAAATCTATAAAGGAACTCTCCACTTGTAAGGGTATCTTCTTGTACTCAAGCCACTAGAAACTTTTATAATGGGAAAGACATTGGCTTAAAGTTTACATAACAATTTGTACCTTTGTTTAGATACATTTTCTGGTAATCTTGTCTTCACTTGCCCTTTTTGTATCAGCAAATAATGGTGTTAGAGCTAAGTTCAGTGCCTTTGGGATATAAATTTTCATCTAAGAGTCATGTCTTTAGAAATGCAAATTTAGGGTTCCCTACCTAACAGTTGTTTAGGGTAATGGGACAGGTAATCAAAAGGTTGTTAGTCTAGGCTGGGCACGATGGCTCATGCCTGTAATTCTAGCACTTTGGTAGGCCAAAGTGGGCAGATCACTTGAGGCCAGGAGTTTGAGCCTGGCCAATATGGCGAAACCCCGTTTCTACTAAAGAGAAAATATAAAAATTAGCCAGGTGCGGTGGTGCACACCCATGGTCCCAGCTACTCTGAAGGCTGAGGCATGAGAATTGCTTGAGCTGGGAGGTGGAGGTTGCAGTGAAGCAAGATCACACCAGTGCACTCCAGCCTGGGCAACAGAGCAAGACTCTGGATCTAAAAAAAAAATAAAAATAATTGATAGTCTAAAGGGGGTAGAAAAGAAATTATTTGAAAACTGGCAAATGAAGAACATTATAAAGCTATAAGATCTGGCTGGGGACAGTGGCTCACGCCTGTAATCCCAGCACTTTGGGAGGCCAAGGCAGATGGATCATGAAGTCAGGAGATAGAGACCATCTTGGCCAACATGGTGAAACCCCGTCTCTACTAAAATACAAAAAGTAGCCAGGCATGGTGGTGCGTGCCTGTAATCCCAGCTACTTGGGAAGCTGAGGCAGGGGAATTGCTTGAACCTGGGAGGTGGAGGCTGCAGTGAGCTGAGATCACACCACTGAACTCCAGCCTGGTGACACAGCAAGACTCCGTCTCAAAAAAAAAAAAAAAAAAAGCTATAAGAGCTGTTTCTGTGTGTCTTTATAGCTATATGTTTAAATGCGTCATTCATATGTGATATTTCACTACCAAAATGTATGAAAGAGCTCTAATTAATTGGCTTAAAGAACCAACAAGCACTTAAATTGAATATTAAATCAGAAAAATAGAAACTAACTCAAATGCCTTTTAGTTCACATGATGTGGGTACATCTTTGGTAAATAATACTAGTTTATTGGTTTAATAAAAGTAGCTGTGTCTTCTTATCAACAAAATACTTACCTGTTTAACTTTAGGGTTTCACAAGCTATAGAAATGATTAGCAAAGAAAAAACTTAAGATGATGGCTAGCTTTGTTTAATGAACTATTCAAGCATAATTTCTAAGAATAAATAAAATAAATAATTGTTAAGATAAAAGTTTATAAACAAACTTTTCAGAGTTTCAAAAATCTTTTTCAGAAACTTAATGTTATGTTAAATTAAAGATAATTATAAAATGTCTGAGTCATTAGACTCAGAAAATGAGTCTAATGCCATGTGACATGTGAACAGGCATGTCACATGGCAAAAGCAGGAGTATGTGACAGAGAGTGGCGCAAGGAACTGCCACACACTTTTGTATGACCAGATCTCATGAAAACTCATTATCACAAAGACAGCTCTAAGCCATGAAAGATCTGCCCCCATAATCCAAACACCTATCACCAGGTCCAAACCTTCAGCATTGGGGATTACAATTCAATATGCAATTTGTGGGGGACAAATATCCAGACTGTATCAAAAATGTATAAGGAAAGTAAGATGTAAAAAAAGTTGAAAAGAGAGAGTATCTTTTCTTATACATGAGAGAGAATTTTGTGTGTTCAATATAATAAGCAAGAAAAAAAGTAAATTTTTGTCATAAGGCGGGTTGTCAATATACATAAAAATATAGGAAAAAACTAAAAGCTTAAGCATGTTGCAGAAGATTTGTGGAAGATTAATCATGTAAAAGAAATTTTATATATAATCAAGTTGGCTAAAATTAAAAGGACGTTGGTATGATTTGGCTGTGTCCACACCCAAATCTCAACTTGAATCGTAGCTCCCATAATCCCCACATGTTGTGGGAGGGACCCAGTGGGAGGTAACTAAATCATGGGGGCAGGTTTTTCCCATGCTGTTCTCATGATAGTGAATAGGTGTCACCAGATCTGATGGTTTTATAAAGAGGAGTTCCCCTGCACACACTCTTGCCTGCCACCATGTAAGACGTGCCTTTGCTCCTCCTTCACCTTCTGCCATGATTATGAGGCCTCCCCAGCCATGTGGAACTGTGAGTCCATTAAACCTCTTTCTCTTTATAAATTACCCAGTCTTGGGTATTTCTTCACAGCAGTATGAAAATGGACTAATACGAACATTATTTACTTTTTCTAAAAATTGGGCGTTAATATCAAAATCATACTGATAGAGAGCCAGTGTCTTGGCCTGTGTCAAAATAACAGGGTTTTCTCAGAACACTGAGCTCTCTTTAACAGAAACTTGTAAGAGATTATAAAAGGTTTACGGAAATATTATTTCATAGGATCAAAGCTGATAGAAATGGTACTGATGCAAAGGTAGAATTTGATTTTCTCTTTTGAAAAAAATTTATATAATATTAATGGGAGATAATAAGACTTTTGTTCACCTTTTGAGTAAACTGCAAAAAAATTAAAAAGATGGAAACAATTCTGTTGGTCTAATGTTGTCTTTATTAGGTCTTTCAATTGTTTCAAAAGCTGAGATTCCTCTCTATCAAATAATAAAAGCTTTTTTTTCTTTTTCTTTCTTTTTTTTTTTTGAGATTGAGTTTCGCTCTTGTTGCCCAGGCTGGAGTGCAATGGTGCAATCTTGGCTCACCACAACCTCCACCTCCCGGGTTCAAGCA
Source organism: Homo sapiens (assembly GCF_000001405.40). Taxonomy (NCBI): domain Eukaryota; kingdom Metazoa; phylum Chordata; class Mammalia; order Primates; family Hominidae; genus Homo; species Homo sapiens. Next base: position 42,964,550 of record NC_000023.11, on the reverse strand, counting down.
ATTCTCCTGCCTCAGCTTCCCCAGTAGCTGGGATTACAGGCGCCGGCCACCACACCCAGCTAATTTTTCTATTTTTAGTAGAGACGGGGTTTCACCATGTTGGCCAGGCAGGTCTCAAACTCCTGACATCGTGATCCACTCTCCTCAAGTGCTGGGATTACAGGTGTGAGCCACTGTGCCCGGAATTTTGAATTTTCACTTTGGCTAAATTAATGACTATTATTTTACAGTGACCTGGAATTCTATTTTGATCAAGTGTTTTAAATCTTTAATATTTGACATTCTTCCCAAAATTCAATTTCAAATTCTAAAATTCAGTTTTTTTCTGGAAGAAACCACTGGAATACCAAGAAAGACATATTAGGTTTATTTAGTATATTAAAATTATATGGGAAGCATTGTCAAATAAAATAATGGTGTTTGAATATTCTTTGAGTCTGGTTAGGTTATTAATATGTGTTATAAAATTACACAAGATTCCTAAAATTCTGGTATGTCTTAATGTATGTCAGATATAATTATGGTTATTATGTTAAATTGTTGTATGCCACACAAATAACCAAGTTTTCTTGTCAATTGTGTCTTTAACCATGGCTACTCTAAATTTTGCCATCCAAAGGCAATTATTGCTTTAATTCTTTCTCAAAACATTGTTTACAATTGGCTACATTCCAAAACTTACTTTTTCTTCAAGAAAAATCATAGAAAAGGACTATGACAAGTACCCTTGAATACAGGTTTCTGATAACTTTGGAGATCATATAATTGGACTAAGCAAAAACTTTCAGAATTCTAATAAACCAATGAGTTCATAAAGATTTTGTAACCCAACATCAAACAGAAGAATTAATTACATGAGACTGAACTGATAGGGGGCTAAAAATATTTTTATGACTTTTTGTTTGAAACATTGCTGATTCTTTTTATGTTTTGTTTTCCAGACTCAGAAATTTTTCTTTCTTTTGAGCTACTTATAGCTTGCAGTAATTGGAAAAAATATACCTTTGTGAACAAAATGGAAACATTTGCCTTTTTCTCTGATTTCTCTAAAATTTTTAAACTATTCATCAGCATTCTTATTTTATGTGAATCTACTTACTTGCATAAGTTCAGTATGAATCTGTTTTCTTTTGTAACAGAACACTATTGGAGAAACTAGTTATTTTATCAAAGCTTTGAGTGGAATGGCATATTTTCAGACATATCCAGACTGCTGTGAGGAATTTAGGTTGACTTTATAAAGCCAATAAAACTGCTTAGAAAGACTGGCCTGGTACCTTGTCTACATGGATAGTTTTCAAGGTTTCTGAACTTGCAGTAAGTAAAAAAATGTCACTTTCTGACAGGCCTGGAAAACTCAAGGTTATATGGAGACCTTGAGAAGATAATAATTCACCTAATTGCAGACACAATCTAATGGTGAATCCTTGACTTGGCTTCTAACCTCAAGGTTTTTAAAGATCTAATTTGAAATTTCTTATGAAAGTTCCAGCAAAGCTAACTTAAAAGAACCTATGTGGCCAATCACTATTCTTGTTTCATTTAATGCAAATAGGCCAAGTATAATATTAAAACTTATTTTACTAGTAAATTTGCCCTACTAAGATTACTAAGATTTATCTTCCATAGAAATGGGGAACTTGGGAGACAAAAATTACGTTCTGAAAAAAATTATAGAAAACCTGTTGTTAGATTCCAGCCCTGACCATTTTAAAAACATTTAAATTATATTCCTAAAATGTGGACTGAATCCCCAACGGAATAGGTTTTACTATGTATCTCTCATTGTTTTCCTTCTTACAAGAAAACCGAAAGCATGAAATTCCAAAGGCTAGAGATGATTCAAAAAGTGATGACCATTATATAAATCAGTGACTTGACTGAGCCTTTCCAGGAATGAGCTTTCCCGATGCTGAGGGATGAAGAATGTCTATCATTCTAACCTATTCAGCGATCAATCATCAATGCTTCATGGGAAAATTTTTGATCAACAGGGGGAAAACGAAAAAGAAAAATAGGTCAGAGTAGTCTGAGCTATATGAGGTATGCAGGCCCAGAGATATAAGTGTATGGGACCTAAATCATGCCCCATCCCTTGCTATCTCACTTTGGGGAAATTGTTTGAAGTAATTTGGTCCCCATTAGCTGCCTCACTCATTATCTTCATGTGCCTGGAACTTGTGATACAAAGAAACAATGTATAGCCAATTAATAATTTATGTTATTTTAATGTAAATTCTTGGTAAACAACTCAATAATTGTTGAGTCACCTACTTTTTTCCCTTAAAAATGCACTTGTAACTGCTGCTAATTGGAGTATTTATTCAGGGCAACTTGAATCTATGCTCCTGGGCTGCAATCCTAAAGCTTGGACCAAATAAACTATCGGCTTACATTAATTTCACCTAAGCTTCTTCCTTTTAGGTAGACTTAGGCAACTTATCAGAGAGTAAATGATTTTGGGGAAAGATAAATGGGCCCTTAGAAGAATAGATGATACCTTGCGACAAAGTTTGTCTGGATGTGGTGTTGACTTTTAGTCTTCTGCCCTGTTATATGAGTTAATCTTCCCTGGCTGATGAAACTGCCAGGGAGGGGATTTTATGGAAATTGAATTCTTTTTGGAGAATCTCCGTGTAGGCAGATAAGGGGAGTTGAAAGAAAGCCTCTCTGCATTTGTTTCTTTTCAAGTGCCTTCGGCACCAAAGTAATCAGTATACCAAAGCAATATGTTTTGGGATGGCATTTCCTGAACTTTTTCAGCTACTTAGCTTTAATTTACGTATCACATTTCCAGTAGGCTATATTCTCATGGCAAATGCCTAGGAACAAGAGATCTAACAAAAATATCAAGCACTTTCCTATGACCCTGCCTGTTTCACACTTGCTAAAATCCCAATGACCAGAGCAAATCACATGGCCAACTTTAGAGCCAGAGGTAAGGTATAACATCCTTCACATAGTGGGAGAGTATTTCAAAGATACAAGTCAAAGGGCATGGATACAGGGAGGGGTGAGGAATTAGGACCACATTGCACTTTGTAGGTTTGCTGAAAATCACTGGTATGAGGCAGATTAACAAGAGAAAAGGCATACAAATTTGTTTAACTCATATATGTGGGAGCCTTCAGAATGAAGACTCAATCCTGCCCCCACTCCCCAAAGTTGGCTCAGAAGCCTATATACCATTTTAAGGTTACAGAAAAAATGGGGCATTAGATCCTGGCAAAACAGGTTATTGGAGGAGAAAGAAGAGGAATTCTGTTGAGGAGCGATAAAGGATTACTAGGGAGAATGAATGGGGAACAGAGATTAACTGGTTCATAGTTTTCTTTGGAGTTTGGATAAGTCTGAGAGACAGACATTATTTTATAAAAGGGTTGGTGCAGGTGTGATTATATTCTTGGCCTTCATTTCTGGAATAGATAATAGATAGTAGGGAAAGGATAATAAGATAACAGGGAGGGGAAAGAAAAACAATGTTCTTCTTGGTGGGTCTGGACTTTTGGCAGATAAAAGAACTTCAGAGAACAACTTTATCTTATGCTTCAGGAGAGAAGATGGGGTAGGGGGGAAGGTCAGAGGGACCTTGAGTCTTTTTCAGTTCAGTCTGTCAAAATGTCATATTTTGGGGTATTGGTTTCTGAGCTCCAACAACTTGTAATAATGCCAGCTTTCCAATTTTATGCCTGAACGAGAGTTCAAGAAGCCTCTTCTCCCTGCCCAACTCCATGCTTCTCTGACCATTCTCACCCCTGTAGAATGTGTTCTACTGTAGATCCCAGTAGAGCACATAACCTCAAAGATAAAATCAAGGTAGAACAAAAGGTGCAAGCCAGTTCTGAAACTGCCATTGCAAAATTATAACTGAGACAGTGAAAGAGATTTGACCTAACCAACTCCATCTCGCTTCTAACCTCCAAGCTGTCCTTGTTCATTCCTGGGTGTAGGCTGAACTAACTGTGGGAGGAACTTAGTTTATAGTTTAAAACAAAGACAATAAGAATCTTTCCCAAAACAAACCTCCTTCTTGCCTGGGGACTAGACTACCTTTGTAGGACTAACAAAGTAGTCAAAAGGTAAGAAATTACGGCTTAGGAGTCATGCAACTGGAGGCTACAAGATTCTAACCCTCCACCCTCCCCAAATTTCTCCTGGAGATAACATCACTATTGTAAAGCCTAAGATAAGTGCTTGAGTTATTTTCCAGACCCTGCACTTGATGGATGATGGATCAGCTGGCACACCCAGATAAATAAACTGACTCATCTGATTTTTTTTTTTTTTTGAGATGGAGACTCGTTCTGTCCCCCAGGCTGGAGTGCAGTGGCACAAATTCCACACTCCTATGATTTTATCCCCAACCAATCAGTAGCACCTATTCCCTAGCCCCCTGGCCATCAAATTGTCCATAAAAACCCTAACCTCCAAGAACTTGGGAGACTGATTTGAGTAGAAATTCTGTCTCCCACAGGGCCAGCCTCACATCAATTAAACTCTTTCTTTACAGCAATGCCATGGTCTCAGTGAGTTGATTTTGTCTATGCAGCTATCAGGAAGAACATGTCAGGTGATTACATTGCCACCAAAGTCTCACAGTTATGTGTTTAATAGGTGAAACTTCTGGAGAGAGAATGGCTTGACTCTCTCAGGCCTGAGTCTGGATACCAGTTTGGTTCCATGTGTTCTCACCGTAACAACATGGCATGTAGCCATTTATACTGCCATTTTGTATATGAGGGGAGGAAAATTATTAGAAAAGGAGAGTTGAGCAGAAAATGCAAAATATGTACACCACAGAATGTCTAGCAGAAGTTACATAGTGGCCAGGTGTGCTGGTTCAGGCCTGTAATCCCAGCACTTTGGGAGGCCGAGGTGGGCGGATCATGAGGTCAGGAGATTGAGACCAACCGGGCTAACATGGTGAAACCCCATCTCTATTAAAAATACAAAAAATTAGCTGGGTATGTTGGGACATGCCTGTAGTCCCTGCTACTTGGGAGGCTGAGGCAGGAGAATTGCTGGAACCCAGGAGGCGGAGGTTGCAGTGAGCTGAGATCACGCCGCTGCACTCCAGCCTGAGCAACAGAGCAAGATTCCATCACAAAAAAAAAAAAAAAAAAAAAAGAAGTTACATAGCATTTAGGATTATTAATTTTTAGAAATAATTTTTTTGACTTTAGTTATTTCTAGGGCATTTTTATATATTTTTAAAAGATTACATTGTTTAAATAGTACATTTACTTATACTTCAGGTTCCTTCTTGCTCTTAAATTCCAAGGAATCCTCAAGACCAAAATTTACAGAACTTGATCCAGATCCATTGTCTGTCTTACTCACATTTTAAATCTATTTGTTAACTGCTTCAAATACTTGTGAGAAAAACAAGAGACACAAGAAATTAAAAGCATTATGGTTTAATTTCATTTTATAAGATATAGAAGTTTATGTAAATGTTTATTCATACACTCATAAACATATGTGCATTATAAAAATATAGATAAACAAAATATGAAAAGTGAAAATCTCCAAGATCTCACAATTCAGAAGTATGCATTATTAATAGTTTACCATATGGACACTCAGACATTTTACTATAACTTGCTCTTTTTTTTTTGTAATTTAGAAGTCTTATTTTTTTTTTTGGTAATTCTCTATACACTAACATAGATTTTTTTTCTTTTACACAATTGAAAAATGGTGAGCTCAATTATTTTTATTTAAATAGGAAGAATAAAGAAATACTTGTACATTTTATTTTTATTTCCCTCCCCTCACATCACAGTTTTTGTTGGAATAATCTCGGTTAATATAACTAGATTAATTTATTTTATAATTACATATCATGTCTTTTAAAAATTGATGTTCATTAAGTTTCACATGTTAGCAAATATTTTAACATTATGCATACATATTACTGATATCAGTAGTAACCACAATTGCTTTTAAATTACATTTTCTCTCTATTGGAATTATTTATTGTGATTCTTTTTTTTTTTTTTGGTTTGTCAGTTTACCATTTTCCTAAAAACGTTATTCAGAGCTCTTTGCTGATTGTATACTTTTTAAGTTCTTTCATGGCTATGAATGGCTCACAATTTTGTTGATGATGTTTTAGTGCCTTCTGACAATTAGTATTGCAGAAGAAAGTTTTGATGTCAGGCTGACCTTTTAAGATTATTTTACCATAGGTAACTTATTTTCCCCTTGCCTGGATGATTTTACAGTTAAAAAAAATCTTTGCTATATCCTAAGGATTGCTTTTTAAATTTTAAAGCAAGAACTTCTTTTATTAACTCCTTCTATTACATGAGCCACTCTGATCTAAAGCCTCAAGTTTTTCCTCTATTCCTGCTATTAATTTTTGCTTATATCAGTCAGTAACGTGAAAATGGTGGAAATTCTCAAACAGGAAAATTGAGCAGAGTTTAATGATTTGCAATGGTATCGAAAAGGTTAAAGGAAACCAAAGGGATGGTTAAGAACCTAGAACAAAATAGCCGGGGATCTATTACCACCCATGGATCTGAAAGGGTTGAGAAAAGTAGTCTTCAGGACTTGGAAAGTGCTGTAGACCACAGCCGTGTTATTGTGTCTGTGAGAGGGCTATGTGCAGGAACTGCAACCTTCCCTAGGGGAATGTAGGCAGTTAACTATGGCCAACTGGAGAAATCTGGGGCTTGCACTCCTCGTACGCTCCCATCTCCTGTGACTGCTTCTCATAGACTGAACCAAGCATCTAGTCCCTTGAAACCATTTATACAGGTCAGCTTCATGGGACAAAGAGCAGGCTGGGAAAGGGCTGAGTGGATCTAAAGGAGAAAACAAGATGTTTTCCTGAAATTCTTATGACATTTAGTCTGCATCATCTGATTTTTTTGGAAAATATATTAGAAAAACATGCACATATTTTTATCTATAAGCTTTATTGCTTCATCCCTTCAGTCGTCATTTTCCTAATTGTTCTGAGAGAACTTTTTTTTTTGCATTTTTCAATCTACTCTTTACTGCTTCCATTACATGTTTAAATTTAGTAATCTTAGTTTTTATTTGAATGCTGTCTTTCCTAATGTTATATGATTTTTTTTCCAATGGGTGTAGAATTTCAAGAAATCTTATTGAAATGCAAATAAGACTTTTTAACTGTTAACTTTTCTTGGCATAAAGCTGTTTCACATAGATAAACTTATTCTGAATCCCCAAATGGCCCTTTTATTTTGTTTAGATGTTCAGAGCATTTTTCAAAAGTCCAATAGTATTTTTGTAGCCTCAGCTTTACTGAGGAGACTCCAACTTCTTCAAATTCTGAAATTTGAGATGATTCTGTGTCAAAATTCAAATCTTTTATTCCCAGAAAATGGGAATATAAAGGTGTTCCTGTTTGCTATAGCAATATTTTGTTACAGGTTGAATTAAATTGTCCACATGAATGGGGAGTGAGCCATGGAGAGAAAAGCTGCATGACAGGAAAGTTCATTGATTTTCCAAATGGTTTCTTTTCACTGGCTACATATATGAGTTCTGATGGGTGCAGCTCAAACAACTTTGTAGGACTCAGATTGGTTTCAAATAACCTCCCCCACAGACTAGCTCATATACACTGGAGACATGGTGTTCATGGTGTTCATGTGTCAGGACAGAACCACATTTTCCCATGAAGATATTCCTTTCTAGGAAGAAGCCTGGGAACTAGCGTGATGGTTAATTTTATGTGTCAACTTGGCTGGGCCATGGTGCTCAGATACTTGGTCAAACATTATTCTAGATGTTTCTACAAAGGTGTTTTGTGGACAAGATTAACATCTAAATTGGTGGGCTGTGAGTAAAGCAAATTACCCTCCATAATGTTGGTGGGCCTTATCCAATCAATTGAAGGCCTTACTAGAAAAAAGACTGACTTCCTCTAAGCAAGAAAGAGTTCTGCCAGCAGAGAGCACTTTTGGAATCAAACTGCAACTCTTCTCTGTATGTCCAGTCTGTTGGTCTATTCTATCAGGCTTTATATTTACCATGTGCTATGGTCTGAATGTTTGTGAACCCCCTCCTCCCAATTCATATGTCAAAATCCTAACCTTCAAGATGATTATATTAGGAAGCAGGGCCTTTAGGAGGTGATCAGGTCATGAGAGTAGAGCCCAGATGATTTGAATTAGTGCCCTTATAAAGAGGCCTGAGAGCTCTCTTGCCCCTTCCATCATGTGAGGACACAGTGAGAAGGCACCACCTGTGAGCAAGGAAAAGGATCTGCTCTAGGCACTGAATCTGCTGGTACCTTGATTGTGTACTTTCCAGACTAAAGAACTGTGAGTAATAAATTTATGTTGTTTAAAAGCTACACGGTTTATGGGATTTTTGTTTAGCAAAGTGAACTAAGACACCAAGCTACAACAATCATGAGAGCCAAATCCTTAAAAATCTCCCTCCCTCTCCCAAGACACATACACACACACATGCACACACACACACACACACTCTGTTCTGTTTCTCAGGAGAACCCTGACTCTAATACAGCTAGTAAGAGGACAACTTAATAGAAAAGGAGCTGTTTCTTCTTTGAATTATTTCATTTTAATTTTTATGATTATGTTGTAAGAGCCCAATATACTGCTTCTGTCAGATTCACATATATAGAAATCCAGTATAATGACATTTTCACTTTCTTTTGCTTGCACCAAGAGAAAGCTGAGAGTGAATTCTCCATGTAGCTGACTTTTCTGAGGAATTTTGGTGTGATTTCTAGTGTGCTTTGACTTTCATCACATCTACTTTGTCCCGAAGGCCCTTTTTTTTTTTTTTTTTTACCAGCCCTTCCTTCTCAGAGGTGGAGATTTCCTAGTTCTGCTTACTTCCTTTTCTTGCAACTAATCTTATTGAAATATGAGATAGTTTTCACTTCCCTCAATCTAAGCCAATTTGCACGCTGCCTTTTTGGCCTGTTACTAATAATATCTATCCATATCTCCTAATCACTGTACAGATTATATCCTATTTTTACATACCCTTGGTCATACCAGTAGAATTTGTTGTGGAGAAAGACTGTCTTCATTTGAATTTCTTAAAAGCAGAACTGAGACAATGATTTAAGTACAGTTGTTTATTTGGAAAATGACCCAATAAAAATAGTAAGAAAGTGAGTAGTTGAAGGCACCGAATGGAGGAAGGCCAATAAAAGGTTACTGCATTAGGTTACTATTGCTGCATCACAAATTTGCACAAATTTAGCAGCTTACAAAAACAAAAATTTATTTTCTTATAGGTCTGTATGTCAGAAGTCTGAAACCAGGCTAACTGGACTAAAATCAAGATGTAGGTAAGGCTATGTTCCTTCCTGGAGGTTTTAGGGCAGAATCCATTTTCTTGCTTTTTCCAGCTTCTAGAGGCTCTTCTATTTCTTGACTGTAGCCCCCTTTCATCAAAGCCAGCAATGACTAGTCAATTCTTTCTCGCATGAAATCACTCTGACACTGTCTCCTACTTTCACTTTTCAGGACCTTGAGATAACATTGGGCCCACCCAGATAATCCTAATCTCCCTATTTAAGGTCATCTGATTAGTAATCTTAATTCTATCTGTAACCTTAACTTCCCTTTGCCATGTAATATACCGTATCATAGATTCTAGGAATTAGAATAAGTATATTTTTTGGTCCTTTATTCTATCAACCGTAGATACATTAATGATTGAGTTACAACAGTGGAGAAATAATGCAATTGGTATAAAGAGTATACATGTGGCTCAACCTCACCAGAAATAAAATGATAAATTCTGTGAAATGTAGTTAAACCTAACCAAGCTGACACATTATAAAGCTACCACAGTCCATTCTTGGCAACTTTGACCTCAAATAAGCTTCCTTGAACCACACTTAATCTCCAAATAAAAACAATAACAAAAGACCTACTTCCATCAAAAATGATATAATAATCCTACATAACAAACTAATTATTTTCCCAGAAGAGGGTGTAGAGTCCCTTTTGTGCCTTTGGGTGATGTTCATTTTCTTCTTCCTGGTTCATACTCCCTGTTTTATATTTTGTAACTTAAATATAATATCAAGTTAATTATTAACAAGTCATGTTAGATGATAAGGGAATGACAGAGGTAAAATTAAATTAAAATATTAAATTATTAAATTTTATGTAAAATTAAATTATTAAATAAAAACACCAAAATAAGGAATAAATACTTATAACCATCACAGTCCTCATTTTCAAGTCACATATGAAAATGGCTGGAAAGCTGAGGCACATAAGATTTTAAGCAGCACATGTTTTGTTCTGAATGTACCAATCTCTTAGGGGAGTTTGTCTTAAATAAGAAGCTCCATTCATAGGAGTTTTTGTTGTTTCAACTGTGGTTGCCTGGTTTGTCCTGGGAAAGTCCAATCTCAGGAGAGCCTGGTGTCATGAATTAATGGGTCTGGAACTGGCAGGCCCCCACAAATTTGTGGGATACTGGTGGAACAGGACATACAAACACCATCCTTAAGTATCTATGGCAACAAGTCTTTCACTGGCTTAGCCTCTTCCTGGGAATAAGTTTTTTTGGAATTATTAAGAATATCTCTTCTATGCCCTCTCCAGGAACACCGCTTGCTTATGTGCTAAAAACTTATTCTAAACTTGGAAAATCACCTCTTAGGCTTTCCATGAAAAGGCTTTTTGGATTCAATTGCTACTGGAATAAGTAAGTACATGATTGGAAATTCTAATTGTCAGTGAGCAAAAGATGGATCCTTCAACTTATAAAGACGATTAATTTAAAAAAAAAAAGATTTTAGAGATCTCTCATTCTAAACAATTACCTTGTATCTATGAGAGGATCAAATTTTAAAAAGACACATGACTAGTGTCATGGCTAGCCTTAGAACTTCTCTTGACAATGGCTGGGTGTGGTGACTCACGCCTGTAATCCCAGCACTTAGGAGGCCAAGGCAGGTGGATCACCTGAGGTCAGGAGTTCAAGACCAGCCTGGCCAACATGGTGAAACCCCATCTCTACTAAAAATACAAAAATTAGCCGGGAGTGGTGGCACACGCCTGTAATCCCAGCTACTTGGGAGGCTGAGGCAGGAGAATTGCTTGAGCCTGGGAGGCAGAGGTTGCAGTGAGCCAAGATCGTGTCACTGCACTCCAGCCTGGCTGACAGAGAGAGACTCTATCTCAAAAAAAAAAAAAAAAAAAAAAAAAATTCTCTTGAGAAAATTAAAGAGAAAAAAATCTGACCTAAAACAAAGTTAAAATCCTTTGTACACTAAAACTACCTACTTTGGACTCCCTGACGGATTTACAATAAGGTGCACTCCATCCTGTAGTCTAGTGGTTAGAATTCCACAAGTTCACCACCATGACCTAGGTTTGATTCTCAGTCAGAGAACCAATTCTTGCAGATCTATGTCCTCTAATTGAGGAAAAGAAACATTTATTGAAAACTTGTTTTGATATTTGTGTGATTTTTGACTTTTGGGAGTGCCCATTTGTTATTGATCTTTTTCCCTTTCATAGACGGCTTTGGATTTTCTGTTTTCCTCCATTTGTAGAAGGCACATAAGGCTTTAGGGTCAGTTAAGAAGTGGAGACCCCAGAAAACATGGCCAGACAAAAATATGAGTTGTACCCCATTTGTGGTTAGCAAAACTGGTTTTTTTGAGCTGTCTTTGGGATGGTTCTGGACTTGTGAGGATTGCTTTGCACCTCCTTGGATGTACCTTGTACATTCTTGGTTAAGTCATAACCTTGGTTAAAGCTTATTGGTTTTGGTGAGTCATTTGCAAAGGTATCCTTGGTTTAAAAGAGGGAAGGGAAGGGGAAGGGAGGGGAAGGGAGGGGAGGGGAGGGGAGAGGAGGGAGGGGAAGGAGGGAAGGGAAGGGAAGGGAAGGGGGATTAAAGAGAAAAAAGAAAGAGAAAGAAAGAAAGAAAGAAAAAGAAAGAAAGAAAAGAAAGAAAGAAAGAAAGAAAGAAAGAAAGAAAGAAGGAAAGAAAGAAAATAAAAACAGTTCAAAAGCCAGGAATATTGGCTGTTTGTCCCAGCTAAAATGTGATAATAAGAGATTTGGAAATATTTTTTTCAAGACCTCTATAGTCAGAAGTCTGCTTAATTAAAAACTGATATTCAAGATAAAATTTTTTAAAAACATCTTTCTGCTTTTTCTCTTTTGGATCCTGTTTCTGAGAATTGTTTTCAGTTGATCAAAACCCTCTTTTATTTATATGTTTAGTCCCTTTGTTTGCTTTCTTTCTTGGTCTAATTTTTGCTGAGAAAAATGTAAAAGTTCATTGGCCTTCTGGGAAGCTTAAAATCTCCTGAAATTGACTGTTCTAAGACTTGTTCTCCCATTTTCTTCTATTCCTCCTTCTTTTTTGCCACCTTCAATACCACATGAAAAGATCTAGAAGGGACTTCTAGTGACTCTGAGACCTCTTGAGGAACACAGAAAAAAGGTGGCACAGACTCCTTTTTTGAGTTCTCCTGTTTTCCAAATGGAACCCCAGGAGTCATGGCAGTTTCCTCTTAGGTCTACAGCTCTGCCCTCTTTTGCATGCTATTACCTGGTCTGTTTGGCATTGTGGGATACCAGGGGATATTTTGTACTGTGAGAAAGTACTTGACCTTTGTATATGGTATGGCTTCTGTGTCACTGATGAGGGCTACAGTGTTTGAGATGGCTAACAGTGGTTTCAATGAGTGGTTATTACTGTAGGAGTCTATTTGTTTCTTTGCAAGTTTATTTAAGAAAGGCACAGTTTGAATACTTGGAGGCTGTGGAAACACTCAGCACCAAGGGATAAGACTCCTATGGGGGTGGACTTATCACAGAGAGGGCTGATTGGTGTTGGAGCATCCTTGTAGCAAGATGCATTGTGGAAGTCTTGTGCAGCCTTGTCCTGTGATATTGCCCGATTTTGTGGGAGCTGAGATTCAGTGTAAAAACAGAATTATTGATTTCTGGAGATCTAGATGCCCTGCCTTCCAGCTGCACCTGCTTTTCTCATATTTAAATATTAGGCCCTGAAAACTGCAAATGCTTCATCAGCCCTATTATTCATTGATGAGCTCCACCCTAAGCTCAGTGGTCCAGTTAGAAAACAGAGACTAAATTAGAAACTACCTATCTAAATACAATCAATCTCCTTAGAAAATACTGTGGTAAATTTCTATAATTTTGTGTCACCTCGGCATTTTTAACCTTCTCTAACTAACAAACCCAAGCTCATTCTTAAGAAAAACATAAATTCTGTCTCTGTGCTTTGAAATGGAAATTTGCTATCCTGTTTTCTCTAAAACTTAGTAAGGGCTTTGGCAGTGTGGGACAAACAAACTAACTTGTTCCTTTTACAGAGGCACAATTTAATTAAACTGTCTTTTTAAACTAGTGAGTTTTACGTGTTTCATAACTAAAATTTTAAAATCAAAGCTTTAAGGTCTTTATTTGTGTCTGTATTTTTATGCATACGTGTGTATAGATGTCTGTTTGTATATTGTCCTTATTGTACCAAATTGAATTATAAATAAATGAGTGCCAAGAAACTAGCCCAAATACTTTTCAAGTTCACAAAACTTTAGTATTCTTTGGTTATATTTGTATAGATATATTATTGAAATGTGTTTCAAAATTGTATGAGATTTCTAAAAATCTGATATGTTTTAGTATAAGAAGTAAGTTGTTTCTGTTTTTTTTTTTTTCTAAAAGCATTTTGCAAATCCTGAAGTGTTGTGTCTTCAGTGAAATTCATGGAAAGAACCCTAACAAGTACTCTTGAATATAGGTTTCTGATAATTCTGGAGATTATATTATTGAACTAGGTAAAACCTTCCAAAACTCTAATTAAAAAAAGAAAACTGATGGGTTTATGAAGATTACTAAGCCAACATCAAGCTAAATAAAAATTAATTACATGGAACCGAACCGATAGAGGACTGAAAAGATTTTTTAATAATCTTTTTGTTTGAAACATTACTTATTATTTGTATGTTTTATTTTCCAGAGTTAAGAAAATATTTTTTTAAGTTATTTATAGCTTACAGCAATTGGGTTAAGTATACTTTGGTAAGAAAAATGTAAACCCATACCTTTCTCTCTACCCTGATTTCTCCAGAATTCAGAAACTATTCATGAGAATTCTTATTTTATGGCAAAATAGTTATTTGCATAAGTTTAACAAGAATCTGTTTTCTTTGGTAACAGGACACAATTGGAGATACTGATTATTTTACCAAGGCTTTGACTAGAATAGCATGTTTTCATCTGTGATCAAACTGCTTGAAATGATTGGGATTGACTTTACTAAGCCAATAGACTTGGATAAAGACTGGCCTGTTACCTTGTCTATGCAGTTATTTTATAAGGTTCCTAACCTTGTGGAAAGTAAAGAATGTTACTCTCTCACAGGCCCAGGAAACTCAAGATATTCTGGGGACCTTAGGAATAGAAGGATTTTCCCAATTTGTACAGGTATTATAGGTACAGCCTGATGGCAAATCCTTGCCTTGGTTTCTTGTCCTTGACTGGATTTTAAAAGTCAAATCTGAGATTTCTTACGAAAAAGTCCCACCAAAGCTAACTTTAAAAGAGCCTGTATAGCCAATCACTATTCTTGCTGTATTTTATACAAATAATCAAACCAAGTATAATAAGACTAAAGCTTATTTTGCAAATAGATTCGTTCTACCGTGTTTTATCTTTAGAAAAATGGAGTACTGGAGGGAAAAAATTATGTTTCAGAAGAAAACCATAGTACATCTGTTCTTAGATTCTTGCCTTGTTCATTGTTTTTGAGTTTTTATTATCTGCTTGCAATTTGGGCTGAATCTTGAATTGTTTCCTGGTGACAAGTCTTCAAAGTAATCTTTCCAAATTTTCCTTTCATTTTTTTTCTGACTTGGACTTACTGAAATTAAAAATGCCTTTTTCCTGAAGCCCTGCAAGCTGAGGCTAGTCAAATTGGCTGTGGAGAAAAATCATTGCAATAGCTCATATTTGGACACACTTTACACGCAAATTACAATCTAGGAAAATCTGTCAGGTTGCCACTGGTCTTCTCAACTGGCTGCCCTCCAAACTTTAGAAGGACTAGCTTGCAGACTGCTTCAGACATTGGCTTTCTTTCCCTTCTATTTCCATAGAGATGCCTCTTATTAAAGATCTGTTTTCCTACATAATATAGTGGCCTAGCTTTGAGAGCCATCTGCAACACCGTCTTCTAAAATGAGGCACAGCTGTTTAGTTGAACTGGCCTAGTCCCAAAAATGAGAGACTGGTTTGGTGGGATCCTTTGCCATTCAGCTACTGGCTCAATTTTTTCTCCATAGCCACAAACTCTAGGTGTGAAACTTCTTGGTAAGTTTCAGACAGGGGAATGCTGGGTCGCAAAAACTAATACTCCCAAAATGTGACACTTCGACATGCTGAACTGAATAAGAAGCGTCAAGATTTCTCTGACCTCCCCCACTCTTTTCTCTCAATTCATTGTCTCTCTCAAAGCACTGGATGAAGTTCTTCTCTGAAATTCTCTTATCTGCCCAAAGTCTAGACCCATCAAAGAAGAAAACAATTACCTCTGGTCTCTTCCAGGGGGGTATTTTAAAAAGCTTTGAAATCACCCAAATGAGCCCTTTTCTTGTGGTAAACACTTCTAAGTAGTGATGATCACCTGCAAATTACACTTAGTTGCCGACTGCCCCCCATCCACGCAGGCCTTATGCTGACATTATCGAGGCTCACGCTTTATCAGAAAAGGAAACTACAGGAAATGAATCATGAATCATTATTTTTAAAGAGCAACTCCATCACAGCTTGCTTATCATTATTAATAAATGAAGAAAGAGGTAAAACATGTGAACAAAGCCCCTAAGATCTTTGTCTCTGTTTAGAGCCAGCAATTTTGAAATCACCTCACAGTAGCCTGTCTTGGAATAGATGCCTAGATAAGGGTTTGCCACTTACCCTGCTATATCACCTGAGCCAGGGTGATATTGGGGGTCTCTTTTCATTTTATCACTTTGAATTATAGATTGACACAGCTGACATTTAATCTCTATTATTCTCTCTTTTCAGCGTAAGTTTCTTGGGGGTTGGGGGTGCGATGGGGAGAAGAACCTAGATACTTTTGTGTCAAATCTAGCTTAGCTTTTGTTTGTTTGTTTGAGGAGACAAAAAGAAAATAAAACTAAATCTTTTTTTCATTTGGGAAATATGAACAAATAAAATCTTATAGGTTTTATAACCGGATTTGGGGATCCACTGAATAACTAGATACAGAGCAGCTAGAGGCACTTTCATCCACTTCAGTTCCATCATGACAATAAAAGCATATATCCTTAGAAGCGCACATTATCTCAAATGGAATGGTACAGGGAAAATAAGCTGGCTATACTTGCTCAAATTGCTAGTTGCTCGTATTGTCACTGGCAAATTGAGTTTTTTTCCCTACTTTGTATTGGTCACAGAGAAAGAACACCCAATTGGAACAAAAGGCAAGCAGGTTTTATTTCTTTCCAGAAATGAAGAAGGAGTAAGCTTACACTCTAAAGACCCTTTCTCCCCGACCAATAGAAGACATGGAGTTTTTAAGGGCTGGGTCCAAGGAGCAAGAAGGAAGGTTAGCATGTGTAGGGTGGGACTACACATGTGCAGACTTAACTCATAAACACACATCTTCGTACAACCCATGTACATAAAATGGCAGAAATTTTCTTTCTGTAGTGGGAATTTTAGCATTATGATGATATGTTAATGATCTAAAGGCCACTGGGGTTATCTCTTCCAGTTTGGGTTGGTTTCAGGGTCTTATCTCCCTCTGGTATCTGGTCAGGGGTCAGGAAGCTCTGACTCCATCATGGGGCTCATCTGTTTTTTTTAAGTGGCTGTACCTATAAATAAGGGCTGAAGAAAAACAGTAAGTAAAAGAACTTTCCCAGCTACTTCATCAGGGCTACCTTGATAACAAAATAATATTCACTTAGCATTTCTTCTCTAAAGTTGGCTAAAAATTTCCCAACTTTTGCTGCTAGGTTTGGCCAGGTAACTAAGACCTTGTAGGGACCAAGGGAAAACTTCCCATTCACCTTCTGAAGCCCCACTGAAAAGGCAGATTAGTAAGAGAAAAGGCATACAAATGTATTCATGTGCACGAAGGGAAAAATCACAGAGAGATTACCCCACCACACAATTGGGTAGAGATGCTTATTTACCCTTCTTCTTAGTGGAAAGGGAGATAGGGAAACATGGATGATTTTAGGGGGAGTAGTAAATGATTCTTAGGGGAATTCAATGGGCTCAGAACATTCAATGGCCTGGGACAAAGTCTGCTGGGTCCACAGAGCAGGCAATAGTTTATGACAAGTCTGTCCGGGTATGTTAAGAGACTTCAATCTTTCTTCTTGTGATGTAAGTTCACATGTTTAGCTCTTTTCTTCATTTATTAATAATGATAAGCAAGCTGTGATGGAGTTGCTCTTTAAAAATAATGATTCATGATTCATTTCCTGTAGTTTCCTTTTCCGATAAAGCGTGAGCCTCGATAATGTCAGCATAAGGCCTGCATGGATGGGGGGCAGTCAGCAACTAAGTGTAATTTGCAGGTGATCATAGAACTCATGGAGTGTTTACCACAAGAAAAGGGTAAGTGTAATTTGTAGGTGATCATAGAACTTAGGCGTGTTTACAAGAAAAGGGCTTCTTTGGGTGATTTCAAAGCTTTTTAAAATACCTCCCTGAAAAGTAAACTATTTTAATTTAAATTATTAGTCATTTCTACCCGAATCTGAATTACTCACATCAGATACTTTCTGTTTAAGATGTGAGCGAAAAAAGTTAGTCTCAGAGCATAAAGGCTTTGAATGGAGTGATGGGGTGAGCATTGAATAAGGAACAGGCAGAAAGGGAGGATTTTTATAGCAAAAATAGACAAATAGAAGTTGTAGAGTTGGGTTGGATGTCTCATTATAGGGGTAGGGGGAATGGTAAGAGTTTTAGACAGCTAGAGGCAAGTGGTAGGGTGCTGAGTGTTTGGAGAGAGAGAAATGATAACTCTGTTGAAGAAAAGGAAGAGAGAAGTTAAATACGAAGTTTTTAAACATAATTACATTTATTTGACCCCTTTCTCTTACATCCCACATAGCATCTATAAGCAAATCCCATAATCTCTATTTTAAAATATACCCAGAATTCCAGAATCTGACTATCCCACCTTATTTCATCACTACCACCCTAGTATAGTGAATTATTGCAATAGCCTCCTCACTGGTCTCCCTGTTTCCACCATTGTCCCCTTAATGTCAACTTGCCAGAAAGCAAACAGAAAGATCCTTTAAAAACAAAACTCACATCTTGCCACTCTGCTCAAAATCCTCCAGTGGCTTCTCTTGTCTCTCAGAAGAAAATCTTAACCATGGTCTCTGAGTCTGGCCCCTGGATCTCTCTTGACTTCACCTCCCAACTCTCTTTCCCTGGCTCCTTCTACTCCAGGTACTCCTTGCTGGACCTCTAACATGCTAACAGCTCCCATCTTCTGGGCCTTTGCATTTATGATTCCCTCTCCTAGAATGCTAGGATTTCCCCTCTAGAAATCCTCACTCACTTACTTCGTCATTTGATTCAAATCTCTACTTACAGATAATCTTTAGTGGACTTTGAATACTTGATATAAAGTATCTTGAAGTAAATACTTGATATAAAGTATAAAGACCTGAATACTTGATATAAAAAGGCATGAGCATTCCTCTGTATAACTCTCCATCCTTTTGCCCAGTCATATTTTTCCTCCTAACACTTGTCACAACTATATGTGTGTATATATATTTGTTTATTGATTCACTGAAGGCTTGTTTCTTGAGAATAGATTGTCTATTTTATTCTTTGTCTATAGAGAGCACCTAGAAGAGTGCCAGACACATGGTAACAGCTCAACAAGTGCTTGTTAAGTGACTTATATAAATTGCATGAAGCCTCAGAAAGGTTCTGGGAAATCTTAGAGAAAAATTTGAGAGAGCCTTACTATAAATGAAGTAAATGCTCAGAATCTTCTCAAAAGAGAAGCTGAAAGCTTTTATTCTGGCTCAAGAGTTGATGCTGCTTTGCTGAATTGCTGAGATAAATGTCTCTGTGGTGCATTTAAAATGTTGACTATCCTAGATTACTTGAAAAATACTTCCATCCAGTTACCTATAATCTTTCCTGGGACAATTATCAAATGTGCTTGTTAACATTAAATTTATCTTTCTGTTAAATGTTTTGCATTAGCTGTGATCATTTTTGAATAGACAAAGGGTCATACATTGTGCCAGACAAATTCTTTTTCTATCTCATCAGTGAAGAAAAAATTTCTATCCGTACATGACATACTTTGGATTTGTGGAGTTTTGAAGTTTCTACATATTTAATATGATTTTAATCCATTTAAGCTCATAATTTATTTTGTAGTCAGTCTTTGGAACCACACATTCTCCCAGCTTGGATAATATTTTCATTTGAGTATGGACATAATTTGGATCCTACTTTGAGCAAACTATCTTGTAATGGCTTTCTCATATGTCACCTTGTCTAGGCTGAATTGCATTTCCCAGAATTTTTTCTCTTGTTTGTTTTGAGTTGAGGTAAGACATAGGGAAGATTCTTGAGACATTTAGAGGCTGAAAGAGAAGCAGTGGCCATTTTGTGGCTCACACATATTGTTGCTGATCTGTAGATTCACCCTACTGGTGTGAAGCAGCATCTGATTCTGTGGCTGCTCTACCTGCCGCTGATATTCTTTCAGCTTCTCAGACTCCTAGACCAGGGGTGTGTGTTTCACTTTGTGACAAAGGGCCCCACTTCTGCTGGATACCCTCATTACCAAGGTTAGAGGCAACAAGAATGAACACAGGTTTTAGTCCTTCTCCACGGAGTTCCAGCTTAAGCTTGTTGGTTCCAGCCTGCTTGTGTTTTTCCTTTTCTGACTGCCATCCCTGTGATCTTGAAGCCTCAGCATCATGTGTGAGAAAACAGCCATACAGAGACTGCTTAGCCAGCTCCTACAATTGCATAAGGCCAATTCCGTATAACCAATTTCTCTCTCAGATAGAGGAAGAGATACATATAGCTATAAATAAAAATATAGATAATATAGAGATACCAGTAGTTCTCAGCTGGAGGCAATTTTCACCCTCAGGGAACATTTGGCAGTGTCTGCATACGTTTTTGGTTGTTACAACTTGGTGGAGGGTAGAGAGTTGTGCTACTGGCATATAGTGAGTAGAGGCCATAGATAAACCCACAATTCACAGGACTGTCCCCCACCCTCACACCCCAACAAAGAATTATCCAGCCCAAAAGTCAATAATGCCACTCTGCAGAATATCTGATATAAATATAGAGATCTAGATAGATACTAGTTTTTGCTTCTCTGATTAAATGCTAACTGATACAGATTTTAATACCAAGAGTGGTTCCAGGGGGATAGAATCTTAAGTATGAATTCTCTGACTTGGTTTTGAGTCTTCTCTAATATGATTAAATTTAAAAGCACTAATGAGTCTACTTCTAGCAGTAAGAAGGGCACTGGTAGTCAATGGCATGATGTGGCAATAGAGATACACAAAATATCCCCACTGGTTACTGTTAGGGTCCACCCAACTGGACTGTTTCCCCCTCCCATAGATCTAAGCCCCAAAGGCCAAAAGCAAAACACCCTACCCCAAACCCTCCTGTAACTGTTTGACCAGAGGCCAGCTGCTCCAGGATGTGGTTAAGACATCTACCTTGCACAACAGAACTGGCAAGAAAAACATCTCCAGGAAGTGGTCAGACACCTGGCACAAAGGACCCCCCCCCCGCCCCGTCTCTTTTCTTTTTCCTTCACCTTGACCCAGTTCTACACCCTATAAAACCTTGCTATAGCCTGTAAGTGGGGCTGCCTCCTCTGCTTTTGTCAAGAGGTGGCCTGGCAGGACTGACAATAAATCAGCTTGCCTGAACTTGGGTCTATTGGCCTCATTCCTTTCTCGGCCATCCTTCCAATTATCCCTTACAGTTACTCCTAATCAAACACTTACAGAAGACAAGGTTCTGGGTGACCATGTATTTGATGCCTTAGCACATTTTAGTCAAACCAAGGAGTACAATGAGGTTGGCTGTTTGCTCCTAACTGCGTGGGAGAAAGTAGGGAAAGGATAGGCTCGGGAATTTGAATTATCAGCTCAAAGTCCACATAAAGAAACTGAAAGCTTCTGTTTGCCCTGAAAGAAATTCTTATCTTCCTTCCATAGCCACAGGGCCCTGAAAACCAAAATTCAGAGTCTCCGCCCTGCCAGTGGCTGAATGATGCAAAGTGATTTCTCAGCCTTGTAGCCTCTGTATGAATATAAAGCTGGAATGGGATCCTATGGGCAGATTCTCACAAAGCTGGGGACTCTAACCCCTGAGTTCTGCTGAGCCTTTTTTGCCAGTAGAAGCAGCCTTTCTACTCCTGTCTTGAGAAGATTGGCCCTCCTTTGCCTGCCTTTCCTGAGGTAGTTGACTGGTAAGGCACTGCTGATCCTCTTTAAGACCTACCCCCACCACCTCTCTTTGCTTCTAAACCTATAACTTACCTGAAGTCCCAGCGGGCTCAGAGGGGTAAAGTACAAAGTGTAACCCATGAGGAGCTGCTATGCATACCAAAAGCATTGTACAGTTTTATCACTTTATATAGTCAGAAACCTGGGGGATATGCATAGGAATCAATTTTAAAGATATGGAGTCAAAGTGAAAGGAAAATGAAGTTGGATTGGGCAGAATTAGTTGATATGGGCCTGTATTCATCAGCTTGGCGTGCCATAACAAAATACCATGGGCAGGGTGGCTTAAATAACAAAAAAATTATTTTCTTACAATTTTGGAGGATTGAAGTTCAAGATCAAGGTGCCAACAGGCTTAGTTTCTGTGGAGGGCACTTTCCAGCTTGCAGATGGCTACCTTCTTACTGTACCTTCACATGGTCTTTCCTCTGGGCATTCACGTGGAGAGAGAGAGAGACAGCGCTGATGTCTCTTCCTTTTCTTATAAGGACATCAGCCCTATGGAATTAAGGCCTCACCCTTATGACCTCATTTTACTTAATTATCCCCATCTCCAAATATAGTCACATTGGGGGTTAGGGTTTCAACATACACATTTTGGGGAGGAGGCAACAATGCAGTCCATAACAGGGCCAACTAAGCAAATATTCTAGATTCAGTGTTTCAGGTTGAGGGGCTTGACAGTTTACTTGGTTGGTTGGCTGAAACATGGACCCAAAAGTGACCTACAATAAATGAAATCAAAATATGCCAGAACTTTTGGGGTATACTGTAGAGGAAGATATCTAAAGGCTTAGAAACATTTGAATGTTGGAGTGTCTTTATCATATAAGACCTACTCATTCACCTTGAGAGGGCTCTCAGAACACACCCTTTACCCTGGCTATGAGAAATAAATCTGTAAGGGGAGCTCCAGCATCCTTGATGAGCTTTGTGCTGACTATTCATTATAGACCAGAAATTATCATGGGAACTGCTACCATAAACTAGGATCCCTAAATGTAATAACAATGATAGACTCTTGAGACGACAAAGGCCAAGTGGCAGTGGCAGCACTTAATTGCCTTTGTAAATTGAATTGTGTTCCCTCAAAAAGATATGTTGAAGTCCTAGCCCCCAGTATTTGTGAATGTGACCTTATTTGAAAATAGGATCTGTGTAGATATAATTAAATTAAGATGAGGTTGTAATGGATTAAAGTGGTCTTTAATCTAATGACTGGTGTCCTCATAAGAGGGAAATTTAGACATAGAGATGCACAGGAAGAATGCTGTGTCATGACGAAGGCAGAGGTTGGAGCAAAGCAGTTGCAAGCCAAGGAATGCCAAGGATTGCCAGCACTCATCAGAAGCTAGAAGAGAGGTATGGAATAGATTCCCTTTCAGAGCCTCAGAAAGAACCAACCTTGCTAACACCTTGATTTCAGCCTTCTAGCCTCCATAATGTGGGAGAATAAATTTCTATAGTTTTAAGCCACCCAGTTTGTGGTACTTTATTATGGCAAACCTAAGAAACTAATACAAATTGCCTAAGACAAGATTAGTATAGTTACCATAATTGCCAGCAGAGTCAAAGCAGTGATTAGAAGAGTCTGGCTCCCAGAAATCTTTAGTGTTGGCTGGTTGATCACAGTGCCTCTAAAAAAAAAATAGATGGACAGTTTACTAAATTCTTACTTGATCTATATAAGCAGAACAGATCTAGCCTTAGTGAACGGAAGCCTTACTTGAATCCCTAAAATATGATAACCCTTGAGTCAATTCCCAGATTTGAGCCAGTTCACCAACCTAAAATTGATTGAACAAAGGGGAGATCGGGCCCACTTGAGGAAAGAGCCTAATACACTGCCACAAATTTATTCTATTAGTCTTCCTACTAGCCTTCCCCAGAGTTACTTGCAGACTTTTACTATTTACCTAGGTGATTATACATTTGGGAAGGGGAAATAATCAGTCTTTGGGGGAATTACTAGATGCTGGCTCTGAATTGACACTAATTCCTGAAGACCCAAAATGTCACTGATGTCCACACACTTAGAGTACGCACTTATGGAGGTAAAAGGTCAGGTGATGGAATTTCAGCTCAGTTCTATCCCAAAGTGGTCCCAGTGGGTATCCATACCCATCAAGGGTCTATTTCTCCATTTAAAATATATATACCTGGAATAGACATGCTCAGTAACTGGCACAATAACCACATTGGTTCTGTGACATATATAGAGAAGGCTATTATGGAAGAAAAGGCCAAATGAAAGCCACTAGAACTGCTTCTAACTATGAAAATAATAAATAAAAACCAGTACCACATTTTGGAGGCATTACAGGAATTCATACGACCCTGAGGCCTTAAGTGTGGATGGCACTTCTGAGTTGCTTCTAGTCAATAGCATATGGAATAGGAAATGAGATTTCACTAACCTAATTTGGTTATAGTATATAGCAAAGGTGCTGGCTGTCACTCTCATTATCAGGTTACATTATGTAAGACTCTATCTTAGCTGTTTGGAGACAGATACTCTCATGCAGGCCTTTAAGAAGCAACCTGCCATGTTGTGAACTGCCAGCAGAGAAGGTCACATGGCAGGAAAGAGCAGGTGGCCTCTAGGACTTGAAGATGACCTCTAGCCAGCAGAAATCTGGATCCCTCAATCATATAGCCTTAAGGAAATGAATTCTGCCAGATTCTTTAAGTTAAGCCTCCAGATGAGAATGTAGCCTCTATAACATCTTGATCACATATTTGTGAGTTCCTTAACAGAGCACCCAGGCAAGCTGGGCCCAGACCCCTGACCCACAGCAACTATGAGATAATAAATGTGTTTTGTTTTAAGCCACAATAGGAAGATAATATACATACTTCAAGGCCTTTGAAAATCCAAACTGCCTTCTGAGAGGCCAGGAAGCTGAGCAAAATACTGTGTCTGAGAAGCAAAGAAGACAAGCAGATGGTGGTGCTTAAGAAGCTGAAAAGATGAGGAAGGCTTCTGGAAGTTCCATAGGCTTGGGGGAAGGACTAAACTTCAGAGCCTGTGAAAAAGGAGGGAGCTTGCTAAACATCATAGCCTTTAAGTTGGGATCCCCAAAGACCTCTAATTTAAAAATAATGCTGAATGGCAAATACTCTAGCCTTCATTCAAATGACTAAAATCCAGCTTTAAAATAGCTCAATACCTGATTGGTAAAGGTGATATACCTTTACCATAACTACCTAGCAAAAACAAAGTTAAATCCTCACTGAAGGAAGAAAACATAGTCCAGAGCTTCAAATTGTCTTTATAGTTTTTTATACACAATGATCAGATACAATAAAAAATTGGTGTGCAGATAAGAGAAAAACGAAACAGCAGAAATAGTCCTCCAGGAGATCAGATATTAAAATTACCAAGCACTACTTTAAAATAACTGTTCTTATGTTCAGAGATTCCACTAGAGAATTAGAAATTATAATTAAGAAAGAAGCCAATGGAAATTTTTTAATAGAAAAATTATAATAACTAAAATTAAGAACACATTAAGTACATTTAAAAGATTAGATATAGCTAATGAAAGAATTATAAAACTGGAATATAGTTCAGAATAACATGCTCAGAAGTGAGACATAAAGAGATAAAAGGATAGAAAATACAAAACAATAGTATGGGCCGGGTGCGGTGGCTCACGCCTGTAATCCCAGCACTTTGGGAGGCCGAGGTGGGCAGATCACGAGGTCAGGAGATCGAGACCATCCTGGCTAACACGGGGAAACCCCGTCTCTACTAAAAATACAAAAAAAAAAATTAGCCAGCTTGGTGGCGGGCGCCTGTAGTCCCAGCTACTTGGGAGGCTGAGGCAGGAGAATGGCGTGAACCCGGGAGGCAGAGCTTGCAGTGAGCCGAGATCGCGCCACTGCACTCCAGCTTGGGTGTCAGAGTGAGACTCCGTCTCAAAAAAACAAAACAAAACAAAACAAAATAGTACGAAGTATATATAGTGTACATGGTACACAGTGAAAACATCTAGCATATACAAAATCTGAGTCCCAGAAAAAGAGGAAATAGAAACACATTTAAAGAGGTAAAAACTGATAATTTTGCAAAACTGATGAAACATACCAACCCACAGACTTGATAAGTACTAGAAACCACAAGTAAGACGCATGTAAAGAAAATTACATGCAGATGCATCAAACTACTGAAAATCAAAAACAAAAATAAAATCTTGACAGCAATCGGAGGGAAGATATATTTATCTTCAAAGGAGAAATCCTATAACATCTAACAAACTTCTCAACAGAAATGATGGAGGCCAGAAAGCAATGGAATGGAATCTTCAAAATGCTGAAATAACTGCCAACCTAGAATTCTCTACCCACCAAAAACATTCTTCAAAAGCAAAGCAAGGCTGGGCATGGTGATTAACAACTATAATCCCAGCACTTTGGGAGGCTGACGTAGGATTGCTTGAGACCAGGAGGTCAAGACCAGCCTGGGCATCATAGTGAGATGCTGTTTCTACAAACAAACAAACAAAAAAAAAGAAAAGAAAACAAAGAAAGAAAAATAAAAAAAGTTATCTGGGTGTGATGGTGCATGCTTGTACTCCCAGATATTTGGAAGGCTGAGGTAGAATGATCACTTGAACCCCGGAGTTCAAGGCTGCAGTGAGCTGTGATAACATCACTGCACTCCAGGCTGGATGACAGAGTGACACTCTGCCTCTACAAAATTAAAAATAAAAAAAGCAAAAATGATTTGAGAGAAACAAAAACTAAGAAAATTAATCACCAGCATAACAACATAGTGAGAATTACCAAAAGGATTTCTTCATGTAACAGGAAAATGATCCCAGATAGAAACGCAGAGAAGTCAGAAGGAATGAAAAGTTTTCTAAGAAAAAAAAAAAAGGAGGTAAACATGTAAATAATTTTAAATAAATATAGGCTGCATAAAGCTGTAATGATAATGTCCAAGACTGTTTTTATACATTTAGAAGTAAAATACATTTCAATATAACACAAAAGAAAAGA
Source organism: Homo sapiens (assembly GCF_000001405.40). Taxonomy (NCBI): domain Eukaryota; kingdom Metazoa; phylum Chordata; class Mammalia; order Primates; family Hominidae; genus Homo; species Homo sapiens. Next base: position 42,938,011 of record NC_000023.11, on the reverse strand, counting down.
AGGAGTGTTTTGGTTAGCATCCATAAGCTATGCTACAGTAACAATTACCCAAATCTCAATACATTATCACAACAATTATTGTTTTCTCACATTTTATGTTGACCACAGTAGCTCTGAGTTGGCTTTAGTTCTTCACCATATATTGTCTTCATTGCAAAAACCAGCCAGTAGAAGTAACCACTATTTGAGATATTCTATTCTCATAGCAGAACAAAAAGAGAAATGGAAGAATTATCCAATACCGCTAAAGTTTCTTCTTAAACATCACATATAGCCACTTCTATTTACATTCTTTTGACCAATGTTAGTCATGTAGCCAAAGACTTATACAATCTTTTACCAGAATACAGAAATAAAAATGTATTTTTTACATTTTTATTTATGTTGAATCTGAAAAAAGAAACAATACAATCTACCACAAAGAATAAATGAAATTTATGTGTTCAAAGGTCCTTGAATTTTCTGGGATGTAGGAAAACATCTAATTTATATTACAACTAATGAATAAAGAATCCATGTTTTAATCTGTAGGATAATCTTGAAAAGAAGAGTAAAAATGTCTAAGTAATAAGCTAACAAATGGGGAATAGAATAATAAGCTAATAGAGGGGAAAGAAAATAATAGAGGATAAATAGAACAATAAAAGAATATTTAATCAATGCAAAGAAAGCAAGAAAGGAGAGAAAAAACATGAAGTATATGAAACATGTAGAAAAGCAAGTATGATGGCAGATTTAAATACAAATATGTAAGTAATCACATTAAATGTTAATGGTTTGAATATTCCAGCAATTACCAGACTGGACAAAAAACAGAACTCAAATATATTCTGTTTGTAAGATACACACTTTAGATATACGTATGCAAAAATGTTTAAAGAGCACAGAAATAGTGATACAACAACTTACCACAAGAAATCTGGTGTAGCTGGACTAATATCAGACAAAGTAAACTTTAGGGCAAAACCATTCCTAGAAAGAGAGATATTTTGTAATGATGTAAGTGTTAATCCATCAAAAAGACATGACAATTCTGGACTTGTACATGTCTAATAACATACTCCTCAAGTCTACAAAGCAAAAAGTGACAGAATAAATGGAAGCAATAGACAAATTCAAAAGAATTTTGGTAAATTTTAATTCACCATTTTCGTTACTGCAAAGCCAAGCTAATGAATCACATTATTTACGTCTTCTATGGTCTTGCCAAAATATTTTTTGCGTTTTTTGTTTTGTTTTGTTTTGTTTTTTTGTTGCTGTTTTTTTGAGGCAGGGTCTCGCTCTGTTGCCCAGACTGGAGTACAGTGGCACAATCACAGCTCACTGCAGCCTCGACTTCCCTGACTCAAGTGATCCTCCTGCCTCAGCTTCCTGAGGGGCTGCGGGTATAGGTGTACACCACCATGCCTGGTTGATTTTTTATTTTTTGTAGAGACAGGGCCTCATTTTGTTGCCTAGGTTGGTATTAAACTTCTGGCCTCAAGCTATCCTCCTGCCTCAGCCACCCAAAGTGCTAGAATTACAGGCATGAGCCACCCCTCCTGGCTTACTTTTTCGATCAGTTAATTTGAGTTCAAAATATTACAATTAGTTTTACCTCATTGAAGTATGGCATTTATTTTAGTCAATATATTTGTATAATTCTGTATAGTTGATGTAATATGAATGAGGACAAGTAAACCAAGACTTACTAATATTAATACTAATGTAATTTTCTCTATTTTTTCTTGCATTTCTTACAGTTTCTGTTTTATGAATGATAACACAATGATATCTGGTATACAAACATTCACAAGTGTCACATCTCCATTATCAATTGAACATGCATCAATTAGAAATTATGTTAGATCATGAGTAACAGAGAGTCTTACTAATAGTAAGAAAGATAAAAAATTTATTCTTAGGAAGGCCAGCACTAGTAAGGGTGCTCTTTAAATTCATCAACAGCTGGTCCAATTTCAAAACAAAGATAAAGAATCAATGAAAAACGATTTGACCAATGAGTAGAAATTACAAAATCAAGAAAGGAAAAACATAATTCAAAAGCAAATGAATAGCATGTATTATAACAAGGATGACTTAAAAGCTAAGAGGTGAAAAGAAATTTGTCTATAATTTCAAAAAGCATACAGGTATCACAGTCTTGTTTAAAAAAGATGTGAAGCAGAAGATGAAGAAAAGTCATCAATGAAGAGAAATATGAGAAATAAAAATAAATTAGAAATTAAATATTTACAAAAATAAGTGTCACATTGGATGCAATCATAAACAGAATAAACAGTATTTGATGCCACAATCAGTGACATGGAAGTGAAACTTCAAAAAAATTACACAAAATGAGAATTAAAATGAATGAGATATAAAATTATAAAAAGATCATTAGATATGGAATTCAGATGAAAGAAAAGAACAGAAAAGATGGAAAAATGCATTCAAAGATTTAATAGAAGAAAGTGTTTTTGAAATAAAAGTCTTGTTTGACTCTGAAGAGCAAATTAGGCTGTTTCCTAGGGAAAGTAACTGGTAAAGTTACTGATATTTGAAGATTAAGAAAAAAGTATCCTAAGGAAATCTTGGAGAAAAAGCAATTAACATACAAAAGGGAGCATAATTATGCTACTCTGAGATTTCTCTACAGGATACTACTTACCAAGATAATTGGAAGAATTCAATGAAATAATGTAATTATGCTAGTCCTTGGATTGCCATCAGGACATTCATAAACTTACTGAAACGATATTCAAAATATTGTTTGTGCACACATGTAAACTTTGCTGGGATAAAACCAATGTTTTTTTTTTTTTTTAACTTGATTTACAAAGAGATGACAAATAAATTAAGAACCACTGCCCTAGAGCATGTCTCCCCAGTGGTGGACGTCATGTTTCCAGGAGTGTTTTGTGTCCTTGAGTTTATTACAAGATTCTTTTTAAGAGTATGAATTTTCATTCCAATTATATTTAAAATTAATAAGAGTAGCATGTTCTCTATCATATGGATGGCCATCTAATTTTTATTTTTACTTTTTTTGACAGAGGACCTACAGGGAACTTTATATTCTTTCTTCCCTCTTCACCCGGGTACTGCCCCTTGCGAAGTCCAAGTGGGCTCCTGGCACAGGGATCCTCCATCTTCTCTGGCACCCGTGGCATTGCCAGCAGGCCAAAAGGGGCAGCTGGCATTGTTGGCTTCAGTCTGACCCAGGGTACCCAGCTGTGGTCCCCTCAGCCCACAGTAGGGGCAAGGGCTGCTTCTCCACAGTTCATAATGAAGGCTTTCAGCAATGCCCAGCTGCCTCTTCTCCAAAAGTCTGGCTTTTGAACACTCTTCTCCTTCCTGGGGAGGGTTTTTGCCCCTCTGAGGTTGGACAGGAACCAGAAGAACAGTTTATCTGCTTCATCTGTCTGTGACCTGGGGCTTACCCAGCCCCTAATCCTTCTGGCAAGCACTGTGCTTGAGCACTGTCCACACAGTGGAAACCACAGGAAACGACTTTGGCTTGTGGAGGGGGAAGAACGCGAAATGAAAACAAAAGCACACAGGAGCACATAGAAAAGCCCCATCCACTGCCCATCTCTCTCCCTGGGGGCCCCAAACAACCACTAAAATAAGACCCAAACTAAAGGCCTGCCATGCAACCCCAAAATCAATTAACCTCTCCTGAAACATGCAAAGAAACTGCCCACCTAGAAATATCCAAAATAGTCTGTGCCAATTATGAAGAGATCAACAGCTTCACCCACCCTCTCTGGAACCTCTAGTACTGACTGTGTCATCCGTGGGGTGCCCCAAGGAGGGTGGACTCTTTTCTCAAGGCCAGGACAGTGACAGTTACAAAAGGTGGTCCTTGCTTGCAGCTGAGAACTGCTTTTTCTTCAACTAACAGACAGTGACAGTGGCCTGGGCCAGAGGTATGCTTGAACTCATGAGACACCACGAAGCCCAAGAACCAGTGGTGCCTTTTAATGCACCCACCTTTGGCAGGTGGTGACAATCTCCAGGAAACCAGCACAATTCACAAATACAGATTAGGACAATGCAAGGGCTATTTCTGGTGGCAAAACACCAGCAAATAAAACTGGGCCAAGCAGGGGCAGGACACTGGAGGTGCCCTATGACCATGTCTTTTCCAGATTTGCAGCAAAGGCACCATTGGGGTTTCCCATATGACCTGTCCCATATGGCATGTGGAGTCACATGGTGAAGTCACCAAGGTGCACATGTGGGTCTCAGCTTTCTCAGCTCTGGTACCCAGACCCTGTACTCCCTGGCCCATTCTCTTCCGTACTCAATGTGGATTACCCATCCTCTACCTTGCAGCTGGGGCACAGCCTGGAGGGGAGACATCTTGGAGGTCACATATTCTACAGGATTTAATGTTGTCCATCCCCCACCTCTCCCATTTTTTTCCTTCTCCTTTTGTCTTTGTCTCATTGCTAGATGACCATCTTATGATTGAGCATTACTTTATTTTAATGTGCATGTTTACCCTTGTGTTTAGGTGACCACGTTGCACAAAAGGATCATGAAGCACCAGCATTTACATTTTAATATGCTGGTAAGCACATTGCTTTGCTCTTGTTAGCCCCCTCTAATGCCACAAATGAAAACTTTTAGCACCTGCTATTGGGCAAACATTGACTTCCTTAAACAGTTATGAGGGAAAAAAAACCTAGACTTTTGCTTTTAAAAAGCACTGAACTATGACATTATTGAATTTTGACTTAAATTACTTACATAAGAGTTGGATGTCCTATCCTGAAAACTACTATGTTTTGTAGGAATGTTCTACTTCAATTATTTTGGGTTAATGGAAAAATACAGAGGCAGAATTAATATATGATAAAAGGTCTTAAAATTATTTAAACAGAGAAAACAGTGAGATAATCAAATCATCATATGGTACACTATCATATTTGTATACGTAATATCAATGGTGAGCACTAGTATAGCTTCAGCAAAAACTTATTTTCTATATAAAATTAATATGGTTTATTTAAATTTTATTAGTTGTGTGATGTGATAAATTCAACTTTTAATTTAGATTGTATAGTTGTAAAAGGGATGATAGCACAGGCAGTTCACCCCTAGGTTTACATATATATATTTACAGGCCATTATAATTTCAAACAGAGTTTCTGTCCTCACTGTGTATCAATAAAAACAAAACAAAATAAAACAAAACAAAAACAAACAAACAAAAAATACAAATCTTCTTTTATAAGTATTTTAAAAATCCCACCCATAGCATAATTTATCCAAACTGGCTTTGCTGTAGGCAGTGTGCTGTCATTCTCTAGCTAAGTGACTCCACTAATCTGTCTCAAAGCATGGGACAGGAAGAGTTATGCCTCAGCAAAACATGCCCCAGTTTGTCAGGATTATTCTGAAATAAGGCCATTATTTATTTGTTGGTCAAAACTCAAAACAAACAAATTCCCTAATTCCACGTTTACTTAGTAGTTAACAAATGCATGAAAAGTTACAAGACTATGAATGCATGAAAGGATATGTGGAATCATTGCTTCTCTGAACCATCTGGTTGTATTGGAAAGAGAGGAAGGAAAAGCAATTTATCGACCAGTTCCTTTCTTCCTTCAGTCTCCTTGATCAAAATCCACCCCATGGGGCACTAACACCCCATCTGACCCCGCTAAACAGTCACTGGAAAAGGCAGAGCCTCTGTGGGTCCAGGTAATCAGACCTAGACCTTTAGAACCACTGTGGCTCCTTTTGGGGTAAACATGATGTTGGCCATGCTGCAGCCCAGCCCTTGCCTCCAAAGGAAAAGGAAGAGGAAGATTATATGGAGCCTGTGCTGAAACAGATCTATACGTCCAATATCTGGGTACCGTAGAACACAGAGTTCAGAGAAAGAAAGAAGCTACTTTATCTAATGGGAGGGAAAGAAAGCAAAAAAGATGGTCAGAAATGAGGTAAGTAGAGCTAAGTGCCAATTTACCCATTTGTAATAAAAAATATAAATTCTACTTGAATCCATTGACCAGGAAATTCTCAGCATACAACATGAAAAACCAAATTAAATCAGAAGGTTGCATTTTGAGCATGAGATGACAGCAGGGAGAGTTATTTGTACATGTTCACACCTGAAGGACGTTAGGATCTGACCTCCAATAATTGAGACCTATTCTTGGGGCAAGGTATCTGCTTTAGCATCTCTGAATCTTCTTTTTTTGTGATTTACCGGGTGATATAATTTGGATTTGTGACCCCACCCAAATCTCATGTTGAATTGTAATCCTCAGTGTTGGAGAAGGGGCCTGGTGGGAGGTGACTGGATCATGGGGGCAGATTTCCCCCTTGCTGTTCTCTTGATAATGATTGAGTTCTCATGAGATCTAGCTGTTTAAAAGTGTGTAGCACCTCCCCCTTCTCTCTCTTTCTTCTGCTCCAACCATGTAGGATGTTCCTGCTTCCCCTTCACCTTCTTCCATGATTGAAAGTTTCCTGAGGCTTCCCCTGCTTTGATTCCTGTATAGACTGTGGAACTGTGAGCCAACTAAACCTCTTTCTTTCTTTCTTTTTTTTTAAAATAGTCATAGCACACTGATGAAAACTTCTTTTCTTTATAAATTACTCAGTATAAGGTAGTTCTTTATAGCAATGAGAGAATGAAGTAATACACCAGGTCTCACCCCCTGGTCTTGGGATTTGCTTTGACCAATAGAATGCCACTAAAGTGATGTTATGTTAGTTACAAGGCTAGACGTCAAGAGGACTTGTGTGCTTGTGCTTAACTTCTTGGATCATTCCTTAGCAGCCTGTTGCAGTATAAGAGCCCACACAGAGGAGGAATGAGCTGTCTAATATGAGGTCATCTGAAAAAAGCCATCCACCAGGCAACCCAGCAGCTGATCACAAATGCATGAATGACCCCAGCAGAGGCCAGAATAATTGCTCAGATGAACATAATCTAAGGTGCCAATCCCCTGAATTGCTTGCTCATTAAATTGTTGTTGTCTGAAATCACCAAGCTTTGGGGTAGTTTGCTATACAGCAAAGGCTAACTGATATGTTTAGTATCTGAAGAGTAGGTGATTTTTCCTTCTTTCAGTTGATAATCACATTTCAGGTTTATGATTTTAATTAAAATGCGGGCTTCCCTAAAAAATAAATAGAAAATAAGTTGAAGTATGTATTTTTGAAGGGAAGACCAGCCACCAGGAATTTCAATGGGTATTTTAATATGTTCCATGAATGCAGATAAATTTTTGCCTCCCCTATTGTCCTTTTACTTTATAGCAGAGAAGAGTTATTTAATATACAGAGAAATCTTTGTTTTATTAGAATTCCAAAAAATTGTACTTCCTGCAAAATATGCATTCCTTTTCTCTTCCTTCAACACCTAAACAAGTGTTTTGAAAAGACACAAAAAATGAATTATTGACACATTTCATGAATAAAATGCCAATCACTAATCTTAATCTCCTGACCATACAAGCCAGGAGACTTGGAAATTCTTCATTCTCATTTAAGTTGGACTTCTCATCTGAAAAGTCTACTTGAACTGAGAATCCCAGGGATGAAATAGCTAGGCCAAACTTGCTTTACTTATAACTAATGCATTGATTGTAATTAGCATATTATACTGTTGCAGTGGAATTTTAGTTCAGAACTGCCAACAGAGTTCAACTATCCCAGAAATAAATGAGATGTTTTCTCCATAAACTGCCTGTTAACTACCCTTTAAGGAAGCTGTGATAAAAAAGGACAGCTGTCTTAGACTCCAGCTCTGGAAACTCTATGTAGTATCCTGGCAACAAGGAAAGAGAATATCTGATTTGTGGAGTCAACCTATGTTGCTTAATAGTGGAGCTCTGAGAATTAATGTTTGTAAAGATTCACAGTTTCATAAAAGTGCATGGCGTATATAATGATTATGATTAGTTTTGAGAGAAGAATATTATCCACACCCCTTAGAAATAGGACCAAAAATAGCTCTATTTCCAGTCCTAAGAAGAAAAAAGAATCCACATATAATGAGAAAAAAGGCATGTGGTACTTGACATAAATACACTTATTTATTGCCCTTTTCTTATTTGTCTTCTGGGTCAACTCTAAGCCATGAGAATAATAACATGCCGACATGAACAAATAGGAAGGGTTAATGTCAGCCCATATAATTTTCTTTATTAAATTGGTACCAAGCATTCCAGTTAAAAGCACATGTTCTCACAACTGGAGAGAGTTCAATTGTGCACCTTGAGATCAGTCTATTATACACCAACTACAGTGAAAATAAAGGAATGGCTATTCTCTAGATAGAAAAAATCAATTAACTGAGCAGCCTGCAATTCTTAGCCATTACGAATCTTTCCACATAGCCTCAGCAGGTTCTTTTAGAAATGTGTACTTTCACCAACAGTTATCTCAACCTCCCCAGCAAATGACATCAAATAGTGCAGTGAAAAAAATCAAGAAAGTAAAGATTTCTCTATACTCCAATGGTTATTGACATTTTTCTGGAAGACAAAAAGTAATCCTTTAGAAACAAACAGATCTTTTTCTAATAAGTGGCTATTACCATCAAATAAAGCTATTTTCTGGAGTGTACATGACCTTAAAAAATAGCTATTTTGAAAGCGTGTGTGTGTATGTGTGTGTGTGTGTCTGTGTGTGTGTGTGTCTGTGTAGAAAGAGAGACAGAGAGATCTTGCTTTTTTCTAAAGAGAGCTAAGTAAATATTTTATAATATGTTAGTGGTAAATAGAGGCATTTAAACCTTGAACATGATTTCATCCAAATAATTTTGCACACTAAAAAGTACATTGCTTTTCAGATTAGATCTGGTAAGTTATTATGATATTGTAATCTTTTGCTAGGTCCCTCAAAATCAGAGTAGCTTCATCCTTGTAAAAGGGCAAAAACAGAAATGTAAAGGTAAAGAAGAGTTTATGGAGCAATTTAAATAGTGACCTATTAAATAATGGTACATTAAAATTTTCAACTGGTAATCTTATGAGACTGGGTCTACCCAGTTCATGGGGAGTGTAATTATTTAACAATAGAAATCTTTGATATTCATTCAAAAAATAATAGTGAATGACTACTATGTACCAAGCACTTTTCTAGGCACTGAACATATTGTGGGGGACATGATTCAGCTCCTGTCTTTCTAGAGGTTACATTCTAGAAAAGAGAAACAGGCAAAAAATAAGTCAATAAGTAAATAAACAAAATAAATTACAACAGAGATGAAGAAAATAAAACAGTAATGTGATGGTGACTGAAGCAGGCAAGGGGTGAGGGTTGGCTACTTTATATTGCATGTAAGACAAAGCAGTGCTGAGAAGGTGAAATTTGTTTTGAGGCCTGAGTGATGAGAAAGAACCATCCATTTGAAACTCTAGAGCTGAGAGTTCTAGGGAGAGGGAATAACAAATGCAAAAGTCCAAACTTTGGAACAAATTTAGGATGATCAAAGATCGAAGGGTTTGTATGGCTAGAAGGTTTTGTGTGACTAGAGTTTGGTGAGCTAGAACCAGTTCTTGTTGGGTCATAAATATTATGAACAAACAATTGGGATTTTATTTTAAATACATTGGAAAATCATAGAAGGGGTTCAGCTGGAGATGAATACAATATGATTTATGTTTTTTACAAAAAGCAATCTGATAGTTGTATCAGGAGCAGGAATGGAAGGAGTAAGTCCAGCTGGGAGGTTGTTATAATAGAACAGAGGACAAAACATGGTGACTTGTTCTATGGTAGTATCTGTGAAGGGTGTCTGTACTGGAAATGGAAAAAAAAAAGTGGATAGATTCAGGTTATGTTGTAGGAGTAGATTTTTAAAAAAAATTTTTAACTTTATTTTAGTGGGTACATAATAGATGTATATATTTGTGGGCTATATGAGATATTTTGATACAGGCACACCATGTGTAAAAATCACATTAGGGTAAATGGGGTTTTCATCACCTCAAGCACTTATCCTTTCTTTGTGTTACCAACAATCGAATTATACTCTTTTAGTTATTTTTAAATGTACAATAAACTATTGTTGGCTGGAGTCACTCTGTTGTTCTGTCAAGTATTAAATCTTATTCATTCTATCTAATTATATTCTTCTACCTATTAACCATTCCCACATCTCCACAACCCACTCTGCTAACATTTCCAGCCTCTGGTAATCATCCTTCTACTCTCTATGTCCATGATTTCAATTGCTTTGATTTTTAGATCCTGCAAATAAGGGAGAACATGTGATGTTTGTCTTTGTGTGCTTGGCTTATTAGCGTAATGACCTCCAGTTCTATTCATGTTGCTGCAAATGAAAGGATCTCATTCTTTATGGCTGAATAGTAGTACTCCATTGTATATATGTACCACATTTTCTTCAGGCATTCATCTTTTGATGGACACTTAGGTTGCTTCCAAGTCTTGGCTATAGTGACTAGTGCTGCAATAAACATGAGAGTGCAGGTATCTCTTTGATATACTGATTTCTTTTTGGGGTATATACCTAGCAATGGGATTCCTGAATCACATGGTAGCTCTGTTACTAGTTTTTTGCGGAACCTTAAAACTGTTCTCCATAGTGGTTATACTAATTTAACATTCCTACCAGCAGTGCTTAAGGGTTCCCTTTTCTCCACATTCTCATCAGCATTTGTTATTGTTTGTCTTTTGGAAAAAAGCAGTTTTAACTGGGATGAAATATCTCATTGTGGTTTTGAGTTACATTTCTCTGAATATCAGTGATGTTGAGCACCTTTCCATATACCTGTTTGCCATTTGTATGTCTTCTTTTGAGAAATGTCAATTCAAATCTTTTGCCCATTTTTTAATTGGATCATTAGATATTTTCCTACAGAGCTGTTTGAGCTCCTCATATATTCTGGTTACTTAATCTCTTGTCAGATGGGTAGTTTGCAAATATTTTCTCCCATTCTGTGGGTTTTCCCTTCACTTTGTTGATTATTTCTTTCACTGTCTAGAAGCTTTTTAACTTGATATGATCTCATTTGTCCATTTTTGCTTTGGTTGCCTGTGCTTGTGGGGTATTACTCAAGAAATCTTTGCCCAGTTCAATGAGTGGGATAGTTTCCCCAATGTTTTTTTTTTTTTTTATAGTAGTGTTATATTCTGAGGACTTAGATTTAAATATTTAATCAATCTTGGTTTGATTTTTATATATGGCAAGAGATAGGGTCTAATTTCATTCTTCTGCATATGGATATGGAGTTTTCCCAGCACCATTTACTGAAGAGACTGTCCTTTCCCCAGTGTATGTTCTTGGCAACTTTATTGAAAACAGGTTCACTATAGATGTATGGATTTGTTTCTGGGTTCTCTATTCTGTTCTATTGGTCTGTCTATGTCTGTTGTAATGCCAATATCATGCTGTTTTGGTTACTATAGCTGTGTAGTATAATGTGAAGTAAGGTAACATGATTCCTTCAGTTTTGTTCTTTTTGCTTAAATAGCTTTGAATATTCTGGATCTTTTCTGGTTCCATATAAACTTGGATTGTTTTTCGCTATTTCTGTGAAGGATGTCACTGGTATTCTGATAGAGATTGCATTAAATCTGTAGATTGCTTTGGGCATTAGGGACATTTTAACAATATTGATTCTTCCAATCTAAGAACACGGGATATCTTTCCATTTGTGTGCGTGTGTTCTCTTCAATTTTTTTCATCAATGTTTTACAGTTTTCATTAGAGCAATCTTTCACTTATTTGGTTAATTCCTAGGTATTTTATTTTATTTGTAGCTAGGTAAATGGGGTATTTTCTTGATTTTTTTTCAGATTGTTCATTGTTGTCATATAGAAATGCCACTGATTTTTGTATGTTGATTGTGTATCCTGCAACTTTACTGAATTTATCAGTCCTGATATTTTTTTTGTGTGGAGTCTTTAGGTTTTTCCAGATATAAGGTCATATCATCTGCAAACAAGGATAATTTGACTTCTTGGCTTCCAATTTGGATGTCCTTTATTTTGTTCTTTTCTGATTGCTCTAGCTAGGACTTTCAGTACTATCTTGAATAACAGTGGTAAAAGTGGGCATACTTGTTGTGTTCCAGATCTTACGGGAAAGGCTTTCAGTGTTTCCCCACTCAGTATGATATTAGCTCTGGAACTGTCATATATGGCTTTTATTGTGTTGATGTATTTTCCTTCTACACTGCGTTTTTTGGGAGTTTTTTTTATTATTATGAAGGGATGTTGCATTTTATCAAATGCTTTTTCAGCATCAAATTGAAATGATCCTATAATTTTTGTCCTTTATTCTGTTGATGTGATGCATCACATTAATTGATTTGCATATGCTGAATAATCCTTGTATCCCAGGGATAAATCCCACTTGGTCATGATGAATGATTTTTTAAAAGTGTTGTTGAACTGAGTTTGCTAGTATTTTGTTGAGAATTTTCACATCAATATTCATCAGGGATATTGGCCTGTAGTTTCCTGTTTCTGATGTGCCTTTGTCTGGCTTTGATATCAGGGTAATACTGGCTTTATAGAATGGATTCGGAGTATCCCCTACTACTCTGTTTTTCAGAATAGTTTGAGTAGGATTGGTATTAGTTCCTCTTTAAATGTTTGGTAGAATTCAGCAGTGATGTCATCAGGTCCCAGGCTTTTCTTTACTGCAAGATTTTTTATCATGGCTCTTGTTACTTGTTATTGGTCTGTTCAGGTTTTGGAGTTCTTCATGGTTCAATCTTGGTAGGTTGTATGTGTCTAGCAATTTATGCATTTCTTTTAGCTTTTCCAATTTATTCTATTATTAGAAGCTCATGGTAGCTTCTAATAATTATTTGCATTTATACTGTATTGGTTGTAATGTCTCCTTTTTCACCTCTGGTTTTATTTATTTGGGTCTTTTTCTTGTTAGTTAATCTGGATAAAGATTTGCCAACTTTTTTATCTTTTCAAAAAACAACTTTTTCGTTGATCTTTTTATAGTTTTTTGTTTCAATTTCGTTTATTTCTGCTCTGATTTTTATTATTTCTTTTCTACCAATTTTTTTTTGTTTTGTTTTGCTTGTTTTTCTAGTTCTTTAAGATGTACTGTTAGGTTTCTTATTTGAGGTTTTTCTTCTTTTTTGATGTAGGCACTTATAGCTATAAGCTTCCCTCTAAGTACCGCTTTGGCTGTATTTCATAGGTTTTGGTATATCATGTTTCTGTTGTCATTCATTTCAAGAAATTTTTCAATGTCTCTCTTAATTTCTTCATCGAACCACTGATCATTCAGGAGCATATTTTTAAAATTTCCATGTGCTTGTATCATCTCCAAAATTTCTCGTTTTTGATTTCTAGTTTTATTCCATTGTGATCACAGAAGATGCTTGATATTATTTCAATTTTTTGAAGGTTTTGAGACTTGTTTTGTGGTATAACATATGGTCTTCCTTTGTCAATGATCCATGTGCTGAGGAAAAGAATGTGTATTCTGCAGCCATTGGATGAAATGTTCTGTAAATATCTATTAGGTCAATTTGGTCTTTAATGTAGATTAAGTCAGATATTCCCTTGTTAATTTTCTGTCTGGATGACCTTTCCAATCCTGAAAATAGGGTACTGAAGTCTCCAGCTATTATTGTATTGGGGTCTATCTCTCTCTTTAGCTCTAATATTTGTTTTATATATTTGGGTGCTCCAGTGTTGGATGTATATATGTTTACAATTACTATATCCTCTTGCTGAATTGACCCCTTTATCATTATATAATGTCCTTCTTTGTCTCTTTGTATAGTTTTTCTGTTGAAATATATTTTGTCTAAGTAGAGCTACTCCTGCTCTCTTTTTGGTTTCCATTTGCATGAGCTGTCTTCTTCCATCCCTTTATTTTCTATGTGTGTCTTTACAGATGGATTGTATTTCTTGTAGGCAACATATCTTCGGGTCTTTTTTTAAAAAAATTCATTTAGGTACTCTATGTATTTTGATTGGAGAGTTTAGTCCATGGATATTCAGTGTTATTACTGATGAGTAAGGACTTATTCCTGCCATTTTGTTATTTGCTTTCTGGCTGTTTTGTGGTATTCTCTTCCTTCTTTGCTTCCTTCCTATCTTTCTTGTAGTGAAGATGATTTTCTCTGGTGGTATGTTTTACTTTCCTGATTTTTAGTTTTTGTGTATCTGTTGTATTTTTTTTTATTTGAGGTTACCATGAGGCTTGCAAATAATATCTTATAACCCATTATTTTGAACTGATGACAACAGAAGACTGATTTTGTAAACAACCAAAGTAATAGAGAAAACTGACGAAAACTCTACACTTTAATTTTATGCCCCTGCTTTTAAACTTTTGTTGTTTCGATTTGTATTTTATTGTACTGTCTATGTCTTGAAAAGTTGTAGTTATTATTTTTATTAGTTCATCATTTAGTCTTTCTACTCAAAATACGAGTTTATATACCACAATTATAGTGTTATAATATACTCTATTTTTCTTTGTATTTACTATTACCAGTGAGTTTTCTGCCTTCAGATGATTTCTTATCTCTCCTTAATGTCCTATTCTTTCACATTCAAGAACTACCTTTAGCATTTCTTGTAGTATAGTTCTGGTGTTGATGAAATTCCTCAGCTTTTGTTTGTCTGAGAAAGTCTCTCTTCCTCCTTCATGTTTGAAGGGTATTTTCACTGGATTCTAGGATAAAAGTTTTTTGCTTGTTTGTTTGTTTGTTTCCCTTCAGAATTTCAAATATGCCATGTCACTCTCTCCTGGCCTGTAAAGTATTTATTGAGAAGTTTGCTGCCAGACGTTTTGGAGCTCCATTGTGTGTCATTTGTTTCTTTTCTCTTGCTTTCTTAGAATCCTTTATTTTTGACCTTTAGGAGTTTAGTTATTAAATGTCTTGAGGTAGTATTCTTTTGGTTAAATCTGCTTGGTATTCTAAAACCTTCTTGAACTTGAATATTAATATCTCTCTCTAGGTTTGGAAAGTTCTCTGTTATTATCCCTTCAAATAAACTTTCTACCCTGGTCTTCCTTTCTACCTACCTCCCCTTTAAGACCAATAACTCTTATATTTGCCCTTTCAAGTCTATTTTCTAGATCTTGTAGATGTGCTTCATTCTTTTTTATTCTTTTTTTGTTTTTTCTTCTCCGAGTGTATATTTTCAAATAGCTTGTCTTCAAGGTCATTAATTCTTTCCTCTGCTTGATCAATTCCACTGTTAAGAGATTCTGATGCATTCTTCAGTATATCAATTACATTTTTCAACTCTGCAGTATCTATGTCAATTGCATTTTTCAACTCTGTGATATCTGTTTGAGTCTTTTTAATTATGTCAATCTCTTTGTTAAATTTATTTCATAGGATTCTGAATTCCTTCTCTGTGTTATCTTGAATATTGTTGAGTTTCTTCAAACCAGCTATTTTGAATTCTTTGTCTGAAAAGTCACATATCTGTCTCTCTATGATTGATCCCTGGTCCCTTATATAGTTTATTTTTTCGGTCATGTTTCCCGGATGGTCTTGATGCTTGTGTATGTTCATTGGTGTCTCAGCATTGAAGAGTGAGATATTTATTTTAGTCTTTGCAGTCGGGACTTGCTTTTACCCATCCTTCTTGGGAAGGTTTTCCAGGTATTCGAAGGGACTTAGGTGTTGTGATCTAACTTACTGGTTGCTGTAGCCATATCTGCATTAGGGGGCATCCCAAGTCCAGTAACGCTGTGGCTCTTGCAGACTGGTAGAGATACTGCCTTGGTGGTCTTGAATAAGATCTGGAAGGATTCTCTGTTTCACCATGGAGAGATTCTCGTTGTCTTCCCTTACTTTTTCTCTTCCCTTACTTTCTCCCAAATCTCTCTCTCTCCATGATGAGTTGCCTGGAGCTGGGGGAGGGGTGACACAAGGACCCCTGTGGCCACCACCAGTGGGACTGTGCTGGGTGAGTCCTGAAGCCAGCACAGCACTGGGTCTCACCCAAGGCCCATGGTAACCACTGCCTGGCTATTGCCAATGTTCACTGAAGGCCCTAGGGCCCTATAATCAACAGGTGGAAAAGCTGTCCAAGCTTGTGTCCTTCTCTTCAGGGTGGTGAGTTCCTCACAGTCTCAGTTGGATCCAGAGATGCCACCAAGGAGCCAGGGCCTGGGGTTGGAAACGTTAGGAATCTACCTGGTGCTCTGTTCTACTGTATCTGAGCTGGCACCCAAGCCACAAGACAAAATCCTTCCCACTCTTCCCTTCCCTTCCACAAATAGAGGAATTTCTCCCTATGGCCACGGTTACCTCAGGCCCAGATTGTACACTGTCTGCTACTGCTGATGTTCATTCAAGGCACAAGGGCTCTTCAGTCAGCTTGTGCTGACTGCTGCCTGGTCTGGGACTCTACTTTCAGAGCAGTGGGCTCCCCTCTGGCCAAGGGCAGGTTCAGATGCTATACAAGAGCCAAGGCCTGGAATCAGGGGCCCCAGGAGGCTGCTTGTTGCTCTACCCCACTGTGGCTGAGCTGGTACCTAAGCTACAAGACAAAATCCCCTTACTCTTCTATCTCCTTTTCTCAAGCAGAAGGAGTCCCTCTCCATTGCCACCACAACTAGAAATGTGCTGGGTCACACTTAAAGCCAACACATCTCTGAGTCTCACCCAAGGTCCACAGCGAGTATTCCCTGGGTGCCACTGCTGCTGATTATTCAGGGCCCAAGGGCTCTTCAGTCAGCAAACAATTAATTCTTTCAGGACTGAGCCCTTCCCTTCAAGGCAGCAGGTTCCCTTCTGGCCCACAGTGCATCTAGAAATGTCTTCAGGGTGCCAGGGCCTGAAATGGGGGTCTTGGGACTCTGCCTGGTGCCCTATCCTACTGTGGCTGATCTGGTATCCAAGTTGCAAGAATAAGTCCCCTCTACTCTTTCCTCTCCTCTCTTCAAATGGAGGGAAGGAGTCTCTCCCAGAGCTGTGAGCCGCACTGCCTGGGGTTGGGGGAGGGGTAGCTCAAGCACTCCCCTGGCCACCCCGGTTGGTGTCTCACTGGGTGGTGTGCCCCACAAGTCCACTGGCTCTGAGCCCAGCATAACACCAGCATTTGTATAGAAATTGCAACTCTTGTGGTTTAGACTGCATTTCAAGTTTATTTAGAACCTCAGAGCACTTTAACCTGGAGCAGCAAGGCTTGCCAGAACTCAGGTTCCAACTGCTGGGATGGGCAATTCCTCTCTGGCTAGGGCTTGTCTAAACATGCCCTCTATGAGCACTGGATGAGTTTTTCCCAGATTGCTTTCCACTGTGACAGGGCAGCACTGAGTTCCAATGAAAAGTCCCACGATCACTGTGCTCTCCCTCCCCCCAGTACACAGATTTTCTCTTCATGCCACACAGCTACTGCCAGGGTATGGGGGAGGGTTGGCGTTGGCAATTCAAGACTGCCTTTCTTACCCTCTTCAGTGACTTTCAGTGATAGGAAGTTAAAACCAGGTACTGTGATCACTCACCTGATTTTTGGTTCTTATGAAGGTGCTTTTTTGTGTGCATAGTTGTTCAAGTTGGTGTTCCTGTGGGGAGGATGATCAGTAGGGTTTCTCTTCAGCCATCTTGCTCCACTTTCCTCCAGAGTAGATATGACACGGTGGTTAAGGAGAAAGGAGTGTCAAGGATGACTCTTCAATTTTGATTTGTATAGTCCCATACATGAGGAGACAAATGAAAGAGGATTAAATTTGGGGTATAGAGTTTGGAGATTATCAGTGCTGTGTTGAACTTGTTGAATTTGAGATACCTTTGAGCCATTGAAATGAAGAAGTTGAGCAGAGAGTTGGATATGGAGGCCTAGGACTCAAAAAGCAAATCCGGGCAAGAAGCCCTAGTAAGATCAGCTTTATCCCTTGGCCAGAACACTATCACTCTCAACCAGATTCAAGACAGGTTAACAAGCTTAACAAGCACCTGTTTCTAGTGGACTCCTCCTCCACTATAAAATAGGCCCACGGGGCTCAGAGTGCTCCAGGAAAGACAATATTTACAACACAACTCAACATTGTGAAGGCCATTGATATCAACTGTCACTCTCAATAGAACTGATGCCTCATCTTCTTCTAAGAGACCATATTAAGACTAATTCTTTTTCCTCCCTATTCCATCAACCTCCCTCCCATGTGTGTTTTCATCAGTTACTACCAGAAGTCCAAATCTCCCAGGTCATCCATCATCATCTAGACTTTCTCTCCATCCACCTCCATGCAGGTGCAAGTCTGATATCATCTCTCACATTTCCCTGATCCTCAGTTCCACATCCTCTGAAATTCAAAGGCCTGCCATCAGCACAATCCCCTGTTTCCTTTACTTTATCTCTTAATGTTCCCTTCACCTTCTTGTTTTAATTATAATCTGGCTGTTTCCTAAGGACAATAATGGTTTTTTTCTGCATCCCTCTTATATGCTACTTATAGGACCTCAAGGTAAGGTAGGTGTCCTTGCAACTTCCAGATCATTTTACCTTCATTCTCCACCAAAAGCCACAGGTCTTTGAATTGCATTGCTCCAGACATCACAATTCCTAGTTTATTATTTTAGCAGTCATTGTATACTACACTCCTAGTTACTCAGCCTCATTCATATTGGAAAATATCCTTAATCTGAACTCAAACATCATGACCACAGTCATCTATGTTTCTAGCTCATAATTCTATTACCCTCATTTCAACTATTCTTAAATCCTATCAGAATTCCTAACCACTGTCTAAGTGGGCCTTCATCACTGTTGCCTAGCAAATGTGACTTCTCTCGCTGGTAAAGTTGCTGTGCTACTTGTTGAAAAGTCTATTTCCTGTCTTCTTTTCTCTTTTCCAATCCTTCATCATATTCATACTCTATTTTACTGTCATCAAATCTACAACCTCTTCTACCAGAACTGATATTCTCTCTATGCCACCTGTAAAAAGTAAGGAATAATAATAATGACTAAACTTACACTGTAAACCTCCTCCTCTGTACCACCTGATATTTTTGCTCTGGAAATTATCCCCTCTTTAGAAGATCACCCCCATTATCACAGCTTTTTCTTTCTGTCTTCATTTTGTTCTTTATAAAGAAGCTGCGGTGATTTTTTTTAAAAAAACTATAAATCAGTTTACTTCACTCCCCTGTTCAAAATTGTCTAGTGGTTTCCTATCACATTTAGATAACAATCGAAATTATGACCGTGACCCAAAAAAGTCTGCCTATCTTTCTGACCCCATTTTTTACCCCTCCCCACTTTGCCCAGTCTACTCCCATCTTCTTGCAATCAGTTGAACATGAACAATTCAAATTCATTCTTGTCTCAGGGCCTTTCTATTTGTTGTACTTTCTTTCTGGAATGCTAGTCCTCTATATACTCTCATTCTTACTTCTTCTCTTCAATTAGATCTCTGTTCAAATATCACCTTCTCAGACAGACATTCTCTGAACATCCTATTTAAAAGAGCCACCACCCACCTGTCCTACATCACGTTACTTTCTATTCCATTACCTTGCTTGACAGTATTCATAAAACTTTCACTAGCAGGAACTATTTTATTTGTTTGTTTGCTTTTTTCCTGGTTTTGTCTATCTCTTCCCTAGAATATCATCCCCACTGGGGCTGAAACTTTATATTTTGTTCACACTTGCATTCTAAGAGTCTCAGTGGTATCAGCATGTAGGCACTCATAAACATATTAGTTTGTGAATAAATACATTAATGAAAGAGTCAATAAATAAATGAATGAATGCAGTTGTAAAAGTCCACTGAGGAATAGATTTTTGGAGAAAGACAATAATTTTAATGGTGGACTAGTTGTGTTTGAGATGCTGCTGAAGTATCCAGGTAAGGATGTCTAGAAGGTAATTGTCAATCCTGGAATTTGGAAGAATTTTCACAGTGAGAAATAAAAAATTGAAAAAGACAGTTTTATTCGTTTCCTATTGCTGCTGTAACAAATCACCACAAACTTAGTGTTCCAAATAACACAAATTTATCATCTGGGAGTGTGGCAAGTCAGAAGTCCTAAAGTCAAGGTATAGGTAGGGCTGAATTCCCTTTGGAGTCTCTAGGGGAAAATCTATTTCTTTGCCTTTTCCACCTTCTAGAGATTGTCCAGTTTCCTTGGCTATGGCCCCTTCCACCAACTTCAAAGCAAGCAATCTAATCTCTCTCTCCTCTCTCACCTCTGCTTCAATATTATATCTCCTGCTATGACTCTAACCCTCTTGCTTCTCTTTAATAAAGATCCTTGTGATTACATTTGACCCATCTGGATAATACAGGAATATCTCCCCATCTCAAGATCCTTAACATAATCACATCTGCAATCTCCCTTTTACCATGCAAAATTTGCAGATCCCAGGGATTAGGACATATGAACCTCTGTGGGATGGTCAATATCCTGTCTACCATGGAAGTTAATGAAATAAGCTCATGGGTTATCTACAAGAGGCTGAAGAGCTTGATATTGAGTGGTCTTCAGGTGGGTGAATAAAGGACCAAAATATTTGAATGCTGTGGAAGCAAAGGAAATAGAGATTTTCAGAAGAAAAGATTGGTAGTCCAAATGGTCAAATGCTGGAGAAGCACTGACAAAGAAAAAAAGAAAAAATAAGTTTCAGGGTCTGGTAATTAGGGTATCATGGGTGGTTTTCCAAGAAACAATTTCTGTCAAGTTTTGGTGAGGGGAAGCCAGATTTTAAGTAACTAATAAATAAATGAGCATTTAAAAAATAGTTATTAAGCCTCTTCTTATTAAGAAAAATGATTTGGTGACAGCTATTGTGGTAAGTAAAAGTCGAAGAGATAATCTAGAATAAGGAACAATGTAATCATTCTGCTAATATCTATTTTTCTAAGGAGAGTGAGAGTAAACATTTCAATTCTTCTTTCCACATGAAAAAACAGGCAGGAGCAAAACTGACTCAGTGGTGTGGAGAGAAGCAGAGGCGAGCAAGAACATTGGTTTATGCTAGCTTAAAAGGTCACTGCCATGTAAGGGTTCCCTGTCGGCAAATTAGCTGCAAACTCCATTCTTGATTCAATGTAATGGATTTTAAAGCTGATGCCCTGCCAAACTGATTTATAAGATGAATTGTTGCTGAAGCTGAGTTGAACATTTGAGTTCTGGATATAAATGGGCAAAGAGCATCACACCCTCCTCCAGCCTGATTCTGCTGCTTGTTTGCCACCTTTCCCTCTTCTCTTCCATCCTGCAATCTATAATTGCTGAGGGAGGACCTGGGATGGAAAAATTGGAAAACAAATGGGGCCAAGGAAACCTGGAAGCAGAGATCTTTTTGTAATGAAAATGTCACTGAATAAATGTACCAAAACAGTCTATTTTCAACATAGTTAAAACAATGTTTTCCTTTAGATCAATATCAACGAAATTCAGATTACAGTGTCCTTGGTAACACACTCTTCAGATAGACTTCTACACCGATTAGCTGTATTACCTTGAGAAAGTTGCTTAACTTCTCTGGGCTTCACTTTTCTCATCTGTAAAACTAGAATAATAATAGCTAATTTAATCTTCACAGATGAACTGAAAGAAAGCAAAGTGATAGTAATATTAACATTGATTCAAATAATAGCTGCTACTGAGAACAGTAAGGATCAGGCACAGTCATACAAGCATTTTGTATGTATTAGCTCATTTATTCTTATAACAACCTCATGAGATATGTATTATTTTGATCTCCATTTTACAGATTAGGGCTCCGAGGTATACAGAATTAAATACCCAGCTAGTGAGTAGAAGAGCCAATTTCATGATAGGTGCACAATTAGTGATGAGTAATCATGAAAATAATAATGTTGATTTTAGAATCAAATGCCCGGATCTCTGGTAGAGTGGGAGTATTTGTATGAGAAAAAGATTGTTTCAAATCTTTTAAATAAATACGTTTAGTTTCAATGATATCCTTTTAATTTACTATTTACTAATACTTCATCTCTTTCCAACAAAAGCATTTGATATAGTTTGGATATTTGTCCCCTCCAAATCTAATGTCAAAATGTAATTCCGAATGTTAGAAGTGGGGCCCAGTGGAAGGTTTTTGGGTCATGGGAGTGGATCCCTCAGGAATGGCTTAGCATCATCCTCTTGGTGATGAATGAGTTCTTGCTTTGTTAGTTCATATGAGATCTGGTTGTTTAAAAGAGTATGGGCCGGACGCGGTGGCTCATGCCTGTAATCTCAGCACTTTGGGGGACCGAGGCGGGCGGATCACGAGGTCAGGAGATTGAGACCATCCTGGCTAACACAGTGAAACCTCGAATCTACTAAAAATACAAAAAAGTAGCTGGGCGTGGTGGCGGGCGCCTGTAGTCCTAAGCTACTTGGGAGGCTGAGGCAGGAGAATGGCATGAACCCAGAAGACGGAGCTTGCAGTGAGCCAAGATCGCGCCGTTGCACTCCAGCCTGGACAACAGTGTGAGACTCCGTCTCAAAAAAAAAAAAAAAAAAAAAAAAAGAGTATGGCATCTCCTCATCTCCTCCCTCCCTCTCTTTTGCTCCCACTATTTTTTTTTTTTTTTCAATTGAGACAGGGTCTTACTCTGTCACCCAGGCTGGAGTGCAGTGGCATGATCGTGGCTCACTATAGCCTTGACCTGGACTCAAGCAATTCTCCCACCTCAGCCTCCCAAGTAGATGGGACCACAGGTGCACACCACCACACTCAGCTAATTTTTAATTTTTTTCATAGAAATGGAGTCTCGCCATGTTGTGCTGGGACTACAGGTGCAAGCCATCATGTAGTGGGAGATTGGAAGGAGGAAGAAGACTAAGGTTGGGTATTTATGTTCTTAGCTTTCTTCTCGCAGGGCCTGTTAGCCGCCTTCCCATACAACCCTATAGATCTCTAGGTCTTGATAATAGCTCCCTCCCTTTGGACCAAGGGCTAGCAATAAATAATAGGCCCAGGCCCTTTTTACTAGCCCTGGGTACTGTGCCATTTTTTTTTAATGGTTTCCCTACATCCTGTCCACCTCTCTGTATATTGTCCTTTCATTAAACTCTCCCCACATACTTAAGCATGCCTCTGTTTCCTGGTAGGACCTTGATACCCTAAGAAAGACAGGCATTTAACCTAAGAAAGAATGAAACAAAATTTAAAATAACAAACAAAATTAAAAATTCTGTCTACTCTCAACAGACATACATACCAGAATTCATTACTTTAAGTAAAAAATAGCAAGCAGTTTAATAGTTCAATTGAAAACTATTTAATTAGAAGTTCGATTAAAAAGGATTAATAGACATAAAGCTGGATTGAAGTAATGAAAAGTCTGAATTAGAGAATTATATATGCATTGTTGTCTATGTGTACACAAATATGGATTAATGGCTAAGCACATGTTCTAGAACAGAGGTCCATTTACATAGTTGTTACTTTTAGTGAACATTACTGATCAGTTCCAATGCTCTCAAACACATGAACCCTAAGTCATTTTGTCTAATAGGATAAATATTTTCCTTGTATCCTTATTTCTATTATTTTTATACATCAATATTCTATTTATAATTCATGTAAGTTCAGCAAAGCTGTACATGATGAGGGATTCTAAAGAGGTATTTAAGACATTTGTGTTGAGTGCTGGATAGGTATTTAAGGTTTCATTGGGAGTAACATTATCTTCAATGTGAGACTTTCAAAACTATTTGATGATATTGATATTAAACAGGCTCTATATGTATTGAGAGAGTTTGATTGAAGACCCACCATGTTCTGATTCCATGTGGGGAACTAGAAGGGAACAAGGTTCTGAGTTCAGATGCTGACATCAGTCATTTATTCCTGTACTCAAATCTCAGATTTCTACTATATAACTTTTGGGAAATCTGACTTTGATCACGATTCATGCCCTCAGATCTTAGTTTCCTCATCTAAAAAAACACATCAAAGTGTAGTTACGTGGGTAAACTAGCTAAGACATCTCTAACACATATGGGCTGGCCCACAATATGTATTAAATAATGTTGGGCATTATTACGTAGAAATTTCATAAAGGGCTACCTCTTGCTTCTACTTTATGTTTATAGCACAAGTTATTTCAGGGATTTCTCTGCGTTGCAGTTCTTGCTATATGTATTCTGTGGAAATCAAATGACTCTGCACTAAGGTCACCTTCCAGCCTTGAGAAAGCACTGAAAGGAAATGGTTTTATGAGACTGCAAGCAGGTTGTTTCATGAACAACACTGCAATGGCAGCAACTCAACATGCAGAGCTTTCTCTCTATCTTGATGTTGTGAGATTAGTTATTCACATATGAATTCACTCACTGTCTTTACCTTAAGTCAGCTACAAAGTTATCCTCAAATTTTCTTTATTCAGTATTGAAATTAAGAAGCGGGAAGGGATGGTGTTGAGAGGGTAGAAACTTCTTTGGTTCTAGAAGGGTAGTACAATGGCTAACTTGGTTGTTCATAATGAGTTCTCTGTTAAGATGAAAATAGTCCTGGAGAGTGGTCTTTAGCTAAGTCCTCTGAACTTTATCCTCATAGGATTTAAAAGGGCACATTCAGTAGATGTTGATATCTTTGAAGATTTTAACAAGAATGGGACTAATCATAGGTGATAGAGAGTCAATAATTTTCAGAGGAGCCAAGAAATGAATTGATAATTCACAAGTCTGGTCATGGCCTCTCTTCATTATTAAAGTGAATTTAATCAAAATAACATTTGTTAGGTGCAAATAAAAAGATGCAGGAGGTGTTATCAAGTAGTATAGTAAAGGATGCACATACTGAAATCAAGATTAGTGCAGATGTAGTAATACTGTAACTTCTATTGCAGAGATTACCAGACACTATTGGGGCTCTGCCCTGATGCCCTCATATCCCTTTTAACATTTTTGTGAACCCCTCCTCAGTTTTTGGATGATTTTGCCTCTAAGAGCCCATAGCTTCCATGTTCTTTTTTTTTTTTTTTTTTTGAGACGGAGTCTCGCTCTGTCGCCCAGGCTGGAGTGCAGTGGCGGGATCTCGGCTCACTGCAAGCTCCGCCTCCCGGGTTCACGCCATTCTCCTGCCTCAGCCTCCCAAGTAGCTGGGACTACAGGCGCCCGCCACTACGCCCGGCTAATTTTTTTTTGTATTTTTAGTAGAGACGGGGTTTCACCGTTTTAGCCGGGATGGTCTCGATCTCCTGACCTCGTGATCCGCCCGCCTCGGCCTCCCAAAGTGCTGGGATTACAGGCGTGAGCACCGTGCCCGGCCAGCTTCCATGTTCTTATGAGAGCACTCTCTTGGCTATTAAGCCACTTTGTCTTGACATATCGAAAGCCTGAAATATCTGTAAGCTTATATCTTCCAGGGGTGAGGTGCTTAGCTAACGATTGTTAAGTGTAGGTGAAATTTTAGCTCCTTTGCCTTAGGTCAAGACAAACTCTGAGGATTAACTTATACTTTAGAGCTTTCCTGTGGGATCAAACTGTGGCTAGGGCTTCACCTGAAATCTCCCCTTTTCCTGTCTTCTTCCTTCTCCCTGTCTAGCCTCCCCACTCCCTTACCAGTTTCTCCTGGGACCACTTAGTTCATAAATCACACAAAATCCTTCATATTAGGTCTGCTTCTGGGGAACCCCATCTGTGTCATATGGGTATTTTTAAAAATTGATGAGAATACTGAGGAGAGAGAGGAATTCTGAGAGAGGAATGTTTCATGGAAGAAATGACATTTGAGTTGGCATTTGAGTAATAAACAAGCTTTCCATAGAGAGAGGGAAAGGAGAGAGACTCTAGCCAAAGAACTAATATTGCACTAAAGCACTATTAAGAAGTTTAGCAATGAGAATATAGTTTAGAGGCAGTTTTCCTGTATTCTAATCCAGAGCCCTTCTCTTAATACATCATGAACAATTTACTTGATCTCTCTGTGCCTCTGTTTTCTTTTTAAAAATTCTTTGATACATAATAATTGTATATATTTTTGGATTACATGTGATATTTTGATACATGCATACAATGTGTAAGGATCAAATATGGGTAATTGAGATATCCATCATGTCAAATATTTATTATTTCTTTGTGTTGAGAACATTCCAAATCTTCTAGTTATTCTGAAATATACAATAAGTTATTATTAACAATTATCACCCTACAGTGCTACAGTACTAGAACTTGTTCTATTTGACTGCATTTTTGTACTCATTAAAATACCTTTCTTTATTTCTCCTCCCTGCTACCCTTTCCAGCCTCTGGTAACCACCATTCTAATCTCTACTTCCATGAGATCAACTTTTTTAGCTCCCACTTATGAGTGAGAACATTTGATATTTGTCTTTCTGTGCCTGGCTTATCTCACTTAACAAAATGTCCCCCAGTTTCATCCATGTTGCTGAAAATGACAGTATTTCATTCTTTTTTGTAACTGAATATTATTCTCTTGTGTATATATACCACATTTTCTTTATCCATTCATTCATTGATGGACACTCAGGTTGCTTCCATATCTTGACTATAGTAAATAGTGCTGCAATAAACATGGGAGTACAGATATGTCTTTGATATACTGATTTCCTTTCTTTAGGATATATACCCAGCAGGGATTGCTGAATCGTATGGTAGATAGATTTTTAGTTTTTAAAGGAACCTCTATACAGTTTCTCCTAGCAGCTGTAGTAATCTATATTCCCACCAACAGTGTACTGGCATTTCCCTTTCCCTGCATCTTCAATGGCATTTGTTTAATATATATATATTTTATATGTATATATTATATATATATTTTTTATATGTATATATTTTATATATAATATATATATAATATATACATATAAAATATATATATATATATATATGTTTGTCTTTTTGATAATAGCCATTTTGACTGGGATGAGCTTTCATCCCATTGTGATTTTGATTTGCATTTTCCTGATGATTAGTGATATTGAGCATATTTTCCATATACCTGTTGGCCATTTGTATATCTTCTTTGGTTAAGTGTCTATTCAGATTACTGTCCATTTTCAAATTGGATTATTATTTGTTTTTTTTTTTTTTTTGCTATTGAGTTATTTGAGTTTCTTTTATATTCTGGTTATTAATCCTTTGTCAAATGGATAGTTTGCAAATATTTCCTGCCATTTTGTAGGTTGTTTCTTCACTTTGTTTACTGTTTCATTTGCTGTGCAGAAGCTTTTTAGCTTGATGCAATCCCTTTTATCTATTTTTGCTTTTGCTATTTGTGCTTTTGAGGTCTTACCCAAAAAATATTCATCTAGGCCAATGCCCTGGATAATTTCCTCAATGATTTTTCTCAAGTAGTTTTATAGTTTTAGGTCTTAAATTTAATTTTTTTTATTATACTTTAAGTTCTAGGGTACATGTGCACAATGTGCAGGTTTGTTACATATGTATACATGTGCCATGTTGGTGTGCTGCACCCATTAACTCTTCATTTAACATTAGGTATATCTCCTAATGCTATCCCTCCCCCCTCCTCCCACTCCACGACAGGCCCTGGTGTGTGATGTTCCCCTTCCTGTGTCCATGTGTTCCCATTGTTCAATTCCCACCTATGAGTGAGAACATGCGGTGTTTGGTTTTTTGTCCTTGCCATAGTTTGCTGAGAATGATGGTTTCCAGCTTCATCCATGTCCCTACAAAGGACATGAACTCATCCTTTTTTATGGTTGCATAGTATTCCATGGTGTATATGTGCCACATTTTCTTAATCCAGTCTATCATTGATGGACATTTGGGTTGGTTCCAAGTCTTTGCTATTGTGAATAGTGCCGCAATAAACCTACCTGTGCATGTATCTTGATAGCAGCATGACTTATAATCCTCTGGGTATATACCCAGTAATGGGATGGCTGGGTCAAATGGTATTTCTAGTTCTAGATCCTTGAGGAATCGCCACACTGACTTCCACAATGGTTGAACTAGTTTACAGTCCCACCAACAGTGTAAAAGTGTTCCTACTTCTCCACATCCTCTCCAGCACCTGTTGTTTCCTGACATTTTAATGATCGCCATTCCAACTGGTGTGAGATGGTATCTCATTGTGGTTTTGATTTGCATTTCTCTGATGGCCAGTGATGATGAGCATTTTTTCATGTGTCTGTTGGCTGCATAAATGTCTTCTTTTGAGAAGTGTCTGTTCATATCCTTCACCCACTTTTTGATGGGGTTGTTTTTTTTTCTTGTAAATTTGTTTAAGTTCTTTGTAGATTCTGGATATTAGCCTTTTGTCAGATGAGTAGATTGCAAAAATTTTCTCCCATTCTGTAGGTTGCCTGTTCACTTTGATGGTAGTTTCTTTTGCTGTGCAGAAGCTGTTTAGTTTAATTAGATCCCATTTGTCAATTTTGGCTTTTGTTGCCATTGCTTTTGGTGTTTTAGACATGAAGTCCTTGCCCATGTCTATGTCCTGAATCGTATTGCCTAGGTTTTCTTCTAGGGTTTTTATGGTTTTAGGTCTAATATTTAAGTCTTTAATTCATCTTGAATTAATTTTAGTATAAGGCGTAAGGAAGGGATCCAAAAACCACATGATTATATCAATAGGTGCAGAAAAGGCCTTTGACAAAATTCAACAGCACTTCATGCTAAAACCTCTCAATAAATTAGGTATTGATGGGACGCATCTCAAAATAATAAGAGCTATTTATGACAAACCCATAGCCAATATCATACTGAATGGGCAAAAACTGGAAGCATTCCCTTTGAGAACTGGCACAAGACAGGGATGCCCTCTCCCACCACTCCTATTCACACAGTGTGGGAAGTTCTGGCCAGGGCAATCAGGCAGGAGAAAGAAATAAAGGGTATTCAATTGGAAAAGAGGAAGTTAAACTGTCTCTGTTTGCAGGAGACATGATTGTATGTTTAGAAAACCCCATCGTTTCAGCCCCAAATCTCCTTAAGCTGATAAGCAATTTCAGCAAAGTCTCAGGATACAAAATCAATGTGCAAAAATCACAAGCATTCCTATACACCAATAACAGGCAAACAGAGAGCCAAATCATGAGTGAACTCCCATTCACAATTGCTTCAAAGAGAATAAAATACCTAGGAATCCAACTTACAAGGGATGTGAAGGACCTCTTCAAGGGGAACTACAAACCACTGCTCAACGCAATAAAAGAGGACACAAACAAATGGAAGAACATTCCATGCTCATGGATAGAAAGAATCAATATCATGAAAATGGCCATACTGCCCAAGATAATTTATAGATTCAGTGCCATCCCTATCAAGCTACCAATGACTTTCTTCACAGAATTGGAAAAAACTACTTTAAAGTTCATTTGGAACCAAAAAAGAGCCCACATTGCCAAGACAATCCTAAGCCAAAAGAACAAAGCTGGAGGCATCATGCTACCTGACTTCAAACTATACTACGAGGCTACAGTAACCAAAACAGCATGGTACTGGTACCAAAACAGAGATATAGACCAATGGAACAGAACAGAGCCCTCGGAAATAATACCACACATCTACAACCATCTGATCTTTGACAAACCTGAGAAAAACAAGCAATGGGGAAAGGATTCCTTATTTAATAAATGATGGTGGGAAAACTGTCTAGCCATATGTAGAAAGCTGAAATTTAAATGTAATTTTTTAATCCATTTTGATTTGATTTTTTTATGTGGTGAGAGATAGGGGTCTAGTTTTATTTTTCTGTATATGGATATCCAGTTTTCCCAGCACAATTTATTGAAGAGACTGTCTTTTCCCCAGTGAATGTTCTTAATGCTTTTGCTGAAAAACTATAAATGCAGGGAATTGTTTCTGGGTTTTCTATTCTATTCCATTGGTCTACATGCCTGTTTTTTATGCTAGTACCATCTTATTTTGGTTACTTCACCTTTGTAGAATATTTTGAAGTCTCGTAGTGTAATGCCTTCAGCTTTGCTCTTTTCGCTCAGGATTGCTTTGCCTATTTAGGGTTTTTTTTTTTGTGATTCCATACAAATTTTAGCATTGTATTTTATTCTATGCTGTTAAGAATGTAATTGATATTGTGATATCAAATGCATTGAATCTGTAGATCACTTAGGATAGCATGGATATTTTCATAATATTAACTCTTCAGTCCATGAACATGGGATATCTAAATTTTTTGGTGTCCTTTTCAATTTCTTTCATCAGAGTTTTATAGTTTTCATTGTAAGACTCTTTTACCTCTTTGGGTAAATTTATCCTAGGTATTTTTGTAGCTATCGTAAGTGAAATTTCTTTCTTGATTTCTTTTTCAGAATGCTCACTGATGGCGTACAAAAATGCAACTGATTTTTGTATATTGATTTGTATCCTGCAACTTTACTGAATTTATCAGTTCTAACCCTTTTTTGTCGATTCTTTAGGTTTTTCTAAATATAGGAGCATTTCATCTGTGAAGAAGGATGATTTGACTTCTTTCTTTCCAGTTTGGATGCCCTTTATTTCTTTCTCTTGCCTAATTGCTCTGGCTAGAAATTCCATTACTATGTTGAATAAAAGCAGTTAAAATGGGCATCTTTGTCTTAGTCCAGATCTTAGACTAAAGGCTTTTATTTTTTCTCTGTTTACTATGATGTTATTTGTGGGATTGTCATATATGGCCTTTATTGTTTTGAGGTATGTTCCTTCTATACTCAGTTTGTTAAGAGTTTTTATCATGAAGTTATGATAACTTTTATTGAATGCTTTTTGAACATCTATTGAAATGATGATATGGTTTTTGTTCTTGATTTTGTTAATATGATGTACCACATTTATTGATTTGCATATGTTGAGCCATTCTTGCATCACTGGGATGAATCCCACATAATCATGATCAATCATCTTTTTTAAAACAATTTCAGTAGCTTTAAATGTACAGTGTTTTTTAATTACATGGATGAGTTGTATAGTGGTGAAGTCTGGGCTTTCAGTGTACCTGTCACCCAAATAGTGTACCTTGACACCATAGGTGACTTTTTGTCCCTCACCTACCTCCAATCCTCCTGCTTCTGAGTCTCCAGTGTCTATTAAACTACTCTGTATGCCTTTGCATACCCATAGCTTAGCTCCCACTTGTAAGTGAGAACATACAGTATTTTGGTTTTCCATTTGAACAATGGTCTCCAGTTCCATCAAAGTTGCTGCAAAATACATTATTTCATTACTTTTTATGGCCAAGTACAATAATCTTTTTAATATATTGTTTAATTGTTTGTTAGCTTTTTTTGAGGATTTTTCTGTCTACATTCATTGGGCATATTGCCTTGTAGTTCTTGTTGTTGTTGTTGTTGTGTCCTTGTCTGATTTTGATATCGGTGTAATGCTAGCCTCCTAGAATGAGTTTGAAAGCATTTCTTCTTCTTCTTCAATTTTTGAAATAGTTTGAGTACAACTGGTATTTTTCTTTAAATGCTCGGTAAGACTCAGCAGTGAAGCCATCAGGTCCTGGGCTTTTCCTTAATGGGAGACATTTTACTACTGCTTTGATCTCATTATTTGTTATTGGTCTGTTCTGATATTCTATTTCTTCATGAATCAATCTTGGTAGGTTGTATATGTTCAGGAATTTATTCATTTCTTCTATGTTTTCCAATTTGTTGGCATATCCTTGTTGATAAACTTTTTAATGATCCTTTGTATTTCTGTGGTATCAGTTGTAACGTCTCCTTTTTGTCTCTGCTTTCATTCATTTTGGTCTTCTCTCCTTTTTCTTAGTTTAGTTAAAGGTTTGTCAACTCTTCTTAATTTTGAATAACCAACTATCATTTCATTAATCTTATTTTAGCCTCAATTTCATTTATTTCTGCTCTGATCTTTATTATTTATTTTCATCTACTAATTTCTGGTTTGGTTTGTTCTTTCTCTTTTAGTTCCTTGAGATGCATCATTAGGTTGTTTATTTGAAATCTTTCTACTTTTTGGATTTAGGCAGTTATTGCTATAAGCTCACCTCTTAGAACTGCTTTTGCTATATCCTATAGATTTTTGATATATTCTGTTTCTATTTTCATTTTTCTCAAGGAATTTTTAAATTTCCTTTTAAATTTCTTTACTGACCCATTTATGGTTCAGGAGCATGTTGTTTAATTTGCATGCAGTTTTAGTTTCCAGTGTTCCTTCTGTTATTGATTTCTAATTTTATTTCATTGTGGTCAGAAAAGATATTTGACATGATATCATTTTTAAAAAATTTATTAAGACTTGTCTTGGGACCTAACATATGGTCTATCCTCAAAAATGTTTCATATACTGTTGAGGAAAATATGTATTTTGTAGCTACTGAATGGAATGTTCTATAAATATCTATTAGGCCCATTTGGTCTAGAGTGCAGTCTAACTCTGAATTTATTTCTTGGTTTTCTTTCTAGATGATCTGTCCATCGCTGAAAGTGAGGTGGTGATATCCCCTACTGTTGTTGTATTGTAGCTAATCTCTCTTTTTAGTTCTATTAATATTTGTTTTATATATTTGGCTGCTTCAGGGTTGAGTGCATATATATGTAAAATTGTATGTCTCTTGCTATATTGATCTTGTTATCATTATATAATGGCCTTCTTTGTCCTTTTTTGCCATTCTTTATTTAAACTCTACTTTAAAAAAAAGAGTTACTAGTAAAAGATCTATTCTTGCTCTTTTTTTGTGTCTATTTGATTGCAATATTTTTCATTCTTCACTTTTTCTATCCCTTCCCTTTCTGTACATGTCTTTATAGGTGAAGTCAGTTTCTTGTAGACAGTATGTATTTGGTTCTTGTTTTTTAAAATTCACTCAACCACTCTATTTATTCTAATTGAAGAATTTAATCCATTTACATTCAATGATATTGATAGGTAAGGATTTTCTACTGCCATTTTGATACTTATTTTTTTTGTTTTTTTCTTTTGTAAATCCTTTCTCCATTTCTGTCTTTCTGTTTTCCTGCTCTTAAGTGTTTTTCTCTAACAGTATGTTTTGATGCTGTACTATTTGTTTATAGTGCATCTATTACAGGATTTTGTTTGTGGTTACCATGAGGCTTACAAAATATCTTATAGTTATAACAGGTTATTTTAAACTGATAATGACTTAACTTTGATGACAAGGAAAGTAAAGGTAACAAAAGCAACCCCTACACTCTAACATCATAGATACTCTGCAGTATCTATGTCAATTGCATTTTTCAACTCTGTAATATCAACGTGTTCTCACTTATAAGTCGGAGCTAAATGATGAAAACACATGGACACATAGTGGGGAAAAAAACACAGTGTGGTCTGTCAGAGGGTAGGGGGTGGGAGGGAGAGGATCAGGAAGAACAGCCAATGGATACTGGGTTTAATACCTGGGTGATGGGATGCTCTGTGCAGCAAACCACCATGGCACACGTTTATCTATGTAACCAACTTGCACATCCTACACATATACCCCTGAACTTAAAATAAAAGTTGGAATTTAAAAAAAAATCTGATTTGGACTTGAGGCTAAAAGGGAACTTTCTGATCCTCAACCTAAATCTTGATCTTGAGACCCCCTCCCAACTCAGGTGATCCTACAGATATATGAATGACCCTGCAGTGTAGACTTAGGTTCATTAATCCAACCAGGTACTTGGTCAAGCACTCCAGAGCAGCCTCACACACCCAATAGCAGTAGCCAAAGAATATTCTGCCTAATTTGTTCATTTAAAAGAGGCAAGAAGTCAAGGGTACCTATCAAGTTCCCACCCAGAAGTGAAAGCACAAACAAAAACCAAACAAACACCTTTTCTAATGGTGTTTTAAATTTTCTGTATCAAATTTTAACTTCTAAGAACTCTCTTATTTTTACATTTTTAATATACCATTTTATTTATGTTTCATGGATGAAATAGTTTCTCATCACTTTTAGGATAATAGTTAGAGGTTTTTATTTCTCTTTTAAGTTTTCTTCTACTTCCTATATTGTCTGTTTCTTCTAAATTCTTTCTTTCTGTTTGTTTTTGTCTGTTTTTCAAATTTCAGATTTTCTTCATTTGCCTGGTGATGATATTGGTGAGGCAAGGAAGAAGAACTGAAAAAATTCCACAGGCAATGGCAGAAAGAAAGAGCAAAGCGAATATATAGATGAAATCTAGCAGAATGGGATAAGTGTGGGATAAGAAAGAAGTTTTAGTGGAGAGCAGTAGATGTGAGAGTGCTGCTCCCAGACTCATGTATTTGGATATCAGGGTGGCAGATCCATTAGAGGTACAAATTGAATGTGAAGAGAAAGGGAAGTTTGACTTGGCAGAAGGGCTGTTGTCATAATGGCAGTGGATTCAAGTCTCAATGTATTATGGTGAGCAAAAGAGGGCCAGCAAGATGAAGTTGAGCTAGGATCATTTCTAACATTTAGGTATAGACTGGAGAACCTTACCCAGAGGCTGCAGAGCTTGAGATAGAATGTTGGGCAGTTCATGGCACAGGGCTCAGGAGGTCTAACCTGGCAGATGAAGCACGAAAGGAAAAACTTTCAGAAAACTGAAAGTCAGTGACATGAGATTTAGGCAGAGTCATTTAGAGCCTCTTTATACCCCCATCAGTGTCTAATCAGTGACCAAGGAGAGGGCACAAAGTCTTCAAGAAAGAAAATTAACAAAGGTAAGGTCTCCACATAAGAGGTATGAGGCCCCTACACAAGAGGAAATCTTGGTAGGAACAGTTTCCCCAAAGAGACCACGGAGAAGAATTAACATAAAAGCACATTCCTACACACTGGGTCATTGCTGGCTGTGAGGAGCCAGGGAGTACTGAACATTGTCTCAAGTCTATGCGGGGTAAGGGAAGAAAATGTCCAGCCCCAGCCTGAGCTCACTCCCATTATAAGCTGGATATCTTGGCCTGCTCAGATTTGACCCAGAAAACAAGCTAGACCTGGGCCAAGAAAGGAGGCCCATCAATAAATTTACTTGTAAGAGCTGAGGAAGGCAAAAGCAGGTGAAATGAGACAGCAGGCTTACATCAGAATCTTGACTGCAGGGGCAGGGCCAGGTGAACCAGTGGTTTTTAAACCCCACTGTGCATCAAAATCACCTGGAGAGCTTGTAATAAAAGTTTCCCAGACCCCCCCATGCAAAGATATAGATTGTATTTACTTGGGGTAAGAGCCAAGCATATTTATTTATTTATTTAATAAACTTCTTTCTTTTAGAACAGCTTTAGATTGATAGAATTATTGAAATAATAGTACAGAGAGTTCCTATATACCCCACACCCAGCTTATTATTATCCCCTATTATTAACATCTTATATTACTATGGGACACTTGGGAAAATTATGAGCCAATATTGATACATTATTATTGACTAATGTCCATGCTTTACTCAGATTTTCTTGATTTTTACCTAATGTTCTTTTTCTGTATCAGGATCCCATAGTTGTCATGTCTCTTTAGGCTCCTCTTGATTGTGACAGTTTCTCATACTTTCCTTATTTTTGATGACCTTGACAGTTTTGAGGATTGCTGGTTAGGTATTTTCTAGACTGTCCCTCAATTGGGAGTTTTCTGATGTTTTTCTCATGATTAGATTTGAGTTACAGATTTTGGAGAGAAAGACTACAGGAGAAAAGTACCATTTCTACCACATTCCAATGGCACATGTTATCAACATATCTTATCACTGTTGAGATCCTTGATCACCTGGCTGAGGTTTGGCAGGTTTCTTCATTATATACTTACCCCACTTTCCATATTGTACCCTTTGGAAGAAAGTCACACAATGGGCAGCCCACAATTGGAGTGGAAAGTTATGCTCCACCTCCTGAAGGAATTACTGAGGCCTGAAGGCCCACTACATTTTTTATCTTATATGTATCTTATTCTATATATATCTTATCTTAAATATACACAACATAATACTTATCATTTTAACAATTTTAGATTTTATATCTATTTTTTAAGTTTCCCAATAATTCTAATGTGCACCCAGGCTTGAGAACTACTTAGATTCATAGAGAGTGAGGACAATGGAGAGACACTAAGGTGTTCAGAACCCCACAGAACATTAGACTGGATGTTGATATCTTTAGTGGGCGGCTTGTGGTGTCACACTGACCCTCCTAACTCTCTGCCCCTTCTTGCAGCTGCTATAGGCTTGTCTGTGCAGGTGGCTGCTGGAGAGAGGGGTGGAGATCCTAGTCAAAGTGGGAACTCACAATAAATAAGTAGAGGAAGAAACCTCATCTCCACATCTTTGTATCTCCCACAGCCTCAAACACAGTGCTTGGCACAGAATACAAGAGACAGTTTATTAATCAGGGAAAACACTTGATTTATAACACACTGTCAAATTTCACAACTCACCATAGGCAAACTACCTTAGGGTCCACTGACACCCAGGTACTGTTGACTTGTCACAGAGCTATGACTTGTCTCAGATAACCCCCTCTTTAAATAATATGCTCATCCTCTTATTTTCATCTTTGATGCTCAAAGGTACCTCTCCAAGAGGTCCTCCAAGAGGACCAAAGGGTCCAATGGCATAACCCTTTGGAGGAAAATAAGAAAGGAGTTACTTGTCTGTGTGAAACAAAAAAATCACTTCTCCAGAAGCTTGAGAATATGGACAAAAAGGGAGTCTACATACAGAAGCAACTTCTCAATAAATGTTTCCTCATTTCTCAGTAAACATTTGTTGAATTATAGCCCCAGATGTGATGTTCAGTGAGGATACTATTACAACAGGTTGGATTAGAGATAGGACTAGGTATTTGACTACAATAATGGATAAGATGATAAAGATTAGAGTAAACACATTTCAGCAGCATATAGAGATTGCTTAAAATACTAAAGAAACAAAAGAGAGGGAAGGGTCAACATTACTCTAAGACATCCTTGCTGGGTGACCGAATTTTTCTAGTGGTGCTGTCTCCCACTGTGACAGAAAAGCTTAAACATGGGGAGATGATGTCAAGAGAAAAAATGAAGGCATTAGTCATCACTGCTTTTAGTGTCCAACTGTGAAGAGCCATGGAAGCAGAAATGACTGCAATACAGAGGAGGATACAGAGCTCAGTAGCTGTGGTTTCAGGAGTGAAGCAGTGGACAAGTCACTAGTAGAGAGGGTTGTACAGGGGAGAGGAGAAATAACATTTCCAGGCTGTGTTATGGAAGTGAATAGCAGAGTGAGGCAAATGAGTGCAGCCAATAACACAGCCAGCAAGAGGCAGAACATCTGTTGAGGGCAAACAGCTTTACAATGCTGCAGATCTGAGCCTGAGTTTGCAAAGCAGGAAAAAAACTTTTGTAAACACAAATTCCAACAAATCACTGTGACTATTTATGAGATCCTTTGTTCATGCAAAATTCCATAGACAGCAATAGAGCTTGAGTGTTGTATGAGGATGGTGGCTAAATTCAGGCTGAGGAAGCAAGTATTCAGCATTCACCTAGAAATGGTAATATCTGAGGAGACTGATTCTACATAGCTTTCATTCGGTTGGAAATAAGTTAGTAGTAGTGCTGCATTTTAATTGGCCAACAGTCTCCTCTTCTGATATAATTCAAAATAACGTGTCCCGAGGCCCTGAAGGGGAGAGCCATGGCAGAAGCAATCCTCTCTTGGCAAGGTTTCTGAATGAGCTTAGAAGTCTGCAGGCAGCAGCAGTGTGGGTGCACAGCATCCCTTCTGCCTAGGGCACCTAGGGACTCCATTTGTTTTCATTTCCACTAATGAAAACAAACAGAGGCAGTCAGCTCCAGGGAATAGAGACACTCTCTGGCTCTTATAAAGGACCAGAGTCCGCTCTTCCAGAGGGCTGTGATGGGCAAGCCCGTTAGCATGGAACATGTAAATAATTGGGAGAATTTCCAGGAGAATTCACAGAAAGTACACTGGTCCATGGCCACTTAAACGCTTCTGTGTAACCTTTCTATCCCTGCTTAGCGCACACATGCATGCACACACACACACAAACACATGTACTGAAAGAGGCAAACAACAGTGTACTGAGACAAAGAACAGCTTCTGCTTTCTTCTTTGCCATTTCTCCACAATTATTGATGCCTATGTTCCCATTTTCCCTAAAAATTGATAACGAGTTCTAAGAGATTCTCCAAAGTCTTTAAAGGAAAGGAACTTGTAAGTATATGGTGCTTATTCTATGGGAAGTGTACTTTCAAGGCACTCTCCCCTTTTAGAATGTAGTTAAAATTTCCTTATGTTCTTGATACCAGAATCCAACCCTCTTATCTTTTTTGTCAGCTAGATAAGGACTTTGGGAATGGAATAGGGATGTTTAACAGTAACACAGTGTAACATTTTAAGATGGTAGAATGCAACCTCCCCTTTATGTGTCCATGAAATCCTCAAGAAAATATCCACTTCCAATCATGTGTTGTAGAGTTGGTTCTGTCTTGGTGCACTCTATGAAGGGCCAACTATGAATTCAAAGTGAGCATGAGGTAAGAGCCAAGGAGTCAACCAAATATGAGCTACCCAAGAATGCTGTGATTCCATTTAAGTTTCTGCAGTATTTGCTTTTCTTAAAGACTGTATTTACTCTTCCTATTTATTGATACCTTCAATCTTGATTGTTGATTACATTCCTCCTTTTAGTGGGAATTATCTCTAATAGTGTATTAGGCAGTTGCAAACAAATAATCTACTTCGGTTGTTTTAACTGTAACAGATTTAAAGGTAAAAATAAAGGTATTAGGTAACTAAAATAATTATTTCCTTGAGAAATGGTAAAAAAATATATCCCAGAATTGGCCTGAGAATAAACCACCTCTACTGCCCCTGCTAAGCACTAAAATGCCAAAAGTTTGACTTTACTTCTACCATTACTGCGGCCAGCCACAGTGCTACTTCCACATCAGGCACTCAAGGTTGCAAGTGCCCTGGCTATTATCTGTGCTGGCACAAACAGAAACTTCATGCCAAGATTGTTTCACTTTTTTGTTTATTTCAAAATTTAAATCTGTCATAGATATATCTGATTCATGGAGTCTAAGTCACATTGCTTGCTGTAAAGGAGGCTGGTAATTTGAATTCGGACTTCTACACACAGGAATCACAGGTGGGGGTTTCCTCAAATGTAAAAAAACTTTTCAAAAGATAATAGGAAGTTACGATTATAACAGACGTCTATTAAAAGAGTGGATGGCTGGCCAGGCGCAGGGGCTCACACCTGTATTCCCAGCAGTTTGGGAGGCTGAGGTGGGTGGATCACTTGAGGTCAGGAGTTGGAGACCAGTCTGGCCAACATGGTGAAACCCCGTTTCTACTAAAAATACAAAAATTAGCGAGGCATGGTGGCATACGCCTGTAATTCCAGCTACTCGAGAGGCTGAGACTCAAGAATGGCTTGAATCCAGGAGGCAGAGGTTGCAGTGAGCCGAGATTGTGCCACTGCACTCCAGCATGGGTGACTGAGACTCCATCCTAAAAAGTTAAAAAAAAAATAATAAAAATAAAGAGTGAATAGATAGATCTTTTTAAATCTGGCATTTCTATTTGTGGTCCAGTCACTTCTTTAGCCCATGATTTCATCAGCTAGATCCATACTATTTTCACCCAATATTTTAATATTTGAATATCCGCATGTGTAATCTAATTGGCTCTCATTCCATAATCCGAACTGTAATGACTAGGTTAAAAGCTCACTGTTGAATGTGCCAAACCTTCAGGTTTTTGTTAACTAGCAATACTACTCTATTCAAACACATGATAATCTATTACACTTCTATAACTTTGCTATCCTGTTGAACTGTCTTTAAAAAAAAAAAGGTTGTGGGGGGATTCTGGAACATCATCAAAACACTTGCTCTTTCTTGAATGAGAATTGTTTCCCATGCCCACATATTCTAGCACCATCCTCATAGATTCTGGACCTAAAAGTTTCAGCTATGGCTTTGTATGCCTACAGGTCTATATTTACTGGAAGAACTTGAGGACAAAAGGGAACATCTGTTTTAGAGGCAAACCAATATTAAAACAAACAAACAAAAATGACAAACCCATCCATATAAAAGGAAAAATTTATTCCACACACACTGAGTACCTTTACAATGTGCTGGGCACTGAATAGCAGGCTAAGGATTGAGAGATAAATAATAGGTAGTTCCTGCTCTCCAAGGTGGTAAGATATCTACTGAGGGAGGCAGATCCATGCATCTAATGTAAGAGGAAAGGGGCAACTAGGAAACTGTCCATGTCTGGCTGTGTGGCTGGTAGGAGGTTTGTGTGAAGGGATAAAGAGGCAATATTTGTGGTCATAGTTTGCACATCTCTAGGAGCATCTTGTATTTCAGCCTGTGTCTTTTGTTTAAAATGATTCATATAGACACAGCAAATGTGTTGAAATGTTAACATTCATGGCATCTGGATGAAGGGTGTATGTTTGTACTATTTTAGCAACTTTTATATAGGTCTGAAATTATGTCAGTATATAAGCTTAAAACAGAATAAAAAGCATTTCAGCAATTATGAATTCATCATAAATAGACTGTGCTTTCCTAATACCATTTCTATATCTGTTTTGGAGGCAAGGTATTTATATCTAAATAAGTTATCATTCAACTAAGTATTTGACACATACTTGACTTTTCTCACTGACAATGCTGTATCTGCATGTAGAGGAACTATCAAGATGAACTATTACTCTGGGCTTCATTCTCACCAACTAGGCCAATAGAGTTCTTAAAATGAGTACAACAGAAACTTTGGAAGTAAGTAATCTTCTTGGAGTATATATAGATATATATAGCCTCAGGATCTAGGAGTTTCTAAAAATGCAATATTGGCAATAGAAATAAAGGTACCCTGGGACTTTATTCTTAAAATATCAGATAGAATGTGGTTATAATCTCACAATCAAGGTTTCTAAAAGGTGTTCAAGAGAGATGAGCAGTTTTATAAATTTTATAATATAATAAGAAATTAGATTAAGGGGAAATTTTTAAAAAAGAGAGAGGAATCTAAAGAAAGTAATGTGACTACACAGGGGTCCTCTGATGACCCCAAAGATAAAAGGAGGAGAAAAATCCAAAGGGAAATACAAGAGACTGGTGCAAATTTAAGTCTCATTTCTGCAATTCCTAATGTCTAATACACAACACTACAGGATAAAAAAGGCACCTGCTCAGTCATCACAACAGGACAGTGATATGATTGACAGAAAGACACTAACAGACATTGTTGTAGAAGGCGCAAAGTTTCTTCAATAGCAAAAGACATAAAAATTTATGGAGGTAGCTACGGAAAACAGAAGCTACCACATCATGCTCCCCGCTAAAAGTGTAATATCCCAGCTCCCCCAAAGTTCCACACAGAGACATGGAACTGAGGTGGGGTGCCATGAAAAGCTCTCCCTGCACAATTTTACACCTTACTGGCGATGTACTGCTTGACTTTTGAGAGTCATCAGGTGCAAATAATATAAAAATACCAGTGCACATTCAAGAATTTACAGCAAGACCTGACAAAGTGAAGATCAGTTTCCCAAAGTAATCCCCCAAAGTACTGAGGCTTCCGACTTGTCTGAGTTATACTCCTTATTCCATAACTTGACCTCAGAGTTATTAATTTTGCACTGTCAAATTATTATATTTATGAGTGTGAATGTGTGGATGTTTGACATTTCAGGCACACTACAATAACTATCCAGTGAAAGAACTAA
Source organism: Homo sapiens (assembly GCF_000001405.40). NCBI lineage: Eukaryota > Metazoa > Chordata > Mammalia > Primates > Hominidae > Homo > Homo sapiens. Next base: position 42,896,517 of record NC_000023.11, on the reverse strand, counting down.
ATTACAAAACTAAATAATTATTTAATTGTAACTTTTTCTTTTTTTTTTTTTTTTGTTTTGGTAACGTTTTCTCTAATTGAACAATTTGTCAATCCCTCCCATTTTTGAAAGAAACTGACTCACAGTGGCTTGACTTTTTCCTGGGGCATATTATATGATGGCTTCCTTTTCAGCATTGCCATGGTCTTATGACTTCATTTAGCATTTCAGTTAATTCTGTAAATGGTCGTTTTATTAGGGCGTATAAATTGTCTCTATTAGGTCACTAGCAGCCCTCTCTTTAGGCCAGAGGTTCTCAACACTGGCTATATCTGGAGACATTTTTGGTGGTCAAAACTTGGGGAGTGGTGCTACTGGCATCTAGTGGGTGGAGGCCACGGATGCTGCTAAATGTTCTACAATGCCCAGGACAGACCCCTATATCAAAGAACTATCCAGCCCAAAATGCCTGTAGTTGGGGAACCCTGCTTTTTAAGCTAACCTCTGTATCCTTATTAACATAACCTTAGACATGTTTAAATGTCCCAGGTATCTCCTACCCAAGTGATTCCTAGGAATTGGCATTTTGTTGTTGTTGAGACAGGGTGTTGCTTTGTTGCTCAGGCTGGAGTGCAGTGGCGTGATCACTGCTCACTGTAGCCTCGACCTCCTAGGCTCAAGCGATCCTCCCCCTTCAGCCCCCTAAGTAGCTGTGACTGCAAGCACATGCCACCATGCCTGGCTAAGGTTTTTATTTTTTTGTAGAGACGGGGTCTATGTTTTCCAGGTTGTTCTCAAATTCCTATTGCTAAAGCGATCCTCCCACCTCGGCTTCCCAAAGTGCTGGGATTATAGTCGTAAGCCACTACCCCAGCTGGAACTGGCAATTTTAGAGGCTTACAGTTTGCTTGTCTTCTTAGACCTTCATTTAGGGAATGAAAACACTTCTACCTGAAGTTTCTGTTTGGTACTGCCAAGACCTTTTTTCTGTCACTTTTTCCAAGTGACACCACTGGTCTCCAGCTGGGTGGTCCATTACACCCTAGTCTCAGGCTTAATCAGCTCTGCATGGGTTAGGGGTGGGCTCAGCTAGCCCACAATTTGGCCTCACAGCATCTTCTTATCCAGGTTTGCAGCCTTTCCTCCCCACTATCAGGTTTCCTTATTGCCAGGTGGGTGATGGGTAGTTCAAGGGACTTCTGTTTCTCAGAGTAGTTCTCAGCTAGGCCTGCATACAGACCAGGACACCTCACCCCGTCCTGCCCCCAGTCTCCCAGTGAGTCTGTCCCTCCACTCACTCCTCTTTTGGACTGTCTTATGAACTGAATGTTCATGTCCCCGCAAAACTCATATGTTGAAGCGCTAACCCCCAGTATGGCTGTATTTGGAAATGGGACCTTTACGGAAGTAAATAAAGTTAAATGTGGCATATGGGTGGAGCCCTGATCTAATAGGATTAGTGTCCTTATAAGAAAGACACTAGAGCTCACTTTCTCTCTTTTTCTGTCCCTGGGCACACAATCAAATCAGCCAGAACCTTGATTTTGGACTTCTAACCTCCAGAACTGTGAGAGAATAAATGTCTGTTGTTTAAGTCACCCAGTCTATGGTATTTTGTAATGGCAGCCTGAGCAGACTAAAACAGGCTGACAGTGCAAGAGTGCCTGATTCTCTACTAACCCACTTTGATACTTGTTTTTCTCACTAGCATTATTTTTTGAGACCTTCCCCACGACTGTAACTTTAAAAATCTTTCATGATATTTCTCCATCTTTTACTGAAGTTTCAAGGGAGGAAAAATTTGTCAAACCTCTCCTTATTTCCTAGCTCTGAGATTGTTTAAAACACATACATGTGTCCCTTGTTGCCAGCCCCAAGATTTATAACTTTGGAGAGGCTGAATATCTTCTTCTTATCTTAGTTTAGGGAGCTGTTTTCTTCCTAAGCAAAATTATAATTATCAAGTCGATTATTTACCATTTTAGTTGCATTGTCACATGTCATTTCAATTAGTACAGTTAGGAACTGTGAGTTATCCTGAAAATGATGGCACATAGCGTTCTCATTCTCAATCACATTTAAACAATTTAACACCTTCTGGTCAACTTTTATGCAAATAAACATTTATCTTTCAAACAGAAATTTTTTTTTTTTTTTTTTACTTTTCTTTTTTTTTTTATTATACTTTAAGTTTTAGGGTACATGTGCACAATGTGCAGGTTAGTTACATATGTATACATGTGCCATGCTGGTGCGCTGCACCCACTAACTCGTCATCTAGCATTAGGTATATCTCCCAATGCTATCCCTCCCCCCTCCCCCCACCCCACCACAGTCCCCAGAGTGTGATATTCCCCTTCCTGTGTCCATGTGATCTCATTGTTCAATTCCCACCTATGAGTGAGAATATGCGGTGTTTGGTTTTTTGTTCTTGCGATAGTTTACTGAGAATGATGGTTTCCAGTTTCATCCATGTCCCTACAAAGGACATGAACTCATCATTTTTTATGGCTGCATAGTATTCCATGGTGTATATGTGCCACATTTTCTTAATCCACTCTATCATTGATGGACATTTGGGTTGGTTCCAAGTCTTTGGTATTGTGAATAATGCCGCAATAAACATACGTGTGCATGTGTCTTTATAGCAGCATGATTTATAGTCATTTGGGTATATACCCAGTAATGGGATGGCTGGGTCAAATGGTATTTCTAGTTCTAGATCCCTGAGGAATCGCCACACTGACTTCCACAATGGTTGAACTAGTTTACAGTCCCACCAACAGTGTAAAAGTGTTCCTATTTCTCCACATCCTCTCCAGCACCTGTTGTTTCCTGACTTTTTAATGACTGCCATTCTAACTGGTGTGAGATGATATCTCATAGTGGTTTTGATTTGCATTTCTCTGATGGCCAGTGATGATGAGCATTTTTTCATGTGTTTTTTGGCTGCATAAATGTCTTCTTTTGAGAAGTGTCTGTTCATGTCCTTCACCCACTTTTTGATGGGGTTGTTTGTTTTTTTCTTGTAAATTTGTTTGAGTTCATTGTAGATTCTGGATATTAGCCCTTTGTCAGATGAGTAGGTTGCGAAAATTTTCTCCCATGTTGTAGGTTGCCTGTTCACTCTGATGGTAGTTTCTTTTGCTGTGCAGAAGCTCTTTAGTTTAATTAGATTCCATTTGTCAATTTTGGCTTTTGTTGCCATTGCTTTTGGTGTTTTGGACATGAAGTCCTTGCCCATGCCTATGTCCTGAATGGTAATGCCTAGGTTTTCTTCTAGGGTTTTTATGGTTTTAGGTCTAACATTTAAATCTTTAATCCATCTTGAATTGATTTTTGTATAAGGTGTAAGGAAAGGATCCAGTTTCAGCTTTCTACATATGGCTAGCCAGTTTTCCCAGCACCATTTATTAAATAGGGAATCCTTTCCCCATTGCTTGTTTTTCTCAGGTTTGTCAAAGATCAGATAGTTGTAGGTATGCGGCGTTATTTCTGAGGGCTCTGTTCTGTTCCATTGATCCATATCTCTGTTTTGGTACCAGTACCATGCTGTTTTGGTTACTGTAGCCTTGTAGTATAGTTTGAAGTCAGGTAGTGTGATGCCTCCAGCTTTGTTCTTTTGGCTTAGGATTGACTTGGCGATGCGGGCTCTTTTTTGGTTCCATATGAACTTTAAAGTAGTTTTTTCCAATTCTGTGAAGAAAGTCATTGGTAGCTTGATGGGGATGGCATTGAATCTGTAAATTACCTTGGGCAGTATGGCCATTTTCACGATATTGATTCTTCCTACCCATGAGCATGGAATGTTCTTCCATTTGTTGGTATCCTCTTTTATTTCCTTGAGCAGTGGTTTGTAGTTCTCCTTGAAGAGGTCCTTCACATCCCTTGTAAGTTGGATTCCTAGGTATTTTATTCTCTTTGAAGCAATTGTGAATGGGAGTTCACTCATGATTTGGCTCTCTGTTTGTCTGTTGTTGGTGTATAAGAATGCTTGTGATTTTTGTACATTGATTTTGTATCCTGAGACTTTGCTGAAGTTGCTTATCAGCTTAAGGAGATTTTGGGCTGAGACGATGGGGTTTTCTAGATAAACAATCATGTCGTCTGCAAACAGGGACAATTTGACTTCCTCTTTTCCTAATTGAATACCTTTTATTTCCTTCTCCTGCCTGATTGCCCTGGCCAGAACTTCCAACACTATGTTGAATAGGAGCAGTGAGAGAGGGCATCCCTGTCTTGTGCCAGTTTTCAAAGGGAATGCTTCCAGTTTTTGCCCATTCAGTATGATATTGGCTGTGGGTTTGTCATAGATAGCTCTTATTATTTTGAAATACGTCCCATCAATACCTAATTTATTGAGAGTTTTTAGCATGAAGTGTTGTTGAATTTTGTCAAAGGCTTTTTCTGCATCTATTGAGATAATCATGTGGTTTTTGTCTTTGGCTCTGTTTATATGCTGGATTACATTTATTGATTTGCGTATATTGAACCAGCCTTGCATCCCAGGGATGAAGCCCACTTGATCATGGTGGATAAGCTTTTTGATGTGCTGCTGGATTCGGTTTGCCAGTATTTTATTGAGGATTTTTGCATCAATGTTCATCAAGGATATTGGTCTAAAATTCTCTTTTTTTGGTTGTGTCTCTGCCCGGCTTTGGTATCAGAATGATGCTGGCCTCATAAAATGAGTTAGGGAGGATTCCCTCTTTTTCTATTGATTGGAATAGTTTCAGAAGGAATGGTACCAGTTCCTCCTTGTACCTCTGGTAGAATTCGGCTGTGAATCCATCTGGTCCTGGACTCTTTTTGGTTGGTAAACTATTGATTATTGCCACAATTTCAGCTCCTGTTATTGGTCTATTCAGAGATTCAACTTCTTCCTGGTTTAGTCTTGGGAGAGTGTATGTGTCGAGGAATGTATCCATTTCTTCTAGATTTTCTAGTTTATTTGTGTAGAGGTGTTTGTAGTATTCTCTGATGGTAGTTTGTATTTCTGTGGGATCGGTGGTGATATCCCCTTTATCATTTTTTATCGTGTCTATTTGATTCTTCTCTCTTTTTTTCTTTATTAGTCTTGCTAGCGGTCTATCAATTTTGTTGATCCTTTCAAAAAACCAGCTCCTGGATTCATTGATTTTTTGAAGGGTTTTTTGTGTCTCTATTTCATTCAGTTCTGCTCTGATTTTAGTTATTTCTTGCCTTCTGCTAGCTTTTGAATGTGTTTGCTCTTGCTTTTCTAGTTCTTTTAATTGTGATGTTAGGGTGTCAATTTTGGATCTTTCCTGCTTTCTCTTGTGGGCATTTAGTGCTATAAATTTCCCTCTACACACTGCTTTGAATGTGTCCCAGAGATTCTGGTATGTTGTGTCTTTGTTCTCATTGGTTTCAAAGAACATCTTTATTTCTGCCTTCATTTCATTATGTACCCAGTAGTCATTCAGGAGCAGGTTGTTCAGTTTCCATGTAGTTGAGCGGCTTTCAGTGAGATTATTAATCCTGAGTTCTAGTTTGATTGCACTGTGGTCTGAGAGATAGTTTGTTATAATTTCTGTTCTTTTACATTTGCTGAGGAGAGTTTTACTTCCAACTATGTGGTCAATTTTGGAATAGGTGTGGTATGGTGCTGAAAAAAATGTATATTCTGTTGATTTGGGGTGGAGAGTTCTCTAGATGGTCTGCTTGGTGCAGAGCTGAGTTCAATTCCTGGGTATCCTTGTTGACTTTCTGTCTCGTTGATCTGTCTAATGTTGACAGTGGGGTGTTAAAGTCTCCCATTATTAATGTGTGGGAGTCTAAGTCTCTTTGTAGGTCACTCAGGACTTGCTTTATAAATCTGGGTGCTCCTGTATTGGGTGCATATATATTTAGGATAGTTAGCTCCTCTTGTTGAATTGATCCCTTTACCGTTATGTAATGGCCTTCTTTGTCTCTTTTGATCTTTGTTGGTTTAAAGTCTGCTTTATCAGAGACTAGGATTGCAACCCCTGCCTTTTTTTTTTTCCATTTGCTTGGTAGATCTTCCTCCATCCTTTTATTTTGAGCCTATGTGTGTCTCTGCACGTGAGATGGGTTTCCTGAATACAGCACACTGATGGGTCTTGACTCTTTATCCAACTTGCCAGTCTGTGTCTTTTAATTGGAGAATTTAGTCCATTTACATTTAAAGTTAATATTGTTATGTGTGAATTTGAACCTGTCATTATGATGTTAGCTGGTGATTTTGCTCGTTAGTTGATGCAGTTTCTTCCTAGTCTCGATGGTCTTTACATTTTGGCATGATTTTGCAGCGGCTGGTACCGGTTGTTCCTTTCCATGTTTAGCGCTTCCTTCAGGAGCTCTTTTAGGGCAGGCCTGGTGGTGACAAAATCTCTCAGCATTTGCTTGTCTGTAAAGTATTTTATTTCTCCTTCACTTATGAAGCTTAGTTTGGCTGGATATGAAATTCTGGGTTGAAAATTCTTTTCTTTAAGAGTGTTGAATATTGGCCCCCACTCTCTTCTGGCTTGTAGGGTTTCTGCCGAGAGATCCGCTGTTAGTCTGATGGGCTTCCCTTTGAGGGTAACCCGACCTTTCTCTCTGGCTGCCCTTAACATTTTTTCCTTCATTTCAACTTTGGTGAATCTGACAATTATGTGTCTTGGAGTTGCTCTTCTCGAGGAGTATCTTTGTGGCGTTCTCTGTATTTCCTGAATCTGAACGTTGGCCTGCCTTGCTAGATTGGGGAAGTTCTCCTGGATAATATCCTGCAGAGTGTTTTCCAACTTGGTTCCATTCTCCGCATCACTTTCAGGTACACCAATCAGACGTAGATTTGGTCTTTTCACATAGTCCCATATTTCTTGGAGGCTTTGCTCATTTCTTTTTATTCTTTTTTCTCTAAACTTCCCTTCTCGCTTCATTTCATTCATTTCATCTTCCATCGCTGATACCCTTTCTTCCAGTTGATCGCATCGGCTCCTGAGGCTTCTGCATTCTTCACGTAGTTCTCGAGCCTTGGTTTTCAGCTCCATCAGCTCCTTTAAGCACTTCTCTGTATTGGTTATTCTGGTTATACATTCTTCTAAATTTTTTTCAAAGTTTTCAACTTCTTTGCCTTTGGTTTGAATGTCCTCCCGTAGCTCAGAGTAATTTGATCGTCTGAAGCCTTCTTCTCTCAGCTCGTCAAAATCATTCTCCATCCAGCTTTGTTCCGTTGCTGGTGAGGAACTGCGTTCCTTTGGAGGAGGAGAGGCACTCTGCGTTTTAGAGTTTCCAGTTTTTCTGTTCTGTTTTTTCCCCATCTTTGTGGTTTTATCTACTTTTGGTCTTTGATGATGGTGATGTACAGATGGGTTTTCGGTGTGGATGTCCTTTCTGTTTGTTAGTTTTCCTTCTAACAGACAGGACCCTCAGCTGCAGGTCTGTTGGAATACCCTGCAGTGTGAGGTGTCAGTGTGCCCCTGCTGGGGGGTGCCTCCCAGTTAGGCTGCTCGGGGGTCAGGGGTCAGGGACCCACTTGAGGAGGCAGTCTGCCCGTTCTCAGATCTCCAGCTGCGTGCTGGGAGAACCACTGCTCTCTTCAAAGCTGTCAGACAGGGACATTTAAGTCTGCAGAGGTTACTGCTGTCTTTTTGTTTGTCTGTGCCCTGCCCCCAGAGGTGGAGTCTACAGAGGCAGGCAGGCCTCCTTGAGCTGTGGTGGGCTCCACCCAGTTTGAGCTTCCCGGCTGCTTTGTTTACCTAAGCAAGCCTGGGCAATGGCAGGCGCCCCTCCCCCAGCCTCGCTGCCGCCTTGCAGTTTGATCTCAGACTGCTGTGCTAGCAATCAGCGAGATTCCGTGGGCGTAGGACCCTCCGAGCCAGGTGTGGGATATAGTCTCGTGGTGCGCCGTTTTTTAAGCCGGTCTGAAAAGCGCAATATTCGGGTGGGAGTGGCCCGATTTTCCAGGTGCGTCTGTCACCCCTTTCTTTGACTCGGAAAGGGAACTCCCTCACCCCGTGCGCTTCCCAGGTGAGGCAATGCCTTGCCCTGCTTCGGCTCGCGCACGGTGCGCGCACCCACTGGCCTGCGCCCACTGTCTGGCACTCCCTAGTGAGATGAACCCGGTACCTCAGATGGAAATGCAGAAATCACCCGTCTTCTGCGTCGCTCACGGTGGGAGCTGTAGACCGGAGCTGTTCCTATTCTCAAACAGAAATTTTAAAAAGAAATAGTTTCTTTTACCCCTTATTGTTGGATGTTTTACGCCTCATTGAAATACTTTTGATTTCCACTTGAACAGTGCCTGATCCAATGAGAAAATTATTTTTGAGTGGCTGTCTCTGAACACATTTTTAAAAACCCAATTAGTATGCATAAATCTCAGAGTTCTAAGGTCAGAGCTGATAATAAAGGAAAACGTTTAGTACACAAAATTGAAAGCATAGTTATTCATAATTAAAACTCTACATGGACCCTGTTATTCTTTATCCACTTTTTCAAGCAAGATCAGTGAAGATTGAGCTTTACTTAATTTTATCATTATCGCCACTACTTCCTCCCACAATTAAAACTTCTTATTTTAAAATTCTTTTTGTTATAAAAATCTGCTGCCTCTGACAAAATCTAAAATAAAGGCAAAGAATTTGCTCTGCTTAATTTTCACTTCTTTCGTTCACATCTAAAATGCCATAAGTATTCAATTTCTGCCAGAAAACAGCTTTGGTCTCAATTTCCATGACTACTCAGACTGGATTCAGTAATTTCATGTTCTGGTATAATACCTCAGGTATATTTGACCCTTTGGCTTGAAGCAATAGAAGCAACCAGGAAATTATAACTGTGACCATTTCTGATATTCAATCCAGAAAGTCAAACTATGTGGAACCAAGGTGGCAATTGACATACTTCACTGTAATGCTTCTTCCTTTCTTCCTAGCCACACTTTTTATTTTAATAACAAAGATGGTCCACTTGTTACCTTAGCACTCTGATAGTAATACCTTTGTGGGGTTCTCTCATTCTCTTTATCAACACAGCTATCAGGATCCAAGGACCTTGTAGTAATTCCATTTAAACAGTGAATCAGTGATATGATCCTCAGGAACACAGCAATAGACACAGCTAGAAAAGTGAAGTTTCTGTGAAGATCAGTAAATGACATCGAAGGTACGCAATATATTCCCAGTTGAAGGTAAGGCTTTCTAGGTCCCCAAATTTCCCCACAGGAACATTCAGCTGTGGATGACACAACTAACATGGAGTAAGAATTGGACTAGGCATAAGAAATTCCCCTTGCCATCCTTATGGAGGTTCATAGCCTTCAAAAAGCCCTCCACAACCAACATGACTATTCTGGGCATTCTGTCTACCTTTCCACCAGCTTCAAAGCAACTACACACAATTCCTGAGTGTTTGCTTCAGGTATAGGTGAAGAAAGAGCAATTTTTCAAAAGCATCAGCCAGCAGTTCCAGGCTTTAAGCCTATCTGATGTTCAGCCTTACAGCACGACAATCAAACTTGTTATCTCACCCTGAAACTCCACTTTCCTTCTGTGTATCACATACTGATGGAGAGCATCAGCATACAGTCAATCAAGCAAAAGGGAACCTCCAAGCTATCTTTGACTTCAACTTTCTTACTCCTGCAATCTAATCAGGCTCCAACATCTGTGGATTCTTCCTGTAAACTATCTCTTAAATCCATCCCTTCCTCTCTCAAATCCATCCCTTCCTCTCTCTTCTTTCTAACCAATTCTTCATCTTCCTTTCACAAACAAACTTCATATTTTCTCTTTCTCTACACAATATTCCAAAGTAAGCCCATCTATTCTCTTGGACTAAAATGCCATCATTTTGCTGATGAGTCATAATTTTATCTCTGGCCAGAGGAATTCTCTAAATCTCAGACTCACACACTCCACATATCCAACATTCTACTTGTTTCCACTTAAGTATCTCAGAGGCATTGAAAACTTAGCATGTCTAAAATAGAACAATTAATTTTCCATCCAAAATCTATCCCCTCCTGTCAGTCTTCTCCATCTCAGTAAGTGGTATCATTTTCCACCCAGAAACTCAGTTCAGAGACAGTCATCCTTGATTCCTCCTTTTTCTTAACCCCCTATATCCAATCCATACAGCAAGTCATCCTGATGAACCTCAAGTATCCACACTTCTTCATCCCTATCATCACTGCCTTAGACAAGGCCATCATCATCCCACCATCATCTTTCATCTAGACTAGAACAAATGATGTCTGGTTTACATCATTCTACTCTTACTCCTTTCTAATGCATTCTCTATACCATATCAAGAACACTCTTTTAAAACATGACTTGGATCATACCACTTATTTAAAACCCCTCAATGGATTCCTGTTGCCTTTAAAACCCTTTACCATAGTGATACAAGGTACTGCATATCTCTAAGTCCTCAGCTCAAACCATTAACTCCCAATTTGAGTAATAAGCTCTAGTCCTACTGAGCTTCTTAAAGTTCCTATAAGCTGTTAACCTCTGTCCTGCTTCAGAACCTTTGCAAATGCTGGCCTGTCTGCCTAGAATGCTATTAGCAGTATTTGAATGATCAATTTCATCTCATCTTTTAGGTCTGAATTCAATTTTTACCTCCACAAAGAGGTTTTCTTATCATGTCTAAAGTAGGCCACTCTGATTACTCTTTAGCTAAACCATTTGTTTCCTTCATAAATATATTATTTGTAATAATTGTATTTGTTAGTCTGTCTCCTTGTTGTTGTTATTGTTGTTTGTCTATGAGGTTCCCCATAGTACCTGGCATATACTCAGAACTTAATGGTCTACTGTTTAATAAAATATTTTACATCTCTCCTTTGCTTAGAAACTTTTGATGTTTCTCAACTGTCCACAGAATAGTCTAAACCCTTTACTATAACAATTAGTACTCTTAACAATATGAACTTATATCTATTTTTAGCATCTTTCTTATTACTTCCAACTTTATTGTGAATAAGTTAGAATTCTGTTCCATTGTGAACAATGAAAAACATAATGTGCAATGGCTTAAACAAATAAGTGGACTATTTTTTTCTCATGTAGCAAAAATCTGGAAACAGGTCATTAGGACCAGTGTGGCGGCTCAAAAATGTCACAGGGAAAACAGACTGTTATGTCACTGATAATATGTGGCTTTGGTTTTTATGGTTGTGAATGGGTTACTGAATCTTCAGGTGTTAAATCCACATTCCAGGTCAGAAGAAAGCCTTCTTCAGCCATATACAGAAGATTGAAACTGGACCCCTTTATTTCATCATGTACAAAAACTAACCAAAGATGGACTAATGACTTAAATGTAAGACCTAAAACAATAATGAAAACCCTAGAAGAAAACCTAGGAAATACCACTTTGGACATTGGCCTTGGCAAAGAATTTATGACTAAGTCCCTAAAAGCAACTGCAACAAAAACAAAAATTGACAAGTGGGACCCAATTAGACTAAAGAACTTCTGCACAGCAGAAAAAATACTATCAACAGAGTAAAGAGACATCCTACATCATGGGGGAAAATATTTGCAAACTATGCATCTGACACAAGTCTAATATCCAAAATCCATAAGAAATTTAAACAAATCAGCAAGCCAAAAATGAATAACTCCATAAAAAATGGGCAAAGGACATGAACAGACACTTGACAAAAGAAGACATACACGTGTCCAACAAACATGAAAAAGTACTCACCATCACTAATCATTAGAGAAATGCAAATTAAAACCACAGTGAGATATCATCTCACACTTGTCAGAATGGCTATTATTAAAAAGTCAAAAACAACAGATGCTGGCAAAGTTGCAGAGAAGGGGAATGCTTATGTACATTCCCACTATTGGTGGGAATGTAAGTTAGTTCAGCCACTGTGTAAAGCAGTGTGGAGATTTCTCAAAGAACTTAAAACAGAAATACCATTCAACCCAGCAATCCCACTATTGGATATATACTCAAAGGAAAATTAATTGTTCTACCAAAAAGACACAGGCACTGGTATTTTCATTGCAGCACTATTAACAATAGCAAAGACATGGAATCAACCAAGATGCCCATCAACAGTGGACTAAAGAAAGAAAGTGTGGTACATATACACTATGGAATACTATGTAGTCATAAAGAAGAATGAAATCATGTCCCTTGCAGCAACATGGATGCAGCTGGAGTTCATCATACTAAGCAAATTAGCTCAGGAGCAGAAAACCAAATATCCCATATTCTCACTAAACACTGAATACACATGGACACAAAGATGGGAACAGTAGACACTGGGGACTGCTTCAGTCGGGAGGATGGGAAAGACGTATGGGTTAGAAGGCTACCTATCAGGTATTATGCTCACTACCTTGCTGATAGGTTTATTTGTATACCAAGCCTCAGCAACATGCAATTTACCTATGAAACAAACCTGCACGTGTACCCCCTGAACCCAAAATACAGGTGGCAAAAAAAAGAAAGCCTCATTCTTTGCTGTTGTTTTCTATTTAGTCAGAAAAACAAGCCCTTCCCAGAAACTTCTACCTACATCTTGTTGACTAGAACTGTGTCACAGGACCACCTCAAACAAGGGACACTGAAAGGTTGTGTATTTTTAGTTGGGTGCATATTCTGATTTGGAAAAAATCAAAGAATTATGAGTAAAGAAGGAGGGAGAATGGATATCAGGTAGGGTCTTATTCTGATTTGGAAAAAATAAAAGACTTATGAGTAAAGAAGGAAGGAGAATAGATATCAGGTAGGGTCTATCAGTATCTACCTCGCCATGCATCATCATGTTCTCCAGCCATATCGGACTATTTTTCACAGTTCTGTGAAAATACTATGCAATTTTACAAAGCTTTTATATCTCTTTGCTCCTGCTGTTATCTCTACTTGGAATGTCCTTCTCTTGCTTCTCAACCTAAAAAATTCCACTCATCTTTCAAGGTTGACCTTAAATGCCTCCTATCTGAAGCTTTCCTTTATCCTCTGAGCCAGGATTAATGTTCTTTGAATTCCTGGGAGGTGGTAAAGGAAACAAGGGCTTTGTCTTATGGTTCTATCATAAGCATTTAAACAAATGTCTAAAATATTGTAAATAATCTAACAGTGCTAACCAAACTGAAACAGGGGAGAAGTCCAGGAGGAAGTTTCTGTCTTTTAATCTTCACAATAATCCCATGAGGAAGCTGTTACTCTTATTTCAAAGATAAAGAAACTAAGCCACAGAGAAATGAAGTGACTTGTCTAAAACCAAACAATAAAGTGGTCCTAGAAATGAATTAATTAAGAACTATCCCTTTGCTTTCCCCACCATCTCTCCCCACCACCTTTTTTTTTCTTTTTTTTCTTTTTTTTTAATCCAGGTCTCACAAGATAAAATTCATGGGCAGGCCTCTCATTTCTGTAAATAAAGTTTTACTGGAACATGGCCATGCCCATTCCTTTATGTTTTGTCTATATTGCTTTTGCACACTAATACAGAAGAGTTGAGTCACTGAGACAGAGACCGTATAGCCTGCAAAGCCTAAAATATTTACTATGTGGCTCTTTACAAAGTAAGTTTGCTGATTTCTGTATTAAACTGAAAGATCAATGCCATTAAAAGGATGTTTAAAATTATAGTTTTATAGTAACATTATGAGGGAAAAAAGAGTAAGATTCTTGTTTGAGAAAGATGTAGCATTTAAAAAATGACAGAAGGAAAAAGGGAATTCAGTAGTTCTGAATTTTTTCTGTGTTCAACAAGAAAGAGAACAAGCATTCAAAAGAATTGAGGTGAAAAAGGAATTGATTAACCATTACGAGAATACTTCTTACCTCACATGGCTGTTGTAAAAACAGGATGAGCTAAGACATGAGATAAGGCACAATGCCCAGCATACAGTCAAGACTCAATAAAAGTACCTACACTCCAATGTGGCCCAATTTTCATCAGGTATTGTCGCTGCTGGACATGATCCTCCTGTATTGTTAGGACTGCTCTTTAGGGTCAAGGGAAGAAAGAAAGGTCATTTTTACTGTTTCACATCCAGAATTCCATAAGGTTTGAAAATCGCCCTGATCTGTCTTGGTTCCATTTTCTCCAGAGCGCCATTTGCATATCCTGAAGGAAATTGCAGTCACAGGTAGAAAGCAATCAAGTCTGAGCCTATTAACTTTCTCTCTGTCGGTCTAGCCCAAACAGCCCCATTTGTTACCATCACTGCTCTCTCACACAGGAGGAGCCAGGTGCTGGGGAGACAGCATGGGAATAAGGGAGTCCCAGGGCAACTTCAGTAAAGTCCAAAGCAGTGCTCATCACAATCATCTCGATATTCCTTGGAGAAAAGCTTTCCAGATGTATGAGGAGAAGAAAAAGCCTGCCTAGTTAGAGCCTTACATAACCTCAGTGCAGAAACCAGCTGGGTCCTAGCAATGGCAATACAGTCGTCTCACTTAAGGCCTGTGCACTTACCAGAGGCTACATTATTAATGATCTGAGAAAGAGGGCAAATTGTAATTTGGAGGAGGTGAGCAGGGAAGAAACAACAGCCATCAGGATCAAAGAAGCAAAACATTCAACATAAACTACGACTTTTCCTACCAGAAATACCTTATTTACAACAGGGGGTTTGGGCTTTTAGGGAGCTGAGCCTTAGTGCCTGTTTTCTGTGGTGGCTTGTTTTATAGCACAGGTTGAGCTCTGGAGAGAAGCTGTTATGGAGCCAAGTCTTCTTCTATATCCTTAATGATTGCAAAGTGTCTGGATTTACTGCATGAAAAATGCAGGCTATAAAAGCAGAGTGGTGCATGCTCTATAAAAACTGCTATTTGTTTCTCTTTAATAGAATACAGTCAAATCTTGGCAATATTCAGTCAAAAGTTGCAGTTGGAGAGCAATAATAAATAAAATACTCCTTAATAAAGCAGTTAAACAGGAGATATCCAATCATTAAGGCTTTCATTAAGTACACTGCAGGATTACTACGCAGAGCAACCAAGCATACCAAACCCCATGTAAATTATAATCCTCAGAGATTCGTGCGCTCCCTCATTGATGTGAATAATTCTGACAACCTTGCAAATAGTAATGGTTAAGACATCAAAACAAAACACAGCATTAAGGAGACATGAAGGCCCTACCCTAATAGACCCACTTTTGCTTATGCTGAAGGAATGATTCCTTATGTACATGAATGCATGAAGTAGCCATCTTTTTTTTCCTGCCTCTTGAATGAACATCCTTGATTGCCTACATTCTTAAAACTCAGGAAAATATTGGGAAATATTGTTAATTAGTAGCTACCAAAGCTATCTGCAACAGACTATAGGATATATATTGATAAGCTTTTGCCAATTCATTATAGCCAATAAATATAATTTCTCCTTACAGGTCCATTTTCTGAAGTGTGCATTCTGTTTCTATAGCAACTTTCATTTTGTTAACCTGTTACTCACATTAAAAGTCTGTTATTTTTAGCATAACATTTCCAAAAGTCTTTGACAAAGAAACATGGGAAAAGATTGCAGCTTGAAGATGAATGTGATGTTCAGTATGAATTCTAATATGCATAATATTTGGTCAGTACATCATCTATGGTAAGATTGCAGAAATATAGATTTGTTAAATTGTGAATGTTTATGGGCTTTGCAGAAAAAAATACCATATCATATATCTTTTTTTTGGAGCAAGGTAAAGTGTAAATAAATAAGAATATCGAAATGGATTTATCTTTTTAAACAGATTTTATTGCTGAGGATTTTTTTTGTGTGTGGTAGAGCCAATGTTTTTGCTGTTGGATTGCAGTTTTAAAGACACTGCGGTAATATTAGAACATGTGGGATTAATGGAATAAATTGTAGCTATGAAAAAGTTATGTAACAAGAAACCGAATTGTGGGGGAGAAAGTAGTTCTGTAGATATCTGACACTCAAAATGAATTGTGACATAGCCTGCCCTTTGATCATCCCACAAACGAATTGCCTCTTCTTTTTCCAAAATATTGTCTTATCTTTCTATTCCCTGTCAAAAATGAAGTCCAGTGTAGCTTGATATAGCATGACTGGGAATGAACAACTTATGAACACTCTGCCTGCCTGATTTCCTCCTTTGGATTTGGGTGGGGAAAACATTGCTCTTTGTTTACTAGAAGTGATCCTGTAAATTAAACTTGACATGAATTCTAGGTGGGGACAATTATTTTCTAATGTTCTAGCTAGTATTCTCTAATGATTAGAAAGGCAGTGGAGTAGAATTAGGAAGAGCCTGGCTTCTGGAACGAGACTGCCTGGGTTTAAATCCCAGACTCATTATTTAGTAACTGTGTGACCTTTAGCAATTCACATATCTAAGCCACACTTCAGTTTTCTCATTTGTAAAATACGGATGATAATAGTACCCACCATAGAGTTGTTGTGAGAGTGAAATAATTTATATATGTAAAATGTTTAAAAGAGTACCTCACATATAGCCAGATTTATCAGTTTATCTCTTTTTATCTTTTAACTCATTTTTTTTATTCCTTATCCTCAGTCAGCATAGCTTTCCTTTACTGCCTTAAATAGGAAATACATGCATATATACATGCACACACAAACAATTATTCATTCTTTTATTGTCTGGCTGATACAGCAGAGTGTGAACTAATATGTATAGTAGAAATACGTATTACCCCCAAGACTGCATCTTGTATGGGCTCACAGCTCCCTAACACACACAGACTCAAGGTGATAGGTCCTAAAGGGCATTGACCATGTCTCCTCTTGCCCAGGTTTATTGAGGTATAACTTATTTATAATAAAATACACCATTTTAGTGTACAGTTCTGTACATCTTGACAAGTGCATATAGTAATGACTGCCATGTCAAAATATACATTTCCATTACTCCCCAAATTCCCTCATACCCCTTTATAGTCATCATTCCTCCTTCCACCACCCCCCCTACCCTGAAAACTACAGATCTATTTTCTGCTCCTATAGTTCTTCCTTTTCCAGAGTGCCATATAAATGGAACCATACTGTATGTAATCTTTTAAGTCTGGCTTCTTTCACATATAATAACACATTTGAGATTTATCCATGTTGTATGTATCAGTAGTTCATTGTTTTTACTGGTGAATAGTATTCCATTGTATGAACATGCCACAGTTTTAGAATTCAGTTTTAAGCTCTTCCCAAAGGTACAGTGGGTCTTTTGCCTGCTCCAAGAATGTATAATATCTAAACAAGATGAGGATCATATAAAGTCTTTCAAAAATAAGAGATATCTGATGTTACCTGACATAATGGAGACTCCTAGGAGCTTGAGGCATTAAAACCTATTAAACTGTTGCTTGATATGGTTTGTGGAATCTTCTGTCTATGGTTCTGGTTGGGAGGGGATAGAGAGGAGGGCCAGAAAAGTAACTTCAGACACAACTCCTATTTCTGGGAAGATTGACAATTAGTAGAGAAGAACAAATGCAATCAAGTACAAAAGGTAAACAAATACATCTTAATCAGACAGAGTTATAGATATAAAAGCTATAGCTTTGTCCTCCCCATCAATTCCCCACAGAAGAAACATGAAGTGTATGGAATGTGTTAAGTGAATAACTAAGATGACCCCAATTTGAGGGCTCCTAGAGGCAAAGCTTGCCTTACTCATATTTGCTTGCCTCTTCTCCTCTTAGCTCATGGTACATGATCATTGGTAGGTGCTTGCAAACTATCTATTTAATGAATGAGAAATTTACTCTTGGTAGAAATGCTAACATGTAGGATGTTGTGAATTCAGCCCATGGTCTCTTAAAACTCACATCTTTTCATGGCTGATCTGGGCACAGATACAAAAATTTCTGATAGTGCTCTTTCTACACTGCCTTCCTAAGACTTCCCAACCTGATCATAATTCCTCTCAACAAAGTGGTCAAAGACTAAAGACTTGATTTCCTCTGTTGCCAATGAAGGAGAGGTTGGGGAGGAAACATTTTTTAACACTGCTTTCTAGTGATCCACCCCAAGTATTTGAAGATCTATATCAGCCTGTCTTCTGAGGAACACTTTTCCCTTTACTAATTTTCAGTTGTCTATTTTTGAAAGCAAGACTGAATATTATCAGTCATTTGACCCTAAAGTCATAGTCTCATAAAAGTCAACCTTCTTCCCATTTGGACACTTTCCACTACTGTCAAAATATTCTTGCTATAAATGATAAGAGTAAGTATATGAAGAAAAATTGCTTGATAATCTCTGTCTGAGTAAAGGCTAATTACTCCCATGAGCAAGACTAGAATTTTAAGTGTAAAATTTTGATACCCGTTAAATTTTTCTGAGCTCAATTTCCATGACTAGTAAGTATGTGCACACTCACATTTACTATTATGAATTACAGCATTTGCAGAAAGATTTCTAGTTCAAGTCACCTGTAAAGGGGCTACTTACCTTGTATGCTCATTCTGCTCATCTGTGCTATAGTTATTAACATCTAGACCCACCGAGTTCAAGTACTTATCTATGGACAGATCTGGAAGGAATTAAAACTCCAAAAATAACAAAAACTGAGAAAAAGTGAATGTATACAAAGGGGAGATAAATATATACAGTTAACATTAACATAATCATACACAACGAACTATAAATACTGGCCTTTAAGTAAAAAATTCTTTCTTCCTACTTTGCTCCAAAATGGATTTACCATATTAGTCATAGAGGATGGAAAGATATTTGGCTAGAATTCTGAATCTCTAAATCCTCAGCCAAGCTGCTGATGTCATGAGAGGCAGAATTGATGAAAGGATGCTCCAGTCAAATGTGGGAGCTCTGGTTCCTTCTGATCTAGATTGAAACAAAGGTTTCCCTTTGTGTTTCTATATGAAGACATTTTAGACGTGACTGGGTGGTCTCCAGGGCCCCTCATCCCCAGGAACAATTGCTAATTTTTTTTTTTGAGAGAGGGTCTCACTCTGTCACCCAGGCTGGAATGCAGTGGTGTGATCACAGCTCACTGCAGCCTTATCCTCCTGGGCTCCAGCTATTTTCTTGCCTTGGCCTCCCAGGTAGCTAGGACTACAGGTGTGTGCCACCATGCCCTACTATTTTTTAAATTTTTGTGTAGAGACAGGGTCTCACTGTGTTGCCCAGGCCAGTCTTGAACTCTTAGGCTCAAGTGATCCTCCCACCTCAGCCTCCAAAATGGCTGGAATTACAGGCATGAGCCACTGTACTCAGCCCAATTGCTAATCTTGAGCTTCAGCATCTTTCCGTTTGACTGTGAGTAGAGAGTTAAGGAAGCATTAAATCAAGGCAAAGGATACCAAGACAAGTACCTATTCCCTCCAGAAACAAGAGCAGATCTATCCTGTGCTGACTGCCCATATACTTGAGGAAGAAATTACTCTGAGAGAGTCCATTCAAAAGAAAGCTAAAACCCAACACCAAAGAAAGGATGACTAAGAACTTCTTCAAACCAAGATGCAGTAACAGGGACAGGATCTACCTTCCCATCTGAAACAGTGGGACAAAATAGATGAAACAATTGTCATTAAATCATTGGACATCAGGCTACGAAGGATACAATTCCTGATAAGCTAACAGAATTATCCCTACTACTGCCCAATGTACTGCATTGAGAGAGTTTCCAGGCCACTGTGGCAAACTCAAATAGAATGTGTCAAACTTCCTGGGTTGAAGAGACATTGCTAAGAGGCCTAGGAGAGCAAGACATCTGGAGTTAACAAAAGAGAGCAATAACAAGAGAGCTGCACAGGAGGAAATTATGGAGATTTACAGAAAATCCACCTCAAGTATTCAGCAGAGCACCAATCAGCAGTTGCATTTAAGAAAACTACCCAAGACCAATGAAAGGACCACCGAAAAGTTTTAGAGAAAGGAATACTTGGTACTAAGACAACTCCAGTAATTGTGCTGTTTTAATTGGCCAGACTGGTAATTTTCATAATTCATGTAGTGTTGAGTAATCAGAAGAGCCTTGCTTCAGTAGTAGAGATTAGACCTAGATTAAATGCTGCTCTATTCCTGACAAACATCTTAAAAGCAAGACCCCGAAAGATCAAACTGTTTCCAGGTAAATTAACTTTATCCCAGAGCAAGCTGAAGAATATTTATAAGAATACAAAAACATCCAGCATCCAAGAAGGAAAAATTCACAATTCCTGACGTCCTATTAAAGATTACCAGGCAACAAAAACACACCCAGAACTGACACAGATATTTGAACTAGAAGACAGTGATGTTAAAATGGTTAATATAACTCTATTCCGTATGTCCAAAAAGCTAGAGGAAAGATTGAACATGTTAAGTAGAAACATTAAAGGATTTTTTTAAAAGACCCAAAGCAAAATTATAGAGATGAAAATAATTATGTATGAAATTAAAAATATACTGGATGGGATGAATGATAGATAAGACATTAAAGAATAAATAATTAACAAACTTAAAAACACAGCAATGGAAACTATCTGTAATAAAACACAGAGAGAATGTAAGAATGAAAAAAAAATGAACAGATCATCAATGAAACGTAGGACAACTTCACACATTTAACTTACATGTAATTGACATGCATAAAGGAGAGAAAAGATAAAAGGAAACAGAAGAAATATTTGAAGAAATTATGGCCCCAATTCTTCAAAATGTAATAAAACTAAAATGTACCTTCATTTTACTTTAAATGTATTAAGTAAATGTGTGACAACAAAAGAACAAAGCCCAGAAACAAAGAAATGAAAGTATACTGTTTAAGGTTATTACACTTCACATGAGGTGGAATAATATCAAATGAAGTCAGACTGGGATAAATTAAAAATGTATACTATAAACCTTAAAGTAACCACTAAAAGAGCAAAACAAACGGTTATAGCTAATAAGCCAACAAAGGAATTGAAAAGGAATTATAAAAATAATTACTCTAAAAGAAGGCAGAGACAGAAGAAAAGAGGAACAAAAAAATGAGAGAAATAAAACAAACATAAAATGATAGGTGTAAACTTAACAACATTTATAATCACATTAAATGGAAATGGTCTGAACATTCCAGTTAAAAGGCAGAAACTGTCAGATTAGAATAAAAAAATTCCATTGTATGCTGCCTATAAGAAACATGCTTAAATATAAATGCACAAATAGGTTAAAAGTAAAATAATGGGAAAAAATATATCATTCTAATGCTACTAAAAAAAGCTGGAGTGACTATATTAATAATTACTCAAAGAAAGTGAAAAAATATACCCAAATAAAGATTTATATACTAGTGTTCAATAGAAACTTTATTTGTAATAGCCAAAAACTAAAAACAACCCAAATGACCATTAACAAGTGAATGGATCAAGAGAAAGCAGGAAAGATCTAAAATTGACACCCTAACATCACAATTAAAAGAAGTAGAGAAGCAAGAGCAAACACATTCAAAAGCTAGCAGAAGGCAAGAAATAACTGAGATCAGAGCAGAACTGAAGGAAATAGAGACACAAAAAACCCTTCAAAAAATCAATGAATCCAGGAGCTGGTTTTTTGAAAAGATCAACAAAATTGATAGACCGCTAGCAAGACTAATAAAGAAGAAAAGAGAGAAGAATCAAATAGACCCAATACAAAATGATAAAGGGGATATCACCACTGATCCCACAGAAATACAGACTACCATCAGAGAATACTATAAACACCTCTATGCAAATAAACTAGAAAATCTAGAAGAAATGGATAAATTCCTTGACACATACACCCTCCCAAGACTAAACCAGGAAGAACTTGAATCTCTGAATAGACCAATAACAGGTTCTGAAATTGAGGCAATAATTCATAGCTTACCAACCAAAAAAAGTCCAGGACCAGATGGATTCACAGCCGAATTCTACCAGAGGTACAAGGAGGAGCTGGTACCATTCCTTCTGAAACTATTCCAATCAATAGAAAAAGAAGGAATCCTCCCTAACTCATTTTATGAGACCAGCATCATCCTGATACCAAAGCCTGGCAGAGACACAACCAAAAAAGAGAATTTTAGACCAATATCCTTGATGAACATTGATGCAAAAATCCTCAATAAAATACTGGCAAAACAAATCCAGCAGCACATCAAAAAGCTTATCCACCATGATCAAGTGAGCTTCATCCCTGGGATGCAAGGCTGGTTCAACATATGCAAATCAATAAACATAATCCAGCATATAAACAGAACCAACGACAAAAACCAATGATTATCTCAATAGATGCAGAAAAGGCCTTTGACAAAATTCAACAACGCTTCATGCTAAAAACTCTCAATAAATTAGGTATCGATGGGATGTATCTCAAAATAATAAGAGCTATTTATGACAAACCCACAGCCAACATCATACTGAATGGGCAAAAACTGGAAGCATTCCCTTTGAAAACTGGCACAAGACAGGGATGCCCTCTCTCACCACTCCTATTCAACATAGTGTTGGAAGTTCTGGCCAGGGAAATCAGGCAGGAGAAGGAAATAAAGGGTATTCAGTTAGGAAAAGAGGAAGTCAAATTGTCCCTGTTTGCAGATGACATGATTATATATCTAGAAAACCCCATTGTCTCAGCCCAAAATCTCCTTAAGCTGATAAGCAACTTCAGCAAAGTCTCAGGATACAAAATCAATGTACAAAAATCCCAAGCATTCTTATACACCAATAACAGACAAACAGAGAGCCAAATCATGAGTGAACTCCCATTCACAGTTGCTTCAAAGAGAATAAAATACCTAGGAATCCAAGTTACAACAGATGTGAAGGACCTCTTCAAGGAGAACTACAAACCACTGCTCAAGGAAATAAAAGAGGATACAAACAAATGGAAGAACATTCCATGCTCATGGGTAGGAAGAATCAATATCGTGAAAATGGCCATACTGCCCAAGGTAATTTATAGATTCAATGCCATCCCCGTCAAGCTACCAATGACCTTCTTCACAGAATTGGAAAAAACTACTTTAAAGTTCATATGGAACCAAAAAAGAGCTCGCATTGCCAAGTCAATCCTAAGCCAAAAGAATAAAGCTGGAGGCATCATGCAAACTATACTACAAGGCTACAGTAACCAAAACAGCATGGTACTGGTACCAAAACAGAGATATAGACCAATGGAACAGAACAGAGCCCTCAGAAATAATGCCACATATCTACAACTGTCTGATCTTTGACAAACCTAACAAAAACAAGAAATGGGGAAACGATTCCCTATTTAATAAATGGTGCTGGGAAAACTGGCTAGCCATATGTAGAAAGCTGAAACTGGATCCCTTCCTTACACCTTATACTAAAATTAATTCAAGATGGATTAAAGACTTAAATGTTAGACCTAAAACCATAAAAACCCTAGAAGAAAACCTAGGCAATACCATTCAGGGCATAGGCATGGGCAAAGACTTCATGTCTAAAACACCAAAAGCAACAGCAACAAAAGCCAAAATTGACAAATGGGATCTAATTAAACTAAACAGCTTCTGCATGGCAAAAGAAACTATCATCAAAGTGAACAGGCAACCTACAGAATGGGAGAAAATGTTTGCAACCTACTCATCTGACAAAGGGCTAATATCCAGAATCTACAAAGAACTCAAACAAATTTACAAGAAAAAAACAAACAATCCCATCAACAAGTGGGCAAAGGATATGAACAGACACTTCTCAAAAGAAGACATTTATGCAGTCAACAGACACATGAAAAAATGCTCATCATCACTGGCCATCAGAGAAATGCAAATCAAAACCACAATGAGATACCATCTCACACCAGTTAGAATGGCGATCATTAAAATGTCAGGAAACAACAGGTGCTGGAGAGGATGTGGAGAAACAGGAACACTTTTGAACACTTTTACACTGTTGGTGGGACTGTAAACTAGTTCAACCATTGTGGAAGTCAGTGTGGCGATTCCTCAGGGATCTAGAACTAGAAATACCATTTGACCCAGCCATCCCATTACTGGGTATATACCCAAAGGATTATAAATCATGCTGCTATCAAGATACATGCACACGTATGTTTATTGCGGCACTATTCACAATAGCAAAGACTTGGAACCAAGCCAAATGTCCAAGAATGATAGACTGGATTAAGAAAATGTGGCACATATACACCATGGAATACTGTGCAGCCATAAAAAATGATGAGTTCATGGCCTTTGTGGGGACATGGATGAAGCTGGAAACCATCATTCTCAGCAAACTATGGCAAGGACAAAAAACCAAACACCGCATGTTCTCACTCACAGGTGGGAACTGAACAATGGGAACACATGGACACAGGAAGGGGAACATCACACACCGGGGCCTGTCTTGGGGTGGGGGAGGGGGGAGGGATTTCATTAGGAGATACATCTAATGTTAAATGAAGAGTTAATGGGTGCAGCACACCAACATGGCACATGTATACATATGTAACTAACCTGCACATTGTGCACATGTACCCTAAAACTTAAAGTATAATAAAAAACAAACAAACAAACAAACAAGTGAATGGATAAACAAATTGGGGCATATTCATGTAATGAAATATCATTTAGCAATATAAGTAAATGAATTATTGATACACACAACAGTATGTACGAATTTCTACATACTTATGCTAAGTATTAACAAAAGGCGCCAGACCAAGAAGGAGTACATATAGTATAATTTCATTTCTATAGAATTCTAGAAAATGTAATGTTTATAGTGACAGAAACATATCAGTGTTTGCCTGGGGACAAGAGTGGGGACTGGAAAATATGAGAGGAAGAGATTAGCAAGTAGAAAGAAGAAACTCTTGGAGGTAATGGATATGATGGTTATCTTGATTTTGGTGATAGTTCCATGGACAACACATATGTCAAAACTTATCAAATTGTACACTTTAAACATGTGCAGTTTATTGAGTGCCAATTATACTTCAGTAGTTTTTAATTAAAGAAAAAGAATCTTTTGAATATGCTTTACAAAGTCAAAGTTCAATCCTCAAGATTAACTGGTGTATCCTGCCCTGACCCATTCCAACACTCTTCATTCCTGAGGATAAATTTATGCCGAGGGAGGGAGGCAGAAAACAGCCTTATTTTACACACACACACACACACACACACACACACACACACACACACACGCACACAGCAAAAAACAAGTGAGAAAATGAGAAAATGTACATTAAAAAAAAAAAAAAAGTAAGTTGGAAGCCAGATGTGAGGTTAGGAAACAAAATGCTTAGTGTAAAGACCTGTGTACGCACAAGATAGGAGGCATAAATTTCTAAGTTCTCTAGAGATTAACACAAAGAAGGAAGAAAGTTATTCAAGATGGTCAGAAAATAAAAACAAACAAAGGGTTCAGGGGTAGTACAGCAGAGGCCAGACAGGAATTTCTTCCATGGGATCACAGAAAGAAGAGATATCTAATGCAATAAAAATATCCAAACAGCCTCAGCAACATTGTACAATAAATACAACTACTTTTGTTGAGTTTTTCTTGCAGTGTTCTTCAATATTGTTCAATAACATAAAAAGTGTGATTCAAAAAAAACAGGATGTGGGGGAGAGAGACGGGCACAAACAACACAGTCCAGGTATGTATGTCTCTCTTATGGTCTAGGTTAATCCAAGGATAATTTTAGAGCCTCTGGAGAAATAAAGGTTTACATGTGTCTTGGCTGTCCTTCATTTGTAGAATGAGGGTTTTGTTGATATTAATTGAGAGTGAATTCAAGGTTATACTCCCTGAATGTATCTAAAGTACATATATACTATGTTGCTAGTAAAATGAACATCTCAAAGTTAAAAAAATTTAAAATGTAGAAGTTGGGCAGTCAAAGGAACACAAGTGTTCAGCTGCTCATAGAGGTAGCCAAGAAACTATATGCAGAGAAGGCCCTGGATTTTCTAAAAAGTAATTTGGGATCCTCTCTTCCATATGAATTTATAAGTGATTAGAACTCAAAATTCATCCCATAGAACTGGCATGCAGGAATTTTAGCCTAAAAATCTTCCAAGTTGGTATTACCAAATGCTAACTATGACCATAGGATAGATACAGACGGAGGAAAGAGAGATAAGCAGATGAGGAGGCAGGTTTGCAGGTTGATAGCTAGTTACATATGTTGATAGATACAATGCCTAAATTTAAGAGAACATCTTAGGAAGCCCTCCCAAAAGAATTGACTGTTGAATATGACTTTATTTTTCAGCCAGACAATATTTACATGTTGCACAGTTGAGATAAGGGCGTTTCTTCCATCTAGACAGTGGGGAAGTCCATGATGGAATCTTTCAACTTGGTTCTAAATTATCTTTTCTTATTATTCTACAGGTTCTATTCATTCTTTCCTATAAGACTCATGTTGGTTTGGCCCCACTTGGTCCCCTATGTGTAATGCAGGTTTTAGACATTAATTACAGTAAATTCTCAGAAACCATAGGCAACCAATTCTAAATAATATTCTGGGAACTCTGCATATTTCTTTTTATTCATTTATTATCCTGAGAATGGTTTAGCTATTTATTTTCAGGGTTCTTGTCCTTTCGTCCCCTTTCCTAAGCACCTCTTTCTACCTCAATGCTCAGCCCTAGTACGGTAATGGGTAAGCAGCAGTAGCAGTGTAAACACTTCTGCTTTTATCAGCAACAGTAATTTCCAGATTGGCCCCAAATCTAAGAACAGATTCTTCAGTTAGATTACAAAGAAAGCTTTAGGCATTTCCTGTGTGACCCTCCAGCCCTGCAGCAATTTGGGGGCTTTCCCATTCACACCTGTAACTTTTAGAGTTGTGGTATTGTTAGTTCAGGATTCTTAATTGAACTGTCAATCAATTTTAAGCTCTCCTTTTTCAGTGACTTGCTCACGACTATACAAATGACCTTTCTGTGCCTCTGCACTGAAACCTTGCCCATGCATCTCAAGACTAAGGCCAAAGTATCCTCCATACCTGGTCCTTGGAAACCCCCTCTCTGTTTCATATTTGAGAGAGTCTCCCCATTTGCTTCCAGATAAGATGCACCTACACTATTAGGTCTCTAAGGCCCCTCCTTAACTACTTCTGACCTGGCCGTCCCCTCTATACCTTGCTACATCCTAGTCTGACTTTTCCTTATAGTCAGAGGTCCCTAGTTGCCCCCTGTTATACATAGATCTTCCTATCTTACTGCTACATCATTGCCTAATGGCATGATTGCCTAATGGCATGATAAGACCAGTGCATGCACGCTGCCTATCATTTGCAACTCACCATTCTTGAAATTTTACTGAAAGCCTTATCTCCTCCAAGACTCTTCCTATATTGTTCCAAACCTTCTCATTACAACGCTATTCTGCACAGGTATGTGTGGAAACAGTACTAATACCAAGCGGGCTGGGTTGCAGCCCAGTCTGTGACTGTGTCAGCTGTGTAATCTTGGATAAGTCACTTAGCTTGCCTTGGCCTCTCTTTGCTCATCATTAAAATGAGGATGATACTACTTAAACTCATTTGACCCACACAATAAGTTAGGGAGGTTCCTAGGAAAGAGCATTGCAAAAGTTCTACTCATTCTTTCCTGTGTGACTCACTGATTATGCCATATTGGTCCCCTGTAAATGCGGGTTTCTTTGTATGAGACCCTCATCATTAAGTAGAGTGAATTCTCAGAATCTGACGGCAATCAATGTGGCCATCAGACCAGCAGCATCAATATTAACTGGAAAGCTGTTAGAAATGTAAATTATCAGGCCTTACCCCAGACCTATTACATCAGAAATAGTGGGGTAGGCCCAATAAACTGTTTTAACAAGCTCTCCGAGTGATTCTGATTCAGTCTAAAATTTGATTGTCTAATTTCCTTCTAATAATTCTATTCATCTATACTAATATAGTTCTCTGTTTATTTAGCTGCTCCCTTGAGATTGGAAACTTTCTGAGAGAAGGGATATGTCCCAAATGTCTACCACCAGCACTCACTAAAATCCTGATGAAGGATTATTGTAAGGTAAATTATCTTAATATGAATCTGTATTGCAGCCTGAAAATATCAGTTAGCATTTTTCATTTTTACAAAGAAGATCATTGGATTCATAATACTCACAGAAAGATAATTAATTGACCCATTTATTTTTCACAAACTGTTGAAAAGATACCAGGCAAGACAGTGCCAAATGGAAAGCTCAGTTGCAACTCCTATATGCCTCCATCCTCAGACAATTTTCCTGGGTCTCCAAACGTCAGAAGCTGCAGTGAGCAGGGAGTAAGTAAAGGAAGGTGTGGGCGACTTAATGAAAGAAGCCCTGAACTTTACCCAGAGCCTTAACATTGCAATAAGTAGAGCGCCCTGTGCAATGATGCACCAGGCTTAAACAATCAACTGTGTTAACATTAACAAAGCCAGCTCCTGTACTTATATTCTGATTTTAATTACACTTGTGTTTTCAAAGCCAGACTCTGAATAAAAATGCAGCTACAAAGCCGTTGTAGGCACTATGTAGAAATTCTCTAAAGAATAAGTGACACTTCGGGGCCAGATCATTTTAAATTCTAAATGAAAGAGCCATATTTTCCACCTGATATCACTCTATGCACAAGATTCTGATATTCAGTGAAATCACTGAAAAATACACATCAGCAGAATGCAAAATGATCCTAATTTGGTCTCTTTCAGACACACTGTAATATAGCATAATACACATTAACATTAGAATTTGTACCGTACAGCCTGGTTATGTAATATTAGATATTGTCATTTTTGCTTTTTTTTCAAATACAATGCCTAATGGTTATTTGAATATAGTTTCACTTGGCTTAGATAGGCAAGAATATGTTCTAGATATTGTGCACACCTCATCCTAGAGTTATACCAAATAATGAAAGAACGATGTTGTCAGATGATCTTTCTGTCCTAGCAAAGTTAACTTCCTAGGGATTTCTTGTCATTTAATCTTACAAAAGTTTGGCATTTAGAAAAATACAAGTCCATGAAGGATTCTCAATATTAGTTTTCATGGACTTTTCTGTATTTCTGGTTTAGTTTTTTAAAAAGCAGGACAGCGAAAAACTAAGAAGTAATATCTTTCTGACTTGTGTGATTACAAAAAGGTCTTGCATTGGACTCACGAGGTAAGTAAATGTAATCTTTTCTCTTATTCTGTCAATATTGACTTTTAGGAAATTGTTCCTTTCAATGTAGGCTGGTACTCTGTGAAGCAGATTTAGTAATAAAACTCTGGGACCCTGTAGACTGTACACTTTTATTTTACTTTTTATTTAATAGTAATTTCTTTTCTTAATCTCATGTTGTCATGCATTTTTTCCACTCACTTGTCTTTCAAATGAATTTTCTTGTTTTTCAGGTTTTTCATTATGTTGAGTTGATTATTTAGTATTGAAAAACATAAGGGGGCTATATTTTCTCTGAATTGTAATTTTTTTTTACTCTGACCACTGAAAGATTTTCCTAAATCTTCATTCTTCAAGTATTCCTGACACATCTCAAAAATTGTATAATCAAATTGAATAGATTTTCCAGGTAGTTTTAAAAACTAAAACAGATGAAAGAAAACAGGAAGAAAATACAAAATTGGAACTGCCATTTCAGGTTCTTTGGCAAATATCAAGATATAAATAATTTTACAGTAACATCATTAAATTCACCTAATTTCAGTACCTATAACACTTATGTTTATTGGGCCAGAAAAAGAGATAAAAGGGAGTGCTAAAACTTATATTCATGAGTACATGTTTAAAAATATAATGGTTTCAATCTCACCTTCTACAAAGTCTCATGAATCTCTGACCTGTGGCCTTCCAACAATACACTTTTGAGAATTCAACTTTCTGCAGAGCTTTGCTACTCTTATAATTAAGTCCCAGGCCTGATTCTCCACTTTTTTTGCCCCATGGCTATAGGGAAGCCTCTTTATATGTTACCAAGGAGACCATCTGACTTTCACATTTAGCATTTAATTACCAATTCATCCATTTAGGTATTGCATTGCCTTTATCTAACAAAAAGGCCCCCAACTGCAGCTATCCAATCTCACAATCTTTAAAATTACTATTTCCCCTGTATATCCCAAATGCTTAAGATATTGCACCCAACAATGTATTCTGCTCCATCCATATTCCACAAGAGTTTACCACTGGTGAAAGTTATAACAATTATACCACGATAGCATGCCAAGGACTCTCCATATTCCACTGACCACCAGCATTGGGGTCATTATTGACAGCAAACCCCCAGGTGATCTATTTCCAAAATAGCAATTAGAACCACTTCCTACACGAATTGTCGTAGGTCAGGTTTCTGGAGAAACAAACTCTGAAACTGAGATTTGCACATAGAAAGTTTACTGGGGGATGCTTTTAGGCAAAAATACCTGCAGGAAAACAAAAGAAGCAAGATTGGTCAGAGGGAGAGGTTGAACTATAGTACAGTTGTACCAGCAGCTTTAGCCAGTCCAAAGGGGCAGCGCTAAAGCTGGCATGGTCTTTTGGAGATTCCCCACCACAAGGTAAAGAAGGCAGGCTTCTGTACACTGGCATTAATCAATTATGAAATACAACCTTAGGTGATGCAGCATCCTCTGGCCAGGGGTAATTCCCAGAGAAGACATAGCTGTGACCAGTCAGTAGCTAACACTCCAGGCAAATGGTAAAATAAGTGCAACTTTCCTGAAAGAAAATCTGAGTGGCATGGCATAGTATCCACTACATCCATAATACATGAAAAGACCTGCATTTGAATTAGCAAAAACGATTTAAAGTGAGAAGTCAATTCACAGAAACGAAAATTTAAGTGGAAAAAATATAAAAAGATGCTGAACATCATTAAAAGTTAGGGAAATTCAAATTAAAACAGCAAGATATTTTCTCTCATCAGATACCATATATTTTTAAAGATTAAAAATATTTAGTGGTGGCCGGGCATGGTGGCTCATGCCTATAATTCCAGCACTTTGGGAGTCCAAGGTGGGCAAATCACTTGAGCTCAGGAGTTCAAGACTAGCCTGGCCAACATGGTGAAAACCCGTCTCTACTAAAAATACAAAAATTAGCCGGGTGTGATGGTGCACACCTGTACTCCCAGCTACTCGGGAGGCTGAGGCACGAGAATCACTTGAACCTGGGAGGTGGAGGTTGCAGTGAGCCAAGATCACACCACTGCACTCTAGCCTGGGTGACAGAACGAGACTCCACCTTAATAAATAAATAAATAAATTGATGTAATTAAATTTTAAAAATATTTAGTGGTGATAAGGACACAGGGAAGTAGGAACTTCACATATTGCCAATGGGAATGTGTCCAAGAACATAATTGGACAAGTTGAACAGTATTTAATAGCATTTAAATGCAAAAGAAAATGCCGATTTGCCCTCAAATTCATGTATAGAGTTAATGCAATCCCAGTGAAAACCCAAGAAAATTGTTTGTATGAATTGACAAGCTAATTCTAAAATGCACACAGAAATGCAAAAGGTAAAAGATTACTGAGGCAGTTTTGAAGAAGAAAAACAATTAGAAAACTTTTATTACCAATATCAATACTTATAAAAAGACAAGAATTAAGATCAGGAGGTATTGATAAAATAAATAGACAAAACTTATAGAATAAAAAGCCCAAAACAGGCCATTCAGGTCACCACATATGTGGTCATCCAATTTACAATAAAGATGACAGCCACTGAAATGCAATGCGAATGGGTAGGCTTTTCAAGAAATAATACTGGGTCAATTAATTTGATTTCCATATGGAAAAAAATAAATCTTGACCTCTACCTTGTTCTTTAGTAAAATATGAGTTCCAAATGAGAGACAAACCTAAATGTTAAAGGCAAAATAATCGTTTCTGAAATAGCACTGTCCGATAGAACTTTGTGATATGAGATGGAAATACTCTGTCTCCATGCTGTTTAACACAGTGGCCATATGTAGTTATTGAGCAGTTGAAACTTGGCTAGCGTGACTGAGTAACTGAATTTTAAATTTTATTTAATTTAAACTTAAGTAGCCACATGTGGCTATTCAAATGCATGGCCAATTGGACATTGTGATTCTCGAAGATAACATAGAAGAATATTTATGACAATTATTTGATGTGTCAATTGGATTAGGCTGAAAACAAGTTCTCAGAAGTCGCTTTCTAGTATGTTTCTAGATGGGGGGTGGTTATGAGGGAGGTTCTCTTACAAGAGCTGGAGAATGGAAAGGAAGCAGCAGTCATTACATAACATACACAGGCCTTCTCCCAGATATTCATTCACACAAATAATCTGAGTGCTGCTGAAAGGGGATTTTGCAAATGTGATTCAAGTCCATAATCAGTTGACTTTAAGTTAATCAAAAGCGGTGTTACAGATTGCCTCTGCCTTATGACGGTTCAATTTATAATTTTTTGACTTTACAATGGGTTTATCAGGGTATTAAATGCATTTTCAACTTACAATTTTTGACTGAATATGCACTATTGGGACATAACCTCATTGTAAGTTGAGGAACATCTTTGCTGGCCTGATTTAATTAGTTTCAAGGGCTTTACAAAAGGGCTTAGGCCTTCCCTGAGTTTAGAGACCCAGATAGCATCTGCATCTACAATTGTTCTTCCTTTCCTCCTGGATCTTCCTCCCTGACTGCTGTCTGTGAACAATAAGATTTAGCTCACATATGTGCTATTTCAGCCTGTTGGTCATCTTCCCATCCTAACTGACTGCCTGTAGACAAGTGTATACCCATGCTTGTGGGTTTCCTGTCTGCTCATGATCCTGCCTTCCTGATTGCCTGCCATATCGATTTTGGGCTTGCTTAGCTACTTTCCACAAAATACACTAACAATAAGGGAAATAACTGGCCAATTGTACTCATTAAAATTAGCAACTTTTCTTTATCAAAAGACTATTAGAACAGTGAAGGCCCAGATATTTTATATATTATATATAATGTGCAGAATATGTTTAAATGCCTCCAAATCAATGAGAAACACACAACCCATTTCTTTCCTTTTTTGTTTTATGTACAGAAGATTTTAACAGGCATTTCACCAAAAAAAGTATCCAAACAGCCAATGAAAAGGTACTCACCTTCATTTGTTATCAAGGAAGTATAATTAGAACCACAGTGAGATTCACACCAACCAGAATGGCTAAAATTAAAACAACAACAATAGTAGTAAAGATTAGAAACCTACAATATCATGTGCTGACCAAGATGTGGAACAAGTGGTACCATTATATGCTACTGATGAGAGTACAAATTGGTATGTTTACTTTGGAAATCAGAGCAGAAGTGTGTGTGTGTGTGTGTGTGTGTGTGTGTGTGTGTCTGTGTGTGTGTGTGTGTTTTATCAATTTTCTCATTCTTGATTAGTGCTTTATCTATCCTGTTGAGAAACTTTTCCTACTCCAAGGTCATGACTATATTCTCTTGTAGGTTCTTCTAGAGGCTTTATAGTTTTATAGTTCAAGCTTTAACATTTAGATCTATGATCCATGTCAAATTAATTTTTAAATAACTGTGAGGGAGGGGGTCAAGGATCATTTTTTTTCCATACAGATATTCAGTTTCTCCAGATTCACTCATTGAAAAGACTCCTTTTCTTCCATCAAACTGCATTGGCATTTCTAGTTCTTTATATCTTACACTGGAGTTTAAAAAAGGAAGCATGAAAAGACATATCGGATGATCCTATTTGGTAAAAGAATAAAAAGTTTGGGATTTTAAAATGAGAATCTAGAAAGATATAGAAGTTGTACATCAAACATATCAGGTTTGTTACCTTGAACAGGGGCAGAGATTGAAGGGATGGAGGAGCAGATTATGAACTATCTCTTTTTAAGCATCTGTGTTATTTGACTTGTTATGCAATATCTCTTTATTCTTGTAACTTAAAATAGTTGTGATAAAATAATAAAGCAAGACAAAGTATCAGAAGCAAAACAAGGATGTGATCTTTCCCTCTTTTGAAATTTTTCTTCTGGGCCGTAACATCTTCTGCCTTGCATCAAAGATATTTGTATATTTGTCCTGGTTGCTGCTCTTAAAGAACTTGTCGTCAAGTAGTGGGACGACATTATAGCCATCTTTGCAACCCCACTGCAGCCCCTTCCAACACAGTGGATGGTTATAATTGAATGAAAGAAGATGAGCAAAGCAGGAGTTTCTCCTCAGTTTGGTTCCTTAGGTGATATTTGTGAATTAATTATTATATGGTAAATAATGATTTCCTTTGCATGAATGGTAGATCATTATATAGCTCTCTTTCATTTTAAAATTTCATTATTAATAGGAATGCAAGCCTTTTAAACTAGATACATAAAAAGATGAGTTCAAAAGGCGAGCTTTGAAAACTAGCACAGCCATTAACATGGACCACACTTCTTATTCTAAAAGCCATGCCGAGGATTCATCTGTTTCTCTCTTTTAACTTTTGCATCTAATTAATCTTTGTCTGAAGGGCATGTTCCTGGTATTCAAAAGCATGCCTCAATGGTGCTAATGTGTAGCAGAATGACCGTGAGTGAGAAAACAATTTTCACCCAATAGTTTTCCAGCCAATTATCTCTAAATGTACAAAGGAGGAGTATTTATTATGCTATCCTCTCTCACAAGCGAAGAACATTGAAAAATTAATTTTGTTTCCTTAGGAGAGATTACAAACTTATGGCGTAATATATTATAAATGGGAAATATATTGCTGATGTGATTTCAATATATCTCTGAATTTTCAGGCAGCCCTAAGGGGATCTCCAAATATTGTTTAGTTGTCTATAATGTATGCATAGTAAATAGGAAACTGCTAGAACAGGATGTAGGTATTGAGGTGAAAGTCTTTTTTAATACATGTGGAATTTTTACACATGCAGTATAGAAGTCAAACTAATGAATATTTAACCAAGTGGCTGCTCAGGCCTCAAAGAAGGAACACAAGATTGGCAAGAAATTGCTCCAATAAATTAAAAAGTTTCAGATCCATTAATGTCAACATCTATAATGCTACGTGTCTGTCTTATAATTTGCACAAACACTAGGAACAAAAGAAGGTAGCAAACAAAAATGAAAATTCACAACCTGGTGAAAGTTGCTTTGGATTAAGAGAAAATTTTAAAACCTATTTACAGGACCACAGTCATGTCCCCCCAGTACAGTTAGATCATGGAATATCTTGAATGCCTTGCTTTGTAGTGTTAAAAGAAAAATTTCAGCCAAATTAAATTTAAAGGAGTTTAATTAATTAATGAACAATTCGCAAATAGGGCAGCCCACCCCCGCAGAATCACAGCAGATTTAGAGAGACTCCAGTGTAGCCACGTGGTAGAAGATTTATAGACCAAAAAAAAGGGAAATAACATACAGAAATCGGAAGTGAGGTACAGAAACAACTGGATTGGTTACAGCTCAGCGTTTGCCTTATTTGAACACAGTTAGAACACTCAGCAGTGCATGAGTGGTTGAAGTATGGCTGCTGGGATTGGCCAAGACTCAGCTATTGTTACAGGCGCATACTCCTAAATTAGGTTTTCAATCTTGTCTACCTATTAAGTTAGGTTGCAGTTCATCCACAAGGACTTAAATACAGAAGTATGGAGTCCTTCTCAGACCATATTATTTCGCTTTAACAGTAGTCAGTAGTAAATTGCTATGAAGGTGTCATATGATCAGACATATGTTTTAAAAAATGACTCCATCACAGGAAAAAATACCATATGAACATCTCTACAAATGCCCCAAAGGATCTCGATAAAATTCAACACCTATTACTGACAAAACCCTAAGTATAAAAAAAAATATATAGGAACACTAATATTACATTTTCTCTGCACCAGGTACTGTTTTATATATTTTTAAAATGCATACATTGTTAAATCTTCATAACAAATCCACATGTTAAAACTATTATTGTAGAGCATGGCCCTTTTATGAAGCAGATAATTTAATATATCCAGAGCAGAGAGTGCATTGAGGAAACAAAAGCTGGGGTTATATTATGGGAGTTCTTGAATGCCTTGCTAAGGAATTATGCATTATTTTATGCAGTCATAAGGAGTCCGAACAGGAGTGTTACCTGATCAGATGGGTGTTTAAGAAAGATGAATCCATGAAAAGAGAAATGCTATATGAACATTGCTGTAGATGTCATAAAGGCATTTGATCAAATCCAACCTCTAGTGCTGATAAAATTCTTAATTAAATTGGAATAGAGGATTAATAAATAGTATTTATACAATACATGAAATACTATTGTTTGTAGTATTATACAGTATATGCTATAGAACTATCTTGTGTTAGAGAATATTGTATTGGTATTATAGAAATTCATTTATGTAGTAATTATGAACCAAGCACTGCTGTAAGCATTTTCACAATCTGAAAATATTTTAATGAATTTAATTTTGGCAAAGCCCTGTGAAGTGGTGATATTATTGCCATAACATTCAGATGAGAAAATTAGTGCCAAAAGTGTAAACTGCTTGCCTAAGGTCTCATAGCATTTAAGTGGCAGAGCCAGAATTTGAACCAGAATTCCTTACATGATATACATCTCAAATAAAAGGCCAGCATCATATTTAATAGTGAGAAACTCAAGAAATTCCCATTTAAGTAAGAATAAGGCAAAGATACCCATTATCACCGGGAATATTTATTATGTTTTGCAAGTACTAATCAATGAAAATGGACAAGAAAAAGAAATAAGAGGAATAAATGCTGAAAAGAGAAGGTAGAAATATTTTTCATAATTGTGTAAATGTTATTTTTTGGAAGCTTAGCAATAAGAAAAATCAGTAAGGAGATTATTCATAAAATTAATGCAATTGGTATACACAAAAAATTAGCAATATTTACACAAATAAAAATAACTTAGAAAGTCCAAAATGTCAGTGTCCTATAGGCATAGACCACCAGGAACATGCATGTAGTTGAATGATTTGGGTATATTGCTCATTGCGAAGAGGGAATGCATATCATAAGGAAACATCTCTTTGAAAAGATGTTAAGAAATGATTTATTATAGGATTTGGGCTTGTGTCTGGTGCTCTTGGGGCAGAGTTCAAGCGGAGCTTTGCTCTGAATTGCATGCTCTCAGGAAGCAGAGGTAATTTTGTTATTATCTTAATACATCTTTGGAAAGATGAAAAATTAAAGTGAGGTCAGAGCTCTAACTGGTTAAAAAAAAAACAGTCTACTTCTCTCAGAAGGCAGAGTGGGATACCTTGGCATTTTTTGTGGGTTGGCAGAGCTTATGTTTTTGTCTGCACTCAGTCATGATTACAAGGTACTCTAGCATTTGTCTTGATCCATCAGGATTGCAGAGTGGCCTTGTCTGATGTTGTTGTTCCATGTGTCATGGAGTCAAAACTTGACTTCTCCTTTCCTACGGTCTTATCTGAACCTGGGAATTAAACTGACTTAAGACAGACAAAAAAAAAAGCATACAAATTTGTTTAATGTAAGTTTTACATGACACAGAAACCCTTATAAGGAAATGAAGACCCAGAGAAGTGAAAATCCTTAAATGTTTTTATATTAGGTTGAACAAAAAGAGGCAATTGCAGTAAAGTAACTAAACTGGGAAGCTGAAGGAAAGAAGAATTATTTTAACAACGTCTACTTATGTAGAATTCTCTTGGTTGCAACTTCACATCTTTGATGACAAGAATATTACTTTCCTTCCGGTATAGGAAGGACATCTTCCAGACAGGGGTTTTATCAGAGAAGGGTCAGAGTGCCATTCTCGCACCTAATTTTTTTTAAGTGCCTTTAGCTCTAAATAAACCTTATTTTAAAGTGGCATATTTTGGGGTCACATATTCTGCTACCTTCATGTGAAATTGCTTTTGTTCATGTTCAACAGGAAAGAGCCAGACCAGCTCCCAGATATTGAGGCTGCTTTTCTCTTTCTCAAAAGGAATAAAATATCCCACATACAATAGCATTATACAAATTAAAATGCTTGAAAATAAATTTACCAAGGATGGGGATGTAATTAGGAAGGGGCCCACAGAGGGTATCTAGGCTGCTAGCAATGTTCTATTTCTCAACCCGAGTGGTGGTAACACATGTCTTTATGTTATAATAATTTGTTGTTAGATATTCATGGTTTTTACACTTTTCTCTATGTGTGCTATGTTTCGCAATTTTAAAATTTATTTATTTAAATAATATATTTATTCAATTTAATTTAAACTTACCAAATTTGAACTAAATTTATCTATTTAAATACATACTTTTGCAAAAGAATTATGGCTCATAAATACTAAGTAAATAGAACATTGCATATGAAAAACAGAAAATCCAGGATTAAACCTTCAGAAAATCTAGTATTTAATTTTTGTGTGGAACAAGACAAGACTGCAAAGTAGACAGAGAACAAGTGGCCAAAGAAGTGTGAGGAAGGAAACTAGGAGTGTTATGTCATGGAGCCTGTGGTAGACTGAATAATGTCCCTTCAAAATATCCATGCCCTAATCACTGGAACTTGTGAATGCAATCTTATATGAGGAAAGGGACTTTGCAGATGTGATTAAGTTAAAGACCTTGAGATGAGGAGATTAACCTAAATTATCTGTTTGGGTGCTAAATATAAGCACAAGTGTTTCTATGAGAGTGAGGCAGGAAGAAATTCGACTTCAGAACAAGAAGGCAATGTGACAGTTGAAGAAAGGTGCATGCTGCATGGTTGGCTTTGATGACAGAAAAAGGGGTCATGAGCCAAAAAATGCAGGCAGCCTTCAGAAGCTAGAAAAGGAAAGGAAATGGATTCTGTCCTAGAGCTTTCAGGGAGAGTATAGCCCTGCTGACATCTTGATTTCAGCCCAGTAATACTGATTTTGAACTGACTGCCAGAATTATGCAAGAATAAATGTGTGTTGTTTTAAGCCACCAAGTTGGTGGTCATTGGTTACAGCAACAATAGGAAACTAACACAGAACCCAAGAAAAGAGTTTCTTCTTCTTCTTCTTTTTTTTTTTTTTTTTTTGACAGAATCTCGCTCTGTTGCCCAGGGTGGAGTTCAATGATGCAACCTCGGCTCACTGCAACCTCCACCACCTGGGTTCAAGTGATTCTCCTGCCTCAGCCTCCAGAGCAGCTGGGATTACAGGTGCCCACCACCATGCGTGGCTAATTTTTGTATTTTCTGTAGAGACCGCATTTCACCATGTTGGCCAGGCTGGTCTCAAACTCGTGACCTTTGGTGATCCACCCACCTTGGCCTCCCAAAGTGCTGGGATTATAGGCGTGAGCCACTGCGCCAGTTGAAGAGAGTTTCTTAAAGGAGCATGTAGCCAGTAGTGTCACATGCTAGTGAGATGGCAAGTTTGAAGTCTGTTGCATTTAGAAATGTGGATATTATTGCTGTCCTCAGTGAGAGCTGTTTTAGTTGGATGAGGGGAGCAGAAGCCAGATGGGACTGAGTGGAAAAAAGAGTGGGAGGTGAGGAAAGCCCTCTTATATTCTGGAATCTCCACTGGAAAGAAATGAGCATCTGAGGTGGCAGGGACCGTTATTCTCCATTTTCTGTCATTCTACACTGTTGGAAAGAATAACACAAGTCCTCAGCTAAAAAAAACATAATAATACAGAAAAAGATTGTTTTAAATGGTATAAATGAAAAAGAAATATCATTGAAATAGCCAAATGAAGAATGGATATTTTCTTGTTTGAGGGGCCAGGTAGGTAGAAGTAACATTAATCTCCATTGAAAGCACAGGAACCAGACAGTCTCCATTATTCTTGTTTTCTGGGTGTTCATCTCCTTTTCCCCAACAGGTTATAAAGTCTTGAGGGTAGAGACATTTAGTTTATTGGCTCAAACATTGTTTGCCCCAGATCCCTGGGCTATGATCTGCAGACAAGCTCCTCTTTTTCAGACCAGGCATTTGCACAGTAAGAAGTTCTGTGTGCTTATTACTCTACTAGATATTGTGCAGGTTGCAGGATTAATGGAATGTTCATATCTGTGGAACCAGGGTCCCAGCCAGTGCTACTGTGAGACATCTTGGTACCTCGGAAGCACATGCTAGTGAAAAAGGAAACAAAACCAGGACTGGTAAATCTGGGGAAGCCCTAGCAAGCATGGCTAGGCAGAGAGAAAACTATTGTCCTAAGAGTGTGGCATGTTCTGGAAAAGTCTAGGCATTCTAACCTTGGAGGCCCAGTCTTAAAGTTGGTTGGCCTTTGGGAAATTCCAGTTGAAAAGTCAGGTAGCAGGGGTTAGTTGGATGAAAGTAGAGTTACATCATGTGTCTGAACACTGTCCATTC
This sequence comes from Homo sapiens, assembly GCF_000001405.40. Taxonomy (NCBI): domain Eukaryota; kingdom Metazoa; phylum Chordata; class Mammalia; order Primates; family Hominidae; genus Homo; species Homo sapiens. Next base: position 42,856,395 of record NC_000023.11, on the reverse strand, counting down.
AAAGGCAGATCTCAGGTAGTGGTGGAGAATACAGGATGTGAGGTCCAGTAACTCCAGAAAAGAGATTGACAAGAATTTAATAGAATTTTAAGGGCCCAGTTAAGTGGTGGGTGGATTCAGGGGGAGACAGTAGGGCTAACTTGGCTGGGCTGTTGTGTAGGGATTAGGGGAGAACACACATCCCTAGCATACCTACTCCTGAGTCTACAGCATTAAAACTTAATTCTAAGTTCCTCCTGTTGATTGAGCTGGAATTTCAGGTATTATGGTGTCCAGGATGAGCTCAGGGCCTGACACCAACTTTTGCCTAGGAGGAAAATCTGCCAATGATTATAGGAAGTTGGACAGGAGAAGGAAAAATCAGGAGAGAAGAGTCATGAAGCAAGTAATGATTCCCAGAAGGGGTTTTCATTCAGATTGAGGAAAGAACTCCAACATTGCTGTGAAAAAATAACAAGTGGTATGTGACTGCATAGGTAGTTACCAATTTCTACCATAATGCATTCTCGCAGTTTTGGGAACAGAGCATATCATTCTAAAACAGATAATCTTTTCCCCCCAAAGAACAATGTAATAATTCAGATTGAATTCCTAACCAAGAATATCATATAAAGCAAACTATAAATATGAACAACACGACATTGTAAAAGCAAAGATACAACAACTACAGATCTCTATAACAATTTAAAAGAGTAAAATTATGTGCCAAGTCCTATATAATGGGCACAATTATAGTGTGCACATTAATTACCCACAAGAGACTCCAATGTACCATAAAAATACACACAACACATAAAAATACAACTCTCGTGAATCATAAATTTGACCTAACCTGTTAGGCTAAGTATAAAAAACAGTAATTAAACATTTACTTAACAATAATTTTATGTGCCTTCTTAAAAAATTAAAGGGCTTTTTAAAGGATAGTTTTGCTGACTCATCTCTTTGAAAAGATATCTAGGAACACTTAAGTAGATGCCCTTCTTTTTCTTTTAATAAACTTTGCAATAGTACAATAAGGTGTTGAAGATTATTTCACTGACCTTATGAACGTTTTAACAAGAGAAGGGTAATAGGATTTAATTCAATATATATTTATTGCATATCTACTAAAGATTGGGCCTGTGTTAAGTACTAGAAACATACTAAAGATAGGACATAACTCTGTTTGCAATCCCTCAGGGTTGGCCTCCTCTGGTTACCTGTCTCCTCTGAGCATATGACCTTATAGTGTTCTCATTTACATCTCTCTCTACATTATTAGGCTGTGAGTTACTTGAGAAAGGGACCTCCTTTTTTATCTACAGATTCTCAGCTATTAGTAATGTGCCTGGAATAAAGTAAAAATAAATGATTTTTTCAATTGAACTAGTACATATGTGTTGCCTGTGATTTTAAAATTATTATTATTTTGAAAGTCAGGAGGGACTCAATATGATTGATTTTACCTACCCTTAACTTCCTAGGCTATTCAGGTTATAATGCCAACTGTTTAGTCTCTAGCCTGACACGGGACCAAAGTAGTGATGATGGAAGACCAAGAGAAAAAAAAAAAGGTTGTTAAAGGCCTCTTTCTTAGTGTTCACAGCTACAGAGTAGAGAAGGCTATTGACAGCTATTAGAAGGACTTCACACTTCATTGGAAAACCATAAAAAACAATTACTAGGTCTTTGGCACAGATTTTTCAAGAGGAGCTTCAAAACATCTCTCACAGAATTGCTAAGACAGGCATAAAGCTAGAAATCCATTATCTGCTATTTTTGCCCTTTATGCTCGGTTTTTGACAGTAAGACTCCAAAAGACTAGGTAAAGGGAGAGAGAATTGAGACACAGGTGTTAATTAGGAGAAAATTTCCCTGGTACTCATCAAAAGACAGAGATCCCTTAGAATTAGTGCTCACAATCGTGGGCAGTCAATATTAGAACTACTGTGTTAAGTAAGGCTTGATGAAGGGGATATTGAGCTTTGAACACAGGAAAAAATAACAGAGGTAAGGACATCAGTATAAACATGGGTTTATAAGAGACCCATGTTTCCTAGGCAGTGAGAAAATCAACTTACATGTAACAGATTGGGTATGTATTCCCTAGTAGATTAGATACATAAGATAGGAAAAAATAAAAAAAAAAGTGGATCAGGTTTTTGAGGTGATTCAATATTATCCTCAATTAACAATTATCTTACAAGAGTGGGCTCTTAGTTGACATAAAACTACATGCATTGGCAACAAATTTTTGTTATGAAAATTCCAATTCAAACATCTTCTAACTGCTTCTGCATATATCAACTAGAAGTTAGTTCTTAACCACAGCCAATAAAAGCCTATGTGAGCATACACATTTTAAAATTTGTGTGTTGCCCTTCCCCATCTGTGGGTTAATGAGAAGGTTAATTTCAGATTAATTACATGGGGGTGTGGGAGATAAGCAAGCTTTCTCACCAGCAGATTCAGCAAAATCCCAAGAATCTGAAAGAATGCAATGAAATGTGGACAGAGAGTTTCCCCAATTTTCCTTCCAATTTCTGCAAGCCTGAGCATTGAGCTCCTGGGGCTTTGGACCGTCTTTTAAAAGAAGAGGCAAATGTTTTCTCAGACTCTGGAGATAAAATGTAGCATCTATACCTGGAGGCAAGGTAATTAATTTCATTATAGAACAATCAGAACTGTTCATCAAATAAAACTCCCAGCAACTTCCAGCCCTTCATGGCCTTTGAAACTCAGGGTAGTTGGATAGTTAAATACTCATTTGGAACAGAAGGAAGCTACATCTGATACAGGTTCCGGCTTTTCTTCCCCAGGGCTAAAAAATGCTGTGCTACTACACACAATACTCATCATGTTTTGGTCTGTGGAACTAGACACGTTAGCTCAGCAGGCCAACTAAGTCAGCCATAAGAAAAATCAGTGGGAGATAACATGGCATTAAAGTCCACCATAAAGAAAGCTACCATCCAACAACACTAAGTTAGAAAACAGCCTATTACGTCTCAAGGCTCCAAATACTTGTTTTGTGACTGAACCTTTTCAACAAGGCTGCTTATTTATGTACGCTCATTTCATTCCGAGAACAGATGCTTAGAATGAGAACGTGCCAATGATGTACAGGCCACTGAACTTCACACCCAGTAAGTCACCAAGGAAGCAAGTCAGTAGAGTATGATATATAAAATCATTCTCCCACAGGAGCCAAAAATGAACATTCTGGGTATCAACACGTGGTAGTGTTTTCTTCTATTCTATCAAGCAGAGCTCAGAAGGTGGGCTGGCCTCCATTTTTCCTTTAATTGCTAGGTATCTACTAGTATCTGACTGTAATACAAATGTGGATGTCAGTTGGATGCTAAGTAAATTAGCATTTGTGGCTTTGCAATCAGATTTTAACATGCATACAAAATAAAATTTAAAAATTCATCCTTATCTCTAACCAGACAATAGAACAAGCTCAGAAAATTGTAAACGTTTACTCTGCTCTCCCATTTTCATGTTTTTGGATTTTAGCTCCCTCTTGTTTTAAACACACTAGAGCGTTTTTTTCCCTCTCTATTAACATTCTATAATTGTTTAAAATTACCACCATGCTGATTGATTTCTTTACTCATCATTGCTTTTGGTTCCTGTATCCTACATGTTCCTTCTGGATTATTGCTAAAGGATATCCTTTCATTCTTTCTGCAAGGTTCTGTGAATAGTAAACTCTCCTGGTTATCATATAACTCTAATGCCTTTATTCAACATAGAATTCTAGTGTAATAAATACTTTCCCTCAGTACTTTGGAAATACTATTCTTCTGTGATAGCTGGCCAAAAGTTTATCTTTCTTTCTAGTTGAGCTCTCTTTTCTCCTCGACTACTTTAACTTTTTTCTCTTTTCCTTTGTTGTTCTACACATGTATTACAAGGTGTCTAGGTATTGATTTGTTTTTTATTAATTCCGCCTGAGACTCAGCATGCAATTTTAGTTTCTATTTTCTCCTTGACTCAAATGATAAGACTTTTTTTTTCTTTAATTTTCAGGATACAGGGTTTTTTTCTGATTATATTTTTAATATCTAGTTTTATTTGCACTGGAACAAAAGCATTTTTTTAATTTACTGAGGTTTTTGTGTATATTTTCTTCATAAACCAATACATCTTCATTTTTTTCAAGACTGTTTAATGAGTACTTGAAAAGCAGATATATTCTCCATTTTCAAAATGGAGTTTGATATGTATGAGTTAGATATATCTGATTAATTATGTTTGGCTTGTTTTTTTTTTTTTTTTTTTCAGACGGAGTCTCTCTCTGTTGCCTAGGCTGGAGTGCAGTGGTGCAATCTCGGCTCACTGTGATCCGAGTGTGAATTACTTGGTTCAAGTGATTCTCCTGCCTCAGTCTCCCGAGTAGCTGGGACTACCAGCACCCACCACCACACCCAGCTAATTTTTGTATTTTTAGTAGAGATGGGGTTTCACTATGTTGGCCAGGCTGGTCTCAAACTCCTGGCCTCGTGATCCGCCTGCCTCGGCCTCCCAAAGTGCTGGGATTAAGGCATGAGCCACCATACCTGGCTATGTTTGGCTTTTGTTTCATCAAAAAACAGGTGGGCCATACTGAAATTGGGTAACTTGAAGAGAGTTTACTGCAAGGATAATTCACAAAGTTATTGTCAGAGTAGAAGGAAAGCACAAGGGTAACTGCACAAAAGCAGTAACTCAAATATCTGGGAGTGGGAGAGTATTACTACACCTAAGCATGAAGGTGCAGGAGAGAGAGTGGTTACAGACCTTGAGATAGAGAGAATGTATAAAAAGGGTCTCCTGACAGGCAGCAGAAGGTTGCAGCCAACCTGTAGCAACTAAAGAGAGAGGGGCACATGGAAATAAATACCTTGATCTCATTCTTCTTCCATCCTCTCTTCTATTACTAGTGCACCCCATTGACTGAACCTAACCAGAAGCCAGGGGCAAGGGAACCCAGTAATGTGGATAAAGAGTTCAGCTTCCCAAGGCACCAAAACAAGGTAGAAGAGGATAGAATATAGATCTGGAGGGGCAAATTGAAGATCCAGCACAGGTCTTCTATAGCCTTCCTGATTTTTTAACAACTCGTTTTACCTTGGACAATGAGCATATTTCACGCTTCCCACTAATAGTGAGCTCCTACTTAATTGTTTTCCCCTGTAGTTTTTGGTTAAAACTAGCTTCTGCAATATAATCTGTGCACATTCTCATTGTGATTTGTACTCCTAGCTTTACAAAGTGATTTTGTCCCTAAATTTTATTTGATATTAAGATCACAAATCCTCATTCTTTTGGTTTGTATTTGCCTAGTGTGCATTTAACAATCCCTTTATTTTAACTTTTCTGAATCATTCATTTTTATGTGTCTAAATTTACTTTATGAACTACCTAGAAGTCTTTTAACATATGAATTTAGTCCATTTAGATTTATTGACATGAAAAATATATTCTGTATTATTTTTGTCACAATGCTTAATCTTATCTTTCTGTATTTATAATTTTTATAGTCTTTCACTCTGTATAGTCTTCATATTTTTAGGAGGATCTATATTCTTATACCAGTGATATCTATAACTGCAATGTGTTTCATTTTTACATATATTTTACATATAATTTTACATATGTTATGGAATTATAAACATCACACAAATAAAACCTTATATTGTGCTTCTTTCATTTAATGTGTCAGAATACCAGTAAAGGGCTCTATGCCACGTTTCCACATAGTCTTAATAATTATATTTAAAATGCCTGCATAATATTAAATTGAAATGGTGTGACATAATAATTAACTTACTGGAATTTTGAGTTTAGTCTATTTTCTTTTCTTTTTAAAGAAGTTGAGAAATTTATTGTGAAGAAAAGGTTAAAAAATAAGCATTTATGAAAAAGCAAGTAATACAAGACACAACAGAACTAAGGAATCATTTTGTAAAATACCTAATGTGTAATAGCTTCTGCAATAAGTCCCGCATAGATTTTATCTTTACTTCATCAGAGAAATGCAAATCAAAACCACAATAAGTTTAGTCTATTTTTCTATTAAAAATAAAGCTTTTGCCTCTGTTGAATTAAGACCTGGGGTAAATCTCTTGAGCTAATTTCACGGATGGGGAAACTAAATTTTCAGAGATGTCAACAGCCCCTGCCTCATGGGAGTATTAAGAATTCATGAACTGATGTATGAAAAGGCTCTAGCCTAGAGCTAATAATTTATAGTTCCCTGTCCATCCCTGTTTCAGCACTCACCACAAGGGAAAGGGTGTGTTCAATGTCTGGTCTAAAAGCTCCAAAGCAGCAGGGATTGCCAGTCTCATCAACACAGGACTTAGTGTATAGAAGATGCTCATTAAAATGCTCTGAAAGCATGGTAGTGCTAAGAACAGATTGATGTCTGAATCTTCACTGGTCCACAATATTTCTCCATGTGGACTCAAGTTATTGTCTACTTTCCTTTCATTTCAGCCTGAAGGATTACCTTTAGTATTTCATTTTTCTTAACAGCTTTAATCGAGTATGATTCACATACTACACAACTTACCCATTTAGAGTGTACAATTCAGTTGCATTTCTGTATTCACAGATATGTTCAACCATCAGCACAGTTAATTTTAGAACATTTTCATCACCTAAAAAAAAAACACCTTACCATTTACTCAGCACTCACCTATTTCCGTACTTACTCCCCCATTCTAAGTAATCATTAATCTACTTTATACCTCTATAGATTTTCCTATTTTGGACTTTCATATGAATGAAATCATATAATATGTGGTACTTCATGATTAGCTTATTTCATTTAACATAATGTCTCTAAAGTTTCTCCATATTGCAGCAGTATCAGTACTTCATTCCTTTTTATGGCTAAATAGTAGGCCATTGTATGGATATGCCATCTCTTGTTTATCCATTCATTTGATGATAAACATTTGGATTGTTTCTACTTCTTGGCTATTTGAATAGTGCTGCTACAAACATTCATGTACAAGTTTTTCTGTCACTATATGTTTTTATTTCTCTTGGGTATGTAGGAGCAGCATTGCTGGGTCATATGGCAACTCTATGTTCAATTATTTGAAAAATTACCAGACTGTTTTCCAAAGGGGCTGCACCATTCTACATTCGCATAAGCAGTGTATAAGGGCTCTGATTGCTCCACATCCTTGCCAATGCTTATTATCTGACTTACTGATTCTAGCCATCTGAGTGGGTATGAAGTGGCATCCCATTGTGATTTTGATTTGCATTTCTTAAATAACCAATACTGCTAAGCATCTTTTCACAGGCTTATTGGCCATTTGTATATCATTCTTGGACTCTTTGGTATTTCTTATAGGACAGGTCTGCTAGAAATAAATTCACTGTTTTTATTTCCCTGGGAATGTCTTATCTTTTCTTTCATTTTTGAAGGGTAGTTTTGCCAGACATATAATTCTTGGTTAGCAGGCTTTTTCTTTCAGCACTTTTAATATGTCATCCTATTATCTTCTGGCCTCTCAGGTTTCTGATAAGAAATCTTATTGAGGATCCTTTCTATATAATAAGTCATTTTTCTCTTGCTGCTTTCTAGATTATCTCTTTGTCTTCCAACACTTTAATTATGATGTTCTTCTGTGTGGATATTTTTGACTTTATCCTAATTGGAGTTTGTTGAGCTTATTAGATATGTCAATTATTGTTTTTTCATCAAGTTTGGGAATTTTTTTGCTTATTATTTCTTCAAATATTATTTTTCCCCTTTTTCTCTCTCCTCTCCTTCTGGGATTCTCATTCTGTGTACGCTGGTTTCAGATGCTCTGTTGTTCACTCTTCTTTTCTTTTCTTTTTTTTTTTTTTTGAGACAGGGTTTCACTCCGTCACCCAGGCTGGAGTGCAGTGGTACAATCTCAGCTTATTGCAGCCTCAACCTCCCAGGCTCAAAAAATCTTGCCACCTCAGCCTTCTGACTACATGGGACTATAGGCACATGCCACCACACCCAGCTAATAGTTCCATTTTTTGTAGAGATGGGGTTTTGCCATGTTGTCCAGGCTGCTATCAAACTCCTGGGCTCAAGCAGTCCTCCTGTCTTGGCCTCCCAAAGTGCTGGGATTACAGGCATGAACCACTGTGCCAGGCCCATTTTTCTTTCTTCTTTCTTCCTTCTGTTTCTCAGACTGTATAATCTCAATTGATCTGTCTTCAAATTTGCTGATTATTTACTTTGTCTTCTCAAATCTACAATTTATCCCATCTAATAAATTTTTTATTTCAGTGATTTTACCTTTCAACTCCAGAATTTCTATTTGGTTTCTTTTTATAATTTCTGTCTCTTTATTAATATTTGCTACTTTGGTGTGATATTTTTGTACTTTCTGCTAGTTCTTTAGACATGGCTTCCTTTAGTTCTTTGAACATATTAGAATAGCTGATGTAGAGCCTTTGTGTAGTAAGTGAAATATCTGGGTTTTCTCAGGGATGACTTACATTGATTGCGTTTTTCCTGTGTATGTGTCATATTTTCTTCCTTTCTTGCTTGTCTCATACTGTTTGTGCTTGAAATCTGGACTTTGAAGGAACATAATGTGGCAACTCTGAAAATCAGATTCTTTTTCCTCCCTAGGGTCTGTTGTTTCTATTTACAGTTTTTGTTGATTGTTTAGTGACTTTTCTGAACTCTTCTGTAAAGTCTGTATCTTTGTCATGTGTGGTCACTGGTGTCTCCACTTGGTTAATTTAGTAGTCAACTAATGAATGGACAAAAATTTTCAGCTGGGCATGGTGGCTCATGCCTGTAATCCTAGCACTTTGGGAAGCCGAGGCGGGCGGATCACCTGAGGCCAGGAGTTTAAGACCAGCCTGGCCAACATGGTGAAACCCCGTCTCTACTAAAATATAAAAATTAGCCAGGCATGATGGTGAGTGCCTGTAATCCCAGCCACTTGGGAGGCTGAGACAGGAGAATCACTTGAACCCGGGAGACAGTGATTGCAGTGAGCCGAGATCGTGCCACTACACTCCAGCCAGGGTGGCTGAGTGAGACTCCATCTCAGAAAAAAAAAAAAAAAAGTATTACATATTTGAGACCAATAAATCTCTTCTAGTCTTTGCTGAGAAGCTCTGCTTATGTGTTTGGATATACCTTCAACACTCAGCTAGGCAGTTTACAGTTCTGCATTAGCCTTTACTTTTGGCTTGTGCAGAGCCTCAAGGTCAGCCAGGGGTGAAAGTTTAGGGCTTTATCAGGTCTTTCTTGAGGATGTGCATAGCCCTGGGCATGCAAATAGCCTTAGGCATATGCCTGGCCTTCTAGATATTCAAAAATATACAACTTTTTGAAAGCCCCTATGAAATCACACTCATCAGCTGCTTCTTTCCAGCTTTCTTATAAGTCTATTTTTGCTCCTCTGTTATCTACTGCCTCAAGCAGCCAAGAAGTTAAGCAATTGCCTGTAATTTCTTTTTGATAAATATCCCCAGGGATAAGGCTATTCACTCCGGGTAATCTGTGAATCAGGTAAGATACAGACAGCTTGCAAGTATGGCCTTCCAGGAATCTAAGAGGCAGGCCACATATGGACAATTCTTGGCTGAGACTTTGAATGAGATTCATCCCTGTTCTCCTCTCTTCAGTAGCTGCCATTTTTCCCCATTAATGGAGAATGTTATTTTTCCATACTGCAAATCTTGAAAGCAGAGAATGAAACCAAGACAAGTTTAAATTCCCTAAAGCTCACTATTTTTTACCAAGAACTAACCATTTTTCTTGAATAAACATTCCCCAGGTTGCTGAATGCTTTTAGTTAATTTCTAGAGTCCTGAAAAAGCAGATTATGATCATTTTTGCCAGTTCTTTCTCATTGTTTTTATGGAGGAGAGAGTTTTTGGAGGCCCTACGTTACCATTTTAGCTCTATAACTGTAAATTTATATAATATTCTTAATCTTCTCCTTCTTCAAAAATATCTATTATTTTTTGAACCCGAGCAATGATAAAGTTATTTCTTCTTCATCCTCCTTTTCTTGCTTTACCTCTACTACTCAATTTTAGTTAATTATGTTACATTTAGGTTTGCCATTTAATTATGCTTATGCTTTTATGACTTCATTTGCAACTTTAAATTATCTCCTTGGACTCCCATCAGTTACAGACAAAGCAATTAGATATGTGCAATACTTTCTACCTTTTTTTTCCTCCTCTCAATCAATTTTGGGTAGTTATTTTAATTTGGGCTTCCTCAGAGGCAGACTACGAGACAATAATTCAAGTGTAATTGCTTTATTTGTGAAAGTCCAAAAACACCAGTAGGAAGGTAAAGAAACACACAGAAAGAAAGACAAAGCAATCAATAAAAGAAATATTAAACCAGCTATCTCTGTGAGTGACTGAAGCTTAATCTTGTGAGAAAATTCTGGGAAAGACTGTAATACACAGGCCTTAGAGGTATCTCTCCAAGTGAGACAGCCAGGTGAGAGGAGGTCCCCAGAAAACCCTAACTGGCTTGCACACTGGGGTGGGGCCTTTGGAAGTTTGTGCCATTTGCAGCGGGGAGGAGCCTGGTACCTCCTCTTCCTGTGTGGAACCTGGGATTCAATCTGTGGGCAGGAAGTGCTCTAGCAGGAACTCTGGCCTTGCAGAGTCCCTGTTCCCCCTTTTTTTCCTTTACACCCAATAAAACCCTGTCTTACTCATCATTCAAATTGTCTGTGAGCCTGAATTTTCGTGGCCATGGAACAAAGAACCCCGTCATCAGCTGAACTAAGGAAAAGTCCTCCAACACAAGGATCAAGGAATCTAGCGTATTTATTCATGAACTCCAATCAATCATTTGTTGAGAGTTTCTCCTTGGGGGGATTTTAATTTCTTGGCACTTCTTGAACATTGCCCTCAGGAAAAAGACGCATATATTGGTAGATGGAAATCAGCTATAATGAACTGAAATTGTAAGGCTGTAGTGATACAAATGGGACACTGACAAAATCTCCCACATGTATGATTTCCCCGTTCTTATTATACATAACTTTTACATTCTATTTTATACTTTATACCCCTATGAGTTTTAGTCTTGATTCTACTATTAAATATATTTAAAATTTACTGTGACTTCTTTTTCTAGGATTTCCTTGGTCATTTTTTTGACTTAAGATTGTCCTCCAGTAGTTTTCTCAGTAAGTATTCATGGCAAAGATATTCTCTGAGTTCTTGCATGATAAAAACTATTTGTCTTTATCTTTTTATACTTCAAACACAATTTGATTGGATAGAATATTCTTAGCTCGTGTTTTTGCCAAGGTGCTGCAGGAAGTTGTGAGCATCAGTAACGGTTTCCTGCATCTCTTGACTACTATACTAGATAGAATGTCTCCTAAAAATTCATGTTCACCCAATCCTCAGAATGTGACCTTATTCAGAAATAGAGTCTTTGCAGATGTAATCAAGTTAAGATGAGCTCATATTGGATTAAAGTGGGCCTTACCAGTGACTGATGTTAAGATGAGAAAAATGAGACATACACAGAGGGAAGATAATGTAAAGAGATACGGGGGAGAATACCATGTGAAAATGGAGACAGAGACTGGAGATGTATGTACAAGCCAAGGGACATCAAGAATTATAGGCAACCACCAGCAGCTAGGAGAGACTCATTGAACATCTGTTCTCCAGTAGGAACCAACCCTGCTAATACCTCCACTTAAGACTTCTAGCTTCCAAAATTTTGAGAGAATACATTTCTGTTGTTTTAAACCCCCAGTCTGTGATACTTTGTTATATCAGACTTAGGAAATTATTACAACTACTAAATATAACTTCCTGATTCCTTGAAAGCCAGTAGCAACTTTGCCTCACTGATTCCAAATAAGGCTTTAAAATTAATTTCTTCATTTACAATTACTTTATCTTCTGTAAGTGTGCATGCAGAGTTTATACCATGTATTGTATAAGCCTGAGATTCTACTTTCTCTTGGGTAACTCTTTATTCACAGCCCCAGGTAGATGGCTAGCTTCCTTGCAACTTTCCAAGGCTGAGGGGTAGAAAACATAGAAGGTACACACACATGCACACACAAACCTAGTACAATATTCTCCCCAATTTGTGGGGTGAATTTTCAATTGTGTTACCACTCCTGCAGCTAAACTTTCAGTAGCTCTTAAGAACACAAATAATAAAATTAATGAATATGGAAAAGAGGAGGAAAGAAAAAATACAGAGAAAAAAGTTAAAGACAATATTAATAACATCGAAAGTATATATTATTAATCAGAAGTGAAAAATAAAATGAATTAAAATAGATAGCTCTTTAAATTGAGAGATGATTCCAATAAAGATTAATATTGACTACTAAAAAAGTGGAAAAGGGACACATTTAAAATAAAAGCTTAGAACTAGTCAGATTAAAAGTTTAAAACGGGAGAAGATAAAGGAGTGTCAAAAAAATAAAAATATAAGAGGCAAAGATACATAATTAGGATAAATGGTTAAAACTAATAAAACTAAATTAAATATTCATATGTTATGAGAGAGGGACTTCTGGATCAGGCAAGTGAGGACTTCTGCAAAACTACTCCTCCATAAAAGTAATTACAATATTGGCAAAATTTATTAAAATAAATATTTTCATAACTCTAGAAATTAACCAAATGCTTGCAACAATCTGAGAAGCATTAATTCAAGAAAAATTTGCTGGACCTTGATAAGAATAACAGTCTTTGTTGCATTTTAGTTTTCCTTACTTCCATCCCCATCTCCTCAGTTCCACATAGTCATGAGAATGAGTAGCCTCACAACTATGGTAGCTGAGAAAACCAGCAGCCTTACTAGGGCGATTAAACTGAATTTGGAGCTCTTAAAAGTCCTGTTCTCAGAACATCCTAACTATGTGACCCATTTTGCAGGTCTATCTAGAAAAGCTTAACAAAACAGCACTATCAACCAAGTAAACCTAACATTTTCTGTTCACTCTGAAACAGCAGAAAATACATTCTTCTAAGCCACACATGGAACGCTCTCCAGAATAGACTATACGTTAAGCTATAAAAGAAGCCTCAATAAATTTACAAGAATTGAAATCATATAAATTATGTTCTACAACCACAATAAATTAAATTATAAATCAATAGTAAGAAAATTTGAAAATCAAAAAATATGTGGAAATTAAACAACATATTCCTAAATAATGAATGAAATGAAAAATAAATTATGAGTACAATTCTATAATAATTTGAGATGAACAAAAATGAAAAGCCAACATACCTAAATATCAAAGCAGTGCTTAGAGGGAAATATATATCCGTAAACGCCTGCATTAAAAATGATCTCAAATCATAACCTCACATTCTGCTTTAAGAAATTCCAATGAGAGGAGGAAAAAGCCAAAAGCAAGAAGGATAAAAATAATAATGATTAAAACAGTTATGATTGGAATATAAAATAGAAAACCAATAGAGAAAATCAAGAAACCTAAAAGCTGTTTTTTTTTCAAAAGATCAACAAAATTTACAAGCCTTTAACTAGACTGACTAAGAAAAAAATAGAACTGAAATTACTAAAATGAGGGAAGAAAGATGATAAATCATTATTGACCTAATAGAAATAAAAATGATCATAAAGGAGTATTATCAACAACTGTATGACAACAAATTCAACACGTAGATATAATGGACAATTCCTAGAAAGACACAAATTACTGAAACTGACTTAACAAGAAATAGAAAATGTGAATAGACCTATAACAACTAAAGAAATTGAATCGGTAATTTTTTAAACTTCTCACAAGGAAAAGTCCAGTTTCAAATAGGTTTACTGATGAACTCTCCAAAACGTTTAAAGAATAATCAACACCATTTTTTCACAAACTCTTCCACAAAAATAGAAGAAAAGAGAACACTTCTCAAATCATTCTATGAGGCCACAATTACCTGATACTAAATCCAGGCAGACATCAAAAATAAATATATAAATAAATAAAAGAGAGAGAGAAATCTACAAATAAAAACATCACCCCCCAAAAAAGGAAACTAAAAATCAGTATCTCTTAGGAATGGGGGCACACAAATTCTTAACAAAATATTAGAAACTAAAATCCAGTAACATATAAGAGGAACTTACAACATGACCAATAGGCTTTATTCCAGGAATGCGTGGTTAGTTTAACATACAAATTAAACAATGTAATACATGATATTAATAGAATAAAAGACACACACACACATTATAATCTCAGTAAATGCAAAAAGAAAAAAGCATTTGAAAAAAACTCAGCATACTTTCATAATGAAAGCACTCCTCAAACTAAGAATGGAAAGGAACTTCTTCCCCCTGTTACAGATTATCTATGAAAAACTCAAAGCTGACATCATACTTAATGGTGAGAAACTAAAAGCTTTGCCTCTAACATCAGGACTAAGACAAAGATGTATATGCTTGTTATTTCTATTCAACATTGTACTGAAAGATCATGACAGATCAGTGAGAAAAAATAAAAGACAACAAAATTTGAAAGAAAAGAAGCAAAATTATCTTTATCCACAGATGACATGATCTCATGTAAATGAAATCCTTACAAAAATCTATTAGAAATAACAAAAGAATTCAGCAAAGTTGCAAGACATAAGACCAACACACAAAAATCAATTGTACACTGGAAATGAACAACCTGAAAGGAAATTGAGAAAACAATTAATTTATTATAATGAATAAATACTTAGGAATAAATTGAACCAAGCAGTTGCAAGACATCTGTGATAAAAACTACAACACATTGCTGTAAGAAGTGAAAGAAGACCTAAATAAATAGAAAGACATGCTATGTTCATGGATTTGAAAACTTAATATTGTTAAGATGGCAATACCACCCAAAGCAGTCTGGAGATTCAATGCAATCCTTATCAAAATCCTGATAGCTTTATTTCAAAAAATGGAAAAGCTAATCCTAAAATTCATATGAAATTGCAAGTAACCCCAAATAGCCAAAATGATTGTGAAAAAGAAAAAAAAGATTGAGGGATTCACACTTCTCAATTTCAAAACTTATTTCAAAACTGCAGTAATTAAAACAGTATGATACTGATGCAAAAATAGGCATATCGATCAATTCAATAGAACTGAGAGCTCAGAAATGAACTCATACATTTGTGTTCAGTGATTCTCAATAAGGGTGCCAAAACCATTCAATGGGGAAAGAATGGTATCTTCAACAAATGGTGGTGGGATAATTGGATACTTACATACAAAAGAATAGAGTTGGATTCTTACCTCACACCATACACAAAAATTAACTAAAAATGGATCACAGACCTAGATATAAGAGCTAAAACTGTGCAATTCTTAATAGAAAACATGGGAGCAAATCTTTGTTCCCTTGAGTTAGGCTATGTTTTCTTAGATATAAACACCAGAAATAACAACAAAAAGAAACTATAAATAAATTTGACTTCACGAAAATTAAAAAATTTTGTGCTCCCAATGATATCAAGAAAGTAAAAAGACCATGTAAGAATTGAAAAAAATAGGCATCACTTAACAATAGGGATACATTCTGAGAAAAGCATCATTAGGGAATTTTGTCATTGAGTAAACATCACAGATCGTACTTATACAAACCTAGATGGTATAGCCTACTACATAGCTGGACTATATGTTGTAGCCTATTGCTTCTAGGCTACAAACTTGTACGCCATGTGAATATACTGAATATTGTAGGTAACTGTAACCCAATGGAAAGTATTTGTGTATGTAAACATATCTAAACATAGAAAAGGTATGGTAAATATGCTATAAATGATAAAAAATGGTACAACTGTATAGTGCACTTACTATGAATACAGCTTACAGGACCGGAAGTTGCTCTGCGTGAGTCAATCAGTGAGTGGTGAGTGAATGTGAAGGTCTAGGACATTACTGCACACTACTCTAGAATTTATAAACACTGTGCACTTAGACTACAGTAAATTTATAAAAACATATTATTCTTTCTTAAATAATAAATTAACCTTAGCTTACTGTAACTTTTTACTTTATAAACTTTTAAATTTTAACGTTTTGACTCTTTTGTAATAACACATAGCCTAAAACACAAACACATTGTGTATCTGTACAAAGATATGTTTTCTTTTTATCCTTATTCTATAAGCTTTTTTCTAATTTTTAAATTTATTTATTTATTACTTTTAAAACTTTTTTTGTTAAAAACTAAGACTCAAGCACACACATTAGCCTAGGCCTACAAAGGGCCAGGATCATCAATATCACTGTCTTCCACCTCCATATCTTGTTCCACTGGAAGGTCTTCAGGGGCAATAACATGCATGTAACTTTCATATCCTATGATAACAACATTTTCTTCTGGAATAACTCCTGAAGGAGCTGCCTGAGCCTGTTTTACAGTGCTGTGATTTGAATATGGTTTGTTTGGCCCCACCAAGTCTCATGTTGAAATGTGATCCCCAGTGTTGGAGGTGGAGCCTGGTGGGAGGTGTTTAGGTCATGGAGGCAGATCCCTCATGAATGGTTTGGTGCCCATAGTAATGAGTGAGTTTTCACTCTATTAGTTCCCCTGAGAGCTGATTGTTCAGAAAGAGAATGACACCTTCCCCCTCTCTTGCTTCCTCTTACCATATGATCTCTGTATGTAGGTTCCCCTTCTCCTTCTGCCATGAGTGGAAACCATCTAAGGCCTTCACCAGATGCAGATGCTGGTGCCATGCTTCTTGTACAGCCTGAAAAACTGTGATGTAAATAAACCTCTTTTCTTTATAAATTACCCAGCCTCAGGTATTCCTTTATAGCAACACAAATGGACTAAGACACACAGTTAACATTTTCTTTTTAAGTAGAAGGCGCATACTCTAAAATAACAATAAAAAGTATAGTATGGTGAATACAAAAATCAATAATATAGTTGTTTATTACCATTATTCAGCATTACGTACTGCAGAAAATTGTATGTGCTAGACTTTTACATGACTGGCAGTGCAGTAGGTTTGTTTACACCAGCATCATCACAAACGTGAAGTAATGCATTGTGCTAAGATATTATGATGGTTATGATGTTATGATGGCTATCACATCACTAAGCAATAGAAATTTTTAAGCTCCTTTACAATCTTATGGGACCACTGTCATATACATGGTCTGCTATTGACTGAAATATTGTTATGTGGCACACGACTGTATTTGCTAATCTGATAAGAGGCTCGTACTCAGGATATATATAAAGAAGCCCTACAACTTTATAATAAAAAGTAAATAACCCACTTAAAAACGATCCAAGGACTTAAATAAACATTTCTCCAAATAATATATACAAATGGACAATAAATAGACACATAAAAAGATATTCAATATAACTAGTCATTAGGGAAATACAAATCAAAACCACAATAAAATACAATTTGATGCACTAATAGAATTAAAATAAAAAGCACAATGAATACAATGTATTGGTAATTATATCGATAAATTGGCACCTTCATACATTGTTGGTGGGAATGTAAACTGGTATAGATGTTTTGAAAAAGTTTAACATTCTTTAAAATGTTAATTTAAACACAGAGTAACCATATGATCCATCAATTCCATTCCTAGGTATTCACCCAAGGGAATTGAAAACATATCCATAAAAAACTGTTCACAAATGTGCATAGCAGCATTGTTCAAAGTAGCCAAAAATTGAAAGCAAATGTCCATCAACTGATAAATGCATGAACAAATATGATACATCAATACAACAGATTATTTGGCTATGAAGAAGAATAAAGTACTGATACATGCTGCAGCATGAACAAATCTTGAAAACATTATACTCAATGAAATAGCCAGTCAAAAAATACTGTAGATTGTGTAATTCTATTTATTCTATTTATATAAAATGTACAGAATAGACAAATCCATAGAGGGATTAGTGATCACCTAATATTTATGTGGTGTGTTTGTTGGGGGTCGCGGGGAGGCAGAGATTGGAAATGACTGCTAATTACTAGGAAGTTTATTTTGGGGGTGATTAAAATGTTCTAAAATTTGATTAGCTGTGATGGTTTCACAACTCTATGAATATACTAAAAACACTGAATTGTACGCTATAAATGAGTGAATTTTATTGTATGTGAATTACATCTCCAAAAAACTATTAAAATTAGACAGGTTAAAGTGATTAAGGGTTAAACTGATGAATTGAAAACCTAAAAATTTTACATGAAATACACAACCTATGAACAAAATGACTTACGGAAATATTTTTAAGGGGAAATGAAAGCACAAGATTTAGGAATTATAGAGAAAGTAGAAACAAAGCAATGTCTGTTTCAAAGCAAAAAGCACACTTCCATAGCAAGATTTTGGTGTCATCTGTTTCCTTAAATATTGGATTCTCTGGTGTAGTGGCAAATTTTATCATTGCTATGAGTCAAGGAGAAGTGAGCACTATGACACCTGTCCCCACATTCTTCTCAAATCAGATGCAAAGGCCTTTCTATTTACCATAATGACAGAGCATGTGGTCTCTTAAATGAAACCACTGAATCCTCTGAAGATACCTAAGACTCAGCTACTAGCAGTGTTTCTGCAGTCTTACATACAATTTCTTTTAATATCCCTAGATGAAATGTATTTGTACATTTATTTTTTATTCATTGTTTTATCTATCTATTTGCTTCTATTCAGTAAAAATAATTGTTTAGTGCTGATTTTATCAAGGCAAATTATCTGTAATGTGGAGTAGCCAGCTAATTAAAGTAGCTAAACATTTACTGTCTCATCACGTTAGACTTAGTTTTCCTCTAAATGATATATTTGCTACATTTTTTTCTGCTTCAAGAAGAATCTCCTTGAGATACGTTAGCAACACAATGAGAATTGAATGGTTTTACTTTCTCATTCATCTATTAGCATCACACACCCCCAACCCCACTCCAACTTGGCACCAATACACAGACTTGAAAAATCTCTTTCATTATAACCCAGTTCCTCTAGTGATTGAACCCTTTGTACAAAACCCAAACATCTCTCAAATTTTTCCTCAGTCTTTCCCTAAATTGAAGTAAGCTCAACCCTGATTTCACTGTCCCTGGTTACTTTACAGCTCATTTGCATGCAGCTGTTTTCATTATAGCATCACTAACATCGGGGAGAGAATCATAAGCAGGACAACGAAGCATGGGTTTTGAACAGCCTAGCATTCACAGAAACTTTTCTGCTACTTGACTGGGCTCCCACCATGTTCTGGTTTATCTTATCCTTTGATTGTAAGAATGTATACATAATTGGGTCTTTGTCATATTTCTATAAATCAAGTATTGAAATTCCTCTCTTATATTTTTCTTTTTCTTTTCCTTTTTTTTTTTTTTTTTTTTGAGATGGAGTTTTGCTCTTGTTGCCCAGGCTGGAGTGCAGTGGCGTGATCTCGGCTCACCACAACTTCCGCCTCCCGGGTTCAAGCGATTCTCCTGCCTCAGTCTCCCCAGTAGCTGGGATTACAGGCTTGTGCCACCACGCCTGGCTAATTTTTGTATTTTTAGCAGAGACAGGGTTCCACCATGTTGGTCAGGCTCGTCATGAACTCCTGACCTCAGGTGATCCACCTGCCTTGGCCTCCCAAAGTGCTGGGATTACAGGCATGAGCCACCGTGCCCGGCCCCCTCTTATATTTTTTTAGGTAGGTAAATAAGCATTGACCTAAAAAATATTCCCATTTAGCCTCATACTATTGTCTTTTACTTTTCACAAAATCTCTCATTAAAGAAAAACTGTGATTTTATAATCTTTATAAGTTACAGCTGATCAAATTACTATTATTTTTATTACTCTAAAATAATACAGTATCTTCTGCTTTTTACCAAATGTCATGTACTAAAGAATCTCAGATAATAACATGGGAGTTTCACAAATTGAACTATAATTATCTAAGCTATTCAAATATATATTTTTTAAACAAACGTGCCAATCACTATGCTAAGCAGTAGCCAAGTACAAACAATAGAACATGTTTCCTAAACTCCACTAGCTCATAATCTTTATGAAATAGTGCAGCCAGTCCTGTAGCAGCAACATGAACAAAGTAGTCGAGAAGCATGAAGGAAATTGTGCCAAGAGGAGACAAGATATCTTCATGAGGAGGTTCATAATTAATCACTATAGCCCTGTAGTAAATTACCAAAATTATATTAAAAAAATGAAAATATTATTTTAATCATGTAGCATCTAAGTGGTTAAAAAGATACAGTTCAATCTACTTCTTCTAAGGTGTCTTCTTTCCCCCTTTCTCTTTACCCTTGACTATATAGTATTTAATAACAAATATTACTGTTCTGCCAAGCATTATTGAATGAGTGCAGAACATGTGTGATTCTCTTCCCATTATTGAATTTTGAGGGCCTCTTACCTGGGCAGACACCAGCATATATGAACTGCATTAGCTGGATGGTTGATATATCTTCCTTCAAGCAGCAAGCCATGAACAATGGGCCTAAAGGGCCGTTTGACAGGTCCCAGCCACCTCTGTGTCTAGGGATTAATCTCAGGTGGATTGATAGGCAATACAAATGATATGAAATATACAGCTGATATTTTCTTCCAGAAAAGGATTTTTCCCCATCCCCCTCCAACATTCATGAAACTTCCATTCAGAGGTCAATTGTAGAAGTACTCCAAGTGGTTGGTTGCCAGGCATTTTTCCAGGGACCTATGGGAGACCCTAATCTTTGGCACTTGTCTCAGATGTAGATACCCACAAGAAATAATGGCTGGGTGACCAGTCTTTGATCAAACCTACCTCACTTGCCTTGCGGATAATCAGGATTTCTCTGGATAAATGAAAGAAGCCTTGTCCTAATGCATATATTTGTAGTACCCAAATGCCTGTCTTCTTGCTTTTTTTCTACACAATCAGAAGAAGTATATTAAGGGTTTTGCAGAGTAAAAGTTTAAGATTATATGATGCCAAACATGTATATATCCTTTTGGAGCATCTGTTTCAGAAGTTCTCTTGTGCCTCAGCACTGCACCCCCCAACACACACACATACAAGCACAATTCCTTGCTATTCTATGTCCTTGTAAGCATATCCCAATAAAGGATGGGGAAGAACTAATGTATCACTGGAAATTTTTTTCCAGCTTTGCTACTGAGCATGCTGGTGGGGGAAAGAAAGCTTTAGTTAATACTCTTGCAGTAATCCCTTCCCTTTCTCTATGTGAGTATTTATTTTGTTAACCCTGATTTCCAAGTATGACAGCTCAGTGACAACATTGCATTCTGTACAATTTCCTTCCCTCCCTCTTTCAACCTTAACCAACTTTAAGCCAGAAATATTCCACTGCATCCTGGGGTAAACTCCATACTGCTCCCACCCTCTTATGGCCATAATAATATAAGAGCCACTTAGATACCATGAGAATCATTTAAAATAAGAAAAGACTCAATAAACAACTATATTTCTTGTATTTCCCTTGGTATGATTTTTTTTCTATAAGGGAACCTCAGTAATGAATTCTTACTTCTTCTCTTGCTTGAGCTGCTGCTACTCCAGGCAAAAGTAGCTGCTGCTACTGACCTGGCTTTAAAAGGCCTGAGTGATAGATTACTACAAAATAGACCCCAGTGAATCATACTACCCTGAATTCATGGATTTATTCAGTACCACCTAACACTTTGTTTTGGACAGAGTCTCGCTCTGTTGCCCAGGCTGGAGTGCAGTGGCATGATCTCAGCTCACTGCAACCTCTGCCTCCTGGGTTCAAGCGATTCCCCTGCTTCAGCCTCCCAAGAAGCTGGGATTACAGGCATGTGCCACCACGCCCAGCTAATTTGTGTGTTTTTAGTAGAGACAGGGTTTCACCATGTTGGCCAGGCTGGTCTCAAACTCCTGACCTCAAATGACCCACCCACCTCAGCCTCCCCAAGTGCTGGGGTTACAGGCATGAGCCACTGCATCTGGCCAGTCCCATTTAACATTGAATGAAAACTGGCCTTATAATTCACTTGGTCCAGTAGAATGTGATAGAAGTCATGCTGTACAAGCTCTGAACTAAGGCCCAATGAGGTCTTACATCTTCT
Source organism: Homo sapiens (assembly GCF_000001405.40). Classification (NCBI taxonomy): domain Eukaryota; kingdom Metazoa; phylum Chordata; class Mammalia; order Primates; family Hominidae; genus Homo; species Homo sapiens. The sequence continues at coordinate 42,834,365 of NC_000023.11, read as the reverse complement.
GCTCTTGCTTTCTTAGAAACCTGAGACAACTATGCTGCAAAAAGTCTAGAATTAAAAACCATGTGGAGGGAAAGGTCCAGCCTTCTCAGCTATTCCGGCAGAACTCAGACTCCACTGGCCTCTTCTGCTGAATACAGCTGTATGAGTGATTCCAGGCAAAATTCACAGAAAAATCACTCAACCAACTCATGGAATCATGAGAAATAATAAATTGTTGTTTATGTCCTTGACTACTGGTGTTTGAAATGCTTGTTCTTCAGTGCTGTAAAGAAACAGCATTTGAACAGAAATTTAATTTCTTCAACAAGGCCATTTTTACCTTCTGCAGAAAGGGTACACTCACCAGCAGTTCTGCCACGAGAGTACACTGAACAAAGGAGACAGGGTCATTTATAACTTGACGCGTCCACCTTACTGCTGTGTCCGGTTTCCATTGGCTGGAACGGGACCTCACATTCTGTATTTGTCCCGATTGGCTAGCAACTTAGAACTTTTTAAAAGAGGCAAAGGCAGAGGAGAACAAAGGAAGGAGGAAGTAACTTGTGGAATGCTGAGAAAGGTAAAAACACTTTCACATAAGGAAGAGGAACAGGCTATGACCTAATGCTTGCTTGGACTAGTATAAGCATGCCAGGGCAAATATTTAGGCTAAATCGTGGGAGCAAAGAACATGAAGTACATTGATTTCTTTATTACGGCTAGCAGATATTTAAGAATGTTAGCACAGGTCTTTGAATAAATTTTGCTTCTAAGAGAAATTACTATTTATTCCTAATTAGATGGGAAGGAAAGTCTCTTTGAAGAGGAACTTCTACTTTACTTTTTACACTGGCGTGATTGGTTCTGCAGTAATAGATAACTGATACAGCTATTGTTTATAAAGATTTCAGATGCTGGGAGCTGACTTCCCTTAGAAGGTGGAACTGCATGGGCTCACAGTCACAAGGTTTCTAAATGCACACAAGGTTACAAAGAGAGCTGGAGCCAAGTTTTTCATCTGAGCCTGAAAGGCAAGGTTTTACAGTGATGAATGTTTTTTTGTTCCAGTTTGTACTAGTATGTAGAGTCTGAAAGTGCAGCAGAAGACATGACCTGCTTTTTAAGGGCTACTGGCAAAATGCCTAGTGAGAAAAGGAGAATACAAAAAACCTTTGCAACTCTAGGTAACTCTGTCCATGTTTGATTATTTCATTTTCCAATGGCAATGTCCCAGCTGTGTACCAGTGTCTTTGCAGCTTATATCTGGGCTAAAACAGTAAGTCTTCCTGATTTCTCTCCTCTATCATTTTCTTATCCAACTTTGTTGGTTTTCCTGCCCAATTTATTATTGACAATGTCTCAGGTGAAGTATTTCAGTGCTTACAGTGTTATTTATACTATTTATCACACTGGGAACCAGTGATAAGACTCTCTTTTTTAATTTTTTATTTTTTTGATACAGAGTCTCGCTCTCACTCTGTCGCTCAGACTGGAGTGCAGAGGCGCTACCTAGGCTCACTACAACCTCTGATTCCTGGGTTCAAGCCATTCTCCTGCCTCAGCCTCCCAGGTAGCTGGGATTACACACACTCACCACCACGACTGACTAATTTTTGTATTTTTAATAGAGACAGGGTTTCACCATGTTGGCCAGGCTGGTCTCAAACTCATAACCTCAAGTGATTTGCCCGTCTCAGCCTCCCAAAGTACTGGGATTATGGGCATGAGCCACTGCACCCGGCCAAGACTTTCATTTTAGAAACACAATCACTGAAATGAAGGCCTTCCCATGTAGAGAATCAGAATGGTGTCATGACACAACATATAGATTCTGGAGCCAGATAGCTTGGTTTTCAAATGGGTCTGGAAGTAACCGTGTGACCTAAGACAGGTTACTTAACCTCTCTTTGCTTCATATTTCTTATCTGGGAAATGGAGATAATAAATTTTATAACTACCTTGGAACTGCTATAAATGTAACTGTAAATGTGGCACTTAGTAGCTATAGAAACTTGGCTGCTAGTATTATCTTGATTATTAAGAACTTAATATAATAGAGGACAAGAGATCTAGACCCAAGTCTTTGACAAATTAAATGCTTGACCTTGGGAAAATTAGTATCTCTCTGGGCCTCAGTTTCTTTATCTGTGAAATGAGTAAGAACCCTTTCAGCTCTAAAATTCCAACAATTTATGAAATATGTGAGAGAAGTCTAACTTTGACCTCTCAGACAATGACCACTGAAATTAAGATATTCATTCTCCTTATCCAGAATGGGTCAGAGAAGTCTTGAAGGATAGTGTGGTTTTATACATAAATCAAAGCCTCGTTTTGTTCAGAAATGTGGATTCAATTTTAAATTGCATTTTATTACCTGGACTGTGATGAATAGGAATGGTAGAAATTTAGGATTAAATAACCATCCAGAAAGGGAGGAACCACATACTTACATACTTTTATACTGGCTTAGGAGGAATTTCAGAAGGATATTCTGAGATCATGGAGGCCAGTACACTCAAGTAGAGGGGAAGGATGGCCAGAAAACCATGTGTGTCACTAGCCAGCAGGAAAGATGGAGAAGAGGTGTTTTAATAAAACCTGAATCTGCCAAGAAGAGCTACTTAATCATAGGATCAGAAAGGATACCCCTTTTCTTCCTGTGAGTTGCCTCACATCTGTCCTTATGCCTCATAAGCAACATAATGAAATAGACATTTGTAATTGGACCTTTGTAGTTTTGCCACACCTGTAAACCAAAGTTAGAATAATGCTGTTGTTATACAAGAAAGTCCACTATTTTTCTTTCCTACTTTAAACTAACCTCCACCTCTACTCTAACCCCAAGCTCAAAGATTAGATTCATATCAAGAATTATCTATCTAGGCCAGGCACGGTGGCTCACAAAGACTCTCCTTTGACCAAACTTTAATTAGGCTCCTGTAAGCCCTCTGCTCGACTAGGCCTGGGTGACAAGAGTGAAACTTCATGTCAAACAAAAAAAAAAAAAAAAAGAAAAAAAGAAGTATCTGTCTATCTATCTATCTATCTACCTGTCTGTTTGCCTGTCTGTCTTTGTATCATTTATATTTTTAGAGCTTTTGCTGCAAATGAATACTTCACATGTAAGAGCTCTGGTTCTTGATAAGCCTCCAATATTACACAAGGAAACAATCACACATTCATAGGTAAACATACACAGACTCACACACTCCTATTAATGTTCTTAAAGGCCTAGTTTTACCCTACTACAGAACTATTAAGAATCATATATGACACATGCTAGTTTTGACCTAAAAGATAGCATTACTGCAGAATAAGAATAATCAAAAGAACTCCCTCCTTTCAACATTCTTTTTCTTTTACAACCAAAGGACTCTCAAAGCCCTCCTTTTGCTAATGATGGTAAATGACCACATACAGGTTTTTCTTGTCCCTCAAGAAACCTTATTAAAATGATATCAAAACTACTGAAAAAAGGGTGAACCAATAAGAATGAAAAAATGGAAATGCAAGTTATTATCAGATAAGGGATTTCAACAATTTCTAGAATATGGAAAGAGAATATAAAAATAATAACAGATAAAGCAAAAAGGAGAAAATCAAAGCCTAGACTGCATACACAGGAATCGGTTGCAGTGGCTAAGACAAAAGGAGTAACTGGTTTGGAAGAGACCAGGGAAAGAATTCAACATGGGAGCTTGCAGGCATAAAAGGTACAAGAGTTAGAAGTAATGATAAAATGAAATCTATACATGGAATTATTGGCTTCCACAGTCTGTCTCCCATATATGCAGGCAAAACAGCATACAATATATTGTACATTTTTTGTCTCTTATCATATTGAAAGAAAGGGTTATCCAAATAAAAGAAATCAAATTATTGGGGATAAGTTAGGGCATCAGCGATGGATTAGGGTGCCCTGGAAGACAGCCTCCTCATTCTGAACCAGACTGCATTCCACCTGATCCCTTTAATGTAAATTTCATGACTAACAAACCTCAGCCATTTGCAAAACATTCTTTTTTATTATTATTTTTAGAGACAGGGTCTCACCCTGTCACCCAGGCTGCAGTGCAGTGGTGCCATCAGTAGCTCACTGCAGCTTTGCACTCATGGGCTCAAGTGAGTCTCCCGCCTCAGCCTCCTGAGTAGCTGACACTACAGGCACATGACACTGCACCCAGATAATTTTTTATTTTCATTTTTTGTAGAGATCGAGTCTTGCTTTGTTGCCCAGGCTGGTCTCGAACCCCTGGCTTCAAGCAATCCTTCAGCCTCCCAAAGTGCTGGGATTACAGATGTGAGCCACCACACCCAGCCTGCAAAATATTCTTGGTCAGTATATTTGTCAGGGTTCTCCAGAGAAACAGAACCAATAAGATGTGAACATATGGGAATAGGATGTGTATACGTGTATATATGTGCATGTGTGCATAAAGAGATTTATTATAAGGAATTAGTTATAGGGATTATAGATGGCTAGTGATTATGTGAGGCTCTGATTAGGGAGTGACAATGGATTATGTCCCAAGATCTGCAGGGTGAGTTGGCAAGCTGGAGACCCAGAAGAGCTGATGGTGTAGTTCCAGTGAGTCTGAAGGCCAGAATCAAGAGAGTCAATAGTGTAAATTCTAGTCCAAAAGTCATCAGGCTCAAGGCACTGTTTCAGACCGATTCTAAAGACTGGAAAAAAAAAATCAATGTACAGCTCAAGCAGTCAAGCAGGAGGTGTTCTCTCTTGCTCAGCCTTTTCACTCTATTCAGTTTTTCAATTGATTAGGTGGGGTCCACCCACATTAGGGAGGGCAATCTGCTTTACTCACTCCAATTCAAATGTTAATCTCATCCACAACCACCCTCACAGACACACTCAGAATGTTTGACCAAATGTCCATGCACCTCATAACCCAGTCAGGTGATTGATACATAAAATTAACATTGTAGTCAGCCTTCCTATAAATGTTAATTCTTATATTTGAAATAAAAGCCAAGAATCTTCAGACATTAGAAAGGAAATCTAATCATGAATGAAAAAGATTAAGTTACAGAACTAGCTTCTAGAGAGAGATAATTTTAGGAGCAGAGGAAAACTCAAAAGCACAGTGCACAGTTTTGTGGTGATACTGTATACATAAAACAAGAAGACAATGCAATGATAAAGAAATGATCCAAGATCAATAAAGATCTCTTTGGAATTAAAAATGTAATTACTGGAATATCGAGTTAAAAAAAAAGTTGGTAGGTGAAGTTCAGAAAATTTCCCAGAATATTCACCCCAAAAGGCAAAGTGAATAAAATTATGAAAGAAAATATTAGAGATACAGAAAATGAGGAATGAGAATTAACTTAAACCTAACATAATCATCTAAATCTACTGTCAGAAGACAATGGAACAATCTTTCTAAGTATCACTAAGAAAAAATTTTCTTAATAATTACAGGCAGTAGCTCACGCCTGTTCTAGCATCTTGAAAGGCTAGGTCAGGAAGATTGTTTAGCCCAGGAGTTGTAGATCAGCCCGGGCATCATAGTGAGATGCCAACTCTACAAAAAAAATAAAAAATTAGCCAGGCGTGGTGGCACATGCCTGTTGTCCTAGCTACTCAGGTGACGGAGGTAGGAGGATTGCTTGAGCCCAGGAGGTCGAGGCTGCAGTGAGCCATGATTGCACCACTGCATTCCAGCCTGAGCAACAGAGCAAGATCCTGTCTCAAAAAAAAATTAAAAAAAGAAATGGTTTTCACCTAAAATTCTATTCCAGCCAAATCACCATAATATAACAGTTAATAACTAACATAAACTTTCATAATTTAAAAAAATCATGTAAAATGCATAATGCTGAAATATTTCTTGTCTACTGCATCCAATCACAGAACTACCTCCCCCTAAAACCAAAAAAAACAGACAATCTTCTGTCATTATGGTGTGCATGCTTTAAGTTTTTCTCTATATAAAGTATAAATAAATAATATTCAGTTTTGTTTTGTTTTTAACATAAATAGCAGTTTGGCTTTTCAGCTTAACAGCATATCTATATTTTTTCTATGTATATTCCTAGGGACCCACATCATTGTTTTTACTGCTATGTCATATTCCAGAGCACAAATGCACTACGACTTACTTAATCACTCATTTATTAGTGGAGAGCTACACTGTTTCCAGTGTGTTTTTTTTTTTTTTTTTTTTGGATAAACAGTGCTACAGTGATCATAATTATACAAGCCTCCTAGTGCCCAATGCTCTAATTTTCTGCAAAAAATACACTGCTCTCTACTTTTTTCTTTGATCACAGTAAACATTCCCAAGACCTCGTTGTTTCCCTATTTTAGCTTTCTGGGAATGTGGAAACTTTGTTATGTTACACAGGGTTCCCTTCTCATCATCTTCTCTTTCCTTCTGTGTTGTGATGAGTAAGATTAAAGCACCTTCTGACAGAAATCTCTAAACTCTCATTTTTATGATTTATTTCTGCAGGGAGACATTTACTCAGTGCTATGGAATTATGATTTTCTATCTCAGGGGACAAAGCTAGGACTAAACTCCCTAATATGCTTATTGTGACAAATACTTAAAGGTTAAAATCAAGCTGCTAAATCTTTACCTTTTGTGTCTGTTAGCTTTCAGTTATTTGGCAATGTGGGCTATCAGGATAAATTAACTGTTGTAGCCATTACAACTATGAATTGGTCAACATTTAGGTTCTAAACATCTATTCTAAAGAATTTCGGAGTATCCATAATCCTCCTTGCATTGCATCCTTCTTGCATAGTCTCTTTTGTCGAATTTTTTCTATGTTTAGAGATTGCTCTTAAAGGAAAGTCACAAATAAATAAATGCATTCAGATGCCTAAATATTTCATCAATTATTTAAGGAAATGGCTAGTCACTAACATTTATTGTAATCTTAGATTTATTTACATGCAGTGTGTATTTAATCCTTAGTACAAATATTAAAGGTACAGAAGATATAACTAAAGCACAGAAATAAAAACTAACTTTCTCCTACTGTCACAACTTGTAAGTGGTGGAAACGACCTCACTATATTCACACGATCTCATTTGGTTCAGTCAGCATTGTTATAGACAGAACTGTGTTTTCTCAAAATTCATATGTTGACGCCTTAACCTCCAGTGCAACTGAATTTGGAGGTAGGACCTTTAAGGAGGTAGTTAAGGTTAAATGAGGTCATGAAGGTGGGGTTCTAATCCGTAAGATTGGTGTCCTTATACAAAGAGGAGAGAGCTCTCCAAGTGCTTGCAGAGAAAAGGCCGTGTAAGTTCACAGCAAGAAGGCAGACATTTGCAAGCCAGGAAGAGAGGCTTTGCCAGAACTGTGATCTTGGACTTCCAGTCTCCAGAACCTTGACAAATAAATTTTTGTTGTTTAAGCCACTTAGTCTGTAGTATTCTTTTATGGTGGCCCAAGCTAACTAATACAAGCATGATCTCAATTCAAATACTAACTGGGCCTCTCTTTCACAGTCTACTCTTAAGCCAGTCATTTTCTGTTTCCTAGATCTGTTTCCACTTCTGGGAAATAAAGTTTGGAACAAATTATCTCATAGCTCTAAATTTATATATTTCATTTGTTGAATACCTTCTCAATAATCTTAGTGTTGATATTAAGTAATTAAGAATTAATAAATGAGAAATTTAATATGCTCTAATTCCAACACACAAATTTTTTTAAAAAAAATTTTTAAGTGAGCCACATATGGCAGATAACCCTCCAAAATGATATGTTAAAATATGTTCGCTCATTAGAAATTTTTTCTAAATGTCTACTACAGGTCAAAGAGTCTGCTAAGCAGAGCAAAACAAAAATAGATGCATGCCTTGCCTTCCTAGAGCTGAAAATCTAATACAGGAGAGAGACTGTGATAAGCTGAATAATAGCCCCAAAATGTTCAAGTCTTAATCTCTGGAACCTGTGCCTCTGTTACTTTACATGACAAAGGGACTTTGCAGATGTGATTAAGTTAAAAATTTTTAGATAGATTATCCTGCATTATCTGGGTGAACTCAATGTAAATGCATGTGTCCTATAATAGTAAGGTAGAGAGAAATACTTCTAAAGAAGAAGAACGCAATGTGATAACTGAAGCAAGATTCTACACTGCTAGCTCTAAAGATGGAGGAAGGGACCATGAACCAAGAAATGAAAGGAAAGCAGTTCTAGAATAGAAGGCAGGGAAACAGGATTTCCTCTGGAGTCTACAGAGAGTGCAGCCCTGCAGCCACCTTGATTTCAGCCCAGTGACAGTTCAGACCTCTGATATCTAGAAATATGAAAGAATAAATTTGTGTTATTTTAAGACATCAAGTTGGTGATCACTTGTTATAGCAGTATAAATCCACCACCATAGATGTCTGGTAGTGATCGCCACTCCCACTGTTCAATGTGCTGACAGGTGCCCACGGCATACTGTATGTTCTTCCCCACATGTTGAACTATATGCTTACCATGAGTCAACTGTGTTTGTTCCCAAATATGTTGACTCCAGAATATCCACAGTAGGGAATTTCTCAAGTAAGAAGAATGGTTAGTGGTAGGCCAAAAGAAAAAAAAAAAAAAGACAAATGTCCACTCTAAATTGAAAGGAAAATGCATGGCATCATGACACATATACCACGGGGACCTGAGGTTGTCAGGGGAATTGGAGAAAGTTTCCCTGAGGAAGTGAGACCAAGCTGGAATTTGAGGGAGGAACGAAAATCATCTACCCTGGGGGTAAGGCAGGAGGGAATACAGCCAGCTGATGGATCAGAAAGAAAGCCAGTGTGGTTAGAACAGGGGAACTCCAAGAGCAGCATGAACACAACAAGAAAGGAAAGCCATGGGCCAGGCCATACAAGGCTGTGTAGACCCTGTGAGCATTGTGGTCTTCTTCTTATGAATTGTAGAACCCTTCTGTGCCAGGCCAATTCTCCCTGACGGTCACACAGACAAGCTTCCATAGCACTCCAGTTATACAAGCAAACTTCCACAGTGCTTGCCTTAACATTAAGTTAATAATTAAACCTAGGGAAATGGATGCCTGGACATCAAAGCCAGAAATGAAACATATGTTCCATAAGAGCCTCACTCAGGCTTCTCCTGAAACCTGGGGCAAGTCAAGATAATGGAGACAGCCTTACATTCCTTGTACCAGAACCCATCTTGGGTCTACGAAACCTGAAGCGAGTCAAGATAACAAAGACAGCCCTACATTCCTCGTACCAAGACCAATCTTGGGTAGAATAAATTTACTGGGGGTCTGAAGCAACTCTCCGGACTCAAAACGTCGGTAAAATAGAAGTAATCACTCAGTACCAGGGCCCGCATTAAGTAGATTTAGGAGACATTTCTTAATTACCCTGGTACCAGGGCCCTCATGGATTAAATAGATTTAGAGGACATTCCTAGCCTCTGACCTTCAACTTAAAACAAAATTAATCACCTATAGACTTAGGCAAATACGGTACTGCACATAGGCATATAATCTAAACATATATAAGCACTGGAAAAAACTTCAGCACCTTGAGTTGGTCTGGCTAATTATCGCCAACATTTTCTCTGTATTTGGTTACAGAAATAAACTATTTTCTTTCCCAGTCCATCTGCATCTCATTATTGGGCCATGAGAACATGCAGCTGGACGCGGTTCAGTCCTGGAACACTTCTACCGTTTGAGGTAGTTGGGGAAGAGGAGGCTTGGCTAACATGATCAGACTTGCATTTTAAAAGTCCCACTCAGACTCTTTGATGGATAACTAATTAGAAGGGAAACATGAATGCAAGGAGATCAGTTAGGAGGCTGTATAAGTTGGAGATGTGATAGCTTGGACTGGACAGACTGTGGTAGAAATGGAGATGATAGACAAACTCAGTATATTTTGGAGGTAAAAATCTAAAGGACTTAATGATAGCAAGAGTTGATAGAGTATGGGGATGAGGAAGGGGAAGGTTATCAAGGGTGACTCCAAGCTTTGTTGTTTGTTTTATTTATTCTGCTTGATTTTGTACCACCAGTAGGACTATGATGGCATTCACTGAAATAGAACACAATGGAAAAAGACCAGTAAGGAGTTATCAAGAATTTGGCTTTGGAATTGTTAAGTTTGAAAATCTTTAAAACATGAAAGTAGAGATGTAAAATAAGAGGCTATATAGGTGGGTCATAGAGCCTTGAGCATGGATGGGATGACCTAGGAGCAGGGTAAAGAGGAAAAGAGAGGAGAGCCCATTGCTGAGCTTTGAAGAAGTTTCCAAAAATTGTCAATTGGTTCAAGAAACACACAGGTGAAGAATGGGTGCTAGAAGGAACAGAAGCAATCTGATTTAATGGTTTATGGTTTTCTTTGTTTGTTAGTTTATTTGATTGTTTATTTCTGGTTTGTGTACAGACCTAACTGGAAAGACTAGAGAGAATGAGCTAAAGGCCAAGTTTATTGATATCTTATAATCTATAGTAATGAAGGACAAAAAAATGTTTAGAGGACAATAACACGACTAAAAATTCATGTTATTTTAGAGAGATGCTAAATTATGACTACTAAATTATACATCAAAAATGCATGCCTTATAACCACACAGTCACACTCTGACAGATTTGAAATATTTGCTTTTCTGTCATAAATAAGCCTCTGTGCAGTAACTTTTCTTCATATCAGTTTCTACTACATATATACATATTAATTCAATGACAGTTGAATACTAAGATCACTCAGCATAATAGATGGCAATGGCAATGAGAGAGCTGAAATAATCTGTCAATTAAAGAATCTATGTTTCAGAAGTACTTAACTATGGAAACTATAATGACTCAGAATGAGCTCATTAAAATGAAACAGAAAATCAATTCTTAACAGTTTTTCTTGGGCCAACGTGAGGGCAAAAGATGTCTTCATCCACCACTCTGGACTGATCTGGCCAAATAGATTCAAGGCTAGATTGCAAGAAAATGCAATTGTTAATCAATATTCTCTCTTCTATGTTCTTCTCCATCAAGCTTTCTGGCACTGAAGTTCTAGCCAAAATAAGAGTTTAAAAACAAACTATAGTACTGGCCAAATGAGAGCAGAGAAATTGAGTCCACAGGTTGGTTAGATTACTCTTCAATAGAGGAGTGTAAAGAATTTATAGTAAAACATTCTAACATAAATACTTTCATGCTGAGAATATATATTTCATTATTACAAGTAATAATACTAGTCAGCCTTGTTCACCAATTCCTATGTGCCAGGTGCTGAGCTAGTGTTGCACACATTATTTCAGTTGATCTTTTCTACAGGAAGACATTAGCATTTACTATTTTTCTACATAGGGAAACCAAGGCTCAAGGTAGTTAAGTAATTTATCTGGGTTCATAAAGATTCCTAGTCACAGAAGAGGACAGAACCTGGTCTTTTCCATCCTTACTGTCTTCTTCATTAGATTAATGCCAGAAGTTATTGCCCCTTCATTAACTCCAAGTAGTATCAAAAGGAGATCACCTGATATGACCCACACACATAAGGCAATGTTTTGAAAATAGGCCTTTTATTTAACTGCCAAAGTCCACAGTATTTTTCAAAATGATTTGCATCTTAAAAGGTGTAGAATTGCATACAAACAAGTTCAAAACTTGAGGGAATCTTTGTAACTAATTCCCCTGAAGCAAAGAAGTCTTTGTTCTCCTGCTTTGCGTAACAACTTCAAAATTCTAGATGTCCTAGATCATCTGAAAATCACATGACTTGATGATTTTTGTCCCCAGATAGAGACAAAGGCCATGGAAGAGTTCACATAAGAGTCATCACTGCAGTAGCACAAAATATGACCAAGTGTCTTTCTCTCCTGATTCACAAAATGAATACCCAGGTTCCTCCTACTTCTAGGGGATAGTGCTGCACTAAGGATAAGGCTCCTCACAATGTGTGTGTGTGTGTGTGTGTGTGTGTGTGTGTGTGTGTGTGTGACAATGAAAGAGACCTGACCTAACTAACTCTATCTTGCTTCTAACCTCCAAGCTGTTCTGGCTTATTCCTGGGCGTAAGCCAAACTAACTTGGGAAGGAACTTAGTTTATAGTTTGAAACAAAGATGATAATAGCCCTTTCCCAAAAGAAACTCCCTTCTTGCCTGGGGACTAGACTGCCCTTGTAGGACTAACAAATTAGCCAAAAGATTAGAAATTATGGTTTAGGAGTCATGCAGCTGGAGGCTACAAGATTCAGACGCTTCCCAGATTGCTCCTGGGGATAACATCACCATTATAAAGCCTAAAATCAGTGCTTGAGATATTTTGCAGACCCTGCGCTTGATGGATCAGCTGGCACCACCCAGACAGAAAAACTCACTCATTTGATCTCGTGGCCACCACCCAGGAACTGACTGCGCAAGAGGACAGCTTGGACTCACTATGATTTCACCTCCGAACCAACCAATCATCACTTCTGACTCACTGGCGGCACACCCACCCACCACATTATCCTTAAAAACTCTGGTCCCCAAGTGCTGGGGAGACTGATTTGAGTAACAGTAAAACTGGTCTACCACACAGCCAGCTGTGTGGCTTACTCTTTCTCTATTGCAATTCCCCTGTCTTGATAAATCAGCTCTGTCTAGGCAGGGGGCAAGGTGAACCCATTGGGCAGTTACACTATTACTGCCAAGATCTATATACATGTCCCCTAGATCCTGGTACTAAGACAGGGTACTAGATCCTGGTCCTGACACTGAGTTGTCAGACGGTTGAAGTTTCTATACTATCTTAAGGTTACAGAAAGAATACAGGAGTGGGCTTGTGAGGGGTTGCGGGGTGGCATGAGGCATGGGGTGGGTGGCTTCACAAGCTATGGGAGAGTGAAAGATGGAAAGCACGGAAAGCCAAGGCTGTCTTGGAATGCAGATAAAGACCTCTCAGGTACTCTGAGAGCTGCTCTCGAAAAAATTGATGGTGGTAGCCTGTGGTAAAGTTTATCTGTCAAAACTTAAAAGTGTCAGACTTCAGTCCCCTTTCCCTATGAGTTCATCTTTCCTAGATCCAGATAAGGAGGGCCTCAGAGAAAGCCTGCCTGTTTACTTCACTAATGTAGATTTTTCTCTACAGATGTAAATCTCCACCACAAAAGACAGCTTTTCAGAGCTATTCTTGTGTTTGCAACTCCTCTGAACAACCATCTCAAAATATGCCAAAGAGGTATATTTTGTGGTGAAATATTCTGGTTTCCTTTATCTCTTTTTATCAGGGAAGAGAATAAATCACATGATAGAATTTAATTAATTAGGCCAGGTGCGGTGGCTCGTGCCTGTAATCCCAGCACTTTGGGAGGCTGAGGCAGGAGGTTCCCTTGAGGTTGGGAGTTCCAGACCAGCCTGGCCAACATGGGGAAAACCCGTCTCTACCAAAAATACAAAAATTAGCTGGGCATGGTGGCGGGCACCTGTAATCCCAGCTACTCAGGAGGCTGAGGCAGGAGAATCACTTGAACCCGGGAAGGCAGAGGTTGCAGTGAGCTGAGATCATGCCACTGTACTCCAGCCTGGGCAACAGAGCGAGATCCTATCTCCAAAAAAAAAAAAAAACAAATTGATTATATAGTGTTTTCCAGTTGTGTTTTTTTTAATCTCCCAGGGATAATCTTAGTACATTAAAAAGGCAAATAATACATGTATCCATTTTATCACATTGCTAGCATCAATAAGAACTATTTTGCTACAAGACCAGCCATCAAAATCAAAAAAAAATTTAGGCACAGACACGATTTCCCTGACTAATATGTTCACTCTTACTGGAAGATGTCAAGAGCAAACATTTAACAAATGTACGGCATGCTTTAGCCCTTTTAGTCCTTCCCTTGACAGCCTGTCCTGATTTTCCCACCCAATCTCCACTTGTTCTGACACTGACTGGCTGAAATTGATTCATTAAATAAATATTTATCAGGCACTTACTATGTATCAGGCACCATTATAGCATCTTGGTATATAATCTGATACAGACAAAGACCTTGGCTTTCATTGAAACTTTCATTTTAGTGCCCTGAGAAAACACTTTGATTGGTGTTCATCTTCCTCTTAACAAAAGTAGTTTGTGGATCACAAAAGTGGAATGAAAGCCCAAGGAAATTATTTTTAAGCTTATTTAAATATTAAATGAAAAATACTTGATAGTATTTTTCAAATAGACCTGCAATAGTTGCCTACAAAATATTAAAAAAAAACAAACAGAAAATTGCAGAGCAATAGATATATCTTGTTTAAAAATTATGTTTCATACAATTATTAAAAAAAACTCCAACAAGAAGTGCATACACTAAACATAGGATTGAAGGGAGTACATAGAATTGATCACTTTTTTCTTTGCACAGACATTTTTTGCTTAAATGTGTTGGCTGATAATGTATTATTTCTGTAAATTTTTAAAAATCCAATACAGATTTATTTAAGGCTTAATTTGACCTATGTTCAAATCATGTGGTTCATTCCTTTTTGTTAATGTGTTTATTTGTTTTGGTTCTATTTGCACTTTCCAGAGGATATGAGAGTAAAAGTACTCTTAGAATACGTGTTTCTGAAAGATAGAATTTGTAGGACTAGGACATTCAGCAATTCTCTTTGTTATGGTCTATATCTCACTGGATGATATATGTATGATAGGAAACAGAAAAGGAATTTAAAATGAGAAAAAGAGACAGTGCAGGTTTTTTTTTTCAAAGTAAAGATACTTCTAGAAAAGTCAGGTAAAATAATCTAGGTCATTTAAATGTCCTTCAGAAGCAAATCATGGTTCAATTTTAGTAAAACCACCATGTAGTCAAGATGTACTCAAAAAGCAATAGTCCATAAGATGACAATACTTTTTATGTGCATTTCTGGTCTCACCTCAGCCTCCCACCCCACCTAAAACTATCCTTCTTCTATACCCTGCATTTGAAAGTCATTGAAAAAAGAACATAGCTAAATCCATAATTTAAAAAAAATGTTTAAAATCAAATGCTGGTGACATACTGATTGAAATACATATCAAAGTGTACACACATGCACCAATATAATACTTTGTGTGTATTGTAGATTGGTGATACATTCAAGTATTTGGTAGTATTAGTCTCCTCTCATCACACTTTCTTATCAGAATTTTCCTGACTGCTTTTGATAGCTACAGAAGGCAGACAAATCCTAGGCAGACAGGGACAGGTCCCCGGTGAAACCTGATCCTCAAGCCAAAGATAGTTTAAAGGCTTAAAGCCAAGCTACAAGTCCTGGGTAAATTCTCAGACTGGATTGAGAACCTGTCTTCCCATTTGGCATGCTTTCCTCTAATTGATCCCCACCCTTCACCTATTTTACATATACCTATCCTTCCTTAATTGGCTTTTTACATTGTTGTGCCCATCTTTATTTTAACCTTTTTAGCATACTCACAAACCAATCAGCACACACTCCCCATTCTGAGCCCATAAAAGCCCCAGATCCATTCACACTGGGGGAGAAACCACCCAACTTCAGCTGGGGGACCACCCTCACACTGAGAGCTGTTTCGTCAATCAATAAAATTCTTCTCCATCCTCCTCACCCTTCGACTTTCAGCATATTCTCATTCTTCTTGGACATGGGACAAGAGCCTGGGACCCACTGAATGTGGGTACAGAGAAAGCTGTAACACCATGGCCCTCTGCCCTCTGCTGGTGGAGGGCAGCCACCCCACGAGACAGAAGCAGCGGCGGGGCTGAGCCAGCCCTAGAGCCATGGGTTGGAGCAGGGCAAGGGGCTGACAAAGCTGTTAACAAGCCTCTGTCTGTCGGGCTGTGGACAGCAGGACTAAAAGAGCTAATTAGCATGCTGCAACCCCCCCTCTGGGGCTTTGGGGTCGTGGGCACCCCTTCCTGGGTGCCACATTCCCTTGTCTGGACGCTGGAGTCCACCACAGGAGTGGCTTGCGATATGCCTGGCCCAGCCTCAAGCACTGCACAGAGCCTGCTTCTGTACTGGTGCTTAAAAACGACCAGACAGACCCCACACTCACTCACTTACACGCCCCCTCCCACCAGGATCTGAGTGCATAGTTGCAGCAGCTACAGGATCCGCACCAGAGCGCGGGCGGGTGTGGACTGGCAGGCTGAGTGGACGGGGTGTCTCCTGCGGTAAACCTGAGTCCAAGTAAGGTCTGGTTGGTGGTCTCCAGCTAACAAGTGACTGAGAAAAAACCCTGGGTCACTTTCACTCACTTATTTTTCAGCATAAACTTTAGGATCAGCTTCTCTGGTTATCCTTCCAAAAATCTATTAATGTTTTTATTATGTTAAATTAATTAATTAAGAAGAATTGACATCTTGATGATATTGAGTGTCCTTATCCAAGAACATAGTATACTTTTCCATTTGTTGAAGTTTTCATTTGGATTTCTTAAGAGTATTTTAAAGTTATTTTATATGATTCCTACATATTCCTTTTTCAAGTTTATTCTCATGTATGCTATCTTTTGTTGCTATCAATATTGGCATGTGAGAGACAGTTCAATACAACAGAATAGAATGTCCATATAGTGTAAATACACAGAAAAAATTGTGGCATTTTGACTTAATTACAAAAAACATAATTCATTTAAAAAATTATAACAATCGGATGACATCTTGAAATGTCTTAAAAGTTAAATACATACATTACAAATGCATCAGAATAAATTCAAAATAGATCAAATAAATAAATTACTATAAAATAATTAATTACCAATTGATAATAATTAATAGACTACATTTTAAAAATTGAAATAGAAAACCATTTTTTAAAAAGACAACTAGGGAAAATTTCTTGCAATTAACATCACAGACAAAGAGCTAATAATATATCTATATTAGCCTAATAAATAGTTTCCTCAAATCAATAAAATACAGATGAATAACCTAATAAAATTAGCAGCAGATATAAATAGGTAGTTCATGTATAATAAAATAACATTTAAATAAATAAGATGTTCAGCCTCCCTTAAAAGAAGTGAAATTATATTAAAGGAATTACATTAATATAATTAAAATTATATTAAAGGAATTGTATTAATATAATTAGATTATATTAATAATCATATCAAAGTATATTTCACCCCAAAATATACTTTTGTGACATATTTTGAGGGCCTACAGACAGAAATAGCCCTGAAAAGTTGCCTTTTGTGGAGTAGATTTCCATCTGTAGAGAAAAGTTTACATTAATGAAATAAACAGCCAGGTTTTCTCTGAGCCTCTTCCACTTAGCTTAGGAGATCTAGGAGAGCTGAACTAAACACAGGCTTTCATCTATTCTTTCTGAGACCTGTTACTTGTGAGTTTTCAACTATATAATAAAGCCCCTATGCCTTTCTCTCTCTCTCTCTCTCTCTCTCTCTGTCTCTCCCATAACCTGTCTTGCCATGCTACAAGCCCTTATTCTTCCTGTAACCTCAAGATGTAATAAAAGCATCAACTGGTCTCTCTTCTAAGATGGCCAAATAGGAACAGCTCCGGTATGCAGCTCCCAGCGATACTGACAAAGAAGATGGGTGATTTCTGCGTTTCCAACTGAGGTACCTGGTTCATCTCACTGAGACTGGTTGGACAGTGGGTGCAGCCCACGGAGGGCAAGCCGCAGCAGGGCAGGGCATCGCCTCACCCGGGAAGTGCAAGGGGTCAGGGGATTTCCCTTTCCTAGCCAAGGGAAGCTGTGAGAGACTGTACCGGGAGGAACGGTACACCCCTGCCCAAATACCATGATTTTCCTATGCTCTTCACAACCAGCAGACCAGGAGATTCCCTTTGGGGCCTGGCTCGGTGGGTCCCACACCCACAGAGCCCAGCAAGCTAAGATCTATTGGCTTGAAATTCTTGCTGCTAGCACAACAGTCTGAGATCGACCTGGAACGCTGGAGCTTGGTGGGGAGAGGGGCGTCTGCCATTGCTGAGACTTGAGTAGGCGGTTTTATGCTCACAGTGTAAACAAAGCTGCCAGGAAGCTCAAACTGGGCAAAGCCTACCGCAGCTCAGCAAGGCTGACTGCCTCTCTAAATTCCACCTCTGTGGGCAGGGCATATCTGAACAAAAGGCAGCAGCCCCAGTCAGGGACTTATAGATAAAACCCTCATCTCCTTAGAACAGAGCACCTGCAGGTAGGGGCAGCTTTGGGAACAGCTTCTGCAGACTAAAACGTCCCTGCCTGACAGCTCTGAAGAGAGCAGTGGTCCTCCCAGCACAGCATTCAAGCTCTGATAATGGACAGACTGCCTCCTCAAGTGGGTCTCTGATCCCCATGTAGCCTGATTGGGAGACACCTCCCAGTAGGGGCTGACAGACACCTCATACAGGAGAGCTCTGGCTGGCATCTGGCAGGTGCCCCTCTGGGACGAAGCTTCCAGAGGAAGGATCAGGCAGCAATATTTGCTGTTCTGCAGCCTACACTGGTGATACACAGGCAAACAAGGTCTGGAGTGGACCTCCAGCAAACTCCAACAGACCTGCAGCTGAGGGTCCTGACTGTTAGAAAGTAAACTAACAAACAGAAAGGAATAGCATCAACATCAACAAAAAGGACATTCACACCAAAACCTCATCTGTAGGTCACCAACATCAAAGACCAAAGGTAGATAAAACCACAAAGATGGGGAGAAACCAGAGCAGAAAGGCTGAAAATTCCAAAAACCAGAAAGCCTCTTCTCCTCCAAAGCATCACAACTCCTTGCCAGCAAGGGAACAAAACTGGACAGAGAATGAGTTTGACGAGGTAACAGAAGTAGGCTTCAGAAGGTGGGTAATAACAAACTTCTCCGAGCTAAAGGAGCATGTTCTAACCCATCACAAGAAGCTAAAGGCCTTGAAAAAAGGTTAGAGGAATGGCTAACTAGAATAACCAGTGTAGAGAAGAACATAAATGACCTGATGGAGCTGAAAAACACAGCACGTGAACTTCATGAAGCGTACACAAGCTTCAATAGCCAATTCGATCAAGCAGAAGAAAGGATATCAGTGACTGAAAATCAACTTAATGAAATAAAGCGTGAAGACAAGATTAGAGAAAAAAAAAGTGAAAATAAATAAAGCCTCCAAGAAATATGGGACTATGTGAAAAGACCAAATCTACATTTGATTGGTGTACCTGAAAGTGACGGAGAGAATGGAACCAAGTTAGAAAACACTCTTCAGGATATTATCCAGGAGAACTTCCCCAACCTAGCAAGGCAGGCCAACATTCAAATCCAGGAAATACAGAGAACACCACAAAGATATTCCTCAAGAAGAGCAACCCGAAGACACATAATTGTCAGATACACCAAGGCTGAAATGAAGGAAAAAATGTTAAGGGCAGCCAGAGAGGAAGATTGGGTTACCCACAAAGGGAAGCCCATCAGACTAACAGCAGATCTCTCCACAGAAACCCTACAAGCCAGAAGAGAGTGGGGGCCAATATTCAGCATTCTTAAAGAAAAAAATTTTCAACCCAGAATTTCATATCCAGCTAAACTAAGCTTCATAAGTGAAGGGGAAATAAAATCCTTTACAGACAAGCAAATGCTAAGAGATTTTGTTACCACCAGGCCTGCCTTACAAGAGCTCCTGAAGGAAGAACTAAACACGGAAAGGAACAACTGGTACCAGCCACTGCAAAAAACATATCAAATTGTAAAGACCATCAATGCTATGAAGAAACTGCATCAACTAATGGGCAAAATAACCAGCTAGCATCATAATGACAGGATCAAATTCACGCATAACAATATTAACCTTAAATGTAAATGGGCTAAATGCCCCAGTTAAAAGACACAGACTGGCAAATTGGATAAAGTGTCAAGACCCATTGGCAAGCTATATTCAGGAGACCCATCTTACGTGCAAAGACACACACAGGCTCAAAATAAAGCGACGGAGGAAGATCTACCAAGCAAATGGAAAGCAAAAAAAAAAGCAGGGGTTGCATACCTAGTCTCTGATAAAACAGACTTTAAACCAACAAAGATCAAAAGAGACAAAGAAGGTCATTACAAAACGGTAAAGGGATCAATTCAACAAGAAGAGCTAACCTAAATATATATGCACCCAATATAGGAGCACCCAGCTGCATAAAGCAAGTTCTTAGAGACCTACAAAGAGACTTAGACTGTCACACAATAATAATTGGAGACTTTAACACCCCACTGTCAATATTAGACAGATCAAGGAGACAGAAAATTAAAAAGGATATCCAGGACTTGAACTCAGCTCTGGACCAAATGGACCTAATAGACATCTACAGAACTCCCCACCCCAGATCAACAGAATATACATTCTTCTTAGCACCACATCACACTATTCTAAAATTGACCACAAAATTGGAAGTAAAAACACTCCTCAGCAAATGTAAAAGAACAGAAATCACAACAAACTGTCTCTCAGACCACAGTGCAATCAAACTAGAACTCAGGATTAAGAAACTCACTCTAAACCACACAAGTACATGGAAACTGAACAACTTGCTCCTGAATGTCTACTGGATAAATAACAAAATGAAGGCAGAAATAAAGATGTTCCACGAAACCAAAGAGAACAAAGACACAGCGTACCAGAATCTCTGGGACACAGTTAGAGCAGTGTGTAGAGGGAAATTTATAGCACTAAATGTCCACAAGAGAAATCAGGAGAGATCTAAAATCGACACCCTAACATCACAATTAAAAGAACTAGAGAAGCAAGAGCAAACAAATTCAAAAGCTAGCAGAAGACAAGAAATAACTAACATCAGAGCAGAACGGAAGGAGACAGAGACACAAAAAACCCTTCAAAAATATCAATGAATCCAGGAGCTGGTTTTTTGAAAAGATCAATGAAATAGATAGACTGCTAGCAAGACTAATAAAGAAGAAAAGAGAGAAAAATCAAATAGATGCAATAGAAAATGATAAAGGGGATAACACCATCGATCTCACAGAAATACAAACTACCATCAGAGAATACTATAAACATCTCTATGCAAATAAATTAGAAAATCTAGAAGAAATGGATAAATTCCTGGACACCTACACCCTCCCAAGACTAAACCAGGAAGAAGTCAAATGTCTGAATAGACCAACAACAAGTTCTGAAATTGAGGCAACAGTTAATAGCCTACCACCAAAAAAAGTCCAGGACCAGATGGATTCACAGCCGAATTCTACCAGAGGTACAAAGAGGAGCTGGTACCATTCCTTCTGAAACCATTCCAATCAATAGAAAAAGAGGAAATCCTCCCTAATTCATTTTATTAGGCCAGCATCATCCTGATACCAAAGCCTGGCAGAGACACAACAAAAAAAGAGAACTTTAGGCCAATATCCCTGATGAATATCGATGCAAAAATCCTCAATAAAATACTGGCAAACCGAATCCAGCAGCATATCAAAAAGCTTATCCACCACGATCAAGTTGGCTTCATCCCTGGGATGCAAGGCTGGTTCAACATATGCAAATCAATAAACATAATCCATCACATAAACAGAACCAATGACAAAACCCACACGATTATTTCAACATATGCAGAAAAGGCCTTCGATAAAATTCAACAACGCTTCATGCTAAAAACTCTCAATAAACTAGGTATTGATGGAACTTATCTCAAAATCATAAGAGCTATTTATGACAAACCCACAGCCAATATCATACTGAATGGGCAAAAACTGGAAGCATTCCCTCTGAAAACCAGCACAAGACAGGGATGCCCTCTCTCACCACTCCTATTCAACATAGTATTAGAAGTTCTGGTCAGGGCAATCAGGCAAGAGAAAGAAATAAAGGGTATTCAATTGGAAAAGAGGAAGTCAAACTGTCTCTGTTTGCAGGTGACATGATTGTATATTTAGAAAACCCCATCGTTTCAGCCCCAAATCTCCTTAAGCTGATAAGCAATTTCAGCAAAGTCTCAGGATACAAAATCTATGTGCAAAAGTCACAAGCATTCCTATACATCAATAACAGACAAACAGAGCCAAATCATGAGTGAACTCCCATTCACAATTGCTTCAAAGAGAATAAAATACCTAGGAATCCAACTTACAAGGGATGTGAAGGACCTCTTCAAGGAGAACTACAAATCACTGCTCAAGGAAATAAAAGAGGACACAAACAAATGGAAGAACATTCCATGCTCATGGACAGGAAGAATTAATATTGTGAAAATGGCCATACTTCCCAAAGTAATTTATAGATTCAATGCCATCCCCATCAAGCTACCAATGACTTTCTTCACAGAATTGGAAAAACTACTTTAAAGTTCATATGGAACCAAAAAAGAGCCCTCATAGCCAAGACAATCCTAAGCAAAAAGAACAAAGCTGGAGGCATCATGCTACCTGACTTCAAACTATACTGCAAGGCTACAGTAACCAAAATAGCATGGCACTGGTACCAAAACAGAGATATAGACCAATGGATCAGAACAGAGTCCTCAGAAATAACACCACACATCTACAACCATCTGATCTTTGACAAACCTGACAAAAGCAAGCAATGGGGAAAGGATTCCCTATTTAATAAATGGTGCTGGGAAAACTGGCTAGCCATATGTAGAAAGCTGAAAATGGATCCCTTCCTTACACCTTATACAAAAATTAACTCAAGATGGATTAAAGACTTAAATGTAACACCTAAAACCATAAAAACCCTAGAAGAAAACCTAGGCAATGCCATTCAGGACATAGGCATGGGCAAAGACTTCATGGCTAAAACACCAAAAGCAATGGCAACAAAAGCCAAAATAGACAAATGGGATCCGATTAAACTAAAGAGCTTCTGCATAGCAAAAGAAACTATCATCAGAGTGAACAGGCAACCTACAGAATAGGAGAAAATCTTTGCAATCTACCCATCTGACAAATGGCTAATATCCAGAATCTACAAAGAACTTAAACAAATTTACAAGATAAAAACACCATCAAAAAGTGGGCAAAGGATATGAACAGCCACTTCTCAAAAGAAGACATTTATGCAACCAACAGACATAAGAAAAAATGCTCATCATCACTGGTCATTAGAGAAATGCAAATCAAAACCACAACGAGATACCATCTCATGCCAGTTAGAATGGTGATCATTAAAAAGTCAGGAAACAACAGATGCTGGAGAGGATGTGGAGAAATAGGAACGCTTTTACACTGTTGGTGGGAGTGTAAATTAGTTCAACCATTGTGGAAGAGAGTATGGTGATTCCTCAAGGAGCTAGAACTAGAAATACCATTTGACCCAGCAATCACATTACCAGGTATATACCCAAAGGATTGTAAATCATGCTACCATAAAGACACATGTACACGTATGTTTATTGCAGCACTATTCATAATAGCAAAGATTTGGAACCAACCCAAATGTCCATCAATAATAGACTGGATAAAGAAAATGTGGCACATATACACCATGGAATACTATGCAGCCATAAAAAAGGATGAGTTCATGTCCTTTGCAAGGACATGGATGAAGCTGGAAACCATCATTCTCAGCAAACTGTCACAAGGACAGAAAACCAAACACTGCATGTTCTCACTCATAAATGGGAGTTGAATAATGAGAACACACAGACACAGGGTGGGGAACATCACACACCTGGGCCTGTCAGGGGATGGGGGGCTGGGGGAGGGATAGCATTAGGAGAAATACCTAACAAAACTGCACGTTGTGCACATGTACCCCAGAACGTAAAGTATAATTAAAAAAAAGATCATCAACCATCTGGCCCTTTCGTTTTTTGTTTTTTTTTTTGAGACAGAGTCTCGCTCTGTCGCCCAGGCTGGAGTGCAGTGGCACAATCTTGAGTCACTGCAAGCTCCGCCTCCTAGGTTCATGCCATTGTCCTGCCTTAGCCTCTGGAGTAGCTGGGCCTACAGGTGCCCGCCACCACGCCTGTCTAATTTTTTGTATTTTTAGTAGAGACAAGGTTTCACCATGTTAGCCAGGATGATCTCGATCTCCTGACCTCCTGATCCGCCCACCTCAGCCTCCCAAAGTGCTGGGATTACAGGCGTGAGCCACCATGCCCGGCCCCATCTGGCCCTTTCTTTGAATTTTTATATGTTGTATGACTCTCATGCACATGGGCATGTTAATAAATTTTGTATGCCTTTTCTTCTTCTTCTGCTTTTGTCAGTTGACTTTCATTGAATGTTCAGAGGACAAAAGGACAGATTTCCCTTGGCCCCTACAGTTTTGGCACTATGAGTAGAATAACTAAAACTCCTCTCCTCTTCTGGAAGCCACAGTCAAGGGAAGCCAGTATCTGACAAGTCAGCAGAAGCGTAAGAATTTCTTACCAGTCAGATTTCTGAAAGTCTATCTGTAGAATCTGGTCAAGCAAATGGTAAAAATAACTGTGTATTTCTCCTTTTCTAAAACTAAGATTAATGTGAGAAAAACATTTATATGGACTAGTCTTAAGTGTAGCAACTCAGGTGTATTTTTTGGTATGACATTTATATTGTCTGATCCTTTTCCTCTCAGAAGCAGTCTTTAGTTTTTCCTTTGTCACTGTCTTTCTGTGTCGTTTGTCATAGAGGACCTTTCATCTTCTTTTATGTCCTTGAAAGCTTGACATGTGACCAAGAGGGAACATTCTCTTGGTCTCTTCCATCAGAGGGTGTGATTTTTGGGTAACGTCCAGTTGCCAGTCTGAAATGACTAAGAACCCCAAGACACATAAGATATTAAGGAGCACACTCTTTGTTCTGAATGTGGTAAGCTCTCAGGAAAGTTTGTCATAATAGGAAGTCCAGTCCAAAAGGGGCTTTTGTTGTCTCAACCTTTGATGCCTGATTAGTCCTGGGAAAGTCCAATCCCAGGAAGGCCTACCTGATGTCATGGATTAATGGGTTCATGACTGGCAGCCCCCTGTGAATTTGTGAAATACTGGAGACACCATCCTTAACCATCTATAACAACAAGATTCTTTTGCTATCTTAGCTTATATCTGGCAGTAAATTTGTCTTTGGGATCATGGGGGGTTGCATCTTCTGTGCCATTTTAAAAACACCACTTATGTCCATGGTATTCTAAACCTGAGAAATTACCTCTGAGACTTTCATTAAGAACACTCATTGACTTAAGTCACTTATGGAATAAATAAATTAGCTATATTAAAAAAAAAACCTTTTGGAGTGCTATTGTTTTAAACAGCTATCTTATAGGTAGCTATGAAAAGACACAAAAGGAATATAGCTTTTAGAAACTCCCTTGGCAATATCACAAAAAGGCAGAAATTATATTTAAAACGAAGTTTAAAATCCTCTGTATGCTCTAACTGCCTGCTTTGAATTCCGCGGTGGAGTTACATAAAAAGCACTCCAGCCTGTAATCTAGTGGCTAGGATTCCAATCTTTCACTGCTGTGGCCTGGGTTTCAATTCTCTGTCAGGGAATCAGTCTCTTGGAGATGTAAATCTTTTAAGTTGGGAGAAAAAAAAAAAACATTTATAAGAATTAGTTTGAATTATTTGTTTTGAATTTATATTTGTGTGACTCTTAGCTTTTTGTAGTACCCAGTTGTTACTGATCCTTTCCCTTTCTATGGATAGCTTTTGTTTTTCTGGTTGTCTCTAAGCCTCTTTTTTCTTCTAGGTGTCTTTGCAGGGGCTCTGTATTTGTTAAAAAAAAAAAAAAAAAAAACTGCTCTTTGCCCTTCTTTGGAGATGCCTCATGTGTCGTTGGTTAAGTCACAAAAGGCTAATTGATTTTGGTTTTCAGTCACTTGGTAAATATCTTTGGTTTAAAAGAAAGAAGAGAAAACATGTTTAAAAGACAGGAATATTTGCTGTTTGTCCCAACTAAAATCTGATCATGAGAGATTTGAAAATATTTTTTAAGAGCTCTATGGTCACAAATTGGCCTAATTAAAAGCTGATATTCAGACTATAGATTCACACACACACATATGTATATACTTCTCTGTACTCTTTTGGATACTACTTCTCCCATGGAAATTTTTTTTTAATTGACTGAAACCTCTTTTTATTTATTTTTACTTTTTTATTCTTCTTAGACAGAGTCTGGTTCTATTGACTAGGCTCGAGTGCAGTGGCACAATCTTGGCTCACTGCAACCTTCGCCTCTCGGGTTCAAGTGATTCTCGTGCCTCACCCTCCCGAGTAGCTGGGATTACATGTGTGCAACACCACACCCGGCTAATTTTTGTATTTATAATAGAGACGGTGTTTCACCATGTTGGCCAGGCTGGTCTCGAACTCTGGACCTCAAATGATCTGCCCACCTTGGCCTCCCAAACTGCTGCAATTATAGGCGTGAGCTACTGCACCTGGCCTGAAACCTCTTTTTAATTGTGTGTTCAGTCCCTCTGTTTGCTTCCTTTCTTGTTGGCATAATTGTTGCTCAAAACAAACAAAAAATGTAAAATTTCATTGGCCTTTTTAGGAAGCTTTCCAAACTGGCTTCTCCAGGACTCCATTCTTTTATTTGCCTTGGCTCCTTCTTTTGCCAACTTTGATCTTTTGTCCACTTTCCTTTAGTCATCGATATGTTCCCCCTTCAAGTCTCTATTTCTTCCATTTGGTAGTCAATGGATGAAAAATTACTGAAAGGACACATAAGAGTTCTGGTTATCACATAAAGGAATCTAAAAGAGACTTCTAGAGGCTCTGAGACTCCTTGAGGAACACAGCCAAAGTGCCACTGAACCTTATGTATGTCACCTGTCTTCCTCATGGAGACTTAAAGTTGTGAGTGGTTTCAGCTTTATTTATTCATGGGCTCTGCCCTGAATTCAGTAATACCATTAAGAAACAGAAACTAAATTAAAAATCCACCTATCCAACTAAATTGATCTTCAAAGCACAACCTTCTGACATCTGGGTGGCTATTTTTAAGCTGTTTGTCAAATAAATTTACATATATAAAAAAATTTTCATGTGCAAGAGCATCGCCCTCTCTGTAGCTCAACCACTAGAAGCTTTTACTATGAGAAAGGCATTGACTTAAACTTTACATAATAAACCTTACCTTTGTTTAAGGTACTTTTCCTAGCTATCTTGCCTTAACTGGGACTTTAACTATACCCTTCTTTGTCTTGGCAAATAATAATGTTTAGATCTAAGTTCAATGTCTTTGATATGTAAATTTTCTACCTTGTTTTACCCAAAAATCATCCCTTTAGAAGGGCAAATTTAGGGTTTCCAAGTTAACAATTGCTTAGGGCAAGAAACAAGTAATTGAAAGATTGATTACCTGAATGGGAGAAAGAAGCTGGCAAATAAAGAATCTTAATGAAAACTAAAAGATATGTTTCTGGCTGTGTCTGTATGTCTATATGTCTATGTGTGTTATGTGTATGTGATATTTCTATGTAATCTGAGATAATCTTTGGCAAATAAAGCTAGTTTTAAAATTGTTGACAAAATAAGAATGTCTTCATAATTGTCAGTATCAAATATAATTCAGACATTTTTACCTGTGTCTACTGTTGGACAGGCTTATGCTGTCTCTATTACATTTTTTAAAGTCATAAAACTGCTCATTCTGCAGTGTTTTTGATACTTACTTACTTTGTCTATAAGCTAAAGCTATAAGGGCTGGCTGCTGTGCTCCCACAAAGCCTGGTACACAGGTACACATCTTACTGTGAGCTTATATCTTTGGTTTTGAGCCTCTAGATTCTGAGGTCTAGACAGATGGCCATGGTAAGGCCTGAGGACATATGCATGTCCTCAGTGCCTGGACCAAGAGCTACAGGGCAGAGCTAAGCTCAATATAGTCCCATCCTCTCTGGCCCAGATGTGCCTCCTGGCCATGCTAGGAGGGGTCAGATCTTCGATACATCCTCTTCACATCTCTGTTCCCTCTCCTGAGCATTACACCTGGTATGCGAATTCAAGATCCAGATAAGCCCTGCCCTTCATAGCTATCCTAGGTGCCACGTGGGTATTCAGGACCCAGCACAACTGGGGGAGACACTAGGAAGGGTAACTGTCATCATTTGAAAATTTTGTTCAGTAATTTAAGATCTTCAAGTCAATGTTATTAACATGTAATTACTTAATATGTAACTAATAGGTAATCATTAGTAATTACTTAATATGTAACTAAGTAACAGATAATCACTTCTAAGTAAGTTAACATACAGAAACATTGATGATTAAATATAAGTTTAGGCTTATATCCTTTGACATATTATTTTTATATGGCTAAAATCCAAATTGATATATGTGATTAAAGCTATTAAAATAAGAGAAATAACTCTTTACATAAAGTGTACAAGAAAAGCAAGTTATGTTTTTGGTAAGAAAAGTTATAAAGGCATGAGGATTTCTGCTTGTTGAGAAAAAAATAATTCTATCTATTTTAGAGGTCGTTTAAAGGTTGTTTCAAAATGAAGAAAAAAGATATAGATAAAACTAAATGAATATCAAAAATTGGGGAAAAACTTGTGTGGTTAAACTGACTAAAATTAAATATGTGTATTTTAAGTGTTTTTATATTGAGCCGTAATATCAAAAATACACTAATACACAATTAGATTTTGGTTTTTCTTTTTGAATAAGATTTTCATATAGTATTAATAAGAAATAATAAAATACTTTGGTTTACTTTTTGAATAATAAACAGGCTTATTTGATATGGTAAATTATGTAGGAAGCATTGTCAAATAAGAAATTATGCTTAACTTTCCTTGAGATATATTTGTATAAATGTGTTATTAATATAATGTGCTCCAAAATTATATGAGAGTCCTATAATTCTGACATGCCCTGGTATATGTTCTCCACCATAATTATTATTTATCTGTAATCTGGACTAAATCCTAAATTTTATTTCTCTGTAGTATCTGGCTATGAATCTCCAGACTAATGTTTCCAAATTTCCTTCCACTTTTCTGACTTAAAATCACTAGAAATTAAAATTGTTCTTTTCTTTAAATCCTATAAACTGAAGCTAGACAAGTTTATATAAACTTAGGGAGAGATCACCACAGCAACCTACATAGAAACAAATTTAATTCCCATTGATGCATCAACTACTCCAAAGTTCATGGCAACACTTGATTTGAAGTACTATCCGGGAAAATCTGTCATATTGCTACTACTTGCCCACTTCTACTGAGGATCTTTCAGAAACTCTAGAAAAAAACTAGTTTATAGACTACTCTAGATATCAATCTTTGTTTTTCTTCTGTTTCCACAGAAATACCTCTTATTGAAGATCTGTTTGTCTGCATTATAAACAGAGGCCTCCCTTTGAGAGTTCATCTGCAATATCACCTTCTGAAATGAGACACAGCTATTTAACAGAACTGACCTATTTGCAGGACTAAGACTGATTTGAGAAGATATGGGCTGCTTGTTCCAATCTGTGTTGTCCTTCCCATATTGCCAATCTCACATCTCTTATCTGAATCTCTCTAAAGCTAGTCACTTGGGCTTTAATATGTGAAACTTTCTAAAAATAAAGTTTTAAATGGGGGACTAATAAAAACCAAAAATATTTTACCCCAAAATATACTTTTTTGACATATTTTGGGATGGCTGTTCAGAGGGCCTGCAGACAGGAATAGCCCTGAAAAGCTTTCTTTTGTGGAGTAGATTTGCATCTGTAGAGAAAAATCTACATTAGTGAAATAAACAGCCAGACTTTTTCTGAGGTCCTCCCCTTTATCCAGATCTGGTAATGATTAACTCGACCACAGGCTGCCACTTATTTTTTCTGAGAGCTGCTACCTGTGAGTCTTCATCTACATAACAAGGCTGCCTTTACTCCTTGCCTTTCTTTCTCTCTCCCTCCCTTAGCTTGTCTCCCCATGCTCCAATCCCCTATTCTTCTGTAACCTCAAGATGGTATAATAGAGACAACCATCTGGCCCTTTCTTTGAGCTTTCATATTTTACATGTTTCTCGTGTACATATGTGCATGTTAATACATTTTGTAAGTCTTTTCTCCTATTAATCTTCCTTTTGTCAGTTGATTTTCAGTGAACATTCAGAGAGTGAAGGGGAAGGTTTCTTTTGGCCACTACAACATCGACATTTTTTTATCCTCCAGTTTGACAAAAACTAAAACCTTTATAACAAACTGTGGTAGCAAGCTTGTGGAAAACACTCTCATTCAGTGTTGTTAGGAGTTAAGTTTGTTAGAACTCTACATAAGGCAATTTGTCAATATCTGTCAAAATTAAAAATGAATATAGCAATTGACTAAGCAATTCCAAGTATTCATGCAGAATGTTTCTAAGAGTAAAATATTGAAAATAGTCCACATGTCTTTTATAAGGACTGTTTAAATGAATTAAAGCACATTTAATCAATTAAATGCACTGTAAATGTCACCCCCTAAAAAACGTTTTGTGCACTAATATGCATTTATGTTCAAAAGAAATACACACACAGACACATAGGATTAATGTGCTACTCAGGGAGGGGAAATAGATGGCTGAGAAGCTGAGCTGGGAGAAAACCTTTTCACAGCCTTTCCTGAAAGTATGTTTGAGAGGAGACACAGGAACATCTGGAAATGGGGGATATGGAGCAGAAAAAAAAGCATATTTTATCCCATATGCCCACTCTGAGTATTCACATCATGCATTTGTAATGGAGTTGAAGTACCTGAAGTGTCTCCAACTTGGAGACAAGAAACCTAGGGCGGGTTTGATGGCTGATAATTGATAACCTCTCATAAAGAAATGTAGATTTTCTCCTTTCCATTTTAAATAATAGGATTACAAGTAATAGATAGAGGCTACAAGACAATAAAATGATTGTTCAATATAAAGAAGGATTTCTAATCCTTAGAGCTCTTCAAAGATGTGATACGGTGACTTAGAATGTGGAGTTGCCCATTACTGGGACTGTCAAGCCAAGATTAAGCAATGGGCATGTTATAAAGGAAATAAAAGCTTCAGTTGAAATACTGAACTAGACTAGCAATTCCCAATATTTTCTACACTTATGGAAGATGACATTCACATGTGTAATACATTCCAAGAGGCATAACCAGACCTATGTGTAATTGTCTGGCAGGAATCTACCTTTTTTTTTTTCTTTCACTAAGAATAGCATATCAGAAGCTAGATGTCAAGGAGAGTAACATTATTAAGGGGATAACCGTGAATTATTTCCATTGAAAGATATAGATAAAATAGGCATAGAAATACACATAGAAGTGTACCATAGATGCAGCTATCATAGAAATAGACTGGCAGGAAATCTTGGTTATTTAACTAGTATTGCTAACAATTTACCTGTGACATAATTAATTACAAAAACTAGGATATCTAAAAACTATAGGCAAAAATACCAAAACTGATCTTATACCTTGCTACTACTCAAAATGTCCTCCACAGACCAGCAGGAGAGGCCTTACCTGGGAGCTTGTTAGACCTGCAGAATCTCAGCATCCACTCCAGACCTGCTGTGTCAGAATCTACATTTTAACAAGATCTCCAAATGATTCATAAGCATATCAAAGTTTGAGAAGCACTGGCCTAGATAAATGTTGAATTCCTTCTAGATGGAAATGTAGGTAAAAATGACAGGACCAGATATGATGTCAGCATCTGTAATAAAGCCTAACCATATATTCCTGCTTCCATGCCTCCACAATTTTGGATGACCTTTCATCCTTTAAGTATAGCTATACCAAAAGAGGCAAGCTATTTTCTGGAGAGCAGTTGCTACTCAGCGTTCAGTTGCTGATAGATTGTTTCCACACAAAATTGCAATTCATAACTCAGGATCTGCTCTAACTTTCAAGATTCCAAGCATTAGTTGTGACAGTTTTGATTTTGAGTTTTTATGTTCATACCCATTCTCATCCCTGTAACTTTTGGCATATACCTAAAGATCTATTGAGAAAAGAAATTATAAAAATAAAGTGGTACTATAATCTGAAAGATAACAGTGCTTTGAAACTTTTCATTACGTTGTCAAAAAAAGAACAAGGAAAATGGTGCTTTTAACTGTTCAATACTTTATAGTGGCTTTCTAATACATCACCCCATGTCTGTAGTGTGATACCCAGTCTCATTTTGCAGCAATGCATTACTTATGCGTGCATATCATGCTAATGATTTTCATCTTGTCATTGGAAACTAATCTGGAAATGACTTTTCTACAGGTTCTTTGATAAACAATAAGAGGAAATTTTTTCTTTGTGGAAAGATTGTGTCACTAATGCAAGAAGCCTACTGAAAAGTAATAAACCTCATGATATACTGAATCTCACTTCCCTCATGTCTCTTTGCTTTTCTCTGTTTTTCTTTAAAGGAAATTTTTCAAGATGCCTTTGAAAATGTTAGCAACCCAAGCCTAAATTTATAAACCCAATTTTTGTGGCTACTGTATTCTCTATGGTCCTTCATTGTTTTGGTTTACAGTCCATACATCTCAGTTTCTTGCTCATACTCAGAAGGGAAAACATCATCTTAATAATAGTCAAAAGTGCCCCAAGAGCCATTTCTCATTAGTTGATGACAGGCCTTGTCATACTCAATACTTTCACTTTCCCATAAAAAAGTAAAATGAAAAAAAAATTGGCTTTATTTCTGAAACACTTAGAAGTATAACGGCAGGGAGAAATGGGAAATGGAATAATTCATGGCATGACTGATCCTAATAAGACTTAAACAAACAATAGAGACAGAGATATATTGCCTGAGCCATGAAGCAATATTCTGTTTTGTTCCTTTTAAGTGCATGTTTCTCAAAAAGCCAGATAAAATATACCATTTTGAGCACAATTACCTAAAGAAAGCATTTTCCATTGAGATAGGGGCTGATCTCCTTGAAAAGTTGTGTCCATCCACTGCAGGAGGATTTTCTATTAGGGCTAAGGCAGTCATCTGCTGTAACAACCCCAAACAATCACTGCCTGATGGATGCACCTGTACTGATCTCTCATATTCACTAATGAGAGCATTTATCAAGTCCCTACTGTGTGTATCAGGAGCTAGGGAGAAACAAAGGACATCAGAAATACGATCCCCACATATGGAGTACTTTTCATCTAGTGCTAATTGGAGTCTGGGAAAATTGGGCCATTAGAGCCACTGAGATTGGCTGTTGAATGAAACATTCTTGGACAAATATGGCCAGCCTTACCTTCAGGGAACCATCTATGAGATGAGATCTCATGGGTACCAGGAAAATTACACTGTCCAAAAGAATATATCCCACAACCACTATCAGGTGCCTAAAATACCACCACCCCAATGTTACAATGAGTATGTATAGACTGCCTATTACAATGACAACCCCCTAGGGAAAATGATCACATTGAGCAGTATTAACATAATTAGGAATACATCAGCATCTTCTCTTCAAACAGCATTTGAAGGGAAGAAGGTGGAAACATCAGGGCACAGGGTCTCTCAAGAAATCTTTAGGACACAAGAAGGAAGGAAAGAAAAAGTTCTTGATGTCGGGCATGATGGCTCATGCTTGTAATCCCAGCACTTTGGGAGGCCGAGACAGACAGATCAGTTGAGGTCAGGAGTTTGAGACTAGCCTGGCCAACATGGTGAAAATCGCGTCTCTACCAAAAACACAAAAACTAGCCAGGTGTGGTGGCAGGCGGTTATAGTCCCAGCTACTCGAGAGGCTGAGGCAGGAAAATCGCTTGAACCTAAGAGGTGGAGGTTGCAGTGGGCTGAGATCATGCCACTGCACTCCAGCCTGGGCAACAGAGAGAGAGTCCGTCTCAAAAAATAAAAAATAAAAAGGCCAGCTGGGTGCAGTGGCTCATGCCTGTAATTCCAGCACTTTGGGAGGCCAAGGCGGACGTGGACCTGAGGTTGGGAGTTTGAGACTAGCCTGACCAACATGAAGAAAACCTGTCTCTACTAAAAATACAAAATTAGCCTGACATGGTGGCACATGCCTGTAATCCCAGCTACTCGGGAGTCTCAGGCAGGAGAATCACTTGAACCCGGGAGGTGGAGACTGCAGTGAGCTGAGATAGCGCCATTCCACTCCAGCCTGGGCAACAAGAGCGAAACTCCATCTCAAAATAAAAAAAAAAAAGGTCTTGAATTTGGTATCAGGATATATTATTAATACGTACCATCAAAGTCTACTGACAGGTAAGATACTAGGAAGGAAGTCAAGTTAAGCCTGACCCTCAGCACCTAGATGGAACAGTTCTTGGATCACGAATGTTTTTTAATGCATCTGGAGAATGTGAATTGAGATGCCAATACCATCAGAGGAGACCAATTGTCACACATGTAGTGATGTGACAGTGCAGCGATAATGAAGTCCTACAACCATTAGAAACAGGTAATTTAAGTCATGTGTATTGAATAAGATAAAGTTCAGCCACAAATATAGGAAAATAATAATGGTTGAATATGTCAGATAAAAGTTGTTTTTTATTTTTTGTTTTTGTTGTTTTTTTCACTTAAAAGAAGTCTGGAGGCTGGGCGTGGTGGCTCACGCCTGTAATCCCAGCACTTTGGGAGGCCAAGGCGGACGGATCATGAGGTCAGGAGATCGAGACCATCCTGGCTAACACAGTGAAACCCCATCTCTACTAAAAATACAAAAAATTAGCCAGGCGCGGTAGCGGGCCTGTAGTCCCACTTACTCGGGAGGCTGAGGCAGAAGAATGGCGAGAACCTGGGAGGCGGAGCTTGCAGTGAGCCGAGATCGTGCCACTGCACTCCAGCCTGGGCAACAGAGTGAGACTCTGTCTCAAAAAAAAAAAAAAAAAGTCTGGAGCTAGGCAAAAGCGAGTTGCCTGCCATAAGGGACAAAGGTTCTTCATTCTTTTCTGTCATCCTAGCTTGTGGCTCCCATGTTTTATGTTGTGTGATGATCCAAGAAGGCTGCTGGAGCTCCAGCCATTACATCCACACTCCTGGTGAGCATCAGGCAAATGTAAGGATGACAAAAGAGCATCTTTCCTGGCTAAGTTAGCTCCCTGTAAAAACAATTCTCAAAAGACCCAGATGAGACATTTTCTGGCAGAACTTAGTGTCATGGTCACACCTAGATGCAAAGAAGACTTGAACATGCAACCATTTTTTCTGGATAGCAATACACACAGGCATAAATTCGGATTCTGCTGCATGGAGAGGGGAGGGCGAAGAGTAGGGGGAAATAAACAGTCTCTATATATTAAATTAAACCACATATATGAATATTTTTGTCTTCAAATGAACAAATTTACAGCAAGCCGTTTATTCCAGGTTGTTTTTTATAGTGTTCTATGGTAAAGTCTGCAATTATAATCATAACTATCACTCAGACAGATTTTCTAAATCTTTGAACATCAAAGGCTGAAAGCCATCCAAGAGCACACTCTGATAATCACTGTCTTAGCACTTTACAGTTCAGGATTGCCTTTCTTATTTTGTCCCAGGTAACATATGTTAGGGGCAAGATATTATTATTCCATTTTATAGATGAGTAAACTAAGGTTCAGGGAGGTTATGACTGTTGCTTAAGGTAATTCAGCTTGGACATGGATCCAACCTACACATGTTTGTTGCTTGTTTGGCACCATTGAAGCTGCCTATAAGCCACTGCTGGACTCTGATCATTTTAAAAGAGGACAACCAAGCTTCCCTGCATAATCAAGCCCTCTCAGCTAAGATGAATTTATTCTGCCTTTGAAGAAAAATATTCATGCAACTCTCGTTTGCATTGAGAAAGTGCAGACAACAGCGGAGAATCAGTTGGAGTGAATGCCAGGAAGCCCTCCCTGTCAACTTCTTTTACTGTTTTTTCTACATGTGCAATTACCTCAGGTAGTTAATGTGAATGTTTGATTAAACAGACTTATGGGCCCTTTCATGTAGATAGTTATAAAAGGAGTAGCCATTCTATTACTCCAGCATATTAGGATCAATCCCAAAGACCATTTGCCTTTACCCATCCTCTGCCTGAAGTCCCCTTCCCTGGCTCTTCTCCCCGTGGAGGAATTTTTCTCCACCTCAGTGCCTAGTTCAAAAGTCACTATATCTATATCTATATCTATATCTATATCTATATCTATATCTATATCCTTGCTGGTACCTATGGCAGAATGAATTCCTCCCTCTCATACTTCTGCACTCACTCAACTTTCCAGAGAGTAAAGAGTATTGGCTCCAGCTGTGGACCTCCATTTGTCTGTGTCACTTGCCAGATGGGACAGGACCAGGTTCCACTCCAGTGGTTCTCAATGTGGCCCTGGGACCACCAGCAACAGCAACATCACCTGGGAACTCATTAGAAATGAAAATTCTCAGGCCTACTTCAGACCTACTGAGTCAGCCACTCAGGGGGCGAAGCCAGCCATCTGTGTTTTAACACGTCCTCCAGAGGATTGTGATGTACCTTGAAGTTTGACAACCACTGTTCTACTCCCTTTGACTCCCTCCTTTCTGTCACAGTGTCTGAATGTCTGAATGGCTGCCATGAACTGCTTTGCTGGATCTGTTTAAACACAACCAACACATAGGCATGACTAAGACAGAACCAAACTCCACTGCTAGGTTTACCTGTGATTATTAGAGGTGAAATGTGTTAACCTTACTTACTGGACTGGTTGTCAAAAAAGAAGAAAACTCTGTCGAATTACATCAGCTAGAATAAATTGCCAGCTGACACTCTTTGCATGTGGTAGTCACAAATACTATAAATCATTGACTGGAATTTGGCGACAGCTTTCCGGCCCCACCTCCCTGCAGACAACATCTTGATAGTGAGTCATGGGGATGCTAACAATATGTTTACTGCATCTTCTAAGAAATCTGACGATTCTCTGAGTTATTTTTCTTTTTGTGTGTAAAACATCATAAAAAAGACTTGCGGCGTTTCATTTCTTTTTCGATTACATTCTCTTGCTGTTTTTATAATGCTCTTTCTAAAAAATATAGATATATAATAACAGGAAAATTTGTTTTCAGAATAGAATGAATCACACATCAGCTTATATCTCCGTGTGTGTGTTATTCTTCCCAGCCATATTTGTACACATAGGAAATAATCCTGTCTCTAATGTCATCTTTAAAGGGCTGCCTCAAGGAATCTCAGTGTTGTTGGCAAAATTGAATTTTGCTGCC
The DNA here is from genome assembly GCF_000001405.40 of Homo sapiens. NCBI lineage: Eukaryota > Metazoa > Chordata > Mammalia > Primates > Hominidae > Homo > Homo sapiens. The sequence continues at coordinate 42,797,425 of NC_000023.11, read as the reverse complement.
CTGGATCACATAATTGTTGCCCTAATTTGACTACGGCTCAGCCAGAACTAGAAAACTCGGTCAGCTGACCTATAGATCCTTTGCCTAAAAAACTTTTCCACTTGTGCCTTAAGTTGAACTTGCTCAAGTTGAACTTGCTATTTTAACTTGCTATTACACTTCATTTTAACTTGCTATTCAGAGAACATGAGGTTCAGGTTTTTAATTCTTCTGAAAGGGGTGGTTTGGCTACTTCAGTTGTGCCAGTACTACTGATGAATAGTGCAGTTGAAGGAGGCAGAGATGAGAAGGGGATTTTATCTAAACTAGTGTAGGTATTTGATTTGAATATGAGACAAGTGCTAGGTCCCTTGGTTCCCACCACTTCTTGAGGGGGTGTGGAGGGAATAGAAAAGTGCACTGCCATGGCAGTCCCTGAGGACCTTGACTTGAAGGCTGCTGTGCCAGTAACCACCTGTGTGACCCTGGGCAAGTCACCATACCTCTCTGGTCCTCGGCCTTCTCAGTTAGGCAATAAGGAGTTTGTATGGCATGGCTTTTAGAATTTCCTTCTTAGCCAAAGTAATACTTTAATTAATGCCCATCTCCTCTCCCAGCAGCCCTTATGTGAAGATGGCAACAACTGATGTATAAATATACTCTAGTTCCCTCACTTGTGGGTCGAGACGGGGCCATGAAGGTAACTCTCCTACACTGACTCCCGGAGCTTACCAACAGGATGTTTATGTAGATGTTTATGATGTTTATGGAGAAAAATAGTTGATAAGAGCATCTTCTATTTTATCAATAGCTCCTTCTATAACAAAGCAGGATCAAGTGCAAAAGGATGAACATCCTTTTGTTTTTTTTGTTTGTTTGTTTTTTTGTTTTTTTCCTGAGACGGAATCTCACTCTGTCGCCCAGGCTGGAGTACACTGGCGCCATCTCGGCTCACTGCAACCTTCACCTCCCAGGTTCAAGCAATTCTCCTGCTTCAGCCTCTCAAGTAGCTGGGACTACAAGCACCCGCCACCATGCCTGGCTAATTTTTGTATTTTTAGTAGAGACGGGGTTTCACCACGTTGGCCAGGCTGGTCTTGAGCTCCTAACCTCAAGTGATCTGCCCACCTTGGCCTCCCAAAGTGCTGGGATTACAGGCCTGAGCCACTGTGCCCGGCCTTCTTTCATTTTCATAAAAGCAAGACATTTCAGTGTTTCTGATTAGGAACAATACTTCTCTACTTAAAAGACTTCAACCAATCTTTGCAAGGCCTATTTTCTGATTATCTTTGACATTACTTTCTGTGTAACTCCTGGAAGACATTCCCATTGATGACATTTTTCTTTTTTATTTAACATTTCAAAATAAGATTATCCCCTTGGAGGAAGAGAAAGTTGATGTTTACTGTGTAACATCAGAAATTCTCATTGATGTCCCAGCTCCTTTATCATCTGCTCTCAAGCAATGTGCTTGCATAAATCTGGAAACAAGTGACCACCCAGAAAATCAACACTTGGGATGCCAGTGCTAGGGAATTAATGCCCATCTCCTCTCCCAGTAGCCCTTATGTAAAGATGACAACAACTGATGTATAAACATACTCTAGTTCCCTCACTTGAGGGTCGAGATGGGGCCATGAAGGTAACTCTCCTACACTGACTCCCAGAGCTTAGCAACAGGATTAAGCTCTAGGTACCCACAGTAGTTAACGGCTTTGACAAGATACTCTTTGCCTTTTCCCTTCCCTGTCTTACTTCTCCACTCCCCTACCTGTGTTTTCTGCAAGTCTCCTCCCAAGTAAACTACTTGCATTGGAGTCCTTGTTCAGAGTATGCTTCTAAGAGAGATCTATTTGGTAGAATATCAGAAACTTGTGTTTGCAGTATGACAAAGAGTTTGGGCAAGAAACGTAGATGCAAAACCAAATAGCATTTTGATTTTGATACCATGCAGTATATAACATAATTCTCCAAGTGTACAATTCTTGGATGTACTGATGCATGACTTCAGATACCACATGGTTGAATGAGTATTAATCTCCACATCTGGCAGCATGATTGCTCCCGGAAGAGTCCACTGCCTTCTCAGTGTTTTACTAACCTCTCACTAATGGCACCCAGTGGGACATCTAGGATGCTTTCCTTGTTTGTGGTGCCTCTTGGTTTCATAGGTATTCCCACCTTTGGTTGAGAATTTTTTCGTTTCTAGCTGGGTTCTCCTTCTGAACGAACTCTTATACCTAGGGCATTTGGGGAATGTTTCTATAGAGGAAGAGATGTGATTATCAGCAGAAGAAACAAAGCTGTGGGAGTGATCTACTGCCATGATTAACAATAGCGCTCTGCCAAATACATGGCTCCTGTGCAAACAGTTGAGAGTTAAAATTACATTTTACACATCAGTGATATGTGTTTTTATTTATTTAAAAAGCTGTCATAACAGAACTAAATGCATCTTTAGATGTATTTACCAAATATTAACACAATGAAGACTACTGAAGCCTAACTCCATTGTTTTGTGGCTTTCAGATGAAGGTGAGACAGCCGAGTAAAAAAGGAGTCCCCAGAGAACCTCTGACTGACCTGCACTCTGGGAAGACAGGGTGGAGCCTCGGGAATTTCCCACCATTTGCAGGGGGTAGGAGCCTGGCCTTTCCTGTTCCTGTGTGGTAACCTGGGACTCAATCTGTGAGATGGGAGTCTGTAAACAGGAACCCCTCTCGCGTTGCTGAGAGTTTTTTCTTTTCCCTTTTGCCCAATAAATAAATTCTGTTTCCCCTTACCCTTCACAATGTCTGTGTGCCTAACTTTTCCTGGTTGTGTGACAACAACCCAGTTTTTTCTACAACATTTTTGGCAACCAGACATGGAGCTTGAGGAAGGCTGAGTACTATGCAAACCAAAAAATCTTTTTTCCTTTCACTTCTAAGCCTTTTTTTCCTTGGACCTCTTCTGAGGGTAGAGGAAACTGCAACCCCAACGGTTGCAGGTGCGTGCGGGATGGACCAGTGAATGGTGCCTCCCCCACTCCCCTCCTGGCCAGGACTGGGATGCATGGCAAGGGAGCCTTCCCCTAACCTGGCCAAGGGGTCCAACTCCTTTGGGCAGCAATTAATTTTCTCTCCCTGGTGTAGGAACCTATTTGCATAAGAATAAGAGGTTCTTCCCCAGGAATCTTTTTCTTTTTTCTACCCTGTCAGCAGTTGACTTTTTTTTTTTTCTTTGAGACAGAGTCTTGTTCTGTTGCTCAGGCTGGAGTGCAATGGCATGATCTTGGCTCACTGCAACCTCTGCCACCAGGGTTCAAGCAATTATCCTGCTTCAGCCTCCCAAGCAGCTGAGATTACAGGCACCTGCCACCATGCCCAGCTAATTTTTTGTATTTTTAATAAAGATGGGTTTTCACCATGTCGGCCAGGCTGGTCTCGAACTCCTGACATCAGGTGATCCACCTGCCTTGGTCTCTCAAAGTGCTGGGATTACAGGCGTGAACCACTGCACCCAGCCAGCAGTTTACTTTTAAGGGAGGTTTTTTTTTCCTTTTGGAAGATGTTTTGCTGGGCCAGAAATGATGGAGATCACTGTTTATATTCTCTGTAAAGTTTTAATTATGAAAAAAGATTTGTGAAGGTGGTCTTGAGTTGTAGCCAATCTGGTGTGCTTTGTGTGTCTTTCTGCAGGTTCTGTAGCAAACTTTGTGGTAGGCCTCCATCTTGTTTTATATCCTTGGGAGCATGGCCTGTAACCATGTGGCAATGCCTTTCTTTTGTCCTCTGCAATTTTATAATGGCAGCCCAGGGTTCTATCTTGGCTTAGGGAATGAGTCCTTTCTGGTTTGATATCTGTGCAACATTTGCTATCTGTTGATTCTCTTCCCCTCCATAAACTGCCTTGGATTTTCCTTTCTCTGAGCCTTTAGTAAAGTTTGAAAGCCAGAAATATTGGCCACTTGGTGTGACTAAAGTCAAGTAATAGAGGAGTTAAAAGGACTTTCCTTTTTTCTTTTTTTTGAGACGGAGTCTTGCTCTGTCGCCCAGGCTGGAGTGCAGTGGCGCGATCTCGGCTCACTGCAAGCTCCGCCTCCTGGGTTCACACCATTCTCCTGCCTCAGCCTCCCGAGTAGCTGGGACTAGAGGTGCCCACCACCATGACTGACTAATTTTTTGTATTTTTAATAGAGACGGGGTTTCACTGTGTTAGCCAGGATGGTCTTGATATCCTGACCTTGCGATCCACCCACCTCGGCCTCCCAAAGTGCTGGGATTATACACGTGAGCCACCGCACCTGGCCAAAAGGACTTTCTTAAAGAGTGCTCAGCTTAATTAAAAGTGGATACCCAAGTTATAGGTATATTTAAAAGGCCTTTATGTTTTTCTTTTCTTTGATCTTGTTTTGCTGAAAAAAGGTTTTTTTCTCAATCAACTGAATTATTTTTCTCCATTTTGCCTTGCCACTCTCAAAGCACACATTAGAGGGGAGAGACCTCAGTTTTCCTCACGGAACCTCAGGAATTAAAAGCGAATAGATCCCTCTCAAAATCTGTTTTTGCTGCATCTATGCCTATTTATTAGGCCTTAGAAGCTGCATGTTTTCCTAGCCCTGTCTCTTAAAGGGCTCCACCCAGAAGTCAATAATCCAGTTAGGAGATTGGCAAACAAAAGATTTTATGGTGACTGGGTTTTCTTCTTCCTGTCTGTGTAGTTATATATGTGCTCTGTGTGTGACGCCTATAAAAAGAGCTCTAATTAATTGGCCTAAAGGAAGATAAGCTCTTGGATCAAATATTGTTTAAAGGGAAGATAAAAGCTGTGGTACCTTTCAGTTCACATGACTTTAATCTTTGAGAAATAAAAACAGCCTTAAAGATTATTGGTAAAAAGCAGATGTCATCAAAATATAAATAGGTGGACTAAATTATGCAGGTCAGGTGCTAGCTTTGCTAAATATTTTAAGGTTAGAAACTGCTTTTGGGGTTTTGAGAACTACTTGACTTGCCTGCTTCACAACTGGTAAGGCCTGGGGACATATGGAATGAACCACACCCTTAATTAAGCTGGAAGGAGTCAAACCTTGGCTGCCCCAGCACATAATTAAAACAACTTACCCTGTTTTACATTTAAGTTAAAAATTGCTAGGCATTACCATTATAACATGTAATTGAAACTACTGGAAATAGATTTACATGTGAGGTATATAAGAACAGTAAAATGTGTTTTTAGTAAAAGATTATTAAAAAGGCATGGAAATGTAAATTCTTGCCCGGGGTAAATAATTGTTTTAAATTAGACAAGATAAAGCTAAAAGTTCAAACAAGTGGTGGAAGGATTGCAAAAATTATTCTTGCAAAAATTCTGTGTGTGAACATATTGACTAAATTCAAAAGGGTATTATATGGTTTTTCTGTAAATTGAACATCGAAATAAAAACACAACAAGGTACTCTTAAGGCACTAATCTGGTCTTTAGCAAAACTGGTAAAGGGTTATAAAAGGTTTTTGCTTTTTTAAAATTTGTGAGTCATCATTTTGGCAAAATAAATAATTCACAGTAATCTGGAATTCTATTTCATAACATCAAGTGTTCTAAATTTCTAACACTTAACAGGCTTCCTGAAATTAGATTTCAGTTTCAAAATTGCCTTTCTTGATGCCTGGCTTTTGGGTGCTTCAGAGGGCCCCTGGAGTATCCAAAAGAGAGGTAAACAGGATTATTTGACATGTTTAGGTACATGGGATTGCCAAAATGGTGTTCAATTTTCTTTAGGTTATATTTTGGTGAACAATACTAATATATGTTCCAAAATTGTATGGGATTTCTAAAACTATGATGTCTAAAGTATATGCTATCAATCATAATTAAGGTTGTTATGTTAAGTTATTGTAAAACAAACTTCTTTGTCAATTGCATTTCTAACTGTTACTACCCTGGACACTGTTATTTACAAACAATTGTTATTTTGTTTTGATCCTTTTTAGAAGAGGGTTTATAATAAGCTATAGGATTCTGACAGGTGCTCTCAAATATAGGTTTCTGATAACTTTGGAGACTGTGACATTGGAATAAAGGAAAAATATACAGGATTCATGAAGAGCTCAAATGTTCATGAATATCTAGGAAAACAAGAGTCAACTAAATGGACTGAACTCAGAAAACTGAAGCAATCTTTTTGACTTTTGCTTGGAATATTGCTGATCATTGTTTTGTTTTTCAGAGTCAAGGAAACTTATTTTGAACTATTTATGGCCTTCAATAATTGAGTGAGATATACTCTTGTGAACAAAATTTGGAGCATGTTTGTTTCTCTCTGCCTGGTTCCTCTAGAATTTGGAAACTATCTGTGAGTATTCTTAACTTATGGCAATATAGTTGTTTGCATCAGTGCAGTAAGAATCCATTTTCTTTTGCAACAGGACACAATTGTAGAAACTGGTTGTTTTACCAAGGCTTTGACTGAAAGAGTATGCTTCCCTTTAAGAAGTCAAGCTCAACTTGCAGAGCTGATAAAAGCCCCTTGGGAAAACTGGCCTCATACCCTTGCCTACACAGTTCCTATACAGAGTTCCTGAACTGTGGTCAGTAAAGGATGTCACTTTCTAACAGGCCCAGGAGCTCCAAGTTTATCTTGGGACCTTAAGAGGAGAGGATCACCCAACTCACAGGTATTTAAGGATACAAACCCATGTCTGGGCACCACTTTAAAAGGTCTTCTCTGAGATTCCTTGTGGAATCTCAAGTATGTAAAAATAGTTATTCTTGCTGCATTTTATGCACATAATGATGTCAACTATAATGCTAAAGTCTATTTTGCAAAAAACTTAGTCCTATTCGTCATGATTTGTTTTTTAAACAAAAATGAGGACTGGAGAGAGAGAAATTATGCTTCAAAACTTATACATTTGTCATTAAATTCTAAACTCATTAGTCATTTTTAAGTTTTCGCCTACATTTTAGACTAACTTTGCTTATTCCTGTGAACCAACCAGCAAACTCTGGCTGCAGCTCAGAAAGAAAAGGGATGAGTAATGTAGAAATCTGGATCAATATTCTAGTTCTGAGCAATTATCCTGCAAATCCTGCCAGGTGATGGGACTAAATAGGTTGCCCATCACCCAGAGGTCTCTTTTTTGGGAGACTAAGACCAAGGGAATTAACTAAAGTCAAGCACAATGCACCCAAATCTTAGCAAGCATAACTATAGCCACCAGTTATCTGGGCATTTCACAACGCATCCTTTTCTCTCCATTGTTGGAGGAAGATTCAATACCACAGCTTCAGCTTAGCATTTGGCTTATGATAAGTAGTCCATGCCACCCCCTGGAGGCACATTTTTGTCCCAAACTCAATTCCAAGCTTCTGGTCAAAGTCCTAGGAAAGAAAACTGCATCTGAGGGATCTGGAGGCAGATGATAATGGAAGTTAAAAAGCACAGTGCAGGTGAGCAGGGCTAATTCCTGCCGATTAAGCCAAGCTTCCCGTTTCATGGATAAAGGTCACATTAGTATCCATGGCATAAATGAGGGCAAAGTAATTCAAGGCTACTGACAGCAGGGGAGATAGGGTGTATATGGGTAAGAGCAGATACACCCACCCCCTAGGTTCTCCTGTTAACATGGATGAAAGCCGCTTTAACACCCATGGCTAGCAGCCTGTCACGGTTGCCAGGACTAGAGGATACAAGGATGGAGGAAAGAAAGAGGAACAACTCACTTTCCCTCCCTCACATACCCCAAGTATTTGCCAGGAAGAGAAAGGAACCAGAGATACCTGCTCCCCTCTTTCTAGATGAGTAGCAATTAATCTTCAGTCTGTACCCCTTTCAAATGTATCATGAACCCCTGGGACTCCTCTGAAAAAAACCTTCTTTTTCCATTTTTCCTTCTCTGTCCTCTCTTCACTGATAGGTAATTGTGTCTCTGTACTACAAGACACTCCCCTGAGATGCATCCTCCGAAATGGGAAAAGTTAATTTCCCAGATCTTACGCTGGTTGGCTTAGGATTGGGATCAGGGGAAGGGAACCCAGAAACCCAACATGCTGGCAAAAGGGTAAAGTTTATTACCAGGCAGGCTTTTGGCCTCCCTCTCCCTGTGCAAACCAGTAAAAGGCCTTGGAATTTTTGAACTGTCCTTACCCCTCCCCTTGTTTCATTTTGATACATGATTTTTAATAACCCGGTTTGTCTGTTCTTTCCCTCAGGCCATCAAACTCCAAATGGTCATGGAATCAGAGCCTCTGATGATGGCTCCTTCTGCTGAGAAACCTTAGATAGGCCTCTGAGGGAACTCTGACTGCCGTTTTCCCCAAAAAAGTGCCCCCTGTCAGCAGAAAGCAGTTAAAATTGGTCTTCGTCCTTATCCTTATCCTTATTCTAATGGCAGTTAGATGTACTTCTTTAGAGGTGGGAATGAGACAGCCAGGTGGGAAGGGGTTCCCAGAGAAACTCCAACCAGGCCATGCACTGGGAGGACAGGGTGGAGCCTCGGGAAGTTTGTGCCATTTGCAGTGGGGAGGAGACTGGCCTCTCCTGTTCCTTTGTTGTAACCTGGGATTAAATCTGTGAGTTGGGGGCCTGTTAACAGGAACCCCTCTCAATTTGCTGAGAGTTTTTTTCCCCCTTTTCACCCAATAAATTCCATTCCCACTCACCCTTCAAAGTGTCTGCATGCCCAACTTTTCCTGGTTGTGTGACAAGAAGGCAGTTTTTTCTACAAAACAAAGGTTCTCCCACTGGAAATATAGTGGATGGTGATATGGTTTGTCTGTGTCCCCACCCAAATCTCATCTTGAATTGTTCTCCCATAATTCCCACATGTTGTGAGAGGGACCCGGTGGGAGATAATTTGAATCATGGGGGGGCTTTCCCCCATACTGTTCTTGTGGTAGTGAATAAGTCTCACGAGATCAGTTTTATCAGGGGTTCCCACTTTTGCATCTTTCTCATTTTCTCTTGCCGCTGTCATGTTCAAAGTGCCTTTCACCTCCCGCCATGATTCTGAGGCCTCCCCAGCCATGTGGAACTGTAAGTCCAAGTAAACCTCTTTTTCTTCCCAGTCTTGGGTATGTCTTTATCAGCAGCATGAAAATGGACTAATACAGAGGACTACTAAGTATCTGTTGAAAGCAGAAATTTCTAGGCCTGTATCTAAATTGCATATAATGTGTCACTGAGTAGGATAGGTGTAGTTTACCCCAGCATGTGGCGAGGGGGAGCAGAGAGATGTGGTGCAATGGAACTTCAGACATCTGCTCATCCCTTGTAACACGGCAATAACAGTAAATTGTGTAAAGAGGTATGTTGGAAAGATGGCTGATGTTTTCTAACTTTTAGGCTTATAATAGTGACACGTATCCTTCTGTGTTGACTATATTTAGAATTTTTAGTTTGATGACAAGAACACAAAATTTGGGTTTTTCTTAGAGTGACTTTCATTAAGGAGAAAGTTAGCCAATGGTAAATGAAAAAGAATTATTTAAAAATAATGTGTAACCTAAATTTGCAATACCTAATTTTTTTCCTTAAATGATTTTGTTTGTGACCCACATAACTGATCACAAATCACAGTGCTCCTGCACTAGCCTGAATTACCATTGTGCACTGAATGATGAGTTTCAGAAAACGCAAGAACTTCAGGATGGCTGACTCATTATATATTGAGCAGCTTGTATATTCACATCACAATATACATGTCGGGGGTGGGTGCTGTGTACACACAAAGGCAAACTTCCAATGCACTAGAATTGATGTCTCCCTAAACATCCTGTTTACAGCTTAACATGTACAGGTCCATTGTGCCCACTAGCAAGGAGGACAAGTCTTGTGTGTGTTGGTCTGTGATGCCTTTCAGTTAGGCTTTTTAAGAGGAGCCCAAAGTATTTCTGAATAATGAAGGTTTGTTTGTTTGTCCTGACATACCAGAGGGTTTTCCTATAGCATTGAGTATCAGCTTTTGAATCCCTGAAAACCCTCATCACACAATACAGCTTTTTTCAAAGAGTATGTTAGCAGTACATTTTTTTTCTGGAATGAATAACACAGTTTTAAAGTGATTGCAGAGTTCCCGAAGTTAGTAGGACTTTAGAGAATACAGGACAACTTGAACTTAAGGTGCTTAAGGCCCTTGTAAAAGTTTTATGATTCTTTCATGCTTTTGCTTTTGTGTTCTAAAACGCAGAAAGACCTTGAGGGAGAGAAGAGGAAGCAAAATGTTATCAGAAGGAAAAAAATTCTTGTGACTGCTACCTGGAGGGGAAAATGTGAAACTGGATCTTAATTTTTGTTTTGTTTTGTTTTTCAAAGGATATTTCTGCCTGTGAAAAATGAGGCCTATGAAGGACAGAAAATGTGCCAAAGTAACTTTTCGTAACAATCTCCAAATTCCACATATGTCCGCGTGAGTGACTGGACAAATTCCAACTGACTATAAGGGCTCTGGAGCTCCTTTTCCTCCACTCGAAAATCTCATTCTCCCAATACCTTATCATCTATCACTTATCTTTCACTTAAGAAATATTTTTGTAATACCTACTATGTGCCAGGTACAGCATCATGTCATGGAAATACAAAGATAAAAATAGTAGTGAGCAAAACAGAAACTTTCTGTTAAAAAAAATATGACGCTCATCAAAGACAGCAAGGAAGACTAATCAATATGGGACTATCACAATATGTATAGGAACAACTGCAGTGAGGTCTCACAGTAAGGGAGAGAAAGGAGGCTTGTCTCCCAATCCAACAAGGACAAGTGTAGATTTATAGCCAAGGAGCAATGTGGGGGGTCAGTGGAGGGAAAATCAGTAAGAGTAAACATCGGGGGTAAGGAGGAGACTTTATTGACTGACTCAACAGGATTCTTGCTGAAGGCAGGCCAGAGTGACAAGATATGGAGAATGGGGTATGAGGAATTTGATCAGCTGTTCAGGGTGGTCAGGTACCAATGGTGGAGAATTTTCACTAAAATAACTTAGTAGTATGACAGGCCATATCTCACTAACAGCTGAACAGGCAGGCCTCCATAACAACTGTTTCAGCACTGACTGAGTGGTGACGCTAAATATTAAAAGCTGAGAGAGCCAGTGCCCTTATACAAAGGCTGGAAGGTAACAAAAGCACATCAAGAGTTTTTCCCAGGCCTTTCCTGGGCCTTGAAGCATGACAAGGTAACGAAGGAATTCTTAACAGGACCGGTTTAGAATTAAGCAAGTTTTTACTGGGGGTCTGAAGAAACTCCCCAGACCTCCACAAAATTTTTACTGGTGGTCTAAAGGAACTCCTCAAAGCTCCATGATTTAGTAGGAGACAAGATAAGGGTAATCACCCCAGCACCTGGACCCATCTAGATTAAGTAAATTTACTGAGGCTCCAGAGGAAGGTCTTCAAAACTCAGAGTTTAGTTATAGATTAGAAGGAGTTAATCACTTATGTCTTTAGAAGAATGCACACTTACATGTAGACATATAGCCTAGAAGGTATATAAGCTCTGGAAAACTTTGTAATTTTGAGTTGATCTGGCGATAGTTTCCCACCCTTCTCCCTGTACCTGGTTACAGAAATAAACTCGCTTCTTTCCCAGTTCACCTGCATCTTGTTATTGGGCAGCGAGAATAAGCAACCCCACCCTTGGTCTGGTCTGAGAACAGTAGGATTCTTGTTCAAACTGGATTCTACAAGGACAGAGGGAAGTCCAAGTTCGGGCTTAATCAATAAGAGGCTCAGAGGAGCCTAACTAAAGTTAGATCAAGGAGAGAGTCTTTGTCATTCTTCTCTTGTTCAAGGAAAGAAGAAACATTCAGATATTTGCTGAATGGTGCAAGAAGTCAGGCATTTAATGACGGGAATTTTCATTAAAACAAAATAAAAACAAAGATTATGGCTGGAAACAGTTGTTGAATCCAGTAGGCAGGTAGTCAAGAAGATTTCTAGACTTAAGCTCAAAACATTTTTAGATGGGGGAGTGAGGACAGCAGTGGCAATATGAGAAATTTCTTGGTTTGATTTGCAGTTTTAATGTCTTTGCTGATGACATCAGGTGTTTCAGTGAACTTTCTAAGTGGGCCACACAGCAGTAGGTATGAAGTAATGATCATTACCTACAGATGATCTGCTGCGTTTTATATCGTTTGAAGTTTATATCAAGTCCAGCTTCAATCTGCAGGACTTTATGGAAAGGGCAGTTTTTGGTCTCAGTGATACCAAGTCAGGAGGGTGGGAGAAAAATTGGAAGCATTAGTTTGGAGAGTTATAACCAGAAAAAGAAAACTAGAAAAATTCAGAATCCAGTCCAGTTTACAGGTAGATAATAAAACCAAACACAATGAACAGGACTATAATCTGATAATGGGTGCACTATAGTTTTCCACTGAAACAAAATTTCTTTCTATAGTCATCTCCCTTGTTTGTAAAATAAATCCGATCTCATTAGCTTCAGCCTGCCTATTTACATAAATACAAAAAGAATGGTAATTAACCACATAGGCCTTTTAGAGTCTGCTTTGCTGGAACTTTTCATAAGTGATCTCAAAGTAGACTTTCAAAACCTTCTCAAGACTATGAAGCCAAGCCAAGAATTTCCTACCAAATTTCACCTGCAATATCTTTGGATTTAGATGAATTCCTCTCTTCTCGAGGTCCCCAAGGTACCCTGAGGTTCCTGGGCCTGCATGATGGTTAATTTCATGTATCAACTTGATTGGCTTAATGGATGCTGGTAAACCATTATTTCTGGGTATGTCAGTGAGGGTGGTTTTGGAAGAGAATGGCATTTGAATCAGTAGGCTGAGTAAAGAAGACCCACCCTCCCCGATGTGAGTGGGCATCATCCAGTCTTTTGAGGGCCCACCTGAATAGAACAAAAAGGCAGGGAAGGGTAAATTCTCTCTCTTTTCTTGAGCTGGAAAATCCATCTTCTGACTTTGGGCAGCAGAGCTCCTAGTTCTTGAGCCTTCAGACTCCATGATTTACATCAGCATCCCTCTGGTTCTCGAGACTACTGCCGTAAATTGCGAGTTACACCATTGGCTCCCCTGGTTCTGAGGCCTTCAAACTCAAACTTAATTACACCACTGGCTTTTCTGGTTCTTGGTATCCATAATCATGCAAGCTAATTCCCATGATAAATCTCTTCTTATCTATCTATCTATCTATCTATCTATCTATCTATCTATCTGTATTTTTGTTGGTTTTGTTTCTCCAGAGAATCCTGACTTATACAATCTGCCAGAAAGTAACCTCCCTCACTCACCTGTAATGCTGGGAACCCTGTAAGGCAGGTACCAGGCCAGTTTTTCCAAGAGCGTTTTGTAAGCATTGGCTCTATAAAGTCAACTTTATTTCCTTAAAGCTAATTCTATACCCATGATTCCCTAATATGACATTCTGGTCAAAATCTTGGTAATATAACCAATTTCTCCAGTTGTGTCTAGTTACAAGGAAAACATATTCTTACTGAACTTAGGCAAATAACTATATTGCCATGAAAATGAGAATATTCAATAAAAGGTTCCAAATTCTGGGAGGGATAAGGTAGAGAGAAAGATAAATATTCATTTTTGTTCACAAAAGTATAATCTCCTAAATTGCTATAAGTTATAGATAGCTTAAGAGAATAGAGGAAAAGGGTCCTTGAATCTGGAAACTAACATTAAAGAACCAGCAATGTTTTAAAACAAAAATATACAAAAGTATAAACATCCTCATTAGTTCACTCAGTCCCATGTCACAAATCCTTGTTTTCCTTGATTTAGGGTTAGCAGTTTTATGAGTCTGTCAGTTTCTTCATTAAGTCTGGAAGTTCTTACTCAGTCCAGTGGCATGTCTGCAAAGTTATTCAATTGATGCCATCATGGAAATTTATTGCCTGTAGCTGATTGTAGATGCTTTCAGAGAAGAATCAGAGTAAAACAAAAACTGTCTGTGAGTGACAGAAGACTTAAAATGATCATGATTAAAGATCTGAAGAGAGTTCATTTGACAAGAAATTTGGTTAGTTGTGTGGCATACAGTATTTTAAGATAATAACTGCAATTATGACCATTATGTGGTCAGTAAGGGCATTGATAAATTTTTAGGAATTTCATACAATTTCTGAAACACATATTAATAAGTTATATTCATATACATATCATCTATAGAAGGTTAAGCATCACTTCTTATTTGACAATGCTTCTCATATAATTTAACATATGAAATAAACCTAATTACTTTAATATCTCTCTTTTACAAGGTGAAAGAACAAGTTCTTTAATAAGAGAGCCCTCTGGTAAATGTCAGTTAGTTCCAAGTCAAAAAGATATCATTTAGTATTTGATTTTGGGAAGTTTGTCAAAAATGTCAAAAGGTTTGAGCACTTGATTAAATAGGATTACAGATCGCTATGAAATATACTTAGTTATCCATTTAATCAAAGTGGCAATAAAAGATTCCAGAGGTAAATATAGTAAGTAACATACTCGAGAAAAATAACCCTAGCTTTTTTAATATTGAAAAGATTTGCTTTCAAAAGTAATTAAATATGTGATAAAGACAACATGAAGCACAGGAAATTTATCTACATAAGACACAGCATCTTTCCTTCCTAGATGAATTATTAAACAGGTAAAGAAAAATCTTTTACAATAATTTAAGAAAACTTTGTCCTTTTAACAGAGCGGAAACCAAATTATAGATATGGATTAGTACATTATTGAGCTTAAAAAATCCTTATAAAAATATTAGCATCTTGACTACACATAAAATTCCTTTTCCACAACTTCTACAACTTTTAAAAAACATGTATTTAGCTTCAGTCCTACTCTTTTCCCCTTTCTCATTTTGAACAATCACTCATCTTACTTTAGGACAAAATGACTCTTTTTTTCCTTAATGAAAACACATTTTTCATATTTTATATACTTTATTAAAAATCTAACCTACTACCCTTGTATATTTTGCATACAAAGTTGTTTCCCTGCAGTCTTATTATTTCCAGTGGTGTTAATTATATATATAGATAGATAGATAATATTTTTCAGCCATCATTCACATTTCTTTTACAGAAAAAAACTGGGAAGTGGGCAATTGTGAAGTCTGTCACATACCAGGATTCTGTATGTGCACATTAGCAAATTTTATGAATATACCCTCCCACATTTCTTACAGGTATAGGCTATTATTTTATAATACAATTTTTCATGTTTATTAAGAGGCTCGAATATATTTTAGCCTCTCTATTCCATGTGAAAATAAGAACCCAAAAGTATATAGACATAAACTTAGATTTAGTAGTGTTTTAATAGTTTATCTTGCTTAGAAATGATCTAGTTATTTAATTAATATCTATTACCTAATTTAACTTAGGATAACTCTTAAGGTTTCACATCACCAAATATTTGGAAACTGTTTTTAGGTTATAATAATTATAACATCATACAAGGCTAAAACATCACTTCAAGTTATTTTTCTGTTAACTAATTTTATAGCATGTTCATGTTAGGCAAGCATCAACAAAACAAAAACCTAAAAATGTTAAATACATGGGTTTTGTTTAACTGCTCTGCTTGATATGCATGAAGTGATGGATACTGCACTTCTTCATTCATTCTTAGGTTAAATTTATAATTTTTATAACTTTAAATATTTAGTAGAGATAACATACTGCTAAACCCAGGTAGAATAAATATGTATGCTCATCTTATATTTAATGCTGATAACTCAGAGGACATACCCTTTTTTAATTAAACCAACAATATTAAAGTAATCTAATTTCCCAAAGATTTACCCAAGTCATATAAAATTGAAAACCATTTGAGTTAGTTCCTATATTTCTGGGAGTTTTAGGAATATTTAGTTTATATGTCTCATTTATCTTGTAAGCCAATTTGAATAGAACTCCTTGAGAGATTTTATAAATTAATTTGGTAATACCATCTGGAAGTAGGGAAATGTCATTTATGTAATATGCATGCATACATACAAGCATATATAAACATACAGATGCAAACAGAGATCTTACAGCTTTTATTCTAAAATTTTAGCCATGAATCAGGCAACACAGTAATACAAAACTCACCGGTTTATCTCCACTTATATTTTTATCTGAATTGTGTTTCTGACAAAAATGGGACAAATTGAGGTTACCTACTCAACAAGAGCTAAAGATTAGGGAAAATAGCTAATGCACGCTGGGCTTAATACCTAGGTGACGGGTTGATAGGTGCAGCAAACCACCATGGGACATGTTTCCCTATGTAACAAACCTGCACATTTTGCACATGTATCCCAGAACTTTAAAAAAAACAATAAAAAAGAAAGTTAAAAAAGAATATGATGAAATATCAGTTATAAAATAAGTAATTGTTTTAAGAAAGAACATGTTAAAAGGAATAAATAAAATGTAAATGGCTGAAGAAAAAAACAAGAGCTAAAGCTTTTTATGAAGTTTTGTGGAGACCTCTAAGGACCTCCAAGATTTTCTTTTTCCTGATATGTAATCCTATAAAGGCTGAAGACTAAATTTGAGATCAGGGACTGAGGGCATGTCAAGCAAATGTCTAGATGATTCCAGAGTCCATCTGAGTAGATAAAATATCCAGTCTGTTTCTAATTAGCCTTTTTTTTTCAGCCTCAGATAGTGGCTTTCAGGTATCCCTGAGTCCCTCGAGAGGCCCTGATGTGAGTGGGAGGATTAAAGTTCAAATGACTGAGGGAGTTGAGCTGGAGCAAGAAGGAAAATGTCTAGCAGGGGTGGACAGAGAAGTGGAGCAGGCAGGGGTTTGAGGGGAACATATCAAAGAATTCAAGGGAGCTGAAGAGAGGATTGAAGGTGGTAAGAGGAAGAAGCAATGGGAAGGAAGAGACCATAGAGGAGCCAGTTTGAGGAGATCTCAAGTTCCTCAAAGAGGCCACTGGAGTTCCAAATAATCCTCAGCAAAATCATGCCAATAAGAAAGGAAGTAGACAGAGCTGGCCTCAGCATGGGTTCAAGAGGAGGAGTTTCAGACAACTGAACAATTTCTATAAAGAGAGGCCTCACAAAGAGCCAGAAAAAATAAAATTTCCAGCCCAGTAGTTGTGGAGTGGATCCTCACTTGAAACAAAAGAGTCAGGAAAATATTCCAGGCCAGGGAGCCAGGAAGTAATTAAATAAGGGTGGGAGACAGGAAGAATTTTCTAGCCAGGACCAGGCCCAGGAATCAGAGAATATATATAACTCCATTCCAAACAAAGAGCCAGGAAGAAAGACTTCCAGCCCAACAGGTGCCTTCTTTCTCTCTTTCTTTTTCTTTTCCTTTTTTTGAGACAGGGTCTCATTCTGTCACCCAGGCTGGAGTGCAGGAAGCTCAGGTGCCTTTCATAAAAAGCTTCAGACTCTAACGCAGCTTCAGAGAGTATACTCAGAATCATAAGAATCAAAATGTATCCTCACCATGCTTCAACAGACTGCCATCTGGAGCACTGGCTCAAGAGTTGGGCTTACCAATGGATTCCTGATCAGTCAGCCAAGAGTGAAGACAAAGGTTTCAAAGGTGCATACTTCAGGTTCTGGATGAGAGCTCCAGGGGTCCAATGGTGAATCTGATCTTATCTGAGTCACAGCCAACACAACTGTTAAAAAAATTATTCATGACACTTGTTAAAGATGGTAAGAAAGACTCTATTCCATGGAGGACTATCACAGTAGATACACGAACCACTGCAATGGGGTCCGTGTAGGGGAATAAAATTGGCATTGACTGCCACTCCAACAAGAATAGGTAAAGGGCAGGATGGAGACTCAGTGAATAGAAAATTACTGAAAGGAAACATCAGGGCTAAGGGGAATTCTTGCTAGACTGACCCAACAGGGTGACAAGATATCTAGTGTGGGGCATGAGGAATTTGATCAGCTACTCAGGGAAGTCAGTTATCAGTGGTGGGGAATTTTCACTAAATTAACTTAGTAGGATTCTTGCTCAAACTGGATTCTACAAGCCCAAGTTTAGGCCTAGTCGAGCAGAGGGCTTAGAGGAGCCTGATTAAAGTTTGGTCAAAGGAGAGAATCTTTGTCACTTCCTTTTATGTTTTGATGTTTGTCATCTAGTGTACACAGATAAGAAATTACAAATGACTCAAAATGCTGTCACAGAGAATAAGAGACACCATGAAAGCAAAGCGAGGTCTATTTGCTGTTGGGGGTCAGGAAATGGCCTCTGAAAGTCAATGATGATTGAACTGAAATCTGAAAGGGTGCTCCAGGCTGCATGAAGAACCTGGAAAAAAAAAAAAAAAAAAAAAAAAAACCTCTTGGACAGGAAGGTTCATGAATGCTCCCACAATGGGAAGATCAGAATAGAAAGCTGGAGGTAGAGTGGGAAGAATTTAAGGGGAGAAGGCTGCAGATAGACACGTGAGTAAACTGAGCATATCATAACAGCTGTTTTCAGCCTCTTCTGAATTTGGGTCTTTATGTCAAGAACAGTGGGCAGCCGTTGAAGGGTTTGAAAGAGAGATGAAGAAGATCTGATGGGTGTTTTGACCGTGGATAAGAGATTGGACAGCAGGAGGAGGAGATACTGGGGGCCCAGTTCAATGACTGTGAGTGAAGTTGCCATAAGAGAAAATGGTGATTTGAAACACGGTGGTGGCAGAAGAGATCAAATAAGCCTCTTGAAATATTTAGGTCACATCCGAGGGCTGGATTGGAGAATGGGCAACATGAAGGGACTGAGGAGGACACGCAGATTCCCAGCTGATATAATTAGCTCTATGTTGGGGTCATTCACCAAGACAGGGAGAAGAGAGGAGGACCAAGGTATGCGTGGTGGAGGGAGAGTGTGGATGGGCACAGGAGGGAGGAGCAGAAGGTCATCACCTTCTAGCTGAGGCCTCTCATCTTTCCAACCAAAGTCGTGGCTTTCAAAGTTTTGACAGTGACCCACAATGAGAAATATTTTACATAGCTTTCCTGTGGGCAGACAGGGTGTATAGAAGTTTCTAAAACAATGCTTCCCCTTTCCATGTACAACCAAAGGGTATTTCCTACCTTATTTTCCGTTAAAAGAGAAAAAAAATGACGTTAGCATGGGCCACGAGGCGGTAACGTCAGCGGTACAGCCAGCGGCAACGGCAAAAGCAACGGTAGCTGTAACGGTAGCGGTGACGTCAGCGGTAGCGGCAACGGTGACTGCAACGGTAGCGGTAACCATAGCGGTAACCGTAGCAACTACGGCAGCGGTGGCGGAGGCGGCGACCATAGTGACGTCATACGCAGCGCCCTTTGTGACACCAGGGCCCTGGTGCTTTAACTAGGGCGTTGGGACCTGTTGCCCACACAGACCGCCCTGCAGTTTCAGACTGGAGGGCGGTGGACGGCTACTCAGCGGCCCAACTCTCTCGCAGCCCTTCTCTCCGCAAAATGTCAGCCTCCACCTCCTCGCACCGGCCCATCAAGGGGATCCTGAAAAACAAAAGCTCGTCGGGTTCCTCGGTGGCGACTTCCGGTCAGCAGTCTGGAGGGACTATTCAAGATGTGAAGAGAAAGAAATCCCAAAAGTGGGACGAATCAAGCATCCTTGCGGCACACCGCGCAACGTACAGAGATTACGATTTAATGAAGGCAAATGAGCCCGGCACTTCCTACATGAGTGTGCAAGATAATGGGGAAGATTCAGTGCGCGATGTCGAAGGAGAAGATTCAGTGCGTGGTGTCGAAGGAAAGGAAGCCACCGATGCTTCCGACCACAGCTGTGAGGTGGACGAGCAAGAGAGCAGTGAGGCCTACATGAGAAAAATCCTCCTCCACAAACAGGAGAAAAAGCGGCAGTTCGAAATGAGAAGAAGGCTTCACTACAACGAAGAATTGAACATCAAATTAGCTAGACAATTAATGTGGAAAGAGCTACAAAGTGAAGATAATGAAAACGAAGAAACGCCACAAGGCACGAACGAAGAGAAGACTGCTGCGGAAGAATCAGAGGAAGCTCCTCTGACCGGTGGACTGCAAACCCAGTCATGCGACCCTTAGAAGATGCCTGCTTCACCCTTGCAATTGTTTGTGAATATGTGACGCTTAGAAGATATCTGCTTCACCCTTGCAATTGTTTGTGAAATACAAACCTTGTTACTGTAATACACTGCTTCTTGTTTTCTGTAGCGCATGCGTCGAGTACTAAATTACTTAGTTAAATTGTAATGCAGAATTAAATGGTAATCTTAGAGAGTCATAGATTAAGTGGGAAATGTCTGCTTGATGTTATTGTAATTATTTAACACAAATACAGATCCTGATATTGCTTTTAATTTTATAAAGCCATATTCCTTTTATAAAACCATGGGTTAATGTATATATTCTATAGCTTTTTAATATGTTAAAGACTTGAAAGGTAACTAATTTATATTCACTTCTAGTTATACTAACTTTTGCAGAAAAGGTTTTGTTAAAAATGCAAAACATAATTGTTAAAGTAGATTATCTAGGCTGATAAATATTCAGGCTGAAAAACACATTAGGGTGATTTGCTGTTTAATTGAGAGGGAATATATTATAAGAGTTCTTGTTGAATTTTCTTGTAGTAACTTGACAGTTTCTCTTAATTTTCTTTGGTTTACAAGGAAATGACTGAACTTTTTCTCGTCAAAAATAGCCATTTTTCATGCATTATCAGGTTAAAATTGCACCAATGGCTGTTTTGTTTTTTGTACAGAGGGTGGGCAGATTTGGTATCAATAGTTTTTTCAAATTCTAAAGTAGTTAGTAGACCCTTTTTGTACCTACCTCAACCTCTGTCCTTTGTTCCTCAGTCCTCCCAGCCCATGCACATCAATCCCTTAACTTTATGGAATATCATAGATAGTCAAGACATTAGAAACCCTTTCTTCTCTCAGATATTCTATGTGTTGCAACAGTGTCATTTCCATTTTGAGTATGATGGTCTCTTCAGCCTTCCAACATGTGGGGTTACATAACTATTTGAATGCAAAGAAGTGGTTTCCAGATGCCTGCGGAGTGAACAGCTGCCTGCAGATGCGTTCTTCTTTCTTTCAAGTTCCTTCTGTCTGAAGGTGAAGACAGAAAGCTCAGCCCTCGTGACCTGTTCTTGCTCAGAAGAGAAGGAAACCCAGCTCACATTTGGCTACAGTTAGGGGAGGAATGGGGTTGCAGAAGTGATAAGGAAAAATAATAGATGACTCACAAGTGGGGAGATAAGCAGATGAAAACATTGGAGGGAGTAACACATGGTTCTACATGAGGGAGGGAGGTGTGTCTAAAGAATCATTTTCCACAAGATGATACACTATTGTTTACCTAACACAATACCACACTTAGGTTATTAGGGAGAAATGTGGGCAAGGAGATGAGGGATGAAGCCTCCAAAACCCAAATTTGGGGAGGAATACATCCAAGAATTTTTAATAAGAAACTTGATCCAATTAGCACTATCATTTTATAATTGAAAAATTCAGCCCATAAGAGACAGATGCAACATTCAATACACATTTAAGGGGAAGCAGAAGAGACTGAGCTCTCAGCCAGTCCACACTGGGTGGGCTTTAGCAGCCAAAGCTGCATGTGCAGAGGCCTTTGGAGGAATTAAGAATGCAGATTGCAAAAAGTCTGGGGAAAACTGAAAATTGTGGGTGTGTGTCTGTGTTTGTGTGTCTATGTGTGGGCACTGGGGAAAGCTGCCTTGAGGATTCTTCTCTACCAGTATAAACACAGTTCTCTAAGACAAGGTTATACATTATTAGCTCCTGAAAAAGGTAAAAAATTGTTTTTATCATTGTGTAGGCAGAGCATTTTTGCATCACTGAACCTGCTTATCCATGCTGGGTACAAAATATCTTATTCTTTCACAAAGCCTTCTTTTTCTTCATCTTTTTTTCCTGTTTTAAAGCAGACTCTTTGAAAGGTGCATATGAACCCGGTTTCCATAGCAATTGCAAGCATCAGTGATAACCCAGAGCTTCTAAGTTATAATATACAGGCTACCCTATTAATGAGTTTCAAACTGCATTTCCATGAGACAACGGCTCAGCCACTGATAGATAAGGTCAGACGCCATCTTCAAACTTTAAATTAAATCAGGATAGATCAAAATGCAACAGAGGGAGGAGTATCCTTTTGGGAAAGTGTGCTGTTAAAAATATGTTCTTTGTGGAGGCAAAACAGTTGCTTTTGTGGTTTCTAAAGCCCAGATGAAAAAAATACAAAAACACATACAGCTTCTTCTGGGTTACTAATGGCATGTTGTCATTTTCTCATGCTATTTGTGAGCGAGTTTTTATCATGGTAGCTCAGGCTCTAAGAAAGCACACAATCCTTTGCTTTAGGAAGAACAGACATAATGGTTTATTTTTGCCAGATCTCACATAACATCATGTTATAATTTATTAAATTATTTATTTATACACTAGGTGCCAAGGCTCTGTGCCTGCCTTCAAGGAGATACCAGTTTATGGATGGGAGAGCTCAGCCATGTCACCAGGTCATTTCTATACTGTGCAAGAGTGCTTTACAGAGGTCCTCGAGGGACATCACCTAAGGTCTTGAAAGGCCTTCACTTGGAGTTGATATCGAGGATAAGACCTAGAGGAGACATGAAATTTAACCAAGTGACGAGAGGTAGACTCATAGAAGTTAGCATTCCAGATGTAGGTAAGGAGATGTAGTTCCTTTGGGGAGCTGCAAGGTATTCTCTATGGGAGAATGCATAGGACTAAAGAGGAAAGAAAGGCTATGAAAGGATTCACATGCCACACAAAGGCAATGGGAGCCACCATTTTTAAACAGAATAGTGACATAATCAAACTCATGTTTTTGAAAGACCACTATCGCTGCAGAGTAGGGCCTGAAACCGAACAGCACAGAGGGACAAAGAGGGAGAGAGGAGCACATATGTGTGACATGGGTTACAGGAAGCTTATGGCTATAATATTCAAGTGCTGAACCTCTTACCTTGCACTCACAGCAGAGTCACACCCTGCTCTACATCAGTGCCATGCAGTGTGGCCCCCAGACTGGCTGCATAAGCAACACCCAGAAGCTGGTTAGAAGTCCTAATTCTCAGACTCCATCCCAGACCTACTGATTCAGCATCTCTAGGGCTAAGGCCTAGCGTTCTGTGCTTTAACAACCTTTCCAGGGGATTGTTCTGGATGTTCAAGTTTTTTTTTTTTTTCCTTACAAACAGAGTCTCACTCTGTCACCCAGGCTGCAGTGCAATGGCGCCATCTCGGCTCACTGCAACCTCCGCCTCCCAGGTTCAAACGATTCTCCTGCCTCAGCCCCTGGAGTGGCTGGGATTACAGGCATGTGGCATCATGCCTGGCTAATTTTTGTATTTTTAGTAGAGACGGGGTGTCACCATGTTGACCAGGCTGGTCTCGAACTTCTGACCTCAGGTGATCCACCCGCCTCAGCCTCCCAAAGTGCTGGGATTACAGGCGTGAGCCACCGCACCTGGCCAGTGTTCAAGTTTGAGAACCACTGCTTTACAATATAACTTTTTAATTAGCTGAGCTCAACTCTGTGGGACAGATCTCACTACTCATGTGTGTGCGTGTGTGTGTGTGTGTGTGTGTGTGTGTGAGATGTGTATACAATTTTGCAAAAATACATTACATTGAATGTCAGAACTACACAAAGATTTGTTGAGAAACTTTCACAAGTATGCTGCTAGATGGAAATCACAGCTATACTCAGTCTGTTCCCATCCCGCCAATGCAACCCTTTCTGTAGTCCCTCCTCCACATCTTGCTATACACTGTGCTCCTCACAGCACTGGTAGAGTTGGCATTCCCACTGCCACCCACAAAGTCCTGGGACTTTTCCATATCTTCAGCTTTCTTTGGGCTATTCCTTTTATCCAAAATATATGTCTTCCTATTTTTACTGCATGTCTTAATCAGTCTTCTACATTCAGTATAATTCATCCCGCAAACTTCTAAGTCAGAATAGTGGGTGTCTGCCTTGGGGGAGGCAGAAAAGTACAGTAAGTGACAGTGAAGGATTTGAAGTCAAAAAGATCTGGATTTGAACTCAAGCTCTGCCATATATTAGCTGAGTCACTTGAGGCAAAGCATTTCACCTCTTTAAGCCTGTTACCTTACAATCAAATGAGGATAATTATAACAATACCTTCCATTTCTGGTTGTTGAAATGATTAAATAAAAAAGTGCTAGTAAAACACAAGGCTTTTGGTAAGTATTCAGTAAGTGATAGCTATTATTATTATTCTCATCTGCACACATTTTCTCTACATCTGTTAAACCAATCATTTCTCTGACATTTCTGAATCTATCTCTCTTTTCCCACTGGACTGAGGGCCTCTTGGAGATAGGAGCTGTGCCCATGTGTCTGACATCTCTAAGCACAGTGTCTTGTACTCAACAGATGTTGTAGAACGGAACTGAGAAGTTGCACTTGAGCAGTTTTTCCTCCTGTCAAATTGTGTTCTATAATTCGTCTATAATTTACCTATTCAAATAGAGCTTGTTCCCTGAGGCTCCTCAAGTTTTAGCTCCATGAGCTGTGAGGGGCACAGGTGAAGACAAAGTGAAAAGATAACAGTCTCAAAGGGCAAGACTTGAGTGGCAGCTGCTTCAAATAACCTTCTCTTTGAGGATGTCCTTGGTGTTTTCATCATCACTAAGTCTGCAAAGTAGGAGATGAAATGGGAGGACAGCAGGCAGGATTTAGATGGAAAGCCAATCTCCATTTTAATTTTAAAATGCATTGAAACTTCTAGGACATAGCCAGGTTTATAAAAGAAAGGAATTAATTTTGTCTTGTGAATCTAGACCACAGGTAAGAACCACATTCAGTTATTTATAGCAACACATGACACTTTTATATTTGCAGAGTGTTTTTGATTCTTTTTTCCTTCTGAACTCCCTTTATTAATTACTATTGACTTTAATAGCAACATAAAACTTTTAGAGCTAGAAAAGGCCTTAAAGACCCTTTAGTCCAACTGCTTCCCATTATAGGCGAGGTTTTCTGTCTCATTAGCAGCAGAGATGAAATTATCACCCAGGGCTTATAAAGCCAAGGGGAGACTAAGTTTGTATATAGCAACAAGATCTCTCTCTTTATGTACAGGGAACCTAGATTGAAAACAGATTGAAGCATGTTTTCGAGTTGGTCTGGAGGCTGCTCTTGTATTTAGAACTCAGAAAAGCCTTCCAGAAGAGTATGACGTTTCTTAGAAAGCCTGGACTCAGACCAGCACCCAACACATCTGCTGGCTGATACTTTATCTTTTCAAGATGCCTAGAGTACACCTTGCTCTCCTGGTAACACCTGAGTGTAAGATGGTGTAAGAGAATACCAAAGATCAGTGATGTACCTGGGATAGCCCACCACCCCTGAATTCCTCATCTTCTCTGAGTCACAGAAGAGAAGGCACTCATGGTCCCCTCACTGTCTCTGTCTCCTCAGCTTCCTCATTAGTGAGATGCCAAACTACCTATTCATAGGGTTGGAGTGAGGATTTTATGAAGTCACACATGGAGAGGGCTTAGAACAACACCAGGCACATGGTGAACACCCATTCAATATTAGCTATATTTAACATTCTTCTTGTTAGCACTGTCTTGGAGCTCTGTATGGGGCAGTAACATCTATCAAAGCCAGATAGTTTTCTGCTTTTAAACCTAATATTAAACAAGGACAAATTCTACCTCTCACACATAGGCAGGATGCATGACAGGGGGTAGTACGGCAGGCCAGGTCTCACTAGCCCAGGCCTCCATAACAACTGTTTCAGCACTGACTGAGTGGTGATGTTAAATATTAAAAGCTGAGAGAGGCAGTGCCCTTATTCAAAGGCTGGAAGGTAACAAAAGCACACCAAGAGTTTTGCCCAGGCCTTTTCTGGGCCTTGAAGAATGACAAGATAACAAAGGAATTCTTAACAGGATGTGTTTAGGATTAAGCAAATTTTTATTGGGGATCTGAAGAAACTCCCCAGACCTCCACAAAAAAGTTTTATTGGTGGTCTAAAGGAACTCCTCAAACCTCCATGATTTAGCGGGAGACAAGATAAGGGTAATCACCCTGGCACCTGGACCCATCTAGATTAAGTAAATTTACTGAGGCTCCAGAGGAAGGTCTTCAAAACTCAGACCTTAGTTATAGATTAGAAGGAGTTAATCACTTATGTCTTTAGATGAATGCACACCTACACATAGACATATAGCTTAGAAGGTATATAAGCTCTAGAAAACTTTGTAATTTTGAGTTGGTCTGGTGATATTTTCCCAGCCTTCTCCATGTACCTAGTTACAGAAATAAACTCTCTTCTTTCCCAGTTCACCTGCATCTCGTTATTGGGCTGTGAGAGTAAGCAACCCCATCCTCATTTTGGTCTGGGAACAGTAGTACATTCTTCAAATCTCAGGCCAGGCTTTATGTCTGAACTGAGATTTGGCTGCTCCAAAATTAGACCTTGTAGTGAATGCAGTGATCCACCACCTAGATTCTGTAAGAGTTAAAAAAAGAGGAAAGAAACATGAAGAGTGGCTCAACAGTCAAAGACAGATTTATTTCTCCAAAATAAACCTGAGAAGGGCTTCTGACTGATTTCGGTCAGGAGCATTCTCTCTTACAGACTAAGAGTCTATATTGGTGTTAAGGTGAGAGGGCTTATCACCAGCTTGGAATGTTTCTGTGTGGGGGAGATGTTTATGGTGGGGTTGGAATATCTTTGGGTGGAGGGGAGGTTATCTGGAGGCTGACGTCTTTCCAGCTGGAGAGGAAGTTATCTCAGGGCTGGCATGTCTTTGGTCAGGGAGGGGTCTGGAATGTTACTGGTCAGAGATGTTATTTGTGGTTTATGGTCATGCTGACCTTAGCCATTAGGCTGATGCCCTTTGGATTTCGGCAGTTTTTGATCAAGGTGAAAGTTAAAATGACAGTACTTGTCCAAGATGGTGATGCTCCTGCTCTGTCAATCCAAACCCTGTAGTTATAAAAAAGATGAGGGGGAGCGTGTTCTTTCTGGCTCCTCCCTGCTGATGGGGGGATGGAGTGTTTTCAGGTCTTGGATTGATTGCAGGAGTAACACCATTTGTAGATGTTTTGGGGTAGTTGTCTGTGAAATGGCCATGATCCTGTCAGTTAAAAATCTTTGAAAAAGACTAATTAGGCAGGGTAAGAACATTAGTCCTAGGCTTATTATTAGGAGAGGTCCCAGGAATGGGATGACCCATGCTGTGATTTTGTTTCCAAACCAAGAATCTATTTGGTTGTTGTGGTATTTCCTTAGCTTTTCGGCCCTTTCTTTAAGTTTTTTTTTTAACAGTGTCTCTTACTAGGCCCATTTGGTTGAGATAGAAACAACATTCCTCCCCTAATGAGAGGCAGAGGCCCCCATTTTAGCTGCTATAAGATCTAGTCCCCATCTCTTTTGGAGGACTACACCAGCCAAGGAGTCTAGTTGGTCTTGGACTCTTATAAAGCTTTGGGCTATATCTTCTAATGAGTCCTGTAGTTCTGTTGAAAGAGTCTTAAAGTATGTTATGGAGGTGGCTAATCTGCTTGCTCCCAATCCAAGTCCAGAGGTTATACCCAAGGTGGCCATTAAAGGAATGACGTGGATGGCCCTTCTTTTCCTAACGTATTGGACGGATGGGATGGGCAAAGGTTGACCAGGAAGAACTAGTCCCATGGAAGGAGATAGATAAACTAGGGTACAGGTTCTGGTCCAGTTAGTGGGGAGACAAAGATATGTGTTGGTGCCACACAAAAAAGAACAGGCCTTTGTCATAAATACAGGTAGCAATATGGAAAGAGAATAAGTGAATTAAAAATGGGTGTTTTTTTCTTTCTTGTGGTTCATTACTCCAGATGGACAAGGAGGAGGCCAGGGAGACACCTACTATAGTAGAGATATAAGAAGAGTTATTTTTTACACATTTAATGTGATTGGATATTGCACCATTGATATTGAGCCATGGAAAAAGTGGGCCCCAGAGACAGCACATGTTAGGCCAGAGGTATTGGTTAAAGGAGAGGCCGTAAAACAAGCCAGATGTAGAAATGCTTTGTTTGCTTCAGGTGATACTTGGTAGTCAACTCGGTTAGTTTGATGGTCAGAGAGGTGTATAATAATGATAGTGCAGTTGCATTGGCTAGGTGTTAAGAATCCTACAGGGAGATTTCCCTCAGAGGCTGAAAAGCAAAGTGAGGCTTGTTGTAAAAGGAGGGTATGTTTAGTTATAGGCCCTTTAACAGGAGGGCCTTGGGGCTTAAGGCATTGTAGGGGGTTGTAATAGGTTTGAAATAATTTGTTAGCTTGATTGGCCCTGGAAGTAGGATAATCGCCAACCAGTGTGTCAGCTCTTTCAAAAAAGGAAGCTCCTTTTTGGAGTTTATAAATTAGGGTTATGCTCCCTGTTAAAAGGTCATGAAGGGGTGCAGGAAGGGCTGAGTAAGCTGAGGAAGACAGCTATAAGCACATCCAGCATTCTGGAGCAAAGGAAGAGTTAGCTTGCAGCAAGAGGGACTGTGTAAGGTTTATAGAGTGTTCAAGCTTGAGAGCAGTGAGGAGTGGTTGTATTGGTGAGGTTGACGTACTTAGGGAATTTATACTGAAAAAAAAAAAAAACAAGCAAAAAGAGAAAAGGGTTACCTAGGTAGGAGAAAAGTCCTGGAAATTTCCTTCAAGCCATATGGCCTCAAGCCATAGGTCCCATAGAGTAATAAGGAGCTGATCAGGATATATAATGGGAGTTTCGTAAGGTTACCACTGAAGGTCTATAACAAGGTTGGTTAGGAAGTGATGAAAGTTTGGGGGAGAAAGAGACATAAGCAGTTTATGTGAATTTCTTTTCCTTTTCCTCTGGGATTCGGGTGAGTTGAAGGGAAATGGGTCCTGGGGAGACACAAGAGAAGGCTGAAGGGGTTTTAGGTTTGGTTGTTTGGGTATGTAGTGAAGGAAAGTCAGTTTTCTTGAGAGAAGTATAATGAATCCAGTTAGGGAGTCCCTGCAGTTTTGCTGCTGTGGGTTTGGTAAGGAAGATCTAGTAAGGTCCCTTCTATTTAGGTGTGAGGGGAGTATTAGGGGTAGGGCTGGGATCTTTTACCAGGACCCAATCTCCTGGCTGTAGGAAGGGATTAGAGGAGTTGGCTACGGGTTGTGGCAGGTATTTGTCAGCATATTCCCAAATGAAATGGCAGCTAGTATGTAGAAGAAGGCAAACGAGAGGAGTTGGTAGAGGTGGTGCTTGACTGTGAGGTGGAACAAAGGGGGCAAGTGGTCTCCCGTACATGAGTTCAAAGGGGCTGAGCATTAAGGGTTTACATGGGAGTGCCCGAATTTTTAGGAGAGCCAAGGTAAAAGTGTAACCCAGTCTTTATGTGTTTGGAGTGAATACCTGGTGAGGTGTTTTTTGAATGCCATTCATTTTTCAACCCTTCCTGAAAATTGAGGTCGATAAGGGATGTTTAGCTTCCAGGTGATTTGTAGAGCTTGTGCAAGTGTTTGAGTAATTTGAGAGATGAATGCAGGACCATTGTCAGATTGAAAAGAAAGAGGCACCCCAAACCTGGGTATGATTTCTGTTATTAATTTGGAGGTGACAGTAGAAGCCCATTTGTTGGTTGTGGGAAAAGCCTCGATGCATCCCAAAAAGGTATCAACCAGAGCTATAAGAAATTGAACCTTTTTAACTGGGGGTATATGGGTAAAATCAATTTGCTAATCCTGTCCTGGAAGGTGTCCCCTGGCTTGATGGTTTGGGTAAGAAGGGGGTCTAGTATTGGAGTGGGGTGAAGCTTTTTGGCAAACAGAACATTGATGGGAAATGGCTTTTAGCTGTTCCTTTATATCTGGGGTTATGTGTATATGGGAACTTAAGAAATGCTGTAGAGGGGAATGGCTGGTGTGGAAGAGGTTGTGAATGCCCTGTAAAAGAGTTGTTTTTTTCGGGGTCAGGTAGGACTGATTTGTTTTGTATGAACTAGTATTGGGGTTTGAATTGTGCCCTTGCTGTTACTAGTTGTTGTATTTGGTGTTCTGGATAAAAGGAGGGGATATGTTGTATGAGGGGAAATAGATATTGAGGGATTGGATGATTGGTTCAGGTTTGTTTTACCCAATAGTCAGCCTCACGGTTTCATAAAGAAATGTGGCTTTCATCTGATTGATGTCCTTTGCAATGGATAACTGCAACCTTTCCTGGAAGTAAAGCTGCCTTTAGTAAATGATGGACTAGTTTTCCATTAATGATAGGAGTTCCCTTAGCCATGAGATAGCCCTGCTCACTCCAAATTTGGGCATTGTAATGGATGACGTTATAGGCATATTTAGAATAGGTGTATATATTAACTTACATGTTTTTGTTTTTGTTTTTGTTTTTGTTTGCTAGGGTTTGTGCTCTTATTAGGGCAACTAATTCTGCTTCTTGAGAGGATGTGCCAAAAGGCAAGGGGGCAGCCTCTATGACTCTTGTAGGTGGGAGAAAGTGGGTATCATCATGATATCCCTCAGTGATAGCATATCCTGCTTGGAGGGGATGGTTTTTTGATGTGCTGCCATCTATAAACAAATCTGGGGCTCCCTTTATGTGAGTGGAAGTAAGGTGGTGAAACATGGTGAGAGAACTTTCAATTAAATCAGAGCATGAGTGTTGATTGGGGTCCAAAATTGGTGTTGAAGGCAAAACAGTGGTGGGATTATGGGGGAGCATCTATGAAGAGAGATAGAGGGTTGGAGGAGAATTGAATGTAAGGCTTGCAAGCAAGAGGATGAGATGGAGGTGAGCACCTTATGGCTGAGCATATCTTGCAGACTGTGAGAAGAAAATACCTGAAGGGGTACATAGAACGTGAGTTTTTGTGCCTCAGGGATAATCAGAGAAGCTGTGGCCAAAATTTTTAAGCAAAGGGAGCCAGCCTTTGTAAATGGGGTCTAGTTGTCTTGAAAAATATGCCACTGGTTGGAGGGAATCTCCCATTGGTTGGGCTAATAGTCCAAGGGCCTGGTTATGAGAACTATGTAAATATAGATGAAAGGGTTTCAGGGGGTTTGGAAGGCCTAAAGCTGGGGCTTCTAATAAGGAATGTTTTAGGTGAGAGAAAGCATGATAAAGGTCTGGAGTGGGAGTGAGTGGTTGGTCAAGATTTCCTTTTGTGTGTTCATAAAGGGGTTTAGCAATAATGGCAAAATTTGCTATCCATAATTGGAAATATCCCACTAATCCAAGGAAAGAAAGTAAGTCCCTTTTTGTTTTAGGACAAGGGATTTGTTGAACGCCTTGCTTTCATGCTGGCAGAATTTCTCGAGTATTTGGAGTTATGATTAATCCTAGGTATGAGACTTTTGGAGAGATTAATTGGGCCTTCCTTTTGGACACTCAGTGCCTGCATTCAGCCACAAAATTTAAAAGCCTGGTGGTGTGTTGAATAAATGCTCTAGAGAGGGGCTGCAAAGAAGTAAATCATCCTCGTGCTGAAGCAAGATGCTGGATCATAGAGGTAGTTGGGAAAGGTCCAACTGAAGTGCCTGACTGAAATAGTGAGGGCCGTCTCTAAACCCCTGGTGGAGGATAGTCCAGATGAGTTGTTGGGAGTAGCCTGTGTCAGAGTCGGTCCAAGTGAAAGCAAAAAGTTTTTGACAGGAGGAATGTAGAGGAATAGTAAAAAAAAATCCTTGAAGTCCAATACTGAGAAATAGTTAGTGTTGGGAGGAATTCTCGATAGGAGGGTGTAGGGGTTTGGGACAACAGGATAAAGAGGAACAATAACAGAGTTGATTTATTGCAAATCCTGAACCAGTCTATAGGAGCCATCCGGTTTTTTGATTGGGAGAATAGGAGTATTGTGGGGAGAATGAGTGAGGATTAAAATATTGGGAGCCAAAAGTCAGGAGATGATGGGCTTGGGTCCCTGTAATCCATTAGGGTTGAGGGGATATTGTGGGACTTATATAGCACTTAGGATCCTTCAGTGAAATTTGAATTGGAGAATGGTGGGTAGTTATTACGGGGGAGTCAGTGTTCCACACTGTGGGATTTACCTGGTTGAGGAATTTGGGTTTTATGTCTATTTGATGTGGAGTGTCTGAGGAAGGGTTTTGTTCTTGACATAATAATAACTAAGTGTGGCTTTGTGGCTTTGGTGAAGGGCCCATAAATGAATGATTCTCCCTAGTTTGTGTAGGATGTCCATTCCTAGCAAAGGAGTGGAACAATGAGGAATGACCAAAAAAGGGTGAGTGAGGGTGACTCCCTGAAATGAGCAGTATAGAGGTGGCATTTTGTATGGGGTTTCTTGTATGCCCTTCATGCCAACAACAGAAATGGAAGAACGTTCTATTGGGCCTTGATATTCAGTTAATACTGATAGACTCGCCCCAGTATCCTGGAGAAATGAAATAATCTTACTGGATACCGTCCCAATTACCCTGGGCTCTGTGGACTCACTGTACGTGGGAGTGGAGGATCCTGGGCACCCTCGGTCTTCTGTTGTCAGTGCCAGCAGTGAAGAGATTTCCTCCTGTGATGGTTGGGGGGCCTCATTATGAGCCGCACTTGAATGGGGAGGATGTCCCTGTTGGGGGCAGTCCATTTTCCAGTGTCCCCAAAGACCACAAGTTGGGTACACTTTGGTGGGGCACTGGAGGTTAGGACAAGCCTTTGCCCAGTGTCCAGGGTTGCCATGTCAGAAACAGACTCCCAGAGAGGTGAGGGAGTTTCCCTTTGGGGTATTGGGAGACTTTTATGTAACTGACTTTTGGACAGCAGAGGTGAGCATCTGGTATTTTAAATGGAGATGTCTATCTTTTTAAAATTTTTTGTTCCTCATCTCTGCTATTAAAGACATGGCAGGCTGCATTTAGGAGGTCCTGCTGAGATATTTGCAGACCCTCCTCTAAGTTTTGTAATTATTTTCCGGATATCTGGGGAGGATTGGGAAATAAATTGGAGGTGGAGAAAAGTTTGCCCTTCTCTAGATTCTGGGTCCAGATTGGTATATTTTAGCATAGCTTCAGTGATGCATGATAAGAAAAGGGCAGGATTCTTCTGGGGCTCCTGTGTAATTTCTCTAAGTTTCTCAGAATTAACTGCCTTATGGGCATTTTTGCCCATGCCCGTGAGGAGACAGGTAATCATGTGGTCCCTTTGCCTGATGCCATTGACTCCATGTTGATAAGTCCAATCTGGATCTCTACAGGGGACTGCATCACTGGCCACTGGATTTTGTATAGGGGCTTAGTTATGGAGTTCACCTGCGTGGGTTTCAGATGAAAGCTCAATGTGCTCTTTTTCATCAGGACTGAGAGTGGAGGTTAGAATTATGTAAATTATATAAATATCATGACAAGTTAAATTAAAAGATTGGGTTACATGCAGGAATTCCCTGAGATAGTGAGAAGGATTTTCTCACTATCTAGATGAAAGATCCTAGATGCTGTTCGATCTGCAACAAATCAGGCATGGAGAAAGGGATATAAACATGAGCAATACTTTCAACCCCAACCACTTCCCAGAGAGGGGGAGTGGCCGAGGTGGTTTGATTGGTAGCTGTTGAATGGATAACAGGTGGAGAACGAAGAGGAGCAGGGTTTGGGGCTAAAGGCTTGGGGGCAGGAGGGGCCACAGCAGCAGAAGGTTCAGACAGGCAAGGAGCGGATGCAGGGGGATGAGAATACAGAGGGGGTTCATCTGCCAGGTCAAAAGGGGTTTTGAAGGAAGGGGTTTTGAGGGAAAGGGTTTTGGAGGAAGGGGTTTCAGAGGAAGGAGAGACACAGAAAGGGTTTGCATTAAGAAGAAGGATTTCATGAGGGATGCAACCTTGACATAGGGAGGGTCAGGATCTAAGGTAGAAGAAAGCCTGAATATAGAGAACCTCTTGCCATTTGCCATTCCTGGTTATAAAGTTATCAAGGTCCCTGAGGATTTTAAAGTCAAAGGTACCATTTTCAGGCCACTGGTTGTCATTATCTAATTTGTATTGGGGCCAGGCTGTGTTGCAATAAAGGACTAAATGCTTTGGCTTTATGCTTCCCTATAAGCCAAGTTTGGCAAGGTTGAGAAGGAGACAGCCCAGTGGAGAGGACGTAGGAATGTGGGATTGTTTGGCACCCATGTGGACTGATGAGAAGAAACTGAGGGTGTCTGTTTTTGTTCTAGGCATCCCCAGACAAAAGGCAGAGACCCAGAGTCCTCTTTCTAAAGAGGATGGTCAAGCTGAGAGAAACTGTGTATCCCCAAGATTTTTTGTAGCTTAGTCCCACTGGTCCTCCGAGGACCAGGACTGCAGACCTGACTTTCCTGGGTACTGTGAGAAAGCCAGTGGAGGGCATATCTTACCAGTTGTCTGGATTAGTGTCTGATGTTGGATGTCCTTGTTGGAACTGGCAAATGGCCTCTTAGACTGGAGCTGCATGAGGGATTGAGAGAGAGAGAGAGAGAGAGAGAGAGAAGGGAGGATGAGGGAGGAGGAGGAAAGAAAGTGAAATACCCATTGCAGGTGGTCAGAGGTGGATTCCCAAGACCTGAGGGTTTTGAGGACCCACTGGGGAGTAGCCCCAGCCAGAGCCTCGCAGTCCCCTTCAGGTTAGTTTTCTTCCTCATGCAAATTGCTTGAAAAATGAAGTGAGAGACAAGATGGGGTGGATGGCCCGAGACTCTCAGGATCCAGTGAGATGAGCTACCATGGTCCACTGCTTCCTGGGTTGCAAGAGAGCCTCTACCCCCAGCACCCATCCCAGGTTTTGGCACCAAATGTAAGAGTTAAAGAAAGAGGAAAGAAACATGAAAAATGGCTCAACAGTCAAAGACAGGTTTATTTTGGAGAAAAACACCTGAGAGGGGCTTCTGGCCAACTTCAGTCAGGAGCATTCTCTCTTACAGACTAAGAGTATATAATGGTTTTAGGGCGAGAGGGCTTATCACAAGCTTGAAATGTTTCTGTGTGGGGGAGACATTTATGGCAGGGTTAGAATGTCTTTGGGCAGAGGGGAGGTTATCTTGAGGCTGACATCTTCCTGGCCAGAGGGGAAGTTATCTCGGGGCTGGCATGTCTCTGGTTGGGAAGGGCTTTGGAATGTTTCTGGTTGGCGATGTTATTTGTGATTTATGGTCATGCTGACCTTAGCCATTAGGCTGATGCCCTTTGGATTTTGGTGGTTTTTGATCAAGGTGAAACTTAAAATGGTTGTACTTGTCCAAGATGGCAATGCTCCTGCTCTGTCAGATTCCCCTTTAGTATTACAGCTGCTGAGAGCACCTTCAGCACATGGCCCTCAGCTGTCAGCCTACGTTCTCCCTAGGATTGCCTCAGCTAATGAGAAACACTTGGCTCAAGTTTATGTCCCCTTCCTGAGATGACCCAAACCCAATGACTGATCAATGTGTGACCTTAAGAAGCCTGTTCATTTGGGCCCAGCTCAGGATAATTCTGAAAGGCCATCCCAGCTTCAGATTTCCCTATGAAGCTGGCTGAGATCTGCCATTGAGACTTGATTGTAGCTCGATTCTTCCTCTGCCCAATCCTTTTCCTTCCCCTCCCTACTACCGGTGTTTCTCCCAAGAGCCCCCTCTAATAACTTCCTGTATGCTAATTTCCAACTCATAGTCGGCTTCCCAAAGAAACCAACCTCTGACCGACCTCTGGTAACAAAATGCTGAAGTAGGTGTGATCTAATGGCAGACCCAAACCTCTGTGCCAAGTCCTTAGAAATGGAACTTCTGAGGTCTGCTGTAGCTGCTGACGTTTTAGAGCTATGTCTGGCTGTCGGCTCTTTCTTGGGAGAGCAGTATACAGAGCTAGTGTCAGAGGGTAGTCAGTAGCAAGAAATAAATAGGCTAGTACACCCACCTTAAATATTGCCATATTGAGATGTTGTTTTGGTAGGACCTTCTGTTTCCCAACTCTTGACATGAGAACTGGGAAGAGTCAAGGCTGCCCTTTCTCAGTCAGCTCTGTTGGAGCTCTAATCAGCCTTTAATTCAGGTCCTGCAGGAGCCCCAGATATTTTTTATAATCAATAATGTATTGGGATTTCTGGTCCACTAGTTAATCTGACCCTGTTTTGTAATAACTCTCAATGTGGACACCGAGCTGTGACAATCTCAATCAATTGACATCAAATAGATATAAGCTACATTCTGAAAAATCCATCTAACACACCTAAAAATGTGGACAACCACACCATCTGTTAGAAAATATGTGCAAGTTATCATCATGATTTGGAAGCTCTCCTGTGTTACCTGTGAAATTCACTGAAGGTCTATCATAGTTTCAATGTTATACTGTATATAGTTTTAGCGTATTAACTCCAAGACTCTAATCTGTGCCTTTCTGGTGCCTTGTGATAAGAAAAAAAAATTAACTCTAATTTTTCTGTCTACATCTTCTATTGCTAAAACATATCTTTTCTCTGTGACATTGGATTTTTGAAAAATATGATGAAGAAGGATAAAAGAAATGTGCATGCTATTTAGCAATACTTATTTATTTTCACGTGATACCATTAATATCCCTGGAATATCCAAACCTGTTCATATATCATCTTTTTTCTTTCTGCTGTATACAAAACTTCCCTGCCCTGGAAGGCTTTGATTCCACTGCCCTGAAGCTTCAGAAAGAATATGTGGGAATACTCTGGAGTGTGTCCACATCATAAAAGCAGAAGGAAAAAAATTTAAAAAAAAAAAAAACCAAAGCAAAGGTATTTTAGAACTTATATCCTCAAATCTCATCTCAGGATCAGAAATGAGAGTAACTAGTAGTGGATGATGACGCATGCATTGGAAGGTTTTTGATCACTTGGGCCTGTAGCTGGGATTTTTGCTTTGGTTTGTTTTTAATTTTTACCCTCTGTGTATTCATGTGTCGATAGTTCAGCTCATCTGAGATCCAGAGAAAAGTAATGCTATAAACTTTCCTAAAAAGTACACGCAGTGACAGTCTCACCTTTGTAAATTAAATGCCTCTAAAGGGCCCAAGAACACAGAAATGAGTATATGAGTTTGGTATTGTTTCTAATGCCCCATTGTTTAAGTAAGTTTAATCAAACGTCACTGAGCTTGAACTTTTACATAAGTTTTGTTTATACTGCATTGAGAATGCAAAGATGAATGGTCTGTTTCATATTCTCAAGGATTTCCGTTAACTAAGGCAAATGTTTGCTTAATAACTGTGAGACTTTGTGGCTAAGATTTAATAAACTAATTTTAAGGAAGCACAGATAAAATATCTTGAATGTCCATTTTAAATAGATACCTCACTTTCATCCATAGGATTTGTACAACCTTACATCTTTGGTTAGCGTTTAAAGACAGGAGAAACCATTTTATGACCATCTCCAATTTAAACAGTCTTTACAAGATCTTTAATCTTCTCATACATGCTGAAACAATATGGTGTACTGGAAATAACTTGAATTTGGAGTCACAACACATGAGTTTGTATCCAAAATCTGTTTCTAATTTACTGAGTCTAAAAGTGATTTGACTCATGCCATGTGGTTTTATCATCTGTAAAAGGTAATGAGACAATGATAAAGCAAATAATAATAACAATAACAATATGGAATATTTCTTGAACACTTTTTATATGTCATTTCTACATGTTTACAGGTATTATAATTTCTTTTCCTTACCCTTTGAGAGAGTTAATATTAATCTAAGTTTACAGATAAGAAAATTGATTACAAGGAAAGTTAAGTAGTTTACAGAAGATTAAGATAGTTTTCAGCAAGTTAAGTAGCCACTCCAGGACTGGGAACAAAGCAGTCTGATTCTCTTAACCACCATTTTGCAGCTAGTATAACCTGACATGTCTACCTTAAAGGCTAATAATGATGCTCAACTGAGATATATGTGAATACTTTGTAAACCATAAGCTTTGTAAACATGTTCATACAGATTTTAATTGCACAGATTTTAATTGCACAGTATAGTTTAATAACAATTAATATTTGCATACAATTGTTAAATTCACATCATGTATAATTTAGTAATAGAGTATGTCAACAAGCATTTTAATGTTTAGAATATCAAGGGAACTTCTGGAAGTTTAAAAGATGGAACTACTACATAAAAATTAGCATAAATAGCCTGACTCCTTTCTATAATTCTCTTTGCCATGGAACCGACTTCAGTAGAATGTTTATCTAAAATTAATTCAGGCTTCTTCAGAATGGCAGACTTTACTTCTTCTTTCCAAACCCCACCGAAATGACAGTAAAGAAATATAAAAGAGAATACTTCTATACAGAACTAAAGAGAGGATAAAGGGCCAGGGGTTGGCTGGAGATTTTAACAAGTATCTGAAAGACTGAAAGCATAAGGAGTTATTTTGACAGATGAAACAGTGGTGGATGCCATAGCTTATGACACAGAAGAAAGCAGAAGGGGAAGAGGCAGTTGCATAGCCTCTGAAGATGGAGGGATTCTGAGCTAGGAGTTATCAGGTATAAAGAGGTGGAGTGGGAAATGAAGTGGAACTCACAATGACTAATGGAAATACCATCTCAGAAATAGCTACAACAGGTATGCCACCCAACACCCCCATAAGGGGAGACAATCTCGACTTTCAAATAGAAGAATTATTCTTATAAAGGAATTGAATGGTCTGGAGACTTTGTATAGTTCTTGGGTACCATACAGTAAAGGCCTTCTTCTTTTGACAATAGGAGAGATACTCAACCTGCCTCTCTTGTTTCTGTCCCTTTACCATCCAAAATAAAGCTCCTTCATGGATGATACGCTTTCCCTCTTAGGCAGAGAAGGAGACTGACACAGCACCAGATGAAATCAATAACAACTGCTTTTTAAAAACGCAATGCGTTCTTACATTTCTAATTTCAAATGTATAATCCAGGATTACATGGCATTTGACAAAACCAACTCACAATAGAAGCACCCAATGTAATATTTTTTTTAAAAGATCCGAGAAGAAAAAGATAATTCAAGAAATAGAAGATAGTTTAAAACAATGCTGTTTAAAATCCTCAGAGATATTTGGGAAAATATTGCATACATAAAATAAGAATAGAATTTATGAAAGGGAACATATATAGAAAAAGAAACTTTCCTGAAAATTAAAAATAGAACATGTTAAATATACTCAAGAAAAGAAAGAAAAAATATAATAAAAATTAAGAAATATGAAGATCACATCCAGGAGGTTGAATTTCTATATAACTAGAGTTCCAGGAAAATGGAGCAAGAAAATAGAGGGAAGAAAATAAAGAAATAATAGAAGAAAACTTCACAGAGTTTCATAAAATCATATCTTCAATTTTTAAGAGTTCTATAAATGTCCAGTAGAATAAACCCAGAAAAGCCCCCACTGTGTCGCATAACTAAAATCTCAGAATGACGGTGATAAAGGCATGATCCCAAAAGCTTTTAGGGGGTGGGACGTCAGTGGAGAATGGAAAAAGAAATCATAATGATACTAACATTATAAACATTAGATGCTAGAAGACAGTGAGGGCAGTGTCTCAAAGTCCTGAAGGAACATTTTTTCAGCATAGTATTCTATAACCCGGAAAATTATTAACCAGTTCTAGAAACCAAACAAAGAAATTTTTAGATGGGAAAGGCCTGAGGAAGTTTAGTAATTACACATACTTCTGAAAAAAATAAGTTATTTGAGGATGTAGTTTAACAAAACCAAAAATAGAAAGAATCCAAGAATAAGAAACATGGGGAAGACTTGAGAGCCAATACACTAAGCAATGAAAAGAAATTCCAGGATGGCAATTCTATAGAAGTCTCTAAGCCAACAGGTCAGTATTAAACACAGACATATGAGGGCTCTTTGAAGAATTTCCTTAAGCATGTGGATTCATCTTGACAAAGGGTATGATTTTGAAGTGGGTGGTTTTGGTAACTAGGTGAAAACATATGCTACATTTGTCAACAAGGGAAAAAAGATGGGTGATTAAAAAGCCCAGAGCAGAAAAAAAAAAAGATGAAAAAGAACACAGTCAAAGTAAAGAAGCAAAATAAAATGCTATATAATTTTCTCCAAGTGAAGTAGAGAAGGCAACAAGGACAGGAGATTTGGGCGTTCTTAGGGATGACAGAGAAGCTGTGAGATGATGTTCTAACAAGCACAAATACATTCTTTTTAATCTACACTATTAGGAACTAAATGTCCACTAAGTAGAAGTAGACTGTTACTAACTACATCTCACAGAAAGTGACAGTTTTTCAAACAAGTCACATATAATAAAATGCATTTAGCACTAAAGCCACTTTGAAGATAATTTAGTCTTTGATGATGCAGAAAAAATGTTAAGATCCTGCATTGATCAAAGGTCGTCACTGTGGATGTCTTGTCCTGATGAGGTATGTAAGTATTGAGTAATTTATCTGGAGGATAAAAAGCAGGACATAGGTCTTTCTTTTACTGTACACAGACACACACACACACACACACGATACTGAAGTGCAGCATTTGAGATGGTCAGTGTCTTCAAAACAATGACTAGAACTATGAACACTTACACATGTTCTCCATGGGCACTGTAAAGGTAGAAATTGCACTCTAGAATATCCAACTTATCAATTCTTCCGTGGCAGGAAGAATGGGAACTGTTTTCCTCATCCCACTCCACCAATGCTCTACCTTAAACTCCTACTCACCTGCTCTAAGTTAGCATAGAATTTTTGTTTCAAAGAATATCACATGGAGTACTAGAAATGGCATAGAAAGGCCTCAGAGGCCCAGATTTTGGAGTGGAAGGAGGTATATCTAACCTATTCATCTCTACTACTTCAATCTTAACTGTAGCTGCTTCTCTCTTATCTGCTTTATCTATTATGTTTCCTGGTCAGTTTGCATTTGAAGAAAGAGTTTGCTTCTGGGAAGAAAAAGCTGCCACAAAATAACTACTACATCATCAGTTAATCAGATTGTGAGTCTATCTCCCCCACTGAAATTTATGATGTGACTTTAGAACAGTATCTCTGCTGCCACTGATCCTTTGAATCACATGAAACCACCGAGGCCCATAAATACCCAGCCAAGGGCAGTGACTTTCTGTACCTGGTACTATCCAGGGTTACTTTCCTTTTCCCATTAGGATCATCTCCTCCTTGAATTCCTCTTCTAGCATATTTCACCTTTGGTGCCACACATTGGTCTCAGGACCCACTTTGGATACCCTTTCGGTGACATCTCATTGAGCAGTTCTCAACCCATGCCGCTTAAATTTCTATGTTGTCTGCCCCACAGATTGCTATAACTCCTGGTTTGGAGTTCCCTTATCAACCATAGATCCAACCTTGCCCCACCCAAGCTCTTCACCAAGAAGACAGATTAAACACAAAGCTGAGCTCCTGTAAACTCAGCTTGTGGTAGGCATGTGAGCAGAACTGGAGCAAGTTCACATGGCCGTGGGAGATCTGCATGGTAGGCTTCTACCTGACATAGCCTGAGCTTCAGGAAGTCGTGCCTGCTGAGCATCCTCGAGGGGCCGTGGTTACGCCCACACTATTGCATTCCCTGAAAGGCAAACTTCTGTCCTACTTTTTCTGTGACTCACTCGGTGCCTGTTCCCTCTTGGAATTAACCCAAGGAAAAGAGTCCTCTCAGCAAAACAAAGTTAGCTTGCTTCCTTGTGTGTGGCCTGCTTATTTTATTTTTTAGAGCTATACTTCAGAAGTGCAGAGCAGCCTGAGGGCCCTTTTTCTCCATTTTATTTTGTGTGTCTTCTTAAAAATTGTATCTTGGCTAGAACTACTCTTTCTTCCTTGGTGGTTTTATAACTCACAAGGTGAATGGTGATACCCTGAAAGATCAACAGGAATACCCTCAGGGTAAGTAAAAAGAATATCATATATAATAAACATGCTTCCCAGAACTGGAGCAGAAGCCTCGGGAAGAAGGACAAGCATTCCATCTTGGTTGTGGGCAAATGGGAGCAAGAAGGGCAGAAGTATTAATACTTAAGAGTAACCTTAGGACAAAGTTTACACCCAATAGGTACTTGGGGGTTGGAGGAGAGTTATCTTTGAAAAGTGCCCTGAGATTGGGAATGAGATGACAGGCGGAATATGTCCTCATTCCTCTGAATGTCCCACAATTCTAACCTTATACTAGTTCCATACCAAATTCTAAATATTTGATTTTACAAGTCTTATCCTGGGTTACCTAGGAAACAGTCTGAGGCAAAAACCTTATGTGCTAAACTTTATTGAAGAGAGAAAATTAAAAAAAAAATAGGAGTGAGGGGAAAGGAGGTACCAAAGTAGGGAGGGCAGGAGAAAAATATTCAAGGATATGTTTTTAAACTAGCCATTGCTTTGTAACAAGTGTAGGCAATTACTTAGTCTTATGAGACATCTTCAAAAAGGCTGTCAGAACCATTACATCTCAGAACAGTCCATTATGGTGGAAGAAAGGAGAATTTATCTTCTGGCTCCCATCTGTCCACTATCTTTCATTAGTCCAGTTTGCTTTATGGGGTATTAATTTCCTATAGTGGATGATGTGGTGTGTAGGACCTACGTGCTCCTTCCTCCAGTTGCCAGGAATGTTGGGTTCTAATGGCTCATAGTGATCCCTCTCAGGGAATTGCCCTAGGCCCAGGGTCAGTAAACAATTTTTTTTCTTTTCTTTTTTGTAAAACATCACATAGTTACTATT
Source organism: Homo sapiens (assembly GCF_000001405.40). NCBI lineage: Eukaryota > Metazoa > Chordata > Mammalia > Primates > Hominidae > Homo > Homo sapiens. Next base: position 42,754,880 of record NC_000023.11, on the reverse strand, counting down.
TTATGCTTTGCAGGCAATTTAGTCTCTGCCACAGCTACTCAAGTCTGCCATTGTAGTGTGAAGGAAATTGGAGGCAATACATAATTGAGTAAGTGTAGTTGTGTGCCAATAAGATTTTATTTGCAAAAAAAAGAGGCAGGCAGGCTATGGCCCACAGGCCAACCCCTGTCCTTGGCTAAAGGGAACTGCTTTTTCTAAGGTCATTCCCCTCCCCAGGGATAGCCCGTATCCAATGTCTGATTGATGAGAGACGAGTGAACAAAGGCTCTTCCCATTCCCCTAATTCAAGACATCTCTGAAGGACCATCCCAGCCCCAGAGCTCCCTATGGCATAGGTCATTATTGTGATTAGGTTGAAATTCAAACTTTTCCCTATGCCCATTCTGGCAAGCAGGCTTCCCTCAATTCCTTATCAGCAACTTTGTTTTGGTGGAGCCCCCCGATAAACTTCCTGCATACAAATCCCCTTCTCCGAGTCTGCTTCCTCCACAATCCAACCTAAGACACTCCCAGCACAGGATTGCTCTTATCAGCTGTTGGGAAAGCCACAGTCCTATGGGTCCACATCATCCAGGGCACAGATAGGATGATCTTTTTTTTAACTAGTTAATCTCTAACAGTGGACAGGGCAGCAGCAATAACCTACTTGGCTCCATGATGACAGGGACAAGGCAAGCTATTGCTAGGGCCACTCTAAACAGAAAGCAGACAGAGTAAAGCTCTGGCAAGGCACACAAACTGAGCCTAGTACATATAATTTTGAAGGGAGGAAAATGTAGTTTTCCAACTCCTCTATCTTCCCATATCACTCTGTTTTCTCTCCTTTTTTAATAAAAAGGACCCTACTATTTTTCTCTCTTTCTATTGATTTCCCTCCCCTCCTGCCCCCCTCCCCTTCTCTCCACTCCCCTTCCCTTCCGTTCTTTTCCTCTCATCCCCTAGCAGTATCATGGTTTAAGTAACAGTAGACTTGAAGGAAAAGGAGATAAATTTAGAGGAAATTAAGTATGGCCTTCAAGTATAAGTGAAAGAGATACCTCTGGCTGCATTATTTACTAGCTGCCTGACTTTATAAGGGTCAGTAACCTCAACTATAACATGGAACAGTAATGCCTGATTTGCCTGCATATTTTACAGAGCATTGTACCAAATTATAGGACATGTATTATATCACTATGCATGGGTGTTTCATGTATATGACTGTGTATGTGTTAAATCTATTAAAACTAAAAGATTTCCATGAGCCATTTCTTCAAGATGTCACCTATTCAAAGAACACTTTTCTTGACCTCACTAACCAATTTCTAATGTGTTTTTGTGTATTTCTAAAAAAAGTGAAAGATCAGATTCTGCAAGCAGTATCAAGTGTCAGGAATTCTCACTGAGGATAGTTTGGCCCCCTGAGGCTTTTAGCCAAGGTTGCTGAACACAGGTGGCCTAAGCAGTCATATCATGTGATTATTACTTGATGCCTCTTAGGTTCTTTTTGGGTACAGAGCACTGGGAAAAATCCACACTGAACCCATGGGAAGCTGGGGGACTTTCTAGAGGTGGAAGCAGATAACAGCTGCTAATTCTGCTCATTGTGCATTTTCGGCAGAGCAGCGAGGTTTCTTGAAGATTGTTTTAAGAAGTCGGGCTTACATATGCACTTTGTTAAAATTCACACTGGCTGTAAATGTCAAAGGCAACTTCAAGATCCTACTTAACAGAAGAGAGGAGAAGCAAGTTTGGAGAATGAAATGAGGGGCAGGTTTATCATTTTGCATGAAACCAACACTGTACTACGTTTTTTTTTTTTAATCACAAAGTTCCTGAAATTGTATTTCTAAAACACGCCTTGTCCTTGATGCTCCATCCCAGCCCAATGCCCCGAGAAATGGCAGGAAACTACTGGTGGCTTAGATTACAGAGAGAAAGGTCAGCATGCAAGTAGTTTACTTGGGAGGTGATCCCAAGAAATTCCAGAGAATAATGGGGGAAGAGAAACACAGCAGGGCAGGCAGCCAACCACAGATGTATTATCAAGCTAGTTAGCATATGGGCAACCGGAGAGCAATCCATCTGGGGTACTCTGTGGGGCAGTATAGGACACACCTCAGTTATTCCAACCAAGGGGCAAGAGAGCTGGGGTATTTATCCACCAGATCCCATCAGGCATTGATTAAGGACTTCTCTCAGGGAGTGTTTATTCTACCTCACTTGCAACCAACGGTGTGCATAGACAGGGGAGTCTCCTGCCACAAGAGAAGGCTTCAAGCACAGAGATACAGAAGCTAGCAGTTGGAAGTCAGCCAGGGTGCACTAAAATTGGTTGAGTCTAGGGGAATATGAAGGTGATATCAATAGTATCTGCTACAACTAATGTTATTTGGCAAATGTGCTAATTTTTAATTGCTTCCTCTCTTTTTTTTTTGGAGACAAGTTCTCGCTTTGTCACCCAGCTGGAGTGCAGTGACGCAATCTCAGCTCACTGCAACCTCTGCCTCCTGGGTTCAAGCGATTCTCCTGACTCAGCCTCCCAAGTAGCTGGGATTACAGGCACGTGCCACCATGCCCGGCTAATTTTTGTATTTTTAGTAGAGATGGAGTTTTACCATGTTGGCCAGGTTGGTCACAAACTCCTGACCTCAAGTGATCCGCCCACCTCAGCTTCCCAAAGTGCTGGGATTACAGGCGTGAGCCACCGCACCCGGCCTTAATTTCTATTAGTAAAGTTTGAGAGATCATTTTTTGGTTGTGGAGCATCTGTGGTGGACAGATGGTTCCAAATTATCCCTGCCTCACTATCACATCTTGGTATGATCCCCTCCACTTGAGTATGAAAGTGATGTGTGACTTTCTTCCAACCGATAGTGTATGGCAAAGGTGATGGGATGTCATTTACATGATTAGACTACATACAGTTGTGACTCTGTCATCCTAGCAGATTCTTTTTCTTCCTGGTTCTGATAAAATCAAACTACCATGTTAGAAAGACCCACATGGTAAGGAACTGAGGGTGGCCTCCGGTGAACATTCCTCAAGGAACTGAATCCTGCCACAACCACATGCACTTGGAAGCAGATTCTTCTGCATTCAAGCCTCAGATGAGACTCTGGCCCTGGACAACACCCACGCCTCTGAGAGACCATGACACGTAGAACCTAGCTAAGTCATGTAGAATCTCTGACTCACAGAAACTGTGAGATATTAAGTGTGTATTGTTTGAAGCTGTTAAGTTTGTGGTAATATTGCTATACAGCAATAGATAACTAATGTAGCATCCTAGAAGACATGGCTAAGAGGATTGGTTTAGTGACAAGATGAACCTCTGGTGAGTGTTAGGAAGTGTGAGTGTGAGATAAAAAGGACCCGTCCTGGCTAACATGGTGAAACCCTGTCTCTGCTAAAAATACAAAAATTAGCTGGGCGTGGTGGGCGCCTGTAGTCCCAGCTACTGGGGAGGCTGAGGCAGGAGAATGGCGTGAACCCGGGAGGCAGAGCTTGCAGTGAGCCGAGATCATGCCACTGCACTCCAGCCTGGGCGACAGAGCAAAACTCCGTCTCAAAAAAAAAAGGACCTGGAGAATGGAACAGGCTAATCAAATCTATACCTGATCAGGTATACATTTGATCATTCCTTTGGGCAACAGGAAGGGTATTGAAATGCTACTGCCAAGTGCAAAGACATTTTTAGGAAAATGTGATTAGAAATGTTCGACAAGAATGTTCAATGAGAATGTGTGATTCATGTGTTAGATCCTATTAGACAATAAAAAGGAAGCATGTTTGCAAAAAGCTTTGCACATAATAAGACTTTCACAGATGGATATGAGTTGCCCATATCTGTTTGCTGTAAGTAATTGTATGGTTAGGATAACGACATAGGTGGACTGGGAGTTAAGTGAAGCAGTTAAATGAGACCCATGCTCTCTACGGGAGACTGAGAAAGGGGAAGCATTGAGGTAAAAGTATACAGTAATCCCTTGGTATCCATGGGGTATTGGTTTCAGGACCCCCTTGGATGCCAGAATCCATGGATGTGAAAGTACCTGATATAAAACTACATAGTATTTTTTTTTATAACCTATGAACATTCCTCTAGATATTTTAAATCACCTTTACATTATTTATCATATGTAATACAATGTAAATGCTATGTAAATAGTTGTTATATTATATTGGTTTTATTTGTATTATTATTTTTAAATATTTGTTTCAAATTTTTTTATTTTTTAATTTTTGTGAGTACATAGTAGGTGTATCTATTTATAGTATACATGAGATACCTTGACACAGCATGCAATATGTAACAATCACATCATGGAAAATGGGGTTCCCATCATCTCAAGCATTTATCCTTTGTGTTGCAAACAATGCAATTATACTCTTTTAGTTATTTTAAAATGTACAATTAAATTATTATTGACTGTTTTCCCTCTGTTGTTCTAGCAATTACTAGGTCTTATTCATTTTTTCCATTTTTTTTGTACCCATTAACCATCCCAACTTCCCACCCCCACTCCCAACTACCCTTCCCAGCCTCTGGTAACCATCCTTCTATCCTCTATGTCTGTGAGTTCAGTTGTTTTTATTTTTAGTTCCCACAAGTAAGTGAGAACATGTGATGGTTGTCTTTCTGTACCTGGCTTATCTCACTTAACATAATGACCTCCAGTTCCATCCATGTTGTTGCAAATGACAGGATCTCATTCTTTTTTTATGGCTGAATAGTACTCCATTGTGTATAAGTACATTTACTCTATCCATTCATCTGTTGATGAACACATAAGTTGCTTCCAAATATTGGCTATTGTGAACAGAGCTGCAACAAACATGGGCCTGCAGATATCTCTTCGATTTACTGGTTTCCTTTCTTTTGGGTATATACCTAGCAGCAGGATTGCTAGATTGTATGGTAGCTCTATTTCTAGTTGTTTTGAGGAACCTCCTAACTGTTCTCCATAGTGGTTTTACTCATTTACATTCCCAGCAACAGTGTACCTTTTCAAATATTTTTGATCCGTGGCTGGTAGAATCTGACAATGCAGAATACAGGGATACAGAGAGCCAACTATACATTATGCTGGCTACCTGTACCAGGAGTACTCTTGAAGGAAGAGGACAGGAGGCTCCCACTGGACACATGGGATCCAACATCACACTTCTAAAAGGAGATAGTGTAATCGTGCTTTTTTTTTTTTTTAATCGTGCTTTTTTTTGGCATTTGATGCAGTACTAAGATAATGCACACAATAAAGCGTGAATGTCTAAGTGGCAGAAAGATGCCGTATAATGATCAGGACCATGTGGGAATAATTTTTCCCTAAGGTTGATTTTATTTTTCTTTAGCTACAGAATCCTATAGCAATAGATATTTTGTGTGTTCAGGAGAAGAAGAGAAAGAGGAATTTTCCTGTCTGTAATCTATACTTTCTACATATGAACTAAAATATCCTCTTTTCTCTTTTCTCTGCGATTTTGTGATGGTTGGATTTCTTACTCATATTTCTGAGGCTTAAGCTCCAAAATCATTATTGTTTTGTAGCTAAATGAAAGATTTAAGTATTTCTGTCTGTGGTATATCCATGGTTGACACAGGGATAAGGGGTGAGCAGAGGGAGAGTGTTCTAAACCCCAGAATACAGTGTTTTATATCCACCTCTAAGATTGAGGCTGAAAAAGCCTATTTATAAAATACCTTTAAAATTATAGAATTCCTTCTGTATCTGAAAGTACTGTCCTGAGCCTTCTGGAATAATCAAAGAAATGGCTGATAAAAGAGCTTAGCAATCATTTGAAGCACTGAGCTAGCACCATCAAGACACTTTGGGATTGAACAATTGGTGGAGAAATCATCCCCAGAACAATTGATTTTTTGGTACATTCAACAACTGCCTAATAGTCACAACCATCAACTTAAGGGGGAAAATACACACTACTATATAAACCTCTGAATGTGCTTTACAATAGCTACAATTTCAGAGAAATGAGATCTTATTTAAAAGATGGATTCTTAAAGCTGTTGCAATTTTTGAGTAACACTAATGTGCAGGGGAGAAGCTGACTTCCATAACAGTACTTTATTTTTCTGTAAAGATGCTACTCAACAGCCCACATCCCACTTCTTGTTTTGTACAATTTTTGCTGCCCAAGGTAGGGTGCAGGGAGGCAGGAGGAACTTGAAAGATCAAACACAAAGATGGAATCGCGGAGTGCCCCAGCAAACAGGATCCCTTCCTGATGACTCAGTAGCCAACAATCTTCTTATCCAACATAGTTTTTTAAATTTGGACAACATACAAATATCTTTTAAAGGGGAAGAAAGACTGCATGTAAGTGTTATCTTTACTATTTCTTCTTGTGTTATTTAAACATGTAGGAACAAGCACTAGATGTGGTAGGCCGTTTTTGCATTGCTATAAAGTAATACCTGAGGCTGGGTAATTTATAAAGAAAAGAGGTTTGATTGGCTCATGGTTCTACAGACAGTACTAGAAGTGTAGTGCCTGCATTTGCTTCTGGTGAGGGCCTGAGGAAGCTTACAATCATGATGGAAAGGGAAGCAGGCATCTCACATGGTGAGGACAAGAACAAGAGAGAGATGGGGGAGGTGCACACACTTTTAAATGACCAGAGCGCCTGTGAACTCAGAGTGAGAACTCACTTAACACCAAGGAGGTGGCACCTAGCCATTCATGAGGGTTCCACCCCCATGATCCAAACACCTCTCACCAGGTCCCACCTCCAACACTGGGGATTACATTTCAGCATGAGATTCGGAGGGGACAAATATCCAAGCTACATCACTTAGGTATAATAAGCTGCTTATATGTATTGTCATTACACCAGTATAAATTAAAAATAGATTTCCAAATGAAAAGTAAGCAAAACTAGGAAGTGACAAAATACAAATTAATGACATTTATGTGACAAATAAGATGATAATAAAGGCAAACTGGTATTTACAGTTTAAATCTTCATTCATTCATGTGTTTGTTCATTTGACAAGCACTGGTTGAGCACCTATTATTCCTAATGATGCTTTTCTAGGTGCTGCAAATATATCTGTGAGCAAAATAAAATTCCCCATCTTCATGAAGCTTACATTCTAGTGTTATAAGATAGATAGAAAACCAAATAAATAAGTGAAATATGTAGTGTGTCAGATGATATTGAGTGCTAAGGAGAAAAAATCTAGAGAAGGGAGATTTGAGAAAAGGGAGCTGCAATTTGTAATTTAGGAAAGGCCTCATGGAGAAGGTGGTATTTGTAGAGAAAACTTGAAGCAGGTGAAAGAGTGAGTATTTGGGTGTTACTGGGTGAGGAAGGCTCAGTGTTCCAGTCAGAGGGAACAGTGGGTGCAAAGGCTCTGAGGCTGAGGTAAGCCTGTTTTTGACTTGTCTCTTTTTCAAACTAATGTAAAACCTCTGCTCTTACTGTGTTGGCTGTTAGGTCATTTGTCTTTTACTGGAGGATAATGATATCTTTTATATATTACATCTACTTCATCTTCAAAAATTAGGTAATAACAGTAAAGTGATATTATTTAACAGTAATGAGATAGTAAACCTAATTATACACACACAGGTATTGAAATACAGTAACAGACCACATTAATTGGTTGGTGGCATTATAAAGACTATGCTTAATTGAATATATTTATATTATCAAAATCTAAATGTAGAGTTAGTAAATTTGCATTAATATGCTTACAGATGTCTGGTAACAAGACCACGGATGCTCTGTGGCCCCAGGAACCCCACTTTAATAAACAAGGAGGACCCCTTTTAAGCCTGCCTTCTAACTGGTTGATTCGAGGTCATCTGTTACACTAGTGAATATGGAGATACAAGATTTCTTCACTTTGGCCCCTATGATATTAGTGAATATGACTCAACACATGGTTTGGGGAATGTACAGGGTGCATGGCTAGAAAATAAGTTCCAAAAAACAATCTTAGTTCTTCTGTTGTCATACCCACCTATGAGAATTGCTTCCGTGATTTTAGACCATGTGCAGCCCAGATTCTCTGCCCATACTTATCTAGGCAGGAAACAGCTTTGTTGATTTTGCAACACCGAGAGGAGATTGGAGAGTAGTTTGGGCAAAGCAGCTTCTGCACCATTCCTATTAGCCCACAATTCTGCAGCTGAGACAGAATACAGAGCCTGAAAATAATTCTTGTGAGGCTGCCTCATTAGTCACATGGCAAGACTGGCTTCAGGGTTAAGGTGGGAGTGGCCAATGAAGCAATGAAAACTCTCTTTGCCCATGCTTTTGGAAGCTGCACTAGTTTTGATGAAGGTTCTGAGAAAGTTTTCCAAAATGCATAACATAAGAGAGGTACATAGGGCATCAGCATTAGGAATGATTGTAGCTGGCAATATCTGTTACAATAACTGGTGCATATCTGTGACATTTAAGATGAAATTGGGAGAACTCCAAGATATTTTGAGAAGGAATTGAGCATAGTGAAAAAAAAAAAAGAAAACATTCTTACCATGAAATGGTCTGGAAAAATGGATATGTATGTTAAATCAATTTTTTTTTTTTTTTTTTGGATACAGGATTTTACTCCAGTTGCCCAGGCTGGAGGGCAATGGCACAATCTGGGCTCACTGCAACCTCTGACTCCTGGGTTCAAGAGCTTCTCCTGCCTCAGCCTCCCAGGTAGCTGGTTAAGTAATGGGTGCATGCAACTGTGCCCAACTAATTTATATATATATATATATTTTTTTTTCTTTTTTTTTGTAGAGACGGGATTTCACCATGTTGCCCAGACTGGTCTCGAACTTCTGGGCTCAAGTGATCCACCCACCTCAGCCTCCCAAAGTGCTGGGATTACAGGCGTGAGCCACCATGCCTGGCCAATGGGTATGTATTTTTGATTAACGTTTCTTAATTAACCTTACATGGAAAAGTAGATGAGTTTGATAGGCTATCCTGACTAATCTGGACTGCATGGAACTGCTTAAAGGTAATTTTCTCATCAGGAGTAATTAAATTCTAGGACTAGGCTGTAATCTTGACATGATAATATGATTACTGCCTCTTAAAATAACATACATTTTATACATACAAAAATCTTGTCTCCTTCACTCATACTACATGCTGATAACCTTACCACCATCACCACCATTTTGCCTCCACTGCATCCCCCTACACATCAGATATACAAACATACATTTAAGAGAATTGTCTGGGATCCCATAGGATTAACATAGTGTTTCATATGCATCAAGAGGTGAGAAATGAAGATTTCACATCCATAATTCCATAAAGTATCAGAAGACACAAGGTGTTAGCATATGATATTACAAAGGTAGTATAGCATAGTGTCGAGGAGCAGGGGCCCTGGAGGCAGACTGCCTGGGTTGAAATCCCAGCTGCTACTAACCAGCTGTGTGAGTTACTTATCCCTCTGTATGCTTTGATATGCTCATCAGTAAAATGAATTGAATAATTTTACCTAAGTCATGTGATTGTAAGAATTAAGTAAATTACTGTACGTTAACCACTTAGAACAATACCAGCATATAGTAAACATTATAGAACTAAATACATTGAAATAAAGAAAGAAGGCTTATCTTAGAAAAAAATAGTAAGTGGATTATTAAAAATTGTTAAGACATGACGATAGAGATATTTATAAAGCATTTGATTCCTGAAGTAATAGCAAGATCTTTATTTTTCAATTTGTGTAAGATTTTGGTTATGCAGAAGACATTGTTTTTTGAGTAGAATGCAATCAATACCTTAGAACTATTTGGCATGTTTTTCCCCTAATGTGAAGCATGAGTTGTAAGAAAAAATAATATATATTCATGAAAGAGCACTAATAGGCTGAGAAATCAACAACTGCTTGACATTCATGAAATGTCTTTTTCAGTGTATCATGAAGTAGCTCAGGAATAGGCATTGTCTGAAGAATAAAAACTTGGTACAGATTAAGAACAGGGAAGACTCAAATATCCTTAATTCCTTACTTTATATGTTATAAACACTGTAGAGGATGCTGTGGTATGCTGCTAAGATACTGCCTTCAGGATTAAAGTACTCACTCCCTCAGGTTTTGGGATTGTTGGCAACATACATCCTTTAGCTGTTCACTCTTTCTAGAAATTGCTTTCTGCTGAAGAGATCTGCCTCATCCAAAGTCATGCTCCATTTCTGCGGGGGAACTGATACCCAGTGATCGGTATATCTGGGTGTATGAAGACTCGACCCACTTGCCCCAGTTTGAGAAAGTTCTTCAGGGCCATCCCAGGTCTTCAGGTCTCCATACGATTGGCTGAGGCCTTTGTTGTAATTGCTTCTCAATTCAACAGTGCCCTCTGTTTAATCTTGCTTCATTCAATCTTCCAGTTATTAATCCCAAAAGGACTCCCCCATAAATCTCTTGCTGGCAAATATCTGACTCAGAGTCTAGTTCTTGCAAACGTGACCTGCATCAGGTATATATTGAGTAGGGTATATATCAGCCACAGTGATATGAAGCCATGGTATTCTGGTATTTCATTTTCCTTTTCAACAGGGATATATTAATGTGCTTATTGCAATCTTCTTTAAGGATTTCTTAACTTCTTCAGCAAAGTCTTTATCCATTGGTCCCTGGATCAGACCTCATCAAAGCACCCGGCCATAGTCAGAATCCAAGAATGAAACAATGGCCAAGTTCAGGGTGGAACCAAAGGTCCTACACTTAAACAGGTCCTTGATAACTGAGTGTAACTAGTATTAATTATTGGTAAAGAACAGGTGAGATAACATCAGGTGAGGTTAAGTCATGTAATACTTCCCCTCAGAAAGAACACCAAGGAGTTTATCACACTCCAGAAACAAGATGTGAGTGCTGCTTAGATGTCCTGTTCTTCAAAGAGCCCATATGATCACATTAAACTCATTCTCATTATTGAGCATGATGGAAGGCAGAGTCAGTGCATCCAAGAAAGCTTGGACAACATCTTTTGTTCAAAGATGCCTTGTATGATTAGATGCTAAAGATCTATATATTTAATCTTAGGCTTAAAGAAAGAGGTATGCTTCTATCCTTCATGTGTGGTGGTTCAAGATCTGGATCCAGCTGAAATGGATTTGTTTACCCTTGTGAGCTCCTAGGTTCTCACACCATGCCTTGAGAACACTGTTACAAAATTCCTGAAGACACATAATTCCAACAGTAGTAATAGCTTGAACACTGATGTCCAATATGATAGATGAGCCACATCCCAGAAGTTTTTTTGCTACGTTCTTTTGTAATAACATCCGGTAGCAAACAGTATGAGTATGTGGGATAAATATTTACTGAAACACCTAAATGGTTAGGGATGGTAGCAGAGTTAATTCTCCAAATTTAATGTAGATTATAGCAGTGTGCTGCATTCATAGAAAGATTCTCATTGTTATTTTGACAGATATTTGGAAATTCTAAAAACATCAGCAAAATACATTTTACAAAAAAAGATTGGAAGCATCATAGACTCAACACAGCAGACACACCTCCATATTGAATCTATAGACACTAAAGCACATTATGGAAAATATCACATGGTGCAGAGGCATGTTAGTGCTGAAACCAGGTCATGTGACCAGCTCTGCAGACCCTGGAGTCAGTTTAATAGCTTTTGATTAGCATATTCTTTCAAAGGGAGGCCAACTTCAGGCACAATCTGCATTCAATATTCTTGAAGATTTAAGCCCACTTGCACACCCTGGGATGGTTGATATGTGCCCAATATGATCAGAAAACTTATTTGTGTTAAGCCGGTCCAAATGACAAAAAGTCTATGTCTGTTGCTATTTCACAAAATAAGCTTTGTCTCATCTACGGCCCTTGCCCTCAATAGATTTTATATTCTTTTGAAAATTATTTCAAATCTTGGTCAAGAATGGATATCTCTTGCTAGATTATTTTCTTGGGCATTAACAATAACAAAATTTTACAAGGCTGGACAGTGGCATAGAAGTTGAAATGACATATGGAGAGAGAGAGAGAGTACACAGGGAAAAAAAAGGCACCAGGCATATATGTGAAGTCATGTTGGAAATAGATTCTTCAGCCCCAGTCATCCCAACCGATGCCACATGGAGTCAGGAAGCGCACAACTGAGCCCTTCCTGAATCCCCAGCTCATAAAACCATGAACAAAATAAAATGATTCTTTCAATCCTCTATGTTTTTGGAGTAGTTTGTTATGTAGCAGTAGATAACTGAAGCAAGAGGATTTGCTAATGACCTGATTAATTAATCAAATATGCTGCTGAGTATAGAAGGTTATGTACATTATTGAGACTATGGAGCCATTCCACCTGCCTTCAGCTTCTGGATTTGCCACTTGTAAGCTCTATGTTGTTGAGAAATGCATGCTTCAGTTTCCTCATCTGTAAAATAGAGATAATGACTACCTCACAGTATTGTTATGAGGATTTAATTGGTTAAAACTTAGGAGGTGCTATATAGATTTTAACTATTATTATTGTGACATGTAGCTGGGCCTCAACCATAGCAACCTGTAGAGGGCTCTTTTGGTCAGCATAGTAGGAATAACCTTGAGATTTAGTAAGAGATGAGATTAAATCCTAGATCAATGATGTATGTGTAATTCTGGAGCTTTTCGGGGCCTCAATTTTTCCATTTGTATTATGAGGCTAGTAATACATATTTCTTAATGTTCTTGTGAGAATTAGATGAGCTAACCTGGTTAAGTACTAGGCTCAGAGCCTGGGAAGCAGTTAGCATTCAGTAACTGTTGACTCCTTTGGCACCCCCATCACCCTATTTGAATCCACATAGGGTAAAAATCTCTTAGCAGAAGAGAGTAAGAGGTTGGCTGGTTTTAAACTCTTCAGCAATGTTAAACACAGAGTTTACTCAAGTTTCAGGGTGAAAGCCTAGTTCAGTTGTTTTCAAGGAATACCTGAAAGGGTATCTGCAAAAGTAACCTGCTGATATCCAGTGTTCTTTTCTTTTAACGAGATACTATTCTTGTCATACAAAACTATGGTTTGGGTGTCAGTAACTGGCTGAGGATGAGCCGTATCAATTATCTGTTACAACTCAAGGCTATCAATCAAAACACGTATTATTTCCTATTCCCTAGGCAACCAAAGGCATCAAACTAATAAGAACTCGGAGGAGCAAATAAACAGGAATGTGAAGTTACCAGGTTCCTGGGAAGGTATAGCACATCAGGGGCTCTTAGTTCCACCAGTGCACTCTCGTTGGTACCAGATGCAGTGAAAGCATGAGGGAAGTAGTAGAGGAAGAATGGGGCAAAAAAAAAAAAATCCCCAAATCAGGGCTGAAGTAAACTCAGTAGAGAATCTAAACACTGGACTCTGCTGCAGGTAATAAACACAGCCTCATCAAAATAAGCTCAAGAAGGCTTGGCTAGTGATTTCCAGAGAATTGCCCCCATCTCGGACAAAAGCATTAAGAAAACTTGAAGTGATGTCTGCTCATGAGAAAATAATGGCAAAGTCAGAAAAAATAGAGAAGTGAATCAGAATAAATCACCTTTTAAGTGAGCAGAGTCAGGGACCAGGAAGAACAAAATTTCCAGTACCCGTTTTATATCAGTGTGGAAAACTAGCTAATTTTAACCTGTCATTGTACATAAATCACTCTTCAAGCTTGGTGGAGGCAGGATTCTTCCTCTAATACATCATATTTACCCGAAAATGGGTCACCATAAAACGATAATGGTGGTTTTTTGCTAAGGAATATGTCAAAACTATAAAAATTGACCCCCAGAAGAAGTTATATGTGAGAGTAAAAACTGAAACATATTCTTAGAGGACATTAAAGCACAATCAAACTCTTCATACAATGGGGAAAATAAAGGAAAATATGATATTATATTCCCAGGAGTTCTAACTAATAGTAGAATGAACCCTTAATTCCAGATTCCTCAAACAGAAGTGATCTAGTGACCTCCATCCTACTTCAGGATCCCAATAAATCATATAATAACATGGTATTTATTAAGTACTTAGTATGTGTCTGGCCCAGTGCTCCTCTTTTTAAATATATGTCTTCATTTAGTCGTTACAATAATCATATGATTGAGGAAATATTTTAACCCTCATTATTTAGGCAAATAAATCAAGACTTAAGAGAAATTAACTTATTGGCCCAAAGTCACACAGCTACCAAATGGCTGAGTGGGGATTTGAATTTAAAACTCCTTGACTCCTTGAGTCAATATCATCAAGCTCTATACTATATTGCCTCTATAAATTCCCTACTATTTATGTGCTCATGAATACTTCCCCAACTTGATTACCTAGAATAAGTCATTCCATGTTCTCAAATAACTTTTACTTTCTCTATGCTATAACTATAGATTTAAAGAACACAAAGAAATAGATTATATATGATAACAGGATGTGATAGGGCAAATGCTTTAGTAGAGAATTAAGCATATTTTGTACTCTGAACACTTCACTATTTACCATGTACATAGAGGAGATACATGACAAATATAATTCATTGACTGACAAATCACTAATTTATTTATTTTTTTATTTTTTGAGACAGAGTTTCACTCTTGTTGCCCTAACTGGAGTGCACTGGCGCTATCTTGACTCACTGCAACCTCCGCCCCCTGAGTTCAAACGACTTTCCTGCCTCAGCCTCCCAAGTAGCTGGGATTACAGGTGTGTGCCACTATGGCCAGCTAATTTTGTATTTTTTTAGTAGAGATGGGGTTTCACCATGATGGTCAGGCTGATCTCAAACTCCCGACCTCAAGTGATCCACCTGCCTAGGTCTCCCAAAGTGCTGAGATTACATGAGTGAGCCTAATTTACTATTTAATTGACCTTTAAATAAGTGTTTCTAAGAGGGCTCCCAGTGGTTCCTACTTCCTGGTATTCATGACCTTGTGTAATCTCCTCCCCTTGAGTGTGGGCTGGATTTAGTGACTTGCTTTTAATTAGCAGGATATGGCAAAAGTCACAGGATGTCCCTTCTGAGATTAGTCCTCTCTCTCTCTCAGAGAGTCCTCGCTTTGAGAGAAGCAAACTGCCATGTTGTGAACTGCCTTACAAATAGGTCCATGTGGCAAGGAATTGAGGGAAGCCTCTGGCCAACAGCCAGCAAGAACTTGACATCCTCAGTCTAACAAACAGTCCCCAGAAAACTAAATCCTGCTGACAACCATGTGAGTGAGCTTAGAAGCTGATCCTTCCCAAGATGAAATTGCAAGTTCAGCTTACATCTTGATTGCAGCCTTGTGAGTTAGAAGATCCCATCTAGCAACTCCTGGATTTCTGAACCACAGAAACTGGGAGTTGATAAATGTTTTTTGTTTAAAACCACTAAGTTTTGGAGTAATCTGTTACATGGTCATAGATAACTAATACAGTGCCCCTCCGTTTTGTGACAAAGAGCAGCAGTGCTGTAGATGTTTTCATTTAAGGAAGTCCAATTTGAAAAAAAATTACACAGGAAATCTTGTTGCCATGGCAACGAGTTACAGGTTTCTTATGCTCAGTATAAACATTGGATAATAATCCCAATGGTTCGGAGCTCACAGATTTCGTCTATTAAAAGAGAAATTAAATGTTGAGGAAGGCATAGACAGTGGGCCTCTCATGTGGCCTTTGCTCCAAGAATCCTACCACAATGGTCTCTCCTCTGAATTCCAGTGGTTGCTTCAGGACTGAGGAGAAGGGACAGTAGGGGCAGCTATTACTTAGTCTTTGAAAGTTAGAGGTAAAGGAAAGCCAGCTAGATCTCCCACTTATGAGCCAAATAGAAAGGACATTACTTTGCTTTCGGATACTCTCAGAAGGAGAAATGGTAACGGGAGAATAAGCTGAATACTTTGCATTTGTTAAACCCTTTATTCTTTTCAAGTGACTGCCATGTCTTATTTCCTTGGCACCTCACAGTGACCTAAACAGGTAGGCAGGGAAGGCACTGATTTATATTATATGTGGCAAAAGTGTATTTATGTAATTTTTGCCTTCCGTTAAAAAAATAAAAGTAACAATCAGAGAAATGATTCTTCTGATCTCACAAAACCAGTGGGCAGTAGAAGCAGAGTGAGAACCAAGCACTAATTTCCTGAGTACTTAGCCTTTTCTTCCCACTGCCTGTCTCTGCTGGTCAAACTTTCCCCTAGCAAACATTTATTTTCCTCCCTGGGAAGATAACACTGCTATTTCAGAGGTAGTGACCCTGAGCCACCATGGACACAACGAAGCTTGTATGCCTTTTTCAGGAGTTGTGGGAGACCATCTGTACTTTTCTCTCATTATATCCAAGAGGCCACCTTCACATTTTAAAAATTGATATCATTCTTGTAACTTGTTCATACAGCACTTCTTAAAATGGTTATTTTAAAATTGTTATTTATTTTTAATTTATTTACTTTTAATATTTATTTTAGATTCAGGGGTACATGTGCAGTTTTGTTATATAGGCAAATTGCATGTCGTGAGGGTTTGGTGTACAGATTACTTAGTCACCCAGGTAATAAGCATAGTACCTGATAGGTAGTTTTTCGATCTTCACCCTTCACCCACCCTCCACCCTCAAGTAGGCCCTGGTGTCTATTGTTTCTTCCTTTGCGTCCATGTGTACTCAATGTGTAGCTCCCACTTGTAAGTGAGAACATGAAGTATTTGGTTTTGTGTTGGTGTGTTAGTTCGCTTAATATAATGGCCTCCAGCTCCATCCATGTTGCTGCAAAGGACATGATCTTGTTCTTTTTTATGGAGTTATAGTATTCCATGGTGTATATGTGCCACATTTTCTTTATCCAGTCTACCGTAGAAGGACATTTACTTGATTCCATGTGTTTGCTATTATGAATAGTGCACATGTCTTTATGGTAGAATGATTTATATTCCTTTGGGTATACACACAATAATGGGATTGCAGGGTAGAATGGCAGTTATATTTTAAGTTCTTTCAGAAATTGCCAAACTGCTTTCCATAATGGCTGAACTAATTTACATTCCTGCCAGCAGTGTATGAGTTTCCTCTTTGTAACCTCACCAGCATCTGTTATTTTTTGACTTTTTAATAGTAGCTATTCTAACTCGTGTGAGATGGTATCTCATTGTGATTTTGATTTGCAGTTATGTAATGATTAGTGATGCTGAGCATTTTTTCATATACTTTTTGGCCACATGTATGTATTCTTTTGAAGTGTCTGTTCATGTCCTTTGCCTGCTTTTTAATGGGGTTCTTAGTTTTTTTGTGTTAATTTGCTTAAGCTCCTTATAGGTTCTGGATATTAGGCCTTTGTCGGATGCCTAATTTGAGAACATTTTCTCCCATTCCAGCAGCATTTTTTAAAACTTGATGTGTACCAAGTTACCTAGGAACTGAATTAATATTCAGATTCCCAGGTCCTACCTCCCAGATTCTGATAATTAGAACTGGAGTGGAGCCCAAGACCATTTTTTTCCCCAAGCACTTCCATGTGATTCTGATGGAGGTGGTACATGACCAACTTTGGTAAATGCTACCTGACACATTCCTTATCAGTATTGTGCTATAACAAAAAGCCGAAAGACACACACCTGTCATACACATGAATACACACACAGAGGAATATCTTGCTTTATGCAGTAAATGGTTTCCAAAAAGGATGTATGTGTATCACATTTTATACCTCAGCTCACACATGAAATATGTTACATTCACATATCATTTCCTTTCAAAGAAAGAACAACATCTTAAAGGTTGTTTGATCCTTAGCACCTAGCACAATTCTTGGTGCCTAGAATTGGCTGACTTGGTGTTGCTTAAATGAATGACTATTCACTTTATTCAAACTGGGAGAAGGTCTTAGCATAGCATGATGATAAGTCAAAGATTTGCTCAGCACCACGTAGCACATCTTAACAGCATTCACTCCTATTTCCATTAAATGATTGTAAGCACTTCTTTTATTTTAGGATTCAGAAAGGCAAAAAGTAATAATAACATGGACAGTGAAGTACATGGACAGTGAAATACCCCTGCAAATGGGAAGCCCTAAGAAAAGTAGTTGTC
Organism: Homo sapiens; assembly: GCF_000001405.40. Taxonomy (NCBI): domain Eukaryota; kingdom Metazoa; phylum Chordata; class Mammalia; order Primates; family Hominidae; genus Homo; species Homo sapiens. Next base: position 42,736,883 of record NC_000023.11, on the reverse strand, counting down.
TTAGTCATGGGGTCTTTCTTTTCCTCTCCAAATCTTAAAAGTTATGAGCTCAGCCTTGCCAGGAGATTTTATGATCTATCACATTCGTAACTCCAGAAGAAGAAAGGACATAATAAATGGAACTAACATAAGGCCTTAAACTCCCCTTTCCCAAATAACAGAGAAAATCTTTGTTCTTGAATCAATAAATTAAAACACTTTATTTAGCAAAATTAATTAGAATCTTTTAAATAGATGTAGAACAGTGATACGTATACTCACTAGAACAGAAACTGGTGAGGTTTTTGCTGGCCCAGCTTAGGAGACCAAAATAGAGCAAAGAACTGGCTTTGGTGTGCCTCTGGAGCAGGCATTTTTCCTGAGTTGCTAAATGGAGGTTTTCAGCTGATTTGTTTATGTGACAGCTTGCCTGTTAACAGAAAAATATTGATTCCTCTGGCTTAGCAATGAGGCTCCTAAAACATTTTAGCCCTAAACTCATAAATTGCTTTATAAAAAGAATTAAGCTTTCCCAAGGAGTTTGCTTGGCCTCAAATATTTGATTGGACAAGGCACAGATATTTTTCCTGATTTTGCAGTTAGAAACCAGGCTTTCTACTTTCTCTGGTTTGACTTATTGGATAAGCCCTTTGAAAAATGGAGCTTATACTTAGTGTGTTTTATTTTAACTTCAATGATGATATGCATCTCTGCAGTAAATTTTTAAATAGCTGGTTATATATGCTGAATAAATGATGAACCTAATAATGCTCCCAGCTATCCTCATAGAGCATCTGGAAGGTAATCAGGGTCAAGATTGAAAGACAAAAAGATAGGGAGGAAGAAAGATTTAATACATGTCATGTTCTGGCAAATGAATGCTGATTTATGCCAAACTAGGCTTAAAAGAACTAAAATTACCATACGTGGTATAATCATTGCAGGCATACTCCTCACACAGCAAGAAAAGTCTTGTGAAAATTTGTATAAGTAAACTTTATCATCAACACTTTAAATTGATAAAGAATATGCACAGAAAATAACAGCAGCTCACATTGTACAGTTTATTTCCAAAGTCATTGAGTATACAGTATTTAATTTCATCATTGTAATAGTCTTTTCACGTAAGAGTTATAATCATTACAGGGTTTTTTTTGTCTTCCATTTCCAATAGTTTTGTGGAGACATAATTGGAATAAGCTGCATATATTTAAAATAATTTGATAAGTTTTAACATATGTATACAGCTGTGAAATCATTAGCACAATATACATCACCCCCGGGAGTTTCCTTGTGCCCTTTCCCAAGCAACCACTGATCTACTCTCTGCCATAGATTAGTTTAGTTTGTTTAGATAATTTGTTTAGATAGATTAGTTGGCATTTTCTAGAATTTTAGATTAATAAGATCAAACACTATGTACTCTTTTTTTGGATGGAGAAAGTCTGTGTGTTTTCACTCAGCATAATTATTTTGAGTTTCATCCATACAGCTGCATGTATCACAGTTCATTCATTTTCATTGTTGAGTAGCATTCCATTGTATGGAAATCTCACGATGTTGACATATTCATCTGTTGATGGAAATCTGAGTTGCTTCCAGTTTTGAGCTGTTACAAATAAAGTTGCTATGAGCATTCTTACAAGTCTTTGTATGAACATGTGCTTTATTTTCTCTTGGGTAAATACACATGAAAACAGCTAGATCAAATGATAGGTATATGTTTAACATTTATATTATTATAACATATTATTATTATACGTTATTTTACATTCTCAGCAGCAGGCTATGAAAGTTTCAGTTCCTATTCATTCTCACCAAATCTTGGTCTGGTCATCAGTCTTTGTACTTTCAATTTAAATTAATGGATGTGTAGTGGTATCTAATTGTGGTTTTAATTTGCATTCTCTTAATGGCTAATTATATTGAGCATCTTTTTGTGTGCTTATTCGTCATCAGTATATATTTGGTGAAGTGTCTGTCAAAATATTTTGCCCATTTTTTAATTGGTCATTTGTTTTCTTATTATTGAATTTTGAGAGTTCTTTATATATTCTGAGTACAAGTATTGTGTCAGACATATGCTTTGTATATATTTTCTCCCAGTCTGTGGTTTCTCTTTTTATTCTCTTAGGAGTGTCTTTTGAAGAGCAAATGTTTTTAACTTTGCTGAGGTCCAGTTCATCAATTTTTTAATGGATCATGGTATTGATATGGTATATAAGAAATCGTTGCCTAATCCAAGGTCACAAAGATTTTCTTCTAGAAGTTTTGAAGTTTTAGTTTTTACATTTAGGTTTAGGATAAATATTGAATTAATTTCTGTATATGGTATGAGGTATTATGGACCAAAGTTTTTTTCTTTTTGCATAAGGCTATCCAATTGTTTCAGCACTATTTGTCAAAATGCTATCTTTCTGCATTGAATTGCCATTGCACGTTTGTTGAAAATCAGGTGTCTATATATGTATGAGTCTATTTTTGAACTCTTTTTTATTTCATTGATCTATTTGTCTGTCTTGATGTTAATCTCTTACTCTCTTGATTACTACAGTTTTATAATAAATTTTGAAATCGGGTACTATAATTCGTCCAAAATCGTTGCTCTTCAAAGTTGTTTTGGCCATTTGAGGTCTCTTGCATTTTCTTATAAATTTTAGAATCTAATTTTCATTTTCTATTTAAAAAGGCCTGCTGAGACTTTGATTACAATTATGTTAAATCTATAGATCAATTTAAGGATAATTCATATCTCAATGATACCAAGTCTCTTGCTTAATTTCTCTCAGCAATGTTTTGTAATCTTTGGTGTACAAGTCTTTCACATCTTTTTCCAGATTTATCTGTTTTGTATTTTTGATGCTATTATAAAGGTTATTGTTTATTGAACTTCAATTTCTCATGGTTGCTAGTACAGATTCTCCTCAATCTACAGTGTGTGTATGTCCCAATAAACTCATTATAAATTGAAAATGCATTTACTGCACATAACCTACCGAACATCATAGCCTAGCCTAGCCTACCTTAAACATGCTCAGAACACTTACATTATATAGTTGGGCAAAATCATTTGGCAACACAGTACACTTTAGAACATTGGGTGTTTACCCTCACTCTTGCACGGAAGACTGGGATTTGTGTTTCGCTGCCACTGCCCAGCATTGTGGTAGACTATCATACTGTTTTCTACTAAATGCAGATTGTTTTCACACCATCCTAAAGGTAAAAAATTGTAAGTCAAACCATCATAAGTCAGGGACCATCTATATATAGAAATACCAATGACTTTTGTATATTGAACTTGTATCCTGAAACTTAGTTGCTAAACTTGGGTTTTAGTTTTAGTAGCTTTTTTTCTGTAGCTGCAATAGGATTTTCTACACAGATTATCACGTTGTTTAAGAACAAAAAGTGTTTTATTTCTTCCGTTCCAAGCTAGATGACATTTATTAATTTTCTTTGTTTGATTATACTGGCTAGAACTCTAACTCAATGTTGAATAGAAGGTGTGAGAGCAAATTTTTTTTCTTGTTACTGATCTTAGGGGGAAATCATGTAGTCTTTCACTATTAAGTATGATGTTAGTGGTAGTTTTTTTTTGCACGTGCTATGCCTATATTCATTTTCCATTGCTGCATAACAAATTACCTTAAAGGAACAATTTAGGCTGGGAGTAATGGCTCACACCTGTAATCCCAGTGCTTTGGGAGGCCAAGGCAGGAGGATTGCTTGGGGCCAGGAGTTTGAGACCTGCCAAGGCAACATGTTAAGACTGTCTCTACCAAAAATTCTAAAATTAGCCAAGTGTGTTGGCATGCGCCTATAGTCCCAGCTACTTGGGAGGCTGAGATGGGAGGATCACTTGAACCCAGGAGTTTGAGGCTGTAGTGAGCCTGGATCATGCCACTGTACTACAGCCTGAGTGACAGAGTGAGGTCTTATATCTAAACAAAAATAAAAAATAAATAAGTTAATTAAAAAACAAACAAACCAAACCCATAGCAACTTAACAAACTTTTATTATCTCACAGTTTATGTAGGTCAGGAATCCCAGCTAAGACATGGCTTAGCTGGGTGCCTCTGCCTCAGAGTCTCTCACAAGGCTGTAATCAAGGTCTTAGCTGTGGCTTTTGTTTCATCTGAAGTCTGAGTTCAGGGCAGATTTGCTTCCAAGCTCACTCATGTGGTTGTTGGCAGGATTCATTTTCTCACAGGCTGTCTGATTGTGGGTGTCAGTTTCTCACTGGCTGTTGGCCAGGGGACTCTCGGTTTTTTGCCACATGGTGCTGTCCATAGGGAAGTCATACCTTGGCCGCTGGCTTTCCTCAGATCAAGTGACAGCAAGCAAGATAGAAGCCACACTCGTTTTGCAAGCTAATCTCAGAAGTGACACCCCATCACTTTGCAGAATTCTATCATAAAGAGTGAATCGGCCAGGCACATTGGCTCACGCCTGTAATCCCAGCACTTTGGGAGGCTGAGGTGGGCGGATCAATTGAGGTCAGGAGTTCGAGAACAGCCTGGCCAACATGGTGAAACCCCGTCTCAAAAATTAGCTGGGCGTGGTGACACATGCCTGTAATCCCAGCTACTTGGGAGGCTGAGGCAGGAGAATCCCTTGAATCCGGGAGGTGGAGGTTGCAGTGAGCCGAGATCTTGCCATTGCACTCCAGCCGGGGCAACAGAGGGAGACTCTGCCAAAAAAAAAAAAAAAAGAGAGAGAGAAAAAAATGAATGAGTCACCACTAGGTTTAGCCTACAATCAGGGAAGGGATTACAAAAGAGGCAGGGATCATTGGAAGTTATCTTAGAGTCTGCCTACCACAATTCCCTTTATCAAGTTGAGGAAGTCCCCTTATATTTCTAGTTTCCTAAGAGTTTTTTACTTTTATTTATTTTTTTATCAGAAACATGTGTTGACTTATGTCGAGTGAATTTTATTTCTATGGAAATGATCATGTGGTTTCCTTTAGTTTTTAGTTTGTTTATATGGTGAAGTTCGTAAGTTTGTTCGCATTTTCAAACGTTAAACCAAAACTGAATTCCTGGGATAAACTTCACTTTGTCATAATGCATTGTCCTCTTTATATATTGTTAGTAAAATTTGGCTAATAATTTTTGTATTTATGTTAATGCAATATGAGAGATATTGGTCTGTAGTTTTCTTTTCTTGTAGTGTTTGGCTCTGGGGTGAGCGTAATATTGGCCTCATAGAACCAGTTTGAAAGTAGTCCTTCCTCTTCAATTTCTGTGAAGAGTTGTATAAAATTAGTACTATTTCTTTCTTGTGTATTTGGCAGAATTTATCAGTGAAGCCATCTAGGCCAGGAGTTCTCTTCACGGGAAGGTATTAAGTTCCAAATTCAATTTTCTTAATAGTTAATCCTATTCAGGTTCTCTATGTCTTCTTGAGTAAGTTTTTGTGGTTTGTGTCTTTCAATAAATATTTCCATTTCATCTAAGTTGACATTATTAGTATAGAGTTATTCATAATATTCCCTTCTTCCCTTTGTAATATATACAGGATCTGTAATATCACCTTTCTCATTGCTGATGTTGGTAATTTGTATCGTGTCTCTCTTTTTCCTGAACTCTTGATTTTATTGATTTTCTTTTCTGTTTCTGTTTTCTTTTTAGTCGATATAAATTTTGATCTTTATTTTCTCCTTTCTTATGCTTATTTTGCTCTTTTTTTTTTTTATGCAATGGAAGCTGAGGTCATTGATTTGAGACCTTCTTTTCCAATATATGAATTTCATGCTATAAATTTCTCCCTAAGTACTGCTTTGGCAGCGGCCCATAAATTCTATGTTATGTTTTCATTTTCATCTAGTATAAAATATCTCAAAATTTCTCTTTTTATTTCTTATTTAATCCATGTGTTATTTAGGAGTGTGTTACATTATTTAGTTTTCAAATATTTGGAGATTTTACAAATATCTTTTTGTTATTGATTTTTAATTTAATTCTATTTTCATTAGAGAACTTAATTTGTATGACTTACTTATAATACTTTTTTTTTTTTTTTTTTTTTTTTTTTTTTTTTTTTTTTTTTTTTTTTTTTGAGACGGAGTCTCGCTCTGTCGCCCAGGCTGGAGTGCAGTGGTGGGATCTCGGCTCACTGCAAGCTCCGCCTCCCGGGTTCACGCCATTCTCCTGCCTCAGCCTCCCAAGTAGCTGGGACTACAGGCGCCCGCCACTACGCCCGGCTAATTTTTTGTATTTTTAGTAGAGACGGGGTTTCACCGTTTTAGCGGGGATGGTCTCGATCTCCTGACCTCGTGATCCGCCCGCCTCGGCCTCCCAAAGTGCTGGGATTACAGGCGTGAGCCACCGTGCCCGGCCTATAATACTTTTAAATGTATTGATACTTGTATTATATCCCTGAATATGGTCCAGCTGATAAATGTTTCTTGTTTACTTGAAAGAGAGGTTTTTTGATGTTCTTATTGAGTGGGTTGTTCTATAAATGTCAGTCAGGTAAAGTTGTTTGATAGTGTTGTTCAAGTCTTCTATATTCATGCTGCCTTTCTGTCTACTTGTTCTATCAATTATTAAGAGAGAACTATTAAAATCCTCAATTATAATTGTATATTTGTCTATTTCTCCTTACAGCTATATCAGTTTTTACTTCATGAACTTTAAAACTCTTGGCCAGGAGTGGTGGTTTATGCCTGTAATCCCAGCATTTTGGGAGGCCGAGGCAGACGGATCACCTGAGGTCAGGAGTTCAAGAGCAGACTGGACAACTTGGTGAAACCCTATGTCTACTAAAAATATATTTAAAAATTAGCCAGGTATGGTGGTGGGCGCCTGTAATCCCAGCTACTCAGGAAGCTGAGGCAGGAGAATTGCTTGAATCCGGGAGGCAGAGGTTGCAGTGAGCCAAGATCGTGCCACTGCACTCCAGCCTGGACAACAGAGCGAGACTCCGTCTCAAAACAAACAAACAAACAAACAAACAAACTCTTTTATTGGGTTAATGAACTTTTAGGATCAATATTTTCTCCTGATGCATGAACACTGTTTTCATTATGAAATGATCTTCTCTATCCCTGGTAATATTCTTTGCCCTAAAATCAACTTTATTATCATACAGCCATTAAAGCTTTCTTTTGACTAATGTGTTAGCATAAAGTTCTTTCATTATCCTTTTCCTTTTAACTGATTCGTATCATGATATTTAAATTGTGTTTCTTGGTGGTGGTGTACAAGTGGGTCTTGTTCTCTTTTTACAATCTGACAATCTGCCTTTTACTGGGATCTTTAGAGCATTTACATTTAATGTGATTGTTGACATTCCTTGGTTTGCATCTACCATCTTGCTATTTGTTTCCTATTTGTCCCATCTGCTTTTTGTTCCCTTTTTCCCTCTTTTTCTTCCCTCTTTTTATTATTTTTACATTTTATTTTATGTCCTTTGTTGATTTATTAGCTATAATTTTATTTTATTGTTTTATGATTGCATTAGTGTTTATACTATGCATCTTTAACTTATCACAGTCTACCTTCAAGTGATACTATATCATTTCATATATAGGATGAAAACTTTGCAATAGTGTGGTTCCATTTTTCTCCTCTCATCTTTTATGTTATGGTTGTCATACATTTTACTTATACATATGTTATAAACTCCATAATACATTCAGTTTGTTTGTTGGTTGGTTTTGTTGTTTAAATAATCAATTATCTTTTCAATATATTTAAATTATGAACAAAATTTTTATAAATTTACCCAGGTAGTTACCACATTACCATGTCTAGTGCTCTGCATTCCTTTGCATAGATACATATTTCCTTCTAGTATCATTTTTTTTTTCTGCTTGAAGGACTTTAAGATTTCTTACATTGTGGGTCCAATGTTGATGAATTCTTTTAATATTAATTCAGAAAAAGCCTTTCTTTGCCTTCATTTTTGAAAGTTAGTTTTGACCAAATATAGAATTAGAGGTTGACAGTTTACTATTTTCCAGTACTTTAAAGAAGTTGCTCCACTGTCTTCAAGTTTGCATTGCTTCTGACAAGAAATGTGATGTCATTTGGATCTTTATTTCTCTGTATATATCTTATTTTTGGGGGGTGCTTTACAATTTTTCGCTTTATTAATGGGTTTGACTAATTTGATTATGATGCACCTGGGAATAGTTTCCTTACCTTTTTTTTGTGTTTGGGGTTCTTTGAGCTTCTTGAATCTCTGCGTTTATAGTTTTCATTAAATTTGGAAAACTTATACCTATTATTTCTTCAAAAAGTTTTCCTGTTCTCTCCTTTCTTCTCTTTTAGGGACTCCAGTTACATATCTCTTATGTTGCTTGAAGTTATCCCACAGCTCACTGAATCTCTCTTCCTCTCTTCCTTTCCTTTCCTTTCCTTTTTTTTCTTGAATCTTTTTTCTCTATGCTTTACATTTTGGACAGTTTCTGTTGCTATGTTCTAAAGTTCACTAATTTTTACTTATGCCATTTCTAATCTTCTGATAATTTCATTCAGTGTATGTATTTCATCTCAGACATCATAATTTTCATGGCACTTTCTATGTTTTCTCATGCATTATTTATATCTTCTATGTTTCTACTTAACATTTGGAACATGTAGAATACAGTAATAGTAACTATTTTAGAGTACTTATCTGCTGATTCTAACATCTGTGTCAGGTCTGGGTTAGATTTGATCAATTGATTGTCCTCATTCTGAATGTTTTTTCCTGCTTTCTTTCATGCTTTTTTTTTTCTTTGATTTGATGCCAGTTATAATAAGCTTTATTTTACTGGGTTTTGGATTTTTAAAAAATTTTTATTTTAAGTTCAGGGGTACAAGTGCAGGTTTGTTACATAGGTAAACGTGTCATGGGGATTTGTTGTACAGATTATTTCATCATCCAGGTGTTAAGCCTAGTACTCATTAGTTATTTTTCCTGATCCCCTCTCTCCTCCTACCCTCCACACTCCAACAGGCCCAGTGTGTGTTGTTCCCCACAATGTGTCTATGTGTTCTTACCATTTAGCTCCCACTTATAAGTAAGAACATGTGGTATTTGGTTTTTCTGTTCCTGCATTAGTTTGCTAAGTATAATGGCCCACAGCTCCATCCATGTCCATGCAAAGGACATGATCTCATTCTTTTTTATGGCTGCACAGTATTCCATGGTGTGTATGTACCACATGCTCTTTAGCGTTCTGGATATTTTTCTATTCCTATGTGTTCTTAAGCTTTATTCAGGGATACAATTAGGTTATTTGGAAACAGTTCAGTCTTTTCAGGTAGCACTTTTAAGATTTGTTAGATAAGTCTGGTGTGGTGTTCTATCAGAGCTAATTATTCCCCACTACTGAGGCAAGAACTTCCTGAGTACTCTACCCAGTGCCCCACAAGTTGTGACTTTTTCAGCCTGGTTGGTGATAACACACTATTCTTGGCTCAGCGTGAATGCCAGACTGCTATCTGTAAATCTGTCTATCTATGGGTATTTCCCCAGCCTCAGGTGTTTTATCTATACATGTGCTTTGATCAATACTGTACTAAGCACTTGAGCAGAATGCTCTGAAAATCTTCAGGTCCCTCTCTCTATGCACCTTTCTCCTCTCTGGTACTCTGCCCAGCTATCTCTAGTTGCCTTGATTTCCCCAGACATTCAGCTCTGTCTCCACTCAGTGAGACCATCAGGCTTTGTCTAGGTTCCCCTTTCTGCACCACAGCATGTAAACCCTCTCAAAATGGTAAGTTGTGGCAATCAAAAGTTTTACTTCATTTGTTTCCATCTCTCAAGACTCGCTATCTTTCGCGGTCTGATTTCCAGTTACTTGAACGTAGTTGTTTCACATATTTTGTTTTGTTTCTGTGGTTGTTTCAGGTGGGAATATAAATCTAGTCCCTCTTACTCTATCCTGCCCAGAAGTGGAAATATGATCCTTCCATTATAAAATAAAGAATGGTCCTAAGATTTGAGAACTCCAAAAGGACTTAGTGTTACGGTAAGTGGTAAAAGTAGAATTTATATCCATTGCTTTTATTCTTGCTTCAAAAACATGATCTTAGAAACACCTACATAGCTGGAAAATCTACAGGACTTTTTTTTCCAGTCTACAGATTGTTTATAATTGTTCATTTTATGTGTAACCCTTATTTTTTTTCTTTAAGGAATAAAGGTGAACAACCATTTGGGACTGTTTATCTACTTGCTATCTCTCTTTTGAGAGAGAATAATGTCTCAAGAGCTCCATTCTCTGATGCCTGCAGTATGTTATGAATCAGTAGAGAATCTTTCTGTCTGTGCTTGGATCTTGGGTAAGTGCTCAGCTTTCTCTCTTACCTCTTAGGCCCACTTATAAGTCACACCCTGTCTTAGTCTGTTTTGCACGGCTGTAACAGAATACCATAGACTAGGTAATTTCTAATAAACAGATATTTATTTCTCACAGTTATGGAAGCTAGTAAGTCTAAGATCAAAGTGCCAGCGTCTTGAAAGGGCCTTCTTGCTGCATCATGGTGGAAGGCATCACATGGTGAAAAGACAAACATAAGGAGAAAAAGAGCGCAAGAGTGGGCAAATCCACTCCTGTGACAATGAACCCACTCTTGTGATAATGTCATTAATTTATTCACTCTGACTTCACAGCCTAAACACCTCTCATTAGGCCTCATCTCACAACACTGTTGCTTTGGGGACTAAGTTTCCAACACATGTTTTTGGCGGACAAATTCTGACCATAGCATACTCTCACCCAGTTCAGTCCCTTTGCTTGTTTCTTCCTCTGGTAGAGTACTCCTCTGTTATTCTTCTCTAGCAAATTCCACCCATCATCTCAATTCCACTTTTAAGCTCTATTTCTACAGGAAAGCCTTCCCCATCTGTCTAATTTCCAGCTCTATAAAATCATGCTAGCTTTGTTTGGACAAGATACTCGTGCGGTCCCTTCCATCACTGAAGTAAGTTTTGTGGGACTAAGATTACTCTCTCCCATCCCTAAATTACAGTATCTGGCATTAACTGACCCTGAATTATATTCTAAAATTGGAACATATATTTTCTTCACTCTTATCTGACAAGCTGCCCATCATCAGTAAGTTGAAAATATATCTTGTTAAACAAATAGATGAATGACATTTTTTCCTACTCATTTAATGCATGTATTTTTTTCCTTTTTTGCTCAGAAAACAAGTTTCTTGAAGGCAGGGGAAATGTTTTTTGCTCTTTTGATATTGCATGCAGAATCTGCATTATCCTGGAGGCATTGTTGAGTGTCTGCAAGGACTCTGATTCCAAGAAGCCATTGGCAGCCTAATTTTCCAGAATCATAGTACTAGACACAGCTGTTAATATATAGCCCTGAAATAAATATGTGTTGAATGAACAATTAGGTGGCTGTGGAATGAGAGTTTAGCAAGACGGTCATGCTTACACAGAGAAACAAAGACGCAGATAGTGCAGACATGCTCACAATTTGTTTGCTTGATACATTTGCTACTTTGAGGCTTATACTTAATGTGAGTCTGTGAATGATTTACAGGTATACTCATACACTGAGATGAAGAACTTTATTATAAATCTCCTTCCTTGTACTGTAGGATACTGTGCATTTTTCAATGCTGTAAACATAAATAGAAAAGTGTTTTGTCTGTGACAAGATGTCAGCTGGAAAACCTTTTAAAGATGCAGAGTTTTAAATTTGAGTTCTCATTATTATATTGTCCTGATTCAAGGGGTAAGCACAAAAATGTTCTATATTTATAAATCTTATCCCATAAATCTTTTATTATAAGAAAAAAAAATAAAATTCTCATATAAAAGTAATACATATAAAAATAGTGTTAAACAAAAATAAGAAAATAAAACCCAACTCTATCTCCAATATAGATCACCACTAATAACATTTCAGTACATATTCTCTCATTCTTTTTATATACATACTTTATTCAAAAATACAATTATATTGAACATATTATTTTGTTATATGCATTTTCATTTAGTGATATGAAAACTATTCAGCATATACTCATAAAAATTCTCCACCTCATCATTTTTCACTGCTGCTTAGCATTTTAATGTATGGAAACACTGTAATTTACTTATCCAAACCTCCAATTCAGGTCATTTGGTTGTTTCCAATATTTTTGCTGTCATAAAATTAGAAAAATAAGTATCCTTGCAGCTAAAGCAAGTGACTTATTTTCCTTAAAATAAATCCCTAAAAGTAGAATCATTGGGTTAAAAAGTATGCAAAATTCTAAGGCTTTTGACATCAAAACTACCCCCTAAAAATATTGTGTCAATCTAATCTCCCAACAATGAACGGGGTATTTTTTAAATGTGATTTCATGTGTACTTATAACTTTTATGCAGGAAAAGTTTAAAATTAAGTGGTTGAGGAAATTAGGGTGCAGAAGAATCAAGAGCACACAGCATTAATACCAGAATTATAATCCCACTTTTTGTATTTCTTGTTCTCTTATAACAGTGCTTATTGCATCCACTCAAGTGGCATTTGAAAAAAGGCTGGAAGATTCCCTGAGTAAAATTAGGGCTTTTATTCAAGCACATATTGAAAACAAAAGTTAAATGGGCTGCAAAAACTATGATGATAATAGGATGGGTCATGCTTTACGCTGATCTCTGCAATTTATTTGCCATCAGGAGGCAGGAAAAGGTCAGTTTTGTTCTTTTTCCAAGAATAAAGTGTAATTTTCCTGAGAAGATGGTCTCTTTTCTACCTTGCCATTTGTTGTTATAATCACAAACTATGAAACTTTGCTTTGTACCCAAACTGACATTCATGAAATTAATACTTCCAGTTTGATTAGCTCAAATAGAGATTAAAAATGTGTTTTTATATTTCCTCATAAAACATTAGCTCTTCTTAAAATATTTTAAATTACAGATTATCTCACTACATACTTTGAGGCAGGCTTGAAGAGGTTGATTTCTTTCTAAAAATAAGATCCTAATTCTGATATAATTTGTTGCTCTCGATCTAGTTATTTTACGATCTTTAATTTTTCCATGATGCCACTGTGAAAGAAAAAAAAATATGCGCACACAAATACAAAACCAGAACCTGATGCAATTCCTCATTGCCTAGGAGTACCTTAATTCTCCTTAACCTGATACCTACCTTTCAATTTTTAAGCTTGCTATTCTGAGGTAGATTGGTTGCACAAATGACACAATTGTCACTGCTCTTCTAAGGCCATAACTTTGTCCATCAAGCTTCCCATGAAAAGATCAACAAAAGTGATAGACTGCTAGCAAGACTAATAAAGAAGAAAAGAGAGAAGAATCAAATAGACACAATAAAAAATGATAAAGGGGATATCACCACCAATCCCACAGAGATACAAACTACCATCAGAGAATACTATAAACAACTCTACGCAAATAAACTAGAAAACCTAGAAGAAATGGATAAATTCCTGGACACATACACCCTCCCAAGACTAAACCAGGAAGAAGTTGAATCCCTGAATAGACCAATAACGGGCTCTGAAATTGAGGCAATAATTAAGAGCCTACCAACCAAAAAATGTCCAGGACCAGATGGAGTCACAGCCGAATTCTACCAGAGGTACAAAGAGGAGCTGGTACCATTCCTTCTGAAACTATTCCAATCAATAGAAAAAGAGGAATCCTCCGTAACTCATTTCATGAGGCGAGCATAATCCTGATACCAAAGCCTGGAAGAGACACAACAAAAAAAGAAAATTTTAGACCAATATCCCTGATAAACATCAATGCAAAAATCCGCAATAAAATACTGGCAAACTGAATCCAGCAGCACATCAAAAAGCTTATCCACCATGATCAAGTGGGCTTCATCCCTGGGATGCAAGGCTGGTTCAACATATCCAAATCAATAAATGTAATCCATCATATAAACAGAACCAAAGACAAAAACCACATGATTATCTCAATAGATGCAGAAAAGGCCTTTGACAAAATTCAACAGCCCTTCATGCTAAAAACTCTCAATAAATTGGGTATTGATGGGATGTATCTCAAAATCATAAGAGCTATTTATGACAAACCCACAGCCAATATCATACTGAATGGGCAAAAACTGGAAGCATTCCCTTTGAAAACTGGCACAAGACAGGGATGCCCTCTCTCACCACTCCTATTCAACATAGTGTTGGAAGTTCTGGCCAGGGAAATCAGGCAGGAGAAAGAAATAAAGGGTATTCAATTAGGAAAAGAGGAAGTCAAATTGTCCCTGTTTGCAGATGACATGATTGTATATTTAGAAAACCCCATCGTCTCAGCCCCAGCTCTCCTTAAGCTGATAAGCAACTTCAGCGAAGTCTCAGGATACAAAATCAATGTGCAAAAGTCACAAGCATTCCTATACACCAATAACAGACAAACAGAGAGCCAAATCATGAGTGAACTCCCATTCACAATTGCTTCAAAGAGAATAAAATACCTAGGAATCCAACTTACAAGGGATGTGAAGGAACTCTTCAAGGAGAATTACACCCCACCTCTCAACAAAATGAAAGAGGATACAAACAAATGGAAGAACATTCCATGCTCATGGGTAGGAAGAATCAATATCGTGAAAATGGCCATACTGCCCAAGGTAATTTATAGATTCAGTGCCAACCCCATCAAGCTACCAATGACCTTCTTCACAGAATTGGAAAAAACTACTTTAAAGTTCATATGGAACCAAAAAAGAGCCCACATTGCCAAGACAATCCTAAGCCAAAAGAACAAAGCTGGAGGCATCACACTACCTGACTTGAAACTATACTACAAGGCTACAGTAACCAAAACAGCATGGTACTGGTACCAAAACAGAGATATAGACCAATGGAACAGAACGGAGCCCTCAGAAATAATACCACACATCTACAACCATCTGATCTTTGACAAACCTGAGAAAAGCAATCAATGGGGAAAGGATTCCCTATTTAATAAATGGTGCTGGGAAAACTGGCTAGCCATATGTAGAAAGCTGAAACTGGATCCCTTCCTTACACCTTACACTAAAATTAATTCAAGATGGATGAAAGACTTTAATGTCAGACCTAAAACCATAAAAACCCTAGAAGAAAACCTAGGCAATACCATTCAGGACATAGGCATGGGCAAGGACTTCACGTCTAAAACACCAAAAGCAATGGCAACAAAAGCCAAAATTGACAAATGGGATCTAATTAAACTGAAGAGCTTCTGCACAGCAAAAGGAACTACCATCAGAGTGAACAGGCAGCCTACAGAATGGGAGAAAATGTTTGCAATCTACTCATCTGACAAAGGGCTAATATCCAGAATCTACAATGAACTCAAACAAATTTACAAGAAAAAAACAAACAACCCCATCAAAAAATGGGTGAAGGATATGAACAGATATTTCTCAAAAGAAGACATTTATGCAGCCAACAGACACATGAAAAAATGCTCATCATCACTGGCCATCAGAGAAATGCAAATCAAAACCACAATGAGATACCATCTCACACCAGTTAGAATGGCGATCATTAAAAAGTCAGGAAACAACAGATGTTGGAGAGGATGTGGAGAAATAGGAACACTTTTACACTGTTGATGGGACTTTAAACTAGTTCAATCATCGTGGAAGACAGTGTGGCGATTCCTCAAGGATCTAGAACTAGAAATACCATTTGACCCAGTCATCCCATTACTGGGTATATACCCAAAGGACTATAAATCATGCTGCTATAAAGACACATGTGCACGTATGTTTATTGCGGCACTATTCACAATAGCAAAGACTTGGAACCAACCCAAATGTCCATCAATGATAGACTGGATTAAGAAAATGTGGCACATATACACCATGGAATACTATGCAGTCATAAAAAAGGATGAGTTCATGTCTTTGTAGGGACATGGATGGAGCTGGAAACCATCATTCTGAGCAAACTATCGCAAGGACAGAAAACCAAACACCGCATGTTCTCACTCATAGGTGGGAATTGAACAATGAGAACACTTGGACACAGGGTGGGGAACACCACACACCGAGGCCTGTTGTGGGTGTGGAGAGGGGGGAGGGATAGCATTGGGAGATATACCTAATGTAAATGACGAGTTGATGGGTGCAGCACAACAACATGGCACATGTATACATATGTAACAAGCCTATATGTTGTGCACATGTACCCTAGAACTTAAAGTGTAAAAAAAAAAAAAAGAAGTGAAGTTTATAATCCCACCCCTGGAAGCCCTGTGTCATGTTTTAGATAACAGAATACAGTGGAAGTGATGGTGTTACAGTTCCAAATCTAGGACTCAGAAGGCTTTGTATACTTCTTGCTCTCTCAAATCCTAGAGAGCTCTGTGAACAAGGCTGGACCAGCCTACTAGAGGATAAGAGACCCCATGGAGGAGAGCCATCTCGAGAGAAGTAATCAAAGACCAGTCAGTTCCCAGCCAACCAGCTGGCTAACTGCTTACATGAATGCTTCTAGATGAGATAATTTTAGCCTGGCCCAGAACAGAAGAACCGCCCAGCTGATCCACAGACACAAGAGCTACGGTTTTGTTTGATGGAGATAGGTAAAACAGGAAGTGAGTTGTTATGCTGCATTACGTAAGGCAATAGATAACTTATACTTTAGGTCTAAAGCAGTTGAGCCAATAATAATTATGTACCAGTTCTCTGCCTGGTATCCAGTATAAAATAGGTCTTCAGGAGAACAGACTCTTCTGATTTCACAGATTTTGTGGATATAGATCAATAAAATAGTTTGGCTTTATTTATATACACTTATTTACCTCCTGACACCCTTTTCAATTTCCCACTAGCAACACGTAGAAATTAGCTTAAAAATAAGTCATTGGCCTGGTGTCCAGCCACTCCCAGTGATATGTCATGACCACATTAAACCAATCCTCGTTCCTCAAATACCCAAACACTATAACACTGGCATATTTTCACTTAAACCTGATAATTTTTCCCTCCTCTCTCTGTCAAAATATTTCCATGGTCCAAGAATGAGCTAAAAATGTTAAAGGTCTTCTCCTCTGTGAAACATTCTTGATCACAGATCTCAAACCTCCAGTATAATCAATTTCTCTTTCTTCCCTTTTTTTAAATACTCATTTTGCCATGCCTATTTCAGTGTGACTTGAATTCAAAGATCTAATATTCTTCCAGTATTATCTAATCTTGGAGATTAAGAAAAAGTAAAGCAAGTTTCATACAAAGTGTTTTAGATATTTTCTTATAGACTATTTGTTAGGATTTTCTCTTCTTTGGAAAAAAAGAAAGGTCATTTTAGCCATGTTTATGGTTCAGAAAGCAAGTATATTTTGGCTTAAAATATACTGTGGAATCAGAGTTAACTTTGTCTTGGTCATTATGACATGACCAAATAAATGTTTTTATTTCTATTATTAAAGTTTATCTCCATATTAAAGTATGTCTCTACTTCTATTAATAGAACACTAGCACTGAGAAAAAAGAAAGAAGACCTTTTTCAGTTCAGGTGGAGAGGAGTAGATTAGTGGAGAATTTCATCGATGTTCTAACGCTACAGCTGGGATTCCTTCCATCTTGTTCAGGGACCTAAACTCAAGCCTCTGACTCCCCTGTACCAAGGGCTAGCACAGCCAAACTGTGGTCTAGGATAAAGATCTGAATATCTCCTTTACTGTAAACCACTTCTATCCTGACAGGAAGAGGTCACAGTCTATAAAAATTTTTATTGATTATATTTTACTGTATGACCAAGAGGAAAAAGTTAGAGGATGGATACTTGATGCTGGTTTATTTAAAATAGCAGTTCCCAACCTTTTTGGCACCAGGGACCCTTTTCGCAGAAGACAATTTTTCCATGGATGGGGTGGGGTGGGGATGGGGGATGGTTTCGGGATGAAACTGCTCCACCTCAGACCATCACGCATTAGTTAGATTCTCATAAGGAATGTGCACCCTAGATCCCTCACACGTGCAGTTTACAATAAAGTTTGCGCCCCTATGAGACTCTAATGCCGCTGTTCCTTAGACAGGAGGTGGAGCTCAGGTGGCAATGCTCCCTGGCCCACTGCTGGGTTCTTAACAGGCAGGGTTTGGGGCCTGGGGGTTGGGGACTCCTGATTTAGAACACACACCTAAATAGGTCTCTTTCCCTTTGTTAAATAACATTTTATATTAAGGATCCATTTAATTAAATAGGTTGGGGAGTTAAGGAGAAATGAAACAGATTATAAATCAAGAAGTGAGTTTAGATGCCATTTGCTCCACAGAGTCACTGCAACAAGGCATTCACTTCCAGTGACTAGCATGATGCCTTGCCTATAACATAAACTCATGAAAGGTTTTCGTTTCAAAACAAAATAACAATTGAGTTACAGAGTTTTAAATAAGAGCATTAATATAAAGAATAGAAAAAAACTGATTTTATTACAAAGTCATTGTGGATCAATAATACACAATAACTTGGACACAAGAAGCAGTCAGTGAGAAGACATTCAATGATTCATGAGCACATTAAGTTCATGAAAAACAGTGAGCCCACAATGTTACATATTATCCTTTTTCTGAATCAATAACTATAGAATTAAATACGTGAAAATGGAATATTTTTATACATACAATAATAAGAGTAACAAAGGTGTGCAAAACTGCTTATCTTTAGGATTTCTTCAGTATATAGTCACATAAGAATAAAAAGTTAGAAGATTCAGCATGGAATAAATCTACAAATGTTCCCCGTAATAAACTTAGTTGACACATTGGTAGGCCATGGTTACTTACAAGGAATGGTTTTACTTTAAGCATATTTTTCATAAGATGGAAAAATCTCATACGCAGATTTTATTTACCCACTTCCACTGGGTCATGAAGGAAACAGCTTGTTAAGAGCAGTGTAAGGATCCCCAAGCCCCATTGCACCCCAGGAACTCTGACTAGTATGAGGTGAGAACAAATAGATGATCCAGAAGATCTTGAAGGAAACAAATAGCAGCCAATGAAACCCATTTTCTGACCCTCTCCCACTCCATCGTGTCTCTTTCAGCAGCAGCCAAAGTAGTATTACCCAGTGATACATTCAAAATATCAAAATATTTTCTTCCTGAAATACTCCTTACTCTGAACAAACTTTCTCAGCATACCTCTTATGTTAATTCCTTTAGAGTCTTTCATTCTCTCTCTCTCTCTCTCTCTCTGTCACACACACACACACACACAAACACACAAAGAACAAATATCAAATTGTCATAAACTCTGAAACCAAGAGATATTGAAAGTCAAAAATAAAACATGCTTTTAAAAGTCTTTACTAACTTATTCTAAAATAACACAGAATAGATATTTTAGGTCATGGAAACCTCTATCTGGGTCTTTATTGTGTGTGTCTTTTTCTAGCTATGTTTTTATGGCCATTAGGCTTACAAGTGTCTTTCTCTCTTTTCTGTTACTTTATCCAAAGCCTCCCCCACTCACCTCTTTCTCTCTCTGCCTCTTTAATTCTCTTTCTCATTCCTATAAGTGTGGACAATAGAGAATGAAAGTTCGGTATGTATTTGATTTGTTCTATATTGAATTTTTATGTTCTGTATTCCTTTTATACAACTCAGAAGAGTAAGCCTGATGTTTTAAATTTCTCCTTTTTTTTGAAAAATAAAGACCCAATTAAATTGCCTATTTTGAATTGATCTTCAATTATTTCTACCATCTTTTCAGCCACTGATTCTAAAAGGAAACAAGTCCTTGCCTTCACCCTTAAATTATTTTTATACAATCAGAATTTTTCATTTGCAGAAAAAAAGGAGAAGGGCTGTCAATTTTTTTCCTGTAGTCAGGATTCTGGTGATCACTGCTTATAATATAGACTTCAATTATTGACTTTTCTTTAGAAGAAAATGAGAATTGATGTTTCTGCCTTTCTATAATTTTGGGCATATATCTTTGTATACCCCTAGCCTCAAATCCATTCTACCCTTGCCACACCTCTCCTCTCCATTTTAAATGAAGAATTCTGCTTAGGAGAAATTGTTTTCTCCCTTTTAACATTCTCATCCAGCCAAATAATTTTCTTGCTTCCAAACCTCATCTACTTTCTGATTTAGGCAGAAGACAGCAGATTCTAAAATTATAGCACCTTGGGGTTAGGAGAGATTAGTGAAGGTATCTAACTTAACTCAGTTGCTATGGCTTAACTTAGTCTCCTTGGCTTAAAGGATGGGACAAGAAATAAGGCTTATTAATTATTCAACTCTATAAACATTTATAAAGCCAGGTACTGGTAGACACCAGGGATTCAGAAATGAATAATCCATGATGATTGTCTTCAGGAAGCTCATAGTCTAGTGGTTGGAAAGATAAGTAAACAATTAGCAAATACAGAAGTGAATTAACTGCCATGAGAGAAAGGTACTATGGGAGCATGTAATCCAGGCTGTGAGGCTTTCTTGAAAATGGGATGCCTGACCTGGGCCTTGAATAATGAAACCTCAGAAATCCTCAAACTTTAGAAAGAGTCTCTTTGTGAAAGCATGATGTTCAAAATGTAGTTGCGGTGGGAGAAGTTACTATAGGAATAACTGTAAAAATGTCATCTTTATACTCAGGATGGCATGGCATGGTGTCTGTGTGGTTTATTGGCAATGGCAAGCTTATTGCTTTTAATGCCGTAATTTTCACAGGGTCACCGTTCTACTTTTTCTGCTGTATGTGTTACATAAAACTGTACTTCTTCCCTTTTATTGGAAAAAGTAAAAATTCCAGTAGAGGAAGCAGCTTCTTGATAATAGGATATTTTCCATGAGGCAAATTAAACCCTCGCACATTCACTTCACTCTGCTTCGCTCCCGCCTTCATGACTGTTGAGCCCAAGTCAGCTCCTTCTTCCCTGCTCTTCTTTTCCCCAGAGGCCCTCTTCTGTTGCCCTGGTGATCTGTCAGGGCCAGGATGACCTATCCTGTGCTCTCATTCAAATTGTTACGACTCAACGTATAGATTGATAATTTTCTAATTATCTTTCGCTAATGGGTATTTCGGCTAAAATCAATCTGTCCTCATTTAAGGCCATAAGAAGTGCTTAGAAAGCCAAGCTGCTTCTCCTGTCATTGTACCCAGACAGCAGGGACTATCCAGGCTCTGATTAAACATGTTCTATACCTGGAATGTTAAAGAAAATGAATCCCTTTCCGGGGTTAGAAAAAAGAGAAGTATGTGAAGGGGGAAGAAAGATGAGTCATGTGAACAGAAGTTGAATGGAATATCAACTAGAAAACTGAGCCCCACTGACGGAGCTGCTGTGTTTGATGCAGTGGGTTTAGGAACAAAGAGATTGCCCGAGTTAGGAGATGAGAAGCAGGCACTAGGGGCGCTCGCCTGCAGGAAGCAGGAACAGGAGCTCTCCGGCACACCTCAGATGCCAGTGCTGGCTGTAAAAGCCAACTTGCTGTAAAAGCCAACTTGCTCTAAACAGTGCCAGTTTTGCAGCCTCACAGGCCGACAATTACAGAAACCTCATTATACTTGAGTGGGAGCCAAGGCATGGCAGTGGCAGGGCCATGCCTTGGCCCCTACTCAAGCATAATGAGAAGCTTTCTGTAATTATCGGACCACAGCTGTGTTATCACACACAGATCTGCCCAGTCCCTGAGAGTGAGTTCCAAAACAAGAGTGCCACAGTGCTTGACAACACCTCTGCCTTCAGAGCCCTCGAACCTTGCCCGGTCCTCACTGTGGCCAGAGTGTGGCACTGACCCAGGGCCCGAGATGTTTGTTTTCTTATATTTCATAGAGTTTAATTTTAAAAGAAAAAAAAAACTGGTGAACTTGTTTAATACCCTAGACTATAGAGCCAGCTGTTAGCGGGCCTGAAAGTCAGATGCTGGCTGAGCCATTCCCTGGAACTCATTGTGGCCAGTGTCCTTCCTGTGTCAGCTGGGATGAGAGAACACAAACACTAGAGCCCAGTGTCTTATCAGAAGTTCCAGTCTGGATGTGTATCTTTCCTTCTAGGCCCAAGGGTAGGGGCTGAAAAAAAAAAAAAAAAAAAAAAACAGCACATTGCACTGCCAGTTTTGGATGTCAGTGAAAGGATTCTCAAACCACTATGTCTTTATTCCCACCATAGAGAATGGGGGACGGGCCAGAGGAGGCTCAAAATTTTCTGTATTAGAAAGGGCCATAGATGTCTGGTAGTCCAACCTCTCACTCAGTGTAGTTGCCTCCTTAAAAATATGCTAGAGCTGTCATCCAGTCTCTCCTTGGATACTTCCAGGAGCTGGCTACTCATTCCTTGATAAGGTAGTGTGATTTATATCTGAATATTCTCGGGTGTTTTTGTTCCTTTTGCTCTGCAATGGAAAGAGAAAATCATAATAGGTGTCTCCCTTGCTTTAAACTTTTCAAGGGGCTCCTATGGCCCTTAAAATCAAGTCCATGTTCACAATAGCTCTGCATGTTCAGCCCCACTCCCATCTCTCAGCCTCATCCCTTGATGTGCTCCTCTCACCCAACCAGCAGATAGAGAAACTCCAGACACTGGGACCTTCTTTCACCTCCTATAATAAGTCTTTTTCTCTCTCACTTCCAGCCTTCTCACCTGTAAATTCCTCTTCCTGGAACATTTCTTCCCAGGTTCTCCTCTCTTTACCCTGCAACCCCTACTCATCTTTTGGGTTCTTTTTTTTTTTTTTTTAAATCTGGGAAGCCTCCCTAACTTTCAACCTAGATTAACTCTCTTTGCCATAAGCATTTAGAGCACTGCCTTATGCATAGCACAGGGCTTGGAACATAGTAGAGGCTTAATAAGATTAGTTGAATGAATAAATGAGTACATGAATCCAATCTGTCCACAACTTCCACCCTCTTGTCTTAATTCTACCCTCTGCCTTGTGAAAGCCCTTGAAATATTCAGACAATCATCCTAATTATCCCAGCATTAGTCTGGGGCTGGTCCTAGCAGGCAACGGATCACACGCTCAGGCAGTAATTGAGGAGAGCAAGATAAAAGGGTTATTTATAAAGATGTGAGCAGGGTTAAGCAAAACTTAGGACCACTCTAGAGCCAGCAAGAACAGAGTCCTAAGCCTGAAGTGTCAAGGGGAAGGATAGGCTGAGAGGTAGCTGAAGCTGGAGGACAGAATCACCCAGTGATCCATCAGGGAGGCAGCCAAGAGAATAAATACCTACTTCATTCCCCTCCTATCTCTGATCTCCTCCTGGTGCCTCCCACTGGCAGATAGAGGTCAGAGAGCCTCCTAGGGTACAAAGCACAATGGAAAATAAATAGAAACAAACAAAACATATTCAGTACAATCATCCACTCCCAGTGGCCACCCTGAACCTACTCTTACCACAGTAGACAGCTTGAGCTGTTTCTACTACTGCTCAAAAGGTGATGGCTGCTGGACTCCTCATTATCTAAGTCAACACCACTTGGATAGGTTCTGGATTGCCATTCATTATTTGTCTTAAAGCGTGCTGCCAGATATATCACAATGTTCCAGACACTCTCTGACTAGCACAACAACCAGGGGAGTGGATACCAATCTTTGACAATCTAAACACTATCATGTATTAATGTAGGTTTAAAACTGTGGTTCCCTTGCTTATTGAATACATTTAAATTGCTTTTTTATTGGGTTTATGATCAATTAAATCCCCCAGGCTTCCTCACACAAACTACTGTGAAATCTAACTTCCTTCTAAATTGCACTCATGTCACTGATTTTTGTTTTAAGCTAACTGCGGGATTTTACATTTATCCCTGTCAGATTGTATCTTATTTACTTCTGTTCATTGTTCCAGATTATTAAATCCTTATTTTGTTACCTAGTGTAGCAGCTTTTCCTCCTCACTTTGAGTCACCGGCTAATTTGATTAGGGCATTGTCTTTGTTTTCATCTGTATCAATGATAAGTGAACAGAATCCCAGACAGCTGGGCACTGCCCTCAGTCGTTGAAGGACTGAGTAGTGTAGTGCAGCATTTTACCAGGTGTGTGAAATAGAGCACTGTTTCTACAGTCTGTTAGTGATATAATGGGAAATAAAAGATCTATAATTAAATAATTTGGGGGAAATCCTGGGTTAAACAAGTTAGACAAGTTTCTTTCCTAAAGTGTCCCTTTGAGTTTTTCATATGCTGGTATCTATATAGACTATTTCTGGAATCAGATATTCAAAACTCTACTAGATCAATTTGATGTGGCGTGTACATATTTGTGCACATGTATACATAATGTCTCATGGGATGGTGTTTCACAAAACACACACCTTAGGAAATGATGGCTTTAGAATCTAACAGACCTGAGTTTCAATACCATCTCCACCATTTATGACTTTGGGGCAAGTTGTTTAATCTTTCTAATCCTTAGTTTTCATATCTATTAAATGGGCATAATAGAATATTTTAACTCATAGAGATGTATGCTGAGAATTAATAAGATAATGCATGAAAGAATGAGTGTTTCTTACCATATAGGGTAGTAAATACTCAATAGATATTAGTTGTCATTAAACAATATTTTTATCATCATCATTAATGTTATTCTGACATTGATCCACTAACTAGGCCTCCTACAGAAAGTATGTAAAAATATAATAATCTAGCTTAATTAAGCTAAAAGATACACAGATTAGCAATATATTTCTAACTTCTATGACACATAATGCTAAATAATAAATATCTTAAAGACTTTTTTTAACTCTCACAAATTAGTAAGAAAAAATTACATTCTAATAGAAAATAGGCAAAGGGGATCAGAAAATAATCTACAAAAGAAGAAATATAAGTGGTCAATAAAACATCATGACATATTTCAAATTGGAAATTTCTAGTTTTAATGAAAATACCCATAGGTGGCTATAGTGCAAATAAATAGGCAATTTTATGTACTTCTGGTATCAGTGCAAAATGATAGCAATAATTATGATAGCTAAGAAGCATTTGGTGTTTAATATATACTAGGCACTGTTCTAAGCATACCATAAATATTGACTCATTTAATTCTCTCAATAACTCTGTGAGGCAAATTGTTAAAATTATTTCTACATTACCAATGAGAAAACTAAGTACAAGAGTACTTAAGTACACCTTTTCTAGAGCAACTTTTGTGAAGAATAATTTCACAATACCTATCAAGAGCCTTAAAATATTCATATTCTTTGACTCAATGTAGTGGAAGCTGTGATGCATTGCCCAGATCCCCTTCAAGACTTATTCCTCCAGTGCTACCAGATAATAGTCCTCAGCTCTCAGTCCTCTTAAGAAATTGTCCTCAGCTGGAGACTCTTGCCTTGACAAGGTATTCCTTTGGATATACCCTCATTCAATGACTGACTGATGAGAAGACATAAAAGTTCAGCTTCCTCACTGCATACAGGACAACTCTTCAGAGCTCTCTCTGCTCCAGAGCTTTCCATGGGATCAACCGACCCTTTGTTGAGATTCTATCTCAGCTGAACTTCTGTCTTGTCCAATCCTGCCTTCTTCCCTTCCTTTCCAGCGGTTTTAATCCTAAGAGTATGTCCTTAAAAAAAACTTGCTGAATACTAATCTCTGTCTTAGAGTCTGCTTCCTGGAGAATGCACACAGCAACACCCAGCAATTTAACATCTACTAGTTTATTCTAAGTAAAAGTCAACTATGAGTATAAATAATCATATGCAAGCCCTAGTGGATAGGAAAGCTACAAGAGAAAGAAGTCTAGGTCCCTGAATCAAGATATGAAAAATTTCAACCACTAGTTTCAGCTTGGAGATGTAGAAAGTTGGAAAAGACATTGCTCCTGCCCTTTAAACAACAAGAACAAAAAAAGGAATAAAATTAATGACTTCTTTTGAACACATGAGAAAACCGAAGTCACAGGGCAAACAACCAACCTGAACCCTAGAGAGAAACTGGTGTCTGCAGGGAGAAATGGGATACTAGCCTTTGTTTACCTGGCACAGAGGCTGCCAAAAGCCAATTAAGCCAGAAAGAGAATTTAACTAGAATTTTAAAAAGTCAAATTGTTAAATGCCTGGTGTCAGCTAGTGTAAGAGTATAAAGCCCTTGGGGAAAGCAGACACAGAAAAGTTCACACCTTCTTTTAAGATTTTCCTACAGAAACCTCGTAGATGGACACAGGGGAGATGGGGAGAACCCTGAGGAAGCCAGGAAAAAAACAAAAATACTTCTGCTCCTGGGGTGAAAAGGGAACGCATGCTTGGCCTAGCATTATGTCTGGAGGGGGGAAAGGAATACTTGTGAAAAGAAACACAAGCTTTGACCTAGTTTCATAGAATTTGCCTAAGACTGAGGCTTAGTCAGAACATTAGATAACGTTTCCATCCCCCATACCTCCACTGCCACACTAGCAGGTGTCAAGTAAAACTAGCAGTGGAATGAACTGGGGAGGCTGCAGAAGAAAAATTCTCTTTGGGGAGCATGACAAAGAGAAGACCCAAAGCCAAGTGGAAAGCAAACCTCAAACTCAGCCCATTTTCTTATTATATTATTACAAACTCTCACATTAAAGGCATAGCAGAAGGAAAGGCATGCTCATCTCCAGTCATAAAAAAAAAAAAATCTTAGTGCCTATTGTCTTGTGTGTCTATGTTTCAACAAAAAATTTAGAGGAATACAACAAGGAAAGAAAAAACAGTCTGAGGAGTCAAAGCAACCATCAGAAGCAGTCTCAATTATGACACCGATGCTGAAACTAGTAGGCAATTTACGATGAGTAATATATTAAAGGCTCTAAATGAAAAGATAGATAACATGAAAGAATAGGTAGTTAATTATAGCAGGAAGATAGTGACTATAAGAAAAAACAAAATAGAAATGCTACAAATGAAAAACACAGTGACAAGGGTGAAGAATGCCTTCAAAGGGGTCATCAGTAGACTCAACACACAAAGATATAATCAGTGATCTTCATAACATGTCAACAGAAATTACCTCAACTGAAACACAAAGAGATAAAAGAGAGGACAAAAACAGAAGATCCAAGAGCTATGAGACAATATCAAATGGTCTAACACATTTGTAATGAAATTCCAGAAGGGAAGAGAGAACAGAGCAGAAGAAAATATTTGAAGAAATAATTAAATAATGGCTGAGCATTTTCCAAAATTAGTGACAGACACCAAATCACAGTTCCAAGAATTTCAGAAAACACCAACAGGAAAAAGAAACCTAGATGTTATTATTACCCTCTGGCTGCTGTAACAAATCACCAAAAATGTGGTGATTTAAAACAACAGATTTAGTCTTTCACAGTTCTGGAAGGCAGAAGGCTGAATCAGGATCACAGGCCAGAATCAAAGAAGGACCATTCCCCTTCCTGAAGCTGTAGGGGAGAATTTTGTCCTTGGCTCTTTCAACTTCTGGTGGTTTCCAGGATTCTTTGGCTTGGGGCTGAATCAATCCAATCTTTAAGGCCAGCATCTTTAAATATCTCTGTTCTGTCTTCACACCGCCTTTTCCTCTGTATGTGGGTCAAAAGCATAAGAGATAGGAAAATGAATTGGAAGTATACTACTATGTGGGTCTTATACTACACATGAAGCAGTATAATAGTCTTTGAAGGTAGACTAAGATTATTTTAAAATGTATATTTTAAACCACTAAACATGTTTTTTAAAGAGGTATAAACAATAATTCGATCGATGAGAAAAAATAAAGTTACAAAATGTTCAATTACACTTAGAGAAGGCAGAAATGAGGAAATAAAAAAGAACAAATGAAACAAATAGAAAACAGTGAACAAGATGATAGATTTTAGTCTAACCATATATAATTTGGCTCAATTTGAATGGTCTAAAAACACAAAAGACAGAGATTTTCATATTGAATTTAAAAATTAAGACTTAAACATGTACTTTCTACAAGAAACCCATTTTACATATGAAGACATAGGTAGATTAAAAGTAAAATGATAAAGAAATATACACTGTACAAACACTAACAAAAGAAAGCTAGAGTAGCTATATCAATTATGACCAAAGTAAAGGTTAGAACAAGAAACACTGGCCGGACGTGGTGGCTCACACATGTAATCCCAGCACTTTGGGAGGCCGAGGTGGGTGGATCACCTTAGGTCAGGAGTTCGAGACCAGCCTCGTCAACATGGCGAAACCCCATCTCTACTAAAAATACAAAAGTTAGCTGGGCATGGTGGTGGGCTCCTGTAATTCCAGCTACGTGGGAGGCTGAGGCAGGAGAATGGCTTGAGAGAACCTGGGAGGTGGAGGTTGCAGTGAGCCGAGATTGCACCGTTGCACTCCAGCCTGGGCAACAAGAGTGAAACTCCATCTCAAAAAAAAAAAAAAAAAAAAAAAGAAAAGAGAGAAAAAAAGAAATATTATCAGGGATAAAGGTGGATCACATAATGATAAAGGGATCACTGCTTCTGAGAAAAAAAAATTACTTGGGAGGCCATTAGGCTGAGATGGTTCCAGCAATTTGTGTTCCTGTGTAAGCAAACTGAAACCCAACTCAATGTAAATGGTAAAACAAACTTTAAGATCGACCAGTCAGAAACCATCATCTAACTTCTAACTAGGGACTTTTCCGCTGGAATGACCCAAATAAGGCTATTGCCTCACTTTAACTGATCAAATGTTTTCTTTGTCTTTCTTCCAAGAACACTTTATAAAAGTTTCCTCCCTGTGTCCTTTTACTGTAGCCCCAAACCACTGCCTGATTCACAAATCACTATCTGCTCAAATAAACTCTTTAATATTTTAATGTATCTCAGTTTATCTTTTAACACTCCCAATAATCCCAAATGTTTATGCACCTAACAGTAGAGCTGTGGAAAAAAAAAAAGGAAAAAAGATTAGATCTGAGAGGACAAAGAGAAATCCACAACTCTAACTGGAATATACTGATTGAAATGATAGGGCAGGGAATGATCTTAGCACATCTGTAGTGATAGAGAGTAAGGAAATTCTAGTGAATAAATAAAAATAAAAGTAAATAGAAAATAAATTTTTTAAATGTGGGTATGTCAAAAAGGGCACAGGAGCTCACCTGAGAGTGTTCTAATGACCAAAGCTAGAACAATTTGAGCAACAAAGTAAATATTAATTTTGGATTATAACCTGGAAAATAAATAGCCATGATTTCATACTTATATAATCATTGAATAAATAAATAAATTGGAGAGAGGAAAAACTTGTTACAATTCCAGACAATATATACTGAAGAAATTAGAGGAATAAAAAATCAGTGTCAGAACACAGCAATAATAATTGCTGCAGACAGAACCCAATATTTATTCATTATTGTGGTGGTTTTAACATATGTCCCCTAATTTCTTTCTACTCCTTTCTCCAGAAAGTGGAACTTAGTTTTTCTTCTCTTGAGTGTGGGCTGCACTTGGTAACTTGCTTCCAAACAATAGAGTGTAGGATAGAAAAAAAATAGCAACTTTGCAATGAAAAAATCTGGCAGATGCTTCCCTAATCAAGGGGATCAAGTCTAATAAGCAGTGAAAGGTCTATGGATAACACGCACCCCTTAATATGATGCGATGAGAAGGGCACTTTACCTCTATGATATTCTTCCCAAAAATCCATAGCCCTGGTCTAATGATAAGAATACATCAGACAAACCTTAATTTTGGAGCATTCTACAAAACACCTGTCCACTATTCCTCAGAGATGCCAAAGTCATGAAAAACAAATAAAGACTGAGAAACTGTAGCAGATTGCAGGAGACTAAAGAGACATGTTATATCCTGGATTGGACACTGGAAGAGAAAAAGGACATTAAAGGAAAAACTGGTGAAATCTGATTAAAGTCTGTAGTTTAGTTAGTAGTGTTGTATCAATGTTAATTTTATAGTTTAAATAGATGTACCATGGTTGTATAAGATCTTAGCATTAGGGGAAGGTGAGGAAAGAGTATCTGAGAACTCTTTGTACTATATTTGCAGTTCTTCTGTAAACCTAAAATCATTTTAAAATAAAAGCTTTGTTTGTTTGTTTTGAGATGGAGTCTCGCTCTGTCTCCCAGGCTGGAGTGCAGTGGCACAATCTTGGCTCACTGCAAGCTCCACCTCCCGGGTTCACACCATTCTCCAGCCTCAGCGTCCCAAGTAGCTGGGACTACAGGCGCCCACCACCATGCCTGGCTAATTTTTTTTTTTTTTTTGTATTTTTAGTAGAGATGGGGTTTTACCACGTTAGCGAGGATGGTCTCGATCTCCTGACCTCGTGATCTGCCCACCTCGGCCTCCCAAAGTGATGTGATGTGAGCCACTGTGCTCGGCCAATAAAAGAGTTTTTTAAGTTATTCATATGCTAAGTACACCCACACTGGACTTGTATGTAAGAAATTAAGTTCCATTGTGTTAAGCTTTTGAAATTTTGAGGGTTTTTCTTAACTGAAATTAGTGTTACCCTAATATACTACTGATCATTATTATTAAGCAGCATCTTTTCAAATTAATTTTTTTCCATGATTACATATTTGACTACTCAATCAAGAGAAGATTGTGTGCTTGTTATAAGTTGTTATAAGAGATCCAAAAGAAGTCAACTGGCTGCTCTCTTTTTGAAATTAGTTCTCTGAAATTAAACCTTTAAGTTATTATCTTTTTAATATTTTTGTTATTTTTATTTATATAACTGTATTGTAAGTACAATAGAATCATTGAGATGAGAGCAACTAACTAGAGGAGTCCAAAAGCTAGATTTGATGAGGGCCTTGAATGACATGGAAGATCTGACATTGTGAATTCAGATGCCTTCTGGGGCCAGTCAAGTAATATAAATGTTTGACTTGGATAAGAGAAAGTAGTAGGGAGCAATGGAGCCTAGCTGGAGAATGCATGTTTGCCTAAAGAGATTGCAATACATTTTTTAACACTGTGCTGATCAAATGAAAGATGTATGCTATTTATAATTGTCTAAGGGTGAGAGGCTATGACTACTGATATGGATCCTATGGGGAAGAGAAACCAGAATATGTTTCAAGTATGAGGAAACCCAAGATGACAGGTAGATGTAAGCAGAACAGGTTGAGAGGATGATGGGACCGTAGCCTGGTGTTTAAGGTAAAAAGGCAGCATACCTAGTGCATTAGACACAGTGGGAATTTTGGCGATCACACAGTTGAGTAGTATGCAGTGCTACTGCATTGCTTGAGGGTTCACAAAATATTCCCAATGCCTAAGGAGAGCGGCTCAGGAAACTTACCTCCTGTATCCAATACATTTTATCTATACATTGTATTTCCCTGTGAGAGTTTATTCAAATTAATAGTTCCATGGCAAAAAAATAAATAAATAAATTTGAAAAACATTGATCTAAGACCCCCTAGATCTTTTCATCAGTTATAAAGAGACCCAAGGAGTTGAAGTAACTTGTCCAACATTCAAAGTTATATGGATTTCCTTGGATTTGACCTGCAAATCTGGCTCCAAAGCTAGTGCTCTTTAACTGCTTCATTGTAGAGGTCTAGGCAGGCCTGGAACAAATTTACTTCTTCGGAGGTAAATTTCTCTCTGCATTTCTATTATTCCTTGCCCTCTGAGCTTTATGTTAGGTGGTAATCTGGGATCAAGAATTTAGAATGTAAAGTAAGACTTTGAATTGTTTTCATTTATCCCTTGGTTGAATATAACATCTGAAAGCATATTTTAATAATAAAATAAAGGGTAAAAAGCAATGGGCCTTTGAGGGACAGGCAGTAACAATAAGAACAACACTAATAATTTACATTTATTAAATATTTATTATCGGTCCAGTACTGTTGCCATCACCTTACAAATACTTTCTCATTGGATCCTCACAATAACTCTCCCCATTTTACATAAGGAAAGTAACATCAAATTAGAAAGGTTAAGTAATCTGCCCAAGGATTCACAGTGAGTAAATAAGTGGGTAGGGTCAAGATTAAACGTGTATCTTTTTGACTCCCAAATCTACGTTCATAAACACACTACACAATACTGCAGCACCATGAAAGAGATAAAGGCCCTGTAACCTCCTTGACAGCAGCTCAGGGCCATGGACAAACCTGTTTCTCTTCACTGTTTTGTCTAGAGCTGTATTTGCCTTCTGTCTATAAGAATATTTACTCCACACCACCCTCAGCCCACTCCACTCCAGATAGACTTTGGAGAACAGACTCTTCCTGATTCCAGTTTAGAAAAGGGTTGGTAGATGTAGGTGAAATGTTCTTGCACAGATAGCATCACAATGTCAAGATGGTAGGCCACAATAACACTAAGAATAAGGGAGCCCAGCTGTATTTTGCCTTCATCAAATGACTCAGATAGTTTTCAGATGTGGTGGGTGGGATGAAACTCAAAGCTTGGCGAACTTCAAACATTTCCCCCTCTGTTTAAAACATCCTGTCTGTTCTCCAGCGGAAATGCAATCCCTTATGATTCTATGATTCAACACAGTTGTTGCTTTTAAGTATATTTGAAATCCCAGAGGCCCCTTGGGCAAATCCTTTTAAGTGAGAAAGCTACATTTTACTGAGTCAGATAACTGAATTTTGAGTTCCAAGAAGCTTGGGATGTGATTTTAAACTTCCAGCCATTAAAGTATGAGCCAGTGCAAGAGGTGGGGAAGTGCATCGAGTCTTTGCTCGCCTGCCTCCAGAGGCGGAAAATGTTCCCCTGCCCATCATTTCAATGCATAGAAGGGCAGCGGAGGGAGAAACATGGAACAGAAAAGCAAATTCCCACAAAATCAGGAGGCTTAGGTCCTGCTCCTTTTCTCTCATCCAGTGGAGAAAGAAGGAGTAGGATTAGGACACCTTGGGTGCAGCTTGATTTAGTGTCTGGACCACAACTTCCCATGGTACCCCGGCAGTGGTTATTGTTTACATTTGAATCCAGTCTCTGCCACTTTTAAACTATGTGACTTTGGAAGCCACATAACCTCTCTGTACTTCAGTTTTCTCACATCAAAAATGAGGATAATAGTTCTGACCTCATTAGGTTGTTGAGAGAATTCAATGAATTAGTTGTGTAAAGTGCATAGAACCATGCCTGTTACATTGTAAAAACCCAATAAACGTTAATGATGTTAAAGCCATTATAATCTTTTCCAAAGAAGTTCTGGGGACCCAAAGGAATCCTGTGGCTCCAGAGTTCTGGACATGATTTTGTCTCCCAGCAGCTCTGCAAACTATGAGGGTTAGTTGACAGTTTGACTAGACCTTCTGAGGTCCTTCAAGCATGGTCTGATCCATTCTATCATTGTAGTCTCAATGCTCATCTCCCAGGACCATCATGGGGTCCCCTTGACCTATTTCAGACCGTAATTATGGACACTAAAAACCGAAATTATGTAACATAGGCTGGGTGTGGTGGTTCACACCCCATAATCCCAGCACTCTGAGAGGCCAAGGCAGGTGGATCACTTGAGCTCAGAAGTTTAAGACCAGCCTAGCCAACATGGCGAAACCCTGTCTCTACAAATAATATAAAAACTAGCCAGGCATGGTGGTGTGCGCGTAGTCCCAGCTACTCGGGAGGCTGAGGTGGGAGGATGGCTTGAGCCTGGGAGGCAGAGGTTGCAGTGAGCCAAGATCACGCCACTGCACTTCAGCCTGGGCAACAGGGCCAGACCCGGTCTCAAAAAAAGATTCTGTAACATAAAATGCCACTGTAACTCAGAACACATGGTCAGTGTGAGTAGAATGCTAGCTGAGAGTTGAGTTCTAGTTATAAAACAGTAGATAAAATAGGCCAAACATTTCTATCCACATGCATGTTATATTTTAGTGAAAGAGACATTATCAATAGGCCTGTCTCACCTCATCTCCTGCCACTCCAGTGCGCAAAGCTTTCTTGCTGTTCTTTGTATATTCCAGCATGCTTCTGCCTTAGGGCCTTTGCACCTGCTCTTTTCTCTGCATAGAATATTATTTCCCTAAATATCTGTATGGCATACTCTATTATCTCCTTCAAGTCTATTTAAAATGCAATCATCACTCTATCTTTGATGCTCTCTATTTCCATTCCCTGCTTTAATTTTCCACCTCAGCACTTAATGCTATCACACTAGATATCTTACATACTTAGCCAAAAACTTTGAAGGGTTATTGTAGGACTTTAACTTTTACACAGTGTGAGCTAGGAAGCCATTGTAGGGTTATAATCAAACGAGTGATATATTCTGCTTATGTTTAACAGAATTACTTTGGCTGCTTTTTTTTAGAATAGAAATGAAGGAGGCAAGGACAGAAGTAGAAGGATCAGTTAGGAAGTTATTGCAGCAATCCAAGTAACAGATAACAGTTGCCAGGGTTGTAGTTGTAAAGCCAGTAAGAACTGGTCAGATACCATACATATATTTTGAAAGAGGATCCATTAGGGTTTTCTGATAAATTTGATGTGCAGTGTGAGAGAAAGAAAGGAGTCAAGGATGCCTTCAAAGTTTTTGGCCTGAATGACTGAAAGATTGGGATTGTCATTTGCTGAGATTGGTGTGGGTTGGAGGGGCTTCAAGAGAAGAAGATCTGAAGAAAAAATCAGGAGCTCAGTTTTTCATGTGTTAATTTTGAAATACCTATTAATATCCAGATGAAGATGTCAGGTGAGCCCTTGGATACATACATCTCAAGTTCAGGAGAAAGTTCTGGAATAAAGCTATAACTTGTAGAGTCATCAACATATAGAAAGCATAGAAAATCATGAGATTAAATGAGATTGTTAAGGCAGCAAGTGTATCCAGAGAAGAGGCAAGGTTCAAAGATTAAGTGCAGGGGCTCTCACTTAGAGATAAGTGGGATGAGAAGGAAGTAGCAAAGGAACAGAGAAGGAGCAACTAGTGAAGCAGGAAGCAAGCCGGAGAGTGTGGTGTCCTGGAAGTCAAGTGAAGAAACTGTCTCAGCAGAAAGAGAGTGATCAACTGTGTAAAATGCTGCTGATCTATCAAGTAAAATGAAGACTCAAATACACTTTGAGGTTTGGCAATATTGAAGTCATTCAAACTGTGTAGTCTTAGGGAGAAATGAGGAATAATGATCTGGAAGAAGCAATGAGGAGGGAGGAGGACACTACCCCACATCCAGACTCAGTGCTTTGAGGGGTCTGGGAGAGAAAACAGCCACCCCTTGAGGAGGCTGCAAGGCAAGCAGGGTCCTTTGAGGAGAGGTGAGTTTTAGTTCCAGCAAATAAAATAAGGAAATGTGAGGGGATGTAGGGAATTTGGTTGATAATTGATAGATGCTTGACAGAAAGTTCCAGTTCTTTCAGGAGATGGGGCAGAAGGGAGATGGTGGCAGAAAAGGCAATTTTTGGAGCCATAAGGAGATTAAAGGCCAAGGGATAGGGGACGATCTAGGGCCCTACACTTCTTGTGACTGAAATGACAGAAATATAGGACATGATGTTCCAAAGAAGAAAGTGCTAGTAAGTATTGGACAGTTTGAAAGGAGTGAGAGAAATATGCAGAATTTGGGGCTACCACTTGACTCCTACTGATGGAGGATGGAGCCTGCATAAAGGAAATCTTTATTCTAGGATGTGATAGGAGCCTCTTGAATTTTCTGATGAAGGACTGGGAAATGAAAGAGAGGTAGTCTCACAATGAACTCACAGGAATTCTCTTAACCCCTGGTGAAGGTCACCTGCCCAGGCAATACAAGATATATTCTTTTCAGCAGTGAGGGCAGTCATTGAAGCCTGCTGCATATACTTCTCAATTTCAGCTGGCAAGAGATTGGCATCACCACTGACACATTGGACAGCCACTTTTGTCTAATCCCCACTCTCAGGCTTCTGACCAAAAGCCCACAAACAACCATTCCATGGATCATTAAATCTTTCTTATCCATTATTTTAAAATTTATTTTTAGTGATGGAGATCTCATTATGTTGTCCAGGCTGGCCTCAAACTCCTGGGCTCAAGCAGTCCTCCCACCTCAGCCTCCTGAGCAGCTGGAACTACAGGCACATGCCACCATGCCCAGCTAGATCTCATTTGTTTTATAAGAACATTCCTTGTGTTTTTCTCTGCCAGCTTGGTTCTAGACATTTCCAATATATTTTCATATGACAGAAAGTGTTTAAACATTCTGACATTTCAATTATGTAATATGGTTAAATGAATTTCCATAGTATTTGGCACAGCAGTGTTGATTAATGCTTTTCTGACTCTAATCACTAAGTAGGAACCTAAGAAGTGGCAGATACATCTTAGGGAGATACAGAGGGGATATGATTAGTTATAATTTCAGGGTACCAATAATACACAAAGATGTTCTCTTGAGTCCAGTGGTAAATAATGGCATTATTTTATCTGCAAGTTAATAGTAATTCAGAATTTTAAGAGGTCTAAAATCTTCAGGTCACCAATATAACTTTTAAAAAAATCTCCAAGATGTTCAGAAGTGCTTCACAGATTATTCTCCTTCCTTGAGTTTCAACTCCATTATCAATAAACTGTCAACATACTGACAAAACATAAAGTAATCTATCTAAATTATACTGGAGAACTCACATGTGTCTAGCACTTGGTAATTTAGAAAGTAAATGCTTGAAAGTAAATTCTCTGATTTGATACTAACACATTTCGTGTGAGGTAGAAAGCGCAAGGTATCACAATCCTTATCTTACAGATAAGCAAATTTCTCTGTGAATCTTAAGGTGAGACTTATTTTCATCAAATATACCATTTATTCACTCATTCATTTATTTATTCAGTAAGACTTCATTTAGCTCTCACTATGTAAATGAATCCTTAATCTTCTCGTAGTTGACATTTTTTTCTTAAGACTTGAACATTTAAACATTTTGAACAGGCAGTCATTGAATTTCTACTATATGAAATACCCTTTCAAGAACTATTTACTGGGAGAATACCAAGCCAGTTAGGGTATTCGTTCTTTCCTAAAGAAGCTCAAAGTTATATGTATTTATAATTTTTCATGTGTGAAAAATTGAAACCTGAGCTTAAATGCATATTGGTCCAACAACTTTTCTCAGGGGGTCCATATTGGTTAAGGTAATTGTAGCTGCTGCAACATACAAATCCAAACATATATAATGGTTCAAACAGAAAAGTTTATTTCTTGCTCATGTTAAGTCCAAAATGGGTGGTCCAAAAGGTGGGCAGCAGTTCTCAAAGCAGTGATGTAGGGACCCAGGCTTCCTCTGTGATATCAAATCCATCCTCAGCATATAGCTTTGAAGCTTCCTGGGCTCAATTGCATCAAGTCAGTACAAAGGGAAACAACATGGAGGGTAGCATGGGGGTGGGTATTCATCAGCCAGATTTCAAAGAGACACACAACAGTTCCCAGTTACATTCTATTGGCTAGGACTCAGGCACATGACCATATCTAACCTCAACAGAGGCTTTGAAATGGGGTCCAGCTGTGTGCTCAACAAGACAAGGAAAAAGGTTTGATGAGTAGCTATCATTCTCATATCTGCAGCTTGGGCCTGGGAAAGTTCATATGGAGCAAGATGGATAGGACTGGGGAAGCAGAAAGCGAGGCAGGTGGGCTCCCTAGTAGGTAAGCAGCAGCCTCCTGGGATCTGTTGAGGGGGGTAAATTGTGGTTATATCCAAGGTGAATCTCTTCTTCATGGTGGGGGGCATCATATTTGAGCAGAGAATGCAGAAGAATTCTCCAGTATAAGGGAACTTTGCTTTAACTTCAAGTTCTTCTTGTCTCTGGTGTGTTGATTCTTCTGAAATTTGGTCTGCCAATATGATTTAATCCAATGATCTCTTGCCCTCCATCTTTGTTACTACTTTTGGCTCCAGAACACTTTCACTTTCTGCTCCAAGGATGAAATTCTCAGACTTTTCTTGACTCTTTTGATTCTGGATCACAAATAGTCCTATCTTTCAGATCAACCTCAACCTATAGGCCTGAGGAATAGAAAAAATTATTAGATTAAATTATGCCACATGTCTGTTAACAGACTTAACCAGTTAGCTGACCATACAATAATGGAGTTGTTTCTCAAGTTCTAACAGCTCATTAATGTCTCTAGACCAGTCACTTTATTTGTCTGTACCTCCAGTTCTTTTTCTGGGGAAAAAAAAGGAAAATAGCATTTTACACATTATAACTATCTTGGGGGCACATGGTGGTTTTCTAATAAATAGTGTTAACGCACTACCCTTCAGTAAAACATGGTTCTGAAGCCCTCTGCAGACCTAAAAATAGCAGCCAAGGATTTCCTTATTGCTAAGTCTGTGGGCACTTCCAAGGGTTGACTGAGAGAAAATTAGCCTCCTCACACTTTTTATTTCATAATTGGATGTTAAAATAGAAATTTCTGCTGAGACACTAATAGATACCAGATACCAAAGTGACTTGTGAGATAGGCTTTCCTATAGGATTTCCAGAAAGAAATGACCAAACACCAATGTTATGAATTTTATGAGTTTTATGACTCTCACCCAACACATGAGCAAAAATGGTTGAGGGTCGGGGTTTGGAGAAAGATTTTTTAGATGTAATGTATTTGAGCAAGCTCTGTTTAGAAGGTCGGAAGGTGCCTCTCTTTTTACCTCAAGTCAAAAGAGAGGGGCTTTAAGGTAATATTTGTTACCCAAGATTTGAGGGGCAGACGCAGTGGATTAATGTCTACGTCATAACTGAAATGGATAGACTGGCTGCTCTGATGGGTGGCTGCATTGGGATTGACCAACATCCTGAAATTTATTGGAGAAAATAATGCATAAATGTTTAAGTGTTTCCTGTGAAACAGAATTGGACAAGTGTGTATGTATGTGTGTAAAAGAAAGAGAGAAAAAGAGAGGAGAGAGAGAGAGAGAGCCAGAGACAGCGAGGGACAGAAACAGAATAAACGAGCATAAAATCAATTTAGGGACTAGCCAGGAGGGCTCACTTGGACAAGTGAAAAGATCTCCAGAGAAAAGAGCTAACAGTGAACCCAAGGGGACAGCTAGAGACTAAGAAAACAGTGCAAAGGTGAAACAGGAGAGAGTCCATCAATCAAGGGCAAGACATCTGGAAGTGAGAGGTCCCCAATATTTGGTGTGGAAAAGGATCTCCGAAAACATCACAACTGCATCCATGAGGAAGAGTCAGAATTGTATGCCAACCAGGCCACTAAATGGATGGTGTTCATAAGCATTCCAGTTACAACATGCTTTCTTTCTCTGTATATTTCTCTCTCCCTGCACACTGGTGCAGGAGGAGTGAGGAACAAGGTGAGCAGCTGGAGGAGGAAGACAAAGAAGCACTATTTCTTTTCCTCCAGAGGAAAAGCTGACCGTGTCTCTCCTGCCCTTCCCCTTCTCCAGGCTTCCTATCAGAGTAGCAAGTAATGTTCAAAGTTTTGAGCATTACACGAACCTGGAGATTATAGCTACTGATAATCACTAAAAAGAGAATGTACTTTGGACTTAAAGAGACCATAGGAATTTTTTAATACTTAAGCACCCCAGGAAAGAAATGGAGGGGGTGGGGGCGGTGGGGCAGGATTTTGCCTAGAGGCTGGGAAGAAATTTCCTTCTGAAATATGTAAAGGAGTAGTGGGAGACAAAAATAAAGTTACTTTATATTTATGTGATTACATGATTACAGCCCCTTTAGAATACATTGAGAATGTTCACAATCCCTGTCTGTGACACATATCGTGAAACGAGGCGGATTTCTCTCTTTTATGGCCATACAAATACCTCCCGACCATACTGTATTCCTTTTTCTCATTCCGATCTCAGATGAAATAAACATACCCTAATTTCCATTACCTGTACTTATTGTTTTGCACATAATGCTTGAAGGCATTGTTTTGTAGTCAATGTCTAAATTTGCCAATGCTTAATTAAATAAATCCATTCAAATTTTAGGTTCATTTTTTTTTCTGCTTAAACAAATGGCCACACATTTATTGCTGCAAAATTGTTCTTTGCTCCAGCATTTAGCCATAGTTGTGAGCATATTAGTATTGCACTCTAAATGACACAATTATTTCAGCATCAAGCTCCATTTCAAAAGATATTTCATATGCCAGTAGGTCTCCAAGGGATTTACTTCCTCTCTCTCCTTATTTACTTATTTTATTTCTTTGTATTGCAATAAAATTCAAGGCTGAGAAAGCACTAGCTCTCTGAATCCCAGAGCTGGGAGTAAATAATTCAGCACAGTGTGGCACAGAAAATGCTTCTCTCTGCCTCTTTTTTTTTTTTTTTTTTTTTTTTTTTTGCCTTGTGTCTGTGTAGATTCAAGATCATGCTGAGGGCTCTGATGCAGAGCAGGACAGATGTCCTGGCTGAATTGAGAGATGCAAACTTAGTGTGGTCTAAGTACAGAGCGAGTGCATGAGATGATCAGCTGTTCTGAAACTCAGTGGAAAATGACAGCACTTTGAAGCTTTTATTTTTGAGCGAAGTAAGAGCAATTAGGTATCTTTTGCAGCCAGTTCAAGACGATAAACAGATATGCTGTGCAATGCAGGATGAGTTCTTTTTCATGGGTACTTGCATTTCCTTATTGTGTTTTTCTTTTGGGTTGACACCTGAATCCCAGGGACAGATCACCTGTTAGCCAAAAACAGATATGTTAGCTACCTTGATCCCCTGGCCATTTGGTAATATGTCTTTTCTCTCCTCTGAAACCTTTAAAAATTACCAAAATTTACCTCCTGTGTTTTACTACAAATTCCGCTGCCCATTATGGTATTTATCCAACAATGCTATAACTTTCAAAACAATTGTGCTGGCTTGATTTTGTGCATGAGCAAGTTGAATTCCATGTGGACATGGCAGGGTAGGTGCTGTATCAAGTGGGTAGAGACTGTAGTGCTGATGAACACAATCCTGCAAATGAAAATGTGGCAGGTATTGTCAATGCTCCACCCATGTCCAGTTCGTTGTGCTCAGAATGACTTCCAACTGCCAGTGTCTGCATTTCTGCATCAGGAAGCTGTTTCCAGAACCACAGAAGGTAATTCTGCCTTTGTTTGTGGCAGGCTGGAAGTGTCAGGAATTATTGCTTCCCGGGAGCGTGCCTTAACCAATGATGCTTAGGAGTTGGTATACAAATGTTTCAACTCCTTCACCGCTCAAGTGGAATGATTCTGAGGTATGCATTTTACACTAGTTCCTGGAATTTACTCTTGGTCTTAAGTGGCAGTCACTGACTGTGATAGCTGATTTAGTAATACCCCTTTCTTGGTTTGCCTCCCTCACTTATTATTTCCCTGCTGGTGTTCCCTGCACCTCCTTAATAAGCTACTTATACTTGAATCCCTATCTCTGAGTCTGCTTTTCCAGAACCCAAACCAAGGCCAAAAGACCAGTCATACCCCAGTTAAATCCTGAAAGGCTTTAAGATCAATATTGAGTATGCATGTATAGTGGGATATTTCCTTCAAACAAAGATGCCCTAGGGATGGGGGCATAACACCCTTCCATAACATTCATGTCTGCCTTTGCCCGTTTTGTTCAGACCCACTTCAGTGTGGACAGAAATGGAAATGTTCTAAGCTCTGTAGCATCCTTTTGATTGATCTCCATAGCTCCAGCTTCTCCCTCCAACCAGCCCTGCATGGTGCTGCCAGTCCAGTTTTCCTAGGGCCTCATTTTCATGTATTGCTCCCTGTTCAGAAACCTGCAATGACCTAATCAGACAGTGGTAAGTCAAAATGTCTCTACTTCATCTTAAGCCTCCCTCATAACCTGGGGAGAGAAGTTGTGTTGTTTACTGCTCTGGCACCCTTCCTTATAGGCTTTGGGTTGGCAGTGACTGCATTCCTCCACTAAAGGCCACAGCTTTTTTGTTGGGTGTCCTCCTGCAGCTACACCTGTAGCTATATCTCTTTCCAGGTTTTACTAACCACTCTATCCTATTGACCCTCCAGGCTACTTGCTAGGCTGGGGTATGTCACCATCACTCATGGGTTCCCTTCGTTAATCTCTCTTCAGTTATCCTTTTGACTGTGAAATTTGTTTCTTGCTAGGGCCCTGGGTGATACAAGCTCTGAGCTAGAAATCAGGAGTTCTGGCCTCCAGACTTGGCTCTGCCACTCTCTACCTTATGTAACTTTGGATATCAGTTATTTCTGAATGTTTTTGAGCCTTACATTAAGTATTTGTCAATGGGAATAATAAGACCTATACAACACACCTCACAAGGTTGTTATGCAAATAAAATTTGATTTTGTGCTGGAAAGGGTATTGCTTGTTTTATAAATGTGAAGAATGACATGAATCTAAGGTTTTGTTATTATTACATTACATAGAGAAGAATCTGGAGGGGGTCTCAAAAAAGACATTACCAAAAAAAGAAAAGACCAAGAATAAGGGTCACAGAAGGAAATGGACAACTCAGGGAAAAATGTCTGTGCCCCTTGCAAGTCACTTATTCCAGTGATTCATCTGGTGCCATCCTCACTCAGGGCCTCAGGCACTGGGCAACGCTGTGTGTGTTGCCATGGCAACTGCCAGCCAAAACCTAGAAATTCCAGCAGCTTACAATATTAATCATCATGAGAAGAGAGGCAGAGTAAATTGCAGAAATGAATATCATGGAGGCCACAGAAAGAACTATGGTAAAGATGGTCCATAGAAGTGGTTCTCAAAGTATTGGTCCTGGACTAGCAGCAGTAGCATCACCTGAGAACTTACTAAATGTGCAGATTCTTGGGCCCCACTCTAGATCTACTGAATCAAAAACTCTAGGGCTGGGGCCCAGCAATCTGTATCTTCACAAGCTTTTCAGGTGATTTTGATGCACACTAAAATTTAAGAACCAGTGCTCTAAGGGTCAGGAAATTTGGCTTCAACTCTCAATGTCCACATGTGCAGATTGTGGATAAGACAGAAATGAAAATAAATGTCTAAAAGTGGAAGGCAACTATAATCTCATAATTTACCTCTTGCTTAGTGACTAGAAATGGTGACTAAAATATAGCAATAAATAGTCAGACTGTATTAGTTTTCTAGTTCTGCATAACAAATTACCACAACTTTAATAACTTAATTAATGCTTATTATCTCACAGTTCTTGTGGGTCAGGAGTCTGGGCACGACTTAGTGGGGGCCTCTGCTTAGTGTCTCTCAAAGCTCCAATCAAGATGTTTATCAGGACTGAGTTCTCATCAGAAGCTTGACTGAAGAAGGATCTACTTTCAAGCTCCCTTAGGTTGGCAGAATTCATTTCCTTGTATGTGTAGGATTCATGAAAGCTTTCTTCTTCAAAGCCAGCAATGAAGAAAATGAGACTACTAGCAAAATGGAGTCTTATATAACAGAACACAATCATAGGAGTGGTAATCTATCACCTTTCCAATATTCTACTGGTTAGAAGCAAATCACGGATTCCACCAACATTCAAGGGGAAGGGATTATACCAGAGCACGAAAGCCCTACAGATTAAGATTTGTGAGCCACTCCCTTAATCTCTTGAAAGCGTCCTTTGTGTGGCTGAATATTCTGATATTTTGATTTTTCTGAACTTTTAGTGAAAAGTTGTAGAGTCATATGGTCAAATTTTTCTCTAGACCAAGCCATCTTAATTTCAGCCATTAACTTTTTGCCATTTGAAGAGACTGGATTTTCAAAATCATCAAGTTCTTGTTCATTTTTGTTCTTCTTTTGATTTATTTCTCTCTTCTCACATTTTATTGTAAGCAACAAGAAGAAACGAGATAGCACCTTCAATACTTCTTTTGTAAATTTCCTTAACTAGATAAACAGGTTCATCACTTACACGTTCTGCTTTACATATAAATGCAGGAGACAATTCTGAGTTTTCTTCTACTTAGCAAGAGTTTCTCTTTCCTCCAGTTTTCAATGGCTTATTCCTCACTTCTTCTGAGCTCTCACCCTTACCAGGAGCATGCTTCAATTTTAGATTTCCACTAACAGTCCACTCAAGGCAATTTATACTTTCTCCGTTGTTCTCCAAATTCTTCCAGTGTGCACCCACCCAATTCTAAAGCTACTCTTACATTTTTAGGTATTTTACAACAGAATTCCACTTCAGATAAAAAGCATCCCATTTCTAGTACCAAAGTATGTATTAATTTTTTATTGCTATGTCCCAAATTACTACAAACTTAATGGCTTAAAGCAGCACACATGTAATATCCTGGTTTTAGTAAGTCCAAAGTCAGAGCACTGCTTAACTTGGTCCTCTGCTTAGGGTTTCACGAGGCTGGAATCAAAGTATCAGCCAGACCGGGTTCTCATCAGAGGCTTAAGTGAGGAATTATTTACTTCCAAGTTCTCCCAGGGTGTATTCTTTGTGACTGTAGAATTCATAGAAACTTCTTCAAAACCAGTAATTGAAGGAGACTGTTAATAAGATGGAGCCTTATATAATGAAACATAATCATGGGAATGACATCTTATCACCTTTGCCATATTTTTTTGGTCAGAAGCAAGTCACAGATTTCACCT
This sequence comes from Homo sapiens, assembly GCF_000001405.40. Taxonomy (NCBI): domain Eukaryota; kingdom Metazoa; phylum Chordata; class Mammalia; order Primates; family Hominidae; genus Homo; species Homo sapiens. The sequence goes on along the minus strand of NC_000023.11, from coordinate 42,692,634 downwards.
ACATTCAAGGGGAAAGGATTATACAAGGACATGGACTTACAAAAGCAGAGATTATTGGACCATCTTAAAATCTGTTGGCCCCATTGAACTTGTTCAAAATAAACAGAACTAACACAATTTTCAGGGGAATCTTATCCTGAAATCTTTGTGTTGAGAACATGTGTGTGTTAACATTGAGGATTCCAAAAGTTGAAGGTAAGAGGAAAGCAATTAAGTTGGGAAAGAAATAAAAAAGGGTTTTACTACAGACTGCTAAGGTGGATATAGAAGATGCTTTGCTAATACAGATGATGGAGTCAAATAAGGGAAAAACCATGAAGGATAAAATGGTTAGGAAAAGATATGTAGGTGAGATAAGATTTAAAATGAACTCTGAATAATGGGTAGAACTTAGAGAAAGAAAGTAGCATTCTATTAAGTAGTGAAGGTGTGAATAGTATTTGGAATTGGTAAAAACATGGAACATACAGTGGACACCTGGGAGACTGAAGTGATTCAATGATTCTCTACCCTGGCTACACATTAGGATCACTTGGAAGTCTTTACAAATAGTGATACTCAGCCCATCTCAGGTGTTCTGTTTTGATTGCTGTGTGATGGAGCACAGATGTCAATGGTTTATAAAAGTGATCCAAGTAAATTTAGTGTACCTCAGAGATGAGTGCCACAAGCATGATTAAGAGTGTACTCACGTAAAACAAATTAGTAGGATACATATGTCAAATAGGATGAGCTATAGGTTGCATATGATACCTAGGACATAGAAAAAAAACTTTGTTTTAGGCTTACTGCTGTTCTTAATAGCTATAGAACATACATGTTTCAGATATCTCTGCTGCATCATTTCAGATCCTCTTTCTTAGCTTCACGCTTTTTTCCCTTTTTTCTTTTTATTTTTCTTTTTTTCTTCTTTCTTTCTTTCTTTCTTTATTTTTTCAGCTTTTGTGGTGGCAGGCAGCTCAATGAGGGCTTTTCTTTACACAGTCCCAAGCAGAGAGTGTCATCGCCTCCTGCCTGCTCCTAAAGCCTCTCTTTTTGGTTCACTGCCCTGTGCCCTCACCCTGGCCTACATAATCCAGAAGTATAGACAAATTAATATCCTGTGGAGTAAACCTTTGGCCAGTGGGAAACAGGAACCAGTGGATAAATCCTTCCTTTTTGTCCACATATTGCCCCCAGTAGAGTCCTTGAATGTACTTTATAGAGATAGCTTCTTGGAGGCCGAGTTTCACAAATCTAGCATTCTGCTGCACTTAGCAACAGTAAGTTCAACAGCACAATTGTGTATTTGTTCTCCTTTAGCTGCTCCACTCTCTTTGTTTCTCTCCTGCTCCCCAGAATTGTATCCCTAATAAAGTGCAAGCAAATAGCTCCAGAAGCCTCAGCTCTGCTTTCTGCTGAACCCAAGTTATAAATGTAAGTATTATACCTTGCATTTGTAGATCATTTTTTGCCTTATATTTCTATAGTAAAAATTATATTAAGACAATTTCTAACATCTAAACATTTGTAACATTTTAAAACAAAATAATGTGTCAGGGAAGTTTCAAGAAACATTCCAAATACAATTGGTAAAATGTCATAATATGTGAAGCAGACATTTTGAAAAGAGATGACAAAGGGGATGTAAAGCTATCATGCTACTGATGCTAGGAAAAGTTGAGAAACTGAAAATAAAACAATTGCTTTCTAAAAAACAACTCTATTGAGATATAGTTGGCATATGATAACCTGCAACTGTTTAAAGTATACTATTTGGTAATTTTGACATACATGAAACCAAAACCACAATCAAAACAATAAAAATGTTCATCACTTTGAAAGTCTCCTTGTGTTCCTTTAGAATAACTCCCTCATTTCCCTCACAGCTCCAAACCTCCCTACCTGGAAAAGCGTTGATCTGTTATCTATCACTATAAATTAAATTGCCTTTTGTAGAATGTTATGTAAATAGAATCATACGATATATACTAATATACACTTTTTTGTCCAGCTTCTGTCACTCAGCATATTTATTTTGAGATTCACTGTATATCAATAGTTCATTCCATTTTACTGCTGAGTAGTATTCCATTATATAAATACTTCATAATTGATTATTTAACTCACCAGCTGATGGACATCTGGGTTATATCTGGTTTCTGGCTATTATGAAAAAAAAAAGCTCCTATGATCTACCTATACAAGTATTTGCATAATCATATACTCTTATTTTTCCCTTGGGTAAATACCTATTGTAAAATGCTGGGTCATATGGCTAGGTGTATATTTAACTTTTTTTAAAAACCCATCAAAAATGTTTTCCATTGCAAATTAAAACCACAATGAGATACCACCTTATCCCAGCCAGAATGGCCATTATTAAAAAGTCAAAAAACAATAGATATTGGTGCAGCTGTGGTGAAAAGGCAGTATTTATACACTGCTTGTAGGAATGTAAATTAGTAGTATAACCTCTATGGAAAACAGAATAGAAATTTCTCAAAGAACTAAAGTAGATCTACCATTCAATTCATCAATCCCACTACTGGGTATCCACGCAAAGGAAAATAAGTCATTATATCAAAAAGACACCTACACACATATGTTTATCATAGCACATTTCACAATTGCAGAGATATGAAATCAACCTAAGTGCCCATCAACAGATGAGTGGCTAAAGAAAATGTGATATATATATATATACATACACACACACACACACACCATGGAATACTACTCAGCTATAAAAAAGAATAAAATCATGTATTTTGCAGCAACTTGGGTGGAGCTAGAGGCCATTATCCTAATTAAAGTAACTCGGGAATGGAAAACAAAATACCGCATATTCTCACTTATAAGTGGGAGGTAAGCTATGGGTTTGCAAAGGCATACAGAATAGTGTAATGGACATTGGAGGCTCAGAAGTGGGGAGGGTGGGGGGTCGAGAGATGAAAAATCACCTGTTGAGTCCAACGTACACCAATGGGGTGATGGGTACACTAAAAGCTGAGATTTCACTGCTATACAATTCATCCATGTAGCCAAAAACTACTAGTACCTTTAAAGCTATTCAAATAACAGCAACAACAAAAAATGTTTTCCAATGTGGTTGTACCATTTTAAATTCCCACCAGAAGTAATATATATATATATATATATAAAATATATATGTGTGTGTATATATATGTGTATATATGTATATGTATATATACATATATACATATACATATATTATATATATGTATAGAGAGAGAGAGAGAGAGGAGAGAGAGAGAGAGAGAGGAGGGGGCTGGCGGGGGTGGGTCTCACTCACTCTGTCACCTGGGCTGGAGTGCAGTAGTGTGATCATAGCTCACTGTAGCCTCAGACTACTGATTTTAAGTGATCTTCCCACCTCAGCCTCCCAAATAGCTGGGAATACAGGCATGTGCCACCACACCTGGCTAATGGTTGTTTTTTCATTTTGTTTTGTTTGTAGAGACAGGGTTTCTCATTATGTTGCCCAGGCTGGTCTCAAACTACTGGGCTCAGGTGATCCTCCCGTCTCAGGACTTCCAAAGTGCTGGCATTACAGGCATGAGCCATCATGCCTGGCCTGGTCTATCTTTTAATTTGGGCTATGCTAATATGTATGGAGCATAGTATGGAGTATGAGATACTTCTCATTGTGGTTCTAATTTTTATTTCCCTAATGACTAATCAGGTTGAGCATTTTCTTGTATACTTGTTTATGGTCACCCATTTTGTGAAAGAGTTTGTGAAGAATTGTTATTTCTTACTTACATGTTTGGTAGAACTCTCCAATGAAGGCATCTACTTCTGAGGATTTTTTGTGAGAAGAGTTTTTACTACATATTTAAAATAGATATATGGCTATTTAAATTATCTATTTCTTTGTGAGTTTTGGTAGTTTGTTCCTTTCAAAAAATGTGTCTATTTATTCTAATTTATCAAATTTATTTGCATAAAGTAGTTCATAACGTTCTTTATCTATAGAATCTATAGTGCTATCATTTCTCTCATTCCTGATGTTGATAATTTGTCTTCTCTTTCTTTCTGTCTCTCTCTACCTCCACCTCTAGCTCTAGCTCTTTTTCCTGATCAACCTGGCAAGAGTTTTATCAATTTTATTGATTTTCTCCAAAAACCAACTAATAGTTTTATGATTATTTTTCTATTGTTTTTCTCTTTTCTAGTCCATTTTTTTGTCTGAACTTTATTATTTTTTTTCTTATGTTTACTTTTGATAATGCTCGTATTTTTCCAGTTTCTTAAGGTTGAAGCTGAGGTCATTGATTCTTGCCAGATCTTCAGCCACATCTCCTCAACTCAGGGAATTTTTCTGGCTCTGCCTCAGTTCCTCTTCTCTGTACTTCAGCCTGGAATTTATTTGAAGTTAGTAAGCTGGGCCAATGGTAGGGTTTACCTCATTTGTTTCTCAGATCTCAGGAATCACTGTCCTTTTTTACATGATGTCTAATGTCTTAAAAACTGTTGTTTCATATATTTTTGTGTACTTTTTTGGTTGTTTTGGTTGGTTCAGTGAATCTGGTACTCCTTACTCAATTTTGGCTGCAAGTGGAAGGTCCAATTGTTTGTTAACAACAGTATTGATTGTTTGTATATTAGAAAGTGATATTTTGAGTATTTTACAAATCAACACAATTGTTATTTGCATATTGGCAATTTACTGTGTTTTAGTTTTGTTTCAAGAAATTGGTCAGATGGTTTTCGTTGACCTTTAAACCCATGATTTTTCTCATTTAAAATAATGGGAACTAGACATCATTAGCATTTTCATGTATCATGTCTTATTTTCTATGATGGATTATTGAGGTTAGTCAGAAAATGCCTATATTTGGCTTAGACTTATTTCTCTAGCAAAAATAATTCTAGAATTCAGAGATGTCATGGCAGCTCCATGAAGTCCTCAGAGACAAGTGCCTTCTATCTTTCTGCTCCTTAGTGCATGAATTCCATTCTTCTCATAATTACAAGATGGTTGCTGGAATATCAGTCAAGTCCACAGTCTAGCTTTCCTAGCTAAGTTAGCCCTATTTAAATAGATTTTTCTAGGAGCTCATCCAGTGTTTTCTTCTTACTGTAATGGGTAGGCAATCCATATTTTCAAGGAAGTATTACAAATGTAATGTTTTTGTTGTTGTTATTGTTTTAACCAGGTACCTTGCTAACCTGAACAAAACTAGGGCTTTTTAAATGAAAAAATAAGAGGAGAAGAATTATGGATAAGACACTAGGAGTCTTTGCCACATTTGGTAAAGGATGTTAATATAGGCTAGGTATTATATATGACATTTTGAACATAGAAATAGCATAAGGTTTAAAGATTTTTCCGGGAGGACAGAGAAAGAGACTGGAATGTGAGAGTCTGGTGACAGTCTCCTGTTTGATCTCTCCACGATGGTAATCTTAGAATGCATCATTGAAGACTGGTAATGGAAAAGAAAAAGGAAACACTTCAAAATACGTATCTAAAGAAGAAATCTTAGAAAGTATTTGGTGGTGGATGGGATGTAAAAGGCATGTACAACAAAGACAGTATATAGTAAGGAATGAAAGGATGATGAAAGAAGTGTCGGAAAACTCATGGAAGCCACTGCTGTATACATCTGGCAAGTTCAGCCCTGCCCAGGGCTTAAGGAAATGATGTCTGGGTCTTGCATTGAAGACTCTCTCTCTCTCTCTCTCTCTCTTTCTTTCTCTCTCTGTCTCGACAATAGGAATGTTGAAATAGTCTGACACTAACACATCTGGCTTCTGCAGTAACCTCAGATGGGCAGGGTACAGCCTAATGTGTGGGCCAACTGCCATCAAAGATGGCCAGCTCACTGACCTCATGAATGTCTAAGCCTCTGTTTCCATGTTCCTGCATGAGCTCCCTGCTAGGACAAGGAACTAACCTGAAACTTAAGAACTGAACTCCTTTAAGCCTGCCACCTCCCATACCTGAAGCAGTTTCTATATTTTGCTGTGTCAAAGATGAAATAGGAAAACAACAAACATGCTATAGTAAAAAATTAAGAAATCTGGGGTCACATGAGTCAGGAAAAAGTTTCTGTTCAATATCTGGATAGTTGGGTGACCTAGGGCAAGTTACTCACTATCTCTGAGCCACATTTACTAACCTGAAAAGGGAGAATTATTATAATAACGCCTGAAAGCCTGCCCTGTGTAATTCTTTGAGGCTTGGTCATGTTTGTTAAAAGAAGGGAACATGCTTCAGACTCTAGCCTTGTCTCAGTCCATTCATTTGATGTGTCAACTTTCAAGTTGCTTCACCTCTTAGGATCTTGATTTCCTTCTCTATCCTTTTCCTGGGCTTCAAAAACAGTTTTTTGACATATAGTGTTTGTTCAATAAATATTTGCTGAATTAAATTCTGTTGATTTTGCAAAATGAAAGATTTCATTTAGATTAACATTTCCCAAAATATGCGTTGTAAGATGCTGATAAATTGATAATGCATGTTGTAAATACTTGTGCTTGAGATGATGCAGCAGAAAAACCCAAGGAGATGGTGTCACTGATGTCATCCACAAAGCCTCCACACCTCTTTATTGTCTACTGCTAAATTTAATGGTATGTGAAATAAAAGTAAACTCCCTATATTTTGCAAGCTACTCTGATTTGGGCATCCATTAGTGCAGGCAAACCTAATTCTTTCCTGATCCAAAGGATTAATGTTTACCCAATAGTATTTTATAGAAGGAGCCACTATTCCCCATCAACCCCTACTCATAACTTCTCTCAGCCTTCAGTCAATACATCAATCAACAATATTCTCAGACACTTAATATGTGCCTTATGTGTTAGGTGCTACACAAAAGAAGTATACATCTCAATTCCTGCCACTAAGAGACCTACAATTTATTTGAATATAGAGGAATATTGACTCAGGTAACTCATAATGAAATTTAATTTGATGGCCCTAAACTGGACAGTAATTCTCTGGAACGCAGGGACTAAGTATTCAGCAAACTATGGGCCTGTTCTTGTCCTTTATATGGAATATAATGGGAGCATGAAACATGCTTGCTCTACAGATGGCTTAATCTGTACACCCTATAGCCTGGTTGCTCAACCAATTGGCTTCCCTATTGAAATGACAGCTAATTTAAAAGAATAAGTGGCAATTTAATAGAATGGAAAACCATTAACTCAGAACCTTCTAATCAAGACTGATTTTTATGTAAGTTTTATGAAGTGCTTATTGCTGGCTCAGGAGAAAAAAAAAAGAAGGATGAAATTGTCTGCTGTAATGCTGTTACCTCACTGTGGACTGGGGGGGGGGCTCTACTCTCAATAATACTGACAATCCTAATAAGAGTGATGATGATGACAATGCTCCTTTATATTTAGAAAGTGTTTTCACGTAAATTTTAAGAAGCAACTGTATATAAATATATATATATATATATATATATATATATAGAGAGAGAGAGAGAGAGAGAGAGAGAGCAGGCTGTGGATTCTATTAGACTAGGATTCTGATCCAACCTCTACGGTCTGTGTTCCTAATCCCACAATATGTAAAATGAGAATAATAATGCATATTATTAATACTTGGGGACTAAATGTAAGAGTCTCCTAAAAATCAGAAACAAGGAAAATAAAATTATGTTTGAGAATTAAGCTTAAGCATCAACACAATGACTCATGGCCCAATAGCTCTCAAAACACAGAATGGCTGTAAGAACTGGTAGCAACTGCAATCACAGTAGGGGTTGTAATCAACCATAGAAACATAGCAGAACATCACAAAATACAATTGCCTAAGCACTGGGTTAGGGAGAAAGAGTATAAGCGAAGAAACTTTGAGTGTTTCCTGTTCAACAGGATAGACCATTGCTAATGTGGAGTTACAGGTGTGGTAAATTGGAAAAAAAAAAAAAAAGCCACAATATTTTGAAGGTCCTCTCATCAAGAGGTGGAGTCTGTTCCTCCACCCGTGTATCTGGGTTTGGCCATGTGATTTGCTTTGGCCAATGGGATATTAGCAAATATAAATAAGCAGAGGTTTGAATAGTGCTCACATAGTGGGGTTACCTTCTCTGCTTCTGCGAATTATTCCTACATCACACGAACAGGCCTGGGCCAATCTCCTGGAGAATGAGAACCTACATGTAGAGAGTCCTCAGCTGTCCAACCATCCTACCTGAGGCCTCATACCTCTAAGTGAGGCCATCCTAGACCATCCAGCCTCAAAGAAGTTGCCAGACCCCAAAAAAAACACCCAGATAGCCCACGGAATTATTAAAAATACTTGTTTATTGTTTTAAGTCACTAAGTTTTATAGTAGTTTGTTATGTAGCAATAGACACCACAGGGCTTTATAGCTTTTAGCATTCCAGTCCCCAGGGGTTGACATCATAAATCACTCCATTCTCCTAGTTTCCCTTGAGTCCATGCTTGCCAATAAATTTCTAAATATGATCTGGCCTCTCACATAGTCTGCCTATAGTGGGCAATGGGCCGACTACATTAACTTTAAGGATTCCTACCCCTAATGTGGTAATTATTCATGATGAATTTGTGAAGTGGGTTCTGACCCAGGTTTGGCTTAAGGAGAAGATATTCAATGCTGAAAGACTTCCCTTTGCCTGTCCATATTTACCCTCTACCCTTTCTACCCTGCCCTTTACTCCAGGAAGCTGACCTGTATAGACTGCCTTAAAAAAAGTCTTGCCTTGTGGCTTCTTGTTGGACTTCACCAATAGAAAGCCCTACCTCGTGGCTGGAGACGAAAAGTGATTTCAGGCCATTAATTCTCACAATTCCCTCCCTGTAAGGTTGCTTTGGGCTGGCTGAATTCTTTGACTAAAGATTGCAGCTCTTGTCAAGGTGGCCCTCTCACCCCAAGACTCTCTCATTGAAACTGCTTCCTCTCCTCTTTCCTTTAGGCCTAGAGAATGGGCTACCATTCTTAAGCCTAGGTGGAAACAGAGAAATTTTTACTAGCTTTCAGTTCCATACTATCCTGTATGGTTTTTCTAATCCTGCCCACACTTTTGTATTATTAATAAATAACTCCCTTTATTAAGCCCTCCCTCAAATATCCTAATTTCAGCATGCCATCTGTCTCCTGTTGAGCCCCTGACTGATGCATATGCTGAGCATGTGGGTTTGAGTACTGGGTTTGTCTGATGGTGATTCCTTCTTGGCTTATGATTCACCCCTGAGAGATGAATCCACATTCACTAAGCTGATCAGGTGTTTAGGGCTATGAGACTGAGAGCCAGGTCCTGGTTCTCAAGAAATTCACAAAGGTAGTGAATTCCTCTAGGAGCCAGCCAGCTGGCCTTTTCCCCTCTAGAGTGGAGAACAAGAACCATATGTTTCTGTATTTCTATAATTACACACTTTTAAGGTTGTTATTAGATTAGTTAAACTATATGCAAATTGCTTTGTACATGCCTAGCACCTTGTAAGTGCTCAGCATGTTAAGCATTGCTGTTGTTTGTTTTAATGTCCCTTTGACTGTATAATACGGTCTTTACTGATCAAATGATGTGTAACATTTTTCTTGGATTCCTTTTTAGGATGCTTTTGTTAATGTGGTACACTGAGATTATGGGGATTGGGGTAAAGAAAGAGAATGCATGTGCAGCATGATTTACACATAGTGTACATAACTTCTAGAGCCTTACAACAGAGCAACCAAAAGGAAAAGATTCTAATGTAGCAATTATTGCTTAAACACATTTAATGAATCAAAGATGGAGCGATCCTGAAGCAGAAATGATACTCTAAGTAAAACAGTCCTGCAAGTTCATTGGTAGATGTTTAGTTTGGATGATTTGTATTGGGATTTTAATTTTATATTCCTTTTATTTAATATAGGATGTGAACTTGGAAAAGCTCTAAGGCAGCCCAGGAAAAGGCAGACAAGAAACCATCATGAATGGGTGCTGCATGAGCAGAGATTGTCAAGAAAATGGGATGGTAATTTGCATAGGTCCACAAAGCGAACATTGATTTGAAGTGTTCCTGTGAATGGCCAGTAGACAGGATATAGAAACAGACAGGAAATCATAAAGTGGAGAATGGTGTATAAGATGGAGTTTCAGCCTGGGGAAGTACATAAAATAATGCCATGTCAAGGTCATAAGAACTTCGACAGTCAGGGAGATGACAAATAGAAAACTGATTCATAAATCCTGAAATAAAATATTACTACCTAAACTCTAAATCAGATGGCCACCAGGTCAAAAATAAATTACAAGGTGAATCTAATGTAGCTATGTAATTAAAAATTGGCCATGTTGATGAGGCAAGAAATTTTGGCAATAACAGTAATGAAGGTGTCAGGGCTCAGAAAATGACATGCCAAATTATGGCACTTTAGTGTGCTGAGTACTTTGAACTAAAGGAGATTGGAATGCCTCAGAAGCAAAGCCACTCTATCCCCCACCTTTCTGTGTAGGTGTATAGCAGATGCATCTGACAGCAATAACTTAAGCATACCCTGAGAAAGACCCTCAAGTCTAAGAAGAATGTGTGTTTGGAGTTCTGAGCTAAGAAATCCAGGAGTGGCAAACCTAGAGATTCGCTCCTTGTCTATGAAGGACATATGACCCCCTGGCCCATGCCTTGGAATGCAGGCCATATAGGGGATTAAGGTCCTTTGTTTTGGGTTATATGGAGGTTGTTAGGTGGAGGGTGGTAGCAGGTTTTCAGTCCAGCCCACCACCACTGTACTGCCCCATATGTAAGTCCTCAGTAAACCCTATGTGTCATCTGCTGGTTCCGGGTCTCCTCTCTTCTTCCGCTTCTAGGACATGGTGCTATCCCTATTGGAGTCAGTAGGTCTGGCACAACAGTAGGAGCTGGCCATAAAGAAATTCTCTGACCTACCTTGTCTGATAGCAGGTCATAAGATCCTTATTCCAGAGGGGTCCTGCCCCATACCTGGGAGAAAGGAATGCTACACAGAGGTCAAGGAGAAGCCAAACAAGCAGGACTTAATGGGTTTCCCACTCCGTCTATTGCCATTAGATCATACATTTTTTGTGTGGAATCATATTTCTACATGGTTGTCCATTCTTCATGAAAACTAAGAATAAAAGTAGACAATTTTCCCTGAGTCTTTGTGTCTTCATTTCTGAAGGCTTCCTTGTTATGTAAAATTTTGATTAAATACATTTGTTATGCTTTTCTCTTGTTAACCTATCTTTTGTTACAAGAGTGTTGGCTGTGATTTTTATGATGGGTAAGAAAGGTTACTGCACCTTTTCCTGTCCTACAAAGGAAAAAAATAATCAAATTATATCTTAGTTGGAAGTAATCTAAAAACTATATTAACCATTAACTAGAGACTATTTTCACCAGGGCTAAAAACAAACATGGAAAAAAAAATAAGACTATCAGAATTAAAAGACTTATAAAGCTTATGTCACTATCAGCAAAAGACTAGAAAACTTTTCCTTGGAGAATAAGAAACAGGGATTCAGACTCAGGTACATAAAATAACCTTAGTACTTTATAATCTTACCTATATATTTTCGGTATCTCTTCAGCCAGAGGGGTATTATCCCACTCTGTAGTTTAGCATCACAATTAATTTAAGTGGGGTTAAAGAAACACCATGTTTTTCATGTTCTTGACATCCCATAGCCCTAGTCCTTCTCTCCAGAATTGTGTTAACAACAAAGTTATGCTGCCACCTAAAGAGCAAGGCTCCTTTTCAAATTTAAACTATGGGCTGTTGTTTTTTCTATCTCTCTATGCTTATTTCTAACTGTCTGACCTGGAGCCCCATAGCCTTGGACTAGCCAAGCGCTGACTCAGGAAAGGGAAACAAGAACACAAGGCCTGAGTTTTCCCAGGAGCAGAAAGCACTGAAGATTAGAAAGGCCTTTGTCGTCTTTGTTATGTGTAATTTGACTAAATCTACTTAAATAAAAAAGAACTGGGGGCTTCAGAGAACCTCTGTACCCTTAAATGAACAATATAATGCAAAGGGGAAAAGAAAAAAGTGAATGGGGAAAAAAATATTTTTTTCTTTTCTGCTGAAAATATCTAAAGTTTCATTAATAAAACCTGGATCCTTTTTCACTAAATATGGTTCTGACCTGTTCGCAAAAGGCCTGTGCAGAAATATCAGGTAATTAATAATGCCTTGAGGGGAAATGTGCTTTAGATGTTTTATTGTTTTTTTAATCACTTAACATGGTTTTTAAATGATTATTTATTTCTGGCCACATTGTTGCATACTGATTTTAGGGTGGCTTACATAAATACATTTAATTATATAAGATAAAAACTAATAAGAAGCAAAGAAGAAAAGCAGGGTAAAGGAGAAAATAAAAGTAGTTGAGATAGAGCCAGGGGTTATATTGATACCCCAAATGCGTGTTCTAAGTCCTCATTGTTTCACTAGAGATGTGAGATGTGAGAGACAAAACCAGGCACATGTCTTACAACATCCATACAATAAAAATCAGACTTGATACTCAAAAGAGCCAGAGAGAAATGTCTCCCCTGGATTCTCATAAACAGGAATATAATGGACAACTTCCTCAACAGCATCCCTACAGTAAATACAGAAACAGGTTCAAAGGGAAGTTTCTTACACTCCCCTTGGTGCCACCATATAAATATAACCCAGGAAGAGCAATTTGCCAAGGACATCCACACACATCTCTGATGGTCTACCTTGGTCCAGGGAAAGAGATGAGCATGTGCAAAGAATGGATGAATGCACTGCACATCCCTCATTCAACAAATCACCATAAGTATTTGGTTTTTTGGCCACACTTGGGAGAAGCACCAAGTTCAGGAAGATACCCCAGACAAGTAGCTGGAGAGCAACTGCTCTGTGTTGCCAGCTTTGCCGAGTTGTAAATAAAACTGACTTCTTGTCATTGTTGAAGAGCTCTGTCTCCTGAGGCAGCTCCCCTTTATGCATATGAGAAACTGTCCTTTCACTCACTCCCAAGAGAGCATGCCTGAACCACAGAGCATTCGGGAGAGGGCCTGAGCTCTTCTAGGTTTTATTGTACCTAAAATTTGAACAATTCTGGGGAGCCATTTTAGAAGATACATACAAAATCAACTGCAAAAGTTAATTTTTATTTAGAATGAGAAAACACAACAAATTACAAAATCTTTAAAACCTGGCAGATACCATGAACATTTCTAAAAATTAACTAATATTTTTGATGAATTAACTGCCTGATACACCTGTATTGTACATTATTTTCTACATTTTGACTGCATATTCCTTAATCTTTTATAATATTTTCTATACGGAAAACAGAAAGATAATTCAGCCTTTTTTCTAGCGCAAATGATGGAAATTTGTTAAAAATCCATAGTTTAGGAAGTTTCTTTCCACTTTACAACCTGTTATTGACAATGACAGGTGCATTATTAGGATTGCCAAATTTACAAAAATCTCTATCGAATTTCTTTCATAGATACACTGTGATATTTATAATTATTTTTCACAGATCAGTTTCTGGCTGCCTATATTTGCTTGTCCTCCACTACCTACCTTTATACTCATGCTTCCAAGTTCCAAAGGACAAGTTCATATCACAATATGATCCTTAACCTTCATGTTACAGTGAGAGATAAATTAGCATCATGGGAAGTAGGATTATATTATTCTATCAGGATGGCTAGTAACAACTGCACAAGAAAATGACTGTGAAAATACATAGACATACCCCACTAAGCTTTACCTAAATGGATCCTGTAGTAGGCTGAATAATGGCCACTTGAAGATATCAAGTCTTAATCCCTGGAACAGGTAAATGTTACCTTATAAGCAAAAAGGTCTTGAAGTTGTAGTTAAGGCTTTTGAGATAAGGAGATTATCTTCGATTATCCAGGTGAACCATAAATACAATTTTAGTGTCTTTTTTTTTTTTTTTTTGAGATGGAGTTTCGCTTTTGTTGCCCAGGCTGGAGTGCAATGGCGTGATCTCGGCTCACCACAACTTCCACCTCCCGGGTTCAAGCAATTCTCCTGCCTCAGCCTCCCAAGTATCTGGGATTACAGGCATGCACCACCACGCCCAGATAATTTTGTACTTTTAGTAGAGATGGGGTTTCTCCATGTTGGTCAGGCTGGTCTCGAACACCCGACCTCAGGTGATTTGCCTGCCTCAGCCTCCGAAAGTGCTGGGATTACAGGCGTGAGCCACCATGCCCGGCCCGTGTTAATGTCTTTATAAGAGACCCGCAGAAGGAGATTACAAAAGAAGGCAATGTGATGACAGAGGCAGAGATTAGAATGATGTGGCCACCAGCCAAAGAACACCAAGGAATGCTGGCAGCCACCAGAAGCTAGAAGAGGAAAGGAATGAATTCTCCCCTAGAGCCTCCAGAGGGAGTCCTGCTGACACCTTGATTTTCTCCCATGCCTTTTCTTAATAAAGACACTAATGTTCGGCAAGGCTATGTCACTTGCCTAAGGTCATATAGCAAGTGAATGGCAGAGCTAAGATTCTAACTAGATGTCCTTGACTATAAAAGTTTTATAGTTGGAGTCTTCCTTCTCTCCCTGCTGCCACATCTAAATGAAGTTAAAAGAGACAAAATATTTACCATAGCAGGGTAAGAGAGTGATGATGCAAAAAGTAAGAAATACTTTTTTCTTATTATGGATAAAATTTACATTTTTGAACATTGAAATATTTAATCTGTTATGAAAGCTTCCCATTAAGCTCCCATTTAAATAAGCGCTATTTATGTCACTTATTAAGGAAATCATGTAAAAACGATTTTTTTAACGGAAACACAATCATTGCTATCGTTTTTAAGACATCAGATATAAAAGATAGTAATAGATTCCTTACACTGGAAAATGGATCATGTCCCCTATTGGCCATCAAATTTTTCGCTTGTGTCTGTATCAATGTAACTTTCACCTAAAGGAAAATTGAAGAAAGAAACAGAAAAAAAATCACAGAATTTGAAAATTTACAATGGGACATTTCTTAGCTAAGGCCAGCATATGATAGGTAAAGGGGTTAGCTTTAATTACTATTGGATGGACAAAACAAGAAAGGCTGGGGATGGGGTGTGAATAAAGTTAAAGCAAAGAGTCCGTGGTACCCACTAGATTGTGATTCCCTGGAAAGTAGCGACCATGTCTGACTCCTTATTTTTTCCTCGGATCTTAACACAAGACATTACACTGAATAAAAGTTTAACTAAATTGAAGGAACAGCATGGGCTTTTGAATCATCACTAGGATTCAAAGTAGGTGGATTCTCTTGTCCCTTATTAACCAGAGGTTAAATCACTTATGTTTGCTGAGATAGAGCTCCATCATCTGTAAAATAGAGAAAATAATACTTACCTTATAATACTCTTACGATCATTGTTCCCAAGATTCTTACACGAATTCTACTATAGAACCTGAAAGTGCCCTGACCTCTATCATAGATTTATTAGTCTTCTGTCTCTCAAGAAAAAGACGGACATACAAAATTGTGTAACTTATTAAATTAGTCCAACAAAATTCTGAGTGCTCCTTTCTCAGAAAGGTAAACTTTCATGCTCTCGCAACAAATGGAACATGTAATGCTTGCAACGCCTCTGACAGGTTTTTTTGTCCAAAGCTTGTGCCAGCTTGATGTTCAGTGTTGGTTCTAAAGAACAGGGAAGGATGACCTGCCCACTGATCCACCTCAATAAGGCCATAGAGTTATGGTTGGGTCTTATCATACCCAATCATTTCTGTTCTCAAAGAAATTATAAAAGGGGCATGAATCTTGGCTTTGAAACAGATGCCCAGTGTGAAGATTAACCTTCTATTGTCTGCCTACCCACTCCACGTCCACCCCATAATCAAAGGTGTGAGAATGGTGATCTAGATATATGAAAACTAGGAAAACTGTCACATGCAAAAGGCTAAAACCAGTAAGGGTCACTGCTCTATAACATTGTTCTGACTAGACAATAAAGGACAGTGAACACACCCATTGCCAATTGCTCAGACTTTTTCTGTCCTGAATTTCCTATCTCTTTACTTAGACTTAGACTTCCTGTCTAGGCAAGACTCCATAGACCCCTTTTGCCTTGCTTCTCCTCATTAAGCCCCTGAAATTATAAAAGAGACAACTAAAGGAGATATCTGAAAGGTGATGCGAAGATGAACCCCTCTGAGACTACAACACTGGAGGGACAACCCAGAAGCACAGTGTCTCATGTGCCCCCACTCAATGGAAGAGAAGGCAACTCAGACTTGGAGTTTCCCTACCCCTGACCTGGCAACTCCCGCAAGGGAGATCAACAAGGAGCCCTACCAACAATAAGCAGCCAGGAGAAGTGCTCTCCATTTCAGTCATGCCTTAGACTCCCTCACCCCACCGAGAGATGCTGAAGTGGGTGAAAAGAACCAGCAATAGGGAACTCTAGCAATTGGCCCCATACAAGAAGTTTCTTTGTCGCTCTGGGCCCCAAACTCTCTTCCTTCACCTAGAGGGATCCTGCAATTATACTCTCAGGCATTTGTTCCAGAGAAATGAAAACTTATATCCACACAAAATCCTGTGCATGAATGTCAATAGCAGCTTTAATAGTAATAGGCACAGACTGGAATCATCCTAGATAGCTATCAAAAAGAGAATGGTTAAACCAACTGGGATACGTATATACATGGAATACTGCTTATTGACAAAAAGAATGAATTATTGATACATGCGGCAATTTGGATGACTCTTCAGGGACCTATTCTGAGCGAGAAAAGTCAATTCCAAAATATTATATGCTGTATGATTCCAGTTATAAAACATTTTTGAAATGATAAAATTTTAGAAATGGAGGACAGATTAATGGTTGCTGGGGTTTGCGACAGGAAAGGAGGTAAGCATGTTATAAAAGGAGAACATAAGGTGTCCTTGCCTTGATGAAACTATTTCTTCTGGGTCTTAACAGTGGTTGTGGATATAAACCTACATGTATAATAAAATTGTATAGAACTAAACACAAACACATGCATATATACACACACACAAACACAAAATAAATATACAGGGTCTCTCTATTATTTCTTACAAGTGCATGTGACTCTACAATTATCTCAATAAAAATTTTAATTAAAAAAGCAGGCCTAGCAAGGATGAAACAAAATGTTATAGTTTAGCAAAGCAGATTTTCTAGTACATAATTGATGCTCCATAAATATTAATTTATTTTTCATTTTCATTCCCCTTCCACCCTTCCTGCTGCCACATTTACACACACTCACCCACCCACCCTCACTCCCTCACAACGCACACACACATTTTTCTTCTTACTTAAAATCATGGAAGCTTGTCAAATAGTCCTTTTACCAGAATGCTACAAAATCGAACCACAGAATCCTGCACACAGCTACAGCCCCAGTGTTAACATCCTTACATTGAATTGACTTCCACTGTCTTCCAGGACTCCTCCACAATCAGCCTAAGGCAGTATAGGCCTTGCAGATCATGTGGGCAGCAAGGGTTTCTGACTAAATAGTCCTAGAGGTCGCTAAGTTGTTCATAACCAATGAAAGAAAAAGAGTTATCCAGTGAATTAGAGTTAACTTCTGTAAATCCTTTAAAATAGCTAGGTAATCTTTGAGAGGCCATATACAGAAAAGATTAAAGGAGTGAGCTGTGGGTTTCATCAGACCTGAGATTCAGCATGAAATCTACCAAAGGTACCACAAATGTAACCTTGTCCAAAACGAATCTCAGTTTCTGCATATGTAAAATGGGAATGATAAGAGCACCCACCTACCTCATGCAACTGTTGAGAGAAATAAATGAGACATTGTAAGTAAAGTTTGTAATGCACTGTTATGGCCTGAATTGTGTACCCTAAAATTCATATGTTGAAGCCCTAACACCCAATATGACTGTATTTGTACATAAGGCCTTTAGGGAGGTAATTAAGGTTAAATGAGGTCATAAAGTTGGAGCCCTAATCCAATCAGACTAGTCCTCATAAGAGGACAAAGAGACACCAGTATTGTACATGCACAGAGAAAAGGCCATGTGAGTCCACAGCAAGAAAGCAGCCATTTGCAAGCCAGGAAGAGAGGCCTTACCAGAAACCAACCCTACCAGCATCTTGATCTTGGAACTCCAGCTTCCCAAACTGAGAAAAATAAATTTCTATTGTTTAAGCCATCCAGTCTGTGGTATTTTGTTATGGCAGCTCTACCAGCCTAATACAAGCACCATCAGAGACAGAGATATACGCTCAATAAATGTAAGTTGTAATAACTACGGTTCTTGTTATAATTAAAGTAAGTAAATTGATGGGTCTCCTGGCAAAAGATGTGGTTCCTGCACCCTTAGAAGCCCAAGAGGCCTCTCTTCATTGATATAGTGCTCTGGTCAAGAGAGAAGAGCATTAATTAAGAGTGGATGCAAAGAAGAGCTCAAAGGAAGGAGATGGGGTAAAGTGAAGCTGGGTGCAGAGTGTGTTCATGCAAAGAGGAGAGAAGATGACCATGGAGCAACAGTGGGAGCACAGTGGAAAAACAACCAACTGGTAAGGCAGACTCTGGTGGAAGGGAGAGTCCTTTAGGAAGGGCAGTACTAGGATTGAGTCCTGGGGCCAAAGCCAGTCTAGAGCTTCCTCTAGGATAGCTACGAGCGGAAGAACATAAAGGCAAGTATGAGGCAAAATCCATAGAGAATATTAAGGATCAATACTTGGAAGATCAAGCTTAAATGTCAAGTCCAAATTGCTGGGGCAGGGGGAAAACAAGGAGAACAAGGAGAAATTGGAGCACATAGAAAGTTGTGGAAAATGGTACTGAAATATTTGTCATTTGCTTTTATTCGTCACTGCATGCTGCACCATGGATATGATTAGTTGAAAGTTACAAGGACAGTTGAAGAGGTCTCAAGCCCATGTTTTATCACAAGAAACTGCTAACAGCCATGGTATCACAATAGACCTTGAAACAAACAAAAGGAACCATGGAAAAAGCCAGAATTTTGTAGGCCCTTCCTAAACAAACTGACCCTGAATGATTGCTCATCACACTGGTATCTAGCAGGAACAAAGTTAGAGTAAGTGAACAGGCCACCAGCCCCACCAGCATTAACTGGGCATTTCACCAGGCTGTACTTCTCTGAGATAAATTAGAGGTCAGCAAACTTTTTCTAAAGGCCAGTTAGTAAATATTTTATGCTTTGTGGGCCACATGGTTTCTGTCATAGTTACACAACTCTGCTCTTATAACATGAAAGTAGCCATTGACTATACATAAACAAATGAGCTTGGTTATGTGCCAATAAAACTTTTATATGGATGCTGCAATTTGAATTTCATATAATTTCTATGTGTTATAAAATATTATTCTTGTTTTGATTTTTTTAACCATTTAAAAATATAAAAATCATTCTTAGGATATGGGCCACATGAAAACATGCAGCAGGCTGGATTTATCTCGTGGGCTGTAATTTGCTAACTCCTGATATAAAGAGTGCATAGCCCACCAGCACTAACTGGGCACTCTACCAGGTAATCCAGCGATATTTGTTTCTGTGACATAAACAAAGCATTTAGATTATGAATATAAGAGATGACTTGACTTATATTAATGCTTTTGTCCATTTTAAACAACACTAATCCTTGTAAAATGGCCATGTTTTTAATTGACTCTTTTGTTTCTGATGCTAATTGTTGAGTTTTATAGCGTCTTTGACGAGTTAAAGAACATTGCTTGATCCTTTCAGCTCTCCTTTCGGAAAACATGTTGAACCTACTCATTTCTCATCACTTCCATCAATGCTTCTCTAGTCTAAGTCATCATCACCTTTTGCCTGGATTACTTCAATACCTTCCCAACTTTCTCTCTTTTCCTCCTGTAGTTTACAGCAGCCAAGTAATTTCTGTAAAATATAAATTAGATTACATGACTCCTCTGCTCAGAACCCCACAGTCTTTCCATAACACTTTCAATGAAATCCAATCACCTACCTCATTGTTGAAGCAGGTTGAATTATCCCTCTGGAGTTTAGAGGGCAGAGTTTTTATTAAGGAACGCCCTTGGAATCGACATCTGCGGAAGGGAGGAAAACAAAGGAAGAGTGGGCAGAGGGAGAGGGCAAACTGAGATTTAGGCACAATAGTTTTCGCCAACTTCATGGCAAGCTCTGAAGCTGGAATGGCTCTTTGGAGTTGTCCTGAGTTAGGTCAAGATGTTGGCCTTTTATACTCCCTCACTGATCAGTGTTTGGGTGTAGGCTGCCCCCAAAAGGGGCAAGACCTTGGTTGAGGTGGTTCTTAGCAGCTGGGGCAGTCCCTGGAAGGCCTGACAGCTGATGTTTGTCTGCCCATAGCACTCTTAACAGCTGGAGCAACAATTTATTCGTTGAAGGGGAATCTGGTCAGTGCATCACAGTGTTCAATACACTTTCCTACCTCATCTCCTATGATTCTTCCACTGGTTTAGTCAGCGCCAGGTAAACTAGCCTCCTTGCTTTTCTTCAAGCAAGTCCAGTACAACCATGCCTCAGGGACTTTTCTCTTGTTTTTTCCTCTTCCTAGATGTTTTATTGGATTACTCCCCCACCATTTTTTTTTTTTTTTTTTTTTGAGACGGAGTCTGGCTCTGTCGCCTAGGCTGGAATGCAGTGGCGCGATCTCAGCTCACTGCAAGCTCTGCCTCCCAGGTTCACACCATTCTCCTACCTCAGCCTTCCGAGTAGCTGGGACTACAGGCGCCCACCACCACACCCAGCTAATTTTTTGTATTTTTAGTAGAGACAGGGTTTCATCGCGTTAGCCAGGATGGTCTCAATCTCCTGACCTCATGATCCGCCCGCCTCAGCCTCCCAAAGTGCTGGGATTACAGGTGTGAGCCACCATGCCCGGCCTACTTCCTCATTTGAAGTCTCTTCCCAAATGTAACCACCTCAGAGAAAAACTTTTCTGACAACCCTGCCTAAAATTGCAGCACTATCACCCTCTATCTCCCTATCCTACTTTATTTTTCTTTATAGCACTTATCACTGTCTAATACCTAGAATATATTTCTGCCTCCTTGATGGCTTTTTATCTATCTCTCTTACTAGAATATATGCTCCTTGGGCTCAGGATTTTATCTGTCTCACTCACTATTCTCGGTCTAGAGCCTAGAGCAATGCATGACAGAAAAAAGATCTTCCATAAATGGTTGTTGAATTAATGAATAACAGAAGGAACTGCTTGATATTGATTCATCATAACACTGAAATCTGTAGAATCAGATTCTAATTATTTAAATACAGATATAATCTTTTGTGCTCTGACACAAGCAGTTCTCTACACCACCTCCCACCACCAACTACCAAAGTTCCCTCCCTGAAACATACAGCTCAGTTCCCAGGCCCATTTCCATAGCCAAGGCCACATTTTCAGAGATTTTCCCCTGCATCAAGTTCTATCCCTCAATCCTTTCTTGAATCCCTTTGACACTCAATCTCAAACCAATTTCCTCTGACTTAGTTATGTGATTGTGTTTGGGGCAGGAAAAGAAGAAATAAAGAAAGGGGTAGAACATGCACTATTATCATTAATCTAATGCTGACATTAGACCAACGACATTGAAAATCCATCCTTTTATTCTTATTTTGTCTAATTTTAGCCTGAAGGCTACACCTACAATTAGTCTCCATTTTAAGACTGTCTAGTTACAAAAATTGATTTGACTAAATTAAATTCAAAGC
Organism: Homo sapiens; assembly: GCF_000001405.40. Taxonomy (NCBI): domain Eukaryota; kingdom Metazoa; phylum Chordata; class Mammalia; order Primates; family Hominidae; genus Homo; species Homo sapiens. The sequence continues at coordinate 42,670,981 of NC_000023.11, read as the reverse complement.
AGTTTGAACTCAGTAAAAATCTTTTGTTCCTCTTATATGGCACTGAATTTTAATTTTAAGCAACTCATGTATTCTCTATCTTGGTCTAGAAAAAAATGGCATCTATCTTTTTATTGAGTCATATACCCACAGTGCTAATGACTATTGTTCTGATGTTATTTACCTGATATCAATCAGTAAAGTATGTATTCAACATGTACTCTTTTTAAAGAATCCTGTATGACTCTGAGGTTAAAAAGAAGGATAATGTGATTTCTGCTTGCAAGTTCTTTATAATATCATGGGACAGGAAAGACTAATGCATAAAAACAGTTAAAAATACAACAGAATGTAGAATTTTCCATGGGTGGAACACAAAATGATGTTGGGTAAATGGACTATAGGATGTTGACTAAAACTCTATGTTGAAGAGGCTTCAGAATAAGCCCAATACATCAGCTAGGTTTCTTAACATGGAAGCCACAGAAATTGTCCTGCCTAATTTCAGCAGAAGATAATTCATTGAATGTATCTCAGGGCTAGATAATTACCTACAAAGTCATAAAATAAGGCTTGGAAAACAATGAGAACTATGAAGGATTTGGAAAAAGGATTTCTGCCACTTCTATGAACACTGGCCACTACAGCCTTCATTATTAACTCTGCTACCACTGCCACTCCTGTAATGTCAAATGTTTCTGCTGCAAATAAATTCTACACAGTACTTTATTCTTAACATTATTAGCTCCTAATTGATCTAACTAGGTTGTCTGCCAGTACCCTAGCTGCAAGGGAGGCTGGGAAAAACAAGTATCTGGTGTTTCAGCTTTTATAGTGGGTGTTTTTCTAAACCTAGACTACAGCGTCAGATTCTGGGCATTGAAAATAAAATACAAAACCAAAAACTAACAGATGTTCACATACCTAAGAGATAGTAAATCCTGTCATTGCCCCTTGAGAAACTGGCAATTTAGGTGGTAAAACAGGCTTTACAAATTTATCAGTGAATCAACATTTTTAGCCTCTACTAACATGCACTGTGTTAAGGGCTGTTCATATTTTAAATAAGAGAAACGCAATTCTTGCCTTAAATAACTTCCTCTTCCTCGGAGGGGAAAAATAGTACCACTCTTCCTCAGACGAGAAAAATAGTGTCAAGAGCAGCAAAATTCAGGGACAGAACTAATGCAATCATTATTTTAAAATCATGTGATTTTTTTTCATTCTTGTTTGAGCAGTAACTGTGAGGCAGCCATATTTTGAGCAGAATTTGATATATTGTTCATGTCCAATAAATATTTTTAATAATGAGTGCTACTGGAAGGATAACATCCAAGAATATTCCAGCAGATGGTAAAACATTTTTGCACATTTAATTTCTGCCAAAGCAACCCTCTATCTTGCATGTGAGTGGTAGAAAATCAAACAGAAAATTAGAGACAGCTAGACAAAGCATGAGAAATGTCTGGCCTGGGCTGTGGAGGAAGTTTATTCATTTGCCATGATTGGATTAACTGTGTCTGTCCTTTGGCTCTCATGAGAAAGGATAAAATAAATGTCAGTGCACACAGGGTATATACTAGATTATCTCTTAATTGAGTTCACAGAACCATTGGGAAAAAATAACAATCCTATATTTACAGTAAACCTATTTCTCTCATGTCGAAGTAATATAAAAAAATTTCTCACATGGTTAAAATTTCCTATCAGGAAAGAATCCTAATCCTCTTCAATTTACTAAAAAGACAACTGAGGCACAGAGAGTTTGAACCATTTACTAGAGACCAGAAATTCAAACTAAATGTTCCATCAGTCCAGTTCATGTCTTAGTTTTGTTCTAGAAAATATGTCCTGTTCAAACACTTCGGAAGGATGCTGTTTGGTGTGGGAAGACGGAAAGTGTTCTCTGCTCTATAGCTCAAGCTTGAGGACAGTTGAGATTGCACAAAATCGTGCCGTTTGTTCTAGTTCTATTCAAAATGATACTGAAAGCTTCTCAGCAGGTATCGTACAGATGAAAATAGAAAAGGCACAGTGTTTTCTCCAGGTTATGTGTCCACTAAATACAGCAGATTAAAGCAATAACATATGTGTGTGCATGTACATATGTGCATACACATATGCATGTGAGTATGCATGTATGTGTGCATGCATACACCATAGTGAAAACAGCTCAGACAGGGTAAGCCTTGGAACTCTCCTACACACCAGAAAACATGCATTATTTCAGCACTGGATTTTTTTTAAAAAAGGAGGCTTCTGCCATGTTGGTCCTGTCATTTCTTTTCTGCTTTAAGTTGGTAGTTTCTGTGTACTTTTTGGAAATGATTTACATATTCATGTATTTATTTAACTTTTATTTTTGATTCAGAGGGTACACATACAGGTTTACTACAAAGTTATATTGCATGATGCTGAGGCTTGGGGTATAATTGAATCCGTCACCCAGGTAGTGAGCACAGTACACAACAGGGAAGTTTTTCAACCCTTATCCCTCTCCCTCCGTCCTCCTTATTTTAGTCCCCAGTGTCTATTGTTCCCATCTTTATGTCCATGTGTACCCAATGTTTAGCTCTCACTTATAAGTGAGAACATGCAGTGCTTGTTTTTTTTTTTTTTTGTTTCTGCATTCGTTTGCTTAGGATAATTGCATCCAGCTGCATCTATATTGCTGCAAAGGACATGATTTCATTCTTTTTTATGGCTGTGTAGTATTCCATGGTGTACATGTACCTTATATTCTCTATCTAATCTACCCTTGATGAGCACCTAGGTTGATTCCACATCCTAGATATTATGAATAGTGCTGCAATTAACATACAGGTTGACACCCACTTAAAAGTGGGAAGTTGGGTGAGGGGCTGACTCCTTCCTAATGGCATCCCAGCAATCCCATGGCCTCTGAGCTTATGACTTTTCTTTTTCCACAAGAAAAGTTATCCTCAGCACACCATAGGATACTCATCTTTCTTTCCATATAAATCTTCTACCCCTTCACAGCCACCCCCTCTGATTTCCAACCGGGGTAACTGGACAGAATAAGAATTGTGTTTCTGGAGAATTTTTGCTAAAAGTCAACAACTTATTATCTATGAGTGTATAACCTCCTGACTTTTACACATATTGTGTGGATCTCTCTCAATCAGTTTATTTATTAAAAAAAATAAGAATAGTAGTTTATGCTTCACCTACATTTTAGGATTATTTTGTTTTTTAAAAAACTACGAAGTTGGATTTTAAATTGTAAGGCATCATTTAATGTAAGTCGCTATAGGGCAGTTGATATATTTCAAGATTGTAGGTATTTGGGGTGACTAATAAGAGGTGGGGACTAGGGAATCGTGCTGCTGCCTATTGACACAAAAAGTGAGAGGAAAGCAATGTGTATATCTAACTTGCACCCATTTTTTCTAAATAATGGAAAGACCGATTTCATCACTAGCATCTCTGAGGCTCTCTGACTGTGAGAATGGTTAAGAACCTCCCAAATCACTGTTTTTTTAACTAAACTCTAAGCCCCTTGAAGGCAGGGGCTGTATGTTAGGCTTTTCTTGGCCATCTTTAACTTACTTCCAGAAGCATCAGCTGCCTCTGGAAGAATTCCCACAAGCCAGTGGCAGGCAAGATAAAACAGTTGGAAAAGCTAGATCTTACCATATACCAGTTTAGGCCTTTCCCTCCCCCTCTGAATCATGTGCTTCCATTATGAAAACCATGATTGTTTTTTGCATTAAGTGTTAAATATACAGTTAAGTTAATAACTATCTTAAAGTAACTTCCTTTAAAATTACACAGTTGAAGAGAATCACTTAACATCTGGTGTGCTCTTAATCTGAAGAGAACATAATTTAAACCAAGTGATGACCCAAAAAAGCCAGTTCCAAGCAAGAATTCCAAAGTTGCAAATGACCTAGAGGCAGAGCAGTCACTTCAGTTGATGTAACCAACTGTAGCCTGTTTGGGAGTTTATCAAAGGATTCTTCCTGTGCTGTGTCTCCCCCAAATTCACCCCTGAGTTTCTAAAGTCCCATTTGTGTCATCATTTTCATATGCTCATATTTTGACAATTTTTCTCAGTCCTTTAAAAGTCTCATTGATTTCACTAATGAACAGAGTGCTGAAAATTTGCTAATTTGCAAACCTGCAGTTTCATGGCCAAGCTGCTGCTCTCTTTTCCCAGATGACATTCCCAGAATTGAAAGCACCCGCATACACAGCAGTCCTCATAGGATGAAAATGCATTCATGGATGTGAAATGAAATTGCAAGTTTACGGAGTGTCATTTCATATCTTGGCAGCCACATCGTGCCTGGGTTTTTGGTTTAAACAATTAGCAGCATTATTGCTCTGATACAAAATAAGTCAGTTTCGTGAATGTTTTGGTCTTTCACAGCAGGCCTTTCTTTTTCCCTGATGATGAAACACATCCAATGCAGAATTCATAGAACTGTCATCTGGATTTTGAGATGTAGGATTGTGGAATGCTTACTCATTCAGTAACTGTGTACTTGGAAAGAGTAATGAAGCCTGAAGCCCATTGCTTTGACATTTATTTCAGGTATCTGTCTGTAGCAAACCACCATAAAACCTAGTAGCTGAAAACAACATTCGTTTTATTTTCTCCCAGCCCTGCAGCCTCGGCTGTGCTCAGCTGGGGATTCTTCTGTTAGTCACCCCCTGGGGTCACTAGTGTGATTAAATTCAGCAGGCAGATTGTCTGGGGACGGGGCTCAGCCAGGGTTCTGGTATGTCTGAGCTTCTCTCTTTCCTTGCTGCCTTAGAGGCTCTCTCTTTCCAAGTAGCCTCTCCATTTTATCCCTCTATGCAAGTGGCCTCTCCAGCAGACTAGTCAGGCTTCTTTCACGAATATCTTGGGCTTTCAAGAGTACAAAGCAAAATATGCCAGGCCTTCTTAAGGGTTAGGCCCAGAACTGGAATAATAGCAATTCAGTTGTGTTCTTTTGGTTTAAGCAAACACAGGTCACGCTCAGATACAAAGGGCAGAACATGCAAAGAAAAGAATATCAAGAGATATGTTTCATTTGGGGCCACCAATGCAACAGAGAAGCACAACATTAGCACCAGTATCCCCCCCACACACATATACACAAAATATAGATGAGTATTTGAGTTCTTCGAGCAAATTGAGATGTTTCCAGTGGCTGCTACACAATAAAAATTAACATCTATGACCTGCAGAGATGGAAAAAAAAAGACCTACTCTGAAGACAAGAAAACTGGATTATAGGTCTGATGTTGTCATGTTACCTAATCTCTTTGAGTCTCAGTATATTCATCTAGTAAACAGGAATAATGGTGCATGTCCATCTACTTCAAAGGATATTGTATTACAATAACATCTGTGAAATCTCATTTCAAAGTGTAAGTCACCATATAAACATAAGTTGCTATTAGAGCAGTTGATGGATTTCATGATTGTCATTTTGTGTTTTGGTTCAAGGCCTCTGTGATTTTTTAATTATGCTTGTAATTTTAGATGAGCATTCTTACAGCTTACTTTTAGTGAGACCAAAATACTACTAATGGTTCTACAGTTCTTATTATATTTAGTTTCTTTCTTCAGCAACTAATTTGGATAATGGCTTTAAAATCATGATAGAACATTTTGCTATTACATTACCCCTGGATTGATTTTACTGATAAGTATTATGTATCTCATGATCAAGTAATTTTTCATGCCCTCTCCATAATAATGTAAGATTAAGATAATTTTCTGCCCAAACTTTTAGAGAGATGCTTATTAATACTTTAGTTATTTATAGAGTGCTTGAATTTATTAATTTGCCACTATCCAAGCTTGTACTATTTAGCAATTTTCATTAAAGATAAAAATTACAGAATTTTAGAGGGATCCAAAGTATCAAACCAGATCTTTCTCTTGCATAACATTTCAGCCCTCAGACTCCTCAAAATGAGGGAAGGGAGTGTACAGACAAACTTGGGTCCTCCTCTGTAGTGTGGACAGCTGGAAAAACGTGACTACCATCACCATCTGCTGCTGGGAAACCAGATAAGGGTAGGAGAAATGAGGATAGCCTGTGTCCACACTTCCACTGACAATCAGCTGGGCAGTAGTTCCTGCAGGAACCATGGTAATGCATGCAGTCCCATTGAGAGTCACTGCTGGGAACTGCAGGCTGCACCATTTGATGTCTCCTTCTGCTGCCTGCTTCCTTTGTGCTTCCCAGTGAGACCTTAGATCCGACAAGCTGTATGAGTTGCTGGTGTCAGATTTACCGAAGGGAAAATTTTTCAGCCTAGTGTCCTTCCTGAATTTATTGACCTATGTATGTATTTTAAATAGCAGCATCTAAAGAAGTTAAATTTCCAAAAATTATGAAGAAATTTAAAAAATTAATTTTTGTTTTATTTCATTCTTTGCTAGCCTGTCTGCCTGCCTTCCTTCCTTCCTTCCCTCCTTCCTTCCTTCCTTCCCTCCTTCCTTCCTTCCTTCCTGTTTCTTATTCCTCTCTCTTTCTCTTTCCTTTTCATGACAGGTGGAGGGTGGATGATAAGAAAGTAGGGGAAAAGAGAAAATGGAAAAACATACGTTTGTATATTATTTTTTAAAGTTCTTTACCCCTTAAAATCAATACACTGACTTAAGAATCCAAAATATATACATTGAAGAAACTTGATTTGCTTATAAAATCAAGTTTGCTACACTGACTGTACAAGTATGGTTTATAAAAAATAATAAATGAACACAATGGATGCATTTGTAATACATGATCTCATTTAATCCTTACAATGAGATGAGAAAAACAAGAAACAGAGGCTAAATAACTTCTCCCAGCCTCACAGCCTAGAAGTAGCAGAGCTAAAATTCAAACTCAGTTTAATTTCAAAGCCTATGACTATAAATTTTATGATCCCATAGGTCACAACAAATTCAGTCTTACTACTTTCTTTTTTAAAATAGACAAACTCTATATTCAGACAATAGCTCATTAAATTTGGTATATTATAAAATTTGTTAAAAATGGAATCCAAGGCTGCTAAGTATGAAGGAATCTTATACATTTTAAAGGTTTTTTTTACTGCACAAAATTTTGTAACATTTCCTGGTGTCCTATGGGGCATCCTAAATTTGGCTAGAGTACACGCTTCCTTGAAAGCAGCAAAAGAAAACCAATCATACCTCCCTGGGTGTTGTCATTAGGAACTTTATCCATTCAATCATTCTTAGAGCATCAGCATCGCCAAATTCTGTTGCTTTGTCAGAAATCTATGGAGTTGCTCAAATGGAGACAAGCTTTTCATCTCTTTGCCATATTAGTCTGTATCTTGATTAACAAAAAGACACATCCAAACATGCAAACATTTCTTCCACATGCTAGAAAAAGTGGTCATACCAAAAATGAATGCTAGAGAAGCAAGAGCAGTCAGACTTTGTCAAAGACAGTTAATTATCCAAGAATGACAAGCTAAAAAGCTAGTCTGCATGGCTGAACTACACACATGAAATGCTCTGTGCACTTAGCAGATTGGTGACAGCACAGGGTCTAAGTCCCACTGTCTAACCATACCGTTTAATCTGAGAGGCTTGAGTTCAAGTCCTGGCTTACAAGAGGTAAGACTTTGGGCAAATTAGCTAACTTCCCTAAACCTGTTTTATCTATAATGAGGTTACAGAAATTATTTCCTTAAAAAGTTATTCTGAAAAATCAACAAGATAATATACAGAAAAGACTTAACCAAGTGCTTGGAATGGTTTTTCTTAATGCCTCAAAATTAAATGACTGAGTTTTCATAAGATTCTTTTTTTTTTTACCATTTTTATATTTTAAGAAGATTGTCCAAACAATATAAATTCATCTAAAGTCACCTGAAAGCCTTAAATTCCTAAAATATGTTGATTTTTTTTTCTTTTAAGGGAGTAAACCAAACATATTGCTACACCTGATTATTTCTATATTTTTAAAATTCTTTGGTTTCAGTTAAAAAGCACTTGGTCTATTTTTGTCAAGTCTTTTTTAAACTCTCAACTTTAGACATATTTTAAAAATCAAACTTATCTACTAACCCAAATCCAAATTAAATATTATCTCAGGATTTGTTTATTTTAGCAGACTTTCCCCTAAGTCTCTTATTTAAAAAAAATTCTGGGTCTCCTGAAATAAATCATTCAATATTAAATTGATCTTTGTCAGCATTTTTGTTCAGATACCTTGGGCATCTGATGTATCCTTAATAGGTACATGAACTACATTTTCTGCATCTCAGTTCAAATAATTAGGTCCACTTCCCATTAACTTTTTTTCAGAGCCCAAGATTATCTAGATAGATTTTTTAGTAATGTTACCTTAATTTTTACACTTGGCAAAGTTCTCAAATGGTCCAATTTATCCTGTCATTCCCTTTCAATGTGACCTTGTTAAAAGCCATTATTACGTTTCCCCTTCATTTCATTTAGAGGACACTGTCCACTCTAAGCCTCTAGCTTCACGCATGAACCTGTGGAGACGCTTATCCTGTTATGCATACGGTCATTTCAAATCTTCTGCTTGTTAAGAATGGTAAGTAGAAATTGGTCGTAAAGTGGAAAGTATTTTAAGAACCACATGTAAAGGTGGACTCTTTGTTTTGCAGGTCAATTATCAAGTCTATACACACATAAGCTTTACTTGACCTTGAGAACGTGTGGACCCAGAGGAAAACTGGAGCAGCGTGCTGCTCCTCAGGACTCCCTAGAAACCCCCAGCTGGACCCAGCTCTTAGACCCTTGGCCACGCCAACAAGGCAAGATGTCCACAAAGCCTGTGCCTGGAAAGAAAAAAATCACCCTCAGGGTTTGCTCACCATTTCCTTTATCTCAATTTCTTTTCTACACTGTCTGAGGCACAAGTGACACTTACTGTTGTAGCCAAACACATCCGAGCACCTTGCATTAATATGAACTTTCTTATGCCTTTGGGTCATTGCCCTTTGGAGTCCAGGCTCCAGACATTCCTGCCATGTTCACCCCCATCACTCCATGCTACATCATGTGACACTTGACCACTTCCTGTATCCCATAATCCTTGGGCAACTGTGACAGGACTAAGTTTGGCTTATAGTTAGGAAAATAGAGATACACTTGGATGTTTCTTTGACATTGTCAATCATCTATTTTTACTTCTTTTTTTAGCCCTGATTCTCTAGAAAACAGAGCCAGTGGTAGAAGCTTATATTGTAACCCTTTACTGGGGAGTATTCTCCCAGGGAAGCAAGAAGGAGGGAAAAAATAAAAGCGAGGAAGGGGAGGAAGGAGAGTAAATACAAAAAAGTATCTGATTGGTCAACAGGACACTAGCCTACGTGCACGTCTGGGTTGAGTTTCTGTGGCCTTCTGGAAAATCACTGAGAAAGCAGGCCCTCTGTGGGCCCACTCCAGCCAGTTTGCAGGCATGACAGACTTTCCTTATCAGTCAGAACTGAGCATGAGGGCCTCTTTGATCATGGAAGGAGGGCAGCCAGAGCTTTAAAGAGCACAGGAAAAGCCCAAGTCCTCCTTAGGACCACTCTTACTGGGAAGCAAGGCAAGTAGCCAAGGCCCATGGGGACAGGGGATACCTAGTAGATGGGCAGTAACATAAGCTGAGCACAGTATGCTGGGCATCACCTTGAGTATGTGACAATGAGCTACACACCACATGTGGACAAGGCATCAGAAATGGGCTTATGCTTAGGCAGAATAGGCAGCTCTGTACATGATGTGGTTTGAGGACAAGCAAGAAATCTTTCACCCCTAAAGAAGCTCCCCCACCCACCTGTTCAAATTAAAAGACCACCATTTGAACCTATCCTATCCATTTGAACAAAACCTGTCCTTTGAACAACTCCGAGAGATTCTATTAGGACATCAGTATATTAGATAAGAAACATCATATTGACTGATGATCCAAATTGCTTTAATTGTAAAACTCAGGGAATAAACTTCAGGAAGGCTAAGATTTTATTAGGGTAAAAAGAAATGAAGGCTAGTGGTGAAATGTCCAGCCAAATTTGATACTGCCCAGGAAGGATATATACTGGTACAAAACAACTAACAGAAGAGTTCTGTGTAAGTCTGTTCTCATGCTGCTAATAAAGACATACCTGAGACTGGTTAATTTATAAAGGAAAGAGATGTAATTGACTCACAGTTCAGTATGGCTGGAGAGGCCTCAGGAAACTTACAATCATGGTGGAAGGGGAAGGAAACATGTCCTTTTTCACATGGCAACAGCAAAGAGAAGTACTGAACAAAAGGGGGAAAAGCCCCTTATAAAACCATCAGATTTCATGAGAACTCACTCACTATCAGGAGAACAGTGTGGAAATAATGATTCAATTACCTCCCACCAGGTCCCTCCCACGATATGTGAGGATTATGGGAACTACAATTCTTGATGAGATTTGGGTAGGGACACAGCCAAATCATATCATCTCACCCCTGGCCCCTCCCAAATCTCATGTCCTCACATTTCAAAACACAATCATGCTTTCCCAACAGTGCCCCAAAGTCTTAACTCATTCCAGCATTAAACCAACAGTCCAAGTCCAAAGTCTCATCTGAGACAAGGCAAGTCCCTTCTGCCTATGAGCCTGTAAAATCAAAAGCAAGTTAGTTACTTCCTACATAAAATGAAGGTACAGGCATTGCATAAATACACCCATTCCAAAGGAAAGAAATTGGCCAAAACAAAGGGGCTACAGGCCCCATGCAAGTCCGAAAACTAATAGGGCAGTCACTAAACCTTAAAGTTCCAAAATGATCTCCTTTGATTTCATGTCTCACTTCCAAGTCATGCTAATGCAAGAGGTGGGCTCCCATGGCCTTGGGCAGCTCTGCCCCTGTGGCTTTGCAGGGTACAGCTCCCCTCCTGGCTACTTTTGTGTGCTGGTGTTGAGTGTCTGCAGCTTTTCCAGGCGCACAGTGCAAGCTGTCAGAGGATCTTCCATTCTGGGTTCTGGAGGACGATGACCTTCTCACAGCTCCACTAGGCAATGCCCCAGCATTGATATATCCATTAGTTGATTGATGGGCATTTGGGTTGGTTCCATATTTTTGCAATTGCAAATTGTGCTGTTATAAACATGTGTGTGCAAGTGTCTTTTTCAAATAATGACTTCTTTTCCTCTGGGTAGATACAAAGGAGTGAGATTGCTGGATCAAATACTAGTTCCACTTTTAGGTCTTCAAGGAGTCTCCACACTGTTTCCATAGTGGCTGTACTAGTTTACATTCCCACCATCAGTGTAGAAGTGTTTCCTGATCACCGTATCCAGGCCAACATCTACTGTTTTCTGATTTTTTTATTATGGCCATTCTTGCAGGAGTAAGGTGATATCGCATTGTGGTTTTGATTTGCATTTCCCTGATCGTTAGTGATGCTCAGTTTTTTTTGTATGTTTGTTGGCTATTTATATATCTTCTTTTGAGAATTGTCTGTTCATGTCCTTAGCCTACTTTTTGATGGGTTTGTTTGATTTTTTTCTTACTGATTTGTTTGAGTTTATTGTAGATTCTGGATATTAGTCCTATGTAGTTGTATAGATTATGAAGATTTTATCCCACTCTGTGGGTCATCTGTTTACTCTGCTGACTATTCCTTTTGCCATGCAAAAGCTCTTTAATTTAATTAGGTCCCAGCTATTTAGCTTTTTTTTTTATTGCATTTGCTTTTGGGTTCTTGGTCATGAAATCCTTGCCTAAGCCATTGTCTAGAGGGGGTTTTCCAAGGTTATCTTCTAAAATTTTTATAGTGTCAGGTCTTAGGTTTAAGTCCTTAATCCATCTTGAGTTGATTTTTATATAAGGTGAGAGATGAGGATCCAGTTTCATTCTCCTACATGTGGCTAGCCAATTATCTCAGCACCATTTGTTGAATAGGGTGTCCTTTCCCTACTTTATGTTTTTGTTTACTTTGTCGAAGATCAGTTAGCTGTAAGTATTTGGGTTTATTTCTGAGTTCTCTGTTTTGTTCCATTGGTCTATGTGCCTGTTTTTATACCAGTACCTTGCTGTTTTGGTGACTATGGCCTTACAATACAGTTTGAAATCAGGTAGTGTGATGCCTCCAGATTTATTCTTTTTGCTTAGTCTTACTTTGGCTATGTGGGCTCTGTTGTATCTAATTCGGTGAAGAATGATGGTGATATTTTGATGCGGATTGCATTGAATTTGTAGATTTCTTTTGACAGTCTGGTCATTTTCACAATATTGATTCTACCCATCCATGAGCATGGGATGTGTTTCAAATTTTTGTGTCATCTGTGATTTCTTTCAGCAGTGTTTTGTTAGTTTTCCTTGTAGAAGCCTTTTGACTTCTTGGTTAGGTATATGCCTAGGTATTTTATTTTTTTTGCAGCTATTGTAAAAGGAGTTGAGTTCTTGATTTGATTCTCCACTTTGTCACTTTTGATGTATAAAAGAGCTACTGATTTGTGTACATTAATCTTGTATTCGGACACTTTGCTGAATCTTTCATCATTTATAGCAGTTTTCTGGAGGAGTCTTTAGGGTTTTCAAGGTAAATGTTCATACTGTCAGCAAACAGTGACAGTTTGACTTTCTCTTTACCTATTTGGATGCCTTTTATTTCTTTCTCTTGTCTGATTGCTTTGGCTAGAATTTCCAGTGCTATGTTGAAGAGGAGTGGTGAGAGTGGCTATCCTTGTCTTGTTTCAGTTCTCAGAGGGAATGCTTTCAACTTTTCCCCATTCAGTATTATGCTGACTGTGGGTTTGTCATAGATGGCTTTTATTACATTAAGGTACATCCCTTGTATGTCAATTTTGCTGAGAGTTTTAATCATAAAGAGATGCTGGATTTTGTCTAATGCTTTTTCTGCATCTTTTAAGATGATCATGTAATTTTTGTTTTTAATTCTGTTTATGTGGTGTATCACATTTATTGACTGCATATGTTAAACCATCCCTGCATCCCTGGTATGAAACCCACTTGATCATGGTGGATTATCTTTTTGATATGTTGTTGGATTCAGTTAGCTAGTATTTTGTTAAGGATTTTAGCATCTATGTTCATCAAGGATATTGGTCTGTTGTTTTCTTTTTTGGTTAAGTCCTTCCCTGGTTTTGGTATTAGGGTGATGCTGGCTTCATAAAATAAATTTGGGAGAGTTTCTTCTTTCTCTATCTTGTGGAATAGGGTCAGAAGGATTGGTACCAGTTCTTCTTCGAATGTCTGGTAGAATTCTGCTGTGAATCCATCTGGTTCTGGACTGTTTTTTTGTTGGTAATTTTTTCATTACCATTTCAATCTTGCTGCTTGTTATTGGTCTGTTTGGGGAATCTAATTATTCCTGATTTAAGCCAGGAGGGTTGTATTTTTCCAGGAATTTATTCATCTCTTCTAGGTTTTCTGGTTTATGTGCGTAAAGGTGTTCATAGTAGCCTTGAATGATCTTTCGTATTTCAGTGGTGTCAGTTGTAATATTTCCTGTTTCATTTCTTAGTGAGGTTATTTGGATTTTCTCTCTTCTTTTCTTGGTTAATCTTGCTAATGGTCTATCGATTTTATTTATGTTTTCAAAGAACCAGCTTTTTGTTTCATTTATCTTTTGTATTTTTTTTTCTGTTTCAATTTCCTTTAGTTCTGCTCTGATTTTGGTCATTTCCTTTCTTCTGCTGGGTTTGGGTTTGGTTTCTTCTTGTTTCTCTAGTTCCTTGAGGTGTGACCTTAGAATGTTGATTTGTGCTCTTTCAGTCTTTTTGATGTAGGTGTTCAGGGCTATGAACTTTCCTCTTAGCAGTGCCCTTGTTGTACCCCAGAGGTTTTGGTAGGTTGTGTCATTATTGTCATTTAGTTCAAATAATTCTTTAATTTCTATCTTGATTTTGTTTTTGACCCAATGCTCATGTAAGAGCAAGTCATCTAATTTCCATGTATTTGTATGGTTTCAAAGGTTTCTTTTGGAGTCAATTTCCAGTTTTATTCCATGGTGGTCTGAGAGACTGCTTGATATAATTTTAGTTTTCTTACATTTATTGAGGGTTGTTTTATGGCCTATCATATGGTCTACCTTGAGGAAAGTTACATGCACTGTTGAATAGAACGTGTATTTTGCAATTGTTGGATGAAATGTTCTGTATATAACTGTTAAGTTTATTTGTTCCAAGGTATAGTTTAAATCCATTGTTTCTTTTTTTTATTATACTTTAAGTTTTAGGGTACATGTGCACAACGTGCAGGTTTGTTACATATGTATGCATGTGCCATGTTGGTGTGCTGCACCCATTAGCTCTTCATTTAACATTAGGTATATCTCCTAATGCTATCCCTCCCCCCTCCCCCGACCCCACAACAGGCCCCGGTGTGTGATGTTCCCCTTCCTGTGTCCATGTGTTCTCATTGTTCAGTTCCCACTTATGAGTGAGAACATGTGGTGTTTGGTTTTTTGTCCTTGCGATAGTTTGCTGAGAATGATGGTTTCCAGATTCATACATGTCCCTACAAAGGACAGGAACTCATCCTTTTTTATGACTGCATAGTATTCCATGGTGTATATGTGCCACATTTTCTTAATCCAGTCTATCATTGTTGGACATTTGGGTTGGTTCCAAGTCTTTGCTATTGTGAATAATGCCACAATAAACATATGTATGCATGTGTCTTTATAGCAGCATGATTTATAATCCTTTGGGTATATACCCAGTAATGGGATGGCTGGGTCAAATGGTATTTCTAGTTCTAGATCCCTGAGGAATCGCCACACTGACTTCCACAATGGTTGAACTAGTTTAAAGTCCCACCAACACTGTAAAAGTGTTCCTATTTCTCCACATCCTCTCCAGCACCTGTTGTTTCCTGACTTTTTAATGATTGCCATTCTAACTGGTGTGAGATGGTATCTCATTGTGGTTTTGATTGGCATTTATCTGATGGCCAGTGATGATGAGCATTTTTCATGTGTCTTTTGGCTGCATAAATGCCTTCTTATGAGAAGTGTCTGTTCATATCCTTCGCCCACTTTTTGATGGGGTTGTTTGTTTTTTTCTTGTAAATTTGTTTGAGTTTATTGTAGATTCTGGATATTAGCCCTTTGTCAGATGAGTAGATTGCAAACATTTTCTCCCATTCTGTAGGCTGCCTGTTCACTTTGATGGTAGTTCCTTTTGCTGTGCAGAAGCTCTTCAGTTTAATTAGATCCCATTTGTCAATTTTGGCTTTTGTTGCCATTGCTTTTGGTGTTTTAGACGTGAAGTCCTTGCCCATGCCTATGTCCTGAATGGTATTGCCTAGGTTTTCTTCTAGGGTTTTTATGGTTTTAGGTCTGACATTAAAGTCTTTCATCCATCTTGAATTAATTTTTGTATAAGGTGTAAGGAAGGGATCCAGTTTCAGCTTTCTAAGTATGGCTGGCCAGTTTTCCCAGCGCCATTTATTAAATAGGGAATCCTTTCCCCATTTCTTGTTTTTCTCAGGTTTGTCAAAGATCAGATAGTTGTAGATATGTGGCATTATTTCTGAGGGCTCTTTTCTGTTCCATTGGTCTATATCTCTGTTTTGGTACCAGTACCATGCTGTTTTGGTTACTGTAGCCTTGTAGTATAGTTTGCAGTCCGGTAGCATGATGCCTCCAGCTTTGTTCTTTTGGCTTAGGATTGACTTGGTGATGCGGGCTCTTTTCTGGTTCCATATGAACTTTAAAGTAGTTTTTTCCAATTCTGTGAAGAAAGTCATTGGTAGCTTGATGGGGATGGCATTGAATCTATAAATTACCTTGGGCAGTATGGCCATTTTCACAATATTGATTCTTCCTACCTATGAGCATGGAATGTTCTTCCATTTGTTTGTATCCTCTTTTATTTCCTTGAGCAGTGGTTTGTAGTTCTCCTTGAAGAGGTCCTTCACATCCCTTGCAAGTTGGATTCCTAGGTATTTTATTCTCTTTGAAGCAATTGTGAATGGGAGTTCACTCATGATTTGGTTCTCTGTTTGTCTGTTATTGGTATATAAGAATGCTTGTGATTTTTGCACACTGATTTTGTATCCTGAGACTTCGCTGAAGTTGCCTATCAGCTTAAGGAAATTTTGGGCTGAGACGATGGGGTTTTCTAGATATACAATCATGTCATCTGGAAACAGGGACAATTTGACTTCCTCTTTTCCTGATTGAATACCCTTTATTTCCTTCTCCTGCCTGATTGCCTCTGCCAGAACTTCCAACACTGTGTTGAATAGGAGTGGTGAGAGAGGGCATCCCTGTCTTGTGCCAGTTTTCAAAGGGAATGCTTCCAGTTTTTGCCCATTCAGTATGATGTTGGCTGTGGGTTTGTCATAGATAGCTCTTATTATTTCGAGATACGTCCCATCAATACCTAATTTATTGAGGTTTTTAGCATGAAGTGTTGTTGAATTTTGTCAAAGGACTTTTCTGCATCTATTGAGATAATCATGTGGTTTTTGTCTTTGGTTCTGTTTATATGCTGGATTACGTTTATTGATTTGCGTATATTGAACCAGCCTTGCATCCCAGGGATGAAGCCCACTTGATCATGGTGGATAAGCTTTTTGATGTGCTGCTGGATTCGGTTTGCCAGTATTTTATTGAGGATTTTTGCATGGGCGTTCATCAGGGATATTGGTCTAAAATTCTCTTTTTTTATTGTGTCTCTTCCAGGCTTTGGTATCAGGATAATGCTGGCCTCATAAAATGAGTTAGGGAGGATTCCCTCTTTTTCTATTGATTGGAATAGTTTCAGAAGGAATGGTACCAGTTCCTCCTTGTACCTCTGGTAGAATTCGGCTGTGAATCCATCTGGCCCTGGACTTTTTTTGGTTGGTAAGCTATGAATTATTGCCTCAATTTCAGAGCCTGTTATTGGTCTATTCAGAGATTCAAGTTATTCCTGGTTTAGTCTTGGGAGGGTGTATGTGTCGAGGAATTTATCCATTTCTTCTAGATTTTCTAGTTTATTTGCATAGAGGTGTATATAGTATTCTCTGATGGTAGTTTGTATTTCTGTGGGATCAGTGGTGATATCACCTTTATCATTTTTTATTGCGTCTATTTGATTCTTCTTTCTTTTCTTCTTTATTAGTCTTGCTAGCGGTCTATCAATTTTATAGATCTTTTCAAAAAACCAGCTCCTGGATTCATTGATTTTTTTGAAGGGTTTTTTGTGTCTGTATCTCCTTCAGTTCTGCTCTGATCTTAGTTATTTCTTGCCTTCTACTAGCTTTTGAATGTGTTTGCACTTGCTTCTCTAGTTCTTTTAATTGTGATGTTAGGGTGTCAATTTTGGATCTTTCCTGCTTTCTCTTGTGGGCATTTAGTGCTATAAATTTCCCTCTACACACTGCATTGAATGTGTCCCAGAGATGCTGGTATGTTGTGTCTTTGTTCTCATTGGTTTCAAAGAATATCTTTATTCCTGACTTCATTTTGTTATGTACCCAGTATTCATTCAGGAGCAGGTTGTTCAGTTTCTATGTAGTTGAGCAGTTTTGAGTGAGTTTCTTAATCTTGAGTTCTAGTTTGATTGCACTGTGGTCTGAGAGACAGTTTGTTATAATTTCTTTTCTTTTACATTTGCTGAGGAGTCCTTTCCTTCCAACTATGTGGTCAATTTTGGAATAAGTGTGATGTGGTGCTGAGAAGAATGTATATTCTGTTGATTTGGGGTGGAGAGTTCTGTAGATGTTTATTAGTTCTGCTTGGTGCAGAACTGAGTTCCATTCCTGGATATCCTTGTTAACTTTCTGTCTCATTGATCTGTCTAATGTTGACAGTGGGGTGTTAAAGTCTCCCATTATTATTGTGTGGGAGTCTAAGTCTCTTTGTAGGTCTCTAAGGACTTGCTTTATGAATCTGGGTGCTCCTGTATTGGGTGCATATATATTTAGGATAGTTAGCTCTTCTTGTTGAATTGATCCCTTTACCATTATGTAATGGCCTTCTTTGTCTCTTTTGATCTTTGTTGGTTTTAAGTCTGTTTTATCAGAGACTAGGATTGCAACCCCTGCCTTTTTTTATTTTCCATTTGCTTGGTAGATCTTCCTCCATCCCTTTGTTTTGAGCCTATGTGTGTCTCTGCACATGAGATGGGTTTCCTGAATACAGCACACTGATGGGTCTTGACTCTTTATCCAATTTGCCAGTCTGTGTCTTTTAATTGGAGCATTTAGCCCATTTACATTTAAGGTTAATATTGTTATGTGTGAATTTGATCCTGTCATTATGATGTTAGCTGGTTATTTTGCTCGTTAGTTGATGCAGTTTCTTCCTAGCCTCGATGGTCTTTACAATTTGGCATGTTTTTGCAGTGGCTGGTACCGGTTTTTCCTTTCCATGTTTAGTGCTTCCTTCAGGAGCTCTTTTAGGGCAGGTCTGGTGGTGACAAATTCTCTCAGCATTTGCTTGTCTGTAAGGGATTTTATTTCTCCTTCACTTATGAAGCTTAGTTTGGCTGGACATGAAATTCTGGGTTGAAAATTCTTTTCTTTAAGAATGTTGAATATTGGCCCCCACTATCTTCTGGCTCGTAGAGTTTCTGCCGAGAGATCAGCTGTTATTCTGAAGGGCTTCCCTTTGTGGGTAACATGACCTTTCTCTCTGGCTGCCCTTAACATTTTTTCCTACATTTCAACTTTGGTGAATTGGACAATTATGTGTCTTGGAGTTGCTCTTCTCGAGGAGTATCTTTGTGGCATTCTCTGTATTTCCTGAATTTGAATATTGGCCTGCCTTGCTAGATTGGGGAAGTTCTCCTGGATAGTATCCTGCAGATGTTTTCCAACTTGGTTCCCTTCTCCCCATCACTTAGATTTGGTCTTTTCACATAGTCCCATATTTCTTGGAGGCTTTGTTCATTTCTTTTTATTCTTTTTTCTCTAAACTTCTCTTCTTGCTTCATTTCATTCATTTGATCTTCCATCACTGATACCCTTTCTTCCAGTTGATCGCATCGGCTACTGAGGCTTGTGCATTCATCTCATAGTTCTCGTGCCATGGTTTTCAGCTCCATCAGGTCCTTTAAGGACTTCTCTGCATTGGTTATTCTAGTTAGCCATTCGTTTAATTTTTTTTCAAGGTTTTTAACCTCTTTGCCATGGGTTCTAACTTCCTCCTTTAGATCAGAGTAGTTTGATCATCTGAAGCCTTCTTCTCTCAACTTGTCAAAGTCATTCTCCATCCAGCTTTGTTCTGTTGCTGGTGAGCAGCTGCATTCCTTTGGAGGAGGAGAGGTGCTCTGATTTTTAGAGTTTCCAGGTTTTCTGCTCTGTTTTTTCTGCATCTTTGTTGTTTTATCTACCTTTGATCTCTGATGATGGTGACATACAGATGGGGTTTTGGTGTGGATGTCCTTTCTGTTTGTTAGTTTTCCTTCTAACAGTCAGGACCTTCAGCTGCAGGTCTGTTGGAGTTTGCTGGAGGTCCACTCCAGATCCTGTTTGGCTGGGTATCAGCAGCGGAGGCTGCAGAACAGCAGATTTTGGTGAACAGCAAATGTTGCTGCCTGATCGTTCCGCTGTAAGTTTTGTCTCAGAGGAGTACCCAGCCATGTGAGGTGTCAGTCTGCCCCTCCTGGGGGGTGCCTCCCAGTTAGGCTACTCGTGGGTCAGGAACTCACTTGAGGAGGCAGTCTGTCCGTTCTCAGATCTCCGGCTGCGTGCTGGGAGAACCACTACTCTCTTCAAAGCTGTCAGACAGGGACATTTAAGTCTGCAGAGGTTTCTGCTGCCTTTTGTTTGTCTATGCCCTGCCCCCTGAGGTGGAGTCTACAGAGGCAGGCAGGCTTCCTTGAGCTGCGGTGGGCTCCACCCAGTTCGAGCTTCCTGGCCGCTTTGTTTACCTACTCAAGCCCCAGCAATGGTGGGCGCCCCTCCCCAAGCCTCGCTACTGCCTTGCAGTTTGATCTCAGACTGCTGTGCTAGCAATGAGTGAGGCTCTGTGGGCTAGGACCCTCCGAGCCAAGCGTGGGATATAATCTCCTGGTGTGCCGTTTGCTAAGACCATTGGAAAAGTGCAGTATTAGGGTGGGAGTGACCCGATTTTCCAGGTGCCATCTGTCACCCCTTTCTTTGACTAGGAAAGGGAACTCCCTGACCCCTTGCACTTCCCAGGTGAAGCGATGCCTCGCCCTTCTTCGGCTCACACTCAGTGCACTGCACCCACTGCCCAACATTCCCCAGTGAGATGAACCCGGTACCTCAATTCGAAATGCAGAAATCACCCGTCTTCTGCGTCGCTCATGCTGGGAGCTGTAGAATGGAGCTGTTCCTATTCGGCCATCTTGGCTCCACCCTCAGTTGTTTCTTTGTTGACTTTCTGTGTTGTGGACCTGTCTAGTGCTGTCAGTGGAGTACTGAAGTCCCCCACTATTATTGTGTTGCTGTCTAACTCATTTCTTCAGTCTATTAGTATTTGTTTTATAAATTTGGGAGCTCCAGTGTTAGGTTCATATATGTTTAGGATTATGATATTTTCCTGTTGGACAAGGCCTCTTACCATTATATAATGTCCCTCTTTGTCTCTTTTAACTGCTGCTGCTTTAATGTTTGTTTTGTCTGATATAAAAATAGCTACCCCTGCTTGCTTTTGGTGTCAATTTGCCTAAAATGCCTTTCCCCACCCCTTTACTTTAAGTTTATATGAGTCGCCTTATGTGTTAGGTGAGTCTCCTGAAGGCAGCAGATAGTTGTCTGCCATTCTGTGGTTCTGTATCTTTTAAGTGGAGCATTTAGGCCATTTACGTTTAATGTTAGTATTGAAATGTGAGGTACCATGGCGTTCACCATGCTCTTGGTTGCCTGTGTACTTTTGTTTTTTTGTTTTTTGTTTTTGCTTTTTAATTTGCATTTTTGTTTTATAGGTCCTGTGTAATTTATCCTTTAAAGATATTCTGTTTTGATGTGTTTCCAGGATTTGTTTCAAGATTTAGAGCTCCTTTTAGCAGTTCTTGTAGTGGTGGCTTGGTAGTAGTGAATTCTCTAAGCATTTGTTTGTCTGCAAAAGACTGTATCTTTCCTTCATATATGATGCTTAGTTTTGGTAGATACAAAATTCTTGGCTGATAATTGTTTCATTTGAGGAGGCTGAAGATAGGGCCCCAATCCCTTATAACTTGTAGGGTTTCTGCTAAGAAATCTGTTAATCTGATAGGTTTTCCTTTATAGGTTATCCATCGCTTTTGTGTCACAACTCTTAAGATTCTTTCCTTTGTCTTTACTTTGGATAACTTGATGATGATGTGCCTAAGCGATGATCTTTTTGCAATTAATTTCCCAGGTGTTCTCTGTGTTTCTTGTATTTTTGGATGTCTAGATCTCTAGCAAAGCCAGGGAAGTTTTCCTCACTTATTCCCGAAATACGTTTTCCAAGCTTTTAGAATTCCCTTCTTCCTCAGGAACACCGATTATTCTTAGGTTTGGTCATTTAATGTAATCCCAGACTTCTTGGAGGCTTTGTTCATGTTTTATTATTATTTTTTCTTTTTCTTTGTTGGATTGGATTAATTCAAAGACCTTGTCTTTGAGCTCTGAATTTCTTTCTTCTACTTGTTCAATTTTATTTCTGAGACTTTCCAGAGCATTTCACATTTCTAAAAGTGTGTCCAAAGTTTCCTGAATTTTGGTGATTGATTTTTCTTTAATCTATCTATTTCCTTGAATATCTCTTGCTTCATTTCTTGTATCTTTTTTTTTTTTTTTTTGGATTTCCTTGCACTGGGCTTCACCTTTCTCTTGTTCCCTTGATGTAGTACCCTCCCCCTTTTCCTATGGATGTGGCTTCCTGTGAGCTGAACTGCTGTGATTGTTGTCTCTCTTCTAGGTCTATCCACCCTGCAAGTCTACCTGGCTCCAGGCTGGTACTGGGGGTTGCCTGCACAGAGTCCTGTGATGTGAACCGTCTATAGGTCTCTCAGCCGTGGATATGAGTGCCTGTTCCAGTGGAGATGATAGAGGGGTGCAATGGACTCTGTGATGGTTCTTAACTTTCTTGGTTTAATGCTCTCTTTTTATGCTGGTTGGCCTCCTGACAGTTGGTGGTGCTTTCCAGAGAGCATCAGCTGTGGTAGTATGGAGAGGAACTTGTGGTGGGCAGGGCCCTAGAACTCCCAAGATTATATGCCCTTTGTCTTCTGCTACCAGGGTGGGTAGGGAAGGACCATCAGGTGGGGGAAGGGCCAGGTGTGTCTGAGCTCAGACTCTCCTTGGGCAGGTCTTGCTGCAGCTGCTGTGGGGAATCGGGGTGAGATTCCCAGGTCACTGGAGTTGTGTGCCTAGGAGAATTATGGCTGCCCCTGCTGAATCTTGCAGGTTGTCAGGAAAGTGGGGAGAAGCCAGCAGTCACAGGCCTCACCCAGCTCCCATGCAAACTGAAGGGCCAGTCTCACTCCCACTGTTCCCCACTCCAAAAGCCCAGAGTCTGTTTGCAGGTGGTGGGTGAGATAGGCTTGAAAACTTGTCCCAGGCTACCTGCCTTCCAGCTACAAAAGAAAAGGGCTTGGTTCTTCCCTTGCTTGAGGAGGAGTCTGCATGCCAAATTTGTGCACTCCCCTGAGTTCTGGCCAGGAGGCTTCTCGCCCCATTCAAATTGTTACAAAGTTCAGCTACAGATTTCCTTCTCCCTGTGGAGTTTTACCCCCTGCTCCTCTGGCTACCCTCCTGATGGATCTCTGTGGTACCAGGCAGGAATGGGCTACTTGGAGACCCAGCGAGCTCCGAGGGCCTTTCTGCTGCTTCCTGTATTTCACTCGGCTCCCCAAGTTAACTCAGCTCCAGGTAAGGTTGGAAACTTTTCCTGCAAACAGACCTTCGGTTTCTCCAGTGGGGTGTGTGTTTGGGAGAGGAGGGCTTCCCATTCCTACTTCTGCAGTTGGGGCAATCAGAGTATATGGGGGTCTCCCGGGTCCTGCAGGAGCAGTCTGTTTCCTTCGGAGGGTATGTGGGTCCTCTCAGGATTGTCAGTTTGTCTTGCAGTGGATCTGGAGCTCAAATTCACAATGTGAGCCTCCACACACTGCTCTTTCCAGAGCTGCAATCTAGTCCAGCTTCCTGTCTGCCATGATGATGTAACTCTCTCTTTTTCCTCTTGAATGCTTTGCCCCTTAGAAATTTATTCTGCCAGATACCCTAAATCATCTCTCTCAACTTCAAAGTTTACAGACCTCTAGGGCAGGTGCAAAATGCCACCAGTCTCTGCATAGCAAGAGTGACCTTTCCTCCCATTTCCAAAAAGTTTCTTATCTCCATATGAGACCACCTCAGCATAGACGTTATTGTCCATATCACTATCAACATTTTGGTCAAAGCCATTTAACGGGTCTCTAGGAAATTCCAAACTTTCCCACATCTTCCTGTCTTCTGAGTGCTCCAAGTCTCTAGGAAGTTCCAAACTTTCCCACATTTTCATATCATCTTCTGAGCCCTCCAAACGGTTCCAACCTCTGCCTGTTACCCACTTCCAAAGTCCTGTTACCCACTTTCACATTTTTGGGTATCTTT
The DNA here is from genome assembly GCF_000001405.40 of Homo sapiens. Classification (NCBI taxonomy): domain Eukaryota; kingdom Metazoa; phylum Chordata; class Mammalia; order Primates; family Hominidae; genus Homo; species Homo sapiens. Next base: position 42,647,541 of record NC_000023.11, on the reverse strand, counting down.
ACAGCAGCATCTCACTCCCGGTATCAATTTACCGTATTAGTCCATTCTCACCCTGCTAATAAAGACATATTGGAGACTGGGTAATTTATAAAGGGAAGATGTTTAATTGAGTCACAGTTCAGCATGGCTGGGGAGGCCTCAGGAAACTTAAAATCATGGCAGAAGTGGAAGCAAACACATCCATCACATGGTGGGAGGAGAGAAGTGCAGAGAAAATGTGGGGAGCCCCTTATAAAACCATTAGATCTCATGAGAATTCACTCACTATCACGAGAACAGCAGCCTGGGGCACTTCCCCTATGATTCAATTATCTCACCCACCCCCCGACCATGTCCCTCCCATGACACATGGGGATTATGGGAACCAGAATTCAAGATGAGATTTGAGTGGGACACAGCCAAACCACATCAAGTTCTGAGTAACTGGAGAGTAAGCTGAGGCCATAGAGCTTGAAGTTAGAAAGGGAGAGAAGGGATTGAATGGGAAGTGTTAAAGACCACTTTGCTCTATCTCACTTTGGGTCAATCAATGGCCCTTTTTCCATGAGTCAACTGCCAGGGGTTCAACACTTTGTGGGGCTCTGGTGTCAGGACTTCCTCTGTGTCTTCTTCTGTCAAACTTGATCAGCAAGGAGTTTCATTAAGGGATTCTCTGCCCTCTGTTACATCTGCATTACTTTGTCCTCTCTCAAAGAAACCCTGTTAAAGCTCCTTCCTCATACATCTGCCACTCTACAAAGCTAAGGTCCAAACTTGGAAAGAAACCAAACATCCCTAAAGTTATAAATTCCTGTCATTAGGAAATACTCTAAAGGAGTCTCTCTCTGTAATTAAACACCTCATTTTCCCTTAAGACACACACACACACACACACACACACACACACACACACAAATATTTTCCATACAACATTTAAGGAGAATAACAAATCCCCATTGTTTGCATAGTTCTAGAAATCTTGATGGCCTCATTGCAGCCAATTTTTTGTTTTTGGTTCATAAAATTTGTAATTTTTATGGTTGTAAAAATCAAGGTTATGATAAATGTGAATCTTCTGGACTATTTCAAATGCTGTCTCTAATGGTTTTCAGACTCTTCCATTCTTTTCATAGATTCAAGTCAGGTATTTCCTCCTACGAGCCTGCCCCTGATTCACTGCACCTTTCACACTCTGCATTTAGAAGACATTTCCCTATGACACCAAAATGTTTGATGTTATTAAAATCATGCTATTGATATTCATATCAATTATGTCTTGAGTGTTATGCTTAGTACATCTATTAATAAAACCCAGATTTTCATCTTTTTTGGCTTCAGATAAAATAATTTATAGAGACACAAATAGTAATATTAAAGCTATCAACCATAAAAGTCAATACCTGACAGCAGCATGTAATTTAAGAGTTGCATACATATGAATTCAGATCTAGTGTTTTTTAAATGTACATACATTAGCTGCATACCAGAAATTTAGAATTTCAGAAGCAACAAGCTGTCAAATGATAGATTACCAATGTTTTGAAAATGAACTTTGCAGCAAAGTGGGAAACTTGGCAAAGCTGGGTTAGTACATAAAACATATATGCCTTCTCTCGCCACTGAATTGCCCTTAGGTATATCCATTAACGCTGTTTTGTTGTTGAAAATTAATTTTTTTAAATGCTTTCATTTTAGCTTTGAAGTGGGAATTTTCCAGAAAGGAGGAAAGTTTTCCTTATGATTTTTGAAACTCATTTGCAAACAATATAAAGCACAAACTTCAATTAAAAGGTTCACAGTGCTATATTAATAAAGTGTTTCATCATCTCATCACTATATTTCTCTACTCTGAAATGTTTTTACAGTAATAAAAGGATCAACAGAGAAAAATAATTTGCTATTTCAGGAAGTGAGTCTATTCAAAGTGGTATAAGATTTTAGACCAATTTGAGAATTCAAGTCCATTTATATGTAAAGTAAGTTTCCCACACCTTGCTAGCCAATGGGTACAAATCTAGGGGGAGGAAAGTGGCTAGCTACTTTAATTGCAACAACACTTGTCTCATTGGCTTTTGCTACCCACTGCTGAACTAAGTACAACCCAGTTATCTCTGCTAATCCCCTAGGATGTTCCAAGCTAAGTAGGCATTTTTGTGTGCCAGATTCTTTGCTGCCACAACTACACTGTGTTCCATTTAGAAGTGGGGACAAGTCTGCTTCCCCAAAGCTGCATCATACTTTATTGCTTAGACAAAAGAAGCACAGCCTCTGCTTCAGATTCTGCCACATTTCTCTACTCCAAGACACAAAGAAACCCCCACAATTCCCCTTCAGCAGAAAATTCTCATGACAATTGATACATGCAAATGATTCCTAGCAGTACCATGCCAGTTTATCATTCATAACCGTGTATATATTAATGCTGGTTAGACAAATCCCATTACATATAAATAAAATATGAAATGTTTAAGAGAAATGAGAATTTTCAATATGGATAAGAAGAGGCAGATAATCTGGCAATATCTATGAAAATTCCAAATGCACATACTCTTTGACATAGTAATAGCACTTTGAAGAATATAAATGAATATTTGTAGTAGGATGTTTACTGCAGCATCGTTTAAGGAGGCAAAAAGAAACTGGAAGCAAATTACATGTTCATCAATAAAATAATGGTTGAATAAATTACAGTACATACAAAAGATAATATTCTGCAACTGTTAAAATAAATAAACTAAATCTATTTTGACCTGGTGGTGTGTATGACCTATTATCAAGTAAATTGACAATTGGCAAAGGAAGGTACATAATATAATCATATGTTTTGTAAAAACAAAAACATAGCATGTGCACATTCACGTGCATTTGTAAGAAAATGGAAAAGGCTGTGAAAGGCTAATGGTAAGTATTAACATTGATTTCCTCAAAGGCTGAACACATTGGTAGGTAGGGAGATACTTACATTAAAAATAAAATCTTTAGGTTGTTTCCCTCGTTATCACTTGTTAATGTGTACTTAAAATATTGCAATGAAGGAAAAGGTTAAAAAGAAGAAACATAGAAAACTCAACAGAGAGCCACCTTCAAATATAAGAAATAGATATCACACAATTATGAGAATCAATTCAATTCAACAATATATATTAAGTGCCCAAAATATATATGTTGCTATGGCACCCAGCATTGTGAGAAACATAAAAGAAAAACAAGTCATGGCCCGTGCTGTCAGAAATCCTGCAGACCTACTAAGGGACAAAATGCGCACATTATTGCCTCCAAGGCACTGTTTTGCTAGGGAGTGGTGCATGTAGTGTGTGTCTATTGGTTAATAGGAAGGAGGTAAACCTGGACTGGATTGGCTAAAGTAGATTTTGTGAGTATAGATGAAGTTGTGGATGTTCTATCCCCAACTCCAAGCCCTTACCACTTCAGTGCATGCCCACCTACCTTCCAACTGCCAGAATTGGCATCTCGTGGTCTGAGAACTTTCTCTGACCACCAGAACCTGCTCTGCCCCTACAGGTGGCAGATCAGAGGTGCCAGTGAGTTGGTGTAGCCCTCAAGGAAGGACTGATGATGGCTGGTAAGAAATTCTCCAACTCCCTTGCCCCCCAGGTAGAGTAACTCTGAGGTGCGTGTTCAACACTGGCTCCCAGAGTTCCCCCATAAGATTAGGTTTCAATTTTCCCTCGTGATAACTTGCTTGATGTCATTCCCTGCATTGACCTCGATTGTGTTCCCTTCCCTGTCTCATGTCTACACTCCCTTACCAATATTTCCCAGGAAACATTGCAACCAACTTCTTAGCTCAGGGTCAGCTTCTAAAGGAACCCAAACTAAGAGAGTGGAGGACTTTGGACCTTAGCTTTGGACATTACAGATTTTATACATTAGTTTATTCCACAAATATTGATAGAACACCTACTTATCAATACTCAGACAGGAAAACAGACACCACTCTAGGTATTTTAATGACAGAGGAATTTAATGGTTGGAATTGATTTAAAAGTGTTGTACTAACTGCTTATTGCTGCTATAACAAGTTACCACAAATTTAGTAGCTTGAAACAACATAAATTTATTGTTTCACAGTTGTGGGGGTCAGAAGTCCATAATCAGTTTCACTAGGCTGAAGTTAAGGTGTCAGCAGGACTTATTCCTTCTGGAAGTTCTGAGAGTAAATTTTTTATTTAGTTTAGTGAAATTTCAATTTCAGTAATTGTACCTTTCACCTCTAGAATTTCTATTTTGTTCCTTTTTATAATTTGTCTCTTTGTTGATATTCTCTATTCGTCCATACATCTTGCTCCTTGTTTCCTTTAGTTCTTTGTCTATGGTTTCCTGTAACTCTTTTAGCATATTTAAGACAATCAATTTAAAGTCTTTATTAAGTCCAAGGTATGGGCTTTCCCAGGAATACTTTCTGTCTATTTCTTTTTTTTTTTTTTATCACTTTGAATGGGCCATACTTTCCTATTTCTTTGTATGCACTGAATTGTTTTTGAAAACCAGAAAATGCAAATATTATAAAATGGTAACTATGTAAATCATATTCTCCCCATCCTCTGGGTTTGTTGCTATTGATTACTGAGGGCTGCAATTGTCCACTGGTTTAATGACTTTTCTAAACTATTTTTTGCAATAGGTTCTTGTTGTATGTGGTCTCTGAAGTCTCTGTGTTGTTATCTCAGCATTCAGTCGTCGACTTGCCAGAAATTTCTTTAAATACTTGGAGCCAAAAAGGAAAAGAAAAAAACTACTCTCCCAGTTTTTGAAGATTGGCTCTGTGCTGGAGCACTCCTTCAACACTAAGCCAGGCCACCTAAAACTCTGCTTCAGCTTTTACCTCATACTTGTGCAAAGCCCAAAGATTAACCAGAAGTGCAAGCCTAAAATCCTCTCAAGTTTTTTGTGAGGATGCATCTGGCCCTGGGTATGCATGTTGCACCCTGGATTTCCCAGTACACGTGGTAACCTTTCAGAGCCCTTATTCCCTGAAGAAATTTCCTCCTTAGTCTTTTCCTTCCCAGACTTTTGGGTCTGTCTGCTGCTTGCCCCATCTTCTGTCCCTTGTCCCAGGCAGACATGTAGAGTATGTTTTGAAATACTTTTGATAGATGTCACCTAAAAAGTCGTCGCTCTAGCCTCAGGGCAGGGAGGTAGTGGCAAACAAAGGTCAGTCTCTGTGCCAGTCCCTCAGGGAAACATTAGATTGATCAAAACCAAAATGTATTGAGAATGAGATCCATATTGTCCCCCATCTCAGCACCAGCAAACCATGCCAGGTATACAAGCTGCTGTTCCCACAGCCACTATCGAGCTGGAAAGTGGGAGATGTTAGGCGAGCAAGCGAAAATGCCACAATATTTTCTTATCAAAATTTAGCAGTGTCTGTTTTCATTAAACACTTTCCTGGTTGCTGTAAGATTTTGATTAGACTCCAGAGTTCCAAAAAAAAATGATTCTTTTAGTTTTGCTTAATGCTTGCTTCAATGAACAAACCAATTTTTGGAGTTTCCTACTCCACCATTTTTATGACATCACCACTACAACTCTTTCTTGCACAAGTTAAGGTATACTTATTCTCTTCCCAAAAGGGTGAAATACAGGATCCTATTAGTCACCATATCCCTTTCTGGAAAGGCTAATTTCTTTTCTAGATCAGTAAAAAGCCCACAGAGGTATTTAATATCTGAAGACTAAATTTAAAAATTAAGTATTACCAACACTGCTTATACAAAATAGTGCGAAAAGGGGAAGTGAATGATAAAACACACATGCATATAAATCAAGCAAAAAACCAAATATACACACTGCACAAAGTATGTAATAGTTCTTGTTTCTGTAACTGGACACGAATCCATAGTGGAAATTGAAGGTCTTTTGTTCATTGCATATTCCATGCTTTTTTTATAATTACCCTTCACTTTACCTGGTCAAACTTTTAGCTGGTTGGATGATTCAAATCTTCATTGTAAAGAGTCTGAGTCCTTAGTGATCCTGCATTAACTGGGTAGTCTTCAATTAACTTTTATAATTAAAGAAATGGTGTCCTATGAAACCTGCTGAGTTCTAGTCAAAGTTCTTTCTGCTCCCATTATGTACAATAATTCAATTTCCCCTTGATAATCAGGATCAAGCACTCTGTCTAGTAGAGTAACCCCCTTCTTTGCCTGCAGTAAGTTTAGTGGCCTGAGGAACCAACAAGATCAGATGGCACTCTCAGCTTCGTGTTCAACAGAACCATTATTGTGTCCATTAGTAGAAATGTCTTCCCAAGCCCCCTGGGGAATCAACACTTCTCAACCAGCAGGGCCCAAAATAAAAGTTCCAGAGGGAACTTTTGGCAAAATTCAGTGAATGTATTATTAGGTGGAATGATGAGAAAAATCACTATTGACTTCACCCTTTGGTTCTGAGACCTATGCATTATGGCTATGGGAAAATGGTGACAATATTGGTCATTGGTTTAAAATATATCATATCCCTGAGGACAGTTTTCCAACCACAAAGATACAGTCTTCTACTGCAATAGACACTATAGCTGTATCTTCAACAGGCTATTCTAACATTCTGTGGGGTCACCTGCTTCTGAAGAGTGGAGCACATAGTAAGGGCAATGAATTTCATGACCATGAAGCCAAGCCACATTTCTTTGCCTGAAAAATTCAATATTTGTTGAGAAGCACTGCTATGCAAAATAATATAGTGAATAATGAATTCCATAAATCTATGAATGGTGGTCCTGGCAATAGTATCATGGGCAGGGATGCCAATCCATATTTAGAATATATATTCCAGTGAGGACAAATTTCTGCTTCCTCCATGTTGGAAGAGGTTGAATGTAATCAATCAATATGCCACCAAGAAGCTGGCTGGACTCCCCTGCTCCCCTGACCCGACTCCTCACAACTTCATCCTCAGAAAATAATGTCCTAACAGGGCTCAACTTTATTTCTGATGTTGTCAAGCAGACATTCAATAGTGGTGGTAGCTGGACTAGCATTAGTCAGGCAAAGTCAGCATTGTGAAGCCCATGTGTAACCCCCATTCCTGATGCCATAGCCACTTTGCACATTGAGCACTCTCCCACAGGGTAGCTTGGGAAAGAAGCCAACATCCACAGGATGGCTATTTGGAGTACCAGCTTTGCCTGAGAGAGAAAATTGATTGGATTTGCATGAGCAGATGGAGAGGAAGAGGTGTTAGTTTAAGCCAAAGAATAAAGGCAAGGATAATCATAGAGTTTGGCACAGCTTGGGGAACCCAGCCCAGCTGGAGGCAAGTTTGTGCTATGGAGCACTTTTATAGGAAAAACCAAAGGTTAGAAAGGAAGGATATGGGCTGGGCCCGGTGGCTCATGCCTGTAATACTAGCACTTGAGGAGGCCTAGGTGGGTGGGTCTCTTGAGCCCAGGAGTTTGAGACCAGCTTGGGCAACATGGTGAAACTCTGTCTCCACAAAAATAAAAAAAATTAGCTGAGCATGGTGGTGCATGCCTGTGGTCTTAGCTACTCGGAAGGCTGAGGTGGGAGGATTGCTTGAGCCAGGAGGTTGAGGCTGCGGTGAGCCATGATCATGCCACTGCACCCCAGTCTTGGTGGCAGATCAAAACACCATCTCAAAAAAAAAAAAAAAGTAAGGAAGGGTATGGTAAAGTTATATTAACAACAACAAGGACAACACATAGTGGTACCAGCTTATATTTATCAAGTCCTTACTGTGTACTGTGCTGAGCATTTCATATGTATTATATCACTTGATTTTCAAAAAACTTTGTTGTGAAGTAGATACTATTATTATGCCCATTTAACAGAATAGTTTTATGAGATCAAGTAAGAAATTATAGAGTTCCCATTATCACTGACACAGAAGCCCACATAACTTGTTTACCACTGGGATGTACTGCCTTGCTATTCAGGCTGTGTTGTATGAACTCTGTTAGACAAAGGGGAATGACTGACAGGATTTGGGCAAAAATAAAGCATCAAGTAAATTGATCTGTCAATGAGGTGTGGAAACGAATACAGTTGACCCTTGAACAGCTCAGGGGTTAGCGGGACTGATCCCCCATGAAGTCAAAAATCCATGTATAACTTTTGACTCCCCAAACCATAGCTACTCATAGCCCACTGTTCACTGGAAGCCTTACCCATAACATAAATAGTCGATTGATACATATTTCGTTATTTTGTATATTATGTGTATTATATGCTGTGTTCTGACAATGAAATAAGCTAGAGAAAAAAATGTTATTAAGAAATGTTATTATAAGAACAAAAAAGCATTTATTAAGTGGAAGTGGTTCATTATAAAGGTCTTCATCCTTATCTTTATGTTGAGAAGGCTGAGGAGAAAGAGGAAGAGGAAGGGTTAGTCTTGCTGTCTCAGGGATGGCAGAGACAGAAGAAAATCTGCATCTAAGTGGACACTCACAGTTCAAAACCATGCTGTTCAAGAGTCAAGTCTACTTTCTTTCTTCGCTAGGCAATGATTAAGAAGTAAGGTGGAAAGAATCTGGGCCTTGGAAACAGACAGTCTCAGGTTTGCATCTTGGTTTTGTCTCATGATAACCCATGACCTCCAGAATTTTTATGTACCCCAATTTCCTTGTTGGAAAAATGGAGATTAGTAGATCTTACCTAATAGAACTGTTTTAAAGAATAAAAGAGACGAGGTATGTTATACTTATATGTGATACAGAGTTGATATTTCATAAATGTTGATCTTCTTCTCTCCTTTCCCATTTCTCCTTGGTAGCAAATATTGAAACAGGTTTCTGGAAGCTTTCCAAAATATGAATGTCATTGTTTTAGAATTTGTTAAATGGAACTGCTTCAGAAGGTGAGTTGGCAGATTGGATACAAATATATTCAACAACCATTTATTTATTACCTGTTATTTGCCTTTCTCGATACAGGACTTCAGAGGAACCAAAACAAATGTGCTATGGTCTCTGACATTGCACCCAGGAGGAGACCAATGAATAGGTATGTCTAAGCCAATGAAATAAGAGCCACAGTAGAATATGTGTCAGAAGGTGAGAGAAAATGGATGGGGTAGTGTAGGAGTCTATGACCAGTTTTTACAATAGAGTTCACTGAATATTTAAAGTTTAGAAAACAACAGTATTGTTCAAAATCACTCCAAAAGACCTTTACATTATCTTATTTTTAAAAAAATTAACAAATAATCTCTCCTCCCTCTTCTCTCCTCAAAAACAAGAGAATGGGTGGAGAAAATTAAAGTCATTGGCTAATAAGGTGATAATCTCAAGTTTCTCTATTGGTAGCTAAGAAAATAGCTAATAAAGGGCAAAAAAACTCAGTAAGGGGCCTATTTATTATTGCCAACAGTCATGGAGGAGGTGGGGAGCAGTGGTGAAGGATAAAAGAGATGACTTCAGCACTCTTTGAATGCTAATGGAAAATTAATATTTCATTTGAATGACAGAACTTAAAAATTACAGAGAAAATAGAAAAATACTTCTCTTTCTCTTTTTGATAGACTGAATGGGGAAAAGCAAGTCAGAAACAGAGATAAAATTGGCAATTTCCCTGTGAGAGGTTTAATTTACCAGTTTGTCTCAAAAACTTGTGGGAAAAAAATCATGCTATAGCACTGATTTTGAAGTTTTCTCCATCATAATTTTTTTTTCCCAATCCGTCAGTAAAATGTATCCCATCCTTTTTACCTTGTGTGGAGATACAGTGATGAACAGAAAGAGAGGTTATCAAAGGGAAGTGTGGCTGGTCCCAGTGCAAACTTGCCACTGGCTTTCATAAAGGAGAAACAGCTGAATAATGCTCAGGGGGCTGAGATGTTCAACCTGAAGCCATGGAGCTGCCAAGCAGGAGTGGGATAAGAGCAGCACTGTGGGGTAGACAACTGGAATGGAAATGCCATAAAACTTCCTCTTACCACAGAAGATGCTGAACTTTGAAAGTAGAGTTTGAGGCTGCAGTAAGCTATGATCGCACCAATGCACTTCAGCCTGGGTAACAGAGCGAGACCATGTCTCAAAAAAAAAAAAAAAAAAAAGAAAGAAAAGAAAAAAATAGTACAAAAAACAAACTATGGAGTCTTAAGAACTATCCTTCATCTTTGACATTATTTTTGAAACAAAGCTCATCCTTTTTTTTTTGTCTTTCTCTCTAAACAGAATTTCTATGCACTGTCACTGTTTATTAACAGCCCTCAGAAGAATGTCATTTCTACTTCTATGATAGTCTATGGAAACAAGGCTAGTTCTTATACAAGTATTCTATGTATTCAGTATTCCATGTACTCATATGGCATGCAATACTCTATTCCGTGTTATGCAAACTAGAAATGAAGATGTTTTAAATAAGCCTCACCTGCTCACAGTTGATAGCCTTGTGCCCCATGGGAAATGCGGGATAAGTACTGCAGTGATGTGGTGTTGCTTTTACTCAGTTTTCCAAAGCTTCAGGAGCTCACAGGTGTGAATTACCGAATTACCAGAGATGTCAGCTGCCTGTCCAGAATGAAGCATTTTCAAACAGGTGCAAATTTTGTTGCAGACTCTCAACCTACTAATAACCTGCCTTGTCAAAAATTTCAATATTCTCTAAGGTTGAAGTGAAACCTCACATGGATTTTATTAGCAGGGAGCAATTGCACCTTGTGAAGTAGATAATATGGTTCGATATTTCTCCTCATTCTACATGCAAGTAAAAGGAAAATTCACATGACTCATTTTCACTCCTGTGATGTGTAGCCTCTCTTCATTATTTTAGAGATGCTGAATTTAAAACACTCACCAAATATTAGCCCAAATATTAAGTTAGGAATATATTTATACATATAGATAAATATATATAGATATATAAGGATATACCACCTCACCTTTCCCTTCCTCATCCACCCTCAGTTCCCATCCCCATACACTACAACCTATGCTCCAACCACTGGATTATTTTTTCTTCCTTATACCTGCCTGCCACATCACCAAGCCTTGTATCAGCAATTCTTAACCTTCTCCCCATTGTGACGCATGTAAGTAATGACATCCCCCATATACAACAACACAATTCACATAGTCATGCCCACATTTGGACAGAACCCCAAAATTCTGCCGAGAAGTAAAACAACGTAATAAGTCAAAGCAACCTAGATATTAACTAAAGGAGACAGGCTGCTGGTGAAGCACGATTCCCTCTGAGCAAACTCTTGAGAGCTACGTTCCTTCCCACTCAAAGCAAGGGAGTGAGAATGAATATTTATAGGGATAACCTTGAATTTTCTCTAATTTTAAAAATGTGAATCATTTTCAAACTTTGGTGCTTTATTATTATTTGCCATGGACCACACAAATGCTGCCTTGTCCGTCCTACTCTTACATGCTGAAATGCTTACCCCCACCCATATCACGACTTGCTGAAAAACCTTCTCATCATCCAAGGTTCAATTTAAATGCCACCTCCTCCAGTGAAGCAGATGCTGTCTGTGTCTCAGCCAAATCCTGTTTCCATGCACTACTCAAGTTTATAACTCTTTGTCTGAGGCCTTTCACTGGCTGCACAAACACAGACTCAGCCCACATGTGGGACAGGTGAGAAGTACTGGAAAGTTAACATCCCTGGCAAAGCCCTCAAACAGCGATACATAAAATTTGGTAAATAAAAATTTCATTTTCCTCTGCCCACCTCAAGAAGAACAACACTCAGGTTTATTCTTAACTATCTCCCTGAGGTCCCCAGTAGGAATGAGCCCCCGTTGCCCATAACAGTAAGCTGCTTATTAGTGCAGTCTGCTTGACTTCCTAAATCACCTTCCAAATAAACCCTGTGCCCAAATACTACTCTTGATACATGCTTCCAGGGGAATTCAAGCTAAGATATCCTGGAAGTCCTTTTCCAGTAACCCTGCAGCAAATAATTCCTTCTCCTCCTGGGTTCCCATAACATTTTGTTACATTAGAGTGTCATACAGGACATTAAAAAAGACATAGTGAATCATAGATATACCTGTTTCTCTCACGAGGCACCTGAAAGTAAGAATTATGATTTCTCTGTATCTATATCCCCAAATTGCTGATCACTGCACTTTGCACATTCCTAGTACTTAATAAACATTTGTTAATTTGAATGAATATCAATATGCCTATAGCATCAAAGACAGCAATTCTTAATGTTTCTTCTAAGATATTATTTTAAATTAAACATTGAAAAGAGAGTGGAGGTTTGGCATAAAAAAATGATAGCTAGCAACTGGGCATGGTGGCTCATGCCTGTGATCCCAGTATTTTGGGAGACAGAGGCCAGCAGATCACTTGAACTCAGGAGTTTGAGACCAATCTGGACAACGTGGCAAAACCCCGTCCTACAAATAATAATGGCACATGCCTGTGGTCCCAGCTACTTGGGAGGGTCACTTGAGCCTGGGAGGTTGAGGCTGCTGTGAGTGACTGCACACTGCACTCCAGTCTGGGCAACGGAGCAAGACCCTGTCACAAAACAAACAAGCAAACAAAAAACAAACAAACAAAAAATGATAGCTAGCTAAAGGTTTTGGATTCCATCTTTTCTCATATTCCCTTAAAAAATATATGATAACAAAAGGGAAAAATTGTGGTAGCACAATAGATTAATAATTACAATAAGATAACAAAATAAACCAAGGAGGAGAGTCCAGTACAGTGTGGAAGCGGGAAGAAATTTTCATTAACTATATCACATAAGTATGAATTAAGAAACAATCATGGCCGGGCATGGTGGCTCACACCTGTAATCCCAACATTTTGGGAGGACGAAACAAGAGCATCACTTGAGCCCAGGAGTTCGAGACCAGCCTGGGCAACACAGTGAGATCCCATCTCTATTTTAAAAATTTTTTTAAAAAGAAAAAAAAACCCCACAAGCACTAGCCAAAGCATGCCCAAACTCTAAACAGAATAACACATTTAAGAAGTCAGTGGAAGGAGATTAGGGCCACTGGACTCTCTGCCTCTAGCTCCAAGCACAAAGCTACAGTAGACACAGAGTTCTATGTGCAACATGATGAGCAGTTGAAAGCAGTAGAAATGATGGATCATTGAATCCTGAAATGTCCTCTGGGGCTAAGCAAGCTATATTCAGAGGTCAGGGGTAGATTGGCATGCACCAACCTATTCAAGAAAGAGCCTATATAGAATAGAGCATTGCATAAAGATCAAGAGCATGGACTTTGGAATCAGACAGACCTGGAGTAGTCTGACCTCTTCTTACTACTTGTTGCAAGATTTTGAGTTATTTAATCTATCCATACCTTAGTTCCCTTATAAGTAACATGGGGCAAGAATAGTAGCTACTTCAAAGAGTTCTTAAGAGAATAAAATGAGATAAGTAATTAAAGATCTTAGAAAAGTGCCTGGTAGAGTAGTCAAGATTATTTACTTCTGCCATCTTCCTTCTCTTTCTTCAACACCATCATCACTCATGCATTCTACAGAGTCAAAAAATGAAACAGTTGAAGAGAAAAAGTTTCCACTCCAGCTCAGCAAATCTGTAAAAATTTAACACAGAGCAATGAATTTCAAGCTTTGGATTTTGCAGATAAAACTAGCACCTGCCTTTATGGCCAAGAAGGGGGTTCTCTTAGCTTTAGGGTGATCAAGCCTCTACCTGTTATAAACAGGGGCCAGTATAGATTTCTCCTCATTTGGTATGATTAGAAACAAAACAATTGACAATTCAGGGCCTGGGAATCATTCTATTCTACTTACAGAGAAGTTAATTCCCTGTTAGTTTAGAAGAAAGGAAAACACTTGGTGAAATCACTGCAGAAACTGAAAGAACATGTTAAGGAAATTTCTACTTTAATCTCAATAAAATTCATAAAATTTTTGTTAATGTTTGTCTTAATCCTTCTGTGCTTAATGTGCTTCTGTAATGAAATACCGAAAACTTGGTAATTTGTAAACCACAAAAATTTATTTCTCACAGTTCTGGAGGCTGGAAAGTCCAAGGTCAAGGAACCAGCAGTCGGTATCTGACGAGGGCTTCTTTGCTGCGTCCTCACATGGCCAAAGGTGAAAGGGCAAAAATGACAAAGCTCTCTCTGAAGCTTCTTCTATGAGGATTTTAATCCATTCATGAGGGCAGAGCCCTCATGACGTAATCACTTCCCCAAAGGCCCTCCTCTTAATACCGCCACAATGGGTATTAAGTTTCAACATAACTTTTGGAGGGGACATATTCAAACCATAGCAATGTTAATCTAGAACAGACCTGCAACAGGAAAAAACAATGGGATCAGATAAAAAGAAAGCATGTTTTATGTGAAATAAATGACAAAATAATCAAAAAGGTAGTAATGGAATTAAAAACCTGCATTGGAGAAAATAGCTATCAAAAATGACTCAGAAGAAAATCGAATCCCTAATGTAAATAGAAAGCTTAATAATTCTGCCAGAATGCAAAAGGGAAGATACAGAGATAAGTGAATATGGTGGAAGAAATAAGTACAGAGATCAAGGAATAAAAGCCAATATACAAAGTAGAAATAAAATCTGCTCAGAATGGACAAGACAATTCCCAGACTGGCAATGGAGATACATCTGTGAGATAAGAAATATCAAGCTCACACATTGAACATCATTTGCCTGCCACTACATACTAGGGCCTCCATGACAAGGATGTCCCTTCCGACCTCTCCTGCTCTCTCTCCTGCCACACGCACGTTTTCATATAGATGGCTCCAGTAATGATGGTGCTCTACCTATATCATGGGATTTCTTAAACCCATACCTTTGCTTGTGCTGCCTCCTTTACCTGATTTCTTACCCTCCAGTTTTCCTATGGCTATTCCCACTCATCCAAATCTCATCTCCAAAATACCTTCACTGAGGCTCCTGCAGAAGATTCTCTTTCATCTGCATCTGAAGTCCCCTCCAGTCCTTCACTTTACCCCACTGTGATGTCTTACCTCTGGATTCGAATTTTCTTTAGGCAAGAACTGTGTCTTATTTATCTGTGTATTGCAAACACTTAACTGATTGCCTGGTTCTTCACAAATGCTGGTTCAGCCAATGTACCATTCAGTTTAGGTGTCTTTCTCTCCACATAAAAAACAAATGAAGTTCAAACCAAGTCCTCCATATAACCTTACAGCATGACTTTCTAAAATGGCCAAAATGCCAGAGATGCCCCTTGCCCTGCCTCATGCTCTCAATATGCAAGTGAGGTAACATTGTTAGCGACTGAACATGTTCCATTTTCCATAGTGATGAAATTTTATTTTTAACTGTACTGAAAAGAATTAGAATGCTGTTACCAAGATTAAAAAACTTGAAGGATTTTCTAGAAGGTAAGAAAACCACTTTGGAGAAGGATGTCCTCGTCTTTGTTTTACTAACTGATTTTGTGAAAAGTAAGCAAAGGGGCCACACAGGAGTATATGTTTTACTTTGTGAGAAAACTGCAAATAATAATTTAAAAAACTGCTACAAAGGAATTTGTCAAGAAAAGAGCTGTTAAGGGTTGAATGGCAGACTCTCATATGTTATGCATCACCAATTTCTACATTAGCTAATATACATTGATCAGTGTAACAGTAACTAATGCCAAATTATCAAAACATGTTCAATATGTTTGGCAAGCTATTTGAAATGAAATAAAAGAAATTAAATTATATGTGACATTTTAAAGAATTTCTAGTTTTTTTAAGATTTGATCAATATTTTAAATATTAACACAACTGTGTGGAAATATGGCTACCAAAAGAAACTAATTTCCAGAAAGATGTAAATTGTGTGTGTGTGCATGTGTGTGCATGTGTGTGTGTCTATTGTGGTTAAGAGCTTGATCATTGGCTTTTAAACAACCTGTCTTTGAATCCTGGTTCTGAAACTTACAGATGTGTGACCTCAAAAATTTAGCCCAAGGAATCAAAGGCCCAGAGAGATTACCTGTAAACTGGGGGCAATGATATCTACCTTGGGGTACTGATACGAAAATTAAATAAGATAATACAAATAGCTAATTGATTAAATACTTACTATTTGCCAGGAAGTGATCTAAGCACTTTAGATGCATTGATTCTCATAACAACTCTATAAGGTGGATACAGCCATTGACCATATTTTATAGTTAATCATGTTAGAAACAGAGAGTGGGTAAGTAACTTGGCCAGGAGTATGTAACTATAAAGCAACAAGGCCTGAATTGGAAGCCAGAAGCTTGAGTTTAGGACTTATGCTCTCTGTTAGTATGTTACAATGGTTAAACATGTATATATAAAATATACAAAGTGCTTTACATGGTGCTTAGCACATAACAGGAAAATAAAAACTTATAATGCTTATTTTTTTAGGTCACATTTGAAGTTACAAAAGTAATCCTAAGTTAAAAAACAATCCCCTTAGGCCACAGAGCTGGGGTCCTGCTCGGAGCTCCTAAACCTTCACCCACTCTACAGAAAAAAGGAAACACCCATAGGCCAGTGGTTTTGCCATAGCTGCTGCTTCTAGCCCTGGGCTGATGCAGATCCTACCAGTAGACAGGGGTGCTCAGCCTCCACCACCTCAACTCAAATATGGCAGATGTGGTGGTTGCTTCCAACCTTCAGTATGTCTGGCTCTTTCCTTGATTTTCTTACTATTTGGAGCAGTGATTCTCAAATATGAGCATGTATTGGAGTCACCTGGAAGGCTTTGTAAACAAACACATAGGTAGCTGGGCCCCACAGCCAGAGTTTCTGATTCAGCAGGTCTTGGGAGGGGCTCAAGAATTTGCATTTCTGACGTGTTCCAGGGGACATGAATGCTGCTGATCCAGGGACCACACCTTGAAAACCACTGGTTCTAGAGGAGGGGTGGGCAAACATTTGCAGTACAGGGCCAAATAGTAAATATTATAGGCTAACAGACCATACAGTCTCTGCCATTTTACCTCTGTAGCTTAAAAGCAGCCATAGACAATGCATACATAAATGGACCTGATTCTGTTCCACTGAAACTTTATTTACAAAAAATAGGTGCTAGCCTGTGGGGTGTAATTTGTATCCCTCCTGATCTAAAGTACAAGAGACCCTGTGACCCTGCTTCCTGGAATTCAATATGTAATGGGCCAGTTAGAGGAGGCTGAGCCTACAAAGGGAATAAGATATGGCCACAGATGTAGGAAAAAGAAAACCAGGAATGTTGTGTTATGGAAACCAAAGAAAAAGGGATTGGGCAACATGCCAAATGTTGCTGAAATCAATAAGCTGAGACTGAAAACTTCTATTAGATGTAGTGATTCAGAATAAGATGTTACCATAACTGGGAGGGGTATTTGAAGGAAGGAATGGAACCAGGGCCCAAACTGGAGGGGATGGAGGAGTTAGTTGGAAGTAAGAAAAAAGAGAGGTGAGAGAAGGCTAACCCATCTCTGATCTCTGAAATATGAGATATGGTAGATTATACATGGCCAAAATTTATTTGCTACTCTTCCCATTGAGAGGTGGAGTTTAATTTCCCTGCCATTGAACCTGAGTGGGCTTTAATGATTTGCTTGGCTAATAGAATACGGCCTAAGTGATGTTCTGGGCTGGGCTATAAGAAGCCTCCTGGCTTCCACTTGAGTCTCTTGGAAGACACTCTGAGAAAAGCCATCCACTCTGTAACAAAACTGTTTATCCTGAGACATACCCTGCTTGTAAGGAAGACCAAGTGTATTATTAGTCTGCTCTGATGCTGCTATAAAGAACTGCCTGTGACTGGATAATTTATAAAGAAAAGAGGTTTAATTGACTCACAGTTAAGCATGGCTGGGGAGGCTTCAGGAAACTTACAATCGTGGTGGAAGGGGAAGCAGGCACATTTTACATGGCGGCAAGTGAGAGAGAGCAAGTGAGAGCACAGGAAAAACTATCATTTTACTGGGACAGGAACACATTAGAACAAATATACATATGATGGCTTGGGATGACAAGATGGGGGACTTGGTCAGTTTAACTGATGTCAATAGCCCAATCATAGGTGAAAACATTAGTATGTGGCCCTGTCAGAGTTATGAATTGCTTGTCAGGAGAAGCCATTGTGGTGCCAAACTTAATTTTTATCAGTCTTTGCACTGATGTAGCAAAGAGCCCCATTTGGCTCCAGAGAGGTTTGACTCTGAAAGCAATAAGGGAAGCTGGCTATGCTAAACACCAAGAATTTATTCAGAGTTTACATGAGACACTTTCAGAATCTTAACTCTCAAGGTTGGGGTGGGGGATGGTTGGTGGATAATAAAATAAAAAAGGAGGAAATTCAGAGTAATAGAAAACTTCTCAAATCCTGCATCTCGAATTTCAAATCTTCCCTCTGTCATTGGCTGAAATATAGTGCTCTCTCCAGAGGTGTTTGGTATTTGTGTGAAAGCACAACACAGTGTTTTGTTGTTGTTGTTGTTTTGAGTCAGCAAAAGGATCTAGAGACAAGAGGACAGAGGAGTGTGCTGCATTATTAATAGGAAAGGCATTTTCCATTTTATTAGAAGCACCTGAACTCCTAAAGCTCTATTGGATGCTGAGCTTTGCTAGATGATACACTGAATGAGCCACTCAACTTTTCGTCATTGCCATGGTCTGGATTTCCAGAGTGATCTTGCTAAACATGAAATTAATGGGAGCATGGTTTCTGGAACCATTGAAACTTTTGTCCATACTGCACAAATGAAGTCTCTAGATGTTTGTGGTGATGAAGAACATATCTAGTAGCAGGATGGTCCCTGGTTCCATTTAAGGAACAAAAAAATGGGAGCATGCAACCAGAATGTGAAGTCTTTTGCTCTCTGGTTTGTCATGAGAATACAAACTAGGGAACTGGCTGTGTTATTAACCAATTAGGCCATTAGAACCACTTTATAGTTAGGATAAACAAGACACCTTCATGGGACCAGAGACTGTAAGCAGGGAGGTAGGTAATAAAACACAGTCCAAATTCCAGGTGGTTTGTTTGCCATGATAGGAAAAATCTATTCAGTACTTATAAGGAATCTTTAAAAAGCCATTAACAATCTCTTGTTCTAACATCTTGCTTTGGAAGCAGGTGACTTTAACAGTTGAATGCTAACAGACTCACCCAAACTAATAGACATATGGGTATTTAATTTCTAGGAACATTCTCTCATTAAAAGATCTCTGCTGAAATCTTTACCATTTGTTATTATATATTTGACAAAAATTTCATCTTTCTATCTTTTTCTGAATATTACTTTAAGATTATACACTCTAATTGCATCAGTCAATTTAACAAGCCAAGAGGATTTGGAAAGAACCAGAGACAAGTCTGGGAACAAGGAACAGGATTCAAATTAGACCATTTTTCCAGGTAGGTCTAGGTCACGTAGTTATAGTGTCACATACAGGCACTGTTTGAGGCCTGGTTTCTAATATGTTTCTAACTGTAAGTTTAATTTTTAAAAAAAAGCATTCGTAGTCCTAGCTAGAATATGCTGGGTTGCTATAGAAACAGCCCCCCCAAAACTCATATTTTACTGTTCACAGCTTTCCATGTGAAGCTGCACTGTGTCACTTGTTTGACTGACTGAAGAGGCCGTTTCTACAGTTTTTTTCCACCAGGCATATTACCACTTGCAAAGCCTATATAGGTTGATATTTCCTCTTCCTTCTGGGTACAAAGTGAGATAATTCATTGGAGTAATTATAATAAACAATCCACTCCATTCAGGTTTACTGTCTCATCCTTGCTTTCTTTTCCTAGAGCATTAGAAATCCATCACCGGTTTGAGATCTTTTTAAAAATGCATGAAGGGAAGGGAATTGGCAGCACAGTTAAATGAATTTAATTCAGCCAGATTTTACATTATTAACTCACTTCCGAAGAGCTGAATACAGGGAATGATGGAAGAAGAAAGTGGAACTAAAATTGGACCATTGATCCTGGCAGTCTCTGTGCCAAACAGACGTGGGAAACAGGCTAGGGAAACTGTAAATGTCTTTTGACACCAGTTAGAAATAGAGCATTCATTTATTTTAATCAATATGAGATATGTATTAGGTGGATTCTTCCCACCCCCTCACTACCCATTGTATCCTGCTCTTGACTTAACTGATGCCAGAGTTGGCAGCCTCACAGTCCAGGATTGTTTAAAGTAGCATATTATAGCAACAAGACTTCCCTCTCCTCTGATGTTAAAAAGAAACAGTGAATGCATAAAAACTAGTAGAAGATGACACTCTGCATTCAAGTGATCACACTCATGCTCCAAGGTTTTGCCTTTGGAAGGAAGAGAAAGAAGTCAATATACATAATAATGTATTCAGTCAATGAAAGAAAGTTCTGAAAGCATGTGCTTTACAGTCATCCCATGGATAGAACAGCAGAGACACGTTTATGCCCTTCAATCCGCATCTGAACGCCAAATGCTGAAATTAAGACCTTCCAGTATCAAAGGCATAACGCCTACTATCTTATTTTGTCTTTGCCTTTAGAAATAGATTGCTTTTCTACAAGGATTATCTTCTAGCTTCTAAAGCACTGCTCATCTGATAAGTGACTTAGTCTATGTATTGTAAAAGATTAAGAAGCCAAACGACCGCCATTTTTTAAAAGTTGCTGAAGTGAGACTTTCAGAATGTGAATGTATGCTAATCATTAGGGTTGTCCAAAAATAGTCTGCTCTGGTTCTGGAACATAGTAGGAGTATAATTCTCTCCCCATTTTGAAACCAGATAAGGCCATGTGACTTACTTTGGCCAATGAGAGAGTGCTGAAGTGATATTCCTGTATGGAAGCTGTAAGAGCCAGTATATGATTTACCATGTTTCTTCTCCCTGCTGCAGTGATAGTGTAAGCCTGTGATAACATGGAATTTACACAAGCCTGCAATGATCAGATTCCCCCAGACAACCAGACTGGACAAACAGTAGGAATGAAAAATAAACTTGTCTGGTATAAAGTCCCTGAAATTTGAGGGTCGATTGTTACTGCAGCATTCCTTAGACTATCCTGAATTCACCCATGTTTCCATTAAAATGCTCATAAAAGAGCAAAATAAGATACAAAGCCATAATCACAATGACAATAGGAGTAATACCTAACCATTTGCTGAATCCTGCAAGGAATTTTCACAAAATATGGTTGGAGTGGGACTAAATTTATAAAAAATGTTGAGAATCTCTCCTCTGAAATAACAGTAGGGTTTGAAGGACAGAATGTTAGTTGGGCCTTTGACCCACCCATACTGTCTTCCCCCAGAAATTGCAGGGTCTGTGAAAAAAAATACACCTGGAGAGCCACCACAGTCTTGCACTGAAACTTCCTCCTAAAGCAGGTAGAAGTCTCCTGACTTTCAGTCTCCTTGACACCCTTCTTTCCGCATTCAGTCAGTTAAGGTGGGCCACGCTGTATAGTGCTCAATGACTGGTAGAAGACAAGAATAACCTTATTCAAGACAATGTGAGTGATACGTTTGAAAAAAATGACAACTTCATCAAGAGATTAAAAAAATAACTCAAGCATGATGAAGGGATGCATTGTTTTGGATATAATTTCTAAATGCTTGAAAGATTCTGATAATCGCCAGATGATTATGTTGTTTAAATGTAATAATTGCCAATAAAATCCAATTGGAGTTTGTTTTGAAACTTAAAATAATTATAAGGTTCATTTGCAAAGAAGAATGTTATTTTTGAAAAAAGTATTGCAGGAATTGCCATAACTGTGTTCAGTTATTAAAATATATTATAAACCAATAATAACTAAAATATTATATTTCTGGTACAAGGAGAGACAAATTAATTAATATCAGTAGAGACAGAAACAAATGTAAGTGTATGTGTGAATTAATTCACCATAAGGGAAGCGATGAGAATTAATAGAAAAATAAAGGACTATGTAATGACAGGCACTGAGAAAATCAACTTAGACATCTCCTTAATACAGTCTAATAAAATAAGTTCCTGGTTTGATCAAAGAATAAGATCTATAAAAACATAAATAAACACCACAGATACACAGACAAGAGAGAAGAAATTATAGGTGAGTAAAGACATTTTAACATTTAAAATGATGTAGAAAAACATAGAAAAGAATAAATGATAGGTTTGACTACCTATGAAAGAAAATCTAATACTTTTTGCATAAATTAAATCAAATGACAACAAGAAGCATAGCAAAGGTTTAATGATATTCACATATAGGGAAAATATAAGATTGATTTTTAACAAGAATCCTATGGAATAATGAACACAGTTTTTGAGAAGATCATTCACAAAAATGAAAATAGAAATAGCTAAAAAACATAAGAAATACAACTTCACTGGTAATCAAATAAACACAAACTGAAATATGAGATTATTATTAACACCTGTAAACAAAGCAAAGATTTTTAAAGACATGCTACCTAATTCTGACAACAGAGAAATTTACCTATATTACAATTGAAGATATAAGATACATATACATTTGCATATTAATATGCATATTTAATATTAATACTCACATAGACATAATTTTTAAAAAGCTGAAAATAAATATATTCAAATATTAACTGTAATTATTTCTGAGTGGTGAGATTATAGTAAAGATAATTTTCCTCTTGATTTTTTTGAATTATTTTTTTTTGGCCTTTTTCTTGTATTTTCTAAATGTTCCACAGTTAATATGGATTATCTTAATAATCAAGGAAAAAACTTTAAGTCACTTGAATCAAGGTACAGAATCAGAAATTGCCAAATGAGCTGTAATGACATTTCCTGATAAAAATATATAGCACATGAGTAACCCACACCTGTTAGTCTGACTTGATTGTGTATGTTCATAGAGAAACGTAGAGAGGACAAAAGAACCAGATTCCAGGAAGTATTTAAAACAATTCAGAATAGTCAGAGACTCCAGAAGCTTTTATCTGAGTTTATTGGTTTGTATTTATGATATCTGGATCTCAGGGGCAGAAGGGTACATTCATCATACCTTTCAGTTCAGGACACATCATCATTACTGGTTTGTGTATGGCTCTTCTTTTATTTTCTTTACTTATTTATTCTTTTTGCATTTCTTACTCACCCCCACTACCCATCCATCAGCAACTATTTTCTTAATTGTTTTTGAATGCTCTTGTAAAATGGGTATCATCATTTTGTATTGATGAAATTTTGATTTCTGAAACCAATACTCTGTTATATGTCTCATTCTTTTGTTACTTTTTTTTTCACTTTACACTATGTTTTTAGGATCCATACATGTTCTAAATTCTTATTTCTACTTGTCCCATAATATTCCACAATAAGTATCCACCACATTCTTTTCCTCCAGTCTCCCAGTGATTGACACCCAGGTAGTCGGCAACTCATTATGACTGTGATACTCTAATAAGCAACCTCATATATTTTCCCTTGTGGAATTGCGTGAGAATGTTTTCAGATTAATCGCAGGTAAAAAAAATTACCAGGCCGCAGTGTACTTAAACTAAACGTACTTATCCTAAGCAGTACCAAATTGCTCTCCAACATAGTGGCCGCTCTGGTGCTCACTCAAACCAGCAATAGTGCATTCTTATATCTCCAACAACACTTAACATTACCAAGTTTCCTAATTTTTGTCAGCCAGGTACAAAGTGGATTCTCATTATTGTTTTCATATTCATTTCTCTGATTACTCTTGATTTTTATCACACATATGCTTCTTGGCTTTTAGAATATTTTATTCTGTAAATTTTATGGATATTTTTGCCCAATTTTCTATGAGAATTATTATCCTTTTTGTTTATTTGCTGGAATTGCTTATATGTTCTGGATATTAATTTTATGTTAGTTTTAGACAAATACCTTTTCTTATTTTTTAACTTACAATAACTTTGTCCATAATGTTCCTGATTTTGATGTTCTTGCTATGTGATTTGTGTTTTTTAAAGAAATCAATCCCTGTTCCTAAGTCACAAAGATATTTGCAGCCAATTTTTTCATCACCCTTGTCTAGTCCACGTACTTCAAAGAAATAGTAAAACTCCAAACTCCAGTAAAGTGAGTGAGGCTCACTTAAAATATGGTACAAGAGCCCATGGATCACATTTTCTGCCTGGTGTCCCAATCCCTGAACTAGATACCGTAGAGGTGGAGATGTCTCTTACACATACCATCACTAAAGCCTCCAGGATGATATCTGCTTCCCAGTTATATTCTTCAGTCCCATTTGTTCCAAGTATCCATTACTGTGGAACAAATTACTGCAGACTCAGTGATTTAAAACAACCACTGATTCCATGGATCAGGGATTTGAAGAGGGCATAGTGAAGATGGCTTATATCTGCTTTATGATATCTTTGGCCTCAGCTGAGAAGACTTGAAGGCTGGGGGTGACTTAACAGCTGGGGGTTGGAATCATCTGAAGGTTTGTTTACTCACAAGCCTGGCACCTGGGCTGGAATGATTCAAATCCCGGGTTAAGTTAGGACTGTTGGTCAGAAAGCCCCCAAGCAGCCTCTTCATGTGGCTTGAGTTTCTTCAGGGTATGGTAACCTCAGAGTAGTTGGATTTCTTACATGATATTCTTACATAATATCTTAAAGATCCAAGAGCAAACATGGAGGAAACTATATGACCTTTTATGACCTTGTAAATTTTGCTGTATGTTGTCACATAATTGAAGGGAAAGAGACAGAAACTTCACCTCTTGATAGGAGGAATGTTAAAGATTTTGTGACCATGTTTTAAAACCATGAAATCATTCATTTAGTCCTTTGCCATTGGACCTCAATTTGCCTTTCAGCCATTCTTTCTCAGTACATTCTGTATGCATCCCTTAAAAACACAACTAAGCTAGACTTCTAGATGCTGGCTTCTTTATTCAATTCGTATTTTCCAGCCTCCTTACATATTTATTGCTGTGTGTCCTCTGACTGGAATATTCTCCCTAACTCTCAAAATCTCTCTTCTTTCATGCCTATTTCAAAATTCAGACTTCATGAAGATTTTCTTGGTTCACCAGCCACCCACCACTTCCCTGTCCTCTATGTACTCCCATGCATGACACATTGTATTTCTCCAATATTGTCCCTCATATCAGGCCTCAACTTTGTGTCCTGATTTTATTCCTTCACATTACTTTTTTGGATTCTCAGCGACAGCAACTGCACCTTATTCAGCTTGCATTGCTTCAAGTGGTGGTTTCCAGACCTGCATGTCTTAAAGAGGAAAATTAACAAAAAGGCAATGCATGGGGCCAAAAAAGAGCCATTGACTTTTTATTTTGCCAATTAAGTGTATTTTAAAAGAATTGCACCTACTATCATTATTATTATATTTAGTGGGGACATTTTAACATCACACACACACACACACACAAACACATACACACTACTTCTCTGATCTCATCTCCTTCCACTCTCCCACTCATTCACTTTTCTCCAGCCTCTCTGACCTCTTTATTATTTGCATTCATGCCAAGAACACTCCCATCCAGAAGATTGTTCTGGGAGCACCCTTTTCCCTCCTCATAGGTGAGGCATTTCCCCACCACTTTAAATAAAACAGTAACTGTATTCCCATTCTCCCTGTTTGCCTGTCCCTCCCACCCTGCATGTTTTTTCTCCTTTGCACATCACACCATGTGACACATTCCAAATTTACTTACTTTTTTGCTTATTTTTTACCTCCTTCCACTAGTGTAAGCTTCTTAGGATTAGGGATTTTTTACCCACTACTGTATATTCTGTACCTAAAACATTGCTTGACACATGGTAGGCATTTAATAAATATTTGTCAAATGAATTAATAAATGAATAAGATATTATATGTGTGTGTGTGTGTGTGTGTGTGTGTGTGTATTTATGTATGTATGCATTTAGGAATCAGAATATAGACTTTGTCCCAACTCTTCTTCTCAGGCTAGGAATCTCTTTGGCCCATAAAGGAATGATAACAAATGATAACTAAATTCTATGGTCTTTCTTCTAGAAGCATGATTCATGGTTAATTATCATCATGGATTTTTTCTTTTTTGTTTTTTTTTTTTTGAGACAGGGCCTTGCTCTGTTGTCCAGGCTGTAGTGTAGTGGTGTGATCATGGCTGCAGCCTTGACCTCCTGGGATCAGGTGATCCTCCCACCTCAGCCTCCCAAGTAGCTGGGACTACCCGTGTGTGCCACCATGCCTAGCTAATTTTTTAATTATTTGTAGAGATGGAGTTCTTCCTTTGTTGCCCAGGCTGGTCTCGAACACCTGGGCTCAAGCAATCCTCCCATCCTGGCCTCATCATGGATTTCCTTACATTTTAGTTCCCCACACCATAGGCTGCTTTACACTACACTTCAGTCCCCAAGGGGAGAAAGCAAGAAGGAGCAATGAAGCACCTGAAAATCCTCTAGCTTTTTGAACAAGATCTATGCAGAAAGTGTCAATTCTCATTTACTCTTAGCTTTTCTTCCTACATTTTGGGAGCTCTCTGGCACGGGGAATGCTCAAAACAGCTTTAGTCAAAGCTCTCAAAAATTACTGCCTTTGCTCAAACACTTCAGGGTTTAATAAATCTTGCTCTAGCTTTGAAGATAATAATTTTAGGTAAATTTGATGAAATCTTTAAATATGCTCCAAATAGGCATGGGGAGTGGGGAAGACATATGTCTTTATCTACACATACAACAAGAAAAGGGATTTCCACTCCCTTGGCTTTAAATAAATAAGTCAGCAGGGCTGGCCCCCTTTCTGAGTTTAATTGGGTTTTAATGTTTTATGTAGCTTACATCAAGGAATATTAATGCCATATGCAGAACAAGTCACTTGAGCCTTTCATACACAGGGAAAACTTTTCATCTGATCTGAGAGATGATTTTTCTAAACAATATCAACATAGTCAATAGAAGTTATAATTAATTCATACATTGAGAATGTAATTAGCATTCAAATGAAAGAAATGATTGTTGTACCAAAAGAACCCCACCACTCCATTATTACATTTGGTACAAATAAAAAATGCTGAAAATGTTTCCTTATTAGCTGTTGGTATGAGGTAACCACTCCTTCTTCGAGCCTCCCTTTAGCTTAAAACCAATAGATCAAATGAAGCTAGTGGTCTGGCTTTGACAGCAAGCTTGTCCTTTAATTTTCGGTGTTGAAGTGCAACCCATCCTCTCTGCCTTTGTGTCTTTCTAAGCAATCAAGTTCAAATTGCATCTTTCACTGATTTATAGGCAGGAAACCTGAATAGCTGAAGGGGCTAGCCTAACAGGAACACCTTTATTTATATCAACTAATATGTCATCAACTAAGGAAAGATTGTCCCCTAGTGATAAAAGTGTTTGTTTAGGAAAAAGAAACAATATCTTGAGGCTTAGTGTCACCCCATTTCCTGTGAAATATTTCTACAATAAGCATTAGGAAAAAAAGAGAGGGATACCCAGCGACCATAGGTGGAAAAAAGCAGAGCCTGAGACTCAAGGCCAAAGAATTTATTGATTCACCAACCACTTACCTGCTGCTTGTCAATAACCAGAAGGCAAGCACTAATGTGCTTTAAAAGTGTAAAGAGAGGGAAAAATATGAAGGAAATAAAATTGCAAATATTGTGTGTGAGCCATGGTATTCTTGAGCGAATATTTCTTACATCATCATTACATCTCTGAAAACATTAACAATTTCACACAAGTGTTTCTTTTAATTTTCAAAAGCACTTTCTTATACATTATTCTACTGGCTCCTCCCAAGAACTCAACAAAGTAGGCTGAACTGGTATTATTGATCTTATTTATCAGATGAAGAAACTGAAGAATAGAATATTCATGACTTGCTTAAATTCATGCAAATAATTTGTGCTCCAAGATGAAAACCCATTTTCCCACCCTCCTAGAATGGTAGTTCAGTAGTTCTCAAAATATAGTCCCCAGAGAAGCAGCCTCAGCATCACTTGGAACTCGTTGGAAAGGCAAATCTTCAGCCCCACTCCAGACCTACAGAGTCAGAACACTGGAGATGGGGCCCAGCATTTCGTTTGTTCATAAGTCTGTCCGGTGATTCTAACACACGCTCTTTTGATAACCACAGGTCTAGAGATATGCTGTCTATTTACACTAGAAAGACAAAACATTCATATGTTGTAAATTTTAGGTGAATTATAAGACACAAAACTATTATGGCATTGCTTTCTATGCCCTATTTTGTGAACATGGGTTATTTATCACCCTAACCTGAAAAGTAGAAACTCACTCAACCTAAAAAAAGAAAAGGAAAAAAAAAGGATACAGAAGAAAAAAAAGCCAAAACTCAGTTCTAACATTGTATTGATAGAACTAGTTCTAGCCTGGATGTTAAAAAGAAAAATGTGGTTGCATTACAGACTGCAGGGCAAGTAGCAACCATTTCCAGTGGGTAACCTAATATACCACAAGAGTAGGCAGAATCTTCATAAAAAGGCAGTGAGAATAAGAGCTACTCCTTAGTGTCTGTCATTTGGTTCTTGTGGGTCCTAGTAATGATGTCCCTATAAGTCATAGATTTTTCTGGAGTGGTTTTATTTCAAATATTCTATTCTGGCAAATCCATAACCCATTTCAATGTTCAAAATTTTGATCTCCAAATTATATATCTGTGATGGGTTTTTACATTCAGAAGCAATCCAAAATCCTTTTGTAAGTCATGTTCTAGAAAATTCTACATGTTCTAGAAAATTCCAGAAAATGTAGGCAGTAATAATGAATAAGTATAGCTGGATTTATATAGTCGATATGCTGCTAAAAAGGATAAAATAAAAACATCAAATTTTAAATGCCCTAGAAGACTTTTTTACTAAAGAATTCAATTGTTTGGTCAAACAAATGATTTTTCTCTAATTTATCTTCACCAAATTTGGATGTTCATGTACCATTGTGTTTTAAAATGGGTAGAAAAATCACATGATCATATCAATCAAGGCAAAAAGGATGTGACAATATTTAACAGCCACTCATGACAAAAACTGAGCAAACTAGAAATAAAGGAGAACTTCTTCGACTTGATAAAGTTCATCTACAAAAACCCTCCAGCCACCACAATACTTAATAATCAAAGATTGAATGCTTTTGCCCTAAGATCAGGAACTAAATAAGGATACCTTGAAACACCACTCTTACTTAACATAGTACTGGAAGTTCTAGCCAGTGGAATAAAGCAAGAAAATAAAATAAAAGGCATATACATTGAAAAGAAAGAAATAAAACCATCCCTATTTGCAGATGACATGATGGTCTATATTGAAAATCCCAAAAAACATAACAAAAAAAAATGCTCCCCCAAATAACTTTTACAAATAACTGAGGTCAGCACATTCACAAGGTACAAATAACCAAAATTAATTGTATTTTTATATACTAGCAATTAACACATGGAAACCAAAAGATAAAACATGACATTATTTATAATCACTCAAAAACTGAAATACTCAGGTATAAATCTAGCAAAAAATGTGCAGAACTTGTACAATGGCAAGTATAAAATTCTGTTGAAACAAATCAAAGGTGATCTAAATAAATGATGAGACATACTGTGTTCACTAAACACTGAACATAGTAAAGATGCCAGTTTTCCCAAATGATCTATAGATTAATGCAATTTCTATCAAAATCCCAGCACAATATTTTGCAGATATATAAAACATTACTCTAAAATGCAAAAATTTGATGTAAAGCATTTCAACTAGAACCTGGTAGATAGTAAAAGATATACAAATGTTAGCTAATATTACTATTGGTAATAGTATAGAAGTACTACACTTATGTGAATGTTCATTGAATAGTTCATAGACTTTAAGTTATAGATTCCATCAATCAAATGAGAGAGAGAAAAAGACAGATAACTAAAACTACTCTCTCATAATGAGTTTACAAAACAAAATTCCAAAATACTGAGGAAAACTTTTAGCAATAAAGAGAACCAACATAATTGATAATTAGCAAATATCATATTATGGGACAGTTTGACAAATACTTTAACATGATTATGATTTTTAAAAAAAGACAAATGAGGTCTGTTTTGTCTTGCTATGTCAAAATCCTGCTGATTACAACTAAAAACTGGACAAAACACAGAGAAAACCAACTACCTGAGGACTTCAAAGAATAAATAATGGCAGGCAGATTGTGGAGGGAAGTAAATTTAGAGAAATAACCCACAAGGGTTTGAATTTCGGAGTTTTAAAAATAACTTTTATCTTACAGAATTGCCCTGAGAGTAGGCTGTTTTTAAAACTATAAAATAGTGTAGACTATTCCCATAGAAAGCTCATCTTACTGGCTAGAGAAATCAGGAAAGAGAACATTGGGGTTATAGAGTGTAAGGAGAACCCTGGAGAGAAGAGAAGCAAAGAAAGGGATTTCCTAATTCTGTATATAAACCCACATAATCTTAGGATCATTCTTGGGCTATGCATGTGTGCACCCAACCAAAACCAGAACAGCAAAGGCCTAGCTAGAAGACTGAACTGAGATTGAAACCACGTAGCAGGTAACACAGAAACTGCAATTTGAACCTAACTGGGTTAATATACAAAACAAACAAAAATAAAATAACCCTTCAGAACACTATAACAGGGCTCAGAGTCTGTATACCAGAACACATGTACGTAATACAATTTAAAATTACCCAACATACAAAGAACCAGAGGAAATGTGATCAATTCTTAAGAAAAATGATGACCATCAGATGCCAATCACCAGATGACCTAAATATTGGGGAAAAATTAATTTTCAACCAGATATTTTAACTGTGTTCCATGAGGTAAAGGTAAATATATTTGAAGTATATAGGAAGAAAAAGTTCTCAACAGAAATATAAGCTATAAAATATAATTAAATAGACCTTCTAGAATTGAAAACTATAATACCTGAAATTTTAAAATCATTGGATGGGGATTCAGTAGTACAATGGATATGACAGGGAAGAGTCAATTAATTTAAAGATAGAGCAATAGAAAATATACAATCTCAGGAACAGAGAAAAAAATAATGAATATTGAACAGAGCTTCTGGTATTTGTAGAATAATACCAAATAGCATGACATATATGTCATTGGGAGTACCAGAATAAAAGCAAAAAACAATTGACATGCAACAACTATATGAATAAATAATGAGACAAATTTTCCCAAATTTAGTAAAATACAGACATTTGTAGATTTAAGAAGCTCATCAGACCCCAAACAAAACAAATTCAAATAGGAATATGCCTAGACACACCATAATCAAACTTTTGAAAATGAAAGTAAAGAAAAATTCTTGAAAGTAGCTAGAGAAAAATGACATACAGGGGAACAAAGATTTAAATGACTTATGCAGGGGAAAAAGGCAGACAGGAGGCAGGACTAAATTGCAGCTCCCACTCAAATGAACAGAGCAGGGTGTGGAAATTCACATTGTGAACTTTTGCTCCAAAAACTATTACAGGCACATACCAGGAAAGCCAAGAGAATCCACAGCTACTTTGAAGGAAGTGGATTGCTCCTGCAGGACCTGGGAGACAGCCCAAATACTGTGAGTGCCCAAGTGTGAAAGTGGGAAAGGGGGATTGTCTGCCTCCGAACACACACCCTCACTGGGGAATCTGAAGGTCCAGATCACAAAAGAAAAATTCGACCTTACCTGGGGCTGAGATAATTTAGAGAGCCAAGCAAAATACAGGAGTAGAGGAAGCAGTGGGAAGATTCCTGTGGGCTCTCTGGGTCCCCAGGGAAGTCATTTTTGATTTTATATCACAGTGGTCCTTTGGAAGGGCTGCCAGAGGAACTGGGAAAAGATCACAGGGAGAAAGAAATCTCCAGCTCAACTTTGTTAAGAATTCCAACCAAATGCAGAGTTTCCTAGACAGAACTCGAGGAAGGGGGTAAATCTGGAGTGCAAACATGGGCAGGTGGGGAGGTGTGAAATCTGAAGCCCTGCTTGCTTCCTGCTCACCCACTGCCTGCAAACAAACTTTGTGCTGTTGGTGGCGGGGGCATGGTGGGAATGAGACCAGCCTTTTGTATTCCAAGGGAGCTAGGTGAGGCCTGTACTGCTGGCTTTCCCCACTTCCCTGGCAACCTGCATGACACAGCAGAGGAAGCCATAATCCTCCTGGGAACATAACTTCATTGACTTGGGAACCACAACCCCATCCCCCAAAGCAGCTAGGGCAAGCCCCACCCAAGAAGAATCTGAGCTCAGACACACCTAACCCTGCCCCCACCTGATTGTCTTTCTCTACCCACCCTGGTAGCTGAAGACAAAGGTCATATTGTCTTGGGAGTTCTAGGGCCCCACCCACCATCTGATCCTCCCTATACTATCACAGCTGATGCTTTCTTGAAAGCGCCACCTCCTGGCAGGATGTCAACCAGCACAAAACTAGTGTAATAAACAACAATGATACAACTAAAGACCCTCACAGTGTCCATTTTACTCCCCTAACACCTCCACCAGGCCAGGTGCTGCTATCCACAGCTGAGAGACCTGAAGATGGGTCACATCACAGGACTCTGTGCAGACACACCAGTCTGTGCAGATGCCTACCAACCTGGAACCTGATAGTCCCGCTAGGTGGCTAGATTTAGAAGAGAAAAAAACAATTACTACAGTTCACCTTGCAGGAAGCCACATCCCTAGGAAAAGGGAGGGAGTACTACATCAAGGGAGCACCCCATGGGACAAAATAATCTGAACAGCAGCTCTTGAGCCCCAGGTCTTCCCTCTGACATAGCCTACCCAAATGAGAAGGAACCAGAAAAACAATTCTGGTAATATGACAAAGCAAGTTTATTACCCTCAAAAAATGACAGTAGCTCTCCAGCAATAAATCCAAATGAAAAAGAAATCCCTGATTTTACAGAAAAAGAATTCAGAAGATTGATTATTATTAAGATAATCAAGGAGGCACCAGAGAAAGGTGAGGTCTGATTTAATGAAATTAAAAAAAAGATACAAGATATGAAGGGTGAAATCTTCAATGAAATAGATAGCATAAATGAAAAACAATCACAACTTCTGGAAATCAAGGACACAGTTGCAGAAATGGAAAATGCACTGGAAAGCCTCAGCAATAGAATCGAACAAGAAGAAAGAACTTTACAGCTCGAAGACAAGGTTTTTGAAATAACCCAATCCAACAAAGACAAAGAAAAAAGAATTTTAAAAAAATGAACAAAGCCTCCAAGAAGTTTGCGATTGTGTTAAATGACCAAATCTATGAATACTTGGCATTCCTGAGGAAGAAGAGAAATCTAAAAGTTTGGAAAACATATTTTAGGGAATAATTGAGGAAAACTTCCCCAGCCTTGCTAGAGATATAGATATCCAAATTCAAGAAGCTCAAAGAGCACCTGGGAAATTCATCACAAAAAGATCATTGCCGAGGCACATAGTCATCAGGTTATCTAAAGTCAAAACAAAGGAAGGAATACTAAGACCTGTGAGGCAAAAGCACCAGGTAACCTATAACTAAAAACTTAACAGATTAATAGCAGATTTTTCAGCAGAAACCCTACAAGTTAAAAGGGATTGGGGCCCTATCTCTAGCCTCCATAAAAAAAAAAATTATCATCCAATAATTTTCTACCCAGAAAAACTAAGCTTCATAAATGAAGGAAAAATAGTCTTTTTCAGGCAAATAAATGTTGAAAGAAAACACCACTACCAAGCCAGCACTACAAGAACTGCTAAAAGGAGCTGTAAATCTTGAAATAAATCCTCAAACTATATCAAAACTGAACCCCCTTAAAGCATAAATCTCACAGGACCTATAAAACAACAACACAGTAAATTTAAAAAAACAAAAAAAAAAAACACACCAAGGTATTCAACAAATAGCATGATGAATAGAATAGTACCTCACATCTCAATGCTAACATTGAATGTAAATGGCTTAAATGCTCCACTTAAAAGATACAGAATGGCAGAATGGATAAGAATTCACCAATCACGTTTCTGCTGTCTTTACAAGACTCACCTAACGCAAAAGGACTTACATAAACCTAAGGTAAAGAGGTGGAAAAAGACATTACATGCAAATGGACACCAAAAGAGAGCAAGAGTAGTTATTCATATATTGAACAAAACAAGCTTTTAAAGCAACAGCAGTTTAAAAAGACAAAGAGGGACATTATATAATGATAAAAGACTTCATCCAACAGGAAAGTATCATAACCCTAAATATATATGCACCTAACACTGGAGCTCCCAAATTTACAAAACAATTACTACTAAACCTAAGAAATGAGATGATAGCAGCACAATAACAGTGGGGGACTTCAATACTCTATCGACAGCACTAGACAGGCCATCAAGACAGAAAGTCAACAAAGAAACAATGGATTTAAACTATACCCTAGAACAAATGGACTTAACAAACAGATATTTATGGAACATTCTACCCAACATCTGCAGAATATACATTCTATTCATCAGCGCATAGAATATTCCTCAAGCTATTCTATATGATAGGCCACAAAACAATTCTCAATAAATTTAAGAAAATTAAAATTCTATCAAGTGTTCTCTCTGATCACAGTGGAATAAAATTGGAAATCAACTCCAAAAGGAAACTTCAAAACCATGCAAATAATGGAAATTAAATAATCTGTTCCTTAATGATCACTGGGTCAACAATGAAATCAAGATGGAAATTAAAAAATTCTTTGAACCAAACAATAATAGTGACACAACTTACCAAAATCTGTGGGATACAGCAAAGGTGGTGCTAAGAGGAAAGTTCATGGCCCTAAATGCCTACATCAAAAAGACTGAAAGAGCACAAGTAGACAATCTAAGGTCACACCTCAAGGAAACAGAGAAAGAAGAACAAATCAAACCCAAACCCAGCAGAAGAAAAGAAATAACCAAGATCAGAGCAGAACTAAATGAGATTGAAACAAAAAAATACAAAAGATAAATGAAACACAAAGCCGGTTCTTTGAAAAGATAAATAAAATTGATAGACCATTAGTGAGATTAACCAAGAAAAGAAGAGAGAAAATCCAAATAAGCTCAATTAGAAATCAAATGGAATATATTACAACCAACACCACAGAAATACAAAAGATCATTCAAGGCTACTATGAACAGCTTTACACACATAAACTAAAAAACCTGGAGGAGATGGATAAGGTCCTGGAAAGATACGACCCTCCTAGCTTAAACCAGGAAGAATTAGAAGCCCTGAACAGACCAATAACAAGCAGCAAGATTGAAATGGTAATGAAAACTTGCCACCAAAAAAAAGTCCAGGACCACACAATTCGCACCTGAATTATATTAGACATTCCAAGAAGAATTGATACCAATCCTATTGACATGATTCCACAATACGGAGAAAGAGGGAATCCATCTTAAATTATTCCATGAACCCAGCATCACCCTAATGCCAAAACCAGGAAAGGACAGAACAAAAAAGAAAACTACAAACTGATATCCCTGATGAATATAGACACATAAGTCTTTAACAAAATACTACCAACTATATACATACACACACACACACACACACACACACACACACACACAAATACCCCATGGAATACTATTCAGCCATAAAAAGAAACAAAATAATGGTATTAGCAACAACCTGGATGGAATTGGAGACCGTTATTCTAAGTGAAGTAACTCAGGAATGGAAAACCAAACATCGTATTTTCTCACTCATAAGTGAGAGCTAAGATATGAGGACACAAAGGCATAAGAATGGTACAATGGACTTTGGGGACTTGGGGAAAAGGGTGGGAGGAGGGTGAGGGATAAGAGACTACAAACTGGATATAGTGTATACTGTTTGGGTGATGGGTACACCAAAATCTCATAAATCATCACTGAAGAACTTAGTCATGTAACCAAACACCACCTATTTCCCAAAAACCTATGGAAATAAAAAATTAAAAAAACAAAATAAATAAAAACAACAGAAAAAACTTATTCGGGTTTTTTATTTTATTTTGTTTGTCTGTTTTGTTTGTTTACCAAAAACCATGGAGGCCAGAAGACAGTAGAATAATGGCTTTAACACCCTGAGAGAAAAGAACCTGTTTCTATGAATTGTTAGCATATAGTCCCCATTTTTCTATTGTGTTTTTGTTCATATTTATTCACAGAATCGTTCTGTCTATTCTTAATACTAAAGCTTTGTCTTTTATATCTGTAGCAAATATTTTCACCCAGCTTCTATGTTGTATTTAAACTTCGTTAATGGTTTATTTTCTTGTATAGAAAGTTTTAGTTTTGATATACTCTATTATATCAAACATTCCCTTTCCAGCTTTGTGGTTTTCGTATTTTATGAAGAAGATTTTCTCAACTTTGTAATAACATCATTTTACCAAGAAGTAAGATTTTGCTGGATTTTCATCTGTTTTCCTTTTTAGGGGTCCTCAAATTCTGATCCAGATTCTCATTAGGAAGGCAGGGCCTGATAACTGAAAATTATGAAAGGTTTCATCTAGCAAATATCCACACATGAACACAAATAATACCGGGGATATCTGAATTAGACCAGTGGATTGCATCTCTCTCGTTGTGATATTGTATTATAGTTTTGGAACATGTTATTAGGGGAGGAGGTACACAGGATCTTTCTGTATTCTATCTTATGACTGCATACAAATCTACAACTAACTAAAAAAGTTTCTTAAAAGTTTAGAATATCCTCTTTTAAACCTTTAAGAGAGGATATTCTAAACTACTGTTTGGAAGACAATCCCCAAGGAGAAATTACAAAAATATCTTAGCAATGACTATTATCTCTGAAATAATCATATAGCCTTTAAAGGGCATTACTTAGAATAGGAAACCGCTGATATATTAAAGTGAATTCCTGACCTTACTTTTTTTTCAAGAAATTTCTTTCTTTCCTTCCCTAGCCAACTCCACAGATTTCTAACATTTTAAAAATATTGGACACTTTGCCAAGCTCTTCACATTTAATCTCATTCATACCTGACAGAAACTTCTAAGACAGGTATTACTTCGTTCCCTATTTGAAGAAACTAAGTCTCAGAGAGGTTAAATAAGTAACTTTAGGCACACACAACTAGTCAGAAAGGATTCGCTTCCTCATTCTATCTTGGTTACACCTCTATTGGTCATCTTGCTTTCCATTTCCAAGGTGAAAACAATTGTCCTGTTTAATTTTCTCACTTATAAAATCTTATTCTTGTTTTTCCCTAGGGCTATACCAGTGGGAAGTTATAAGGTAAATACTTTTTTACTTATCAATGCTGTATGTATGTCCAAAAGTAATTATGAGAGATGCAATTTTCAAATTAAATAAGTAAGAAGGCTGAAAGTTTCCTGAACACGATGAAGAGAAGAATAAAATTGATTGCTCATTTAAACAGCCCCTCTGGAGACACTACAATTGATGGGTTTCTATCACCCCTTTCTCTAATACTTTCTTTCTTCTTGGCACAAGACTTTCATCACTTCAAAGAATGCTTTGGGCATTAAAAAGAGCTGAAGGAGTGTGTAGTCTGTAATGGAGATGAATTGAACATAACATACTTAGGTTACAAGATAATTTCCCCAGGTCATGAGGTCTTCGAACTTTTATGTTAGTATACCTATAAAAAGTTGCATTAAACTAAATACCCCTTTATATATTTTTAAGTTGACCTTTAAATTGTTTCATTATAATGTTAAGCAAGTATGAAGAATATCTTTTACATTTGGACATTTTTAAACGAACTGTCACATCATTCTTAAAGGTATCCATTCGATTCTGTTACTATAGTGTTACTCATCATTTATTTGAAAAATCATTATGTGAACAAGCTCTTTTTTAACTGTCAGAAATTTTATACTATTTCCATATTTTACCTTTCAAAATCTTTTAATAACCTATTTTTTCTATGCAGTAAATATACATATTTAAATTGAAATCTATTTTTTAAAAACTTCATTTGATCAAACAACATTACATATTAAAATTTTCTTCAGGGTTGAATTGTCATTACAATTGTTGTTAGAAATAATGATCAGAAACAACAAATACATTACAGATTTTGATAAACAATTATTAAAGAAAATTTAAGCCCAGTATGCATTAGCTATTTATCCTGATGTTCTCCCTTCCCCCATCCCCTGACAGGCCCCAGTATGTTTTATTCCCCTCCCTGTGCCCATGTGTTCATATTGTTCAGCTCCCACTTATAAGTTAGAATATGCAATGTTTGGTTTTCTGTTCCTGCATTAGTTTGCTGAGGATAATGGCTTCCAGCCTCATCCACGTCCCTATAAAGGTCATGATCTCGTTTCGTTTTATGGCTGCATAGTATTCCGTGGTGTATATGTACCATATTTTCTTTATCCACTCTATCACTGATGGGCATTCGGGTTGATTCCATGTCTTTGCTATTGTAAATAGTGCTGCAATGAACATACGCATGCACATATGTTTATAATAGACTGATTTATATTCCTTTGGGTATATACCCAGTAATGGGATTGCTGGGTCAAATGGTATTTCTGTTTCTAGATCTTTGAGGAATCACCACACTGTCTTCCACAATGGTTGAACTAATTTACATTCCCACCAACAGTGTAAAATTGCTGCTATTTTTCCACAGCCTTACAGCCTTGCCAGCATCTGTAGTTTCTTGAGTTTTCAATAATAGCCATTCTAACTGGCAGGAGATGGTATCTCATTGTTGTTTTGATTTACATTTCTCTAATGATCAGGGATGTTGAGTTTTTTTTAATATGTTAAACAAAAGTACAATCTTAACAGAAATGTGCTTTTTAATGAATGGATGGCATTACATTTATACAATTAATTTATGTATCTCTGAATGAATGGTACTTATTCTTAGAATGAAATAATTCAACAAGAACTCACTTTCTCTGATCTGTTTCTATAAACATAAACCCTGAGAAAACTTGTCACTTAAATAAAAGAATGAGAATGGATTTGTCATAAAACCATCACCTAGTTCTTAAACTCATTCTAAGTTATATGACAACAAAATTCACATAGTGTTTTATCATCAAAAATTATTTTTAATAACCTATCAGCTAGTACTCTGTTTATGTCCTTTAATTTATTGATAATAAAGAATTTGAAACTCCTGCATTATAAATGATACTGTTACACAGTCTTAAAAGTCATTCACTTTCTCAACTTTATTACCAGTACTTTAAATTACCCTTCAGTTGGTACTCAGAGGGGAGGTTGTTATACCCAAGGACAATGAGCTATAATAACATTTAGCATGAGGGCCTTTTTTCTCTAAGAAGGGATAATGGGTATTGCGAAAGGGGAGGTGGGAAAGGGAACCAGCCTCAACTTCAGGTTTGTTCTTGGCAGACCACTTACTTAAAAAGGAGCTCAATGAGGCTGAGGATCTGGAAATAATAATTTCCTAAAACTTTGCTGGAATTTTTAGTACCTCTCTCCTGCTGCAATAAACATATGTAAATTTGAAGACCACTGCTCAAGGTCACTATTGCCTAAAATTTTGAGGAAATTTCATAGTTTAGTATAGTGGAGACCATATTGGTTCAAACTCTGGCTCATCTACTTTCTAGCTCTTTGATTTGGGGCACACATTACTTAACCTTTCTGGGCTTCAGTTTCTTCATTTATAATAAGGAGACTAAAATGGCACAGATCTCACAGGACTATTATGTGGATTAACTGGATTAATATGTGTAAAGTACTTATAATAATGTTCACTATTATCGTCATCATCACCATCCTAGCAATGTCCAGAGAGCTGAAAGAGAAAGGGAACAAAATATGGTTAAGAGGGAAAGAAGGAAAATGTCAGGGGTGTGTGTTTGTATGTGTTTATGTGCACAAGCACTATGATGTAGGTACATATTGGAATCTAGAAATAATTAGAAAAGTCAATTATTTGAATGCAAGCTCCTTGAGGGTAGCTGATATTTATTGTCCCTGTAACTCACCACCAGTTTTTCCCTTTCATATATCCTAATACGTTGCTATATCCATACAGACTCAATAAATATTTGATAATTGATCACAGAATAAAGAGCATTCTTTATTGCTGGCATGTTAGGTCACAAGATACAAATAACAAATTGTTAGAAGT
Organism: Homo sapiens; assembly: GCF_000001405.40. Taxonomy (NCBI): domain Eukaryota; kingdom Metazoa; phylum Chordata; class Mammalia; order Primates; family Hominidae; genus Homo; species Homo sapiens. Next base: position 42,607,601 of record NC_000023.11, on the reverse strand, counting down.
AGTGCAAGTCCATCCATCCACAGTCATGATCCTGGAAGACCAGAATCTCTCCTAAAACTGTTTTTCAGAATCCTCGCCTCACTCCACTCCATTTATACTTGCTAATCCTATTTGTCTGACCTAAAAGCTGCATAATTTTTGAGCCCCAGTACAAAATGAAAATGAGGGCCTCCTGTTCAAAAAGTGTCTATAAAGATACTAAAAGATAAAGCCTTTTCCTTTCTTCTGCAGTTTCTTTCTTGATTTGCTAAGATTTTTTATCAGCCATTTAATGTGATTCTAAGCAAAGAAAAATTCAAATTTTAAACTATTGCATGAATTTTACTGTTCACTTTTATATTGTACAATGCTAGTTTTAACTGCAAATATAAGAACATTTAATTCATATGTGGTATCACTAAAAACACCCAATATATATTTCATAGTTCATACATGCATATGTATTTTATTCTTACCAGAACAGTAGAAACACTGGAAAAATGAACTTAACTGTTTTTATTTCACTTCTTCATACACACACACATTCTACCAGCACTCTCTACCCTCAGCTTACTAGTGAGTTAGAAAGGTCTGAGAGAAAAGAAAAAATAACTATGGGTTGCTCATCATTTCCTTCTTTGTCATCATTTTCAGCATAAGTGGTTGGCTAATACCAGAATATAATGTGAATAAGAAAGAATATAGTAGATTTTCCTGGTGATTTGTATTTCTTAGAATACAATGTCCTTCCTTCTGCATTCAAGGAAAGCTCTAATTCAAATAGAAAACATGGCCTCCTGGGGCTGTCAGTGTCCTGGCCTATTGTTCGTAAATGTAGCCTGCTTATCTTGTATTCACTCTGAGTCTCACTGAACTCCCATGGATAGCTAATCCACAGGAATCGGGGACTCATGTGCCATCATGAAAACTACATGTGAACAGGGACACCAGCAATGGCAGACACACACATATCGTGCGTGCTTCTTCCCTGCTCACATGCATGTTCCTTTGTCCATCAGAATTCACTAACAAAATAAAAGAGATAAAATTACCAATAACTTCAAGACAGAGTCATCAAAGCATTAAATCAAGTTCAGGGCCCTTCCGAGCCCAGGCCCTGTGTGACTGCATTGGTCACACACCCATAAAGCTGGCCCTGCTCCAAACTTTTCGGTTGTCATATTTCTTCCATGGATATGTGTCCAGTCTCACTGCTTATACACTTGACTGAGAAGAGCTTTCTCGTTAGGTAAATCCTCTGTAGTATCAATGCAAATCCACCACTAAGCAGCAAAATTCAGAGCTGCTAAAATCCCTTCATTAAAACCCTTTTTCTGGAGCTTTCAGTTGCCTTGAGACTTCCCGTGGCTATAAATTAGTGGTGAACACAGACACATGCCTCCCAGATCTCCTTTTGTGGAAGGGTTTGTTGCCTAGCTCTCAGCTCCTTCAGGGTCTGCCTCCACTGCAAAAAGCCACCTCTCCCAAGGTTGTATCTTTCCTGGCCTTGGCTACATCCAATGACTGATCAAAATTGGGATATAAACACCCAGACATTTTGGTCCAATGGGAGTAGGTTTGCCAGACAAAATATTGCATGGGATAAATATTGCATGGGACATACACATACTAAAAAGTGATTTGTGATTTTATCAAAAATTTGATTTAACTGGGTGTCCTGTATTTTATTTGCTAAATCAGGCAACCCCGATTGGCCCTATGGTCCCCTAAGCCCCCTGTGGGGTCTGCCAAGGCTTTGCCAAGTCTGCTTTGCTGTTCAACGTCTCCCTCTGCCTAATCCTGCTTCCTCCCTCTCCCTAATAAATACTTCTTATGCCAAATTCTATCTCCCCTATGCTTCCAGAAAATCCAACATGCATCAACATTGAAATTTAAACCCGGATAAAGTCACCTTGTAATCTCTTGAGAAAGCTGTTCAGTCAAATCTGAGCACAAACCTAGGATCATTCACCAACTACTAGTACCTAGCAGCAACTAGGATAGATATTTAAACTAGGAAGACCCAGAAGAAGAAAGGCTTCAGAATGAAGATAACAGATGTTACAATTTGAGTTTTTTGTTTTCACATCATTATGAATACATATTTATACAATATGAATACATATTTATATACACAGACACAAATATACATATATTAATACATATACATATATAAATATATAGTTGTTTATTAATAACAATAATTAGAAATGGCTATTTAAATAAAAAATAGTTTTAGCCTAAAGCAATTGGTAATTGTACCATTACCAATTTCTTGAGATCTTAAAGAAAATCAGGCAGGAAATATAAATAAATGAAGATACATTATCTTAAAAACCAGGAATATGAACTATTAAGTTTCTATTTGTTTTTGGTTAAAAATCAATAAATGATGGTAATTAAGAATTTGGCTTCTGGAGTTTTACAGAGATGAATACATATTCTGACTTTGTCATTTAGCTGCAAGACCTCTGGCAAGTTATAACTTTTTTAGCCTCAATGTCCTCATTTGTAAAATGATGATGATAATAATAATACTTGCTCCAGAAGGATGTCATGAAGTTTAAGAGAAATACAGCATATAAAACACTTAGCTCAAAGCTTTTCTCATATTTTTATTAATAATAATTTTTATTGTTAAAATAAAGGGAAAATCTTTCTTCATGCCTGGATCTTATTAGGCAATAACCATGAAGGGACCAAGCGTACTTTCTTGGCTAGGTTAACATTACATTTATCACCTTCATTTTTACATTGCAGAAGTCTTATTCCAGTAATGCAAATTCCCAATTCTAGTGAAAATGCCCGGACACATACTGAGTTAAAAAGGTATTAATATTACAATGGTTATTAATGTAGTGACAACTGTTTTTGTTATTTTTATTTTCTTCTCAATATACCTGTAGGAGCATTTGCTAATGACAGAATATTAGTCTAGACAAGAAAATCAGCCAAATATAAATGATTAATTTCTAATAGTAACCTGCTAATAGACTAGGTTCTTGTTTTCCTTTGGCAAAGACACATATTTTGCTACATTTAAATATTTATTTATTGCACAAATATAGTAGCTCATTTCCAGGGAAATAGTGACAAACAAGGTAGGCTGGGAGCTCCTAGTTAGTGTGGGTTGGCCATAGTGATTTTGGAAAGGTCACATGAGAGGTTGCCAAACAAGGATTTGTCAAACTATGAAGGTGTCTTCTCACAGAAACATTGCAATTCTGATGGGTTTGTTACTATCTTCAGGATAGATTTCAAAAGTTTGCATACAGTATAAAGGTTTGAAAATTAATCCTCTTACGATTCTCCTAGAATCGCTTTGATGTGGTCTGGGGAGATACTGATATCCCTATATTAAGTCTGAGAAAACAGAAGTTAAGGAAAATTGTTACCTCAAGCAAGCTCCATTGGTCTTCTGATAGCAAGGTAACAGTCATACCCTATCCCAGTCTTTGCCCAACCTGCCTGGTCATAAGAAGCACTTGGTATATTGCTTTTGGAGATTCTTGGCTGACACCTAAGAATTCGTATTTTTAACAAGTACATCAAGTGATTCTTCCATCAGACAAATTTGGGGAACCATTAACTTCTTCTGTACTCCATTTTGTTTTAATAAATAGTTCCCTTTGGCCTTCCAAATATTAGGCTCAAATTCAAGCCACCTCACCATCATAAAGAAAAGTCTTATGCATCTTAGTGACTACTTCTTATCAAACAGACTAAATTGAAAAAGGGAACAGAGAGGCAGTTGAATTTGCCAATAGAGTTCAGTGTTAATGAAATAGGCCTTTTAGACATCACTATAAATCCAAGAAAACATTTGTACTGAGAAGGAAAGTAGAGCCACCTTCGCAAGCATTTACAGTGGGTAAGTACTTATGTATTTGTGATTTATTTGCTTATACTTTCATTCACTCATTTATTCATTCATCTAACCAACATTTACTGGGCATTTACTCCACACCAAGCACTATACTGAGTATTGGAGAACAACACCAGACATATTAAAAGATACTTCTACTTTAAATTACTGCCAATGGCCAGCCCCATAAGATAGACAGGACTCACATATCTCTAGAATTTTTCCTAAAGTGCTTATTTGCACTCTCGACCATGGTGCCCAGAAAAGTGGAATTTAAAAGAAGCACATGATTCTAGAATCTCTAGCTGCTTGTCTCAACTTGTTCTTTTTAAGAAATGTAATATGCTAAGACATTTATTGAATAAATATCTCTATTATACTATAAAGGGATTGTTTTCCAAGAAAATCAATCAAACGCTTTCATAACTTGTTACTAATAACACTAATATAGAATACTGGGTAAACTAGTTTGGATAACTTCCCAAAATAATTGGGTTTTCCAGGAACATTACAGAAGACAAACAGCAAGATCAATAAGTCCTGAGGTTGCAAGAGTCATTATTGATTTATGACCTTGTTTACTTCCCAGCAAAATAATTGCTATAGAGAAGTTGGTTCATGTTTACACATCATAATAATCTTACGATAAAATCTCTCCCAGCCCAAAGTTTAAATACTGGAAAGAAAAAATAATTTTAAAAAGCTTATTCTTGTGCTGAAGTTTATAATTAGTAATACTTACAATTCATTGAGCACCTGCTTTATAGCACATGCTTTATATGAGTATAAATTTTTTAAATAATTAAGCAATTCTGCAAGAGTTATTGCTATCCTTATTTCATAGGCCAAGGAAACTCAAGTTCACAGCTGTTAGATAACTTGCCCAAGGTCACAGGAACCCAGAAAGTTGCAGAGCGAGGATTCAAACTCAGTGTTTTTTTCCTGAGCTTTGACTCATCCAAAGATCACATGGCTTGGCCTAGGGAGAGCTTAACAGACTTTAAGAAATGTAATGTGCATGGTGGATACAATAGGTCATTTGCATATTCATTACCTCATTGAGTTTTTACCTGGGAGTAGAATTCCCATCACCATTTCCAGAATACTGACATTCCTGTGAAGGTATATCTCAAGACAAAAAGGTCAATCAGAGACCAATGAGAGCAGTATGCATGGTTTGGCCATAGAGAGTACTGATTTTAGTATTGATTCAACATTCAATGTTGATTAAAAACCCTTTCTGCCTAAGGATTTTCTTTAAAAAAAAATTATTCCTCTTTAGGTATGTACAACTTTGTATGGTTATTCTTTCTTGAGGGCCCACGGAGTTCTGCCTATTTTCTGTAACCGCAGACAAGTCCTCTGGAACCCACTACTTCACAGCTGTAATTCTTGCAGCAGTTTGTATCCCAATTAGATAAGTAAGGAATTTGTATAGTTGACCTCATTTCACTGGTATGCAGCTGAGGTGCTAAGAAATTAGATAGTTTTCTGAAAGTCTGTGGCAAGAATGAACATAGAGGGAAATCTTTTATCTTCCTCTCTATTCAATAACGGAAGCCTTCACATTGCCAACAAATGTTTTACAGCCACTGTGATAGGAATGACATGAGAGACTAGAAGAAGAGAAGCTTCATGTGGTACCTATTCTCTTAATCTTTTATCACTGATTGGTTGAATATAGGAAATTATACCCCTTCTATATTGTCCACAATCCAATGAAGCACAAGACTGCAAAGAACAAAAACTTGGAGATGGGTTGATTTCTCAGGTTCTACACTCTCCACTCCAATTTGGAGTTCTTGCCTTCCCTTTCTGCCATGTTTTAGGAACAGAAAGAGACCACAGATACCAAGGCCATGAATGGGACTTTAGAGAATTATTTTTCTGGGATTACCAGTGCTTTGTGCCAAGATATGGACAGGATGGTAAGACAAATTATTCTATTACTTTTCACATATTTGTTTTACTCAAAGATGGAAAGGTAAGTTGTCTGTCCTCCTTTAGACTTTAAGATCACTGAAGACAGAGATTGCATCTGTTTTACTCACCATTGTGATAGGAATGACACTATTATCTCAAATAGTGCCTGGCACATAATCATCAAATACATGTTGAATGATTGAATACATGAATAAGTTATCATAGCTAGTATTACAAGCATTCCTCCCCGCCAAACCCCATGCCCTGCCCCCTGCCAGGATGAGTGATGAATGGGCAAAAATGAGAACTTTAATTTCCCAATTCTACCTTCACTCTATGGGAGAAGCAGCAGAATTGACTCCACACTGAATCCTCCTCTTGTCACCTCCACAGGAGGAAGGTGAAGCACTGTGCAGTTTATTTCAATTACCTAAAGTTGGATTTATCATGAAGCAAGTAAAACTCACACAGTTCCTTTCCAAGGCCATAGAAGAGGCATAAGCAATGTATTAACATTATGTATTTTGGAATAATGGCAAAATAAGATAGTTTAATCATGCTCTGCTAAAACCACTGACTATTTTTATGACAATTTTCCATTCTGTCACATTTCTACTCATGTCAGGTAGCAATGGAGTGGGCACAGACATTTCAGAGGGAACTTGAGTTGGGCTTAATTTTAATTTGGAGTTAGCGAGATATATTTATGCGGGAGACAGTCACTGCGTAGAGTTAAGCTATTGTTAGCCAATCAAGGGTAAGAATGGGTTCCAGAAATACTTCTGCCATCCATTGTGCCAACTAACCCAGAACTACTATGCCAATGAAGGGCCAAAGTTTTTATGAAATAAGAACACAAACTATAGTGTCCAGCATGGGAAATATAAAGATAGAGGAACAAAAACACACTAGAGGAAAGACTGAATTACCTTCTATTCTCTTTATAGAAAATGGTATTATAAAAAGGTTGCATATGAAGAGGAAATAAAGGAGTACACAGCCAAAATATAAAAAGAAAAGTATTATAGAGATATGTAAGGCAGCTAATTTATAGTAATATTATGTTGTGTTTCAAGATTCTTTGAGGTTTGTGATGTTAATTTCTTAAAATTTATTCGATGCAATTTCTCAAGACATTTTACTTTCATATAGAACTTCACATTTATAAGTTTGAATTGTTTTTCTTAAAGAGGATCCTTCAAATTGTATCATCTTCAGGTCCCACAAAACCTAGATCTGTTTCTGGCTAACAATCCTTATCCCAAGTTAATGCAGCCATGTCAGGATTTACTCTGCAGCAATAGAAATTCAGCACTCTACTTCAAATACTTTCCCTTTTTTCATCCGTTTCTTTTACTCCCAGCTGTCTCTCCTACCTTCACTTGGCCACTACCCAGGGTTCCCTCTCCATCCAAAGACACTTAGGATGCTTTTATTAACATTATCAATGAGTATGGATGTTAATTATGGAAATTAAATACTAGTGTCAACAGTAATCAAATGAATCATACTCCACCGTGTTTCATAAAGTATAATCTTTAGCAGAATTAAGTGGTATCTATTTCTTTTCTTTTTTCTTTTTTTTTTTTTGAGACACAGTCTCGCTCTGTCGCCCAGGCTGGAGTGCAGTGGCGTGATCTCGGCTCACTGCAAGCTCCGCCTCCCGGGTTCATGCCATTCTCCTGCCTCAGCCTCCCGAGTAGCTGGGACTACAGGCGCCCGCCACCACGCCCGGCTAATTTTTTGTATTTTTAGTAGAGACGGGGTTTCACTGTGTTAGCCAGGATGGTCTCGATCTCCTGACCTCGTGATCCACCTGCCTTGGCCTCCCAAAGTGCTGGGATTACAGGCGTGAGCCACCGCGCCCAGCCAGTGGTATCTATTTCTATGGTTAAAGAATAAGTATATGTGTACCGTGAAATATTTATGTGTTTGAGAAATATGAAGGTATAGTGTTTCAGGTACATTGTGAATTAATGGGAAGAAAAAACTAAATACACAGACAGACATATATACACTTAGGATAAAAGTTTTCAATAATTTTACCAAGTATATAGAATGAGGTGACCGTGCAGAGTATGAGCAGATGTAATATATCTTCACATGGCTTTCCGGTCATACCTGGGTTTTCTACAGAATATGAAACTGCCTATGTCATTCTCCATGCAGGTAGTCCTCCAGAATTGAGAAATAATCCAGATCTCACTATACTACTTCCTTCTGAATTCATGGACTTACATTATCATTCTGGAAGAAGTGACACCAACTACTCTGTTTAAGAAATTGTTTACAGGCATGAGCTTTTCATGGTGTGCTGAATATTTTCCATCGTCTGTCTCAAATCCACTCTGGCCTTCCCCACCCTTCTCTGCACTCCAGGAAACTGACCTGTATGAACTCTGTCAACAGGCTTCATTGCCTGGCTTCTGGTTGGCTTCAGCCAATGAGAGACACTGGCTGAGACGGAAAGATGAAAGAAGAATCAGGCTGGGATATTTTACTTCCCTGGCTGCCTCTCTACAGGATCACCATGGATTGGCTGCTTCCTTTTATGGAAAGCTGTTGCTGTCAGGCTGCCCTCTTAATATAGATCCTGTCTCTGTGCCCTCCTCTTGCACTTTCAGGTCTAATGATGGTTATGGGTCCCCACTGTTGCTAGATGTGGAGACCTACACTATCGTTTGTTGGTTTTCTTATCCCTATGCCCATGAATTTAAAAATATTCCCTTTATTACACTTTCCTCAAATTGCCCAGTTTGAGTAGGCCCTTTTATTCAGCTAGAATGCTAACCAAAAGAGCCAATTTGTAAAACAAACTCAGCATCATCAAGGTGACATCTCATCTTCATGAGAGGGAGTAGAATCAGCGTCTAGGGATCCCCAAATGCCTTCTCTTCTCATACGGCCCTAGAGTCACAAAAAACATATATCCCCACAGGAATGCCCCTTCATAGAGGGTTTTAGAAAATGTCAGATATCCATTTTGGAGAAACCAGGAGTTAAAACATACACCTGGAGAGGCCAGTGATATAATTAGGGAGCAAATGTGAAGAGGAAACAAAGGTATTTGGTTGTAAGTTTTGAACATGAATGAACAAGCTTGATATTTCTTATGTAGCTTAAAGTTTCATTATTCAAAATTGATGATTCAGTTTCACAATACAGAAAAAAAGCAACTGGCACCGCTAACATTACATTTATTTTCCATGACTACTACAAGGTGGATTATCTCTGCAAAATAAGCTAATCTTACTGTGAAAACACTTTTAGTCCCTCTTTAGCAAGCAAGGCTATTTTTGAAATAGTATAATTATCTAATGATCATTGGTAAATGAGGCATTAATAGAATCAATGAAAGGAAGTAAAAATTTGCACAGAAATGGGACTCTCTCATTCCAGGTAAAATCCCACTGAGGCCCGATTGCCACAAGCCAGTGACCAGTGATGACTGTGGTTGGAATTATTTTCAGGGAAAATCATAATAATGAATAAAAAATTATCCCTCTACCTAGAAGATAATTTACCTAAGTCTCCCAGTCTGGTTTTATTTTTCTTTCTCTTTTTTACCTCTTTTTACCACATATCACCAGGTATTTTTTAAAAGTGTATATCATGAAGCAGAGAGATCCAAATAAATGCACAATAATAAAAAAAGTATTTTGAAAGATTAAAATGTTATTTAATTGATAGAAAAAGGAGACCATGAAAATGAACAAAGAACAAGAAAGAGCTTTATAAAATAAATGAATAACATAATTGCTGAAATTTCTAAAAAGTATGTTGAAGATGGAAGATAAAGTCAATACAATCTTCCAGAAAATATATAAAAGCTAAAGATATAGAAAAGGCAAGAAATATTTAGAATTTTTTTTTTCATTTTTTTAAGCTAAAGACTTTATTTTTTATTTTCATAATTTTAACTTTGACTTTAGATTCAGGGGTACATGTGCAGGTTTGTTACCTGGATATATTGCATGATGCTGAGGTTTAGAGTACAATTGATCCTATCACCTAGGTACTGAGCATAGTACCCAATAGTTTTTCAACCCTTGCTCCCCTGACTCTCCCTCTAGAAGTCTCCAGTGTCTATTGTTGCTGTCTTTATGTTCGTGAATACCCAGTGTTTAGTGAGAACATGTGGCATTTGGTTTTCTGTTCCTGAGTTAATCTGCTTAGGATAATAGCCTCCAGCTGCATCCATGTTGCTACAAAAGACATGATTTCATTCTTTGTTACAGTCTTGTAAGATTCTATGGTGTAAATGTGCCACATTTTCTTTATCGAATCCACTGCTGATGGGCACCGAGGTCGATTTCATGTCTTTGCTATTGTGAATAGAGCTGCAATGAACATGTGAATGTGTGTGTCTTTTTGGTAGAATTTTTGATATATACTCAGTAATGGGATTTCTGGGTTGAGTGGTACTTCTGTTTTAAGTTCTTTGAGAAATCACCAAACTGCTTTCCACAATGGCTGAACTAATTTACATTCCTACCAACAGTGTGTAAGTGTTTCCCTTTCTCCATAGCCTTGCCAGCATCTATTGTTTTTTGACTTTTTAATAACAGCCATGCTGACTGATGTGAGCTGGTATCTCATTGTGGTTTTGATTTGCATTTCTCTGATGATTAGTGATATTGAGCATTTTTTCACGTTTGTTGGCCATTTATATGTTTTCTTTTGAGAAGTGTCTGTTCATGACTTTTGCCAATTTTTTAATAGGGTCATTTGCTTTTTGCTTGCTCAATTGTTTAAATTCCATATCGATTCTGGATGACAGATGTTTCTCAGATTCATGGTTTGCCAATATTTTCTCCCATTCTGTAGGTTGTCTGTTTACTCTGTTGATAGTTTCTTTTGCTGTGCAGAAGCTGTTTAGTTCAATTAGGTCCCACATGACAATTTTCACTTTTGTTACAATTGCTTTTGAGGACTTAGTTGTAAATTCTTTTCTAAGGCTGATATCCAGAATGGTGTTTCCTAGGTTTTCTTCTAGAATTCTTATAGTTTGAAGTCTTACATTTAAATCTTTAATTCATCTTAATTTTTGTATATAGTGAAAGGTAGGGGTCCAGTTTCATTCTTTTGCATATGGCTAGCCAGCCTCTCCAGCACAATTAACCGAATAGGGAGTCATCTCCCCATTGCTTATTTTTGTTGACTTTGTCCAAAATCAGATGGCTGTAGGTGTGTGACTTTATTTCTGAGTTCTACATATTGTTTCATTGGTGTATGTGCCTGTTTTTGTACCAGTACATTGCTGTTTTGGTTACCATAGCCTTTGAGTATAGTTTGAAGTCAGGTAATGTGATGCTTCCGACTTTGTTCTTTTTGCTTATGATCACTTTAGCTATTCAGGCTCTTTCTTGGTTCCATATGAATTTGAAAATAGTTTTTTCTAGTTTTGTGAAAAATGACATTGGTAGCATGATAGGAATAGTGTTGAATCTGCAGATTGCTTTGGGCAGTATGGACATTTTAATGATATTGTTTCTTCCAATCCATGAGAATGGAATGCTTTTCCACATGTTTGGGTCATGTACAATTTCTTTCAGTGGTGTTTTGTAGTTCTTTTTGTAGAGATTTTTCACCTCCTTGGTTAAATGTATTCCTAAGTATTTTATTTATTTCTAGCTATTGCAAATGAGATTGCGTTCGTGATTTGACTCTCAGTTTGAATGTTATTGGTGTATAAAAATGCTACTGATTTTTGTAATTGATTTTGTATCCTGAAACTTTACTAGAGTTGTTTATCATTTTTAGGAGACTTTTGGCATAATCTTTAGGGATTTCTACGTATATAATCACATCATTCATGAGAAGAGATAGTTTACCTTCTTTTCCTACTTGGATGGTTTGTATTTGTTTCTCTTGCCCAACTGCTCTGATTAGCACTTCCATTACTATGTTAAGCAGGAGTAGTGAGAGTGAGCATCCTTGCCTTGTTCCATTTTTTTTTTAACAATGAGATAAATATTTTATTCAACAAATTTTATTTATTTATTTATTTATTTATTTATTTTTATTTTATTATTATTATACTTTAAGTTTTAGGGTATATGTGCACAATGTGCAGGTTAGTTACATATGTATACATGTGCCATGCTGGTGTGCTGCACCCATTAACTCGTCATTTAGCATTAGGTATATCTCCTAAAGGTATCCCTCCCCCCTCCCCCCACCCCGCAACAGTCCCCAGAGTATGATGATCCCTTTCCTGTGTCCATGTGTTCTCATTGTCCAATTCCCACCTATGAGTGAGAATAGGTGGTGTTTGGTTTTTTGTTCTTGCAATAGTTTACTGAGAATGATGATTTCCAATTTCATCCATGTCCCTACAAAGGACATGAACTCATCATTTTTTATGGCTGCATAGTATTCCAAGGTGTATATGTGCCACATTTTCTTAATCCAGTCTATCATTGTTGGACATTTGGGTTGGTTCCAAATCTTTGCTATTGTGAATAGCGCCGGAATAAACATACGTGTGCATGTGTCTTTATAGCAGCATGATTTATAGTCCTTTGGGTGTATACCCAGTAATGGGATGGCTGGGTCAAATGGTATTTCTAGTTCTAGATCCCTGAGGAATCGCCACACTGACTTCCACAAGGGTTGAACTAGTTTACAGTCCCATCACCAGTGTAAAAGTGTTCCTATTTCTCCACATCCTCTCCAGCACCTGTTGTTTCCTGACTTTTTAATGATTGCCATTCTAACTGGTGTGAGATGGTATCTCATTGTGGTTTTGATTTGCATTTCTCTGATGGCCAGTGATGGTGAGCATTTTTCCATGTGTTTTTTGGCTGCATAAATGTCTTCTTTTGAGAAGTGTCTGTTCATGTCCTTCACCCACTTTTTGATGGGGTTGTTTGTTTTTTTCTTGTAAATTTGTTTGAGTTCATTGTAGATTCTGGATATTAGCCCTTTGCCAGATGAGTCGGTTGGGAAAATTTTCTCCCATTTTGTAGGTTGCTTGTTCATTCTGATGGTAGTTTCTTTTGCTGTGCAGAAGCTCTTTAGTTTAATTAGATCCCATTTGTCAATTTTGGCTTTCGTTGCCATTGCTTTGATGTTTTAGACATGAAGTCCTTGCCCATGCCTATGTCCTGAATGGTAATGCCCAGGTTTTCTTCTAGGGTTTTTATGGTTGTAGGTCTAACGTTTAAGTCTTTAATCCATCTTGAATTACTTTTTGTATAAGGTGTAAGGAAGGGATCCAGTTTCAGCTTTCTACATATGGCTAGCCAGTTTTCCCAGCACCATTTATTAAATAGGGAATCCTTTTCCCATTGCTTGTTTTTCTCATGTTTGTCAAAGATCAGATAGTTGTAGATATGCGGTGTTATTTCTGAGGGCTCTGTTCTGTTCCATTGATCTATATCTCTGTTTTGGTACCAGTACCATGCTGTTTTGGTTACTGTAGCCTTGCAGTATAGTTTGCAGTCACGTAGCGTGATGCCTCCAGCTTTGTTCTTTTGGCTTAGGATTGACTTGGCGATGCAGGCTCTTTTTTGGTTCCATATGAACTTTAAAGTAGTTTTTTCCAATTCTGTAAAGAAAGTCATGGGTAGCTTGATGGGGATGGCATTGAATCTATAAATTACCTTGGGCAGTATGGCCATTTTCATGATATTGATTCTTCCTACCCACGAGCATGGGATGTTCTTCCATTTGTTTGTATCCTCTTTTATTTCATTGAGCAGTGGTTTGTAGTTCTCCTTGAAGAGGTCCTTCACATCCCTTGTAAGTTGGATTCCTAGGTATTTTATTCTCTTTGAAGCAATTGTGAATGGGAGTTCACTCGTGATTTGGCTCTCTGTTTGTCTGTTGTTGGTGTATAAGAATGCTTGTGATTTTTGTACATTGATTTTGTATCCTAAGACTTTGCTGAAGTTGCTTATCAGCTTAAGGAGATTTTGGGCTGAGACAATGGGGTTTTCTAGATATACCATCATGTCATCTGCAAACAGGGACAATTTGACTTCCTCTTTTCCTAGTTGAATACCCTTTATTTCCTTCTCCTGCCTAATTGCCCTGGCCAGAACTTCCAACACTATGTTGAATAGGAGTGATAAGAGAGGGCATCCCTGTCTTGTGCCAGTTTTCAAAGGGAATGCTTCCAGTTTTTGCCCATTCAGTATGATATTGGCTGTGGGTTTGTCATAGATAGCTCTTATTATTTTGAGATACGTCCCATCAATACCTAATTTATTGAGAGTTTTTAGCATGAAGGGTTGTTGAATTTTGTCAAAGGCCTTTTCTGCATCTATTGAGATAATCATGTGGTTTTTGTCTTTGGTTCTGTTTATATGCTGGATTACATTTATTGATTTGCATATATTGAACCAGCCTTGCATCCCAAGGATGAAGCCCACTTGACCATGGTGGATAAGCTTTTTTTGATGTGCTGCTGGATTTGGTTTGCCAGTATTTTATTGAGGATTTTTGCATCAATGTTCATCAAGAATATTGGTCTAAAATTCTCTTTTTTTGTTGTGTCTCTGCCCGGCTTTGGTATCAGGATGATGCTGGCCTCATAAAATGAGTTAGGGAGGATTCCCTCTTTTTCTATTGATTGGAATAGTTTCAGAAGGAATGGTACCAGTTCCTCCTTGTACCTCTGGTAGAATTTGGCTGTGAGTCCATCTGGTCCTGGACTCTTTTTGGTTGGTAAGCTATTGATTATTGCCACAATTTCAGAGCCTGTTATTGGTCTATTCAGAGAGTCAACTTCTTCCTGGTTTAGTCTTGGGAGGGTGTATGTGTCGAGGAATTTATCCATTTCTTTTAGATTTTCTAGTTTATTTGTGTAGAGGTGTTTGTAGTATTCTCTGATGGTAGTTTGTATTTCTGTGGGATCAGTGGTGATATTCCCTTTATCATTTTTTATTGCGTCTATTTGATTCTTCTCTCTTTTCTTCTTTATTAGTCTTGCTAGCGGTCTATCAATTTTGTTGATCTTTTCAAAAAACAAGCTCCTGGATTCATTAATTTTTTGAAGGGTATTTTGTGTCTCTATTTCATTCAGTTCTGCTCTGATTTTAGTTATTTCTTGCCTTCTGCTAGCTTTTGAATGTGTTTGCTCTTGCTTTTCTAGTTCTTTTAATTGTGATGTTAGGGTGTCAATTTTGGATCTTTCCTGCTTTCTCTTGTGGGCATTTAGTGCTATAAATTTCCCTCTACACACTGCTTTGAATGTGCCCCAGAGATTCTGGTATGTTGTGTCTTTGTTCTCATTGGTTTCAAAGAACATCTTTATTTCTGCCTTC
Source organism: Homo sapiens (assembly GCF_000001405.40). Classification (NCBI taxonomy): domain Eukaryota; kingdom Metazoa; phylum Chordata; class Mammalia; order Primates; family Hominidae; genus Homo; species Homo sapiens. Next base: position 42,592,562 of record NC_000023.11, on the reverse strand, counting down.
ATTTCGTTATGTACCCAGTAGTCATTCAGGAGCAGGTTGTTCAGTTTCCATGCAGTTGAGCGGTTTTGAGTGAGTTTCTTAATCCTGAGTTCTAGTTTGATTGCACTGTGGTCTGAGAGACAGTTTGTTATAATTTCTGATCTTTTACATTTGCTGAGGAGAGCTTTACTTCCAAGTATGTGGTCAATTTTGGAATAGGTGTGGTGTGGTGCTGAAAAAAATGTATATTCTGTTGATTTGGGGTGAAGAGTTCTGTAGATGTCTATTATGTCCGCTTGGTGCAGAGCTGAGTTCCATTCCTGGATATCCTTGTTAACTTTCTGTCTCATTGATCTGTCTAATGTTTACAGTGGGGTGTTAAAGTCTCCCATTATTATTGTGTGGGAGTCTAAGTCTCTTTGTAGGTCACTCAGGACTTGCTTTATGAATCTGGGTGCTCCTGTATTGGGTGCATATATATTTAGGATAGTTAGCTCTTCTTGTTGAATTGATCCCTTTACCATTATGTAATGGCCTTGTCTCTTTTGATCTTTGTTGGTTTAAAGTCTGTTTTATCAGAGACTAGGATTGCAACCCCTGCCTTTTTTTGTTTTCTATTTGCTTGGTAGATCTTCCTCCATCCTTTTATTTTGAGCCTATGTGTGACTCTGCATGTGAGATGGGTTTCCTGAATACAGCACACTGATGGGTCTTGACTCTTTATCCAATTTGCCAGTCTGTGTCTTTTAATTGGAGCATTTAGTCCATTTACATTTAAAGTTAATATTGTTATGTGTGAATTTGATCCTGTCATTATGATGTTAGCTGGTTATTTTGCTCGTTAGTTGATGCAGTTTCTTCCTAGCCTTGATGGTCTTTGCAATTTGGCATGATTTTGCAGTGGCTGGTACCGGTTGTTCCTTTCCATGTTTAGTGCTTCCTTCAGGAGCTCTTTTAGGGCAGGCCTGGTGGTGACAAAATCCCTCAGCATCTGCTTGTCTGTAAAGTATTTTATTTCTCCTTCACTTATGAAGCTTAGTTTGGCTGGATATGAAATTATGGGTTGAAAATTCTTTTCTTTAAGAATGTTGAATATTGGCCCCTACTCTCTTCTGGCTTGTAGAGTTTCTGCCAAGAGATACGCTGTTAGTCTGATGGGCTTCCCTTTGTGGGTAACCTGACCTTTCTCTCTGGCTGCCCTTAACATTTTTTCCTTCATTTCAACTTTGGTGAATCTGACAATTATGTGTCTTGGAGTTGCTCTTCTCGAGGAGTATCTTTGTGGCGTTCTCTGTATTTCCTGAATCTGAATGTTGGCCTGCCTTGCTCAATTGGGGAAGTTCTCCTGGATAATATCCTGCAGAGTGTTTTCCAACTTGGTTCCATTCTCCGCATCACTTTCAGGTACACCAATCAGACGTAGATTTGGTCTTTTCACATAGTCCCACATTTCTTGGAGGCTTTGTTTGTTTCTTTTTATTCTTTTTTCTCTAAACTTCCCTTCTCGCTTCATTTCATTCATTTGATCTTCCATCACTGATACCCTTTCTTCCAGTTGATTGCATCGGCTCCTGAGGCTTCTGCATTCTTCATGTAGTTCTCGAGCCTTGGCTTTCAGCTCCATCAGCTCCTTTAAGCACTTCTCTGTATTGGTTATTCTAGTTATACATTCGTCTAAATTTTTTTCAAAGTTTTCAACTTCTTTGCCTTTGGTTTGAATTTCCTCCTGTAGCTCGGAGTAGTTTGATCGTCTGAAGCCTTCTTCTCTCAACTCGTCAAAGTCATTCTCCATCCAGCTTTGTTCTGTTGCTGGTGAGAAGCTGCGTTCCTTTGTAGGAGGAGAGGCGCTCTGCTTTTTAGAGTTTCCAGTTTTTCTGCTCTGTTTTTTCCCCCATCTTTGTGGTTTTATCTACCTTTGGTCTTTGATGATGGTGAGGTACAGATGGGTTTTTGGTGTGGATCTCCTTTCTGTTAGTTTTCCTTCTAACAGACAGGACCCTCAGCTGCAGGTTTGTTGGAGTTTGCTAGAGGTCCACTCCAGACCCTGTTTGCCTGGGTACCAGCAGCGGTGGCTGCAGAGCAGCAGATTTTTGTGAACCGCAAATGCTGCTGTCTGATCGTTCCTCTGAAAGTTTTGTCTCAGAGGAGTACCTGGCCGTGTGAGGTGTCAGTCTGCCCCTACTTGGGGGTGCCTCCCAGTTAGCCTGCTCGGGGGTCGGGGTCAGGGACCCACTTGAGGAGGCAGTCTGCCCATTCTCAGATCTCCAGCTGTGTGCTGGGAGAACCACTGCTCTCTTCAAAGCTGTCAGACAGGGACATTTAAGTCTGCAGAGGTTACTGCTGTCTTTTTGTTTGTCTGTGCCCTGCCCCCAGAGGTGGAGCCTACAGAGGCAGGCAGGCCTCCTTGAGCTGTGGTGGGCTCCACCCAGTTTGAGCTTCCCGGCTGCTTTGTTTACCTCAGCAAGCCTGGGCAATAGCGGGCACCCCTTCCCCAGCCTCGCTGCCGCCTTGCAGTTTGATCTCAGAGTGCTGTGCTAGCAATCAGCGAGACTCCGTGGGCGTAGGACCCTCCGAGCCAGGTGCGGGATATAATCTCCTGGTGTGCCATTTTTTAAGCCCATCAGAAAAGTTGGGGTGAGAGTGACCCATTTTTCCAAGTGCCATGTGTTACCCCTTTCTTTGACTAGGAAAGGGAACTCCCTGACCCCTTGTGCTTCCCGAGTGAGGCAATGCCTTGCCCTGCTTCGGCTTGCGCACGGTGTGCGCACCCACTGACCTGCGCCCACTGTCTGGCACTCCCTAGTGAGATGAACCTGATACCTCAGATGGAAATGCAGAAATCACCCGTCTTCTGCTGTAGACCGGAGCTCTTCCTATTCGGCCATCTTGGCTCCAGCCCCCGCCTTGTTCCATTTTTCAAGGGGAATGCTTCCAGTTTTTGTCCATTCAGTATGATGTTGGCTGCAGGTTTGTCATAGTTGACTCTTATTATTTTGAGGTAGGTTCCTTTGATGCTTAGTTTCTTCAGGTTTTTTTTTTTAATCATGAAGCGATGTTGGATTTTATCAAAAGATTTTTCTGCATCTATTGAGATTATCAGATAGCCTTTGCTTTTAATTCTGTTTATGTGGTGAATCACACATTGATTTGTGTATGTTGAACCAACTTTGCATCCCAGGAATGACATCTATTTTATTATGGTGAATTAACTTTTTAATGTGCTCTTGGATTTGGTTTGCTGGTATTTTGTTGGAGATTTATGAATATGTTCATCAGAAATGCAGGCCTGTAGTTTTCTTTTCTCATTGCGTCCTTGCTAGGTTTTGGTATCAGAGTGATGGAGGAATCCTTCCTCTTTGATTTTTTGGAATAGTTTTCAGTGGAATTGGTACTACTAGATCTTTTTGTACATCTGATTCAACTGTGAATCCATCTGGTGTGGGGAATTTTTTGGTGAAGTTTTTTTATTACTTATTCAATTTTGGAATCTGATATTGGTTTGGTCAGGGTTTCAATTTCTTCCTGACTCAAACTTAGGAGATTGTGTGCTTCCAAGAATTTATTCATTTCCTCTAGACTTTTCTAGTTTATGTGCATACAGGTGTTCATAATACTTTTTGAGGATCTTTTGTATTTTGGTGGGATCAGCTTCTCCAAAGCCCCAATCCTATGTATATTAACACCTACTATACATTTCCATTATTCATAGTAGTCTTCCAAATACTTAAAGACAGAAAACAATGGGCTACAGTAGTTTTCTTTTTGAAAATTGTAATCTTTACCTAACCTGGAAGAAAACTGAAGAATTTCTCTAAAGACTTTGAAGTCAAATCCTGTAAAGAAAAAGTGAAGGACCTTGGGGTTCCAGGATGTTTCCATCACTTCTTTGACTTTCTTGCTTGGGCATCAGCCTGTGGTTTTGATAAGTCCTGAAAGATTCTGTAGGAAGGCAGTGTACCCCTAAATGTGTTGTGTCAGATTTGTACATAGCATTTCTGTGTTTCTCAGAAAAGAAGTACCAACTTTCCTTATTCATTCCTTCACTGAACTAATATTTATTGAATGCTTACTATGGATAAAATTCTATACTGGGCATAGGTTAATGAAAGGGAAATAAGGAGGACTTAACCCCCAATCTAAGGAGCTGACTGTCCTTTTGGATGGTCACTGGATTATTCATGTTTGCTGGTGCCTGTACAACTTCTTTCAAGATGTCAGAACCCCTTTCTGTTAAGTATCTCCAGAAATGGTTACATTTTTCTGTTGTTCCCCTTTTATCCTTCCATCCTCTAGCCTCCTGTTCCCTGGTTTGAATTTTCCTCCACCTGCTCACATGTATTTTTCTTCTTGAATCTTTCTTTCATGTCATTTAGGAGCCATTTATCCTTTCACAATATCTGATATATAGTTAGTTCTGGAGACAATTTTGTAGAATGAATGAATAAATAAATGGACTGAAGTCATATGCAACTTTTAAGGCTGTGGGAGTAGATGTCTAAGGTGAAGGAAAGAACATCTCTTTCTCTCTCTCCCTTTCTCTCTCCCTTTCTCTCTGTCTCTCTCTCTCTCTCTCACACACACACACACACACACACACACACTTTTTAAAACCTCCAGCAAAATTACTTCTTTCTATGATCCTAATACATAAAATTCTTTGCTTCAGTAGGTATTCAATAAATATCTGACTGTTTGATGTCCTAAAGTTCACATGACAGTTACAAAAGCATTGACTGAAAATATGTAGATTTGATCTTCACTTCAAAAATGTTTTAGGATGGATTCTTAATGCATTTTGCATTAGTTTTAAAACTCAAGTGGCCACTTCAGCTTTGTGGTTTTGAAATCAAGTATTTGTTACTCTCCATGAAGTCATTGAATAGGTTGTTGACTATTTTATGAGACATTCTTGTTATCTCTTATTCTCTCTGAATTGCATGCTGATCCCTACTGGATGAGAGCAGCAATACTGTACGTGTATTTTACTCTATTGTTATGTACTTTTATATTGCAGACAGGCCCAAGAAAATCAGATTGGACTAATATATCTACACACTGAGCAATATCCAGGGCCCATAAAAATGACCAGTCCTCTTGGAATGAAAGCAGAGGTCACAGCTTTCTCTGACATCTCTCTTTAGGAGGGTCCACCTCATTAACAGCATCATCTCCCTTAGATTCTTCCCTGATGTCTAGCTTGAAAAACTCCCGCTGCTATGGCCTGGCCTCAATGCTTGTCTTCTGAGTTCTTCTGGGCATAAGCAGGTCATTCTGACTTACGATAGTCATGATAAATTAAAAATTTATAAGGAACTTCACCAAGAATCTAAAAGGAAATGAAGAAGTTACAAAAGTAGAATAAATGCCTAAGCGCACAGAATCCTGATCCTGACACCACAAGTCTGGCCAGAGATTGACTGCTTTGACATTAACTGAGGTTTTAAGCCTTTTCCTTTTCTCCCTCCTACTTTGAAACACTAGAATCCACACATTCTGAAAACTAGAAGGTTAACTTAGGATAGCTTCGGACAGGCACCTGCATGAGACTGGATGTAATTCTTGGTCCTCTCAAAGCCTATTTCTAGCTTTTCTTTCTGCCTGCCACCAACAAGCCACTCCCTAGGACCTGACACTCTCATTTTTTCATTTGTTCAGTCCACAAATATTTTTATTTGTTCTGTGCAGTGGTCACATACATCACATCATGATCATGGCTGTTAGGGATTTCACAGTCCAATGTGGGGCTTCTTTGCATCCTAGTGCTTACAAAAGAAAAAGTTTCCAACTCTCTCCAGGATTCCTTTCAACCAGCATATATTCTTTCTTGAGTTCTCTCTGGCTCTGGCACTGAAATGCCTGAAGTCTTACTGTCACCTCCAATACCATTTCCTATCTCTTTGTCTAATGCCAAATAGTAAGCCTATTGTTTTTTAATTTTTTTTATTTTTAAAGAATTAAAGATTCACAGAACATTGTGAAGAATAGTACAGAGAAGTTCCACACACACTGACCTAGTTTCCCACGGTGGTTACAGATAATGAAATTATAAGATCAAAAGCAGGAAATTGACATTGATACAATGTACGTGCATACTTCTATGCCATTTAGTCAGATGTGCAGATTTGTGTAACCACCACAGCAATCAGGATACAGAACTATTATCCCACCACAATGATCTCCCTAGTGCTACCTTTTTAGTCATACCTAGCCCTCCTCCCCACTATACCTAACCTCTGGCAACCACTAATCTGTTCTTTATCTCTATCATTTTGTCACATGAAGTATCTTATGTAAATAAGATCATGAAGCATGTATCCTCTTGAGATTGGCTTTTAAAAACACAACATAATGCCCTTGAGAGCCATCCAGTTGTTGAGTATATCAGTAGTTCATTCCATTTTATTGCTGAGTAATATTTCAAATTATGGAATGTACCATCTTTTGTTTATCTATTCACCTATTATAGGATATTTTGGGTGTTTCCAGTTTTTGGCTATTACAAATAAAACTGCTATAAATATGTACTGACTCACAGTTCTTTTTCACCACCTGAAAAAATATTGTGTCATTTCCTTCTGGTGTCCACAGCTTTGATGACAAATTTGCCATTATTCTAATTGTTTTCCCCCATAAGTAAGATATGGTTTTTCTCTATTTTTAAGATTTTTTTCCTTGTCTTTAGTTTTCAGAAGTTTATTTATGATGTGTCTTGGCATGGATTTCTTTGAGTTTATCCTGTTTGGGATTTGTTCAGCTTCTGATTCTGCGGATTTATGTTTCTTGACAAATTTGAGGAGTTTTTAGCCACTATTTCTTCCAGTACTTTTCAGCCTCACTCTCTTTCTCCTCTCCTAGGATTCTGATGACACAAAATCTTTTGTTATAATCCCACATGTCCCTGGAGTTCTATTAATTTTTGCAGTCTATTTTCTCACTCTTGTTCTGATTCGGTAATTTCTATTGCCCTGTTTTCAAGTTTACTGATTCTTTCCTCTATTCCTTCCATTATCATGCTGAGTCCATCCATCGAGTTTTTTAAAAATTATTTTTCAGTTCTAAAATTTTCATTTGGTTCTTTCTTATAACTTTTTATTTTTTCACTTACTTCAACCATGTTTGTAATTGCCCATTGAAGCATTTTTATGATGGCTATTTAAAAGTTTTCATCAGATAATTCTAACATCTGTATCATCTCAGCATTGGTATCCTTTGATTGTCTTTTCTCATTTCAGTGAGATTCTCTTGGTTCATTGTATGAGGAATTGTTTTTGATTGAAACCTAGACATTTAGGCATTGTCTTGAGTCTCTGGATCTTATTTAAGTCTTATGTTTTAGCAAGCTTCCTCTCACACTATTTAAAAAGAGAAGTACAGGTACCACCTTGCTACTTCCAGATGGGTTTTATGTCTACATTACCCACTCAGCTTCCATTGGCACCCAGAAGGAAGGGGTTCCTCATTACTGCTGGGTGGAGGTGGGACTTCTGGCTGCCCAGTAGGGCTCTGCTGATACCACCCTGGCTGGGAGAGGCAGGGGTAGTTCATTAGTGTTTCTCACATGGCCACCACTGACAATGTGGGGAAGACCTCATTACTTCTCAGTGGTGATGAAAGTCCTGGCTCTCCAGTCACCCTTTGCTGTGGCTGGTGAGGGTGGGGCCTTAGTTTTATCTGTGATGTTTGTCTAGAGTGAAATAGTATCAAAAATTTTCTCTCTTCATGTGCTGCCTTTTCTCTAATACTTTGGCTAGAGAGAGAAGGCTTTTATTGGGGATTTTATTTTTCTGTACTCATGGGCATTTCTGCATTGCCGGACTGTCTTCTTCTCTCCACATTGCAGAGCATTCTTTTCTTCTTTTTCTTTCTTTTTTTTTAAGATGGAGTTTCGCTCTTGTTGCCCAGGCTGGAGTGCAATGGTGTGATCTCAGCTCACTGCAACCTCTGCCTCCCAGGTTCAAGTGATTCTCCTGCCTCAGCCTCCCGAGTAGCTGGGATTACAGGTGCCCACCACCACGCCTGGCTAATTTTTTGTATTTTTAGTAGAGATGGGGTTTCACCATGTTGGCAAAGCTGGTCTCAAACTCCTGACCTCAGGTGATCCACCCGCCTCAGCCTCCCAAAGTGCTGGGATTATAGCCGTGAGCCACCGTGCTTGGCCCAGAGTATTCTTATATTTGTTTTCTATATAATGTTCAGAATTTCTAGTTGTATATAGTAAAAGTTAAAAAGAAAAGCACGTCTACCTACTCTTTCCTGAAATGGAAGTTGAGTCTATTGTTTTTAATGGTGCTTCTTCATCAAACCAGTCGAGATCTCTTAATCAGCAGGATAAATGGCCACCTGCAGTCTCCTTTACCAACCTCTTTCTAACCCACCACTCTGTACCTATTGACAAAAGACAATGGAGGCTTGGAGCAGGCCTCAGGGAAGGGGCTGGACAAATCAAAGGATGCACATTAATTTGACCAGTTTGGCTAGGCAGATGGGAGAAACAAATACATGGTGGAGTTGGAGTAGGAGAGAGAGCTGTCCCATGAGGAGATGGAGAGGGAATATAAAAAGCAAAGCAATTCAGTCAGTAACAAAAATGAAGTATTCTGAGGACGATTCTGAAGGCAATGAGGGTCCTTCTACCTTTTATCAACAAAATATTCTACTAAAAATCAAGCTCTATTTTTATTATCAGGGATTTTTTAAAGTTGCAGCTCTGCCTTCCAGGAGTTGACCACAGTAGAGGGAAAGACCTTATACTGTGTTATAATTGTCAATGGGCTTATATGGTTGCTGTGATGTGTGTGGTATGCCAAGGGAGGAAGCAGAAAAGTGTCTACTTTAATCTGGAGGGAAGAATAAGTGCATTTTGGGGTCTGGAGATAATTCCTTAAAGAAAGTCACAAACGACAAGTAAGAACCAGCCCACAAAAAGGCTCATGGAGTGCTACAGTGAAAAAAAAAAAAAAAGAAAAAGAAAAGTAAATTTATGATAGAGGCTACAGCCCATCCAAAGGCAATGACATGTGAGGCAATGTGGCAAAATAAATCGTTTTGATTTTATGAACACGATATCCTAGACAAGTGCTTCCCACATTTTGCATGTAGGAGAATCTCCTGGAATGTTTGTTAAAACAGCAATTACTGGTCCTCCACTGCACCCCAAGATTGTGATTTATAAAATCTGGTTAGGAGATCCAGAATTTCTAACAACTTCCCAAGTGATACTAATGCTGATGGTTTGAAGACCATACTCTGAGTAGGCTTGAGTAGCAAGGACCTAGACCACAATGAAAGGCTTTCCAAGGAAGTCCAGTATGGGTACCAACCACATCACCAAGGGATGTGGCTGTAGATTTAATTCACACCCTAAGTTATCATATCAGGCATCTCCAGGTTCCCAGCACAGTGAAATGCAATCTGAGTGAAATACAATACAGAAACTCTGGTTTAAGTTTAAGGGTCACTTTATAAGGAAATGTAAAAGTAAATTATTGTACAAATAAATGTGCTAAAGGACATTAGAAGAAGAATTATTTATTTACCGGTTAAGGGAATAGATTTCTTTTTGGTGTGGTCTCATTTTAAAATTATGTATATGTACTAATTATAAATCATTTTTATTTGCTCATTAAAGGAGACCTTTCACCAGGTGATTCTTGGTTAGCCTGTTTCTGCTTCTTTGTGAACTTCAAAAAACTAAAACCAGTTTTTCTTTCCACATGTTCTCTAGTGGCAATCCCCAAGGGAGACAGAAGTCATGAACCTTTGCCACCACACAAACGCCTTGAAATCTCCTCTTAACAACTGGGGAGCAGGGTACTGAGCCAAAGTCTTTGGACTATCTACTGTTTCTTTTCCCGATTAACTATTGCCAAGGATATTTTCAAAGAGATATACATACCATTTTCATAATTTGGTGTGTTGATTAAGAATTCATGGCCTCCTGATGTTTCTCGGCAGTCTGAAAATTTTTCTCTCAGCTGATGTTGTCAGGTGAATGTTGTGAAAATATGTTTAGAGCACTGTAAATGATGTCTCAGTGGGAAAACACAGCCTGAACTGATGAGTACAAATGGCTGTTAATGAGATAAACTGTTAATGGGATCTTTATGGGACATAGGCAAGCTGGGCATTTTGAAGCCCAAATTGTATGTATCTTTAAAAAATGTTACTATTTCCAAAGTCATAATTTATTACTTATAGGTATTAAAGATAATATACCGCTTAAAGCATTCTTACTTGAGTACTGCTGGATAGTATGTGACTCTGGTGGTCACTGGGAAGATATAACTCTGTTTAAAAACCAGGCTCCCGAGGAAAAATAAAGGATCTCTTGCTAGATTTTCCACATTATATTGACAGAGCCAATGCTAAGGGACATGACTGAGTGACATTTGATAGATGAACAAATGTTAAATGACTGAGTGAAACAAAACACAAAATATAATTTCAGGCCATTTTTACTGTCCACATGTGCATGGATTGATCATCCTATATGTCAAGATATAATTTATAAGGGAGAATATAAGTGTCTAACTTACAATTAGAATAAACAGATTAGGGGAGCAACATAAAAGTCTAAGAAATAGCTCTGAATTTAGAATTGTTTTTCAAATTTTCCCTGAAGCATGAAAAAATGTTTAATCTGTTAAACAGTTTTACCTCTCCACTATTATATAGTACCACAAGCTTTCTTCAGAAGTAACTGTACTTTAATGTCATCTAATTTTTCTGATGCACTTCAAACCATTAACTGAATATACTCCTGAGTATAGTATATGTTGTTTAAACAAAGCAAAAATAATGATTGAGCTAACAGTAACAACTAGTACTTGTTCATAGTTGGAGCTAGACTGTAGGGAGCCACAATGGAAATAATGACCTAAAGTTCCAGATTAAAAGTAGTGTTTGGCACTATAAAATATAATAGAAATTACCACAACTAAAAATGAGGATCTCAGCATAATAGAGTCTGTGCTTGGTTTTCTTCTCCAATCACTCCCATGAGACTCGATATCAGATATCAGCTAGAGAGAGTGCATAGTGTGAAATCTGCATGTGCTCTACTGACCCTAAGAAAGATCTGCCATAAGATGTAAACGAAAGAGAGAGAGAGAGAGTGCGTGAGAGAGAGAAAGAGAGAGAGCCTGAATCTGCACTGAAGGGCTTCTGGCCCATTTTAGAGAACATTGAACATTATTCTTGAGTTTTTACTTACCAAGTTGATTACATGGGTGTCACAAACAGGCAATTAGTCTGCTGTTTCAACTTCTCTCTATTGAGCAATCACCTTCAATGCATGTTATTTTCCTTGAGTAAACTGGGTATTTTCTAAAAGTTTTCAGTTGGCACTTTCTTCTCATTGATAGACCTGCAGAGCAAAGAAATATTTTGTAGAAGTCTGTACCTTCATTTCCATTGAAAAAGGAAACTGTTTCTCAGTTGGAAAAAAAAAATGTATACTTGGGAGAACCCTCCACCACCAACTGAAATCATTTTAGAATTAGAAGAAAAAACTTCTAATAAAATGCAAATGAACAAAGAGGACCTATGATCCTGAATGATATATTAAAAAATAATGCGCGTGATGTAAAGCAACTGGAGCTCTCATACATTGCTAGTAGTAATGAAAATTGGTAGACTCACCTTGGAAAACTCTTTAGTAGTATCTACTAAAGTTAAATTTACCCATATCATATGACACAGAGTTTTATTCCCAACAAAGAAATGTGTTTATGGTCACAAAAGAATGTTCATAGAGTAGTATTCAAAATAGCCAAAAACCGGAGACCATGTCAAATGTCCATTAGCAGTAGGCTGAATAAATAACATGTGTTATGTTGATACAATGGAATACTACACAACAATGAAAAAGAATAAACTAGTGCTACACGCAACAATGTAGATTATGTGGTGTGATAGGATTCATACAGAAAGGAATACATGTTATATAATTCCATTTATGTAAAGTTCAAAACCAGACAATATTTATTTTTGTTGTAAAAAGTCAGGAAAGTAGTTGCCTTTGGGCAAGGGTATTGACTGAGAGGGGGCATGAGGGAGTCTACTGATACGTAAATGTTTCATTTCTCAAAGTGGGTAAAAATTCATCAAGTTGTGTACCCTTTAGATACACGCACCTTACTATATGTAAACTATCCCTTGTTAAAAAATTTTTTAAAAAGTACTTGAACCTGGGCCAGACATCTTTAGACAGTTAACATAATACTGTATCTTTAGACAGTTAACATAATACCCTAGCCTCAGTTTTTATAAGAGACTGATAAAAAATATCTTTCCTTTAATAAGGGACATTAAGTAACACACTAGACAGTGGACTTGATTATGTTTTTGCAAAAGACACAAACATTATTTACTTAAATACCTACATGCAACATTGTATTTCCATTTAATTTTTAAGAGAAACTGTTTTCATTCATTGTTCATTCATTCATTCACATAGCAAATGATGAGAACTCACTATTGTCCAAGAATGTATTTACTCAGATAAATACATATATTTATTTTTTATTTAATTTTAAGGAAAATAATTATACATAATGTTTAAATGTTTGAAATATTTCATGTAGGCATCTATTAATGAATTTTTATTTCATTTTTACATTCCATTGTCTTACTGTATAAAGCTTTCAGCTTGAGGAACAGTGAATATAACATTCAGATATGTCTACACAATTCCCTCTGTCTCTTTTTTTTCTCTCTCTCATACGCATGCACACATTCATGCACATGGAAACAGTAAAGTAAAAATCTTCCACTGTAAAAAATAGTTTAGATATACTTATGTCATGTGGGCCTGTCCTGAGACTTTCAGTGCCATTTTTTCCTTAAAGGCCTAAATGAAGGACTTTACTATTTTAGGTCAGCTCCATGGGCCATGGTCCCTGCTAATAATTTTGTTGTTTATTTCATTGTGGTGAATGCCAGTCCTTGATTTCCAGTGTTCTGTGTCAAGTATACAGGTATGAAATGTAAAAGATGGGCAATAACAGATTCAGCCATCATTTGCTAGATTGGCTCCCAGCACAATTAATATTTATTAAATGCCCACAAGGAGGCATGAAATCATATTAGGTCTTATATCTCATACCAAACTCTCATTTGGACTCTCTTTGATATATAATTCAGGTTGACATGTCAATGAAATACTTTAAAAAGTAATTATATTCATGACTTTTTAGAGAAATTTCCAGCTGGGAAAGAGACAAGATCCCTGGTTTATGAGGCAGAGAAACAGAGTGAGTGAGAGAATAAAAGAAACCTATTTATGTTATTTACTTAAGTTTTATGCTATTAGTCATTTATTGAGCACCTACTACGTGTAGGAAATTCAGTGAAGTGGGTTATAATTCAGCTGGTCTGTGGAGCAAGCAATTAATTGCACAGCACAAATAATTATTCAATTGAGTCTGAGAGTACAGAGGCAGTGGGAATTTTGGTGTCAATCTTGTGAATCAAATTCCTAAATTTCCAATTCATAATCTTTTCATTCCTTTCACACCCAGCAGCACCAGATTAACACAGATAATTATAATTAAATTTTACTGCCATTTTGATGACTCCTCCATCTGCTTTGCCAGCTTAATTTTCTCTGGCCTTGCAGTAAAGCCTTTAACAGGAACATTGGAAGCAGGAGCAAATTTGAGGAAAGAGACTATTAGTTCTATTTACAACTTATTAAATTTGAGGTATGTATCAAGGGAAATTCAGGTGGAGGTCAAGTGAAATGGGAACACAGATGTAGCAGCCAATATTAAATTAACAGTGATGACATCAACAGGAAAAGCAGAGTAAGGATCTCCGTAATGCCAGTTCCCCCATAAAAGCAAAGAGAACACTGGCAAAAACTGTCAAAATCAACATTTTCAGAAGTCTGGAAATTAACCAAAAGGTTGCAACAATATGAGGAGCATTTATTAAAGAAAAATTACTAAATCTCATTAAGGGCAGTAAGCTTTGGAACATTTTAACTTTCCCTATTCCCATCCCAATAGCCTAGCAGAAGTTGAAAGGACAGAATGTTTTTGGAGTCTCCTAAATACACCATTCTTAGAGAACTGTCATTAGTTGATGTATCTAGCAGTTATCTGTAAACCCTCATTCGCAAGACTTGCCTTTATTTGACCTGACCCAGACTTCACTCAGTGCAGACAGTATAGAAAAATTCCTGGAGGCATTTGTGAAAACAATCAGCAGCAATTGTTCAACAAGGCAGCTGCCTGAAGTAGTGATAGCAATTGGAGCATACAAGAACCAGGCCAAAAAAAACAAAAGAAATTGTTAGAGAATGAGATGTTCACAGAGGACTTTGGAAAGATCCACTACATTCCTAGTAATCCAAGAAGGCCATGCACATACATAGGGCTGTGTGCATTCCCAAGGCTATGTTTACATACAGGAAAGAGCCTGAGAAGGCTCTAAGCACTCACCTTTAGCTGACATTGAGGTTTTGCGTAAGCAGGAAGTAAAGGCTATGATAGGGCTGTAAATTTCCTGAGTGTTGCTGGCATGGGCCAAAACACATACAGGGCCTTTCTGCAAAGACTGGGAGAATTACTGATTTCAGATATTTAAGGAAATCTCAGTCCAATAATTAGCTGACCGCTAAGCTAACAGAACAGAAACTTATGGCCAAACATGTCAAAGAATACAAACTTTACAGAATCAATTCATAAAAGTCACTAAGGAAAGATATAATAACAGCTACAACAAGTAGCAGCAACAAGAAACCCTAGGGAGAGGGCATAATCTTATTTTGAGAGTTACCACAATTTATTAAAGTGTCCAGTTTTCAACCAAAAATATGTGACATGAGAAGAAATATGAAATTGTAGCTCATATGCAAGAAAAGAAGCAGTGAATAGAAACTATACTTAAGGAAACCAGACATTAGACTTGTTAGACAAAATTTTAAATAAACTATTTTAAACATGTTCAAAGAACCAAAGGAAACCACTTCTAAAGAACTAAAGGAAATATGAGAATGAGGTCTGACCAAACAGAGAATATCAAAAGAGATAGAAATAGCTTTATGGTCCAGTCCTATAAGGTCTAAGAAGTCCAACAGTCTTCCTTCATTTTATGACATTTTCTTTGTTTTCTTTAGTCTCACATGGCAGTGTTTCTGCTGAATAGTCCCATCTCTATTCATGGCCTCTGTTGAGATGGCCAATTATGTCCATGCTTTACAAACACACTTTAGATTTAAAGATATAAAAAAGTTGAAAGTAAATAGATGGAAAAAAAAACATACCATGCAAACAGTAACTAAATGAGAGATGAAATGGCTATACTAATATCAGACAAAAATAGAGTTAAGATGACAAATTTGTCACTAAAGACAAGCAAGGACATTATATAAGGATAAAAGGGTTAATTCATCAAGAAGACAAAATAATTCCAAGCAGGTATGCATCTAACAACAGAGTCCTAAAATGTATGAAGGAAAACTTCACAGCATTGAAGAAATAGATAATATAACAATTAAATTTGGAGACTTCAATATCCACTTTCAAAAACAGAACAGGAATCAGAAAATCCACAACGAAATAGAAGACTTGAGCAACACTATAAATCAACTAGACCTAAAAGACATCTCTAGTACACTTCATCCAACAGCAGCAGAATACACATTCTCCTCAAGTACACATGAAACGTTATCCAGGTTAGACCATATATTAGGTCATAAAATAAATCTTAGTAAATTTAAGCGAATTAAAATTATACAAAGTATGTATTTCAAGCATAGTGGAATGAAATTAGAAAGTAATAGGAAATTTGGGAAAATTACAACTATATGGAGACCAACTCTTAAATAACAAATGGGTCAAAGAAGAAATCACAGGGAAATTCAAATATACTTTGAGATGAATGAAAACAAAAATACATACACCAAAACATATGAAATACAGTGAAAACAGTGCTTATAGGAAAATTTACAGCTGTAAATATTTTTATTAAAAATGAAAAAAGATAGCAAATCTGTTACCTAAACTTCTACCTTAAGACACTAGAAAAGGAAAAGCAACTTAAACCCAGAGCAAAGAAAAGGAAGGAAATAATAATGATTAGAGCAAAAATTAATGAAATACATAATAGAAAAACAATGAATAAAATCAAACAAATCAAACTTGGCTCTTTGAAACAATTAACAAAATTAATAAACCGTTAGCTATACTGACCAAAGATAAAAGAGAGGAGACGCAAATTCTTAAAATCAGGAAGGAAAGGGGGAACTTACATTGCCAAAATAAAAAGAATTATATGGGAATACTATAAACAATAGCATGTCAATAAATTACATAAATGAAATGGACAAATTCTGAGAAAGAAACAAACTACAAAATTGACTCAAAAAGAAATACAAAATTTGAGTATATCTATAATAAATAAAGAAATTGAGCTATTAATAAAAATAAACTTCCCACAAAGAAAAGCCCTGTCCTACATGGCTTTACTGGTGAATTGCACCAAACATTTAAAGAAAAATTAACACCAAACTTCACAAGCTCTTCTAAAGCAATAGAAAAGGAGGGAATATTTTCCATTTTATTATATATTGTCAGTATTACCCAGATACTCAAACCAGGCAGTCATGACAGGAAAACTACAGATTAACACACTTTATGATTATAGATGCAAAAGTCTCAACAAAATCCTAGCAAATGGAAACCAACAACATATAAAAGGGATTATACACCATGGCCAAGTGGGATTTATTCTATAAATGTAAGGTTACTTCAACATACAAAAAGCAATCAATGTGATACACTGTATTAATAGAATAAAGGATTTTTAAAAACCCACATGATTGTCTCAAAAGATACAGAAAATGCATTTGACAAAATTAAACACAACTTCAAGATAAAATCACTGAGCAAACTAGAAATAGAAGGGAATTTACTCGACTTGATAAAGGGCACCTAGGAAAAACACACAGCTAACACATACTTAATGGCAAAAAATTGAAAGTTTTCTCCCTAAGATCAAGAACAAGACAAGGATGTCTGATCTTGCCACTTATATATAATATTGTACTGGAGATTTTAGACAGGTCAATTAGACAGAAAAAAAATAAAAGCAATACAGATTTTAAAAAAGAGGTAAAACTGTATGTATTTACATATGACATGATCTTGCACATAGAAGATCCTAAGCAATTCACAACAAAACCTATTTGAACTAATAAATGAATTCAGCTATGTTGCAAAATACAAGATCAATATCCAAAAAATAGTTATAGCAAAGTCTAAAAAAGTCAACTGTATTTCTATACAGTAGCAATGAACAACTGGGAAACAAAATTAAGATAATTCCATTTATAAGAGCATCAAAAAGAACAAAATATTTAGAAATAGCTTTAACCATAGAAGTACAAGACTTTGCACTGAAAAGTACAAAGCATTATTTAAAGAAATTAAAGATGTAAATAAATTGAAAGACATTCCATGTTCATTGATTAGAAAACATAATATTATTAAAATGGCACTACTCCCAAAATTGATCCACAGATTCAATGCAATCCCTAACAAAATTCCACTTGGATATTTTACAGAGATTGAGAAGTTAATGTTAATGTTTTTATGGAATTACAAGGGATCCAGAATAGCCAAAACAATTTTGAAAAAGATGAAGTTTGAGAACTCACACATTTCTATTTCAAAATCAACTAGAAAGCTACTAGTAATCAAGACAGCATGGTACTAGCATAAGAATAGAGATACAGATGAAATAGAATTAAAAGTCAATAAATAAACTCTTACATTTATGATCAATTGATTTTCAACAAAGTTTCCAGAACAGTTTAATGAGGAAAGAATAGTCTTTTCAACAAATAGTGCTGGTACAATTGGATATCTAGATGCAAAAACAAAAAGTGAAATTGAGCCCTTCACATCATAGACAAAAATTAATTCAAAATGGATAAGAGACCTAGCTGTAAGCTACAGCTTTAATACTCTTAGAAGAAAATATAGGGGTAAAACTGTATTAGGGTTCTCTAGAGGGACAGAACTAATAGGCTATATATATCCTATCAGGGAATTTATTGGGGAGAATTGGCTCACACTATCACAAGTCCAAGTCCCACGATAGGCCTTCCACAAGCAGGGGAAGAAAGAAGCCAGTAGTTGCCCAGTTGGAGTCCAAAAAGCCTCAAAAGCAGGGAAGCCAATAGTGCAACCTTCAGTCTGTGGCCAAAGGCCCAAGAGCCCCCTGCAAACCACAGGTGTAAGTCTAAGAGTCCAAAAGCTGAAGAGCCTGGGGTCTGATGTTCAAGGGCAGGAGAAATGGAAGGAAGCATCCAGCACAGGAAAAAGATGAAAGCCAGAAGACTCAGCAAGCCAGCTTAGCCCACCTTCTCCCACTTGCTTTGTTCTACCAGTGCTGGCAGCCTATTGGATGGTGCCCACCCACACTGAGGGTGGGTCTTCCTCTCCCAGTCCACTGACTCAAACGTCAATCTCCTCTGGCAACACCCTCACAGACACACCCAGAAACAATACTTTACCAACTATCTAGGCATCCTTCAATCCAATCAAGTTGACACCTAATATTAACCATCACAAGTCTACCCCTTGTCAACTTGAACCCATACGCATCTCCTGAAATCATACTTAATCTCCAAATAAAGACAATAATAAGGTCATAATTATACCTAACATAGTACAGCTACCCTTTGTACAACTGGAAGCATATTAATACTTAACCTAAATGCTAATACAGAAAGTTAACAACATTTAAATGCTAATATGAAGTCAATAAATCTTATGTCACATGATAAAGGAAAAAGAAAGGAGATAAAACAAGGATATTTTCTTAGTACAGGTGTATACATACTCATGACAATTACAGTCTTTGTTTTTGCAATTGGTCTCATGGTCATAGCTTGTACTGATGACTACCTTATTCTACTACCCATTCTGTATTTCCTTGCTTTCAGCAAGCACCTCAGCTGGTCATGGTTTTTCACCTGGTGGAGTGACCCAAACCTTCATTCCTGAAGGGTCTGGACCACCTGTAGTCCTGCCTGGATTGGGTTGTTGTAGTTTCTCATTGATCTTAATCACAGGGTATGGTAATACTAAGAGACACCCTAAGGTATCTCCTGTATTCCACACATACTCTTCCTTACCTCCATTGTGTAGTAGTAGTCTGATTTCATCTTGATAGTCCAGGTCAATCACCCCAACCAGCACTGTAACTCCCTTCTTAGCCTGTTGACTTAGAGGCAGGAGGAGCTCAAAGTGGCCAGGTAGTCACCTTAACTTCCAGTTTAATGGAATCATTGTTGTGTCTCCTGGTGGCCTCCCTCTGGAACTAAGACCTCTAGGCCAGCAGAACATAATGTCGCAGGAACAGGAAGCAAAAATTTTCCTAGTGGGTCACTAGGGTTGGTGGTGAGTGGTGCCACTTCCCCTTCTACCCCTTGATTCCTGGACACATGAATCCTGGATACGGGAGAAACACTACCATATATTAGATGCTGATTCAGAGCATACACAGCCTTCTAGAGAATGACCTCAATTTGCCAGTGGAATCTTAGATATGACATCAAAAGCATAAACATGGAAAGAAAAAATAGATAACTTAGACCTCATCAAAATTAAAAACATTTATACACAAAGGATACTATCAAGAAAGTAAAAAGACAACCCATAGAAGAAGAGAGAATATATTTGCAAATCACATAAATCTGATACTGGAGTAGTATCCAGAATACACAAAGAGCTTTGACAGCTCAAAAAAAAAAAAAAAAAAAAAAAAAGGAAAGAAAGAAAAATAGTCCAATTTTAAAATGGGCAAAAGTAAGAATAGATATTTTTCAAAGAAGATATACAAATAGCCAATAAGCACATGAAAAGATTACCAACGTCATTAGTCATTAAGGAAATGCAAACTAAAATCATGAAATTATACCACTTCTCACCCATTAGGGTGGCTATAATTAAAATATAAAAACAGTAACAAGTGTTGGTAAGGATGTGGAGAAACCAGAATCCTCATACACTGCTGGTAGGAATGCAAAATGATGCAGCTGCTTTGGAAAATGGTTTGGCAGTTCCTTAAAAACTTAAACATTGAGCTAAAATATAACCTAGCAACTGAACTCCTAGGTATATATACAAAAGGATTGAAAATATATGTCCACACAGAAACTTGTACACAAAATTTCATGGTAGCAATATTTATGATAGTGAAAAGGTGGAAACAAATCAAATTTCCATCAACTAATGAAAGGATAAAATATGATATAACTATACAATGAAATATTGTTTGGACATAAAAAGAATGAAATTCTGATGCATGATACAACATGGATCTCTCTTGAGAGCATCATGCTAAGTGAAGGAAGCCAGACACAAAAGGCCACATATTGTATGATTCCATTTATACGAAATGTCTCAAATAAGCAAATCCGTAGAGACAAAAGGTTAGTGGTTGCCAGAGGCAGCAGGGAGGGAGGAATAGGGAGTGGCTGTTAATGGGTACAGGGTGGGTTCTTTGAGGGGGCAGGAGGGAGGTGATAAAAATATTCTGAAAGTACACCGTGATGGTGGTTGCACAACTCTGTGAATATAACAAAATCTATTGAATTGCATTTTTTAAATGCTGAATTTTATCGTATGTCAATTACAGCTCAATTGAAAGTGAAAAAAATGATTAACATATGTGAAAAAGAAAAGAGAAGAGCAAGGAAAACATACTCTTCACTGAGAGAATTGGAGGGATGGAAGCCACAAAACAGAGAAAGAGAAGGGGAAATCTGAGCCATAGAAGGGAAACCGAGAGAAGTTGTTGTCATGGGAAGCCAGTCGAAGGGAGAGTTTTAATAAGAGAGGGTGGTCATCAGAATAAAATTTTAGAATGGGAGAGGAGGAAGTAAACTGACAAGGTCATTTGATTGGACAATTTTGAAGTCTTTAGGAAACGTCAAGAGAATAATTTCAGTGAAGTGTTGACGGTGGTAGAAGTGAGTGAGTGTGAGCGTGAAGATATGTAAGTTGTGTGGTTACTTCACTCTTGCAAATACTTAAAGAAGAAATGGAATAAAATAAAATTAGAATCCAAAGGTGTAGCAATGTCATGGAAACGTTTTTAAACATAAAACAGATTTCCGTATGTGGGGGAACATAAGTGGGAAGTAATTGAATGAGTTATCAGAGGAGGGAGGAAAGAATCGGATTGAGCTTTCAACTCCTTGAGCTCAAAAGAGAGGCCATGTCTTTTTCGAGAGATGGGTTGAGGTTAGTGGTATTAGAAGACTACCATGAGGGTTCTTTTTTCCCCAATGTTTGCCACGGTGTGGTCCACAGACACTCCTGAATCAGAACTCATGGAATGCATATTAGAAATGCAGATTCCTGAGTTGCACTAAGATATACTAAATTAGAATTGTTAACATTGGGGAATCTGCACTTTAGTTTGAAAATTTTGGCAGGCATTCAACTGAAGAGTTAATAGATTTGTCAAGAAACCTCAGCTGAGGTCAAGAAGGTGTAGTACGTCACCTGGAGGGCATGTTGAACACAGATTACTGGGTCCCAGCCCCACAATTTCTAAATCAGTAGGTCTGGGGTGGGGTTCAAGAATGTACACTTTTAATAAGTTCTTAGGTGATGTGGATGCTGCTGGTCCAGGACCCATGTTTGGAGAACCACTGCTGTATGTAATCGAATTATCCTGGTGCTGACTAGCTCATGATGGGAAGAGCAGAGAAAACTCACAGCAGGTGTGTTTGGGACTGAGGACTTACCAGGTGGAGGCAATGGAAGGACCAGGGGAGCCCTGGAGAGAGAAGGCATTGTCGAACAAGGCTTTAGACTGCTAGACAAGCTGGTAAAGAGAAAAGGGGCTGAGGACCTGTGAAGATAGGGTAGAGCTAGTGGGATGGAAGATAATATAACAAGAAAAGTGAAGGATCAGAAATGAAGGAGCACGATGGCCAGAAAGAAAAAGTTTGAAGTTGGGGTTCTTGGAGGTGGATCATAAGTAATAACCTGGTTCTATGTGAGACCATACTAATAGGTCAACAGAAGTAGCAAGGAGACAGTGTCCGAATGAAAAATTCTAGACTGTGAAGCCAGGCTGTATAATTATCATGAAAATGCCAGGAATTATAACAAGGAAGTGGATGGAGAGGTGAACGCTGAGTCTGGTGCTGAAAAAGAGTCCAAGAAAATATACTAATGACTCTGAGACACTAAATGGACTCCCCAAGTTCCTTCTAGGAAGAAACTGGCAGAACTGAAATAGGAAGCCAACTCCTTCTGACTCCAAAACCCATGTTTTAGCTATTACACACTGATGTTTACTTAAAGCATGCTAATGTGTTAATTTTGAAGGAAGTTGCATAGAATTTGTATCGGTTTTGAAGGTGCTTTGTGATTAGATAACATCTATGCAGTAAATGAATGTGATACCGTAGTCTCTTCTTCCTAAAATGAAATTGCACAATGAAGTCATCTTATTCAGGTAGATTAAAGAAAACTGCTCTAGTAAACAATACTGAAAATGGTTTTCCCTCTTCCTCCAGCTTCTTTTTATGCATAAATGCTTTTGAGTGTACTTTTTCTGTATGTAGGAAAAAATCAGCAGAGATAATGTAAGCATATAATGGATCCAGAGGAAACATAAATGGTCAATAAACATATGAAAAGAAATTCAATCTCACCAGTAATCAGGGAAATGTAAATTAAAACTACAATGAGAGAGCATCTTTTACTCATCAGACTAACCATAATTAAAAAGTGTGACAATCATCAGTATAGAGAAGGAGGATGAATAAACAGATAATCTCATACCATGCTTTTCGGTGTGTAAATTGAAACAGCCACTTGGGAGAGGAATGTAACAGTATTTAGTAAAATGAGAAAGATGTCAAACCTACAACCTAACATTTCCCCTTCTGGGTGTACACCCTAGAGAAATATTTGACTATGTATACAAGAAGACACATAAATGGATGTTTATTACAGCATTGTCAGGAATAGCAAAAAAAAAAAATTAAGAATAATCCAAACATCCATCATTAAAGGAATAGATAAAATACGGAATTTTAATGAAATGGATTGCTATCCAGCTAAAAGAAAGAGATCAGAGCTATATCAATCAGTAAGAATAGCCCTAAAACAACGTTAAATTTAAAAAACAAACAAATTGCAGAATGAAATGCATGGAACAATTCCATACATATAGTTTTTCAAAACTTAGAAATATTATATCTTGTTTCTAAATTTCTATTGCTATATGTAAAAGTATTAAAAGGATGAATATCAAACCCATCATAGTGGTTGTCTCTGAGGAACAGGGAGAGAGCAATGGTCTGGAAATACAGTCAAAGAGGAGTATTACATCTTATATATTAAAAAAAAAACTGGCAAAGACTTCATGATGAAAACACCAAAAGCAACTGTAATAAAAACTAAAATTGAGAAATACGACCTAATTAAACTAAAGACCTTATGCACAGCAAAAGAAACTATCAAAAGAGTAAACATGCAGAATGGGAGAAAATTTTTGCAAACTATGCATCTGACAAAAGTCTAATGTCCAGAATCTATAAGGAACTTAAATTTACGAGAGAAAAACAAACAGCCGCATTAAAAAGTGGGCAGAGGACATGAACAGACAGTTTTTAAAAGAAGGAATACATGTAACCAACAAGCATATAAAAAAAAGCTCAGTATCAATGATCATTAGAGAAATGCAAATCAAAATCACAATAAGATAGCATCTCACACCCGTCTGCATGGCTACTATTAAAAGGTCAAAAAACAACAGATGGCAGTGAGGCTACGGAAAAAAGGAAACACTTACATACTGTTGGAGAGAGTGTAAATTAGTTCAACCATTGTGGAAAGCCATCTGGAGATTTCTCAAAGAGCTTAAAATTGAGCTACCATTAGACTCAGCAATCCCATTAATGGGTATATGCCCAAAGGACTATATATCATTCCATCATAAAGACACAGGCAGGTGTATGTTCATTGCAGCTCTACTCACAATACCAAAGACATGGAATCAACCTAAATGCCCATCTATGGTAGACTGGATAAAGAAAATGTGGTACATATACACCATGGAATACTATGCAGCCGTAAACAAAATGAGATCATGTCCTTTGCAGGAGCATGGATGGAGCTGGAGGCCATTATCCTAAGTGGACTAACACAGGAACAGAAAAACAAATACTGTATATTCTCACTTACAAGTGGGAGCCAAACATTGAGTACATAAGGACACAAAGAAGGGAGCAACAGACACTGGGGCCAACTTGAGGGTGGAGGGTGGAGGGTGTGTGGAGGGTGGCAGCAGGGTGAGGATCAAAAAACTACCTATTGAGTACTATGCTTATTAGCTGGGTGATGAAATAATCAATACACCAAACTCCCACAACATGCAATTTACCTATATAACAAACTTGCACATGTATCCCTGAACCCAAAATAAAAGTTAAAAAAACCTTTAAACCTGAAAAAAGAATACATCTATATAACTTGTGGTCTTTTTTTAAAAAAGCATACACACAAAGGCTACAAGGAAATATAAAAATTATTAAGAGTTTTTAAATCTGGAACATGAGTATATGGGTGTTTCCTTATGTTATCATTTGAAAAAGTATAACTTTCTAAAAGAAAATCAAGTTCCCTAGCATTATCCCAGAGTTATAATTGTTCTGTCTCAGGAAAAGAGAAAAAGAAGGCTTTGTTAGTATTAGTTAAATGGTCTGACTATACACTGTGCACTAGCGCTCTGTGATTGGTCTGGACCAGCCCATACTGGCGCATGTATTCTTAAGCTAGCTATGTGTACACCTTTTTCTGTGGAAATCCCAGCGAAATTTGTGGAGAGAGATTCCATTACGAACTTGGATGTTCAAAAAAATCATCATTAAAGAATGGAATGTGAAGGAACTAGGGGCTCCAATAAAGATCAGAACAAAGAAATTCTCCCTGGAGAGAAGAAAAGCACAGAAGATAATAGAATATTTAGGTTACTTCTACTTCACACAATCCTCCTCTCAGCTGGGCAGCTCCTTCTAACACACTCTGTTCTTGTCACCATTCTTGGAATAACTCTTGGGTCTCAGTCTGACGCTCTGTCTGTGACTATAAACAACTCTTCCTCTACAGTTAGCACAGCCACAGAATAATGACACTGCATTAAAGATATGAGTCATGGCATAAATACTTTTTATTATGATAAAATAAATCACTGGTTGTCTGTTTCTACAGGAATAGAATGTACATTGGGCTTTTTATTTTTTATTATCTACTGAAACTGAGAATATCATTTGTTGAATAATATGTGCTTAAAAAATGTCTCGATGCCTACAATCAAAGAGATAATATGTGGATCTTTGGGCCAAGCATGGGTGACTTCTTTCCTACAAAAGAAAAGAAAGAGTCTTAACACCCCCAACATTATAAAGAGGAACAGTAGCAAGACAGAAAAAGAACAATGGAAGGGGAGGGAGAAATGAAGCTAAAGGCATAATTAGTTTTTGTAACTGTATCATGCTATATTGCAATTAAAGAAGTCAAGGGGGTGTGCACTACCAGCATTTCTTTGGTTTTTGGTGGCCTAAACAATTCTACACTCAATAGAAGAGTATTGAGGCCTTGTGTCAATTAGGACAATCTAGGGAACACCACACTAATAAACAATCCTCAAGTCCTTGTAGCCTAAAGGTTGATTTCTCGCTTTTGTAACAATTCTAGAAGGTTGGCTTGGGCTATTCCCTGCATTGCCATTATTGTCACTTTAAGTCTCAGGCCGAAGGAGCAACCACTGTTGGAGAATGTTTCCAGTCACCATGGCAGAAGGAAAAAAGAGCTTCAAACGGGCTCCTAAAGTTTCTGCCAAAGGTGATTCACATCATTTCTGCTAACAATTAATTGTTAAGGCAAGTCATATGGCTAATCCTGACAATACAAAGGGGAGGTATTCTGCTATGACATCTCCCAGCTTTCTATACCATGCGTCAGTGTATTTCATCCTTGGTAAGATGGTCAGGTACCAGGAGAGCATCTTCCTGTAGGGAGAGGCAAATTGAAGAGAAATCAAGTGACTTTGATAGTGAAAATATCTCTTCTTGGTGATATGTAAGAATCACAGCCTAATCCATCCATTTACACAAATATTGTCTAAGATGGCATAACTTTGGAGGAAAATGTCTGAGAAATGTTGGTGCAAATGGAGAAACCTAAAGAGCTCTATCTATCCAAGATAGACCAAAGAGTCCCCCCAACCTACTCTTCACCCTTTCTACCACCAAAGGAGATAGAGAATTATAGCTTATTTAGGTAGAAAAGGACTTTTGGGTCTGAAACCCTGTTTTAAAATATGAAGAAACTGAATCACAGAAGTGAAGTAAATAACATAATCACACTGCAGAGGGAGCACATGAACAAATGTGAATTCATCCTCTGGGAAGTTCTATCCAGACTTCATTCCCTCACCTACTACTTCTCACCATCTCAGATAATTTTTGTGTTTAAAATCATAATCTTCTTTCTCTCCTATTTAGGAAGACAACATATCCTACTTCTTTCTACAGGCTTCACAGTCTCAGTTACCACCTCTCCCAACTGCCTAAGGAAGAACTCCTTCACCAGTTCCTCTTTTCTCCAACATCTTCAATCTTCTTTTTACACTTCATTTCCCCTTTATTTCACTCTCGAATCTTGACAATGATTGGTTCATACCTGGTCCACTTCTAATTTGCAGGAAGTTGATTTGATGATAGTTTTTAAAGAGAGGGCCCAGGAGTTCCACCACCGAGTTTTCCAGTACTATCTTCACACCTATCCCTCCCAAGTCCTACCTTCCATCCTGAGGATTTCTATAATATTTCTCAAATAAATCTCCTTTTTTGCTTTAGTCAGAGCTGGTTTCTGCTGCTTGCAGCCAGGAACCCTATCTAAAAACCCTCTTCGGTATCCACAACATGTGGATAAATCCCAAATCCAAATTCCCAAGCACAATATTCAAAGCCCTTCAACTACCAACTCATCATGTTACTAATTGCACCAATATTTTATCTGTTTTAGCTTGTGTTGCCTAGAAAACAGAGTCTGAGGTACATGCTAACACTTTTAGGGGTATGCAATTCAAGGTAATCACTTGTAAGGAAAAGAAGGAGTAAGACAGGAAAGGAGGGAGAGCAAATGTAAGAGCATGCATTAACAAGCTAGCCAAAGCTTTGTAAAAATACAGTCAATTGCTCACTCATGTTGGATGTTTAGAGAGATTTATGAAGCTACTATCTCTAAACAGAGTGATGGGGTGCCAGACTGGAAATTCATCAACCAGTTTTCTCTTATCTTCTAACCCAACTTGTTAAAGTTCACACCCTAATTTCATAGGGAATTAACAGCCTCCCAGTTCTGAGTTGCATCGCAAGGCCCCTTCAGCCACAGCTGGGGAACGTAGATCCTATGCATGACTATGTGAAGCCATATTTAAGTCTAAAAGTGGTGGAAGACCTTGCCCATGCCTATGTCCTGAAAACGCAAGAACAAAAAACCAAACACCGCATATTCTCACTCATAGGTGGGAATTGAACAATGAGATCACATGGACACAGGAAGGGGAATATCACACTCTGGGGACTGTTGTGGGGTGGGGGGACGGGGGAGGGATAGCATTGGGAGATATACCTAATGCTAGATGACGAATTAGTGGGTGCAGCGCACCAGCATGGCACATGTATACATATGTAACTAACCTGCACAATGTGCACATGTACCCTAAAACTTAAAGTATAATAAAAAAAAAAAAGAAAAAAAAAAGTGGTGGAAGAAGCCAGAGATTCCTGGTGGTAAGGGTCTCCCATGAAGTCCATCAACACTGAGTGACTAGGGCAGAATAGGTGGCCCTGGAGATAGATGAAGCTGAAAGGATCTACATAAGGGTTGTCTGTTATACCACGTAGGGTCTAAGTCCAGGAAGGAAACTTAAAACAGATGCTACAGGTTCCAGACCTCTGGTTAGGCTTCTTATGCTTATTCTCACATGGGGCAGTCATTTGACATTCACCACAGCTGACGTGTGCAGGTGGTCCATTGCTTTTAAACTAAGATTTTTATCATCCATTATTGTGATTTCTTAATACTTTGATCAAACAAAAATGCCTAGTAAACAACTTTTGGAAGTTTTTAGACGCACCCTTTGCCCCACAAAAAAGTTCAACATTACAGCAACTCTGACCAAAAAATAAGCCAAATAACTCCTTCAAATCATCAGTGAGGAGAAATATAATCTCTCAAGGGTAATAGTTTTTAATCAGAAAATGAAGAAGTTACTGGGAACAATATAAAATATGTTTTAAATTATTTATTTTTTTCATTGAATTTGAATTTTTTTATAATCTAGTATTTCTCAAGAACAATAGCAATGTGTTGTCTAAATTAAGAATGTTAGGGCTCAGAGAACCCAGGTAAAGTCAATGCTGTGCATTTTATCCACATTATTCTGAGGCAGCCATTTAAATTGAAATTGACCAACATGGTAGTTTCTCAATACTTGTTTTCAAACTTTTTTTTCAAATGATTACATTATTTGCACCACTGGGTTCTTGGGTTCCCATGAGATCATAGAATTCCCTTGGTATCTTGCCTACCCCTACTCCCAAACTGAAGCCCAACAAGAGGAAATGACATGGTCACTTAGTTAGCTGGTACTAACAATCCAAAATTTATGTCCCCTCCTGGTCCTGTTCACCGAGCAGTCCAAGAACTCAAAACAAAGGTCCTGAAGCAGTCTGGGGTGCAGGAGATGGGGGATCAGTGTGCCAGATGGCCAGAGTGCCTTACCCATGGGAATGTTGTCATAAAAGTAAAGCAGAAGGTTTGGAGATGAACAGTGTCTGAACACCATTCTGTCCACTTCAGCCAGCAGGGTTTCCACCAACATCCTGCTGTCTTCCTCCTTCTCTTCACCACAAGAAAGAAACTCTGGGGCAGAAGAGTGGGACAGGAAACTGGCTGAAGCTGTCACTCTGGGACAACATTACCACACCCCTCTTTTAAGGATAACTGGAATTGAGCTTGGAGCAGGTTATGTCCAAGTTTCCCAGGCTCTCAGCCCTTGGCATTATCAGTTCTTGGGGATAAATGTATAATAATTATAAGGAATATGTTAAACTACCTGGGATGGGGTTTTTGGCTGAGACAGGCTTTTACATTTGTCACAATGTCAACAATTTATGCACAAACTTTATCAAAAGATCAGTTCTTATAGAACACAGTGTTGATGTACCTTCTGACTTTCAACCATGTCAGTTTAATGTCATAAACATAGTGTGAGGTAAAGAGTAGAATGAGGACATGAAGGCTGGGAAAAGAAAATGCTATTTCTCTTCATGACCTCACAGGCTTTTCTGATTCTTGGTAAGTCTCATCTCTCCCCTCACTCCAAAACCATCGAAAGTAATCTCTAAGTAAGAAATGCCAAGCGCCAGTTCTGTTTGAGATAAGGATAATAGCAATAACAACAATAATAACAGGCATTCAGAAATGGTATGTTTCAAGCACTTTACATTTATTATTATTATTATTATTATTATTATTATTGTTATTATTTAGAGACAGGATCTCACCCTGTCACCTGGGCTAGTGTACTGTGGGGTGAGCATAGCTCATTGCAACTTTGAACTCCTGGGTTCAAACATATATTATGTCTAATCCTTGCATTAATCCAAAGAAAAGGCAATATTATCAATCCCATTTAGAGATGAGATAACAGAGACCCAGATAATTTAAGGTCACCCATAAGTCCCAACCCATGGGTTTCTAGTGCTACAAACATACATTTCTTTCTGGCCAGAGGAAATAGCAGTGCCTTTTCTGACAAAAGAGAGAACAAAGATGATGATGCATAGATCCTGTCATTACGTATATGTATAATCTTTTCATAATTTCAATTTCATGCATCCCAGCCTCCAGCCATTGCTGCTCTCTTTACAGTTCACTTCCTGGAGTAACTTGAATCCCATAATTCTTCAATCCCACTTAGATTTACCATGTATTGAGCCTATCATTTTTTCACTGTCTGTAGCCCTCTGAATGATACTACTTCCCTTATTATCCAGTTTAAAAAGCCCATGGGCAATTATAACCACCGCCATGCATATAACACAAATACTGTTTCTCCTCTCTCAAATCATCATTCTCACATGGCAAGACTCCAACCATAGTTAAATTCAGTTTTTCACCTATTCCATGGCTTTACTTCTATATCTGAATGTGACTGGAGCAAAACATACATCCATACTGACTGGTCTTTAAATTTATGATTATTGGCCTCAGAAGGGTTCTTAATGCTACCTGATCACTAAATTATATTTCCCTAGTTTCTTCTCTCCACTGTTCTCTCATAGGACAATTTCATACATTTTCCACTATTTCCAGCCTTCCAACACTTTCTTCCTCTTGGTCTCAGATGACTTTGTTGCTTGTTTCATTGATTACATAGAAGAAATCAATAGAGAACTTCAATAAGCTGCCACCAACACATTTATCTGTGTATTAGCATTTGTATCGTATGCTCAATATTTTCTACTGTTACTAAGAATGGACTGTCTATGATTCTAGCTAAGACCAAAGCTTCAACTTGTAACTGGGTCCCATATTCTCTCACTTACTCAAAAACCTTGTTCCAGCGATTCTCCTC
Source organism: Homo sapiens (assembly GCF_000001405.40). Taxonomy (NCBI): domain Eukaryota; kingdom Metazoa; phylum Chordata; class Mammalia; order Primates; family Hominidae; genus Homo; species Homo sapiens. The sequence goes on along the minus strand of NC_000023.11, from coordinate 42,561,893 downwards.
TATCTGTGCTGTATCATCACTAACATCTCTAACTCTTTTTAGAGTAAGATCTTTTTAGAGTAGAACTTTTTACTTAACACATAAACATGCTGATACCATTCACATTTCTTTAAAAAAAAAAAACCCTCTCTTGGCCCTATTTACCCCTCTATTATCCCATTTTTAACTATCATTAATTCCTTTTCTCTCACCCTCTCTTTAAGTATAGTCTAATCAGACTTCCATACCCACTGCCCCACAAAAAACTGTCTCAAGATCACCAATGGTATCCACGCAAATGTAGCCAATGGTCAATTTTCAGTCTTTATCTTACTTGACCTATTGGCAACATAACAAAGATGATCACTGCCTCTTCACTGAAATAATTTCTTTGCTTGGCTTTCAGGACATCATACATCCCCAGTTTTTCCTCTAACTTATTGACAACTGCTCCCCCATTTATTTTTAAATTTTTACTTTCTTTTTGCTTCACTTCTAAGTGATGGTAGATCTCTTCTCTTCTCTAGATGTACTCATTTCTTTAATGATCATAATCACTCCACTCTCCTGATTTTAACTACTTTATATATGATCTCGATTCCTAAAGTTTCTATCTCTTCTGAGCTCCAAACTTTCAAATGCAAATTCTTACTTCGTATCTCCACTTGGACATCTAAGAGATAGTTCAAATATAATACATCCAAAACCAAACACTTGAGCTGGTCTCCTATATTAGACTATTTTATTGCCTGTAAGTATTTACTAACCCAGTCTGGCAGAGGATGATACTCCTTGTCCTGATGATATCGAGTTGGCTACTTGCCTTATTCTGGGCAAAAGAAGTATAAACAGAAGTGACATGTGTCATTTTTAGGCATAGCTTTAAGAGTCAATACACGGTTTTCATGTTCTCTCTTTTTCCCCTCTCAGAAGACTGGCAATAATCCAGATAGTAGGTATTTTATCATTGTGTGTTCCAGAGTGAAGATGACATGAATGAGATGTGTGAGTAAGAAATAAGCGTTTGTGGTTATAAGCCATTAGAATTTTATGGTGTGTGATGGTGCTACATGACCTAGTCTATCCTAGCTGATAGTGAAATTGGTGCCAGAAGTCAGTTCTGCTATAATAGAAAAAAACATGGCATTGGTTTCAGGGCCAGGTAGTGAGAAGAAAAAAAAAATGTTACCAGAGTATGGAAGGTATGGTGATCTACAGTATGCAGTGCTGAAAAGTTTGCCTGCAATAAGTTCAAAGATAAATAATGTTCTTAATAAGTTTGTTGCTTTATGGCTTAAAATGTTGCAAAACAGAATGTTAGTATTATGTCTGCTACTATTGACTGTATTTGACACTGTACTTCAAGAAAGAGATGAGCTCTGCCAATTTGAAACAGGAGTGAGAGGAAATAGAATTCAAAACTCCAGGGACTTGCAGGATTGTAAGATGTAAGTGGTTTTTGCCACCAACTATCAAATATAAAACTGACAAATTCTTTGAATCACAAGGGCTTTTAAAACTATACCTTGAGGCAAGGACCAAATAAAACAGGTGGCTGTCGAGCCCAGAGTTTACCACTATGCAATATACCCATGTAAGAAAATGGCACTTGTACCCCCTAAATCTATAAAAATTTTTAAAAATTGGCTGTCATGTCCTTTGTAAAACCACTGAGCTTTTATAATTGTTAGCTACTACAACATAACCTAACCTATCCTGACATATAGACCCTGCAAGCCTATTCATACAGTCTTCCTCATCTCAATTAATGGCAATTCAATAATTCCCATTACTCAGGCCAAGCAACTTAGAGTCATCCTTGAATTTTCTCTTTCATTTGTAATCTCAGCAAAACAGACAAATCCCATTGTTTCTACCTTAAAAAACATATTCGGAATCTCCTGCTTTTCTTTATCTCCACTACTACACCTTGATCAAAACAGGCATTGTGGTACATAAAATAATGCCCCGCATTCCCATTATATCCACACCCTAATGCCCGGAACCTATGAATATGTTACCTTACATGGCAGAAGGGATTTTGCAGATGTGATTAAGGATACTGACCTTGAGATGGGGCAATTGGCTGTAAGACCTGGGTTGACTAAGTCTAATCACAAAATCCTGAAAAGCAGAGAATCTTTCCCAGCTTGGTCAGAAAAAGATGTGACAAAAGAAGGGTTGGAGACATGGCATCATGAGAAACATTCAACACCCTATTGCTGGTTCTGAGATGTAGGGTACTATGTGCAAGGACTGGAGAGAGCCCTTTACAAGCTGAAAATAGTCCTGAGCTTACAGATCTCTCAGGACTCCTGTTCTTTTTTGAAGAAGGGCCAGTAGAGTGAATCAGATCTTTTATCTGTGGTTTATAGAGCGGCCATCAGACATTGGTCTGAACCACCCAGGTGCAATGAGTTTCCTTTGGCATGGTCATTCCACTAGGTAAGTTTTCGACTGTGTCTAGGCTGTTTTAAGAAGCCGCTTGAGTGGGCCAATTTCTATATACATTATGCAAATATAGAGTACATTGCTTCTATGCTATCTTGCCCTTGGCCTACTTATAAGAAAGAAGCTATAAGAAATTATGTTATTAAATATGTTATTGTATTTACTATATAAATGTTAAAGACATCATTCATTACATTTCTTTTTTGAGGACACTATGGATATTTTTTCTCTCTAATCTCAAAATCATAAGTAACAAAGCTTCTAAGCAACTTTTTTTTCACTTTTAAGTTCAGTGGTACATGTGCAGGATGTGTAGGGTTGTTAAATAGGTAAATATGTGTCATGGGGGTTTGTTGTACAGATTATATCATCACCCAAGTATTATGCCAGGAACTCTATCTAAATACCCTTCTCCTTATCCACAACCTGTGGATAAAGCCCAAATCCAAATTCTTAAGCACAATTTTCAAAGCCCTTCAACTACCAACTCATCATGTTACTAACTGCACCAATATTTTATCATTTTAGCTTGGGTTGCCTAGAAAACAGAGCCTGAGGTACATGCTAACACTTCTAGGGGTATGAAATTCAAGGTATTCACTTGTAAGGAAAAGGAGAAGTGAGACAGGAAAGGAGGGAGAGCAAATGTAAGAAAATGCATTACCAAGCTGGGTAGTGTGATGCCTCCAGCTTTGCTCATTTTGCTTAGGATTGCCTTGAAATTTGGGGGCTCTTTCTTGGTTCCATATCAATTTTAAAATAGCTTTTTTTCTAGTTCTGAGAAGAATCTCATTAGTAGTTTAATAGGAACATCATTGAATTGATAAATTATTTTGGGCAGTATGGCCATTTTATGATATTGATTCTTGCCATCCATGAGCATGGGAAATTTGTGTCATCTCTGATTTGTTTGAGCAGTTTAGTTCTCCTTGTAGAGATCTTTCACCTCCCTAGTTAGCTGTATTCCTAGGTATTTTATTCTTTTTGTGGCAATTTTAAATGGGAGTTTGTTCCTGATTTGGCTCTTGGCTTGACTGTTGTTGGTGTATAGGAATGCTAGTGATTTTTGTGCATTGATTTTGTATCCTGAGACTTTGCCGAAGTTGCTGATCAGCTTAAGAAGATTTTGGGCTGAGATGATGGGGTTTTCTACATATAGGATCATGTCATCTACAAACAAGGATAGATTCACTTCCTCTCTTCCTATTTGGATGCCCTTTATATCTTTCTCTTGCCTAATTTCTCTAGTCAGGACTTCCAATACTAAGTTGAACAGGAGTGGTGAGAGAGGCCATCCTTCTCTTGTGATGGTTTTCAAAGAGAATGCTTCCAGCTTTTGCTCATTCAACATGATGTTGGCTGTGGGTTTGTCGCAGATGGCTCTTATTATTTTGAGGTATGTTCCTTCAATACCTAGTTTGTTGAGAGTTTTTAACTGGAGGAGATAATGAATTTTGTTGAAAGCCTTTTCTGCATCTATTGAGGTAATCATGTGGCTTTTGTCTTTAGTTCTGTTTATGTGTGAATCACATTTATTGATTTGTATATGTTGAACCAACCTTGAATCTTAGAGAAAAGTCTACTTGATCGTGGTGGATATGTTTTTTGATGTGCTGCTAGATTCAGTTCGCTAGTATTGCTGAGGATTTTTGCATCAATGTTCATCAAGGATATTGACCTGAAATTTTCTCTTTTTATGTTGTGTCTCTGCCAGGTTTTGGTATCGGGATGATGCTGGCCTCATAGGATGAGTTGGAGAGGAGACCCTCTTTCTTAGCTTTTGGAGTAGTTTCAGTAGAAATGATTCCAGCTCTTCTTTGTACATCTGGCAGAATTCGGCTGTGAATCCATCTATCTGGTCCTGGACTTTTTTTTTCTTTTTGGTTGATAGGCTATTTATTACTGATTCAATGTTGGAGATCATTATTGGTCTGTTCAGAGATTCAATTTCTTCCTGTTTCAATCTTGGGAGGGGCTAAATGTCCAGGAATTTATCTATTTCTTCTAGCTTTTCTAGTTTGTTTGCATAGAGGTGTTAATAGTAATTTCTGATATTTGTTTTTATTTCTGTGGGGTCAGGGGTAATACCCCATATGCCACTTAAAAATTGTGTTCATTCGGATCTTCTCTCTTTTCCTCTTTATTAGCCTAGCTAGCAGTCTATCTACTTTGTAATATTATTTTTAAAAACAAAAAAGCTCCTGAATCTTTTGAATGTTTTTTGGGGTCTCAGTTTCCTTCAGCCCAGCTGCAATTTTGGTTATTTGTTGTCTTCTGCTATCTTTGGCATTGGTTTGCTCTTGGTTCTCTAGTTCTTTTAGTTGTGATGTTAAGTTGTTAATTTGAAATCTTTCTAACTTTTGGATGTGGGTGTTAAGGCTATAAATTTCCCTCTTAACACTGCCTTAGCTGTGTCCCAGAGATTCTGGTATATTATAATCTTTGCTCTCATTAGTTTCAAAGAAATTCTTGATTTCTGCCTTAATTTCATTATTTACCCAAAAGTCAATCAGGACCAGGTTGTTCAATTTCCATGTAATTGTATGGTTTTGAGCAATTGTCTTAGTTTTGATTTCTATTTTTATTGCACTGTGATCTGAGAGAGTAATAGACCTTGGCAAATCACTCCTAGGAGCTTCCACAGTCTCTGTTCATAACCATGCTTACAAGCATACTCTGTAGATTGTTTCTTAGTTATCATCAATCTCTGCATATCTATATCTCCAGTGGCAAAAAACAAAAGGTTTTATTACAAAGATACTCCTCGAGAAAAGCAACCCGAAGACACATAACCGTCAGATTCACCAAGGTTGAAATGAAGGAAAAAATGTTAAGGGCAGCCAGAGAGAAAGGTCGGGTTATGCACAAATGGAAGCCCATCAGACTAACAGCAGATCTCTCTGCAGAAACCCTACAAGCCAGAAGAGAATGGGGGCCAATATTCAACATTCTTAAAGAAAAGAATTTTCAACCCAGAATTTAATATCCAGCCAAACTAAGCTTCATAAGCAAAGGAGAAATAAAATCCTTTACAGACAAACAAATGCTGAGAGATTTTGTCACCACCAGGCCTGCCTTATGAGAGCTCTTGAAGGTAGCACTAAATATGGAAAGGAAAAACTGGTGTCAGCCATTGCAAAACCAAACCAAAATGTAAAGACCATCAACACTATGAAGAAACTGCATCAATTAATGGGCAAACTAACCAACTAGCATCATAATGACAGGATCAAATTCATACATAACAATATTAACCTTAAATGTAAACAGGCTAAATGCCCCAATTAAAAGGCACAGACTGGCAAATTGGATAAAGAGTCAAGACCCATCAGTGTGGTGTATTCAGGAGACCCATCTCACATGCAAAGACACGCATAGGCTCAAAATAAAGGGATGGAGGAATATTTACCAAGAAAATGGAAAGCATAAAAAAGTAGGGGTTGCAATCTGATAAAACAGATTTTGAAACAACAAAGATAAAAAAAGACAAAGAAGGGCATTACATAATGATAAAGGGATCCATGCAACAAGAAGAGATAACTATCCTAAATATATATGTACCCAATACAGGAGCACCCAGATTCATGAAGCAAGTTCTTAGAGACCTACAAAGAGACTTAGACTCCCACACAATAATAGTGGGAGACTTTAACACCCCACTGTCAATATTAGACAGATCAATGAAACAGAAAATTAACAAGGATATTCAGGACTTGGACTCAGCTCTGGACCAAGTGGACCTAATAGACATCTACAGAACTCTCCACTCCAAATCAACAGAGTATACATTCTTCTCAGCAAAACATAGCACTTATTCTAAAATTGACCACTTAATTGGAAGTAAAGCACTCCTCAGCAAATGAAAAAGAACGGAAATCATAACAAAGACAAAACAAAAAAAGAACATTTCAGGCCAATATCCCTGACGAACATCAATGTGAAAATCCTCAATAAAATACTGGCAAACCAAATCCAGCAGCACATCAAAAAGCTTATCCACCACGATCAAGTCAGCTTCATCCCTGGGATGCAAGGCTGGTGCAACATGTGCAAATCAATAAATGTAATCCATCACATAAACAGAACCAATGACAAAAACTACATGATTATCTCAATAGATGCAGAAAAGGCCTTCGATAAAATTCAACACCCCTTCATGCTAAAAGCACTTCATGAACTAAGTATTGATGGAACATATCTCAAAATAATAAGACCTATTTATGACAAGCCCACAGCCAATATCATACTGCATGGGCAAAAGCTGGAAGCATTCCCTTTGAAAACTGGCACAAGACAAAGATGCCCTCTCTCACTACTCTATTCAATATAGTATTGGAAGTTCTGGCCAGGGCAATCAGGCAAGAGAAAGAAATAAAGAGCATTCAAATAGGAAGAGAGGAAGTCAAATTATCTCTGTTTGCAGATGACATGATTGTATATTTAGAAAACCCCGTCATCTCAGCCCAAAATCTCCTTAAGCTGTTAAACAACTTCAGCAGTCTCAGGATACAAAATCAATGTGCAAAAATCACAGGCATTCCTATACACAAATAATAGACAAACAGAGAGCCAAATAATGAGCAAACTCCCATTCACAACTGCTACAAAGAGAATGAAATACCTAGGAATATAACTTACAAGGGATGTGAAGGACCTCTTCAAGGAGAACTACAAACCACTGCTCAAGGAAATAAGAGAGGATATAAACAAATGGAAAAACATTCCATGCTCATGGATAGGAAGAATCAATATCATCAAAATGGCCACACTGCCCAAAGTAATTCATAGATTCAATGCTATTCCCATCAAGCTACCATTGACTTTCTTCACATAATTAGAAAAAACTACTTTAAATTTCATATGGAACCAAAAAGGAGCCCATATAGCCAAAACAATCGTAAGCAAAAAGAACAAAGCTGGAGGCACCATGCTACTTGACTTCAAACTATACTAAAAGACTACAGTAACCAAACAGCATGGTACTGGTACCAAAACAGATATATAGAACAATGGAACAGAACAGATACCTCAGAAATAACATCACACATCTACAACCATCTGATCTTTGACAAACCTGACAAAAACAAGCAATGGGGAAAGGATTCCCTATTTAATAAATGGTATTGGGAAAACTGGCTAGCCACATGCAGAAAACTGAAACTGGACCCCTTCCTTACACCTTATACAAAAATCAACTCAAGATCAATTAAAGATTTAAATGTAAGATCTAAAACCATAAAAACCCTAGAAGAAAACCTAGGCAATACCGTTCAGGACATAGGCATGGGCAAAGACTTCATGACTAAAACACCAAAAGCAATGGCAACAAAAGCCAAGATTGACAAATGGGATCTAATTAAACTAAAGAGCTTCTCCAGAACAAAAGAAGCTATCATCAGGGTGAACAGGCAACCTACAGAATGGGAGAACATTTTTGCAATCTATCCATCTGACAAAGGGCTAATATCCAGAATCTGCAAAGGACTTCAACAAATTTACAAGAAAAAAACAACCCCATCAAAAAGTGGGAGAAGGATATGAACAGACACTTTTCAAAGAATGTGGCCAACAAACATATGAAAAAAAGCTCATCATCACTGGTCATTAGAGAAATGCAAATCAAAACCACAGTGCGATACCATCTCACACCAGTTAGAATGGCTATCATTAAAAAGTCAGGAAACCACTTTTGGAGGTCGAGGCAGGTGGATCACGAGGTCAGCAGTTCAAGACCAGCCTGGCCAAGTTGGTGAATCAGCATCTCTACTAAAAATACAAAAATTAGCCAGGCATGGTGGCAGGTGCCTGTAATCCTGGCTACTTGGGAGACTGAGGCAGAGAATTGCTTGAACCTAGGAGGTGGAGGTTGCAGTCAGCCGAGATCACACCACTGCACTCCAGCCTGGGTGACAGAGCAAGAGTCTGTCTCAAAAAAAAAAAAAAAAAAAAAAAGTCAAGAAACAACAGATGCTGGAGAGGATGTGGAGAAATAGGAATGCTTTTACACTGTTGGTGGGACTGTAAATTAGTTCAACCATTGTGGAAGACAGTGTGGCGATTCCTCAAGGATCTAGAACCAGAAATACCATTTGACTCAGCAATCCCATTACTGGGTATATACCCAAAGGATTATAAATCATTCTACTGTAAAGACACATGTGCACGTATATTTATTGCAGCAAAATTCACAATAGCAAAGACTTGGAACCAACCCAAACGCCCATCAATGTTAGACTGGATAAAGAAAATGTGGCGCATATCTCCCATGGAATACTATGCAGCCATAAAAAAGAATGGGTTCATGTCCTTTGCAGGGACATGGGTGAAGCTGGAAACCATCCTTCTCAGCAAACTAATGCAGGAACAAAATGCCAAACACCGCATGTTCTCACTCATAAGTGGGAGTTTAACAGCGTGAACACATGGGCACAGGGAGGGGAATATCACACACTAAGGCCTGTCGGCGGATGGGAGAGGGGGCAAGGATAGCTTTAGGAGAAATAGCTAATGTAGATGACAGGTTGATGGATGCAGCAAATCACCATGGCACATGTATACTTATGTAACAAACCTATACGTTCTGCACATGTATCCCAGAATTTAAGTATAATTTTAAAACAAGATCTTAAAAGATTTTTTTAAAAAGGTGCTAATGGATTATTTTTGAATTCCTGACCTCAGGTGATCCATCCGCCTCAGACTCCCAAAGTGCTGGGACTACAGGTGTGAGCCACCGTGCCTGGTCTCAAATGGATTATTTTCAAACCCCATTTGTTTTAAGCAACATCTATTACTCTCAAAATTTTGAATAAAGAGAAAAATCAGATTATGGCTATGTAAGACCACTGAGGTAGAATGGTTAAGAATATAGCCAGCTCGTAGTTTGAATCCTGTTTTTATTGCTTACGAGTTATGAGGCCTTAGGCAAGATATTTAATCTCTGATAGTCTCAGTTTCATCATATGTACTATGTGGTTGGTAATACTTAACTCACAGAGTTATTGAAAGAGTCAATCAGTCAACACATATAAAGCATCTAGAGTAGTCCCTAGCACATAGTAAGTATTCAGTACATTGTATCTATTATTGTCAGCACAGGCATGTTTTCCATCCGTGACCACCTCAAGCTCTGCTTTACCTTACATGACAATCATGTGCTCTAGTTCGAGCATACCTATCATCTGACACAAGCATCTGCCTCCTTTTACCACCATTATGCTCACTCTTCCCCTACCTCTAAACTAAAGATGCAGTTTACTTCTCTTAGAAGTACAGAGTCAGACCTAGGCCTGAAATTGTACTGAGTCATGGAGGAAACATGATTGGAGCCACCCATAGAGAAACAGATGAGAAGATTTGGGGAGTAGCATTATTGGCCCAAGTTGCATTTCTATATTTTCTCCTCCTTCTTTTGTCCTCTCTGTTCTACATACTTCTGCAAAAGGCCAGGAAACCCCTTAATTACACACAGAGAGATCCTTATTAGAATTATGGGTATAGATCACAGAGTCAGGGAATGCTAGATACAAAAAGACGTTTCCTCCCACCCCCTCACACATACATATTCATAAATCAACCAGGACAACCCCTTCATCCTATAAGTGAATCAACTTTATAGTAAGTCTTGAATAAATCAGGATTTAAACCCAAATATCAATCATCCAGCCAGGGGTGCTTCTCAGACATTCCAAGCACAGTAGACAGAGATCTCATTCATTTTTACACTTCCCAGAGCTATATTAACAGATTGTACCTTTCACTAGTTTTTTTTCTATTACCTTGGTACAGTAAAGAAACAGGAGTCAAGGCACAGAAATAAAAGGAAATGGCAGATATTCTTTAGAAGAAAACATTGGTAACTCACTTTTCAAGACCAAAAGCTACTGTGGTATCCCCTCTGAATTAAGCTCCAGCTGTTGTGCCAGACAGACTTCAACTTCAAAAACAAGATGCTTGAATTCAATCAGTTTATTTTTTCTGACTGTCCATAATTTTCCCCTGCTCATTAAAACATTCTCTTTAGTATCTGAAAGTAAAGCAGGCTGGGCAGGAAAAGGTGAATGATTCAGTATGATGTGCCACAATTGCTGAGACATCAATTCAAAAATGTCTCCCCTATTGTTGGAGGTAGTGGTGTGTTAGTAGAGTATGAAGAACAAGATTCACACACACACACACACACACAAGTTAAGTCAACACAGCAAGCTCTCTATAATATTTTTGAAGGAGGCAAAATCTTTAAAGTTTTCAGCAGTTAAAGTTCCAGCAGACCCTGGAGAGAGTCTAAATGCAGAGCTGAATTGACAGGAGAATTGACAACAGAATTTGAGGGGCTGACTCCTGAACCTCCGTCGATGCATGAAAATGGTTATAATCCCACTTCTGGTAAAATAAATATTTCCCAATCATCATCAGAGAGTACAGCAGGGGCCTTCCATCAGTGGAAAACTTATTTTCTTAGCTTCCGCATGCTCCAAGAGAGCAATATTTTTGTCAAACAGGCAGTCTTTTCAGCATCTAGGCATGGCAATTTTGTGACTCTGCTTTGTAGCCCTGTTTTGTAAATATATTTGGTAGGATAAGAAATTAGTATATCACAAGACAGTGTTTTAAAGATTGACTTCAACTTATTAAAATAACTCACTGATCATGGGCTGTGACCATTCTGTTTACAAATAACACAATGTAATTCACTTCAACCCAATTCACTTTTCAGGACATAAAGACCTAGTAAACCATGCTAAAGGGTGTTGAATTTATCACATTAGTGATGGAGACCCATCAAAGGTTTTTGAAAAATAGTCTCCAGATAACTTTGGAAGCTTTGTAAACATGGGATTAGAATGTTAATGCAAAAGTCTAGGCAAGAGATGATGACAAGGCAGTATACAATTTTAAAAAATAAGAAAAAAGGAGAGATTCAAGAGTCAGTTTTGAGGTAGAATTAATAGAACTTGATAACTGAATAAATAAGAGACTGTTAAATTTATGGTTTTATCAAATGCAATGTTAATATATGAGGCCATTTAATGCAATAGGCACTGATTAGCATACAAAACCACTTTTTCTTTTAAGTAAGAAAAATCCAGGGCAAGAGTCAAAGATCACTGGGCTGGAGGAAACCTTTTGTGTTTCTCTCTCAGATAGAACCACTGTTAAAAAAAAAAGATTAAATTTATTGCCCAGAGTTCTAATAGAAGGAAATTCCACAGATTTGAAAATATTTCTTGATAGGAAAAATCAGGTTAACTGAGGAACTGAAAAGACATTCATCATGTGGCCTGCTACAGTTTGTATGTTTGTCCCTTTCCAAATATCATTGAACTGTAATCCCTAGTATATTGGAGATGGGCCTTGGGGGAGGTTATTAGATCATGGGGGTGGATTTCTCATGAATAGTTTAGTGCCATCTTCTTGGTGCTGTCCTTGCAATAGTGAGTGAGTTCTCATGCGATCTGGCTGTTTAAACATGTGTGGCACATTCCACCCCCACTGCCTTGCTCCATTCTCATCATGTGATGTGCTGCCAGCTCCCCTTTGCCTTCCTCCAAGATTATAAGCTTCCTGAGGCCTCCCCAGAAGCAGATACCAGCACTATGCTTCCTGTACAGCCTACAGAACCATGGGACAATTAAACCTCTTTGCTTATAAGTTACCCAGTCTCAGGAATGTCTTTATAGCAATGCAATAACAGCCTAACACAGAAAATTGGTACTTGGGAATGGGGCATTATTATAAAGATACCTAAAAATGTGGAAGCAACTTTGGAACTGGGTAGCAAGCAGAGGTTGGAAGAGTTTGAAGGACTCAGAAGAAGACAGGAAGATGAGGGAATGATTGCAACTTTCTTTTTTTTTTTTTTTTTTTTTTGAGACTGAGTCTTGCTTTGTCGCCCAGGCTGGGGTGCAGTGGCGGGATCTCAGCTCACTGCAAGCTCTGCCTCCCAAGTTCACACCATTCTCCTGCCTCAGCCTCCCGAGTAGCTGGGACTACAGGCGCCCACCACGGCGCCTGCCACTATGCCCTGCTAATTTTTTCATATTTTTAGTAGAGACAGGGTTTCACTTTGCTAGCCAGGATGGTCTTGATCTCCTGGCCTCGTGATCCACCTGCCTCGGCCTCCCAAAGTGTGCAACTTCTTATAGACAAGAATAGCTGTGACTAAAATGCTTATAGTGACATGGACAGTGAAGTCCAGGCTGATGATGAAGTCTCAGATGAAAACGGGGAACTTATTGGAAACTGGGGCAAAGGTCACACATGTTATGCCTTAGCAAAGAGTTGGCTGCATTCTTTCTGTTCATGATCTAAGGATGTGCGGAAGTTTGAATTTGAGAGTGATGATTTAGGGTATCTGGTGGAAGAAATTTCTAAGCAGCAAAGCATTTAATATTTTGCCTGGCTGCTTTTAACAGACTATGCTCAATGTAGGAGCAAAGAAATGATCTAAACTTGGTATTTATATTTAAACAGGAATCAGAGCATAAAGGTTTGGAAAATTGCAGCCTGGCCATGTGGCAGAGAAAGAAGAGGCTTTTTCAGGAGAGGAGTTCAATCAGGCTATCAAGAAACCACTTGCTAGAAATACTGGCATAAATAAAATGGAGCCAAGTGCTAATAACTGAGACATTGGGAAAAAGGTCTCAAAGGCATTCCAGATATCTAAGAGACAGCCCCTCCCATCACAAGCCCTGAGGCCTAGGAGGATTGAATGGCTTCGTGGGCCAGGCCCAGAGCCCTGCTGCCCTATGCAGCCTCAGGATACTGCTCTCCACATCCTGACCACTCTGTCCCCAACACTGGCTCAAAGAGCCCCATGTACTGCTTGGGCCATCACTTTGGAGAGTGCAAGCTACTGTAGCCTTGGCAGTTTCCATGTAGTGTTAAGCCTGTGGGTGCACAGAGTGCAAGAGTAAATGAGGCTTGGCACCCTCTGCCTAGGTTTCAGAGGAATTATAAAAAAGCCTGTGTGCCCAGGCAGAAGGCTGCTGCAGGGGCGGAGCCTTCACAGAGAACCTCTACTAGAACAATACCAAGAGGAAATGTGGGGTTGGAGACCCCATACAGAGTCTCCATTGGGACACTGTCTAGTGGAGCTGTGGGAAGGGGACCACCATCCTTCAGACTCCAGAATGACAGATCCACTGGCATCTTGCACCCTGTGCCTGGAAAAGCTGTAGGCACTCAACAACCTGTGAGAGCAGCCTCAGAGGCTGCACCCTGCAAAGCCACAGGAGTAGAGCTGCCCAAGGCCTTGGGAGCCCACCACTTGCACCAGTGTGCCCTGGATGTGGGAAATGTAGTCAAAAGAGATTATTTTGGAGCTTTAAGATTTAATGACTGCCCTGCTAGGTTTCAAACTTGCATGGGGCCTGTAGCCCCTTTTTTAGACAATTTATCCCTTTAGGAATGAGAATGTTTACCCAATACCTATACCCCCATTGGATCTTGGAAGTAAATAATTTATTTTTTATTTTACAGGCTCATAGGTGAATGGGACTTGCCTCATCTCAAATGAGACTTTGGAGTTTTGAGTTAATGCTGGAATGAGTTAAGACTTTGGGGGACTATTGAGAAGGCATGATTGTATTTTGAAATGTAAGAAGGACATGAGATTTGGAAGGGACCATGGGCAGAATAACATAGTTTGTATATTTGTCCCCACCCAAATCTCATGTTGAATTACAATACCCAGTATTGGAGGTGGGGCCTGGTAGGAAGTGATTAGATCATGGGGGAAGTTTTCTCATGAAGAGTTTAGTGTCATCCCTTTGGTGCTGTCCTTGAGACAGTGAGTGAGTTCCTCATGAGATCTGGCTGCTTAAATGTATGTGGCACATCCTCCTTCTCTCTTGCTCCATTCTTGCCATGTTATATACCTGCTCCCCCTTTGTGTTCTGCCATGATTGTAAGCTTCTTAAGGCCCCACCAGAAGCAGGTGCTGCTATGCTTCCAGTACAGCCTGCAGAACCAGGAGCCAATTAAACCTCTTTACTTATAAATTAACCAGTCTCAGGTATTTATTTACAGCAATGCAAGAATGGCCTCACACATGCCTGAGGGCCATATTTCTTTCCAAGAAAGAGGACAAGCATTTCATGAGCCTCTTCAGAATCTCTGATCTGGCAGTTCAGTTTGGTTAAATACACTAATGCATTGAGCACTAGTCATGTATTAGGTACTGGGGAATACAAAAATAAGTAAAATTAGTCCTCTTATTCTCACAGAACTTGTATCCCAAATGCATCATGATGTCCAGTTGGCCTTTGGGGCTATCTTCAGTAAGGATACTTCTCTGACATACTGTAGGCCAATGTAGATGGCTTTCTCTGTGTTCCAAAAGCCCTTCTGCACATCTTTCACTGCATTTGCCACATTGACTCATGACTACCTGTTTATGTGTTCATCTTCTCCAAAGGACCATGAAGCCCTAGGGTATTGGGGCCATGTTTTAGCCATCTTTGTATTTCCAGAACCTTGGACAGTGCTTGGTATATATTGGGAGCTCAATAAATGAACAGAACTTGTCTTTAGGTGAGTCCATTTCTTTTTATTCTGGAGTTAGGAGGGACAAGAACAGATCTTAGTAACCCTGCAGAAATTTGATAATCACTATCACCCGCCTCAGACTTCTCTTATTGAAGTTTGGGGATACTGGAAACTTTGACAATTTGTTCTGGCTTATTCTCCCAGTGATTTAAACTTATTGATAGTTCTTCTCTTCAGACTTGTGTAGAGCAAACCATTATGGGACTTGGAATCTGAAGATATTAATGAATTATAAGCTTCACTATTTACTATTTGATGATGAGGGGAACACTCAGTTTTGCCATTTGGGAATAGCAGGGGAGGATAAAAATGCTTTTTTCATAGGATTATTCTGTGGATCAAATTAAGCAACGCATGCTGTAAACTACAAGAGGATACTGTTACAGAGCATAGTGATTTACTTGGAATATCCACCAAGAAAAATACATAGTTGTTTTCATTAACTTTTTAAAAATATTTTTAATTTGATACATATGTAGACTTGGAAAAACAGTTGGGGCTTACAATTCTGAAATAGGTAAAATAATATTTAATACTTCCAAATATTTTAAGAAAGACGCTACCACCAAATGACTAAAAGTGTCATAAGTTTTCAGGATTTATATTAGAGACATTTAAGTGCTTAAATTTGGTTCCCTTTTGGGCAGAGAGAGTTTTCATAGCTCAGTTGACAAAGAATTACTTTGAGTGGGAATGAGAATCTTAATCTTGTTTTGAGAACATCAATTGTCTAATTATTATGTGGCTCTTTATATTCTTTTTCAATAACTGTGGCAAAAGGAATTTCATAGTCAACATCTTCTGCAAATATGCTTTTGTGGTGAAGAGAACAAATACATTTTGCTAAGGAAAATAACCAGATTTAGAGAATTAGACTGACTTGTTGACTCACTGGCTAAATTAAATAATTCCCCCTCAGACACTTGGCAGAGTAAAGAATCAAGCCATTTAATTTTATGGCTGACTCTATTTGTTTTTACCCAGTTCATTTCCTCTTAGGTCCTGAAACACCAGTTAAAAGTGTCTTGCTACCTGATGGCAGTAACAAATGATAAACTTCTAAACTTTTAACTTCATAAACATAGAAGTTAGGATTCTGTCTGTTTACAGCTTGTATTCTTTTTTTTTTTCTTTATTTCTTCTAAAACAAAAATGGGATACATGTGCAGAACGTGCAGGTTTGTTACGTAGATACATGTGTGCCATGGTGGTTTGCTGCACCTATTGACCCATCCTCTAAGTTCCCTCCCCTCACCTCCCACCCCTCAACAGGCCCTGGTGTGTGTTGTTCCCCTCTCTGTGTCCATGTGTTTTCAATGTTCTTATGAGTGAGAACATGCGGTGTTTGGTTTTCTGTCACAGCTTGTATTCTAAATGAATACTTTCATTACTGTCTTCCCTAAGGTGATGAACGACTCAATTTTTAAAAACTACACACCTATAGTAGACTACACTCTACTGAAGGGAAAGTAATAGAAAAGACAGACAATACCATAAGTGTGCTCAAATTGTTACTTTATTTGCAGTGACATCTAGAAATGTCACAACATAATCAAATATTTAGTTATAATTAATTAATTTCTCAATAAAGTATTTGCCTTCACTTAGTAAACATTCATAGTGTACCAGTTATAGTCCAGGCAAGGTGCTAGGTGCTAGTTAGCAAAAGAAGACATTTCCCTTGCTCTTGTGGAAATTCCAGTTTAAATAAGGAAACAGAAACTAGTCAATTGACCACAATAATGAATACATCATTACAAATGGAGAAAAGTGTTGTAAAAGAAAGGGTTTTGGGCCTCTTAGGATTACTAAGAAATTACTAAGAAATCTGTGAGGTCTGGGAGAACGGGGAGGGTAGGCTTTCTTGGGGAGGCAGCATGTGGCCTAAGAGTTGAATGAAGGGTAGCTCATTAGTTGAAGGAGGACTACAACCCAGGCCAAGCGGACTGTATGTGCAAAGGCCCTGCTGATATAAGAAGCAGGATTTGTTCTAGAAGCTTAAAGAATCCCAGTTTGGTTGAGGCACAGAAAGTAAGACCTTGGGAAGGACACTGATGACAGATGATACTGAAGTGCTAGGCAGGGACAAATAATGCAGCATCCTATTGGCCATGTCAAAGATATTGCTCTTTAATGTCTTGAGGAAAGTCATTTATTTAAATAATCAGCATATACTTAGCATGCTTACTATTGCTAGGTGCTATTCTAGCGCTGGGGATAGAGAAATGAATGAAAATACACATGATATCACTTGTGTCCATTCTGACTGAAAGATGGATCTCTGGAGACTAGTTTGTGAGCTTTCGCAGCAGTTCACTCAAAACATACTGATGGTTTGGTCTAGGAAAATGGTGGTGCTGGGGAAATGAAAAGAAGTGGACAGGGTTGTGAAATGTTAAGAAGTAAAATCAACAGGACTTGGTGATAGATAAGAAACTGGCATGTAAAAAGGGAGGCATCATCTATACCTCTGTTTTTTCTTGAGACACTGTTGATAAAGGTGACATTCACTAAAATATGGAATTCTAAAACAGGGATAAGTGGCATTTATTTTTCTTTTATTGGAAGATAGTGAGAAGTGACCATAAGTTTAATTTTATAAATTCAGTCTTGGACATGTTGACCTTGAGGTGATATTGAAGTGAAAATATTGAGTAAATAGTGCTGTGGAGTGACACAAGCACCTCTGTGGCCACCACCACTGGGACTGTCTGGGTCAGACCTGTAGCCAGCATAGCACTGGGTCTCACCCAGCGACCACTGTAACCACTACCTGGCTATTGTCTATGTTTGCTGAAGACCCTAGGGCTCCACAATCAGGAGGTGACAAGGCTATCCAGGTTTGCATTCTTCTATTCAGGGTGGCAAACTCCCACAGGCCCTAAGCAGGTCCAGAGACGCTACTTGGGAGCTAGGGACTGGAATCAAAAACCTTAGAATTCTACCTGGTGTACTATTCTACTGTGGCTTAGCTGGCCCTCAAATTACAAAGCATAGTCCTTCTAACTCTTCTCTCCCTCCCCTTTCCACAGGCAGAGGAGCCTCTCTCTGTGGCCATCACCACTAAAAGGCCCACAGGCTGTACTTCTAGGCTACTACTGATGTTCACTGAATTCTCAAGGGCTCCTCAGTCAGCCTGTGGTGAATTTTGCCAGGCCTGGGACTCACCCTTCAGGGCACTAGGCTCTCCTCTGGCCCAGGACAGCTCCAGAAATGCTGTCCAAGAGCCAAAGCCTGAAGCTGGGGACCCCAAGAGCCTGCTTGGTGCTCTACCCCACTATGGCCAAGCTGGTACCTAAGGTGCTAAACCTAGTTCCCTTTGTTTTTCCCTCTGCTTTTCTCAAACAAGAGGTGTCTGTCTCCATAGCCATCACAGCCAGGAATTGCTGGGTCTCACCTGAAGCCAGCATGTCTCAGAGTCTCACCCAAGGCCCATGGCATACTACCTGGGTATCACTGCTGGTTATTCAGGGCCCAAAGTTTCTTTAATCGACAGGTGATGCATCCTGCCAGGACTTGTTTCTTCCCTTCAAGGCAGCAGGTTCCCTTATGGCCCAGAATGTGTCTAGTAATGTCATCCAGGAGCTAGGGCCTGAAATGGGGGCCTCACAACTCTGATCAGTACCGTATCCTGCTATGGCTGAGCTATTATCCAAGATGCAAGACAAAAGTCCTCTTTACTCTTTCCTCTTCTTTCCTCAAGTAGAAGGAAAGGGTCTCTTTTGAAGCTGTGAGCTGTGCTGCCTAGGGTTTGGAAAGGTGTAGCACAAGCAATCTCTAAGTTGTCTTGCTGGTGTTCCAGTAAGTCATGTATCTGTCCCCCACCCAGTCCACTGGCTCTGAGCTCAGCTCAGCCCTAGGACTTGCAGTCCTTGTGGCCTAGATTGCCTTTCAGAGTACTTCAGCGCACAGTGGCAAGGGTTGCTAAACTCAGGTTCCTACCGCTGAGATGGGCTATTCCCCTCTGGCTAAGGCTCACCTAAATGCTTCCTCCATAAACAGGCATCAGCTGAGTTCAGCCCAGTTTTTGCTTTCTTCTGTGACAGGGCAGCCCTGAATTCAGTATGAAGTCTCAATCACTGCACTCTCCCTCTCCCACGTGCACAGATTTCTCCATGCCATGCAGCTGTTGTGGAGAAATGGCAGAGGGGTAGTGTTGGTAATACGACTGTCATTCCTATCCTCTTCAGTGTCTCTTTCAGTGATATGAAGTTAAAAACCGGTAATGTGAGTGCTTAACTGATTTTTGGTTCTTATGAAGGTGCTTTTTCGTGTAGCTGGTTGTTGAATGTGGTGTCCCTATTGGGGGGAATAATCAATGGGGACTTCTATTCTGCCATCTTGCTCTAACCCCTTCCAGCCTCTTTTGCCTCTTTTTCTTTACAAAAAAAATTTACGATTTTCTTGAAAGGAGCCACGTTGGTTGAGTAGAAGCTGTGCCATGAGAAACACAAATCCTGCCATGGAAGCTTTAGGAAGCTGTACAGTACTGGCTGAACACACAGTGGGTCTCATTCTGACTTTAGCCTCCAGATTATCTCAATTACCCCTGGCTGAAAATGCTCATGGAAGCCTGAATGTCTGTTCTTGGCATGGAGGCCCATGCTAACAAGGCATCACTGGTCAAGAGAGCTTCCTGGCAATGTCATATAAATGATAGTACCAAGGTAATATCTCTAGAAAGGAAAACAAGTCAAAAACGCAGCTCTTAAAATATTTGCAAAGCAGTCACCAACACCCAAATGCTTCTTTTGTCTCACTTGCTTCTTTTGTCTTTCTACGGCATAATACATTGGCTCTTCTCCTTAGGGAGCTGCACCTGCACAGTGCAAGCCTGTGAAGCAACCCTCACCATTAGCTGCTTCTATTGCTGCCCTCTTGGCATGTTACTGCTCTCATTGCTCATTTTTCCTTCCCTTTCACAATATCTAATTTGCCAATTATGAAGAGCACAGTGATATCCTTGAGAAAGGGAAAACAAACCCAAGAAATCATCCTTGAAATAGTTCCATAATATATTCAGCTTGAACCCATATTAGTTATTTCCATGAAGAGATAGTCAAAATAAGTCCCTTGAGGGTGGTTCTAGATGTTATGTGCATTTTTTAAGAGGTATTCAAGCACAAATAAAAATTAAGTGTCATCTGGTGTCACTGTTTGGGTCTAATTTGCATGCATTCCTCAGGAAGCCCTGGGGTAGTCAGGCAGGCCCTGGGGCTCAATAAGTAGAGAAATTCCCAGGCCCCATAGGAGGGACTGTGTATAGAATTTTGGAGCTTATGGTTTAACTACACACACTGCAATCCTAGGAGTGGACAACCAATGCATGCCACATGCTTCAAATTGTGCAACAGATAGGTAGTAAAGTGAACTGAGCTTGAGTCTCCCTTAGTGCTGTCTCTGAAGACATACATAACTAAACCCCAAAGAGGCAACTTTATGAGAAAAGAGAGAAAAATACTATTTGAAAGGTAAGCATCTTTCCAGCAGAGATGACCCATGAGGGAGATAACCAAGTGGCTCAGGTTAGTTAGTGTGTGGATATCTAGTAACCAAGAGATTTGAGTGCTGTAGGAACCAGATTATGATTGAGCACTAGCGATGTCCATGATCCCACTGACTGAGATCCGAGAGCTCAAGGTTGCTAGGTTCCATGCTTTAAAAACTGTAGTTTATCTATTGTTCCATAGACACACATGCATATTCCATCAACAGTTCTCCTGGCTAGAATATCCAACACCTTGTAATCTTAATCTTTCTAGCCTTCCACTGGAGAAAGTGGAGCACACTTTCTCCAGACCATTCCAGTCCACTATGATCACTTCTGCCTCTGAGCTTCAACAATCTTCATATTGTACTTAAGTACTATCTTGCATTGCCATCTGTTTTTATGTACATTTCTCATCTCCCAAAAAGTTATTCCTGAAGCTCCTTGAAGTCAAAAGAGTCAGGGGTGGGTACCTCATATTATTCTCTTATGTATCCTCCTTAGTACTCAGCACAGTGCATTTGATGTAGTGGATGCTCGATAGATACAAGTTGAAGAGATGTGTAAATGAACAAGAAAAGTACTGTAAATAGTTCTACCATCTATACCCCACATTAGCACACCCAGGGCTGCCTTAAATGCTTTACTATGTATTACTATTTCTTATTTCTTGGCATGGAGAATAGTCATATCCACTTCATCAACATGGACCAAGATGGCTAATCCCTGTGGACTGTGCTATGGATAACTTGATTCCCAGGTGCCCTTCAGACAATAAAGTAGTCTTTCATTCTTCTATCCAATCCAGGTGACATTCCGAACACATATATGCAGAGCACTGCTTGATATGCTACAAGGTATACAAGGGTGTATGAAAATATAATTCTTACTTTCAAGAAACATGCAGTATAGAGAGATAGTCACACTGGTACTTAATTTCAAATGGCCTTTTTCAGTTTCTTGTGAACAAAAATGATGATTGGTATAAATACAGAGGTTTAAGAGGAACACTGATAGGGAGGGGACCTGTTAAGGTAGGCTTGACAAAGCAGGTGTCATTGGACCCTGGACTTGGATGATGAGTCAGACTTGAGGTAAGACCAGGAATGATCCTAGACCTTCAGGCTGAATTGTTTGGTGAAGGCCAAACAAGATTTGAATCCTGAGTTGAATGAACTGAATCAGCTGAAAGAGTTTAAGACAAGCAGTTCAGACTTAGGTTACAACCTCCAGACAGGAACAAATTTGGTCTTGAAGGTTGCTATTAAGGGCAAATTTGGCAGGATATTTGCTCTGAAAATCAGAAGGCTACTTCCAATAGTGGAGATATGATAGAGCACCTTTTCACAATAGAAAAGGGAAACCAGTCAAGAGACACATATTTGCTTGGCATAGTTTATTAAGTATGCCAATTGATACAACCATATGTCAATAACTATGCCCCATATAAACTATGCTCCAAAATATGTGCTTAACTGAAATGATAAGACTTACCAGGTAGTGTTATAATCACTGTGTCAGCTTCTATGAATGCATTATTTGAGTCAATGCAAACATATGGCAAGCAGTTTGCCTGGGCACCAGAAAACTTTCCTGACTGAAATAGAAAAAGATAGGAGGTCTAAAAAAATCCGTCTCACAATACACCTCCACTCCTATCATGGAGAAGAAATAGCTGTCCATTTGAATTGATAATCTTTTACCAGATAGTAATTCTGTGTCATTGTAATTCCTGTATTGAACCCAGCTGTGAGGCATTCTAAGATCTTGGCTATAAGAAGTTTATAAATGGGGAAAGTGATTAATGGGTAGAAATAGACTGGAGTATAGACATCTAACTCTACTCTAAAGGAGGGCCTGGGTCACTTGTAAGTGGCCCAACTCCCTGGAGAACTTGGAGCTCATCCAAAAACTAAGACAATATTCCTCAAAATACCTTCCCCAGACTTCTTGAGTAGAATATTTTTGAATAAAAATCTTTGAACCTCACTCTATAAATCAGTCTGTCTGTGGGTAGAATGCTGTAATCTACATTTACAAACAAGTTCCTCAGCTGATTCCTATACACACTAAAATCTGAGAACTTCATATTTAAGAGCCATTGTGGGATAGTCAGAGTATCTAGGCCAGTGGTCCTCTAACATCAACATGCATCAGAACCTCCTGGAGGTTAAAAGCAGTTTGCTGGGCCCCAGCTCCAGAGATTCGGATTCAATAAGTCTGAGTGAGAATGAGGATTTGCATTTCTTACAAGTTTCCAAGTGATAATAATACTGCTGGGCTAGGGACCATACTTTGAGAACCACTCAATAACAAAAAGACTCAAGAGTTTGCAGCAAGTGGTTCCATGTGGTCTCCTTGATTTAGAGCAAGACAGAAAGAACTTGGATGTACAGGAAGCAAGGTGAATATCCCTTTGGTGAGAAAACGTTAGTAAGAGTTAGACAAGACGGGCAGGTCCCAACCATGCAAGTTGGGTCCAGGGAAGACTGCACAAATGAAGAAACCTTAGTGCATTTGGAAACCAAGGCAGGAGCTTCTCTAGACATGGGCTTTTTAGGTCAGAGTCAGAGTGTAGGGAAGAAATGGGGCCATGCCCGGCAGGGCTGTCAGATAAGGCAGGGCATAGCAATGGCTCCTTCATCTAGCCAAAGGGGAAGGCTAGTAGAAGTACAACCAAAAAAAAAAATGACAGAATGAAACAACAATAATAAGTTACAAGGGCAAGCTAGCATACTCAAACATTGTGGATACCAAATGGGAGGACTTGAGCAATCAGAAAGTAGGACAGAGATGAAGCAACAGGACAATGTGCAATAGAGAAGGTGTGAGACTCAGATAGGAAGTTCAAAGATTCCAGCTACACATGATCTACAGGCATGGGTCACTGTGCATTTCCTACATTTTGCTTAAGTCTTAGTACAACATGGTTGAGTTTAGGAACTAACACAGCAAGATCGAAAAGTGAAAGCAAACAGCTCAGGAAGCACATCCTACGCCCAACAGGCTGAAGGAGAATTAAACATGAAGCCTAATTCCCTAGGTTTGCCAAGCATTGTCTTGTCAAGTGGCAGGACTGAGACTGAACATCAAAGGCCATCAATGCCCACAAAACAGACTAGAAGCAGAGCGACAAGGAAGGAAAGGAATTGAGGAGGGGATTCATTTCTGCCCATCAGGAGTTAACCATTTTACCTACCCCAAGTTTTACAGTTGCACTTTCTTATTTCTTAGATTTATCTAATTACACAAGTAATATACAAATGTGTTCTGATAAGCACTTCAAGCAATAAAAATGCATCTAGGAAAAATACTAAAAGTTCCTTTTTACCTGCTCATCCCCAATCAGGTTTGAGTATAAGTATTTAAATGCACATGTCATTGTTTATGATTTTTTTTGTTGTTGTTTCCCTAACAAAAATAGGATCACACTCTAGATACTGATCTGCCACTTGTGTTTTGTGTTTCTTTTTTGTTTACTGTTTTTGCATCTTCTGACATGACTCTGCATCTTGGACACATTTCCATATTAGCACATAGAGAGTCTATCTTATTCTTCCTAATAGCTGCATGGTATTCTATAATATGGATGTGTCTTTATTTAATGTTTTTCCTTTTTTCCTATTTATTTATTTAGAGACTGTGTCTCACTCTGTCACCCAGACTGGAATGCAGGATCTTAGCTCACTGCAGCCTTGAATTTCTAGGCTCAAGCAGTCCTCCTGCCTCCTACAGCCAAATGTCACCATGCCTGGCTAATTTTTTAAAATTATTTTTCTTAGAGACAGGGCCTCACTATGTTTTTCAGACTGGTCTCAGACTCCTGGGCTCAAGGCATCCTCCTGCCTGGGCCTCCCAAAGCACTGGGATTACAGGCATGAGCCACTACCCTCAGCCTAACCTTTTTTTTTTTTATTACTGGAAATTTAGGTTCTTTCCAGTTTTTCTCTATTACAAATACATTCTATACTGATGATCTTTGAAAGCCTGAAGGAACATGTCTACAGGATGGATTGTAAAAATAGGATTGCAGAATCAAAAGGTATATGCATATGCCAGATAGTTTCTGCCTGTCACTGCAGACCCACTCGTACCCTTTAGCACCCTCTTTCTTGCCCAAGAAGACTGACCCATATGGACTATAACTATAGGCTCCCTTGCCTCTGGCTTCTGTTTGGATTTTGCTAGTGGGAGGTACAGGGAAGAGATTGGAAGAAAGGAAGAGAGTGACTCTGGGTTATTTGTTTCTCTCAATACCCTCCCTGCTATCGGAGTAGATTGGCTGTATCATTTTGTCAAAGGCCACAGCTCCTGGCAAGCTGACCCTTCCATACAGTTCCAAGTTCTGCTAACCACTCCTTACTCTCACCCCTCAGACCTAGGGTAGTAATGGTTTGCTGCTCTGGCCAACCATCCCTTGTTGGCTTCCCTAAGCCCTTTATCGCATGCCCTCAATTACCCAGTTTGAAAGTGCCATCTGTTTCATGCCAGGACCTTGACTGATACCATGCATTTTGAATTTTGATGCACGTTCCTAAATTGCCTACTAAAAGGCTGTAGCCATTTGTCCTCCTACCAACAGTGTGTGAGTGCCCAGTTAACCCACTTCGTGCAGACTGCTAGGGGGAGTACTGGATAAGCAAGAGCTTAAATGCTTTGAAATTCAATGATGTACACAATGATGGCCAATTCTTCACGATTGATAAAAGGTCAGAGCTGCTTAAGATTCCCCTCTCCCTGTGCCATTAAAGAATAATTCTCGTGCTGACCAAAGACCTTCAGAAAAGTTCTCTGTGACTTTTGTTCTCAATCAAACGTCCCTTTTTTAAACCTCAGTGCACCATTTCCATGACTATTGGCAGGCTCAGCCCACATGCATTGAAGCAGAACTATTACTGAGCCAAAAGGAACATTTCTCTTGGTATCAGATGCCAGTTTCATGGGTTGGCTTAATCACAAATTCCACAGGAATCTCAAGAAAGGCTCTGAATAAGCAACATAACTAGCCATGCCTGTTTTAGGGAGTATTCCTCAGAGAATCCTGGAAATAGGACAAACTGCAATGGACTCACAAAGTGTTGAGTGTCAAAACTGTTTCTGGGGGCTGGGTGTGGTGGCTCACGCCTGTAATCCTAGCACTTTGGGAGGCCAAGGTGGACAGATCACCTGAGCTCAGGAGTTCGAGACCAGCCTGGGCAACATGGGGAAACCCCATCTCTACTAAAAAATACAAAAAATTAGCCAGGCATGGTGGTGCACACCTGCAATACCAGCTACTTGGGAGGCTGAGGCAGGAGAATCACTTGAACCTGGGAGGCGAAATTTGCAGTAAGCCAAGTTCCCGACACTGCACTCCAGCCTGGGTGACACAGCGAGACTCTGTCTCAAAAAAAAAAAAAAAATCAACAAGTCTTTGTAGCTGATGATTAGACTATAGATGCTAAAACAAAATTCAGGAGAAAACATTCTCCAAGAATTTATTGGGGCTGCTGAAGGTGTTTTTCTCAGCCATCGTAGAGGAAGAAATGGCACTGAGAAAGCTTCTAAGGGTCTCTGTGCATTAAGCCATTTCATCTGGCAGCTTTATGGTTGAGATTCTTCCCTTATATTCCTCATTAAGGCAGAATTCTCTCTTGTTGCTACTTAACTGGAGTCCGATGTCCAGAATCCCCTCATCTTCCACTGCCTGTTCAGCTTGCAGAATTCTGATTTTTCTTCATTATATCCTCATTGTCAGAACATGATCATCTTTTCTCCAGTCTATTACAATTGTCCAATATCTATTCATACGCATATGTTAATATTACATGAAGATTTTTTTTAAACCAGCCTTACTAGAATAAAAGAATCTCTTTTAAAAAGATTCTTAATTGGGGCATTGCCTTATAACACTGTTTCCTGAATGTAAAAAGCTATGGGAGGATGGCACTGTCTGGTCTGTTGTTTCCAGCAGAAAAATATTGTCACTTAGCTGTTGAAATAACTGCTTCAGCTTTACACCTCCTTTGTGGTAGGAACAGTGACGGATCAGGCAGCAAGGTTTGTTTACTTAAGGTAAAATGGCAGATTTTATCACAATAATGCAATGGTTTGAGTTTCATTTATAAAGATGACACTATTGACCTACCGCAAGGAGAAGAAACACATGTGCCTTGAATTATTTTTATGTTTTGTGTTTTTTTGTTTTGTTTTTTACCAAATTGGGCTGAGGCATCCACAGCCTCCTGTTCATACTTCCTTATGGTCAAAAGCCAGCATGGTGGATAACAGGGGCCACAGAGGCTAGAAGAAAAATTCCACTTGGTTTAGATCTTAAGGCTAACAACTGCCACCCTGTACTGCTACCCTCATAGTGATTACTAACATTTTTTGAGCTCCAGCAATGTGCTTGCCACAATGCTATGAACTTTATGAGCATTGCCCCTTTAATCTTCGCACAACTCTAAGAGGTCAGTACTATCATTATTCACATTTCACTGAGGCACAATAAACAGATTAGTGATTTGCCCAAGGTCACACAGCTTAGAGATGGCAGAGTTCAGATTTCAATCCAAATGTCCTAAGTCAAACTCACCAGTAGCAGAGCCTGAGATAAAATTCAGGTGCAAGTTATTCATTAAGCATGTGGTACCAGAAGAAACCAACAAAGGAAGTGGGGGACAGAATATTTATCACTTTTCTCATTGCTACACTAAAAAGTACCTCAAAACCTAGTGACTTAAAATAACAACAAATAGTTATCTTCTCATATTTTTCTGTGGGTCAGAAATCTGGAGTAGCTTAGCTGGGTGGTTCTGGCTTAGGGTCTCTTATGAGGTTGTAGTCACATTGTCAGCTGGGGCTGCAGTCATCTGAAGGATTGACTGAGGCTGGAGGATCCACTTCCAAGATGGCTCCCTCATGTAAATGGCAAACTTGTACTGGCTATTGGAGAGAGGGCTCAGTTCCTTGCCACATGAACCTCTTCATAGGACTACTTGAGTGTCTGCTTCACAAGGCAAATGGCTTCCCCCAGGGAGGACAGACCAATACAGAGCAAGGTAGAAGCCACAGTGAATTTTATGATCTAGCCTTGGAAGTCACACATATCATTTTCACAATATCCTATTGGTCACCCAGGTAAGCCCTATTTATTGTGGAAGGGGACTCTACAAAGGCATGAAAACCAGAAAACAAGGGTCGTCGGAGGTCATTTTGGAGGCTGGCTACCACATATGCCAAGAAGGGGTAGAAGCCAAACAAGAGTAAGATTTCACGCAAAGTCCCTGCCTCACCCTGATCCTACTGTGAACTCTGAAGTGTTAGTTGCATCTCAAAGTTTGTCCCACTCCAAGAAAAAAAGATCCAGGCTTTTGTGGTCCTACAACAGTAAGATATAGGCATGGCCTGTGAACTTCCAGGCTCTGGCTGTCTATGCAAAGGAAACAGCTCCAATAACCGAAAAGATAGTACCAGAAAGGTCACAGATGTTATTAATAGCTACTGATAGCACACAGAAGCTGGGAGCTGGGCTCAGAGATTCGGTAAATGGAACAGAGGAAATCTAGGTGAGGCCCTAACAACTTCCTTCTACTTTTGGTTATATCCTACTCTAGAATCCCCATTCTTAAATACTATCTTGCAACATTTGGCTTTTGACTTTGTTAAGATCTTCTGCTTTAAAACTGTGACCAAGAAATGCACACACTTCTCTAGAGAGAAATGTGACTTTCTTGAAGCCCTTCTTGATAGTCATTATGCTCTCCATCTTGCTTATCTAGGGTTTTAAATAATATACTTAAATATATATTATATATTACATATTTATATATAAATACATAGTATATATTTAATATGTAATACACATTTATTATACCTTAATAAATATTTATATATTAATAATATATACTAATTATATATTTACATTTAAATATTATATATACATTATATATAATTTTACAGTCTCAATGAAATAGTTCAATAGACAAAATTCACTTTTGTCAAGATTTGTTGGTGTTTTTCTGTCCTTTGGACTCCTCATCCTGACTTCTCACCAATTATTTGTTGTATTCACTTCTAGTTCTGTGCCAACTTCTAACTAACTACTAAACCCAACCTATTACTTTCCAGGGCAAATAATGTTCTACTGTATAACTCCTTCCAAGGACTTTCAAAATAGAAACTCTTGAATGTGTGTGTGTGTGTGTGTGTATATATGTATGTATATATATGTGTGTGTGTGTATATATATGTGTATGTCTATGTGTATATACTGCATGTGTATATATATGTGTGTGTACATATACATATAAATATATACTGAAACTATTCTAAAAATTAGTCAGACTCTCATATCTGTCGGTGTTGGAGAGAAATTCAGTCCTAACCAGTCCAAGCTTGAGTGCACCAAAATTGACAAAAGCTTCCTAAGATTTTAGTGTATACACACACACACACACACACACATGCACCCCAAGGAAGCCAGGAAATGAGGCTAAGCAATCCAATGGCCAATAGGATAAATAATTTAAGGAACCCAGCATTCTCATCCTCAAACCTCATAGAGCCAAACATAGAGTACTCCAAAATTAGACTTTTTAAAAATTTACTTCTTTTTGCATTTTCTTCCTCGGTGTTGGTGGAAGGGACATCAAGAGCAATCCTATAATGATGTGGCTTTTTTGAAGGGAATTAGATTAATTAAAAGCAAGTCAATCTTTCATCTACACAGTTCAAAAAGTGAGTTTTTTGGCCAATAAACTATGAAAAACGTCCAACATCACTAATCATCAGAGAGGTGCAAATCAAAACCACAATGAGATACCACATACCAGTTAGAATGGGTGATTATTAAAAAGTCAGAAAATAACAGATGCTGGGGAAGTTGCAGAGAAAAGGGAACACTTATACACTGTTGGTAGGAATGCAAATTAGTTCATCCACTGTGGAAAGCAGTTTGAAGATTCCTCAAAGAACTAAAAATAGAATTACCATTGGATCCAGCAATCCCATCCCATCAATCTACCAAAAAGACATGCCCTTGTATGTTTATCAAAACACCATTCACAATAACAAAGACATGGAATCAACCCAGGTGCCCATCAATGGTGAATTGCATAAAGAAAGTGTGGTACATATACACCATGAAATACTACATAGTCATAAAAAAGAATGAAAGCATGTCCTTTGCAGTGACATGGATACAGCTGGAGGTCATTATCCTAAGCAAATTAACACAGAAACAGAAAACCAAATACCACGTCTTCTCATTTACAAGTAGGAGCTAAATATTGGGTACACATGGACACAAAGATGAAAATAATAAACACTGGGGGTTCCGATAAACACTGGGGCTTCCAAAAGCGAGGAGGAAGGGAGGGTAACAACGGTTGGAAAACTACCTATCAGGTACTCTCTTCACTACATTGGCAGCGGGATCATTAGAAGCCCAAACCTCAGCATCACACAATATACCCATATAACAAACCTGCACATGTATCCTCTGAATTTAAAAAAAAAAAAAAAGGAATTAAAAACTACTGACTTTTGAGACTTTGGTGTATACTTTTCTTCTGCTTACTTCAACAGTTGAGCTTTAATTCTCTTATAAGCCACAACACTTTGTTATATTTGTTAAACTATTTTAATATAGTGTGGGGCATGCCTACAGCACTCTCACAATAATACTGCCAAGTTGTCTCTAGATTTACTCTGAAATCAATTGAATTCAAATTGAAACAGTAATTAATGCTAAAGTTCCTTCCTCTGTTTTCAGCAAGCTGGTGTCTGTTTCCATGGAAACAGGCTGTCACTGCACCCTGCAGTAAAAACGTCAGAGATAGCTTATCAATTTTGGTGAGTTCAAGCTGGTATCTGCTGCGACTAAATTTCTCTAACATCAACAGATATGAAAGTCCAACTAATTTCTGCCATTACAGGTGTTTTTTCACAACCAAAACCAAGGACTAGTTATCTGAGGAAAAGAGTATTACCTAATGATTGCTGACCCAAACTTTTAGCTGCAGCATCTATCTATAGGTAATTGCCTAGTGCCTCTTTTCATAATTTTGTTTCAAGTTGATTTGTGTTTTAGAAGTTACCTATTTGAACTTCCATCAGTCAGGGGGATAGAATGCTTCCAGAATTCTTTTATAATTTAAAAAGTGTTATCAAATCTGCAGTAATCTAATGTCTGTAATATGCTTTATTTCTTATATTTGTCATTTAAGTAAGCAGGCCCATTTAATTCAATAAATGTTTTTTGAGGGATCTAAGTTTTAGGCCAGGAATTTTCAAACCGTGTAAGAATTCCCTGGTGATTTTATTTAAGAAGTAGTATTATAGGCCTTATCCCTTAGAGATTCTGCTTTCAGTGTATCTGGGGTGGGGCCCAGCACACTAAATTCCCCATCTCCCCATCTGCA
Source organism: Homo sapiens (assembly GCF_000001405.40). NCBI lineage: Eukaryota > Metazoa > Chordata > Mammalia > Primates > Hominidae > Homo > Homo sapiens. The sequence continues at coordinate 42,531,023 of NC_000023.11, read as the reverse complement.
GATGATTTGAAAACCACTTCCCTAGGCTCTTTTTCTAGGAGCTTTGGATGCAAAAATAAAGAAGTTAATCTGTGCCCTTCAAGTCTAGCACATGGGGAAAACATACCAAAAATATATTACAACACATAGTCTTAAAATGCCCAGTAATCCAGGGACACCCAGAACCCCTATATTAAAAGGGGACCCCATGGTTCCTTCTATCTTTCAGCTCAAAATTGCACCACAAGTTTGTTAGTATATGAGGCTTCCAATTAATATGAACAAGGGGAATAGTTGAGACATATGTTCCTGGGGACTAGGAGTAATCATTAGCCTCAGGCAAAGTGAGAAGAGGAAGGAAATTTTAAAAGAAAGGGAGGAAAAGACAAATAGACCCTCCACTCAAAGGAGGGACAGAGCAATTAACAGGTAAGACAGATAGATAAAGAACAAAGAAGAAAAACCATAGATACATACAAGAGGAAATGCTCTGGGGTGAAGACATCTGGGTGCATCAGTGGTGAGAGTATTTACTTCTCTCTACCTCTAGATCTTGGGCTTTCTTAACTGTTGGTATATTAAGTCAAGATCCTTAAAAGTGGACCATAAAATCAGAAGTCATATGCAAGCAATTTATTAAGGATATTTTTCCCAGGAAAAAACACTAAGGGAGTGGAAGAAATAGGTTGGGAAAGGGGAAGAAACCAAGCAAGGGTACAATTACAAGCAAAATCCTATAGAGGGTAGCTTCTGCCTTATCCTGCAAGGAAACTAACTCTATAGTCTGAGTTATGCCTCAGAGTCACTGCTGCCAAAAGTAAGTGAGCTGAGCTTTTATACTCCCATACTTATTAGTCATTGATTGAGGGCAGCCATGGGCTAACTTGTACACGCAAGCACTCCCAGCTCCCAGACATGCAGGCAGAGCCTCCAGTAGCCCAAGGGCAAGCCTCCAAAGAAGAATGTCAGGTGTTAGGTTTTCAAAGCTAAAGCATACCAAGGCCAAAAGAGGGGGATCTAAAAAGGATAAAAGGGATCTGAGAAGATTTTAGCACCAACAATGTCTGCCACAGTGATCTAAATGCTGAAAGCATACTGTAATCAACATAGCAAATTCTAATGAGCTGGATTCTGAAACTTGAGGATTACTCAACATATCAGGACTCCATCATTTGTGGGGAGGGGAGATTCACTACAAGTGGAAGAAAATACCAAATACAGCATATCTTACAGTGTTATGGGTGTAGCGATGAACCATGTGCAGACAAAACAAAAAGGAGAAAATTATCAACTTTGGTTGGGGGTAGAATGGGCTGTGGGTGACCAACGGTGGCATTCTGCAAGAGGTATTGTCTAAGTTGGGATTTTAAGAATGAACAGTGAACCTCTCGACACAATGTGGAAGCAAGCCCATATTGTAAGGCATTGCATCTGCTCCAATATATTGCATGACTGACAAACTATAACAACCAAAAATAGTCATAAGCAGGCTTGCAAACCAAATACATATTAGATCTGAAATGGAACAGAAACACATAATGGTGAAGTACTGAGGCCATGGGCCTGGTAGGCTTGCTGGGCTCTGAGACTACAGCAGCCTTTGGTGACTGGCAGTTTACCTTCTATAGGGTAAAGGGACTAAAAACACCTCATATAAAGTGAGGAAACAGAGCCTGGCCTATCAACTGAAGCAACAGGCTGGGATATACCTCCCCAACTCCTAGAAAGAGGCTGAAAAACACAGCTGTGCCTGTAGTTAATGACAGACAGCTTCAAGCTAGCAAAGAGAGAAGAGGCAGATGTAGGAACTAGGCCAAGCTGACAGTTAGCATAGAGAATGTATTTGCCACATCACCAACATCACCAGGGCAGAAAGCACTGAGCTGATTCTGCACTGGGGGTCTGGGACCCAAGTGGAAGGGAGGAGTGAGCAGATTGGAAAATATACAGAGACAAAGTGTTTAATTACAAAGCAGAATGAACCAAGATTAAGTAGATATAGAAAAGAGAAATACAGAGAAGAGTCTGTGGATATAATGGACATTACTGATGATAGGCTATGAGCTCCAAGACCTATTGGAAGGGATTTGGTGATTGGGAAGCAGTGAGATCTTTGGTGAGTTTGAGGCTGTACTGAGACCTATAGAGAGAACAGAATAACTTTAAAGTTGAAGGAAGAGAAGAAGCCTAAAATCAAAAGTGCTTTCCAAGAAACATGTTGAATAAATAAATATAAATCCTTACTCAAGTACATAATAAATGTGGTGAATAAAAATATGGAAGAAAAAATGCTATAAAAGAGTTATCATGCAAAAAGGGAAGATTGCCTACTAAAGAATAATAATTAGACTGTCAGCAGAATTCATATCAGCAATAAATGCTAGAAATCAATGTAAGATCATATCTTTGTGGTGCTAAAAATAAACTATCAACCTATAATTTTATACCCAGATTAAGTATTATTTATTAGTTAAGGTAGATGGAGAGAATAACAAAATTTTCAGATATACAAATATTAAGAAGGTTTACCACTCATAGATCCTTACTAAAAGAGATATTATAGGATGTTCTTTAGGAAGAAAAAATAAATACTGGAGGAAAGAGTAGGTTAAAAAATAACAAGAAAACATAAAGTATAATTCATTATTTTTCGTAAAAAATATTTTTCTTACAAATGGTAAAACTAAATCTCTAGCCATCAATAATAAGATGGGTGCTATTTTACGGGTAGTAAAAGCATGATAAAGTCTTTAGTAAGTTAGGGAAAAGACCAAAATTAGGAAATGATTCTGTACAGTATTAAAAAAAGACATAAATATATATGTCAAAGTGTTAAGGATAACTAGTAAAAAAAAATTAAAAGCATCTACTGTCAAAATAAGTAAAGAATAGAAATATAGAGAAAAATGTATCAATCCACGTACTAACTTCCTTTTTATGCAAAAAGATAGTGAATACTAAAAAAAACCTCCATCTATATACTTCATATAAAAAAGACTTCTCAAACAAAACCATAGAGAAAGTTTTAAAATAAAAAGATGGGAAAACTATACCAGGAAGACATTAAACAAAAGAAAACTGGTATAGTCACATTAACATTAAACAAAACAGATTTAAGTGAAAAGCATTATTAAGGATAAGTAGGAATGTTACATTAAAACAAAGAGTCAGTGTAAAAAAATATAACCATCAGTATTATAAATCATAAATTTAAGTGCACCAAATAATATAGCCTCAAAACACATAAAGCAAGATGTGTTACAAGGAAAAATTGTTAAGCCCAGTATTAGATGAATATTAAACATAATTCTATCATAAATTGATAGATCAAGCAACTAAAGTAAGAGCATAGGTTTGAGACTTGAAAAACGGTTTGTAAGTATATATATATGTATATATACATATATATATACTTACATACATATATTTATATACAGAAAGAGAATGGCATGAACCCAACAGAGACCATAGTTTAAGTACACTTGAAACAATTACAAAAGTTGACCAAACACTGTGTCACAAAAATAATCTCAAAAAGTATGAGGAATTGATATCTTATATATCATATTTTATGACCACAATGCAATTAAATTAAAAAAAAACTTAAAAATCAAAAGTAGTTCTATTTCTTTGCATAGCTTCACAGTTCGTCCTAAAATAGTCGGTTGGCTCTACCTCGAGTCTTTTGGGGATTATTCTCCTCAAAGTTAGACGCAATTCCCACCAAAGCTTAAAACATTTTAGGATGCTAACACAGATAATTACCTTGTAAAGTTATGGGCAGTATATTATTGCTTTTGCACACTGACAGTCAGTCTGATTGCCAGAAAGATTTGATTGTTTGAGGTTATTGCTAGAAAAAAAGGTTATATTTTATTATTGTCCCAGTTAAATCAGTAGGAAGACTGAAGCAAATAGAAGTATTCTGCCTGCAGCCACTAAGAATTCTAATAAACAAAACCTAATTCACTTAATTTCCAATTATATTCTATTAGCTGGACCTGTGGATCATATGTAATAAAATGATGGGATTTTTTTCAGGGTTAAAAATAAAATATAATTGAAGAATCTTTTAAGTGTGTATACTTTCGAAACTCAAGGGCTAAGAATTTCAGGTTAAAGAGAAACCACAAGAGAAATTTTTAAATGTTTAGAAAGTAAACTTTAACAAAAGAATTACATCAAAATTTGGGAGCTACAGCTAAAATGGCAGTTAGAGAAAATCAGTAGCTTAAATTCATTGTTTAAAATATTAAATGGATTCAAACTAAAGGTAAGCATTCAATGGAGAAGTTAGAAAAAATATAATTAAACCTAAAGTATGAAGAGAAAAAAATAATAAATATGAGAGAAATGTAGTGAAATAGAAAACAAAAAAAATAGAGCAGATCAACACACTGAAAAGAAGGTTGTTTCAAGAAACAATAAAGCCCCTATCTCCAAATAAAGCCATATTCTGAGATAATTACAAGCGGAAAATGTACATAAATGCAATATTAAGTATGCAAAATCCTACATAACAGTACAGATTTTTTTAAATAAAATAATTCTGTGTTGAATTCTATTCAGGTCAGAACAGGAATAGGATTCCTGAATGGGCAGACTAGGAAGTAGGAATAGGAATTCCCAGGAAAGGAAGAATTAATAAGAAACCCAAATGACCAACAAACAAATGAAGAGACGTTCATCTTCATTAATAAGCAAGAAAACGCAAGTTAAAACACAAAGTAACACCATTTCATATTTTAGCGTATCTATTCTCATTTCTTTTTTTTTTTGTTTTTTACTTATAAACTTTATCCTTTCTATCTATTGCTGTTTACATAGAAAATAAAAGAGAATTTTGAATAAAATAATTGGATTTAAGATTTGGCAAGCTTGTTCAATATATCATTAACATACAAACATCAACAGCATTCCTATATATTATTAACTAATTTTTAAATGCTATTGAAAAAACACTCCATTTACAAGGAACAATAGTCATTAGGTATCTAGAAATAAGCTTAGCAAATATGTACAAGACATCTCTAGAGAATAATTTCACCGCAATTTCGATTAAAATCCAAACAGGATTTTACATAAACCTTGACAAACTAATCCCAAGAGTCATATGACAATAGTAAAAAAATTATGAATAACTGGATACAGGGGCAGCATTGTTTGCCATATCAAATATTATAACCATTGTAAAATTATAGTAGTTAATACTGCATGGTACTAGCATATGGCTAGATAAATATGGTCTTTCCATATACGCATAAGTTTATTTCTGGACAATTTGCTCCACTTGCTTATGACAGATGTGATCTTACAAATCAGTGGGGGAAAATGTGGATTATACAACAAATGGTATAATAAAACAACCTCAGATTTCTAACCCTCATAATATGTGAATGCATTCTAGGTTGAAGAAAGACTTTTGTTGTATAAAACATTTATTTATTGGTCTTTTGGGGGAATTAGATGCATCACTACTGTATTACAAGTGAGCCATTAATTCTGTAGCTTCATCAATATTAGCTGGTTTTCTTTCATGACCTGCTGAGGAATCAGTTCATTCTGCAGAGATTCAAAAGAAAGGCCCTTTGAGAAGCATGCAAGCTCCTTTTGTATACTTACAAAAGCTTTATTCACTTTGTTAACTTTTTCATCATTCATAATATTTATCCTCTTAATATTAGTAGTAACTGGTTTTGCTTTGTTTTTAGCCTTAAAGGTTTTTTTTTTTTTTTTTCCCTTGGCTGGCTATGTAAAATACATTTCTGGACTTCCGCCCTCTTTTTTTTTTTTTTTCCTGAGACAAATCCTCCTTCTGTCACAAAGGCTGGAGTGCAGTGGCAACATCAAGGCTCATTGCAGCCTCAACCTCCCACCTCCTGGCTCAAGTGATCCTGCCACCTCAGCCTCTCAAGTAGCTGGAACCACAGGCCCATGCCACCACACTTGGCTAATTTAAAAATTAATTTTTTTTTTTTTTTGCAGAGACAGGGGGTCTCACTTTTTTGCAGAGATGGCTGGTCTCAAACTCCTGGGCTCAAGTGATCCTCCTGCCTTGGCCTCCCAAAGTGCTGGGATTACAGGTGTGAGCCACTGCACTCAGCCAGCCCTGTTCTCTTGATTTGTTCTTGGCCATTGTCTGTGATACCTGGATGCAGCTCATTAAGCTCCAGGTGACTCCATACACCTGAATAATGACTTCAATGCAAAATGTAAAACTTTAGAACTTTTAGAAAAAGTTACAAGGATTTTCTTTATAACAGTATGGGCATTTCAGTTTTCCATTTCTGACAAGGTACACTGAGTCTGAAAACAACAATTTGTTATTTCTCATGATTCTGTGGGTCAAGAATTCAGGCAGGGATCAGCTGGAATGTTTTCTGTTTTATGTGGTGGCTAGGATAATACACTCAGCTGCATTTAATTGGTGACTGAGCTGGCTGGAATGTCCAAGAAATATTAACTCAATTATGTGGTGCCTTGATGCTCCTTTATGTGAACTCTCTATCTCCACATGGATAACCTGGGCTTGCTCACAGTACGGTGATCTCATATTTCTTATATCACTTCCATGGCATCCTGTTGATCAAAGAAAGTCACAGAGGCAACCCAGACTCAAGAGGAGTCTGATAGGTGGAACAACAAGCTAAATTGTAGGCTGGCTAGTTTTCCAGAGAGAAATAGGGAAAGACAAAGTTGAAGAGCCCTTCTGAAGTAATAACTAATTTCAAATAGTATCTTTGGGAACTATCCTTTCAAAGGAGCCCAGATTTCACTGGATTTATGGGGAAGCAATTTCTATCCTAAGTCATTGTTTGAAATATACAGCAATCAGGCAGCAATTAGTGAAGCTCAACTGCTGGATGGGGTCAGGGAAAGAGACAGTAAGAGAGCCCTGCCAAAACCATTGTCATCCCAGCATGACTGTGGGTACATCTAAGTCTGCACTCCATGAAAAGCAGCATCAGGGGATTCACACTGCAGAGGTAAATAGATTTCACTGAAATAATTTTGCTGGTAATTAAACAAGTAAACAAGCAAATAATGAGCCCTGAAAAGGAGTAACTACTTCCCAGAGTTGCTACAATATATTATCTAAATTTTTTGATTTCAACAAAAAAATTACAAGACATGCAAAAAGACAAGAAGGTAAAACCCGTATACTGCAAACCAACCAACTGACCAAACAAACAAACATCAAGCAGCAGAAATTGTGAGTGACCAAATGTCAGATTTGACAGATTAAAGACTACAAGTAGTCGTTATAATTATGTTCAGAAACCTAGATGAAACCAGGTCTTCTCTGCTTGCCTGTTGCAGCATGGAACTCATGTGCCTTGAGCTGGGTTAAAGATGAATGGGGCCCTAGTATTCTCAGTGGCAACACACCCAAGGTAGAGAGACTCCATTCCATACGTGAGGGCTGGGCAGAAGAAGGGAGCCCCTCCCTCTCACCTGTACTTGCCCAGAGCTTAGATTCAGAAACAGACAGCTGAGGGCAGGATGAGAAATGGTGATTTTGTGCCTCTTCCAGTAAGTAAGCCCTCAATTGGGAGCTGGGAGAAAAAGGAGCCCTGTATTCTTGGCTATACCAGTATTGAGTGGAGTTTCTGAGTTACCGAACGGAGAGAAGGGAGGGAGGGTACAAATACTACAGACTCTTAGAGTTCTTCTTGAGTTTTAGTAACTGATTTACTAAATCATCTTGAATAAATGTTTCTTCATTTTCATTTTGCCCTTAGGGCTGTTCCCAGAGACTTTAAACGCTTGTTTGTTTTTTATAATTTATAGCAGTTTAACTGGGGAGCGGGTCCACAGAACTCCTCACATATCATGAACAAAAAGGGTTTATTCCAAGAATGTAAGAAAGTTGCAATATTTTAAAAAATCTATTAATGTAATGCTTTATATTAATATATCTTTAAAATTACATATCCATACATGTTAAAAATAAGGCATCTGGTAATAGTCGAAGTCCATTCTTTTAAAACACTTAATAAAATAGGCATTGGTCCTTTGTCGTGATAAAATAAGATTGAATAAAGCCAGCATCTTACTTAATAGGGAATCAGTGCAGGCCACTCACATTATAGTTAGAAACAGTGCAAGGATCTCACTATGTCCCCTACTCTTAATATTGTATTGGAGGTATTAGCCAAAGCAATTAGACAAAAGGAAACTTGGAGGCAAATGGCTTTAGAAGGAAAAGTGCAACAGTGTAAATAATATGAGTACAATGGGAATAAACAAGTGCATTAATAACAACAAACTACTGATGAGGCTATGAATGTCAGAGAATCTACTCTAAAGTTGCACATTTATAAATGCATACACACACACACACACACACACACACACACACACAATATTATCCATTACAACTTTATTTGAGAAAGCAAAGATTTGGAAGCAACCCAAATGTCATTCAACAGCAGTGGTATGAGCTGTGTTACTGCCACAAAATGGAGTGCTATGCAACTTTAAAAGGTGATGAGGAAGATCTCTATGAATTGAAGTAAACTCAATTCCAGGATATACTGTTAAAAGGAAAAGGCAAAGTACATAACAGTATATACACTAGTCTACCATCTTGGTAAGAAAGTACGGGAAATATAAATACATATGCAAAAACAAGCACAGGAAAGGCAGACCAGGAAACTAAAAAGGCAGATTTTTCTGAGTATTTTCTTATATGTGTTTTGATATATGCACTGTGTAAATGTTTTACTATATTCAAAAATAAAAGAAACCTCTAAAATGACAAGAAATCATCATAACTGTATCAAAATGTTTAAAAAGAAAGCACAAAAGAAAGACAGAGAAAATTATTTCAGGTAATTGTAGAGCACAGTACTCTGTATATACTTATTAGGATATGGTAAGAACAAAAAGAATTGCAAAGAAATTATAATAATATTTACTCAGTAGTAATATTGGTATACTAATTTTTAAATAATAGTGTTACTAGAAACAGTATATTCAGTGTAAGAGAAAAGAAAAGTTAAAAATAAAGAATTCTGTATAAATTTGAATTGAGAATGTCAATGTGAACTTGTGAAACTAGGTCACACAAAGGGCCAAGAAGCAATCCCACACTCAGTAACAGTGAGTATTTTTAGCTCTCAGATCCTAGTTTCCTTCATAATATGAATCAGAATTTCTTGGAGAAATGGTTAATTCCAGGTCTGGGACAGAGGAAGTATGAAGTGAGTCTGGTTCATCATGTGTCAGAAAGTTAGAAAGTGCCCAAAGCTAATCAAAGTGTACCAAAAGAATCCAAGGCCAGTAGGCTTGAAAAGGTTCCCACTGGCCAAATTTGGGAGATTTTAATAAGTGATGGTAACACCCTTAATAAATAAAAACTCATGAATCAGTGTAGCTGACCTTAACTGTTGGTGCCTTGCTCATACCCCTTAATCAGTAGACTTCTGAGTGCCAGTACCTGCCAGCACTTGTGTTTCTTTGCTGGAGGGCTTTCTCTGGATATTGGAGCCCTTTTGCCTGCCCACATGGCCAGTTGATAATACCAACTAATTAATGCTCCTAGGAGCAGTCTTCAAAGAATGACTGACAGAAATTGGTGAATAAATACCTCTCAAATGAGACAGCTCTGTGGCACATGTGTTACGTGGCTCTTTTCTGCATCAGGATTAAGCTCTAGTTAATTGCAGTGGTGAGCCACTAAGTAACACTCCCTGATTATCTTCCATCTCTTCCCTGTCTCATTTCCCTACTCCTCTACCAGTGTCTTTGGAATCACTTTCTAAATAACTACCTTCGCTTGAGTTCTGTCTCTGGGTCTGTTTCTGGGGAAACCCACACTAAGATAGCCCACAATAATCCTCAAAAGAAAGAAAAGAAGGAAAACCCCACTCATCTGCCATCAATTGAGATGACTTACTTTAAAAATTGCTAATTAAAGGAAAAGAATGAAGTAATCACCCTAGAGGAAAAACTGGAGTTCACTCCCAGTTGATCAGTGATAAATGCTCTTCTTTTTAGCTGAATGGCAACTAATAAATGTAGAATAATTGAAAGAATTAGAAAATTACCATCATCTTAGAATCACTAATTATATCATTGATTCAGGCGTCAAGGTATGCTAAAACCATTAGGTAAAAGAGTCATGGGAAAGAGGAAAATGTTCAGTTATCAGGAGACATATGTTCTAAAGTAAATGTTAAATGAAAACATGGGGAAAGATTCTGAGAAGTCCAGATTATGCATTATGCCACTTAGTCAATTGTCCTGATGACTTCAAAAAGTCAGTATCATAAGAAAAAATTGTAGGTATGACCGTTCTAGAATGAAATAGTTTAAAGAAACAAAACCAAACATAATGAGTGAAATTTGAATGGATGTTGCATAGAAAAAATAGTTATAAAAAGATACTTTGGGGAAAAATTTATATTGACAGAGTATTACATGAAGTAAGGGAATGCTTGTTAATTTTTGTAGGTGCAGCAATGATGTGAACATTACGTAGGAGAACACCTTACTCTTAGGAGAGGTATGTGGAAATATTTTGGGGTGAAGTGATGATGCCTGCAATGACCTAACTTAGTTTTAAATGTTCCACGTGTATGTGGTGTTGGAGGAGGTAGTAATAAATAAAATAAATGAAATGAGAGAAGGAGAATGAATAAGCAAAATATTAGCAATTGTCAAAACTCAGTGCCAGGTATATGAGTGTTTATAGTACCATTCTTTCAACTTTCTGTATGTTAGAAAATGTTTACTATAGAAGTTGGAGAAATATACATCTGAGGTAAATATGGCAAGATACCAATATTTTTAAAACAGATGGTAGGGATATGTTTGTTTATTATGTTATTCTATTTTGTTTATGTTTGAAAGGTTTCATAATGTAAGTTAATAATTACATAAAACAAAGCACTAAAGAAATGAGTTGGAGTTTACAAGTTGAAGAAAGGGAAGAAGGTATTTCAGGTAGAAGAAACAATGTGCAAAGACCTATGGCATATAAGAGCATGTTTTTTTCCTTCACTCTGATAGGAAGAGCCTGAAGGAACTGGCCTGTAGGGGGACCATGTGGGGCCTTTGAGAACAGTCAAAAGGACTCAGAATTTAAGGTGAGGGGAATGAAGCACTATACAAAGTATGTAAGCTGAGGAGAAACACAAATCAGAGAGGCATAGACTAGAATAAGAGAAGTCTGGAGTCTTTGGCAACAGTCCAGGTAAGTGGTGACTCAGGCCTAAAACCTGCTTGGGCCAATGAGAATGGACAAGATTTCAAAGAAGAAGAAAATATTTTCAAATATTTTTCACTCAACACACTATAGCTCATCATACCTTCTAGTTACAGGAACCCAGAGAAACTAGATCAACACTAACGAGCAACCCCTACTTTCTAAATTCACTAAGACGAACACACAACTTTGTAATAAATGCATATTTATAGGACCTGTTTGGGAGATAATTTGTCTGATAAAAAAGAAGAATTTGAGCCAATAGGAGATATTTTAAGTTGTGGTGGTTTATTTATTAAGATTTCTGTTTTCCAAAACCAGGCACATTCTAATAAAAGTTATCAAAATGGAAAGAACGCTTGTAAAACTACACCATGATTACATCCTCTCCAATTTTATCACTTTCCATCAGCTAATAACTACATGTCTGTCCCTTGATTTATCATTTTAGCACTACTTTTGTCAGAAAAAAATAAAGAGTGCTGGGGTGGACAAAAAGCTGCTACTAACCAATGTGATACTTTCGTGTGAATTAGGAAAAGGTTCTCATTCTTTAATAATTTATTTTCAGCTTTATTGAGGTATAATTGACAAATAAAAATTGTATATATTTGAGGTGTACAATTTGATGTTTTGATATACATACACATTGTGAAATAATCACAATCAAGCTAATTAACATGTTCATCATCTTACATAGTTACCGTTTTCTTTCTTTTGTGTGTGTGTGTGTGTGTGTGTGTGTGTGTGTGTGTGGTGAGAACACTCAAGATCTACCCTCTTAGCAACTTCTACGTATACAATACAGTATTGTTAATTTAAGTCACCAGACTGTATATTAGCTCTCCAGAACTTATTTATCCTGCAAAAACTTTGTACCCTTTGACCAACATCTTTCCATATAATTTCTTAAATGAATGTATTGTAGTAGACAGGCTTTAAGGTGGCCTTATGATCCCCAACCCCTGGAGTTCATACCTTTGTATGGTTCCCTCTCTTTGAGTGTGGTGGGGCCTGTGACTTCCTTGTAACCAACAGAATATGGCAAAGGCGATGGGATGTCACTCCTATAATCACATTACATTATATAACTCCATCTTACTAGCTAACTTGCTATCTTTCTTCCTTGCTGGCTTTGGAGAGGTAAGCCGCCATGTTGAGTGGACCTATGGAAAGGGCTATGTGGCAAGGAGCTATGGAAGCCTCTAGGAGCTGAGGGCGGCCTCCAGCCAATAACCAGGAAGAAGCCAGAGTCCTCAGTCTTACAAACACAAGGAAATGAATTCTGCCAACGACCACAAGAGCTTGGTAGCAGATCCATTGCCAGTTGAGCCTCTAGATGAGAACTCAGCTCTGGCTGACACCTGGATTGCAGCCTGGCAGAGGACCTAACTAAGCCACGGCCAGAGTCCTGACACACAGAAACCGTGAGACAATAAATATTTGTTGTTGTAAGTTACTAAGTTTGTGGCAATTTGTTATGCAGCAATAGAAAGCTAATATATATATTCATGTGTAATCCCAACAATCATACACAGCAACCAGCTGTTGACCCCTCTGGCCAGATTAGGTGACTGTATTTGTCTCTAAACTCCCTCTGCCTCTCTCTTACACATGTGATTGCATTTAGGCCCCACCGAGAAAATTCAAGAAAAGCACTGCGTGTCAATATCTTTAACTTAATCACATACTTTGCCATATAAGGTAATATTCACTTTTTACTATGTAAGAAAATATTTACAGGTTCTGGGGCTTAGGAAGTGGCTATATCTCGGAAGAGATGTCATTTTTTTCAGCCTAGCACAGTGACCATAGAGGTAGCCAGTGTGTAAAAAAATAGAGAAGGGCAGGAGAGAGAGAAAAGGAATCAGGGGAACACTACCTTTAGGGATTGGATAAAGCCTATTTGAATGTACTCCACTTGAGTACGAAGATCGTCCCAGGGCCTGAGGGTGGCAGCTGCTTGTGTACACACACACACACACACACACACACACACACACACACACACACACACAAAACCATACATTCCTGTGAACTTACCTCCTGCCCAGCACATAAAACGTAAGGAGCGCACATACTCCAACCCCAGATGAGGTGACCATGAGAAGTTCAGTGTAAGAGGAAATGTTGGAATCCAGATACTCAGAGTACAGCCAGAAGAAAGCGTAGCCATGTGCACATGTTCATCTCCAAGTAAATGTGATAGTGCAGGCCCTGCTGAGGTGTGCATGACCAGTTGAGAGAGTGAAAGTTTATGGAGTAGAGGGCGCTCTCTTGCTGCTTCAGGACTCAGCCAAGAGGCCTGGAATGTCTACACTCACCTGCAGCGCTCCCAGGTAAGTTAGTTCTGTATGTGTCCCCAATGTGAATGGTGCCTCCTCAGATGTGTTGACCCTGTACAGTGCATACTCTGAACAACCTAACATGGAGATTGAGGGAAGGAAAGTGTAGGAGAAACAGCACCCAATCTAGAATCCTGAAATCACATCGGAAAACCAAATTTTGGCTGGGTATGGTGCCTTACACCTGCAATCCCAGCACTTTGGGAGGCTGAGGTGGGAGGATTGCTTGAGACCAGAGTTTGAGACCAGAGTTCAAGATCAGCCTGAGCAACAGGGCGAAACCCCGTCTCTACCAAAAAAAAAAAAAAAAAAAAAAATAGCCAGGTGTAGTGGCACTTGCCTGTGGTCCCAGCTACTCAGGAGGCTAATGTGCGAGGATTGCTTGAGCCTGGCAGATCAAGGCTGTAGTGAGCTGAGATTGTGCCACTGCACTCCAGCCTGGTGACAGAGCAAAACCCTGTCTCAAAAAGAAAGAAAAAGGAAAAACCAAATCTCAAGATTTGGTTCAGACGGCTGCATCAAAGAAGATAAATATCTGAAACTTATAGCTTCAAAATGTGAATACCTATCCATTTTAAAGCATTCCATAATTGCTAGGGATGCTCAACATATGGCTACACTCACATCTTTTCAGTGGTGTGCTGCTGATCTTTCATTGCCTACCCAGGAGCAACAAGCTTTATCACACTTTATGTGTTTGTGAGAAGTAAGATGAATTTAAACATCAGCTCTTCAGTATATGGAAGACCCTTAAACATTTCTTTGTAACTGCTTGTGTGAGTCAATCACCCACGTTGGCAAAGTTTCCAAAGTATTCTGTTGTTTTGACATTGCATATATGCAGCCCAATAGCAGCCAAATCAGTGGAAAACACTCACCGTGTTTAATTGTAACCACTTGAGTCAGACTAAAAAGCAAACAAGGCTAACGCCATCTATGGAAACATCCTAAATTCACTTAAGAACCTATGACCCCACTCCCAAGTATATTCATGCCGAGTATACTTTTCACCTACCCAGTGACTCCCTCAATTACCTTTTCCTTCCTATCACCCTCCCAATAGATATCTAAGAATAGCAGAGAAATCTTCATCTCTTTTGGAGGAGAATATCATTTTAATATAATCAAAGCTCCATTGATGTCTATGTAGGTTACATCTATTGCTTCCTTCATATCTGCATGGCCTGTCAGTCTACCATGCAAAGATCTTTATTAATTCTATTATGATCATCCTTGTTGTTTGAACTTGTCTAGTAATAGCAAGTCTTAAAATAAATTGTTTTATTTTCATTCCAATTGTTGAAGCTAAGCTTACTCATCCATTAGCATCAGGCTTAGACATTTTTCTGCATGTGCAATAGCTAGATGTATGTCATTTTCTTTAAGAGTAGGTGAATCACAATACTGATCAGTCAGTGCTCCAGTATCCAAACACATATCAGCACCCCGTTGATTTTGTTCTAAAAAAATAGCCCCAGATAAAATATCTTCCAAAGTAATACTCTTTCTGTACTCTGCCTTTTGTCAGCCATAGTAAAATCAAAATAAGATATTCCAGCAACCTTGGCCTGAATAGGGCACAAGTACAAATTTTCACTAAGCCTCAGAAAGCCCCATTGACTAGAGCAAGGCTGATTCAAAATGTCTCCTTCCTTCAGAAGTCAATTCAAATGGCCAGTAACCATCGTTTTATATTTTTTCCCCAATATGCCATTTCACTTGCATAGAACCAAATATAAGAAATGTTTAAAAAAAAAAAAAGATATACAAAACTTAGAACAAAATAGTCCTAGCCACACCCTTCCCAAAATAAAGCAGGGCCAAGCAAATTTGTAGAGTTCAGTTATTTTCATTCTCCTCCATATCCGTTCCAAGTTTCTATCTTACCTTATTTCTCTGTTAAGGTCCTCCAGTACAACAATGAATAGAAGAGGTGATAACAGGCAAACTTGTCTTGTTCTCAGTCATAAAGGAAAAGCTTCTAGCAATTCATAATTTAGTATGATTTTTGTTGTAGCTTTTTTTCTGTGGATAATTTTATCAGTTTAAGAAAGTTCTTTTATTACTAGTTTGTTTAGAGGAGCTTTTTACCCCTATAAATGGATATGGAATTTTATCAATTTTTTCAGCATCTATAGAGATGAACACATCATTTTTGCCCTTAATTATGTTGTGATGAATTACATTGCTCAACTTTGTATTGTTAAACCAACCTTGCCTTTCTGGAGTAAACTCAACTTGGTTCAGATCTATCATATTTTTAACATATTGCTAGTTTTGAATAGCTATTATATTATTTGGGATTTTTCATGCATGTTCTTGAGTAATATTGACCTGAAATGTCTCTTGTTATATCCTACTTAGATTTTTAGTATCCCTGATTATGCTGGCCTACAAAATGAGTTGGGGAATGTTCTCCTTTTCTTCATGTGTCACATCGTTTTTAACAGATTGCCATTCTATTTTCATTAAATGTTTGGTAAAATGTACTAGTGAAGTCGTTTGGGAATTTTCTGTGTATAAAGAAAACCAAAATATTGCTGTTTAAAATACTGGGAATTATTGAGCTGAAGAATATTAAATAGCAGGAGGACACTCTGCTCCTCCCTCTGCTTGCCTGATGGCAGGACAATTTCCATAGACAAGGTTTTTCTTCCCTCTGCCTTTTCCTACCTAAAGATAGGCCCCTTTACAATGCTTGCTTATCAGCTCAGAGACAGTGGTGCCTGAGGATCTAGAAGCAGATTTTACTCTTCCCACAAACTTAACTTCTCACATTTTCCCACCTTTTGGAAGCCTGAAGATGCTCTCCTTTTTGTCTTTTCACTGTAGAATTTATGGCTCTTGGTTAAAATACTATCTAAGTAAAACCACTAGGCCACTGTCTTGAAAGAAAAGTGCTTTTGAACTGAGGCCTCTCCTGTGTGATGTGTATAGCATTTGTCAATAAACTTCTACTGGTTTTTCTCTTGTTAATCTGACTTTTATTTTCAGGGGAGTGTCTCAACTAAGAACCTATGAGGTAAAAATACAGATTTTCTCCCTTACATGTAGAAAAGCTTATAAATTTCATTTGCAAATGTTTTTCTATTCTTCAGGTCGTCTATTTCTTCTTGTGTCAGGCTTATAAACTTGTATTTTTCTATAAATTTCTCTAGTTCATCTAAATTTTTCAAGTTTATTGGCATAAAGTTGTATATGATAGCTTCTTAATATATTTTTATGTCTAGGATGCACAGTGATATTTTATGACTTTTAAAAATTTTATCCATTGATTTAAAGTAATAAAAAGTGTCAATAAGTATCCTTATTGATGCTTTTTTATTTTCCTCTACTTCCTCTGATTTTAATTTGGCTTCCTTTTCCTAATTTATTTATATGAATGCTTAGCTTATTGATTTTTAGCCTTCCTCTTATCATACGTGGGTTTAAAACCTCCAGCCTCCAGCTGAAAGCCAGCAAGAAGCTGAGGCCCTTAGTCTGACAGCCTGAAAAGAAATGAATGCTGCAAACAACCACGTGAGTTTGGAAACAAAGTCTTCCCTGGTAGAGCCTCAAATGAAAACCAAGTTCTGGACAACACCTTGATTGCAGCTTTGCAGAGGGCTCAGCTAACCTATGCCCAGTCTCTCAACCCACATGAACTGTGAAATAATAAATATGCATTATTTTAAGCTGCTATGTTTGTGTAATATTGTTATGCAACAACAAATAACTAAAACAACGTGTTTGTGTCATCTTTACTACTGAAGAAAATTATCACTTAGTGTAGAATTCTAGGGTGGTGCATGTTTTCTTTCAACATTTTAAAGATGTCATTCCAAGGTATTGGGTTTGTGATGTTTCTATTGAGAAGTCAGTGGTCATTGCATTTGTTGCTTCTTCGAAAGTAATTGATATTTTTATTCTAGCTGCTTTTAACATTTTTCAAGATTGTTATTTTGAGTGTTCAGTAGTTTTACTGTGATGTGCCTAGGTAATAATTCCATTTTATATATCTTGCTTGGAATCAATAGGGCTTCTTGATATCTTTTATCTATTTTTGAAATAGTCTCAGCCATTTTATTCAGATGCTGTTCTGTTCCAATCTCTCTTTTGTTCTGTTTCTGAGATTCCAATTACATATGTGCTAGATCATCTTACCATACGTTTTACTGTATCTTCTGTATGTTTGATCTTTCTAACTTACCCAGCTTAATTCTAGATATTTTCTTCTGAACTATCTTCCCATTCATTAATCACCTTAACTCTGTCTAATTTGCTGTAAACCGTAAGTTCTTAATTTTTTATTTTTATGTTTTATTTATTTTTATTTTAACTTTTTTATTATGCTTTAAGTTCTGGGATACATGTGCAGAACGTGCAGGTTTGTAACATAGGTATACACATGCCATGGTGGTTTGCTGCACCCATCAACCCATCATCTACATTAGGTATTTCTCCTAATGCTATTCCTTCCCTACCCCTCCCGACCCCCTGACAGGCCCCGGTGTGTGATGTTCCCCTCCCTGTGTCCATGTGTTCTGATTGTTCAGCTCCCACTTATGAGTGAGAACACACAGTGTTTGGTTTTCCGTTCCTGCGTTAGTTAACTGGGAATGATAGTTTCCAGCTTCATCCATGTCCCTGCAAAGGACATGAACTCATCCTTTTTTATGGCTGCATAGTATTCCATGGTGTATATGTGCCACATTTTCTTCATCCAGTCTAACGTTGATGGGCATTTGGGTTGGTTCCAAGTCTTTGCTATTGTGAACAGTGGTGCAGTAAACATATGCGTGCATGTGTCTTTATAGTAGAATGATTTATAAAACTTTGGGTATATACACAGTAATGGGATTACTGGGTCAAATGGTATTTCTGGTTCTACATCCTTGAGAAATCGCCATGCTGTCTTACACAATGGTTGAACTAATTTACACTCCCACCAACAGTGTAAAAGTGGTTCCTATTTCTCCACATCCTCTCCAGCATCTGTTGTTTCCTGACTTTTTAATGATCACCATTCTAACTGGTATGAGATTGTATCACATTGTGGTTTTGATTTGCATTTCTCTAATGACCAGTGATGATGAGCTTTTTTTCATATGTTTGTTGGCCATATAAATGCCTTCTTTTGAGAAGTGTCTGTTCATATCCTTCACCCACTTTTTGATGGGGTTGTTTGTTTTTTTCTTGTAAATTTAAGTTCTTTGTAGATTCTGGATATTACCTCTTTGTCAGATGGATAGATTGCAAAAATTTTCTCCCATTTTGTAGGTTGCCTATTCACTCTTATGATAGTTTCTTTTGCTGTGCAGAAACGCTTTAGTTTAATTAGATCCCATTTGTCAATTTTGGCTTTTGTTGCCATTGCTTTTGGTGTTTTAGCCATGAAGTCTTTGTCCATGCCTATGTCCTGAATGGTATTGCCTAGGTTTTCTTCTAGGGTTTTTATGGTTTTAGGTTTTATGTTTAAGTCTTTAATCCATCTTGAGTTAATTTTTGTATAAGATGTAAGGAAGGAGTCCAGTTTCAGTTTTGTGCATATGGCTAGTCAGTTTTCCCAACACCATTTATTAAATAGGGAATCCTTTCCCCATTGCTTGTTTTTGTCAGGTTTGTCAAAGATCAGATGGTTGTAGATGTGTGGTGTTATTTTTGAGGCCTCTGTTCTGTTCCATTGGTCTATATATCTGTTTTGGTACTAGTACCATACTGTTTTGGTTACTGTAGCCTTATAGTATAGTTTGAAGTCAGGTACTGTGATGCCTCCAGCTTTGTTCTTTTTGCTTAGGACTGTCTTGGCTATACAGGCTCTTTTTTGATTCCATATGAAATTTAGAGTAGTTCATTATAATTATGTGAAGAAAGTCAATGGTAGCTTGATGGGGATGGCATTGAATCTATAAATTACTTTGAGCAGTATGGCCATTTTCACTATATTGATTCTTCCTATCCATGAGCATGGAGTGCTTTTTCCATTTGTTTGTGTCCTCTCTTATTTCCTTGAGCTATGGTTTGTAGTTCTCCTGGAAAAGGTCCTTAACATCCCTTGGAAGTTGTATTCCTAGGTATTTTATTCTCTTTGTAGCAATTACGAATGGGAGTTCACTCATGATTTGGCTCTCTATTATTGGCGTATAGGAATGCTTGTGATTTTTGCACATTGATTTTGTATCCTGAGAATGCTGAAGTTGCTTTTTAGCTTAAAGAGACTTTGGGCTGAGATGATGGGGTTTCCTAAATATACAATCACGTCATCTGCAAACAGAGACAATTAGACATCCTCTCTTCCTGTTTGAATACTCTTTACTTCTTTCTCTTGGCTGATTTCCCTGGCCAGAACTTCCAATACTACGTTGAATAGGAGTGGTGAGAGAGGGCATCTTTGTCTTGTGCCAGGTTTCTAAGGGAATGCTTCCAGCTTTTGCCCATTCAGTATGATATTGATGGTGGGTTTGTCATAAATGGCTCTTATTATTTTGAGATACATTCCATCAAGACCTAGTTTATTGAGAGTTTTTAGCATGAAGGGGTATTGAATTTGTCAAAGGCCTTTTCTGCATCTATTGTGATAATCATGGGGTTTTTGTTGTTGGTTCTGTTTATGTGATGGATTATGTTTATTTATTTGCATATGCTGAACCAGCCTTGCATCCCAGGGATGATCGTCATGGATAAGCTATTTGATGTGCTGCTGGATTTGGTTTGCCTGTATTTTACTGAGGATTTTTACATCGATGTTATCAGGGATATTGGCCTAAAATTTTCAATTTTTTGTTGTGTCTCCACCAGGTTTTGGTATCAGGATGATACTGGCCTCATAAAGTGAGTTAAGGAGGAGTTCCTCTTTTTCTATTGCCTGGAATAGTTTTAGAAAAAATGGTACCAGCTCCTCTTTGTACCTCTGGTAGAATTCAGCTATGAAGCTGTCTGGTCCTAAGCTTTTTTTGGTTGGTAGCCTATTAATTACTGCCTCAATTTCAGAACTTGCTATTGTTCTATTCAGGGATTCGACTTCTTCCTGGTTTATTCTTGGGAGGGTGTATGTGTCCAGGAATTTATCCATTTCTTCCAGATTTTCTAGTTTATTTGCATAGAGGTGTTTACAGTATTCTCTGATGGTAGTACGCATTACTTTGGGATCAGTAGTTATCTCCGCTTTATCATTTTTTTATTGTGTCTATTTCCTTCTTCTCTCTTTTCTTCTTTATTAGTCTAGCTAGTGGTCTATCTATTTTGTTGATCTTTTCAAAAAAACCAACTCTTGGATTCATTGATTTTTTGAAGGGTTTTTCGTGTCTCTATCTCCTTCAGTTCTGCTCTGATCTTAGTTATTTCTTGTCTTCTGCTAGATTTTGAATTTGTTTGCTCTTGCTTCTCTAGTTCTTTTAATTGTGATGTTAGAATGTTGACTTTAAATATTTCCTGCTTTCTCCTGTGGGCATTTAGTGCTATAAATTTTCCTCTAAACACTGCTTTAGCTGTGTCCCAGAGATTATGGTACAATTTGTCTTTGTTCTCATTGGTTTTGAATAAATTGTTTATTTCTGCCTTAATTTCGTTATTTACCCAGTAGTCACTTAGGAGCAGGTTGTTCAGTTTCCACGTAGTTGTGTGGTTTTGAGTGAGTTTCTTAATCCTGAGTTCTAATTTGATTGCACTGTGGTCTGAGAGACTGTTTGTTATGATTTCTGTTCTTTTGCATTTGCTGAGGAGTGTTTTACTCCCAATTTTGTGGTTGATTTTAGAATAAGTGCAATGTGGTGCTGAGAAGAATGTATATTCTGTTGATTTGGGGTGGAGAGTTCTGTAGATGTCTATTAGGTCCACTTGGTCCAGAGCTGAGTTCAAGTCCTGAATATCCTTTTTAATTTTCTGTCTCTTTGATCTGTCTAATATTGACAGTGGGGTGTTAAAGTCTCCCACTATTATTGTGTGGGAGTCTAAGTCTCTCTGTAAGTCTCTAAGAACTTGCTTTATGAATCTGGGTGCTCCTGTATTGGGTGCATATATATTTAGGATAGTTATCTCTTCTTGTTGCATGGATCCCTTTACCATTAAGTAATGCCCTTCTTTGTCTTTTTTGATCTTTGTTGGTTTAAAGTCTGTTTTATTAGAGACTAGGATTGCAACCCCTGCCTTTTTTTTTTTTTTTTTTTTTGCTTTCTGTTTTCTTGGTAAATATTCCTCCATCCCTTTATTCTGAGACTATGTGTGTCTATGTATGTGAGATGGGTCTCCTGAATACAGCACACTGATGCACACTGTTTATCTAATTTGCCAGTCTGTGTCTTTTATTTGGGACTTTTGTCTCATTTATATTTAAGCTTAATATTGTTATATGTGAATTTGATCCTGTCATTATGTTGCTAGTTGGTTATTTTGCCCATTAGTTGATGTAATTTCTTCATAGTGTTGATGGTCTTTACATTTTGGTTTGGTTTTGCAATGGCTGGTACTGATTTTTCCTTACCATATTTAGTGCTTCCTTCAGGAGCTCTTGTAATGCAGGCCTGGTGGTGAGAAAATCTCTCAGCATTTGCTTGTCTGTAAAGGATTTATTTTTTCTCCTTTGCTTATGAAGCTTAGTTTGGCTGGATATGAAATTCTGGGTTGAAAATTCTTTTCTTTAAGAATGTTCAATATTGGCCCCCACTCTCTTTCTGGCTTGTAGGGTTTCTGCAGAGAGATCTGCTGTTAGTCTGATGGGCTTCCCTTTGTGGTAACCTGACCTTTCTCTCTGGCTGCCCTTAACATTTTTTCCTCCATTTCAACTTTGGTGAATCTGAGAATTATGTGTCTTGAGGTTGCTCTTCTCAAGGAGTATCTTTGTGGTGTTCTCTGTATTTCCTGAATTTGAATGTTGGCCTGTCTTGCTAGGTTGGGGACGTTCTCCTGGATAATATCTTGCAGAGTGTTTTCCAACATGGTTCTGTTTTCCCTGTTACTTTCAGGTATTCCAGTCAAATGTAGGTTTGGTCTTTTCACATAGTCCCATATTTCTTGGAGGCTTTGTTCATTCCTTTTCATTCTCTGTTCTCTATTCTTGTCTTCATGCTTTATTTCATTAAGTTGATCTTATCTCTGATATCCTTTTTTCTGCTTGATTGATTCAGCTATTGTTACTTGTGTATGCTTCCCGAAGTTGTTGTGCTGTGTTTTTCAGCACCATTAGGTCATGTATGTTCTTCTCTAAACTGGTTATTCTAGTTAACAATTCCTCTAACCATTTTTCAAGGTTCTTAGCTTCATTGCATTGAGCTAGAACATACTCCTTTAGCTTGGAGGAGTTTGTTATTACCCACCTTCTGAAGCCTACTTCTGTCAATTTGTGAAACTCATTCTCTCTCCCGTTTTGTTCTCTTGCTGGTGAGGAGCTGTGATCCTTTGGAGGAGAAGAGGCTTTCTGGTTTTTGGAATTTTCAGCCTTTTTGTGCTGGTTTTCTTATCTTCGTGGATTTATCTACCTTTGGTCTTTGATGTTGGTGATCTTCAGTTGGATTTTCTGTGTGGACGTCCTTTTTGTTGATGTTGATGCTATTTCTTTCTGTTTGTTAGTTTTCCTCCTAACAGTCAGGCCCCTCTGCTGCAGGTCTGCCAAAGTTTGCTGGAGTGTTGCCTGGGTATCACCAGTGGAGCCTGCAGAACAGCAAAGATTGCTGCCTGATCCTTCCTCTGGAAGCTTCTTTCCAGAGGGACACCCACCAGGTGCCAGCCGGAGCTCTCCTATATGAGATGTCTGTTGACCCCTGCTGGGATGTGTCTCCCACTCAGGAGGCATGGGGGTCAGCGACCCACTTGAGGAGGCAGTCTGTCCCTTAGCAGAGCTTGAGCGCTCTGCTGGGAGATCTGCTGCTCTCTTCAGAGCCAGCAGGCAGGAATGTTTAAGTCTGCTGAAGCTGACCCAACAGCTGCCCCTTCCCCCAGGTGCTCTGTCCCAGGGAGATGGGAGTTTTATCTATAAACCTCTGACTGTAGCTGCTGCCTTTCTTTCAGAGATGCTCTGCCCAGAGAGGGGGAATCTAGAGAGGCAGCCTGGCTACAGTGGCTTTGCTGAGCTGTGGTGGGCTCTGCCCAGTTGAAACATCCTGGTGGCTTTGTTTACACTGTGAGGGGAAAACTGCCTACTGAAGCCTTAGTAATGGCAGATGCCCCTCCCCCACCAAGCTTGAGTGTCCCAGGTAAACTTCAGACTGCTGTGCTGGTGGCGCGAATTTCAAGCCAGTGGATCTTAGCTTGCTGGGCTCCGAGGGGTGGGATCTCCTGAACTAGAGCACTTGGCTGCCTGCCTTCAGCCTTCTTTCCAGAGGAGTGAATGGTTCTGTCTCACTGGCATTCCAGGCACCACTGGGGTATGAAAAAAAAAAAAAAACTCCTGCAGCTAGCCCAGTGTGTGCCCAAATAGCTGCCCAGTTTTGTGCTTGAAACCCAGGTCCATGGTGGCATAGGCACCCGAGGGAATCTCCTGATCTGCGAGTTGTGAAGTCCATGGGAAAAGGTTAGAATCTGGGCCAGAGTGCACTGTTCCTCACAGCACAGTCCTTCACGGCTTCCCTTGGCTAGGGGAAGGAGTTTTCTGACCCCTGTGCTTCCTGGGTGAGGTGATACCCCACCCTGCTTTGGCTTGCCCTCTGTGGGCTGCACCCACTGTCTAAGCAGTCCCAATGAGATGAGCTGGGTACCTCAGTTGGAAATGCAGAAATCACCTGCTTTCTGCATTGATCTCACTGGGAGCTGCAGACCAGAGCTGTTCCTATTTGGCCATCTTGCCAGCCACCAGTTCTTAATTTTTTGTTGTGTTTTTCATTTCTGAACTTTATTTTTCATTCTTTTACATATTTCCAATTATATGCCTATTTTCTCAATTTTAATTTCTGTCTCTGAGCACAGTAAAAAGTATTTTAAGCTGTGTATTTGATTATTCCTTATCTGTTGTTTCTGCTGGTTTTCTTTTAGGTGATCTTGTCTCTTATGCATCTGGCTAAATTTTGTTTGCCAGACATTGTATTTATAAAATATTCATAGAAATTATGTGAGGCCTAAGAAACTATTAGCCTCCTCCAAAGTAGATTTTCCTTTGCTTCTGCCTTTATCGGAGGATTAAGCTCATTCAGTATCACTGCAATCCACTTAGGGATTGAACATGAGTTGAACTACAGTATTCGTGAAAGCTTGTATCAGGTATACCCTTACTCCTAGGATATAGACCTATGGTACTAAGGCCTCAGAGAGCCCTGAATGTCAAACCCTGTATCTCTACACTTATAATGCTATCAAAAGCAGCATTCAACCTTTTAGGTTCTTAGTCACCTGCTAAGGAAATGACAGCTATCCCAAGGGAAAACTGGCCCCAAACCCTGCCTCACTCCCTGAGAATCTATCTTCCTGTGGTTTCTGGCCCAGTAATTCTCCACTCCATTTTTTTTTTTTTAAATTTTAGCTAACTTATCTGGCACTTTTGAGAATATCATTTTAATACGAAATATGTGTGTGTGTGTGTATGTTTGTGTTCATGTATATGTGTCAGCTTTTCTTAGCTGTCTTCAGCAGGAGGGCTAGTCTTAATTAACTAGTCCAACCTTACCAGAAGTGGGAGTTCTGTACCCAGACTCATCATAATCATCACTGTAATTCATCTGTGACCTCTATACCCCAAGTCCTCTGCTCTTTCCTCTTAACTTGCATCACAACCCAGATGGTATCCCTTCTACTCCATCCTCATTCTGCTTCCAAATCTCTCAGAGCCTCTGTAAAATACAGGAGAGCTGTGAGTTCATCCACAGCGCAGCTCATGTATTTATTTACACTGAAGAATATCTCAATTCCAAACTCCAATGAAGAAAACCTTAATTTTCTCTTGACTGACTCCACATACAGATTTTATCAATTGTCCAATTTAGCCGGCACTCAGAGACATTATGCTTTTTTTTTCTGTGAAATGGCAGGCATATATCCAGCTCTCTGACACGTAGGGAGCTAGATGTGAAAATGTCTTTAAAACTGCAATGCTCTATACACATATTGTTGTAGGAGTTATTAAGAAATTATTTTAGGCAGATAGAGAGGAAAAGTGGTCCTTGGAAACTTTTCCTTTTTAAAGCAGCTCTTAGAGCCAGGCCAGCAACCTTTGATATGCAAATGCAAGCCATTAGAAATGGTCCACTCAATCACGGCGATCCCCCCAGGCCTTCTTGTCCTTGCCCCACATGTTCCTGGCAACATGACAGCCCCCACATATCCCCACGTGTGTAGAACATCCTGGTGCCCTGTATTTGCATATTAAAAGGCTAGGGTGGGAGGGCCAGCTTTTTCGAGGGCTACGTGAATGACATGCCTGGTCAAACCAATCCCCAGAGCCCTATGCAAATCAGACACCACCTCCTCCAGCCTACTCACAAAACTGGCTGGTATCTGTGGCACTTGGGATCTCCTCTCTCGGCTTTGGAGCCCCCTTCCCTCTGTCTCTGTACGGGGGGAGGGGAGTTCTTCCTTCTTTCTTCTTCCTTCTTTCTTGCCTATTAAACTCTCCGCTCCTTAAAACCACTCCATGTGTGTCCGTGTCATTTTATCTAAACTGGCATGAGGATCAAGAACCCTAGTGTTCCTCCATTCATGGGAGCCGTATCAATATGAAGTCATATAGGCAATTCTACACCTTTTACATTGATCACTTTTGCTTCTCTATCTCTTCTCCTACTACTCAAAAAGAAGTATAAAACATCTTTGCTTTTCGTCTCGAATTTAAACATTTTTTAAAGTACCTAACTGTAAACAAACAATTTAGCACATTTATTACTCCACCTTTTACCACCCCAAATCTACTTACTCCTTTAACTTTTAAAAAGTAGTAATTTTATTATTATACTATTATAATACTATTTTCTCAAGATTATTTCAGCTATGTTGAGGCAGAGAAAAGTGTGCCAAACACAAGATAAGTGCTATCTACTAGCTAAATTGAAAGAACTATAATTTAATAATTTGCTTTTTATTATCAACCAGATGGATTCATATATGGTTCAAATCATAAACAAAAGAAGTTTCAAAGTCTCTCAGGTGTAATTTTGGAATATTTTTTAACATCATGGTATTTTTTTCTTCATAGATATCTCTCAAGGTCAGTAAGTATTGATCTAACTCATTCTTAATAGCTGCATAGTATAAATATAATACAATTTATTCAATAATTTCTCTATTGATATATGCTCAGATTATTTACAGATTTTTTGTCATTAAAAACAATGGTGCAAAAAATAGTATTGAATATACCCATTTGTTCAAAGAGGATCGATTCCCAGATAGTATAGGAGTATTGTTTAGTCAATGGTATCAAGTAATTACCAACCTCTAGCAGAACCTCAAACACACTCTTAACAAAAGTTTGAGTCCACTATTTAGTCCTGCATTACTCTGGCCAAAGGCAAAATTATATCAGCAAACTTATCTAGTATGTAATCCTGTTGCCCTTGCCTTTCAGAGATGCTCATCTTTTAAAAAATAAAAAATAAAAACAACAGAACTTACATTGTTTTTCATCAAAAACTCTACAATGATTCCATAGGATACCAGCAGTGTAAACATCAACTTTTGTTTTCACTCTCACCTCATTTTCAACTCAGGTAGAAAATTCAGAATGGGTCATAGCAACTGTGATCATGGTCTCTGCCTGGACTGCCAAGGTTTAATTTCTTCAGGCCTGCTGCTGATTTTACTAGCCCTGTCAATTCCCTAGTCATGTGACATTTTCATTGGTTCACCCCTGTTGGCTTTTCTTAAGCAGTCAGTTTATCCAGCCACAAACCTGTTATTTCTTGGCTCTGAAATTTCCTGTCTGATACTGTTCATACTTTCTCTCCCCTTTCCCATTCCCTCAATTCCAATTTCTTTTCCTTATTATGGTAATATTCTGATTAGAAAAGTTGTAATTTTTTTTCTTTCCAATAAGGTGTTTCCAGGACCTATGCCATCAGCAAATGCCACTTATGGGCTCCTCTGGATTGTTTTCCACCACTATTAAATTATTTCCAGTAAGTAAACACTGAACTGGCAAGGTAATACCAGTAGTATTAGTGAGCTTTACGCACTACCTTTGTTCTGGGCCCTCAAATTGTGTGGCAAACCAATATTTCAGTATCCATGTCACTGAAGGGGTTCAGAGTATGTCTCTGTAGCATAAAAAATTATTTTGAGAAGACATTTGAATTTCTAAAATCCCTTATCTGCCTAAAAGTAGAGCTTCCCAAAGAACTCAGAAGAACTCAACTGTCATAAATCCTCTTCTTGTGAGAAACTGGGGAAGACTGACTCTTATCATCAGAGATTGAGAAGTCTCCACACCACAGCTAAACAGATATTGTCAGAGAAACGCTCATATCTCCCATTTATTCTCCTAAGGGCTTATTTATCTTTCCAAGAAAAAGTCATTTGTTTTTCGATAAATATCCTTTCTCTCTCTCCCCTTCCCCTATTAAGATGGTGTATAAGCTCCAAATTCGAACTGCCTCTTTGAGTCGTATTTCTTTGTGAACTCCCATATGCACATGCATGTTGGTGATCAAAAACTGTCTTTTCTCTTCCTTATCTGTCTCTTGTCAGTTTAGTTCATCGGCCCCAGTCACTAAACCTAACAGGGTACAGGAAAAGAGTTCCCTCCCTGACATCACAAAATATGAGGAAAATACAAAGGACACATGGAAAACACAAAGGTTTTGTAGAAGTAGAAATAAGAGGTAAATGTAGACTGGCTATATTCCTCCACTCTACCTCTACTATTATATTCCTGAGATCCCTCTAAAACAGAAAGTTTAAATAAATCTGATCAGTGCAATTAGGAATAGACACCAGAATGAATTATTGAAACTTCATAACTAAAGATGTCACTTAAAATCTCCAGTTTTTTTTTTCAATTACATATAGAAAAGAAATGTAGGGTCTGTCTTCCTTCCAGGAATCAAACAGGACAAGTTGGCACCTGTGTTACTTTTCTCTAAATGAAAACTGTTAATTTTTCATAATATCATAGTTTTTCAATTAAGTGCCTCAATTGTTCTCTATAAATACTCCATGCAGTATTTCTTATTTTTAAAAAATTCTATTCAATTTCACATTTAGAAAGGGTCTGTTATGAGGGCTTGGCCCAAACCAGCCCTAACTAATATGAACAAAGATAATTCTGACTGGGATGCTGCTTAACTTGGCACCTTTCGGTGGCCATAGAGGTACGGCATTCAGATCTCCTTTCAAGAGCCCTGCTCAGAGGAGGAGCATCATTTGCTGACAGTCTACAGCTGCAAAACCTTCAGATCCACCGTGGCACCCATGCCAAGGTTGTGCTTACCCCAGGCCAGTGGCAAAGTACAGTGAGAGAACTAGAGCTGGGCTATTCCTGCCTGACAGGGAACCTCTCCTATGTGCAGTCTGTGCTCTGGGGCTCCCCATCAGCCTGGGTGAGACTTTCTCAGAGCTGCACTGCCATCAGAGTCTCTCCCTACCCACCCTTCCTTCCTTCCTCTCTCTTTCCACAGGAGTCAGACCTGCCTCCCACTCTGAAGGTTCTCTCTGCCTACTCTTGCTTACTGCCCATTTATCCATCAAAATGAGCCTCTCCCAATAAGTCATTTTACATCTAATCCCATCTTCTAGGAGGACCTGAGCTGACTCAGCCCACAATTACCGCAAATCCTGAGGCACAGTGGCTTGTTTTTGCATACCATCAGGTATGGCACAGACCAAACATATCTCTCTAGATACTATAGAAGTTCCAAAGAGTAATAAGAGCTATCATTCATTCATTAATTTCCATGTGCCAGACACTGTGTTCAATTATTTTTGTAAGTAATTCCAGTTAAGCCTCATAGCAACTATATAAGACAGGTAATATTATCACAATTTTATGGTGATATACCCAAGGATGTGTTGCTACTTATGTTTTTAAAAAAGCAATTGGCATTTAAATTCAATTATATCAAATTTAAAAACACATGTTCTTACATGCATTATGATGCCTACTAGCAGTAATACTCATCATGACTCTGAGTGTTAGCTAGTATTAAGTACCAGTCACTGGGCTACACATTTTTATGTGTTACTTCATGCAATACTCAAAACAACCTCATGAAGGGGGTATTATTACTATTACTATTACTATTATTATTTTCCATTTCACAGATCATGAAGACATTAAGAAATAACCAGTCTATCACAGACAGAGTATTGTTTCCTGGGGCAGTTAAACTAAAGGGATTGTTCTACCATAGCAAATGGTAGGACAAACTTAGATTAACATTTTACTAAACTGTGATTTGTTTAATGGCAGTGTCATTTATATGTTTTCTTCAAGATTCTGGCCTTGGTACTTACAAGGTAAACATTCCAAGGCCCTCTCTTAGTTCTCTTGGGCCTTCTTTTTTGAGCCTTCAACATTGTAGGTCAAGAGAATTTCTGATCCATTGTATAACCAATGTTACTTTGTAGCTCCAGGGTACTTTATAAACAATAAGTTAATTCAGAAAAAATGTCCACCAGAAAATCAATCTGGTTTCCAAGATAACACAGCTCAGAGTTTGTTAATACAGGGTATGGTTTACACAGAGTTGATTTTGCTTTCTGTATGGTTTGGAAGCTATTCTCTTATGTTCTTTCCTGAACTGTATATTAACCCTAAATAATGTACCATCATATAATGGTTAACACGTATTTTTTCCACAGAAATATGCTTGGATTTCTTTTTCTTCCCTCTGAAGTGATCACCACCCACAGCAACCCACTAGTAAGATTAAATATTCTTTAATAAGAAAATAATAAAAGCTGAATAAATGCCTTCCAGCATCAAAAAATTTCAGCAGAAGCAGTAGGAAAAAAATTCTCCGAGTTCAGCTTTTGTGATTACCTTTAAGATGCAGGAGGGTCATTCTTGTTCCTTCAAGAGGTTTCTGGATGTTTTCTGTAAATCCAGGTTCCTGCCCAAAGAGTGTCAGTGGATGGGTAAGTGTGGAAGGGGTGGGGAATAAAAACAAACGATATTTCAAGACTGAGTGAGGGCGGCGGTCCAGTCAAGGGTTTCTGAGTCTCTGCTCATGAACTACAGTACTCCTGGTGGCTATGGAGCACCTCACCTGCTGATGGCTCAACACGTCTCCAAACTATATACAGTATAGCAAAGTCTCAGACTAGAGTTTCAAAGACACCATGGGACTCAACCAATCCTCAGAATCATGAGCTATATAAATAGGGCAGGCACCTAACTGGGTAGGAGGACAATAAAGGCAATATATGATATGTGAAAATATGAATACCCATGGCTTTTTCCCCCACTCAAAAATAACTGCTTACATAATATAGTTGTCCCTTCATACTTGTGGAGGGATTGGTTCCAGGACCCTGAGGATACCAAAATCCAATGATGCCCAAGTCCCTGGTATAAACTAGTATAGTATTTTCACATAACCTTTGCACATCCTCCTGTATACTAAATCATCTCTAGATTACTCATAATACCTAATACAATGTAAATGCTATGTAAATAGTTGTTACACTCTAGGCAATAATGACAAGAAAAAATGTCTACTTGTCAGTACAGATGCAACCATCCATTTTATTTTTTTCAAATATTTTCAATTTATGGTTGGTTGAATCCACATATGTGAAACCCACAGATACGGAAGGTAGGCTATATTTTATTTTGGGTAGGGTGCAGTTGTTACTTAGCAACAGGTAACTGTACAGGCAGATGAGGTAAGATGGGGGTGCTTCCAGGTTGAAGAAAGTTGAAAGCCATGGAATTGCAAAATAGTCTCATGTATAACGAGAATGCTAAGTGATATCTCTCCAGTACACACTTCTACATGAATCTTTTTGGCAAATTATATTACATAGCTCCAAACCAACTAACCCAGGTGTGTTAATTTTTAAAAAATCATACTATTTAAGGAGATGACACTGTTCTAAGGAAATCTTGTTTGGACATAATTTCTTTGTTAATTCTTTAAAACCCAAATAATGAATATCTATAAACTAATTAATGCATTTTATCTTCAATCTGTATTTATTATATTTTGTATTAATAGTTTTTAGAAACCACAGTGAACATGAAGGAAGGGCAGGCACCTAACTGGGTAGGAGGACAATAAAGGGGATATATGATATGTGAAAATATGACTACCCAGGGCTTTTTCCCCACTCAAAAATCACTGCTTACATCAATCCCAAATTGTCATGCTACAATTTAAGCTGATTTCTTGTTATGCTGTCCTCACTGGAACTCAAGAAGGTTTAGTCTCCTTTGTTGCGTTTTTAAAGATATTTTTTAAATTTCCTCTTGATCTTTCCTTTGGTTGGCTAGAAGCTCAGCCTCCCCAGCATGTTATCATGTTTTATATATAACCTTTTAATCAGCCTCTGGCTCTCTGGGAGCTTTATCCAAGTTCTTCTTGCCTCTCATTATGGTTGTCTATAGCTGCCTAAGAAACCACCCCAAACACGATGGCATTAAAACAGCAACAACCATTTATTAATATTATCTTTCATAGGCCTGGGGGTTGACTGGGCTCGGCTAGCTGGTTTTCTCTTGAGGGTCTCTTAAATGGTTGCAGTCAGACAGAGACTGGAACTGGAGTTCTCATGAAGGTGTCCTTACTCATGTATCTGGTGGTTAATGCTGGCTGTTAACAAGGACCTCTGCTGGGGTCGTAGGCCAGAACACCCACCTGTGGCCTGTCTCTGGTGCCTGGGTTGGGTTTCAAGAGTGAGCCTCTCAAAAAAGACAGAGAGCCAGGCCAATGCTGTCTCATCTTTTAAGATGAAATAATTTAATATGTAGTTTAGGTCTAATCACAAAGAATAATTTTCTTTGCATTTTATTTGTTAGAAGCAAACCACTATGGCCAGGCCATGTTCAAGAGGAAGGGGATTAGACTTTAGCTCTTGATGGGACGAGTGACAAAAATGTGCAGTCATGTGTTAAGCATGACACATCTCTTGAGTTGGGGAACCCATTGTCCTTTTAGGGTATAGGAAACAAGTGGGGGCAGTCGTAAGGAGCTAGAATCAGAATGCAGAGACTCTATCAGGAATCTCAGGGATGCTTGTGGTCATGGCCAGAGAAAAGGTAAGAAGGAGCCCATAAATAACAAGTCCACCGCAGGGGAGGTCATGACAAGTTGCTGTAGCAAAAAGGTGACCCCAAATGGATCCCGGACCTGAGGATAGAGGTTGCTTAATATGAGGGTGAGCCCTGTATGGCAGGGAGAAAGAGCCCAGAGGAGCGGTAGTCAAAATCGAAGAGTACTCAGAGACCCACCATGATGAGTATGAGATAAGTGTCATTTTCAGGACTACAACTGTGGAATCACCCAGGCCTGGCTCAAGGTGCACAGGAAACTCCCTGTCACAACACCCACCTCTGGCCACCAGCATCTCAGTAATGAACATCATTGCCTGAGAGAAAGTGCAAGCCCACCCAGAAGGGCTAAGGCTACTCTTGGCTGGTTGAGTTTCTGAGAAGTTGTCATAGGCAGTTGTGGTCGTTGAGTACCCCAGACTCCTGCTTCTCAAGAGAAACAAATGAGTTCTACTGAGATTCTTCTATTCATATTTGTTCAGATAAAGGGAGAAAGAGGTCAGGCAGGAGGTAGAGGCAGTGAGTTCTAACTCCTGATGCAAGGAGGCTGACTGCACTCAGGGATGCTCGTTGTTGGGACCACAGTATCTGCAGGCAGATCTTTAAATTTCATGCTCACCCTAATAACAGAAATGAGACTTCATTGTGAATTCGTATTTAGATTATAATCTCATGTCCAAACCTACACACACACACATCCATTCCTCCCATTCCTTTTTCTTTAACAGCATCTTCTTCTGTGAAATATGTGCAGCTCCTGTAAGAACTGGTGCCATGGTTACCTCTATGTGTGAGTGAGTTGTCACGCTGATTGAATATAGTGACACCATTCCTTTATTGTTCATTCAGACAGTGTTTATGAACATTGGGCCAGACAGGGAACTTGGTATAGCTGAGCTGGCAGAGATGCATAAGGTAGAGTCCTGTCCCCCAGGAGTGACGATTGAGAAATAGGACTTGAAAAATCATTCACATCACAACCTGCAAGTGTAGAGGAAATTTAGCTTCTTTGATTGCGTCTATAACTAATTGGATACCTTCCTGTGAGTGTGCAGGAAAGCCAGTTAGTTAAAGGCGCAGTATGGTTCAAATATAACCTATAACACTTCCTCCTGCCACCCTCCCTAAGATGCTACAGCAGTCAGGGTCCCAGGAGTAGGATACTGTCCAAACCAGGAACTTCTGAGAGTAAAGCAGGATGCTGAAATAATTATACTGGAATAATTGGAATAGACTGGGACTGTCTGGGGGCAAACCAGTACAGAAAGTCATTCTATCCAGATGGAAACCACAGTCAAAAGGGGTTCATTTAATTAAGGGTCTATTTTTCAAAGGTGTAGATAGGGTTAAGAGAAGCCAACAAGAGATGGGAAAGCACCTAAGGCCCACAACAGTAGGAGGATGCTGCCACCCCTAAGCCTAAAAGAGTAAAAGGAGGTAAGAGTTCCAGAGCCTGGTGAGGCTTATGGCTATGGGAGAGGGCTGCTCATTAGAAGCTGTGACCTTCATCCGGGGAATGCAGTCCCCTTTAATCCACTGTCAGGTATGGAGGGAGCAGGAAGAAAATAAGCCCAATCTTTCTACCCACACTCTTGCCTTCCTGCTGGTGATGTCCATTAGCCAAAGGCAGCCAGAAGCCAGAAGTCAAGGGAGCTGGTAGGTGCAGAAAAGGATGAAAATGAATCCTGTGTGGGAATAGGGAAAATAATATCTAACACACTATTATTCAATGGGACAGGACTTGGGGGACTAATGCATCCTCATGATGGCAGGAAGAGCTTGAGTTCCTCAGGCATGGTGACCTCTGCCTCCAAAGCAATAAGGGGAACACCTTAGTCCCCTTTTGAATGGACTATTTACTGTGTCCCCACTATCCACTGAGGGCTGTGGGTGGTAAATCCCTTGTTTGCTAACCCTCTCAGCTTGTTTCCAACTCAGTGGTGACTTGGCTTCACTTCAACCCCCACTGGTTACTGACCAATCCCTGGGTCTCTGCCAAGTGCTCCATCATGCCTGTTGGCCCAGATATCTACCCCAAGACTCAGTAAAATTGTTCTTCATTCTGTCACAGGGGATCCCTGGGAAAAGTCCATGGATTCTCAACTCCAAGTCTATGGTAACTCCAAGTCCAGGAATTGAACACTGGCAGTACCACAAAGTTTAACCTAGGGGCTTCCTCTGTCCAGCCATGCTATGCCTCATTCACTCTTGGCATTACCCTAATTTCTCTAAATCCCCTCACCATCTCCTTACTGACACCTGGAGCGAAAACAATCAGGGACGCATAACAGCTTAGTTTGATCTCCATTTTCCTCTTACCTCTTTCTCCTTCCCACTTTCTTCTGGGAGGGAAAGGGGTTCAGCTATCTCTTAGTTCCCTGGGTCATATTCTCCTTCTAGTACTGAGCAGCAAGATTCATGGCTTTGCTGTGTGGACTCAGTGTGTTTTAGTTCTACTCTGGGCCCTTGAGGCTGGATATGCTATGTTGTAAAAAGGGAATGAGCTTTAAAAACTGAGCAAATCCTTTTCTAAGACTATAGCCTGACTTACAAGGCTGTTGCCCTGCTGCACAATCATATTCTGCAAATATGGTCATGCTCTTTCTGTATTCCTTAACATTTCTTAACCCTAACACATACCCAGACACACATACAGACACATAGCTTCAAAAATATTTCTAGGTACTTGGGTATCATGAGCCAACTAGAGTACAATCACATGCTCAGGAAGGCAGAATAGAAAATTACATCAATATTTGTAAAATATTAATCCCCCTTAAAATTTTAATTTTTTGTTTCCAGCTATATTCTGGAAGCTTGGGCTTTAAAGTGAAGAGCATTATACCTGGGCCAGGGCAGCAGTACATGAAGCAGTGTATGAACATGGATTTGAGTCTTGTCTCTGCCCCTTATTAGCCGTATAACCTTAAGCAAGTCGTTTCACCTGTCTGAGCTTCAGTTTCCTCCTGTGTAAAATGAGGACCTAACACCTGCCCTCAGTGTTGTGGTGAAGGTGACATGAGCTGGCAGAGAGCCTGGCTCATTGTAGGTGCTTAAGTGGCATTCACTTCCTGCCCTCAGGGCTAGCGCTAAGTGAGAACAGACATACAGGCCCCAGAGCCATTTGAAAATACCGGGGCTAGAATTTCTGGACCTAAGATTTTTGGTGTCATGCAATTGAGCAAGATGGGACGGGAGCTAGACTTGACTGAGTATTCCCCGTAGGAAAGATGCAGTCGCAGAGCCCTGTTAGCCTTTAGAAATGATCTCATCTCCAATGTATAGGAGAAAAGGAGGGTGAGAGAGATTCAATAATTTGCCTGGGTCGTATACCCCTTGTGAGTATACTTCAAAGCTCTTTTCACTAGAAATATATCTTTCTTGAAACAAATTGTCTGCATTAGTGGACACTGTGGTGCTCTGTCCAGATCCTCTTCTCAGGGTCAATGCACCCATCCACAGCTGCTGGAACTATCAGCTGCAGATGATTCACAGCTGCACCCCTTCACATGAAGTGCCCTTGCCTATGAGAAACAGCCTGCCCAAGTTTATGCCTCCTCCAGGTAGTTCGGCTTCAGTGTCTGATTTGGAGATTCAAAAGCCTGGCCCCATAAACCTCAATTTGGCACAACTTGAAGGGCCTTCCCTGATCTAGCACTCCCCATAGGATCAACTGAGGCTTCTGTAGCAACCCCATCATGAGTCTTCTGCCTTTGTCCAGTCCTGCCTTCCTCACTTCCTTCTGCGTGTATTTCTCTGGAGCACAACCCAGTAAACCTTCTACACACAATTCTATCTAGAATCCATTTCCAGGGAATGCAATCTGAGGTGTAGACTTAAACCTGAGTGTTGGGGGAAAAAAACTCCCAAAATATACGAGGCCTCAAACCCCAAATCTTTTCTCAAATATGTTATTCAAAAGATGGTATAAAAAGGGACTAGTAGAAGTGGAATGGGAGTGGGTAGTTCCTAGGAGGAGGAATAACTAAGAGGAGAGTGCTGTGGCGGACAAAGTCCCAGGAATAAGAGAGGAAAAGAGGATGCCCAAAGTGTTCCCTGTTCCAATGGTATGCTTTGCACTTTTGCAATTAATAAAAGGCCTTCTGAATGTGGCAGCTCTGCTTGGTGTCCATACATAAAGGATCTGATTATAGGCAAGGTAATCAGCTGTAAGGTAAGAAGAAAATAAAAATAAAATTAACTAATGACAATATTAACAGTAATAGTAATAGCTAACACTTATATAGTGCTTTCTACATTGCAGGTTGTGTTACTCCATTTGCACTGCTATAAAGAAATACCTGAGGCTGGGAAATGTATGAAGAAAAGAGGGTTATTTGGCTCATGGTTCTGCAGGCTGTACAGTAAGCATGGTGTCAGCATCTGCATCTAGTGAAGGCCTCAGAAAGCTTCCAATCATGGCAGGAGGTAAAGGGGTAGCAGGCATATCACATAGCAAGAGAGACAGGGAGGAGGTGCCAGGCTCTTTTAAACAACCAGATCTTGTGTGAACTCATAGAGTCAGAACTCACTCATTACCAAGAGGACAGCACCAAGCTATTCATGAAGGATCTGCCTCCGTGACTGAAATACCTCCCACTGCGCCCACCTCCAACATTGGAGCTCACATTTCAACATGAATTCAGAGGGGATGAACATCCAAACAATATTACAGGCATTGTTCTAAATGCTTTATACATATTAATTTGTTTAACCTTAGAAAAACAACCATATTAAACAGTCACTAGTATTATCACCATGATGAGAAAATGGAGGCATAGAAAGGCCTAGTAACTTGTACAAGGTCATGCAGCTAGTGAGCTGGGCTTTTACCCAGATTATTTGGCTCCAGGGCTGTTGCTCACAACCATTGTGCTCTAAGGGGGAAAAGCAACTCCCTCCCGTAGAAGAGTAATCACAGAAGTTCGGTCCTGGTACCTAGTCCAGAAGCCACCAGTCCCAGAAACCACAATGGTAGCACAAAGATGTCACCATCAATCCTTATTTCCCAAGCCTGTTGAAGATTGACGTCTTAGCTAGTGAAAAAGAAGAGCTTCTCTTCATTATGCACCCTAGACTGTTTCACCTAGAGACTTATTTATTGGAGGATGTAAATATCTTATTTTATATGTAGCATAATGCCATTTGAAAGAAATGGTCTCGGCTCCAAGCCCCAGGCCACTGAGGGGGGCAGTGGTAAATGGATACCTCAGTGCTATTGTTGAGAACATTACTTTGCACAAAATAAATGAAGGGAAAGCCTCCCATGTGGTTTGGGGATCCACCCGTAATTGACAGTCATCTCCAGAAAGTCCTTCAAAGAGTTATCACCAATCATAGAACTTACATTCCAATGGAGAGTGGTTGGCCCATTTGTCACCTACATCAGTTAATTTAACCAAAGTTTTCTCCATTAACCTCTGCTGTGAAGCCCAGGAGAGGCACTACTCAACCAGCATTTGATCGTTTAATGGCATCTCATCCTTACTGCTTTTGTTCCTGTAATAAATTTGGAGTAAGCATTGATTTCTCAAAGGTCTGGAGTTAATTTTATACATACCAGAATATTGTAGTGGATGAAAGGTCTGAGACACTGTGAAGTAGCAAAAGGTGTATATCAATTATCTATTTCTGTGTAACAAGCCACTCCAAAACCTAGTGGTTTAAAGCAACAACAATCATTTACTTTATTCTTATATCTGCAATTTGAGAAGGGCTGGGCAGGAACAGCTCCTCCGTGCTTTACACAGCATCAGCTAGGGCAGCTCAATGGAAGCCTGCAGGATTCACTTTCAAAATGGCTCACTCACATGGCTGGCAACTTAGAGCTGGCTGTTATCTGAGAGCTCAGTTGGGACGGGGGACCAGGGAACTCAGTTCCTTTCCATGGCAGGCCTCTCTTTGGAATACCTGGGCTTCCTTGCGGCATGGTGGCTGAGTTTCAAATGTGAGCATCCCAAGATGCAGGAAGTAGAAGCTGTCAGTTTCTTAGTCTGGGCCTAGAAACTGGCACAGCATCATTTCTACTATATTCTATTGGACTATCAGTCACAGAGCCCAGATTCAAGAGGAGGGAACATAGACCCCACCACTCAATGGGAGGAGAGTTAAAAAATGTTTGGGTCATGTTTCAAAATCACCACACAGTTGCCACCACAGAATGTCAAACATATGGCATCTCTTATTTCACATTCTTTTTTGACAAATGAGGGAAAAAGTTTGAAGACGTAAAGTTATTTCCCAAGACCACACCACAAGATAGTCACAGAGACAAACCTGGCTTTGTTTAGCTCACTGAAACAAAAAGCACGCTACACATAGAAGATAGCTCTTCAAAAATTACAGCTAGCTGCAAATGGCTAAATCCCTGAAAAGTACATAGACACTTAACACTATTATAGGGCATTGACATGGTAATACATTGTAATAATATAATCATATAATAGCCATAAAAAGATAATGACACATTAATCAACTTTCATCAGGCATCACAATGGTGCAGGAGATACAGAAGTGAGCAAGAAACAGGCCTTGCCTTCTAAGAGTGTATAGGCCAATGGAAACTACAGACAATTTAAACAAGAAAATACAATTGTGCTTTTTTGTGTGTGAGGAAGTTTATATTGTTATAAAAGCACATTGAAGGGGGAACTGAAACCTTTGTCTGGAGGTCTAGAAATTCTTCCGAATTGATGTGATGTCTAAAGCAAAACCAGAAGGGTATGTAGGGGACAGAGATCAGAATATTTCAGGTGGAGGGAAAAACATTTACAAAGGCATTGAGAATAAGACTCTATGTCATTTAAAAGACTGGGTAGACTCAAGCTATCACTGTCTGGCACATAGTAGATTCTCAATACCTAATAATTGAATTAAAAATATACAGGTGATTTATTGGTATCTCCAGTAACTGGGGATGAATTGATTTTTCTTGGTTCTTTCTCAGACCTGACTAAGCACTAGAGATTATTGGTAAAGAAAATGAACATGGAGACACGGTTCATCCACCCACATGGTAACCATGTTGTTGCCTAGTGTTCATGGATCAGTGACAGCCTAAGAAAGCCTGTTTTCTTGCTGCTCCCACCAATGTTAAGGCTATTTGTTTCTGTTTGTAAATGCTTAACACATCTTGGAAAGGGTGTGGGCAAACACTCTTGGTGCAATTATGCAATCTTTGTTGTCAGAATGGGATAAATGTTTCTCCTTCCTGCAGTAATTGCTAATTATAAACTAGCTGATATATTTGTCTGATGACTTTAATTTTCTCTAACAGCCTCTGTCCTTTCTGAACCCTGCACAAGTAGTTCTCAGGAGTCTCAGCTGACATCCAGTTTCCCCAGGGAGTTTCCCATGATTACTACCAAGGTTTTTCCAGAAAACATATATTTGCCTTCAAGAGGAGACCCTTCTCTGTTGTGTAACACCCACTTTCCTCCACCTTGCCCACCAATATTATCACTTCTCACCTCAGATCTTCAGTCTGTCTCTATAAATATTTGAATCAATTATGTGCAAGACACTGAACTAGGTATTTTCCTAAAGATTAATAAGATACAGATTGTAAACTCCTTGAAGATAATTACTCTCAAGAAAAAAAATCTATACAAATAATACATTATAA
The DNA here is from genome assembly GCF_000001405.40 of Homo sapiens. NCBI lineage: Eukaryota > Metazoa > Chordata > Mammalia > Primates > Hominidae > Homo > Homo sapiens. Next base: position 42,490,761 of record NC_000023.11, on the reverse strand, counting down.
TCCATGAAAGTGTGTGGTGCATGCCCTAGGAAGAAAAGTGTCATACCACAGTGGAAAGAGTTTATTTTTCAGCAAGGAGAATCCCAAAAGACTATGGTGGAAGCAGCATCTGAGTTGATACTTAAAGGATAAGTAGGTAGGATTATACAAAAACTTCTCATATGAGTGGATAATCATATGATCAGATACTCACTCCACATGTTTGTCTGGAGAGTTCAGAGAAATAAAGCTGGAAAATAAACATTCAGCTGAACCAACCCTGTGGTAAACTACTATTCTTCACCAATATTTGCTGCTTGTCCACGTGGAAGGAGTATATTTCTCCATTCTGTTGAACCTATGTATGGCCAAGTCACTTGCCTTGACCAATGAATGTGGGCAGAAGTGATGTGTGTCAGTTCTGGATGGAGGTTTTAAGGGCCAATCTCTTCCTCGCCATGTTCCCTTTTTCTTTGCCACAACTACTGGCAATGTTCCAGGACGAGGCCACTCTGCTACCTAGGGTCCCAGAAAGAAGGAAGCTAGCCTTTGTTGTTATAAGACACTGATATTTTAGGATTATTTTTTATGACAGTATAACATAGCCCATCCTTACTAAGACAAACATCAAACTTGTTCCAGTCAGCTCAATTCCCAAAAAGTAATACAGGGCTCAAAAATGGAGTAGCAAGGTACTATTTGACTGTTTCCAAATGTTCCAGGCACTGCATGCGGTACTTGACATGCATAATCTCATTTAATTCTCACAACTTCATTATGTATAAATCCTTACTCCCTCTATACAGATGTAGAAACTCAGAGAGGTTAAGAAACTTGCCCAAAGTCACACGGTGGGCAAGAATCATTGCTGGGATTCTAATTTCGTATTGTACAACAGGGAATCTGCTCCCTTTGTGGTGATACAATGCCTACCAAGTCACAAAGATATCATACCCTTAAATTCCCTAGCAAACTATGTCCATTATTCTGAATTTAATGACCTTGTTACCTAAGCCTGGACTTTGGAAACAAGTGGATAAGAACCTTGATTCCAGCTCTATCATTGTGTGGGAAACATGGGCCTCTGACCAATAATAAACAATTTCAAAGTCAAGGAAAAAAGATTAACCTCAGAAACAATTTAAATCCATTGTGTCCTATCAAACCTAAATGCCAGTTACTCATCTTGGATTCTAGATGCTTTTCTCTCTGGTCCCTGATAAAGTCACAAGGTTAGATTTCCTTTGGATACCATAGGACCACAAAAGAAGATTACATAGTTCAAAAGAAACAGTGTTCCTCAGGAATTGTTCTGATCTCTGTGGATCACTTGGAAACAGGATTGCAATTTTCTCAGTCACACTGCTGTTACAGGCTACAGATTTTGTTATGAAAAGTGAGAAGTTCACAATCAATGGAACCGAGTGCAGCCAAGATACTTATTAAATAAATGTGCAGTAGACCCAGAAGACTTGGTCACCAGGGAATGAGGTGAGTACCCTGAGGGAGGCATGGGCTGAGACAGTGGTAGAAGGAGAGAGAAGTTTCAACAGAGACTCTGCTAGAATTCAACTTGGTAACCTGATGGCTTATTTTTCTTATTATCCATCTGTTTTTCCCTCTGGTCTACCTCTTCCTCTTGACTCTTTCCTGCCATGGATGCAACTACCTATGGTTGGTGGTCATTGGTAGAGAAATGGATATTTTTCTTTTTCAAGCATCCAGTACATGTTTAGTGTTGAATTGAAATTTTTCTTTTACATTTTACATTTCCTAGACATAGTTATCAGAGCCATGCCATTAGGTTTTTAGGTGGTATTTGGAAGTATTTATTTTTTATGTAGTTTAGCTGGCTGTTTTTAAGTTCTGTATCACAACACAAATCAGACACAGACCATGGAGACTTGGGCCTGGCAGCTGAGTAGTGGATGAAGGGCCAAATGAAGGAAAAGATGGCTGGCAAAATAACCCATTGATCAAGCAATCAAGATAAGCTGAGCAAATGATGATGAAGAAATAAGAGCCTAGGTGGGCCAGTGTGCCGATGAGCATCCTTCATGGTTTTGCTGAAAGTTTCCTTTCAATAATTTCAATTAAATGACTTCTTAGGATCTTCCAAAATTTGACACTGAGATTATTTGCCGTCAACAAGATATTACATGAAGCTGGCCAATTAGAAGGAAGGAAGGGAGAGAGAGTGAGAGGAAGGGAGGAAAGGAGGGAAGGAGGAAAGGAGGGAGGGAGAGAGGGAGGATGTGGAAGTGGAGAGGGAAGCGGGAGGAAGGAAGGACCTTGATTTTAAAATGTCTGCACTCTGCATCTGATTTTTTGTTTTGATTAAAGTTCTCATCATAATTGAATGCCCTCACTATCCTGCATCTCAAATGTGAAAGAAATCTATGGCCAAGAGCAGACAAGGATCAGCTGATTGTGAGGCTGAGTGTAAATATTGGTGGAGATGGAACTATGCCAGGGTTTTTATTAGAATTGTTATGGTTTTGTTAGTAGTCTAGTTAGAAATTTCCATATATTTTGAGTGGTCTGCCCCAACTCTATTTTTCCCATAAGCCAGTTATTTATAGTGTGTGATTTTGCAACATGAGAGGTTTTTCAGAAATGCATACTTGGTGTTATAGCAGGAGCCTGAATATATACATACATATGAAAGTTTAGTCCTATATAATGATCAAAACTCAAACTGATTTAAAGTTATATTTTTGCACCCAGCTGGGCCTTCTGCAGACATGAGGACTGTGTTGTAGAACAGTACATGATCCTTCCCCTTTGTCTCTCTGCCTAAAGCCTCCAATTCCCTGCCCCTACCTTGCTCCCCAGCTTTCTGATTATAAAGGAGCTAAGGAGAGAAGAGGGAGTAAAAGATGACTTTATACTCTCTGGGCCTGGCAGACACCACAGTTGACTTTCTCTCTTTGAACAAACGTTTCCCCTGAGGCATTGAGGTGGATGTCCTGTGAGCCAGGCAAATGCCTCTCCCCTTGCTGGCTACTTTTCTCGGCTCTTGCTCTTCAGGTGCCCACTCCATATAGATCACTCTCTCTTGGAATCTCTTTGCCCCTCCTGGTGGTTCTCTAGGACAGGGTTGTGTAAAGCTCCAGGCTGGCTCTCTCTTCTGCACGTGGCCCCATCTCATCCACAGGAACCACTCTGACACCCTTAGCACCAGCAAAGTCCAAGAGTGGAAGCCAATCTCAGCACAGGGGCACTTGCTCCATCGCCAACGCAGGTCCCTGCTCCTTACACAGCCTCTAAACTTCATGGAAGGGGCCCAGCACCAGTCCATTAGGACCTCCATACCAACTTCTCACAGTCCTTTCTTCTCCTTGGACCTGAGGCAAAGGGAGAGCAATCCGAACTGTCCTGCCCTGGCAGGAGTTTGCAGTGAGACAGCAACTACCAAAGAAATTTTCTTCACAAACCCCCCTCCAAGTCTCCACTGCTTTCTACATCCTCTATGAAAGAAAAGGGCTCAGAGGCAAAATAAACAATTGTCATATTTTGACTTTGAAATGTTTGTATGGTGGTGTCTTTGGAGTATAGGATTTATTGTCTTCATGCTTCAATGAGAACTGAGACTAGAATACTTCTATTTTAAAATAGGACACACATTCACACACTTCAATACATAAGCACACTCACACAGAAATGCTTACAGTTTCCTATGATAAATGGTCTACTTTTCAGTCTCTGTAGCAACACTATACTGTTTAAATTAATGTAATATTGCTATATATATCTACATATATAAATATCCATATACATATGTATATATATATCTACATATATATTTCTACATATATATGTATATATATGTTAGGTCATGTTCTTGCACCTTGCTTTTATTTATTTATTTTTCAAATTGGCTTGGTGGTCTTGGCTTTTTACCATCCTGTTTGTATTTTAAGATCATCTTATCAAATTACACACACACAAACACACACACACAACTACTGGGATTTTTGTCGAAATAACATCTACAAACATGTAGTACTCTCCACCCAGTTTTTTTATGTCAAGTTGTTTATATTTTTTATTACATTTATTCCTAAGTGTTTCTTGCTCATGTTAATAGGATTCTTAAAATTACATTTTTAATTGGTTGTTTCTGATGTATTGGAATATCGCTGCTTTTCAAATTTTATTTTTATCCACCAACCTTGTTGAAATTTCTTATTAGTTCTAATAGCTTGTTGAGTTTCTTGAATTTTCTCCATAAACAATTAGATTGTCTAAAAATAATGACAATTTAACTTCTTCCTTCCAGTTCTTAAAACTGTATTAATCTTCCTTGTCTGATGCACCGCTTGCAACCTTTAATACCACGTTAAATCCAAACAGTGCTAACAGGCAACCTTATCTTGTCACTAAATCTTAAATGAATATATGCATCAGCATTTCGTATGATATTCACTTTAGGTTTTTAAAGTTGCATTCAGAGATTGCCTTTCTTCCAGATTGCTCATTGTGAATGGCCTTCAAGACGGATAGTCAAAGGCTCCAATCAGCAGCAAAACTGCCCCTAAATCACTGCTCCAGGAACAGTTTTGGGCAGTTAAATGACTTCCTTGAGGTCCTAGCAAGTTTCTGGCAGAGCAGTGTTGGGTCATTCTTTTATTGCACTTGCTTTAACCACCTACATGTAAAACACATTCTTTATTCATTTGTCCCATTTTTGCATTGCTGTGTAATTTTAACTTAATACATTTACTTTATCTTTCCAAGTAGATTGTAAGATCTTTGAGGATAAGGACTAAATATTCCCTTTCTTTTATATTATATAAGCTCTCTAGAATATAAGCTCTGTAAGGAAAGGGACTTTGCCTGTTTTGTTACTGCTGTTTCCCCAGTGCCTAGTACAGTGTCAAGCACTGTAGGCACTAAACGTTTTTGAGTGAATGAATCAGCTTCATGTCTCTCCAACCATTCACAGACTCCAGCTCACCACCTGGCAATTTGCCATGTGCACTGAATGCATTCAAAAAATGTCGGTAGAATGAATGAGCCATTCCAGCCCCTAGTCTTTCATTTTGATTCCACCATTCTTTCACCTGGACATCTCTATTTCTAAATAACTTAAGTAAAGCTTGATGTTGATGTTTTGTCAATGCCAGAAAAAAAATGTTTGACAAGTGTGCAATCTAACTTCATGAATTTCAAAACAGATGACACCCATTTTGATAAATGCATATGATTCTGCAGTTGATGAAAAAGAAAAATGAAAATAGGGCCAAATTACAGTTTGGTACCCAAGACAATAATCAATCTTTCATCATGCTAATGGTCTGTCATGAGACTATAAAACCACATGAAGACAAGAAACAGGAAAGTCCTCACACTGGCCTTCCAAGGGAGTCAACATAATTTGGTTAACAAGACACACTTATCTGTGAATGAATTATAGCTAAGTGTGAACCTGGCAGTTCAATTATAAAATATGTCAAAGCTTTCCAGAAGCGATTACTACCATAACATTGAATAAGGTTACCATGGACAGAACAGACTAATCGGTAGAGTTAGGTCTATTTTTAAATGTCAAACAACATCTTGCTCCTCTTACAGTGCTGCTCTCTACCATGAACTGGGAATATTAACTACCTACAGGTTTCTTATTCTCACCAGAAATGGTCCATCCACATTTGCTTTTTAAATAACATAGTTAGGGAGAGATGCATGGAAATCTGTATCAACCAAGTCCTAGCCATGCCTCCTATGGGGTGGTGGTAATGTAGGGTGAGTGAAGGGAGAGCCACAAAAGGGTGGTGTGTGCTGGGAATGCTGGTATCTCAGAAAAGCTCTTACTGCCACTGTGCTGATCAGAATGGACTGTGCACTGCGTTGCCACAAGCAACACTGTTATCACTCCTCACCTGTGAACTCTGGTGTCCATGCTCTCATATGTCACTCTCAACGTCAAGTTCTCTTCCTGCCCCTGGCCCTCAAGTCCCCTCCTTCCCTCTCTCTCTCTCTCTTCGTCTTTCTCTCTCTTTGCTTCTCTCTCAGCCACACGAACTGAGTTACTTGTTCACCTGCCCTTTTAGTTAAGGGCAGAAAGCCTTCTCTCTGATGCCATCATAGCCCTTGCGAATAGTTCTACGATGTGAATCCGTAAGTTCACTCTTCATCCTTCATTATCCCTATCCTGACTACAGCTGTCAACCTCCCTCCCTAAACATACTTGTATGGACAGAATCTAGATTTCCAACTGTTCTACATTCACAACTGTCCCAGACACAAACCGTAAGTCAAGTATTTAAGTGCAAGTAGATTTTTTTGGAGGTGATTCTAGAAACCACCAGTAAAGGAGTGAGGAAGTGAGACAGAGAAGGAAAGGTCAATAAAAGAGGCATTACCATGAAGTTACCACTGAGGGCAATGTGAACTCAATCCCACTGGAGAACTCTGAGAAACAGCATAGAACACAACTCAGTGTTATAGTGTCCCAGAAGCAAAAAGGCTGAGGAATTTATTCAGCTATTTTCATCAGCCATTAATTGAAGGCTATTCTCAGGTGGCATTAATTTCCTGGTGCTTCTGGCCTGCTATGGGCAAGAGTAGAATTGGCTCAAGCACCCAGAGAAAGCCCTCAGGCAAAAATGCAATTGCTGGCATTTGAAATTGGGCTGGCATGCAATGAAATCCCTAAAGCTGAAGAGATATGGGTGGGGCTCTAACAGTATCTGCTACCTCAAATAGTCAGGGGTAATGTGATAACTCTGTTCTTGGTTTATCTAGGTAGAAACTCTTCCAACAGCCTTTAAAAAAGAAAAGAAACTTAGACGCAAATCCTCATTCAAAGTCCTAACTATTGCAACTAAACTCCTGTCATTCCAACCCAAAGCACTAAATGCTACTAATACTCATCCCACTATACCTACTTCCTATCTTCACACTGATAATGTTTGTAGTTTGCAGTAGAGATTAAATCCATAGTGAAAGTGTTCAGAATTCAAGTATACTTCTTTCTCCAGAAAAAAGTCTATGTGGATAATATTTTATTAGAGCTAGGCAAATAGTTTTGTGTGGACAAATGTTCTTATTTTAAGAATAGGAGAACTATAAATCTTAAGGCAATTATCTTTAGAAAAGCAGCAAAGTAATAGGAGAAGGAGTATTATCTTACCTTTAATGACTTTTTGTAATATCAAAATAAATCATTACTGACTGAGCTAAGAGGTAATTTCAACATTATAAACAAATCAGTATAACAATTAAGTTATCAGGAATGAAATCAAATTAAACATAAAAACTATTCTTCAATAACTAAGGATGGCTTTTCTCCTTCAGCAGAGACTACCGAGTTCCAACTACCAAATTTTCAAGAGTCTTAAATGGGTCTCTCAGAGCCTTGGGTGCCATCTTGCTCCAAGTACACAGGATGAGATCCAGAGAGGGACAATATTTAGCTCCTATAAGAGACTAAAAATGAATAGTGTGTAGTGGATTCTAAACAATGATGGAAGAGTGGTTCAACCAGAAGTCTTCATCAAAATACTGAGAGAAATGATGCCAGGATCCCAATGGTAACATTCCAGAAGGGAAAACCTTCTTTGCATTGAGTTGAATTCTTCTTACAAGAGGAAAAATTTCCTGTATTTGTTTTGCCCTGAATTATTTTCAAAGTGTTCTCCCATTAAAAAAAATATTGAATCTCTGAAAAGTTCTGTTGTATAAAGCCAGACATACTATTACCATCTTATAGATGAGGAAACTGAAGCATGGAAAGTTTCCAGTACCTTCACTGAGACATCACTACTTGCAGTAGAGAACAAAAGTCACTTCACCCAGCCACTGTATGAGGATCCTCCTGGAAAAAAGACGAAGCTTAGATCTGAAACTCAGGCACTGGAATACTCCATATAACAGGCTGGCATCTTTCAAAATATAAATTCAAGACAGTGACTCTTCAATTATGAACATAGCTTAAATGAGAATGGCAGAGATAGGAAGCATACAAAAACTGCTGAAAATGATCTTTGGTGAATACTAGATCTAGAGTTAATGCAAATCTATTAGGGCTGTTTAATATTAGTTCTTGACAATTTCCTTTAGCTTGCATGATTGGTGGAAATAAATATATGCTATCCCTAAAGCTCAACTCTCAAAGGAAATACCTAGTGCTGATAAACAACTTCTGTAATTTCATGTGCTCTCTGAAAAGTAATGACTCTCAGAAACTTTAGAACATTCCAAGAGCAAGGAAAGGAAATGACAATTTATTTAGTGACTTTAATAAAACATGAAGATGCCTGAAGCAAGCAAGTATAATATGGTGGGAAATTTTCACTAGATAACATCCATTCGCAGCTGTCATCTGATCTGTGTAGAACTGAGGACAATACCACATTTGCCATTGATTTGGTTGGGTAGGCTATTCTTCCATTTTAGAGATCCTAGAATACTGATAAATTTATTTTCCTCCCAAGTATCTATTACAGATAATGCTAACATTGTCTTATTCGTGGCTATCTGAAAGAATCTCAAAGCCATTATTTAATGATGCACTGTTTTATATGTGACTGTAAATGCACAGGAATACTTGGTCATCTATTAAACATATTTGTAGAACGTCTACTTCAGGCAGGTACTACTCCTGGCATTTCATTTAAAACAAGGGAGCTGATTTAACTGCTATATTGTAATGATGGAATGAATTAGCACAGGGAGTGTTTAGAAAATGCCAACTAAATGATATTGGGTGAACAATTAGCTGGAGGAGAATGTGATAATCCAACTTGAAATATGATCAAAATCAACCATGTTCCAGTAATAAGAGTGATAATTTTAAGTTTTTAAACACACACACACACACACACACTGCTTTTTTAACAGTAGATATTTCTAATTTATATCCCAGCAATTGCTCCTGCAATAATAAAGTACCCCTGACCTAACTTGTGTCCCTAACTCTTTGATTCTTTACTTACCCCCTTCTTCTCTGTCAACTCCAACACTGAATTAATCCCACACCTCACTTTTCTTCTGCCCCAATCTACTGACAAAATTTAGCAAAACAGGAAAATAGGGGCTATTTCAAACGGTGGTCTTCTGCCACCAGGCAGTTCTTCAATGCAAGCACCAATGTCCTTCATTATGACCTCTAAGTCAAATTATTGGTAGGAGACAACCTTGCCTCCTGCTCCATAAGCAAAAGTGATGCTGTGATGTAGCTGTTAACTCTCCACCCACCAATATAAAATTTTGTCTGACTTCTCTTTTCCCTCTAGTTTCATTACTTCTGGTCTCAGGGGAGGAAGTATCCCTCCTCAGGGTCTAGGCTTATCTTGTCACCTGGGCCCCAGCCCCTCCTCTTCCACTCTGCCAAGCCCATTCATTTCTTAACTCACTCTCTCTTTTTTAATCTCCTCTATCAGTTTTCCACAAAAATGGAGCTGGACCCTTTCTGATGGAACCTAATTGTCTGATACATGAGATTTCAAAGTCTTGAGCCTTCCTCACTAAGAATTTCTCTTTATTTGGTTTCCATAAGGCAGCAAGTCCTGACCTGCCATTCTGCCACCCACCTTTAGTCACTGTTACTAACTTTTCCTCAAAGTTTTTCTGATCATAAAAGTAACACATATGCATCATAGAAAATTTTGAAAACACATTCAAAAGAGTAAAATAAAATTTGTTAAATATAAATAATCTGAGCTTTATGGCATAGTTCTTTCCAAGCCATATGTTCTTATAATAAAATCCCAATCATGCTATGTTCATTATCTTGATTATGGTGATGGTTTTACAAGCATATACATATGTCAAAATGTACCAAATTGCACCATTTAATACATGCAGTTTATTGCATGTCAATTATCCCTCAATTAAGCTGTTTTCTTAAAATGTCAACAATATAAGAAAAACAAATATTTAGAAATATAATTAAGAAAATAGAAATTGAATATTTGAATCTAGTACAATTTTAAAAATTTTGACAGAGGATGCACTGAGAAAGGAGAGTGAAGAGGACAGGGATGACTGCTATAACTGGAATATAGGACTGAATCCCTTCTGTTTCCTTTTTGGGCTGAAATTCTCATGCCTTGGGAAGGTTCTCTCTGTCTATATGAAAAAAGCACAATCTAACAGGCATGAGCACTAAAATGATCAAAGCCATGTTTCTGAGATTTGAAAAAAAAATCAGTCATGCTATAAATAGTTTTGTAGTTAGCTTTTTTTCACATAAGCACTTGGCCATGTCAATTAAAATTCTCCAACACATGGAATATTTGGCATATCTCACAGGTACCAAAACCATCCAATAAAGACATTGTAATGCATTTTTTGAATGCCCAATAAAAATATAATAGTTTATTTTCAACTTTTTTAATTTTTAATTTTTTGTGAGTACATAGTAGGTACATATACTTATGGAGCATATGGGATATTTTGATGCAGGCATACAATATGTAATAATCACATCAGGGTAAATGGAGTATCCATCTCCTCAAGCATTTATCCTTTGTGTTATAAACAATCCAATTATACTGTTGTAGTTATTTGAAATGTACAATTAAATTATTATTGACTATATCCCCACCCTGTTATGCTATCAAATACTAGACCTTATTTATTCTATATAACTATGTTTTTGTATCCATTAACAATCCCCACTCCCCACACCCCACTACCCTTCTCAGCTTGTGGTAACCATCCTCTACTCCCTACCTCCATGAGTTCAATTGTTTTGACTTTTAATTCCCACAAATAAGTGAGAACATGCAACATTTGTCTTTCTGTTCAACTTTTGATGATTATAAATATATGATTAATATTCTTGTGCATAAATTGTGTTGAACATTCAGTTCATCCCTTGAGATAGATTGCTAGGAGTGCAATAACTAAGTGGAAGAGGATTAGGAGTTTTAAGGCTCTGTTTACTTTATGCTCAAGTGCATACCTAAAAGTTAGGGCAATTTACTCTCTCATCTGCTGTGGATAAAAATGATCACCTCACTGTTCTGTTATCGTCTTGCACATATTTAAAATCTCTTATTTTATAGGTGAAAAGGTATTTTATTGTTGCTTGGGTTTGCATTATTTTATGTATGTATTTATTTGTAGAGACAGGGTATCGCGCCATTGCCCAGAGTGTGGTGGCATGATCATAGCTCACTGCAGCCTCCAACTCCTGGCTTCAAGTGATCCTCCCACCTCCTGGCTTCAAGTGATCCTCCCACCTCAGCCTCCAGAATAGCTGGGACAAGTGCACACCACGACGCCCAGCTAATTTTTTAATTTTCTATAGATATTGGGTCTTGTTATGTTGCTCAGACTGGCCTCAAACTCCTGGCCTCAAGCAATCCTCCTACCTCAGCCTCCCAAAGTGCTGGGATTAGAGGTATGAGCCGCTGTGCCCAGCTTGCAGTATTTTATTACTAGGGAGGTCAGATATGTTTTTGATATCGTTTGGGGTCATGAATACAACTTTCCTTTCTATTTCTGTGTTGGCCCATTTTTCTATGAAGACATTAGTGCTTTGACTGCTGACTGGTAGTATATTTATGTGTTAAATATACTAGCCTGTTGTCTGTCCTGTTATACTAGAATGGATTTGACATATCTCACTTGCTTCTATTTAGATGGAGTTTTCAATAGACCCATAACATACTTGCATATGTTTACTTTTCAGAAAATGATCATATTTTTCTTTGTATCTTTTTCCACTGCTTTGGGGCTGAGAAATAGTTTACTCAATTTAAGATCAGTTCTACAACTACCTATTTTATCCTCCAGAATTTTCATGCTTACATTTTAAATTCTAAATGCATCTGAAATTTATGTTGGTGTACGAGAATGTAACATAATATTTTTTCCAAGATAATTTTCTCAGCACTTTTGTTGAATATGTCATCCCTTCTCATTAGTCTGATATTTCCTTTAGCACGCACTAAGGTCTTCCATATGCTAGAATCTGTTCGAGGGCTATGTGTTCTCTTAAAAATTGATCATTCAACATTTTTGGTCATAATTATGCTGTAATTGTATAATGTGTTTGAGATCTGGTCAAGCAAGTCTTTCCAACTGCCCACACATTTTATAATGTGTGGGCAGTTGGAAATATTTCAAAAAACATTCAAATAACTTCAAATTTTCACATTTTATAACATTATTCATCAGTGCATTCTTCACAAAGAACTTCCTAAAATATTCAAAGAAAAAAATCCCACTAGGATTTTCATCATTCCATAATCCCTGATTTATAAGAGGGGACAGGGAGAGGAAAAAGGGGGACATTTCTGGATTCCTAGCTCATTGTAGAAGTGAGGAGGGCTGTTGAATTCCCTTCTCTCTCCTCCCTACCCTTCAATGGACCGGAGCACTTCCTTTTGTCAAAGCTAACCAAATATGAAGAAAGTCAAGCCAGAGGAGAGGCTCTAAGGGAATCACCAGTAGTAACATTGGCTTTCCCTGGAAGAGGTGGAGACTGGTACCAGGTCCTGTCTTGAAATCTAAGTAGGGAGAGGACTTACTGATCCATCCTTGTGCCCTGCTGAGCAGGGAAGAGCAGTGGAAGAGACAGCAGAGCTACTGTGAAGCAGCTTGCACTTCCCAAGTTTGGTTTGCCATTCATGACTGAGTTTTGCATGTGTCATGAGAATGGCTGCAAAGGAAGCAAAGCTGAGCAAGTTTTGCAGATGTCCCCACCCCAGAAGCCTAGTGGTTGAGCAGGCCTGGAGAGAAAGCAGGAGTTGGAACAGATAAAAAAAGAGGCAAATGGTACACATCTCATCGCCCCTTAGGAGAGCAGGGGTTTTGACCTCCTCAAAAGGAGGGCACTTAGGACCTGTCAGAGAAGGAGCAATGACCAAAAGCAGATTGCAAGGGAGCCCAGCTAAGTAACTGGCTCTTTCCCCTAATTCCGCCTCCTTTCCTTTGCCCATACCAGATAAGTAGCAGGAAGAGCAAGGGGCAGAGAAAGAGCATCCCAGAGGAGCTCACCACAAACCATATTCACTTCACGCCCCTCAAGCCACAAACCTCTCAGGCCCTGGGGAAAGAGAAAAGTTCTGAAGGGTAAATGAAATGGACAGATTTTTAATATCCAAAAAGCAAAGTTAAGGAATCATCCTAAGATGTCCTTAAGGAGTCTGTGAGCCAGCAGGGAGGGATTTTTCATATGGCACAGTTGTGGGAGTGAGAGCTTAGAATGGAGAAAAATAAAACCATTTCCTCTTCATACCCCACAGGGATGAGACAGTTCAATAAAACACTTACATATGAATAAGCAAAGAGGAGAAAATAAAAGTCATCTGTTATCCCACAAGGCAGCTATAACTAATATTAACCAATGTTTGCCAAAAATTCTTATGTGAATTTCTTTTCAAAAATGCAATTACAAAGTATTCGTTGTTTTTTGACCTAGCTTCTATTCTCAGGAATATATTCTGAACATTTGTGCTTTTTTTTTTTAAAAAAAAAAAAGAGTCCAACAACATAATCTCAATAGCTTAGAAAATTTTATCCCATGAGTTGATAATTTACTTAAAAAATGCCATATGCTTCTATATTTAAATTTGCTTCCAATGTTTTACCATTATATACAATCCTGTAATGAACATCCTTGGAACTTAATCATTGTACCACTCCTTAGCTACTTACTTAGAGTAAATCCTTGTAGTGGAGTTGCTTTATCAAAAGGTATATACGGCCGGGCGTGGTGGCTCACGCTTATAACCCAGCACTTTGGGAGGCTGAGGCAGGCGGATCACAAGGTCAGGAGATCGAGACCATCCTGGCTAATACAGTGAAGCCCCGTCTCTACTAAAAATACAAAAAATTAGCCAGGCATGGTGGTGAGCGCCTGTAGTCCCAGCTACTGGGGAGGCTGAGGCAGGAGAATGGCAAGAACCCGGGAGGCGGAGCTTGCAGTGAGCCGAGATTGTGCCACTGCACTCCAGCCTGGGCGACAGAGCGAGACTCCATCACAAAAAAAAAAAAAAAAAGGGGGGGGTATATACATGTTAAAGGTTTTCCTACATGCTACCAATTCCTCTTCAGTTTTCACACCCACCAAAAGCTCATGAGACTCTGTTTTTCCATATTTTGGCCCACATTGAGTATTTTTCTTCTTTTGGTTTCCTAATATCCAGTGGTCCCCAACCTTTTTGGCGCCAAAGACCAGTTTCAGGGAACACAATTTTTCCACAAACAGGGGGAGGAGGAGTGATGGTTTCAGGATGCAACTGTTCCACCTCAGATCATCAGGTATTAGATTCTCATAAGGAGCATGCAACCTAGATCCCTCATATATGCAGTTCACAATAGGTTCACATTCCTGTGAGAATCTAATGCCGCTGCTAATCTGATAGGAGGTGGAGCTCAGGCGGTAATGTTCACCTGCTCCTCACCTCATGCTGTGCAGCCTAGTTCTTAACAGACCACAGACAGTACTAGTCCACAGCCAAGGGGCTGGGAGCCCCTGCTAATATCTGTTTGTGGTATTTTTTGAATACATTCCTTTAAACATGGGTTTACTGGCTATTTATCATACCTATGCTGTGCATTGCCTGTTTCTGTATTTTGACCATTTTTCTACTAGTGTACAACTTTTCTTAGTTTTTTGTAAAAGCTGTTTATATATATAACATATATATTGCAACCATTTTATGCCACATATACTACAAATATTCTTCCCAGTTCCTTGTTGCTTACAATGTTACTTTCTGTGCTAAGGTTTTTAGATTTGACCACATAAAATTATTGTATGGTTTATGACAGGTGTCAGCAAACTTCTTCTGTAAAGGGTCAGAAAATACCTATTTTAGGCTTTGCCAGCTTAATGGTCTCTGTTGCAACTACTCAATGCTGTTTTTGTAGGTCAAAAACAGCAATAGACAATATGTCAATGAATGAGCATGGCTACATTCTAAATTCAGCAGTGAATCTCTGGTATAAGCCATTGATGTCATGTTTTGAAAGTTATTCTCCACCACAAGCATATATTATTTTCTATATTATCTTATATTATATTATATATTCTATTCTTACTTTTATGTCTTCACTTTTAAACTTTTTGTCTTTAATACATTTATAATTAATTTTGTTAACTGAATTTTTTCTCAATGTTAAACATCTGGCTTAATATCACTTGTTGAATAATCCATACTTTCCTAATTGAGTTGAATTGCAATCTTTTCTAAATTAAAAAATATAAACACATGCACATATAGTTGGGTTTTTAAAGTTCTATGGATATTCTGGAGCTGGTATCACACTTTTAATTATTAGAGTGTTTCAGTATGCTTTAATATCTGGCATAGCAACTTCACCCCCCTCATACTCTTCTTTTTAGGTCTTTGTGGCTTATTTTCTCTTTATTTTTCCAAAATGTTCTTTAGACTCATTTTGTCACTTTCTAATAAAAATTGCATTGTTATGAAGGAAACCAGAATATTTCACCTCACTCTGAAATACAGCTGAACTAAACAGCCTCAAAATCTCTCTGACCTCCCCTTGCTACTGGACCTAAAGAGACTAAAACGTCAACATCACATCTAAAACCCCAGAAAAACTTCATCCCAAACCTTTGTCTACTCTCTATCCCACTCAATTTCCAAAGAAAATTATTTGCTTACCATTGTCTTAGCATTAGGCCTATTCATTTCTCCCTAAAAATCACTTACTATCCCTCAAATTGCCACATTTCCCCCACTTCCCTTCCCCTATGAAAAAGGTACAAGCATCTGGAGAGAGACTAGGGTAGTAGAAGTGATTAAATTGAAAAGTTTCTGCTCTCCCTCTCCCTCTCCCTCTCCCTCTCCCTCTCCCTCCCTCTCCGTCTCCGTCTCCGTCTCCCGCTCCCCACGGTCTCCCTCTCATGCGGAGCCGAAGCTGGACTGTACTGCTGCCATCTCGGCTCACTGCAACCTCCCTGCCTGATTCTCCTGCCTCAGCCTGCCGAGTGCCTGCGATTGCAGGCACGCGCCGCCACGCCTGACTGGTTTTGGTGGAGACGGGGTTTCGCTGTGTTGGCCGGGCCGGTCTCCAGCCCCTAACCGCGAGTGATCCGCCAACCTCGGCCTCCCAAGGTGCCGGGATTGCAGACGGAGTCTCGTTCACTCAGTGCTCAATGGTGCCCAGGCTGGAGTGCAGTGGCGTGATCTCGGCTCACTACAACCTCCACCTCCCAGCCGCCTGCCTTGGCCTCCCAAAGTGCCGAGATTGCAGCCTCTGCCCGGCCGCCACCCCGTCTGGGAAGTGAGGAGTGTCTCTGCCTGGCCGCCCATCGTCTGGGATGTGAGGAGCCCCTCTGCCCGGCCGCCCAGTCTGGGAAGTGAGGAGCGTCTCCGCCCGGCCGCCATCCCATCTAGGAAGTGAGGAGCGCCTCTTCCCAGCCGCCATCACATCTAGGAAGTGAGGAGCGTCTCTGCCCGGCCGCCCATCGTCTGAGATGTGGGGAGCGCCTCTGCCCCACCGCCCCATCTGGGATGTGAGGAGCACCTCTGCCCGGCCGAGACCCCGTCTGGGAGGTGAGGAGCGTCTCTGCCCGGCCGCCCCGTCTGAGAAGTGAGGAGACCCTCTGCCTGGCAACCACCCCGTCTGAGAAGTGAGGAGCCCCTCCGCCCGGCAGCTGCCCCGTCTGAGAAGTGAGGAGCCCCTCCGCCCGGCAGCTGCCCCGTCTGAGAAGTGAGGAGCCTCTCCGCCCAGCAGCCACCCCATCTGGGAAGTGAGGAGCGTCTCCGCCCGGCAGCCACCCCGTCCGGGAGGGAGGTGGGGGGGGGTCAGCCCCCCGCCCGGCCAGCCGCCCCGCCCAGGAGGTGAGGGGCGCCTCTGCCCGGCCGCCCCTACTGGGAAGTGAGGAGCCCCTCTGCCCGGCCACCACCCCGTCTGGGAGGTGTGCCCAACAGCTCATTGAGAACGGCCCAGGATGACTATGGCGGCTTTGTGGAATAGAAAGGCGGGAAAGGTGGGGAAAAGATTGAGAAATCGGATGGTTGCCGTGTCTGTGTAGAAAGAAGTAGACATGGGAGACTTTTCATTTTGTTCTGCACTAAGAAAAATTCCTCTGCCTTGGGATCCTGTTGATCTGTGACCTTACCCCCAACCCCGTGCTCTCTGAAACATGTGCTGTGTCCACTCAGGGTTAAATGGATTAAGGGCGGTGCAAGATGTGCTTTGTTAAACAGATGCTTGAAGGCAGCATGCTCGTTAAGAGTCATCACCAATCCCTAATCTCAAGTAATCAGGGACACAAACACTGCGGAAGGCCGCAGGGTCCTCTGCCTAGGAAAACCAGAGACCTTTGTTCACTTGTTTATCTGCTGACCTTCCCTCCACTATTGTCCCATGACCCTGCCAAATCCCCCTCTGTGAGAAACACCCAAGAATTATCAATAAAAAAATAAATTAAAAAAAAAAAAAAAAAAGAAAAAGGTACAAGCATCTGTACCCCCATTGAGTTGTTGAGTGATCATTCTCCTGAAATTCTCCCATTCTATACATGTTAAAATACATTTTTTATGCCTTTTTTTCCTATTAATTTGCCTTTCGTCAGTTCATTTTCAGCAAGCCTTCAGAGGATGAAGGGGGAAGCTTTCCTTTTTCACACCTACAATATTTTGATTGGAATTGCATTCATCTACAGATCAATTTTCAAAAAAACTGACAGCTCAAGGATTGGTGGTATGCACTCAGTGGAGGCTACTTTTCATTAACTTTGGTCTCATTAATTGGCTTTATAATAAACACATGCAACTGAAAAAAGTAGAGCTTTGTAGTTTGTGATTAAACATAGTATTTCACTTGAAAATAAGCTTCAAGTGCTTACAATTTTGAAAACCACTGGTTTAACCTACTTACAGTATTGTTATCACTAATTTGGCTTCTGTCATCTTATTCTATGCCTTCCTATTTTTAGTTCTTCCTTCTGGTTTCTTTTGCTTTCTGTTCTTTGACAATAATTGACTTTAATTCTGTTAATAGTCATTTAGAAGTTATTTTTATAAACGCTTTGCACTCTGTCTAATCCTTATGAATGAGCAGTGAAATTATATCATTTGAGTTTCCTCTGTTTGAGAGAAGGGATACAATACAGTCTAATGTTCCTGACCCTCACTACCAGGGCCCAATAAACCTGTTTTTATTAATAACATAATAAAGGATTTTAAGTCTATCATTTTCTTAAAATCATGTATTTTCTCATTTTGGAATAATTTTTGACATTTTAATTTGATTTTATAATCAAATTTTTAAATAATATTCAGTGCCGTCCTTCTAATGTTCCACAGCTATTTCATGAAGATTATGTCTTCCTATGCTCTGTTGCAAATGTCAAATAGTTTTTTGAGGCTTTCCTCTGGATTCACTTAATTATCAGAAGTTTTTCTCCTGAATCTTCTAGATACTGTCTGTTTCCTTGTTCTGTGGTATATTTCACAGGCCCCATTGCTACTTTTTTCTTTATTCGTCTTAGCTAGTCCTTTGTCCTGCACACTGTCCCATGCTAGTGGTAAAACACTCTTTTACTATTTATAACAAAATGACAAGTTGATGAGCAAGTTAAGTGGAACTTAATTTTGTGTGCCTTTGTTCCTTGCAATCTGACGTCTTCCCCCTACCTCACCGTCTGGTTCTCTGGTACTCTGAACTGATGTGTTATGTCAAATACTACAATTCTCAGCCTACACTGCTACCTGGGGTCTTCCTACAAAGGCCCCATGCAAATAATACCCTACCAACCTGTTGCCTGTAGATGTACTGTCTCTTCCCATACCCAGGAGAAAAGAGAGATGCCCCTAAGTTTCTGGCTAGTTCAAATCCTGAATCTCCAGTGACAGAAGCACGAACTATTTTTCTACCTTTTATGAAGTTGATTTTGTGTCCAAACCCAGCTCCTTCTGTCCGGGAATTAGTTCCAGTTTTTTCATGGTTCTGGTATTAGATTACCCATCAGTCTTATTTTCCACGTTGGGAGCTTTATTTTTTTTCCCCTAGGCCTTCATTAGTGTTTTTGTTAGATATTGAGAGAACCTTCCCTGGGGACTGCTAGCCAGATGCCACTTTGAATAACAACAACAGCAGAAGCTAATATTTATTGAGCACTTACCATGTACCATCTATCCATTTTCTCATTTAATCACCACAACAACCCTCATTTAACCTCTCTAAGACTAATTTGCCCAAGGACACTCTCTGCTAAGGACACAGGCTGCCATGTACAACCATTTAAAAGCATTTGCAAACTCTCAGTAGCCTGGGATTCAAATAAATATGATATACCATCTTTTCTATGCGTTTCTAAATTTCTTAATCTTTCTGACCCTGAATTAACCCCTCAAATGCCAGGATGTTCTCCTTCTCTTGCATGCTGATATGATACATAACCTCATAGATAAGTCTATAATTAACCTCTCATTTGATATACATCCATGTCATTCATATTTAATGAATATTTAGTAATCAAAGATCCCTTAAAATTCTTTTAGCTCTTATAACATAGAGAAATATGTTCCAGGTGCTTCAGTGAATATTTGACATTTCTGTCATTTTTAAACTTTACAGAAGAAAAGTCATTTGTAAACAATACATAGGTCATATACCCTTTCAGACACAGGACATAAATGCTAACGATTGTAAGGAAGTACTTTACATGAGCACCAAATTCACAAATAGAAGATCACAGGAATGCTAACACTGACACCTGTACCCAATTGTTACAGGTTGGGTTTTCTGGAAAGTAGACTCTGGGTGGAGTTTAACCATGCGTGATGGTTTTTAGAGAATGATCTTAGGATCTACACTTGTGGAAAGAAGGAGACGGCAGCAGGATTGGATAGAGGGAGAAGTTGAGCTGTGAAGCAAGCTCAACAACAGCTTCAGCTAACCTCCTTGAGAAGCTCTGGAGCCTTCAGAGTTGTCCCAAATTGGGCCAAAATAGTTGGTGAGGCTCCTCTCTGTAGCATGAGGCAATCTCTGAAGCAGCTGACACTGAAGGCTGACTGCTGACTGCACTTCCAGTGGCTGGGACAACCCATCCTCTGTTGAAGGGGAATCTGGGTGGAGGAACATCCCAGTATCCACCAAAACAATTCTCTCTGAAAAGTCAATAATTTCAGAGATGGCCGAACTGCATCAGTTTACTTTCAATTACTTTAAGGCTTCCTAAAATATTTTAGTATTTTGTAAGCCCTAATGAAATGAGGATGCTAAGTGAATCACTGCTTTCAATGGGACATGGCCAGTAAACACTAAATACAAGAGCATTTGGGAAGAAAAGGCAGCTGACTTCCACTGGGCACTCTAAGGCCCAGGCAGTATACTAGGACTTGAACATACATAAGTTGATTTCACCAGTCCAACAACTCTTTGAGTTGCTTCCTCACAGCTGGTCAATTGTACACTTAGAACTGGATTGCCACAAAACTGTTAATCCACCATGATGTTTCATCCTGACAAAGTGGCTCTGATGTCAGAGACATCTCACTCCTAGCTATTGGAGTGTTTTGTCAAATGATGGCAAAGCCTATATGGCCAGGGAGCCGGGGCCAGAGCAGATGGTCTGGATGATGCCCAGAATCACCCCAGGAGAGAACAAAGGGCCACCATGCTGTCTCTGAAAAAAAGCATTAGGCACAGCCTTCTTGGAAACCTACAATGAAAGAGGATCTACTAAATATGTCCCCTCATAAGGGTCTTCAATGAGCCCAGCGTGTTAAGTCTTTCATGCCTTGAAGGCACCTCAGTGACAGAACCCATCAATCAACCAATATATTCTGAAAGTATCTGCCTCGTGCTTGGGCAGCAGAGGAGACACAAAAGGAAGGATGGAATGTTAAAACCAGGAAAGCACTGACTTCTCACTTCACTTCAAATAAGATCCACATCTTTTGCCATGGTTTATAATTCTTGCCCTTATCTGCCCCCTGTTATTTCTCAGATCTCCTCTTCCTTATTTACTTTGCTCTAGCCACACTTATTTTTTTTTCCACTGGCTATTCCATTTGCCTGGAATAATCATCCCAAAATCCCTGCATAATTTGCTTATTCTCTTCTTCCAGATTGCAGTTCACATTTTTCTGCTTCAGACTGGATCACTCTGATTCCTGTAGCTACAGTTGCCCTCTATCACAGTTGTATTTTCCTTATGGCACTTTTCACTTTCTGAAGTTATCTTCTTTGCTCATTTACTTGTTCATCATATGTGTCCCCAAAATATGCACGGTCCTTGCGGCTAGGGACCTTTTTTGTCCCCAGTACTTACAATAGTGCTTGACACATAATGGGGACTCAATAAATATTTATTAAATGAATAAAGCAAGCAAGAGGTCTAGGTTCCATTCATACTTCTACCAGCTATATAAAGTTGGGAGGATCATTTAATCACTTTGCATGGAAGTTTATTTACCTAGAGCAAGGGTTGGCAATCTATGGCCACATACCAAATATAGACAGTCATCTATGTTTGTAAATAGAGTTTTATTGGAACACAGCTATGCTCAATAATTTAGTATTGTATTGTATTGTATTGTATTGTATTGTATTGTATTGTATTGTATTGGTCTATGATTGCTCTCATGCTATAATGGCAGAGCTGAGTAGTGCCACAGACACTATATGGCTCACAAAGCTTAAAATCTTTAGAATCTGGCCCTTTAAGGAAAATCTCTGCTGACCTTTGGACTAAAAGGTGGTGATCATAATATCCACCCTGCATTCCCATCAGCATTTTTATAAAAAGCAAATGAGAAGATGCATGTGAAAGATATCTGTGAAGTGAAAAGTGCTACTTTTCACTCGAGTCCATGTGAAGAGACCACCAAACAGGCTTTGTGTGAGCAACATGGCTGTTTATTTCACCTGGGTGCAGGCGGGCTGAGTCCGAAAAGAGAGTCAGCGAAGGGAGATAGGGGTGGGGCCGTTTTATAGGATTTGGGAAGGTAATGGAAAATTACAGTCAAAGGGGGTTGTTCTCTGGTGGGCAGGGGCAGGGGTCACAAGGTGCTCAGTGGGAGAGCTTCTGAGCCAGGAGAAGGAAATTCACAGGGTTAATCAGTTAAGGTGGGGCAGGAACAAATCACAATGGTGGAATGTCATCAGTTAAGGCGGGGCAGGGCCTTTTCACTTCTTTTGTGATTCTTCAGTTACTTCAGGCCATCTGGGCGTATATGTGCAAGTCACAGGGGATGCGATGGCTTGGCTTGGGCTCAGAGGCCTGACACTACTCTTGTAAGGGGTGAACTTTATTAGTTAGGAAGATGATTGTCATGAAACCACTGAAATCAATCAATCCATCAACCGAACAATGATTGTGAAAATAAAGGCACTGAATTATATAATTCAGACTATTTCAAGAGGACTTCAGAGAAGTGTGAAATCATCCCTCTAGTCATAGGCCAGTCTGCTCTACCTGAATATCAGCCTAACACTGGGGTAACAACTGTCTCACCAAGCAGAGATGAAGAAGCAGACACACCTGGAATCAAATTTCTGCTCTACCACTTATCAGCTGGGTGTCTTTGGAATCTTACCAATTCTGCATGTCAGTTCCTTATCTGTGAAATGGGGATAGTAATAGTACCTATTCCATAGGATTGTTGTGAGATTCAAATGAAATAATGCAATAAAAAGAGACAACATCTGGCTCATTGTCAACCTAATGAATGGTAATTGCTGCCATCATCATCATTGTAGTCAGTTGCCTCTCCCACATTCTGAACTAATTTTCTGGCTAAGGAAACAAGTTTTCACGCCTTCCCTTTTTATCCTGGAGGGGTCTGCAGGATGCCAAGGTCCTCCTTTTCCTCGGTTTCTACTGAACTCGCCTACTCTCTCCAGGGCTGCACCACCCTCTTCCTAGATGGCCTTTGAATGTTGGTTTCACCCTAGCCTCTCCTCCCCTTACTCCCTACATAGAATAGACTGACGATTTTTGCCTCCTGGAACGAATTTCTAGTATCTGTGCTCTGCATCCCTTCCTTACGGCCCAAAGTCCTACTTCATAGGCTCCTTAGCTCCTGCCTCAACTCCTGTGACACCCTTCTGGGTGGACATCTGACTCCAGGGGACTCCAGCTTTGGCCCATTCTATATACAACATCAGTGTTATTCTCTAAAATAAAATCCTGCCACTTCTTTACTTTAAAAGCTCTGGGGTTCCCCATTGTCTCCTTGTTGCATAAGGCCCTTGTAAACCTGCCACCTGCCCACCTCTGGGGTCTTCGTCTTCTTCCACCTGTTCCTTGCTGGCCCCACCCCATGTCAGTGTTTCACTCACATGCACCTACTTGCTGCTCTCCCAGTCAACCTGCAGACCAAAGAGTGAGGGAAAAAAAACTGTGGTTTTTTTGGTAAATTACTGAGATTTGGAGCATTGTTTTTTATGCATCATTATCTCAGCAGAAATCTGATTAATATGTGACAGAAATTATAACTGAATAACCAAGTATTGAGCTAAAGCTTTTCCCCCCAATATTACATTTATAGCATTATTTCACTACAAAATAAAATTGCCATTTAAAAAAATACAAAATACAGAAAGAGGGAAATAATACATGCTGCCTTTGGAAAACATTTGCTCAATGTGTGCCTTAATACACCCACAATTTAATCCCCATTAGCAGGGGCAATTTTCTTTTTTAAAAAATACCATAGTAAAGTGCTGAAGGATAGAAAGTACAACTGAAGAAAAACCAAAGAGGCAAAAAAAATTGCAGAGGAAATGGCACTCAATAAGAAGCTTGAGAAGTGGTAACATAAAATAGTGACAATTAAGGTTGATTGCATGATTCTGGGTTTGGGAAGGAAGTCAGAAAGAGTCCATTGGAAATCCTGGGAGTGTGTGAATAGGAGGCCCCCCAGATGGCAGGAAGAGTGAGAAGAGGGCAAAGCTAAGCAGTGCTTTGGATGTGGATCTGAGCCAGGTGAGTCACCTAAGAGAGGCTAGAGCTGTGACTGAGTACGAAGGCCTCAGGTCAGGGGAGAACAGTGTTCCCAACTAGAGGTAGCCAGTGAACTAATTCCCTTGGGCATTTATCTGGGAGCTGTAATGGATGCTTGAAGATTATTTTCCCCACATTAGCTATTAAGGAGACTTGACTCTCAATGAGAGGCATCATAGGGTACATTAATTGCCTTGCTAATGGCCTGACCTCTTTGACAATGTCACATATACAGTTCTTTTCCCTGATTGGCTTCGAAGCGCCCCAGCAATAATTGCATATTGTTTCTCTTACATTGTTGCTAGAAAGGAAGGAAAGGAGGGAGGGAGGAAAGAGATGAGAGGTGGAAACAGCAAGCTATAATTCATTCTTGGAAATTACTAGAGACCATGTATAAGCCAAGGTTGGTACCCTGGAAATTACCCAGCAAGATAAAGACATCCTGCCTAGTTCCCAGGGCAGTGTGTGTGTGTGTGTGTGTGTGTGTGTGTGTACTCTGAATCACCTGTCATCTTCAGTCTGAACTAGCGAATTCAAAATGATCCAGGAGTTGGAACCCATATCTAGTTTGTGGCAAAACCTCTTTGAATCCTTGCTGAAAAAATCATGGGGGAGGCGATAAAAATCCACCAGCTATCATTAGTCATTGAAGGAAAATAATTATTTCATCCAGCCTTTCTAGGTAATTAACATTATGAGATCATCTAAGAGCCCACAGTGTGAAATGGGTACAAAGTAACATGGAGAACTGATCCCAGCTCTTTAAGTGCTTTATTTCAACATAGACTTTGATACACAGAAAAGAAACCAAATAGGGTGTCTTTCATTATTTGGATATTTTTAAATTTTCCATCTGGAAACTATTTCTGAGAGTAATAAAATTCCAATGTTTGCTGAAAACATCTAACTTTGATAATTTCCAAGTTTTCATGGACTTTAAACTGCTTAGTCCTTGCAGACAGGTTTGTATATCTGGTTTGAGAAGCCCTATGCATCCAGAACATGATATACTAAACAAACAAACAAATAAGTAAGTAAATCTCCCCACGTGAGCATGAAGTGCACTGAGTAATTCTGGAAACGGATCTTCTTTGAATCTAGTGTCCTAGTCTAGCACGCAGAATTCTTATAGGTTCAATTAGTATGGAATAAGCTATAGCCTGAAGTAGCCTAATTTAGTAAAAGGATTCCTTATTCCTTGTACTAGAAAAAAAATTAATGGTAAAAATGTAATAATTAAGATGTTTTTAAAAAATGCTTTAACAGTCCAACAACCTTTAACATAACAGAATAAATAAGAAATACATTTGGGGTGAATGAATCATTTTCTTCCATATAATTTCCTATATTTAAAATAAGGGGCACGAGCCACAACATTTCTAAGTTCCTTCCTGATGGTAAAGGGCCAAGATCTCCAAGTCTGTGTATGAATACAAATTGACCTCCTGCCTGCATCTGGGGTTCCTCTGAATCTGGCATCCCACCCCTACCACCATCTCAATCCATTTTGCCTTAACTCACACAGCTTACCAGGAATCACTCAACTTTACCTGCACTAATCTTCTCACTGGGACATGCTTGGAAAGGCCAGGCCCCAACCCATTTTTAAGCCTCAGCCAGGCTGTGTCCCTCATTTGGAATGTCAACCCTAGATTACCCAAATCTCACTTTTTCCTTAAGGCACAGCTCACTGTCCACCTTTTTAATGAAAATTTCCCTGACTAAGATGAGCCCTTGACTCTTTCACATCTCTGAGCTATTGTTTGTAAGATCTACAGTGTGATTCTATACAGTCCAATATGTATTGTGGATGTTTCATTTAGTTTAAGAGCTTGGGCTATAGAACTCTGTTGCCTAGGTTTCCATGTTATCTATACCACGTATTTATTTACTCTAGGACCCTGGGTAGCTTGTTAACCTCAGTTAATCTCTCTATACCTCAGTTTCATCACCGATAAACTGAGGATAACAATAATATGTACTTCAGAAGTTCTGCGCCATGCAAACATTTCTAGCCAAACCATTTCCAGTAAATCCTTTGAGGATGTTTCAGGAAATATGTTCAGTGTTATACAACATCAGCATAATACAATTTTGGTCTATTTTAAAATTTTTATTATTTTAATATAGTTATGTTCATAAAATGGGAAAAATATAAACAAATAATTGATAATCTCACCTCCCAGATAAAATCATTGTTTTAAAATGTTGCATTTATTATTGCAGATATCTTTCCACAAATTGTGGTAGTTTTAAAATATGTCCACAAAGTTTTTGACACTCCTCTCTTCAAAAGGTAGAACCTAATTCCCTTCCCACTGAGAGTGGGTCAGATGTAATGACTGGCTTCTAGCTAATAGAATGTGACAGATGTGACGGTGTGTGATTTCTGAAACTAGGTCATAAAAAGTATTGCAGTTTTCTATTGCTTCTTCCCACCCCTACCCCCCACCCCTTTCCTCCTGCTCTCTCTCCCACTTTGTCTCATCACTCTTTCTAGGGGAAGCCAATTGCCATATGGGGACATTCAAGCAGCTCAATGGAGTAGCCCATATGTTGGAGAACTGTTGCCTACTGCCAACAGCCATGTGAGTGAGCCATCTTGGAAGCAGATCCTGCAGCCCCAGTCAAGTCCTCAGAGACTTCAGACCTAGCCAAAATTCTGACTCTAACCACACAAGAGACCCTGAGCTGGAACCACTCAGCTAAGCTGTTCCCAAATTCCAGACACATGGAAAGTATGAGATAATAAATTGTTGTTTTAAGCCATAAAGTTTTGGCATAATTTGTTAAGTAGCAATAAATAACAAATATATACATTATATATGTGTGTGTGTATATATATAGTATATATATGTATGTAGGTATATATATATATACACACACACATACACATTCTGTATATATTTAAATACATTCTTCAGTTTTGATTGATAATAATATACAATAAACCTGTTTCCATATGTATTTTCAGTGCTATTATTTTAAGAGAGTTGGGAAGTGCACGCAGCCCCGGCCAGAAAAATAAAACAAAAAACTACATCATATGTCTGCTGGAGTAAAAAATTCCTCTAACGGGATAAAATCTATATCCTATAGTTTGAAACGAGGCTTGAAATGAAACCATTGCTACCATTCCCAGAAGGAGAAAACCAATTGTAATTGATATGTTGATGGCCAATGTCCATTCTCTTCCTAGTGATGGGCTTTGCTACAGGAGGAGGGCCAGGATAGGAGTGAGATAGACATACGGACAGACAATGGGACATATCCACAGGTAGTCCGAGGTATGGTGCAAAGGAATTAAATGAGGGAAGTTTTGGACTAAAGGTATAGAAACCTTGAAGGTTGATTAACTGTCCTAGAAGGAGAAGACAATTCCAGGGGCCACAGGTGGAGCCCTGGGTGTGTTTCCATACACAGATAGAGAGAAGAGAAGGAGAGATCATCAAGGGAAGCACAGAAGTTGTCAACAAGGATAGGGGACACTGGAGCAGATGAGGCCATGAGAGCCAGAGTATCAGGAAAGGGAAAATGTGCATGGTTTCAAGTCTCAGAGGCCATTGAAAGAAAAAACAAAAACAAAAACAAGGACCATTGGATTTTACAAGAAGGTCATTTAATCACACCAAGTACCAACTGGGTTCATCAAAAAGGGTAAGAACCAAATTAATGCTTATGTCTGGTTTGGTTTGGGGTTTTCTTGGCTTTCTTCTAACCAGCCTCAGTGGGAAACCCCAGCAAGTTACCTCTGCCTCTCTAGGCTGGGTTAGGTGCCACCTTCCTAGGAGTTACCACAGCACCCTGTGTTCTCTTGCCTCATAACATTAATCACAGACTATATATAGTAATCCCATGTTTACCCATCTTTCCAGCTCTAGAAATATAAGCTTTTTGAGGGAAGGCAGTGTTTTACTTTCAGCTGTATCTCTAGGACCTAGCACATTGCCTGCCACATTACACAAGCTCAGACAATCTTTGATGAATGAATGAGTGAGTACTGTGGAATAGAAGGAAAGAGGGAAGACCTTTGTTGAGAGGTATGCCCGTGAAAGAAGGGAAGTAGTGGACCAGTAGTTAGCAGGAACATCAAGGTCAAGTGAAGGGATGACCTTTTAAAGGAGGGCTGCTTTGAACACGGTCCTAAAAGTATTTAAGATGAAAACTAAAGATGTATCCAACATGACGTTTTAGATTCAGTATTAAGACAAAATCTGCATTAGTCTTGGTCCTGGGAAGGCAAAAACAAAAAACAACTAAACACCTATATCATTTCTGGTCATTTGTGAACAATCAATGATCACGTCATGATGCATATTACCCTCATATTTAGTAAACATAACATTTGTGAGATGAACAAGACATGTCACCCTGATTAATTGATATTATCAGAATGTTCACATTCAAATTCTAATGGAAACTTAGAGGTAGATATTCTAATGTAGCATGGAACAAAAAATCTCCTTATGGGCTTTGTACATGGAAATTCTTTCAAACCGTTGAAGTATGAATGCATATTTATCTTTGCAAAAGTTAAATGCTACTACAATTAATGGTGATGTGAAAGCTGTTAATTTTATATTCAAAAACAACTATTAAGAACTTCCAAGTAGTTAAATAAGTAGAGATGTAGATTGACAGTTTATACATACTGAGTATTAGTTGATAAGTTTAAAAAGAACATTAATTCCTTTCTAAGCCAACTAGTATTCTATAAAAACTTAAATTCAGTAACAATACAAGGGCAAACAACAGAGATTAGACTACATCACACATCTATTTTTTGGGAGATTATTTTCATTATAATCATATGAAATACGATTATAATGATATGAATAATCATGATTATTCATATCATTCATAATATGAAACAAGATAACTTGTAAGACTGTTTCTGAAAATTTAAGAAAGCATCTTCCCCAAGCAATGCACAGAGCTTCATTTGGGGAGGATTGCTTCAGTTAAAGTGCATCACCATGAACCAGTGTTCAAGTCCAAGAGATGAGGAGGAAATATCCTTAACCTTACTTGGTTACTAGGAGAGAGAAAGAAAGGCTCACTAATGTGGTGGCAGCCTTAGCCCCAGCAGAATCCTACTTGACAAAACAAGCCTCAAAAAATCTTGTTTATCCACCAACCTCATTTGAAAGTGAGCATCCAT
The DNA here is from genome assembly GCF_000001405.40 of Homo sapiens. Lineage (NCBI taxonomy): Eukaryota > Metazoa > Chordata > Mammalia > Primates > Hominidae > Homo > Homo sapiens. Next base: position 42,461,728 of record NC_000023.11, on the reverse strand, counting down.
TTGGTATCACACTTGTACAGTACAGTGACCACACAAACAATCCAGCAGATGACAGTACCTGAGAAAATATTGTCCCTGGTTTATAATGTCAATCTCATGAAAGGTGACTACTAGATTTTTAATAATAAATATTTTGATATATTTTCAGATGTATCCTTATGACCTAGAAGGTCATTTTATGAGGGTTATTTTCCACTTTGGCCTTGGCTTTGACCAAATATGAATTTTGACACTGGCCTTTTAGCATTTGGCCAAAATGCATATTTGGCATATTGTAATAAAGACCATAGGATTTGATGAGTAATAGATAATCCTTGCAATGTTTAAAAGAGACCTGTGCTTCCAAATTTGAAAGGGGAGGACTCTTGAGAGGGTTTGGTTCTCCCAGAGGAGAGCTGGGGTTGATGGGAGGATGGACCTACCTTCTTTACCCTAACTAAGAAAACAGGATAAGTGAGACGAGGCCTCCCTTTCAGATAACTTGGGGTAGGGCATGGGGTGGGTGCATTATGATAGGGAGGCACATTTTGTATCCTCAACATGCCAAGCAGGTGCTGAGAAGAGGCACAAAAGAGAACTCTGGCACCACAGTAACAAACCCCTGTCTTAGCTGGGGATCCAGACATCTAGGCCTTCCTCATCCCAGTTTTCATTTGAGAGCAAATGCCCATCAGCATGAGAATTGGGGATGTCTGGGTATCTGCTGACAGATGCGGAAATTATTAAACATAGTAGTGGAGGTGCTGTGGGGCTGCAGGAATCAGAATCCCTGGGGTCACCAAGTTGCCAGATTGAACTGGCACTGAGCACCCGGGGCCCGCCCTCACTGCCACTTGGCAGACTGTCTGTCTTGCTCAGTGTGGGGCTCAGCTGTTCAGACCCCTAATTGCTTACCAGCTGCTTAATCCTTCCTATTGTTCACAGAGAGATTTGAAACAGAATAAAATTCACCTTCCAGTTGCATAGCAAGTCTAAATCGTTCTCCACAATTCTTAAATTTATCTGGGCACTTATTGAATACCTAACAGGAAAAAATTGGCATCCAAAAGAGTCCGTGGCATTTCCATAGAACAAGATGGTTAGGAGTATGAAATATAGATCTAGCAGAGTTTGCAGTACTGATTCTTTCAGCTCCTTGACCTTAGGCAAGTTATTAAATCTTCCTGAGTCCTACTTTTCCTCATCTGTAAAATGAGATTAAAACTCTGACAGGACCAATGACTTCAAAATACCCACTTTTTTCGGCTTTCAAGTCTCCTCAACCTCCTGGCTATTCATCTGGCCTCATCAATTTTATTAAGATCTATGAATTATTATCCTGATAGAAAAGATTTAAAGTTGAGGAGGGAGGTCAATTTGGGCATAAGCTCTGTTCATCCTAGATTCAGTGTTCAAGAAGTCTGCTGGTGCCTGTTAGCAGAGCAGACTATGGAGCTAACAGGAGAAACTAGCTCCAAAAAGAAAGCAAAGGCCAACCAGTTGAACTTAAGTCTAAAGAGCCAGTGGACTTACAGAATCACCAACAATTTGATCACAAATATTTTAGTTACATTTTACTGTATTCAGTGATGGAAAGTGTGCATCATCATAGTATTTACAAATTTGGAGATTTGTGAGGGTTTAGGGAAGTATCTCTTTCAAATATCAAAGGCTTAATGTGTTATCTTATAGATCCTTTTTATTCTTTTAAACAATATTTAAGTTGGCTCCCAAACTCTGGGGTATCAGGATACATATATAATCTACTAAAGCCAACTAAAATCCAGAGCAAATAATGAGTTATTTGCTTAGGCTTTCTGGCAGGGGGTGTTTCCATTAGGTTATATTAGAAGAGCATCTACCTGAGCAGGGGAATTTATTTATGTATTCAATAAATATTTGGTTAGGGCTTCCTGTCAGTACAAGTACTAAGTAAATAGTGTACTTAGGCAGAGGGGGTCACAAAGGCAGCAAGATATGAGCCCTGCTTTCAGGTTATTTGTACTTTAGTTTGACTAAAAATGAAAATAATAATTTTTATCTCCATGACATTTTACAATTTTCAGAGTTTTAACACCAATTTTCAGTTCACACTCAAAGATTCCTATAAGCATTAACTCCATTTTATTTTTATTTTTTATTTTTACTTTTTTGTTTTTTTTTTTGACACTGAGTCTCACTCTGTTGCCCAGGCTTGAGTGCAGTGGCACGATCTCGGTTCACTGCAACCTTTGCCTCCTGGGTTCAAGCAATTCTCGTGTCTCAGCCTTCTGAGTGGCTGGGATTACAGTCGTGCACCACCACTCCTGGCTAATTTTTGTATTTTTAGTAGAGACGGGGTTTCACCATGTTGGCCAGGCTGGTCTCGAACTCCTGACCTCAAGTGATCTGCCTGCCTTGGCCTCCTAAAGTGCTGGGATTACAGGCATAAGTCACTGCACCCAGCCTATTAACTCCATTTTAAAGATGAGGAAACTGAGTTTCCAAGGAGTGAAGATATTTTTTGAAGGGCATGAAGTTAGTACATAATCACAATTCAAACCCAGGTTTCTTGACTCTAGATCTAATGTTCTCATTCACCATGGCTGCATCTTGAAAAAGAGACTCTATACCTTTGCTAAGTCAAGGTGGGAGGAAAGGAGTAGAACATTTTTTTGATGGATTTTCCTATGAAGCCCTATAGTCCATTTGGCCCTGGCAAAAACACCATGGAGAGTGCATGGAAAATGAAGACTTGTTTCTCACCTTCTGAAGGCTTTCAAATTAAGTTGATGTTAAGAAGCACGTGGGGGAAGAAACACAACGAGATTCTCCTTGTCCTTATGGAGTTTACACTGTCTGTCTGGTTCAGCAACATGTGTTCCAGGACAACCATAGGGTCTGGGACACAGTAGGTCTAGGTACTCAGTAAAAATATGTTGCATAACCACTATGGAAAACAGTATGGAGATTCCTTAAAGAACTAAAAGAACTACCATTTGATCCAGCAATCCCACTACTGGGTATCTACCCAAAGGAAAAGAAATCATTATATATAAAAGACACAAGCACTTGCATGCTTATAGCAGCACAATTTGCAGTTGCAAAAATAGAGAACCAACCTAAGTGCCCATCAACCAACAAGGGGTTAAAGAAAATGTGGTATATATACACCATGGAATACTACTCAGCCATAAAAAGGAATGAAATAACGTCTTTTGCAGCCACTTGGGTGGAGCTGGAGGACATTATTCTAAGTGAAGTAACTCAGGAATGGAAAACCAAAATTCTTATGTTCTCACTTGTAAGTGGGAGCTAAGCTATGAGGATGCAAAGGCATAAGAATAATATAATGGGCTCTGGGGACTTGAGGGGAAAGGTGGAAGGGGGGTTAGGGATAAAAGACTACATATTGGGTACAGTGTACACTGCTCAGGTAATAGGTGCACCAAAATCCCAGAAATCACCACTAAAGAACTCATCCATGTAACCAAAAGCCACCTGTACCCCAATAAAACTATTGAAATAAAAAATGAAATTAAAAAATATGTTGCATAAATAAAAGACAGATGAATGGGAGCAAATACACTTTAGTATATACTATAACTTCAAATGTGATAAAGAAGGAATCACAAAGCAATAGGAATTAGATGTTCTATTTAATGCATAGGGTTTGGAAAATTAACTATGTATTTGGAGAAATGAATGTTAGATCTCTGTCTCATAATATAATCTCGTACTGTCAAGTAAATTCCAGACAAATCAGAGTCAAATGTTAAGAACAAAACCATTTTTTTTGCAAAAGGCAGAAACTATAAGTGACAACTTCATTGATTTCTGACTGAAAAGGGATTACTAAGTATAAAAATAATGTAAGAAATTATAACCTAAGCAGCTAAAAATACGACTACATAAAAAGAAGACTTGATTCTTGGCGTAAAGCATTAGAACTTTTGTATATCCAAGGACACCATGAATGTTATATAATGAATTAGGAAAATATTAAAAATAAATAAGAAAAGCAAATATTAGTCCCTTAAGATATTTAAAAATACGTTAAAAAGCATGCAAAAAATCCTTTAAGATATAAAACGCCAATAACCCAACAAGAAAAACATAAACACATTAGGAATAATCATCAAAGGGCATAAAAAACTAATTCATAGAATAAAAATTTTTTAAAAATCCAGAAAAATTCAACCTCCCTGTTAATCAAAGAAAAATAAAAGAACAATGATTTTTTTTACCCTTTACATTTGTAAAAATTAAAGTTATAATGCTCAGGACTGCCAAAGGCATGATGAAATAGGCTTCTCATAAACTGATAGTAGAAATTAAAATGACATAAGCTTTCTAGAAGGCAATTTGGCCATGGTTATCAAAATATTTTTAATGTATATAAACTTTGAATCACTGATTCAGCTTCCATAAAATTATCCTAAAATAATCAAAGATGCAAAAAGATGTATATACAACAAAGTTCACCATGGCCTTCTTGATAATAGTGAATAAGTATAAACAAAATAAATGCTCAACACTAGAGAACTGTTAGGCAAATTATTCATAAGATAGAATGTTATGCAGTCATCAAAAATCAAGTTTTAGATGAATATTTATTGAAATATGAAATATTTGACATGCCCATAAAAGGTTTTTAAAAAGCAAACTACAAAAGAGTATTATAAAATGATGCTATTATATTGAGAGAGAAGAAAGGAAAGAAAGAGAAAGGAGAGGAGAAAAGGAGGGAAGGAGAGAGGAAAAGAGGAGGGGAAAAAATGGAATGGCAAGCTCTGTTGAAATTTTGTTTTATATCTTAGGAACACAGGGATTTATTATTTGTTGTTTTGTTTTTGCTTTCCTATGTTTTAACAAATTTTCTACATTTTTGTAATGGAAATATTATTTATTTGAGTCTGAAAAGACTACCCAGAAATCTCTGGGCAATAGGATTACAAATATTTTTCATTTTCTTCTTCTCATACAAGAATATTTACAGCATACAAAACTACTTCTTGTATTTTTCAATATTTTTATAGAAAGTCTTACCCGTGGAAGAGATCTGATTTACCCAGTGTTACCGATGGCCTGTCCTTAGGGGTCTGTAGCAACTTCAGTCCTTGCCTCCTCAGAAGAAATAATTCGACTGAGGGACAAAATCAGAAAAAGAGACAGAGACAAGTTCCACAGCAGGAATAGAAGTTTATTTTAAAAGGCCTTAGAACAGGAAAGAAAGTCAGGTGCGCTTGGAAGAGACCCAAGCGTGCACGTGAAAGGTTAAAGAGCGGACAAGTGCCCCATTTAACTGTGATCCTGGGACTTTCATAAGCTCGCCTCTTTACCATGATTCTTCCCTTACAGTGGGCTGCCCTCATGCACAGAGCCCTCCTTACCCTTGAGAAGTGAGCTCATGCAGTGTGTTTAGGGAGTTACAGGCATGCCCATCTGAGGCTTTCTTCCTTTTTCCAGTGGAATGTACCTGGAAGGATCATACTTCGCCATTTTTGTCTCTTAATATGCATGCCCAAGAAGCTGTTTCTCCCTGGCGTCTGCATTCAGTTAACAGTTTTAATTAATAATTAACAGGTGTGGACCATCAGTCTCTCCCTGGCTGCCGAATTATCATTTTAAGAGAGGCAATGCGATAATTGCCAAATCATCACCTGACTTTTCTAGTGGGTGGGGGGAGAGCCCTCTCCTGCCCCACCCACGCCTAACTACCTGTAACAAAAGCATGAATTATTTATATTGAAAGAAAAGAGTGCTTTTTTTTTTTTACACAAAAAGATATGGGTATCTTTTATATGTGACATTTTCAACATGAACCGCATAGTATTTGCATAATACTATGAAATATATTTTTAATAATGAAGATCTGGTCTGAATAATCTAGAATAGATGAAGTGTTCAAAATGGATACAAATTTGGCAGTGAGTCCCAGGTATCAAATATCCTTTCAGTCCTTCCCACAAGGAAACTGACAGAAATGAAGACTTATTCCCCTTATTTTCTTCTCAGCTTCTATGGCAGCCGGTGGGATGGGGAAGGTTTAACTGCAAGCATGTCCTTGCGCTAAGAATTTGAGGGAGTAAGGAACAATAGCTGGGGCGTGGCTGGGTGGAGAGGTCTTAAGAATAGTATTCACAGGGTCGGAACACATTTTTTCAAGATCTTACAAGTGAAAAACGTTTCTGTAAATAATCTGTTTATTTCACCTCTGTTTGCAATTTAAATAATACTGAACAATTTTTCAATAAATAACACTAAAAAATCACAATGGTTGACATTTATTGATGCTTGCTCTATGCCAAGCACTGTATTAAATCATGGCCATACATTATTTCTTTTAATATGAACAGCAGCCCTACGAGGCAGGAACTTTTTAAATCTTCACCTGACAGACTACAAGAGGCAAGGCCTAGAGAGGTTGGGTAACTTGTCCAAGTTCCTAGTAAGTAGTAGAGCCAAATTTAAGACCAGGTTTATCTGAATTTCAGCTCCAAGTATTTAATTATACACTGCCTAACATATCTGCCAAAGCTAAACAATACCCAACAAAAATGCATTCATATGGTCACCGAAAAATACATGCTAACTAGAAGGTTAAATAGCAGTATTATTCTTAAAAGTCAAAAACTAGAAACCACCCAAATGCACAACAGCAATTGAACAGATAAATTCTGGTATATTTACACAATGGAATGCTATACAGCAATGTAAATGAATTATCTACAACTACGTGCAACACATGGATGAATATCACAAACATAATGTTGAGCAAAAGAAGTCAGACCCAATGGATGCTATAATTCAATTTGTTCAAAATATGCAATAAATAGTCAAAATAAATCTATTATTTCAAAATCAGGATAGTGGTTACTCTTTGATATTGAGGATGTGGCAGGTGAAGCCTGGACAGGTTTCTGGGTGCTGGTAATGTTCTGTTTCTTGATCTGGGTCCTGATTACACTGATTACAAGAGTGTGTTCACCTTTTAAGAATTCATTGAGCTTTATGCCTGCAATAGGGGTACTTTTCTGTATGACTAGTAAGTCCAGAGGAAGAATGCAGTTGGTGACAGACATGTGGTTTAGTTTCTACTAAACACTCTACATACAGGAAAGTAGTATAAAGTGATAAAAGAGGATTATGGAAATACTGATCTGATAATGATCAGCTTTCTAAGATACAAACAATTAGCCCTGGGGAGTGACAAATAATATGCCACAACAAGCTCACTTGGTTACCTTTCCATCATAATTCAGAACCAGAGTGTGTCTGTTTGGACAGCAGGAAAGTGTTTGCTTTAATATCACCACCTGCAGAATGAAATTCAACCAATTAAGTTAGGAAATTGCCATTTACAGATAATTATTATTTAGCTGGTTTCTAACTTCACAGATCTGCCGCCATTTGAGGACAAGGTCCCAAAACTGCCATAGGGTGTGGTGTCGGAGCTGGTCTATTTTAACTTAATGATCTGGAAGAGGAAATAACCAGCATGGTAATGACATTGTGAACGATGCTAAATTGAGAGAGTTGCAAATGCTAATAAAGGCAGAGGAACAAGATGGGAAGACTTTGCTGATAAAATCTGGACTTTGTGAATAATACCAGCGCATTGAATTCCCAATGCTCTGCCCTAGCAATAGATTCCAGAGCAACTCCTTTGTGTTAAAAAATAAAGGTCTCATATCTAAAAAAAATTGAATATTCTATTTTGGCACTGCAATTTTAAATAAACTTTCTTTAATTTTAAAATAGTTTCAGACTTACAGAAAAGTTATTAAGATAGTACAGAGTTCCAAAACATCCCACACCCAGTTTCCCCTATTATTAACATCATATATTAGTATAGCGCATTTGTAACAATTAATGAACCGATATTAATACATTGTTTCTTTTTTTGTTTTTTAAATATAAATTGACAAATTATAGTTATACCTATTTATGGGGTACAAAATGATGTTCTGACTTATGACTACAATATGGAATAATAAAATCAAGCTAATTAACCTACCCATCACCTCAAATACCTAACATTTTTTGTGTTGAGAACATTTAAAATTTAGTCTCTTAGCAATTTTTAAATGTTTGATATTATTTTTACTATATTCACCACACTGTGCAATATATCTCAAAGCAAAAAAAGAAAAAAAAACTTATTCCTCCTGCCTAATTGAGGCTTTGTATAATTTGACCATGATTTCACCATTCCCCCTAAACCCCAGCTTCTGGTAACCACCATTTTACTCTCTGTTGCTTTGAGTTTGATTGTTTTAGTGTCCACATATAAGTGAGAATTCTTGAAGGGGAGTATCTACGTAAATTATCTGGAATTCTTCTACGTGGGATTTTTGTATATTCTTCCCCATTTATTTATTCAATCATTTATTATGTCAGTATGAACTCATGGATATTTATTTTATACTTTGGCTTATAATCCAATACTGCTTTATTTATTTTGATCCTCAAATCATTCCACTTTCAGCCATTGGGAGCTCTTTCAGTTGACTCCTGTGTCTTTCTGACACACTTCCACCACTGTGGATTTTCTTTTCTTTTCTTTTTTCTTTTTTTTTTTTTTTTGAGTACTTTCTTATTTTCTAGCAGTACAAAATGTTCCAGGATCATCTGCATATTTCCTGCCCCAGTCCTAGAATCAGCCATTTCTCCCAGGAGCCCTGGTTTATTTTATCGAAAAATGGTATTAGAAACCAAGATCTGTGCACTATGTGTGACTACTGTTACTGGAGTGTTTTTGGTTCTAGCCCTGTAAACTGACAGCACAAGGAAATACATTTGTATATATAAATGCTGTATATACACATATCTGTAAACATTTCTGTATGTATCTATCTGTGTCTATATTAAACTAATCATGAGTTCATACTAATGTCTTTAATTCCAATCCATTACCACATGAATTATTCTACTCTTTTCTCCTTATCTGTAACCTTTCTGCTCCAACAATGAGAAAACTAGCTCCCACCATCTGCCGTCCATTTCCTTATTGTGTAATCCTAGTATCCATGTATAGTAGTTTAAGAATTGTGAACCCATATCCCAATAGGAAACAACTTTATCATTTAGAGTAGTGCTTATGTACAGTTCCTTTTATCTTTAGTCTTATAGACTCTACCCATTACCTTGTACATTTCCTCTACCCCCCCTTCCGTTATGTTGTTTAACACATGCGTAATACAGTTAGATTTTTAAAAATCACATTCTGCATTCCATTCTGAGATCCACTGATCTCCTAAATGGTTTTTAAATTTGCATACATTAAAGTCCACTCTTTGGGCTCTAGTTCTGTGGGTTTTGACAAGTATACAATATTGTGTATCCACCATGGCAGTCTCATTCAGAATAGCTTCACTGCCTTAAAAAAAAATCCCCCGTGATTCTCACATTCAACCTTTCCCCACCTCCACTGAACTTCTAGCAATCACTGACCTGTGTCTAGAGTATTCTCTTTTCCAGAATGTCATATAAAGGGAATCACACCAAATATATCTTTGAAAACTAGCTTCTTTCACTAGGCAAAATGCATTTACATCTTTGTATTTGCATAGCTTGATAACTCATTCCTTTTCATCACTCAATAGTATTACATTATATGATGTAGAACAGTTGGCTTATTCCTTTACCTATTGAAGGACATTTTTGTTGCTTCTAGTTTTTGGTGATTATTCATAAATAAACCTGCTATAAACTTTTTTAATTTTAAATTTTTTATTTTCAATTTTTGTGGGTACCTAAGTGTGTATGTTTATGGGGTACATGAGATGTTTTGATACAGGCATTCAATGTGTAATAATCACATCATGAAGAATATCCATTCCTTCAAGCATTTATCCTTTGCTTATAAAAATCCAATTACACACTTTTAGTTATCTTAAATATACAAGTAAGTTATTACTGACTATAGTCACCCTGTTGTACAATCAAATACTAAGAATTATTCATTCTTACTATTTTTGTACCCATTAACCATCCCCATCTTACCCTAAGCCCCCCACTACCTTTCCCAGCCTCTGGTAACTATCCTTCTACGTTCTATGTCTATTAGTTCAATCGTTTTGATTTTTAGATCCCACAAATCAATGAGAACATGCTATGTGTTATTTAATTCAATTTACTAGTATTTTGTTGAGGATTTTTTGCATCAGTATTCTTCAGAGAGATATTGGCCTGTAGTGTTTTTTTGGGTTCTTTTTTGTTTGTTTTTTGTTTTTTTGCTTTTTTCTTTTGATATGTCTGTGTTTGGTTTGGTATCAGGGTAATACCAACCTCATGGAATGAGGTTGGAAGTATTCCCTCCTCTTCTATTTTTCAGAATAGGTGGAGTAGGATTGGTATTAGTTCTTCTTTAAGGGTTTGATAGAATTCACCAGTGAAGCCATTGAGTCCCAGGCTTTTCTTGACTGGGAGAATTCTTATTATCATTTATATCTCATTACTTGTTATTGGTCTATTCAGGTTTTGCATTTCTCCATGGTTCAATCTTGGTAGGTTGCACATGTCTAGGGATTTGTTCATTTCTTCTAGATTTTCCAATTTATTGGCATATAGTCACTCATAGTAGCCACTAATAATCCTTTGAATTTCTGCAGTATCTGTTGGAATGTCTCCTTTTTCATTTCTGATTTTATTTATTTAGATCTCTTTTGTTTTCTTAGTCTGGCTAAAGGCTTGTCAATTTTGTTTAACCTTTCAAAAAATAAACTTTTTGTTCCATTGATCTTTTGTATTGTTTTCTTCATTTCAATTTCATTTATTTCTTCTCTGATCTTTATTATTTATTTTCTTCTACTAATTTTGGGTTTGGTTCTTTTCTAGTTCTTTAAGATGCATCATTAGATTGTTTATTTGAAGTTTTTCCTCTTTTTCATATAGGCACTTCTAGCTATCAACTTCCCTCTGAGTATGCTTTTGCTGTATCACATAGGTTTTGGTATGTTGTATTTCCATTATCATTTGTTTCAATAAATTTTTTAATTTTCTTAATAATTCCTTCATTGATCCACTCATCATTCAGAAGCATATTGTTTTAATTTTCATGTATTATATAGTTTCCAAAATTTCTCTTGTTATTAATTTCTAGCTTTATTCCATTGTGTTCAGAGAAGATGCTTGGTATTAATTCAATTTTTTGAATGTTTTAAGACTTTTTTGTGACATAACATTTGGTCTATCTCTGAGAATGATCCATTTGCTGAGGAAAAGAATGTGTATTCTGTATCCATTGGATAACATGTTCTGTATCTATTAGATTCATTTGGTCTATAGTGCAGATTAAGTCCAATGTTTTTTGTTGATTTTCTGTCCAGAAGATCTGTCCAGTGCTGAAAGTAGGGTGTTGAAGTCTCCAGCTATTATTGTATTGGGGTCTATCCTTCTCTTTAGTTCTAATAATATTTCCTTTATATATCTGGATATGCCCATGTTGGGTGCACATATATTTAAATTTCTTATATCCTCTTGCTGAATTGACACCTTTATCATTATATAGTGACATTCTTTGTCTCTTCTTATAGTTTTTGTCTTGAAATATATTTTGTCTGATATAAGTATAGTGATTTCTGCTCTTTTTTTGTTTATACTGGCATGGAATATATTTTTCCATCCCTTTATTTTCAGCCTATGTGTGTCTTTACATATGAAGTGTGTTTCTTGTAGGCATCAGATCAATGAGTCTTGATTTTTCATTCATTCAGTCAGTCTATGTCTTTTGATTGGAGAGTTTAGTCCATTTACATTCAATGTTATTATTGATAAGTAAGGACTTACTCCTGCCATTTTGTTATTTGTTTTCTGGTTGTTTTGTAGTCTTCTCTTCCTTCCTTCTTTCTTCCCTTCTTGTCTTTCTCTAAAGAAGGTGATTTTCTCTGGTGATATGATTTAGTCTCTTTTTAGTTTTTGTATATCAGTCGTATGTTTGTTGGTTTGAGGTTACCATGAGGCTTGCAAATTCAATATTATAACCCCTTATTTTAAACTGATAACAACCTAACACTGTTTGCATAAACAAAAAAGCAAAAAGAAAACTAGTAAAAACTCTATGCCTTAACTTCATCCCCCCACTTTTTAAATTTTGTTGTTTCTATTTATATTTGATTGTACTATGTTTTGGAAAGTTGTTGTAGTTATTACTTTTGATTGGTTCATTGTTTAGTCTTTTGACTTAGGATAAGAGTAGTTTACACACCAAAGTTACAGTGTTATAATATTCTGTGTTTTTCTGTGTACTTACTATTACCAGTGAGTTTTGTACTTCAGGTGATTATGTATTGCTCATTAATGTCTTTTTCTTTCTGATTGAAACACTCCCTTCAGCATTTTTTGTAGGACCAGTCTGGTGTTGATAAAATCCCACAGCTTTTGTTTGTCTGATTTTGCTTCTCATGAAGGTGTTTTATGAGTGTAGATAGTTGTTAAATTGGTGTCCTTGTGTGGGGGATGACTGGTAGAGCCTTCTATTCCACCATCTTGCTGCACCTCCAATCATCTGCTATAAACATTGATGTGCAGGCTTTTATATGGACATAAATTTTCAACTCCTTTGGGTAAATACCTAGACGTTCAATTGCTAGATTGTAGGGTAGGACTATGTTTACCTTTGTCAGACACTGCCAAAGTGTTTTTCAAAATGGCTGTACCTTTTTGTATCCCCACCAGCAATAAATGACAGGGTTTTTTTTTTTGTTCTTCATCCTTGCCACCAATCAGTATTGCTAGATTTAGGGTAGGACTATGTTTACCTTTGTCAGACACTGCCAAAGTGTTTTTCAAAATGGCTGTACCTTTTTGTATCCCCACCAGCAATAAATGACAGGGTTTTTTTTGTTTTTCATCCTTGCCACCAATCAGTATTGTTAGATTGTAGGTGTTAGCCTTTATATACTTGTATGGTAGTATCATATTGCTGTTTTAATTTGCATTTTTCTAATTTGCTTGAAAAATGATGGCGAGTGTCTTTTCATAGGCTTCTTTGCCATCTGTATACCTTCTTTGGTGGGGAATCTGTTCAGACCTTTTGTCCATTTTTACATTGAATTGTTTGTTTTCTTATTATTGAGTTTTTAAAGTTCTTTGTATATTTTAGACATAAGTTCTTCATTAAATATGTATTTTGCTGATATTTTCTCTCAGTATGTGCCTTGACTTTTTATTCTTATAGCAGTATCTTTTTCAGAACAGAAAAAAATTTAGTTTTAATAAAGGTTTCCTGTTCACTCTGATGGTAGTTTCTTTTGCTGTGCAGAAGCTCTTTAGTTTAATTAGATCCCATTTGTCACTTTTGGCTTTTGTTGCCATTGCTTTTCGTGTTTTAGACATGAAGTCCTTGCCCATGCCTATGTCCTGAATGGTAAGGCCTAGGTTTTCTTTTAGGGCTTTTATGGTTTTAGGTCTAACGTTTAAGTCTTTAATCCATCTTGAATTAATTTTTGTATAAGGTGTAAGGAAGGGATCCAGTTTCAGCTTTCTACATATGGCTAGCCAGTTTTCCCAGCACCATTTATTAAATAGGGAATCCTTTCCCCATTGCTTGTTTTTCTCAGGTTTGTCAAAGATCAGATAGTTGTAGACATGCGGCGTTATTTCTGAGGGCTCTGTTCTGTTCCATTGATCTATATCTCTGTTTTGGTACCAGTACCATGCTGTTGGTTACTGTAGCCTTGTAGTATAGTTTGAAGTCAGGTAGTGTGATGCCTCCAGCTTTGTTCTTTTGGCTTAGGATTGACTTGGTGATGCAGGCTCTTTTTTGGTTCCACATGAACTTTAAAGTAGTTTTTTCCAATTCTGTGAAGAAAGTCATTGGTAGCTTGATGAGGATGGCATTGAATCTATAAATTACCTTGGGCAGTATGGCCATTTTCATGATATTGATTCTTCCTACCCATGAGCATGGAATGTTCTTCCATTTGTTTGTATCCTCTTTTATTTCATTGAGCAGTGGTTTAGGGCTCATATCCAGAATCTACAATGAACTCAAACAAATTTACAAGAAAAAAACAAACAACCCCATCAAAAAGTGGGCAAAGGAAATGAACAGACACTTCTCAAAAGAAGACATTTATGCAGCCAACAGACACATGAAAAAATGCTCATCATCACTGGCCATCAGAGAAATGCAAATCAAAACCACAATGAGATACCATCTCACACCAGTTAGAATGGCAATCATTAAAAAGTCAGGAAACAACAGGTGCTGGAGAGGAAGTGGAGAAATAGGAACACTTTTACACTGGTGATGGGACTGTAAACTAGTTCAACCATCGTGGAAGTCAGTGTGGCGATTCCTCAGGGATCTAGAACTAGAAATACCATTTGACCCAGCCATCCCACTACTGGGTATATACCCAAAAGACTGTAAATCATGCTGCTATAAAGACACATGCACAAGTATGTTTATTGCGGCATTATTCACAATAGCAAAGACTTGGAACCAACCCAAATGTCCAACAATGATAGACTGGATTAAGAAAATGTGGCACATATACACCATGGAGTACTATGCAGCCATAAAAAATGATAAGTTCATGTCCTTTGTGGGGACATGGATGAAATTGGAAATCATCATTCTCAGTAAACTATCGCAAGAACAAAAAACCAAACACCGCATATTCTCACTCATAGGTGGGAATTGAGCAATGAGAACACATGGACACAGGAAGGGGAACATCACACTCTGGGGACTGTTGTGGGGTCGGGGGAGGGGGGAGGGATAGCTTTAGGAGATATACCTAATGCTAAATGACGAGTTAATGGGTGCAGCACACCAGCATGGCACATGTATACATATGTAACTAACCTGCACATTGTGCACATGTACCCTAAAACTTAAAGTATAATAATAATAAAATAAAAAATAAAAAAAATTTAAAAAAAAATAATAAAGGTTTCCTGTGCATTGCATTTTTTTATTACTTTTCTCCTCTTTTTATTCTTCTCTGGTGTTAATTGAGCATTTTATGTCATTCCATTTTATCTTTTTTATTAGCATATCAATTACAGTTCTTTAAAAAAAATTTTGTAGTGATTGCCCTAGACTTTCCAATATATATTTTAAACTGGTCTAATTTCACCATCAAATAATACTATACTGCTTTAAGCACAGTACAGATGCCTTATGACAGAGTATCCCAAATTCATCCCACTCATTCTTTGTAACATTGCTATTATTAATTTTATTTCAGATTTCACTTCACTTATCCACATGCCATAATAACCCAATACATTCTTACTATTATTACTTTAAACAAACAATAATATTTTACACCAATTAAAAATTTAAAAATCAAAGTACTTCATCATATCTTTATTTATTCATTCTCTAGTGCTCTCTTTATGTAGATTCAAGTTTCTGACCTATATACTTTTTCTTCTGCCTGAAGAACTTCTATTAACATTTCTTGTAGGGTGAGTTTGCTGGCAGTGAATTCTCTTAGTTTTTGTTTAAGAAAGTTTTTACTTCTTCACATTTGAAAGATAATTTTTTTGATATAGAATTCTAGATTGGTGAGTTGTTTTTTCTTTCAAAGCTAAATATTTCACTCCACTCTCTTCTTACAACACAGTTTCTGATTAAAAAGTCACTGTAGTTCTTTTTTATTTTTTATTTGAATAGTTTTGGGGGAACCGGTGGGTTTTGGTTACATGGATAAGTTCTTTAGTGGTAATTTCTGAGATTTTAGTGCACTCATCACCCAAGCAGTGTACACTGTACCCAACGTGTGGACTTTTATCCCTCACTCCCCCTCCCACACTTCTCCTCATGTCTCCAAAGTTCATTATATCATTCTTATGCCTTTGTGCTTTCATAGCTTAGTTCCCACTTATAAGTGAGAGCATATGATGTTTGATTTTCCATTCCTAAGTTACTTCACTTAGAATAGTGGTTTCCAACTCCATCCGGGTTGCTGCGAATGCCATTATTTTGTTCTGTTTTATGACTATGTAGTATTCCATGGTATATATATATACCACATTTTCTTTATCCATTCATTGGTTGATGGTTATTTAGGCTGGTTCCATATTTTTGCAATTGCAAATTGTGCTGCTATAAACATTCTTATCTTTATTCCTCTATAGGTAAGATGTTTTCTCTTCCCTTCACCCCCCAACCCCCGTGCCCCCCTGATACACACACTTGTTTGGCTTCTTTCAAGATTTTCTCTCTGTGTTTGGTTTTCTGTGTTTCAATATGATATACCAAGGTGTGAGGACTTCATGGTGGGCTGTGGAGGCAGAGATTTTTCCTGCTGGTATTCTCTGAGCTTCCTTGATCTGTGGTTTGGTATCTGTCATTAATTTTGGAAAGATCTTAGCCATTATTACTTCAAATTGTTCTTTTGCTTCACTGTCTCTCTACTCTCCTGGTATGTGTGTGTTAAATGTTCTTTTCTTTTTTTCACCCATGCTTTATTCTCCTTGCATTTCAGTTTGAGAAGGTTCTATGATCCTGTCATCAAGCTCACTGACTCTTCCCTCTGTCATGTCAAATCTACCGATGAGTCCATTGAAGATATCCTTCATTGCTGTTACTTTTTAAAATTTCTAGCATTTCCTTTTGATTCTTTCTTAAGGTTTCCATCTCTCTGCTTGTACTACTCATCTGTCCTTGTATGTTGTCTACTCTTTCCATTAGAGCCTTTGACACATCATCATAATTATTTTAAATTCTGTCTGACAATTCCAACATCTGTGTCATATCTGTGTCTTGTTCTGATGATTGCTTTGTCTCTTTAAGCTGTATTTCCCTTGTTGTTTGTTGTTGAAAATCAGATAGTTTATATTGGAAAATAGGAATTGAGGTAAATAGGCCTTTAATGTGAGGATTCATGTTAATATGACTAGAAGTTGGGCTGTGTTTAAAATTTCCCATAGCTACAGGTGCCAGAGATTTCAAAATCTTCTAATGTCTTTGTTTTTGTCTCCTCTCTTGACTTTATGTTTCCCAAAGTTCTCCTGCTCAGAGAGAGTTTGTGTCTTGCAGCTCTTTCAGCTATAATCCACTATCATACTAGAGCCCTCTTGGGGTGCTGGTAAGTGTGTGGCAGGGGAGCATTCTATAATCTGGTGATTAACTCTTAGTGTTTTAGTGGGCCTATGTCTCAGGGACGTAGCCTTCACAAGTATTTCTGCAGTGGCACAGCTTTCTTTTCTCCCTTGGCCCCTCCTACCTTTCTGACTGCAACATTTTCTTATGGAAAAGGCTCTGGAGATAATTTCACAATGATTATGCTTCCCATTTCTCTGCCACAAGGGGATCTTTCTTTAATACTCCCTAAAAGAATTTGGTGGGTTCCTGGAGGCAAAACCTACAAAATTGTGGGGCCCCTCTATAACTGAAACCCCATGAGTTTCTTACTTTCATGTTAGACTACATTGAGGTGCCAACAATTCATCAAATTACTATTTAAATGTTCCTATCAGTTTCTGTCTCCAGAGACTCCTGCTTCAAATTAGCATATCTCAGCTGTGACTCTTTTGATACACCTGTCTATACAGATTTCAGGGTGACAATTTGTCCTACAAGGAAAAAGGAAAGGTGTGACAGTGGAGAAATACTTGTGCATGTTACATCCCTGAGATACAGACCCACTAAACACTGAGAGTTAATCATCGGGTTATAGAATTTGGCTCTCTAGTGGGTTCAGGAAAAGTTGTTGATTTTTACTTTGTCTATATTTTTCTTCTTGTAAGGATGGGAGTGACAACTTCCTAACTCTTTACACGTCAGAGCTAAAACCAGGGTATGTCCAGCATTGCATTTTAATCAAATAACAGGATGAAAGGGTGCCAAATATTTTGTTTCTAAGAAGGTCATTGAGAAGTGGCATTTACTGAGTGCCCAAAGATTTATATAGCCTATTAATTTGATCAACAAATAATTATTGAGTGCCTGCTATGTGCCAGGTGCTATTCTAAGAGATGAGGCTACCTCTGTGAATGAAATGAAGTTCCTGCTTTCATGAAACTTCCATTTGAGTCAAAGGGAGGCAGAAAATGATGATAAATGCTGTAAAGTAAAATAAAATTGAGTGGGAGATAGGGAGCAATGGGATGGAGGTTGGGGAATGCTATTTTAAAGATAATAGAAAAAAGGCACCTCTAATAAGGTAAGATTTGAAAAGACTTCCCTTCAATGAAGGAATGCCCCTATAGGATATCTGAAGGCAAAGTATTTAGGAAACATAAAGAAGGCAGGTATTGCTAAAGTGGAGTAATTAGAGAGAGAGTCACAAGAGAGGAAGCAGCAGGAACCCTCATCATGTGGAACCTCATCAGCCATGGTAAGGGTTTGAACTTTCACTCTGAGTGAGTTGGGAAACCACTGGGGAATTTTCAACAGAAAAACGGCATGAGTTGATATATTTTAAAGGGATCACTCTGTCTGATACATTGAAAACAGACTGTTGGAGTGGGTAGGACAACATGGAAGCTACAGAGGCTGATTAGGATGCTATTGGAATAATCAAGGCAAGAGATGATGGTGGCTTGAAGGTAATAAGATTTGGTCAGGTTCTGGAATTATTTTGAAAGTATAGACAACAAGATTACTGATGAATTGGTTTAAAAATATTAGTCAACTCTTAGTAAAATAAAGGTAATAAAACTTGTGTAAGATGAGAAAAATAACCCTCAAGGAGAGTTTATCTAGATCCCTGAGCTAATGAGTGGCAAATCAAAATGTTAAACCAAATCTGTCAGGCTCCAAACCCCTAACTCTGACTCTCACATTCACAGCCTGTTAGAGTTATGAGGGATCTTTGAGTTCAGCCCAATACTTCATTTCACAGAAGAAAAAAACTGAAGCTCCCACAGGTTAAGAGCTATTCTCTAGTTTCTAAAATTAGCTAAGGGCAGAACTGACACAAAAGACCATCTGGTGACACCTGAATGGGTCTCTTTCTACTCCACCATACTGCCCTTTTATCTGATAACCAGAAATAAACAGCCAAAGGTAGCAGGTAATTGTCAATTAAACCCAAGTTCACAAGAAGATAGTGCTATTATAAAATCTACTGCATATGGGTCGTCTTTGATGAGACATCACAAGACAGAAGTGATATTTATCACACTGCACTCTGGACACTGCTTGTATTTTTTACTTATTAACAAAATGGTGCATGTCTAAGGGAAGCCTTTAAAAGAAACCCAAAGGAAACAAAACGTGAAACAAACAAGCGAGCAAGCGAACAAAATCTGTGAAGTCAGTTGTGGTCCTAATTGCCTAACAAACATGCCAGGGCTGCCAAAAAGGTTGAATTCTGTGTGTTTCTATAGGATACTTTGGGGATTTTCACGACAGTGGTATGAACATTTAAACTGTGGAACTGCTTAATATAAAGAAGCCACATTATTCTGTTCATCTAAATTGATTATTTTCTCCTAGAAAATATATTCTTGGAAAAACCAAGAATTAATAGTAATCCCTAGAAATAAATTAGGGTCTTTCACATTTTGTAAAATACTTTTTTCATCTAGTAATGACTATTAGTCCTTCAAATTCAACTCAGTCTACTATTTATTAAGCCCTTACTATGCGCCAGAAACTGAGCTAAGGGATTTATGCCTTATTCATCTAATTTCCTTTGGCTCACTGAGAACCCTGGGTTTACCTCTACACCTTCACTCTTAAGTGTAAATCAAGGATTATTGTGCTATGTGATGTCTCTCTTCCATTATGCTTTGAATGCCTTGAGGACAGAAACTCTTCTTTCTCTCCTCTTTAGTACTTCAAAATATCTTGAGAGAAGTTGCACAGATCTTTACCTCCAAGTATTTCACTTAATTCAATTTATTCCTGACAATAGCCCTATGAGATATTGCTTTAATAGCCTTCTATTCACTCCGATGGTGAGGGAGGGGTTCCTAACCTTGGGTTGTGGGGATGGCTGAACTCACAACACCTGATACTAGTCACATGAGAGTGACAGCAGCTTCTTACATATACTCATAGCTCAGGGGAGGAGGACACCGTGGCATGCAGGGCCACATGAAGATTGTACTCCAGAACACAGTGAACAACTAGGGGCTATAGGAAGCTTTGCAGTGTCAAGTATAGGATGGGGTGCCCCCTGGTTTCCATGGGAGGATGCAATTGGCTTGTTTGGACAATTCCATTAACTGTCAGGAAACTGTAACCCACTACTCAAAGATATGTAGAAACCGTGCCTGATTCCTGTGATAAGGAGAGTTGTTTGTCTCCGGACTGTATCCATAGGAGCAGAGTAGGGAGGGAAACTTGTAATTAGTGCACACAAAGCACTAATTTTACCAGCTATCACGGCTGAACATAATATTGAGCCTTCCTTGTAAGCCTTACATTACAACTATACACGAGTAAAAGGAGTTCAGGATACTTAAATCGTGAAAAAGTTTATACACTTCCTGAGAGGTTGAGGTTAGACCCAGGTCTTTAAGACTTCAAAGTCATATTTAGTTTACAAATGGTTAATGGGACATCTTCAATTTCTAACCAACATTTTGATATGACTTCTAGAAGTATGAGACTAGAAAAGAAAGAATATACCATTTTCTGCCTGAAATCAACTTACAACAGAATATTTTTCCTTATATGCCCAAGAGTCACCAGCATTTGATTGGAAAGCATCATCACAAATATTTTATACCAGGGAGTGGAGAGAGCCATTATTGGCTTATGCCAAGGTCCCCTCACCTGCCAAGATGCCTATTTAGCCAATTTAGCTGTGACTTGGCCCGGTCTATCCAAGCTTCAGGTAAAGTACAATTATGGGTTAGATAACATGAATATTTTAATATGAAGATTGTGCTCTTGAATGTTTGGACTGCCACTTATCCATAAAAACTTGTTCCTATTTGCTATGAACATGAACATTTTTAGTAATTGCTGTTCTTTTTTTTTTTTTTTTTTTTACTTTAATGTTAGTTTCACGGATACATGTGCAGGTTTGTTATATAGGTAAATTTCATGTTGTGAGCGTTTGGTGCACAGATTATTTCATCACCCAGATAATAAGCATAGTACCTAATAGGCAGTTTTTTGATGTTCACCCTCCTCCCACCTTCCACCCTCAAGGAGTCCCCAGTGTCTATTGTTTCCTTCTTTGTGTCCATGTGGACACAATGCTTAGCTCACACTTGTGAGAACATGCAGATTTGATTTTCTGTTCCTGCATTAGTTCACTTAGGATAACAGTCTCCAGCTCCATCCATGTTCCTGCAAAGGACATGATCTCATTCTTTTTTATGGCTGCACAGTATTCCATGATGTATATTTGCCACATTTTCTTTAGTCCGCCATTGACAGACATTTAGGTTGATTCCATGTCTTTCCTATTGTGAACAGTGCTGCAATGAACATACACATGCATATGTCTTTATGACTGAACAATTTATATTCCTTTGGGTATATGTTCAGTAATGGGATTGCTGGGTTGAATGGTAGTTCTAAGTTCTAGAAGAAGTCACCATACTGCTTTCCACAAAGCCTGAACTAATTTACATTCCCACCAGTTGTGTTTACACATTCCCTCTTCTCCACAACCTTTCCAGCATCTGTTATTTTTTGACTTTTTAATTATGGCCATTCTGAGCGGTATGAGATGGTATCTTTTTGTGGTTTTGATTTGCATTTATCTAATCATTAGTGATATTCAGCATTTTTTCATATGCTTGTTGGCCATGTGTATGTCGTCTTCTGAAAAGTGTCTGTTTATGTCCTTTGTCCACTTTTTAATGGTTTTTTTAAAATTGTAAATGTAAGTTCCATATAGATGCTGGATATTAGACCTTTGCGGATGCATAGTTTGTAAATATTTTCTCCCATTCTGCAAGTTGTCTGTTTACTCTGTTGATAGCTTTACTGTGCAGAAGCTGTTTAGTTTAATTATTTCCCATTTGTCAATTTTTGCGTTTGTTCCTGTTCAGTAAGTTGTTGGCTGTGGATTTGCTTTTCACATCTTGGTCATGAAATCTTTGCTGGAGCCTGTGTCCGGAATGGTATTGCCTAGGTTTTCTTCTAGGGTTTTTATAGTTTTAGGTTTTACATTTAAGTCTTTAATCTATCTTGAGTTGGTTATATATATGATATAAGGAAAGGGGCCAGTTTCAATCTTTTGCATATGGCTAGCCAGTTATTCTATTATCATTTATTGAACAGGGAATTCTTTCATTATTGCTTTTCCTTGTCAGCTTTGTCAAAGTTCAGATGGCTATAGATGTATGGCTTTATTTCTGGGCTTTCTATTCTGTTCCATTGGTCTACATGTCTTTTTTTTTATTATATCATTTTGGTTATTGTAACCTTGTAGTATAGTTTGAAGTTGGATAATGTGATGCTTCTAGCCTTGTTCTTTTTGCTTAGGATTGCTTTGGCTCTTTGGGCTCTCTCTCTCTCTCTTTTTTTTTTTTTTTTTGGTTCCATATGAATTTTAGAATAGTTTTTCTAATTCTGTAAATAAAGTCATTGGTAATTTGATAGGAATAACATTGATTCTGTAAATTGCTTTGGGGAGTATGGTCATCTTAACGATATTAATTCTTCCTATCCATGAGCATATAGTGCTTTTCCATTTGTTCCTGTCATCTCTGATTTCTTGCAGTAATGTTTTCAATTCTTGTAGAGATTTTTCACCTCCCTGGGGTTAGCTGAATTCCTGGGTATTTTATTTTTTTTTCTGTGGCTATTGTGAATGGGATTGCATTCTTGATTTGGCACTCAGCTTGGATGTTGTTGGGGTATAGAAATGCTAGTGATTTTTGTACACTGATTTTGTATCCTGAAACTTTGCTGAAATTGTTTATCAGATCCAGGAGCTTTTGGGCAGAGACTACGGGGTTTTCTAGTTATAAAATCATAAAGTACGTGAAGAAAGATAGTTGGACTTCCTCTCTTCCTATTTGGATACCTTTTATTTCTTTCTCTTGATCAGTTGTTTTGGCCAGGACCTCCAGTACTATGTTGAATAGGAATGGTGAGAGTGGGCATCCTTTTCTTGTTCCAGTTCTCAGGGGAAATGCTTCCAGTTTTGGCTTGTTTAGTAGGATTTTGGCTTTGGATTTGTCATAGGGTGCTCTTAATATTTTGAGGTATGTTCCTTCAGTGTCTAGTTTGTTAAAAGGTTTTTAACATAAAGCAGCACCGAATTTTATCAAAAGCCTTTTCTGCATCTACTGAGATGATCATGTGATTTTTGTTTTTCCTTCTGCTTATATAATCAATCACATTTATTGATTTGCGTATGTTGAACCAACCTTGCATCCCAGGGATAAAGCTTAGTTGATTGTGGTGGATTAGCTTTTTGATGTGCTGCTAAACTCAGTTGGCTAGTGTTTTATTGAGGATTTTTGTGTCTAGGTTCATCAAAGTTGTTGGTCTGAAGGTTTTTGTTGTTGTATGTCTGCCAGGTTTTGGTATCAGAATGTCGCTGACCTCATAAAATGAGTTAGGGAGGAGTCTCTCTCTTCAATTTTTTAGAATAGTTTCAGTATGAATGGTACCAGCTCTTCTTTGTATGTCTGGTTGAATTTGGCTGTGAATCCATCTGGTCCTGGGCTTTTCCTGGTTGGTAGGGGGTTTTTTATTATTATTATTATTATTACTGATTCAATTTCAGAACCTGTTGGTCTGTTCAGGATTTCAATTTCTTCCTGTCTTAATCTTGGGAGGTTGCATGTTTCCAATAATTTACCCATTTATTTTAGGTTTTCTAGTTTGTGTGCATGGAGGTATTCATAATAGTCTCTGAAGGTTTTTTGTATTTTTGTGGGGTTGGTGGTTAATGTCCCCTTTGTCATTTCTGATTGTGTTTATTTGGATCTTTTTCCCTTTTTTTTTCTTTATTAGTCTAGCTAGCAGTCTATTAATCTTATTTATTCTTTCAAAGAACCATCTTCTAGTTTTGTTGATTCTTTGTATGGTTTCCTGCATCTCAATTTTATTCAGTTCAGCTCTGATTTTGGTTGTTTCTTGTTTGTTTTTGTTTGTTTGTTTGTTTTGCTAGCTTTGGGGTTAGTTTGGTCTCATTTCTCTAGGTGTGATTTTAGGTTGCTAATTTAAGATCTTCCTAACTTTTTTATGTTGTTGTTCAGCACTATAAACTTTCCTTTTACCATTGTGTTAGCTGTGTCCCAGAGATTAAAGTAGGTTTTATCCTTGTTTTCATTAGTTTCAAATAATTTCTTGATTTCTGCCTCAATTTCATTGTTTACCTAAAAGTCATTCAGGAGTAGGTTCTTTAATTTCCATGTGATTGTATGGTTTTGAGAGATCTTCTTAGAATTGATTTCTATTTTTATTGCACTGTGGTCTGAGACTGTGCTTGGTGTGATTTCAGTTTCTTTGAATTTGGTGAGAATAGTTTTATGGCTGATTGTGTGGTCGATTTTAGAAGATGTGCCATGTGCAGATGACAAGAATGTATATTCTGTTGTTTTGGTGTGAGAGTTCTGTAGATGTCTGTTAAGTCTATCTGGTCAAGTGTCATATTAAAGTCCCAAATACCTTTGCTAGCTTTTTGCCTTCATGATTTGTCTAATATTGTCAGTGGGGTGTTGAAGCATCTTGCTATTATTGTATGGTTATCTAAATCTCTTTGTAGGTTTCTAAGACTTGTTTTATGAATCTAGGTGATCTTGTACTGGATGCATGTATATTTAGGATAGTTAAATTTTCTCATTGAATTGAACCCTTTACTGCCATGTAATGCCCTTCTTTGACTTTTTTGATTGTTGTTGGTTTAAAGTCTGTTTTTTTCTGAAGTTAGAATAGCAACCCCTGCTATTGTTTGTTTGTTTGTTTTCCATTTGCTTGCTAGATATTTCTCCATCCCTTTACTTTGAGCCTATGGGAGTCATTGCATGTGAGATGTGGCAAGGCACAACTTGTCACTCTACGCCTTTTAATTGGAGCATTTAGCCCATTTACATTCAAGGTTCATATTGATATATGCAAATTTGATCTTGTCATCATGTTGTTAGCTAGTTATCATGTACATTTGATTGTGTAGTTGCTTTATAGTGTCAATGGTCTATGTACCTTAGTGTGTTTCTTTGGTGGCAGTAACAATCTTTCATTTCCATATTTTAACTCTCCCTTAAGGACCTCTTGTAAGGCAGACCTGGTAGTAATGAATTCCCTTATCATTTGCTTCTCTGAAATGGATCTTATTTATTCCTTCTTTGCTTATTAAGCTTAGTTTGGCTGGATACAAAATTCCTGGTCAGAATTTCTTTAAGAATGCTGAATATAGGCCCCCAATCTCTTCTGGTTTGTAGGGTTTCTGCTGAGAGGTCCACTGTTAGCTTGATTGGGTTGGGTTCCCTTTCTAGACGGCCTGTCCTTCTCTCTAGCTGCCTTTAATATTTTTTCTTTCATGTTGACTTTGGAGAATCTGATGACTATGTCTTGGGGATGGTCATCTTATATTTCCTGAATTTAGATGTTAGCCTCTCTAGCAAGGTTGGGGAAATTTTCATGATGATATCTTCAAATATGTTTTCCAAGATGCTTGCTTTCTCTCTTTCAGGGATGTCAGTGAGTTGTGGATTTGGTATCTTTACATAATCCTATATTTCTTGGAAGTTTTGTTCATTCACTTTAATTTTTTTGTTTATTTTTGTCTGAGTGAGTTAATATGGAGAACTGGTCTTTGAGCTCTGAGATTCTTTCCTTAGCTCGGACTGTTCTTCTGTTAATGCTTACTATTGTATTATGAGATTCTTGTAGTGAGTTTTTCACCTTTATCAGATCAGTTTTGTTTTTTCTTAAAATGGTCATTTTATATTTCAACTCCTTTATCATTTTATTATATTCCTTATATTCTTTGAATTAGTTTCTACTTTCTCTGGAATCTTGATGATTTTCATACCTATCCATATTCTAAATCCTATGTGTTATTTCGGGAATTTCAGCCTGGTTAAGAACTGTTGCTGGGAAACTAGTATAGTCCTTTGGAGGTAAGAAGACACTCTTGCATTTTGAATTGCAAGAGTTCTTGTGCTGATGCTTTCTGATCCATGTGGACCAATGTTCTTTCACTCTTCAGAGTTTCTGTTATTTGGATGGGGTTTGTTTTTGTTGTTGTTGTTGCTGCTGCTTTCATCTTATTTGATGCCCTTGAGGGTATGTGTATTAGTCCATTTTCACACTGCTGATAAAGACATACCCAAGACTGGGCAATTTACAAAAGAAAGAGGTTTATTGGACTTACACTTCCACATGGCTGGGGAGGCCTCACAATCATGGTGGAAGGCAAGGAGGAGCAAGTCACATCTTACATGGATGGCAGCAGGCAAAGAGAGAGCATGTGCAAGGGAACTCCTGTTTTTAAAACCATCAGATCTTGTGAGACTTATTCACTATCATGAGAATAGCATGGGAAAGACCCACCTCCCATGATTCAATTACCTACCACCAGGTTCCTCCCACAACATGTGGGAATTCAAGATGAAACCTGGATTGGGACACAGCCAAACCATATCAGTTTGATTGTGGTATAAGGTAGATTCAGTCAACTGGCTTCGTTTCTGGAAGATTTCAGGGGGCTAAGGCTCAGCTCAGCATTCCTGGGTTGTGTGCTCTAACTCTGTTGGGCTGGTACCTGGGCCCCTGGCTTTGTTCTCTGGCCCCTTGAGGTCAGTAACATGCTGTGCTGGAGGGCCTGGGTATTCCATCTGCTGGCCACAACATTCCAATGGGGGTGCTTGCCAAAGCGGTTTGTCAGTGGTGGCAGCAGGATCTGTACTCGCTTAAGTGTGCCAGCAGCTACAGCAGTATGGTGAGGATACGTGCACATCAGATGGGATGGGATGCAAATGGGAACAGGGCAGTGGCATCTGTGTGTTTGCACCAGCAGTGGCAGCATGGCAGGGTGCTTGCATGTTGGCCTATCCTTATATTCTTACATTTCAAGTTCTCCTTGTGTCTGCTTTAAGTTTGAATATGTTTGCTATCAATAATGAATCTGATTTTTAAAATATGTAACAGAGTGCTTTCTTTTTTCCTCCAAATTTGCTGAATCATTCTGTTTCAATCAGGAACTTCAAGGCAGTACAACTGTTGTTCTTGTATGTTTCTTAGGAACAGTGATCTTAGTTGTGATACATTAGAGTTAGGGTAGTGGTGGACAGGGGACTCAAAGGGCTGCTGTTTGCGGATTTTAAAATGTAAATGCCAATTTTTTAGCATAAAGTATTCAGGAAATTTGCAACCAAATGGGTAACACATGTAATTGAACAGTGCCAATAAACTGAATTACAAGTGAGTTAGCTTTTGACTGTGTACAGTCTTCCAAACCTAATAATCATGAAGAACAAAGACCTCAAGACTTTGAAGCTGGTCATCTATCCAGTGAAAGAAAGTCACAGGAGGTGAAAAGAAAGCTAGTGACAAGCAAAGCAGCAGGTTAGTAATTGACATCATTCCCTATAAAACAGCACTAAAGTTGAGATGAAGGCAAAGAATATTATCAAAGCAACATGATCTCCTAATAATAGAGCAAAATCAAATATACAGTAATTGACCCAGCAATCTTACCTCTAGTAATTTATACCAAAGACACAATGGCAAAAAAGTAAAAAGACATCCACCAGGCATGCAATACTGTTTGTAATAGCCAAAGACTAGAAACAACTCAAATATTGATCACCAGGAGAGGGATTAAATAAAATATTGTACATTCACCCAACAAAGTCCAGTGCAGCTGTAAAAAGCAATAGGAATATTTCAATATGTTGCTACATGGAGAAAAGTGTGTATACTACATTAAGAAAGGGAAGAGCTATCATAGATTAAGAGATATGAGAGAAGCATATCAACCAAATACAGTGTATGCACCTTGTTTGGATTCTGATTTAATGTATAATATACAAATGACTTTTTTGAGACAACTAGAGAAAATTAAACTAGACAACAGATAATAAAGAATTATTATTAATTTTGTGGATCGATAATAAAAATTTGGTCATTTTTTCTTAAAAATTCCTTGTCTATGGAGGTAAATACTGACATATTCTTTTGGAAGAAGTCAGCAAACAAAAAAAAAGTGGGGTGGGGGGGTAAAGAAAAGTAAAACTTAAAACAGCAGAGTGTTGAAACGTTGAATCTGGATGACAACTATGTAGGGAATACTGTATTTTCTACTTTTATTTATGTTTGAAAAATTCCATAAGAAGTTAAAATAAATATGCTATATACATATATATAAAAATATACTGTATATAGAGATATGAAGAAACACATACACACACACACACAGAGAGAGAGGGAGAGAGAGAAGCTTTGGTCCCATCCAAGAGATCTGATTTAATGGGTCTGGCATAAGGCATATGTATCTGAATTTTTTAAAAGGTCCAAAGTTCATTGGCAGTCTCATGAATCAAGCAATAGGATATATCATTTGAAGGTTAAAAATTCTTAAATATTTTGTTTATCAAAAATCCATACTGAATACTAAAGCCATGGATAAATACACCAAATTTTCTGTTAGGTAATTCTAAAAGCCCGTTAGGGTTCTTAAGTGACTTAAGGTTATATGAATAACAGGGATTTTTTTTTTATCTCAGTCTACTTTGATGTTCAGATCTGATGATTAAGAGAGAGTCCTGGTTGACAGAATGCCAGGTAACGGACATAATAAACTTAAGTAAACTTGAGGGCAGGACCAGCATCATCTAGGTCATTTACAAATGTCCACAGTCTCTGCCACTTCAAAGGATTACAGGGAGGATAACAAGTATATCTGTGTAAGTTCCTCAGAGTCCTCAAAGAACAGCCTTCAACAAAATCCAAGGTATTAGTGGTGATAACAAGGAAAGCTGCTCACCCAGTGGGCTCACCTTGTCATTGGCAGAGGAGGAGAAGCCCAGATTGGTGAGTGGCATCATCCCTGCCCAGCATCAAAGAGAATGAAAGGTGCAGAATCCTACCAGGGAAGGAGGAGGAGGCTGATAGGGCTCAAAAGCTCAGTCATCTTCTCTGTGTTTGAAAGCAGAGAGAAAGATACCAAGCCCTGTAATATTTCACTCTGCAGCTTATGTTCAAACAAATGGGCAGGGCTTTAATTGGGACTTTGATCCTACCAACAAACATAGACATACACTTTAGGCTGATCTCTAACAGAAAAAAAAATTATATACAAGTATTTTCATTGTGATTTTGCTGTGAGTTTAAAAATCCATATCGAATTTAATTTTTGAGCAATACTAAGCCGGCAGTAAAGTCTTGCTAGAGCATTTTATCAAACTTTAAATTTTTAAATTTTATTTTAAAGTTTTTCAAAACAAAGCTGTAGAAGTAGAATTTTTGGTTCAGGAAATCTTTTCTCGACAAAAGCTCTCTTCAGTAAAAGTCAGAATGTGAGTGTTCCTCACAAAGCACCTTAGTGATTTCATCACTGTCCAGGACTGTGCTTCAACAAACTCAGCTTTCTCAGAGTCTTTGAGATGATTATATGCTGGATGCCGCCTCCAACTAACAAGGCCTACTAGAGATTCATATGTAAATTCAGAGTGAAAATTTACTAATTTTCAATGAGAGCTAAAACTTCTAGATAGATTGAAAAGTCATGTTAGCAGAATCAATAATCATTCAACAAATATTTACTGAGCATTGTAGTAGGCTGAATAATGGAGCCCAAAGATAACAGGTCTTAATCCCTAGAACTTTTCAATGTTACTTTATTTGGTAAAAGGCTCTTTGCAGAAGTGGTCAGTATGGGAAACGTATCCTGGATTTATCCAGGTGGACCCTAAAAGCAATCACAAGCATCCTGCTAAGAGAGAGCCAGAGAGGAATTTGACTACACATACACAAAGGAAAAGGCCATGTAAACACAGAGCAGAGTGAGATTTGAAGATCATGGTCTTAAAGATTGGAGTGATGAGGCCACACATCAAGGAACTTGGGCCGCACCAGATGCTGGAAAAGGCAAGGAATGGAGTCTCCACTACAGCCCCCAGAGAGAGTGCAGCTCTGCCACTGACACCTTCATTTCAGCCCAGTGGTAACTATTTCAGACCTCTGGCCTCCAGAGCAGTGAGAGAATAAACTTGTGTTTTAAGACACCAAGTTTGTGATAATTTGTTACAGTGGCCCTAAAAAATTAATGCAAGCACAAAGTGTGTGTGCCAACTGTGCCTGCCAACTGTTTGCACATGAGAAATGTTAGTGGCAGCCAGATCTGCATGGTCTTCATCTTCATGAAACCTCAAAGTAGGTGGTAGGAAGATATATGATTTGATTCCATCAGGTCTCCATAGCTTCTGTATTGCTGCCATGGTGGCAATATGTAACCTGCAGGCAAACTGATGTTCCTGTCAGCTGAAAGAACATTTTTTTTTTCCTCCAGACAATTCTCCATGTTTTCTCTTTAATGCACCAAGCTGGCCATTCCTTCTTTTGCACACAGCCACTTCAATTATACAATCTCCTTTAATTCCCATCAACTGCCAATAGATCTATTAGATAGATAGACAGACACACATCTTATGTTTAGATTTTGTTTGTTTCACTATCACAGAGCATACGTTTGCCTTCTTACCAAGCTCCTGAGGTAACATTTCATGTAGCTACATCTTTTATATAATATTTAATATTGTATTATTGTGTTTACAATGAATATAATCACAGATGTTGGGGATTTGAGCATAAATGGATTTGACATTTTATGACACTTTTGGCTGAGACCTTCCACCTTGACAAATGTTCTGAACATTCTGCAAATAATTGCATGGAGTGTCCTTTTGACCACGGAACAAACTGTTAGGTATGGCAAGCTACTTTGAAAATGACCACGAACATCAGTATGCTGATTTTAAAGATGTTTTGTGAGTTATTGTAACTAAAATGAACTATGCATATGACGCTTAAAAAGTAGAATATTGTGGGAGGAGCCAAGATGGCCGAATAGGAACAGCTCCGGTCTACAGCTCCCAGCGTGAGTGACGCAGAAGACGGTGATTTCTGCATTTCCATCTGAGGTACCGGGTTCATCTCTCTAGGGAGTGCCAGACAGTGGGTGCAGGTCAGTGGGTGCGCGCACCGTGAGTGAGCCGAAGCAGGGCGAGGCATTGCCTCACTTGGGAAGCGCAAGGGGTTAGGGAGTTCCCTTTCCGAGTCAAAGAAAGGGGTGACAGACTGCACCTGGAAAATCGGGTCACTCCCACCCAAATACTGCGCTTTTCCGACGGGCTTAAAAAACGGCGCACCACGAGATTACATCCCGCACCTGGCTCGGAGGGTCCTATGCCCACGGAGTCTCGCTGATTGCTAGCACAGCAGTCTGAGATCAAACTGCAAGGCGGCAGCGAGGCTGGGGGAGGGGCGCCCGCCATTGCCCAGGCTTGATTAGGTAAACAAAGCCGCCGGGAAGCTCAAACTGGGTGGAGCCCACCACAGCTCAAGGAGGCCTGCCTGCCTCTGTAGGCTCCACCTCTGGGGGCAGGGAACAGACAAACAAAAAGACAGCAGTAACCTCTGCAGACTTAAATGTCCCTGTCTGACAGCTTTGAAGAGAGCAGTGGTTCTCCCAGCAAGCAGCTGGAGATCTGAGAACCGGCAGACTGCCTCTTCAAGTGGGTCCCTGACTCCTGACCCCTGACCCCTGAGCAGCCTAACTGGGAGGCACCCCCCAGCAGGGGAACACTGACACCTCACATGGCAGGGTATTCCAACAGACCTGCAGCTGAGGGTCCTGTCTGTTAGAAGGAAAACTAACAAACAGAAAGGTCATCCACACCAAAAACCCATCTGTACATCACCATCATCAAAGACCAAAAGTAGATAAAACCACAAAGATGGGGAAAAAACAGAACAGAAAAACTGGAAACTCTAAAACGCAGAGCGCCTCTCCTCCTCCAAAGGAATGCAGTTCCTCACCAGCAACGGAACAAAGCTGGATGGAGAATGATTTTGACGAGCTGAGAAAAGGCTTCAGACGATCAAATTACTCTGAGCTACGGGAGGACATTCAAACCAAAGGCAAAGAAGTTGAAAACTTTGAAAAAAATTTATAAGAATGTATAACTAGAATAACCAATACAGAGAAGTGCTTAAAGGAGCTGATGGAACTGAAAACCAAGGCTCGAGAACTACGTGAAGAATGCAGAAGCCTCAGGAGCCGATGCGATCAACTGGAAGAAAGGGTATCAGCGATGGAAGATGAAATGAATGAAATGAAGCGAGAAGGGAAGTTTAGAGAAAAAAGAATAAAAAGAAATGAGCAAAGCCTCCAAGAAATATGGGACTATGTGAAAAGACCAAATCTACGTCTGATTGGTGTACCTGAAAGTGATGGGGTGAATGGAACCAAGTTGGAAAACACTCCGCAGGATATTATCCAGGAGAACTTCCCCAATCTAGCAAGGCAGGCCAACATTCAGATTCAGGAAATACAGAGAACGCTACAAAGATACTCCTCGAGAAGAGCAACTCCAAGACACATAATTGTCAGATTCACCAAAGTTGAAATGAAGGAAAAAATGTTAAGGGCAGCTACAGAGAAAGGTCGGGTTACCCTCAAAGGGAAGCCCATCAGACTAACAGCGGATCTCTCAGCAGAAACCCTACAAGCCAGAAGAGAGTGGGGACCAATATTCAACATTCTTAAAGAAAAGAATTTTCAACCCAGAATTTCATATCCAGCCAAACTAAGCTTCATAAGTGAAGGAGAAATAAAATACTTTAGAGACAAGCAAATGCTGAGAGATTTTGTCACCACCAGGCCTGCCCTAAAAGAGCTCCTGAAGGAAGTGCTAAACATGGAAAGGAACAACCGGTACCAGCCGCTGCAAAATCATGCCAAAATGTAAAGACCATTGAGACTAGGAAGAAACTGCATCAACTAATGAGCAAAATAACCAGCTAACATCATAGTGACAGGATCAAATTCACACATAACAATATTAACTTTAAATGTAAATGGACTAAATGCTCCAATTAAAAGACACAGACTGGCAAGTTGGATAAAGAGTCAAGACCCATCAGTGTGCTGTATTCAATAAACCCATCTCACGTGCAGAGACACACATAGGCTAAAAATAAAAGGATGGAGGAAGATCTACCAAGCAAATGGAAAACAAAAAAAGGCAGGGGTTGCAATCCTAGTCTCTGATAAAACAGACTTTAAACCAACAAAATCAAAAGAGACAAAGAAGGCCATTACATAATGGTAAAGGGATCAATTCAACAAGAAGAGCTAACTATCCTAAATATATATGCACCCAATACAGGAGCACCCAGATTCATAAAGCAAGTCCTGAGTGACCTACAAAGAGACTTAGACTCCCACACATTAATAATGGGAGACTTTAACACCCCACTGTCAACATTAGACAGATCAACGAGACAGAAAGTCAACAAGGATACTCAGGAATTGAACGCAGCTCTGCACCAAGCGGACATAATAGACATCTACAGAACTCTCCACCCCAAATCAACAGAATATGCATTCTTTTCAGCACCACACCACACCTATTCCAAAATTGACCACATACTTGGAAGTAAAGCTCTCCTCAGCAAATGTAAAAGAACACAAATTATAACAAACTGTCTCTCAGACCACAGTGCAATCAAACTAGAACTCAGGATTAAGAATCTCACTCAAAACCGCTCAACTACATGGAAACTGAACAACCTGCTCCTGAATGACTACTGGGTACATAACAAAATGAAGGCAGAAATAAAGATGTTCTTTGAAACCAATGAGAACAAAGACACAACATACTAGAATCTCTGGGACACATTCAAAGCAGTGTGTAGAGGGAAATTTATAGCACTAAATGCCCACAAGAGAAAGCAGGAAAGATCCAAAATTGACACCCTAACATCACAATTAAAAGAACTAGAAAAGCAAGAGCAAACACATTCAAAAGCTAGCAGAAGGCAAGAAATAACTAAGATCAGAGCAGAACTGAAGGAAATAGAGACACAAAAAACCCTTCAAAAAATTAATGAATCCAGGAGCTGGTTTTTTGAAAAGATCAACAAAATTGATAGACCACTAGCAAGACTAATAAAGAAAAAAAGAGAGAAGAATCTAATAGACGCAATAAAAAATGATAAAGGGGGTATCACCACTGATCCCACAGAAATACAAACTACCATCAGAGAATACTACAAACACCTCTACGCAAATAAACTAGAAAATCTAGAAGAAATGGATAAATTCCTCGACACATACACTCTCCCAAGACTAAACCAGGAAGAAGTTGAATCTCTGAATAGACCAATAACAGGATCTGAAATTGTGGCAACAATCAATATCTTACCAACCAAAAAGAGTCCAGGACCAGATGGATTCACAGCTGAATTCTACCAGAGGTACAAGGAGGAACTGGTACCATTCCTTCTGAAACTATTCCAATCAATAGAAAAAGAGGGAATCCTCCCTAACTCATTTTATGAGGCCAGCATCATTCTGATACCAAAGCCAGGCAGAGACACAACCAAAAAAGCGAATTTTAGACCAATATCCTTGATGAACATTGATGCAAAAATCCTCAATAAAATAGTGGCAAAACGAATCCAGCAGCACATCAAAAAGTTTATCCACCATGATCAAGTGGGCTTCAACCCTGGGATGCAAGCCTGGTTCAATATATGCAAATCAATAAATGTAATCGAGCATATAAACACAGCCAAAGACAAAAACCACATGATTATCTCAATAGATGCAGAAAAAGCCTTTGACAAAATTCAACAACCCTTCATGCTAAAAACTCTCAATAAATTAGGTATTGATGGGACGTATTTCAAAATAATAAGAGCTATCTATGACAAACCCACAGCCAATATCATACTGAATGGGCAAAAACTGGAAGCATTCCCTTTGAAAACTGGCACAAGACAGAGATGCCCTCTCTCACCACTCCTATTCAACATAGTGTTGGAAGTTCTGGCCAGGGCAATTAGGCAGGAGAAGGAAATAAAGGGTATTCAATTAGGAAAAGAGGAAGTCAAATTGTCCCTGTTTGCAGACGACATGATTGCATATCTAGAAAACCTCATTGTCTCAGCCCAAAATCTCCTTAAGCTGATAAGCAACTTCAGCAAAGTCTCAGGATACAAAATCAATGTACAAAAATCACAAGCATTCTTATACACCAACAACAAACAAACAGAGAGCCAAATCATGAGTGAACTCCCATTCACAATTGCTTCAAAGAGAATAAAATACCTAGGAATCCAACTTACAAGGGATGTGAAGGACCTCTTCAAGGAGAATTACAAACCACTGCTCAAGGAAATAAAAGAGGATACAAACAAATGGAAGAACATTCCATGCTCATGGGTAGGAAGAATCAATATCGTGAACATGGCCATACTGCCCAAGGTAATTTACAGATTCAATGCCATCCCCATCAAGCTACCAATGACTTTCTTCACAGAATTGGAAAAAACTACTTTAAAGTTCATATGGAACCAAAAAAGAGCCCGCATCGCCAAGTCAATCCTGAGCCAAAAGAACAAAGCTGGAGGCATCACACTACCTGACTTCAAACTATACTACAAGGCTACAGTAACCAAAACAGCATGGTACTGGTACCAAAACAGAGATATAGATCAATGGAACAGAACAGAGCCCTCAGAAATAACACCGCATATCTACAACTATCTGATCTTTGACAAACCTGAGAAAAACAAGCAATGGGGAAAGGATTCCCTATTTAATAAATGGTGCTGGGAAAATTGGCTAGCCATATGTAGAAAGCTGAAACTGGATCCCTTCCTTACACCTTATACAAAAATCAATTCAAGATGGATTAAAGACTTAAACGTTAGACCTAAAACCATAAAAACCCTAGAAGAAAACCTAGGCATTACCATTCAGGACATAGGCATGGGCAAGGACTTCATGTCTAAAACACCAAAAGCAATGGCAACAAAAGCCAAAATTGACAAATGGGATCTAACTAAACTAAAGAGCTTCTGCACAGCAAAAGAAACTACCATCAGAGCGAACAGGCAACCTACAAAATGGGAGAAAATTTCGCAACCTACTCATCTGACAAAGGGCTAATATCCAGAATCTACAATGAACTCAAACAAATTTACAAGAGAAAAACAAATAACCCCATCAAAAAGTGGGCAAAGGACATGAACAGACACTTCTCAAAAGAAGACATTTATGCAGCCAAAAAACACATGAAAAAATGCTCATCATCACTGGCCATCAGAGAAATGCAAATCAAAACCACAATAAGATGCCATCTCACTCCAGTTAGAATGGCAATCATTAAAAAGTCAGGAAACAACAGGTGCTGGAGAGGATGTGGAGAAATAGGAACACTTTTACACTGTTGGTGGGACTTTAAACTAGTTCAACCATTGTGGAAGTCAGTGTGGTGATTCCTCAGGGATCTAGAACTAGAAATACCATTTGACCCAGCCATCCCATTGCTGGGTATATACCCAAAGGACTATAAATCATGCTGCTATAAAGACACCTGCACATGTATGTTTATTGCGGCATTATTCACAATAGCAAAGACTTGGAACCAACCCAAATGTCCAACAATGATAGACTGGATTAAGAAAATGTGGCACATATACACCATGGAATACTATGCAGCCATAAAAAATGATGAGTTCATGTCCTTTGTAGGGACGTGGATGAAATTGGAAAACATCATTCTCAGTAAACTATCGCAAGAACAAAAAACCAAACACTGCATATTCTCACTCATAGGTGGGAATTGAACAGTGAGATCACATGGACACAGGAAGGGGAATATTACACTCTGGGGACTGTTGTGGGGTGGGGGGAGTGGGGAGGGATAGCATTGGGAGATATACCTAATGCTAGATGACGAGTTAGTGGGTGCAGTGCACCAGCATGGCACATGTATACATATGTAACTAACCTGCACAATGTGCACATGTACCCTAAAACTTAAAGTATAATAAAAAAAAAAAGAAAAAAAAAGTAGAATATTTTGCTTATTATATGCATCAGTTAATGAGGTTCTGGTGCCCTGGTCTAAGAAATGCCACCCTCCTTTGCCTCTGATTGGCATCAAGAATGTAAGCTGAATCAAGCCATCTCTCCCAAGGCACGCACAAGGTAGTTTGTTATGCAGCCTCATACATAGAAAAGGATTTCCCAGGGTTTGTCCTCCACTGTAACCATCCAACTTTGGAGCTGTGCGGATGAGAGAGAATAGTCGGTAGCTGTTTACAGTAGTGCTCTCTCTTAGCCCATGGATAGTAACTGCACTATAAGCCTAGGAAATGGAAAAATAATGGATTCCTCTCATCTGGCCTCCTGCCTCCTACAGTCCCTATCTTCTACCATGAGTCCACATTTGCCTTTCAGAAATGAGGTTAATTCACTTTTATCTCCCTCTAGGATTTGTGAGATTTTTCGTGTGCTTCGGATACTTCTATGGGAGTCAGTAGGCCTGGAGAGAGAAAACTGGCTTGCATGCCCAGCCAACAAGAAAAGAGTTTGCCTGTTTGACTTTACTGTTTTCATAAGCTTTGCAAAAGCATGGACTGAGGATGACAGAATCTTCTTTGGGTCATGATTTCATAAAAATTTTAAATACATTTTATGATTAAAATGTAATTATGTAATCATTGCATATAATTTTGAATATAAATTAAAGTATAACGAAGAAAATAAAACCATCTGAAAACCTATCGCTTCAAAATAACCAGTGTTGGCATTGAACATGAATACATTTCACTATGAAATTGTGATCATTCTCTGTACACAGTTTAAAGTCCTGCTTTTTTTTACTTTACATAAAATCATAATTTTCTTTGTCATTATGTAGTCATCATAAACATGACTTTTCAGAGCTGTAAATATCCTACCATTTTATATTTGACCACTTCACTATTGTTTGATGCTTCTATTATTTCCGGTTTCTCACTGTTGAAAGCAGCACTTTGAAATGAAAACACTTGCATATAAATTCTTTGTGGACATGTATAATTATTTCACCAGGATAAAGTGCTAGTTGTGAAATTACTGGGTGAAAGAACATGCAGGCTTTAGATAATTTCTTCTGAAGTATAAAATACACACAGAAAAATACACAAACCGTAAGGGCATTGCTAGAATTTTTATCAAGGGAATACAACCACGGAAAATACCCAAAATCCAGATCAAGAAATATTTCTATCACCCCAGAAGACCCCTGTCAGTTCCTAAATACCCCAAAGGTAACCACTATATTGACCTTTCACACAATAAATTAATTTTACTGCTGTTTAAATGCCATATAAATAGAATCATTTTCTGGTATATACTCTTGTTTTAATCTGGCCCTTTCACTCAACACTATGTCATTTGTGCAATTCATCCATGTAGTTGAGTGTAGCGATAGTTTGTTCTTTCTCATTGCTGGATGGTATTCCATGGTGTGCACATGCCATGCTTACTTATCCATTCTACTGTTGAGGAGGATTTGAATACTTTTCAATTTGGAGCTATTAAGAATAGTTCTGCTATGAACGTTCTAAAACATGTCTTTTGGTAAACATATTGCAGAGGCTAAAGCAACTCCATCTTGGATGCTAATCCACCATGCTGACCTCTGATTAACTTCAGTACCGGGAAGCCCTCCAAGATTTCCAGTTTATTGTTTCTTGTATAAGAGCATGTACTTACCATAAATCCTGCCCTTAGGTTAAAACAACCTTGATGTTATCATACTTACCATGTGTCTTGCGCTTGGCAATTGTCCTACACATTCCTCTGAGTCACATATGCCCTTTCCCTATGGAGCACAGGGTCTGATGGATAATGGTGTGGGGATCCACCATCTTGTCTCACCACTGCCTGAGACAGACATGGTTTCTGTTCGTTAAGTCTCTATTAAATATTTCCTTCTGAGAAACAGAATATATCAGTCTCTTTTTTTAACTTTTAAGTTCAGAGATACATATGCAGATTTGTTATACAGGTAAACTCACGTCACGGGGGTTTGTTGTAAAGATTATTTTGTCGCCCAGGTATTAGGCCAAGTATTTATTAGTTATTTTTCCTGATCCTCTCTCTCCTTCCACCCTATGCCCCCAGAGAGGCCCCAGTGTCTGTAGTTTCCCTCTATGTGTTTATGTGTTTTCATAATTTAGTTTCCACTTGTAAGCGAGAACATACAGTATTTGCTTTTCTATTCTGGCATTAGTTTGCTAAGGATAATGGCCTCCAGCTCCATCCATGTTGCTGCAAAGGATATAATCTGGTTCTTCTTAATGGCTGCATAGTATTCCGTGGTGTATATATACTACATTCTCTTTATTCCAGTCTACTATTGATGGTCATTTAGGTTGTCTCCATGTCTTTGCTATTGTGAATGGTGCTGCAACAAACATACACACGCATGTGTCTTTATAACAGAACAATTTATATTCCTTTGTGTACATACCCAGTGATAAGATTGCTGGGTTGAATAGTAGTTCTGGTTTTAGCTCTTTGAGGAATAGCCACACTGCTTTGCACAATGGTTGAACTAATTTACACCCCCCACAACAGTGTATAAGCATTCCTTTTTCTCCAAAACCTCAGCAGCATCTCTTTTATTTTACTTTTTTTACTTTTTAATGATGGCCATTCTGACTGGTGTGAGATGGTATCTTATTGTGGTTTTGATTTGAATTTCTCTAATGATCAGTGATGTTGAGCTTTTTTTCATACACTTGTTGGCCGCATGTATGTCTTCTTTTGAAAAGTGTCCGTTCATGTCCTTTGCCCACTTTTTAATGGGGTTGTTTGTTTGGCTTATAAATCTGTTTAAGCTCCTTATAGATGCTGGATATTAGACCTTTGTCAGATGCATAGTTTGCAAATATTTTCTCCCATTCTGTGGGTTGTGTGTTTACTTTGTTTATAGTTTATTTTGCTGTGCATAAGCTCTTTAGTTTAATTGGATCTCATTTGTCAAATTTTGCTTTTGTTGCAATTGCTTTTGGCAGCTTTGTCATGAAATCTTTGCCCAATGTCCAGAATGGTTTTGTCTAGGTTGTCTTTCAGGGTTTTTATAGTTTTGGGTTTTACATTTAAGTCTTTAATCCATCTTGAGTTGATTTTTGTACATGGTATAAGGAAGGGGTCTAGTTTCAGTCTTCTGCATATGGCTAGCCAGTTATCCCAGCACCATTTATTGAATAGGGAATCCTTTCCCCATTGCTTGTTTTTTGTCTGCTTTGTCAAAGATCAGACGGTTGTAGGTATGCAGCCTGATTTCTGGGCTCTCTATTCTGTTTCATTGCTCTATGTGTTTGTTTTTGTACCAGTCGTTTTGTACCATATGTCAGCCTCTTTCTTCAGCCCCTCAACTTCCTCAGACTTTTCAGGGTAGCTATGCATAGACCTGCTCACCATGGGACACATACACACAAACTTCTGTTGGATATGTATTAATACTTAGGAGTGGAAATACTAGTTTATTGAGATGGCATATTTT
Source organism: Homo sapiens (assembly GCF_000001405.40). Taxonomy (NCBI): domain Eukaryota; kingdom Metazoa; phylum Chordata; class Mammalia; order Primates; family Hominidae; genus Homo; species Homo sapiens. The sequence continues at coordinate 42,421,360 of NC_000023.11, read as the reverse complement.
TATTCTCAGTATATTCTGTCAAACAGTTTTCTAAAATGGTTGTAGAATATGCACATTTTAAGTCTCTTGATGCAAACTGCTATTCAGAAAGGTTCTCAAACCTTACAATCTCCCAGCAGCATATCAGATCCCACATGGAACTTTTCCAAACACTAAGTATTACACTGTTTTAAAAGACCTTTGCCGCTCAGTTAGGCCAAAAAGTGGCTTTCTTTCTGTCGTTTTGATTTGTATTTCCTTGATTGCTATTGATAGTCAATACACATTTTACAAAAGAAGAAACACAAATATCTAATCAACATATTTTTTAAATGATCACATTATTTCCCACATTATCTATTGGAATATTTGTCTTTGTCTTGTTGTTTTGAAAAGCATTGCTTTGTATTAACAGAATCATGGAAAATGTTTAAATAATAGCTTCATATACACACAGACTCAATTAATGCAGGGATACATTTTGTGACTCTCATTCCATTTTTAAACTTTTTATCCACTAAGCAAATTTATGGTGCATACATTTTGTTCAAGGATATATGATACATTGTATAGTGAGAAAAAAAATTGTTCAATAAGTTAGGCTCTACCTTCAAATGGTTTATAGTCCATTGGCTGCATAAGATGCCTCCCCCGACCCCGCAAGTGGATATCTACAGTGCAGAGCAGCAAGCTGTGCAAGTCACTTGGGCAATAACAGAGTAAGGGACTTAGGGCTGTAGAGAAAGGACAAAGGGCATTTGGCTGGGATAACAGACTGCATTGAAGGCGCAGCCTTGAAACTAAACCTTGAAAGATGAGAGTACCTTCTCCACTAGCTGAATCTGAAGGGGAAGCAGAGGCCAAGCTGGCCCTAAGGCCAGAAGGAAGCCCGGGGATACATGGCAGGATACAAGTATGTATAAAACAAGAGGAGAAATCAAGAAGCCCAGGCTAGTTCTCATATGGAATTCAGGCAAGAGAATGATGAGCTCAAAATAAGACAGGAAGACAGTTTGAAGCCAGAGAGTTCCTGTTTGAAACAATTTCATTAGCACTAAGCTGTTCCTCCATTTTAAGTAACTTGTTCCCTCTGGAAGAAATCCCCTCCCCCCATTGAGCTCTGAAAGTTAGGCTAGGCTGGGTGGACTTAAGTTGGGAACCTACATGTGTACAAAGCTAGGACCCTTGCCATTGAAACAAGTAAAAAAGTAAGCAACAAAGGCACATTTATAACGCTGGAGGCAGATTAAGTCAGTCACAGATGTTCTCCTGTTTGAAAAGTGAAGAAAAATAAAAGCAAAGGTTAACCAAACAACCTGTGACTCTGCTTATAGAATCTGAGGAAAGTTTGAGTTGGTGTTTGTAACTGAGAGAAAAACAACTGAGGATGGCGGTGAGAAGCAAAGAGGCAGTACCCATGTAAACTTGCAAGTATATTGGCAAATATAACCCAAGATTTTGATTAGACTTGATCTTAGAAGTATTATGGATGTCCAGGGATTTCCTTTCACTTGGCATGTATGTGCATCCTATGAACCTTCTGTAGCCAAATTTGCTTCCGTGTGTTTTCCTCATTCCACCCAACGCTTACCATCCATCCCCTGCCCACCACCACACACACACACATACACGCTTGCTGGGAGTAGAAACTTAGAGCCAAGAAAAGTCCATAAACCTGTTCCCTGGCTTAAAGCCTACCAAAAGAAAATGAGGAGCTAGCTGTGAGCAAGAATCATTGTGTTGCGTTTCACAGGTTCATTTCCCTAATTCTATTTGAGGACTCTAAACACATTATCAAAAGAACTAATAAAAGAGTGGGAGTGGCTTTTCTTCCTGGAGTTTGGGGTACCACAGGTAAGGCAGTGGGAACAGTCAATCCCAGGTACAGACAATAAGAGACTACATTGTTTATAGATTATTTTAAAACAATAATAACACCAGCTAGTCCATCTGCTTGATTTTCACCATGTACTAGCAATTCTAAATAAATCAGCAAGAAAATACTCCCCCCGCAAAAAAAAAAAAAAAAAAATTCTCTTGTTTTCGTGATTGCTTTTAAGCTTTAAAACTGTTACATATACATAAACTTCAAAACAGCATTTTGTATTGCTTATTCTTCAATCAACATGGTATTTTACAAGGAAATGAATTCAGAGAACTCCCAGTTATAGAGACATCCTGACACATGTAGTCTCAGCTACATGGGCCCATTGCTAGAGAAGATAACAGTTCTAAGTGAATGGAGCTCACTTTGGATGAAGTTCCTTGCTCCATCCCCTGTAATACAGCACATCTCTGCATTTAAACAGTAGATTCAAACTAAGAAGTGATAGCAAAATGATTATAAATACAGAGAAACAGAAACCGAGTTACTTCAATTCTGCTATTTCATGAACAAAATTGTTCTGTGAACCTGGTGGTATTAATGCTTTCAGACATTTTTCTTTATGTGTGCCGTGGCCATGTCACCATTTTTCCCCAACATGACAGTCATGTAATTAAAAAGTATTCATCTATACATTTTGTCCCTTTTTGTACTGTAATATTTATTCTTATTACTTTTTAAAACTGGCATAATATATTTGAAGTTCAAGAAAATGTTCACTGTCTACATTCTTTTCTGGCCAGTATTATTCATTTTATATCATGACTACTTTGAAGATAATTTGATCAATAAATGATCTATTCTGGTTTTCAATACACCAGGCAAGGCACAAAGGGAGACCAGCCATTTCCCACCAGGAGTCCCAGTGAAGATGAGGTTCAGAAACCCACAGGGAACTTGAGCCACAACAGGTCTCAGTAATTAACATGGGAAGATGAATTTCAGAAAAAAAGAAGTAGAGCCTGAGGCTCTGTTAGACACAGTGAGGTCCCATCTCCTCAGTACCAAGAAGTGTTATACACTGATCAAAAAGGGCAACTTTAAAACCAGAAATCAGGCCCAAAAGAGACCCATTCAGCATGCAAGACAGGATTGTTCAAGCCTTTTTAATAGCAACCAACAGTTAAATATATATTTCACATGCAATCAGAACACACATACTAATATATACATATACATATTATTTTAAAAACACTTAAACCTTACTATGGATGATGAAGTCTGTTCATTCTATTTCACTTTTTCAAAATGTTGGTTGTGACCCAGCAAATTCAGTTCATGTCCCACTATTGGGTAGTGAGCTGCAGTTTAAAAAATACTGATGCAAGGGAAAGGAGTCTTGACCTTCCAGCACACAGATAATCATTTAAGATTTGTAGGTCTTTTACTCCAGAGCAAGCTTTGAAGAGCCAGATGCTTCTTCTTATCCTGTGTCCTGGAGCAATCTGAGCTCAAACTTCACTAAGAACTAGAAAAAAAGGATGAGTTGGGGACATAACAAAATTCAAACAGGTCCAAAACCCATATGCTATGGTTTGACTATGTCCCCCAAAAAGGATGTGTTGAAAACTTATTCCCCAATACAACACTGTTGGGAGGTGGGGCCTAATTAGTCATGAGGGTTCTACCTTCAGGAATAGATTCATGCTGATTATAAAAGGACTTCAGGTTGTAAATTCAACCTCTTGCTCTCTCTCTTCCTCTTGCCTTCTGCCATGGGATGACACAGCAAGAAGACCCTCGCCAGATGCTGGCTCCTTGATCTTGGGCATCGCAACCTCCAGAACCATAAGCTAATAAATTTCTGTTCATTATAAATTACCCAGTCTGTAGTATTCTGTTATAGCAGTAGCAAATGGATTAAGACACTATGTTAAGGTAAGAAAAGAAGATCTGGGAATTTTCTGAGGCTTTTAACTAAAAAAGTAAGTACTTTTTGAGTAAGAATATCTCAAGTTGAGGGCCTATTCTATTACTGCAATAAAAAGACAATAAGAAAAGTTAAGAAATAGCTTTGGAGAAATGAAATGTCATAGTAACACTACTTTGTCTGACAGTGAACAATATTTACATAGCTACAATGATGTAAACATTTTTGATTTTCCACTTGTAGAATTAACTTACAGAAAAGGAGAGGATTTACTTACTTGAATTATATGTTCATGGTTGTTATGAACCTTCAAATAGAAATGCAAGTGTATGGGGGCAAAAGTTAGGAGGTGGACATGTGAGAGAAGAGTTAAGAAAAGGTAGCATCCTTAAGATTCTCATTAAAAAGTGAGGAGTTAAGGATTCTGTACTTTGTATCTAGTTGATAAAATTAAAATGTATTACTTAGATCTACAGAGGTAACTAACAGTGGAACTGAAATAGGCATATGAATTTGTTAGTAAGATGAGGAGAGAAGAAATACAGAAGCAAAATTCTCATTTATTATAGAGGAAGTCAATATATCATGTGTACAACTGATACATCAAGAAACAGTAGAAAAATATATTGTATTTAGGAATGTGGAAGTAGCTACAAAGAAAAAGGGGGCAAAATCATTTAAAAATAGATGCAACTGGGAAGGGGTGATATCAGGGACTACTGTTTATTATTACACATGTTTCTGTACAAATGCATTTTGAAAACAATTTTCATGAATTATTCTAATTTAAAATAATAATAAAATTAATAACATGGTGATGGTAATAATTAGTGTAATCTAAAAATTATGGATTTTACCCTTTTGATTTTCTAGAGTTGTGAATCAATCGTTGAAATAAAAATTATCGTAACACTTTTGAGTTCTCTTTTTCTCTTACTCCTGGCACAGTTTGCCAACTTCTAAAAATGGTTTTATATACCATTCTTTAACAAATGAGACTTAAATGTAAGTTAAATAAAAGCATTCCTCAGAAATTAATCAACTTTGGTGAGACAAAAATGATTTGATGGTACTTTGATCATATTTTATATTCCATATTTGGTTGATATGACTCTTAATGCTAGCAATATTATCCTGCTTAAGAGAAAAGCCGTTTTCCATTCTGTTACATTGTAACTTGCACTTCCAGAGCCTCCAGAGAGAACTCTGCAGGAGCTGTTCATGAGCTGCAACAGCAGCGTCAGATGGGATGTAGGTGGGTCTCCTGTGATCAACTTGGTCAAGTATAAGATGGAATGTAAGAGCTAAAATAGACCTCAGAGATGGTCTGTCTCCTTAATACTCAAAGTGGGGTCTCAGGACCAGCAGAGCATCACCTGAGAGCTTATTAGGCATGCACAACCTAAGGCCTCAGAGCTGCCGAATCAGCATGGGCATTTTAACAAGACCCCCAGTTGATTCAGTTGATTTGTGTTCACATTAAATTTTTAGAAGCATTGGTCATTCTAATTCAATCTTCCTCCCAGTGCTCAAACCCCTCTCTCCAGCATCTCTGACCACTGGTCTCCTAGCCTTGTCTCTGTTGAGAGCACTAGATGATATTTTGTAAGGGGGATATCTGCAAGGGTTCAAGGGAGGCTGATTTGATGATGTGCTAGAAATTTGCCCAGCAGACTGAGGCAGGAGGGAGAGCAGTATTGGGACTGGTGGAGATGAGGGTAAGGACCGTGGAACCAGTGTGAGCCATAGGGGAAAAGGTTCAATGCACTAATGACAGACTGAAGGGCAAGGGCTAAGTCTGAGATGGGAGTTCAGCCAAGGGGCGGAACTGCTGTGAGCAGCCAAAGGAAAGTAGTTGATACAAACTCAAGTAGCCCATCTAGGTTAGAGAACTAGAAGATAGTCTGGAGAGCCTTTTGTAAAAATTGCCTTAGGCTGACAAGATAATAGCATGTTTTTCACTTGAGGAGCTTCCAGTTAGTCTTCATGAGTGTTTTTTAAACAGCTTTATTGAAATTTAACTGACATACCATGCCATACAATTCACCCGTTTAAAGTTTACAATCCAATGGCTTATAGTGTATTCATATAGTTGTACATCAGTCACCGCAATCAGCTTTAGAATATTCTCATTACCTGACAAGAAATCCTTTACCCCTTAGTTATCATTCCCCATTCCCCCACCCACCCACCTCCAGCCCCGGCAACTACTAATGTGACTTTTGTCTCTAGGAATTTGCCTATTCTGGAGATTTCATATAAATGGAAACATACAGTATGTGGTCCTTGGTGAGTGGCTTCCTTCACTTAGCATAATGTTTTCAACGTTCATCCATGTTGTTGCACGTATACTTTTGACCTTTCAAAACAAAACCAAATTATACTAACAGTATCAGCAAACAGCAGAATCTCTAAAGAAATAACAAATGAAACTCCCACTTTTAAAAGTGAAGCTTCAATTCCAGTTTTGTTGAGTGTGGAATCAGAATGCCTGAATAAAGTATGAATCTCAGCCAAAACCAGGGAGATTCAAAACCTGAGAGAAGCCATGCCAGAGACCCTCTTCAGCTCTGATGAAGTCAAATAAGTGAAAGCCACTCATCCTGTACTAAAGTTCCAAATGTCAGCAAAGCAGTGAGGATTGTAGGAAGCTTGCTTCAGGTCCCATCTGCAGGTCATCAAATGTCAACCTAAAATAATCAAAAGAGTCAGGGTATAATTTAAAGAGAGTTCAGAGGGGCCAAGATGGCCAATTAGAAGCAGCTGAGGTCTGCAGCACTCACAGAGAGGAATGAAAGGGGCAAGTGAATACAGCACCCTCATCTAAAATATCCAGGTAGTCACATTGGGACTGATCAGGAAAATAACTCGACCCACAGAGGAAAAAGAAAAGCAGGGTGGGGCGATGGCCCACTCAGGAATGACAGAGCCAAGGGAACCCCAGTCAAGGGAAGCGGTGAATGATTTTGCACTCATGGGAAACTATGCTTCTCCCACGGATCTTTGCAAATCATGGATCAGGAGATCCCCTCATGATCCCCTGCCACCAGGACCTTAGGTCTGACACACAGAGCTATGTGAAGTTGGCAGAGCACCTTCTCAGGCATGCATAGGCCCAGAAGCTTTGCATAATCTGGCTCCAGGATCCCCAACAAACGTGTCTGCAACTCAGGCAAGGCAGAAGGTCCACACATACCCCTAGGAAGGGGGCAGAATCCAGGAACTCAAGCAGTATCATTCTGTGGACCCCACTTCCACAGCATCTCACAAAATAAGACTCACTGGCTTGGCATTCCAGCCAGCCACTGGCAACAGGGCGGAGCCTGCCTGAAACAGGATGGAGCCTCCAAGGGGAGGGGTGGGTGCCATCTCTGCTGTGTGGTTGACTCAGTCATTTGTGTCTGTGGGCTTCGGAGACTCCAAATAATCCAGTCGAGGAAGGATCCCCCCAGCAGTGCCCCACAGTGGCTTTGCCATATTGTGGCCAGACTGCTTCTCTAAGCAGGGCCCCAATCCATTCCTCCTCACTGGGCAGGACCTCGCAGCCAGGACCTCTAGCCACGCCTGCCCACCTGCACATATTATGGACAGATCTCTGATCTCACCCAGGGATGGAGTGCCTAGGGGAGGGAAGGGCCACCACCCAGGTTGGTTGGGTGACTCAGTGGTTCTGGCCTGCAGGCTTTGGACAGTCCAAGTCAACAGGGGCAAAATTGGTTCCCAACCATGACACAGTTGTTTTGTTGAGCTGTGGCCAGACTGCTTCTTTAAGTGGGACCCCGATCCACTCCTCTTCACAGGGTGGGTCTTCCCAGCCAGGGCCTCTAGCCATCTCTATCTGTGCTCTACCAGCCCAACAGAGCTCTAATTTCTTTCTGGGATGGAGTGCCTGAGGGGTGGGGCAGGCTGTCACCTTGGCCATTCGGGCTTCTCAGCTGGTCCAGCCTGTGGGCCTTGGAGAACCCAAACTGATCAGGGTCTGAAGAGATCTCCAACACAACACAGTTGCTCTACCAAAATGCAGCCTAAATGCTTCTTTAAGCAGGTCCCTGATACCACTCCTCCTGACAGGTTGAGACCTCCCAACCAGGGTCCCCAGCCATCTCCTACAGGCATGTTTGGGCCAGAAATAAGTCAGTAACTCCCAGGACGGAGCTTCCAGAGGAAGAGGCAGGCTACCATCTTTGCTGTTTTGCAGCCTTCACTGGTGATACCTCCAGGTATGGGAAGAACCAAGGCAACTAGGGTCTGGACCAGACAGACCCCCAGAAAACTGTGGCAGCCCTATGGGAGAGTAGCCAGACTGTTAAAAGAAAAACAAACAAACCAACAGAAAACAACAACAACAAAACACACAAAAAACCCATCCAAAGCTCAGCAACCTCAAATATCACAAGCAGATGAGCCCTCAAAGATTAGAAAGAATCAACACAAAAATGTTGAAAACTAAAAAGCCAGAGTGCCCCCTTTCCTCCAAATGATTTCAACACCACTCCAGCAAGGACTCAGAACTGGGCTGTGGCTGAGATGGGTGAAATGACAGAAGTAGGCTTCAGAACATAGATAATAACAAACTTCGCTGACATAAAGGAACATGTTGTAACCCAATGCAAAAAAGCAAAGAATCATGGTAAAACATTACAGGAGCTGACAGCCAAAATAGCCAGTTTAGAGAAGAACATAACTGACCTGTTAGAGCTGAAAAACACACTGCAAGAACTTCACAATGCAAGCACAAGTATTAATAACAGAATAGGCCAAGCAGAGGAAGGAATCTCAGAGCTTGAAGACTGGCTTTCTGAATTAAGACAGGCAGATAAGAATAGAGAAAAAAGAAAATGTGGCACATACACATCGTGGAATACTATGCAGCCATAAAAAGGATGAATTCATGTCCTTTGCAGGGACACGGATGAAGCTAGAAATCATCATTCTCAGCAAACTAACACAGGAACAGAAAACCAAACCCTGCATGTTCTCACTCATAAGTGGGAGTTGAACAATGAGAACACATGGACACAGGGAGGGGAACATCACACACTGGGGCCTGTCAGGGGATGGGGAGCTAGGGGAGGGATAGCATTAGAGAAATACTTAATGTAGTTGATGGGTTGATGGGTGCAGCAAACCGCCATGCCATGTGTATACCTATATAACAAACCTGCACATTCTGCACATGTATCCCAGAACTTAAAGTATAATTTAAAAAAAAATGAAAAGGAATGAACAAAACCTCTGAGAAATGTGGGATTATATCAAGAGAATTAATCTATGACTAATTGGGGTACCTGAAAGAGACAGAGAGAATAGAACCAAGTTGGAAAACATACTTCAGTATATCATCCAGGAGAATTTCCCCAACCTAGCAAGACAGGTCAACATTCAAATTCAGGAAATATAGAGAACCCCAGTAAGATATTCCACAAGAATATCATCTCCAAGACAGATAATCATCAGATTCTCCAAGGTCGAAATGAAAAAAAATGTTAAGGGAAGCCAGAGAGAAGGGCCAGGTTACCTACAAATGGAAGCCCATCAGACTAACAGCAGACCTCTCAGGGAAACCCTATGAGCCAGAAGAGACTGAGGGGCCAATATTTAACATTCCTAAAGAAAAGAATTCCCAACCCAGAATTTCATATCTGGCCAAACTAAGCTTCATAAGCAAAGGATGAATAAGTTCCGTTTCAGATAAGCAAATGCTGAGGGAACTTTTAACCACCAGAGCTGCCTTGCAAGTGCTCCTGAAGGAAGCACTAAATATGGAAAGGTAAAACCATTATAAGCCACTACAAAAACTCACTGAAGTGCACAGACCAGTGACACTATGAAGCAACCACATAAACAAGTCTGCAAAATAACCAGCTAGCATCATGATGACAGGATCAAATCCACACATAACAATACTAACCTTAAATATAAATGGGCTAAATGCCCCAATTAAAAAACACAGAATAGCAAGCTGGATAAATAACCAAGACACATCAGTATGCTGTCTTCAAGAGACCCATCTCACATGCAAAGACACACATAGGCTCAAAATAAACAGATGGAGAAAAAATTACCAAGCAATGGAAAACAGAGAAAAGCAAGGGCTGCAATCCTAGTTTCTGACAAAACAGACATTAATAAACCAACAAATATTTTAAAAGGCAAAGAAGGGCATTACATAATGGTAAAGGGTTCAATTTGACAAGAAGAGTGAACTATCCTAAATATATATGTACCTAATACAGGAGCACCCAGATTCATAAAGCAAGTTCTTAGAGACCTTCAAAGAGACTTACTCTCACACACAATAATAGTAGAAGACATTAACACCCCACTGACAATATCAGACAGATAATCAAGACAGAAAATTAACAAAAATATTCAGGACCCGAACTCACCTCTGGATCAAGTGGACCTGATAAATATCTACAGAACTCTCCACCAAAAACCAACAGAATATACATTCTTCTTATTGCCGCATGGCACTCACTCTAAAATTGATCACATAATTGGAAACAAGACACTCCTCAGCAAATGCAAAATAACTGAAATCCTAACAAACAGTCTCTCAGACCACAGTGCAATCAAATTAGAACTCAAGACTAAGAAATTCACTCAGAAACACACAACTATATAGAAATTGAACAACCTGCTCCTGAATGACTCTTGAGTAAATGATAAAATTAAGGCAGAAATCAAGAATTTCTTTGAAATTAATGAGAACAAAGACACCATGTACCAGAATCTCTGCAATGCAGCTAAAGCAGTGTTAAAATGGAAATTTATAGCACTAAATGCCCACATCAAAAAGCTAGAAAGAGTTCAAGTTAACAACCTAACATTACAACTAAAAGAACTAGAGAACCATGAGCAAACAAACCCCAAAGCTAGCAGAAGACAGGAAATAACCAACATGAGAACCAAACTGAAAGAGAGGAGAAACCAAAAAAAAAAAAAAACTTCAAAAAACCAACAAATCCAGGAGCTGTTTTTTTTTGAAAAAATTAATAAAATAGATAGACCATTAGCTATACTAACAAAGAAGTAAAGAGAGGAGATTCAAATAAACACAATCAGAAATAAGGGGGATATCATCACTGACCTTACAGAAATACAAACAACCATCAGAGAATACTATAAACACCTCTATGCACATAAACTAGAAACTCTAGAAGAAATGGATAAATTCCTGGACACATACACCCTCCCAAGACTGAACCAGGAAGAAACTGAATCCCTGAATAGACCAATAACAAGTTCTGAAATTGAGACGGTAATGAATAGCCTACCAACTAAAAAAAGCTCAGAACCAGACAGATTCACAGAGGAATCTACCAGAGGTACACAGAGGAGTGTGTACCATTCCTACTGAAACTATTCCAAAATATTGGAAAGGAAGGACTCCTTCCTAACTCATTCTATGAGGCCAGCATTATCCTGATAGCAAAATCTGGCAGAGATACAATAAAAAAAGAAAACTTCAGGCCAATATCCTTGATAAACATTGATGCAAATATCCTCAACAAAGTACTGGCAAACCAAATCCATCAGCACATCACAAAACGTATCCACCATGATCAAGTAGGCCTTATCTCTGGGAAGCAAGTTTGGTTCAACATATGCAAATCAATAAATGTGATTCATCACATAAACAGAACTAAAGACAAAAACCACATGAATTATCTCAATAGATTCAGAAAAGGCCTTTGATAAAATTCAACATTCCTTCATGCTAAAAACTCTCAATAAACTAGGTATTGCAGGAACATATCATAAAATAATAAGAGCCATATATGACAAACCCACAGCCAATATCATACTGAATGGGCAAAAGCTGAAAGTGTTCCCCTTGAAAACCAGCACAAGACAAGGATGCCCTCTCTCATCACTCCTATTCAACATAGTATTGGAATTTCTGGCCAGAGCAATCAGGCAAGAGAAAAGAATAAAGGACACTCAAATAGGAAGAGAGGAAGTCAAATTATGTTTGTTTGCAGATGACATGATTCTATATCTAGAAAACCCCATAGTCTCAGCCCAAAAGCTTCTTAAGCTAATAAGCAACTTCGGCAAAGTCTCAGGATACAAAATTATTGTACAAAAATTGCTAGCATTCCTATAAAACAACAACAGGCAAGCTGAGAGCCAAATCAAGAATGCAGTCCCACTCACAACTGCCACAAAAAGAATAAAATACCTAGGAATACTGCCAACAAGGGAGGTGAAAGACCTCTACAAGGTGAACTACAAACCACTGCTCAAAGGAATCATAGAAGACACACACAAATGGAAAATCGTTTTATGCTCACAGATAGGAAGAATTAATATCATGAAAATGGTCATACTGCCCAAAGCAATTTATAGATTCATTGCTATTCCTATTAAACTACCATTGACATTGACATAATTAGAAAAAAACTATTTTAAAATTTATATAAAACCAAAAAAGAGCCTGAATAGCCAAAACAATCCTAAGCAAAAAGAACAAAGCTGAAGCCATCACTCTTCCCAATGTCAAACTATACTACAAGGCTCCAGTAACCAAAACAGCATGGTACTGGTACAAAAACAGACATATAGACCAATAGAACAGAACAGAGAACCCAGAAATAAGACAGCACACCTACAACAATCTGATCTTGTACAAACCTGACAAAAACAAGCAATAGGTAAAGGATTCCCTACTTAATAAATGGTGCTGGAAGAACCGGCTAGCCATATGCAGAAAATTTAAACTGGACCCCGTCCTTACATCATATACAAAAATCAACTCAAGATGGATAAAAACTTAAATATAAAACCCAAAACTATAAAAACACTAGAAGAAAGCCAAGGAAGTACCATTCAGGACATAGGCATAGGCAAAGTTTTCATGATGAAGACACCAAAAGCAATTGCAACAAAAGCAAAAATTGACAAGTGGGATCTAATTAAACTAAACAGCTTCTGCACTACAAAAGAAACCATCCTCAGAGTAAACAGACAACCTATAGAATGGGAGAAAATTTTTGCAAACTATGCACCTGACAAAGGCCTAATATCCAGCATCTACAAGAAACTTGAAAAAATTTACAGGAAAAAATCAACCTCATTAAAAAGTGGGCAAAGGATATAAACAGACACTTCTGAAAAGAAGGCATACATGCTGCCAATAATCATATGAAAAAAAGCCCAACATCACTGATCATTAGAGAAATGCACATCAAAACCACAGTGAGATACCATCTCACAACAGTCAGAATGGCTATTATTAAAAAGTCCAAAAACAACAGATGCTGGTGAGGTTGTGGAGAAAAAGGAACGCTTTTTCAATGTTGGTGGGAGTGTAAATTAGTTCAACCATTGTGGAAGACAGTGTGGCAATTGCTTAAAGACCTAGAGGCAGAAATACCATTCAGCCCAGTAATCCTATTACTGAATGTATACCCAAATGAATATAATCATTCTATTATAAAGACACATGCACATGTATGTTCATTGCAGCACTATTCACAATAGCAAAGACATGGAATCAACTTAAATGCCCATCAATGATAGACTGGATAAAGAAAATGTGGTACATATACATCATAGAATACTATGCAGCCATAAAAGGGAATGAGATCATGTCCTTTGCAGGGACATGGATGGAGCTGAAAGCCACTATTCTCAGCAAACTAATGCAGAAACACAAAACCAAATACTGCATATTCTCACTTATAAGTGAGAGCTGAATGATGAGAATACATGGACACATGGTTGGGGAACAACACACACTGAGGCCTGTTGGAGGGTTGGGGGTGGGAGGAGGGAGAGCATCAGAAAAAATAGCTAATGGATGCTGGGCTAGGTGGTGAGATGACTTGTGCTGCAAACCATAGTGCACATTTACCTGCACTATGTACCCCTGATGCACGTGATGCTGCACATGTACCCCTGAACTTAAGATAAAAGTTGGGAACAAAAATAATAGTTTCTTCCCATCGCCTTTGCAATGCCTCTCTTTCAAGCAAATGATTAAACTCTCCATCCTATCATGGTGTTGTGTGGTATGTGTGTTTTAAGGAAAGCTCCTTCTCTCAGTTTTTCATCCACCTGCTCCATCTCGCTGGTCTGATGGCACAGCTGTCATCCTGGAATTTTCCTTCCCTGCTGTCCTGGGATGTCACCATTTACTGGATCCCATGTCTTTCTTTTTCTTGGCTACACCCTTACTTTACCACAGTACATCCTCAAGTAATATAGAAAACAAGTTTTCTGAAATTTCTCAAATTGTCTACCCTCAGATTTGAGTAACAGATTGGGTTATATTGGTTAACAAGTTATAGGTTGAAAATTATTATCTCTCATACCTTAGAAGGCAGTGCTCTATTACCCTTTGGTATCTAGGGTTGATAATGAAAAGTCTGAGACCAATCTGATTCTCATTTTTTGTATGGCATTGTTCTCCACCCTCTGAAAATTTTTAAGAATTTAACTTTATTCTTGGTGATTTCTCTAGATGATGGTTCTGTTTGTTTATTTGTATGTTTATTCCCTGCCGGGGGTACTCAATAGGCTTTTCAATGTGGATATTTGTACTCCTGACATTTCAGTTTTGGAATTAGTTTTTCTTTCTCTATTGTTAGTTTGATAACCTTTCCGTTCTCATTTTCTCTATTTTCTCTTCCTGAAACGCCTAATCAGTTAGGTTAGACCTCCTGAATGGATCTTCTGTCTTATCTGTTTTCTTGTTGTTGTCATTTGTGATGGTCAGATTCATGTGTTGACTTGGCTAAACTACAGTACCCAATTATCCAAACAATAATCTGGGTGTTGATGAGAATGTATTTTGTAGATGTGGTTAACATCTACAATCAGTTGATTTTAAGAAAGGGAGATTATCCTTCATAATCTGGGTAGACCTGACCCAAGTAGTTGAAAGGCCTTAAAAGCAGAACTGGTTTCTCTAAGGAAGAAGAAGAAATTCTACCTGTGAATGGCTGCATCAGCTCCTGCCCAAGAGTTCCAGCTTACTCTTCCTATTGGCCTGCCCTATGAATTTTCAACTTATCTAGTCAGCTCCCACAATCACATAAGCCAGTTTCTTCCTTCCTTCCTTCCTTCCTTCCTTCCTTCCTTCCTTCCTTCCTTCCTTCCTTTCCTTCCTTCCTTCCTTTCCTTCCTTCCTTCCTTTCTTTCTTTTCTTCTTTCTCTTTCTTTCTTTCTTTCTTTCTTTCTTTCTTTCTTTCTTTCTTTCTTTCTTTCTTCCTTTCTTTCTTTCTTTCCTTCTTTCTTTTTCTGAGACGGAGTTTTGCTCTTGTTGTTCAGGCTGGAGTGCAATGGCGTGATCTTGGCTCACTGCAACCTCTGCCTCCAGGGTGCAAGTGATTCTCCTGTCTCAGCCTCCCGAGTAGGTGAGATTACAGGCACATGCCACCACGCCCAGCTAATTTTTGTATTTTTAGTAGAGATGGGGTTTCGTCATATTGGTCATGCTAGTCTCGAACAGGATCCTGACCTCAGGTGATCTGCCAGCCTCAGCCTCCCAAAGTGCTGGGATTACAGGTGTGAGCCACTGCGCCTGGCCACCACATAAGACAACTTCTAGATAGATAAATATAGCTATAGATCTCCTACTGGCTCTGTTTCCCTGGTAAAATCCTGACAGACACATTCTCCTTTTTAAAATATTTTCTTTATCATATCTTTCAACTCTTTTATACATATTTTTATTTCACAATGTTCTTTTATTTCTAAGCATTCTTTCTTGTTCTCAGGTTGTTCCCTTTTTATAGTATCCTGTATTATTTGTTTTGTTAATATAATATTCTTTCTGAGTTTCAAACTGTCTTTTGTTTCTCAATGTATCTCTCACCTCGAAATTATATTTTTCTATTTGTTTATCTAAGTGTCTCTGCTCCATAGTATAGATTTTCCTTAAATGCCCACTTGGCAGGGGGAGGAATAAATGAGAGGAGTTCTGCATATTTGGAGACCATTGATTGTGCAGCCATTAAATGTCAGAATGTAGAAATTTTTTTTTTAATCCAGAGACATTTCACTTATTTTGAGAATTCTGTAATTTTTTTCTGCTTGAGTGATATACATACTGCATGCACCACCTTCAAGATGGATGGGTGAGATTTCTGTTTCATATCCAGACTTCAATTAATCCCTTATGTATCGCCCTTAACTCTCCATCATATTTGTAGTTCAGCAGGACAGGTTCAGTCCTCCCTAACTGTGGCTCCTCCGTGTACGATATGAGCTATGGCATCTTTTGTGTGTTTCATTAGTATAAACTCTTGCATGCATTTTCTGTCTTCCAGAAATGTGTTGAAATATCTCACCTGCTCCAGCCTTCCCTATCATTCTATTCATGCCATGAGTCTACACATTTTTATTCCATCACATCATTTTTGGTGTTGGGAGAAAGAGGAAATGTGGTCAATTCATCAAATTTGACAAAGAATTTGATTATTTTTTAATAGATTGTGTATTAAATATTAATTGAAGGTAGTGATAGTGATGGTGATAAAAATGATAACTAGAAAACACAAATCCTATAAAACAAGATAGAGATATACCCATTTGTAAAATTCCACTTTCTGTCCTCTCTTGAAGAGCCCTGGATGGTTCCTCATTGATCATCAGATCAAGGCCAGATGGAGCCCCTATGGCCTCCCTTCACTGATCTCACCTTACTTTTAGGCCCTTCTCTTTTCTTGGTCACCAAATCAGAACTTGTTCTCCTATAAACATTTTTTTATTTTCAACCCTCAAATTCCAGCCTCTCTGCCTAGAATACTATTCTTTCCCATTCCAAATCTTTCACTACCATTTATGCCCATCTCGAAGCCCATGAAGGCTTCCTAATTCAACCCCATAATATGTTCCTTCTCCTGAAGTCCTCATATATTTACAATCACCTACTATCACAGTACATTTATTCATTCACACTAAAAACATGTAATGACCACCAACTATGTACCAGAGGCTGTGCTAGACACTAGTCATGGAAAGGTGAACAAATGGGACGCAGCCCCTACTTTTCCAACATCATGCTCTAATTCCACTGTGATACAGGAGTTAAGAAGAAATTACTCACACAGATAGTGAGGGTACAGAAGTCCTCGGTAAGGATTTCCTTTCAGTGAAATGCAGCCCCAAATCATTTTCCTTTCTAACAAAGAACAGCCTGTAAAATCAAGCTGCAGACATAGATGCTGGCAGTTGTGCCAATCATGTTCAAAATGGTGGCGCCATCTTCCCTTCTCTTTGTCAGCCATGAGTACAGTAAGGAACAGACAATATGGTGCCAGTCAAGGGGCAAGTTTATTTGCATAATAAGATTAGGGTGGGGCAGCCAGCCTTCCCCATGCTATGGAAACGCCATACCTGATCCAACCAATCTGTGAGCCCTATGTAAACTGACACCACCTCCTCTAGCCTGACTATAAAATCTGGTGCATCTGCAGCTGGCCAGGCTTTTCCTCTCAAAAGCCCCTCTCTCTCACTAGAGAGACAGGGCTGTTTTCCATTCTCTTTCTTTCTCTTTGCCTATTAAACCTCTGCTCCTAAACTCCTCGTGTGTGTTCGTGTCCTAAATATTTTGGCAGGAGAATACGAACCCCGGGTATTTACCCCAGACAATGTAGCCGCTTCCATAGCACGAATGTTTGACTTTTCTCCTCAGACTCCATCATCCACTTCCCAACACTAGCCTTGAAGCAATTATTAACATAGTAGGTGCCTATACACATCATTGAGCTAGATTTCTACCATATCCTCCCACCCTTTAAAATTTTTAGAGGCAGTTCTTTCCCTTCATTCTTTCCTTTATTATATCTTCAAACCCTTCATCCTTTCTAAAAAGCCAGAGTTTTCACAGGCATTTCTTAATACCATATGCTAATGGTATCAGAATGCATATGCAATCCTCAAAACTAACAAATACATTAGTCAGAAAGGTGCATAGACCATACACATAGCCATCAGGCTCAGAGATCCTACCTTTGGAGTCTTTCTGCTTGCAAACAGCTACAGGAACTACTCCAGCAAAGTGCTACCACATTCATGCCCATTCCCAACTCCATCCCAATCTGCCAGTTCTCATTACACTGTGGAGACATCGTTAGCATCGTTCAGCCACTGTCCAGGCACTCATCAAGCCCACACAGGAACAGAGAATATTTTGTTTACTTATTTCTGTGTCTATTTTGCTTCGCCTGGTCCCCAAGCCTTTTGCGTAAGAGCTTCATGATGACTATTGTAGTTTCTCATGTTCCTTTCCTACCTGCTTCTGAGTTCAGGCTGTGTTCTGGAGGGTTGATATCACAGTTTGGGTTTCTGGAAAGCAGAATTTGAGACAGAGATGAGCATGTCTCGACATGTATTAGGTGCCGTGTTAGATGTTCAGCCCCGTGAAGAGGAGGGGAAGGAAGCAAGAGTGGGCATAAGGAGAAGTTAGGCTGTTCTGAAAGCCCAAAAAAGTTTCAGCCAACCCTAGGGTAGCTCTGGATCTGGGATGGCCCTTCAGGGTTATATCAGGTTAAAACAAGGAGGTCGGACTTTCATGTCTGTACACTGCTCACTGTATACAAACTTCCCCAGGAAGGAGGTGAGATCTCAGGTGAGGCAGTCTTCTTCAGTGGAGGCAATTTCCAAAAAGGCTGACAGCTGAAGACAGTCTGCAGGCAGCACTCCCAGCAACTGGAGGAGTAAGCGCTTCATTTCTGAAGGGCAATCAGCACATCATGGCATCCATCACAGTTGAGTTTCCTGAAAGCCTGTGCTCTAGAGAATGGTGTATTACTGAAGTCAGTGTGGGTGCACCAAAATCAATTCAAATGCTTCCTGGACTAAAGTGGTATTTTCTCTTGTAGTTACACCCAGGCCTTAGGAGAATGTTATCAGCAAGGAGGCTCTCACCACTCTCCAGTCAGCACAAGTTCTAAGAGCTTCTTTGCCACAGAAATAATAAGGGGATCAGGAGAAATTAATGAGCTTTCATGTTACCAGTATGTCCTTTCAGATCAATGAAAAAAGAAGAATCAGCGTGAGACAAAGGCAGCAAGAAATAAATGAGAATCTCTACACTCACCCCTCTACTTGTAATGCCACTTGTCCCTTTTTATACCTCTCTGTGTGCTGGTGTTTATTTATACAAGGCCTAAGATAATCCTTTGCACATAGTAGGTGCTCAATAAACATTTATTTAAAAAATGTATAATACAACCTCATAAAAACCACTCCCCTACTCAACCACAGTGAAGTAAAAGCAGTGCTAGATAATTAGTAGAAAAAGTACATTTCATTACTTTATGGTTTCTCATGGTTTATTATCTTAAATGCTCTGGGTGGTGACTTTATTTACTCGGCCAGTAAGAAGATATATGTGGTTAAACCCACTAATCAGCAGCAACACCTACTCGTACCTCTTATGGCATCCATTTTACAGTTTGTTTTCCAGAAACGATAAATTAAAATCCCGCGTTGGATCAAGCCCTCACTCACTGTGCTGTCTGCTTTCCCTGTGGGTTTGCAGGACCCAGTGGTGAAGGTCAAGGCATATGCCTCTGACATCGATGATATTTTCAAAGCTTGTTATTTCAACAACGAAAACAAATAAGAAAAGGCAGAAGATAAAATATCCATTGAATGCATAGTATCTAATTGCTGTTGGTGCTATTTGCTAGACAGAAGATGACTCTTGTGAACGAGAAACTTCTAAAGTGAAAGGTGCTCCACAGAGAGCTCACAGCAGTTTCTTTGTCTCTCTGTCCAAGTTGTTTAATCAGATCGCCCCTGATGTACAGCTTGACTATTGTAAAGCAACAGAGTTTCATCTTCCCCATATTGTAGGTCTTCCTTTTCAGTCTGCTGAAAGAGATTACCCTTTCATGACTACACTGATGCTTTGGGATTGACACTGAGCAAAATGACAAGTGCATGATGTTCTTCAAAAACACAAAGTGAAAACAGGCCAACCTGGAAAGAAGGGAAGATCGTACCTAGAAACCTGTGTCATTTTTCTTGAGACTGTTCCAAGTACTATCTTAAGGTCCTCACCAACATACAAATCCCAAAATCATGAAGAATTTTGCCCAATGATGATTATCTGCCTTCACACACGTAAAGTGATGGATATCTTGCAATATTCTGTAAGATACTGCTGAGTATTCAATGTATCACATAGTCATTCTTTCTTCTCTGCTACTGCCACTACTGTTGTCACTGCTGAGAAATCCTCATCCTATTCTTACAGCCAGGCTGTACTCACGGTACCAACTCACAAGAACAAACTATAGTCAGGCCATAAATAGGTTACTGTTACTGGCAGTGAATCCATAGGGGTCTACAGCAACCTCTATTCTTGCCTCCTCAGAAGAAAGAATTCAACTGACAGGAGTAAGACAGAAGGAGAGACTGAGGCAAGTTTTAAAGCAGGAGTGAAAAGTTTATCAAAAAGGTTTAGAGCAGGAATGAAAGGCAGTAAAGTACACTTGGAAGAGGGCCAACAGGTGACTTGCGAGATCAAGTGCATGGTTTGACCTTTTGACTTGGGGTTTTATATGCTGGCATGCTTCCAGGGTCTTGTGTCCCTTCTCCCCTTGGGGTGGGCTGTCCATATGTGCAGTGGCCTGCTAGCACTTGGGAAGTGAGCATGCATGGTGTGTTTACTGAAGTTGTATGCATGCCCACTTGAGGCATTCTTCCTCTCCATAGGAACCAGTCAAACATCCCTAGAAGGTCATATACCAGTTAAACACTGCCATTTTGACTCTTAGTGCACATGCTTCAGCCCATTCACCCAACTCTTGAGATATTGGGAAGCTGCTGATCACCAGTTTCAGGTGTTTCTGTTTATTGGGAGACTGCCTTTCCCTGGCACTGGCTGCAACCAATTATTATTTTAGAGAGACAGCTTAATAACCACCTGACCATCACCTGATGGTTGCCTGACATTCCTGGTGGGATGGCGGTTGCTTCCCTGCCCTGCTCGTGTCTGCCTGACTACCTACTGTAACATTACAACATCCTGAACTAAGGAAGTAACTGCATCCCAACTGGGAGACTGACCTCTCACTTCAGACCACAGCACATCAATAACATGACAAACATTCCATCAAGCTAGTCTCTAGAAGAAATAATAAAATCCAAGAAGATACTTTGACTTTTTCACAAAGCATAATGATATTTGCAATACCCACTAAATACCCAAACTAATGAACACAAAACTTGGCTTTAAATTGCCAGGAACCCTTAATGTCTACAGTCTCTAGTTCCAGAAAATTCCAAGATCCTGGTGGTTTGTAATTTAAGATCTAATTTATGAGTCACATTCAGTTACTTTAGTAGTATGGAGAAATTATTAAAAGAGTGAAAAGAGTTTTTTAATTTTTTTTAATCATATAAGAAAATTGGTTTCTCCCATGAGAGACTAGGAAAAAATAGAGGAAAGAGGAAAATGAAAGTGAAGGAGAGACCTTTAATGATCTCCATCTATCCCAAAATTATCCATTTTTTTCTTCTGAGAACTGCTCCCTTCATCCATAGAGATAGGACTCTGAAAGCCATGATTGTATTATGTGACCTTGAGCCTCAGATCACAGCTAATTGGATCCAAGATAGACATTGCCCCCAAACTGATCCAATCACAGTCTGTCTCCTTGGAATATACAATTGAGATTCTGAATAGCTGGTTAATCTCTTCCTGTGGCTGGAAGGGAAACAAGTAAATGTGTGAACTGCAGGCCAGTTATTACCTTCTACGCATGGAGATAAAGAGTGAGAAAGCCACATAGGAAGAGAACAAGCAGTGAGACAGACAAGCTAAACCTGCTGTTACAGCTTTCTACTCATGGTTCCAATTCACAAAGAAGCTTAGCTCTACTTCCTGCCCTTGAGCTCTGTGGTTATCCTTGTATTCTCATAATAAATTCCTCCTTTTGGCAGAAACAAGTTTGAGTGGGTTTATATTACTTACAACTAAAAGAACCTTGACTAAGTCGGATTCTTATTCTGTTAACATCATTGAGTAGTAACTAATTCACACTCCATCGTGTCTTGTTTGTAGAGTCTCCAGAATGTTAGCTGCAGATCTGAAAACTGTAAAATCCCTAGATTTTCCATCTCCGTCAGGCATGAAACCAATTACACTGAGAAGAGAATGGGCTTGACGAAACAGGCATATGACACCAGAGTATAGAGGCTAGAACTCTCCCTCACCAAACTCATGCACTCAAGTTTAGGCAACAGAAGCCCTGTTTTCCTTTACTGGGGTAGAGAGCATAATTTAGAATTTTGCCTGGTTGTAGAGGGTTGAAAAGAAGAAAGAAGACCGAAAATTCAAGAATCCTGGCACGGGCACTAGCATGCTGGGTACAACAAATGGAATGAACGTGGGAACTTCTTAGAATTGATGAAAGTGTTAAGTTTCTCTCTGTTCAGCTAAATAATTTTGCACAGGAAACCAAAGCGGCAGCCTGTTGTAAAGAAAATAGTCCTTCTAGATCTAAATGCGGTGCTGAGTCATGCTGCCTATTACATGTTAGATAGGAGAATGAGAAGAAGAGATAATAATAGTGATAACAACTATAATCATAGCAGCTAACATTTAATGTGTCTTTTTTGAGCTGTTGTGAGCATTTCACTTACAGTAACTTAGTTAATCTTCACAATAGCACCAATGAGGTAGATACTATTATGATCTTTATTTTAAAAACAAAAAAACTGGAGCTCAAAATGGTAAGGTAAATTTCCAAGGATTCACAGCTAGTACCTGTGGAATTAGTATTTAGACCCAAGCAATCTGATTCCAGTGTTGGAATTTTAACTTTTAGATTGTGTCTCAACAATAAAAAAATGGAAAAATCGGTCATTTCAAGTTAAATAATAGGTATTGAAAACCTCCAAATGCCCTCATTATCTCTTTCACTGGGCTTCTAATTCACGTATCTTTCTCCACTCCTGTATAGGTCTGAATTCTGGCAGGAATTAGAGGGAACTCTCAAAAAGTATGATTTAAAAGAGTTCAGTTAAGGGACTCTTACAAGGTATAGGTAGGATTAAGAGAAATCAACAAGGAATAGTGAAGCACCCCAGGTTCAGCAAGAATACTAAGCTACTACCATCCCTAGCATGGAGTGGGCAAGGGGAGAGAGCAGTTACCAGAACCTGATGAGACTTGTGGCTGTAGGAGAGAATTGTTGAATAGGAGCTATAGGTAGAGTAATGAAGCCCTTACCAAATTTTGGCCTCACCTAACCTCTCTCTTATTTCCTGCCTTCCAGTCTCTTGTCAATGCCTTCTGTTAGCTGAACTCAACCCAAATGGAGGGCAAAAGGGCCTATTGATGCAGCTCATACAGGTCAGCTCCTGAGACACAGAGCAGGGCAGAGTTGGGCGTAATGTGAATCTGGAGAGGCAAATGTAGAATATCCACCACACTTCTCCTCTAAGATACCAACGAAAGAAAAATACAATTTTTTAATATACAAAATATTAAATCATAACACAAGAAAAGAAATTTAAAAAGAAAACTGGAATTGAACTAAAAATTTTGAAACCCAAGAAGAAGGAAAAGCACATGGGATTGAATTTATGGAAAAGGAAGGCAGGAAACAGAAACTTAAAATATGTCAGCCATCTTCAAGGGCTCAAGACTAGAGCCTATTAATGTAAAGAATGGAAAAGCTCTGGGTACTTTATTAAAGAATTGTCTTAGGTACACATGTCAATGGGTCTTCATCCTACCCCCCACAGTTATACACAGTATATGCATTGAATACAGCCTCTGCCTGCCTATGAACTGATCTCCAAAGATCAACAGATATTTGAGAAAAACAGTTGTCATGAAAAAAAAAGATGAAAAAATAGAAATGAACTAAAAAAGGAAATATGAATAATTTAGGAAAAAGAGAACATTCTTTCAACGATCATATTCTTCTCTCCAGCCCAGACAGCTCCACCCTGAGAATCAGACTAATTTTCAAATGCCAGCTGGACATAATAGCAAAGTTCCTCAAGCACCTTAAATTTGCCATGTCCCCAGGTACTGGCTTCTTTCCCATCCCAAACATGTCATCGTTCCTGAGTTCTTAATCTCCATTCATAGCATAACCATCCATGCACTCTCCAGGACTATAAATCTTACCTTATTTTTTTTTCTATTTCTCACCCTTACCTTAAGCCTTACATCTAACTTCCAGATTCCATCTCAAAAATGTCTCTTAAACACAATTCATATCTCTGTTCCCACAGCCCCTATATAGATTTTCATCAATTTGAACTTTGTCAATGCCCCATGTCTGTCTGAATTCTACCAGAGCAATAGAAACAATCAGGGGTAGAGGAAGAGAGATTTATTTCACGACATTGGCTTACATGATTATGGGGACTGACAAGTCCAAAATCTATAGATAGGTAGCAGACTCGGAGCCACCAGGCAGGAGCTGCACCACTGTCCACAAGCAGAATTTCTTCTTCCTCAAGGAAACCTTAGTTCTACTCTTAAGGCCATTCAGTCAATTGGGTAAGGCCTCCCCAGATTATGGAGGATACTTTCCTTTACTTAAAGTCAACTCATTGTAAATGTTAATCATGTCTACAAAATACCCTCACAGCAATGCCTAGATTAGTGTCTGATTGAATAACTGGATACTATAGTCCAGACAAGTTGACACATAAAACTAACCATCACAGCCCCTCACTAATGTCTGCCTTTCAACGGCTTCCCCACCCTTTCATCCTGTGTGTCAATGGGCCTCAAAACTAGGAGCTACATCAGAATCACCCAGAGGGATTTAAACGCACACTTGCACACACACAAATTACTATTCCTATCATACTTCTCTGAAGTTACCTATCTCCAGTGCCTATCTGATCACACTACTTAAAATCCATACTTCATCATGAAATATATAACACAGCTCACATTCCTTAACAAAATTCCCCAGGCCTCATGATTTGGTCCCAGTCTCCTTTCCTAGTCTCGACTTCTGCTATTCCTACCCACAGTCACATCAATTACTCTGGCTCCCCAAAGCCTTATCCATTAACAGCCATGTCTACACTTTTATTTATTCCAAGGATCACAAAGTAAACACCTACGAAGGCCAAGCAGGTAATTTAAACATGTGAGTTTGGATGGTGTGAGACAATAGGGAATGTCGCTGAATGGAACTGAGCTAATTGAAATGAGATTTGAAAGGCAAGGTAAGAATGGGCCTGGTGTTGGGGTGGAAGATGGGAGTGAGAAGAGGTAAAGGAAGCAGAATATAGGTATTGCAGCTGCTTTGTTGGTGCCCCACCTATATTCCCTTGACCCACCCAGGTTCGGTGGACAGTTTCCTTATTGTCATCTGTACACCTACAGTGACTTTCTACTGCAAACACTTGTGACTCTGCCTGAGGGTTTTCTATGGCTGCAAAACAATTTTCAGCCTACCTGCAGGACAGGCTGAAATTGTCAGGGAGTTAACAGCACCGAGAGCAGCCCTCAACCAAAGAGAGACGGGAGATAAGAGATAAACACCCCATTTCTTGCTTCTCAATTCTGAGGAGTGTTCCACACAATTTCTCAGGGGATCCTGAGTAGGAATGTTCCCCAGTTGCCCACAGAGGTAACCCTCTCATTAATACCCCTTTTATTGGCATCCTTCCTTCTCACTTCTCTCTCCCTCACATGTTTCCTGGGCCTGTTCCAAATAATATTCCTCTAAATCCCCATCTCAGGGTCTGCTTTTGGGTGGGGAGAAGATGAACCAAACCAAGATAGTAGGCTAGACACACACAATAGCGGCAGAAAGAAGGGAAGGTCTGGCGTAGGAAGCATCTCATAATATGAAGAGGTTGGCAGGTCAACACAGCCTGGTTTACTAGAGTCTGAGTGACAGGGGAGAGGGCCTACAAACCTTCTTCTGAGTATGCTGGGCACAGTGGACCCAAAGCCTCAACAGAGACTGCAGTATAGATACTTTTACTGAAATATTTACCCTGTCCAACTTTCATTTAATTTATACTTCCATCTTAGAAAATCTAGTTGGAATTGAGGTTTAACTCTGAGAAATTTATGTTAAACAGACTCAAAATCTAGCTTAATAAAGCTGAGACATAAAAATATTGTTCCTGCAAATAAACAGCAACTTTTACTTTTCCATCTAAAGTCAGATGGAGAGGAAATAAATTAGAAGGTAGCGAGTGCTCTGCATCCCAACCATTGTTTATGGCTCTCTTTACTAAGCTATTCTAAATCATGCATTGCCTCTTAGGGTCATAAAGATATCACTTTCTCCACTCAGCAAGAGAAATGAGAGGTGAAGAAGGAGAATGTTATTTTGCAGGAAGGGAAACAGAGCCCTGGAGATTTATCTGGGGCCCGCATCAGAGTAACTGGTTGATCAAGGAGTTCATATTCAGAGCATCAGAATTTCAGGCATTTGCTTAATCTAGCAGGCCCAGAAATTGATGAGATGCCAGGACTTCTGCAAACACAGTCACAGCCAGACCACTGGTATCTTCTGATTAAGTGATATTATTATCCAGCTCTTCCCTACTGAGAAATTTTTAGATATGTAATTGCTAGCAATCTCCAACCAAGAGTTTTCTGAGAGACTGGTATTAATGGGAATTTAAAGCCATTGACACATTTAAAGAGCATCTACTCTGTGTAGGTGTTGCAGTAGCGAAAGATGTGGGATAGTCATGGGTGTCCAGGTGGTTAATGAAGGCAGCCAGCTTTTTGTGAGAGAGGAGCTTACCTCCTCTCCTCTCCCAACTCAGTGCACCAAGACCTTGGCAGCAATTTCCATTCTGGAAATTCCTGTCTGAATTAGTTATATTTAATGACACCTAGAGGGATTCGTTAACAAAGGACTTTATGAAGAAAACCAAAATGTACATTGAAAATAACTGAATTCAACTTTAATAATGATTAAAGCATAATGTGTGTAATTCTATATATTTATATAATAAATATAATTTAAAATTCTAGTAATGCACATGATGTATGCATTTGTGATATGTACATCTAAAGCTTCAATAATCACCATAGCTTGATAATTTTATATGGGCCAGGTACTGTGCTGAGTATTTTCTATTCATTAACCCATTTAATGCTAACAAAACCCTATTTAGTATTTATTGTTACTATCACCCTGAAAATAAGGACAATGAGGTGTGGGAAGATAAGTCAACTTGTCCAAGGGCACACAACCAAGAAGTGGGAGATGGGATTCGAACCCATGACAAGCGATTCAAAAGCCCATGCTCTTAATAGCTACATTAAAAAAAAATTCCAAACTTTCCTCATTTAAGAACTTCTTATCTGAGGGAGGATTAGCAATCATCTCTGTCCTGGGCCTGCCAGGGTACCTGTTCCTTTTATCATTTTGATTCCGGGTATGGCAGATTATATTAATACTTTCCAAAATGGCCACAACAATATCTGCTATCATGAGCTTTCAGTAATCCTCCCATTGAAAGACTTGTATCTACATTCTCTCCCCTTGAATCAGGGCTTGCTTTTGACTAAGGCAGAGGTGATACTATGTGTCTTCTAAGGCCATTATAAAAGATAATGCAGTTTCTCTTTTATAACAGGATGCTTGCCCCTAGAACCCGGCCACCAGACTGAAAGAAAACCAAGCCCCCAGACCTCAGCCCTGGATCAGCTCCTAGCCAACAGCTAGCACCAACTTGGCAGTCATGGGAGTGAGCCATCTTCAAAGTAGATCCTCCAGCCCCCATTTGAGTCACCCCAGCTGACAACACAAGTGGCAGATATACGTCCTGACCAAATTGTAGATTCATAAGCTAAATAAATGGTTATGGATTTCTACTTCTGGCCAAAATGGAGTAGCTCCATTCATCCCGGGTCTTCTCTCTTACAATTAAAATAAAAACCTGAACATAACCAAGTATATAACACAACACAGTAACTGAGTATAGGAAAACTCTGAAAGGTGGAAAGAAGGTGAAATGCCTAGGGACCTTGGGACTTGAGGGATGACCCAGCAAGGATTTTCTTGGGTTTCCTTATTGATCCTCATGTATATCGGACTGCAGACATCTCCAACCCAGAACTGCCAATAGGCACAGACATAACAACTATGGAGGAATACATGTATAGTCCTGATACATAGTAAGCAGTCAATAAATGTTAGCAGTAAATAACAGTTATAACCATAAAAACCAACCTAAGATTCTCCCTTACCATAAGATAAAAAGATGCTCCATGGCCACTCTGAGCAGAGCAGAGGCCTAAGGCAGAAAGATAGAGGGATTTGAGATGACAATAGCTGGAGGGCGCTCTGAGATTTACTTTACTTCAGTGTGTCCTAGGAAGAGTTTCAACATTGCATAAGATGAAGCATAAACATTTAGAAACAGAAATAACAGAACAATGTAAGTAAGGCACTGGTCAACTATATACCAGGTGTAGAAACTGAACAACTGCAGATACACCAGTCAAATTCTCTGTAATTAATATAATAGCTCATCTTCAAGGAAGGAGCCAGTTTGGATTGTCATGGGTTACAGAAAGAATAAGACCATTAGAAGAGAATGTAAGTAACCTGGTGTTTCAGTTACCTAATGCTACATAGCAACCCACATCAAAGCTTAGTGGCTTAAAACATCCATAATAATTTATTCTCAGGAAGAGAGTGAGTAAAATGAGTGTAGTTCTTTACATGTTTGGTAGGATCCACCAGTGAAACCGTCTAGCCCTAGAGACTACTTTTTTAAAAAGCTTTCAATTACAAATTCAATTTTTAATGGTTTTATGTCTATTCAGATTATCTATTTCATCTTGGTGAGTTTTGGTAGTTTGTACATTTTGAGGAATTACTTTGTTTCATCTAAGCTGTTGAATTTATGATTATACAGTTGTTCACAATGTGATGGTTAATTTTATGTGTCATAAAACTTGACTGAGCCATGAGATGCTCAGATAGTTGATTAAATATTATTTTGGGTGTGTCTGTGAGGGTGTTATCTAAAGAAGCTAGCATTTGGATTGGAGGCCTAAGTAAAGTAGATGGCCTTACCCATTGTGGATGTGCCTCATCTAATCAGGTGAGGACCTGAATAGAACAAAAAAGTGGAGGAAGATTGGGTTCATGGTCCCTCTGCCTGACTACTTGCTCTGGGATATCGATCTTCTCCTGCCCTCAGCGCTCCTTGTTCTCAGGCCTTCAGACTTAGGCTGCACTCTGTATCATTGGCCCTCTAGTTCTCAGGCCTTAGAACTACACCACCAACTTTCTGGGGTCTTCAGCTTGTAAATGGCAGATCAGGGGACTTCTCAGCCTCCACAACTGCATGAGCCAATACCTTTTAATAAACCTCTTTCTCTCTCCCCTTCTCTCTCCCTCCCCTCCACACACACACACACACACACACACACACACACACACACACACACAGACACACACACACACAATATTTATGTGTATAAAATATTGGTTCTTTTTTTCTGGAAAACTCTAATACACACAGTATTTCTTTCTTAACCTTTTAATGTAGTACTACCAATTTTTGAGAGTACAGTGTTGAAGTTTCCAACTATAATTATGCGTTTACTTACACATTTATCTTCAGCTTTATCAGATTTTGCATCACATATTTTGAAGCTCTGTTGTTTTGCGCATGCACATTTAGAATTGTTATGTTTTAGTGGATTGATTTTTTTCATCATTATGTAATGCCTCTATCTGTCCCTGGTAATTTCCTTTGCTCTGAAGTGTACTTTGACCAGTATTAACATAATCACTCCTGCTTTTAAAAAAATGTTAATGTTTACATGGTATATGTTTTTCTATTCTTTTAACTTTCAACCTGCATATACTATTATATTTAAAGTGAGTTTCTTGCAGAAAGTATATAGGTGGATTATATTCTTTGTTCACTCAGTCTCTTAACTGGTACATTTGCACCATTTTACAATTAAGGTTATTATTGATATGTTAGGGCTTAAGCATGCCATTTTATTACTTGTTTTCTATTTGTTTCCTTTATTTCTTATTCCTGTGTTTATCTTTCCTTGCCTTCCTATGGGTTACTTAAGCACATTTTAGGATTCCATATTGATTTACATCTAGTGTTTTTGAGCCAAGCTGCTCTGCTCACTGTTCCTTGAACATGCTAGGTTCAAGTCAAGGGTCTATGTGCCTTGGCCCACTCGATTGTCCTCATGGATCTGTCCTCCATGCTTTCCCCAATCTTCTCAAGTCAATTCATTCTTCAAGTCCTTTCAACCCACTCCAGGTCATAGCCATTACCCATTGCCTATGTAGGCAATTTTGTATTTAAAGTGCTTTGTAATTGTTAAGAAATGTACTGCAAAATTCATCCATCTGACTCTTGTACTACATTAACAAACTATGGAACTTAAATAATGAGGTTACACGTTGGTTTTCTATACATTTAAATTTTTCAACAAGAATCTCCTGAGAATCTAAAGTGTGCAGAGAGTAAATTACACCAAGTGTTGGGCACAGTAAGACAAAGAGAGCACAATCCCTGTCTAAATGGAGTTCATAGTCTAGCACGGGTACAGATAGCTTCATAGGCAATTGCAATGCAGTGTGACACATGTCATAATAGGGAAAGCACAGAGTGCTGTGAGCAGTAACCTAGGCTAAGATGGTGAAGAAAGACTTCCCAAAGGGAGTGATAACAAAGCTATGACCCAAAAAACAGTAGGGGTTAGCTAATGAATCAGGCAGCAGGCACGGAAGCATATTCCAGCCGAAGGCACACAGAGGTGAGGCAGAGCAGAATGCAGGAGAAAAACAGGCTGGAGTTGAGAGAGCAGGGGAAGAAGATTGGCAATGACAGGAGGAAGGAAAGCCAAGGCGAGAGTAAGTAAGTCATGCCAAGGGGAGGTACAGTTTTGATGTAGGGTGATCCTATATTTTATTGTCCACATCCGGACACTTTCGTGTGCATGTTTGTATGTGGTAAGCACACTTAACTTAAATCCACCCTCTTAACAAATTTAAGTGTACAATACAGTACTATTAACTGTAGGCACAATGTTTCACACCAGATCTCTAGAACTTATTTGCCTTGCAAAACTGAATTTTCATATCCATTGAACAGCAACTCCCCATTTACCCTTCCTCCTGAGTACTGACAACTACCCTTATATTGTTTGCTTCTATGAGTTTAACTATTTTAGATTCCTACTATAAATGAAATCATACAATATTTAGTCCTTCTGTGACTATTTCACTTATCATAATGCCCTGAAGTTTCATACATGTTGTCACATATGGAAGGATTTCCTTTTTCTTGAGGCTGAATAATACTTTGTTGCATGTATAAAACACACTTTCTTTATCCACTTATATGTCAATGGGCATTTAGGTTGTTTCTACATGTTGGTTATTATAAATAGTAGTTTAATGAATATGACAGTGCAGATATCTCTTCAAGATCCTGATTTCAATTCTTTCAGATAAATACCCAGCAGTGGGATTGCTGGATCGTATGGTAGTGCTATTTTATATTTTTTAATGAACCTCCATACCATTTTCCATAGTGTCTGCATCATTTTGCATTCCCATCAGCCGTGTGCAAATGTTTCAATTTCTCCATATCCTGGGCAACACTTACTATCTTTTGTTGTTTTGATAACAGCCATTCTAACAGGTGTGAATTGATATCTCACCGTGGTTTTGACTTACATTTCCCTGATGGACACTGGGGCCCAAGTTCTAATGGCTCCTCCTATTTCCTCCTTTTGAATTGAGTTTATCCAACTGGATGAATTTGAAACATACAAACTCCATATTAAGGTGGAGAGGCCTTTCTCTGGTTAGTTTACCACATGGAAGCAGGAATGGAAAGGAGAAAGTGCTGCTTCATAGGCAGACAGGTGGAGGGCATTGCTTGGGTGAGAAAGAGAAAGCCCCATGCTGAACAATGACCTTTACCCCAATACCATCCCTCAGATAAATTCAATACTCTTTGTGGGGCATTGAAGTCAGGAGCGGAGAGGAATCAAAAACTGTTAGAGTCTCCTCCACTAAACTTCATGGAGAGGGTAGCAGTGTTGGCATTCACCAGCATTTCCCTGAGGGGAGAAAGGCCAGCGGAAGTTCCCATCTCATGAACTGAGACAAGAATGCAAAGAGAGAGAGAAAATGCCCTCTCTTTAAAAATAAATAATTTAGGGGGCTGCTGTGGAATGTCTGGGTGAAAGAAAATGGTAGCATGAACTGACAGGGAATAGGGATTAAAGAGAGAGGTAGATGAATTTGAGAGATGTTCAGAGATAGAAGCAACAGTCCCTGCTGAATAATTGCACGTGAGGAATGAAAAAGAGGCAAGAAATAAAGGATCACGTTCAGGTTTCTAACCTGACCAACTGGGTGGATGGTTGTAGTATATGCTGTTGGTGCCCCACTCATGTCTTCTTGCCTTTACCCCCTTGGAAAATGCCACACAAATTTCCAGCTCCCAGCCCCTACATTCCTTCACCTGAGGTCTTTCTCCAGCCACTGAAGCACATTTTGCCCATCCATGCTGGAGGCCAGCAGTGCTGGAGAAGTAACACCCATGGAAAGCAGTCCTCAACAAATGATAGATAGGAGCTAATGTATAAATATCTCAGCTTTAGTCTATGTTCTATAGTGTTCACAGAATTTTCTCAGTAGGAATAAGTGTTGGTTTCCCACAGTGGTTTCTGGTGTGATTGTTTACACTTTATTGACCATCTTCCCTTCCCAACCCCACTTCCCTCCTCCCTCACAATGCTTCCTGGGATCATCTCTAAAATATACTACACTCAAATCTTTGTCTCAAAGTCTACTTTTGGGGAAACTTAAGAAAACATAATATCATTAATCAAAGTAGAAAACACAGGTAGAGGAGGAGAATTGAGGCCAGTAGGAAAAAATAATAAATTTGATCTGGAACACGATGAATTTTATGTGCCAGGTGGTGTTTTCTAGTAGAGAGTTAGATATATGTATCTAAAGCACAGGTGAAAGAAACAGGCTGGAGATATGGATTCAGATGTTTTTATCATATAGAGTCTAACTAAAGCCTCAGAAAAGAAGGAGATCCTCATCCAAGAAGAGTGAATAGAATAGTGATTCTTAACTTGTTTTGAGTGAAGGACTACTTTGAGGATCCAAAGAAAGCTTAAAACCCCCTTTCCAAAGGGAAAAAAATGTTCAAGTGCAAACAAGCAATATTTCATACACAATTTTAGAAGTTCATTCAACTGTCTTAAGGCATCTATGGACTCCATAAAAGACTGATATCAAGTGAGGAGGAAAGCCAGAAGAATGTGATGTCACAGAACCAATGCCAAAAGTTTTCAAGAGGGTAACACTGATCCATACTATCAAATGTGACCAAGAAAATAAGCAAGGATTGAAAAATTCCCATTGGATTTAGAGAGGTAAGACATTTAAGGAGTTGTACTTCAGAAAAAGATCCTGTGTTCTTTTAGATTTTTCTTCTTCTTAGCCTTTGTCTGTGTTCCAGGCTGTTCCATGCCCCACACCATTCTGTGATGGAAGAACCACTTCTTTGTATCAGAGCCAGCACACTTGGAGAATTTTCACACCTTATTTTCCTAATCTCACAAAGGTGACATTTTGGTTTGGATATGGACTATCCTTGAGCTCTAGGTTTCTAATTGGCTATTGCACAGATTTTTTCAATGCTGGAAGTTCCAATTTTTGCCCTACAAAGTCACCACTTGTCATTACCTCCATGACTCATCTAACTTTTCAAATTCAGCATATGCCAGCCTAAAAACAAGCTTCAAATGATTGTAACTGTTCTAAGTAATTGCCCCAAATTTATCTCTTTTTTCTCAACCCATTTTCTTTCACCCATATTCTTGGTTTCTACATTCCTGGCTTTGTACTTCATACCTACTTTGCACCTCTAGCTCCTTTGGTTTGGCAAACTTTTGGGTGCCTTCAGTTGGTTTCTTGGTCTTTAGCCTTGTGCTTAGCTTTAAGCCTAGTTTGCCTCTCTTATCTCAATGGCCTGGGGTGGGAAAACCCTTGCTCCACCCCGTTTAGAGGGACTCCTGGTGGTTCATGGAGTTCAACTACTCACTTGCTGTCTCTCTCTTCCACACACCTTCTGTGACCTACATTAGCGTACGCTGCAGAGAGAGGTGCAGGCTTGGTTGTATTTCTCTGGTTTGGAGCAGAAGGAGAACAGCTTCCAGGCTGTATAAGTCCTGGACTTCCTCCCTCTCCACCTGCCACTACCCATATACCTTCCCCATTGGACAAATAGCACATTATGTATATCACAGAGAGAATAACAGATCCAAGTAACTTCCTTCATCCTCCTCCCCCAACCTTCTGCATCCAACACATCCAAGTGAGAACAGTCCAGAGCTTTGTTCTGTAGTTATTTGAGTTTCAAGCCTGCTCTATGGGGGCTACGTTTGCATTGAATGTAAATATTCATTAATGTATTTAATTCCCATCCTGAATATCTCTCTGTTTCATTATTGTATGTCTAGTGGGCTGAAACCAAGTCTGACTTTTTCTGTCTATCTTCTCAGTCCAGCATCACATATAAATGGGCACTTAATAAGTGATTTTGGTCATGACAGCATAATTAAATCTTTTTCTATTGGAAATTACACATGACTTAACTCCAGGGCTGGTTTAGTCTAATTGTGTTTGTGTTCATTTTCTTGCTTTTTCCTTTATCTTGCCTAATCCTGTCTCAGCAAAGTGGGCTTTAAATTCCAAGGAGACGCACATGGGATTTCAGTCCCAATCCCCTTTTGTTGGTTGACCAAGGGCAAGGAATTAAAAATATGTATATGCTTGATCCGCCTGGAGTGGGGATAGAGTGATCCAGCCTTTAATGTATTCAAACCACTAATGCTGTCATTCCTGGGGAGAGTTGAAGGAAGGGCTGCCATTATTTCTACTTAAGAGGCCTCTACTTATTTCCACAGCCAGTACCTAGAGAATGTCTTTTCTTTAAGGAAAGCTTTTATTTTTTGGAAAGACTCCAGCTTCTTGCTATTACCAAAAAGCCCAATCCAGCTTTGTGAGGCAATGCCTGCTGCATATGGAAGAGAAAGCGGCCCTACTTGTTAGTCTTACTAGAGGCTGAAAAAGAGGGCAAGGGGACTCTACCCTTAACACCAAATTTACATGTTTCCTGGAGAAACAATAGCTCACATCATAGTCACTCAAACTCACAGACATACATAGCTACCAGGAAAAACAGTGATTTAAATGGGTGACCACAGGCTAACAGGCTTCTCTTTAATGTTAAAGATAAAAGTTGCTAATTATTCAATTTCCTCATTTTCCAAGGTCTACTTCTGCACTGTGTAAGACAGTAGCCGCTAGCCACATGTGGCTATTTAAATTTAAATGCAAATTAATTAAAAAGGATAAAATTCAAATTCCATTTTCTCAGTCAAACTAGCCATATTTCAAGTGTTCAAAAACAGGTGGCTAGTGGCTATGTATTGGACAGCACAGATGTAGAACATTCCCTGCATCACAGAAAGTTCTTCTGAACAACGCTGGTCTACCTTAAAGCACAGTGAAATAAACCTGTTCACTGTTGGCTGAAAGTTGGTGTTCTCGTACCCTGCCTAGTGCCTCAGAATATAAATTATGTTAGGTGGTCACCTGACAAGGCACCACAGGCATAGAGAAGCTCCGGGACAATCCATTGTATCCTAGAATACTCTGGCAAGAAACCAGCTCTGAGTGAATCACTTCCACATAAGTCTTTTGCTGATGATCAATTCAAATGTCATACAGTGATGAAACTTACAGCTTCTGAAGATGCCTTCATCCAAGCATGGGGTTGGTAGGAGTGAGTGGCACATATCTCTGCCATTCAGTCCTGTACCTTGCCTTTGTTGTTTCTTTATACCTCTCTAAGATAATAGTTTATATTGTATACTCCACATGTTTAAGTAATGTGATGAATAGTTGAACAGAAATCTGGAGAGAGAATGTTTTTTGAGCTCACAACTAATGGATCTGTGACAGGAATAGGGAGGGCAAAATTTGGTTTTGACCTAATTGTTTACCACTGTCACATGATAAATTATTTCCTCAAATTTGAATCCCCTTTGAAATACAAATATACTACCTGTGAAGAGAAATACAATGAATGTATAGTACCTAATAACACATCAGTGTAGCTTAATTCATCAGATGCCCTCACAGAGGAGCAAGGACCAGAGGGAATTATGCAGTGAACAAATAAAGCCTGATGATGAAGTGACAGAGAAAGGTCTGTGTTCTTTATCAGTAACTCTTCTAAAAGCAGACATGTGGTTCTGTCCTTTCTTTTCCTCCTTTTGGTTCCCTTAACTTAAATAACAGCTGCAGTGTAAAAGCACAAATTATTCTTAAAGACTCTGAACTAATAGCCTCCTTTCTATCCACTTTTATCCCCTCAACTGCCCTTTTTCAGCTTCCTCTCCACTAGGTTCTGCCCACTGGAGTTGACAAGGAGTACAGTCAGCTCCTGTTCTCAGGCTGGCCCCTCTCCAATGCCAGCCTTTATGCCTAGTGTTAGATGCGGCTTCTTAAGAATACTTAGTCATCTCTAATTTCCTTCACCAGGCTTTCATTTCCTGGCATCTTTCCTTTACTCCTCCCTGTACAGCAGGTGGAGTCCTCATTAAAAAAAGACATGTGCTCCTTAAATAATGATTTCAGAAATCAAATTATTTTCTGTGAAATCAGCAAGCTCTGTTAGCCAAGGTTCTCCATTACACAGAATCTGTCGCATCAAAATGTCTATTATTCTCCCTGCAGGAAACACCACCACCACCATTACTTTATACTGTTACCCAGAAGGAGAAAGGTTCTTCTCTAAAGGGAACATGATGAACTAAGCTACACTAATGTGCTATTGGTGTTGGATACTTAATGTGTTTCTCCACACATTCCACATATTTGGATAAAAGGGAACATGACAGAAGAGATCCTTCATGTGGAGCGGACAGAATCTATTTCCTGCACATTGGCAAGCATTTGGTCAGAGGCTCAAACCCAGTCTTTCTTCCTGAGCTTCCTCCCTGCCTGGGAGAACCTTGGGACAACACTGTCTTCTAGCCGAGAGGCAAGACAATGAAAGGCCAGTACACAGGGACTGAATTGACTGGCAACTATGCCCCCTTATGCCCCTGTAGAGCAAGACTTTTTTTTATTTGTTTTATTTTGTTTGAGGCAGTCTCACTCACTATCGCCCAGGCACGATCTCAACTCACTGCAATCTCTGCCTCCAGAGTTCAAGTGATTCTCTTGCTTCAGCCTCCCGAGTAGCTGGGATTACAGATGTACACCACCACACTCTGTAAATTTTTTTTGTATTTTTAGTACAGACGGGATTTCACCATGTTGGCCAGGCTGGTCTTGTCCTGGCCCCAAATGTTCCACCAGCCTCAGCCTCTCAAAGTGCTGGGATTACAGGCATGAGCCACCGCGACCAGCCTAGAGCAAGATTTTTAGTGCAGTTTACCCCGGATGCTATTAGCACTTCTTTCCCCTGTTTTCTGAGGGGAAAGAAGTGTTCCCACTGCTCATTTCTGCTCAGCAGCACCCTGTTTCCATACTAGGTAAATAACAGGTTAACAGAGGGAACAATGGTTTGAGCCAGTGAGCCCAAAGCGAAATAGCTTTCCTTTACACTGCTTTACTAACACTTTTTGAGCTTTGGCTACAGATGAACAGCATGGCTCACTATATGCTATAAACTACTCAATACAGACACAATCACTGATGCTAATAAAATCATTATTGAAGGAAAGCATAAGGGATTTTAGGTAATGCACCCATACACATAGAATGCAGCTGTTACACTGTAATAAATAACTTGGAGGTTGGGTGGCCCGTCACTATAAACAGAAAGAAGGAATTTTGTAATGGTCAGTAGCTGCCTGGAAAATAATTTTTTCAGCCCCAATTCTATTACTTTTGATCTTTTTGCTTTTATTTTTATAATCTAACAAAGAGCTTTATTTATCAAGTTATCAAACTGGTATTTAAGGTTACTGAAACCATTATTAAGGCCTTGGATATTGTAAATCACATTTTGCCTCTCTTTGCTGCCCAGCAGAGCCCTCTGCCCCACACCTGGCCCATTTATTACAGTTAATACAAATCAGAAGCATCTTTAATTTTCCCATTACAGATAACAGAGGCATCATGCTCATGGCTGGATTCATAGTCATATTTCTCCATTTTCAATAAAACAATGAAACTTTTTCCCCACACTGTATATAACAAAATAAGTACTTCTTCCCCTATGTCTCTTCTTCTTCATAACAAAGGACCCTGAATGTCACACAGAAAATTAAGCAGGAAGATTGTAACTGGAAACAAATTGTACTTCACCTTGTTGCCCTCTTCACACTAGTCAGTATGTCTGCCTTCCCCTATAGACTGGATCTTAGCTTGGGTTCCTCAGAAGACCTCAAGATGCCTTCAGGATTGGAGTGCAAGTCATGTATATGGGACCTCCATAGGGGTGTGGGGAAGTGAGATAGGAACAGAGAAGGAAGCCAGTTATCAAGATTCATTATCAAGATAGCTATTACTGTGGGCCAGTGGAACTTAATACAGCATGGATTTCCAGAGCCAGCACACAGGATGATAAAGGTGAGATATTTATATACCAACTCCTGTCAGTCATGGTTGAGGGCTGCCCCGAAGGAATGTCAATTTCCCAGCATTTCCAGGGTACAGGCAACTGGGCTCTGACAGCCAGAAAAAGCTCCCAAGCCCCAGTGGAATGCAAAGTCCCCTCTCCATCCCTGCTCTTCCTCCCCAACCCCTTTGTCACAGAATGAGAGTGCCGACAATTGTACGAGGGGCCTGTGTGCATTGATGTAGGATAAGCAACGTCCAGGAGCAGGACACGGATGGTTTCTACTACTAACTGCAAGCTCTCTTGCTCTCCTCAGTGCACTGCATGGCGCTAGTAGGCATTCAATAAGTATTTGTTATCTGGCTGACTGCATCCTGTATTATCACATCCACTCCACTACAACTAGCATT
The DNA here is from genome assembly GCF_000001405.40 of Homo sapiens. Taxonomy (NCBI): domain Eukaryota; kingdom Metazoa; phylum Chordata; class Mammalia; order Primates; family Hominidae; genus Homo; species Homo sapiens. Next base: position 42,382,638 of record NC_000023.11, on the reverse strand, counting down.
TTTTCCCGTCTGTTAAAAGGTCATGCATTCTACCATCCAGTTCTCAATTCTCAAAACCTATGTCCAAAAAAAAAAAAAAAAAAAAAAGAAAGAAAGAAAGAAAGAAAGAAAGAATTCCCTAGTGGGGTCTGGTTTGGGTGAAACAATGAACCTTTCATTTGAACACCACTTACTGCCACCATTTCCCATTAATTACAGATAAGGTCTCTGGGATTTTCTTTGTTTTACTTTACCATAAATGTTATTAAATGTTACCATAAATGCCACCAAAGAATAGCTACCTACACTGCCATCAAGACTGAAACAGTGGTAGGAACAATAACAGTGTCTTGCCTTCCTCCTCAGGCCCTTGCCAACAAGCAGTCCTGGTGAGAGAAATGCTTTTCAATAGCTTGAAAAACTTAAGTCCCAGATGGAGCAAGTTAATATGAAGGTGAAGCAAGGTATAAGCTTTCACCAGCTCCATGTTTAATCCACAGCCCCAGATGACACTGGGAATAGTGAAATACTGTGGACAGGTACAAAGCAGGCCTCTCCCTCATGATTCCCAAACAGAAGCCTAGTGACCAGTGTTTACCCCACTGTCCTCAAGCCATCATTGCCATTTGATACCAGCTGCTATGACTACCACCTCTGCCAGAATACTGACCTCTTTGCCCTAGAACCTACTGTGTCTTTTGGGTAATCCTTCCCCTCAAAAGTGCCTGTTTTAGCTAATCCTTAGCATCTGTAGAAAACAACACAAGAAGGTCAATTCCCTGTGGCTTTGGCTCACATTCCCTTCTGTTACGAGAAAATGTAGTATTAAAAACACTGAATAGAAGAGACAGATAAAGCAAGGCTGGGAAAGTGGAGATATGGTTTACAGGAAGAGAGATAAAGAGAAAAGTGCCTTTATTTTGTATTGGAGGACACATATACATACGCACAAACACACACACTTATGCAAACACGTATGTTCTCAGAACTCTTCCATAGTAGAAGGATGACATCATTTCACAGGCAATAAATAGACCACTTGAGTTCTGTTGCCATAAGAAGTCAAACTGCAGAATCTCTTTTACCTGGTATTTAATTGGTCAAGACAATGTTTTAACAAACCCATAAGTCTATCGTATATGAGTAACTCAAACAATGACACTCAAAGAATCAGGTGGTGTACACTTTGATATGGCACCCAGAAGCCCTTTCAGAAGGAAGGAAGGACAATTTTCTCAGCTGTTGGGAGTGCTAGTAGAAGGTGGCCCTCAGCTGTCAGCCCTTTTTGGGAATTGCCTCTGATAAAATAAAATACCTCACCCAAGGTCAAGCTTCCTTCCAGGGGTAACCTGCATCAAATGTTTGATCAATGCACAGATATAAGGGCTGGACAACCTTGCTCCAATTCATGACAACTCTCAGGGGCCATCCAAGGCTTAGAGCTCCTCATAAGATAAGCTGAGGTATCAGTACAGGCTGTATCACCTGTTCACTCCTGCTTCCTTCTCCTTCATTTCACTGGTGTTGATCTCAAGACCTCTCCCTCATAAACATCCTGTGTCTTAATTTGTAACTCGCGATCTGCTCGGTGGGGAAACCAATCTGTAACAGGTATTTAAATCCTCCTAAGCCATCAAAGAGTAGATTATATGCATTAAAAATGTCCATGTTCTGCCTATTTTATTGTATTGTGCTGCTTTGGCAATTGCCAATCGATATATGGCCATGATCTACAAATAAGAATATTTGATTAACTAAAGGCCCCTACTTCTCAACCATGTTGGTATAACAAGCAGGACTGAGATGAGGTCAGGTGGGGGTAGAAATAGGTACTAAAATTAAATCACACTTTTTCACCCCCAGACTTTTCCTTTTCCATATTAACACAGATAATAACAATGGCAAATAAGATATATCAAAAGATTACTATGTGCCAGACATTGTTCTAAACACTTTGTATTATCATTTAAATTTCAGAGCAACCCTATGAAATAAATACTATTCTTGCCTCCAGTATACAGATAAGAAAACTGAGGCATAGAGAAGTCACGTAACTCTAATAAATAATGCAGCCTGGATTTGTACCTAGGCAGTTGTATTTGAGAACCCAAGATCTTATTGATTACAGTAGTGTTGCCTCTCTAATAAAAATGACTGTTTAATGAATGCCTAATCATTTCTGATGTCGTTGAAATTAATGATTGTCGATAGAGAACTTTACCTCACTCAGAAAATGTTAGGTGGGCTGAAGACCATGACAAGTCACAATTGGTGTCTGTGGCTATTAAATCCTGCTGGAGAAATGACCTCGGTAGCACAAGCTAGTTTTGTTTTTTGTTTTTTGTTTTTTGTTTTTTGTTTTACACCATCTGGGCCCTAATTGCCCACCACAAACAACTGTGTCAGCCTGGCCAGTTGTCCTACCATTCCCCATATCTGTAGTCAGGAACTTTCACCATTAATTCATCACCCCCAATCCTACAACTTCCCCTTTCACTCCCAGAAATGGCCTTGCCTCCATTTCACAGCAAAAATGGAGACCAACAATTAAGAACCATCTCACTGCCCCTGCCCCACCTATGTCTTGTCTTTGAACACTTGTCTCTATCTTTTCCTTTCCTACTTCACAGGAGAAGATAGCCTTTCTTCTGTTCCAAGCCAATCCCATCACATGTTTGAATCCTATCTCCATCACCATCCTATTCAAGAATTTATTCTGTCAACATATTACAGCCACTACTCAAAAACATCACTAACTTTGGTATATAATCTAGTTCATATGTGTGTGTGTGGGTTGGGGGGGGCATTATGCTAATTTTTAAAACAACTATAGTATATTTTCTTATTGTTTTATAAACTTTTTCACGTATAAATATTCTTTTAAACATTATATGTAGTAGCCACATAGTTGTGGTGGATATGACTTTCATTCCACCCTCCCTCTCCTGCACTTTGCTGAAGTTGGCAACTAGATAGCTAAAAACTACATTTCCCAGACTTCCTTGTGGCTAGACTCTTAGGTATGATCAAGTCTCCTTTAATTAGATGAGATTTGAAAGGTGAAAGTGAGGGACAGACTTTGCCTCAAAGCCCCCTGCTGTTTTGGAGGAAGGGAACTATAACATTTAGGGTGGAAAAAAAATCTTCTTGAGAAAGCTTCATTTGAGCAGAGACCTGAATGAAGTAAGTAAGACATGCAAAGATCTTGAGGAAACATTTCAGGCATAAGGAACAGCAAGTGCAAAACCCTGAGGTGAGAATCAATGTGGCTTGAGCAGAACTAGGGATGGGGAGAGCTGAGCCAGAGAGATAGCCTTGTAAAGCATTAAAAAGCATTTGTATTTATCCAAGGTAAGTTGGGAAGCCATTGGAAGATTCCTCCATATGCAGGGGCATGAAAACTGCATGAAATGACTGCTATGCATAGGTATGTTGAATCAAACAAGTACATATCTGAGGATGAGAATTTATGTAACAAAAGATGTAGAAGCAGGAGGCTGGGTGAGTAGCAGAGTCAGGAACAGTTAATTATTCACATAGAAGACACTAAATGTTATTGAAAGGGCAGTCCAGAAATCCATTGTCCAGAGGCCAAGATCAGGTTGTTCCTCTCCTTTCAATAAACACTTATGGAGCGCCTATTATATGCCATCTATTCATTTGTTCAGTCAACACATATTCTTTGATGATTACTAGTTTTCTATTTGCTGAGAAAACAAAAACTACAAAGATGAGTTAGACACAAACTTACCTTTGAGGAGTTTAGTCATCTGCAGGGAAGAAACCACCTTCCAAGAGCTATGACATTAAGTTGCACTATAAGGTTAGTTAACACTGCCAAATAAAACGCTGGACACGCAGTTAGATTTGAATTTCAGATAAACAATAAATACGTTTTTAGTATATGTATGTCCTAAATATTGCATGTCATAGTCCATGGGACATACTTATACTAATTAAGCATCCATTGTTTATTTGAAGTCAGATTTAACTGAGTATTCTGTACTTTCATTTCCTAAATCTGGCAACCGTAAGTAGCAGGTACAATGGTCTTCAAACTGGTACTTATCTTGGGGACACATGAAGACATTCCATGAGCTATGTGGACACAGCTGGATTTTAAGGAGAACAATGTTCAAGTCCTCAATTTTTCCAAATGTGATCTGCTTGGGAACATGCCTGTGATGCAAGTTATCTCCCTCTCCCGCCTCCCCTTTCATGGTTGCTTCTCCCTGCTTTATAGAATAAAGGAGTATCTCTCTTTCTTCTTTCCTACTTTCCTGAATCTTACGCTAGTGCATTACCCTGGGGTGTGAAAATCTCCAAACGCCAAACAAAGGTACAATTCAAAATAAGTGGAATTGGTGTTGAGAAAGCAAAAGACTCTCAAGACGGGGTCACAAAACTTTTGCAACTTAAGTGGTTCCAGCTTTTATCAGATTATTGAGTTGTCAGCTGATAGATCATTTAAGATTACATTTGGAAGGAGATTTCCCTGTGATTTTTTGGTATGTAACTTGCAAGGAGTTTAAACAACTGAGTAAAGCCGATAAAGCAAACCTCTTCCTTTCATCTTCTTATTTATGGCTCACATCTTTTTTAAAAATAGGAATAAAATTATACTAAGCTCTGTTTTATTTTAGCAATAAAAATATTCATCCACAGATACATGAAATATTTTTAAAGATCCCCATTTTTTATTAAGAAATGTATTTTCAATAAAATTTTACTTTTTATGCTTAATGATTATCAAAATTTGTAATATATTTATACTATTGTAATCAGCTTGGAATAGCTAATTTTTGTAACAGTAACTCAATCCAGAAGACATTTTAAGCACTTGGAGCCTTATAGTCACAGGAAATGTAAATAATAATAATGTCAATTTATATATATATATTTTGTTGTAGAGAAGTATAATACAATGATGAATAAAATTCTTTCATACATAAAAATACATTAGGTTAGAATTAAATTCTGCAAGGGAAGCAGAATGAAAAAGGAGTACAATGAGATAAATCAAGGATTTAAAATTTCTGTCTGTTACAGAAGAGCTTGTTCATGTATTTTTTAATGGTGATAGCTGGTATCAAATCACTATGATATTTAGATTCCCTTAGATTTATTCAAAAGGGTGATGTAAGAGTTATATTTTTCAATATCAATGTTTATAATATACCACAAATTACGTACTTTCAGCTATTTAAGTTTTAGATGAAACATTTCACATGTCAGCTTAAAAACATTCTAGAGGTCATGTAGTTTTCATTAAAATTATTTTAGAGGTCTGGGATGGGGACATAGATGGGTATCTCAGCCACATGGGGCTAATGCTCAGCCTACTTCATTTCCCAATGAAATAAATGGGAATAAATGCCCTTGTAGCATCTCTCAGGAGAGTATCTGAATATATTTCTGTTTTCAGGGACTCTTGTAGAGGCTAAGGTCTAGTTTAGAGTCAATAGACAAGGCATAGGGATGGACGATCAGCATTGCTCCGGGTGGGAAGGTGAATGCAGTCAGATGCCATAGGAATCAATACTGAAGTCCAGCTCATGTTCTGCTCAACAAGTGTTGTGCCCTGATGCAGGGCTACTTTCACTTATAGAAAAGAGCATCTTTCTGTTTTGGACAAAGGCCCCAAATGGGCTAGTACGGACATTGGTTAGGTCCCTGTCCATGTGAGAGGTGAAATGAATGGGAAATCTCCAAAGCATGCAGATATCTGGTTGAATTCCTGACGACATTGATTTGGCACAGCTCTACAGACAAAAGAAACCAGCAAAATACTTGAAGGCCTCTGAAGATGTATGTAAAATAAATCAGAAATTATTTCTTTGTACCAAACGCAATGTGGGCACACCTGAGACACTATGTAGAGCTGTGGTCACAACACTCAAGAAGTATGTAAAGGATAATGAAGAGGTCCTAGGAAATAAAATGCTCTAGGTGATGTGGTGAAACAGGATCCTGAATGAGCAATTCCTCAGGAAAGATGAAGGTTGACAGACAATTCTTAGGTTGGTCAATTTTAGCTGTATCAATGGAGGAAAAAAATCTATTGGCTATTCGGAATTGGCAAGAGTTTGGATATTGAATATAACAGCAAGACATAAATGTGTGGTAGTGTCCCAGCCCTCTCGCAAATAGGTAGCCTCTAAGCCTTCTCCCAGATATGTGATTCTCACCTTTATCTAAGGCAGAATACTGAGTATATTTCTTTGTATTTGGATTGTACACACTTAAACTTGTATAGTTTATAACAGTTCCAAACAAGTTAAAATAAAATCCAACTGCTCAAGGACCCCACAGTAGAGCTCCTGAGGCTTTGTTTCTCAAAATTTTGGTGAATCAGCTCTAAGCATTTTTGTTATTATGGCTTTCCATGTGCTTCTCAAGACTCAGCCATGAATCAAGCAGTCGCCAGTCTAGGCAAACCAGCAACAGGATTGCTGTGGATCCCACTGGAACTGCCTCTTTCCCTACAATGACTGAAGCTTTCCTACTGGGTTACTGAGCAAAACCTGGAAGCTGTAAGGAAAAATGCTGAGAGGTTTTTGTTTTTTGTTTTTTTACGAAAACCCTTGGAACAGCCTCAGGAGCACTGCTGTGAGATTCTAGAATAGTGTTCATCTCTTCTCCCATCCCAGTAGTGGGAGGCATCCCACCTTGCTCTCCAGCCAGTGGTGCGCAGAAGCTAGCTTACATTGCCTTGCCAGAATTGATTGTTACATTTTCAGGAATTTTTGCTAGCTGGTAAACATCATGTTGGCAGCTTGAAATTGACCATGGTGGAAGTATTTACACCACGGAAACTGGCAAATGTTACAAATCATTCAGGGTCTTTTTTTTGTAGAACCAATTGTTAAACATTTATCAGCACAGTGTAGACCCACCTTAGAAAAGACTACCAAGTCCTTCCAGCCAGAGACCCCCCAGGCCTCTGACCCCCACTCAAACTGCCCTATGCTTTGGTCAGTGATATGATGGAAGCCTAGGGCTTAGGGGATCAGCTGGCATAGGAAGGGTGTCCAGATGGGCAGTGGGCCATCCACAGAGAAGGGCGGGGGCTACACAGCTATCCACGCCCAGCTGTCAGGGAACGAGCTGGGGAGGTGGCACCAGGCAGCAGCCTTCTGCAAAGGCCCTGGGGCCTTGCTTGACCTCAGCGCCGTGGCACAGCTGCCTGACAAGTAGACGGGGACGTGGGCTGCTTTAATAGAGGCAGAGTGCCCCATCTGGGGAGGGAGCCACAGGTCCCCGCCGACTGTGTAGGCTGCTTGCTGAGCTTTAGACATCAGTCCTTGCTCCAGTGAATGAAAGCTAAGGCCTCCACCTGACCAGCCCTGCCTGCCCTGTGCACTTTGGACATCGGGAGTCTCTGTGAGGTTGCTTTAGGAAAAAAAAAAGTGCTTGTTTAAAAGATTTCAAAACTACCAAACTGGATGATATTCTGTGACTCCAGAATCATTTTGCAAGCATGTTCATTCATGTCCCTGTCCCCCTGCCAGGCGGCCCACAGGCTCCTCGGAGAGCCCAGACTGACTCCCACCCTTGGTGGTCATTTACCCATTGGGGCAAAAAGAGGTGGTGGTGCTCAGCCAACATCAGTATTGGTTGCAATAAACCTACTACTGTGTGTAGTTGCTAAAAAAAAAAAAAATACTACCATTCACTCTACAGCAGGGCTGAGGGCTCTAGTACACCAAAGGTAATGACCTATGGAGGCTGCAGACACTCCATGAGCAGCTGAGCAACAATAGAGACTTAGAGACTGTGATGGTCAGAGGGGCAGAGTGGCAGGCAAGGCACCCACCAAATAGAGCTGCAGTCAGACAAAAAGGTGATCTGTTCCCCTCCTAGTAAGTCCCTGAAATTCCTGTTGGCAGAGAGGAAAGTGAATATTTTGTAGAGTCTGGGGGCCTTAAATCAAACTGGGGCAGGAGAAAATGAAACCTAGGCTCATATTACTAAATGGAACACAAGGTGTTAAAAACGTCTAAAACTTAGAAATAATGTCCTTTCAATGTCATATTACAACTAGCTCACCAAGAATTGTCTAATTATCTACAGGAATGTACCTTTGTTTGACTTTGCTATTTACTGTTAATTATTGGCTCAGATTCTGTGAAGTTACATGTTGACTTGCAGATCTTTTCCAGTAATGATGCAAAAAATTTCTATACAGTTGAAAAAAATTTTCAAAGCTTATGGATTTTTATTGTCCTGTAGGATATAAGTCAGGATTGTATCTAATAGCAATTTATTTTAATATTCTTTTTTTAATGTCTATAAATACTCAGGCCCTCAAAATACTTTTTCAACCAGTTTTACCATGTTACAGATTTCTTCATTAATGAGTTAATAAATTTTGAGCATGTGCTCATACTATGTGCATACGAGAGTCATGCTTCTAACTTTTTGAAAATTATACATTGAATTATACAGTCTTTAATGAAGTTAAAAAGAGTTCATCTCAGTTGACCCCAGGGATAAATATAATTTGGAGCCTTGTCATAGAAAGCTGCAATGGGTACAGTCTGACAAATTGATATAATTTCTGCTCTTTATAATCTATATTGGGGGCCCAGTTCCACAAGGAATACAGAAGACATTGCTTGGGCTTTGTGGGATTATAGAGTTGCCATAAATCACTCATCCTGTAGACAGAATATCTCTCACCAAACACAAGTATTGATGTCTTTAGTGTCAAAAGGCTTAAATCTGTAGCAGGAAAAAGATTCATGTGTATTTGACTTATGTAAGCTATCATCTAGTTTGTGTCTGGAAATACCTTAAATGATGGTGTCTCACACAGCCTCTAAAACCAATCACTCTTTACAAACACATTTGCTTGACTAGAGAAGCCCTGATAAAAATCTCCATCCTGCTTTTTTTTTTTCTTATTGTAACCAACACTTCCCCAGCAGCCATTCTAAGTGCACGAACTGTGTCTAGAACTCTGCTGTAATGTTTGCGAGGCTCAGCCATGGCAGATAGCAGAGAAGCAAAGCTGGTGACAGCAGAACATTGCTGTCTCCATCCTGCCACTCTTTTCTGCAGGCTGGTGATGAAGACAAGGACGGATGGTTTTCACTGCAAGCTGCTAAAGCCTACTTCACGTACATGAGTGTTTAACTCTTCTGTTCAGTGTTTTCCTTCTTCGTGGACAGCCCCGAAAAGTGGTAAACGGTGACAGAATCTCTGAAAATGTCCCATTCAGACATGGACGACAGTGACTCTCAGCTCACATGCTCTTAATATGAACTGCAAGATTTTGTGTTGAGTGCTGATAAGAAGCTTTTGCCTCACACATGACTTCAACAACAACCCAGCCCTGTGGGAAATCTTGACTTGCCAGTTCTGTTCCTGCAGCATCCACCTCACACAGACTGGTGGTTCCATCTCTTTTGTAGGCAAAGCTTGAACTATCTCTCTTTTTAAATTTCTTTACGAAAACTTTGAAACTAAACCACTATGTGAGAAGGATACACTATCAGAAGAGATTTGTCACAGATCCCCCCTGTGCTGGTGAACAAGGAATGATGCCTAGGAGTCTTGAGCTTAGAGTCTGAGTAGGAGAGGGTCCTGATTAGCACACAGTTCCTGGTAAGGTAACCCAGAGTGAAGAATAGTAAATATCCCACTGTTATGACTGCTGAGCTAGATAGCCAGATGAGACCTTATATCCTAAAACCTACAGCCAGGGTCTGATAACCCACTTTGCTGAGACCCCTAAAGCTTTCTGAATTTCTGGCTTTCTCTTACCACCCTACCATGTCACCTTGACACTGCCTCTCACACACACCCCAGCAGTGCCCAGTAACCATTCAGAAAAGGCAGACAACTGTCAGGATTCTACTGAGCATAAGCAACGAGTAGGCAGATCAGTGTAAGAATATCATATAATGCATTGCAATGTAGTCTATGAATTATTCAATTACCATTGACCATAAGTCCTCGCCATTCCTAAGCATAATTGGGAAGAAGTGTTATATCCTTACACCTGAAACTGTGTCACAAAGGTAAAAAGAAGCCATCCAAAACCCATTAAAAATCATGGTGAAGTCATTGAGAGAGGCATGCTGACAGTAGATTAGTCTAGAAATGAAAAAAAATTACGTGCAACAGTTGCTTCTGCAGCAAAGAAATGCTGCAGCTTTCCTTTTTATTTGTGTGATGTCTGGACCGATTGCTACTTAAAGTAATAAAATGTCTGAAAGTTATTAATAAAGTACTTTGTGCTACTTTAAATCCAATTCATAACCTCAACGGAAAACTTATTTGCACCAGCATTTATGATAAAATCTAGATGATGGGATTTTTTTCCTCCCTCAAAAACTGGCACAATAATGGAATCTTAACATAGCCTTCGTCCTTGGATCCATCAGTTCCTTAATTCCTGGATTTTGTACTTCAATACAAAATATCTCAGTTTAATTTCTTTCTTATGTGATATTTGTCCTCCAGACTTTGCACTTTTCAACAATGTTTAAAATCACATACAAATCCACATGTCAGCAAATGGCTTCCTTTTGATAAAAAATACATTGTTTCCTGCTATGAAAAAACAGGGATAAGCTTTCAATTCAAACGTTATCACTTTTCTGTCTGTCCCACTCTGTAAATTTTTATTAAAGATTAAAGTTAATACACTATCTAGTTATATTAATGTAAAGTTTGCTCATATTTTTCCAGTGAATGTTGTTTATGATAATAAATTAATACATGGAAGCAAGAAGAATTATCTACTTCATTCTGAAGATCTAAGAAACTTCAAACAAAGATTTCTTGATTGAATGCATAAACCCAAAAGTATTTTGTTAAGAAATGAGTAACAATAAAGAGGAAACAATAAACAAAGTGAAGAGACAACCCACAGAATGGGAGAAAATATATGCAAACCACCCATTTGGCAAGAGATTAATAACCAGAATATATAAGGAGCTCAAACAACTCTATAGGGAAAAAACTCTAGTAATTAGATTAAAAAAATGAGCAAAAGATTGGAATAGATATTTCTAAAAAGAAGACACGCAAATGGTAAACAGACATATTAAAAGGTGCTCAACATTACTGATCATCAGAGAAATGTAAATCAAAACTATAGTGAGATGTCTTCTCATCCCAGTTAAAATGGCTTATATCAAAGAGACAGGCAATAACAAATGCTGGCAAGGATGTGGAGGAAAGGGAATCCTTGTACACTGTTGGTGGGAATGTAAATTAGTAGCACAACTATGGAGAACAGTTTGGAGGTTTCTCAAAAGTAAAAACAGAGCTACCATATGATCCAGTAATCCCACTGCTGCATATATACTCGAAAGAAAGGAAATCTGTGTATTGAAGAGATATCTGCACTCCCATGTTTGTTGCAGCACTGTTCACAATAGCTAAGATTTGGAAGCAACCTAAGTGTCCCTCAACCGATGAATGGATAAAGAAAATGTGGTACTTATACACAATGGAGAACTATTCAGCCATAAAAAAGAATGAGATCCTGTCATTTGCAACAACATGGATGGAACTAGAGATCATTATGTTAAGTGAAATAAGCCAGGCACAGAAAGACAAACATCGCATGTTCTCACTTATTTGTGGGATCTAAAAATTAAAACAATTGAACTCATGGACATAGAGAGTAGAAGGATGGTTACCAGAGGCTGGGAAGGGTAGTGGGGGGATTGGTGGGGGAGGCAGGGATGGTTAATGGTACAAAAAAAGAGAAAGAATGAATAAGACCTACTATTTACTAGCATCACAGAGTGACTATAGTCAGTAATAACTTAATTGTACATTTTAAAATAACTAAAAGAGTATAGTTGGATTATTTATAACACAAAGGATAAATGCTTGAGGGGATAGATACTCCATTCTCCATGATGTTCTTATTTCACATTGCATGCCTGTATCAAAACATCTCATGTATCCCATAAATACAAACAACTACTATGTACCCACAAAAATTAAAAATAAATTTAAAAAAATATTTAAAGGAAGTCTGCTACTTTTGCAAGGAGCAAAATCGTCATTTCTTATTCTTGACTTTAGCAATCTTTCCCACAGCCAGATGCCCTCTTTCTCAAGAAACTTGAAACAGCCTATTTATTTGTCATAATTTCCTACATTTTCTTAAGGAAAAAAGTCATCAGCATGGGCAGTACATTTTTTAAAAGGTCAAATATAACACTTTCTACAGAGAATTGGCTGTTCAGTTATTTCCAGATAATTCTGTGATTAAAACATGTTGGCTGCACCAGAGCTTACCTACATTCAAAAGGTTTGATTTTTAAAATACTGTAAAGCTTTTTTCCCTTTGTTTGTAAACCTGCTTTACTTCACCTTCAGACCATCTCCTCAGTGTTTTGAAAAGAGATAAAAAGAATAAGGAAGTCAGTGGCTTCAAAACTTTTTGTCAAAACTTGGAGAAGATTTATTCAACCATTTAAAACAAACATCAAACAAGCAAGCATTCCTTACAGCGCTTTTTAATATGAGACCAGGCTTTACATTCAATAAAAACTATCATAAGAGAAAATATTCACATTTTCCTTCACTTGAAGATTTATGGTTTGCTTGTTTAAATGAAAGCAGAGAACATGTCTATGGGAAATAAAAAAGGGGAGAACATACTAAATGAAAACAAATAATGGGAAAGTTGAAATAGAATATCTGGAAAATTGATATTTTTACTTGTTATCAAATCATCACAATGTTTTTGAAGTGGAGAGAATAAAAGAATGTGACATGATATATTAAATATCATAATTCTAATGCTACCTTAAATCCTTTTCTAAAAGAGATTGTGGATAAATATATAACTAGAGAGATCACTTTTAATTACAGCAGATTTCTGTTGGTATAAGGTCGAATCAGACAACTCTCATAAAACAGCCCAGGAAAATGCCCAAGGCCTCACATCACTGAGTTGGGTACTTCCTCTAAGCTATCAGGATGATCTGTAATGTCCTTTTATATTTATGTTATAGTTTGGGTTCCCCCTTCAAGCCAATCAATCCTGAGACAAGTATTGAAATACAAATAGTTTATTTGGCAGATTATTCCAGCAAAAACTAGTATGGGAGTGGGCAATTGAAACTGTGAAAGACAAGACTCTGTACTGGGAAGCCAGTACAGAGTTTGTCCAGTTAGTGAACACTGTGAAGAGCTGGAGCTAAATCCCAGGAGTCAGCACAGGATGAGTGCTGCAGTTACCCCACCCAAGGGGCAAGGGGGTTAATGTCGGTATACACTGCCTCCCCCTGTCAGTCCTTAACATGAGAGCTGCTGAGGCAGGGACACTAATTTCTCAGCACAATCAGCCTAGCTTGTTCAATAAGTGGGCAGAGTAGGTCTTGGCAGCCAGAGGAAGCCTGGGGTAAAGAAATGCAGTTTCTGGCAGCTGGAAGTCAGGCCAGCCTGCATACGCTGAGGTGGTGCCTTAGTCTCCTGGGGCTGCCACAACAAATTACCGCAAACTGTGTGGCTTAAATGCAACAACAATTTATTCTCTCACAGCTCTGGAGGCCAGAAGTCTGAAATTAAGGTATCATCAGGGCCATGATCCCTTTGGAGGCTCTAGGGGAGAATTCTTTCTTGCTTCTTAAAGCGTCTGGTGGCTCAAGGCATTTTTGAGGTTCCTTGGCTTGTGATTACATCCTTCTAATTTCTTCTTCTGTCTTCACATCGCCTTCTCTTTCATGTCTCTGTATCTTCTCCCCTTCTCTTCTAAGGATACTTATCATCGGATTTAGGGTCCACCCTAAATTCAGGATGATCTCATCTCAAGATCCTTCACTTAATTACATCTGCAAAGACTCTTGTCAAACAAGGTCACATTCATGCATTCTAGGGGTTAGGACATGGACATATCTTTTGGGAGGCCACTATTCTATCCACTACAGGCAGTATGGGTGGGAGGTATGAGAAGGACCTCAATAGTGTTTACTACAATCTAGTAATTCATAACAATCACAGTCATTTCTGCACCCTCTCACCCTTCACCTACCAGTACAAACCATTCACTCAAGATCAGCCTTCAGCTTATATGTGTGTTGCATTAACTGCTGACCTTGTTTCCCTTTCCTTTATGTGATTTCATAGTGTGAATACTTTCCTTATACAGAACTGTGGGCTTATTGGTTATTTATCAAACATAAATTGATCTTTAAAAGCAATAACCACAACAAACAGGTATGGGATGTCTTTACACTTTTAAAAAACCTTTTGTAAATAAAACACAGTTTATATAATATGTATAGTGTCACTGTATACAAGCAATACCCTAAAATTATTTTAATAGAAGGTGAGGTTAGGGCACAAAAATATTAGGCTACATGTTATGAAATAATTTAACTGAAACCCCCAGAGTTTCACACTTATGATTGCAACAAGTCAGGAACGCCATCAAGCCACATGCAATGGGTGAAATATTAATCGGGGTCTGTGCTTTGCATATTATAGTATGTTTCCCCAGGTCTGCCACAGCCTGCAAAATTAAAACAATTCCCTCAGCAGATGAAACAGCTAGCAAGCAGATCCACAGCACTGCTACTGCTGTTCATGAGCAGGTGCCTGTCAGTTTTTGCTGTGTTGGATTTATTTTTCCAGATCAAAGTGGTTCATTTCATGGTTATAGCTTCTACTCCTCATTCACTTATCTGGTATGATTTTCAAAAGCATCCCTTTGAGGGGTCAGTAGAGAAGCATCCAGAGTCGAGTAGCACTCTGGGAAGCAATATAGATGAGTAGGCTAAGAAAACTGGAAAATCTGAGAAGTGAGTTGTGGGGTAAAGGATGGGGTGGAGAAGAGCATGCTTACAGAGGGAGCCACAGGCAGGGGCCCACTGATAGACCATCCAGGACACTATCTCAGCCTGGACGTTATTCTGCAACTTCGCAATCAGCAGGTTTTTCCATCCCAGAACATTTGGTTAAATGAAGGAGAAACTGTGAAACGAGGGCTCCCATAGGACAGAACATACTCATTTACCCGCTCAAAAGTGGGACTCTATCAATTCCAAATATAAAGCACATAATGTCCATTCATTCATTCATTCAACTCATGCAATAAATCTCTACTGAGTGCCAATTGACTGACAGGCAATATACTAGATATTAAGATCATCCTAGTGAGTCTTGATCCTTTCCTCTTTTCCCTTTGACCTCGGTTGACACTATCTTGGTTTTTCTATTTGCTTACTAAACACAGGAACTTCTGTTTTCTTTCAAAAATAACCTCAGATCTTAAAAACCATAATCACACTATATTGAAGACCCTTATAATTGCCCTATGTTGTGTTAAGTCCAGGTGTTTTAAGCAGATTATAAAACCCTGCCACGATTCCACAATAAAAAGGGAATGAAAATTGCACTCTGAAATGTAATTGTTTTTTAACATATTTGTTGAAAAAGCAAGAGAAATGAGGGATAAAAGTGCCATCTATTTTGCTAGGAAGCTGGAATTTCCCCTTAGTAAAAGATGATTTTAAAAGCTTTGGAGTATTTCACAGGTGAAAAGTTATGCAGCAGAATGCCTTTAACCACAGATTTGAAGGATGAATTATAACCTCTTTTGGTTTAATCACTCTGCCGATCACCCTCCAGCCAGACACTTAAGAATGACTAAAACTTTTCAGTCTCCATCTAAAGTAATAAGCTTATGGGCATCAATGCCAGAAAGGCAATGAAATCTAGACTTCTGGAAGGTGAGATGGGAGTTCAAAGTCTTAGTCTTTCCACTCCTCCCTCAAGAAATTTCTCTTTGCCTCTGAATTATCCAGTATTTTTCAGAACTTAGTGACATAGGAGTTATTGGAGAGCTTATTAAAAATTCATATTCTTAGGCCCCACTCTTGTCAATTTTAGTTTAGTAGTTTTGAGGTGGGAGCCAGGAAATCAGATTTACTAAAAAGCAGCCTCAGATAATTCTGCTGCAGAGGTCTGCTGATTACACACGGAGAAAGAGTGACGGTTTCAGTGACAACATTGTGAACGTGCTACTTTAGCCCTCTCTGAACAGTGTGGTTATAGAAAAGATTTTCTTGACTTTAAAAAATTTTTAATACTGTAGTTCCTCTTATCTGCTGTTTTGTTTTTCACAGTTTCAGTTAACTATGGTCAACTGTGGAAGAAAAATATTAAGTGGAAAATCCCAGAAAATAAACAATTCATGTTTTAAATTGTGGGCTGTTCTGAGTAGCACGATGAAATCTCCCACTGTCTCTCCTGGGACAAGAATCATCCCTTTGTCCAGCCTATCCACTCTGTATACACTACTCACCTGTTAGTCACTCAGCAGCTGTCTTGGTTATCAGATTGACTGTCACGGTATCACAGTGCTTGTGTTCAAGTAATCCTTATTTTACTTAATTGTTCTATTATTAGCTATTGCTGTTAATCTCTTACTGTGCCTAAGTTATAAAGTTTACCAAAGGTATGTATGTGTAAGAAAAAATAAAGTATATACAGTTCTCTGTCAGTATCTTCAGGGTATTGGTTCCAGGATCCCTGCAAAGATACCAAAATCCATGGATGCTCAAGTCCCTTATACAAAATAACATCATATTTGCATATAATCTATGTACGTCCTCTCATATACTTTAAATCATCTCTAGATTACTTATAGTATCTCATGCAATATAAATGCTAGGTAAACAGTACTTATACTCTGTTTTAATTTTATTATTTTTATTGCTATATTGTTATTTTTTATTGCTTTCCCAAAATTTTTGATCCAAGGTTGCTTGAATCTGAGATCGTGGAACCTGTAGATACAGAGAGCCAACTGTACAGGTTTGGTACTATCCATGGTTTTAGGCATCCACTGGGGGTCTTGGAATGTATCCCCCCAGATAAGGTGGACTATTATAAAGATTTAATGAAAACTTACTATATAACAGGTATTGTACTTAGCTATATATATATCTGTTTGTTTAATTCTCACAATGACCATGTAAGATAATAACCTCATTTTACAGATAAAAGAATGGGGACAGAGAAGTTAAGCAAATTGTTTCAAAATCAAACCCAAAACATCTGACACCAAAGCATTTGTTCCAAATTTTTACATTCTCTGGCCTCCCATAGAGTTCCATTAGCATAGTATATATTTTCAGTGCTCATTCAGTTAACCTCATGGTGGTTGGTCAGTCACTATAATTCATACCACTTTGTAAACATCACTCCCGCAAGTTCCTTTTGTGCCAAAATAACCACTGTGGGTAGGCAGATGCGGCAGGCAGCAAACAGCTGGTCACTGGGGACAGGTGGTCAGGGTCTAGAAATCAAAAAGAACCCCAGCTTCTCTCTTAAAAAAATGTATTAATAGGCAATAAGTTTTATGCATTATATAGTTTGGCTCTGCGTCCCCACCAAATCTCATCCCAAATTG
Source organism: Homo sapiens (assembly GCF_000001405.40). Lineage (NCBI taxonomy): Eukaryota > Metazoa > Chordata > Mammalia > Primates > Hominidae > Homo > Homo sapiens. Next base: position 42,365,267 of record NC_000023.11, on the reverse strand, counting down.
TAATCCCTATAATGCCCACATGTCAAGGGAGGGAGCTGGTGGGAGGTGGCTTCTCCCATGCTGCTCTTATGAGTGAGTGAGTTCTCATGAGTTCTGATGATTTTATAAGTGTTTGACAGTTCTTCCTTCACACACTTTCTGTCTCCTGCCACCTTGTGAAAAAGGCACCTGCTTCCCCTTCTGCCATGATTGTAAGTTTCCTGAGGCCTTCCCTGCCATGTGGAACTGTGAGCCAATTAAATCTCTTTCCTTTATAAGTTACCCAGTCTCAGGGAAGTTCTTTATAGCAGAGTGAAAACAGACTAACACAATGCATTAACCACTCTAGGGATAGTTTACATTACAGGGGTGTGCAATCTTTTGGCTTCCCTGGGCCACATTGGAAGAATTATCTTGGGCCACACATAAAATACATGAACATTAATGATACCGAAGAACTAAAAAAAAAAATGGCGAAACAATCTCATAATCTTTTCAGAAAGTTTACAAGTTTGTATTTGGCTGGATTCAAACCTGTTCTGGGCTGCAGGTTGGACAAGCTTGATTTATAATGTCAAAGAGGAGGCTCAGGACCCCTAGTAATAGTGGTATAACTAGTATTGAACTAGCCCTTCTGATGATAGCAACCATAAACTCTGAAAAACATAAAAGAACTGTTTGGAGGCACTGGGCAGGAAGAAAGTAGAGGAAATTTGGCCTGTGTAACAGGGGAATCACACTGGCTGAGATTCATATTTATATGTTTTTTCTTAGGACCTCCCTCATTTCTCACAAATCTCCAAGATAAGGCTAAAACAAAAAAGCTTGAGTTTTCTTGACCTGAAGATTCAGAGGACAAACTTTGGACCTGACAGAGAAACTGAGAATTGAGGAGGAGGAAATCCCAGAAAGAAGGAGTTTCAAAGAGAGAAGCTACAAAATTTGCATTCAAACATTCCTCAAATCCATGACTGACTTCTGAATTGTAATACATAGGAAGACAGCTGGAAAGATGAAGCACTGAATATCAATTTTACCAACTGCCCCCTGCAGAGGAGAAAGAGTTTGGAGTTTGAGTACTCTCAAATTGGAAGGGCTTGGTAAACACCTAGGACTTTCCATTATAATTCCATCACGTGCCAGGGTGAAGGGATTTATCCAAGGACAAAAGGCAAAACTAAAATAGATCTGACTTAGTGAAGCCTAAAACCAAGTATCCAAAATGTCAAGATGTTCCACCAGTAACTTAACTGCCTACCAATACAAACTCAACACTCTTCAGAAGCGGAAACTAGAATCCAGAATCTCTATAATGTACATTAAGTGTACAATAAAATATTACTAGATATACAAATGAAAAAACCAGAAATGTGTAAAAAAATTCATTAATATAAAAAATGCACAGGTGATCCATATGTTAGAATTAACCAATATTTTTAAGTTACTATAATAAATATGTTAAAAATTTACAGGGGAAAAATGGATAAATGGTAGAACAATCACGATATGGTTTGGCTGTGTCCGCATCCAAATCTCAACTTGAATTGTGTCTCCCAGAATTCCTACGTGTTGTGGGAGGGGCCCAGGGGGAGGTAACTGAATCATGGGGGCCGGTCTTTCTTGTGCTGTTCTCGTGATAGTGAATAAGTCTCACAAGATCTGATGGGTTTATCAGGGGTTTCCACTTTTGTTCTTTCTCATTTTCTCTTGCTGCTGCCATGTAAGAAGTACCTTTCATCTCCCGTTGTGATTCTGAGGCCTCCCCAGCCATGTGGAACTATAAGTCCAAGTAAACCTCTTTTTCTTCCCAGTCTTGGATATATGTCTTTGTCAGCAGCATGAAAACGCACTAACACAAATCATTTTCAGGAGAGATTCTTAAACTGTTGAAAAAAAAAAGAGCCAAATAAAAATTCTAGCACTAAAAAAAATCAAAAATTAAAAATTCACAGAATGGCTTTAATATCAGATTGGAACCAACAGAAGAAGAATCAGTAAAATTGAAGACAGGACAATAAAATTACCCAAACTGAAACACAGGGTGAAAAATAATTTGAAAAAACAATAAAGTGAGCCACAGTGACCTGCAGGATGGTATCAAGCAGACTAACACAAATGTAATTGGAGTCCCAGATGGAGAGAAGAGAGTCAATAGTGCATAAAAACTATTTGAAGACAAATTGAGTAAAATTTTTCCACATTTAATAAAGAAAAACAACTTAGATATTCAGGAGGCTTGGTGACCCCCCAATCAATGTAAACACAAAGGAAGCCAAACACTGGCACATCATAGTCTAACTGCTGAAAACTAGAGATAAAGAGAAAATCTTAAAAGTAGCCAAAGGAGAGAAAGCATATTCATATACAAAGGAACACAAATAAGAATGATATCTGACTTCTCATCAAAAACAATGGAGGCCAGAAGATAACGGAAACAGAATGGTCCAAAATTCTGGGCCTTAAACTAAAAGGAATAAAGCTCTGATAATAAAATTTCTGGTAGTTTGGCAGTTAGGACGGGATAAAACATTCTTTGGTGAGGATCTTCTACATGCCTCTTCAAGTTATTTGGGAGAGCAATCAATCATAGTAGTTTCCTGAGTAGGTGTCATGATGAAATTCAAATTATGGGAAAGAAGCATTTGTGGTTAGGTACAGGATAGACTTGAAGAGGCAGGAAAATGGAAAATTCATTTGGAAAGTGATGTTGCAATCTAGGCAAGAGGTTATTTTTTTGTCAAAATTAAAAAGCAGTGGGCGATAGCATCATCAAAAAAGGCCTGTGACTTAGGTAGCAGACCAAGGCACCCTGAGGATTGTCCTCATACTCATCAAGCTCATGGAACCAAAATAGTACACCCAAAAATATGCTGACTCATCCATTTACCATCAGAAATTCAAATGTCAAGTGTAATAGAAGGCTCAAAGTAGCAGATCAGTATATTCCCCCTTTGTATGGAGACAAGAGGTCTTGATGACTATGGATTCAAAGAAAGAATTTAGGTGAGAAATATTCCTTAGCTGATGTAGCCTGAGCTTCCTCACTCAGCACAGTGAGAGTCTTGCCAAGGATGTTATACCTGCCAGCCAGCTTGGCCCAGATTTCTTCTCTACTGTACTTAGAAGGGTCCTGACTGTGTAGGACTCGCTTTGGCACCACTATCAAGGCTGTTTTGTTCCTCAGATATGTTACCATAACAGGTCTGGTTGCCGTCCAGCCTTGCTGGCCCAAGAGCCATGCTGCCTCTTTACACAACTCTTCCTTACTTCTGATCTATTACATATAACCTTTAAAGTTTAACTCTCAAACAGAAATCTTATTTTAATTTTCTCTAAGTTTTTCTAAGTTTCTAAATTGGCACCTCATTGTGGCCTCCAGGAATGACAACAATCTGGATCTACATTACAGTGGACACAAGAACAATGGAGAATAAGAAGCAAAGAAGTTGTTAGCACAGAGTTCAATGCATAATGCAGAGTTAGATAATGGTTGATCAAGAGAAACAGAATAGAGAACAGATTTTACAACCAATAGTTGCTTTTGTTAGTACCAAAATTCTACTCAGTAACAAATGTCTTGCCCCACGCAAACACTAAGACAACATTTGTGGAATGGGAATGGAGTGAGTTCTGAAGCTTCATAAGCTCGGGATTTGTAAATCTTCTGCAAATTCCAGAAAGTACTCAACTTGCTCACCACTTTTATGGCAGGGAGCACAAATTAAAGGTGAGGGAGGCCAGTAGATTCTATTGGAGTAAAGAGAGTTGGATTAAAGTAAGGATATATGTAGATTACAATTCTTTGAAGGCACAGGGCATTTTCCCATGGGGGATTTTTATCAAAGGGTTAGTTACTCCCCAGGTTTAACTAGGTCAGTATGAACTATTTTGTTATTCATTCTAAACAGTTCTAAGAGTACATATTTTCAGGTTGTAGTGGCACCTTTACACATCTTGTCCATTTATATCCAATTCTGAAATAATTGTCCCTATTTTACAAATTAAGAAATAGGAGCTCAGAGAGGTTAAGTAACTTTCCCAAGTTCACACAGTTAGCGGCAGAGCCAAGAGTCTGAACCATGGCAATCTGGCTCCAGCATTCACGCTCCTAATGACTACGTTATGTGCCACATCCAAGACCTCAGATCCATAAACATCAAGCCAGCCTAGAGCAACAGGGAAAGATCTAAGGAAACTGTAAAGCAAGGCCAAGGTCTGCTTTGGTGTCAGGGCCCTTTGCTTAGTAGACCCAATGGCCTCTGCCCCTAGAACTGACCCTAGGATTAATGCTGTCTCACTTTTGTGTTCTGTGTCTGGCATGGCCACGGCTAGGCTAGGATTCTGGATATAGTTCCAGACTATGGGCAGGAGTAATGGAGGAAAGATGCAACTTGTCTGTGTTTGATATTTTGTCAACTTGTAAATTTGAGGTCCCTGAACCACTAAGATCAAGTTCTTTTTTTCTCAGCACACCTAACTTGGCAGATGCTAGCATTATAGCTGAGCAGATGTTTTCCCTGAAGAATCTGTTTCCAATACCTTATGATGAAGAATCACCTTCAGAGAATAAACAAATGTACATATGTGTAAGCTCTAGCAAAACAAAACCATCTATTTCAGATGTGAGACAACAAATGCTCTATGCTTTAGGAAATAGATATCAAACAGGCTGGCAGTCACTCAAGGATTTATTTTTAAGTGTCATTTCTATTTGGGGTTTTTCACTATCCCTCCCCGCTTTCAGCAATTGCAGTTTGGAACATTAATTCTGGATTTTATTTTTTATTTCCCCCAATGTAGTTTGCATCAAACTGACAAAAGACACTTTTATAAACTGAGTATGCTAAATGTGCTTATTCAACATATTCTGCAGTGCTTGAATTTAAACCAGGGAGAAAGTGGGTAATCAATATATAGCAATGTTTCTTTTTCTAAACACCCTGTAAGTTTTTCTATTGATTTATTGTTTTGCTGGATTTTTTTAATCACCAAATTATTCCCAGAGATACCAAGATACTCATGCAATTCCTTTCAGTGTTTACAAATGGTTGTAACTGATCAAGCTTATCTGTCTCAGAAGCATATTGCAGAGTTACTAATATCTTTTTGTTGAATAATGCCATTTCATTCTTCACTTTCATTGTCCAGTCAGTCAATGTGTACATGGTAAGTATTTCTTAGTGTCATGAGTTTCTATGAATAAGGAAAAGATGAGTGGGATGTATTACATAGTCAATCTTAAATTTAAATTAGCTATATGTGATAGGCTACATAATGCTTCCAAAATGTATGTCCACATCCTAATCCCTGGAACATGTGAGATTACCTTATATGGCAAAGGCTTTGCAGATGTGATGGTTTATAGATCTTGAGATGGGGAAATTATCCTGTATTATTCATAAATATCCCTGTAAGAGGAAGCCCAGTGGAGATTTCACATGCATGGAAGAGAAGAAGGCCATGTGACCATAGAGGCAGAGACTGGAGGGATGCTGACACAAGCTAAGGCATGCCCACAGCCACCAGAAGTTGGAAGAGGCAAGGAATGGATTCACCCCTAGGGCCTCCAGAGGGAGAGGCATGTGCCCTTTCTGATATCTTGATTTTAAGTCAATAAAACTGACTGTGGACTTCTGGCCTCCAGAACTGTGGGAGGATAAATTTCTGTTGCTTTAAGCCACCAAGAGTGTGGTAATTTATTATGGCAGCCCCAACAAACGAATACACTAAGTTTCCATATGTTACACATAAGCCAATTATTTGGACCAGGTGCACGTATCTGTAAATATAATATTAGATGCACTAGGTAGGTCACCATGTTGGACCACAAAAGCCTTTTTAACCCATATATATTGAATTATACTATATACTATAGTATATTTGTACAGGTTTTTTTCCCTGTCTCTAGCAGGAAAAAAGTGAAAACCCACTTTGGTGTCCCTGAAAGTAGTGCCCTAAGGAGTTGTCCAGGATCTCAGATGCCAGAGAAAATGGGTATCATCATACACATTGTATTGTGTTTTGAATGTCTAATAGTAAAAGATGCTCAACTTCCAGGGTGTGAATCCCAGGGAATGAAGTGGAATCACAGTGCAGGTTTCATTAGGTGATGGATAGCTAAACCTGTCCTGACACTCTAGGGGCCAATTTAAACCTTGGGGGTGGTGGGGGGACAGGATTATAAATGTGTGTGAAGAGCAAATGACCATCATAGGGCATACTGGTTGATTCCACATTGTGATAATGGCTTGGTCTGCCCAGAAAAGATCATGGCATCATTTTCCAGAATCTGGTCACCAAAGTCTCACTACATCAGTCGACAAGCATTGACGCTGGACCATGCAGGATGAGTGTTCAATAACAACACCTTATGGATTTCAGAAGCGTGGGCCGTAGTGCACCGATCAGGCCCAGCTCTCTCTCCACTTGACTATGAAAGCCAGGTTGACTGCCACTGAGACCATAAGCCCTTGCATTCCAAGACTATATGTGGGGAGGGGAGGATAAAGGGAGGGTCTTGGGAGAGAGCGAGAAACTACTTCAAAGGAATCCAGTCTTGAGCAGTTAAATGGAAATACAGGTTGAACATCCCTAATCCAAATATCCAAAATCTGAAATGCTCCAAAATGCAAAGCTTTTAAAGTGACAGCATGACACCATAAGTGCAAAATTCGACCTCACCTCATGTGATGAGTCACAGTCAAAACTTTCTTTAGCGATGCAAGCAGATCACCTGAGGACAGGAGCTCGAGACCAGCCTGGCCAACACGGTGAAACCCCGACTCTACTAAAAATACCAACAATTAGCCAGGCATGGTGGCACACGCCTGTAATCCCAGCTACTCAGGAGGCTGAGGCAGGAGAGTCGCTTGAACCCGGGAGGTGGAGGTTGCGGTGAGCTGAGTTCATGCCATTGCACTCCAGCCTGGGTGGCAGAGTGAGACTCCATCTCAAAAAAAAAAAAAAACTTTCTTTAATACACAAAATTATTTTAAGTAATAAATTACCTTCAGGCTATGCATATAAGGTGTGCATGAAACATAAATGAATTTCATATTTAGACTTGGATCCCATCCCTAAGATATCTCATTGTGTATATACAAATATTCAAAAACGTAAAAAATCCAAAATACTTCTCAACCCAAGCATTTTGGATAAGAGATACTCAACCTACATACAAAAAGTATGTCCATATTTGTACCAGGTTTATAGAGTATATCATGTGAGTTACAACTACAAACACAAACAATGAAGTCCATTGAGGTTTAACAGTTATTGAAATAATACTAAGGGCAAATGCATTCTCTAATCGCCAGTAAGGTCCTTGGAGAGACATCTGTCCTTTATTAAGTAATACAATAGGGAAAGGGACCGACACTCTTGGCATTACTATCTTGTTAACCCTTAAAATTCACTAAGGACTTATATGTGCTTCTCTAGATCAATCACTGCCTGCCAAGGAAAGGGGCTCCGGGCATTTCTGTCATTTATTCAAAAGTACAAATCACCTGCAACACAACAGGTGATGAGTCAGGAACTTTCTTTTTTCTCTTTCTCTCTCTCTCTCTTTTTTTTTTTTTTTTTTTTTTTTTTTTTTTTTTTTTTTTTGACAGTCTCATTCTGTCGCCCATGCTGGAATGCAGTGAGGTGATCTCAGCTCACTGCAACCGCCACCTCCGAGGTTCAAGCAATTCTCGTGTCTCAGCTACTCAGTGAGTAGCTAAGACTACATGCACCAAGTCCAAATAATTGGTTTGTGTGTAACATACAGAAACACAGTGTCAAAATTATTTAATTACTGATTGCATTTATTTCATATATACAGTTCAGATCATGTTTTTACATCTTCTCTCAGGTTTCAGTGTTTTAAGTTTTTCAATATTTTAAGTATTTTACTGTTTGTCCACTTCCTCTAAATTTTCAGTTTATTGGCATGAGGGTCTCTAGTGATGTGACTCCCAGTTTTGATTCCTGATATTACCAATTTCTGTCTTACTCCTTTTATCTTTATGAAAGTCTCACCCGAGGTTTATGAGTTTTACAGACTTTTTTTTTTTTTTTTTTTTTTTGGCAGAGTCTCACTCTGTTACCCAGGCTGGAGTGCAGTGGTGAGATCTTGACTCGCCACAACTTCCACCTCCCAGGTTCAAGCGATTCTCCTGCCTCAGCCTCCCGAGTAGCTGGGACAACAGGCACACACCACCACACCCAGCCAATTTTTATATTTTTAGTAAAGACGGGGTTTCACTATGTTGTCCAGGCTGGCCTTGAACTCCTGGGCTCAAGGGATCTGCTTGCCTTGGACTCCCAAAGTGCTGGCATTACAGGCGAGTCAGAAACTGTCTGCAAAGCTTACTCTTAATTTTCTGGCAAGCCAACTTGCTAACGGTTGGTGGCAACATGGAAGGAAGGGCTCAGTATCTTCATGTTTGTCAATTATTTGCCCCTCTCTAAATGTTTCTCACTCTCTTTGCTACCAGCTGAGATATGTCCATTTCATAAGTGTTGAACAATTGAGAACCCAATAAAGAAAACTGAACCTAGGACAGGTCAGACAAGAAAGAGCATGTGGTATACATAACAGGCAGCTTTCAGTAAGGTCTAGAGTAGAAACAATTATTGACATGAAGAGTAAGGTTTTTTGCTTTTTTTTCCCCCAGAGGAACCTCAGGAATCATAGAATAGCCAGTCAGTTTCCTACTTTCATAAGAAAATGTTAATAGCTCATAAACTTATATTCTTGCTTACACTGCATATAAGCAATTCATGCATAACAACTTTGTAAAATTAATCAAAGGTACCTGCCTAAGGCCACCTAGTTTCCCTTTTATTGTATTTACTTTTGCTGGTTTTTAATCTGACTTCCCTGTAAAAATATTTTAACTCATTTCTATAATTACTGTGAATTGGACAGAGAGGAAGAAAGGGAAACAGACCATGAACAGAGAAGATACAATCATAAATATCACGTGAACTAAAATATAAATGATGTTATAATTCAAAACGCAGCTTGCTTAATGGGTAGAAGATTTTGAGAAGCAGAAAAAACACAGGATGTTTGGATTCTCATTTGCAAGCAAAAGAATTGCCCATACTTGGGGGCCCTTACAGCAAAGAAAGCCAGAAGAAACTCTTGGAAATCATACTTAGGGTCTGGGAACCCTGCCCTGTAAATGTGGACAACCCCATCCAGGTAGATAATTCCAACCTTCATAGGGATGACAAGGCTAGTCTGGGTTTAGCTGCTGGGTAGGTTCCAGGCTGCATTTTTTGTGGAAATAAACAAATCTCTGATCATGAATGTGATCACCACAGGCAAATTTTGTGACAAGCATCCAGAGGCTGCGGCCTCTAATTTAAGTGATGCTACTGTGGCATCTAGAGAGACTGCAGAAATTCTCAGTTAGAGACCCACATCACAAATAACCAGGAAGTTACCTAACGCTAACTTTATCCTAAATTTGAACAGCATAAATAAACCCCTTTATTCTGGAAGACGCCTCATACCATCTGAGTCTCTCTGCCTCTAAAGTCACGATTTGTGGGTATCCGAGTCTCTCTGCCTCTAAAGTCATGATTTATGGGTATAAAAGAGCCACATATTTTTATACAGCCTTGTTGACATAAGAGTGAGTCCCTCTCCAGCTAAGACTCTTGGCAGTTGTGCTATGCAAGATTTTCAGTGTGGTCTTTGGTAAATTTTATGGAGTTTAAGTGCCCCTCAAGTGAATGGAGTGGTCCATGTTCCTCAAAGTCCCCACGTTTTTGTAGATTCCCCTCTGAAGGTTATAATTCTTAGCAGGCCCAGCAAAGCCACTTTTTAGTGGCTAAGGCCATAGCAGTGGTATTGTAGGGTTATCAAGATCCAAAAGAGAATAGAATTACAGGAATAAGTGGTGATTTCGTACCAAGAAATTGCTAAAGCCAGCTCTACACAGCCAGAAGATACTACGTTGCCTGGACACTTAAAGGAAACATGGGGCTTAACTTAGATAATAAGAGCTCTCGCTTGAAAAAAACAACAAAGATCAGTATCAATCATGGTAAATAATAATAGTAATAATAATGATGATAATTCTAATAAGCACTCTCATGGTACTATGTCTCAAGTGCTGTTGTAAGTGTGTTATACATATTGATTCATTTAATTTTATAAGACTCCAATGAAGTAAGTACTAGTATTAATCTCATTTTACAAATGAGGAAAAGGAGCTAAAAAAAGGTTAAATAATTCACACAACTGGGAAATGTTCACAAATACTTTGTATCACAAATACATCTGTACTAAACAAATGGCCATTGAAGTACCACAGCCCATGGCATGGATGGTTGTGGGGATATAGGCTGTCCAGTTTAACTGAGAACATCCTCTTACAAGGCAAAAGGGAAATCAAGATTATTGGTGGTCACAGTGTCTGCGTATTCCTCTTGTCTACTAGCTACTCAGTCAACAAATCTTCAGTTGTCTGCTATGTGCACATACTATGCTGAACCTGAAGACATTCTACTCTGAAGCAAACTGATGGCCATAATGATCTCTTTCTGAGTGATCACCATAACCATGAGTGGGCTGGGTGCGGTGGCTCACGCCTGTAATCCCAGCACTTTGGGAAGCCAAGGCAGGTGGTTCACGAGGTCAGGAGTTCAAGACCAGCCTGGCCAACATGGTGAAACCATGTCTCTATTAAAAAAAATACAAAAATTATCTGGGCATGGTGGCACGCACCTGTAGTCCCAGCTACTCGGGAGGCTGAGGCAGGAGAATTGCTTGAATCCGGGAGGCAGAGGTTGCAGCAGTGAGACGAGATCACGCCACTGCACTCCAGCCTGGGTGACAGAGTGAGACTCTGTCTAAAAAAAAAAAAAAAAAAAAAAAACCATGAGTAGTTGCAAAGCACAGATATTATTATGGTCTGAATGTTTGTGTCCCTTCAAATTCATGTGTTGGAACCTAATCACCATTGTGATGATGTTAGGAGATGGAGCCTTTGGGAGGTGATTAGGTCATGAAGGAAGAGTCCTCATAAATGGGATTAGTGCCCTTATAAAAGAGACGCCAGAGAACTGCCATCCCCCCTCCACCACATAAGGACACACACAGCAAGAAGGTGCCATCTATGAACCAGGAAGCAGGTCCTCACTAGATGCAGAATCTGCTGGTGCCTTGATCTTGAATTTCCCCACCTCCGCAACGTGAGCAATAAATTTCTGTTGTTTAGAAGACACCAGTCTATGATATTTTGTTATAGTAGCCCAAACAAACTAAGACAGATATTAAAGAGTATGGCTATTATTAAGAACAAGAATTACCACTTCAACTCCTCATGGAAACTTTAACAATGACCTCAGACTCTTTCAAGTACAGTATTCATTTATTTGATTCCTAAAATAACTTTTATAAAAGCATTCAACTAATAAAACCTGAAGGCTAGAATGTAAGTCTAGCATGGATGGAGTTTGTAAACTGCAGGCACAAATTATTTCAGAGTTTATGGATTAATGGTATTCTATTTTTTATTTCCTTATATTAATACTGAAACATCACAATTTTGAGTAGATCAACAACAAAAAATCATGTAGACCAAAAAAATCTGATCAGAATCAGAGATGTCCAGCCGAGTTTTTAAACTTTTTTTTTTTTTTTTTTTTGAGTCTCGCTCTGTCGCCAGGCTGGAGTGCAGTGGCGCAATCTCGGCTCACCGCAACCTCCAGCTCACGGCAACTTCCCACTCCCCGGTTCAAGCAATTCTCCTGCCTCAGCCTCCTGAGTAGCTGGGATTACAGGCATGTGCCACCACGCCCAGCTAGTTTTTGTATTTTTAGTAGAGACAGGGTTTCACCATGTTGGCCAGGATGGTGTCAATCTCCTGACCTCGTGATCCACCCGCCTCAGCCTCCCAAAGCGCTGGGATTACAGGCCCAAGCCACCGCGTGCAACCTTTTAAACGTTTTATTATGGAAAATGTCCTGCCTATGCAAAGTAAACAGACCAGTATAACAAAGCCAACATATCTATCATCCAGCTGCAACAACTACAACATTCTGTCATTCTTGTTTCTTACATTTTCCTCTATTCCTAACTCAATTATTATTTCTATAACATTCTTTATAGAGGTAAAATTTATATATATCAGAAGGCAAAAATCTTAACTGTGTAATTTTGACAAATACCATATGAGAAATATAATGTGCCCATATAACCCATATTCCCTATCCAGATTTTCAATACTCTCATCATCTCAGAAAGTTCCCTAATGTACATTTCCAATCGATTTATACTCCCAACCCAGACACAATCATTGTTCTGAATTTTTTCCATGCCATAGATTAGTTTTGCCAATTCTAGGACTTCATAAATAGAATTGCAGAGCATATGGTCTTTTGTGTCTGGGATCTTTCACTCAGAATAAGGTTTGTGAGATTCATCCATGAGTGGTTTCTTCCTTTTTTTCTTTCTAATATTTCATTCTATGAATATACCACAATTTATTTATCTATTCTCTTAAAGTTAGCCATTTAAGTTGTTTCAAGTTTTGCAGTATTATAATTAAGGCTGTTATGATTGTTCTTGTAATTTTATTTTGTGAACATGCATTTTCATTTTTGGGGGTAAATATCTAGAAGTGGAATTTCTCAGACAAACGGTAAGTAAAAGACTATTTTATAATACATACATTAATTTTCTAGGTTCTCACAAGTGACTTGCAAATGTTTTTCTTGACAAAACCGAAATCTTCTTTTAGATCATTTTTATGATAGAAAATGTCCCTTGAAAATACAACTTTGCCCAGAACTTTGGGAGGCCAAGGCAGGCGGATCACCTCAGGTCAGGAGTTCAAGACCAACCTGGTCAACATGCTGAAACCCCGACTACTAAAAATATAAAAAAAAATTAGCCAGGCATGGTGGTGCATGCCCATAATCCCAGCTACTTGGCAGGCTGAGGCAGGAGAATCACTTGAACCCAGGAGGTGGAGGTTGCAGTGAGCCGAGATCACACCACTGCACTCCAGCCTGGGCGACAACAGTAAAACGCTGTCTCAAAAACAGACAAACAACAAAAAAAAAAAACAAATTTGCAGTGCTAAGTAGCAATGTGATGTATGAAGACACTTCATGCTAACTAGAAGTAATAAAATAGTCTTCTAATTTATATGTGAAATCTAAGTAAATCCTGAAGCCCCATGTGACTCAGTCCTGCCAATATTACAAATTTCCTTTCTCCACTGTCTTTTCCACTTGATAACTCCATCTATTTGTATGCTACATATTAGAAAAACTACAGAAAATTATTTTATGTGGTCACATGGACATAGAGAGTGGAATGATAGATAATGAAGACACAGAAGAGTGAGGGAGTGGGAGAGGGGAGGATGATGAAAAATTGGTTAATGGGCACAACAATGTATGTTATTAAGATGACAGATACCCTAAAAGCCCTGACCTGACCACTATGCAGTCTATGCATGTAACAAAATTGCATACCTACCCCATAAATGTGTAAAAATAAAAAGGAAAAGATATTTAAAATAAGCAAAACTCTAAAAAGAAAAGAATGAATAAGAAGAAACAAACTGTTTACATTCATTTTTCTTCAATAAAGTTCTAGAAGAAAAAAGAAACACAAATGCAAACATAAACTGTAAGGTAACTTATCTATAATTACCAAAATAATTTGTCTTTTCTGAGCCAATTGTTCAGTAAGAATTGGACAAGTATTGTATTACTAAGATAGTACACCTGACTACCTTTATATACATAATACTAAGTTATTCTTAGTTTTCTAGGTTTACTCAGTTCAATGAATAATCAGGGGTCCATGTTATAATCAAGGTAAGGTGGGTAAATAAGGTCAATTTTCCTCCAATATTATGATACCGTCCTCCTTCCTCTCAAACTTTAAAGTTTCTACAAATAACCTGAAAAGCCTGTGAATACAGATTCCTGATCCCAAATCCACACTTATGGAATCAGAAACTCTCTGGTGGTGAAGCTCAGGAATAAGCCTCTTTTGGCAAAAAGAAAACAGGTGGCCCTAATGCTTATAGAGGATTGTATTTTGAAAAACAAGCCTTATAAAAGATTTTTCACACCATTCCCCTGCACCTCCAATTTCCAATTTACCTTCTAGCTTTCATGCTATGAGTCTATTTTTTCCTGCAGTGTAAGATTTGAAGGACTAAGGCTTGGGTGTTAGCACAGGATGGTCAGAAAGAAGAGGTTTAGCTCTAGACAAAAGGGTCTTCCATGTCACTCAATTTGGCTCACCAGAAGTTATACTGGAATAATAGTAAAAAGAGTGTACGTTTGCTGGGCCTTGTCCTCTGGCCAAATGTTTCCTTTAGAAGTCTGTTCTGTGGGATGGTTGCAGAGGGGTGCTGAAGGGGGAAGAAATTGACTGTGGTAGTAGAGAATTTAATGAGTTCAGGTTGTAAGTTCTCACTATTTCTAGAACCCCATACATCCTACAATTGATTTACACTAACGCCCCTCCACTTTGCTTTTCTCCACTCATCCTCTTCTACTGCCTTTCAATCATAGTACACAGTCATCTAGAAAAGGTACCACTTTACTGTTTAGTAAAAAAAAAAACAAACAACAACAAAAAAAATCTTGGAGATACAAGAAAGAGTAGCACATACAGTTGTATTCAACTCCAGGCATTCTAATATATGCATAGGGTGCCTTATGGAGTTGTGTGGCATACAATCTACAAAGCCATCCTTAGTATACAAGATGATATATATTAGGGAACAAACAAGTACAGAGTCCCATTAAATTAAACAAGATTGATATAGCTTTACTTATTAATTATGATATTCACTCATTTTGTAACTAATTTCACAGGTAGCTCATCCAGTCCTATTTTTGCCTCTATTCTAACATTTAGATATTTATCAGCTCTTCCTCCCCATTGTCCTCTTATGTCCTCAGCCAAAACCTGAAAATTTCTTTTCTAGTTCTCTCCCTGTCTGGGATTCGGGTCTATTCCTTATATGTCAATTGGATAATTTGTAAGAAGTTTTTAATTCCATGAATTTCTGTAAAATGATTTTTCTCTTCTGATTGGCTATGAAGCTTTCACAATGGAAAATGTTTGGAAGAAACCAAATCCAACTATCACATGTAGCCAATTTTACCCATTTCTCCTCTTCTACTGCCTTGTGGTTTAAACACCTACAGTTAGCATGGCACGGTGGCTCACGCCTGTAATCCCAGCACTTTGGGAGGCCGAGGCAGGCAGACCACAAGATCAAGAGATCGAGACCATCCTGGCCACATGGTTAAACCCTGTCTCTATTAAAAATATAAAAATTAACTGGGCGTGGTGGCAGGCACCTGCAGTCCCAGCTACTCAGGAGGCTGAGGCAGGAGAATCACTTGAACCTGGGAGGCAGAGGTTGCAGTGAGCTGAGATCACACCATTGCACTCCAGCCTGGGTGACAGAGAGAGACGCCATCTCAAAAAAAAATAAATAAAATAAAAATAAATAAATAAATACATAAACACTTACAGTTGCACTAATAAGCCTGGCCCTTGATACAGTGGGAAAATATTCCCAATTAGCACAAAACATGACTCACAGGGTGAAATAAAAAAACATGGGCAATAAAGAATAAACTGAATGAGAACAGAATACAACCTAGGTCTCCATTTTCTCATCTGCAAATGAGAAAAAGTAGGTGCCAAACCTGACTGTTCCATCAGAATCCCATATGGGGATATTCCATAAAATATAGGTTATTAGTCTCCACTCCCAGAATATTTTGATTTATTTTGTCTAAGGATAGGACCTGAGAATCTGCATTTTTAAAAATACTCCCAACCAGATATATATTTTCATATTATAAATACAATGTACTTGTAAAAGCAAAGCAGATGAGTTCCAGTTTCAGTTAAAATGGAGTAAATAACTCCATCCTACCTCCTCGACTGATTACAACTAAGAATTCTGCACAAAATACATAAAGCAACTCTCAGAAGACTCTGAAAGGAAAATAAGACCAGGTAGTCTGAATACAGAATTCCGTACTCAAAGGACAAATCAGCAATAAATTGCCTGTTGGTTTGTTTCTCCCCCTGTCTTCTATATCCTGGCTTAAACTCTGTGGCAGGCAAAAATCAAAACTACTAACAGGCGCAGATAAAGTAAGATTCAAGAGAAGTTCACTCTCTCTAGCCAGAGAAGCAGGAGTGAGGGCCAGTGTGGAACAAACCCCTTTTCACTCTCAAGCATGAGCAACAAAACAGGAGTCCACTGCTCCAAACAAGACGGAGGTGGCCCCAAGCCATTTTGAGTGCCAGCAAAGAAAAGTCACGCCATCCTTCACTGGTATGACAGAGGTTACCACTGTGAAGTGGAGAAGCCCCTTTTTACTCTCCCTGTACTACACTGGGCAAAAATGTTGTCAGTAGAGGCAGCAGTAGCAGCCCCACAAGCTCTTTGCTCCCACTACTTTGTCCCAAATTAGGCCCAGTCACAAGAAGTACATAAAAATGTGGGAAAGCTGAAGCTCTCTGGGTTTCTAGCTAGACCACCAGGAAAAGGGCCTCTGGGAATTAGAGAGAACTACAGAGATGATGAAGCTGGAAAAGGGGATTTTTAAATCTCTAAAGTCCTGGGCTCAGTCCCAAGCTGCTCATGTGTGAAACCAGATGTAATGAACACAGCAAAGGCTTTATGAACTCAACTACACCATAGATCACTGCCCAGATCCCAAATTGGCACCAAGAATGTACGAAAGAGTACAAACCAGAAGATCACTGCAATGGCTTTTTTAACTAAACTGACATCGGAACTATAGCTTACAGAAGTTGGCTTAGGACTTGCAGTCTAGATGCAACAGGTTTGACTGCCAGCTAAAACAAAATAAAAAAAATTCTCTATAATATTTTACAGGACTCAGAGTCTCATAACATAGTATTGAATATGCCCAAATGCAATCAAAGATTATTCAATGTATAAAGAATCATAAAAACCTAAGAAATTGTCAAAGGAAAAGGCAATCAAGTGATGCTAACCTCGAGGTGACTAAATGCTGCAATTATCAGGCAAGATTTTAGAGCAGTTATTATGATTGTGCTACATGAAGTAAGTGTCGACAATTTTGGAATAAATGTAAAGATATCGGTTCTCTTCTGAGAAATAGAAGGTCTAAAAATGAACTAAATGAAAATCATAAAACTAAAAGATACAACAATGAAAATAAACTGTAATATACATAAAAACTGGAAGGGATCAATAGAAGAATGGGGATGACAGATGAATGAATTAGTGAATTTGGTCAATAGAAACTATGCAATCTGAAATATAGAGATTCAACAGTTTAAAAAAATAAAACAGAGCTTAAGAGCCTGTGGAACAATAGCAAAAGATACAACATTCATCTCATCAAAGTTCCAGCAAGACAGGAGAAAAATGTATGTGCAGAAAAATATTTGACTAAACACTTCCCAAATTCCAGGAAAAACAAAATCTACAAATCTAAGAAGCTTGGTGAATCCCCAAAAGGATAAACTCAAAGAAATCATGCCTGTACATATTATTTTAAAACTACTGAAAATCAAAAATAGAGTCTTGAAAGCAGGCAAAGAAAAACAATATATTACATTTAGAGGACAAAGATCCAAATGTGTGCTGATTTTTCATCAGGAATGATGGAGACCAGAAGACAGTGAAACAACAGTTTTAAAGTGCTGAAAGAAAAGACCTGCCTGTCAACCCAGAATTCTATAACCAATGAGATTATCATTCAGGAATGAAGGAAAAATGAAGATGTTCTCTGATGAAGGAAAAATAAGATAATTCATTGCTAATAAATCAATTTTAAAGAAATATAAAGAAATTCAAGTGGAAAGGAAATAATAACTAAAGGAAATCTAGAACATCAATAATGATCAAAGAGCAACAAAAATAGTAAATGTCTCCCTAAATAAAATAGACTTTTTTTGTCCCATAATTTTGTGTAACAATATATTTTTGTTGAAAGCAAAAAGCATAATGCTGTATGATGGGATTTTCAATAAGTAAATGGAATACATATGAAAATTTTGTAAAAGGAAGAAGAGTAAAATGATTATATATGTATACTTATTCCTTATTTTTATGTGAAATGGTAAGATATTGATGCTAACTAGATTGTATAAAGTTTGATGTGTATATCGCATTTCCTACAACAGTCACTGAAAACAACAATTCAAAGGGATATAGTCAAAAATGCAATAGAGAAATTAAAATAGGATTCTCAAAAGTAAGTAACTCAAAAAAACACAAAAAAAGAAAACCAAGGTAATAAAATACAGAGAACAGAAATTAATGATAAAATGCTGCACCAAAATGCAACCATATCAGTAATTACATTAAATGAAAATAGTTTAAACAAAACAATTAAAAGGGAGTGATAATTAGATTGGATTTTTAAACACACACACACACACGTACACAGTAACCAACTGTATGCTGTCTACAGGAATTTTACTCAAGACATAATGATATACATGGGTTAAAAATGAAATTATGAGAAAAAGATATAACATGCAAACACTAACGAGAAGAAAAAAGCTGGTGTGTGTATTTAATATCAGACAAAGTAAACTTCAGGAAAAGGAAAATAACCACAGACAAAAAGGGACACCACATGATGATAAAAAGGTCAGTTCCTCAAGAAGACATGACAATTTTAAATGTGTATGCAATTGACAACAGAGCTTCAAAATAAGTAAAGCATAGATGGACAGAATTAAAAGGAGAAATAAACAAATCCATAATTATTTTTATGCATTTCAAGTTGTCTCTTGAAGTAACTGATAAAACAAATAGAAAAGCAGCAAGGCTATAGAAACCTGAGCAACATCATCAACAAAGTAGTTGGTTGATGAACTAGTAGTTCTAGTTGATCTTTATATAACATTCTACCCAACAACTACAGAATACACATTTTTTTCAAGAGCACATGGAAATATTCACCAAAACAGACCATATCCTGGGCCATAGAACAAATTTGTTAAACTTAGAAGAATTGAATTATCTAAAATATATTCTCTGACTATAATATAATTAAACTAAAAATTGATAACCAAGGATTTTTGGAAAATCTCCAGATTTGGAAATTAAACTACACACTACCATTTAATCCATGGCGCAAAGAGGCACTCTGAAGAGAAATTAGAAAGTATTTTGAACTGAATAAAAATAGAAATAAATATCAAAATATGTGAAATGTGCCCCAAAAGGCACTTAGAAAAAAATTAATAGCATTACATGCTTATACTAGAAAAGAAGTAAGCTTAATCAATAACTTAAGCTTCCATCTTAAGAAACCAGAAAAAGAAGACACTAAAACTAAAGCAAAGACAAAAGGAAATAATAAAGAAAAATAAATTAATAACATTGAGAACAACAAAACAACAGAGAAAATCAATTAAACTAAAAGCTGATTCTATGAAAAAAATGCAATAAAATTAATAAACCTCTAGCTTGATGATCAAGTAAAAGAGAGAAGGCACTTACAATGGATAACAAGAATGAAAGAGGAGATATGACTATAGACTGAGACATTAAAGGGCAACGAAGGAATATTAAAAACAATTCTATGCACACAAATATGACAAGTTAGATAAAATGGACCAATTGCTTGAAAGATATAACCTACCAAAATGTACACAAGATAAAATAAATAACCTCAATAATCTTATATCTACTAAAGAAATTAATTTCATAATCAAAATTATTCTGAAAAATAAAACTCCTGGCCCAGGTGATTTCACTGTAGAATTCTATTAAGCATCTAAGAAGAGGAGGGGACATGTCACAACTGACTTGAGCCACCATTACTCTGATACCACAACCAGCAATGACCATACAAGAAAAGACAATTATAGACCAATATCCCTCATGAACATAGGTGCAAAAATCTTCAAAAAAAAAAAAAAAAAACACTTAGCAATTTAACCCAGCAATATATTACAAGAACAATACATCATCACCAAGTGGGGTTTCTCTCCAGGAATGCAAGAATGGATAAACATTGGAAAATCAATCAATGTAATTCATTGTATTAACAGTCTAAAGGAGAAAAAAATGCATGGTTATATCAAAAGATGCAGAAAATCACTTGACAATTTCAACATTCATTCAAGATAAAAACTCTCAGCAAACAAGAAATAGAAGAAAACTTTCTCAATATGATAAAAGGCATCTACAAAAACCTTACAGCTGACATCATACTTAATGGTGAAAACCTGCATGCTTTCTCCCTATGATTGGGATCAAGGCAAGGAGGACCACTCTCACCACTCCTATTCAGTATCGTATTGGAAGTACTAGCAAGTACAATGAATCAAGAAAAGAAATGAATGGTATATAGATTAGGAAGGGATAAATAAAGCTATTAATATACCCAGATGACTTATGTAGAAAATCCCAAGTAATCTAAGAAAAGCACATAGAACTAATAAGTGACTTTGGCAAGGGCACAGATACAAATTCTATACATCCACAATAAACAATAGGAATCCAAAATTTAAGAATAATACTATTCATAGTAGCCCCCCAATGAAATATTTATGTACAATTCTAACAAAATACATTCAGGATCTGCATGTGGAACTAAATAAAAATAAAAATACAACTTATCAAAATTTGTAGGATACAGCAAAAACAGTGTGTAGAGGAAAAAGTTACTATATATATGTATATATAAGTATATATAGTATGTGTGTATGTATATAGAATAAAGATGTAAAGTAAGTAACCTAAGAATCCACCTCAGCAAACTAAAGAATAAACAGCTTGTTCACTCTGATTATAGTTTCTTTTGCTGTGCAGAAGCTCTTTAGTTTAATTAGATTCCATTTGTCAACTTTTGTTTTGTTGCAATTGCTTTTGGCATTTTTGTCATGAAGTTTTTGCCCATGCTTATGTCCTGAATGGTATTGCCTAGGTATTCTTCTAGGGTTTTTATGGTTTGGGGTTTTAAATTTAAGTCTTTAATCCATCTTGAGTTAATTTTATTATAAGGTGTAAGGAAGGGGTCTAATTTCAATTTTCTGCATATGGCTAGCCAGTTTTCCCAGCATAATCTATTGAATAGGAGATACTTTCTCCATTGCTTGTTTTTTTCAGGTTTGTTGAAGATCAGATTGCTGTAGATGTATGGTGTTATTTCTGAGGTCTCTGTTCTGTTCCATTGGTCTATATGTCTGTTTTGGTACCAGTATCATGCTGTTTCAGTTACTGTAGTCTTGTAGTATAGCTTGAAGTTAGGTAGCATGATGCCTCCAGCTTTGCTCTTTTTGCTTAGGATTGTCTTGGCTATACAGTTTTGCAATCTACCCACCTGACAAATGCCTAATATCCAGAATTTACAAGGAACTTAAATTTAGAAGAAAAAAACAAACAACACAATCAAAAAGTTTGCAAAAGATATGAACAGAGAAACATATCTTGACGGGGGTGGCTGGCAAGATGGTTGAATAGGAACAGTTCCAGTCTGCAGCTCCCACTGAGATCAATGCAGAAGGCAGGTGATTTGTGCATTTCCAACTGAGGTATGTGGCTCATCTCACTGGGACTGGTTAGACAGTGGGTGCAGCGCATGGAGGGTGAGCTGAAGCAGGGTGGGGCATCACCTCACCTGGGAATTTCAAGGGGTCAGGAAACTCCCTCCCCTAGCTAAGGGAAGCTGTGAAGGACTGTGCCATTGGGAACGATGCATTCCAGCACAGATACTACACTTTTCCCATGGTCTTTGCAACCTGCAGACCAGGAGATTCCCTCTGGTGCCTACATAATCAGGGCCCTGGGTTTCAAGTACAAAACTAGGTGGCCATTTGGGCAGACACCGAGCTAGCTGCAGGAGTTTTTTTTCATACCCCAGTGGTGCCTGGAATGCCAGCCAGACAGAACCGTTCACTCCCCTGGAAAGGGGGCTGAAACCAGGGAGCCAAGTGGTCTAGCTCAGCAGATCCCACCCCCATGGAGCCCAGCAAGCTAAGATCCCCTGCATTGAAATTCTCGCTGCCAGCACAGCAGTCTGAAGTCAACCTGGGACACTCGAGCATGGTGGGGGGAGGGGCATTTGCCATTACTGAGGTTTGAGTAGGCAGTTTTCCCCTCACAGTGTAAACAAAACCACCTGGAGTTTGAACTGGGTGGAGCCCACTGCAGCTCAGCAAAGCCACTGTAGCCAGGCTGCCTCTCTGGATTCCTCCTCTCTGGGCAGGGCATCTCTGAAAGAAAGGCAGCAGCCACAGTCAGGGGCTTATAGATAAAACCCCCATCTCCCTGGGATAGAGCACCTGGGGGAAGGGGCAGCTGTGGGGGCAGCTTCAGCAGACTTAAAAGTTCCTGCCTGCTGGCTCTGAAGAGAGCAGCAGATCTCCAAGCACAGCACTGAAGCTCTCCTAAGGGACAGACTGCCTCCTCAAGTGGGTCCCTGACCCCCGTGTATCCTGACTGGGAGATACCTCCCAGCAGGGTTTGACAGACACCTCATACAGGAGAGCTCTGGCTGGCATCTGGAGAGTACCCCTCTGGGCTGAAGCTTCCAGAAGAAGGAACAGGCAGCAATCTTCGCTGTTCTGCAGCCTCCGCTGGTGATACCCAGGCAAACAGGGTCTGGAGTGGACCTGCAGCAAACTTCAGCAGACCTGCAGCAGAGGGGCCTGCCTGTTAGAAGGAACACTAACAAACAGAAAGAAATAGCATCAACATCAACAAAAAGGATGTCCACACAGAAAACCCAACTGAAGGTCACCAACATCAAAGACCAAAGGTAGATAAATCCATGAAGATGAGGAAAAATCAGCACAAAAAAGCCGAAAATTCCAAAAACCAGAAAGCCTCTTCTCCTCCAAAGGATCACAACTCCTCACCAGCAAGAGAACAAAACTGGACAGAGAATGAGTTTGACAAATTGACAGAAGTAGGCTTCAGAAGGTGGGTAATAACAAACTCCTCCGAGCTAAAGGAGCATGTTCTAGCTCAATGCAAGGAAGCTAAGAACCTTGAAAAATGGTTAGAGGAGTTGCTAACTAGAATAACCAGTTTAGAGAAAAGCATAAATGACCTAATGGAGCTGAAAAACACAGTATGAGAACTTCGGGAAGCATACACAAGTAACAATCGTCGAATCAATTAAGCAGAAAAAAGGATATCAGAGATTAAAGATCAACTTAATGAAATAAAGCATGAAGACAAGAATAGAGAAAAAAGAATGAAAAGGAAAGAACAAAGCCTCCAAGAAATATGGGACTATGTGAAAAGACCAAACCTACATTTGATTGGTGTACCTGAAAGTGATGGGGAGAATGGAATCAAGTTGGAAAACACTCTTCAAGATATTATCCAGGAGAACTTCCCCAACCTAGCAAGACAGGCCAACGTTAAAATTCAGAAAATGCAGAGAACACCACAAAGATACTCCTTAAGAAGAGCAACCTCAAGACACATAATTGTCAGATTCACCAAAGTTGAAATGAAGGAAAAAATGTTAAGGGCAGCCAGAGAGAAAGGCGGGTTACCCACAAAGGGAAGCCCATCAGACTAACAGCAGATCTCTGCAGAAACCCTACAAACCAGAAGAGAGCGGGGGCCAATATTCAACATACTTGAAGAAAAGAATTTTCAACCCAGAATTTCATATCCAGCCAAACTAAGTTTCATAAGCAAAGGTGAAAAAAAATCCTTTACAGACAAGCAAATGCTGAGAGATTTTCTCACCTGGCTTGCCTTACAAGAGCTCCTGAAGGAAGCACTAAATATGGTAAGGAAAAATCAGTACCAGCCATTGCAAAACCAAACCAAAATGCAAAGACCAGCGACACTATGAAGAAATTGCATCAACTAATGGGCAAACTAACCAACTAGCAACATAATGACAGGATCAATTTCACATATAACAATATTAACCTTAAATATAAATGGGACAAAAGCCCCAATTAAAAGACACAGACTGGCAAATTAGATAAAGAGTCAAGACCCATCAGTGTGCTGTATTCAGGAGACCCGTCTCACGTGCAAAGACACACGTAGGCTCAAATTAAAGGGACGGAGGAATATTTACCAAGAAAATGGAAAGCAAAAAAAAAAAAAAAAAGCAGGGGTTGCAATCCTAGTCTCTGATAAAACAGACTTTAAACCAACAAAGATCAAAAAAGACAAAGAAGGCAGTTACATAATGGTAAAGGGATCAATGCAACAAGAAGAGCTAACTATCCTAAATATATACGCACCCAATACAGGAGCACCCAGATTCATAAAGCAAGTTCTTAGAGACCTACAGAGAGACTTAGACTCCCACACAATAATAGTGGGAGACTTTAATACCCCACTGTCAATATTAGACAGATCAACGAGACAGAAAATTAAAAAAGGATATGCAGGACTTGAACTCAGCTCTGGACCAAGGGGACCTAATAGACATCTACAGAACTCTCCACCTCAAATAAACAGAATATACATCCTTCTCAGCACCACATCACACTTATTCTAAAATCACCCACAAAATTGGAAGTAAAACACTCCTCAGCAAATGCAAAAGAACAGAAATCATAAAAAACACTCTCTCAGACCACGGTGCAATCAAATTAGAACTCAGGATTTAGAAACTCACTCAAAACCACACAACTACGTGGAAACTGAACAACCTGCTCCTAAGTGACTACTGGGTAAATAACAAAATTAAGGCAGAAATAAACAATTTATTCAAAACCAATGAGAACAAAGACACAATGTACCAGAATCTCTGGGACACAGCTAAAGCACTGTTTAGAGGGAAATTTACAGCACTAAATGCCCACAGGAGAAAGAAGGAAATATTTAAAATCAACATTCTAATATCACAATTAAAAGAACTAGAGAAGCAAGAGCAAACAAATTCAGAAGCTAGCAGAAGACAAGAAATAACTAAGATCAGAGCAGAACTGAAGGAGATAGAGACACGAAAAACCCTTCAAAAAATCAGTGAATCCAGGAGTTGGCTTTTTTGAAAAGATCAACAAAATAGATAGACCACTAGCTAGACTAATAAAGAAGAAAAGAGAGAAGAAGGAAATAGACACAATAAAAAAATGATAAAGGGGAGATAACTACTGATCCCAAAGTAATGCGTACTACCATCAGAGAATACTGTAAACACCTCTATGCAAATAAACTAGAAAATCTGGAAGAAATGGATAAATTCCTGGACACATACACCCTCCCAAGAATAAACCAGGAAGAACTCGAATCCCTGAATAGAACAATAACAAGTTCTGAAATTGAGGCAGTAATTAATAGGCTACCAACCAAAAAAAGCTTAGGACCAGAGGGATTCACAGCTGAATTCTACCAGAGGTACAAAGAGGAGCTGGTACCGTTTTTTCTAAAACTGTTCCAAGCAATAGAAAAAGAGAAACTCCTCCTTAACTCACTTTATGAGGCCAGTATCATCCTGATACCAAAACCTGGTGGAGACATAACAAAAAATTGAAAATTTTAGGCCAATATCCCTGATGAACATTGGTGTAAAAATCCTTAATAAAATACTAGCAAATCTAATCCAGTAGCACATCAAATAGTTTATCCATGACGATCATCCCTGGGATGCAAGGCTGGTTCAACATATGCAAATAAATAAACGTAATCCATCACATAAACAGAACCAATGACAAAAACCCCATGATTATCACAATAGATGCAGAAAAGGCCTTTGACAAATTCAATACCCCTTCATGCTAAAAACTCTCAATAAACTAGGTATTGATGGAATGCATCTCAAAATAATAAGAGCCATTTATGACAAACCCACAGCCAATATCATACTGAATGGGCAAAAGCTGGAAGCATTCCCTTAGAAACCTGGCACAAGACAAAGATGCCCTCTCTCACCACTCCTATTCAACGTAGTATCAGAAGTTCTGCCCAGGGCAATCAGTCAAGAGAAAGAAAGACTAATAAAGAAAAAAAGAGAGAAGAATCAAATAGACATAATAAAAAATGATAAAGGGGATATCACCACTGATCCCTTAAAAATACAAATTACCATCAGAGAATACAATAAACACCTTTATGCAAATAAACTAGAAAATCTAAAAGAAATTGATTAATTCCTGGACACATACACGCTCACAAGACTAAACCAGGAAGAAATCGAATCCCTGAATAGGCCAATAACAAGTTCTGAAATTGAGGCAGTAGTTAACAGCCTACCAACCAAAAACAGCCCAGCACCAGATGGATTCACAGCTGAATTCTACCACAGGTAGAAAGAGGAGATGGTACCATTCCTTCTGAAACTATTCCAAACGACAGAAAAAGAAGGACTCCTCCCTAACTCATTTAATGAGGCCAGCATCATCCTGATAGCAAAACCTGGCATAGACACAAGAAAAGAAAATTACAGGCCAATATTCCTGATGAACATTGATGTGAAAACCCTCAATAAAACACTGGCAAACTGAATCCAGCAGCACATCAAAAAGCTTACACACCATGATCAAGTTGGCTTCATCCCTGGGATGCAAGGCTGGTGCAACATATGGAAATCAATAAACGTACTCCATCACATAAACAGAACCAATCACAAAAACCACATGATTATCCCAATAGATGCAGAAAAGTCCTTTGATAAAATTCAACACAACTTTATGCTAAAAACTCTCAATAACTAGTTATTGATAGAACGTTATCTCAAAATAATAAGAGCTATTTATGACAAACCCATAGCCAATATCATACTGAATGGGCAAAAGCTGGAAGCATTCCCTTTAAAAACCGGTACAAGACAAGGATGTCCTCTCTCACCACTCCTATTCAATATAGAATTGAAAGTTCTGGCCAGGGCAATCAGTCAAGAGAAAGAAATAAAGGGTATTCAAATAGGAAGAGTGGAAGTAAAATTGTCTCTGTTTGCAGATGACTTGATTGCATATTTAGAAAACCCCATCATCTCAGCCCAAAATCTCCTTAAGCTGATAAGCAACTTCAGCAAAGTCTCGGGATATGAAATCCATGTGCAAAAATCACAAGCATTCCTATACACCAATAATAGACAAACAGAGCCAAATCGTGAGTAAACTCCCATTCATAATTGCTACAAAGATAATAAAATACCTAGAAATCCAACTTACAAGGGGTGTGAAGGACCTCTTCAAGGAGAACTACAAACCACTGCTCAAGGAAATAAGCGAGGAAACAAACAAATGGAAAAACATTCCATGCTCATGGATAAGAAGAATCAATATCGCAAAAGTGGCTATACTGCCCAAAGTAATTTATAGATTCAACACTATCCCCACCAAGCTACCATTTACTTTCTTTGCATAATTAGAAAAAACTACTTTAAATTTCACATGGAACCAAAAAAGAGCCCACATAGCCAAGACGATCCTAAGCAAAAAGAACAAAGCTAAAGGCATCATGCTACCTGACTTCAAACTATACTATATGGCTACAGTAACCAAAACAGCATGGTACTGGTACCAAAACAGATATATAGACCAATGGAAAGAACAGAGGCCTCAGAAATAACACCACACATCTACAACCATCTGATCTTTGACAAACCTGACAAAAACAAGCAATGGGGAAAGGGTTCCCTATTTAGTAAATAGTGTTGGGAAAACTGGCTAGCCATATGCAGAAAACTGAAACTAGACCCGTTCCTTACACCTGATACAAAAATTAACTCAAGATGGATTAAAGACTTAAATGTAAGACCTAAAACCATAAAAACCATAGAAGAAAACCTAGGCAATACCATTTAGGACACAGACATGGGCAAAAAACTTCATGACTAAAACACCAAAAGCAATGGCAACAAAAGCCAAAATTGACAAATGGGATCTAATTAAACTAAAGAGCTTCTGCACAGCAAAAGAAACTATCATCACAGTGAACAGGCAACCTACATAATGGGAGAAAAGCTTTGCAATCTATCCATCTGACAAAGGGCTGATATCCAGAATTACAAGGAACTTAAACAAATTTACAAGAAAAAAAACAAACAGCCCCATCAAAAATGGATGAAGGATATGAACAGACACTTCTCAAAAGAAGATATTTATGTGGCCAGCAAAGATATGAAAAAAAGCTCATCATCACTGGTCATTAGAGAAATGCAAATCAAAGCCACAATGAGACACCATCTCATGCCAATTAGAATGGTGATCATTAAAAAGTCAGGAAACAACCGATGGTGGAGAGGATGTGGAGAAATAGGAGCACTTTTACACTGTTGGTGGAAGTGTAAATTAGTTCAACCATTGTGGAAGACAGTGTGGCGATTCCTCAAGGATCTAGAACTAGAAATATCACTTGACCCAGCAATCCCATTACTGGGTATATACCCAAAGGATTGTAAATCATTCTACTATAAAGACACATGTACACGTATCTTTATTGCAGCACTATTCACAATAGCAAAGACTTGGAACCAACCCAAATGCCCAACAGTGATAGACTGGATAAAGAAAATGTGGCACATATACACCATGGAATACTATGCAGCCATAAAAAAGGATGAATTCATGTCCTTTGCAGGGACATGGATGAAGCTGGAAACCATCATTCTCAGCAAACTAACACAGGAACGGAAAACCAAACACCACATATTCTCACTCATAAGTGGGAGTTGAACAATGAGAACACGTGGACACAGTGAGGGGAACATCACAAACCGGAGCCTGTCAGGGGGTGGGGGGCTAGAGGGATAGCATTAGGAGAAATACCTAATGTAGATGATGGGTTGATGGGTGCAGCAAATCAGCAAGGCACATGTATACCTATGTTACAAACCTGCACGTTCTGCACATGTATCCCAGAATTTAAAGTATAATAATAATAAAAAAGATATGAACAGACACTTCTTGAAAGAATATATTTGCGTGGCAAAAAAAAACCCATATTTTAAAAAGCTCAACATCACTGATCACTAGAGAAATGCAAATCAAAACCACAATGAGACATCATTTCACACCAGTCAGAATGGCGATTATTAAAAAGTAAAGAAACGACAGCTGCTGGTGAAGCTGTGGAGAAATAGGAACACTTTTACACTGTTGGTGGGAATGTAAATTAGATCAACCATTGTGGAAGACAGCATGGCAATTCCTCAAGGATCTAGAACCAGAAATACCATTTGACCCAGCAATCCTATTACTGGGTATATACCCAAAGGACTATAAATCATTCTACTATAAAGACACATGCGCACATATGTTTATTACAACACTATTTTCAATAGCAAAGTCATGGAACCAACTCAAATGCCCATCAAGGATAGACTGGATAAAGAAAATGTGGTGGCCAGGCACGGTGGCTCATGCCTGTAATCCCAGCACATTGGGAGGCCAAGGTGGGCGGATCACGAGGTCAGGAGATTGAGACCATCCTGGCTAACACGGTGAAACCCCGTCTCTACTCAAAATACAAAAAAAATTAGCCAGGCGTAGTGGCGGGTGCCTGTAGTCCCAGCTACTCGGGAGGCTGAGGCAGGTGAATGGCGTGAACCCGGGAGGCGGAGCTTGCAATGCTGCGAGATCGCGCCACTGCACTCCAGCCTGGGCGACAGAGTGAGACTCCGTCTCAAAAAAAAAAAAAAAAAAAAAAAAAAAGAAAAAGAAAAGAAAATGTGGTACATATACACCATGGAATACTACACAGTCATAAAAAGGAATTAGATCGTGTCCTTTGCAGGGACATGGATGAAGCTAGAAGCCATCATCCTCAGCAAATTAACACAGAAACAGAAAACCAAAAACACTGCACATTCTCACTCATAAGTGGGAGTTGAACAATGAGAACACGTGGACACAGCGAGGGGAACAACACACACCAGGACCTGTTGTGGGGTGAAGGGAGAGGGGAGGGAGAGTGAGGGAACTTAGAGGACAGATCAATAGGTGCGGCAAACCACCATGACACACATATACCTAGGTAACAAACCTGCACGTTCTGCATATGTATCCTGGAACCTAAAGTAAAATAAATTTACAAAATAAAAAATAAAAAAAATGAACAACCACGTAGGACTAAAGCAAATAGAAAAAAATAATAATAAAAATTAGAACAGAAATCGATGAAATTAAAAACAGGAAATTAATAGAGAAAATCAACAAAACCAAAAGCTGGTTCTTTAAGAAGGTCAATGAAATTGATAAGCCTCTAGCCAGTTTAACCAAGGTTAGGGGGAAAGAGCAAAGACATAGATTACAAATATCAGAAAGGAAAGCTGAGCCATTATTACTGATTTCACATGGAACTTAAAAGCACAATAAAGGAGTACTATGACAACTCTTTGCCCACATACTTGATAACTTAGATGAAATGGACCAACTCCTTGAAAGATAAACTATCAAAACTCACACAAGAAGAAATATATATTATTCAACAACAATCCTATTAAAGAAATGGGATCAACAATTAAGAATCTTCTAAAAGAAAACACCAGGCTCAGATAGTTCCACTGGTAAAATCTACCAAATATTTAGGGAAGAAATGATACCAGTTCTCTACAATCTCTTCTAGAAAACTAGAAGCAGAGAGAATACTTCCTAATACATTCTATAAGTCCAGCATTACGCTAATACCAAAATCAAATAAAGACATCACAAGAAAAAAGAGCTACAGACCAGTATCTCTCATGAACATAGACACAAAACTCCACAAGAAAATATTAGCAAACTGAATCCAACAATGTATTTAAAAATTTATATACCACAACCAAGTGAGATTTTTTCCAGTTATGCAAGGCTGGTTCAACATTTGAAAATTAATCAACATCGATCACATCAGCAGGCTAAAGAAGGAAATCACATAATCATATCAATAGATGCAGAAAAAGCATTTGACAAATCTAACACGTGTGATTAAAACTCTTGGAAAACTGAAAACAGGGAAAATTTCTCAACTTGATAAAGAACATCTACAACAAATCCATAGCTTCCATTATGCTTAAGACTGGACTTAAGTATGGGTGCCTTCTTCCAAGGTTGGGAACAAGGCAAAAACATCCTCTCTCATCACTCCTATTCTACATGTACTGGGAGTCCTAGGTAGCACAATAAGACAAGAATAAGAAATAAATGTGTATAGATTAAAAGGAAGAAACAAAAATATTTTTGCATGTGACATGATTATCTATGTATAAAATCCCAAAGCCTATACAAAAAGAAAAAAAAACTCCTGGAAGTAATAAGCAAGTATAGCAAGGTCGCAGGATAAAAAGTTGACATTAAAAATTTTCCATATATCAATAATGAACAGTTGGAATTTAAAATTTAAAGAAAAACACCATTTACAATAGCATTGAAATATATGAAATACTTAAGTATAAATATATTTAAATGGTATAGAATCTGTATGTGAAAACTACAAATTACTAATGAAAGAATTCAAAGATGTAAATAAATGGAAAGATATATCATGATCATGCTATTCGCAGACTCAATATAGTTAAAATGTCAAATCACCGCAACTCGATGTATATATTTTAAGCAATCCCAATGAAAATTCCAAAATTTTTTGTACATATTGACAAGCTGATTCTAAACATTTTATGGAAAGTGAAATAACCAAAGCATTTTTGAAGAAGAAAAACAAAGCTGAAGGACACACTCCCCAATATTAAGATATACTTTAAACCTATAGAAATCAAGGCAGGGCAGTATTGGCTTAAGGATAGATATATAGACGAATGGAAAAAATGGTGAGTTCCAAAACAGAGCCATGTAAACATGTTCAATTGATTTTTTGACAAAGATGTAAAGGCAATTTAATAGAGAAAGGACAGTCTTCAACAAATGATGCTGGAACCACTGGACATCCATATGAAAAAAATAAACCTTGACCTATACCTCACATTGTATACCAAAAACAAAAATGGGTCAATTTTCTAAACTCCTAGAAGAAAATATAGGAAAACTCTCTGTGACCTTAGGTTAGGTAAAGATTTCTTAGACATAACACCAAAAGCACAATCCATAAAAGAAGAAATTGAAGTGTACATCTTTTAAATTTAAAAGTTTTGCTCTTTGAAGGACACTGTAAAGTGAAAAGACAAACCACAGACTGGGAGAAATAGTTGAAAGTTACATATCCAACAAAAGACTTATGTAAAGCTCTATAATAATAAAATAATGTAATATTTAAAACTGGACAAAATATTTGAATAGATATTTCATCAAAGAAAATATATAATGGCAAATAATCACATGAAAAGATGCTCAACTTCATAAGTCATTAAGGGTATGCAAATTAAAACCACCATGAGATACCATTACATCCCTATTAAAATGGCTTTAAAAAAACTACCAACAATACCTAGTGCCAGTGAGGCTGCAGAACAACTGAAACTCATATATTGCTGGTGGTGATGCAAAATGGTACAACCATTCTGGAAAACATTGGCATAATTTTTTTATAAATTTAAACATCGACTTAAAAATATAAATATACACTTACCACATGACCCAGCAATCCTATTACTAGGTATTCACCCTAGAGATATGAAACTTATTTTCATGTAAAAACCTGGATATGAACATTTACATCAGCATTATTTTCAGTCAGAAAAATACAGAAACAACCCAAATGTCCCTCAATAACTGAATGCATAAACATACTATGGTAGTCAAAAATCAAAATAACAGATGCAATAACATGAATCAATCTCAAACCCATCATGCTAAGTAAAAGAAACCAGTCTCAAAAAGTTACATACTATATGATTCCATTCATATGGCATTCTTTAAGAGCAAAATTTTTAGGGACAGAGAAGAGATCAGTGGTTGCCAAGGATCAAGGGTAGGGAGAATGTCTAATTGCAAAGAGGTAGCAAGTGGGAATTCTGGAGAGTGCCAGAATTGTTCTATATCCTGTTAGTGATGGTTACAAAAATTTATACATTTGTTACAATTTAAAAGTAAATTTTACTATCTGTAACTTAAAATGATAATACAAAAAACAACAGTAAACAAGTCTGAGTTGCAGATATTTTAATAAATATATAAAATACGTATTTTATGTAATGTAAGATTATACAAAATAAAATTAAAAGACAAAGAAACTAAAGCAAAACAGGAAAAAGGCATCATGGGAGTAAATACAACTGTGCAATTTGTCCCAGTTGCCTCTTAAAGAGAAAGGGTCTGTTTCCTTTTGTTTAACATGTCTTCCTTATTTTGAAGTAATCATTATAAAGTTCCGACATTGCTGTTACAGACTCAGCTGTGTTCATAAAACGAAGACTGCAGAATTGCAAAAAATCATCTCTAAAGACCAAATCAATTATTTTCTAAGTGAATAAAATCCATTGCATTGTCAATCTAATTAACTGTACAGAAGCCCAACATTAAGATGGCCCTAAAACCCTTGAATCAAAAAAATGGCCAATTCAGAGGCAATGTATAGCTATGATTTAGGATTAAAGGAAAATCATTCTGCCAGATAATGTCTCCTTTTTTTCATATTTGTAAAGGTAGTGATATTTTTTGCTCCTGTAATCCTGACTTCAAATTTCTGAAAGTAACTAAACATTGCAATTTTTAAAAGGGTTTCCAAGCAACTATATGAATTCTTCCCAATCCACAGGATGAAAATATTTGTAGTGAATCCAGTTTTAATAACGTGGTGGCCTTGTTTTTGCACTTAGCAAAGATGGTTTCATCAATCACAGGAAATGACACTTCTGACAGAAAGAAAATAAGATGTAAATTAGCTAGAAGAGAGAACAGAGCAGTGACTTTTCCATTTGGAATAAGAAAGGCTCAGAAAAGCAAATTGTCATGCAGGAGTTATGATCCCATTGCAGCTTCATCACGTAATTTCCAAATGACTTGCAGCCTTCCTTCCAATTATGAAATCTGTATTATTTGACTTGTTAAAACTGGCCTAGAGGGGAGAGAATCATTTGGCAAAGTCTGAAAGGGAGCAATCCTTTAGGAATCTGGCACTTCTCTCTAAAAAAGCACTGTCCAATAGAAATATAATGTGAATCACATATGTGATTTTAAATTTTATTGTAGCCACATTTTAAAAATTAAGAAAAAAGGTGGGATTAATTTTAATATTTTTATTTAATCCAATATATCCAAAATAGTTATCTCAAAATGCCATCAACATAAAACTTATTAATGAGATTTTACATTTTTTTCACCTCAAGTCTTCAAACCCAGTGCAAATTTTACATTTAGTGCACATCTCAATTAAGAGTATCCAGATTTCAAGCACTCAATAGCCAAATGTAACTAATGGCTACCATACTGAAAAACGCAGCTCTAAACAGTTCTTATATCCATGAGAAATGGAAGGCAGGATCATTTCCTTCACTCAGTCTTTGGAATTAAGAATAGATACTACGAGGAGAAGATTGGAAGAAAGTAGACCAAACTGATTTCCTTGGAGAAGATGATAAAATATATAACTGGGCTTCAGGACAATTAATGTTGTCATTTAACTGTATTAAGGGTCACAGCAAATGTCAGGCTACATGATCTGTTTCCTTTGAGAATAAGTTAAAAACTCATTTGCACTGTGAAGCCATTATTGATTACACTCATCTTTCTTTCTTTCTTCACAAGTTACCGTTAATTCTAGTTAATATACCCATCTTTCCACACACCAATTGGTCATTTGACTTTTGTCTCTTTGCCTCTCCTTAATTTTCTTCTCTTATCCATGGCAGCCAGTGAGGTACAGTAGAAATTGCATAGGTTATGAAGTAAAAAGACAAAGAATTGCTCCCCCAGGTTCACCCCTG
This sequence comes from Homo sapiens, assembly GCF_000001405.40. Lineage (NCBI taxonomy): Eukaryota > Metazoa > Chordata > Mammalia > Primates > Hominidae > Homo > Homo sapiens. Next base: position 42,330,548 of record NC_000023.11, on the reverse strand, counting down.
CCTAATGCCTCTTGCTCTCATTATCCCTGTCCCTACTACTGAAAGTACCCACACACAGGCCAGTCAATGGGACAAAGGCAGGATACATAACAGGAACCTCAGCATTCCCATGGGTGGTAACTAGAATTGACAGCACCAATGGACATTTCTCTGTTTCCTGTGTTGAACCAGTCCATGGCACTGAGTTCCTGCCTGGGATTCTCTGCTGAATATTACAGAATAGCTCAGTGTCCTTCTTCATTGTGATCTATCTGCTGGAGCAGTCTCTCCCTTGATTCTGAATATTGGCTAAAGCCCAAACTTGATCTTCCTGTCAGCCCCTGAGATCAACCTGCTCAGGTTTCTTGTTGAGGCCATACTCTGCAGCTAGTTCAGTTTGCCAGCCTCTCATTGCTTCCTATTGGGGTTTCCACATATCAACCCCCAATTCCACACCATCCTTTAGCCCATTAACAATATGAAAATCTACTTCCTAACTTGTAAAGTTGGAGTTAATAATATTTACCTTACAGGATTATTATGAGGATCAATGAGTTAGTGCATGAGAAAATGCTTTGCCAACTACAAGGAACTAAGTGTTCGATATTGAGTGTTTTGCTTAGTGCTTACTGTATGTATGGCATTAAACTCATAAGTAACAATCTTTTTTTAAACTTTTAAGTTCAGAGGTGTGCAGGATATGCAAGTTTTTTACTTAGGTAAATGTGTATCATGGGGGTTTGTTATACAGATTATTTCATTACCCAGGTATTAAGCCTGGTGTCCATTAGTTATTTTTCCTGATCCTCTCCCTCCTCCCACCTTCCACGCTCTGAGAGGCCCCAGTGTGCATTGTTCCCCTCTATGTGTCCATGAGTTCTCATCGTTTAGCTCACTTATAAGTGAGAACATGCAGTATTTGGTTTTCTGCTCTGGCGTTAGATTTCTAAGGATAATGGTCATCAGCTCTATCCATATCCCTGCAAAGGACATGAGCTCATTATTGTTTACAGCTGCATAGTATTCCATGGTGTATATATACACATTTTCTTTATCCAGTCTACCATTGATGGCATTTAGGTTGATTCTATGTCTTTGCTGCTGTGAATAATGTGCATGTGTCCTTATAACAGAAAGACTTACATAACTTTGGGTATATATCCAGTAATGGAATTGCTGGGTTGAATGGTATTTCTGTCTATAGGTCTTTGAGGAATCACCACACTGTTTTCCACAATGGTTGAACTACTTTACACTCCACTAACAGTGTATAAGCATTCCTTTTTCTCCACAATTTTGCCAACATTTGTTATCTTTTGACTTTTTATTAATAGCCATTCTGATTGGTGTGAGATGGTATCTCACTGTGGTTTTGATTTGCATGTATCTAATGATCAGTGATGTTGAGTTTCTTTTCATATGCTTGTTGGCCACATCTATGTCTTCTTTTGAAAAGTGTCTGTTCATGTTCTTTGCCCACTCTTCAATGGGGCTGTTTGTTTTTTTCTTGTAAATTTGTTTAAGTTTCCTATAGATACTGGATATTAGGCCTTTGTCAGATGCATAGTTTGCAAAAATTTTATCCCATTCTATGTAGTCTGTTCAATCTGTTGATAGTTTCTTTTGCTGTGCAGAAGCTGTTTAATTGGATCCCATTTGTCAATTTTTGCTTTTTGGTATTTCTGTCTATAGGTCTTTGCTTTTGTTGCAGCTGCTTTTGACGTCTTTGACTTGAAATTTTTGCCCGTTTCTATATCCAGATGGTATTGCCTAGGTTGTCTTCCAGGGTTTTTATAGTTTTGTGTTTTACATTTAAGTTTATTTTTGTACATGGTGTAAGGAAAGGGTCTAGTTTCAATTTTCTGCATATGGCTAGCCAGTTATCCCAGCATCATTTATTGAATAGGGATTCCTTTCCCCATTGCTTATTTTTGTCAGGTGTGTTGAAGATCAGATGGTTGTAGGTGTGTGGTCTTATTCCTGGGCTTTGTATTCTGCTCCATTGGTCTATTTGTCTGCTTTTGTACCAGTACCATACTGCTTTGGTTACTGTAGTCATGTAGGATAGTTTGAAGTCGGATAGTGTGATGCCTCCAGCTTTGTTCTTTTTGCTTAGGATTGCCTTGGTTATTCAGGCTCTTTTTTGGTTCCATATGAATTATAAAATTATTTTCTCTAGTTCTGTGAAGAATATCAATGGTAGTTTAATGAAAACAGCATTGAATCTATAAATTGCTTTGGGCAGTATGGTCATTTTACAGACATTGATTCTTTCTATCCATGAGTATAAAATGTTTGTCCATTTCTTTGTGTCATCTCTGATTTCTTTGAGCAGTGGTTCACCATGTAGAGATCTTTCACCTCCCTTGTTAGCTGTATTCCTAGGTATTTTATTCTTTTTATGGCAATTGTGAATGGGAATGCATTCCCGATTTGGCTATCTGCTTGACTGTTGTTGGTGTATAGGTATGCTAGCAGATTTTGTACAATAGTTTTGTATTCTGAGACTTTGCTGAAGTTGTTTTTCAGATTTAAAAGCTTTTAGGCTGATACAATGGGGTTTTCTAGATATAGTATTATGTTGTCTGCAAACAAAAATAGTTTAACTTCCTCTCTTCCTATTTGAATGTCCTTTATTTCTTTTTTCCTGATTGCCCTGGCCAGAAATTTCAATACTATATGTCGAATAGGAGCGGTGAGAGAAAACATCGTTGTCTTGTGCCAGGTTTCAAAGAGAATGCTTCCAGCTTTTGGCCATTCAGTATGATATTGGCTGTGGGTTTGTCATATGTAGCTTTTATTATTTTGAGGTATGTTCCTTTAATGCCTAGTTTATTGAGAGTTTTTAACATGAAGGAATGTTGAATTTTATTGAAAGCCTTTTCTGCATCTATTGAGATAATCATAGGGCTTTGTCTTTAGTTCCGCTTCTGTGATGAATCATATTTATTGATTTGTGTACGTTGAACCATCCTTGCATCCTGGGGGTGAAGCCTACTTGTTCATGGTGTATAAGCTTTTTGATGTTCGGCTGGATTCAGTTTCCCAGTATTTTGTTGAGGACTTTTGCATCGATGTTCATCAAGGATATTAGCCTGAAGGATATTGGCCTGAAGCTTTCTTTTCTGTTGTGTCTCTGCCAGGTTTTTGTATCAGGATGATGCTGGCATCATAGAATGAGTTAGGAAGCAGTCCCTCCTTTTCAATTTGTTGGAATAGTTTCAGTAGGAATGGTACCAGCTCTTCTTCGTACATCTGGTAGAATTCAGCTGTGAATCTGTCTGGACCTATATATATATTATATAAAATATATAATATATATCTATATATAATATCTATATATTCCATTAGTTCTGTCCCTCTAGAGAACCCTGACTAATACACCTATCAACCAAAAAAAAACCCAGGATCAGACAGATTCACAGCTGGCTAATTTTTGTATATTTAGTAGAGATGGGGTTTCACCATGTTGGCCAGGCTGGTCTCAAACTCCTGACCTCAAGTGATCCACCCACCTCGGCCTCTCAAAGTGCTGGGATGATTATAGGCATGAGCCACCACACCCGGCCAAGAGACTTTTTAAAATAGATTTGGATCTTTATTCTTAGAGCCATTGAAAGCCATCCAAGGGTTTTAGGCAGACCAAGGACATGCTCTGATTTACATATATTTTTCCCTCTTTTGATTTTATTTTTGAACTTTTATTTTAAGTTTGGGGTAATGTGCAGGTTTGTTACATAGGTACACTTGTGTCATGGGGCTTTGTTGTACAGATTATTTCATCACCCAGGTATTAAGCCTAGTACGCATCAATCATTTTTCCTGGTTCCCTCCCTCCTCCTAACCTCCACCCTCAGGTAGGCTGCAGTGTGTGTTGTTCCCCTCAATATGTCCATGTGCTCTCATCATTTAGCCCTCACTTATAAGTGAGAACGTCCGGTATTTGGTTTTCTGTCACTGTGTTAGTTTGCTAAGGATAATGGCCTCCAGCTCCATCCATATTCCTGTAAAGGACAGGATCTTGTTTTTTTTATGGCTACATAGTATTCCATGGTATATATGTACCACATTTTCTTTATTCATTGTACCATTGATGGGCATTTAGGCTGATTCCATGTCTTTGCTATTGTGAATAGTGCTGCAATAAACATATATGTGCCTGTGTCATTATGAAAGAATGATTTATATTCCTCTGGGTATATGCCCAGTAAGGAATTGCCGGGTCGAACGGTATTTGCAGAAAAGGCTTTCAATAAAATGCAACAACCGTCATGTTAAAAACTGTCAATAAACTAGGTACTGAACGAATATACCTCAACATAATGAGAGCCACCTGTGACAAACCCACAGCCAACATCATACTGAATGAGAAAAAGTTGGAAGCATTCCCTTTGAAAATCAGCACAAGATAAGGATGCCCTCTCACACCACTCCTATTCAACATAGTATTGGAAGTCCTGGCCAGAGCAATCAGGCAAGATAAAGAAAGAAAGAACATTCAGATCGGAAGAGAGGAAGTCAAATTATCCCTGTTTGCAGATGACATGACGCTATATCTAGAAAACCCCATAGTCTTGTCCCAAAAACTCCTTCAGCTGATAAACAACTTTAGCAAAGTCTAAGGATAGAAAATCAATGTACAAAAATCACTAGCATTCCTAAACACCAACAACAGTCAAGCCGAAAGTCAAATCAGGAATGCAATCCCATTCACAATTGCCACAAAAAGAATAAAATACCTAGGAATACAGCTAACTAGGGAGCTAAAAGATCTCTACAATCAGAATTAGAAAACACTGCTCAAAGAAATCAGCAATTTACATATTTAAAGGCTGACTTTGGTTGCTGTATGAAAGTTCAGTAGGAAGAGCAGTAAGAGTGGCTGTTGGGGGAGAAATAAACTATGATTTTTGCATTGGAAGTGTGGCATTTGAGGTGCCTTTGATCTGTCCAAATAGAGGTATGGTATAGGAGTTAGAGCTATATAACTAGAGTCCAGAGAAGTTTGAGTTCGAAATCAATACTATCTGTGCTCCCCAAATGTTTACCTGTCAACTTCAAAGTTGGACAAAAAAAGTAAAAATGAGCAGCAGGAGAGAAAGATGGTAGGAGAGAAGTACTACTCATTCCTGCCTTAGAATATAACCTCTTTTCCAGCTTCCTTCCTTCCTTTACCTGTGAGCCCACAAATACTCCAAAATTAAACTTCAAATTCTCCAAAAATAAGCTTCAAGATATTTTACTGGAGAAAGAGAGCCTAAAACAAGTAGAACAAGATGAGCTAGCTGCCATTTCTATAAGCAAGTATTCTTGTTAGCTGGATGTCAGTTATTTAAGAGAACTTCCTGTGTAAACAGATTCTTAAAATAAATTAGAGGCAAAAACAAAACACTCAAAATGCCATGGGACATACTCTGCTTGGTCCCTAAAAGGACACGGGTTCTGGGGAGGCTCTCTTTAACTTGCTTTAGGTTCTTAAGAGGTCCCAAGGAGCCCAGAATTACCATACCACACAGCTCAGCCCCTCCACTCGGGCTGTCAGAGAGGGAGCAGGAGCAGGCAAGGGGAATCTTCAGGGGTCAGCCCCACAGCGTTGAACAAGCAGTATAGGCCTGATCCTCCACAGCCAACCTTTTGCATGGCCTCTTTTAACACGTGCCTCAACTGGCAAATGGATCAATTTAAGTTCATGTGAAGCAGCATCTATAACCTCTTGAACATATTATATCTTCCAAAAAGGACCAGAATTGTCACTACCCAATGGTAAGTTTTTCTCCCTTTGACATTTATGGGAAGTCTCTAACTTCTGAAATTCTTAATAACAGTGTCACATCTTATAGTAATGACTCTTAATTATTTGCTAACACAAGGCAGCCAGCAAGAGTTAGGAAAGCTACAGGCCTTCCCACCATGAAGCATACTGCATGTTGTTCTGTCAGAGACAAAAGGACACACCCAACACAGACTTCCAAGTATCTTATCCCAGGTATACCATCTTCAATGACCCACCCTGATTCTATCAAACCTTCAGTTCAGTTATGACTCCTGAATTCTCTCTGCTTCTTTTTTTTTAATCTGAGCAATATAGGTTCTTTGTTTTCAAATGAAATAGAATTAAGAAAAATATACACCAATTTTAGTTTCTGAATTTGCTTTGGCAGGACTCTATGACCCCTGAATTTGCTCTGTTTTTTTTTTTTAATCTGAGCAATATAGGTTCTTTGTTCTCAAATGAAAAAGAATTAAGAAAAATATACACCAATTTTAGTTTGTTTCTGAATTTGCTTCGGGAGGACTCATTTCTCTTGGCTAGTTCATTTTTTCACAATTGGGGCAATTAGTTCTACAGTCTCTTTGATTTGGTCCGTGAGGTGACGAAGAAAGCCAAATCAACCATTTTTTCAATTTGGTGTTTTTCATCTTACTGAAATTGCTTTTCTGTGAGATTTCAGGAAGTAAAATACAGTTTGTTTGTTTGTTACTTAAAATGAATTACCTGTACCCTTAACCACAACCAAGATAATTACTGCATTTTTCAATTCCTTAGGACTAGCTTTCTAATTTCATGATTTTTTTTTTTTCTTCTAAGCTTCAGGGACACTCTAACCATAACATATAGTTTGAACATAATATTCCTTTGACTCTCATTTCCCAATTTACCTTATAAATTAGCATTATTATTCTTTTAGACTGTTCATAAATATTTTCCTTAGGGCTTAAAAGGTTGTGTTTAGTCTTATCTTAAAGTTCCATTTTGGGCAGCATTATCTATGCTGGTTGTGGCATAATTATACTTAGAAGTGTGAGAGATGCTTGTGGTCCCTTAAAATAATTCAGTTTATTTTTCTCTTATATGCCCCAAATTAGCTTACAAATTGACAACTTCCCACCTAATTAGTTCTTAATGACTAATGGGATTCTAGCGTTTCAGATTATTTTGGCAGTGAACCAAACCCCTTCAAAAATGAAAATATTAAATATAGCAATATAGAGATTCATTGCATTGATCTGCATATTGTATTCCTTGTGTTTTGATTTGCTTTAAAATTTTTACTACAGTAAAAGTTTCAGGGTTATGTTTTATTTCTAGGTGGTTCCTGGAAAAATTACTAGATTCAGAATCAGCAGCATCATCTTCAGAAACCATTGTTTGGTGACCCTTATGTCCCCTAGGAAGGGTTTCTGCAGGAAAAGCGCAAACATTTTCAGGACTTTGTCTCATTTTTGTTAGTAGCACGGATCACTCCTACACCTCACCAGTTCATCCTCCATTAAAGAGACTTTAGCAAGGATATTTTTCTAAACCAAAGGGACTTAATCTAGAGAACCTTTGAACTGTAGGCAGTGAAATCAGGAGTGACACCAAAGTGGTGTGCATTGCCCTGAGCTAAGTGGAACTCTCAGAGTGGTTTCTGATGGGAAAATGGGCTCGTGACAGCCTCACTCAGGAAGAGCTGCTGCAAAGGGTGTAGCCTGACTTCCAGGGAAAGAGAGAAACAGGAGAATGGATATGGGCATGGTGCAAAGAGTAAGAATCATGTCACACAGAGGCAAGAATAATATCCTACTGGTGGCTTGAGATACAAATAAGCAGCAGCAGAAAGAGGGTGTGTAGCCATGGCCAGTAAGCAAAACAGGTGGCACCTCCGTGACTCATGTTCTGAGGAATATCAGGTAACCTGGGACAGGACCAGCATCAAGTCTCACCCTTGCAGAGTCTATTTACATGGATATAACTTACAAATATAATGAAGGTCATTGTGGAAGTTTCATTTTTATGGCCCTAAATTCTTTGACACCCTACCTATTCAGTGGTGCAATCTATGTCCTCTCTGCTTGCAAGCTTGCAATTCACTTGTACCCAACAGAATACAGTAGAAGTAATGTTATGTGACTTCTAAGGGTAGGTCAGAAAAGGAAAGGTAGCTTCCACTTCGCCACTGCAACACTTTTGCTCGGAGTCCTGAGCCATCCTGTAAGAAGTCCAACATGAACAGGCCGTGTATAGATGCTTCAGATGCCTCAGTTGAGCTCACAGCAAACAACCGTTATCCAACTGCCAGTAACATGACTAAGCAATCTTGAACATCCAAATGAATCAAGACGTCATTTGACTGTAACTGCATGAGAAACCAAATGAAAATTGCCTACTTGGGCTCTTCATGAATTCCTCACCCCAAATCCATGGGCATAATAAAATGGTTATTGTTTTAAGCCACCAACGTTGCAGTAATTTGTTAAATACCATTAGTGACCAGAAGAGTCATTTTGGACCGGATTCATTCATTCATTCATTCATTTATTCATTCCATTTAAATTTCTTCAAACCCTCAGGATAACAAATACAGTCCCTGCCTTCACATTGCTCACACTATGGTGACCTGGAAAGGGGGCCCAATTAAGATCACAAGATCTGGGCTCAAGTCTCAGCTCTGCCTGTAACTTCTGATGGGCCTGGAGCACATCAGTCTCTAGTCCTCAATGTCTTTACCTGTACATTATAGATACCTGATTCCCAAATACCTTAAGCCAGAATGAACACCCAGGGATATTTATGAGTTCTGGTTCACTTATAGTTTACCTGCTTCCTCTTTCCCAGAAACCTTAGGGATTTGTTCACCTGTGTTGTTCATCATCCCACCTTCTTGAGCCTACACAAATACACCATCGCTCTTACAAATCAAGGTAACAAATGTGAGAAATAAAAACAGCTCATAATAACAGTTTCACTTATTGTGTGTTTCTTGAACACTCTTCTAAAAGCTTTGCATAAATTAAGTCATTTATTTCTTGCAACAACTGCATGAGATAGGCACTACTTTTATCCCTATTTTAGAGATGAGGCTACTATTCAGAGAGGTTAATATTCACAGTTAGTAAATACTGAAGGTGGGATTTGAATCCATGCAGTTTACTTTGAGCAGTACCTACCACTGACATTATGAAATTACAGCAAGTCTTAAAAGTCTTATAAAAACCTTTACCTAATAACGTAAATTGAATTAGGCCTGATATGTTTTGCTTTGGTTTCCTTCATGATTTTACAATTTACTTTCTGCTTTCAGAGGAATCTATGCAGGCTTTCTCTCTTGTATTTTAAGGAGCTGAGCTCTGTGCCAATAAAGAAGACCTAGTCCCCACAATGGGCTGCCTCCTCTCTACCCCAGTGGTCCTTCTGGATTCTTCAAGACTGTCTGTTAGAGGTGATAGAAACCTAACTCAAACCAGTTTAAGAAAAAGAGAAGCGGGCATTTATTGGACTAGCACCTGTCAAAACCAGGGGATAGAGTTAGCTTTAGCAGGGCTGCATACCAGGAGTTCAGGCACTATTTTCAGTGCCCTCTCATTCTCTTTCCTCTGTCTCTCCCTTCTTCCCTCCCACCTTCCTGCTTCTTCACCATACTTCTTGCATCTGCCAGAATTAATCCTTAGGTTCTCATCTGATAGCATCAAAATAGCCACTATCAGCTCTTCCCTTAAATGCTGCCAGCTCAACCATCAGAGTAAAAATAATAGTCTCTCCTCAACCTTCTGGAAGAAAAACCCTAGAGAGGACTATGATTGTCCTGGCTGGGGCCCTAAATTAAGACTGAACCAATCACTGTAGCCAAGCAGATGAGCTAGTCTGTTTGCCAAATCTTTACACCCCTGTAACCAGGTTGAGCCCCACAGAAGCCACATGGACTGGTTTCCTTTGGGTCAGGCAGAAGTACTCCCTTGGTTCAATTTACTTTGTGATGAGGAGAGAGGAAAGGCAGAGTGACATGGTATTAAGACTGACCGCTTCTGAGTGTGGCTGGGGATGGTATAATTTAAGCTGAAAAGAGAAGTTAGGCAAGGCAGTATATTTCTCACAGGAACATTTTTAAGTAAACCCAAGAAAGAAAACTGTACAGACAAAATAACAGCTGCCTCTTGCATCTCCTTTATTCATCTCTGGAAACTTGATCCCCTGTAGGTGCAGCCACTTCCTAGACTTTTGGACTGATCTTGCTCTCCAAGAGAAAAATCTAAACTATCCTTGTTTTAAGGTGACTCAGCTTCAAGACAACCTTGCAGAAACCATACTTTAACATTGTTCCTCAGTCTTACTGCTAGTAATTCTGCCTAATTTCAAGAAACCACATGGTATCCCAGTTTTTGCAAGACAGTCCAACAATAGCCAGTCCTCTCATAGATTGAGAATGTCACCCAGTCCAAAGACCACTACCTACCCTTATAGCTCCCTGCCTTGTGGAAGCTAAATCTAGAGAACAGCTAGAAGCCAAGATGATTGTCTCTGTCACTTGTATATTTCACTTCCTGTCTTTCTCTGAAAACTGACCTCCTCTACATACTCATCTGTAGCCCAAAATGGCAGTCCAAGCCACAAAGTCTACCTTAGGTTTCAGGTCAAGAGGACAACATCTACTGCTCTTCCATCAAGTTAGTTGCAAACATCAAGGGCAAGATATGAACCATTGATTCTGATGGATCTGTGAGTCAGCTGGTGTCAGCTAAACTTAATTGACTTAGCTTGGCAGCTCTGCTCCACATGAGTTTATTCTAAGACTCAGGCTACAGGGGCAGAAGCTATTCAAGAGAAGTTTTTATCGTGAGATGACAGAGGCACAAGTGGATGAGAAGGAACACAGAAAGCCTCTTAAAGCATAGGCTCAGAATGGCTGGCACTTCCACCTGCGTGCCATTAGCCAGCACAAGTCATGCAGCAAGTCCAAAGTCCTGAGTGAGAAAGTACTTTCTGCCCATAATGAGACCATAAGAATATGGGTGCAAGGGAAGGTGATATAATTTGGATATTTGTTCCCTCCAAATCTCTGTTGAAACTTGATCTCCAATGTTGGAGGTGGAGTCTGGTGGGAGGTATTTTGGTCAGGGGTGGATCCATCATAAATGGCTTGGTCTTGTTCTCACAGTAATGAGTGAGTTCTCACTCCATTAGTTTCCAAGAGATCTGATTATTAAAAAGAGCCAGGCATCTCCTTTCTCTTTCTTTTTTCTCCACTCTCACCATGTGATAGCTATTCCCCTACCCTGAAGCTTCATGAAGCCCTCACCAGAAGCAGATGCTCCCATGACTGGAAGCTTCCTGAAGTCCCCGTCAGAAGCAGATACTGGTGCCACACTTCCTGTACAGTCTGCAGAACCATAAGCCAAATAAACATCCTTTCTTTATAAATGATCTAGCCTCACGTATTCCTTTATAGCAACACAAACAGACTAACAAACAGAAGGGTAAAAAGTTGGGGCCAATAATTAAATCTTATCTGTATAGCCCTGCTTTATAGAATCACGATCAAAGTATCCAATCCTAGTCAATTAGTTTCAACCAAAGGAAAGATAGGCTCATCCTGTGGATGTAGGGTCACAGGCTGTGGGTGAGGTAGTTCAATCAGAATACAAACTGGTCATGGGAAGAACATCAACTAACATGACTGATATGGCATTTTTCACTTCTCTAATGAACCAAACTTTACTCCACAAGATGGTCAGTATGTGTTTGAGCAAACAAAGGCTATTTCATATCTCAAAGAAAAAATCAAAAGGGTCACATCCACTGTAATTTCACTTTATTTACTTCCAAATTTATTTTAGGTCATTCTTTGAGATATTGATTATACCTGCTCTTCCTTACTCATGGAATCACTGAAAGAATCACATGACGTTCTAATACAGATATGCTTACAAATTAACAACAATAAACCAATGAGTATTATTATTTATCATTACCCAGTAAAGGTTCTAACTCTGGCTAAGGTTACAAGAGGAGGATTGTTAAAGGGCTATTTTTTCTTCTATGATGCCAATTTTGGACATAGTCTTACCTTAATGTCAATTATCAATTGGCCAAATATGACTTGACTCCCATTCATTCTTCAAGTCTACCTTAGATATCCCCTCTTCTGGGCAGCCTTCCTCAAACCTACTACAAATTCCAGTTTGATTGCCCTGATCTGTGCTTCTACCAACTTCTGTATTTCACCTTAATACTGTTACATAATTGATGCTTTACTCACCAGTTGTTCCCATTCCACTCTCTATTCTCCCAATCCTTGAAGTAGGTGGAGTCTTGTTCACCATTTTGTTGGGCAAGAGGCCTTAAACACAGAAGAAGCTCAATAAGTGTCTGTGGACTGAATAACTAAGCCCAGAGTCAAGTGTCCCTGGAGTTGCTCACCACTGTGTGACTTTGGGCAACTGATCACCACTCTCTTCTTTTGTAAAGTGAAGCACTTTGGCAAGTTAGCTGGTTCTTGATCTTGGGGCCCATTATGATGCAGAGTCACTTCTTAGGTTTCTTATCAGTATCATCACTAATTATAAAGTTTCAGCATGTTTGAAGGATTTGCTTTTTATAGTGAGACTAGGAAAAAGGTCAAATTTATTTGTTAAAATAATGCCACTTTGGCAGAGCACAGAGGACTTTTAGGGCAATAAAACTACCATGTATAATACTATAATGATGGACATATGTCATTATTCATTTTTCAGACCCATAGAATGTACAACACTGAGAGGGAACCCTAATGTAAACCATGAACTTAGAGTGATAATGATATATCAACCTAGGTTCATCAATTGCAATAAATGTGCCACCTTGGTGGGGGATATTGATAATGGGGAAAGATATTATGTGTAAATATATGGTAAATATCTGGACTTTCTGCTCAACTTTGCTGTGAACCTAAAACTGCTCTAAAATATAAAATCTGTTTAAAAATAATAATGTCACACTTATTTGCTGGCATTCCTAAATGACTTCTTGAGGAAATATGAAGATTACCATCTGTTAGTACACACAAGGAATTTTTAGATGAGTCCACAGGGCTGTTTTAATCTCATCAACATCATCCTTCATATGTATCACAGTGGAAAAACAATATAAATCCTCATGTCCATAGGCTCCCCAAGACACTTTCAAATAAAAATTCATAAAAAGACTTCCATCTATTCATATTTTAGCTTCATCATATTGGAGTACCAGAAGTAACACCATTAACAAAATTTTGTTGAGATTAATGTTATCTGAGATTTTGTAAACTTAAAATTACACAGAAGGAAATAAAATGCTAAATGAAAATGGAACTTTCAGTACAAGTATGAGGGATGTTTGTACAATTTCAGTTATTAAAAAAATGCCTGTCTGTACATTTTCATCCTCTTTGAAATGAAGGAGAATTGAAGAAGTTGTCAGGAAGAAGCATGATAGGAAAGCCATTCAATTTTCTTTTGTCTTTTTTGAGTTACAGTTACCCTAACAAGGTCAAATGCAAAACAAGAGATGCTTCTAAAGTGCCATGTGCCCCATAAGGGTCCACAAGGATAAGTAAGTGAACAAAGGGAGGTGATAATGAAGTGTGACCATTAAAATCTTATTGAGAAAAAAATGTGTTTTTTTTCTATTTAGTTTTATCATAATACTAATAGCCAATGTTTTAAAATGGTTACTCTGTGCCAGACACAGTTCTTAATGCTGTTCACTTTACTAGCTTATCTGATTCTGAAGCATACGATTAAGTGGGTACCATTATTATCCCCATATCTCATAGTGAGGAAACTGAAGCATAGACAGATTAGTGAATTTGCCCAAGGCCATAGAGATGGCAAAAAGTAGAGTCAGAATTTGAACTCAGGGAGTCTAAATCCGCAACTCTTACAGTTCCCTAATAGTCTTCCATCAAAATAATCAGGAACAACTGCAACACACAAGAATAGGATAATCATGTATCAAGTATCCACACATCCTCCCTTCACTCCTTTTCTATTTACTTTGGCCATCCTCCTAGCTTAAATCTTTTAATAAAAACATTACACGCTAGCATGAACAGTAATCAACATTTGTTTATTCATCCTGTATATTGATGGATTATCTTGGATATAGTTCTTTCTCTTACTTCTATTGAGACCCTTCACACTCACTTACACCATTCAGATGCAAAGCATGAATGAGAGATAGAAAATAAAAACTGTCTTTTATATAAACAAATTACAGTTAATCCCTTAGCATAAAATTGTGTCTAGAATTAGGTCACCTAACACTTTTTATTATGCCTGCCTTTCTTAATATATTGGTTTATCCTAGCGATTAAGAGCCTGGGGCTAGAAATCATACAGATCTGAGTTCAAGCTCATGTGTATCTCTTCCTATCTGTAGTATTTCCTTGGACAATTCTTCCCTGTTTTTCTTCTTTTGTGAAAAAGATGCGGATAATAATATTGCCCTCATATAATTAGTATGAGGGTTAAATAAACATAAAACATTTAACATGGTGCCTGACGTATAGCAAGTCCTTAATAAATACTAGAGGAATCCAAAACAAATTGTGGAAAGGTGATGTCAGCAAAAATGGCAAAGCAGTTAGCTCCAAAGGCCTGTTCCTCCACAGAAATACCAAGAAATGAGCAAACATGCTCAGAATCACCTTTGTAGGAATTCTGGAAAATAGTCAGAGTTTTGTAGAAACCAAGTAAATGCTGAGTCAAGAAAAAGGCAATTTTAAAATGGTAGAAGAACTTTTCAGTGTTTTTACTTGCCCTTGCACTGTCCCATCTCTGACTTGACAACAGTCTTGAAGACAGTTCCTCTGGTCCCAGTGTAGGACCTTAGTACCTTATTCCAGAGAGAGACAGTAGGTTATGTTCTCAAATAATTGTGGGGTTTTTTTTTTTTGTTTTGATCTATAGGGCAACTGCCTAAAGAACTCACACAAGGTACTTGCCTTTGCTTCATCTAAGTCAGAACTCTCTCAGGGAAGAAAAGAGAGTATACAGAGGATATTCTTGAAAAATATTAAAAGGCAAATTAACAAAACACTGTTGCCTAGGGCAAAAGACTGCAGTCAAGGTAAAGAATGGGTGCACTAAAAGCCTGGGAGAAAAAAAAAAACTGGAAAGAAATATTCCTTGAAGAATTAAAGCATTGAAAATGCTTTAATTTAATGTACCAGCTGGGGAATTTAGAAATTCATGCATCCCCAGGGGAGGGCTCCCACTCAGAAAAGACCTGAGAAGACCCTAAGTATTCACCTGAGGCTTATCATTAGGCTCAGCACAAATATAGAGTGAAGACTAAGGCAGAGTTATAAAGAAACTGGCTAAGCATTGAAGGAATGTCCCTGATCTGGTTTGGCTCTGTATCCCCACCCAAATCTCATGTTGAATTGTAATTCTCAATGTAGAGAGAGGGGGCCTGGTGGGAGGTGACTGGATCATAGGGGCAGATTTCCCCCTTTCTGTTCTTGTGATAGGGAGTTCTCATGAGATCTGTTGGTTTAAAAGTATGTGGCACTTCCCCCTTAGCCCTCTCTCTCTCCTGCTCTGCCATGGTAAAACATGCTTGCTTCCTCTACACCTTTCACCATGATTATAAGTTTCCTGAGGCCTTCCAGCCATGCTTCTTGTACAGTCTGCAGAACTGTAAGTCAATTAAATCTATTTTCTTCATAAATTACCAGTCTCAGGTAGTTCTTTATAGCAATGTGAGAATGGACTAATACAGTCCCCAATAGAGCCAATTTTAAAAGACTAAAATATTTTTTCCATTCTTCTTCCTTTATTGACTCCAGCCATTCAAGAAAATCTCTATCATAACATAAGCTAAAGGCAAAGAGACATCAGAGACTACACAAGAAAAAAATATAGTCTTTACAGATAGTTTAGAAAGCCACTAAACAAAAAAGAACTTACAACCCACAGCAAACAACAAAACAACCCTTAAGGAGGGAGAAGAATCTGATTTCCATAGTTACCACATTATACTACTGAAAATGTCCAATTTTTAACCAAAAATTATGAAAAAATGCAAAGAAACAAGAAAGTATAGCCCATTCACTGAATAAATTAACCAAAACTGTACCAAAGGAAGCAAATACATTGGAATTGCTAGACAAATACTTTAAACCAACTGACTTAAACATGCTCAAAGAACTAAAAAATATCAAGAAAATGATGTACAGAACAAATAGAGAATATTACTAAAGAGATTAAAAATTATAAAAAGTAACAAACAGAAATTCTGAAGCTGAAAAACATAATTTGTAAAATTAAAAATTCACTGGAGGATCTCAACTACAGATTTGAGCAGGGAGAAGAAATAATCAGTAAACTTGAAGATAGGTCAATTGAATTATCCAATCTGAGGATCAGAAAGAAAAGATAATTAAGAAAAATTAACTGAGCTTAAGAGGCTTATGGGACACCATCAAACCTACCAACATATACATAATGAGATTTCCAGAATAAAAAGTGAGAAATGTACAAAAAGAATGTTTGAAGAAATAATGGTGAAAAACTTCCCATTTTAAAAAATAACACATTAATCTACACTTCCAAGAAGCTTGACACATAGAATAAACAAAAAGAGAATCACATCAAGACATACTCTAATTGAACTTTCAAAAGACAGAAATAATCTTAAAAGTAGCAACAGAGAAGCAACTCATCATGTACAAAGGATCATCAATAAAATTAACAGCTACATTCTCAGCAGAATCCAAGAAGGCCAGAATGCAGTGGTATGACATATTTAAAGTGAAAAAAAAACTGTCAACCAAGAACTCTATATCCAACAAAACACTCCTTTTAAAATGAAACACAAAGTAAATCATTCACAGATAAACAAAAGCTGAGAATGTTCACCCTTAGCAGATGTTCCCTATATGAAACCTTAAGAGGGTACTAAGATGATATTAATTCAAAATGGGTTGTCACACATGTAAGAGGTTAATGGTAATCCTCAAGAAAACAACAAAAGCTTCTGAAAAAGAAGAAAGAAAGAAAAGAAAGAAAGAGAAAGAAAAAGTAATCAAATGGCACACTGCAAAAAGTCAATTGAACACAAAACAAGGTAATAATAGAGGAAATTAGTAACACAAAATATACCAGTCAAATAGAAAACAAATATCAAGACATTAGCAGTAAGTCATTTCTTATCAGTAATTACTTTAAATAAAAATGAATTAAACTCTCTAATTAAAAGGCAGGCAATAACAAGTGCTATCGAGGACGTGGAGAAAGGGGAACCCTCATACACTGTTGATGGGAATATAAATAGTACAACTACTATGGAGAACAGTTTGGAGGTTTCTCAAAAAACTAAAAACAGAGCTACCATATGATGTAGCAATCCCATTGCTGGGTACATAGCCAAAAGAAAGGAAATCAGTATATCAAAGATGTATCTGTACTCCCATGTTTGTTGCGGCACTATTCATAATAGCCAAGATTTGGAAGCAACCTAAATGTCCATTGACAGATGAATGGGATAAAGGAATGTGGTACATATACACAATGGAGTACTATTCAGCCATAAAAAGAATGACATCCTGTCATTTGCAACAACATGGATAGAACTGGAGATCATTATGTTAAGTGAAATAAGCCAAGCACAGAAAGACAAACATTACAAGTTCTCACTTACTTGTGGGATCTAAAAATCAAAACAATTGAACTCATGGACACAGAGAGTAGAAGGATGGTTACCCTAGGCTAGGAAGGCTAATGGGGGGCTGGAAGGGAACATGGTGATGGTTAATGGGTACAAAAAATAGTTCGAAAGAATGAATAAGACCTATTATTTGATAGCACAGCAGGGTGATTACAGTCAATAACAACTTAATTGTATATTTTAAAATAACTAAAAGAGTATAATTGGATTGTTTGTAACACCATTAAAGAGAACTAAATATGGCCTGAGAAGGACTCTGTACTTCTATATTTGAGTCTTTGTGGATGAACTGCAACATAACTTAATAGGTAGACAAGATTGAAAACCTAATTTGGGAGTATGCACCTATAACAATAGCTGAGTCTTGGCCAATCCCAGCAGCCATACTTCAACCACTCATACACTGGTGAGTGTTCAAACTGTGTTCAAATAAGGCAAACACCAACCTGTAACCAATCCAGCTGTTTCTGTACCTCACTTCCATTTCTGTACAACACTTTACCTTTGTTGTCTATAAATTTGTTACGACCACAAGTCACCCCTGGAGTCTGTCTGAATCTTCTGTGATTCTAGGGGCTGGCTGATTCCCAAATTGTTCATTGCTCAATTAAACTCCTTTAAATTTATTGTGTGTGTGTGTGTGTGTGTGTGTGTGTCTGTGTCTGTGTGTGTGATGAGAACATTTATTTATTAATTTTCTCTGAAAAAAATGGAATACATGCCCAGAACGTGCAGGTTTGTTACATAGGCATGCATGTGCCATGGTGGTTAGCTGCACCTATTGACACGTCCCCTAAGTTCCCTCCCCTCACCCCCCTACCCCACAACAGGCCCTGGTGTGTGTTGTTTCCCTCTCTGTGTCCACGTGTTCTAATTGTTCAACTCCCACTTATAAGTGAGAACATGCAGTATTTGGTTTTCTGTTCCTGTGTTAGTTTGCTGAGGATGATGGCTTGCAACTGCAAAGGACATGATCTAATTCGTTTTTATGGCTGCATAGTATTCCATGAGGTATATGTACCACATTTTCTTTATCCAGTCTATCATTGATTGGCATTTGGGTTGGTTCCATGTCTTTGCTATTGTAAATAGTGCTGCAATAAACCTATGTGTGCATGTGTCTTTATAGTAGAATGATTTATATTCCTTTGGGTACATACTCAGTAATGGGATTGCTGGGTCAAATGGTATTTCTGGTTCTAGATTCTTGAGGAATCACCACACTGTCTTCCACAATGGTTGAACTAATTTACATTCTCACCAACAGTGTAAAAGTGTTCCTATTTGTCCACAGCCTCCACAGCATCTATTGTTTCCTGACTTTTTAATAATCGCCATACTGACTGGCTTAAGATGGTATTTCATTGTGGTTTTGATTTGCATTTCTCTGATGTGATGTTGAGCTTTTTTTCATACGTTTATTGGCCACATGAATGTCTTTTTTTTTTTTTTTTTTTTTTTTTTAGATGCAGTCTTACTCTGTCACCCAGGCTGGAGTGTAGTGGCGCGATCTTGGCTCACTGCAACCTCCACCTCGTGGGTTCAAGCGATTCTTCTGCCTCAGCCTCCCGAGTAGCTGGGACTACAGGCGCATGCCACCATGCCTGACTAATTTTTGTATTTTTAGTAGAGATGGGGTTTTATCATATTGTCCAGGCTGGTCTCGAACTCCTAACCTTGTGATCCACCTGCCTTGGCCTCCCAAAGTGCTGGGATTGCAGGCATGTGCCACCACTCCCGGTCCACATAAGTGTCTTCTTTTGAGAAGTGTCTGTTCATATTCTTTGCCCACTTTTTGATGGGGTGGTTTTTATCTTGTAAATTTGTTTAAGTTCCTTATAAATTCAGGATATTAGACCTTTGTCAGATGGGTAGACTGCAAAAATTTTCTCCCATTCTGTAGGTTGCCTGTTCACTCTGATGATAGTTTCTTTTGTTGTACAGAAGCTCATTAGTTTAATTAGATCCCATTTGTCAATTCTGGCTTTTGTTGCAATTGCTTTTGGCGTTTTTGTCATGAAGTCTTTGCCAATGCCTATATCCTAAATGGTATTGCCTAGGTTTTCTTCTAGGGTTTTTATGGTTTTGGGTTTTACATTTAAGTCTTTAATCCATCTTGAGTTAATTTTTGCATAAGGTGTAAGGAAGGAGTCCACTTTCAGTTTTCTGCCTATGGCTAGCCAGTTTTCTCAGCAACATTTACTGAATGGGAGATCCTTTCCCAATTGCTTGTTTTTATCAAATTTGTTGAAGATCAGATGGTTGTAGATGTGTGGTGTTATTTCTGAGGTCTCTGTTCTGCTCCATTGGTCTATATGTCTGTTTTGGTACCAGTACCATGCTGTTTTGGTTACTGTAGCCTTGTAGTATAGTTTGAAGTCTGGTAGAGTGATGCCTCCAGCTTTGTTCTTTTTGCTTAGGATTGTCATCACTATACAGGGTCTTCATTGATTCCATATGAAATTTAAAATACCTTTTCCTACTTCTGTGAAGAATTTCAATGATAGTTTAATGGAAATAGCATTGAATCTATAAACTACTTTGGGCAGTATGGCCATTTTCACGATATTGATTCTTCTTACCATGAGCATGGAATGTTTTTCCATTTGTTTGTCTCCTCTCTTATTTCCTTGAGCAGTGGTTTGTAGTTCTCCTTGAAGAGGTCCTTCATATCCCTAGTTGGCTATATTCCTAGGTATTTTATTCTCTTTGTAGCAATTGTGAATGGGAGTTCATTCATGATTTGGCTGTCTGCTTCTCTGTTGTTTGTATAAAGGAATGCTTGTGATTTTTGCACATTGATTTTGTATCCTGAGAATTTGCTGAACTTACTTATCAGTTTAAGGAGTTTTCGGGCTGAGATGACGGGGTTTTCTAAATATAAAATTATGTCATCTGCAAACAGAGACAATTTGACTTCCTCTCTTCCTATTTGAATATCCTTTATTTCTTTCTCTTGCCTGATTGCCCCGGCCAGAACTTCCAGTACTATGTTGAATAGTAGTGGTGAAAGAGGGCATCCTTGTCTTGTACCGGTTTTCAAAGGGAATACTTCCAGCTTTTGCCCATTCAATATGACATTGGCTGTGGGTTTGTCATAAATAGCTCTTATTATTTTGAGATATGTTCCATAAATACCTAGTTTATTGAGAGTTTTTAACATGAGGGGATGTTGAATTTTATCAAAGGCCTCCTCTGCATCTATTGTGATAATCATGTGGTTTTTTCATTGGTTCTGTTTATGTGATAGGTTACGTTTATTTATTTGCATATGTTGAACCAGCCTTGCATCCCAGGGATGAAGCCAACTTGATCGTGGTAAATAAGTTTTTTGATGTGCTGCTGGATTCAGTTTGCCAGTATTTCATTGACGATTTTTGCATCAATATTCATCAGGGATATTGGCCTGAAATTTTCTTTTTTTGTTGTGTCTCTGCCAGGTTTTGGTATCAGGATCATGCTGGCTTCGTAAAATGAGTTAGGGAGGAGTCTCTCCTTTTCAATTGTTTGAAATAGTTTCAGAAGGAATGGTACTAGCTCCTCTTTGTATTTCTGGTAGAATTCAGCTGTGAGCCCATCTGGTGCTGGGCTTTTTTTTGGTTGCTGGGCTATTAATTACTGCCTCAATTTCAGAGCTTGTTATTGGTCTATTCAGGAATTCTGTGTCTTCCTTGTTTAGTCTTGGGAGGGTGTACATGTCCAGGAATTTATCCATTTCTTCTAGATTTCCTAGTTTATTTGCATAGAGGTGTCTATAGCATTCTCTGGTGGTAGTTTGTATTTCTGTGGGGTCAACGGTGATATCTCCTTTGTCATTTTTTATTGTGTCTACTTTATTCTTCTCTCTTTTCTTCTTTGTTAGTCTAGCTAGCAGTCTATTTTGTTAATTTTTTTCAAAATAAAACAGCTCCTGTGTTAGTTGATTTTTTGGAGGGTTTTTTTGTGTCTCTATCTCCTTCAATTCTGCTCTGATCTTAATTATTTCTTGTCTTCTGCTAGATTCTGGATTAGTTTATTCTTGGCTCTCTATCCTTTTTAATTGTGATGTTAGGGTGTCAATTTGAAATCTTTCAAGTTTTCTGATATGGGCATTCAGTGCTATAAATTTCCCTCTTAACAGTGCTTTAGCTGTGTCCCAGAGATTCTGGTACGTTGTCTCTTTGTTCTCATTGGTTTCAAAGAACTTCTTCATATCTGCCTTAATTAAATTATTTACCCAGGAGTCATTCAGGAACAGATTGTTCAGTTTCCATGTAATTGTGTGGTTTTGAGTGAGTGTTTTAATCCTGAGTTCTAATTTGATTGCATTGTTGCCTGAGAGATTGTTTTCTATGATTTCACTTATTTTGCACTTGTTGAGGAGTGTTTTACTTTTAATTATGTGGTCGATTTTAAAATAAGTGTCATGTGGCACTTATTCATATACAGAAGAATGTATATTCTGTTGATTTGGGGTAAAGAGTTCTGTAGATGTCTACTAGGTCCACTTGATCCAGAGCTGAGTTCAAGTCCTGAATATCCTTGTTAATTTTCTGTCTCATTGATCTAATACTGACAGTGTGTTGTTAAAGTCTTCCACTATTATTGTTTGGGCGTCTAAGTCTCTTTGTAGGTCTCTAAGAACTTGTTTTATGAATCCGGGTGCTCCTGTATTGGGTGCATATATATTTAGAATAGTTAGCACTTCCTGTTGAATCGTTCCCTTTGCTATTATGTAATGTCTTTCTTTGTATTTTTTTTTTCATCTTTGTTGGTTTAAAGTCTGTTTTGTCAGAGACTAGGACTGCAACCCCTGCTTTTTTTTTTTTTTTTTTTTTTTTGCTTTTC
The DNA here is from genome assembly GCF_000001405.40 of Homo sapiens. Taxonomy (NCBI): domain Eukaryota; kingdom Metazoa; phylum Chordata; class Mammalia; order Primates; family Hominidae; genus Homo; species Homo sapiens. The sequence continues at coordinate 42,308,296 of NC_000023.11, read as the reverse complement.
ATTTGCTTGGTAAATATTCCTGCATTCCTTTATTTTTGAGCCTATGTGTGTCTTTGCACGTGAGATGGGTCTCCTGAATACAGCATACTGATGGGTCTTGACTCTTTATCCAATTTGCCAGCCTGTGTCTTTTAATTGGGGCATTTAGTCCATTTACATTTAAGGTTAGTACTGTTATGTTTGAATTGTATTGTTATACGTATTGATCCTGTCATTATGCTGCTATTTGGTTATTTTGCATACCAGTTGATGAAGTTTCTTCATAGTGTCATTGGTCTTTATATCTTGGTGTGTTTTTGCAGTGGCTGGTACCGGCTTTTCCTTTCCATATTTAGTGCTTTTTCCAGGAACTCTTGCAGGCCAGGCCTGGTTGTAACAAAATACCTTAGCATTTGCTTGTCTGGAAAGAATTTCATTTCTTCTTTACTTATGAAGCTTAGTTTGGCTGTATATGAAATTCTGGGTTGAAAATTTTTTTCTTTAAAAATGTTGAATATCGATAAAGGTCATTTATGTTCCTCTCTAAACTGTTTATTCTAGTTAGCAATTCCTCTAACCTTTTATCAAGGTTCTTTGCTTCTTTGCATTGGGTTAGAACATGCTCCTTTAGCTCAGCATAGTTTTTTATTACCCATCTTCTGAAGCCTACTTCTGTAAATTTGTCCATCTGATCCTCCGTCCACTTCTGTGCCCTTGATGGAGAGATGTTGTGATCAGTTAGAGGGCAAGAGGCACTCTGGCCTTTTGGGTTTACAGCATTTTTTTGTTAATTCTTTCTCATCTTCGAGAGTTTGTCTAGTTTCAGTCTTTGAGGCTACTGACCCTTGGATGGGGTTTTTGTGGGGCTTTGTTGTTGCTGTTGATGATGATGATGTTGCTTCCAGCTTGTTTGTTTGTTTGTTTTTCAATGGTCAGGTCTCTCTTCTGTAGGGCTGCTGCAGTTTGCTGGGAGTTAACTTCAGGCCTTATTCATTTCATTCGCTCCCACGCCTGGAGATGTCACTCAAGGAGGCTGGACAACAGCAAAAATGGGTGCCTGCTCCTTCTTCTGGGACCTCTGACCTTGAAAGGCACCAACTTGATGCCAGTAGGATCACTCCTGTACAGGGTGTCTGACAACCCCTGTTGGAGGGTCTCACCCAGTTGGGTGGCATGGGGAACAGGACCCATTTAACCAGGCACTTTGCCCCTTGTTGGAGGGATGTGCCTCGCTTGGGGGAAACCCACTCATCTGGGCTGCCCAGATTCCTCAGAACTACTAGGAGGAAAGGCTAAGTCTGCTTGTCCACAGAGACTGTGGCCACCCCTCTCCCTAGGGGCTCAGGCCCAGGGGGACCTGGGTTCTGTCCTTGAGCCTCTGGCTAGAGTTACTGGACTTCCTGCAGGGAAGCCCCGCCCACTGAGAAAGGATGGGTCAGAGTCAAGCCTGAAGAGGCACTCTGGAAGCTGACTGCCACAGCCAGTGTGTTGGGCTATAGGGGCCAAATCTTGGGACCAAGCCATCCAGCCTCCCTGACTCCAGCAGGGGAAAAGCACACTCTGGGGCTATGGAGATGGGTGCTGCCCTTGCCCCGCCTTGGGAGCTTAGTGTGTTAGGCAGTTTAGAGTCCCAGTGCTGGCTGCTGCCCCTCCTCCAAGGAGCTCAAAGGGCTTAGACAGCAGGCAGCCACAGCCATGGTGCTGGTTGCTTCTCCACCAGGAAGTTCAGTAGGCTTAAGCAGATTTCAGCTGAGAAGCTGTTAAGAGTTTGCACGTCTGCGTGTTCCAGGGTTGGGACGCTAGGCCCTAGTGGCATGGGTTCATGAGTGGGATCTTCCAATCCTTGTGGGTTGCACAGTGCTGTGAAAAAAGCATGGTTTCCCTGGCTGGGTAGCACACTCATTCACCGCCTCCCTTGGCTGGGGGGAGGGGGCTTTCCTGCCCTGTGTGGCTCTCAGGTGGGCCACCACACCACACTGTTCTTCCTTCTCTCCATGGGTCATGCCAGCTTCCTAGTCAGTTGTGATGAAAGATCCTGGATACCTTGGTTGCCGGTGAAGGATTCACATGCTTATTATATTGTGTTTTTGTTTTTGTTGTTGTTGTTGTTTTATGGGATCCTCCGAATGGTGCTATTTCTAGTTGGCTATCTTGGCCCCACCCCTAAACTCCTTTAAATTAATTCGGCCAAAGTTTTTCTTTTAACAGCACAAAGGATAAATGCTTGAGGGAATGGGGACCCCATTCTCCATGATGTGATTTTTTAACAATGCATGCCTGTATCAAAACATCTCATGTACCTCATAAATATAAACACCTACTATGTAGTCACAAAAGTAAAAAACAAAATAAAAATTTTAAAAGTAAAAGGCAGAGATTAGCAGAATAGATTGAAAACACGATTCAACTATATGTTATCTACAAGATACTAATTTTAGATGCAAAAACGTAAAGTTAAAAGTGAAAGGATAGGAAAAATATTACATGCATATTATAACAAGAAGTGAGATGAAGTAGCTATACTAATATCAAACAAAATAGACTTTAAATAAGAAAACTATTACAAAAGTCAAACAAGGACATTATATACTGACAAATGGGTCAACTCACTAAGAAGATGCAACAATAATAAACAATAATAAACGTATATTGCTTAACAACAGAGACCCAAAATATGTGAAGCAAAAATAATTCTACAATAGTAGTTGGGAACTTTAGCACCCTACTTTCTATAATAGATTGAACAACAAAACAGCAGATCAATAAGGAAATAGAGAACTTAAAGAATACTGGAAACCAACACGACCTAGGAGGCATACGGAGAACACTCTACTCAAGAACGGCAGAATATACATTTTTCTTAAATATACAAGGAACATTCTCCACAGAAGACCATACATTAGGCCAAAACAATCTCAATGAATTTTAAAAGATTGAAATCATACAAAGTATTTTCTTCTACTACAATGAAATGAAACTAGAAATAAATAACAGAAGGAAAACTAGAAAATTCACAAATATCTGGAAATTAAACAACATTCTTTAAAACCCAGTTGATCAAAGGCCAGGCATGGTGGCTAATGCTTGTAATCCAAGCACTTTGGGAAGCCAAGGGGGACAGATCACTTGGGGTCAGGAGTCTGAGACCAGCCTGGCCAACATGGCAAAACCCCGTCTCTACTAAAAATAGAAAAGTTAGTTGGGCATGATGGCAAGCTCCTGTAATCCCAGCTACTTGGGAGGCTGAGGCAGGAGAATCACTTGAACCAAGGAGGCAGAGGTTGCAGTGAGCTGAGGTCGTGCCACTGCACTCTAGCCTGAGCAACAAAGAGAGACTCCATTAAAAAAAAAAAAAAACAATTGATCAAAGAAGAAATTACAAGAGAAATTAGAAAATACATTCTTTCAGACAAATAAAAATGAAAGCACAACATTCTAAAATGTTTGGGATATAGAAAAAGCAGTGCTTAGAAGGGAATTTATAGCTGTAAAAACTTATACATTTAAAAAGAAGAAATCAATAACCTCACTTTACACCTTAAGGAACTAGAAAGAGAAGAGAAAAATCCAACCCAAATCCAGCAGAAAGAAAGAAATAATGAAGATTAGGATGAAATTAAATGAGATCTAAAATTTTTTTTAAATACAGAAAATCAATGACGCCAAATGTTGGTCAGTTAAAACAATGAACAAAATTTACAAATCTTTGGTTAGATTGACTAAGAAAAAAGAGAATATTCAAATTACTAAGACCAGAAATAAAAATGGAGACATTACAACTGACCAATAGAAATATTAAAAAGGATTATAAGAGAATTAATCAGTGATTAAATAAGTAATCAAAATCCTCCCAACAAAGTAAAGCTCAAGACCAGATGACTTTACCTGTAAATTCTACCACTCATATAAAAAAGAATTTTCAACAACTCTTCTCAAAGCCTACCAAAAAATAATAGAAGAGGAGGGAATACTTTGTACTTTAATCTGTGATGCCAGAATTATTCTAATACCAAAGCCAGACAAAGTCATCATGAGACAACTACAAACCAATATCCCTTATGAACTTAGATGCGATATCTCAACAAAATACGAGCAAACTGAATCCAGCAGCATATTAAAAGAATTATACACCATAAGCAAGTGGTATTTATCCCAGGAATGTAAGAATTGTGCAACATTGAAAACCAATTAATATAATATACCACATTAATAGAATGACAGAAAAAATCCACACACACAATCATGTCAATTGATGCAAAACAAAAGAACTTGACAAAATGCAGCACTCTCTTTTGATAAAAACAAACTAGAAACAAGGAAACTCAAACAAATAGAATCGTACAGTAATGAGACATTTTGTGTCTGACTTTCATTCACTTAGCAAGTTTCTGAGGTGCATCCACATGTAGCATTGTAGCATGTATCAGTACTTCAATTTTTATGGCTGAAGAATAGTCCATTGAAAATTCAGAATAGGTAAATTCATAGAGACAGAAAGCACAATAGTGGTTGCCACAGTCTAGTAGGAGAGGAATGAAAAGTGACTGCTTAATGCATACAAGTTTTATTTTAGAGTGATGAAAATGTTTTGGAACTTGAGAGAGGTGGTTGCACAACATTTTGAATTTACCAAATGCTACTTCATTGTATACTTTAAAGTGGTTAATTTTATTTTATGTGAATTTTACCTCAATTTTTAAAAAGCAAGATATAACTACTAATAACAAATTATTTAAATGTGGCAGTAACAGAGTGTCTGGGTTTCCATCAAGATTATCACCCTGGATATGAACCAAATGAAATGAATACTTCATCTGAAGTAGAAGAAGAAGCACCTCAACTAGTATTAAAACATCACAAAAAATTATAGGAGGAAGGGGGTAGAGATCAGTAGTTACCACCCACCTTGCATTCCAGGAAAACTGTCATCCTCATGACTCTTTGAAGTAAATCAAGGCCATTCCAGTGTCTCCTAACATCACCACTTTGCTACTGGCATCTCCCAGTCTTTTGCAAATTCCACCAAGTTAAAACATTAATCCTCATCAATAAAAATATAACAATGGATCCTAGGATCCAGGACTGAGCAACAAGGCAGGAGAGCTCATTCTTCTTCCGAATGACACAGGTTCCCATTGGAAGAAACTCAAGAGCAATTCTGCAAATCGTGTTTAACATTTCCTCAGTCTCCACACAGCAATAGTAGGTGTCAGCCTTATTACTTTGCAGACCACACAATGCATGCCTCCTGGATCCTTCTTACAAATTGCCTTCCCCCAACTGCCTCAGGTAAACATGACCTGCACCCCTGGATAGTCACCCAGCCATTCTGAACTATTCTCCAGTGTTTCCTAGAATGATGGCAGTAATTAGCCTCACAGCCCTCTTTTGTTTAAAGAGGATGGAATGGTCACAAAATGGGGGAAGGAGGCATAGAAGCTACAACTGAGGTCAGGGTGTAGTGGCTTTATAGTATACCAACAAGTTCTTTGAAATTCCCCACTTCAAAAGGTGGAATGTAATTGCCTTCCCATTGAGTGTGGGCTGTATTTCAACAAACAGCATGTGATGGAAATGATGGTGGGCAATTTGCAAGGCTAGGACATGATAAGAATTTTTGTTGCCTTCTTGTTCTCTCTCTCTCTCTCTCTCATCTGCTCCAGGGGAAGCCAAATACCACATCATGAAGACATTAAGACAGCCCTGTGAGGAGCCCATGTGGCAAGCAACTGAAGCCTATTGTCAACATCCAGCAAGGAACTAAGACTTCTTCTTAATAACCATGGGAGGGAGATATCTTGGAAGGTGATCCTCCTGCTCAGTCAAACCCTCAAATGACTATAGCCCTGATCAACATCTCATCTACCACCTCATGGGAAATCCTGAGCCAGAGCTACCAAGCTAAGCAATTCCTGAATTACTGATTCTCAGAAACTGTGAAGTAATAAATGTTTATAGTTTTAAGTCACTAAATTTTCAAATAATTTGTTACACAGCAGTAGATCACTATTACACACAGTTAACTTGTCTTTTCCAGTAACTAATACCAAACAAGTTACTCCAAAATTTAGTGGTAAAAAAAACCAACTTTATTCTTCTCACGAATCTTCAATTTGGGCAGGATTTTCTGGGGACAGCTTATCTGTGTTCCACTCTGCTCCACAGTATCTGAGGCCTCTGCTGGAAGACTAAAAAACTAGGGGATCAAAACTTCTAAAACCTCACTCGGTCACATGTCTGGTAGTTGATGGCTGGAAAACAACTGGAGACTTTTGCTCCTCTCCACATGGGTGTGTCTGTGTGGTCTCCCTGCATGGGCTAGTTTAGGCTATCTTCCATAATGGTGACTGTGTGCCATGGATGGAGGAAAGGAGAGGAGAAAGAGGGAGGAGGGAGGGAGGGAGAAACAGAGAGAGAGAGATGAAAGCCATATAGCCTTTTATAATATAGCCTTGGAGGTCACATACTATCACTTCTGCTGCATTCTGGTAGTGAAGGCAATTACAAAGATTTTCCAAGGTTCAAAGGAATGGAATACAGACCCTATCTCTCAATGGAGGAGTGGCAACATTGTATTGTTAGGAAGAGCATGTGGGATGCACTGTATATTGGTATAGCTATCTTTAGAAAATACCATCTGCCATACTTGTCCAAGACTGAATCCCTGCAAATTGGCCTCTCAGTAAAGGAATTAGCCTCCAGCAAAGCTTCATGCAAACCAGCTATAGTCTAGTAATAAGAATAATCAACCCTATTCAATTTTAAGGCCTGGCACCTAGCTCCTTGATTATGCCAGGAAGAGAACTAATTTTTCTCTAATCATGAATAATGAATTGATGAATCTTAGCAGTACCTCATCATGTCATCACCTGGAACTGCAAATGATGGACATCAGGGCCCTTATCATATCAAGGGAGGGGCCAAGGCTTCTCTAATTGTATCAGTCGGGTTCAGTCAGAGAAGCAGAACCAGTAGGAGATATATATCTATCTCTATATATTTACATCTACATTTATATCTATAGATATTACAGAGAATTGGCTTACACAATTGCCGGAATTAGTTAAGCAGTCTCTGTGAGACTGTCTTCATGTCTGATGTTAGAACTTGAAGTTCACAGGGAAAGCAACCAGGAAAGGAAGAACACAAGCAGCCTGGGACTCCAGGATCACAAGTTGGAAACCCACAAGGGTTGACTGAAATCAGTATCTGTTCTTGTTGCCAATGACACCAGGATAGCTTGGAGGAAGCAGGGTCCTTCATCAAAGAGCTAAACACATAACCCTAACCCAGCTGATGTGTCATGCCAAGGAGGTAAGTCAGCAGATTGGCAACAATGTGTGTATGCTATGAAATGGCAGCTGCCTCCCCCTAGCTCTCCAAATCTCTTCAGAATCTCCTTTGTGGTCTTCTTAACCAGAAACATGTAAGAAAGGGATTCTGGGAAATGTAGTTTAGCCTAGCCAAGTTGACACATTACAAAGCTCTCACACTAATCATGTAGCCTAAAAGCCCCAGAGCCAAGAGTAAGGGCGCCTCTCCTGGAATTGAATGTCTGGCTCTGCTAGATCACCATGCACTACCCTAGAATGAATGAGCAAGAGAGGTACTTTACACCTGCTACTGCTTAAAATCTCCATGAGATTTTCCAAATGATCACTGATCTAGCAGGTCTTAACATGTGTGTTGTCTGGGCACTTGCCCTTATTTGCATAAAAACTACTTTAATAAAGTTAGTGCAAATATTAACTGAGAATTGATACAAAAGGCATAAAATACTGAGCTTGGCACATAGAAGGTGCTCAACAAAGGTTATCTATGATTATTACCATTTTTATAATTACTATTTCTATTTACCTCTATCAATATAGATTTTTAACCAGGTCATGTGGATTCTTGTCACATTTTTTTGCTCATTTTCAACTAGTAACTGTAATTTAGTAAGTCTGACACCAGGCTTTGAAAAGGTTGTTCATAAGGATTTCAAGTATCACAATTTCTGACCGTTAGGATCCATAATGTACGTGGTAAATTGGTATTTGGGATTCATGATCTCTTAAGCTCGGGGAAAATACAGGTTCTGTGGTATCTGAAGCTTATGCAGTCCGAGGGAGATCTTTCTGGGAAAAGAATATGCATGTTCTCACTTATAAGTGGGAACTAAACATTAAGTACACATGGACACAAAGAACGGAACAATGGGCACCAAGGCCTACTGGAGGGTGGAGGGTTGGAGGAGGGTGAGGGTCAAAAAACTACCTATCAGGTACTATGCTTATTACCTGAGTGACGAAATAATCTGTACACCAAACCTCCAAAACATGCAATTTACCCATGAAACAAACCTGCACTGATACCCCCTGAACCTAAAATAAAAACTGGAAAGAAAAAAATACATGAAAATAAGAATAAAATTAACATATAAAAGTAAATATTAATTTAGAATGAGAAAAATCACAATAAATACACATTTTAAATATCTGGAAAATAACATAGGTAAAACAAAATCCACAAAAATTAACATAATGTTTTCACTAATTGAAAGCTTGACCCACCTCTATAATACTGTTTTCTCACATTTTTTGATGCATGCACTTTTGTCTTTTCATTTGATAATGATTTTGTAGTATCATTTTAACAGAGAGAATAGAAAGATAATTCCGTTTCCTAAAATGGCTGTTCAAAAAATTTTGTTATTAATAGTTTAGAAAAGTTTTAACTTACAACTTATTATTAATAATGCCATGTGTGGGTTTCTTAGGATTATCTGTTAGATTTAGGGAAAATCTCTTTCAAGGAGGAAACTTCCATTTTTGATTAGACATAGATAAGATCTGAATCCTTGGCTTCAATTTTACACATTTGATGATTAGAAGAATTTTCCACTGACTGAGAGGCAGGCTCTGGTCTATCATAATGAATGTCACCCTTTGAGGATCCTTAGGGTCAGCCAGTCAGCCAGCCCTCCTCTTCAAAGGAATCTGCAGTTAATGCTTGTTCTACAACATTGTGTTGTTTTATACAGTTTGCAAAGTGTCAGTAAAAATATTATTTGATGTGTAACATGATTGGCAAGATAAGAAACACCACACACAAAATACTTCCCAATTTATCTAGGGAGAAGACCGGAGTCTTTGATCATCCTCATGTCTGCACTAAAGAGTATTCTTTGCCACATTCCTATTTCTTCTTCATCGTCTTCTGAAGCTGCCGTGAACATTTTTGCACATCTCCAGAGGAAATACTAGGTTCTGGGGTGGGGTTGTGCACTTTCAATTATACTAGATAGCCCCAAATTTATCCAACTTCAAATCTTCCTCACTCCACAGCCTTAACATCAAAGAATCACAGCATCCTGGAACTTCAATCAACAAAGGTCTAGCTTTTGTCTACCTCCTCTGGAGCAGCCCTCCTATCTGTCAGTTCACACGGTCATGTTTTTTGTAAATTTTACAAACCATAGACATTTTACCTACAATCAAGATCAGGGTCTGTTTTCAATCCAACTTTACAAAGGTTCAGACAGTTTAAGGGATTTGTCCATGGTCCTAGAACTAGTTGCTGATAGAACCAAAATTGAGTCCCAGGCCTCCAGATTTCCCATGTTCCTTCTTCACTTATTCTTCCTTGTATTTAAATTCCATTGTGCTATAATTTTAGCTACAATTCACATTATTTTAAATTTGAGAGGACTGAAATCATCAGAACAATATCTTCCCTGTAATAACTCAATCAATCATCTCTTACATTTTGCTTTTGAAATGATGAAAGATTTTCCAAGTTTTAAGAAATACCAAAAATCTAGAGAATAGTATAATAAATACTCATGTACTCATGATCCAGCCTAATGAAAACATAGCAAATAAATTTTAAGTCCTATATTTATCTCTTTCCATTAAGTTTTCTTCCCTCCACCACCTCCACGAAAGGAGTAATTCTCCAGAGTTTGGTGTTTAACACTCTCATACTGTATCTACTCTTCTGAAATTTGCTTTTTATCTTAACATTATTTTAAGGATTTATTCAGGTTGACACAGATAGAGCTAGTTCATTTATTTCAACTGTCACAGAATATTACATTCCATGAATTTATTACAAATTATTCATTCCCTCACTGATGACTGAGAGCTGCAATGCACATGTCTCCAGGAGAATTTATAGGTTCTAGGTATATACACTTTCGACTTTACTAGACAAAGCCAAATTGCTCTCCAAAGTCGTTATACTAATGTATACTATATCAAGTGTTGGTAATCTCAAGTTTTTCAGTTTTTTACACGTTTGATGTTTGCAAAACGGAATCTCATTCCTCATTGAAATTACATTTCCCATATTAGCAAGGAATTGAAGTATCTTTTCATAGGTTTATTTGCTCTTCTATGAACTGCCTGTTTACACATTTGCCCATTTTAAAAATTATTATTTTGCTTTGCTTTGTTTCCATTTCTTACTGATTTATACATATTCATTATTAGACATACATATTGCAAATATATTCTTCTAATATAACTTGTGTTTTCATTATTTATGGTAGTTTTGATGTATAGAAGTATTAAATTTCAATGTAATTGAATTTATGAATTTTTTTCCATTATGCCTGTGTTTTCAGGGCCTCTTTTTAAACAAGGATTTTTTTTTAATTCTACGCAGATTATAATATTCTACATATTTGCTTTCCCACTAAAATTCTCTTTTTGCATTTTTATCCACATGGAAGTCTGGTTTTGATATGGGGTGATTTAGGAATGCAATTTTTTCCTACATGAATAGCCAATTACCTCAGCAACATGTATTAAACTCTCTCTTCTTTAGCCCCTGTAGTGGGTTGAAAAGGATACATTCAAGTTCTAACACCCAATACCTATGAATGTGAGCATATTCTGAAAAAAGGTTTTTACAGATGCAACTAAGTGAAAGATCTGGAGATAAGATAATCCTAAATTAACAAGATGTGCCCTAAATTCAATGACAAGTGCTTTCATAAGATGAGGAGAAGATATAGACACACAGGGGGAAAGGCCATGTGAAGACGGAAGCAGAGATTATCATTCTGCTGCCACAAGTCAAGGAACACGGGGAGCCACTAGAAACTGGGAGAAGCAAGGAAGGATTCTTTTCTAGAGTCCTCACAGGAAACATGGCACTGCCAACAGCTTGAGTTCAGACTTCTGGTCTCCAGAATTGTGAGGGGATACATTTCTGTTGTTTTAGGCCACCAAGTTTGTGGTAACTTTCTATGGGATTCCTGCAAAACTAATATATTCCCACTGACCTATAGTGACACATCTGTACCTCTGTCACGTATTGAGTACCATATATATGTGAGCTATTTCTGCACCCTCAGTTTTGTTTTTTGTCTTCTTCCCTTCTTTTTTTTTTTTTTAAAAGAGTGTCATTCTGTCACCCATGCTGGAGTAGAGTGGCATGATCATGGCTCATTGCAGCTTCAACTTTCTGGGCTCAAGTGATACTTCACCTCAGCCTCCTGAGTAGCTGGGACTACAGTCATGGACTACCATGCCTGGCTTCTTTTTTTTTTTTTTTTTTTTTTGTAGAGACACGGTCTTACTATCTTTCCAAGGCTGGTCTTGAACTCCTGAGCTCAAGCCATCTCCCCACCCCAGCCTCCCAAAGTGTTGGAATTACAGGCATGAGCCACTGCACCCAGCCTCAATATTGTTTCATTGGTCTATGTGCCTATTCCAAGATAATGCCATGTTACCTTAATTATATGTATATATATATATATATACACACACACATATATATTAAGGTGACTATATTTAACAACAATGTATTATATTTTTCAAAATAGCTAGAAAAGAGGACTTGAAATGTTCCCAACACATAGAAATGATAAATACTCAAGGTGATGGACACCCCCAAATGCCCTGACTTGATCATTACACACTCTGTACATATAAAAAAACTATCACATGCACTCCATAAATATGTACAAATATTATGTATCAATAAAGAGAGAAAAAAGTTATGAAGTATACTCCCCTTTTTCTTTGGTACTGGTACAAAAACAGACACATAGACCAACAGAACTGAATACAAAGCTCAGAAATAAAGCCGCACACCTACAACCATCTGATCTTCAACACACCTGACAAAAATAAGCAATGGGGAAAGGATTCCCTATTCAATAAATGGTACTGGGATAACTTGCTAGGCATATGCAGAAAATTGAAACTGGACCAGTTCCTTTTCCTTATACCATGTACGAAAATAAACTAAAGATGGATTAAAGACCTAAATGTAAAATCCAAACCTATAAAAACCCTGGAAGACAACCTAGGCAATACCATCTGGATATAGAAATAGGCAAAGACTTCATGACAAAGACACCAAAAGCAATTGCAACAAATGCGAAAATTGACAAATGGAATTTAATTAAACTAAACAGCTTCTGCACAGCAAAAGAAACTATCGACAGATTGAAGAGACTAAATAGAATGCAAGAATAATTTTGCAAACTATGTATCTGACAGAGGCTAATATCCAGCATCTTTAAGGAAGCTAAACAAATTTACAGGAAAAAAAACCAACTCCATTAAAAAGCGGGAAAAAGACATGAACAGATACTTTTCAAAAAAAGACATGCATGTACCAACAAGCATATGAAAAAGCTCAGTATCAATGATCATTAGAGAAATGTAAATCAAAACCACAATGAGATACCATCTCACACCAGTCAGAATAGGTATTATTGAAAAGTAAAAAAATAGCAAATGCTGGCAAGATTTAGGAGAAAAACAAATGCTTATACACGGTTCAGGCAAGTGTAAATTAGTTCAACCATTGTGGAAAGCACTGTGGTGATTCCTGAAATAGCTAAAAACAGAACTACCATTCAACCCAGGAATCTTATTACTGACTGTATATACCCAAAGGAATATAAATTTTTCTATCATAAAGACACATGCACACGTATGTTCACCGCAGCACTATTTATGATACCAAAGACATGGAATCACTGCTCATCAATGGTCGATTGATTAAAGAAAATGTGGTATGTATACACCATGGAATACTAAGCAGCCATAAAAAAGAATGAGATCATATCCTTTGCAGAAACACAAATGGAGCTGGAGGCCATTATCCTTAGCAAACTAACACAGAAACAGAAACCCAAACAACACATGTTCTCACTTATAAGTGGGAGCTAAATGATGAGAACACATAGACATATTGAGGGGAACAACAGACACTGGCGCTTACCTGAGGGTGAAGGGTGGAAGGAGAGAGAGGACCCAGGAAAATAACAAATGCATACTAGGCTTAATACATGGGTAACAAAATAATCTGAATAACAACCCCGTGTGACATAAGTTTACTATTGTAACAGACCTGTACATGTATCCCTGAACTTAAAAGTTTAAAAAATTAGACAAACTTAGCATATTCAATTAATTAAGCTACCGTTAGTAAAAAAGAATTTAATTGCTGAGGGAAAGATCATAGCGTTTCTTATAGATGCCCCCACTGAAACCGTCGTCGAGTATTCCCTGTACAGTCAAGCAAAATATAGTTTGAAGTATTATGCTTTCTAAAAAAAATGAGGTTGCTTGTTCAAGAAGTCTCAGATTATCAGATGACACTGTTAAGATAAACAGTTCAATGGTACTGAAACATGAAAAGAGAACATAGCAGATCTTTAGAATATTAAAAAATACTTTTTCAACAAGTAGGCTACTTTTATAGTTTCTAAAACATATTATATAAACAAAAAAATCCTAATGTGTAAATAATAGTGTTCTGCGTGGACGCAAAGGGAGAACAACAGACGCTGGGTCTACTTAAGGGTGGAAGGTGAGAGAAGGGAAAGGAATCAGAAAAAATAACTATTGGGTCCTAGGCTTAGTACCAGGATGATGAAATAATCTGCACAACAAACCCCCATGACATGAGTTTGCCTATATAACAAACCTGCACACATACCCCTGAGCCTAAAATAAAGATTCTTTTTTAAAAAAGTATGTTATACATAGAAAATAATTTTAAAACTATGGACTCATAATATGGAAACTAATTTTTATTACAACAAGATTTTATATAATTAATCATTTATCTTAGGTATTCAGTAAAAACACGTAGAAACAAAAACACTATTTTATTCATCAGATTAAAAAAATGATCTATAACAGAGATCAAACACTTTCCTGCCTATAAACTTGAATCTAACACATACACTAAATTTCAAAAGATTTTAGTACATGCAATCGTTTCCTTCTGTATTAAAAAACTCTCCCAGGCAACAGTTCCCCGTTTTACTAAGTGTCAAACAAAACCTTGTGAAGTTATTAAGACATAAAACTATTCCTTTCTACTGCTGCAAACAATAAACAACTGTGCAAACTGAATAAGCAATGTGACTCCCTCTGATGATCCTCCTCAGTTCTCTCCTCAGAAATACATTATGTCAGAGTTATTGGATCCTACTTATATTTTAAATAATTGTCATTGTAATGTTCATCTTTGAAATGGGCCTAAATAAAACATTAATTATTAAAATGTGTCTGTAAGTGTGTTTGTTGGGAAGGGGCAAGGTCTGGTAATAGTGAGTGTGTGTATGTATGTGTGTTCTAAGCCCCTTATCACCACCACCACAAATTCAGGGACAAATTTTTTTGACATGTCATCAGATTCACTAAGATTATTTTCTATTATAAAACACATTTGAACACAAAATATACAACCTATCAACAAATACTTAGATGAATAAAAGTAATATAATTAAAATCATAATAATGTGAATTTATAATATACTCAGTTCACTGGACTACTCATTATCCTTCCTTGTTCCTGACTCATATGATCATAATCAATATCACTACACATGGCTGTATCAAAACATCTCATGTACTCTATAAATACATACACCTACTATATACCCACTTTATTAGTTTGTTCTTGCACTGCTATAAAGACCTGAGACCGTGTAATTTATAAAGAAAAGAGGTTTAATTGGCTCATCTTGTTGGCTTCTGGGGAGGCCTCAGGAAATTTACAATCATAGCAGAAGGCAAAGGGGGAGCACCATTTCATATGCCTGGAGAAAGAGCAAGAGAGAATGAGGCGGGAGGTGCTACACACTTTTAAACAATCAGATCTCGTGAGATCTCTATTATGAGAACAGCACTAAAGGGGAGGGGACGATGTTAAACCATTCATGAGAAACCACCCACATGATCCAATCACCTCCCACCAGGCCCCACCTCCAACATTGGGGATTACAATTCAACATGAGATTTGGGTAGGGACACAGAACGAAACCATATCACCCACAAAAATTAAAAAATTAAATATTAGAAGAAAAAATAATGCTGGAAAACACAAAAAATAGGTACAGCAGTACACATTTATGAGTGGCTTAACATTGCGGATAAACTGGACAAATGTTTTCAACAACTCTGTATTGAGCGTGTATGGTGTTCTCACCATGGTGAGATGAGACTCTTCTCTTAAAACATTTACAGAGCAGGTGCAAAAAAACTCTGAGGTTGTATGCCCCATAATTTTTTGCATGCCATTCCCTTTATCAGGAACATTTTGTCTGAAATACTCCTATTCACCCTTTAAAATGGGTCAGGTAATAATATTTTAGACTCTGTGGGCTATATGGTCTCTGTCTCCACTACTCACCCTTTCCCTTATAGCATGAAAGCAGCCACGAACAATATTAGACAAGTCGAAGTGTCTGTGTTCCAATAAAACTTTATTTATACAAATGTATGCCAAGGCATATACGGTCTGAGGACCATAGTTTATCAACCCATGGTTTAAAACCTTCCGCATTACAGTGAAGCAATAAAACGTAGTGACTAAAACATGGACTCTGGTGCCAAACAACCTGGTTTCTAATTCTCGCTCTGCCACTTATAACCTGTGTGACCCTGAACAAGTCAAATAATCGTTGCGCCAGTTACCTCATCTGCAAAATAGAGATTATAATACTTATGTATGTATGGAGCTTTTGTGAGCAGAAAATGAGTTAATAGATCTTAATGAGGTTAGAAAAATGCCTGGTACATAACAAGTGCTGTATATGGGCTGTTATGACCATGTAGCGTTATCTCTATATTTTCTTATTCCAGGAGATTCAGTACATTACTTCTTTAGGCCAGGGATGCAAGAATTAAACAAGGGTCACAGATAGAATCAACTTTAATAAAAATATTGAAGGGCCTTGAGGTGAGAACACCAAATTTAATCTAAATAAGGAAAAGGGTAGTCCACTAAGAGAAAGAAGGATATAAAAGTATAGCGATAAGTAACCAGATGTCTTCAGGGTGGGGTGTTATAAAGGGGGAATAAAGGAAAAAATATTAAAAGGTAAAAGTGCCAGAAATTACTGGAATAAAGGAAGGAAAAAGAAATAAACAACTTTAGTGTAATAGAATGGAAGAAAGAGAGGAGTCTAAACTCTAGCCCACCTCTTGAATTCTGGGTTTTGTTGGCAGGTTACCATTTGTTCTGTTTGTATGAAGATCACCTGGTCTTGAGGAATAAATGTAGGGCATAAATTTAAGAAATGATACTCAGGTCCTGGACACTAAGACTCAAAAATTCCAGCAAGACAGAGACAGCTTCAAGTTCTAAGAGGAGTGCTTGAATGGACAGAAAACTAACAATTAGCTAGGACCACCTCAAGATAACTTGTCTATGCCCTGAGACCCTTATTTGAAGTAGGTAAGAAGAAATAATTTTTACTATAATGCTAGGTAGTACTCTTCATATAGCTTCTGTATCAGTCAGCGTAGGTTAGATAATATTTCACCAACAAATAACCCCAAAACTTCAGTAGCTTAAAACAACAAAAGTTATTTCTCACTCATACTTCATGGCCATTGTAGGTTGACAGGGGGCTCTGCACTATGTGGTCCTCACTCTGAGACCTTGCCTGATAGAGGAGCTACAACCTGGAACATTACAGTCATTTTGACAAAGGGAAAGAGAACTCTAGAAAGTTTCACACTGACAATTTAATGTTCCAGCCTGGAAGTAATATTCATCACTTCCAACTCAACTTATAGACCAAAATTAATCATGTGACCTGACCCAACCACAAAAGGGCCAAGAAGACGACCCTACTAAGTGCTGAGAAGTTAGAGAGCCAGAAGTATGTGATGAGCAGCAACCAGTGACTTCAGTTTTCAACTTAACTTGGGCCGGCAGGGAGGCACTTATTCCAGCTTTTCTGGAAGAGTCTTTGAAGATATTGAAAGAGTCAGCTTTGGGAGCCTATTGAAAGAATTGTAAACACTGCCAGGGAGAAGCCCTCTTCCATCCATGCAGCCACGGCAAGTTGACTGAGCAAGCACTGGAAGCAGGTGGACATGGCAGCAGCACTGGCCACATACCTACAACCCTTAAGGAAAGAATGGGAATGAGGCAGAGTGCAGAGGGGAGCTTAGGGTCCTAGTGTTTCTTTTTGTGGGAATTGGAAGCCACAAGGTGCCAAGATTTCATCCACGTACTTGAGGCTGCAGAGACCTGGAGAAATGCTGGGTTTCTTAGTGCTGCCTCCTAGTGGATACAGGTCTATGATTTCTTTAAAAGTCTTGTGTTTTACCCAGAATATGATAGGAGACTGTGGAGCAAACATGAAGCCTAAGTTCTCTTCTTAAAACTGAAGTGAAGAGAGACTTCCAGTGCTGGCCAAGATGGAGTGTGCTTATGGATTGTAACTAAAAACTCTGGACGAAACACAAAAAGTAACAACCTGAATACTCAAAAGTAGACAAAAGTAGGCAGATTGGGGACAGGAATCAAATCTTGAAGAAGAGACCCATATGGGAGTATAAGATTCTCAGATATTTTTTCTCTTTTATCTCATGGCCCAAAGATGGACACTAGTTAGGAGCTGTGGCAGTAGTTGCACAGGCAATAAAATATCCATCTTTCTAGCCATATCACCAAGAAAAGAGGTCTCTGCAAGCTGATGTGTATATTTTGTGTGTGGTGGGGTGGTAGGTGAAGGGTTGAAGAATCCCAGACAAAAGGGAGAAGACTATTTCTGAATATTGTGTACCATCTCAGATAAGATCTGACCTCACACCTGAGCTGTAGATGCCTGGGACAGACCCAAGTCAGCATAGCAAAGACTTTGAGAACTGAACTAAGATATAACTCACTCCTGAGTCCTAGAATAATCCATGAGTAATTTATGCATGGGGCAGAACAAAAACAGCATAGCAAAAGCTTTCAGAACTAAAATATAACATAAACTACTTCTCAACTTCCAGACTGACCCCAAAGTGGCACATGTATGGCACAGACTCAAAGAAACAAACCAAAGATGTTGAAAACTGAACAGACATTGGAATTACTGCTGACAGAGGATGAGACAGAACTTGTGGTCTAAAATGCACACACACACACACACACACACACACAGAGGAGACAGAGAGAAAGAGGGGGAGAGAGAGAGAGAGAGAGATCTACATTTCTCAGATGAGTTTAAAATGATTCAGTTTCACAGTATGATATTCAAAATGTCCAGAATATTTTCCAAAATTATTTCATATACAAACAGCTAGGAAAATATGACCAATTTTCACAGAAAAATATAATCAACATGTACTAACACCAAGATGACTCAGATACTGAAATTATCAAAGACTTTGAAAGAGCTATTATAGCTAGGCTCCATGAGGTAAATACACTTGTTATAAATAGAAAGATAGAAGTTCACAAAGTAGATATGGAAACTATTTTAAAAGGAGACTTTAGAATCGAAAAATACAATGTCTTAAATTTTAAAATTCACTGTTCAGCTCAACGACAGAAAAAAAATAACAAAGGAAAGAAATAGCGAACTTGAAGATGAGTCAGTAGAAATTATCTATCTGAATAACAAAGAGAAAAAGATTTTCAAAAGTGAACAGAGATGCAGGCATGGGACAATATCAGAATATCTAACATTTGTGTCAGTGAGTCCCAGGAGAAGATAATAAAAATATTCATACAAGAAAAATTGAAAAATAATTACCGAAAGTGTAAAAAAAAAAAAAAGGTGGAATATATTCATTTAGAGATTCAAGAAGTTCAACAAGCCTTAGACAGCATCAACCCAAAGAAAACCATACTGGAGACACCATGATCAAACTTCTGAAAACCAGTAGTAAGGGAAAAAATCTTGACAGCATCCAAAAAGAAAGTGATACATTGTATATAGGAGGACAATGACTTGAATTGTTGCCATCAGAACAGATTTCTCATCAGAAACCAGGGAGCCAGAAGACAATGGAACAACATTTTTAAGTGCTGAAAGAAAAGCATGTCAATGCTTCTATACAAAACAAAGGTATTCTTCAAAATGATGGCAAAATAAAACATGTTCAGATGAAGGAAAACTAAAAGAATTATTCACCAGCAGACCTGCTCTAAAATAAATTAAAGGAAATTTTTTAGACACAAAGCAAAATGATACATGAGGGAAATCTGGAACATCAGAAATGAGAAAAAGCAACAAAAATTATAAATATCAGGGTCATTATATAATACTGATACAATTTTTGTTAAGATATTCAAAGTATGTATGACTGTAAAGGCAAAAATTATAAAATTGTCTGGTGGGGATTTCAATGTGTCATATGGTTTGGCTCTGTGTCCCCACCCAAATCTCATTTTGAATTGTAATTCCCATGTGTCAAGGGAGGAACTTCGTGGGAGGTGATTGGATTATGGGGGTGGTTTCCCCCATGCTGTTTTCATGATAGTGACTCTCATGAGATCTGATGTTTTAAAAGTGGCAGTTTTTCCTGTGCTTCACTTCTCTCTCTCCTGCCACCTTGTGAAGAAGATGCTTGCTTCTCCTTCACCTTCTGCCATGATTGTAAGTTTCCTGAGGCCTCCCCAGCCATGTGAAACTGTGAGTCAATTAAATCTCTTTCCTTTATAAATTACCCAGTCTCAGGTAGTACTCTTTATAGCAGTGTGAAAATGGACTAATACAATGTGTGTAGATAAAACACATATAACAACTATGACATAAAGGGGGAAGCATAAAGGGGATGTATATGGTTATAAGGCTTTTATATTTTACTTGAAGTGGTGAAATACTATTAGCTCTAAAATATATATATATATAGAGAGAGAGAGAGTACAATCTCTAGAACAATCAAAAAATTAATGCAAAGAGATACAGCCAAAAATAGACAAGTTAAAATTCAAATAAATGAAATTCAAATAATCCAAAAGTAGTCAGGAAAAAGAAAGAGACAGAGAAAGAGAGAGAAACAGAAGAACAAAGAGCAAAGGGAACAAACAAAACAAATATAAAGTAGTAGACCTAAATTCAAACATATCAATAATTACATTACATTAAATGGTCTAAAAACACAATTATAAAGCAGATATTGTCATATTGGATGAGAAACAACACCCAACAAGAGGTTGTCTACAATAAACTAACATTAAATGGAAAGAGTCTACATAAAAATATAAAAAGTACAATAGGAAAAGATATACCATATAAATTTTAATCAAAAGAAAGTTGAATGGATTATATTAATGTTGAACAAAGAGAACTTCAGAACAAGTAAATTACCAATGATATAAAGAAACATTACCTAATGACAAAACAGCCAGTTCACAAAAAATAACAATCCTAAATATGTAAGCACTACTAGCACAGCTTCAGAATACATGGAGCAATAACTGATAGGTCAGAAAGGAGAAATAAACCTACAATTATAGTCAGACTCTAACACTCTTCTCTCAATGATTAGACAGAACAATTAGAACATTAACAAGGACCTTGCTATAAATGGAATATGTCCCCCCACGATTCACATGTTGAAGCCCTAGCACCAAGGAAAGGCCATGTGAAAAACATAGCAAGAAGGGGGTCATCTGAAAGCCGGGAAGAGAGTCCTTACCAAGAACAGAATGAGCTGGCACCTTGATCTTAGACTTCCCAGCCTCCAAAATGGTGAAACCTACATTTCTATTGTTTAAGCCACTCAGTCTATGATATTTTGTTCTGGCAACCTGAGCTGACTAGTACAGATATAGACCTGAACAGCACTATCATTCAACATAACCTAATTTGTTTACCCAACAACAATAAAATACATATTCTTTACAAGTATGTGTGGAATGTTCACCAAGATAGACCATATCCTTAATCAAGAAACAAAACTTAACAAAATAAAATCAAGTGAAATCAGACACATTATGTTATATAACAAAAATGGAATTGAACTAGAAATGAATAACCCAATAAATCACACACATCTAAATAACCTATGGATAGAAAACACTTTGAATTGAAAGAAACAAAATTATGACATATAAAAATATGTGGCATGCAGTTGAAGCAGTGTTTAAAGGGAAATTATGGCATTACATGCTTATATTAGAAAAGAAGATAGGTCTCAAATCAATGATCCAAGTTTCAACCTTAAAAACATGAAAAAGAAAATAATTAAATTCAAAACAAGAAGAATGTAGCAAATTTAAGAGCAGAAATCAATGAAATTGAAAACAGAAAAGCAATAGAGAAAAATCAATGAGACTCTTGCCAGAAATGTTTTTCAAAAGCTCAGAAAGAAAGAAAATGATATAAGTTAGAAACTCAGGTCCACATAAAGGAATAATAAAGAAGGAATAAATGAAGGTAAAAAAGCAGTCTCCCTCTCCCTCTCCCTCTCCCTCTCCCTCTCCCTCTCCCCACAGTCTCCCTCTCCCTCTCTTTCCACAGTCTCCCTCTGATGCCGAGCCAAAGCTGGACTGTACTGCTGCCATCTCAGCTCACTGCAACCTCCCTGCCTGATTCTCCTGCCTCAGCCTGCCAAGTGCCTGCGATTGCAGGCGCGCGCCGCCACGCCTGACTGGTTTTCGTATTTTTTTGGTGGAGACGGGATTTCGCTGTGTTGGCCGGGCTGGTCTCCAGCTCCTAACCGCGAGTGATCCGCCAGCCTCGGCCTCCCGAGGTGCCGGGATTGCAGACAGAGTCTGGTTCACTCAGTGCTCAATGGTGCCCAGGCTGGAGTGCAGTGGCGTGATCTCGGCTCGCTACAACCTCCACCTCCCAGCCGCCTGCCTTGGCCTCCCAAAGTGCCGAGTGCAGACTCTGCCCGGCCGCCACCCCGTCTGGGAAGTGAGGAACGTCTCTGCCTGGCCGCCCATCGTCTGGGACGTGAGCAGCCCCTCTGCCTGGCTGCCCAGTCTGGAAAGTGAGGAGCGTCTCTGCCCGGCTGCCATCCCATCTAGGAAGTGAGGAGCGCCTCTTCCCGGCCGCCATCCCATCTAGGAAGTGAGGAGCGTCTCTGCCCGGCCTCCCAACCTCTGAGATGTGGGGAGCGCCTCTGCCCCGCCGCCCCATCTGGGATGTGAGGAGCGCCTCTGCCCGGCCGCGACCCCGTCTGGGAGGTGAGGAGTGTCTCTGCCCAGCCGCCCCGTCTGAGAAGTGAGGATACCCTCCGCCTGGCAACCACCCTGTCTGAGAAGTGAGGAGCCCCTCCGC